>NC_000007.14:240242-2740242 GCF_000001405.40 Homo sapiens | reverse complement strand
ACATGCAGTCTATAATGATGATACAAATAGAACCACCTAGAAAAGATCACCAGGAAATGCCAGAAAACCCAGAAAAGATCACACTGGAGTGCCATTTCACAGCTAGTAGGATGGCCACCGTTTTTAAAAATCAGAAAACAGCAAGTGTTGGCAAGGATGTGGATAAATTGGAAACTTTGTACATGGCCCATGGGAATGTAAACTTGTGCAGCCGCCGTGGAGAACAGCTTGGTGGTCTTCAGAAAATTAAGCACAGAATTACCAAAGGACTGCCGGGCACAGTGACTCACACCTGTAATCCCAGCACTTTCAGAGGCCAAGGCGGGCGGATCACTGGAGGTCAGGAGTTCGAGACCAGCCTGGCCAACACGGTGAAACCCCCGTCTCTACTAAAAATACAAAAATTAGCCAGGTTTGGTGGCGCACGCCTGTAATCCAGCTACTTGGGAGGCTGAGGCAAGAGAACTGCTTGAACCAGGAGGCAGAGGTTGCGGTGAGCCAAGATCGCACCACTACACTCAGCCTGAGCAACGGGGCGAGACTCCATTTTAAAATAAAAAAAGAACTACCATAGGATGCTACAGTTTCACTCCTAGGTGTATACTCAAGAAATGAAAACAGATATTCAAGCAAAAACTTCCACACAGCTGTTTGTAGCACTGTTCACAACGGCCAAAAACTGGAAACAAAGTGTTCATCAACTGACAAATGGAAAAACAAACCACATATCCATACAATGGCATGTAATATACATATATATATATTGGCCGTAAAATGGAATGTTGCACTGGCCTGTGCCACAGCATGGGCGAGCCTCGGAAATGCCGCACCAAGTAAAAGAACCAGACACAAAGGGCTGCATGCTGTGTGAATGCGCTCCAATGAGAGATCCAGAACCGGCAAATCCATGGAGACAGAAAGCAGATTCGTGTTGTCAGGGTCTGGGCCAGGGCAGTGGGAGTGGCGGCTGATAGGCTGTAGAAGTGGTGGCCGTACAACATTTTGAAGGTAGTAAATGCCATTGAATGGTTCATGTCAAAATGGTGAATTTTCTATTATGTAGATCTTACCTAATGAAAACATAAAGGAAGAACCCAGGCAAGGGGGCTGGTGCTTTAGGGGCCCGGCGTGGCACCCCTGTGACAGCAACCCTGCACACGCCGAGGACACACCCTGCGGAGCCTGAGCTTACAGTTGTAGAGGCTGCTCCACGGCCAAGGACCCTGTGCAGCTCTTCCTGGGGTCTCACTGCTGTGACCAAGGGGTGGCTGTGTGCCAGGCTTGGAGACGAGGTGTCCACAGGCACAGCCACGAGGCTACACACAGGGCAAGGGGGCCAAAGCGTGGCCAGAGTCAGGGGCCAGCTCCTCTGTACTTTCACATTCTGGCAAAAAACAAAAAAACAAACAAAATAAAAAACAGGAGGAGGCCAGAATTCTAGGTTCCGCCTCTAACCTTATTGTCCTATTGGGTTCATTTGCTTTAATTTGGGTTCAATTTTGAGGGGTTGGTTTTTTATTTAATTTTTTTTTAATTATGGAAGATGTTAGCATGGTTCCAAAGTCAGACATACTCAGAGAGGGCTACTCCTGTCTCTGTCCCATCCCCCATTCCCTCCCTCCCTAGAAGTCATTTTTATCTGCTGCTGGTGTATCCACGTTTCCTTTTCCAAATATAAGCAAGCAGAATATGGGTTTTAGTCTCCCGCCATTTCTTACATAAAAGGAAGATACTCTGCGTTGTTTCGTGCCTTGTGCTTTTCCTTTGGCAGTGGGTATCGGAAACCTCCTTCCAGCCACGGAGCTCTTCTCCTTCGCCGGTGCGTAGCCCCTGACTGCGTGGAGATCACAGTTTCCTCAAGCAGCTTCTCCTACTAGACGTTTCCTGCAGTGACAGCTTGTGCCTGCGTCACTTTGTATTTCTGCCAGTGAATCTGTTACCTAATTTTTTTTTTTTTTTAGATGGAGCCTCACTCTGTTTTTGTATTTTTAGTACAGACAGGGTTTCACCATGTTGGCCAGGCTTGTCTCGAACTCCTGACCTCAAGTGATTGCCTCGGCCTCCCAACGTGCTGAGGTTACTGTGAGCCACCACGCCTGGTCCTCTTACCTAATATTTGGGGATGATAAATTAGCAACAAACAATTCATAGGTACCCAAATTAAAACTTGAAAAGCTTCCTTTTTCTAATGTATATGAATGTGGTGTTGTATCTCTTTTCCAGAATACTTTCACAGCTGTGGTATCATTTAATCTCACGCCAGCCCTGTGAGATGTCACAGGCGTTCACTGAGCAAAGCCTGAGTTCAAAATGAGGATTTCTTTTGGGGAACTAGATACTGTTTTTAAAAGTATTTTGAAAGATTCTCTGTTGTTTGGCTAGCGTCTCTATTCAGTGGAAATCAAATGCTAACTTTAATATTTATTTATTAAGTAATGAAATTGAAAACCTGGGCCTTTGGCATAGTTTGCTGTTACTTTTCATACACAGCAGTTTTAAAATTTGTCTTTGTAATTTGTCACGTTGAAGTGAGTGAACTAGATTTTGGAATCCTCTAGCTCACCATTAACAAGCCCTGTTTTCGGTCACAGTGTGAATGACCCCGCTTTAGGATTTTAGAGTTAACCTCACTAAGTGCAGAAACTGTAAGACAGGGCCGGGCGCTGTGGCTCACGCCTGTAATCCCAGCACTCTGGGAGGCTGAGGTGGGTGGATTACCTGAGGTCAGGAGTTCGAGACCAGCCTGGTTAACCTGGTGAAACCCCGTCTCTACTAAAAATACAAAAGTTAGCCGGGTGTGGTAGTGCACGCCTGTAGTCCCAACTACTCTGTAGGCTGAGGCAGGAGAATTGCTTGAACCCAGGAGGCAGAGGTTGCAGTGAGCCAAGATCACACCACTGCACTCCAGCCGGGGCGACAGGGCGAGACTCCATCTCAAAAAAAAAAAAAAAAACAAAAAAAAAAAAAACAAAACAAAACTGTGAGATAGCTCCTGAATGGGCAGATAGGGTTTAAAATTAAAAGGCCCTCTGGCCAGGAGCTGGAAGTTGGTGTTTGTTTTCTTTGTAACCACTCTCTGGTCCTTGATCTGTCCCTACTTAGACGCTTACATCTGAGACCAATCCACGGTTACCTTTTCCTCTCACTCCCCAGTGGGACCCACACATGGGCTGTCTTTAATGCACACCCTGTCAGTCTGTGACATTGACAGGCAGGAACTGAACCAAGCATGTGGGTAGAAAGGCTCCAATTAGGAGCAGAGGACAAGAGGGAACCAGAGTCAGCCCCTCATGTACTGATCTCGAGGGTCTGGTCCTGTGCAGGGTTGAATGATCTGAAGCTCTTTTCTCGTGGTCCTAAATTAGCTGAAGGAAGTGCGTGAGGCCAGCAGGGGTCTGTGAAGGGGCAGCTTGCTGTGTGCAGAGACAGAGGTGACGGGCGAGGCTGCTGCAGTGCCTGCCTGACGGTGCTGACGGAGTTCTGAGCGGCAGCAAGCCGAGCGTGTGTCTTTCTCCCACCGGAGGTGTGGGTGACAGGTGCTTCCAGAAACTGCTGAAGGCTGCAGGCCTCTGCAGAAAGGCGGTCTCCTCATGGGCGTGTGTCGGCCTAGGTCCTGCCCAGTGTCACGACATCACATCTGCCCGGCTGTGCCCAATACAGGTGCACAGGCCCCATATCAACCTGCTGCTGCTGCTTGAAACAGACAACCCCTCTTTCACTGCCACCAGCCCCTGCTCAGGTTCATCCCTTCTGTTGCTCGTGAGAGGACAGACACATTCGTGGGACAGTTGAGGCAGGGGACAGGCCCCTGTCAGGTGTGTGCTCAGTGGCCGCTGGCCCCAGCCTAATGAAATTCATTTCATTTAATCCGCAAGTCCAAGTTTGTGTTAATCTTGAGTGGTGTAGGTTTTTCACACCAAGGAGAGTCCCGAGAGCCCACTTTGGATCCACTCGTGTTTCTAGATCGTGTGACCGCAGCAGCCGTTGAGAGGACTCTGGGCTCGTCTTGGCAGGCACAGTGCCTCTTTATAAACCCACCAAGCGGTTAATTTCATGTGGACATCTCAGTTTCTGCCACATGCATTTTCTCTAAAGAAATGACTGAATTCTCTTAGTGTTGAAAATGCATGGGATTGTAAACCTGGCCCTTTTAATGAGCTGCTGCTGTAAGACTTGAGGAGTCCGTCGCAAACGATCGTCCCGTGGGCTGCGTGCCCAATCAGCAGGTGCATTGTCCAGTCTCTGTTGGTGAACCGCAGTGCACCAAACCTCAGGGACAGCAAGAGTGCGGATGTGAGTGACAGCGTTCTGGATCACACAGGGTTGCTCTGTGTCCCCTTCTTCCCTCCCCTCCAGCCCCCATTAGAGAGCTTGTGGCACAGTCCCTGGCACCTTACAGTTCAGTGGCAGCTTTCCCACGGACCCCCTGGGCTGTTTCTCGAGATGAGGCCGCCCTGACATGAAACTAGATTTGACTCCTCTCCTCCGCCACTCATGCAAGATGACCGAGAGTCACAGATAAGTTTTCCTGCATTCCAAGTAGTGATACAAATGCTGTGATGAGTTAAATGAGCCATCCTCATTCAGTCATCGTGGAGAAAGCAGCAGTGAGTGTTTGCTGTGTTGTGAAGTGCAGCTGGGGGACTGATTGCAGACTCGAGGGGTGTTTAGACTCACACCGAGGGAAACGTCCCTCCTGTTTTCTGCTTCCCATCGAGCTTGTCCTGATTGTGCCCTCTGTGGTGCTTTTCCCCTTGCGTCCGTACTATCTGGGCGGAGCACGTGTGTCCAGGGCTTTGTGTCCTGTGGTGATAAGAGCACTGGCTGGGGCATCTGTGCCACTGTGACTCTCCATGCCTGACCCAGCTAGAACCCTGCAGGAGAACTGCCTCTGCTTCCTTCGTGCCTGGTGCCACCACCTGCCTAGAAACGGGCAAGGGTGGCTTGGGCTGTGAGCTGCTGCTACTCTCAGCTCCCTGGGGGAGCCCGTGGCCACAGGAGAGGGAGGGACAGTATGCTGATGCTTCTTGGGCTTGCGTGGCACCTCCCGAGGCCCAGGGGAGGGCAGGAGAGCAGGAGGAGGCAGGAGAGAGAGGCGCTGAGGAAGGAACTTGTCGTAAATCAGGGAGTGAGTGCACCCAACGGCTTCTCCCAGCTGCTTCCTGTCAGGGTGTGGAAGGAGGCATGATGTGCAGAGGACCGGGGGGACTTGGCACAGCCACGGGAAGGCGGCTGCCCCACCGGCCTCACGCTGGCTTCCCACATCACGGGGGCTTGGCGAGGAAGGGAGAGAGCAGGCACGAGAGGTCAGTCGTGCCGGGCCCTTGGGGTACGTTCACCCTGGCACTCCCGATGCCTTCCCTACTGCAGAGCTGGGCCTCTGCCTGGGGCTCTAGAGAGCCGGTGGTCACGAGGTGCACGTGCTCGCCCCGTCCTGCCACAGAGGAGGAGGATGTGTGCTCGCTCAACACAGGCAGTGCTGGGATGGGGAGACGTGTGTTTCTGTCCCCTCAAACAAAACACTCACTTTGAAAACATCCAGAGGCCTTCGTTCTAAAGTAGGAAGGTGGGCTCCTCCCTGAAGGAGCTTCCTCTCTGCTTTCTCCCCTCAGTCTGTCTGGGACAGAGGAGGAAGAGATAGACTGAGCAGGTGCTGGCCGCCTTTCTCCATCCCTTACAACGCCACGAGCTTCAGCGCCATCACGTAGTCCATTCTGATGGCCTTCTCTCCTTAAAATTCTCCTGCGTCAGCTCGCCACATGTGTATGACCTTGCCCCTGTACATTTCCATGAGAACACAGAAAGTGACTGCTCTTCCCACAAGCCCTGATGTCAGGGCAGCCTGGAAGCCTTGACCCCGCCTGCTGGTGTCTGTCTTTAGAGCAGGGTTCAAAGTGGAATCTTATAGAAAGTGGTATAATTGGTTTTTAATACGCTACCTTTGAAGGGACTCATTGCGTGCCTGTTCATATGCGGGCTGCTCTGTGGTCGGTGGTTGCGCTCTCCCGGCTCCTCCCGTGCCCCGTGTGTGCCTCGCATTTGGCGGCTCAGCGCTTCCTGAAACGGGGTCCTGGGTGATTCCGCAGGGCCCTTCGCACTATGGAACACGTCTCAGATTGTATCGATGATTGGTCCAGGCAGGAGAAGACTGGCCATCATTCCACCACAACAATCCAAATGGAAGATTCCCCTGTGTTTGCTACTATAAATCAGGTCATAAAAATGTGGGAAGGAATAATGGACTCTTTCTAGAAACTGGAAGATGTTTTGCTAGATGCTCCTTTTCGTCAGGATGTTTTGTCTTTAAGGACAATGTCTTGGGTCCCTTAGGCCATCTTCGACAGAAGCAAGACTGTACCCAGGAGCCAAAATCTAAAATCCTATTCTAGCCTGTCCTTTGCTGGCCGCATGGCCAGGAGTGGGCCAGCCTTCATGTCTGGAAAGAGAGTCCCCCATCAGAGGGGCCTGCATCGCACCACACACCAAAACCCAGCAGCGAAAATTGAAAAACAGCCAGAATTTGAACCTTGGGGTTGGAGCTAAAGAACCTGCATTAAACATTTTCTTTAATGGTAGTTTTTTTATTTTAGAAAACACACGGACACTCTCTGCCTTTTTCCTTTGCTTTCCCATTCACACGGAGGCGAAATGCCACTGCTCTTACCCTGTTCAGTTCTTGTATTTGCCACATCAGGATTCCTCAGTCCAGACTGAGCTGTGAATATTCTTCCTTCCTGACAGGGGGAGTCGGTGAAGTACTTCCTGGACAACTTGGACCGGATCGGCCAGCTGGTGAGTAAGCACGCCCGCCCGAAGAAGCTGGGCTCCAGGGTTAGAAAACGTGTCCAGAGACCAAAGCAGTCCACGTTGTGAGGACTTTGGCTGGACTGACAGGCCGAGCTTGTTCTGTCACATTACCACGAATAGTACTGTAATGGCACGCTCTCACTTGGATCTGGGCCCCGTCTCAGTGGGGAGGGGAGGAAACTGCCTTTGCCCAGATCACCATAAAGGAGACAGACAGAGGAGTTCATGAGTGAAAGGAGGACTTCCTTTATCTCATGGAAAATTCAAACATACTCAAAAACAAATAGTCTAATGAAACCCCAGGCATGGCAGTTATCACTGATTACCAGTCTTGTTTCAGCAGCCCTCCCCCGGCCTCCGGGAGCAAATGCAGAGAATATTTTAGAGTGTACCTCAAAAAGACAAGACGAAAAATGACAACCGCAGTACCGTATGGCTCCTGAAAAATTGGCAGTAATTCCGTAATGTCAACCTAGTCAGTTTAGAGATTTTCCCTGTTGTCTCATTAATGTTTTCATGTTGATTTTGCTTTGTTTTAGCAGAGTTTGAATCAACAACCTAATAAGGTCATGCATTGCCATTGGTCAGGATCACTTAAGTGTTAATCTGTATGTCTCTCCTTTTTTTCTTTCAACTTGTTTATTGGAGTAACTGGATTATTTATCCTGTAGGGTTTCTTACCATGTGGACTTTGCTCTTCCACCCCTGCAGTGTTATTGAAGATGTTTCTCTGTCCCCTGCACACCCCGTGGGTGGTAGTCAGACCTCTAGATCGAGGCATGATCATGTCCGTGTTTGGTGTTTTGGCAAGAAGCTGCCTGAGTGGTGTGTGCACTCATCACGGGAGGTGTTTTGTTGGTTTTTTGTTCTGTTTTGTTTTTCGATTTTTTGAGACAGGGTCTCACTCTGTCACCCAGGCTGGAGTACAGTGGCACGATCGTAACTCATTGTAGCCTCAACCTCCTAGGTTCAAATGATCCTCCTGTCTCGGCCTCCCAAGTAGCTGGGACTATAGCATGAGGCACCACGCCCAGCTAATGTTTTTACTTCTTGTAAATATGGGGTTTTACTATGTTGCCCAGGCTGTTCTTGAACTTCTGGGCTCAAGGTATTCCTCCCACTTCCCAAAGCACCAGGATTATAGGTGTGAGCCACCGTGCCTGGCCTGGAGGATTATTAATAGTGCAAAGTCAAAGTGAGTGAAGAGTATGCTTGCCTGTGTGTCGCTAAAGACTTAAAGAATTGTCTAAGAATAACATTAAATGTATTGCAGATTGAATTTACATCACATTCAAAACCTAAATTAATTCACAGTAAGGTTTTGGAAGCTATAAGCTTTAGGAGTTAGAAAAATAAAAAGGTATCTCTGGTATGGAAACAAAAAAGATGGTAAATTTCCTCTGGAGAAGAAAATGGATGTGGTTTTGCGCTGGGCCTGCCCACGAGTGTTCTGAGCATTCGTCCTCAGACTGGTGAGCCTCCGTTCGTTTTGAAATGAAGTATTTGATTCTTTCTGTTTCACGGCCAGTTGATAATGTTATAAATGAAATTTGCTTTTGGTTTCTGGTTCAACCTGTTGCAAAAGTCAGTCTCTTTCCTTCTTATCTTTTTGCCATCTTTTTGTTTCTATTTTCTCTGTTCTTTCTTCCTCCCCCTAAATTTCTGCCTCATCCTGTATTTTACAGAATTACTTTCCTAGTAAGCAAGATATCCTGCTGGCTAGGAAAGCCACCAAGGGAATTGTGGAGCATGACTTCGTTATTAAGAAGATCCCCTTTAAGATGGTGGATGTGGGCGGCCAGCGGTCCCAGCGCCAGAAGTGGTTCCAGTGCTTCGACGGGATCACGTCCATCCTGTTCATGGTCTCCTCCAGCGAGTACGACCAGGTCCTCATGGAGGACAGGCGCACCAACCGGCTGGTGGAGTCCATGAACATCTTCGAGACCATCGTCAACAACAAGCTCTTCTTCAACGTCTCCATCATTCTCTTCCTCAACAAGATGGACCTCCTGGTGGAGAAGGTGAAGACCGTGAGCATCAAGAAGCACTTCCCGGACTTCAGGGGCGACCCGCACAGGCTGGAGGACGTCCAGCGCTACCTGGTCCAGTGCTTCGACAGGAAGAGACGGAACCGCAGCAAGCCACTCTTCCACCACTTCACCACCGCCATCGACACCGAGAACGTCCGCTTCGTGTTCCATGCTGTGAAAGACACCATCCTGCAGGAGAACCTGAAGGACATCATGCTGCAGTGAGCGAGGAAGCCCCGGGGTTTGTCGTCGTTGAGCAGCCCCCACGGCTGTCGGTCAGACTCTTGGGTGTGTGTTGTCTGTGTGGTCCTTGAGTGGGTTTCTCGGATCCGTGCCCTGGAATACCTGGCTCAGGAATGCTGTCAGACCAGCCAGCCAGCGAGCTCTAGGCAAAAGGACATGGAAACTGTCACGTTAGCTACTGAATCCTGGGGGCGAGTGAAACTACTGAAAATCCGAGTGATGATGTTGTGAATACGGAACACCTAATCACACAGCTTGCTTTGCTTTTACAGAAACGTTCCTCTTTTTCTGACGCAGTTTAATTGAGGACCGTGTTGTGTGTGTATGTGTGTACACACGCTCTGTCTTTAATGACAGAAACACAAAAACCAGCTGGCCTTGCAGACGGCTTTTCTAACTCACAAGTCTTCCCTGAGACAGACTAACCTGAAAGCTTTGCCTAACAGTAGCTTGTAGAGATCCAGTGCACGCCGATGCTGCTAAACTCAGTGCCTGAGCCCGGCCCTGCAGCCCCAGCCGCAGTGTCTGAAGGCCACCTCCCAAAGGGAGCACGTTGCCTTTTCAAACTCCCGTGCCGATTTCCTAAGAGCCCCTAGTCCAAGCCTCTCAGATGAAGCTGAGGAGCCGTGCCTAGGATCCCTTCCCAGCTCTGAGGACGGGCTGCAGAGCTCTGCAGGTGTGGATTCACCTTACGCCCCTACAGCAGGCTCAGCCCTTCCCACCCTGCCCCATGCCCAGCAGCACAACACGGAGTGAGACAGGATGCCCACGGTGACTGCCGCTCCGTCCGTGCACACACAGCGGTGCTCTTCTCCCCTTAGCCACCCACTGCCCAACCCAACGGCAAAGACACAGAAACCAGGTCCCCTTGCAGACGGCTCTCCCATCTTCCTGCAAGTCATCTGCTCACACACAGTTGGCAGCACATAGCGTTTCCTTCTTTCAGAAACATTCCTCTTCTGGGGCTTCAGAAAGCTGGCAAGGCCACTAGCAGAGCTTTTGTTAATGCCCCAGCTGCTTGGCGAGCTAACAGCTGACCTTTCGGGAAGCCCACAGACGCTGGAGGAATCTTGAGTTTCTCCAAACTGCCGCTCCACCAGTGCCTTTGGACAGCCGTGCCTGTTCGCCGCTCTCCCTAAGTCTGATTCTCATCGAGGCCCCTCGCTTCTATGACTGTGCTTGCAGAAGAGTAAACACTCTCGGATGCCGCTGTCCTGGGGGAGCCCGCGGGAGCCTGTGAATGTTGATACGAGCTGGCCAGTCCTGGGCCCAGCTCACTTGTCCAGCTACCTGCCAGGTGGCTTTCACTGTGTTTAAAATACATTGCATTCCAAGCTGGTCCCCTCTGTGTATCACTCTACTGAGAAATCCTGCCTAGTGTGTTTTGGGATGTGTCCTAGCATTTACAAGAAAATGAAAAGCGTCCTCTTAATTGGCACCCGAATGTTGCTGTGGCTCAGTCACATATCCCAGGGCCCTCGTCCCGAGGCCGTGCTGCCCCGAGCCCCGAGCCCCTCTGCAGCTCACCCTTGGCTTGTTTTCCGCAAACCCGGTAAACGCAAGCCCTTGGGGCAGATGCAGAAGCAGAAGAGGGAGGGGAAACCTGCCTCTGGGTCACCCTGTTAGCACAGCGTTCTCATCGGGAGACAGCATGGAACTCTCTCTCGCAGTGCTCGAGGCTGTGTGTCAGTGTTTGCTGGGCTTGTGGCTCCTTTTTTGGCTGGATAAAGAAGTCGCTGTTTTTGTACTGCTTCTGTGGCTCTTCACAGACCTCACGGATGTGACCGGAGATGAGTGCCGATGACCACGTTTTAAAGGAGAAAGAGAGCTCCTGGTGGGGCCCTCGGGGTGGTCTCAGGTCCCATTTGCAGTCTGCAACAGTGACGCGCAGCCCGGTCCGGAGCGTGGTGAGCTTTGTTTGCCTTCTGGGTCAGCTTTCGCTGTGTCTCCTGTGTGTGTTAGAATCCAGAGCCCAGAGGAAGTGCAAGCGGGTCCTCCGCCAACGGGGAGAGCCTCTTCGCGGCGCTGTTGGCGACAGCAGCGCTGTGATTCGCGTAGCAGGGGAGTTGTTTGAAACACCTTCCTGAGTAGTCCGGCCTTGTCAATGAGTGCTTGTTTTCCTTTAAACAGTCTGACATATTTACTCGTCACTTTCAAACCAGAAGCATGAGAGGAAGGAGATATTGTGGGGTCCGTTTAACTCGATAGAAAGCGCAGGGGGATGGCCCCCGGCGCGGGCTCTTGACCCGCTCAGCGCTGACCCCACCGCCCTGGCCGAGGCACTTGGCCTTGCTGAGCTGGACTTCCTCCTCCTCCTCCTCATGACCGGGGTGAATTAGAACGTTTTTAAAGACACCCCCTTCCAAATTCTGTAACACATTGTAATTGGAGAAGAAGGAAACTCTGCAAGGCTAAACTGTCATTCACAACTTGGCTACACATAGACTCTAGTCAGTTTTGTCTCCAGAACCTTAGGCTTTTGTATTTTTTAATTTTAATTTCACTGTTAATCCTTATTGTCTTTTTTATTAAGATGTTGGAAAAGCAGGAGGTAGTTGTGCCTCAATTATTGCAAAAATGTAACAATAAAGTTCCTCAAAATAAGATCTGTTCCTCATAGCTATACTGTGTACACATAAGACGCATATAGGGTTTTACTGAAATCTATTTTTAACTCTTATGTTCGTAGAGAAATTGTTTCAAGGATTTTGAGTCATAGGTCTGTAATTTATAGAGATCTCTAGAATTCTTATTGTAATTTTCCTACTTCTTTGATAAAAGAAAAATAAGTCAGATTGTTAACTCCAAGATTGAAAAAAAAAACTCTTGAAAGAAGATTATTAGTTGTAACTAATTTAGGGGTTCTGGGCACAGACATCTAACCTGGTATTGTAAGGCAGAGGCTCCCATTGGAATGGTAGTGGTCCGGGTCAGTTGTTCATGGTGTAAGCTTTGCACAGTGTATTAACATTGGGAGGGTCTGGCTTGAAAATTTGGCCACCCTCAGCCTCTGAATGTTTATTAAAATAAATTTAGTCTTTCTTTGCTTAATATAAAATAGTGCCAGTATTCAAAACCAACACTAAATTGATTTTTCATTCCCCAGGATTCACAGCAGATCACTCTCATCCTAATTTTTTTTTTTTTTTTTTTTTTGAGACAGAGTCTCCCTCCACCTCGTGGGTTCAAACGATTCTTCAGCCTCAGCCTCTCAAGTAGCTGGGTCTACAGGCGCCCGCCACCACACCCAGCTAATTTTTTGTATTTTTAGTAGAGACAGGGTTTCACCATGTTGGCCAGGGTGGTCTCTATCTCCTGACCTCGTGATCGGCCCACCTCAGCCTCCCACAGCCTCCCACAGTGCTGGGATTACAGGCATGAGCCACCACACCCAGCTCTAATCCTAATGTTATTTGAAGGTGGTTTATTATTTATTCATCACAGTTTTTATTTCCACATACCAAACAAAGCCTGGCATGTAGGAGAACCATTGTAAATAATACAGGTGTGGCTCACACCTATAATCCCAGCACTTTGGGAGGCCAAGGTGGGAGAATTGCTTGAGTGCAGGAGTTTGAGACCAACCCAGGCCACAAGAGACCCCATCTTTACGGATAGAATCAGCTGGGCATGGTGGTGCATGCTTGTAGTGCCAGCTACTTGGGAGGCTGAGGCAGAAGGATCGTTTGAGCCCAGGAGCTTGAGGCTACAGCGAGCTGCGATCGCACTCTGCACTCCACCCTGGGCAAGAGCAAAGACCCCATCTTAAAAATAAATGAAGATGGCCGGGCGCAGTGGCTCATGCCTGTAATCCCAGCACTTTGAGAGTCCGAGGCGAGCGGATCACAAGGTCAAGAGATCGAGACCATCCTGGCCAACATGGTGAAACCCCAACTCTACTAAAAATACAAAAATTAGCTGGGTGTGGTGGTGGGCGCCTGTAATCCTAGCTACTCGGAAAGCAGAGGCAGGAGAATCGCTTGAACCCGGTAGGCAGAGGTTGCAGTGAGCCGAGATCATGCCACTGCACTCCAGCCTGGTGACAGAGTGGGACTCTGTCTCCAAAAAAGTAAATAAATAAAGTTGTGTTCCAGAGGCTTTTATTCAAAACACTTTTTATTTTTAAAGCATGGCATGGCAGCATATACACCTAAACACATGCATGTGAGCATGAGAGGCCTCGCTCTCCAAGATCAGAAGCTGGGAGGGGAAGGACCTTGACGTGCTCTGGAGACCAGCGGTGCCCATGGGGATGGCAGGTGGAGGTTCTGTCCTCACAACCCCTGGGGTTATCGTTCCAGCCAGAAAGCGAAGAGACCACTCACAGGAAGCAAGGGCACCGTCCGGTCCTCGGCGTGGTGTGACCAGAGCTCTCATGCTCAGGCCTCCACCATAACTTGCTCTTCGGCATCACGGGGCATCTCTCTTCTTGCCCAAACAAGCAGCTTTCTGGAAAGAGGAGTGGGGATGCCACTTAGCACCATTAGCCCATGTGTGGCTGGTGGGGGCTTGAACTGACCACAAGTGGGAAAGGCAGAGAGTGCGCCAGAAAAACACCTGCCCTGAGCACACAGTGTGCTCCGACTGTAGGCTGAGCTCTGGGAGCCTGGATGTCCTCACGTCTCCATGCTGGATGATGTAGTGGCTCTCTGCCCTGGGGACACAGTCGAATCACCTGAGGAGCTCTCACCCGGGCAGTGTGCTGAGCCGCCAGGCCTGAGACACCAACTCATACAGGTTTCTCCATGTCCCAGGCGGTTCTGATGTCAGCCAGGGTTGACAGTCACTGAAGAGGCAAGCTGGGAGGTTCCTTCCAGGTTTGGGGACATCCATGTTTAATGTGGTGAGGATTGTATTTCACCGTGTAACGTGCCACCAAGGTCTTCTCACTGTGGCCAGCAACCTGCCTCGAGAATTGCGGGGATGGTGGGTTTTCTTTGGTGATTTAAGGGCAGAGATGAAATCCTTGCTAATCTTTCCTCACGCACATGCAGCCTTTCCAAATCTGGTAGTGCCATTTCTCTGTAAGGTGCATCACATGTGCTTAGCAGTCTCTTTCCGAAATGATTGCTTGAAATTCAGGAGGCTTTGCTTTGAAGAGGACAGGCCACTTTAAGACTTGCTTAATTTGCACAGCAGCCCCGGGGAGAGATGGTCCTGAAATATGGGATCCTGGTGTTTCCTTGAAGCCTTGGCGTTCAGGGGAGCTGGTCCAGACCTGAGAGTCGGTGGGGGGACTGCAGCGGGCGGGCTGGACGCCTGTATACAGAGGCACCAGGGGAGGGTCTGGCACTGCGTGCCCTGGAAGGGGATGGTTCACTGACATCAGCCTTTCAATCTCGTGATCGTTTTGTGAGGCGTTGTGTTGGACCTGGAACAGAAAAGCGTTAGGTTTCCCAAGAAAGGAGCTGAAGCCGCCTTTTGAGCAGGCCTCAACGGCGGCTGACAGGCGACCAGGGAGAGGCAGAGTCTACGGTTTTCGGGGGTAACTGAGCTCTGGGAGTGGAGCCCACAGGGTGTGGACGTGCTGCTCCTGCCTCCAGGTCCCAGGTTCATGGCCTGTCTTGCACGCTCTCTGGAGGAAAGTCTTCAGGTCACTGAGACCTGCCCTATGGCTTCTCATTCACTTGCTGCTCCATCTCTCCCTCCAGAACCCTCTGGAACTTGGAGGCAGGTTATTTGCGGTGTTCAGGGCGCCATATTGAAATAGACGCATTGGATTTCTGGGCTGCAGTATTGGCATCTCCTCGGGTGGAAGCTCACTTCAGACACAGGTCACTGCTCCCTGGAAGCATCCTTCGCCCTTCCCCTCGCGCAGCTGTGTCCGTCTGGTGCCGCGGGCCCAGGGCAGCCCCTTCTAGGAGATGCTGGCGTGGCGTGGTTCTGCCTACCGCAGGCCATGGCCATGGCTCCAGCCCCTGAACCCGGAGGACCTGAGGGCCCAGAACAGCCATGCTTTGGGCCTTAGCTAATCCACATCCCACTGAACTAGTCCCTGGCAGATAAGCTTTTCTCAGTGTTTGAATTTCCCATTCACAGGGTGCGCTCGCAGAACCCAGCAGGAGGGAACAGGAGGTCCCTAGAAGTGAGGGAGTTCCAGATACCCCGTCCTGGTGGATGCTGCTGCAAGTTAGTGTTTGTGTGCGGTGAGGGGTAGGAAGTGGGTAGAACTCAGAAATAGACCACAGTGCTTCTGCGCAGAAAAGCAGACCACCCGCTGGGGTACCGGCTTCTCTGTCCTGGCGGATCCGGGTGTGGCGGGGACGAGAATCGCTCCCATGCTTAACCCTGACGTTTGGAAATCCTTCCCGGACATTGTCATTGTGAGACTCTCACGCGCCCGGCAGCCTCGGCACGTGGCTGACGGTGATTTGCTGGAAGTCGTGTTGGAAATGCGGCTCAGTGGCTGACTTCACAGTAGTAGAAACAGCTCCACCCAAAACTTAGGTGCTTTTTCTTAAGCAGGTTCAAGGAGGTTATTTTCTCCCTTTGGTTTTCTTTCGGATGTGTGTTGTAACATGAACCAAAGCGGGACACAGGTGCAGTTACCGTGGGGTCCCACGTCAGCCTGAATTTCCTGCCGGGCCGACACACAGCCTGGCCCTCGTGGGTGGGGTGGGAGGGTGCAGAGAGGCACAGAGGGCCATGGTCGGTGGAAGGGCTTCCCGTCTCTTGCCTGGTCCTGTTGGTGAAAATGAAGGGCTCTTGTTCCAGGCCTGTCACCTTGGCACCCTTTAATTAACAGTGAACTCACTTCATTCTGTGATTTTAAAAGCTGATGCATTTCACCCAAATGAACGTAACCCCACCTATTTGTCGTTGAAGTAGAGCTTTCCTGGAGGACCACATCTTCTCGACAGGTCGCAGGTCTGGCCTTGCCCGGCGCTGGTGAGCCCCAGCTGGCTTAGACCGTGTAGCTCGTCTGTTAAAGTCTGACCAGAAGTGGCCGGGCGCAGTGGCTCATGCCCGTAATCCCAGCACCTTGGGAGGCTGAGGCGGGTGGATCACGAGGTCAGGAGTTCAAGACCAGCCTGGCCAAGATGGTGAGACCCGCCCCCCCACTCCCCATCTCTACTAAAAATACAAAAAATTAGCCAGGTGTGGTGGCAGGCGCCTGTAATCTCAGCTACTCGGGAGGCTGAGGCAGAGAATTGCCTGAACCCAGGAGGTGGACATTGCAGTGAACTGAGATGACGCCACTGCACTCCAGCCTGGGCAACTGAGCAAGACTGTCTCAAAAAAAAATCTGGCCAGAAGTCCAGTCGAGGGAAAGTTTATCGCCGCAGAGACAGATGTAGGGGTGGTCAAGAGCGTGGCCCTCTGTGAGGAGGATGTAAAGTCCTCCAGGCCCAGCTCCGGGGCTCTCTGGTACTAGCTCCAGGCGCAGAGGGAGTCTCTGAGAACAGGGTTGCTGGGGACAGCCGCGGTGCCTGACCTGCAGGCCTCCATCGTTGCTGTCTGCAACTTCAGCCTCTGCCCTGAAGCTGTGGGGAAAGCTGATCTGAATCGTCCCCGAGAGCTTGGGGAGCGCCGAGGGGGCATGCAGGGCTGTGGCCAGCAGCGTGAACCCCTCGAGACTGTGGCACCCCTCCTCCTCCTCAGTCCGACAGCTGGCTCCCAAGGGATCTCCCGCAGCCTCGGGGTGATGCAGGAGATCTTCGCCACCAATGTGTTTCCCATCTGTGCTCCTCAAAGAAGGTCAGTACAAACTAGGCCGAGGACACTTGGTCAGGTAGGAGACTTTGAAACTCGGGCATCAAGAACTGAACCAGACCTGCATCTGGAAATCACACGAATGAAGTTGGTTCTTTGTGGCTCTCCCGCTCACCCAGGCTGTCTGGATGCACCCGGGTGCATGTTGCCACATTCCCCTGCAAACAGGTGCCAGCAGCTCTTGTGACTTAGCTGTGGGTGACAGGTGCTGAGCACGCGTCTGCAGCAGGGCCCCCACACAGCCCACAGGCACCGTGGGCTGTACACTCTGTGGTGCTTTCTTATTAGGAGTCAACCTGTTCAATTTTTTTTTCTTCTTTTATAAAATGTACTCAAGTCACATATAATTTCTACACCACTCACAGGTTGTACAACTGCCATGCAAATGCATTTCAGATTTACTTTTTTTTTACACAGTGAACCTTCTTGATTTTTATTTTGTTTTATTTTATTTTACTTTATTTTATTTTAAATATAGGGTCTTGCTCTGTGGCCCAGGCTGGAGTGCAGTGGTGTGATCATAGCTCATCGCAGCCTCAAAACTCCTGGGCTCAAGCAGTCCTCCCACCTTGGCCTTCCAAGTAGCTGGGACCACAGGCATGTGGCCACCACCCGCACCTGGCTAATTTTTAAATTTTGTATAGAGATGGAGTCTCACTGTGTTGCCCAGGCTGGTGTTGAACTCTTGGCCTCAAGTGATCCTCCCACCTCAGCCTTCCTGAAGTGCTGGGATTACAGGCATGAGTCGCTGCACCCAGTCTGGGTTCTTAACAAGCCTATGCAAAATTTAAAATCTCTGTTGCATCTGTCAGTCTCGAATCTCAAAAAATTACCTTTTGACCTGTCAGGCAAATTGGTTTAAAACATTCAAAATGTCCTGGCTGGGCACGGTGGCTCACGCCTGTAATCCCAGCACTTGGGGAGGCTGAGGCGGATGGATCACGAGGTCAGGAGATCGACACCATCCTGGCTAACACGGTGAAACCCCGTCTCTGCTGAAATATAAAAAATTAGCCGGGCATGGTGGCGGGCGCCTGTAGTCCCGGCTACTTGGGAGGCTGAGGCAGGAGAATGGCATGAACCCGGGAGGCAGAGCTTGCAGTGAGCCGAGATCGCGCCACTGCACTCCAGCCCAGGCGAGAGAGCGAGAGTCTGTCTCAAAAAAAAAAAAAAAATTCGAAATGCCCTTTTTCTTAACTCCATTTGAACCAGCTCACATCGATGGGCACAAGCGTCGCCAGGAAATTCAGTGTGGTAAGCTTGGCACCTACTCATGGCCACCGTGTCCTGAACTCCCTTTCCTGTGCTCAGGCCCCAGCCCACGCAGCAGGAGGACACACTGCCGAAGGGACCAGTTGGACGGCCTTCTGGCTTTAGCGCCTGTGCCTTTCAGGACCTTAAATACAGAAAGGAACCGAGTGCTCTGTGCAGCCCCTCCAAGACGGTCGCTACAGCGCCAGCACCACCTGCGCCGGGCCATCATGCCGTGACCGGACTTGGTTTACGAATACAGTGTACGAGGTTAAGATATGATAAAGTGTAAAAATATATGTTATAGCCACGGTGGTTAGTTTAACATGTTTTGTATATATGATTTTTATAAATCTATTAAAATGTGCCTTAAATTACACCTGTTTTCCTGGCGTGTTATGTCCCTGCCTCCCCCGCCACTGCTGAGAAGTGGGGGGCCCCTGAGTGTGGCACCCACCCGCCGCTATCTTTTTTTTTTTTTTTGAGACGTAGTCTCGCTCTGTTGCCCAGGTTGGAGTGCAGTGTCGCGATCTCGGCTCACTGCAACCTCCACCTCCCAGGTTCACACCATTCTCCTGCCTCAGCCTCCCAAATAGCTGGGACTACAGGCATCTGACACCACACCTGGCTAATTTTTTGTATTTTTAGTAGAGACAGGGCTTCACCGTGTTAGCGAGGATGGTCTCGATCTCCTGACCTCGTGATCCACCCACCTCAGCCTCCCAAAGTGCTGGGATTACAGTGACCCACTGCGCCCAGCCCACCTACTGCTTTCAAACAGAAGAATGTGTGTGGCAGTGGATTCTGCAGCATGCGTCGCATCCACGGGCTTCCAGAGTGCGTTCCACCGTGGGGCAAGCACCTTTCCCGAAGCAGAGGCCTCCTCACATCTTCCACACATCTGCGGTGCGCGGCAGGAGAGTGAGGTGAGCGCTCAGCACAGGGCCCGGCTCAGGCCTTAGTCCCTGTGCTTCCACTCCTGAGCTCCACCCTCCCCTGGCCTTTCCATCCCTCCCAGGCACAGGCGTCCTGGGTTGCTCTTCCTCCCGGCATTGGCAGGAACCTCCCGCGCCACCCAGTGTGTCTTCAATAGAGTCGGTCGTTTTGCAGCTGCTGGTCGCCACCACCAGACCTGTGGGCGTAAGGCAGGCAGCCAGCGATGACAGCCCGCAGGGTCACACAGGAAACATGCTGTGACATTCGTATAAACAGAAATAACGGGCTGGGCGTGGTGACTCACACCTGTAATCCAGGCACTTCGTGAGCCCGAGGCAGTAGGATTGCCTGAGCCCAGGAGTTCAAAACCAGCCTGGGCAACGTGGCTGAAACCCTGTCTCTACCAAAAACAAGTTTTTAGTTAGCTCAGTGTAGAGATACACACCTGTAGTCCAGCTACTTAGGAGGCTGAGGCAGGAGAGTCGCTTGAGCCCAGGCATTTGAGATAAGCCTGGGCAACATAGCAAGACCCCTGTATCTAAAATAATTTTTTTTTTTTAAAGGCTGGGCGCAGTGGCTCACACCTATAATCCCAGCATTTTGGGAGACTTCGGTGTTTCACTTGAGGTCAGGAGTTCAAGACCAGCCTGGCCAGCACGGTAAAACCCCGTCTCTACTAAAAAATACAAAAATTAGCCAGGCTTGGTGGCAGGCGCCTGTAGTCCCAGCTACTTGGGAGGCTGAGACAGGAGAATCGTTTGAACCCAGAAGGCGGAGGTTGCAGTGAGCCAAGATCGCACCACTGGACTCCAGCCTGGGCAACACAGACTCTGTCTCAATAAATAAAAATTCAAAAAAATAATGATCCCCTCCAGCCCCCAAAACACACACTAGTCTTTCTCTTTTTGTCACAGCGCATAAAAAGTGTTCACCCTGACGTGGGGAGACATGGAAACGGGGAGTGAACATTTGTGAAGTGACTCTTCATTTGACAGGTGTTTTAAAAGCCTCCAGCAGTGACTAAGTGTTTGTGGATGGGCGTCCGCGTGGGTAGATGAACCGGTCCATGTCAGCAGAGGAGCCGAGTCTCAGAGGGGAGCCGCGCTTTGCACGGAAAGCTCTGCAGCAGTGCGTGGCAGCCCTGTCGGTAGGTTCCCGTCGGCTCCTTGCCTTCTCAAATGCAAGGAATTGCTTATCGAATTCAACAGACACATTCTCTTTTCATTTAGCCTTCCAGAATTTCATCCTCTTCGTTTAAGCCCTTTTTAAAATTTGGAGTTGAGGCTGGGCACGGTGGCTGACGCCTGTAATCCTGGCACTTTGGGAGGCCAAGGCGGGTGGATCACGAGGTCAGGAGTTTGAGACCAGCCTGGCCAAGGTGATGAAACCCCATTTCTACTAAAAATACAAAAATTAGCCGGGCATGGTGTGGCAGGCACCTGTAATCCCATCTACGTGGGAGGCTGAGGCAGGAGAATCGCTTGAAACTGGAAGGCAGAGGTTGCAGTGAGCCAAGATCACACCATTGCACTCCAGGCTGGGCAACAAGAGCGAAACTCCATCTCAAAAAAAAAAAAAATTGGGGTTGATAGCATTTATTAATTTTGAGAATGAAAATGTAAGATGTAAGCATTATAGAAAAGCTGAGTAACAATTTATTTTGTATATCAAAGTCGTCCATCAGTCATTGCAGTATAAAATGTTCCAGGTGTATTTCCACTTGGACTGGATTTTTAAAAATAACTGTGCCATACAATCGAGCGGTGATCAAAGCTCATGTAATTAGGGCTAAGTCGTTCCCGTTGGGAGAGGCTATTGTGGGACTTGTGCGTCGGGCCAAGGGATGCTCTGGGCTCTGCTGTTGGAGCAGAGGAGGGAGCTCTGCCAGGCGCGCGGGCCTTTGCCCTCTTTAGGCATTGCTCCTGCTTGGGGGTCCGTGACAGACATCAGGTTATGCCATCAAGAGCCCCACGTGAAACAACTGCCTCCAAGTGGTGCAGGCGGGAGAGGCGGCCGGAGGATGGCAGGAATAAAGAGACACCCCCCTTCCGACAGGGGCCACCTGCCGTTCTGTCGGAGGAGTTGGGTTGGCAGCCGACAAAGCTGCTGCCCGCATCCTGCCCATCCAGTAAAGGCCTCGAGCCCTCACAAGGGGGCGCCCAAGAGGACGGCCACCACCCACCCAGAAGGGCACAGGTAGAATGTGGTAGAAGTTTGATCTCACTTCAGATGGGGGGGAAAAAAAAAAAAAAAAGTCGCCTGTTCTTGCAGCTTCCCTCCCTCTTTCCTTCCTGCTCATACATTTGGAATAAATGGCCGGAGCTCTCCTGTACCCCTGCCTGTGTTAAGCGACCCTGAGAAAAGCGTGTTCTCTGCCTCTTCCAACCCACTCCGTTTCCCGTGGTTTCTGTGACTCCCCTGTTCCCAGAGGCCTACCCCAGGTGGGCAGAGCACAGGGAGAGGAAGTCCCTGAGAGCCGGACGCAGCTCGGCCCTGGCCTGCCCGCTTCTCCCTGACCACAAGACCAAGCCCGGCTGCACAAGCCCTGTCCTGTTAGAAGGGACAGTGGAGCTCCTACGTGAGAAAGTGTTGGAAGAAATGGTGAAGAGTCCACTGCCTTCTGCTGCTGAAAGCCTGACCGAGAGGGGCGTCGGCTTCAGACTGGACCCCACACTGCCCCCGGGAGCCGTCAGCCGCGCTCATCACCTTCGTCCACGTGCCAGGTGAGTGGGCGCCCGCGGCTGCCACCAGCGTCCAAGAGTCAGGGCTGAACAAAACACGTCCCCATTCATTCCCGCTGGTCACAGACCACTGAAGGAGGCCCACGAGACAGACTCACAAAGCGCGGTGAGGGCCCTTGAACGGGAGATGGTCTTGGACTCGAGAAAGACGTGTTGGCCTTTGCTGAGAAGGGGCGGTTCAGTCATGCTGTATCCAGAAAACCAGGCACACTGTGGCGGGCAGAGCACCCTGCCTGAGAGAGAAAATGGACACTGGGCCCACAGTCAGGAGAGCCAGAGCTCTCGGCATCAGAGGAGCCCCAGGGTGGAGCCACGTGACTCCATGCCGGGCTCAGTTTCCATGTGACAGAAGTGCGTTCATTAAAAAGCCCAGGGAGCAGGCATCGAGGGAGGCCTCAGTGGTGGAATCTGGTAGGTGTCGTCTCTGGTTAATCTTGCGAGAGCTCGGGCCCCTCTCAGAGAGGGCAGGAGGTTGGACGGGCCTGGCTGCCGCGGACCCTCTGAGGGCCATTGTGGAGCCGCCGGGGGAGGCAGGGGCCGCCGTGTTTGCTCGACTCCGGTGACTATTTGGATTTGCCTCATCGTCACGGGAACACTGCAGCGGGGAAGAGTTGGACTGAACGCGTGGTGACCCCAGGACGCTTCTTGGAAATTGCTTTTTAAAATAAACCCCTGACATCAGCCTGTTTTCATTTGCCTCCCTACCCAAGAAGCTGAGTTCAAAAATAAACCTCCATTCTTCCGGGTTCTCATTCATCAAGGTGCTGCTGTAGGATGTCAGAAAAGGGAAGGCTCGGCCGGCCGTCTCCACCCGCGATCTGCATCTGTTTTTAACAGCGTTCGCAGGCCAGGGCTCTTTACAGTCAAGCCGGAAGTGTTTCCTAGATTACCCTGCGGTGTTTATCTTTGACAGCCTCGTGTTCCAAGAGCCATAAATTTGCTGCTGCTTTAGGTTTCCTTGAAACTGGGCACCTCTGTGTGCAGTTGCCCCACAGGGATCACAGCTAGATTTCAGCTCTGGAGCAGCCTGCGTGCGGGGTGAGCTCCAGAGAGCCCTTGGGTACAGGGCGAGCCGGTTCCCGGGGCCTCTCCCAGGACGGCAGCCAGGCCCCCGTGAGTCTCTCACTCTTACTGGAGCTGCAAAGCCAGCTTAGAGGACGGGCCGTCGTTTGCTTCCAGCACACAGGCAGGCAGACCCAGTTCAGGTCTATGAGCCCCGTCGCGAAGCCCTGATTCTCTCCGTCTTCACGGGGATAAAAATATTCCTGTGCAGGCCTCGCCCTCCTTTTATAAACAAAACAAATCAGTGAAGCCCCAGCAATCACGGGGGTGTTTTCGTTGGCACCTCACCTAAGAGTGCCGGCCACCCACCCAGGCCTCTCCTCAGAGTCCGAAGGAGCTGCACGGGCCAGAAAGCCTCCTGGTTATCAGAACCGAGGGGCGTGGGTGCCGGTGTGTGGGGGCTGCTCAGGGATCAGGGTGCAGGCCTCCCGCGTCCGTGCGCCTTCTTACTCTCTTCCTGCTCAGACCGCTCCAGCTTGCTTTTAGAAAGCTGCACAACAGCGGGAGAACTCGGGGTTCAAGCAAGAACAGACTGCGCCTCAACTTCCGCTCTGCCGTTTCTGAGGCTCCAGCCCTTCCCAGTCCCATCTCGACAGCCACAGCCATATGGTGGGGATGCAGCCATCTGCCTTACAGGTCATTTCGAGACTCGATGATGATGTAAAAAAATTCCGTTACATAGGAAGGACCCCTTAAGCGGTGGAGTTGACTGACCCACTAGGGAAGACTTGCCTGTCCAGGTGGGCCTTGGGCAGGGCAGCCGGTCCCTCTCTCCGAGGCCTGGCCGTCCCTGCCTGGTGGGTCTGCAGAGCAGCTCCCTTGGCACTGTATGGAGACCCTCTGCGTGTAGGTGTGTCCCTGGAATGTTCTAGCCTCCCCCTTTGAACTTGGTGGGATCTAAATTTGGACTCCCAGCTTTATCACTCGTGCTTGACTAAGCCATTTTATGTTTAAGGCTTTTGGAGATTTCGTTCATCGGGGAAAGGTCTGAAGCAAATATTAACAGGTCGGCATCCCTCCCTCCTCACCCATGCTCTGGAAACGGGTGGTGGCAGAGCTCCACTCACTGTCCCGTGCCCTCAGGGTTCACACCATGGACAGGAGTCAGGATGCTGCTTCTCCCCTCTCCCCACTCTGACAATGAGTTTGGGCTTTTTGGGGAGGAAGAGAGGGAAAAGAATGAGATTTCGGAAGAGGACTGCGGGGCTGCCTGAAGAGAGATTTGCCTCAGAGGGGACACTGCTTCTCACCCCTTCATCATAGCATGGCTGTGACGTGGGAGTGTGTATTCTAGCCACTTCAGAAGGCATGTGTTAGCTTCCCCAGACTCATCGCACACACAGCAATACAGATAACATCTGTCATGACCTGAAACTATTTTTAGCTCCATGAGGCCCCGCTGACTTGGCTTACCAAGATGGGTGAGGCTCTCCGAAGAGAGGTCATCGTCAAGCTGGAAGACCCATCCTTGTGAATGCAGGGGCTTCTGACAGATGAGACGAGAAAGCAATTCAGTGGACTTTGCACGTGTTTAAAAACTGAAAGAACCGTGGCCCTGTGTGTCTTGGAAACCATCATCTCTAAATTTAATCTCAGTTCAACTTCTGCAGCACTTAAGTTTAGAAAGATTCGTGAGCTGTGACCTTCCTCGAGAAGGCAGCCCTCATTCTCTCTCCTCTGCCTTGCGTCTTTCCTGGTGACTGTCCCAAGTCACTCTTCACCACAGCACAGACAGAACCTGGGGCTAACACGGGGGAGAGGAGGGAAACCAATTTCTCTTCCTCAAAGTTGCATTTCAAAACAGTCCTTCTAACAGCTGTCTTAAAAAATTTCACTGACATCTGCAAGTTGGTAAACGCTGCGGATAAAAGGAGTTTTTTTTAGTGGTTTGCTCCTTCCCACTTCAAAACGCTTTTTTGGGACACACATCACAGCTGAGGGTCAAAGGACACGGGTACAGAGAGCGCCGAGGCTTTGGTCATAACCCCAGTGGGCTCCCACCCTCAGCATGAGCCAGGCATTCTATTTTTATCACCTCTGTTTAATCTCGCATCACTCCAGCGGTTAACCTTTTGCAGAAGATGAAGGAAATCGGAAAACAGGTCAGGCCACCTCGCAGGTGCACCAGCCAAATCCCCACAGTGAACGCCGAGTGGGGCTGACTGACTGTTCATGAATGGCCACAGCAATATTGTGTTGTCTCACATTCCCTGCCACGTCCCCTCCCCGTGAACCTGGGGTGGGGTCCTTGTCACTGCCGCCGTGGAGTGCAGGAAAGGTGACGCTCTGTGACGTGAGGCCGAGTTAGGAAAGGCCACAGAGCTTCCATCTGACCCTCCCGATGTCCACCTTAGGAGGGCAACCGCCATATTGTGAGGAAGCCCAGGTCCCTTTCTGAAAGTGACCCTCTTTTTTTCGTCTCCCCTCTTTATTCTGGCACAGTTACCTCCCAGGTCACTGTCATGCCCTTTAGAAGCCATGCAAAAGAGAAGGGTATGGATGAAGGTCCTAATGCTACATCTGAGCTTCTCTGAAATCAACACATACTTGTCCCTTTGCATTTTCCGGGACTGGGACCAGGAGCCTGCTGTCTGGCTCTGGCTGCCCTGTTTGTCGGGTTTCCTCACGGTATGGCAGCTGCCTTCCTAAGAAGATGCCCCTCCTCCATGGAGAGTCTCACGTGGGCAGGAACCAAGGCCTGAGATTCCCAGCCAAATTCCACTTGGCAGCCGTGTGAACGAACACTCCAGTCGAGCCACAGGGGCAAACCGTCTCCACCGAGCTCTGCCCAAGTTACAGATTCATGAGCTAGACTGTGGTGATTTTAAGCCACTAAGTTTTGGGTGGTTGTTTGCAGCAACAGCCACCAGGCTCCGGCTTTCACCTTCTGTTACTGCAGGGTGCTCTGCCGGCACCTTCCATTGGTCACTTTCTGAAAGGCCTAGCTCTTCATCTCCCCTCCCAGGTCACTGTTACGCCTTTTTGAAGCTACGCAAAAGAGAACGGGACGAAGATCCTAATGCTACTTCTGAGCTGCATCTTTGCTTCTCTGAAGTCAACACGGAGTGGGACCAGGACCGGGAGCCTTCAGTCGGCCTCCACCAATGTCAGATTCACAAGGAAGCCTCAGCCCACCTCACCTGCATAGCCCTTCTAGTTTTAGTTTTGTATTTTGTTTTTCTTAGAAGCCCTCCATAACCGTGTGAGCCACCCACCCACAAAAGGTCCAAGCTGCCCTGTTCTTGCCTCTCTCCAGATGAGGGTGCGCGAGCTGTGACCCCGCCCTCGTCACTCCGAAGGGATTCCGCTGTCAGAACCGGAAGTCTCTCTCCCAGAGACCCTCCACCACAGGCTGAGGGGGTACGTGTGACAATAAAAGGGTCAATTCCTCAGGAAGACACAACAATCAAATGTGCAGGGACGTAAAGGAGCTTCAAAGTGCAGGAAGCAAAATCCGGCAAAACTAAAGGGAGACAGATCAAACGCCCAGCCATGGCAATAATACCCCTCTCTCAGCAACTGACAGAACTAGACCGAAAAAAAAAGGAAAGACAGATCATCTGATCACCACCTCCAGCTACTTGGTACTGACAGCGCGGCCACCTTTGCCAAGAAACTGTCCCAAAAACATCACCACAGTTGATCTTCCCCACGGTGAGCTGTAGCCGCCTCAGGAATAAGGGGGCCTCTGCCCTCAGTGCACGTCAGACACCCTCACCTCCTGCAGTGTTTGTCAGAAGAGATGCCTGGAGAGCCCCGGTGAAGTCCGTCAGGATCAGGATGCTGTTAGCGCCACAGAACGTGACAGTGTGTGTGTGCATGTGGTTGACGCCTGAGATGATAGAGACAAAACCCCGTCACTTCCCCGTTAGGGAGGAGACTCAGCCTTGGAAGCTGGGTGGCAGTGTGGAGCCTGTGTGCCCCCGGGGTCACTCCTCATCTGAGCCAGCCTCTCCAGCTCCAGCTATAAATAACTGAAGGGCAGGCCCACAGCCTGGAAGGAGACAGGACGCACGCTGCTTCCTTCTGCCTCTGCAGGGGAGGGGGCTCTGTCCCAACCTCAGCACAGTCCGGCTTGTACTCCACGAGAAGCACCCAGGATCAGGGAGGCCTCTCCATGTGTGCAGGCCCCTGGGAGCGGCTGGCTGGGACTCAGGAGTTGAAGGAGGCGCCTGAAGACAGGTGGTCTGTGGCTTCTCCAAAGAACTTTTTTTTTTCTGGAGACAGTCTTTCTGTGTGGCCCAGACTGCAGTACAGTGGTATGATCACATCCCACTGCAGCCTCGACCTCCTAGGCTCAAGCAATCCTCCCACCTCAGCCTCCTGAATAGCTGGGAACACAGGCATGAACCACTTCATCCAGCTAATTTTTTAATTTTTCTTTTGTAGAGGCAGAGTCTCACCATGTTGCCCAGTCTGGTCTCAAACTCCTGGCCTCTCAAAGTGATGGGATGACAGGCCTGAGCCACCACCCAGGCAGACCCTTCCTCTTTATCCCTGGCAGGTCAGTAGTGGCCTCAGCTACTGGACAGTGCTGGCCAGCATCCTTAGGGAAGGAGACGTAGGGCAGCCCCTGCTGTACTAACTCTCTTCCCCATCCCAGGGACGGGGGGCCGACTCTGCTCTGGCGAGTTTTCGGGCACTCAGCTTCCTCCTCAGGGAGGAGAACTTGTCCCCCAGCACCTTGCGCAGCCCCACGCTGTCCCTGCTGCTGGGTGGGTCCTGCCTGGTGGCCGGGAGCTGGCCCGTGAACATCTCCCAGCGGTCGAGGGCGTCCACGGCTCTGTCCACCTGCACCAGGTCCTCCTCTGCCACTTCCCGCTGCAGGGCCTGGATGCACATGGCCAGCCACCGTTCATGCTCCTTGATGGCCTCCGCAGGGCCCCCAGGTGGCAGCGGAGCCTCTGAGGCTGCCAGGTAGCTCAGCCCTTCCTCTGGCCCCGAGGCGAAGGTGTGACTCCCGGCATCAGGGGTGAGGGGCTCCGACACACTGGTGCCGGGCTCCGAGTCACTCTCACAGCACATGCCCGAGTCGGCGCTGGCAGGCGGGGTGTCCTCCCACACTGACGGCTCCCCCGCCTCCTGGCTGGGCCACGTCCCCACCACCGCCTGAGTCCAGGTGTAGAGTCTCTAAGAGGGAGAAACACAGGCTGAGTTTGCTCCGTGCCAGCCCTTGTCTAGCCAGGGAACTGCCAGGAGACCTCCTTACCTAAGGGGACCCCACCGTCCTCAGTTACCCAGGGGCGGGAGTCAGGCTGGTGGTGTGAGGGCTCTTGTGACCAGCACCCTTTGAGGACTCATGTCCAGGCTGTGCCAGAGTCAGAGGTACCCACCCCCAAGAGCTCACCATTCAGGAACTTCGCAAGCTCCTTGTCATCCAAAGTTAGAACACTTAACATTTTTCGATTTTTTTAAGACAGAGGCTCACTCTGTTGGCCAGGCTGGAGTGCAGTGCTGCGATCTCAGCTCACTGCAACCTCCCCCTCCCAGGTTCAAGCAATTCTCCTGCGTTGGCCTCCTGAGTAGCAGGGATTTTACAGGTTCCTGCCAGCATGCCTGGCTAATTTTTACATTTTTTAGTGGAGACGGGGTTTCACCATGTTAGCCAGGCTGGTCTCAAACTCCTGACCTCAGATGACCCACCCACCTCCGCCTCCCAAAGTGCTGGGATTACAGGTGTGAGCCACGGCACCCACCCAGAAAGCGTATAATTAAATAAAATTTAAAATTTTAAAGCAAAGGTGTGGGCATGGTGGCTCACGCTTGTAATCCCAGCACAGGGAGGCAGAGGCAGGAGGATCACTTGAAACCAGGAGTTCAAGACCAGCCTGGGCAACATAGTGAGACCACCAGGGGGAAAAAAATGTAAAGCAAAGGCAGTACTTGAAACTCACTTCCTAAATGTTTTCTCCATTTCACTCTCACCTCTGCTCTCAAGGTTAGTCTCCTCTCCTGCATCTGTACAGGGGACACACAGTTTAACAAGGTCCCACTGCACATCTGTTCCCAACTCAGCACTCACTGACATCACATTGGGAGCTCACATCAGCCATCGTGAGACTGTTTACACCACAGGAAGTGGCAGAGACCACAACAAGTCAGGCTTTCTTCAAGAGGCATTTCACTGATTGCTGTCAGTGGACAGCAGTGACCTTTTCTGGCCAGGCCCTTGGTCAGCTCTCCAGCACCTCCCCAAGCCCTGGGACAGCAGGTGACCTCACATCCACACCACTGCCCTCCCTACAACAGCCAGGAGGGCCAGGCCACCCTGGAGTGCCTTTGCCCTGGCCCTCTTCCCTCCACAGCCTCAGGAGATGGTGCTCACGGAACGGAGAGAGCTCTGGGCAGGAGGAGGAGCTACACCCTCCAGCTCAGATCCAGGTGGATCCAGGCTATGCCAGGTCAGCACGTGTAGGGAGGGGCATACACTTTCTAAAAGTTCATGTCAGATGGTTGCACAAGACCCCAGGTGAAGGCATCAAATGAGAGCTCTCAACCCTTTCTGCAGACCAAGCTGCCCCTGTGCCTGTTACACAGCCTCAGGAAGGTACTAAGAGCTGCCCCTTGACGGGGCACAGCTGGCAGCAGCAACCTTTACAAGGCATCACCAGGTGCTGACCAGCCATCACGCCACCTGTACCCTCGGGAGATGCTCCTACCCTCAGCCATGGCTGCGCCTGGGTTCCCCCCAAGTCACAGGCTCTTCTCCTTACACTTGGAAAAGCTGTTTCCTCTGTGCCCCCTTCACCTTCCCTTGACTGCCAGAGTCTTCAGAGAGGATCCCTGCAGAGAGATTCCAGCACTGTGAGCTAGAAATGCCACGGCCTCTAGTTCAGTGTCACCCAGGACCCTGCAAGATACAGCTCCTCACTCTACCCCAGAAGGAAGGAGGGCCCAGCTAGGCCCTGCAGGGGATTCTGACAGGCTCGGTCCGGGAACCACACCCCCACTTGCCTCAACGGGCGGGAGGAGGATGCAGGGGCTTTCCAGCGCGGTTTCATTGACTGCTCTGGTGCCTGTACGCAGTGAGCACCTTATAACTGGTTGTAGTCCAAAGCTGGGTTTGAAGAAAAATTACCACCACCTGCCTTTGCACTCAGAACTCAGAGTAAAGCTTTTGAGCTTGCAAACAAATGTCCATGAATACGGACGAGCCCTTTGCTCGGCAACCCCACCCAGGCGACAGAGGGAGTTAGGAATGGAGGCCACCTCCAACAAGCCTTGTTGTGTCAGCTCCCACCTCCTCGCAAGGGGCCTGTGCCTCCTCTGAGCAGCAGTGACCCAAGTGTGGGTGACGGGAAAGCAAAGAGAAAGTTACCCTGGGAAGACCGTGCCACCCGCCGGCTGGGCTCCAATGCCAGCTCTTCCTGACAGAGGGAGAAAAGCCCTCGTCCCCACTCGACCCCGCTGCAACCTCCCAGTCACAGCCACCACACGCGGGCCCTGGCAGGACTCGATCTACTGCCAGTGAGATCCGGATGGAGCTCAACCCCAGCGCAGGTCCCAGGGCTCTGCACTGCCTGGAACCCGGCAGTTGACAAAGCCTGTGTGCGGTCCCCATGCCCTGCGTAGCCTCCAGGCGGCGCTCGCGGGCCTCCGGAGCGCAGGTCCCAGCAGCCGGGCAGCGCAACTCAGCCACTCACCTGGTACCTCTCGATGAGCCTGAAACCCAGGACATGCTGCAGCTTCCTCAGGCAGATGGGACAGAGGTCCAGGGGCCGCCGCAGGGCCTCGTCCAGGCTGAGCGCACCCTGCATGAGGCAGCGGAGCCAGCGGCAGTTCCCCAGGCCCAGAAGGTGGCAGAGCTCGTGGCACGTGACCTGGGGGGAAGGCCACCAAGCACCTTGCCTCACTGCCTTGCCCCTGCATCCGGCAGATCCCCAGGCAGCCCCAGCAGGACCAAAATGAGGACCTGGGTGAGGCCAGATGGCCGGGAGGTGGTCCAGGCGCCCTCCCCCTGCCCCAGGCGGCACAGGCCACTTTCAGGGCCCCAGGGGAAAGGTGAGTCAGGGTGGGAGGCCACACAGGATAGGGGCTTGGGGCTCTAATCCCTCCCCTGCTGCTTCATAGCTGTGTAGCCTTGCTTTCCTCATTCCATAGAGTTAGGGGTCCATCCACTTCACTGTGAGGATGGGGCAGTGTAACAGACCGAGGCACCAAGGGCTCAGACAGCACCCTCCTGTCCCCTCTTACCAGCCCCAGAGCCCCCACCCACCTTGCAGCACTGAACCATCCCCAGGGCACTGAAGCACAGGGCCCAGCCCCTGTCCTGCAGGGGGGCCTCGGGGCCGTCTGCTGCTGCCTCTACCAGGGCCAGATCAGGGGCGCTGGGCCCCGACTTCGGGAATTCCCCTGAGAACCGGGCGAAGCTGCAGACGCCCACTTCTGGAGAGAGATGGAGAGAAGGGCACTCTCAGGGGTCAGCCTTGGCTCTGGGGGGCCCACCGTCAAACCCACCTCATGCTCTCATGCAAGCTGGCCATGGCCCAAAGACATACCAGTCCTGGGAGGCCCTGTCCTGCCCACATGAAGTTGGGCCCTGGGGCAGACGCCACAGCTGAGGAACAGCCCCTATGCCATTCCTCAGGAGGAGCTGGAAGGGGCCATCTATTCCCATGCACAGGTGTTGACTTCCACCAGGAGGGTGCTTGAAGCAAAAGCAAAGAGGGTGCCCTGCAGCCACGGAGGCCACAGCCCCATGCCAGGCTACCCCCCACGCACAGCTGCTGGGGCCCCGGCTCACCGTGCCCTGGAAGGAACTTGCTGAAGGTGAAGCTCCAGGCCTCATGGGGGTACAGGTCAGACAGTGTGAGGCCCAGCACACACAGCGCGTCCCCTGGCTTGTTGTTCTTCAAGAAGGACAGGATGCCGTCTGCGGGGAGAGGGCCAGAGGATGGGGTCAGGAGGCAGCCGGGGACCCCCATCTTCCAGGCTCAGGCTGGCACCCCGTCATCCTCTTCCTCTGCCTGGGCCCTGCCCCTTCCCAAGTCAGGTGTGGGCCACCAGCGTTTGGTGTGACCTGAGGGCACACAGTACTGCATGATGTGGAGTGACAGCCAGGGCCATTTGGAGATCAGGACATGGTAAGTCAAAGGCCATGGACAGCCCAGTGGGGACGCTGGAGAGGCAGCCGGGCCAACAAGACTGGCGCTTGCAGCCCCAGGAAGGAGAAGCCACCTCAGCAGCTGAGCGACAGCCCCAGAGAGTCCACGTCTCAGCCCTGGGACCTGTGAGTCCCCACAGCCAAAGGGGCTGCAGATGATTAAAGATCTTGGGATGGAGGCGTTTTTCTGCAGCAGCCAGCTGAGCCTGATGCCATCACAAGAACCCTCGGTAAGGCCGGGCACAGTGGCTCACACCTGTGATGCCAGCAACTCGGGAGGCCAAGATGGGCAGATCACCTGAGGTCAGGAGTTCGAGACCAGCCTGGCCAACATGACAAAACCCCATCTCTACTAAAAATACAAAATGAGCCGGGCCTGGTGGTGCGTGCCTGTAATCCCAACTACTCAGGAGTCTGAGACGGGAGAATTGCTTGAACCCAGGAGGTAGAGGTGGCAATGAGCTGACATCACGCCACTGCCCTCTAGCCTGGGCAACAGAGCCAGACTCCATCTCAAAAAAAAAAAAAAAAAAAAAAAGCCCTCGTTAGAGGCAGCAGGGGGTCTGGGTGAGAACGTGAGGCCTGAGGGCACTGCAGGGCTGGCTCGGAGGAAGGACCATTAGCCAAGGATACGGGTGCCTCTAGAAGCTGGAAAGGGCAGGAAATGGATTCTCCCTGGAGTTTCCTGGAGCCAACCCTTGACTTTAGCCTGGGCAGTGGGGGCGCTCCTGACCCACAGCACTGTGAGATCACAGTGGGTCATCCAAGCTAGCAAGTTGTGTAACTTGTTAGCATGGTTCCCCGGAGCATGAGTGTGGACAGATACAGGAGAGGCCCAGGGGCTGAACCTGGGCACGATGGCATCAAAGCCGGGAAACCAGAAGCCCAGGGAGGGAAGGGGGCAGAGCAGCCACCACGGGCCCAGGAAACCCGGAGAGGGTCTCAGAGTTAGTGTAGAGAAGAGGGGTTGCGGCACAGAGGCACACCGGAGAAGTGTTTTCCAAGGAGTTCTACCATTAAAAGGAACAGATTGACAAGGAGGTTGTTCTGTGTGTGTGTGTTTTTTTGTTTTTTTTTTTTGAGATGGAGTGTTGCTTTGTTGCCCAGGCTGCAGTGTAGTGGCGCTATCTATCTCAGTTCACTGTAACCTCCGCCTCCCAGGTTCAAGCCATTCTCCTGCCTCAGCTTCCTGAGTAGCAGGGATTACAGGCACGTGCCATCACACCCAGCTAATTTTTGTATTTTTAGTAGAAAGGAGATTTCACCATGTTAGTCAAGCTGGTCTCAAACTCCTACCCTCGTGATCCGTCTGCCTCGGTCTCCCAAAGTGCTGGGATTACAGGCATGACCCACCACAGCTGGCCCTGTGTTTGTTTTTGAGATAACATCCCATTCTGTCACCCAGGCTGGAGTACAATCACAGCTCACGCTGCAGTCTCCACCTCCTGGGCTCAAGCAATCTTCCTGCCTCGGCCTCCTGAGCAGCTGGGTAATTGATTGACAATGATGCTAATGAGGTGATGATGATTGACAGTGATGATTGTTGTGGATCAGGCTATGTCCCCCAAAAAGACAGGTGGAAGTCCTAACCCCCGGAACCTGCCATTGTTTGGAAACAGGATCTGTGCAGATGTAATCCAGTTAAGATGAGGTCATGAAGGAGACCCAGTGACTGGAGTCTTAGAAGAGACGCAGAGGCACATGGCGTAAAGCTCACGGGAAGTCAAAGGCTGAGGTTGGAGTTGTGCATCTGGAAGCCACAGAGGGCTGGGCATTGCCAGCAACTTCCAGAAGCTGGAGGCAGCCAGGAAGCACCCTCCACGGAGCCTTCTGAGACCACGTGGCCCTGCCAAAACCTTGGTTAAGAACTGCAGGCTCCAGCGATGTGAGACAAGAAATGTCCCTAAGCCACTCAGTTTGTGGTACTTTGTTACGGCAGTCCCAGGAAACCAGTACAGTGATCCAAAGCATGCTACTCTCTGGGCAAGATGGCAGGACCCCATCTCTACAACAATCAAAATAATTAGCCAGGTGTGATGGCACGTGTCTGCGGTCCCAGCTACTTGGGAGGCTGAGGCAGAGGAGCCCAGGAGTTCAAGGCTGCAGGGAGCTATGATCGCACCACTGCGCTTGAGCCTGGGTCACAAAGCAAGACCCCATCTCTAAAAAAAAATTAAAAACCAGGCTGAGCTGACCCCACAAATGCAACCTGGCATACCCTCTGAGTTCCACCTGCTTTTGAACCTTCCCGAGTGCATGTCCTTTTCCCGAGGGCTCCCCCGTGCACCTTCTGAAGTGTGGGGCTGGGGAAAACAGCAGTTTGTCCACTAAGCAGAGGGGGTGGAAAGCCCTGGAGTGACCCTTGTGGGACTTGGTGCTGTCTCTGAGCTGCCACAGGCCTGGCACCAACAGGTCAGAGGCCATAACAGGTGAGACGCACCGTGTACGGCGTGGGGGAGGTGAGGAGAGCTGAGGCTGCAGAGGCCAAGCCTGAGAGGCACGGGGTCCCCGGCTGTGTTTTAGGGCCAGGGCCAAGGCAGGCCACATTGTCCCCAGACCCCACTGTAGGACCTCAGGGGCTGGGGAAGCCTGTGGAGTGTAGGCTGTACCCAGAAAGCAGGCCAGGACAAAGAAACATGCCACCCAGGGGATGGCACCCCACCCCAGCCAGGGGACCCCTATCAACCCCCAAATCTCAACAGTGGCTGCTCCCTGTAACAGTACCCTAGGGAATTTAGACAACCCTCCCGCCAAAAGATGGCCAGACAGGCAGAGTGAATGATAAAGAACAGCTGCTTCCAACACCCACGATGGGGAGGAGTGGATTAAGGAGAAAGGTTTGGTGGCCGGTAGAGGGGTAGAGAGCCGCCCTCTATATGATTATGGTGATGGCCACGTGATGTATGCGTGTGTCAAGACTCAGAACCTTACACTAAAAAGGATGAATTTTACTATCTAAATTATACCTCAATAACCAAGGCAGAGACCTAATGAGAAAAACGGGGAGGACTGGAGCTCAAACAGATGAAGCTGGACTGTTTCTGGGGTGGGGGAGTGGGCAGGATGACCCTGACATGCTTCCTGCCCTGGGAGGGATGCGGAGCCCTGGGGACCATCAGAATGACCCAGAAAAGCTTCATGTCTTTGTCCCACAGTCAGCCCTTTGGTGCCTGGCAGAAGGAAAAGAAAATCCTCTATGGTGAAAAACATCGGCCCAGGCCAAAAATTCTCAAAGTTAAACTAATTTTTCCAATAAGATGCGTAACTAACAATCAAAAATAACAAGGCACAATGAAGCAGGATAACTGAGACAAAATTAGCAGAAATAACAAATACAGGCACATGGGCACTCCAGATAGTGTAATCATCGGACAGACGGTCAAGCAACTATGTTCATGGACATCAATGCTGAACTTAAAGAAGTGTCATAGGCAACTGAGACCTATAAAAATGTGACACTGGGCCGGGCGCAGTGGCTCACACCTGTAATCCCAGCACTTTGGGAGACCGAGGCAGGCAGATCACCAGGTCAGGAGATCGAGATCATCCTGGCTAACACGGTGAAACCCCGTCTCTACTAAATATGCAAAAAAATAGCCAGGCACAGTACTGGGCGCCTGTAGGCCCAGCTACTCGGGAGGCTGACGCAGGAGAATGGCATGAACCCAGGAGGCGGAGCTTGCAGTGAGCCAAGATCATGCCACTGCACTCCAGCCTGGGTGACACAGCAAGACTCCGTCTTAAAAAAAAAAAAAAAAAAAAAAAAAAGCGTGACACTGCTAATTTCAAAAAGAATCCACTGGAAACTGTAGAACTCACAAACATGACAACTGAAATTAGGAACACAATATATGGGGGTTGTGATTTTTTTTTAATGATCGGGTCTTGTTCTGTCACCCAGGATAGAGGGGAATACAGTAGCACGATCACAGCTCACTGCAGTTTCAAACTCTCAGCCTCCCAAGTAGCTGAGACTATAGATGTGTGCCACCACTGCCAGCTATTTTTATATTTTTTGCACAGACAGGGTCTGGCCTAGTTGCCCAGGCTGGTCTTGAACACCTGCTGTCAAGCTATCCTCCCACCTCAGCCTCTCAAAGTACTGGGATTACATGTGTGAGCCACCATGTCCAGCCTCAATATATGGGTTTAAGAGTACCTTAGATGAGGCCAGGCACAGTGGCTCACGCCTATAATCCCAGCACTTTGGGAGGCCAATGCAGGCAGATCATGCGGTCAGGAGATCCAGACCATCCTGGCTAACACGGTGAAATCCCGTCTCTACTAAAAATACAAAAAAATTAGCTGGGCATGGTGGCAGCCGCCTGTAGTCCCAGCTACGCGGGAGGCTGAGGCAGGAGAATGGTGTGAACCCGGGAGGCAGAGCTTGCCATGAGCCGAGATTGCACCACTGCACTCCAGCCTGGGCGACAGAGCAAGATTCTGTCTCAGAAAAAAAAAGTACCTTGGATGTGACTCCAGAGAGAGTAAGCCTTAGCCAAAGGATGAGAATAAATTCAGACTAAAGCATGAATGATCATAAAAGATATTATAGAGAAGAGAGTAAGATGGATTAATATACATTCAGTTGGAGTCATAGGAGAGAAGAGAATGGGGCAGAGGTGATAACTGACAAAAGCAGCAATGGCTGAGAGTATCCCAGAACTGATGAAAGCTGTCCATCCGCTCATTCCAGCCCCTTTGAGGCCCTCCCTAAACTTGAGTCTAGGTTTCCTATCCACCAACAGAGCCCTCACTTCACCTCTGCCTCTCAACCCTGCCTCACACTCTCCAGTCACCAGCGACCCTCAGGGAAGGGGCAAGGGCTTGAGGGTTGAGATCTAGGCACGTGTAAAGTACTATGCAAAGACGGAAGGTTGGAGCCATGCTGAGTGGCCTTAGAAGGGCTCATTTCAAGCCAGTGACGGTGACTCACGCCTGTCATCCCAGCACTTTGGGAGGCTGAGGCAGGCAGATCACTTGAGGTCAGGAGTTCAAGACCAGCCTGGCCAACACAGTGAGACCCTGTCTCAACTAAAAATACAAAAATTAGCCGGGTGTGGTGGGCGCTTTTAGTCCCAGCTACTCAGAAGGCTGAGGCAGGAGAATCGCTTGCCTCAACCGGGAGGTTGCAGTGAGCCGAGATCGCGCCACGGCACTCCAGCCTGGGTGACAGAGCAAGACTCCGTCTCAAAAAAATAACAAAAAAAGAAGGGCTCGCTTCTCCTGCTCTGCATGCTCTGGCGTTTTCCTGTGGGCACTGGCTGTATGGTCAGGTCCCCAGACACTCCTGGGTGGGAAGAAGGAGCTCTCCGGCTTGGTCCTGCTTCCCAAACACCTGGGAAATGGATGTTTCCCAGCAAAAAGGAAGAAAAGGTTCCCTTCCTCTCCTGGGCGCCTTCCTCCCACCTCTTCCTTCCAGAAGGGGCCTGCCTTGGCCTGAGCGGCGGCTGCCGTCCTCACTCACCTGTGTGGAGCTGGAGCCTGTCAGAGTCCCGGCTGGGCCGCGAGGAGCAGCGGATGGACGCGGCTGCCACCGACGGCAGGCACTTGACGCGCAGGCCCAGGAAGAAGGCCTCTGTGCAGCTGCACAGCTGGTGCAGCAGGGAGCTTCCCACCGGCTCCTCGCTCAGGTCTGGTGGGAGAGCAGCACCGTCAGCCCTGCGACGCCCCTGCCCGCCTGGGACCCTCTCCCCGGGAATCACTCGCAGACACCGGCCTGCTGGGTGAACAAGGCCAATGTGGACCTACCCTGACAGCAAGCAGAGCGTCAGGCTTAGAAAAGGGATGGAAAGCATGACTTTTTCAAAAGGGCAAACACCGAGGGACACAGAGGAAAGATTCATGCACAGATGAAAGGACAGCAGTGACAATCGCATATGAGCTCAGGGAGAGAGCAGGCAGGGACTCACCAGGGACAGGGACTTCTAGGGTTAGCGCCAGGCACTGCAGCTGAGCAGGCAGCACACAGAGCCGAGCCACCTCGCTGCAAAATGCCAGCCTGACTGGGGCAGACAGCAGGACACAGAGCCAGGCTGCATGGCTGCAAAATGCCAGCCTGGCTGGGGCAGACAGCAGGACACAGAGCCAGGCTGCATGGCTGCAAAATGCCAGCCTGGCTGGGGCAGAGTAGCACACAAGGGTGCAGGTCGAGGCTGGAGAGGCAGCAGGGAGCTCCCAGGGCAGCCCCTGAAGGGATGCACACACCAGATCACAGGTCAGGAGGACAGATGGACAAGGACCAAGGGTAGAGGCCAGGAGACCAGTGAGAAATCAGCTGCCAGGACTCCAGGCCAGCAGCATCAGCCTCACCCAGGAAAGGAGGGAAATGCAGAGCCTGGCCCAGTCCCCACCTCCTGACCCGGCCCCTGTGTTTCAACAACATGCCCATGTGTCAGTGCGTCAGAGCTTGGGACACCAGGCTCTGAGCCATTAGCAGGGAGGTGGAGGGAAGCGGGTAGCTCCCAAGCTGTTGGATTGGCTGCTGTGGGGTGGTGGATGCTGAGACCAACGGACACCCGCAGGATTTGGGTCCTGAGGGGCAGGAAAGGGGCTGCGTGGACCACCAGGGCTGGTGACAAGCCTGCGTGGGGCAAGGCCAGGCGAGGTCAGCCCTGTTCTGGCTTGCTGTCGAGATGCCGAAAGGCGTGGTGCGCTGGTCAGAAGCGGACACCAGCCCTTTCCTCCTCTCCGAGCCCAAGGGCCCCCGTCCCGTGTGCTGTCTCTGCCAGGCTGCTCTTGGCATGTGAGAGGCACAGAGCTGGCCCTGCCCCTCGCGCTCCCCGCACCTGCCTGGGCCGTTCCCTTCTGAGCACGGATGCCTGTTGTCTCGGCCCCCCATTCACCCTGGGTCCCCCAGACTCTGCCAGACACAGAGCTCTGAGGACAGTGACCACTCTGGGCCCTCAAGCCCCCACCCTGCTCAGCCCAGCCCCTCCCACTATAGCATCAGGATGAGCACCCCAGCCCCAGGGTCAAATAGAACTGCGTTCCAGTCCCGTCCCTACCAGTGACCAGCTCTGCCAGTCACACAGGTCAAGGGACCTCTCCCTGCTTCCATCTCCTTGCCGGCGAAATGGGCTGATCCTCATTTCAGCACCCCAAAGAGAAAGTGGTCTTTTTTTTTTTGAGACAGTCTCACTCCGTCACCCAGGCTGGAATGCAGTGGCATGATCTCAGCTCACTGCAACCTCTGTCTCCCAGGTTCAAGCGATTCTCCTGCCTCAGCCTCCTGAATAGCTGGGATTACAGGTGTGCACCACCACACCCGGCGTGATCTTTATACAGCCCGCAGCACAGTGCCTGGGATGGCTCTAGTTTCAACAGGCGTAGCCAGGACCGTGCACATCTGGATGAGGCCACACCTGCATGTGGACCAGTCCCAGAGCCTGGGCCGTCTGAGCATCGTGTCAGGATGGGGTGGGAGGAAGGAAGCCTTGGCCCAGCCAGGACCTCCCTGCCTCCACCCTGGCATCCCATACACCCAGGACCCTCTTCCCTCATTTCAGTCCTGCCTGGGGGCTATGCACAGACATCCCCCACTTGTGCTATATATAAGCTGGTCCCCCAGGAGCGTGCCGATGGCTGCAGGCGTCCCGTACCTATCGGCTGTAGGTAGATGTGCTTCCGAGCCAGGCGGGGCTTCCGGTGCTGCAGGGAGGCGTGGAAGGTCTGGAAGTCCTCGGGAGCCTCGGGTCGGCTCAGGAGCCAGTCGAAGCCCGTGCGGATGAGCAGGGTGCAGAAGAGCGTCCTCTGCGGGTTGTAGGCCTCGGCCAGGAAGAGCCGCTCGGCAGGGGAGAAGGCGGACACATACAGCTGCTGCAGGGCTGCGTCAGTGGAGACCAGAGCGTCCTTCAAGGCCCGGGGCCCGAAGCTGAACTCCTGTGCGGGTCTACACTGCAGCATGGTGGGCGGGCAGGGCCTGGCCACTCCTGGGAGCCCCTGCTGCTGTCCATGGGCCACCCGGGGGACGGCCACGGTCTCGTCCAGAATCTTCCCTCGGGCTGATCCGAGTGGCTACCGGGGGCTCCCTGCAGACAGACACTGGTCCAAGGGCCCTTAAGGCCCAGCTCTGCCTGGTCCTGGACGCTCTCAGGCATGGGCGCTTCTGGGCCCACAGCACCCTGTGGATGACACGAACAGGGGTCCCCTCACTGCCGAGCACACAGGGCCCGATGTCCCAGGCAAGGGATGGGCCGCTCCTGCCCAGGCCTGGGGAGAAGCTCTGCAGAGGACGAGGGTGTCAGAGGGAGCCCTGGCCCCTCCAGGACACAGCACTGCCACCCAGCGAGGTTGGAAGGACACATTCAACCACTTCATCTTCTCTAGCAGGTTGGGTCCCATGGGCCACCCAGGGGACGGTCACAGTCTCTTCCAGAAGCTTCCCTCATCCAGAACTGGGTATGGGGAAGTACCTCCCACTCGGCAGGGGCAGGGACATGTGTCCATGGGCCCCCACAGAAGGGCAAGGGCCCCCAAGGCCATTCTTCCATTCCCTCTTACCAGCCAACTCTGTCTAGAGGCCTTGGAGGGAAGAGAGACCTCCTCCCCTCCCTGCAGAGCTAGAAGGGCCCCTCCAGGTGGAAACCAAATGCTCCTCTCCACGGCATGATCACAAAGTGTGCATCCTCACCTGGGTCCCCCCATCGCCTGGGGTTCCTCCTTACCCAGAGCCCCCATCATCTGGGATTCCTCCTCACCCAGAGCCCCTATCACCTAGGGACCCCCCAACACCCAAGAACTCCCATCACGGCAGCTCTTCATCCCAATTACAAGCTTTCCTAGCAGGTCCCTGTGCGCCCAGCAAGCATATGTTTGGGGGGGGGCGGGGGTACGCAGCCCCAACAGCACGCAGACGTCCCCAGGACACACGTGAGGGCCCGAGATCCAGATGAAGCAGTCAGGGCAGGCGTTTGTGCCAAACCCCACCAGCTAGAAACAGGGAGAAGTGGAGAAGCAACAGCGGATTTCAACACCCAGGACGGACCAGGTAGGGAGGAGACGGTGGGGGGTGTGGAGCTGGCAGAACCGTGACAAAGCCGCCCTGCAAAACAGATGCTCTGACCGGAGCAGCAGCAGCTAGGCAACCCCACACTTAGGAACACGCCTGAGAGTCGTCACCGCACACTTGGTTCCGGGCTACATTTATGTCTCTGTTCAGAGACTGTGAGACCTGCCAGGGCGGATGGAGAGTGGGCTGGGCAGGGGAAGCCTCGCAGAACAGATAAAAGCAAAGGGGTGGTTGTGGGGAGAGGCTAGAAACGAACCAGAAACCACAGAAGGGGGATGCACAAATAATATAGCAAGGCAGGTGCAGCTAAGGACGTGTGAATAGACCCTTATGAATCAGCAGCCCTCGGACAAGCTTCCTGTAGAAAGCTGAGCTAGACACGCAAAACCCACTTGTCTGCGACCGTCAAGTTGCAAGACCTGCCAGTCCTAGCCGGAAAACCAGAAACAGCTATGTTTTTGCAGGGAGAATGAACAGCCCTATTCTCTAACTAACCCTGATTTCTTTTTTAGAGATAGGGTCTCGCTGTTTCGTCCAGGCTGGAGTGCAGTGGTGCAATCATAGCTCACTGCAGCCTCCAACTCCTGAGCTCAAGCGATCCTCCTGCTTCAGCCTCCCAAGTAGCTGGGAATACAAAGTGTGTACAATGTCCTGCTAATTTTTGTATTTTTTGTAGAGACGGGGGTCTCACTATGTTGCCCAGGCTGGTCTCAAACTCCTGGGCTCAAGCAATCCTCTCTCCTCAACCTCCCAAAGTGCGTCAGCCACTGCACACAGACCCCCCGAGCCCCAACTTCTTTTTGTTTTTTTAGATGGAGTCTTGCTGTGTCGCCCAGGCTAGAATGCAGTGTCGTGATCTGGGCTCACTGCAACCTCCACCTCCCGGGTTCAAGCAATTCTGCTGCCCCAGCCTCCCAAGTGGCTGGGATTACAGGTGCCCCCGACCATGCTAGGCTAATTTTTGTGTTCTTAGTAGAAACAGGGTTTCACCATGTTGGCCAGGCTGGTCTCAAACTCCTGACCTCAAGTGATCCGACTGCCTCTGCCTCCCAAAGTGCTGGGATTACAGGCATGAGCCACCACGCCTGTTTGGTTTTTTTGCTTGTTTTTTGTTTTGTTTTTTTTAACAGAATGGTTCTAGCTCTGTGCCCAGGCTAGAGTATAGTGGCACAATCATGGCTCACAGTAGCCTCCTGAGTAGTGGCAACATGGGCATACGTACCACGCCTGGCCCACTAACTCCAGTGTCACACATTCATCTGGAAAATACATGTATATGTGCTCATATTCCTATGTATATGTGAATACATAAATAAATTTGATATATGTAATTTATATATTTTCTTTTGGGGAAAATGTGACACAGCTGTATATACATGTGTGCACACAAATATACACAAATATATTTTTTTTCCAGAGGAACGTACTGGCTTAGAGTAGGGGAGGGGCTGGTACTGAATTTCCACTGAGATCACTGCCAGCCTGGAGCTTTCTATAACTTCTTTCTCCAAATATATTTTACAAATTTAAGATCCAACTGCATATATAATCCTGTATCTTTTTGCTTCATAAATCTTGAGCATTTTCCAAATTCTTAAACATTCTACAAAAATGCTGTTTTTGGCTGAGTGTGGTGGCTCACACCTGTAATCCCAGCACTTCAGGAGGCTGAGGCGGGTGGATCACTTGAGCACAGGAGTTCAAGACCAGCCCAGGCAACATGGCAAAATCTCATCTCTACTAAAAACACAAAAAATTAGCCGGGCATGGTGACGCGCACCTGTAGTCCCAGCAACTCAGGAGGCTGACGTGGAAGGATCACCTGAGCCCAGAAAGTCAAGGCTGCAGTGAGCCATGATCGTGCCACTGCACTCCAGCCTGGAGGAGGGAGTGAGACCCTGTCTCAAAAAAACAACAAATTTAAATTTTATTTTAAAAAATAAAAAATAGAGCCGGGCGCAGCAGCTCACGCCTGTAATCCCAGCACTTTGGGAGGCCGAGGCTGCTGGATCACCCGAGGTCAGGAGTTCGAGACCATCCTGGCTAACCCAGTGAAACCCCATCTCTACTAAAAATACAAAAATTAGCCGGGCGTGGTGACACGTGCCTGTAATCCCAGCTACTCAAGAGGCAGAAGAATCACTTGAACCCGGGAGGCAGAGGTTGCAGTGAGCCGAGATTGCGCCATTGCACTCCAGCTTGGGCATTGCAGCAAGGCTCTGTCTCAAAAATAAAAAATAAATTAAAATGCTACTTTCAACCACTGCCCAAAAACGCCGTAATGAACATCTTTGTACATAAGTCTGTGTTTCCATCTCCTCAAGATGGACTCCTAGAAGGGAAAATTCCACATGTGGATGTTTGAAGGATCGTGATTTGTATTGCAAATTGCTTTGCAGAAAGATCACACCAGTTTACAATCCCACCAGCCCTCAAGGTTTTTTGTTTTTGTTTTTTGTTTTTGAGACAGAGTCTCCCTCTACCCCAGGCTGGAGTGCAGTAGCACGATCTTTGCTCACTGCAACCTCCACTTTCTGGGTTCAAGCGATTCTCCTGCCTTAGCCTCCCAAGTAGTTGGGACTACAGGCACCCACCACCATGCCCAGCTAATTTTTGTATTTTTAGTGGAGACAGGGTTTCACCATGTTGGCCAGGTTGGTCTTGAACTCCTGACCTCAAGGTGATCTGCCCACCTCAGCCTCCCAAAGTGCTGGGATTACAGGCATGAGCCACCGTGCCCGGCCAGCCCTGGAAGTTCTAAGTCATCAGCAGCAGATAAAAATGACTATTGGCCAGGTGCGGTGGCTCACGCCTGTAATCACAGCACTTTGGGAGGCCCAGGCGGGCAGATCACGAGGTCAGGAGATCGAGACCATCCTGGCTAACATGGTGAAACCCCGTCTCTACTAAAAATACAAAAAAATTAGCCAGGCGTGGTGGCGGGCGCCTGTAGTCCCAGCTACTTGGGAGGCTGAGGCAGGAGAATGGCGTGAACCTGGGAGGCGGAGCTTGCAGTGAGCCAAGATCGCACCACTGCACTCCAGCCTGGGTGACAGAGCGAGACTCCATCTCAAAAAAAAAAAAAAAAATGACTATCAAGAGCCACAAACCGCACTGTGTTCCAGGCAGGGCTTCATTGCTTTAACCCTCAGAAAAGTGGGTGCAGTTTTTGTCCCCATTTTCAAAACCGAGGTGGAGTAGGGTTAAATCTAACTTAAGCAACACCATGCCACCCAGAATCAGAGGTTGTGGGGGGCGGGGCGAGGGGGGTTGGAACACACAGATTTTGTTTTCTAATAATAGTTATGTCCATTTCCTTTTTTTTTTTTTTTTCCCCCCCAAGACAGTTTCGCTCTGTCACCCAGGCTGGAGTCCAATGGCACTATCTCAGCTCACTGCAACCTCCGCCTCCGGGTTCAAGCGATTCTCCTGCCTCAGCCTCCCGAGTAGCTGGGACTACAGGTGCCCGCCACCACGCCCGGCTAATTTTGTATTTTTAGTAGAGACGGGGTTTCACCATGTTAGTCAGGCTGGTCTCGAACTCCTGACCTCATGTGATCTACCTGCCTTGGCCTCCCAAAGTGCTGGGATTATAGGCATGAGCCACTGCGCCCGGCCTTTTTTTCTTTTTTAAATGAGACAGGATCTCCCTGTTTTGCCCAGGCTGGAGTGCTGTGGTGCACTCAGCTCACTGCAGCCTCCAACTCCTGGGCTCAAGCAGTCCTCCTGCCTTGGCCTCCTGAGTAGCTGAGACTACGGACATGTACCAACACGCCCAGTCAATTTTTTTTTTTGTAGAGAAGAGTCTCACTATGTTGCCCAGGCTGGTCTTGAACTCCGAGGCTCAAGCAATCCTCCCTTATGGGCCTCCCAAAGTGCTGAGATTATAAGCCTGAGCCACCACATGGGCCTGAACATGCAGATTTTCAAGCATCATGGTTCCCATCACCATGGGAAGCAGGGCCCCACCTTGCTGGGACCACGTGGGTTCTATGCAGACCGAGCCTGTGCCCAGACCCGCATGCCCACCACCAGACTCCAGCGTGGGTCTCACTCCTGGACTCCTGGAGTGCACAGGGCAGTCCTGGCAGGTTCACACCAGGGTGGAATTCCCGCCTCTGGACCATAAAGGAAGAAAGAAACATCAGATGCACAGACGATGGACAGGACCAGATCCTGTGGCCATGGAAAGGGCCGTAGTGGGCAAGTCTTGCAGCGGGGCCAGAGGCTGAGCAAGGAGGAGCCGTGAGGACAGACCCAAGTCAGCCAGAAGCAGCTGAGATGCACGATCAGTGGTTCCAAAAGAGGCCAGGCGGGTCCCAGGGCAGGTGAACGCACGGGTTCATTCATTTATCCAATATATATAAAATAATAGGCCGGACGCGATGGCTCACGCCTGGAATCCCAGCACCTTGGGAGGTCGAGGCAGGCGGATCACTCGAGGTCAGGAGTTCGAGACCAGCCTGGCCAACATGGTGAAACCCTGTCTCTACTAAAAGTACAAAAATTAGCCAGGCGTGGTGGCACATGCCTGTAATCCCAGCTACTCGGGAGGCTGAGGCAGGAGAATCGCTTGAATCCAGGAGACAGAGGTTGCAGTGAGCTGAGATCGCGCCACTGCACTCCAGCCTGAGTGACAGAGCGAGACTCCATCTCAAAAAAAAAATAAATAAAATATATATTATATATATGAGATTTTAATATATACGATAATATATTAATGTAATATAATCTCACATGTATATTTATAGGATTATGACCAGGTACGGTGGCTCACACCTGTAATCCCAGTACTTCGGGAGGCAGAAGGATCACTTGAGCAGGGGCGGCCAAGGCCAGCCTGGGCAACATAGACCTCATCTCTACTCTATGAAAATAAAATAAGGATTTATTATGAGAATTGGCTCACAGGCCTCAGAAGCTGAGAAGTCCTACAGTGTGCTGCCTACAAGCCAGAGACCCAGGGAAGCCCAAGGCGTGATTCAAACTCAGCTCATGTCCGAAGGCCTGAGAACCAGGGCAGCCGATGGTGGACATCCAGTCCCGGGGCAAGAGAGGATGACATGTCCCAGCTCCAGCGGCGAGGCAGGAAATGAGGGGTGAACTCCTCCTCCCTCTGCCGTCTGTTCTATTCAGGGTCTGGAGGGATTGGAAGGTGCCCAGCCACTTGGGGAGGGCAGTCCACCTTCCTGAACCCACTGTCCTAATCCTAATGTCATCTCGAGCACCCTCACAGACACGCCCAGGAACGGTGTTGCATCAGGCACCCTGTGGCCCAGTTCAGCGGACTCATGACAGTGACATTAGCTGCCAAGGGCTTCCTGGGTGCTGGGCCCTGTGCTGGGGGTTTTCCAACATGAGTGGACAAAACAGAGGTCCCTGGCCCCATGGAGTTAGGTGCTCCAGCAGGAAGGCAGGTGGCAAAAGTGCTAAGTAAATAGCATAGAAGGTAGGTTAGAAGGTGACAGGTCCTGTTGGAAAAAGAAAAGGCTGGCTGGCTGCAGTGGCCCATGCCTGCATTCTCAGCACTTTGGGAGGCCGAGGCGAGCGGATCAGGAGGTCAGGAGATCAAGACAATCCTGGCTAACACGGTGAAACCCTGTCTCTACTAAAAATACAAAAAATTAGCCAGGCGTGGTGGCGGGCGCCTATAGTCCTAGCTACTCTGGAGGCTGAGGCTGGAGAATGGAGTGAACCCGGGAGGCGGAGCTTGCAGTGAGCGGAGATCGCGCCACTGCACTCCAGTCTGGGCCACAGAGCAAGACTCCGTGTCAAAAAACAAAACAAAACAAAACAAAAATTAGCTGGGTGTGGTGGCACACATCTGTGGTCCTAGTTACTCGAGAGGCTGAGGTCGGAGGAAGTCTCCAGCCCAGGAGTCCAAGGCTGCAGTGAGCTGTGATCGCACCACTGCACTCCAGCCTGGATGACAGCAAGACCCTGTGTCCAACAACAACAATCCCACCAACCAGGCACGGTGGCTCACACCTGTAATCCCAGCACCTTGGGAGGCGGGCAATCACCTGAGGTCAGGAGTTCAAGACCAGCCTGACCAACATGGAGAAACCCCATCTCTCCTAAAAATACAATATTAGCTGGGCGTGGTGGCGCATGCCTGTAATCCCAGCTACTCAGAAGAATTGCTTAAACTCGGGAGGCGGAGGTTGCGGTGAGCCGAAATCGCGCCACTGCACTCCGGCCTGGGCAACAACAGCAAAAACTCCATCTCAAAACAAACAAACAAACAAACACCCCCCTACAGAGCGGGGCAGGGCTCAGGCGTGCCAGGCCCACACTCCCATTCCTGAGAGGGTGATCACAGTGGGCTCCATTGAGGTGGGATCTCTGAGCAAGGAGGCAGCGGGGAGGAGGGGCAGACCGTCCCAGACAGAGGTGGGTGTACACAGGCCCGCAGCAGATACGTCTGGGGGCTCAGGGGACAGCCGGAGGAGGCCAGTGTGGCTGGAACAAATTGGGGGAAAGAACAGGGGACGAGATTGGGGGAAGATGGGGACACATCGCGCAGGAGCCGGGAGGCTGTTGGAAGAGCTTTAACCTTTGCTCTGGGTGAGGTGGGGAACCGCTGCTGGGCTTGTGGCCAAGGGGTGGGGTACTCCTGCCCTAGCCATGCCAGGTGTCAGCGTGTGGAGGCAGCACCCCCTGCAACCTCTCAGAGTCCCCTCGGGGACTCCTGGGGACCTCGCTACGGAAGAGGCGCCCAGGAAACCCCTGAAGCTGGAATGCCCTCAACAACTCCGAGGGCTCTGGCATGAGCTTGGTCCTCTTTATTTATTTTTTATTTTTTGAGATGGAGCCTCACTCTATCACCCAGGCTGGAGTGCAGTGGCACAATCTCGGCTCACTGCAACCTCCGCTTCCCGGGTTAAAGCGATTCTCCTGCCTCAGCCTCCCGAATAGCTGGGACTAAAGGCGCCCGCCACCACACCCGGCTAATTTTTTTTTGTATTTTTAGTAGAGATGGGGTTTCACGTGTTAGCCAGGATGGTCTCGATCTCCTGACCTCATGATCCGCCCGCCTCGGCCTCCCAGAGTGTTGGGATTACAGGCGTGAGCCACCACGCCCGGCCAAGCTCGGTCCTCTTTCAACCCCACTGTGTCCTCCCTGTGAGATGGGTGTGGTCCCACCTGTCTTCCTCCAGGAGCCTGGCTGGCCCAAGTAGGAGGAGGAGGCACTTAGCCGGCCTCGGAGCACCCGACGCCACAGGAGACTCACCAGCTTATTTTTGTAGTTTCTGGGTACCGGTGACATGACCTGCTCACCGGCTTCTCGCTCCCAGACCTTCCACTCACCAGCACTGCCGCCCACAAGGGGCAAGCACCATAACCTCCCAGTTACCTCCAAATCATTCCCCTAGCGCCGCAGCCAGCTCAGAATTATTTGTTCTGTCCACAGGGGCCTATCAATTATTTCTCTGGAGCAGCCCAGGGCCTTCCAGATGCCCAGGATGGTCTGTGTCCCAGCTTTCCAGAGAATGACATGGTAAAACAGATAGCAATACCTGCGGGCACCCTGGACCAGCCCTGATCAACATTCCCCTTCCGGTGCCTGCCACCCTGCAAAGCCCCAAAATCACTTATTTTTTTTTTTTTTTTTTGAGACGGAGCCTTGCTCTGTCACCCAGGTTAGAGTGCAGTGGCGCAATCTCGGCTCACTGCAACCTCCGCCTCCTGGGTTCACTGCCTGAGCCTCCCGAACAGCTGGGACTGCAGGCGCTCACGACCACACCCAGCTTATTTTTGTATTTTTAGTAGAAACGAGGTTTCACCATATTGGCCAAGCTGTTCTCAGACTCCTGACCTTGTGATCCACCCGCCTCGGCCTCCCGAAGTGCTGGGATTATATGTGTGAGCCACCGCGCCCGGCCCAAAATCACTTTCTGATGCAACACCTTGTCCGACCTCCAAAGCCATCCTGAGATTCACCCATGTCATAACCCAGGAGACTGAGGCTCAGAGAGGGAAAGCCACTTGCCCAGGGTTACACAGCTCACCTGGATCTTGACTCCCAGCACAGAGACCCCTGACTCCAGTCCTCACACACGGACCTTCCCCTACTCTTGAGGGGGCTTTCCTGCCAGCACCCACACCCACCTGACCACCCGAAAACCCTGGTCAGAGGCTTCCCTGCCAGCAAACCCTCCTACTCCAGGCAAAGCATCAGGAAATGAGAAATGCTTTTTTTTTTTTTTTTTTTGCCTCTGTCACCCAGGCTGGAGTGCAGTGGCACAATCTCAGCTCACTGCAACCTCCTTCTCCTCCAGGGTTCAAGCGATTCTCATGCCTCAGCCTCCCTAGTAGCTGGGACTACAGACGCATGCCACCATGCCAGGCTAATTTTGTTATCTTTAGTAGAGACAGGGTTTCACCATGTTGGCCAGGCTAGTATCGAACTCCTGGCCTCAAGTGGTCTGCCTGCCTCGGCCTCCCAAAGCACTGGGATTTCAGAGGTGAGCCACCACACCCGGCTGAGAAATGCCTTCTTTTTACCAAAAGTTCACAAGCCCTACCACATTGGTTCCAGGTGTGACTTGGGCCCAAACTGCCAACCTCAGGCCCATCTAAGTTATTCAGGGAGGACCGAATGGGAGCAACAGGAAGGGCCACAGCGACAAGTTTTGCAGGGGACCAGAGCACACGCACAGAGGAGCCACGACCACAGAGGCCGTTTGCACACCCGCAAGCAGTGGCGGGCACGTGGGTAACTCAAGAGCATCTACATCGGAAACCCAGCCAGAGACACAACACCACCTTCAGCCAACCTGAGCCGCCCGGGAAGGAGTGGCCACGCCAGCTCCAGACTAGCCCGGCTGGAAGATCAACAGGATGTGAGAGGCAAGCTCTAAAAATAGCCACCTCCCGGGACAATCGCTTGAGTCCAGGAGTTTGAGACCAGCCTGGGGAAATATGGCAAAACCCCGTCTCTACAAAACATTTTAAAAATTAGCTGGGCATGGTTGTGCATGCCTGTGGTCCCAGCTACTAGGGAGGCTGAGATGGGAGGATTGCTTTCGCCCTGGAGGTCGAGGCTGTGGTGAGCTATGATTGCATCACTGCATTCCAGCCTGGAAGACAGAGCAAGACCCTGTCTGTCTGTCTGTCTGTCTCTCTCTCTCTCTCACACACACACAAAAACACAGCCACCTCCTAGTGCAGACTGGAGAATGGTGTGACAGGCTCCAAGCTAGGAATGAGAACGCTTAGCTCCCTCCATCCCTTAACACGGGTACAGCTCTCGGGCATCCAGGGCATGACGTCTGCCCACATACTATTTCCTCTCAAGAAGCCTTGTGGCCACATTCGTCTTCGTGGGTCATTCAGGAAAACCCCGGTCCCCACTGTCAGCTGCCAGCTGAGTCCTTCCATCCTGCCAGGTCATTTCTGCACAAGACCACTCCTCACATAGAGCCAGAGCTGCATGTGAGCCCTGGGGGTACCCACGGGGAGGGAGCCGCCTTAGTGGGGGTCAGCTTCGCAGCACCCTCTGGCACTCACCAACCCATCCATGCTCCAAAAAGGAGACCCCCAGATGGAGGTTTCTCGCTGTCCTTTGGACCCTGTCACAGTGTGTCCCCCTCCTCTGCTAACTGCAGTCATGACAGCAGCCAACAGGTCTCATGCCTGCGTCCTCCAAGCCACACACGGAGCCGCAGGTGCCACTGCGGTGTTTCAGGTGGGGAAACTGAGGCTCAGACGTTAAGTGACTTGGCCCTGGCGACACAGCTGGGGGCCAGCGGGGCCTGGTTTCAAAGCCACGCTTCACACTGGAACCCCAGCTGCTCCTGGAGCAGGGATGTTCTGACGGGGACAGGGGGTAGGACGTCTCCTCTCCCAGAGCACCCGAGTTCCAGCCCTGCTGCTATTAATACCATGGGTAAACTCAGACGCTTCTCCTTCCTCCTCCCCTTGCCTTTTTTTGTCCAAAGACTGGAAAAGAGCACGTCCGCATCCCCCCCCCAGGGAGGTTCTGCCGCTCTAAGCAACAAGGGCCGCCAGACTGGCCCAGTAACCAGGTATCCAAGGTCAGGCTGCCCTAAACCGCACAGCTCCGGGCACTCATGCTCCCCCATCTGACCACGCAGATGCCTGGCCTTTGGGCAAGAAACCATGCTCTGATTCTCGCTATTCTGAATGCGCTTTGCAAAACCTCCCAGCAGCTGCATCGAGCTATTCATTAGCTGACAGCGGAGACCTTCAGGCAGAACCAGACGGACGGATGGTTTTGGGGGTTTCTCACCTCTCAGTTTCCATTCGCTAGGAGGGAAAACCGGGGGCTTAGACCGCAGGGGTAGTGGCCTCCGGGCCAGACTCTTGGCTTCCTGTTCTCTCTCCTCACCTGCGAACCCCAAACTCCTCTGCCAAGTGTTTCCCTCCCGTGATGGGGGCAGAAAGGACCCAGGTCCCTGCCCTCCCCTGTCCTTTGTAAAGTTTGCCATTTCTCTGTCACCCCTCCCTTGCTTTTCTGGTTTTGAGACCTGTCTTACATCCCTGCAGGGATCATATCCACAGCCTTCTCCCTCAGTCTCCTGGGGGAGGAAGCCTTCTCCCTCCCCGGCTCATACACAGGCTGCGGGGAGCCCTGGGCACGACGAGATTCTCGGCGCCCTGGAGGTTCCCCGGGGACGTCCCGCACCCACCTGGCTCGCCCCAGCCCGGAAACGCCTTCTTTCGGGCGCTTGGCCCTGGATTCCCGACCCGTCCCCAGTTTGCTCCCATCGGGAAGCGCGCAGGTCGCCCTGGCCTGGGAGAGGATGGCGGGGAGGGGGCGCGTGGCCCTTCCCTGGCCCGGCCTTCCCTCTGCAGGACCTGCCGGGGCTGTGCGGACCCCGGCGCGGCGCTGCACCAAACCCTCGCCAAGTGCGCCCTTCGCGTCTCCGCGGTCCCCGCGCGCCCGTAGCCGCCGCCGCCCGGGCGCCCTCGGGACTTGGTGCGCGGGCCGGGCTGGACCCGGAGCTGCCCCTACCCACCCGCCCCGGCACGGAGGTCCCTCTCGGTCCCTGCGCCCCCGAGTCTTCCCCGCGCGCCCCCCTACCTCGCAGTCCCGCGCCCGCCGGAGCCGGCAGAGGCCGCGCCGGGCACCGAGCCCCGGGCAGCAGCGTGGGCAGCTCGGCCTGGGCCGGGAGGATCGGGAGGTCCCGGTGACGTCGGCGCGCGGGGCAGGGACCGAGGCGGGCGGGACTGGGGCCGGTGTGGGGCCGCGGGCAGGACAGGAGGGCCACACCCCTCCCGGCGCTCAGCGTCCTGCCCCACTCCCTCCAGCTGCCCGCGGTGGAGCTCACGTGGGACCCTCCAGCCTCCCAGAAACACCCGGGCAGGGGGGCCCCAGAGCCTAAAGCCAAACAGGTGAGGGAGGTCAGTCAGCCCGGGCCAGTTCGTGCCTCCCCAGGTGAGAGGAGTAAACCCGGCTACTCTGCAAGGCGCCAGGTGAAGAGGTGAACCAGGCCACCAGTTAAGGCCCCAGGTGAGAGGGGTGAACCAGCGCCACGAGGTGAGGAAGGGGAACCAGGCCACCAGGAGAGGCCCCAGGTGAGAGGGGTGAACCAGGCTATCAGGCAAGGCGCCAGGTGAGGGGGTGAACGAGGCCACCAGGTGAGGAGGTGAACCAGGCTTATCAGCGAAGCCCCAGGTGAGAGGGGTGAACCAGGCCCCTAGGTTAGCCCTACAGTCAGTGGCCCTGAGGACGGGCGCCCTGCCCTACCCTGGCCAGCTGTGAGTGCAGCCCTGGCCCTGTGCCAGCCACCAGGAGATGGAAAGGACTCTAAGTGCGGAAGGATGCCGTGAAGGCCGGCATGACGGCTCCAGACAGAGCCCAGAGGCCTTTTCCATAAACTGCCCTTTTCCTCTCTGCAAACCCTCCCAGCACCAGCTTCCCTCGGGCAGCCTCCCACCAGCTCTGCTTCACCGTGCAGAAATGCCCCCCACGCCCTCAGCAGCGCCCCACAGATGGCTGAGGGATTCGTCACCATCGTCCCACACCAGTGCAAAGAATTTTTTTTTTTTTTTAGATGGAGTCTCGCTCTGTCGCCCAGGCTGGAGTGTAATGGTGCAATCTGGGCTCACTGCAACCTCCACCTCCGGGGTTCAAGTCATTCTTCTGCCTCAGCCGCCTGAGTAGTGGGGATTATAGGTACCCATCATTGTGTCCAGCTAATTTTTGTATTTTTAATAGAGATGGGGTTTCACCTTCTTGGCCAGGCTGGTATCAAACTCTTGACCTCATGATACACCCGCCTCAGCCTCTCAAAGTGCTGGGAGTACAGGCGTGAGCCACCACACCCAGCCTCAAAGAATTTTTTTAAGCCTTAAGAAATAACACGGCTGGGCGTGGTGGCTCATGCCTGTAATCCCAGCACTTTGGGAGGCTGAGGCAGACAGATCACAAGGTCAGGAGTTCAAGACCGGCCTGGCCAGTATGGTCAAACCCCGTCTCTATTAAAAATAAAAAAATTAGCTGGGCGTGGTGGCTGGTGCCTATAGTCCCAGCTACTCGGGAGGCTGAAGCAGGAGAATCACTTGAACCCGGGAGGCGGAGGTTGCAGTGAGCCGAGATTATGCCACTGCACTCCAGCCTGGGTGACAAAGCAAGACTTTGTTTCAAAAAAAAAAGAGAGAGAGAGAAAAACAACACAACACTAGGTGTCCGGTGTGCAAAATTTGGAAAATTATGAAAAATAAAAACAAAAAGAAGACCCCATAAGCCAACTGTGTAGAGGTAACCTCTCTCACCTTCTTGTCAGACATCCTTCTGATCGCCTTCTCCTCCACATTGAAATGTATTTTTAAAAAGTTTTTTTTGAGACAGGATCTTGCTCTATTGCCCAAGCTAGAATGCACTGGTATAAACGCGAGTCACTGTAGCCTCGACCTCCTAGACTCCAGCAATCCTCCTCCCTCAGCCTCCTGAGTAGCTGAGACTACAGGTACGTGCCATCACACCTGGCTAATTTTGAAACTTTTATGTAGAGATGGGATCTCGCTATGTTGCTCAAGCTGGTCTCAAACTCCTGGGCTCAAACAACCCTCCCAGCTCGGCCTCCCAAAATGTTGAGATCACAGGTATGAGCCACCGTGCCCAGCCTAAATACATATTTTAAGGGATTCACGTCACATACTGCGTTCTGCAGGCGGCCCGTGACTTCACACTCATCAATAGCCAAAAGTCCGTCTCCACACCCTGATGGTCTGCGCTGGACTCCGTGTCATGGATCTGTCACCTGCTTTGGGATATTTTGGTTTCTCCTGGTGTCTCACTAGCATATATCACTGTGATAGACGATCTTGTTTCCACAGATCTTTGTACAGGTATCTGGTCCCCCTCACCTTGGGATAAATTCCTACAAATAGATTGTGACTCAGAAAGCTGCACTTCTTCACACGTGTTGCCGCAGGGATTTTCCAGGTTATTTCTGTTGGGGATGGAGAACCCAGAACCTGAGAAAAGATGAATGTTCTTTTTTTTTTTTTTTTTTTTTTCTTGAGACGGAGTCTCGCTCTGTCACTCAGGCTGGAGTGCAGTGGCGTGATCTCGGCTCACTGCAAGCTCCACCTCCCGGGTTCACACCATTCTCCTGCCTCAGCCTCCTAAGTAGCTGGGACTACAGGCGCCTGCCATCATGCCTAGCTAATTTTTGTGTTTTTAGTAGAGATGGGGTTTCACCATGTTGGCCAGGATGGTCTCGATCTCCTGACCTCGTGATCCGCCTGCCACGGCCTCCCAAAGTGCTGGGATTACAGGCATGAGCCACCGCACCCGGCCTTTTTTTTTTTTTGAGACGGAGTCTCACTCTGTTGCCCAGAGCTGGAGTACAAGTGGCGCGATCTCGGCTCACTGCAAACTCCACTTCCTGGGTTCAAGCGATTCTCCTGCCTCAGCCACCCAAGTAGCTGCGATTACAGGTGCCCGTCACCTCGCCCGGCTAATTTTTGTATTTTTAGGAAGGACAGGGCTTCACCCTGTTGGCCAGGCTGGTCTCGAACTCCTGACTTCAAGTGATCCACCCGCCTTGGCCTCCCAAATTGCTGGGATTACAGGCGTGAGCCACCGAGCCTGGCCTGAATGTTCTGTCCTAAAGCTGCTTATTACAAAGAAGTTGTGGAATATCCTCCCCCCAACCCCCACGCCCCTCCCTGAATAGCCACCGGAAAGGAAATTATGCATCGAGGCCGGGCGCGGCGGCTCAACCTGTAATCCCAGCACTTTGGGAGGCCGAGGCGGGCGGATCACGAGGTCAGAAGATCAAGACCATCCTGGCTAACACAGTGAAACTCCATCTTTACTAAAGATACAAAAAATTAGCCGGGCGTGGTGGCGGGCGCCTGTAGTCCCAGCTACTCAGGAGGCTGAGGCAGGAGAATGGCGTGAACCTGGGAGGCGGAGCTTGCAGTGAGCTGAGATCGCGCCACTGCACTCCAGCCTGGGCGACAGAGACTCCGTCTCAAAAAAAAAAAAAAAAAAAGCAATTATGTGTCAAGCCCAGAGTGGCAGTTCCTCCTCTGTCTGTTGGGTCAGCCCGGGAGACTGGAAGCCCAGATGAGTAGGGCCCCTCCTGGGTGCCCCAAGTTGGGTGGCGCCATGCCCAGTGCCAGGACCCCCGAAACACAGAGGCAGCCTGCTGATGACCTGGCCCCTGCCAGCCAAGGCTTCACTCAGCCAACGCCCTGTCCACACTGCACCCGGGACACGCTGGTCTCCCACCGGCAGACTGCACACCCCTTTCTGGTTGAAGCTACCTCGTCAGAGTCTATTCTAGAAAGAGGCCGTGATATGGGGACCCCTGTCCTTTCAGTGATGAACAAAGGGGGCCGCCCCCAACTTTGACCCCATCACCATCCTCTGACCCAGGCCGACTTGGGGTTAAAAGAGAACTGTGTGGCCTGGGGAAGCTGCTTCACCTTGCCCTGCCTCAGTTTCCCCAGGGTGGGTTACATAGCGGCTCCCAAAAATGTGCCTACTTGCACCATCAGAATGGGACCTTATTTGGAAACCGAGTCGTTGCAGATATGGTTAAAGTAAGGATCTCAAGATGAGGTCATCCTGGGTCAGAGTCAGGGTGGGCCCTAAATCCAATGCAAGTGACTTTGTAAGAGACAGAAAGAGGTTCCTCATTGGAGGAACAAGACAATGTAAAAAATAATGACAATTTTTTTTTTTGAGATGGAGTCTCGCTCTGTCACCCGGGCTGGAGTGCAGTGGCGTGATCTTGGCTCACTGCAACCTCTGCCTCCCAGGTTCAAGCGATTCTCCTGCTTCAGCCTCCTGAGTAGCTGGGATTATAGGCGCGTGCCACCAAGCCCAGCTAATTTTTGTATTTTTAGTAGAGATGGGGTTTCACTGTGTTGGCCAGGCTGGTCTTAAACTCCTGACCTCAAGTGATCCACCCGCCTCGGCCTCCCAAAGTGCTGGGATTATAGGCATGAGCCACTACACCCAGCCAACAATTTTTTAAAAAGAGAGAGAAAGAGGCTGGGTGAGGTGGCTCACGCCTGTAATCTCCAACACTTTGGGAAGCCGAGGTGGGAGGATCACTTGAGCCCAGGAGTTGGAGACCAGCCTGGGCAGCATCTCTACAAAATATTGTAAAAAACAGACAGAGCTGGGCGCGGTGGCTCGCGTCTCTAATCCCAGCACTTTGGGAGGCCAAGGCAGGCGGATCACGAGGTCAGGAGATCGAGACCATCCTGGCTAACACGGTGAAACCCCGTCTCTATTAAAAATATAAAAAAATTAGCCAGGCGTGGTGGCAGGCACCTGTAGTCCCAGCTACTCGGGAGTCTGAGGCAGGAGAATGGTGTGAACCTGGGAGGCGGAGCTTGCAGTGAGCCGAGATCGTGCCACTGCACTCCAGCCTGGGTGACAGAGCCAGACTCTGTCTCAAAAAAAACAAAAACAAAAACAAACAAACAAACAAAAAAACAGAAAGTTGAAGACACAGAGACACAGAGGAGAAGACGGAGATGGGAGTGGTGCAGCCACAAGCCAAGGACACCTGGAGCCCCCAGAAGCAGGAAGAGGCAGGAAGGACCTTCCCCTGGAGCCCTCTGCAGAAGTTCGGCCCTGCCCCAGCCTTGACTTCAGACCACTGCCCTCCAGAATTGACAGTGAATGTGTGCTGTTTGAAGCCGCACAGCTGTGGTCATTTGTCACGGCAGCCGCAGGAAACTCATCCACATTGGAAAACAGGAAAATGCTTCACACGGGTTTTATAAGGAAGAGGAAAACTCTCCCGGGGCATTGGCACAAGGAGTCCTGGGAAGCAGCAGCTGCTCACCCAGCAAACTCGAGCCACAGAACAGGGGCTTGGCCTCTCTGCAGCTCAGCCCTGCTCCAAGGCCAGCAGGCGAGGGTGCAGGCAGACAGTGCTGTGGGGACAGAGGAGGACGGCTCTGAGGCTGGCTTCACCGCACAGCAAGATGAGCCCGGGTCAACGGCAGAGATGGGGGTGTGCCAGGTGGAAGGAACCGTGCGAGCACAGGCCTCCCTGTACAGAATGCCTGCAGGGATCTGGGCAAAGATGGGTGCAGGAAGTGGGGCAGGGTCAGAAAAGCTGGAGAAGAGATGAGGCCGCATCTGGGGAGGGGGGTTGCTGAGGGCCAGGGGCTGGGGGGTGAAGGGGCTCGGAACACAAGCAGGGGAGCCGTGTATGGCCCAAGCAGGGGTTTCCATGGCCCGACACTGAGGTCTCCTGGGTGCAGTAGGTGACGTCCAGGAAGGAGGCAAAGGGGTCTGAATCCTGGTCCAGGCAGGATGCACGGGGCCTGACCCCAGCACTGCCTGCGGGACTTGGGGTGTCCTAGCACAGAGTACAGTCAAGCCCTCTTCCCTGCCATGGGCTCCGTGCCCGTGCCTCCGTTTCCCCAGGCCTCCCTGGAGCTGTCGCTGGAGCACTGTAGGAATGCAAAGCAAAGCTAAGGACCCTCGCATCGGCCTGAGGCCTCCTGGGCAGCCATTCTTCAAGGGACTGTGTGCTGGGGGCCCACCCGGTGTCATCTCATGCTGGACACGAGACCCTGACTCCTGGAGCTGCAGTTCCCACCCCCCACCCTGTCCTGGGGTAGCTGGGGACCCTCTCAGGCCTGAGGGGAGGACAGGAGCTCCCCAGCACGAAGAGCGGGGGGAGGCCAAGCAGGGCGAGCTCCCAGACAGGCTCAGCTGGCCCTGGCCCCGGCCCAGCCTCCCTGTGCCCAGCCTGTGAGGCCGCCCTTTGAGCTTCTGGATTAGTATTCACGTCGGGTCCCCAGCTCTGAAAGCCCTTGTTCCCTCCAGAGAGCAGCCAGAGCGGCTGGAGCTGGGGGCGCGCTCAGTGCAAAGTGACAGCCCCAGCACATAAACTGGGGCCCTTAGCCCGCTCCCCCAGGACCCCTCCTCCGCTGTTTGGGCTCCCATGGGCTCAGCAAGGCTGGGGGACTGGGAGGGAGGGGCCGCCTGTCCATCTCTCTGTCTGTCTGTCTGTCTCTCTGAGTTTCTATCTCTGTCTGTCTGTCTCTGTCTCTTGGGGTTCTTGGTCTCTCTCTCTGTCACCATCTCCCTCCTCCCTCCATCCCTGTCTCCTACCCTCTCATGCTGTGTGTAGTCAGGGGCCCCAGGAGTAACCCCACATGTAGTTTCTCCAGCAGGAAAAGACACACGGACCAGGCACGTGGGGACGAATCTCCAATGACATCTCCCTGCACCACCTGTCCCTGTCGGGGTCTGTCTTGACTCTGAGCTGTCTGCAGACTTCCCCACAGCCCCCACAGTTGGACCCCAACAACAAGAATAACAAAGGCTTGGCTGGGCACCGTGGCTCATGCCTGTAATCCCAGCACTTTGAGAGGGCAAGGCGGATGGATCTCTCGAGCCCTGGAGTTTGAGAGCAGCCTGGGCAGGATAGCAAGACACCCCCATCTCTACAAAAATTAAAAAAAAATTAGCCGGGCGTGGTGGCATGCACCTGGGAGGCTGAGATGGGAGGATCACCTGAGGGCGTGGTGGCATGCACCTAGGAGGCTGAGGTGGGAGGATCACCAGAGGCCGGGGAGGTCAAGGCTGCAGTGAGCCATGATTGCACCACTGCACTCCAGCCTGGGCAAGAGTGAGACCCCGTCTCAAAAAATAATAATGAATAACAAAAGCTGTGTTGATGATGCCCATGGCCAGGCGCACGCTAGCCAGGCTGACTTGGGGCTTTCGGGCCTGAGTGGCACCGAGCTCAGCCATGGCCCCGCTCCAGCCCTGCATCCTCAACTCTGAAACGTAGTTCTAAGATGGATGGGATTGGCCACGAGGGGGCATCCGTGGGCAGGGAAGCAAACAGTCGGTGCTCAGCGTCCTGGAAGGTTTCTGACCTGGAGGCCGCCCTGCCCGGCGCCTGTGGGTCAGTACCCCATTGGTGGATGCGGGGATCCCGAAGGCCTGGTGTCTGGTGACTTGGCCAGGCGCCTACCCAGGGCCACACCACGGACCATGGAAATCTCCTCGGAGTCCTCAGACACGCCTGGCCCCGGGCTTGACCAGCAGGGTCGTCAGGGAGGCCCAGCATCCATCAGGGTCGTGCCCTGGGAAGGAGCCCCCAGTGAGCGCATGGGCTGCGCTGGGCAGGCCTGTGAGGCACGTGAGGGGCCCCAACTCTGTGGCCAGCACGAGGAGGCTGAACCCACGGCCCAGCGGCTTCGTCCAAGAGACCAGAGCTGGCCTGAAGCAGCCAAGACCTTCCTGAGCCATCACCTCCACCTCCCACATAGTCGGAGCTGGGGTCGGGGGTGAAAATGAGGACGGAGCCCCTACTCCTTGGGCATCTCCAGCAACCCCAGCCACAGAGGGGATCTCAGGTAGCAAGGAAAGCTGGGGTGCCAAGGACGTGCCCGGCTCCCTCTTGAGGCTTCGCGGCCCAGGGCGGCTGCATGTCTGGGCTCCTGGAAACACCTGGAGAAGCCCTGCAGGATCCGGGGTCTCCCGGGGTCTCCAGTGCCTGCTGGGTGGGCTGCACACCTGCCCAGCCTGGCAGGGCTCGGGGAGCCTGTGGGGCCGGAGACCCAGGCAGGTCCCCAGAGAGCCGAGTGCCTGTTAATGGGGGCTCCAGAAGCAGCCCCCTGGTGAGACCGCCACCAGCACCCAGACCTTCTCAGCGCCTCCCATCCCAGGAAACCACATCATCCCAGCCCTGCCCTCCTTCTTCAAGTGCCACTGTCACCAAGGAGCATCTAGTCAACCTCCAAAATCTCTCTCAACTGCCCGCCCCACCCAGGCCGGCTATAGACTCCCCAGCTTCCACACACCCCCTGCCAAGCCACTTGCCCCAACAGGAAGCCTTTCAAAGACCACGTCTCACTACCGCCAGCTGTGAGCTGCGTCCCTCAGCTCTGTCTGCCCCAGCCTCACATCCCTAGTTCCTACCTCCGGGGTCCCTCTGCCTACGAGGCACCCTTCACCCCCAGCTGGGCCTCCTCAACTCGGATGAAGCCCCAGGATGAAGCTCCTTCAGGGCTATGGCCCCTCGCCACCTCTCCCGGGCTCCAGACTCTGTCCTTTCTTCCCTGGTCTCCTGGCCTTTGCCCAGGCTGTGCCCTCTGCCTGGAGCAGCAGCCTGGATGCCTCCCACCCCACATTTAGGCTTCAGGCCCCACAGCTGCCTCTTCCCAGAACCCTCCCGGCACGCACTTCGGTGACTCTTACAAGTACCTGTTCAGCGTCAGCCTTCGCCCAGGAGTGCAGGCTGGGGACGAGGGCAGTGGCCACCTCTGCCGGTCCTGTCAGCACCTAGTGCAAAGTCCAGCCCACCGTGGGCGCTCAACGCAGGCGGCTGTGCTGCCGCAGGTCACAGCACCAATCAGACACCCCCATCCCCACACACACCCTGCACCGGCCCACGCGGCCATCACACTCGGAGCACACGCGCTCCGATGTGGCTGCACTGTTGGCACACGCACAGGCGCGCACACACCCACACGCACGAGCGCACACGTGGGCGCACACACGCCGGGGCGCCCTGACCTCCCCGCACGCCCTCCCGCAGCCGCCCCGGCCTCTGTCCCCACGCGTGTCACACACGGCCGGGTGTGCTCGCTCACGCCGTCCCGCGACGTTGCTCCAGCCGGCGCCCGGAGCTCGATCGGGAGAGCTGCTGTTGGCCGCCTCTGCCTGCCAGCGTTTGCCAAGCGGTTTCCATGGTGACACATCTTGGCTCCGACAGGAACCAAGGAGTGTGGGGAAGAGGGTCCCCACGGAGGGGCGAGGCGAGGCAGGAGGTCTCTGCGTCTTCAGGCTCCCGGCAGGCATGGGGGGCTCCACGAGTGCAGACACCCCCCAGTCCCAAGCCAGGCTTGCACCCCGAGAAGGAGGCTCTGGGCTGGTCCCTCTGGGCTGCCTGGCACAGGGGCTGACTTAGTCAGTCATTCAACAAACTTTCTGGAAGAGCCACTCTGTGCTCACAGCCGGGTCTACGATGCTGCCCAAGACGTGGTCTCGCAAGAGGCTCGGAGTCGAATCCTGAGGCTAAACTGACGTCCCGCCACCCTACTGAAGGCCCCATCTAGCAGGTTGGTCCGTGGCTGCGTAAGCACCAAGGCCCACCGAGCACTTTCTCAAAGGGGGGCTCCCCTCTGTGGTAGATCAGTTACAAACGTGTCCCCGATGCCCCACTCCTCCCCTGAATCACCACGCCCTTTGCCGTGTGACTTTGCCCCAACTCCTGTCTAGAGGTGGCGTCTACTTCCCCATCCTTCAATCTGAGCCTGTCTTATGACTTGCTGTGGCCAATAAAACGTGACAGCAATGACATTCCCAGTTCTGAGCTTAAGCCTCCAGGGACATGCGTGCCTCTGCCTGCTCTCCCCGACTCCTGCTATAGCACGAGAACGGGCTGGGCTGCTTTGCTGGAAGGCAAGAGGGCCATGGAGCCTGGGTCACCCTAGCTGAGGCCATCCTGGACTAGCTAGCTCCCAGCTGCCCACAGATGTGTGAGTGAGCCCAGCTAGGACTTGCCAGGCCTAGCAATGAGCAGCAGTACCACCAGGCCCTTTAATACTAAGGACATGTGAAGTCATGTGTTTGGAGCTATTTGTTACTCAGCACTAGCTACCTGATACCCCTCTCTCTAGGGCCCTGGCCAGCAGCTGCCCAACCTCAGTTAGCACAGGCCAGAGGCTCTAAAAGTTCCCAGGGGTGCTAAGAACCAGGCCATGGTGACAGCTGGATTCCGCTGGCTAACAGTGCCAGAGGGTGCCAGGGACAGAGCTTGTGGGAGGGGGTTCCCAAGTCAAGTCCATGGCAGGAGCTACTGAAGCAGAAGCACGAGTCTCCACTGCCTTTCTTTGCCTCGGTTTTTCCCCCTGTGAAATGGGCCCATCACCCTGTCCTGTCTCCTGGGGACCCCTGGTAAGGTAGCGTGTGTGGCAGCTGGAAACAGACCTACTACGTGCCAGCCCCGGGTTGCAACCTAGGGAGAGAGGCCCATTGCTGCCTTCTAGGTTCCCACAACTGAGAAGGCAGCGTCACTAATCCCAGCTTACAGACTGGAAACAGTGGGGAGAGGATGAGTGGCTTGCCCGAGGCCCAGGACACACAGGAGCAGGTGGGCATGGCCACAAGCCCCGGCTGGGTCTGAGCTGGTGGTTATCTTCATGTTTTTCTCCCTGTGGTCACCTTTTTGGAAATATTGTACTTCCTAAGCTAACTGCACTTACGAGGTAATGATTGGTGTGAGTTTATAGTCTCTTTTTTGTTTGTTTGTTTTTTGAGACAGAGTCTCATTCTGTCACCCAGGCTGGAGTGCAGTGGCACAATCTTGGCTCACTGCAACCTCTGCCTCCCGGGTTCAAGCGATTCTCCTACCTCAGCCTCCTGAGTAGCTGGGATGACAGGCACCCGCCACCATGCCCAGCTAATTTTTGTATTTTTAGTAGACAAGGTCTCACCATGTTGGCCAGGCTGGTCCTGAACTCCTGACCTCAAGTGATCCACCCGCCTCGGCCTCTCAAAATGCTGGGATTACAGGCGTGAGCCACTGCGCCCCGGCTCGCTCCCTTTTATTTTATTTTTTTTTTTTTTGAGACAGAGTCTCACTCTGTTGCCCAGGATAGAGTGCAGTGGTGCGATTTTGGCTCACTGCAACCTTTGCCTCCCGGATTCAAGTGATTCTCCTGCCTCAGCCTCCTGAGTAGCTGTGATTACAGGTGCCCACCACCATGCCTAGCTAATTTTTGTATTTTTAGTGGACGGGGTCTCACCGTGTTAGCCAGGCTGGTCTTGAACTCCTGAGCTCAAGAGATCCGCCCACCTCGGCCTCCCAAAGTGCTGAGATTACAGGTGTGAGCCACCACGCTGGGCCCTGCAGTCTCTTTTCACTGGGTACTGCGGTTCAGTGTTACTGCCTAGGGGCAGCTGATCCGCAGAGCCCCTCCCTCTCTGAGTTCCCCCAGGCCAGAGCTGAGAGCCAGGCTCTCCAGATCCCTGTGGGAGGGCCTTGTATCTGAGTCCAGTTTTCCTCCAGCACGAGGCCTGGCATTTAATTACCTGCTGTCTTGTCAGCTGTTCAGTGTTCCTGGCCTTTGGATATTTCACCCAGCGTGTTTCATTGTCTTCAGGGAAACGGCTGGTCCAGGCACCTAGCCTGCTGTCACCGGGAAGGGACATGTGCCCCGAGGCGGGGCTGATGTCACTGCTGCACCCTGGTGGGGCACACCAGCCCACGGCTGTGCCACCCAGGAGGTGCCCTTTTGTTGGAGGGCATTTGCCAAAACCAGCAAACTTGGGTTCTCATTCTGTGGCCTTGAGGGGTCAAGGGGACAGAAGTCAGGGCCAGTCCTGCCCAAAATGGGGAGCATTATAGAAAACCCTTCCCACCTTAAGCTGAAAACCTAAAGGTCTACACTCTTAGGGTAAGAATGAAACGGAATTAGCCCTGCTCCCTCCACACGAAAGACACTTGGTGCTAAGAGAAGCAAAAAGAAAAAGTTCTTGAGAAGTTAGGGCTACAGGTCTTCTCTAGCACAGATTTGAGGTGCTAGCACAGATTTGAGGTGCTGCCAAGAATGCAGAGAACTCCAAGCACTCAATGCGTTGTTTGTTTTGACATAGGGTCTCTCTCTGTCACCCAGGCTGGAGTGCGGTGGTGTGATCACGGCTCACTGCAGCCTCGAACTCCTGGGCTCAAGCAATCCTCCCACCTCAGCCTCCCAAGTAGCTGGGACTTCAGGTGCATACCACCATGCCCAGCTAATTAAAAACAAAAGAGATACGGCAGGTGGATCACCTGAGGTTAGGAGTTTGAGACCAGCCTGGCCAAACTGGTGAGATTCTGTCTCTACTAAAAATACAAAAATTAGCCAGGCATGATGGTGGGCGCCTGCAATCCCAGCTACTGGGGAGGCTGAGGCAGAATTGCTTGAACCCAGGAGGCGGAGGTTGCAGTGAGCCGAGATCACACCACTGCACTCCAGCCTGGGCAACAAGACTGAGACTCCATCTCCGAACAAAAAAAAATGTGTAGAGATGGGGTCTTGCTATGTTGCCCAGGCTATTCTCAAACTCCTGGCCTTAAACAATCCTCCTACCTCGGCCTCCCAAAGTGCTGGGATTACAGGCATGAGCCACTGCGCCCAGACCTTTGGGGGGCCAGTATATTTGGTTTGCTGTGGCCTCCAGTGGGTAATGCCCCAAATTAGCTCCTCCCTAGCGGATTCCACCTTCATCCCAGGCCTCAAAGAATCTCTCCATCAACATTTTTCAAAGCCAAAGAGCAGCATGCAGCTAAAGATGACCAAGAACACAGGGAAACAAGGCACCATGAGTGACCTGCACAGGCTGCAGACACGAGGACGGTCACACACTGTGCCAGACACTGGGGTGTTTGTGTGCTATGACTATGACTGACACTGGCCAGGTGGTCCTGTTGAGTTGTTTCCAGGCACCTGGCCTAACCACAGTCCCCAGAATCCTTCGTGGCTGGGCACGGCCACATGGCTGAAGTCTGGACGATGGAATGTGGTTGATAATGACAGGAGCAACCTCCAGTCCCAGCCGATAATAAACTCTCAAAGAAGTTAGTTAAGGGAGGGCCGAGTGCAGTAGCTCATGCCTGTAATCCTGTCACTTTGGGAGGCAGAGGCGGGTGGATCACCTGAGGTCAGGAGTTTGAGGCCAGCCTGGCCAACATGGCGAAACTCCATCTCTATTAAAAATACAAAAATTAGCCGGGTGTGATGGCACATACCTGTAATCCCAACTACTCGGGAGGCTGAGGCAGGAGAGTCGCTTGAACCCAGGAGGCACAGGTTACCATGAGCCAAGATTGTGCCACTGCACTCCAGCCTGGGTGACACAGTGAGACACTGTCTCAAAAAAAAAAAAAAAAAAAAAAAGAGGAAACGGGGAAGAGGAGATGGGAGATGAGAGGAGAAAGGAGAGAGAAAGAATATTTCAAAGGATAGAGGCTAAGAATTTCCCAGAACTGATGAAAAAACCACTAATCCACAGATTCAAGAATCCCAGCGAATTCCAAGCAGAATAAATAAAAAGAAACTCTCACCTACATAAGACAGTAAAACTGCAGAAAACCAAGGACAATTCAAAAAAAATAAATCTTAAAAGCAGCCAGAGGAAAAAGAGAGGTTACTTTGAAAGAACAGACATTAGACTGACAGCCAAACTCTCGAACACGGCAACAGAAGTCGGAGGACGCTGGGATGTGCTGAACAAACCAATGTACTACAAGAAAGTAACTGCCTAGCTGGATGTGGTGTGGTGGCTCACGCCTGTAATCTCAGCACTTATGGGGGCCAAGGCAGGAGGATCACTTGAGACCAGGTTGGTCTCGAACTCCTGACCTCAGGTGATCCGCCCACCTCAGCCTCCCAAAGTGCTGGAATTACAGGCGTGAGCCACTGCGCCCAGCCCCCAGGAATAATTTTAACCAAAAAGGTGAAAGATCTGTACACTGGAAACTCTTAAGACACCAATTTAAATAACTGAAGAGGACACAAATAAATGGAAAGAAATCCCATGTTCATAGATGAGAGTAACTAATATTTTTTAAATGTCCATACTACCCAAAGTGCTCTATAGCCTTAATGCAATTCCTATCAAAATTCCAGTGGCATTTTTCATAGAAGTTGAAAAAACAATCCTAAAATTCATATGGAACCACAAAAGACCAAAGAGCCAAAGTAATTCTGAAAAAGAACAAAGCTGGTGGCATCCCATTACCTGACTTCAAAGTATACTACAAAGTTACAGTAAGCAAAACAGCATGGTACTGGCATAAAAACACACACACAGACCAGTGGAACAGAAGAGAGTACAGACATAAACCCTCACATACATGATTAGTCTTTGATAAGGGTGCCAAGAATACACAGTGGGGAAAGGACAGTCCCTTTAATAAAAGAGGAACAGACTACTCAGGAGGCTGAGGCAGGAGAATCAGTTGAACCTGGGAGGCAGAGGTTGCAGTGAGCTAAGATTGCGCCATTGCACTCCAGCCTGGACAACAGAGCGAGACTCTGTCTCAGTAAATAAATACATAAATAAATAAAAGAGGACCTAGGGAGACTATCTCTACAAACATTTTAAAAATTAGTTGGGTGTGGTGGCATGTGCCTATAGTCCCAGCTACTTGGGAGGCTGAGGCAGGCTGATGGCTTGGGCCCAGAAGTTGAAGCTGCAGTGAACTATGACTGTGCTACTGCACTCCAGCCTGGGCCACAGAGCAAGACCCCATCTCTAAAACAACACTAAAACAGCACTAGGCGCAGTGGCTCATGCCTATAATCGCAGCACTTTGGGAGGCCAAGGCAGGCAAATTACTTGAGCTCAGGAGTTCAAGACCAGCCTGGGCAACATGGCACAACTTCATCTCTACAAAAAATACCCCCCAAAAATAGCCAGGCATGATGATGTGTGACTGTGGGAGGCTGAGGTGGGAGGATCACTTGAGCCTGGCATGCACAGGCTAGTGAGCTGAGATTGCATCACTGCACTCCAGCCTGGGCGACAGATCAAAACTCTATCTCAAAATAAATACATAAATAAATAAAGATAAAAATAAAATAAATTGGCCAGGCGGAGTGGCTCACGCCTGTAATCACAGCACTTTGGGAGGCTGAGGTGGGTCAATCACCTGAGGTCAGGAGTTCGAGACCAGCCTGGCTAACATAGTGAAACTCCGTTTCTACTAAAAATACAAAAAATTAGCCAGGCATGGTGGCGTGCGCCTGTAATCCCAGCTACTCGGGAGGCTGAGGCAGGAGAATCACTTGAACCCAGGAGGCACAGGTTGCAGTGAGCCGAGATCGTGCCATTGCACTCCAGCTTGGGCAACAAGAGCGAAACTCCATCACAAAAAATAGACAGACAGACAGACAGATAGATAAAAAATAAATAAACAGTGCTGGGAAAACTGGATATCCACATGCGAATGAATGACACTGGACCCCTGTCTCAGATCATTATTATTAAATTAACTCAAAAAGGATTAAAGACTTCAATGCCATTTATTTTGAGTAGAAATAAGTCATTTATTTAATACATCAAAATGTGGGATTTCTTGACCTTGCTTCTCTCCTGGTCCTGGCTTCCCCAGAGGATCCGTAATCCCAGCATTTTGGGAGGCCAAGGTGAAAGGATTGCTTAGGGCCAGGAGTTTGAGACTAGCCTGGGCAACATAGTGAGACCCCATCCCTACAAAAAAATTAAAAATTAGACAAACAGGTGGCACACACCTGTAGTCTCAGCTCCTCAGGAACCTGAGTGGGGAGGATCGCTTGAGCCCAGGAGTTCGAGGCTGCAGTGAGTGAGCCATGATTGCACTACTGCATTCCAGCCTGGGTGACAGAGTGAGATCCTGTCTCTGAAAAAAATTTTTTTTTTGCTTTGTTGCCCAGGCTAGAGTGCAGTGGCGCAATCTCAGCTCACTGCAAGCTCTGCCTCCCAGGTTCAAGAGATTCTCCCACTTCAGCCTTCCAAGTAGGTGGGATTAGAGGTGCACACCACCACACCCAGCGAATTTTTGTTTTTTAGCAGAGACAGGGTTTTGCCATGTTGCCCAGGCTGGTCTCGAACTCCTGGCCTCAAGTAAGTGATCCTCCTGCCTTGGCCTCCCAAAGGGCTGGGAGTATAGGCATGAGCCACCATAACTGGCTTCGTAAAATATTTTTAAAAACAGAAGGGCTGTGCTTGGTGGCTCATGCCTGTACTCCCAGCCCTTTGGGAGGCCAAGGCAGGAGGATCACTTGAGGCCAGGAGTTTGAGACCAGCCTAGGAAACAGCGAGACCTCATCTAATAATACATAAAAATAAGATAGGGCTGGGCGTGGTGGCTTATGCCTGTAATCCCAGCACTTTGGGAGCCTGAGGTGGGTGGATTACTTGAGGTCAGGAGTTCAGGACCAGCCTGGCCAACATGGTGAAACCCCGTCTCTACTAATAATACAAAAATTAGCTGCGCGTGGTGGCGGGTGCCTGTAATCCCAGCTACTTGGGAGACCGAGGCAGGAGAATCGCTTGAACTCAGGAGGTGGAGGTTGCAGTGAGCTGAGATTGTGCCACTGCACTGCAGCCTAGGCAACAGAGCAAGACTCCGTCTCAAAATAAATAAATAAACAAAATAAAAAGGCACTTGGACTTGGTGCATCCCAAGGAGTGACCCCAGGACAGGGGCTCCTCCTCTCGGCCCCTGGAGGCTGGAGGTTGCCCTGATGATGTCACTGTGCTGAGTTTGGAGGCTCAGAGCTGTAACCGCTCCCCCCCACCCCCGCCAACTACACCACGCACCCTCTGCCTCCCCCGTGCAGGCCTCTAGGACCCCACTTCCCTGCCTTGTACAACCTGAGCAGTCCCTGGGCGCTGGCTGGTGGTGATGGCAGGTGGTTCTCACCCCTTCCAAATCCCACCTTTCCCAAGCCCCCAACCCAGGCCCAGGGGTGCAGCCCCAAGGAGTGGGGAAGAAGGAGACCCCACAGCCCCATGCTTGCTCTTCAGAGTTCCTAGCACAACTCACAGCACCACGACCGAAGCCTGGTTCATGCAGCCTGGGTCCTGTCGAGGGCACGCCTGACCCAGCTTCCTGTGGCTGCTGTCTGCCCCGGCTCTGGGGGATGGCATCGCAATCTCAGCTAAGCCATGGCTCCCCCTGTCCTCAGAGACCCACCAGCAGCCTCCAGGCAAGGTGGGGAATGCAGATTCCCAGGCCTCGCCCAGCACGGCGGGAACTGCAGAAAGGGGCCCGCCCGGTCTTTCCTCCTCTGAGCACCCGGCGCCGCCTGCTGGGCACTTGCGGTCCACACAGCAGCTCTCACTGCCATCCCGGACCCTTCTCGTCCTCCCACCCTCATCCTGAACTCTCTGGCTTCTGGGACGGGAGCTGTCACCTGCTGCCCACCTGGCCTCCTGCGGGAATCCACGGGCTCCCTCTTTCCGAGGAGATTTTGGCTCACACTCCCAGACACTCTTATTTCTTCTTTCTTCTTTTTTCTTTCTTTCTTCTTTCCTCCTCCTCCTTGAGATGGACTCTCACTCTGTCACCCAGGCTGGAGTGTGGTGGCACGATCTTGGCTCACCGCAACCTCTGCCTCCCGGGTTCAAGGGATTCTCCTGCCTCAGCCTCCCAAGCAGCTGGGACTACAGACGCCTGCCACCACGCCCGGCTAATTTTTGTATTTTTAGTAGAAACGGGATTTCATCATATTGGTCACGCTGGTCTCGAATTCCTGACCTCAGGTGATCCATCTGCTTCAGCCTCCCAAGGTGCTGGGATTAACAGGTGTGAGCCCCGTGCCCAGCTGCAGCGCCCCCTCTTCTGCACTGCTCAGGGGTCTGTTCTCGGTGACCTTGGTGTCCCCTCCCTCCAAACACCCTCTCCCCCAGGCCCCCACTCATGGTCACTCTCCAGGCCTGGCCCTGCCCGTGGCCTTGCCCTCAGCCATCCCCGCCTCCCACTCTGCCTCCACCTGCCGGTCCTGATGATCCCTCATGATCTTTCCACCCTCCCCATCTCCGCCCTCCCACCCAAGCGTACCCTCACCTGGCGGCAAACTCAGGGCCGAGCCTCTTGGGCTCGATGTTGCCTTCATCATCATCTCTTGGCAGGACCTGTCCCGTGGCTGCACCCAGCCCACTGCCTGCACCTGGGCAGCCGAACACCGCTGGAGAAAAGCCACTTCACCCTCTGTTGAGTCTCACTTGGAGTCCCAGACCTCAGGGGGCCTCAGGGATCCCACTGTTCCTCTCCTGGGGCTCACCCTTCCTCCTCTCTCCTCAGCTCCCACCCGCTCTTGCCCACCTGACTGCCTTGCTATTTCACGAGACCCTCCGAGACCCACCCACATGTCCCCACGGGGCCACACTCCTGTCTGCAGCCAGCCTCCACTGTGCCCTGGGTCCAGCTCCCCTTGGCTACTCAAGAACATTGTGCCACTGATGACATTGCCTCTCTCCTCCCCTGCATGCATTTGCTGTCTACTGGATCAGTCCTATTAACCTTACGAACATGCCGTTATTTCCCCATCTGAAAACACACACGTTGGCTGGGTGCGTGTGGTGGCTCACACCTGTAATCCCAGCACTCTGGGAGGCCCAGGTGGGTGGATCACCTGAGGTCAGGAGTTGGAGACCAGCCTGGCCAACATGGTGAAACCCCGTCTCTACTAAAAACACAAAATTTAGTTGGGCGTGGTGGCTCGCGCCTGTAATCCCAGCTACTCGGGAGGCTGAGGCAGGAGAATTGCTTCAGAGAAGCCGTGTAAGTGTGCCTGTTCGTGTGTGGGCACGTGTGTGGATTTTGTTTTTAAATACAGAGTCTTGCTGTGTCATCCAGGCTGGAGTGAAGTGGCACGGTCACAGCTGGCTACAACTTCCAAATTCTGGACTCAAGGGATCCTCCTGCCTCAGGCTCCCGAGTAGCTGCTACTACAGGTGTGCATGACTATGCCTGGCTAATTTTTATTATTTTATCTTTTTTTTTTTTTTGAGACAGAGTCTCACTCTGTCGCCCAGGCTGGAGTGCAGTGGCGCGATCTCGGCTCACTGCAAGCTCCGCCTCCCGGGTTCAAGGAATTCTCCTGCCTCAGCCTCCTGAGTAGCTAGGACCCCAGGCGCCCACCAGCAAGCCCGGCTAATTTTGCTTTTTTTGTATTTTTAGTAGAGACAGGGTTCCACCACGTTAGCCAGGATGGTCTCGATCTCCTGACCTCATGATCCTCCCACCTCGGCCTCCCAAAGTGCTGGGATTACAGGGTGAGCCACCACACCCAGCCTATTTTATCTTTTATAAAGATGAGGTCTTGCTATGTTCAGGCTGGTGTTGAACTCCTGGGCCCAAACGATCCTCCCAAAGTGCTGGGATTACAGGCACATGCTGGCCTCCCAAAGTGCTGGGAGAGTGCTGGTGTGGTGGCTCACGCCTGTAATCCCAGCACTCTGGGAGACTGAGGCGGGTGGATCACTTGAGGTCAGGAGTTGGAGACCAGCCTGGCCAACATGGTGAGACCCCCATCTCTACTAAAATACAAAAGTTAGCCAGGCATGGTGGTGGGCACCTGTAATCCCAGCTACTCGGGAGGCTGAGGCAGGAGAATCAGTTGAACCCGGGAGGCAGAGGTTGCAGTGAGCTGAGATTGCACCATTGCACTCAGCCTGGGCAACAGAGCCAGGGGGAAAAAAAAAAAAAAAAAAGACTTGCTGCTGTGCCTATTCCTCCTCTCCCATGCTGTCCTGGACCAGCTGGAGGGCTTCACCAGACCTGTCTTGTGCCCCAGGTGACTCATGGTCACCAGACGTGCAGGCTACATTCTAGTCCTCGCTGAGCTTGACCGTCAGCAGCGTTTGACGTGGTCCTCCATCCCTCCATGACATGCTGTCTTCATGTGTCTTCCAGGACACCCACTCTCCTGGGCTTCCTTCCAGCTCACCCCTTCCCCTCTTCCTTTGCAGCTCCCTCTTTTCCCAGACTCTGAACACCAGGTGGGCAGGGGGGGTGCCCAGATCCAGTCTTTGGTCCTCTGTCTCCTCTTTGACACCCACCCACTTGGCAATCTCACCCAGGCTGGTGGCTTTAAACACTGTATCCATGCCAAAGACCCCAATTGCCAAAGCATCTCCAGTCCAGTGCTCCCCCCAAACCCCAGAGACTGTACATCCCACCACCGTCCCACACCCCTTGATGGCTAATATGCTCAAGGTGCCCCAAACTGGACCTCTGACCTCCCCTGACCCAATCATGTGCCCTCCCCATCTCAGTTTATGACAATACCCTACCCCCCTCCCCCTAGCCAGTTGCTCGATCAAAGTCCCACACCCATGCCCAGTCTGCCAGGAAATGCTGCTGGTGTTACCCTCCAGAACCCAATCTCTTATCACTCCCTGCACCCAGCCCGGCCACCGTCAGCTCTCGCCTGCCCCCCTGCAGCAGTCTGCTAATTGGTCACCCACTTTTGCTCTGTCCCCTTCCCAGTGCAGCAGCCAGGGCAATCCTATTAAAATGAATGTTAGGGGCCGGGTGTAGTGGCGCATGCCTGTAATCCCAGCACTTTGGGAGACCGAGGCGGGCGGATCACTTGAGGTCAGGAGTTTGAGACCAGCCTGGCCAATATGGTGAAAGCCCGTCTCTAATGAAAATACAAAAATTAGTCAGGTGTGGTGGCGGGTGCCTGTAATCCCAGCTTCTTGGGAGGCTGAGGCAGGAGAATGGCTTGAACCCGGGAGGCAAAGGTTGCAGTGAGATCGTACTATTGCACGCCAGCCTGGGCATCGCAGTGAGACTCCATCTCAGAAAAAAAAAAAAAGTTAGGTCATGCCACTCTGCTCATAGACCCTTCATGGCTCCCACCTCCCTCTGGTTCAATGTCAAAGTCTCTCCCACCTCCAGCCACCCACTCTCGTCCTAGCTCCCTCCACTCCGGCCAGCCTCACCTCCTGGCTTGAACACACCAGGCATGCATCTGCCTCCGGGCATTCGCACTGGCTGTTCTCTCTTCTGGAACCTGCTTTCCTCAGATAGCCTCAAAACTAAACCTGACTTCCCATGGTAGGCAGGATAATGGCTCCCAAAGCTGTCCATGTCCTCACCCCCAGACTTAGCGTGGCAAAGCCAAGGGACTTTGGAAACAAGAGTTAATTGTGGATCCTGAGATGGAAAGATGATTGGAACTTACCCACGTGGGCCAAGTGTAATCACAGGCAGGGGGGTCGGGGTCAGAGCCAGAGACGACATGGTACTCTCTGCTGCTGGCTTTGAAGGTGGAGGAAGGGGCCACCAGCCAAGGAATGTGGGTGCCTCTAGAAGCTGGAAAGGGCAAGGAAATGGACTCTCGCCTGGATTCTCTCCCCACAGAGCCTCCAGAAGAAACCAGCCCTGCCAACACCTTGGCTTTAGCACATGGAGACTTCTGGCCCACAGAACAGTAGGACGGTGTGTTGTCTTAAGCCCACGGAGCTTGCTGTGCTTTGCAATAGCAACACTTGGGACCTCATGCACTTCCTGGCCTCCAGCAGTCTCTCTTGGCTGCCAGTTTTCCAGGGAGAATTTCCTGACTGTTGGAAATTGCACCTGGCCAACACCCCTGTCCCTGCCCTCCCGATCCCTCCACCGCGATCTTTTTCCTGCAGCACGTTCTCACGTGGTCTGTCATCTGCTGGTTAATTTTGTCGTTTCTCTCCACCGGAGCATCAGCTCTTTGAGGGCAGAGCCCTTTGTCCTTTGGTTCGCTGGGCGCACTCCAGTGCCCAGAACACTGGCTGGACTTAGAAATACCGGCCCGGTACGTGGATGAGTGGTATGAGCCCCACTCCCCACCCTCCCACCGCCCGAACCCTCCCTCCCCTGCCCTGTTAGGAACCAGGATGTTGTTTTCCACCTTTCCTGATATAGAGACAGGGACTGAGATCTGAAAGGGGAAGGACATGCCCAGGGTCTTTCCCTTGTGGCTACTGGCTCTTGCTCCAAGGCTGGGGTTCTGACCTTATGGGCTCCTAGCCCCAGATGTCCCTTATCACATGACTCCCAGAAGCCTCAGAGCTCTGGCGTCCCCACTCTGGGGAGCTTGGCAGCCTTCCTTCAGAGCCAGCCCGTCCTGGGTCCCATCCTGGAGCAGCCACGGTCAAATCCAAGCACACTGGGCAAAGCTGCTGGTGGCAGGAGGAAGGGGCCCTGCCCAGCGGACCCAACCCCCCCCCCCCCCGCCCACATACACAGGTGCCCACAGGTGCCCTGAGAGCTGGGAGCCACAGAGAGCCCCCGCATCCTCTGCTGGGCCTGGTGGCTCCCTCACCACCTGTGCTCCAAGCCTGTGCTCTGCTGGTCAAAAGGGGGCCTCCCCCAACTTCGGAGGTCCTAACATCTCCCTGTGGGGTGAGTGTGTTATTACAGGGTTATGTGCCTTCCCAAGCCTGCTTCTTAGCAGGAGCTTGGGGTGGGGAGGGTCCTTGAAACACGTGGGCCCTGTGCGGGCCTCCAGGAAGGGCGCCAGAGGACCCCCAGGCCGGGGAGCACGGGAACCCGCCTCCATGCTGCTTCTGGAAGGACGGGGAGTGATGGCCACTGGGGGCTCAGGAAGAGCTCGGCCCGGAACCCATCATTGCTCCAACCCGGCCACTCGACGCCTCCATCATCCCTGCTCCTGGCCAGGCACCCTCACCTCTCCTGAGGGCCAGTGGGGCCTCTGCACAGCGATCCCGGTCCCCGCGGGCCCCTGGCAGTACTTGTCCAGACAGCAAAGTGAGGCTTTCACTACGTCGATCGGATCAGCACTCCCAGCTCCAGACCCTCGGGTCCATCGCTGCTTTGCACACCGACGCCCTGAGCGACGCCCTGAGCCCGCCAGAAGCCGCCCACCCAGCGAGCGTGGCCCCGCCCACTCGCTCCGAGAGGCTCCTCCTACTCCATGCCCCGAGATCTCGTTCCCGGCGCCTCGCCCACCCATTTTTTTGTTTTTTTTTGAGATGGCGTCTCGCTCTGTCGCCCAGGCTGGAGTGCAGCGGCGTGATCTCAGCTCACTGCAAGCTCCGCCTCCCGGGTTCACGCCATTCTCCTGCCTCAGCCTCCCGAGTAGCTGGGACTACAGGCGCCCGCCACCACGCCCAGCTAATTTTTTGTATTTTTAGTAGAGATGGGGTTTCACTGTGTTAGCCAGGATGGTCTCGATCTCCTGACCTCGTGATCCGCCCACCTCGGCCTCCCAAAGTGCTGGGATTAAAGGCGTGAGCCACCGCGCCCGGCCTCGGCCACCCATTTTGCAAGGCCTTCGTCCACTCATTCCAGAAGCCCTGCCCACCCCAACCCTGGAAAGCCTTCCCCGGCGCCCCGCCCACCCCATCCCTGGAGAGCCTGTCCCCGGCGCCCCGCCCAGTCACTCCGAGGCCCCGCCCACCCCTGAAGACCCGCCCACAACCCCGAGAGGCCCCGCCCGCAACCACAAGAGGCCCCGCCCAGCCGACCCCTCGGAGCTGACCTGGTCGGCCCCACCCTCAGTGTCCCCCTGTTCCCCCAATGCCCCTGCCTGGAGCCGTGGACTCCCTACCAGCGCCCAGCCAGGAGCCAAAGCAGCTCAGGAAGAGAGGCTTGCTTTTTAAAATTTATTTTAAAACATGAAACCCAAGCTGAATAGAAACCACAGAAATTACATTGACGAGATTTTTAGTATTTGCCAAGAAAAAAAGCCCCCAAAGAAATAAAAATCAGCCCCCAAACCCAGTTCTAAAAAAACAAAAAAACACAGCGACAGTACATACAGCCATGGCCCTACAGAGGCTGGAGGAGGGGGAAATGCAAAATGGTTCAGGCCTCAGTTCCTGGATGTTAAATCACACTGGGGTGGGGGAGGTCAGATGCCCAGGCCGGGGGGGTAAACCAGGAGGCTGAGTCTTAAGGAGATTATATATATATATATTATATATAACAAATATGAAGTGGTTCAGTACACAACCATTATGGTTAAACACAAAACAAAGATCCCACAGGAGAGGCCCTGGTCCCCCGCCTGCCCCCTTGTCTGGGGTTCTGGGGTCCAGGGGGCTGCCTCACCACCCCTCTCAGGGCTGGGGCAGAGCTGGCCCCAGGGCAGGAGCAAATGTTGCTTGGAACTCGAATTGCATAGTGAGATGGGTGGGTGGGCAATGGGCCAGGGGCTGCTCCCAACCAGGCCCATTCACTACCAACCTTGCCATGACATGTGGGGGGCCCTGGGGTAGTGGATGCCTGCTGGGGAGCACTCTCAGTGAGGTAAGCCCCTGGGCTCCTCCCTCTTGTCCCCAGGGCCACCCTGTCCTCCCAACGAGGCTGTGGGCCTGGGGGCTGCAAGACCCCCTGTGCAGGGTGAGAGTGGGGGCTGGCCATGGCAGCAGGCACCAGCCAGATGCCCCAGTAGGTGTGGCGAGGTCATGGGATGGAGTAGTTAGGAACACGGCACCGAAAACTCAGAACAAAAATACAACCAATGGCAGGCGCTCCCCTCCACCTACTGAGGTGGGGTTTGAACCCCTTTTGATTTTCCCCGTTTCCTTTCTTCAACCTTGGTGAGTAGAAAGTCACAGACGGGCACACACGCACACCACGGTCAGGAGTCCCGAGACAGCACGAGGCTGGAAGCCCTGGCCTCACCGCCTCTCACGCTATGTCCATTCACCTGGCAGGCAGCCTCACGGCCATGGACAGCATTTGTGCTTCTGAGCGGTCGCAGGGCGTTTGGCGGGCACCCACGCCAGGGTGCCAGGGCCTCTCTCCTGGCCCTAGGCCTGGAGAACTCCCCTGGCGGGTCAAGCCCAGAGGAAAGACTGGGCAGGTTGGCTGTGGCGGGGCCTCCGAGGGGGGCTCAGAATGTCAGCCAGGCGGGGCCTGAAGCAGAGGCCCCTCCACTGAGGTTTGGTCATGCCTGGGGAGCTCAGACGCCCCGGCTTGGGGCCCCAGGCCCATGGACTCCCCTCCCCACTCTGCCCTCCCATATTCCCCCTTTTTGGTCCCAGACACCAGCACAAAGAAAGGAGGGGTTCACAGAGGAAGGCCAGGGCAGAGCCTGGCCCCAGGGAGGGGATGAGGACATTTCCGGTCCAGGTAGCTGCCGGCTGCTCTGGGAGGAAGAGCCATGCGTCTGTAAACTGCTGGGGCTGGCGGCCCGCCCCACTGCAGGGCCCAGCCTTGACCCCTGCACGTGGCCATCCAGCTGCCCTCTGGCTGCCCCTGGCCTTGGCACAGGCATCGAGCCTCGAGGGCTGGGCTGGCTGGGCCAGGGCCGGGACCGGGAGGGGTAGCACGTCCGATCCTGATGTGGGGTGGCTCTGCCCTCCACGGCGGGAAGCACAGCAAACATCGTACACTAAAGCCAAAAGCACCATTGGGGAGCCTCGCTCCCACTTCATGGGGAGGAGACCGAGGCCACAGGGACCTCAGTCCAAAGCCCGCGGGAGGTTCATTCCCGAGGACAGTCCTCCTGGGGCAGCACCTGCCTGGGGAGGGGTGTCCAGGCCCTTGGGCTGCCTGTCGGTCTGTGGCACCCCCTGGAGCACCCCATGAAGAAACGCTACTGCAGCCTTGACTCCCAGACAGCTGCTCCGGCCTCGGCTCCAGCCCGGACTTGGGCTCACACTGCCGGCTCTGGGCCAGCTAGGGGCACCCGTGGAGTTTGGGGGTGAGGTTAGTGGTTAGTCCCAAGGGGGGACAGCAGGGGCTGAGGGATGTTCACAGCCGGCTCGGGTCCAGCCCCTCAGGCCGGGCTCCTGGGATGCTGTACCTGTCATGGATGGAAATGGAACCAAGAAGGGAGGGAAGGGGGGTGCCAGCGGTCCCCCTCAGCCCGCAGCCCCAGCCTGCCCTAGAGATGACAAATGTGGTTAGTGCAAAGAACGAACCAGACACAGCTGCCCAGTCTCTGGGTGGGGGAAGGGGGTTTGGCACCAAGAAGGCGGCCAGCACTGGGTGGCGGGTGAGCGGCCCGGGCTCCACGTGGCCCCTGCTGTCCACGGAGGGCTGGGGCCTCCAGCAGGGCAGGTGCTGAGGGAGAGAGTGAAGCTGGGGCAACGGAGAGAGGCCCTGCTGGAGGGGGCCTCTGGCAGCCGGCAGGAGGGGTGAGCCTGTGGGTGGGCGGGCTGCACAGGCGAGGAGGGCACTGCAGAGAGATGGGCACGTGGAGGGACCACGGGGTGACCTCAGGGCAGAGATGAGCAGGTGGCACGTGTCCCTGTCCCTCAGTGGCCAGCAGGCGCCAGCACAGAGCGGCCCCAGCCGTGCCTGTGAACTAAGAAGGGGTCCACAGAAGTGCCGGGCGGGAGGAAGGAGAGCTGTGGAGGGAAGGGCCGGGCGGCAACAACACAGGTTGGGTGCGGCCAGGGCTTGTAGGTGCGGCGACCATCTGCAGAGGGAGCGTGCCGGGATAGTGGGTGGCGTGCAGGGCTGGGGCATCGGCTGGCAGCAGCGTTCAGGTGTGACCCGAGTTGGCGGTACGGGCCCAGAGCCCCTGCGTCTCCACTGTGCCCCTGCGGGGAGGGGACAGGAGGGCAAGCGGCCTGCAGACGCGTCTGGGGCAGGCCTGGCACGGCGTGCGAGGGTCCGGTGGGTGGCCCAGGTGGAAGCGGCAGTGCTGGCACGGGGAGGGGAAGTTGGCACGTGGGGTGGGTGGCTGCCGGGCGCGGTCTAGTGGCTGCCGCTGGAGTCAGGGCGAGGCTGGCTCGTGGCGAGGTATTTGGCTCTCATGCTGGAGGTGTACTGGAGGGAGACAAGGGGGAGGCATCAGCAGGGCCCCTGCATGGCGCACGCAGCCAGGGGCGCCTTCCGCGTGGTCCTCACTTGGCTGAGCCAACAGCCCTGGGGGCAGAATGGGACAGTACAGGGTGCCCTGACAGAGCCTATAGGGAGGGGCTAAGGAGGGGCCGCTGGCTGGGGGCCCCTGCGCTCTAGGTCTGGCTGAGGCTGAGGGAGGGGCAGCCCCCGAACTCTCCAGGCTCAGGACAGGGGATGTCTCCTCTGAGGAGGGGCGTACACACAGCCTCCCATGCCCACACCAGCGGCATTTGGGCATTGGGCCAGGCAGAGTTCTGCCACCCCCAGGAGCCACAGCTCCAAGGCCCTACCTGCACCTTACGCACCCAGGACCTGAAGGACACAAACCAGCCACCCTCCAGGGCCGGGCCAAGGCCTCCTCCGGGCTCAGGGCCGGGTCCACCTACAGCCAGGCCACAGCATGCAGGAGTACGGAGGCCCCAGCCTGAGGACATCCCCCGGGCTACTCTGCCCCTTCACGCCATGGAAGGAGGGCCCCTTAAGCCACACAGGAGGCTGGAGCAATGCAGCCCCCCCTCCCGTGGGGGACCCAACTGTGGGCTCCTGGGGGTCTTGGACTTAGGAACAGAGGCGGCTGCAGGGGGCGCTGTCCTGTGCCTGGCTCTGCAGCTGGCCTGCACCTCGTGGGTGCCCTCGTCCAGGCAGGAGTGTGAAGGTCTTGAGTGCACGTGTGTGTGCAAGAGAATGCATGTGTGTGCTCACAGAGAAACCCACATGTGCGAGGCATGTGCTGAGGCCAAAGGACCCACAGGCCTGGCACGTGTCAGGGGCCGGCGGCAGTGAGGAGACCTGGCAGGCTGGCTCCCATCCCAGGAGGGCTTCAGAACCCCAGGGCCCCAGGCCCATCCCCATAGTCCCCAGACTCAGAGGCACAGAGCTCCCCGGGTCCCCGAGGGCCCTCCTGGGACACCAAGAAGGTTTCGAGCAGCCTGTGGGGACGCCACGGAGGGGGTGGGGGGAGGAGCCACGGCCCGGAGCCTCGTCATTCCACTGACATGCAGCACAAGGGGAGGGGATGGGGGCGGGACGGGGCGGGACTGGACGGGACGGGGCAGACGCGCAGACCCCTGAAGGAGCCCAAGCAGGCACCCGCACCACCGTGGGGCCAGCGGGAGAAGCTCACGTGCTCGCCGGCACGTGCCTGTCCGTGTGCACGCCCCTGACACGCAGTTGGTGCCTCCAGGGCAGGGCCTGCTGGCCACATGCCCAGGGGCCCGGGCACATACAGGGGTCTGGGTGCATGGATTCCTCACTGGGAGGTGACAGAAGGGGCTGGGGCCACTTGGAGCTGTGGCAGAGTCCCCAGAGGCCAAGCAACTGGGCAGGGGGAGCCTGGAAGGGGACTTGCCAACCCCACTGTGAGGCTGGCGGGCCCAGAGCCGGCATTAGAAGTCTCTGGCTGAGCCGTGGCACTCAGAGCTGGCCCTGCCAACAGGAGCCGGACAGATGGAGCCCCAGCTCAGTGCCGACGGGAGGGCGGCAGTGAGTGCAGGGTGGAGGCGGGAGGCGCAGGCGGGTGGCCGTGCGGGATGGGGGACCGGTGGGTCAGTACCTGTCGCTCTGAGGGAACAGCTACCACAGCGTTCGGGCACTGTCCATGGGCTTAAACTGCCAGCCCGCGTGGCTGCCAGAGTCCAGGGCAGCCAGATAGCGCTAGGAGGGCCCGGGGTGGGTGGGGTGCAAGAGAGAGAGAGAGAGAGAGTGTGGCCTCAACGCCAGGGTGTGGGGCCAGGAGTGGGCTGTGGGCCGTGTGATGGCGAGGACGAGGGCAGCCGAGCGGGACTGGGCCTGCACCTGTGTGGCCTGAACCTCACAGGCCCGGCCCCTCCCAGGCCCCCCAGGCCCAGCTCTGTGCTACAGGGGACCATGACAGTGGCCCCGGGATGGGGATTTCTGAGCAAGGCAGCCTTCGGCCTCCCAAGCCCTGTCCTGGTAGCCCGGCCGCCCCCTCCCCGGTCCCCCAGCTTCGCCACCAACTCCTTCTCTTCGGCACCCTGTCCCCTCCTGCCTGTGTCTTACGCGGGAAGTCAAAGGGGACACCAGGCCTGGGCTGAAACAGCCATGTGTGGACACTCAGGAAAAGACTCAAGGAAGAAAAAGAAAAGGAGGCAGGGCCGGGGCCCCTGGGAACTGGAGCGGTGGCACCCCACAGGTCCAGAAGGCACAGAGAATGGCAGGTAAGAGGCCAGGGAGGGCCTGGTGCAGGGCCGTGCCTACAAGCTGGGAGGGCCACAGTGGGGCCACATCTGCCCGCCCACCCACTCTCCTTCCCCAGGAAAGGGCCTGAGAGCTGACCCCCTGGGCGGCTGGTCCCGAGGCTGCCCACTCTGGCCCCAGGACACTCCAAGGCCAGCGGGGAGGAGCTGGCAGTCCCACCCAGCCCCGTCAACTCAGGTCAGGCGTCCTGCAGAGAGGTCCCAGCTGGGAAGGGTCACCTGGGACCCCGGTGGTGGCAGCTCACAGCTGCCCCCAGAGCTCACACTGGCTGCACATGCCACACCAGCCCACCGACGCAGTGGAACAGCGGACCCCCAAGGCTGAGCAGCCCCCCATCCACCCTCCTGCCCCAAGACTTACTGAGGGCGGCGGGGACTCGCGCCCAATGAGTGGGGTGTTCTCACAGCGGGGGTTCTGGAAATTAGCGTTCTGGCTCCTGAGGCATGAGGGGAGAGAGGCTGTGAGTGCCTGCTGGCCATGCAGTCCCAGCTGCAGGTCGGGGGGCCCATGGGTAGGCCCGCTGTGCCCAGATGGGCACATCCATTCTCACTGGGGGTCCCACGAACCCAGCACAGTAACAAAGGGCTCAGAGAGGGCCCACAGAGAGACCCCTGCCCACCTTGGCCCAGCCAGAGTCCACTCCCTCCGAGCCACCTGTTCACCATGTAGCTGGGCCCTGAGGTCCTTGGCCACAGAGTCCTTGTGCCCTGGACACGGAACCTCCATGTGACCATGTGGCCTCTCCATGGCCCCTGGACCGTGTTCACCTGGGGCAGGAGGCACTCAAGGCCAGGGCTGCCCAGCCCGGAGGCCGCCCCTTCTCCAGCCCCTTGCCTCGAGCTAGCCCCAGCCCAGATCCGCGCTCTCAGCCGCAGCTGACGTGTCCGCTGGCCCCACTAGGCCCACGTCAACTCACATGTACTCAGTGACCGGGGCGTTGCTGACGGTGTGGGCCGCGGCCGGGATGCTGGTCTCACTGCCGTAGCTGCTGCCACAGCTGTACAGGCTGGGCATGTGGACGCGGTAGAGGCTGTCGTGCGCCTGCCGCGGCCCTGGAGCGGCCTCCTCCTCCCCGTCCTCATCAGGGCCTCTGTGAGGAGGGACACGCAGCACGGGCTCAGGCCCCAGCAGGAAGGAGCTGGCCACAGACCCATGGGGGTCAGTTCTGGTGCAGACAGACACTCCTGGTTCCAGTTCTGGCTCGGCCGTGTGCACACTCCATGTGGGACTGTGGGCAGGTCACCTGGCTCTGCATCCAGCCCTGCCCTTGCGAGGTGGGGTGCTATGAGACCTGTGTGGTCACCCGAGTGCCAGGCCCTGTACTGCGGCCTGTGCATGGCAAGGCTGGCTGGCTGCTTACTGAAAGAAGAGTGCAGGGCCCCTCCTGGGAGAGTGCAGGAGGCCAGGGTGCCTCTTGAAGGCACAGGAGGCTGGGGTGCCTCTTGGCTCTGCAGGATCCAACTGCACCCTTGGGTGGCCTGAGCCAGTTTTCCTAGCCCTGCTGCCCTCTGGCTTTCTGTCTTCCACTCTGCGCGAGCCTCTGGCACTTTGGAGCCTCCACGCCCCAGGAGGTCCCACATGGGACACAGGGTGGGCTGCCTGGCAGCAAGCACTTCAGAAACAGGACAGTGGTAGCTTTTGGCTGCGCAGGGGCCACCAGCCAAGCCCCTCACGTGCAGTGGCTCAAGTGCCCACTCGACACTCCAGCTGTGTCCTCTTACAATGAGGGAAATTGAGGCCCAGGGTGGTTAAGTGACTTGCCCACATCATACAATAAGCAAGGATAGAGACAGAATCTGAATCTAGCCCTGTGGGTCCAGGGCTATGCTCTTATCTACTCCCCTATGTCTACCATCTTTGTTACCACTGACACCATCACCACCACCATCACCGACATCACCAATGCCATCACCATCACCAACATCAACAATGACATCACCATCACCATCACCATCACCACCACCACAACCACCACCACCATCATCACCATCATCACCATCACCACCACCATCACCATCATCACCACCATCACCATCACCATCATTACCACCATCACCATCACCATCATCGTTGGCAGCATCACCATCACCATCACAAAGGAAAATAATAGAAATCCAGACAAAAGGAAGAAATCTGAGCTGAGCTACCTGCCATCCATATTGGGCCACCAAGCAGCAGCCACAGTCCAAGTGGGAGAGGAGGTGAAGGTCTCAAAGATAAGCCATAGGAGCTCTGGCAAGGGAAGGAGCCTGTCACCCCAATACACCACTCAAACCAGTACTGAATGGGAAGACTCAGGCAGGGGCCACCAGGACCCCCACTTCAAAGGTAAGGACATAGTGGCTCCAGGGGAGCTGGCTTCTATCCTGGTCACTTAGCTGGAGGCCACAGCTACCTGGACTACCCCTGGCAGAGCTAAGCCTGCACAGTGGACCACCAACCTTTCCCCCACAGCGTCGTGCACCTGCACCCCATGGTGGGGGACACCTGCCTGGGAGGCGGTACAGAGTAGACAGTCTGAGGCCAGCTCTCAGGGCATAGGGCACAGAGCCAGTCTGGGGAGGCAAGAGACCCCAGTCCTCCCCACTGTCTGCTCTGGACTCCTGCAACCCAGGCCGGGAGCTCCTCCAGGCTGTTTTCCTCCTGTGAAATGATGATGCTCACCTGGGAACCGGCAGCCTCAGAGACACTAGAGAGGCCTAGGGAGGGTCACGAGGTGAGGAGGTGTCTGTCCCTCACCTCTGGGACTGGCACATGGGTGTCCATAAAGGCATGCCCCTGAAGTGTCCCGCATGCCATGTGGCCTGGGGCAAGCTCCTGCGACCCCCCAGGGCCCCTCACCTCTTTTGCTGCCAGGTGTGCGGGACGCTGCAGACGATGGAGCTGAACATGAGGGCTGTGACGAAGGAGAAGAGGGCCAGGTAGATGAGGCCCTCCACGCCGTCATAGCAGAAGCCGGTCAGCGCTTGCACGTAGTCCTGAGGCCGTGGGATGAGATGGCAGGATCCAGAGACAGGGAGGGTGGAGGGGGCAGCGTGAGACCTTCAGCCCAGCCACGGCGGCCTGGACCGCCCCCCAGAGGCAGGGCTGAGGACCCACTGTCTGCTGAGGGTCCCCATCCTCCCGAACAGCTGCTCCCCTGTTCCCACCCTACAAGCTGCCATGGCCCTGTCCCAGGCCCTGCCTCTCACCAGATGCAGGCTGCGGCAGTCCACCAGGGCGGTGAGGTGCTGCAGGTTCACCTCCGTGCCATTCAGCACCTCCTGGACGCGGAGGAGGGGGTCCTGGGGGGCACGCACCGCAGATGGTCAGCACTTCATTTGGACGGGGGACCTCGAGCCAGCCTCGCCCCATCTGGGAAGCCCCCAGGTCTCCCTCCAGCCCATAATCTTCGACTGAGATACCCCCCACCCTGGGGTCTCAGTGCAGGTCCTGAGGACAAGGACTCTGGGCCTTGAGAAATGGTGACCCCAGGCCCCTCCTCAGACCCGTGGGGTCTACCAAGGACATGAGGACCCAGAAGCGCCTGTCCAGTGTGGTCGCCACTACGTGAAGACAGACCTCCCTTTATTGTAATGGGAGAAACAGCGAACCCCCACGTGTCTACTGACACGGACCTGCTCTGCTTTTGAAAGTATTATTTCAAGGAACAGCTAAAGACAAGGGAAGAGTCTCATACTGACTGACAAAACTCTCCATGCAGAGTGAGCGCAGTCCTGTAATGTGTCCGTGTGCTCACCGGTGCTTACGTGTGTGCATGCGTGTGCACCTGTGCACGGACACCACCAGCTCTGTCTCATGCCTGGAGAAACGGCTGCACAGAAACACTGCCAGGCTGACAGCGACTCCACAGGAGCAGTGACTGGGCCCATTGCTGCCTTTTACGGCACGTTTTCTAAGGACCCACTACAATCCTGAAATGGATTTTGGGGCCGGGAGCGGTGGCTCACCCCTGTAATCCCAGCGCTTTGGGAGGCCAAGGTGGGTGGATCACTTGAGGCCAAGAGTTGGAGACCAGCCTGGGCAACATGGTGAAACCCTGTCTCTACTAAAAATACAAAAATTAGCCAGGCGTGGTGGCACGCGCCTGTAGTCCCAGCTACTCAGGAGGCTGAGGCAGAAGAATCGCTTCAGCCGGGAGGCGAAGTTTGCCGTGAGTTGAGATCACACCACTGCACTCCAGCCTCGGCAAGAGAGTAAGACCCTATCTCAAAAACAACACCAAAAAAAAAGAAATGGATTTCGGGATAACAGAGCCTACTGTTACGGGCTCAATGGTGCCTCCAGAATTCCTGTGTTGCGGTCTGAACCCCCAGGACCTCAGAAAGGGGCTGCACTTGGAGACACAGCCTTTAAAGAGGTGTTGAAGGTAAACCAAGGTCACATGGGTGGGTCCTAGCCCCATGGGACGGGTGTCCTTATAAGAAGAGGAAAATGAGCTGGGTGCGCTGCAGGCGCCTGTAATCCCAGCTACTCAGCAGGAGAATCGCTGGAACCCAGAAGGCAGAGGTTGCGGTGAGCCGAGATTGCGCCACTGCACTCCAGCCTGGGCAACAGAGAGAGACTCTGTCTCAAAAAAATAAATAAATAAAAATAAAAAAGAAGAGGAGATCAAGACACAGACACCCACAGAGGGATGGTCCTGTGAAGACAGTGGGAGAAGACAGCGTCTACAAGCAAAAGGGAGGCCTTGGAAGAAGCCGGCCCTGCCAAGAGCTGTGAGATGATAAACGTTTGCTGCGGAGGCTGCCCCATCTGGGCTGCTGTGCTATGGGGGTCCCAGGAAACGAATCCACTTCCCTACCCACTCGAGTGCAAAAACGCCAAGAGGGAGCTCTAGCTGTAACAGAAATTCTAAAAAGTAACTTTAAATCAAAGCAATTGTGTGTGTGTGTGTATAATTTTTATTTTTAATTTTTTTTTATGTGTGTGTATATATGTTATATATATATACACATACATACAGAGAGAAAGAGAGAGAGAGACAGGGTCTTGCTCTGTTGCCCAGGCTGGGGTGAACTGGTGCCATCACAGCTCACTGCAGCTTTGAACTCCCGGGCTCAAGCAATCCTCCTGCCTCAGCCTCCTGTGCAGCTGGGATTGCAGGCATGCTTTGCCACACCTAGCTAGTTTTTGTATTTTTTTGTAGAATGGGGTCTTGCTATGTTGCCCAGGATGGTCTTGAACTCGTGGGCTCAAGTGATCCCCTTGCCTCAGCCCCCCAGAGTGCTGAGATGACAGGCATGAGTGCCGTGCCCGGCCCCGTGTGTGTATACACATTTGTTTGCTTTTATCTTTGTGAAGAGCTCCTTGGAGAAGGGCCAGCTGCTCCCAAATGGAGTCTGAGACCCACACTTGTGCCCACAGACGCACTCCTCCCTCTTCATGTCCAGTCCTGGGGCGGTGTGTGTGGGGGCAGGGATCCCCACGGGTGGACCAAACACCTCCAAAGAGATTTGGGTTTTATCAAGAGTATAGCAACGTATTTATTTTTTATTTTTATTTTATTCTTTGAGATGGAGTCTCGCTCTGTTGCCCAGGCTGGAGTGCAGTGGCGTGATCTCCGCTCACCGCAATCTCTGCCTCCCAGGTTCAAGTGATTCTCCTGCCTCAGCCTCTGAAGTAGCTGGGATTACAGGCGTGTACCACCACGCCCAGCTAATTTATGTATTTTTAGTAGAAATGGTGTTTCACCATGTTGGCCAGGCTGGTATTGAATTCCTGGGCTCAAGTGATTCACCCACCTCGGCCTCCCAAAGTGCTGGGATTACAGGCGTGAGCCACCGCGCCAGGCCTTTATTTTATTTTTTTAACATATTGTAATGTAGAAATGCCCGGGCCCAGAACACTACAGGGAAAAACAAGAATCCTCTCAAATTTCCACAATGCCCCCAGGGCACTCACCCAGAGAATGGATCTGATTCTGTTACTCTCTTCCCTCATCTCTTTCCATTTTCTTCAATTTTTTTAAATATAAAGAGCTTGTATTATTTTTAAACAAAGAATAAAGTTATTTTTTAAACGTTGGGTGTGGTGGTTCACGTCTGTCATCCCAGCCCTGAGACCCACCTGGGCAACATAGCAAGAGCCCATCTCAAAAGAAATGATTTTTAAAACCTACCAAAAATTCCCAAGGGAAAGGAATGAAGGAGGGAGGAAGGGGAGGAAAAAATGAGGCCTAACGCGGAAAGGGCTGGGGGAGGGAAGAGGAACACCTCCCATGCCACCTCCAACACCAGGTCCCCACTCGGCCAGCCTGGTGCCTTCTCCAAATTTGCCCTGAGCTGTGTTTGCACCACAAATTCCTTTCATGCTGAGAAAAGAGGAGCCCTGCCTGCCCCAGTGCCTACCCCGCAGCCCCTCACCTTAGTGGCCGGCTGCTCCCAGGGGACGGTCCTCAGAAGCTCAGCCACGACATCCTGCATCTCCACCAGTGCCTTGTGGCTGCCCGACAGCTTCTGCTCCAGAGAGGAGACCAAGTCCATGGGCGCTGCTGGGTCCGCCCGCCTCTCCCTCCCCAGGACCCTCCAACGCGGGGACACCAGCAAGACGTCCAGCCTGGGAGACCATCAAGGCTCTGCTCTGCAGGCCAACAGGGCACTCCCTGCCCTTGCTTCCCCCGGGACACACCCAGAGACCACAGAGCCCTGAGGTGGTAACAGCCAACCACGCACCCACACCAGCAAGCAAAGCACAGTCACACGGCCCTCAGGATTCAAAGGGTCACATGCTACCGGTACAATGACAGGCAGTGTGTACAGGGCTTGACCAGCTGGTGCGGCCGACCTCTTCAAACTCCCCCACCAGGACGCCTGAACACGGTTACCCTACAGAGGCATCCCTGGGGCTCCTCCTTCCCCCACCAAGGCCAATCCAAGGAGCAAAAGCAGTCCCAGCGATGCGGGTGCATTGAGCAGGTCCCCCCGAAAGGCTCTCAGCCAGGTCACCAGGTCACCGGCATGGTAACCCCAGGGGCTGTTGGTGACATCCACACAGCCTTTGTCCAGCTCCCTCCCCCAGTTCCCCAGTCCTGCAGGCTGAGGAGCCAGGCGCCAGGCCTGCTGGGCCCCTCCACACACAGCAATGTGCTTCAGACTCTCCTGAAGCCCAGTCCCGGCCTCCCAGGCTCTCACCTGCTGGAAGGGGTTGGCGGCGCGGGGCGAGCAGGCCAGGTAGTACTGCAGGATGTCTGCGGAGAGACATCAGGGAAGGCTGAGCTGCAACAGCTGTCCCTGTGAGACTGCGTGCACGTCTGCCTGTGTCTGCACGCATATCTTCAGGGCATCTGCGTGCATGTTTACATGTGTGCATGTGTGTCTGTGTGCACCTGTTTACACATGTGCATGTGTCTGCATGTTTACTTACACGTGCATGTGTCTCTGTGCACGTTTCGTGTGCACGTGTGCCGGTGTGCATGTGTCTGTGTGTTTATATGTGTGCATGTCTGTGTGTACATGTCTTCGCATGTGTGTCTGCATGCATTTACACACATGCCTATGTCTGTGTGTGTGGCAGTGGGGTCTGGGCTCCCATCAAGCCAGAGTCCCCACACACTGCCCCTTGCCTGGGTTCCACCTTCCGAACTCTTTACAAGTTCAGTTCTTCCAATTATAAAAGAACATTAAAAAAAAACATTTTAAAAGTTCAAAAAATGATGAAAGTATTTAACAACATAGGAGAGCACCAGGCATCACTGTGGCCGCCTGTGCAGTGAAGCCAGCGTGGCTGGCCTTGCTGCCTTCTGGGAGGGGCTGTCTGGCCCGCAGGCTGGAGCTCACACTTACGTGTGTACATGTACACGTGTAGGGGGCGCTGCTCATACTTGATGAGATCCCCCCAAAGGCCGCCGGCTACAGTAGGGACCTGGAGGGACCAGGATGATAGCACCGGGGCCAAGGACAGTGGTGGGTAGCACTGAGCGGTCACCAGCCCTCCCCGCCCCTAGCAGAGCGGGCCCACCCCTCCACCCTCGCCCCCGAGGACAAGGTCAGTGGGCGGCAGATGACTTTTCCTCCAGGAGGCTCTTCAGGCTTTGGTGGAAGTGGTTCCTTCAACAAAGGCAGGTAAAAAACCAGCCCACAAGCCAATCCTGTGGCCTCCAGGGACAAAGGGTGGCAGGATGGTCACCTTCAAGGTCATTCAGTAACCCTCACCCCCACAGGGACAGGCCTTCTATTTCCTATTGGGGAACACACAATAATTCCACAAGGGGGGCCTGAGAAGCTTAACACACTGACGGCACCCCGATCTCCAGATTCCCACGTCCACCTGCCTCTGTGCCGTCCGACACACATCGCAAACCTCCCGAGGGGGCCGAAACTCCCGATGCCCCAGCTCCCTGCCCCCCACCTCCAGACCTGCTCCCCCACCCACAGTACAGCTTATGGTCCCGCAGCACAGAGCTGCTGAAACCAGGGACGCCAACTCCTGCTCCGTCCCTCTCGCTCCCTACATCCAACTGACCGGGAAGTCCTGCCAGCTCCGCCCTCAAAGCCCATCCCTGTCCACCTTTTGCTCCATTTATTCAAGCCCCTGCTGTCTCCTGCTTGAGGTATCCTCCTCACCCACTCTTGTAACCCTTGAGGCCTGAGGAAGCTTTGAAAGGGACCTTCAATCATGGGTCAAATCTCTCCCCTGCCTCCCTCCCTCCAATGGCCTCCCCCTGGAATAAAGCGAAGCTTGCCACAGAGACTCAGCCCCACTGGCCTCCCACCCTCCATTCTCCCCTCGGGTCTGCCTCCTGCCTCGGGGCTCTTAGAAGAGATGCAGCGTCCTTCTGGCTCTACTTTTTTTTTTTGAGATGGAGTTTCACTCTTGTTGCCCAGGCTGGAATGCAGTGGTGCGATCTCGGCTCATTGCAACCTCCACCTCCTGGGTTCAGGCAATTCTCGTGCCTCAGTCTCCGGAGTAGCTGGGATTACAGGCACCCACGACCACACCCAGCTCATTTGTGTATTTTTAGTAGAGACAGGGTTTTGCTATGTTGGCCAGACTGCTCTTGAACTCCTGACCTCAGGTGATCCACCCGCCTCGGCCTCCCAAAGTGCTAGGATTACAGGTGTGAGCCACTGCACCCAGACCTCTGGCTGTACTTTAATGCCACCCATTTGGCCTCCCCTGGGCATCTACTCGAAGCAGCCCTGGGTCACCTGCCGCTCCCCCTGCCACGCGGGCACCCGCCACCCCACATAGTTCCTGTCATTCTTTGCAGAGCCTCCCACTTGGGAAAGGTGGTCCTGTTTGCTCACTAGCATCTTGGCCTGGGACCTGTCTCCCTGAGACCATGGACCCACAGGGCAGGGGTGTCTCGGCCTCAGCTACCCCACTCTTTTGGCTCAGCCCAACCCTGGGGAACCCGCTGGGACACGGCCGTGGACACAGACTCACCCCCACTCAGCACCGAGTACTCCTCCACCATTTTGGTCACGTAGGCGTCAGGGTCCACACAGAAGTCGCTGGAGCCCTGAGGTGGGCGTGGGCAAGCAAGAGGGGTTGACCAAGCTGGGCCTAAAGGGAAGCTCTCGGGGGTAGAACCCGTCCCCTGGAGTCTGCTTTCAACTCAGGAGGGTGGACTGTGAATCTGGGGTTACAGGTGGACTGTGCCCATGGTGGGTCCCCACCGCTCTCGGGACCCAGTGCCCGGGAAGATGGGAGGGGAGAGGAGTGTGGCTTCCCCTCGTCCCTCCCCCAGTGCCCAGGTCCAGCAGCCGGGGACCTCACCCCCTCTGCCACTCACCACGGACACAGCCAGCTCCAAGCCCAGCGCGCCCCAGCTGATGACCAGGGCCAGGACTCCCAGCAGGCAGACCCTGGGGCAGAGACAGCCAGTCAGCAGCCCCCAGGCCAGGGTGGGGGCCGTGCCACCTGCTGGGCTGCAGGCCAGAAGGCAGGTCCCAGTGCACATCAGGGGTCAGCCCACACATGGGCTGGGGCTCTTCCTGTGGCCTGGCCTCAGCCAGAGCTGCCCACAGCCCAGGGCCCAGATGGATCCCTCTCCTAGGTGGGGTGGGGCTCAGAGATCTGAGCTGGAAGCAGGACTGGAGGGCCACGTGGCTCTTGGGGCCCCGCCCCTCCTGTCCCCCAGGTCCCTCTCCTGAACAGGCAACAGTGTCCACTTTCACGTGGGTCCCCGCATCCCGCCGCCCACGTAGCAGCCCAAGGGGCCTGATAACGTCAGCTAGATCAAGCCCTCCTGTGCTGAACCCTCGCTCAGCAACTGGGGACTCAGAGCTCTTGCTACGGCACTGGCCTCTCCCTCATCTGAGGCCTCACCTCACCCACATCTGGCTCCCTTTGATCCAGATACACAGGCCTCCTGTGCATACCCCACTGCAGGTGCCCCCACCACGAGTCCCCCATATCCCAGTTCAGATCCCCAAAACACACCCCAGTGCAGGCCCCACACCCCACTGCGGGCCCCACACCCCACTGCGGGCCCCACACCCCACTGCGGGCCCCACACCCCACTGCAGGCCTGCACACCCCACTGAGGACCCCACAACCCACTGCACACTGTCATCCTTCCTGTCTGTCCAGGCGTCCCTTACTCCCTTGGGCCCCTGCTCAATCCCTCCTCGCTCAGGTCTCCTTGGGCACAGCGTGAAGCTGCACCCCCCCCCACCACCCTACTGCAGGCCTTCACACCACCCCGGCTTTTCCTCTCCAGGGTGCTATCACCTCTGGCCCATGCCACGTTTCCCTCATTCTGCTCCTCTGTGGCCTGTGAGTGCCACGTGGGGGGAGGCTGTGTGTTCTCCCATCTCTCCCAGGCCTGGCCCAGGGAGGCACCAGCCATGGCTGTGCAGCTGCGTGGTGAAGGGCAGTGACAACACCTTACCTCCCACAGAGGAGCTGCCGCTCTCTCTGCCTTCCAAACGAGGAGACCAAGGCCCAGCAACAATAAGCCACCTGCCCAAGGTCACCCTCCTAGTGAGCCGGAGCTGGGGCTGGAACCCAGGCTGCCCCAGGGCCAAGGATGGAAGGGGTGGAGGAAGGAGCCCCAGCCTGGTCTCTGGGTGGCCCCAGGCACTCGGAGACCTGGGCAGGTTGCTTCAGGTCCTGGGCTACAAGTGCCCCACGTGCAGACTCTTGCAGGAAATCAAGGGCTGGGGGCAAGTGTGCTGGGATGCTGGCCACAGGGGCACAGGCCACAGGCACAGAAGGGGCATCTCAGAGCAGGCCCAGTGCAGGGGGGTCCCGCTCAGCCCCCACCGCAGAGCTTGTGGCTAGGATCTGCAGATGAGGTGGGGGAAGGGGTAACATGGTGCCTTGCCCTGCCCCTCCGCTTTGGGCCCACGGGGGGCCGACACCCCCAGACTCACCCCACCAGGATGCCCTTGGAGCTGCGGATGAGGCCAACCAGCACCAGGAGGCAGATGATGACGTCCAGCAGCAGCAGGCCCAGGTAGCCCAGCCACCTGCAGGCAAACCTGGGAGTGCGCCAGGGCACAGGGACCCGGGGCCTGGGAGTGGGGCGCCAGGGGCCCTTGAGGGGGAGCTGAGGCCAGCAGCCTGGCACCCCAGAGGGCATTCAGAGCGTCTGGGTCATGGGGACTGGTGTCAGTTCTTGAGAAAGGCTCCCATTAGGGGAACTCCAGCCACTGCCTGTGACCTCCAGTGGCCCTGGGCCACACCCTGCCCATCAGGCCTCATGTACTAGGTGCTGAGAGCAAAAATTGGCCCAAGGAGGGTGATGCTTTCCCACGTGGGGCGGGCAGGGAAGAGGGCCTGGCCGCACCTGTACCAGTCGTAGAGATCCACCTGCTCCGCCAGCACCTCCAGCGACACCGCCGTGTTCCTCCAAAAGGGGATGGCGGCCGTGTAGCCCAGCAGCGTCTCCAGCAGGCCCTGCAGCCTCTGTACGGCTCGCAGGGGCTCGGGCCGCCCGGCCAGCTGCCGCTCCAGGGTCTGCAGGCTGGGCTCCGCCGTGTGGTTCAGCCCCACCGCCGTGTCCCACACCTGCGCCGGACCCGCGGGCGTGAGGCTGGGAGCGCGCCCGCCTCGCCCCAGAGTCTGGGCCCCTCCTGCACAGCCCCAGTCCCGGCTGCCCCGCCCGTCCTCGCGCAGACGTGGGGCTCCGGAGCAGCAAGAGTGCTCCTGGCCCCAACTCCGCGGCCACTCACGCGGTCCTGGACCCCGGCCACCGTGCGGTTGGCGTGGCGGAGCGAGTAGGTGGCCCTATGGATGCCATCACTGGTCTCCCCGTTGCCGTAGAATCCCACTGCGATGCCGGCGCTGGAGAGGGCGGGCCCGTGAGATGTAGCCCCGCCCACCCACACACACCCCACTCCAGCCCCGCCCCCTCGGGCCGCCCCCTCTGGCCCCGCCCTCCGTCCCCGCCCCACCGCGCTCACCTGCACACCAGCGTGGCGATGATGACACACCAGGCCGTGCAGCAGCAGTCGGCGTCCAGGTGCTCCTCGCTCTTGCGCCGCCGGCAGCACAGCCAGAAGGAGTAGAAGAGCAGGAAGAGGAGGTCCAGGGCGAGGCAGGCCAGGGCGGCGGCCCCCAGGAGCAGCAGGGCCTGAGGGCAGGCAGGAAGCGGCGCTGGAGGGGTGGACCCCCAGCTCAGAGTCCCACGCCCCGCCCCAGCAGGGGACCTGGCGCAGACTCCCATTTAATCCTGCCCCCAGCCCTGGGAGGTGGGCCCCATCCCCGACTTGTAGGTGAGGCATGGAGTCTCCCACCACCTCAGTGATGCACCTGGGGTCACCCAGGCCTGGACCCCACACCTGGGACCCCGGTCTCGCCATCCTCAAGGCTGCACAGCATGAAGACTCCATAGCCACTAGGAGGGGCCGGGTGAACCGACTCCAGGCTTCTGTGGCTCCAGCAAGGGCACATGTCCCCTCCCCACCGGGTCCCCAGAGTCCAGGGCAGGTGCTCAGGACGTCTGCCCCACCAGGCCCCAAGGAGAGGCGCTGGATGGAGGTAGCCAGAGAATGTGGGTGACAAACGAGGACGCTGCTGGTGAGCCACCATCTTTGCAGCCACAGCCCCACTAGGGAGGTCCCTCCACCTCTCCGAGCCTGGTTTATCTTCTGTAGAAAGAAGTGCTGCTGAGCAGGGCAGGGTGGCTCACGCCTGTAATCCCAGCACTTTGGGAGGCCGAGGCGGGCGGATCACCTGAGGTCAGGAGTTTGAGACCAGCCTGGCCAACGTGGCGAAACCCCATCTCTACTAAAAGTACAAAAATTAGCCAGGCCTGGTGGCGGGTGCCTGTAATCCCAGCTACTCAGGAGGCTGAGGCAGGAGGATCACTTGAACCCGGGTGGCGGAGGTTGCAGTGAGCCGAGATTGCACCACTGCACTCCAGCCTGGGCGACAAGAGCGAGACACTGTCTAAAAAAAAAAAAAGTGCTGCTGCTCCCCCGAAGAAGCGAAGCCCTGGGGAGGGGGCTGCCGGCATCAGCTACTGTCCTCACCCCCAGCCCGAGACAGCCCCAGGACCCCAGAGCCCGTCCCCGTCTCAGGCCCAGAACTCTCCTACCTGAGTCCTGGCAGGATCCCCCACCCCAGCTGTAGTCCTGAGGTTTTCAGGTCTGGTAGGGAAATTGGGAGCCTGTGGGGGACTGAACCCCCTCTTGCTGACCATGAAAGTGTTTCTGAGGGGTGAACATGGAAGAGGCCCCATCAGGAGTCTGATCCTGTCTGGGGTCTGTGCACCGAGAAGCTGCACTCAGGGGTGGGCACCGTCCATGGCGTGCCCCCACGCTGGATGAGATGGTGGGGCTGGCCCCACACTGCTACAGGCTGCATACAGGCGCCCCATCGGACACACAGCCCTGTCTGGCTCCAAGCACGGCCTTCCAGTGTGGCTCTCCCCAGGTCTCTGAACACAAAAGACAGACCACAGAACAGACACCAGAGCTCCCCTGTCCCGAGGCCAGGCGACCCCCACAGGAAGTGGCTAATTTGATGCAACAGTGACATTTCCTCAGCACCCGCTGCGGGGAGGGAGGGTAACGTGGCCCCAGAGCTGTCCCTTCTCCTGGCACTGCATTCGATCTGCCTGGCCGAGTGCTCTCACCCCATTTCATCCACAGGGAAACTGGGCTTCATAGAAGCTACAGAGAAAGCACACAGGCCCTGCAACCCCAGGTCCCTGGATTCAGCATAGCCCTGCCCCCGGCTCAGCCCTCCAGAACCTCCACACACTTCCTGTGCCGGGGGAGGGATGGGGAGCTGATACAGGGCTGCGCCTCATCATGGGGCCAGGGACCACCTAGAGGCTAACTTGGGGGTGCCCTGGGGGGTGTCAGCAGCTGGGGCCCTCAGTGTTGTGGGGTGGCCACCAGGCACACCTGCGCTGCCCTCATTGGCACTACTGCAGAGAAACGCCTCTCTCCCCACATCTCAATGCTTCAGCAGTGTGGCCCTCTTGGGACCCCAGCCTTGGGAGCTGCTGGGGCAGATGGTCCCCTGCCTGGCCCCCCCTTGGGATGAGAGGCTCAGCCACAGTGGGCAATGGGATTGCTGCTGGATCTCCCAGGAGACGGTTGCCAGGCAGTGGGAGGATGCCGTGTCCTGCCCTCCAGGAAGCCGGCCGACGTCCACACCCGAAGGCGGCCTTTCCACCTCCACCCAGCCAGGGAGGTGCTGACCAGCCCGGCACACCCAGAAATGAGCCGCCATGGTCCAAAGCCACACCGGTGTGTCCACGGCTGCCCAGCAGCCAGCAATCTGGGCACTGCAGAGCATCAGGGGCGGGCACCCTCCCACTCCTTCAGCCATGCACAAGTGCCTACCGCCCCTGCAATGGCAGGAGGACTGCTGGGCCCTGCACCCCCACCCTCCAGGGGCAGGACCCAGGGCTGGCACCAGAGCCACTGAAACTGAATCAGCTCAGGGCGGTCTCATGGTCCCAGGGAGCTCATGTCACAGAGGGGTCCTCAGGGCCCAGTAGGGCTTACCCAAGATCACACAGGGAGGCGGAGACAGTCCAGTCACTTGGCAGGGCCTCATATTAACAGTCCCAGCACGGTACCCATGCTCTGTGCTCAGTGGGTTGTCTATAAACGTTAGGGAGCTTGGAAAAGCCACGCTCTGGGGCTCCCTGGGTCTGCCCTTGCCTGTGTGGGGCTGGGAATGGAGTGGAGGTGCTGACCCCACCGGCTGTGACTGCAGGCCCTGCCAGTACCCTCCTTATAGCTCAGAGGCCAACGGCAGAACAGACCTGTAGGGGCAGCTGACCATGCCCCCCGGGACCAGAGCTCCACAGGACCCATGCCCACGTCTGCACTTCCATCCACAGGGCCTCCCCTGGGCTCCCATGGCCTGGGGGCCATGTCAACCAGCCGCATCTTGGCCCCGGGCTGGTCAGACTCCTCCAGCGAGCCCTCCCTCTGCTCTCCACTTGCAGAGGCCTCCCCAGTCCCTGGCTGGAGTCACCCTCGCTCCCCCGACCCTGTGCTCCGGTGGGACATGACTCTAGGAGGGCCTGTCTGTACTGCACCCCACATCTGGGACTCACAGCCTCGCAGGGAAACTCCTCCTGGGGTGAGGAGCTGGGGACTGGAAGAGCAGGTCAATCCCAGACACGCATTACGCAGAGCCTAAACAGGTGTGACCTCCGCAGCCACCGGCCTGGCATGTCCACCCAGAGCTCGGGGCATCAGCGTACATCAAAGGGCTTCCAGGTCCAGATCACTTCCTCAGCGGCGCCAGAGCCACCCACTCCCACTTGCCAGATGAGAAAACGGAGGCAGAGCGAGATAAGCCCTGGCCAAACAGGATCTGGGCGAGGCAAGCCCGTCCCTCAGATGGCACTGCCCTGGTGCAGAGGGCTGATGCCCAGGGGCAGTGGGCAGGGGACGCCCATGCCCGGTGGGGAGAGGCTGCTAAGCACCAGGCACCCTTGCCCTTGGCGCCGCCTGCAGGGTGGTGAGGGAACACAGGCACTCAGCATCATCGTAAGTGAACTGTGAAGCCTGCTGGATGGTGAGAGACGCTGAGAAAAACAGAAAAGGCAGCACAGGAGCTGGAGTACCGGGGACTCTACGATTTTTTTTTTTTTTTTTTTGAGACAGAGTCTCGCTCTGTCGCCCAGGCTGGAGTGCAGTGGCGCCATCTCAGCTCACTGCAAGCTCCGCCTCCCGGGTTCACGCCATTCTCCTGCCTCAGCCTCCCAAGTAGCTGGGACTACAGGCACCCGCCACCAAGCCTGGCTAATTTTTTGTATTTTTAATAGAGACAGGGTTTCACTGTGTTAGCCAGGATGCTCTCGATTTCCTGACCTCATGATCTGCCCGCCTCGGCCTCCCAAAGTGCTGGGATTACAGGCGTGAACCACCGTGCCCAGCCTTTTCTTTTTGAGATGTAATTTCACTGGTGATGCCCAAGCTGGAGTGCAGTGGTGTGATCTCGACTCACTGAAACCTCCGCCTCCCAGGTTCAAGCCATTCTCCTGCCTCAGCCTCCCAAGTAGCTGGGATTACAGGTACCCGCCACCAATGCCTGGCTAATTTTGTATTTTCAGTAGAGATGGGTTTTCACCATGTTGGCCAGGCTGGTCTCAAACTCCTGACCTCAGGTGATCTGCCCGCCTTAGCTTCCCAAAGTGCTGGGATTACAGACGTGAGCCACCACACCCAGCCCAAGTCTACGATTTAAAAAAAAAAAAAAAAAAGAAAAGAAAAAAATTATTTTAGAGACAGGGTCTTGCTCTGTGGCCCAGGCTGGAGTGCAGTGGCACGATCACCACTCACTGAAGCCTCAACCTCCTGGGCTTAAGTGATCCTCCTGCCTCAGCCTCTCAAGTAGCTTGGACCACAGGCACATATCACCACGCCTGGCTAATTTTCTTTTTCTTTCTTTCTTTTTTTTTTTTTTTTTTTTTTGAGACAGAGTCTCTGTCACTGAGGCTGGAGTGCAGTGGCATGATCTCGGCTCACTGCAACCTCCACCTCTCAGGTTCAAGTGATTCTCCTACCTTAGCCTCCTGAGTAGCTGGGACTAGAGGCATGCACCAACACACTTGGCTAATTTTTGTATTTTTAGTAGAGACGGGGAGTTCACCACGTTGGCCAGCCTGGTCTTGAACTCCTGACCTTAGGTGATCTGCCATCTCGGTCCCCCAAAGTGCTGGGATTACAGGCATGAGTCACTGTGCTTGGCCTCTGCCCTAATTTTTAAAAAAATTTTTTGTAAAGACAGGGTCTGGCTATGTTGCCCAGGCTGGTCTTGAACTTCTGGGCTCAAGCAATCCACCTGCCTCGGCCTCCCAAAGTGCTGGATTACAGGTGTGAGCACCGCGATTGGCTGAGGCAGCTTTCTCTTGTTCTTGCCTGGATGGGGCCAGCTGCAAACGGAGCCTCGCTCCTCAGCCCCTGGGGGCCAGAGGCCAGGCTTCGGGGCCCCTGCCAGGACAGCCTCACTTGGCTTCCCCCAACTGAGGAAGGAGATGGCGCCTCCCTCAAAGGGAGCCCACTTGGGCTGCCCGGGTCCCAGCCCACCACTGCGAGCATGCAGAGCCTGGGTGTCAGGGTGCTCAGCAAACCGGGCAGCTGCTTCATCCCACGTCAGAGCCCCGGCACCCAACGCGCCAGGCCTGAGCCCAGCTGTCTGCGGGGAGCGTGCCGTGGCCAGCCTGGCCTCTGCACCCACTTCCCGAAGCCAGATTCCCAGCAGACGGTCTCCTGCGGGGCACCGGGCCAGCGGCATTCCTACGGTGGCCCAGCCACCTCTCTCCACCGGGCTGGCGGCCCCTCCGCCCCTCCCTGGCCCATTCAGAGAAAGAATGGGAACTGTCTGATCAGCAGCTGGGCTCTGACCAAATGGAATTTTCCGTCTGTGGTGGAAGTGATGTAAGGGCTCGGTCAGGCGAGGCGAAAACTGCACGCTGGGTTCCGCGGAGCACACGGAGAGGACTCAACTGCCACACATGTGCCAAGGGGGCTGGGGGCGACCCCCTCCTGCAGCCTCAGTCCCCCTGCCCCCACCCTAGGGCTCCTGGTCTCGGCCCTGGGCCACCCCCTCCTTCTCCAAGCCCCTGCAGCCCCACAGCCACAGACGGCATCCATGGGGGATGCCCCCTCCCACCGTGAGCCCAGACTCCCCCGACTGCCCCGCAGCCCCCAAAATGCAGCCCCCAAAACCCCACCAACTCTGGAAACACCCAGCCAGCCAGAGAGCCGGGGCCTGAAGCCTTACTCTGTCCCAGATCAGGTTGCTACCGATAGGATCCCAGTATACCCTGGGCCAGAGCAAGACCTCCCTGGCCTGGCAGGGATGCCTGGGGCACTGGCTGGTGAGGAGCGGGCAGGGCTGGGGTGTGGCTCGGGGCAGGGCTCTGTGGCCTCTACACCCAGGCATATGCTGTCCCTGGGCCTGGAGCCTTCCCCTTCAGGGAAGCCCCATTGTCCCCATACACAGGCCATCTCCTCCAGGATGTCCCCAGGATATTAGAGACCCAGGCCCAAACCCGGTGCTGCAGCCTTTGCTCTGTGTGAACCTCGGCTGGCTCCGCACTTGTAAGGCGAGACCCCCAACCTGACCTGGCTGCCTGCACAGGTGGGTGGCCCCAACCCAGCCCTGCTTGGAGAAGGGAGGGCCCAGTGAGCCACAAGGCCTTAGGACGGCCCACGGGGCACTTGAGCAGACGACGTGCACGAGCAGCTGTGAGGCCTGTGCCCCACGCCTGCCGCGGCCTCCTGGCCATGCCCACTCTGCCTCCAGGCCCTGTCTGGACGTGACTCCCATCAGCCACACAGACACAGGCACCCCCCAACGCAATGCCAGGCTCAGCGCCAGCACAGGCCACACCACACCAGGCTGCCAAGGTGGGAGGGCCATGCATGACAGCAGGGCAGGGCACACTGCCTGCCACCTGCACAGGTGGCTGCTGCTGGGCATCCTGGTGGCTCCCGGAGCACCTGGTGGCAGGACCTGGGCCTGGCAGCGTGTGAGGAAGCATGCCACTCGGGAGGGTGCACAGCAAGTCACGGCCGGCCTATGGAACACACGTCCCCCCCCACACACACACAGGCGGCTGCTCTACATGCACACGCCTGGGAGCAGCTGCCCACCCCGCTACCCTGCGCCACGGACCCACACGCCGCTCTGTGCCACCAACCTGTGGGCTACCGTGGCGCGTGGCTGGGCTGAGGAGGCCCTGGCCCACTGGGGGGTGCTCACAGGGACTCTGATGAGAAGTTTGGCCCGATGCAGCCTCCAGCCCCAGCCACAGGCAGTGGCCACGATCCCACCACCCTGCCATTCCAGCCACGGCTGCTCGCTCCTCGGCTGGACACTGCTGCGGGTCTGCCCTGAGCAGGGAGGGAAGCGAAGACATAGGGCCCGTGTCCTGGAGCCACGCTGCTAGGCACAGGGAGTTCCAGAGTCCACAGTCACACAGCGGGGGCGGGTGAGCTGGCAGGCCAGGCAGCGTGACCACAGCTGAGGATGATGGCTGCCCGAGGCATTGGGAGAGACCAGCGAGCCCCAGGGGTGCAGCCACGGGGCACGGTGAGCAGGGGTGGCAGGAGAAGCAGCCCCCGGTGGCCAGAGAAGGGGTGGGCAGAAGGTGGGTTCCAGCCCTGCCCCGCCCCTCGTGCCAGCTCCGTGTGGAAGTGACACAGCTTGGAGGAGGGAAAGGGACAGGCTCCACAGAGGCCACTGAGGGGCCAGAACCCCACCAGAGGTGCCGGCATGTGACAGACACACAATATGGTAACGGCCACACAGCCTGACTGCAGTGGGGACAGAGTCACCCCCGGCTTCCTGGATGGGGACGGAGTCCCCACACTGACGGCTGTGGTCCTGGCTGGGCTCCGGGCTAATTGGGAGCATCAGCTTCCAGGGCATCTTAGCAGCAGCTTGCGCTGGGTGCTGGGGCCCAGGCTTGGACAGACAGCTCGGCCGCGCTAGGTCGGGGGCTCCCCTGTGCCCACAGTGCTGGCCCCGTGAGCTCGGAGGCTGTGGGAGGCAGGAAGAGGAATGAGGCGGTCACTGAAACTCCCGTTGTGGGGAGCATCGTGGGTACCGCAACAGGTGGGGGAGGGCACTCTTGGCCCGGGGACAGTGTCAGCCAAGGCCTGGCACAGGGTCCAGGCGGCAAACGTCTCCTGCATGCCGAAGATACACTGGCAGCAGGGACCAGCCAGGCCCTGGCCTGAGCCTGTGCGTATGGCAGCAGCACGGGGCTCCGGGAGGACGTGGCAGGCGAGAGGTGGGAGTGGGAGGGGAGTGACCCCCACCTGCCTCCACGGATGCTGAACTCCAGCCCTGGAACTCCCAAGGCCCCTCCTCCAGAGGAAGCAACAAGGTTTGGGGGTGTCTGAGAGGCTGGCTGGGGTCCCACACCCCAGTGCAGACCGAGGGGTTCTGGCCCCCAGCACTGTGAGAACCCCCCAGGTGTCCTGGGCCAGGGTCAGGAAAGGGGCGGGATCCCTAGGGCCCAGACTTGTTTGGGGAGGCCAGGGTGGGCTCGGCGTGTGCGAGCCACTACCACCACCCCCATGTCAGGGGCCCGCCACTGGGAAGTGGGTCCCCCTACCTTTGCCTCGTGGGTCCCCTTGCACAAGTGGGGGGTCCAGGGTCACAGTCTTTGGCTAGGCCTCAGCCCCCCATGCGGCCAAGCTGGACACGTGGCCCCAGCCCCTACCCATAGCACACTCGGCCCAGGCTCCCAGCGACACTGGCCCAAAATTAAAAACAGATTTTCCACCAGGCTGGGTTTGGGTTTCACGCATTCCATGACGGTGAGCTCCTGGCCGTGCCTGGAGGACGTGCAGCCAGCAGCGGCCACGTGGGAGCCGGGGTCGGGGCCAACTTTGTGTCCCTGTCCCCAACTCCTGAGGTCCGAGGTCCAGGTCGCCAGGCTGCACATGGCCCCACACCCCCCGGGGCTCCCTCCGGGCTGGCCCTCACCCTCCAGGAATGGCCTGGAAGGAGGCCAGAGAGGCAGCCCTGGGGCTGAGGCTCAGAGCCGCTCCTGCCCGTCTCCCCACAGGCCGGGCCCCTTTCCTGCACCCTGTAGCCGGGGGACCCCAGCTCTCCCGCTGCCCACGCCCGCCCTCCCCCTCGTGCAAGGAACAGACACCAAAGAGCTGCAGCAAGCGTGTCTATTTTGGTCCCCGTGCTCCGACACATCTCCCAGCGTGACACCCGGAAAATCCCCTGCTCTTCCCACTTGTCTGCAGCCCTCTGCACCAGCTGCCTGGGGACCGGGCCCCAGGCCTCAGACCCAGCCAGGAGCCGCCAGACTGGAGCCCCATCTCCGGGATCAGCTCCCTACCAGGGAGAGGCAGCCCAGAGGGCACGGCCGAACCCCAGACACAGGGCTGCAGGGCTCAGAGCTGGGTGCACCCCAGAACTTCAGGAGTGCTCTTCCACGATGGCCAGGAACCCAGCCAGCGTGCACAGGCCCGAGGGGGGCAGAACGGCTAGGGGCACTGTGGCTGGTACCCTCCTCAGAGGCCGAAGGCACTGGCACTCTGTGGGTGGCCCGGCTTCCTCCCACACCCTCGGCCAACATGGGCCTGACCCAGCCACAGTGGGTGCTGCCCCACAGGACTCAGGTCTCAGCCAGCCTCCCAAGACTGTGAGAAGCCCCCTCGGATGGTGTGAGGCCCAGCACAGGGCCTGGGTGGGCTCCCTGCAGAACATAGCGGCAGGCCCGGGTACAGGAGGCCCTCCTGTGACCCTCCCACACCCACCATCCACCCGCTGTCACATGCCAATTCCCCGGTGGCCACGTCAGGCACTTCCCATGTCCTTGACCCCAGGCCCCTGGCTGCAGATTCGGTTCCTCTTCTCTAGCCGAGGCCTCAGCAGAACTGACGGTGGGGCAGGTGGGGGAAGTGTAGATGCCCCTGAGCCCCCTAAACCTGCACCCCTGGGTTCACGAACTGTGCTGACGCTGTATCCACTGGGACGGACGTGGCTGGGCTGCAGCTGGAACCCGTGCCCAGTCTTCCGGCCCCCCATGCTGGCCGGCCCCCGTTTCTGCTTATGTCGGGGACACAGTGTCCACCTCCCAGGGCCACTGGGTGGCTCTCCAAGAAAAGTGCTTTAGAAACGAGCAGCACAAGCATCCGGGGAGAGCCGCCGTGGCCTGGGGAACCAAGCTGCAGGGCTCCCCGCTCCCCCAGAGCCTGACCAAGAGCCCCCGGCCGGGGGTCAGAGCGGCTGACACTGCAAATCCCTTAGACGGGGTTGGCTGGCAGGGCCTGCCCAGGGGTCAGGGGAGGAAGAAGGGTCACCATGGAGATGCCCAGAAGAGGGGTCCTAGAGCTGGCCCTCGAGTCTCAGGCGAGTGGGGGGCAGGCGGGGGTCCCGCACACACAGACTGGAGTGGCCCCTGGTGATGCTAGAACTGGGGAGATCAGGGAGCCAGCACCCTGAGCAAGAATAACCACCCCAACATCCACACCTACAAAAAGCCGTGAAGACCTCGGGGACTTCTAGAGGGTCCCAGGCTGCTGCACTCCAAGGAAGGGGCTTGAGAACCCCAGAGTCTCCTGGGGACAGAGGTGGCCAGAGTACCCTCAGAACCACAAAAACCAGGAGCCCAGATATAGGAACCCTTGATGCGGGCAGCGGCCGGGCCAAGGGTGGCCTGACACCCACCCCAAGCAGGTCCAGGGCCCACAGCTTCACACCCCCTGGCCAAAAGGCAAGCTCAGCCAATCGGAGTCTCCCCAGGAATGCAGACACCGGCCAAGATGGAAATCCTGAGTGGACTGGGACCAGCCATCAGGGGCTTCCTGCCCACCTCCACCCCCCAATGCAGGGTCCCATTCGCTGTACACCCCCAGCCTAGTTCATCAGCTCCTGTCCACTCAGGGATTGCTCCTGAAGCTTCCACCCAGCTCCCCGGGGGCCTCCGTGTCTGGCCCGCTTCTGTCATCTGTAGGTACAGAATCCTGCCTGGCACCGTGGGACGCTGGACAAGCATCTGGAACACGGTCCAAAGTACGAGACATGTCAAAAGCAATAGGATTCCAGTTCTCAGGGACACCCACCCTACAGCTCTATGCTCTTGGACTGAACCCAGCTGGAGGGACGCTTCTGTCTCACGCTCTTCCCTTTTCCCCAAATGTTCCATGAACGTGTACTGCTTTCGTAAATGACAAGACAGGCGACAGGCGACCAACACTGCCGTTTTAACCAGAACTCATTTCCTTCTGATGAGTGGGGAGGATGATAACAGGCCAGCCCTGCCCCAGGGAACTGCCCCCCAGGCTGCAACTGGGCACAAGGCTGACCTCACCTTGTGGCGGCACAGACAGAGGTGTTGTGCTCTTAGGAGCCAGGCTCCCAACTCTGCTAGGAGAACACTGGCCCTACTCCCAGAGCTCAGATCCCCTCTGAGTGGCCATCCAGCCTGGGCTGGCACAGTGCCTGGAACAGAGGGCTCACCAGTTCCTGAGGCAGCACATTCCCCGTGCGCAGTCAGACCAGAGCGACCCTCTGGCACGTGGGGCTGAGGCCTCTCCCCGAGGCTCAAGCTTCTCTCTGCCTCAGGGCCTTTGCACCTGCCGTTCCCCCAGCCCAGAAGCTCTTCCCCAAGGTCTCTGTATGGTGACCTCAGTCTTATCATTAAGGTCTCAACAGAAACATCTGGGCATTCCAGGCTCTAGTGGAAAACACGTCCCCCATGCTAGGCAAACTGAGGCAGGGCCCACTATCTGCCCTGGAAGGCAGATGTCCCAGTGAAACCATCACCTGCCAGGGCCAGCACGGCCCATGGAGGAGTCAGAAATGAGCAGGCAAATCCTAACCCTCTGATTGTCGGCAGCCGGGCTTGCAACCTCCATGGCAAGCCAGTTAACACCACCTCCTGCAGGAAGCCTTCCCTGACCACTGGGCTCCCACCGCCTGGGTTCGCAACCCACCACAGTCCGTAGCTGTTGTCCTGCATCTGGCCTGCCCTGAGCTGGAGGAGACAGCCCGAGAGAGAGGCTGAGGTCAGTGGGCATGAACTTGATCCCTGCCTGAGGACACGGGGTCACAAAGGGCTGGTGGGAGCTGAGCAGGCAGGCCTCCCCCGAATAAAGCCCAGGACAGTGTCTGGACCACCCAAGGTCACGCAGGAAGAAGCGACAGAGCGAGGGTGCAGGCCTGCGATGCTCTAGCTGAAGAGAAGGCTCTGCTGCCCTCAAGGGCCCCTGCCCGGGGCAGGACAGCCAGACCCACTTGACATTCAGGACTCACTATGCAGCACTGACTGGCCCCGGGCCACGCCAGAGGCCTCAGGCCCAGCCCTGCCAGCTCAGCTGCAGGGCCACCAGGGAGTCTCAGGCCTCCTGTGGGCCTCCAAATCCCTCCTGTGAACAACAGCCCCCCATTCACTCAGATGCTCAGGCAGCACGGGAGCCCCTCTCGACAGTCACTGGCTGGGGAGCTGCACAGAGCCGACCCCAGATGCCCCTCCACCCCCTGCCCTCTCACAGCTCCCTCAGCCCCCATCAGCTTCTAATCCCACGGTCACACCCCCAGCGGCAAGGCAGCCGTGGGGGAATCCGGGGAGCCTGCGACTCCAGGCTGACCCCGGCTCCTCGGGGGGCCGGACGAGGGACCTACAGCAGGGCTGCGGCCCCACCACTTACTCACTATGTGATTCGGAGCCTCAGTTTGCTAATCTGTACAATGGACAACTCTCCCCACCTCCTGGGGCTGTGGGAAAAGTGACTAGTGACAGGCAGTCCCACGCAGGGCCTTGAAACAGGACCTGGCCCTGGTCCCTCCGGGGGTTTCACCAGGGTTCCCAACAGCAGACCACGGGGGCCAGAAATAGCAAAGGACAAAGGCCAGTCCCCCGTGCCACACCCCCAACTCCCAACCCCAGGCCCCACCTCCCCTCCATCCCCCCGCCCCCATAACCACGGGGCAGATGCCCACTCCCCAGCAGGGCACAGCCCAGGTTGGGGCAGCACAGAGACAGCTAAGAGGGAGCCCTCAGTCAGGATGGGTGAGGGGTCCACCCCCCACTACAGCCAGCAACTCCTCACCAGGGGAGGCAGGAAGGGGCGCCTGCCACAGCCCAGGCCCACCCACTGCCCATTCTCCCAGGAAGGGGGCTCCTGGCCCTTGCCTCCCAGGGGTGACCCTACACAGGAGGCACGGCCAGCCCAGATTCAGGATGAGGCAATGAAGGCTCAGAGACACCAAGCAGTTGCCGAAAAGCACCAGTATTGGAAGGGCAGGGGCAGGACGCACGCCAGGACCAGCTCACGCCACAGCCCCTCGCCAAGAGCCGGGAGTGGAGGCGGCGGGGGATGGAGGCAGGCCGGTTTCCACATCGTGAATTATTCAGTGGCTAATTCTGCTCTGTGGAGATGAGGCAGGAGAGAGAGTGAGTCAGAGCCCTCCCACAGCAGAGCAGAGCGCAGGGCAGGGGAGGAAAGGGGGCAGAAGCCAGGGCCTCCCAGGGCCATAGCACCCTGCTGGAGGCCAGGCAGGTCAGGCTGAGCAGAGGGGCCTGGCTACTGCCCGGAGGCTCTTGTGGGCTGCAGACATCATCGCCCCTCACTCCCTCTCACTGCCTGTCTCGAATGTGGGAATGCAGGCACCCCGGAGGGCTGGAAGGAAGTCCAACTGTGGCTGGCAGCTCGGGCAGGTGGCAGCCCAAGGGGCAGCAGGAAACAGCCGCCCCCCACGCCCCAGGGCTGCCCCGGAGCTTAAGAACTGACAAATGGGCCAAACCCTCAGGGCAGAGAACTTTCCAAAGTGAAGCACACCCTCCTTGCAGCTTCAACAGAGTCCTCCAGGGACAAGTGGCAAAGCCATCAGCATGGAATAAGTTCCAGAAGTTCCTGAATGTGCATTGCCCCCACACTGAACGGTCCCCCAGGGCTGGGCTTCTAGAACGCAGGCGTGAGATTTTATACCAATCCTTCCGCCTCCCTCCTCCCTGCTGTGTCTGGGCGTGCCTGGGCCGATCCCTCGCCCCCTTCCTCATCTGTTAGGAAACGTCATCGGCTCGGCTGGGGGGCCTGGGTGCAAGTGAGCGCGAGGCTGGGAGCAGTGGGCTCCCAGGTGCCCTGCTCCTCCACTTCCGCCTCCCTCCTCTGGATGCGGGAGGCCACAGACAACGCAGTTCTGAAGAGTCCAGGTGCTAGGCTGCCCGCGGAATACCGGATTCCCAAGCCATTTTGATAAGCAAAGCCATCCCCACCCCACCATGGGGCTCTGCCATGATCCGTCCAGAGAGAAACTCCGGGTGACCAGGGACCCTGGTCACGGGGCTTCTGGAATCCGGATCTCTAGGCAGGAAGGAAATGCCCACAGCTTGGTCCCCTGCCCCGCACTCAAATGACAGTAGCTTGGCGATGGGGGTGGTGCTGGGGCCTGGCATGATGCCAGGCTAAGGGCTCCCCTGGGAGAGGGCTGCAAAGGGCCCCCAGCCGCCCCCCAGGTCTGCCTGGGCTCAGCCGCTTCCAGCCTCCCTGCCTGAGGCCCACGGTGCTTCCTGGCCGCCGGGCCTCCCTCCCCCGGGGGCTACAGGCAGCCTGGTCTCCCACGGCCACACACGGCACCCTGTGTACATCCCACAGCCTGACCGCCAAGCAGGGGGTCATTACCGGCCACAGAGGGCTGGCGGCGGCCCAGGCCATTCACCCACTGGAAGCCTGGCAGTGGGATTCCCCAGTCGGGGGTGAGTGGGCGAGGAGTCTCTGCCTGCCTGCACCCAATGTGCTCAGGCACCCGCTCTGATCTCAGAGCCTGGGGGTCATCTGGGGAGGGGTCTCTGCTGGGACACAGCACCAGGCCGCCAACAGTGATGGTGGAGAGGCCCTCCACTGGCCAAGGGGGCTCACGGAGTGGGGAGAGGCAGCTCCATGAAACCCAGGGGCCTTAGTGACACCAGAAGGGAAGGCCAGAATCGGGAGGGGGGCCGTGGACCCTCACTGGGGGTTGGAGGGTATTTAGACCTTTGAGGAGGAGGCCATGACCCTGGAAGAAAGGGTCCTAGGACTCAGAAGGGACCCTCGAGAAGGAAGGAGGCCGGTACCTGCGAGGAGGAGGTGGCCGTGACCCTGGAGGGGGGGATGAGGGGTCTTTAGGCCCTCGGGGATGGGGGCCGTGACCCTGGGAGAGGAGGGGGCCGTGACCTGGGGTCCCTGACCCCGCGACCCCGAGAGGCCCATGTCACCTGCTGGTAGTCGGTGTCCTCGGGCCGGAACTGGCTGCTAGTGGCCTCCCAGCTCAGGTCGAAGTGGGGCAGCCGGTGCAGGAGGCTCACCCACCAGGGCGCCGCGTAGCTGACCCCGGCCATGGCGGGGCCCGGCCGCCTCCGGATGCGCGCGGCCTGCGCGGGGCTCCCTTGCTGGCCCGGGGCGCGGGCTTCAGGGACCCGTCGACCCCCGCCTGGCCGCCCGCATCATCCGCGCGCTCCTGGGCCCGGCCCGGCCCGGCTCGGCCCGGCTCGGCTGCGCTCGGCTCCGCTCGGCCGCCCGCGCCCGCCGCCTCTTTGTTCGCCGCCGCCGCCGCCGCCCCCTCCGCACCCCCGCCCGTCCGCCCGCCGGCCCCGCCCCCGAGCCTCCATTGGCCCGCCTCCCGCCAGCCCAGCCCCCGCGCGCCCCGCCCTCTGTCCCGCCTCTTACCCACCATTGGTCTATCCCCCGCCGATCCCGCCCCACAGCGTGCCCCGCCCACTCGCTCCTGAACCTCTATTGGTCCTTTTACCTGATGGTTTTGCCCCTCCACTCGCATCCCCGCCCATTACCCAATGGCCCCGCCCCTCCACGTGTCCCCGCCCTTCGGCCCCGCCTCTGTACCGTCATTAGTCCGCCGGCAGAAGCTCCGCCTACTTCCTCGCCTTCTTGGAGGGACGCCTGGCCCCTAAGGCGCTGGAAGACCGACCCTCAGCGCTGTAAGACCCGGGCCAGCCAGTCTTTCCACGTGGCCGTGGGGGCTGGAACCCTGGCTGCATATGCAGCTGCGCTTCATTCCATGAATTCGCTCTTCGTTTGGATCTTTGCATGTTTCTTATTTGACTCGAGGGTCCGGCCTGGTGGGCTGGGCTGGTCTTGGCCTCCCCATTGCACACACAACAGCCCACAGCCCGCAGCGCCCAGCAAGGCACCGAGTGGCCTATCTGTACAATGGACATGATCTGGATTCAGGGCCTGGCTGGGGCACCTAGAGCTGTGTGATCTGGGGCAAGTTACTTAACCACTCTGTGCATCGGTGTCCTTGTCTGTAAAAGGGGATGATAAAGCTACGAGTGTTGGCAGGGCGTGGTGGTGGTTCATGCCTGTAATCCCAGCACTTTGGGAGGCCGAGGCAGGCGGATCACCTGAGGTCAGGAGTTCGAGACCAGCCTGGCCAAAATGGTGAAACCCCGTCTCTACTAAAAATACAAAAATTAGCCAGGCGTGGTGGCGGGCGCCTGTAATCCCAGTTACTCTGGAAGCTGAGGGAGGAGAATTGCTTGGACCTGCGAGATGGAGGTTGCGGTGAGTGGAGATTGCGCCACTGCACTCCAACCTGGGCAACAGAGTGAGACTCCATCTCAAAAATAAAAAAAATTTTTTTTAAAAAGGTACGAGTGTTAAGTGGATCCGCAGGTAGATTCAGTCCCCATCCGGCCTTCCCTCTGGGGAAGGTTGAGTCTTTTGTCAAGACCTAAGATGAAGACGGTGCCCTGTTCTGGTGTCCTGGGGCCTAAAAATTCAGGCACCTGCCAGAGAGGGCCCATCATGGGCTTTGGAGCCACACAGCCAAATTTCCTAACAGGGCCTCCCCATGCCTGTGCCTCCTCCTTTGCTAAAGGGGAGATGGGAGCTGCCAGAGCCAGGAGGATGGACATAGTGCGTGCTTGGGCCCAGGTGCACGCCTCCCTCCGCACTCTAGGGCAGTGGGTGCATCCTGGCTCTGCTTCATCACCTGGGGCCTTATTCCTGGACCTCCTGTGTACTGAGAAACAGGTTTCCACACCCGGGCTCCACCATCTGCTGTGCCCGACTTGGCCAGCTCTGTGGGCAGGCAGGCCGTTCCTGGCAGGAAGAGCTCTTTGCAGGCAGGGACGGTTCCGGGCAGTGTCTTCCCAGGAGGCCTGGACTTTGGCTCATTGACTGCCCTGACTCGCCTGTTTTCCTGTGATAGGGCACCGGGCAAGAGGGACTAGCTGAGCTGCGGTTTCCACCCGCTGGATAACTTGGAGACACCACCCAGCTGGGAAATAACAGCCAGGCAGAAGGGGGGAGGTCGCATTCTCCATCCCTAAAGGCCGAAGAGCCAGAAATTTGGGGTGGGGTGGGGATACTGGCTCAGGTTCCTCTCTCTCCAATGCCAAGGATGGTGGGAGCTCCAGGCAGAATGAAGCCCCCCCCAACCCCCTAAGACCAAGGCTACCTACTTGGAGTGGGCTGGTACCTGGCCAGGTGAGTCCTCTTCTTTGGCGCCAGCTGATTGCTCACTGTGAACAGGTGGCTTAGGCAGGACGCCCACTCCTAGCCTGACACTGCTCCAGCATCCAGCCTGTGACCTCATCTCCACAGCCAGGGGATCGCCTGCACGGCCCGTGCCCTGGGCTGACTCTGACCTCAGAGTTCTGTGTCGCATAACTCCAGGGATGAACAGGGCAGTCCCTGGCCAGCTGCAGAAATTGTCCTCATGGCCTGAGATCGTTTCTGGTTCCTGCTGTTAGCAGCAGCTCCCATGGCCACAAACAGACCTCCTGCTTCCCCCCACCACAACTCCAGTGCCCTCCACACCAGCCTGGCAGCCCTGCCAGGGTACACACATGCAGGCAGGGGGTACAGGAGTTCCTTCCCCTGTTTCCAGAAGCCTGGCAAAATTGTACCTTTCCTTTTGATAAAGCCAGAAAGTCTGATGCAGACATGATGTGAGATGATAACTTAGGGTCAGGCACAGTGGCTCACGCCTGTAATCCCCACACTTTGGGAGACCGAGGCAGGGGAGATCGCCTGAGGTCAGGAGTTCGAGACCAGCCTGGGCAAATGGTGAAACCCCGTCTCTACAAAAAAATACAAAAATTAGCCAGGCATGGTGGCACATGCCTGTAATCCCAGCTACTCGGGAGGCTGAGGCAGGAGAATCGCTTGAACCCGGGAGGTGGAGGGTGCAGTGAGCCGAGATTGCGCCATTGCACTCCAGCCTGGGTGACAGAGCGAACTCCATCTCAAAAAAAAAAAAAAAAAGAAAGAAAGAAATGATAACTCAGGTGTAGTGGATTGAATTATGTTCCCCAAAAAGATATGTTCAAGTCCTAACTCCTGGCACCTGTGAACGTCACCTTCTTTGAAGAAAGGGGCCGGGAGCAGTGGCTCATACCTGAAATCCGAGCACTTTGGGAGGCCAAGGCAGGAGGACCGCTTGAGGCCATGAGTTTGAGACCAGCCTGGACAACATAGTGAGACCCTTCTCTACAAAAAAATTTAATCAGCTGGGTGTGGTGGCTTGTGCCACCACAGTAGTTCCAGCTACTTGGGAGGCTAAGGCGGGAGGATCACTTGATCCTAGGAGATCTAGGCTGCAGTGAGCTATGATCGTGCCACCGCACTCCAGCCTGGGTGACAGGCTCATGCCTGTAATCCCAACACTTTAGGAGGCTGAGGCGGGCGGATCACCTGAGGTTGGGAGTTCCAGACCACTTTGACCAACATGGAGAAACCCTGTCTCTACTAAGATTACAAAATTAGCTGGGCGTGGTGCCATGCACCTGTAATCCTAGCTACTCAGGAGGCTGAGGCAGGAGAACAGCTTAAACCCGGGGGGACGGAGGTTGCAGTGAGCCGAGATCACGCCATTGCACCCCAGCCTGGGCAACAAGAGTGAAACTCCATTTCAAAAAAATAATAAATAAATGAGAGTCTTTGCAAATGTAATCCAGTGAAGATGAGGTCATACTGGGTTAAAGTGTTCTCTAATGCAAAGATGGTGTCCTTATAAGAAAAGATAAATTTGGACACAGACTCAGAGATACAGAGACACAGAGGGAAGCACCCGTGTGAACACGGAGGCAGAATCTCAGGGATGCCGCCACAGCCCTGAACGCCGAGGGGCCACCAGAAGCTGGCAGAGAAGCCTGGGGCGCTCCCTCCCTCAGAGCGCCCCGCCTCAATCTCAGCCTTCTGGCCTCCAGAACCGTGAGACAATGCATGTCTGTGTTTGAAGCCACTCAGTTTGTGGAGCTTTGTCACGGCAAATCCAGAAACAAACACACCGGCTTTCTCAGAGCTTCCTGGTGGCCAGCGCCCTGTGCCTCTGATGGTATGGGATGAAAAGGTACTGATGACTGAGTAATATTTGCAGTGTGTTTGGGCCATGAAATCTATTCCTAAGGGGCCTGTGGAGGAAGAATTTGGTAAAAGGGATCCAGGGTGGAGAGAATAAGGGGCCCACAGTGAAGGTTCTGGAAGAACACAGCCAGAGTCCCTACCTCACCCCCGTGCAATGCTGCTTGGGATCCGGGTGTTGAAGAGAAACTCCGTGGGTCCCTCCCTCCAGCTGCCAGGAAGGGTAAAGGAGAGAAGGCCAGAGAGAGGATCTAGTGTGGGCCAGGGCATGGAGGAAGCTCCGCCCACCATCCCACCTGCTTTGACCCGACAGTCACTGCCCAGAGCTGTGTGGTTCTTCCCATCTGTCCTGCAACCACTGTGGCTGGAGGCTGGACTTTAGTCCCACTCTACAGACGGAGCAACTGAGGCCCGGTCCCCGCCATTGCATGGGAGGCCTTGAGAATCACAAGCTGGTCAGGGAACCAGGGTTCAGCCTAGTTCCAGGGGCCCTTCCTCCCTCCCCACTTCTTCCCTCCCTCCCTCCTTCTGTCCTCCCTCCCTTCTCTCCTTCCCTCCTGCCTTCCCTCCCTTTCTCTCCTTTCTCCCTCCCCCCACCTTCCTTTCCTCTCTCCTTCCTCCTCCCTCCCTCGTTTCCTCCCTCCCTCTCTCCTTCCCTCCCTTCCACCTTCCTTCCCTCCATCTTTTCCTCCCTCCCTCCATCTTTTCCTCCCTCCCTCCTTCCTTCTTTCCCCTCTTTCCCTCCCTCCCTCCTTTCCTCCCTCCTTCCCTCCCTCCTTCCCTCTTTCCCTTTTTTCCTGCCTCCCTTCCTCTCTTTCCCTCCTTCCCTCCTTTCTCCCTCTCTCCCTCCCTCCTCTTCCTCACTCCCTCCTTTCCTCCATCCCTCCCTCCATCTTTCCCTCCTTCCTTTCTCCCTCCCTCTTTCCCTCTCTCCCTCCTATCTCCCTTTCTTCCTCCCTCTCTCCTTCCCTTCCTTCTTTCAAGTGAAATAGGGATTGTGAGCAAAAACCAGGCCTGGGAAAGTCTGTGAGAGACTGCTGAGGCAGTCTGGCACGGAGGGAGGGGAGCAGCCAGGCCAGGAGCTCCCAGGGTCTTTCCCCTACGCCAGGAAGGCGGCAGGGTTGAGGCTCCCGAATGGTTGTCCAAAGGCCTGCAGGCACCGGAGAGAGGCCAGGCCTGAGCTGAGCATGGCCAGGCCTGGACCGCTCCTCCAGATGCTGGGGCGGAAGCCAGAACAATGGAATTCCCTGTGTTTGGGCCCCATCCAAAGAGGTTCACATTTTCTGTGGAGACGGACCTCACTGGCCGGGAAGAGAAGGCTGCGGGGCTGGGCTTCCTGGCGCCTGCTAAGATGAGGCTGGGTGATGCTGTGGTCGCACAGCCAGCCGGTGCCTGGCGGACCACAGACACCTGGCTGATGGATCTCGGCCGCAGGGGAGCCACAGAAGCACTGCTTTCAATCTGGGTCTGAGGCAACTGGCCCGCAGCTCTGGAGGCTGGGAGAGGTGCCAGCCAGCATGGTCCCCAAGAGGACCACGGAGCAAGCCACGCACACCTGGCCAGAGTGAGGATGTGAGCACCTCTCATTATCTGGGCTCACCTGGCCAGCAGCCTCGCCTTGTCCAGAAAGCCACTGGGAGCCAGGAGACCAGTGGGGATGGCCTCTGAGCTGCCAAGAATTCTGTCCCAAGTCCCATCACTTAAGTCGAGTGTCTCATTCAGAACCTCCCTACTTGCCACATAAGACTATCAAGACCGGGTCTCAGAGTCCCAAGCCCAGTGTAGATTGAAAATAGTGCCCTGAGGCCAGGCATGGCGACTCATGCCTATAATCCCAGCACTTTGGGAGGCCGAGGACGGCAGATCACCTGAGGTCGGGAGTTCGAGACCAGCCTGACCAACATGGAGAAACCCCATCTCTACTAAAAATACGTAATTAGCCAGGCGTGGTGGCTTATGCCTGTAATCCTAGCTAGTCGGGAGGCTGAGGCAGGAGAATTGCTTGAACCTGGGAGGCGGAGACTGCAGTGATCACAGGCAATGAGCCGAGATCACGCCATTGCACTCTAGCCTGGGCGACAAGAGCGAAACTCCGTCTCAAAAATAAAAAATAAAAAAAAAGAAAAAGAAAAGAAAAGAAAATAGTGCCCTGAGGTCAGGCATGGCAGCTCACGCCTGTAATCCCATCGCGTTGGGAGGCCCAGGTGGGAGGATCACTTGAGCCAGGAGTTCCAGACCAGCCTGGGCAACACAGGGAGACCCCATTTCTACAAAACATTTCAAAAATAGAGGCCGGGCGCGGTGGCTCACGCCTGTAATCCCAGCACTTTGGGGGGCCGAGGCGGGTGGATCACGAGGTCAGGAGATCGATTCCATCCTGGCTAACATGGTGAAAGCCCGTCTCTACTAAAAATACAAAAAATTAGCCGGGCGTGTTGGCGGGTGCCTGTAGTCCCAGCTACTCGGGAGGCTGAGGCAGGAGAATGGCGTGAACCCGGGAGGCGGAGCTTGCAGTGAGCCGAGATCACGCCACTGCACTCCAGCCTGGGCGACAGAGCAAGACGCTGTCTCAAAAAAAAAAAAAAAATTAGCCTGTCCACGCAGCCCCACCCACCAGCTAGGTTTTGTTGCAATGAGCACTGTGCTGAGAGTTGTGAGACCTGGGACTTATGTCAGGCTTGGCCCAACTGCTATGACCCCTTTGGGAACCCATGTCACCGACGGGGGAACTTAGCGTCCAGTTTCCTATTTTAGAGATGGGGAAACTGAGGCTCCGAGAAGGGAAGAGATTCATCCCACACCCATAGCCCTGACTCACTGAGGAAACAGCCATTTTTTTAAAAAAGAATGAAATCATGGCCTTTGCCGGAACATGGATGGAGCTGGAGGCCATCATCCTAAGTGAGCTCACACACCGCACGTTCTTACTCATAAGCAGGAGCTGAGCAATGAGTAAGCATGGACAGAAAGAGGGAAACAATAGATACCGGGGACTCCAAAATGGGGGAAGGGCCGAGCGCGGCGGCTCACGCCAGTAATCCCAGCACTCTGGGAGGCCGAGATGGGTGGATCACTTGAGGTCAGGAGTTCGAGACCAGCCTGGCCAACATAGCGAAACCCCATCTCTACTAAAAATACAAAAATTAGCTGGGTGTGGTGGCACATGTGTGTAATCCCAGCTACTTGAGAGGCTGAGGCAGGAGGATCGCCGGAGCCCAGGAGGTCAAGGCTGCAGTGAGCGGTGATTGCACCACTGCACTCTACAGCCTGAGCAACAGAGCAAGACCTTGTCTCAAAAACATAAAAACAAAAATGAAACGAACAAACAAACAAAAAACAAAATGGGGAAAGCTTTCTTAATGCTCTGATGCTTTCAAGGGATGTTCGTTGTCTGCCAGTAAATTCCTGCTCTGGGGGTGCCGGGAGCCGGCTGAGTCTGAGCAGGATATTCATCAAGACCCAGGACTACCGTCTCTTCCTGGCGGCCTCCAGTGCCCCAATTCCAGGAGCAGTGGGAGAGGGTATCTGGCCACTCTGTGGGCTGCAATTGGCATTGGTGACAAAGGCTGGCTGAGTCGCTGTTGGCAGGTGGACCACCGACCCCACTGCCTGAGCTTGGTGAGTAAGACGTCTTTCACCGACCTTCAGAAACAGGCCAGCAGCGGGCGTGGAGGGAGGCGCTGGGGCAGAGTGGGTGGGGAGGGGTTGCCGGATGGATTCTCACCTCCCTCTCGGGAGCCCCGCCCGCTGCTCTCACAGGACCACAGGCTGTCACAGGCTTGAGCTGCCAAGGAGACACTGCTCCCCCTCCAAGAGCAGAGACCTTTCGGCCAGGCAACTCTCTAAGCCTCAGTTTCCCCAGCTGTAACAGGAGGAGGGTCATGCTTCTCTCCCTGGGTGGGTACTGGGATTATGCTGGAAAAGGGGTGTCCAAGGCCAGGCCCCACATAACCTGCGTGCTCTGCCCCATGTCCCCTTGGGGGACCCTGTCCTCACCCCACATCCACTGTGTCTCTGTCTGGCCTGGGCAAGGGAGTGTCCTGCACCCTCTAGGTTTCAAAGCCTGGATCTGACAAACTTCACTCCCCCACGCATGGGGAAAGGCCAGCTCAGCTTCCTTGGCTGGTTTTCTGGTCAGGGTGGGCCCAGGAGCCCAGGGAACCCGGGGTCTCCCTCACTGGGCCGGGCAGGCTGCTGGGTCTGGGGATCCTCTGGAGAGCTGATCCTCCCCTTGACATGCCATTTCCAAGGCAGGGGGCCCAGGAGGGAATGCAGGCCCCCCCAGCACCCCGGAGGCTTTGTCCAGAACACAACACCCTGGAGACCCGGCTCAGCGTGGGAGGAGTGCTGTGCGTGGAGGTGGGCAACAGGCAGCCCCTCCGTGGCCTCCACCCCTCTTCCAGCCCCCAGCCTAGGACAAGCACGGAAGGTTCTAGAGGCCGCTCTAGGGGTGGCCTACTTGCCCGGAGGGGCTCATCTCATGGGAAAGGTCTGGAGGCAGGAGGTGGGGCCTTTTTTGGGTCACGTGAAGATGTCCAGGGGCCACCTGGGGAAGCCCTTCAGAGGCATCACCATCCTGCCCCTGGCAGGGCCGCCTCCTCCGGGCACACCCAGTGCCAGCCACCATTCAGGAAGGGCTCTCCAGCTCCACTCCTGCCAGTCTCAGCTCTGGAGGCTCGGAAAAGGAAGTGTCTTGCTCAAGGTCCCCCGGAGCACGGGGCAGCAAGGCCCTGCCCTTTGTCCTGAACTTCTCTGCACCGCCCCAGTTCATCTCTGTCAAGGAATCTGGCCTGCTGCCCCCCTGCCAGCCCCTCCCTGGCCTCCCAGGGCCTCAGGACCAAGTCCAGAGTCCTCCCAGGACTGGCGAAGCCTCCACATCGCTCCCGGGGGTGGGGGGCAGTGCAGGGGCGCAGGGCTCTGGAGAGGAGCAGGCAGAGGCTTCTGGAAGTGAGATGGTGATGGCAATATTATGAGGGCCAGGGCCGGGCCTGGGATAGACGCTTAGGATGTGTGTCTGGGATGAATGGTGTTTTGCTCTTCCAGAGCTCTGCCGGCTGGCATAGGCCCTCCCCGCCCACTGGCTCACAGCTACCCAGAGACAGGGCCAGCACACCCTTGGGTACAGATGGTGAACCTCAGGCTTGCCACAGGTCGCCCGCAATGGGGGGTGGGGGGTGTGTTGCGGGGGGTGGTGCTGGCTGGAACCCTGGGCTGAATTCTTTTACCTGCAGGCCCAGGACCCCCATTTTCCTTCCCAGACATCCCAGCTGGGCCTGCAGCCTGGCAGGGAGGACGTGGGATGCAGGAGGCCCTGCCGGGCTTAATCAGTTGGGCTAGAGTGGAGGCCCAGCTCTGGGGACCCAGCCCAGCCTCCGTGGACCCCAGAAAGCCCTCTCTGCTCCACAGGGTCCCTGTGAGCACAGAAAGGCTGGGGCAGGAGGAGATGGGGGCAGGAGGAGCAGGGGGAGGTGGGGGCAGGAGGAGCAGGGGGAGGTGGGGGCAGGAGGAGCAGTAGGAGTTGAGAGGAGGAGGAGGAGGAGCTGGGGCAGGAGGAGCTGGGGCAGGAGGAGCTGAGGCCGGAGGAGCTGGGACAGGAGCAGCTGGGGCAGGAGCAGCTGGGGCAGGAGCAGCTGGGGCAGGAGGAGCTGGGGCAGGAGCAGCTGGGGCAGGATTTGCTGGGGCAGGAGGAGCTGGGGCAGGAGGAGCTGGCCAGGATGTGGCTCCATTCCAGGGGGAGGGGTAGGTGGAATGTGCTCCCCCTCCCCTGCCTGGCCAGGCCTCCTTCCCCTCTGCGTCTCTTGGCCAACAGCCAGGCTGTCCCCTTCCGGGGGCCCTGGGCTCTCTCCTCCATGGGGTCAGCACGTATGTGGTTCCTCATCAGCCCATGACGTCCCCTCCCGCTCCCAGCCTCCCCTTCTCAAATGCAAATCCGATCCTGTTCCCACAGCTCTCAGGGCAAGGTCCCCCAGCCCGGCCTCTGTGTCTCTCCTGAGCCCTGTCGCCCCTGCCACACCTGACCCACTGTGTCTGGCCACCTTGGGGCCCTTCCCATCCTGGAGGTGGGGGCCCTGCTCCCTTTTCCTCTGGAAGGAGGCTGATAGTTCCCTGGGCCTGGAAGGTACTCGCCTCCCCCACCTGCTCAGCTGCAGCCCCGACTCCCTTTTCTGGGATACCAGAACGGCTCCCCAACACTGGGTCTAAACCACCTGGGTCCACACCACCCTAGAGGGGAGCCCTTGGCTGTGGTCTGCCCCACTTGGGTTCTCCACACCTAAGCCAGTGGAAATTTGGTGAGTAAATGAATTTAGGATGGGTGAAGTGGCTCATGTCTGTCATCCCAGCACTTTGGGAAGTCGAGGTGGGAGGATCGCTTGAGGCCAGGAGTTTGAGACCAGCCTGGGCAACATGGCAAAAAAAAAATAAAACAAAACTTAAAACTTAGCCAGGTGTGGGAGCACACACCTGTAGTCCCAGTTACTTGGGAGGCTGAGGTGGGAGGATTGCTTGAGCCCAGGGGTTCAAGGTTGTAGTGAGCTATGATTGCACCACTGCACTCCAGCCTGGGCAACAGAGTGAGACCTTGCCAAAAAAAAAAAATTATTTCCTGGCCCCAAAGATCCAGTCCTCACAGAGCTTAGTCTAGTTGCAAACAGACGAAATAAACCCCAATATAATGTGTACAAAGTGCCCTCAGGTGCAATAAATACTAAAACACACACGCGGGCTGGGTGCAGTGAGATTACAGGGAGGAGGAGCTGATCGTGAAAAGCTTCTCAGCAGAGGATCACCCAGGCCGGCTCCACGGGAAGGACATTCCTGGCAGCAGAAACAGCACAGGCGAGAGGCCAGCTGGAGGTGGGGGAGGGCCCGGCGTTTTCCGCAAAGGCCCGCGGTCAGGGGTGTGTGGCTGGAGGGGAGGCCAGACGAGGGCAGGCGTGGGGTGCCGCGTGGAGCTGCTGATGGGATCCAGGGTGCCACGTGGGACCTGAGCAAGTCTGTGGAGCAAGGGGCTAAGGAACGGCTCACCCTGGTTCTGGACTAAGAGTCCCGTAGTAGCGGTGGGGAGGCGAGACAAAAGCCCAGGACCCCAGAATCAGTGGTGCCAGAGGGAGATGAGGCTACTCTATACTTTTCTGTTTTTCTTTTTATAATGTGTTAGATATCTTTGTTTTTTCTTTGAGACAGAGTCTCGCTCTGTCACCCAGGCTGGAGTGCAGTGCATCTCCAGCCTCCCAGGTTCAAGCGATTCTCGGCCTCAGCCTCCCGAGTAGCTGGGATTACAGACACCCGCCACCACGCCCAGCTAATTTTTGTATTTTTAGTAGAGACGGGGTTTCATCATCTTGGCCAGGCTGGTCTTGAACTCCTGATCTCATGATCCACCCGCCTTGGCCTCCCAAAGTGCTGGGATTATAGGCGTGAGCCACCATGCCTGGCCAGATATCTTTTTTAAGAAACAAAATGTTGGCTGGACGTGGTGACTCACGCCTGTAATCCCAGCACTTTGGGAGGCTGAGGCGGGCAGATCACGAGGTCAGGAGATCAAGACCATGCTGGCTAACACGATGAAACCCTGTCTCTACTAAAAATACAAAAAATTTAGCCGGGCGTGGTGGCAGATGCCTGTAGTTCCAGCTACTCGGGAGGCTGAGGCAGGAGAATGGCGTGAACCCAGGAGGCGGAGCTTGCAGTGAGCCGAGATCGCGCCACTGCACTCCAGCCTGGGCGACAGAGCGAGACTCCGTCTCAAAAAAAGAAACAAAATGTGACTGTAAAATAGAAATGGCCCATGGGAAACAGCCAGGTGAGTATGTGAGGGGAGGCATCGGATCGGAGTGGGAGCATCCCTCAGGGTCAGAAAGGGAGGAGCATCAGGCTTAGGAGGTGGGAGGATGAGGCAGGGGCTGAGATTGGGAGGCCGCTGAGCTTGGCATTGGAGGGTGGTTCTGCAGGCTGAGGCTGAGGGGTGAAGAAGGCCCTGGTTTCATTCTGGGACAGTTCAAATAGAAGTGGGGGATTCCCCTTCCCCCAAAAAAATTATCCTTCATGGCCTGGTGGCTCACACCTGTCATCCTAGCACTTTAGGAGGCTGCGGTGGGAGGATCGCTTGGGCCCAGGAGGTCGAGGCTGCAGTGAGCTATGATTGCACCACTGCACTCCAGCCTGGGTGACAGAGCAAGACCCTGTCTCTACAAAAATAAAAATGAGGCCTGGCGCGGTGGCTCACAGCTGTAATCCCAGCATTTTGGGAGGCTGAGATGGGTGGATCACTTGAGGCCAGGAGTTCTAGACCAACCTGGCCAACATGGCAAAACCCCGTCTCTACTAAAAATACAAAAACTAGTTGGGCGTGGTGGTGTGGGCCTGTAGTCTCAACTACTCAGATGGCTGAGGCACGAGAATCGCTTGAGCCCGGAGGCGGAGATGGCAGTGAGCCGAGATCGCGCCATTGCACTCCAGCCTGGGCGACAGAGCGCGACTCCGTCTCAAAAAGAAAAGGAAAAAGAATGAAAACATTAGCCAGGTATGGTAGCACACACCTGTAGTCCCAGCTACTTGGGAGGCTGAGGCCAGAGGATTGCTTGAGCCCAAGAGGTCAAGGCTGCAGTGAGCTGTGATTGTGCCACTGCACTCCAGCCTGGGGTGCAAGATCTTGTCTGTAAAATCAATAAATACATAAAATTTTTAAAGTATCCTTCACAAAAGAGGGAGCTGCCTTCTTAAGTCCTTAGAAAGTATCTCATAGCATGAGGCTCTCAATTAGTTTATTTTGACAGCCACACACTGTTTGGGAACCGACGGAGGAGTCTGAAAGCTGGGAGCAATGTGTATGGAGGTCGCCTGGCAGAATCCACTAAAAAGATGTCAGAAATAAATTTAACTCAGATTAGTCATTTTTCCAGGAGCAGAACCTCACATTTGCAAGCATTGGCTGTCTTTGTGAATCAGACTTTAAAACGTTTAAAAATACAGCCAGCGGTTCCACTGTGGAAACGCGATCATAAAGTGACACCACCTGGACCACCGTCCTCAGGTCCAGCACACCGGCACTCGTGGCTTGGGGAGAAATGCTCCAATCATGGCACACCCTGTTCAGAATTTTTTTTTTTGGGACAGAGTCTTGCTCTGTCGCCCTGGCTGGAGTACAATGACGCGATCTCAACTCACTGCGACCTCCACTTTCTCCGGTTCATGCAATCATCCCACCTCAGCGTCCCAAAGAACTGGGACCACAGGTGCATGCCACCATGCCCAGCTCATTTTTGTATTTTTGTAGAGAAGGGGTTTCACTATGTTATCCAGGCTGGTCTCACACTCCTGGATTCAAGCCATCTACCCGCCTCGGCCTCCCAAAGTGCTGGGATTACAGGCGTGAGCCGCTGCGCCCGGCAGGAGCAGATTTCTCAGCCGTCACGTGGATTGCAAACAGCTTAGATGGAAGTGGAGATGTCGTGCACGGGAAACTGTGTTAGAGGATCCAAAACATGGGGACGAAGCTGCTGGTGCAGCCAAGTCCTGGGAGCACCACCAGAGGCATGCTCCTAGATCAGTGTCTTCTTTTAGCTATGACTTGAAATATGCATGATGTGTGACCAAATTAACATATTAATTATTCACAAGTTGGCATCTGACACTTTCGTCCACACCTATAAAAAGCTCACACTTTCAAGTTGGCTGGATGGGTTTTCTTTTTTGCAGTCTCCTCTTTGGAAAAGTGGAGCCTCACATAGCTCAGGCTGGCTTGAGCTTCAAGTGCGCGCGCGTGTGTGTGCATGTTTGTGTGTGTGTGTGTGCGCGTTTTATGTGTATGTATGTTGTCATGTGTGTGTGCCTGTGTGTACGTGTGTGGGATGCAAATTTGTGTATGTTTCTGCCCTTGCAGGTGTGTTTGCATGCATGTTTGTATGTTTGCATGTGGGTTTGTGTGTATTTGTACGTGTTTGTGTGCACGTCTGTGCGAAGTGTGTGTGTGTCTGAGAGTGCATGCATTGGTGTGTGCATGTTGGTTTTGTGTGTGTTTTCAAGTTTGCATTGTTTCATGTGTGGGCATGTGTTTGCAGGCATATGTCTGCTCATGTGCAGGTGTTTGCATGTATGTTGCATTGTGGTGTTTTGTGTGTGCACGTGTCTTTGTGTGCGTGGACATGCAGCAGTCTGGCATGTTCAGGAGTTCAATTTTGTCTTGGAGCCCGTGGGAACTGTCTGGTGGGGTCACTTGGCCTCACTGCAGATGTGGCAGCAGAGTTGAGGGCTGCTGAGGGGGTAGCCCCTGTGGGGCCTGGTGAGAACGGGCAGGGAGACGGGGATGATCTCTAGGTTTCTGGCAGGGACAACCATGTGGCTTGTGATGTGGTTTACTGAACAGGGAGCAGGTCATGAGGGAAGATAAATTGAAGCCGAGCCAAGCTGAATTGGAGGCATCTGAGACAAGAACGTGCGGACGCCCAGTGGACGATCCAGGCAGGCTGGGGTGTTGGGGACGGAGCCGTGGATACACCCATACTCAACAGGCAGAGGGTAGGACCGGGTGCCAGAGCAGAAGAGAAATCCCGAAAGCAGGGAGGAGTGATGAGGCGGGAAGGGTGCACTCTCGGGCGAGGGTAGCAGGAGCGGTGAGCATAGTGGAGCCAGCAGCCCACAGGGTGCTGGAGGGGGAAGTGGGTGAGAGAAGGGAATGGGGCGGGGCGAGGCTGCAATGAGCGGGAACCAGCTCCCTTTGTATATTTTATGCGAGCTTCGCCCCAGCCCACCCACTCACACCCTTCCCTGCTTTCATTCCTTTGCGAGCCGGGCCTGGGAAGGGAAGGGCTGGTGGGGAGGAAGCCCCCAGACAGGGCTGCCATGAATGGCAGCCGTGGGAGCCCTGGCAGCGCTGGACTCTGTCCTTTGAATCCCAGGCTGCTCTGGGACTTAATTAACGAATAGCTCAGGGGCACCCTCTCCTCTTATTCAGAAAGGGACACAGCACCATGGTAACGTCCCCAGGTTCCTGAGGCAGGCCCCATCTAATGGGGCTGGCCCTCGGGGCTGACACTGGGCCCTGCTCCCGGGATCCAGTGGGGAGGTGCTGGCCAAAGGCCATTAGCTGGCACCCACGCAGAGACACGCCACCCTGTTCTGCAGCCCGTCATTCATATTCCAAGCCCGACAGCAGTGCTGAAAGGAGCGAGGGACTCAGAGGCTTACTTCTTTTTTTTCCTATGTCCCCCAGGGACCTTGGAGGAATCTCATATTTAAAACTGTCTTGGCAAGAGCTTGTGGTGACCCTCACTCGGTCTTTGAGGAGGCCCTCATGCACTCAGCGCACGTCTGGGAGCACCAAAAACCAGAGGGCTGGATGGGGAAGAGGAAGAGGGTTCTCCCCGTGTGCCTGTGCGCGTGCGCATGGATGTCCACGCTCACATACTTCCATGTCTATCCATACCCCGGCCCACGGTGGGTGGAGGCCTGAGGTTGGACCTTCTCTCTCCTCCTCTCGCCAGTTCTAGCTGAGAAGCCCCCACAGGCTGCCTCCTCTCTGCTCCTGGGTCTGAACCCCTAGGGGAGATCACAGCTGGCGACTGCGGGGGCAGCGAGCTTGCAGCGGGCGAGTGCCTGGTGCACCATGCTCTCCAATGCCACAGGCTCCCTCAGGCCCTACCAGCTCGTCTGCAAAGTGCAAGTCTGCAAATGAACCGCTTGCCAGGACAGCACACAGGCCATCGGAGTGTAAAGATGGGCTCGGGGCAGGCCACGGTGGCTCGCACCTGTAATTCCAACACTTTGGGAGGCCAAGGTGGGAGGATCGCTTGAGGCGAGGCATTGGACACCAGCCTGGGCAACATAGCAAGGCCCCATCTCTACCAGAAAAATATATTTTATTTATTTATTTATTTATTTATTGAGATGGAGTTTTGCTCTTCTTGCCCAGGCTGGAGTGCAATGGCTCACTGCAACCTCCACCAAAATAAAATTTTATTTATTTATTTAGACGGAGTTTTGCTCTTCTTGCCCAGGCTGGAGTGCAATGGCTCGCTGCAACCTCCACCTCCCGGGTTCAAGTGATTCTCCTGCCTCAGCCTCCTGAGTAGCTGGGATTACTGGCATGTGCCATCACGCCCGGCTACTTTTTGTATTTTTAGTAGAGACGGGGTTTCACCATGTTGGCCAGGCTGGCCTCGAACTCCTGACCTCAGGTGATTCACTGCCTCAGCCTCCTAAAGTGCTGGGATTACGGGCACGAACCACTGTGCCCCACCCCTCAAATTTTGTATATTAGCCAGGTGCGTACCTGTAGTTTCAGCCACTTGGGAGGCTGAGGTGGGAGGATCACTTGGGCCTAGTAGTTCGACTAGCCTGGGCAACTTAGCAAGTCCTCATCTCTACAGAATTTTTATTTTTATTTTTTTGAGACAGAGTCTCGCTCTGTCGCCCAGGCTGGAGTGTAATGGCGCCATCTCGGCTCACTACAACCTCCACCTCCCAGGTTCAAGCAATTCTGCCTCAGCCTCCCGAGTAGCTGGGACTACAGACGCACGCCACCATGCCCGGCTAATTTTTGTATTTTTAGTAGAGATGGGGTGTCACCATATTGGCCAGGCTGGTCTTGAACTCCTGACCTCGTGATCCGCCTGCCTTGGCCTCCCAAAGTGCTGGGATTACAGGCGTGACAGAAATTTTTTAAAAAGTGGTTGGGCACAGTGGTGCACACCTATAGTCCCAGCTATCTGGGAGGCTGAGGCAAGAGGATTGCTTAAGCCCAAGAGTTTGAGGCTGCAGTGAGCTATGACTGCACCACTGCACTCCGGCCAGGGCAAGACAGCAAGACCCTATCTCAATTTAAAAATATACATATATTTTCACACACACACACACACACACACACACACACATATAAGATCGATAGAGAGAAAATAGGCTTGGGCAAATGCCAGAGCCAACCACAGTAACTGTGGAGGCTTCGGACAAACTCCACTCAGGATTTAGGGCCCCAGGGCAGGCAGCCACAAGCACACAAAGCCACAGATGCTCCTTGTTCTATGCAACAAAATATTGGAAAACAAAACCCAGATATCAGCTCCTTTTGGTCGTTTCCATCTGTGTTTGATTCCTCAGTAAATTATTCTTTCCCTGCTCCTGAAACAAAAATGAAATCAAATATGGAGAAATAACTCCCTCACGCACGCACATTTTTGTGTCCTCATATCTAAGGAATAGATATTCGACGGGGGACCGGGGTGTCAACAGATGTATCCGAGTTCATGCGTGGCAGGGAGCTGGCGGCGGGACCCGTCCCTCCAGCTGGCTCTCCAACCCCAAGCCTGCATTACGACCACGGCAAAATGCCAGAAGCCCAGAGAAGCGGGGTTTCTGAAGCGGATCGTTTGTTCAGCCCGAGTGCGTGGGGCAGGAACACACCTGGAGGTCATTAAAGAGAAGTCTTCACGGGGCACTCAAGGCACACTGCAAAACAACTTTTTATTTAAAAGGCCAATAATGAGAATAATGAGTTGCACAAGAATGAAAACCTTATCCCTTCCAAAAGATCGGCCTATACATTATGTATAAAGTTAGAATAATTCTAAATACAAAATGCCAAAGACCAGCGGGTCCACTCCTTCCTCTCCTAAGCCATCTTGACAGTTTCACATTTCAGCTTCCAGACGTCATTTCTGTTGCTTTTAAGGGTGCTTACCCAGCCGTGGTCTGTACCAGACAGGGTAGTTGGCACAGCGTAGGCACTGCCAGCAGGCCCTTGGGAGCTTGGCGAGGTGGGAGCCTTGAGAAATAGCTGGCTCGGACCCATGGCGGGGTTTGTGTGTCAACTCCCTGGTCCTCAGAGAATCCGAGCCACGGGAGAGCAAACGCTGCTTCCAAAACCAAAGGAGGAATTTTGCAATCGTTTAGACGGGTTATAATAGAATCTCATTCAGATCTTGAAGGTTATCGGTGCTTTCTGCAGGTTTTTATTCCTCAAAAATGCAGCCAAGCTTTGCTGTGCTTATCTTGGTGGATCTGAGCTAGGTTGGGCTATCTTTTCCTAATTCAATTGCCTTTTTTTTGCAAGGAAGGGGGTTTCTGGTCCATCGGAGGGATCAAGGGCATGGTCCTCACGTCTCGTCAGGAGACAAAAATAGACATTCAGCAGACAGACCACAGCCAGCGCATGCGACCAGCGTCGTTTGGCTATTTTAGTCTCTTCTTAATACACAGACAAACGAGCAAAGAAAAAGCTACTTTGTCCAACACCGGGCCCTGGGTTGGAGTTTAGCCCTGCTTGGCTCTGCCCGCTAGTCTCAGTCAGGTCACTCACCCCAGGCCTGCGGGAACGGTGGTCTTGGTGGTCTTCTCTGGCCCTTCCACCTCTTCTGCCTTGTGGGGACCACCCAAGCCCTCTCCCGACTTGCCCAGAGGCTGCACGCCTCTCTGGCATCACAGTCCGCACGGAGCCTGGCTGTAAGGCTCCACTGAAATCCCCCCGGCGCTGGCTTCGTGCCCCAGGCACACCCACCTCACTTCTGCCTCTTTTCTGCTGGTTTCTGGCCTGTTTGGTCCCAGCCCCTCCCTGCACTCTCTCCGCAGCTGTCTGGTGGGTGATGTGAACCAAGGGACACCCAGGGTCATGGCACTGCCTGGATTCAGTTTGGTAATCGTCGGCAGTCTGTCCCTGGCTTCTGAGCCTGGGGCCTCCTCCTCTTTCTCCCCATCCTGGATGAGCAGGACACGCTGGGGAGACAGCGTCCTACAAAGGCCTCCTAAGAGCTGTGCCCTGTGCCAGGAAAGCCTCCTGTATCTCCAAGGATGTCCCTGGAGCCCTCCAGCTGGTGCCTCTGCTGAGGTCTGTGAGCAGCGGGAATAGGCCTCTAGGGGAGGAGTTGGGGACAGGCCTCTAGGGGAGAGCACACCTCCGGGTACTGCACCTGTGGCTCACCAGCCACCTGCACGGGGCCAGCTTCAGCCTCAGCAGTGTCAGCTCAACAGACGTGACTGCTGTCAACACAGTGGGGCCAGGCCCTGGAGACTGACATCTCCTGTGGCTGCTTGTTTAAAGGGCATGGGATAGAGAAAGAGTGTGTTATTTTAAAGCTGGACTACCTAACAGCCTCTGATAGCAGATACAGCTTTGCTGCTGTTCTTGAAGTTCAAGGTGATGTGGAGGTGTTGCAGTGACAATCAGTACACCGTGAACAACACCTGCCACCAACGTCGACCCTGAAGTGGTAGATGGGGCCTGCTTTGGCACTTGACGCTGGGGCAGGAGTCCCTTTCTTGGGGACTCACTCTCTACTTCGTCTCCCCCGGGAGTTGTCTACTTTCCTAGGCCCTGCCAGCAGCCCCCACAGCTCCGCCCAGCCCACTCCACCAGCTTGCTGCTCCCATGGCTCAGCCCCACTCACAGCTCACCCCTCCCATGGCTAGGCCCCATCCACAGCTCACCCCTCCCATGACTAGGCCCCGCCCACAGCTCACCTCTCCCGTGACTAGGCCCCGCCCACAGCTCACCTTTCCCATGGCTAGGCCCTGTCCACAGCTCACCCCACCCATAGCTAGCCCCATTCACAGCTCACCTCTCCCATGGCTAGGCCCCACCCACAGCTCGCCCCGCCCACAGCTCACCCCTCCCATGACTAGGCCCCGCCCACAGCTCACCCCTCCCATGGCTCCATGGGCTTCTCTTCCCCTCCTGCCTAAGTCCCCGCAGGGCCAGAACCCCTGGCCCCCAGGCCCTGGGGCCGTGGGCAAGGAGGCCTCTCCGCTTGGTACTGTCTCCATGGAACAAAACCACACTGCAGCGTTCCAGGACCACAGAACAGCCAGGCAGGCTGTACCCAGCAAAGGGGACTGGTGACCAGCACTGGACACTGGGCATCAGCTGAAGACACTGGCTTGAGAATGCATTGCCATTTACCCAGCGAGCTTCAAGATGGATGCTGGCTTTTAAAAGAGCAGCCCAGCTGCACCAGAGGACATGGCGGTTTATGTATGGAACATTGGCCTCCAAGCCTGAGGCAGGAAAGCCCTCTCCATGCCTGTAACCCAAAGCTCTAGGCCACTGGTTCCCAAGAGTGAGCACGTCCCGCAGAAACAGCTTGGTTTAACAAGTGGGAGCAGCTGCCACAAGAGAACGGAGGGTCTCCCCCAGCGAATGTGCAGGTGTCTCACTTTCTCAGGGCTTTCGAGGTGGACTGGCTCCTAGGACCTGAAGCTTTGAGCTGGCAAGCAGGGATGGCTTGGGACAGCGCCCCAGGGAGTGGACCCGGGCGGGTGGGGTGAAGGCAGGGGTCTAAAGAGGGCCTGTGTCAGTTACACAGTCCATCAAGTTACCAGCCAGTTCAGTGGAAAAAAAAATGGACTTGGCAACCCACAGACCAAATAAGGAAAACACGTACACAAGCCAGGCCCCCCGCTGACTCGCTTCCACCCACTGCAGAAACAGAAGCTAAGTGGAGACAGGGGCCAGGCTTCGAACCGCAGGGTGGGGCGGGTCCTGCACTTTGGGTGGCCCCATCCCTGAGTGACTGGGAGAGAACAGGCTGGGCTGGGGACACCTGTGTCCTCCTCCCATAGAGCAGGTGGACATGCAGAGCCTCCTCTCTCCCTTTCACAAGCCACTGTGTTGGGGCCATCGGCCTTCTGACCGCCACAGAGAATGACCCAGGCTCAGCTTAGGTGACTCAGAAGGCCGCCATGCTGCAGAAAAGGCGCCCAGGGGTTAAGCCTGTCCCCGTGGACGGAAGCCTTGGGAGAAGCTGTCAGCTGTGTAAAAAGGGGCTTTCTAACCATTGGGTCTCTCCTGAGACAGCGGCCAGCCCCGGCAGGAGTCCCCACAGGGGTGCTGTGGAAATGCAGACACCAGGCCTGGGCTGTGCAGGGGTCTAGATGCCCCTGAAGGCCCGCCCAGGTCTAAGGCTCTTCCTCTTGACGCCCCAGCAAGGGCTAATCTCACACACAAGCAAGAGATGGGCACTGGACACTGTGCGCTTCCCCCAGGAACTCCCTCCTAGGCCTCTGCAGCTGCTGGCTCCACAGGCTCCGCACGCCCGGCCCAGCCCAGCCCAGCCCAGCCCAGCCCAGCCATGGAGCTTGGGAGTGCAGAGGCCGCACACATGGGGTGACGGGGACTGTCCCAGACACCAGATGCAACACGCCCCACCACGAGCCTATGCTGTCCCTTGGAACGGCGAGCCTGCCTCCTCACCCTCCTCTCCTCCTCTTCCCCGGGTGGCCCCACACAGGCTAAGGCTCCCGCCACCAGCTTGGGAACAGACATCACCCTGCTGTTCTCAGAAGCAAGTGTGATGCTGCTTTTGTAATTGGGAATTTTAAAAAATCTTGGTCTCCACAGTGACAGAATCCAACCAAATTCCTTCCTGGGAAGGGCAGCTCTGGAGGGCAGTGCTCCAGGGGATAGCAAGGGTGACGGGAAAGGACGGTGTGAGCGGGTGGGGCATGGAGTAAGATCATTTGGGGACCTGGGTGTCTTTAGCTCCTCACTGGCTTGGGACAGGCCGTGTTTTGCTGTGGGGATGGGGGAAGCCGGTCTCACACCTTCCTAAGGCACAGCGGGGTGTGTCTGCCTGGCCTGCTGGGCTGAGATCGAGCAAATCCTGGTTGTTGAGGGTGTCACCAGGAAGAGGGGGCATGGTGTCGGCGCTGGTTGCGGATAGCAGCTCCTCACGGTCAAGGTCGTGGGCAGGCGGCAAGGTGCTGTCAGAGAACGTGTCACTACAGGGCTCCCTGGCATCTGCGAGTTCACGGCAGATGTGTCTGTTGGCACTGAAAATCCACCATCCGAGCTGCAGCTGGAGATGAGGGGGATGCGAGCCGCTGGCCCTCCCCAGAGAATAAAGTAAAGGCATTTGGGTCTCCTTCCACAAACAAAAGCACAAAGAGACACGACGCAGATGCTGAGGTGTTAAGTAGGTATCATCGTTCTTCTCCTAACACGATAAATTATCTTTCCAGTCGTGGTTCCTATGTCCTCGGCAGCGCTGCCATCACGGCGTGGAGACAGTGACGGGGACCTAAACTGGAAAGTTCTTCGTGGGCAGAGACGGTGCAATGACAATATCGTCGGAATCATCGGAGTTGACGTCATCCCCAGGTAGAGGTGCCAAGGCCTGTGGCCCTGAGGGAGAGGGGTCTGCAGAAATGAACCACAGGGAGAGGGGTCAGCCACGCTGACCTCAGGGGCTGCCACCACGGACACCCTTACACTGTCTGCTCTTCCCCGGCAGGCAAGACGGCAGCCACCCCGAGAAGCAGTAAGCCATGGGGCACACAGGCCCTCAGGAGCAACTCACACACCTGCCAGAAAGCCTCACTCTCCGCCCTCAGGACCAACTCACACACCTGCCAGAAAGCCTCACTCTCCAGCCTCAGGACCAACTTACACACCTGCCAGAAAGCCTCACTCTCCAGCCTCAGGACCAACTTACACACCTGCCAGAAAGCCTCACTCTCCAGCCTCAGGACCAACTTACACACCTGCTAGAAAGCCTCACTCTCCAGCCTCAGGACCAACTTACACACCTGCCAGAAAGCCTCACTCTCCTCACCTTCAAACTCAGCTCTGAGTATTCTCACCATTTCCCCCAGTCAAAACACCTGCAAAAGCAGACATTTGCCAGCATGGAGGAACCTCGAGTCCACACTGGAGTCATTCCCTGAAAGCCATTCCCACAGCAGCAGTCCAGGAGTCTGGGGCCTGGGTGGGTGGCTACCCGTGTGTAGGAGCGTTTCTGCTGGGTGCAGTGGCTCATGCCTGTAACCCCAGGACTCTGGAGGCCGAGGTGGGAGGGTGGCTTGAACCCAGGAGTTCCAGACCAGCCTGGGCAACACAGCTAGACTGCACTTCAAAAAAAAAAAAAAAAAAGCCAACTTCCCTGTTAACTCGCTGGCCACTGGTATAGAGGGCAGGAGGGGGCAAGGCACGGATCGCTGTGAGCTTGCAAGCTGCTCGGCCATTCCCCCTTGGATGCTCCTTCCTAAGCATCTAGAGCGTTCCAAACTTTTAATCCATTCTAGAATGGGACGCCACCTACAGACGGGATGGAGGTGGGTACCAGAGCTGAAGAAGGGACGGGTCCTACCACAGCAGCAGCCCCAGAGCTCCTTGCCGGGGAGCCTGAGTGTCGCTGCCTTGAAAGACGAAAGTAAAAAAGTAATGAACTGCTCATGTGAGATTTTAAAAAGGGAAGGAAATGGCAATTCGGCCATGCCGCAGATACTGTAACTGTGTCAGCTTTTTTTTCCTGCAACTTTCAAGAAAATTCATATTAAAGGGGAACCTTATGAAATTAAAAACAGCTTTCATGGTTATCTTCAAAAACAACCAATCAGCTCAAACAAAAGCTTGATTTATACTTTTCACAGAGACATTTCCTTAGGTCAATAAAGCTGAATCCCTGGGTCACGGGGATGAACTTGCGTCTTTAAAATCACTTGCGTTGAGCAAGAGAAAAGGGCAGCATCAACGCACGCTTTAGCCCTGATCAAAGCCTCTAAAGGTCACCAAAGGCAGGGTCTGGCGAAGCCGGTAGAATCGGCTCCCGGAGAACAACTGAAAGCCTTTTGCAGAGCCCACGAGTCACAGGCCGGCCCGACCGCTTTGCGTGTCTGTACATTCTCCCCGAAACCCCAGGCTGCTCATCTTTGTGTTGAGCTTTACAAATGGAAGTTTTGGAGAGAATATCAAAGTTCAAAGTTTTCTAGCTCTGACGAAACTAGGTTAAAAAATGAAAATAAAATGTGATTTCATACGTGGTATTTCCAGGTCAAACGTGGTATACGGTTCTTAGCTCGTGCAGGAGACTCTCTAAAACACAGCCCCTAGCGGGACCCCCTGGGGAGGGAAGGCTCTCGGGCTCCAGGTCTGATGCGGGCCTCAAAACGGCCTCTTCCCAACTCCGTGACTCCGCGTCAGCACAGGAGGGATCTCCCAGGAAAGCGAGGCCTCCGCCCGCCACGGGCCCCCACACTTACTGGAGTGGTACTGGGGGGCTGCCGGCTCCCTGGGCCCGTCCTGAAGGGACATTCAAATTAAGGCATGTGGGTCCTGGGCAGGCCTCACCCTTCCTTCACCCCCTGGCCTTCCTCACCCTCACCCTTTGGGCTCAGAAGAGCCTCTTCCTTTGTGGTTTTCCTTGCTGTTCTCTCTCCTCCTTCCCTGACTCCACCCTGGAGACCTAAGGACTCAGCACAGCAAAGCCCTTCGCCTGACACTTCCCACGTGAAACAGCCCCGCACGCCACACTCCCCTCCTCAACAGGGTCTTAAGGCTGCCCTTCTCCATCTCCCGACAGTCCCGAGTCTCAACAGCGTGCCTCCGCACTCATCTTCCCTTTACAGGAGGTGTCAATGGGGGGTTTCTAATTGCAGGATAAGACACGGGATCTCAAGTCCACGCAGAGCAGCATAGATTTGGGGTGGAGAGTGGCTTTCCAGCTGTCTAGCCCGTTCTCTACTTTAAACATGAAGGGACTGACGGCCAGAGAAAGGCAGGGCCTGCTGGGGCATCCCCGTCAGCTCCGGGCAGAGCAGGGATGAGGCCTCACACCAGGGTGTGGCATCCTGCAGTGCCAGCGGCTTCTTCACTGACTGTTTTTGGACTTTAACAAAGTAGAAAAGGAAACAATAACACGGTTTTACTCAACAAACAAACAGGAGAAATGCTGGCCTGAAGGAGGAAGCCACCTCGGTCCTGTTGGAGCTGAGAGCAAAAAATAAAGACAGCAAGGACCTCGGCAATTCCAGGCACAAAGGACAAGCTGGGCCAAGGCGGGGCCCTGTTGTGGGCCTTCCTGGCATAAGGCGACGCTTAGTTCAGAGGCAGCTCCAGATGGGACACTCCTCCCTTCCGTCCCGACACAGCCCGGGCTTCCTGGAGGTGGCCACTCTTTGGCTGAGACCTCAGCAGACCAGCTGCCCTGGTGCCAGAATCCAAATGAATGAAATTACCAGGAAGAGCTGCGAGGAAGGGTGGGGAGGAGGCGTCCCCGTGTGTGGCTGAAGCCGATCTCCTCCTGGTAGAAGCTGCGGTGGTGGTTCTTTTACCGGTAGCACTGGAAAAAAACAGAAAACGCCAGCTGATTCTGCTTTTAGAGAGTACAAACCTCTCTGAGGTTTACAGCAGCCTCAGTAATTTGCTTGGAGGCAAGTATTCCAATGAAAGCAAACACAGAGCCAGTCCCGAGCCCCACGACCAGCGCTGTACCCAATATGCACCCAGGGTCCAGAAACGTCCGGCGGTGAAGAGCCTCAGACACGTCCCCGTCCATCTCCTCGGGGACCATGCTGAGGTCAGGCCGGCATGGTTTTATAAGCTGGCCTCAGACGGCTCCGTTCCCTGTCTCCTGTCTGGGTCAGCCCAGCTGCCATTCCCCGGGGACATGCTTGCAGGCTGCATGGCCCTCCACCTCCTGGCTGGGGCTCGCCGCCCAGGGATGGGTCCCTGACTCCTGAGCCCACAGTGTGTCCCAGGTCACATGGGGTCAGGACCATGAGATGCAGATGCGGCCTTGGAGGGAGAAACTGCCCACTCGGAAGTGCTGGGTGGCCGCGCGGCTCCACCACAGAGGCTGAGAACCAGAGCAGTCTGTGATAAGAGGGGAACAAACCCCATGCGGGGTGAAGCAGACGGGGGTGACGGAGCGGGGCCGTCTCTTCCCCTTACTGTAAACTCCCCCCGGCCAGGCTCACTTCAAGGGGTTTTGATTTCTGCAACCGAGAGTCCTAGCAAACCCACCAAGAGGCCTGTGGGAACGCTGCCATCTAGACCCTGCACGCGTCGCCTGTCATATGCCGTGTCCAACACGGAGGTCACAACACAGTTTTCTTTCACAGGGATGACCTATCAGCACAGCCAAAAGCCAGGCCACAGACTGATGGTGACCTGAGCTACACGGTGTGTGAAGCTCCTCTTCTCATCTCCTCCCGGTAGGGAAGAAGCGACTCTGGAAAGGCCTCCCCCGAGGATCACACCTTCCAGCCCACTCCACGTCCGTGGTGCAGCAGGGAGTCCTCAGGATGTGAAGCCTTTACTCTGGCTCCAAACCGAGGTCCCGCTGGCAGGCGGCAGGCGCTGCTCCAGTTTCCGCCACATGCCCTGCACCCAGTGCTCCGGGCCCAGTGCGGTGGGCAGCCTCTCGTGCCATGTCTGTGTCCCACGTCCCCGTGACCCTGACTCACCTGTGCCTGGCCCGGGCCAGGTGTGCCCGCAGAGCGGACTGGATGATGACGATGGCCTCCTCCTGCACAGGGCTGCCCGTGGCCTGGGCGATGGGGCTCGGAACGCGGGGCACAGGAGAGCTCTGGGGTGCAAGGACAGCAGGGAAGACGACTGTTTGGCAGCCCCCTGCTGGCTCCCAGCACTCAACCCCCAGGGCACCCTGGGCGTCAGGGAGACAGGAAGAGCTCAGTTTCCTTTTCAGATGGCCCTGCCTCCCGGGAATTGCTGGTCAGTGAACAGCCTCCTGGTGGCAGGTTCTGAATTTTTAAACTGTAGGGATTCTTATTTATCTATTTATTTATTTATTTATTTATTTATTTACTTATTTATTTATTTTTGAGATGGAGTCTCGCTCTGTTGCCCAGGCTGGAGTGCAGTGGCGTGATCTCGACTCACTGTAAGCTCCGCCTTCCGGGTTCACCCCATTCTCCTGCCTCAGCCTCCTGAGTAGCTGGGACTGCGGGCGCCCGCCACCACGCCCGGCTAATTTTTTGTGTTTTTAGTAGAGACAGAGTTTCACCATGTTAGCCAGGATGGTCTCGATCTCCTGACCTTGTGATCCACCTGCCTCGGCCTCCAAAAGTGCTGGGATTACAGGTGTGAGCCACCGCGCCCGGCCTACTATAGGGATTCTTAAACAAAAACCTGGTCCTCAATACAGAGGAGGGGCCGCAATGGCCTGCATCTGTCTTTAGTAGTTTTTAGCTACATCTTCATGGAGCTACTTGACTCTCCGGCAGCTTAACGCAATCTGGCCCTAACGCCACATCCATCCGGGGCCTGTGCAGAGGGGCCTGCGCAGAGAAGCCTGCATGGCCTGCGTGGCCAGGGATGGAGCGCAGGGGACGCCTGCTGGGCGGGCGGGGATGTGGAGGCTGAGGGGTGCCCTACGCTTTCTCGATGGATGGAGTGCGAGACGAGCAGCTCTGCAGATGGCCACTGGGACGTCCAGCACCCCGACATTACCTGGTCTGGGAGGCCTGGCACGCTGGGTGGCTCTGAGCCATGTGCTTTGCTTGCTAAGAGCTTTGTCCGCGTGAGATGTCCCCTGAAAGCTGCCTGAAGCACCACAGCCGCCTGTCAGGGAAGGAAGCAGGGAGAGAAAAGTGGGTGTGAGTGCCCGGGGCAACGGCGGGCGAGAGGGAGGCGCCGAGGAGAGAGCTGCCACGGCAGCAGGGAACGTGACTCCCTTCACTGCTGTGCAGCCACGTTCTCTCAAAGAGCCGTCCGTGCTCCCACTCACCCCAGTCTGGGAGAAACTCACTGGCGCCCCAGGGAGCTGACAGGGCATGGCACCTGTCAGCACAGTGGGGACTCTGGGAATGGCAAGGTGCCCGCTGCTCACTGCAGTCCCTTTCAGCGGCTAATAGGAGCTGGTATTTCACACATGGTTAGGTTTTCATGTTGGAGCGTTTTTTCAGGTTGGAATAGTTTATTGGTTTCATCTACTTTCCATAGATGTCTTCTAAATCAAGCAAGGGGCCACAAGACCTCTGAAGTGATCTTAAGAGAATTATTTATCCTGAAATGATTTTCTTAGGCTATGTGGCTGGGTGCAGTGGTTCATGCCTGTAATCCCAGCACTTTGGGAGGCTGAGGCAGGGTGATCACTTGAGGCCAGGAAATTCAGATCAGCCCGGGCAACACAGCAAGACCTCGTCTCTACAGAAAATTAGCTGGGCACGGCACACACCTGTCATCCAGTGCTTTGGGAGGCTGGGGTGGGAAGATCCATTGAGCCCAGGAGTTTGAGACCAGCCTGGTCAATATGGTAAAAACCTGTCTCTACTAAAAATACAAAAATTAGCCAGACGTGGCGCGCATGCCTGTAGTCCCAGCTACTCAGGAGGCTGAGGCATGAGAATCGTTTGAACCTGGGAGGCAGAGGTTGCAGTGAGCCAAGATTGGGCCACTGCACTCCAGCCTGGGTGACACAGTGAGACTCTATCTCAAAAAAAAAAAAAAAAAGACAGGGAAGCTCCGTAAGAAGTTCACACTCCATTTTCGGGGAAGCACTTATTTTTGAACGATCTGCCTCTAGCCCTGTGAACCCTCCCAGCCTGATAGATGGGCATCTCTCAAACTCGTTAGAAGAATGACAAGCATGCCCACCGAGCCCCATGCCACGTGAGTTTAGCAGGCTTGCCGCTGTTGGAACAGAAAGCACCTTTGTTTTGTCTTAAAGCTAGGGTGGGAAAAGAGCTCAGCAAAGGAGGGCGAGGCAGCGCCGGCTATTAACGGTGAACGACCCGCCAGAGTGTGGTGACCATGTGGAGGCTGCCCAGAAGCTTCCGGTAAAGTGGCTGCCAGGTACGGGAGGCTCTGCACCAGCCGGAGGGGTGAGAGGGGCACGCATCTCCGTCACGCCACACACTGCGCACACACTGGCAAACCCCACGCTCACCACAGCCCCACACAGGCAGCCTCACTGCTGTCTTTACTTAGAGACGAGGCCCCTGAGGCATGGGGGGCGCCAGGGAGAGAAGCAGGATGGGGAGACGGCACCCACCACTGACTGGCCGATCGGACAAGGAGCCCGGATCCCCTCACCCGCTCACTGGAGGGCATTTACCCCATGCCTCCCACATGCCAGGCGCCAGTCTAGGCACCAGAGGTGTGGTGGCAAAAAGACAGAGCTTGCATTCTGACGGGAGGCTGGCAAGAATAACCACAAAGTGAGATGCCAGGCAGGGGCGTGTGCTAGGAACCGCAGCGGGCTGTGGGGACCGGGAGCCTGGGCAGGCTGTGGTGGGTGGACAGGTGGGAGGCTGACATGCTGGAGACCTCGGGATGAGGGCCTGAGGGCTGCTGGAGGATGGGAGGGACTGTCAGAGACGGGGATGTTGGAAGTTGCCATTGCAGATGTGTGAGATGGGTATGGACAAGGGTGTGTCTGTGGGGCAGGTCTAGGGACCAGGAGGCCAGGCACGGAGGGGCTGCAGAACCGAAGGCTGAGGACTAGGGCAGTGGCGAGCAGGGGTCCCTTCCTCAGGGGCAGTGTGGTGGGCCAGGTGGGCAGTCCAGCTGTCTGCTCGTGGAGGGCGCTCGTGTGGCTGTGGCCTGGCCATCAGATGGCAACATGCTCCCACTGCAGCTGCGCGCAGGCCACTGAGCCTGGTGTGCCGCCCACACCCGCGACCATACTGGCTGTCCTGACTGCAGAGTATGAACCCCGTGCAATTTGGACAGTGTCTGGCTGGTCTGTTACAAGCTCCTCTGGTGCCCGGCACATGGCAGGAGCCCAGCAAACACTTGTGGATGAGTAATGTGGCCAAGGGGAAGGGGACATGGGTGGGGCAGGGGGAAGTCAAGCCCCGCCCTGACGGCAGAGCTGTCAACCCTGCTGACATCAGATGCACCTGGGGAGTGTGAGGACAAGCGGGTGCTGAGTCTGCCCTGCCACTTAGAAGCAGCTGTGGGTGAGGAGGAAGGCAGCGTGAGAAGCCCTGTGGCCCAGCGCCAGCTCTGAGTGACTGAGGCGGGGTCCTCTCCTGCAGTCTAAGTGGAAATACACTGCTGTCCCTGAAGGGGCCCTAGAGGAGAGGGGAGCATCTCAGAGGCCACCAGGACTCCAGCAAAATAAAGATCTCACTTTCTAGCTCCTCCCTAAAAAGGGTCATGGCTGGAACTGCACTGTTCATCAATCTGTCAGTTCTCAGCTGTGGGTGACATACTCAACCTCCATTCCAGTTCCATGCCCTGGCCCCGTCTCAGACTCCTTGTCCCACCGGCTCTGCTGGGATGCCCTCCCCTCACTTCCCGGTCCAGTGAGCTCTGATGTATCCTGCGAGGCCCACCTTGCATGTCACCCCTCGCAGGGACCTCCTGGCCTTTGTGTGCAGGGCTGGCCACCCCCAGCGCCACCCCGGGCTGTAACCACTCGTTCACTTGTGTGTTTGAGCCTTTGCGTCCCAGGGCCTCTGAGACTGCCCCACGCAGGGCTGGTGATCAGTGAGTGTGCATGAAAAGAATGAATGAATGGAAGGAAGGAATGAATGAAGAGATTTTGAAAGTGGGAAATTATCGAAATATTTATTTGATGTCTCTATTTCTCATGTATTTTATACTTAACGTTGGGGTCTGGTTTGGTTTCATGAAAAGAAGGACTTGCCGGGCGCGGTGGCTCACGCCTGTAATTCCTGCACTTTGGGAGGCCAAGATGTGCAAATCACCTAAGGTCAGGAGTTGGAGACCATCCTGGCCAACACGGAGAAACCCCGTCTCTCCTAAAAATACAAAAATTAGCTGGGCACAGTGGTGCATCCCTGTAATCCCAGCTACTAGGGAGGCTGAGGCAGGAGAATCGCTTGAACCCAGGAGGCGGAGGTTGCAGTGAGCCAAGATTGCACCACTGCACTCCAGGCTGGGCCACAGAGCGAGATTCCATCTCGAAAAAAAAAGAAAAGGAATCAACACATCTTTAAATATCCCCTCACCTACTTTTCAACAAAATACAAATCCGAATTTTGAAACAAGAAATAAACCTCGCTTACCTCATCCAGAACAGCCTTTTTTTTCTGGAAAAAAAAAAAGAAAGAAAAAATACATGAATTAACACGAGAAGGATGAATGTGGTTTTGATTCCTTCATCTTGCCAACAGGTGTCCATCAAGCCAACAAGAGGCCTGGCTGCCCTGGCTCCTCCCTCCCGAGCTGCCGGGACCCAGCAAACAAACGCCTTTGTAAGGAGGACGAAAGTGAGAGGCAGAATTAGGATGGCGGGAATTCTCCAGGAGTCACATGAGGTGGCCCAAGCTGCAGATGAAGGGACGTCTCTGTGCCGTGTGCCAGTCCCCTGGCTGTGCAGAAGGGACTCCATTAGGCCAAGCTGTGCACCTATGGAGGTGGATGTGGGCCCAATGTGAGAGCTCTCTCACAGCACAGGTGTCCGGACCACTGTGCTCTCTGGATAAGCCCCAGAACTCGGAGGCTGAGGCTGCCTGCTGGGGACGTTATGAAGGGGACTTTGGTTCAGGGGTCTGGATCACTGGCCCCACCCTGACTGGTCATCAGTCACCCTTGGGTGTCTTGGGAAGTTTCTCAGGCTGCAGCTGACACGCAGCGTCACAATCAGTAGAGAGGGTCCCTCGGAGCATGTGTTCTTATAGATGTGAGCGAAGTCCTCCCCAGATGTTGATGCCAAGTTAATCAATGTGCACTTAATGGCACGGAATGACCACCACGGCCGGATGACAGGTACATCAGAGTGCACGTCCCACATTTGTACTACTGTACACAGGATCTTTCCCTTGGGAGATTAAGGAGGAACTGAGTACAAGGACCAGCAGAATATACGATGGAAGCAAAGAAATATATACACTGAATAAGAGTGAGACAGACAGACAAGCCAGCATCTGCTTAGCACCTAAAGGGAAGTCACTAAGTTTTCTCCCACGCTTTCGGGAGGACGAGGAGTTGGCCCCGCTAATAAGGAAACTGCTTTTCAGACGGAGACAGCTGTGACGGGAAGGACACTAAGACCACAAGGGGAAAGGTGGTGGGGACAGACCTCAGGGAGCTAAACTCTCCCCTGTAGACTGCCGGCCAGTTACCAAGGGAAACTCGTTTCTTTAAAATGGCGAAAGCCAGCAGCCATGGCCAGGTTAGAAACACAAACAGGGGCCGGCCTGGTCCATCCACGTCCCGAGGGGATGGGGTACACAGCCTCGACGTGAGACATTCTTGCCAAAAGCAAACCCGGGTGAATCAGAGCTGGAGACCTTATTTCTCATTTATGGGAAATTAAGGGGACAGAGGAATAAGTTTATGACCCCACAAGGAAACAGATCCAGGAAAGGGAACGTTCTGTAACACATTGGCCTGCCCATTGCCAAAGAAAATGTCTTTGAAAAGAAAAAAAAAAAGGCCAGGCACAGTGGCTCACGCCTATAATCCCAGCACTTTGGGAGACCAAGGCAGGTGGATCACCTGGGGTCAGGAGTTCAAGACCAGTCTGGACAACATGGTGAAACCCTGTCTCTAATAAAAATACAAAAATTAGCTGTGCATGGTGGTGTGTGCCTGTAGTCCCAGCTACTGGGGAGGCTGAGGCAGGAGAATCGCTTGAACCTGGGAGGCGGAGGTTGCAGTGAGCTGAGATCCCGCCACTGCACTCCAGCCTGGGCCACAAGAGCGAAACTCCATCTCAAAAAAAAAAAGAAAAGAAAAAAAATCTAGGTGTGGTAGCTCACACCTGTAATCCCAGCACTCCGGGAGGCGGAGGCAGGTAAATGGCTTTAGCTCAGGAGTTCAAGACCAGCCTGGACAACACAGCAAGACCCGTCTCTACAAAAATTGGCCAGGTGTGGTGGTGCCTGCCTGTAGTCCCAACTACTTGGGAGGCTGAGGCCGGAGGACTGCTTGAGCCTGGGAGGTCGAGGCTGCAGTGAGCTGTGATTGTGCCACTGCACTCCAGCCTGAGTGATGGAGTGAGACCCTGTCTCTATGAAAAAAGAAAAAAAAGGCCGGGTGTGGTAGCTCATGCCTGTAATCCTGGCACTTTGGGAAGCCAAGATGGGTGGATCACCTGAGGCCAGGAGTTCGAGACCAGCCTGGCTAATAAGGTGAAATCCTGTCTCTACCAAAAATACAAAAATTAGCTGGGCGTGGTGGTGAGCACCTGTATCACAACTACTTGGGAGGCTGAGGCAGGAGAATCACTTGAACCCAGGAGGCGGAGGTTGGAGTGAGCCAAGATCATGCCATTGCACTCCAGCCTGGACAACAGAGCAAGACTCTAACTCAGAAAAACAAACAAACAAAATCGGTCAGGGTGAACTGTTGGTTAAAGAAAAGAAAGGGTGGGGGCTGCTGTGAACCACACTAAGGAGACGTAACCAACCGACCCCCAGGCTCCGATGGGATGTGGACTGAGAACCGCCGTGACCGAATGCTGGCGGGAAACAGATAGCGGCAGGCGGCATATGGGGACATTTGGGAAATGTGAATAGGAAGGGCCGTTAGGTGAGGATGTAAAACTGCTGGCAGCCCTAGGTGCAGTCACGGTGCTGTGGTCAGGTAGGAGAAGACACTTTTTCTTAGAAGATACATGCCGATGTTTCATAACGTCTAAAACTTACTTTCGAATAGTTCTGGAAGAAAACTGGATGGAAAGAAATCTGGCGAGTTATCCACTACTGCACAAAACGCACCCAGAACGGAGGTGTCAGCGTGTGAATGAGGTTTTCATTTTCTGTATGTTACGGTGCTCAGACACCTGGGGCCTGGCTGGCCCTCCAGGCCCAGTCATTCCTGGAGAGTGAGTGGCTTGCCTTGGAGCACGAAGACTCACAGGGAGCAGCCCGGGTCGCCCCGGGGAGCCTCACCTTGTGCTTGTACACCTTCCACTGGGCCTGCAGGACTCTGGCCGCGGCGTCTCTTCTCCCATCAGAGCAGGGGGAGCGGGGCCGCGGGAGCCCCTCCTCGCTGGAATCCGGCGGCCAGTCTTGCTCGCAGTGCCTGCTGCTGGGAGTGGGAGCTGGGAGCTCTTGGGCCTGCAGGAAATTGAAGGAGTAAGAGGACAATGAAGCCAGGGCAGGGACAACCAGTATCCGGCAAGGGGACAGGATATTACCCGGCATGGTGCGGCTGCGCTTATCAGGTGAGTCTCACTAATGTGGAGGAGAGAGCTGTTCCACACTGGTCTGCAGACCACATGACAGCGGTCTCTTGTACTGCTGAGAGACAGCGTCTAGGCGAGCACACAAGTGCAGACGTGCTTCTCATTAAACTCCCTTAACTCTGTCTGGCAGTGCCTCCTGGGAGGGAGAGAGGACGCTTCTTCACACGGCCGTCACACACTCACTACACTCAGTCACATTTTGTTCCTGCAAGAATTGTCTGTTTTTCTGGGGTCCTTTTCTGTTTTCTAGTTTAATACTCTAAATTATAAACATGGGATTTCTGGGATTGATATATATTTCTAGCATGGTTTTTAAGGTAGAAACAAGCCAGGATTGCTATAACGACCATTGAAATAACCATGATTTCAGGCTGGGCGCAGTGGCTCATGCTTGTAATCCCAACAATGTGGGGGGCCAAGCAGGGAGGATCCCTTGAGCCCAGGAGTTCAAGACCAGCCTGGCCAACATAGCGAGACCCCATCTCTATGAAAAAATTTAAAAAATACCCGGGTGTGGTGGCACACCACTGTGGTCTCAGCTACTCGGGAGGCTGAGGCAGGAGGATCGCTTGAGCCCAGGGGTCAAAGCTGCAGTGAGCCATGATTGTGCCGCTGTAGTCGAGCCTGGGCAACAGAGTGAGACCCTGTCTCTAAAAAGAAAAAAGAAAAATTATGATTTCTAACACTGATGACTCCAAATGTATCATCCATAGGACACTACCCAATACAAATGAAAAGGCCTCTCGTGTCAAGAATGCAAGCTCGGTGGAGAGCACGCTGTTGCTGAAAGCCCTCCCCGGAGGGAGACACAAGACTGCTCCCAGTGCACACCGGGCCAGGCGCCAGGCGCAGGTGGCCTGTCCACAGACTTCAACAAACACAGAACGGCTTGCTCTGGCTTTTCATTTTCTGTGTGTTAACGATGCTTGGGCATCTGGGGCCTTGCTGCCCCTCTGGGCCTGGCCAATTCCTAGACAGTGAAGGGCCTGCCTTCGGGCACGGCCATCCTATGCGAGCAGCTAATCTGGTGCCCATACTCAGAATCGCCTCCTGTATTGGGCCCCACACTCCAGAAGGCAGTGTTTCTCAGCCTTAATCACCCAGGGCCAGGTGCGGGACAGCTGAAGACCACCCTGTGGCCCAGATCCTGCTGAAATTCTTCAAGCTTCCAGCCCGCCGGCCCTAACCAGCCGGCTCACCTCACCTCGCCCTCTCCTTCTCATGATAAAGGCCCTGGCCCAGGTCTTCCGCACGACCCTGCCGCCTCCTGGCCGACGCGCCGCTCCTGCGTGGCCTTGCGTGCCCTGCCTCCTGTTTCTAGGGACCTGGGAGTGTAATCTTCCTAGGATGGTCACTTGGGTGTCTGCACATCTTAACATCCCTGACGAAGATGCCCTGGGTACATCCACACAGCCAGCTGTTTCCAGATCTCTTTAGCTGTGGCAACAAGTTGCTTGGCACCAGCATTCCGGCCCTTGGCTTCCACATTCTGATTTTGTAACCCTAAGAAGAGCCTCATCTTCCCTCAGTCCTGACACATTTTCAGGCCTCTGTTCCGCTAAAGTGAGATCATCTGTTAGTCCGCGGCCTGTGCCAATGTGATCAGAAAGGAAAATCAGCTTCTCCGAAGATAAATGAACATTTACTCACACAACTACAGACAGCTAAAAAAGTCTAAATTTTCACACGCTTATAAATTCCTTGAGGCAACTCTTAAACCGACTCTCCTCACTCCATTTAACCTACAATTAATCATTCCCATGTGAATGCTGAGAGCTGATCCCCTACTTGGAGAGCTGATCACTCAATTAATCCCACTCTTCCTTTTCTCTAAAATAGAAATGTTTCCTGAGTAGGAAAATAACACAAAGCTAATACATGCTTATTACGAAAAATTCAGACAATACTAAAAGAAAGTAAAAAAAAAAAAAAAAAAATGCTTATAACCCCACCACACAGAAAAGGCTGTATTTCAATAGTGTTTTCAGACACTTTTGTTTTCTCTCTCTCTCTCTCTCTCTCCTCTATTTTCAGACCTTTTTCTTTTCTCTTTCTCTCTTTCTTTTCTTTTTTTAGTGAGAAAAGGGTCTGGATCTGTGGCCCGGGATGGAGTGCAGCAGTGCTACCTTGGCTCTCTGCAGCCTCCACCTCCTGGGCTCGAGCGATCTTCCCACCGCTGCCTCCCGAGCAGCTGGGACCATAGGTGGTGGCTTCTACTGGTTTTATCCATGAGCTCCTCTTAGAGCAAACTGCAGCCTCAGGATGGTGACACCAAGTTCCTTGCTTTTCGTCTGAACATGCATGGGCTCACATCTGCCTTCTGAAGGATCCTCCTACCCACTGGAAGGGGATTTGTGAGGACGCCCTTCTACCACCAGAAGTGCAAGTGCAGGCAGCGCCGGCCATGGTGAGCAGAGCATGGCTGCGACCCTCCAGGGAGGCAAGTACAGCACCGGCCATGGTGAGCAGAGCATGGCTGTGACCCTCCAGGGAAGCAAGTGCAGCACCGGCCATGGTGAGCAGAGCATGGCTGCGACCCTCCAGGAAGGCAAGTGCAGCACCGGCCATGGTGACCGGAGCATGGCTGCGACCCTCCAGGGAGGCAAGTGCAGGCAGCGCCGGCCATGGTGAGCAGAGCATGGCTGCGACCCTCCAGGGAGGCAAGTGCAGCACCGGCCATGGTGAGCAGAGCATGGCTGCGACCCTCCAGGGAGGCAGCAGAGAGCCAGGGACCTCGGAGCCACAGAGACGCCGCCGCGACTAGCTGCCCCCGGGTAGCGTCCACACACGCTGAGGGAGTGGAGAGGCAGGAGAGCATCCATCTAGGGTCCCTGCTCACCTGCCGGGTCCCTGCTAACAGTCACTCCACGTTCAACCCGTGCACAGCTGAGTGACGGCAGGGAGGGCACAGGAAGCCCCACCCCACCCAGAGGGCAGTGCCCGCTGAGGCTTTGCCAACTTGTGTTCTGGAACTTAGATGAGAGGAGAGGACGCATGCCCAGGTCCATGCAGGGGCCTGGTTGAGCCTTCGTCCTTTCCCCCCAAGCCCCTCCTGCCTCTCAGTGACAGCTCCGGCCGCATAACTACACCCTCCGCATGACCAAGATTTGGAAAACTCTTTACTCACCAGCCTTGAGACTCAAATATCAGTTCGAGAAGTCAATTTGCTGACAGTCAATTAATCCAAAACCCGGACTTCGATACACACGACATGAGTTATAGAAATCAATGGTGATGATAAAGGGGAGTGGGATTTTCAGTGGCTGGTCAGAAAAAACTCTGGACAGGGAAACGGTCAGAACCGTCACGACCAAAGTCTCACCGCACCTGACGGGAGACTCAACTGAATGGTCACTGTACCTTATGAGGAACTTCCGGGCAATCCTCTTTCTCTTCTTTCTTCATTTCTTGCAATTCTTGGAGCTTGCTGGTAAGTGTCTGAATCTCCTCTCTAAGGCGGAAAGGGAAAAGATGAGACACCTCACCTGTCACTATGTGATGAAGGCCGGCACAGGGCAGGGTGGGGCGGGCGGTCCAGGCGGAGACAGGGGGACACCAGGCAGCCTGTAGAGAGCTGGTGGGGCCATGTCTCCCTGAGCCACAGGGCTCCAGCTATGACCTGACAACACCAGAAACCATCGCAGGCCGGGACTTCCTGTTGTCTCCTGCTCTGGGCTGGAAGCCCCACGAGGCCGTGGCTGAGGACCCCCAGGGCCCAGCACCTCTCCTGAAACAACTAAGAACTAAAAAAAGAATCCGTTGTGTGAATGATAAGTAAGTAGGAGGCCAGGCCGGACGCCTGTGATCCCAACCCTCTAGGAGGCCAAGGCCAGAGGATCGCTTGAGCCCAAGCATTTGAGATAAATAAGCAGGGACCACTGACCACTGGGGTTTTAGTAAACAGTATGAACAGAAGGCATTGCAATTTAGATATTCATTCCAGGTACTAAAGGCAAAACAAAAAAAAATTCATTTCTGCACATGTGCCCTTTCAGATTTACTTTAATTCAAGTCTTCTGACAGAATTCAGTCAGATTTCTCCTGAAAATGAAATGTTTTCTTTTTTTTTGTTTGTTTGAGACAGAGTCTCGCTCTGTCACCCAGGATAGAGGACAGTGGCATGCTCTCTGCTCACTGCAACCTCTGCTGCCCGGGTTCAAGCTATTCTCCTGCCTCAGCCTCCCAAGTAGCTGGGATTACAGGCACCTGTCACTGTGCCCGGCTAATTTTTGTATTTTTGGTAGAGACGGGGTTTCACCATGTTGGTCAGGCTGGTCTTGAACTCCTGACCTCACGATCTGCCCGCCTCGGCCTCCCAAAGTGCTGCGATTACAGGCATGAGCCACTGTGCCCGGCCACAGTTTTCTTCATTCCGGTAGTCTATGTCTTACTAATTATTCTGAGTGCTAAATATGTCTGCTCAGATTTCTAACCTAGTTTTTTGTGCATTTTAAAAAGTTAAGACTCATCACATAGAATTCACTATTTTAAAGGGTATAATTCAGTGAATTCTAGCATCTTCACAATGCTGTGCAGCTACCACCCCTCTCTAATTCCAGAACGTTTACATCGCCCCAGAAAGGAAGCCATGCTCGTCAGCAGTCCTCGCTCCCCTCCCAGCCCCTAGCAGCAGCACTTGTCACGTGGGTCCGCCCGTTCTGGACATTTCCTGCGCAAGGAATCGTGTGCTACGCGGCCTTTTGTGCCTGGCTTTCTTTGCCGAGCACCAGGTTTTCCAGGGTCCCCGGGCCGGGCCGGTCAGGGCTTCCGTCCACTCTGCGCCTACGCGTGGTCGACCTCAGGGTGTTTGTCCACCAGCAGTTGATGGGCCGTGGGGTGGGCGCTGCTTCCTGGCTCTCGCGAATGGCATTACTGTGAGGGCACGGGCGGCCCCTCTTAAGGATGTGGCCCACACCTGGGTGGTTCTGACCAGAGGCCAGTGTGACAGCTGGTTGGGAAGGGGCAGGTGCTGGCACAGCCAGAGCAGAGGACGCCCCTGAGAGGTGGCCACGATGCCAGAGGGCAGGCCCTGCTCAGCACCAAGAGGTTAGTCCCGGGCTGGGTGACAGAAAACCATGAAAGACTGTGAGGAGGTGTGGCCTTTCTAAGAAGCCGGCTGGCAGCAAGGCTGAGACGCCACGGGGGGCCGCAGTGGTAGCAGGAGTGCGGACTCGCCTGGGTCCTCTCCAGCCCTGACCCGGGTCACATACCTCAAAACCTCCTCTCGCTCTCTCCTCTCCTCCTCGCCCTCCCTCGCGCACTCCAGCTCCTTCTCCAGGTCGGCCTTCGCCTGCAGGAGCTGCTTCACCTCCAAACTGCACACAAGAATAGGAGACTCGTCAGCGTTCACAAAAACTGTAGGTTATGTCAGAGCAGGAAGGCACTTCAGAAAATGACAGTGCTCAGCCCTTCCTTAGGACAGTGGATGGTGGGGCAGGAGGAGCACAAAAGGCCCATTTCTAATCACACATTGCCAAGGACAGACCTCAGGGCTCTGCCTGCCCTGAACCGAGCACCTGCTGTGTGCAGGGGATCAACCGGACTAAGCCAGAGAAGGCCCTGCCATCAGGCCATAGAATGAGGAGTTGCCCCTCCAGCCGCCACTCATTGGCACGGACCTCGCACCCGTGTGAGGGTGCTGCAGGCAGGCGCGGGGTCCGTGAATGGGGCAGGGGCCTGCCCCGCCTAGACCGTGGCACTGCCTGTGCGGGGCTCCAGCTGAACTGCTCCCAGATGCGTTTCTTGCGTCCCATGCGGTGTGATGGCCACACACTGGCCTTCGACGGAGACTTCTGTCCGAGTCTCAGATGGACTGTATGCTGTCTGCGAGCCCCGACTGCTCAGGGCCTGTGAGTCTCTGTATTAAATGCCAGCAACCCTAGAGTGCTTCGCAGAGCCCCTGTCACACGGTAAGGGCTCCTAAGAGGTGGCTCTTGTCACGCCACTTGACAGCATCACAGATCCTTCCAGAAGTGATTTACCTTTCATAATGACTACCTTAATGTTTTTTACCTAATGTCTATGAACTCTGTAATGATTGTTTAATTGGAAAAGCTTGTCGTGAAATACTAATTTTTACAAAGGACCTATCAATTGGCATAAATGCACTCCGAGACCTCACGTGAGGGGTAAGGACAGTGGTGACGGGTTGGCCTTCTACTGTTCACAGCAGGCAGCAGAGAACGTAGCTGGCCGGGAGGCACCGGCCAAGTTTTTCTCAGTCCCTAAAGTACACACAGATCACCTGTAGGGCCGGGCGCGGTGGCTCACGCCTGTAATCCCAGCACTTTGGGAGGCCGAGGCAGGCCCGGGTGCGGTGGCTCACGCCTGTAATCCCAGCACTTTGGGAGGCCGAGGCAGGCCCGGGTGCGGTGGCTCACGCCTGTAATCCCAGCACTTTGGGAGGCCGAGGCAGGCCCGGGTGCGGTGGCTCACGCCTGTAATCCCAGCACTTTGGGAGGTCGAGGCAGGCAGATCACTTGAGATCAGGAGTTCCAGACTCAGCCTGGCCAACATGGTGAAACCCCATCTCTACTAAAAATACAAAAATTAGCCAGGTGTGGTGGCACATGCCTGTAATCCCAGCTACTTGGGAGGCTGAGGCATGAGAATTGCTTGAACTGGGGAGGCAGAGTTTGCAGTGAGCCCAGATTGTGCCACTAAACTCCAGCCTGGGCAACAGAGTGAGATTCTGTCTCAAAAAAAAAAAAAAAAAAAAAATCACCCGCAGATCCCACTGGAAGCAGAGTATGATTCCGAAGGCTGGGGTAGGGCCTCGGTGGCTGCATTCTAACCAGCTCCTAGCTCTTGTTGCTGCTGCTGGCCTCACAGGCCACTCTGAGGGGCAGTCACTGTAGTTCTTGCAAACTAGAGAGAAACATCATTCCAAAGATGATGGAGGTGGCTGATTCATGAAGGAGCCGAGCCCTGAGGAGCTATCAACAGGAGGAGGACAGGAGCCAGGCCGGGTGTTCCACGGCCACAGGTCATGGAACTCCAGAACCCCCGGTGAGGCCCTGCCTTCCCAGCCCTGTGGTCACACCAACTATTTCATAGCATTTATGTCTTCCTTCGTTTTTTTTTTTTGAGACAGAGTCTCACTGTTACCCAGGCTGGCATGCAGTGGTACGATTATAGCTCACGGCAGCCTCGACTTCCCAGGCTCAAGCGATTCTCCCACCTCAGCCTCCCAAATAGGCGGGATTACAGGCTTCAACCACTACAACTGGCTAATTTTTGTATTTTTTGTAGGGACGAGGTTTCACCATGCTGTCCAGGTTGGTCTCGAACTCCTGGACTCAGGCAATCCTGCCACCTTGGCCTCCCAAAGTGCTGGGATTACAGGCGTGAGCCACTGCGTCAGGCTGGAGCATTTATGCTTTATTTCCTACGTATTAATAGATCATATCCCCCATAAACATATTACTGAATTAAGACCATGCTGCATAAAATCGAATTGATTTTACATAAACCAATGAAAGTCAATTCCTCTCTAACAGACAATTTGAAGATTCCTCTGGAATTCAGGGTAGAGAGATTTAAATGTGCTCTCCCACCGTTCCCTACACTTTTGAGTTGAGGTCTCACTCAGTTGCCTAGGCTGGAGTGCAGTGACATGATCATAGCTCACTGCAGCCTCGAACTCTTGGGCTCAAGTGATCCTCTGCCTTGGCCTCCTGAGTAACTGGGACTACAGACATGAGCCACCACGCCCAGTTAATTTAAGAAATTTTTTGTACAGATGGAGTCTTGCTGTGTTGCCCAGGCTGGTCTGAAACTCCTGGCCTCAAGCAATCCTCCCACTTCGGCCTCCCAAAGTGCTGGGATTACAGGCATGAGCCACCGTGCCCGGCCAGTATCTTTTTATCACTAAAGCTGCCTTTATTTTACCACCAAAATGTAAGCAGTTTTAGAATCATATAAAAATATTTATGCAGTGACTACTACGAGCTGAACAGTTTTCCAAATTGACAATTGTTTAACCCCGGCAACAATCAGTTTCCATAGGGAGTGAGAGCTGCTTCCCTGGTGAGGCTGCTGGTGGGGCCTGGGGAGGATCTACTCTCTCTGCAGCACCTGTGCCTGTGGGGACACTGGCGGGGCCTGGGGAGGACCTACTCTCTCTGCAGCACCTGTGCCTGTGGGGACACTGGCGGGGCCTGGGGAGGACCTACTCTCTCTGCAGCACCTGTGCCCGTGGGGACACTGGCGGGGCCTTGGGAGGACCTACTCTCTCTGCAGCAGCTGCTCCTGCAGCGCGGTCCGCTCTTCCTTCAGGTCTCTCACAGCCCCTCGGAGACGCTCGTGGTCCTTGTTGCGGTCCCCTCGTGGCTGTCTGTGCAGCGCAGAGCTGGATGCAAGGCAGGCTGGCGGGTGTGATCTGACTGGCTCTGCGGCGTGTGATTTTGAGCTCTCCATCACACTTAGTTTCTGGAGGCAACACAGACATGTGTTAGATACTAGTTCTCATTTCTACTTTCTATTTACCAAACCCAGAAAAGAGACACTGAACCAGGGCAAACTGAGTCTCCAGCAGGGCCATGAGAAAGCTTTGAGGGGACCCGAGTTACCCAGAGAAGCTGCCGGGCACAAGCTACTGGAAGAGCATGATCCCTGCTCAGTCTCTTTAATCAGAAGTGAGGCACGCGCAGACCCCCGCCAAGCCAGGGCGCAGGCAGAAGTCATTAAAACAGAGAGGAGGGCACGAGGGGAGGGGACTCAAACGACTCTGCACATCTTCCCTCCTGTCCCCTGGAACTGCCGACATTTTCAGCCTTCATGCTTTCAGTCTCGAGTGACATCCTGGTGTCGCCTGCAAAGTGCCGCTGAGCCCGTCCCCGCCCTCCACTCCTGCCTCTCCCGGATCTTGGACGTGCTGCCCACTGTGCTTCCGAACCACCTCTGGGTGCCTTGACTTCCCAACAAGTTCTATATTTTAAATGCCCACAATTTATAGAACCTTTTCTTCTTTTTTTTTGAGACGGGGTCTGGCTCTGTCACCTAGGCTGGAGTGCAATCACAGCTTGCTGCATCCTTGAACTCCTGGGCTCAAGCGTTCCTCCTGCCTCAGCCTCCCAAGTAGCTGGGAATACAGGTGTGCACCACCACACCAGGCTAATTGTTTTTATTTTTGTAGAGATGGGGTCTTGCTATGTTGCCCAGGCTGGTTTCAAATTCCTGGGCTCAAGTAATCCTCCCAGCTTAGCCTCCCAAAGTACTGGGATTGCTGGTGTGAGTCATTGTACCTGGCTAGTTTTCTATGTTGTAAATATGTAAAAAACTATTTTTTAAAAACGTTTTTCCCTCTAGGTTTATTTTGCTTGGCCAAACAACACAGATGCTCTAATTTACTATTTAAAATACAAAGGTCCAGGCCAGGCGCGGTGGCTCACGACTGTAATCCCAGCACTTTAAAGGCCAAGACAGGCAGATCACTTGAAGTCAGGAGTTCGAGACCAGTCTGGCCAACATGGTGAAACCTCATGTCTACTAAAAATACAAAAATTAGCTGGGCGTGGTGGTGGGCACCTGTAATCCCAGCTACTGGTGAGGCTGAGGCAGGGGAACTGCCTGAACCCAGGAGGCAAAAAGTTGCAGTGAGCCGAGATTACGCCACTGCACTGCAGCCTGGGCGATAGAGTGAGACTCCACCTCAAAAAAAAAAAAAAAAAAAAAAAAAAAACCAGCCAGGCACAGTGGCTCACGTCTGTAATCCCAGCACTTCAGGAGGCCAAGGTGGGTGGATCACGAGGTCAGGAGATCGAGACCATCCTGGCTAACATGGTGAAACCCCGTCTCTACTAAAAATACAAAAAATTACCCGGGTGTGGTGGTGGGCACCTGTAGTCCCAGCTACTGGGGAGGTTGAGGGAGGAGAATCACTTGAACTCGGGAGGCGGAGGTTGCCGTGACCTGAGATCGCGCCACTGCACTCCAGCCTGGGGACAGAGTGAGACTCCATCTCAAAAAAAAAGAAAAAAAAAACAAAAACAAAAACAAAACAAAGGTCCAATTCCAATAGAATCAGCCTAATTCCTACTTTGCAGTCGCATAGGGGATGTGGGGAAATGTTCATTTCCCGACATTTCTGCCTGGCCAGGAGTTGGGTCAACAATTTCCTGTGGATTCCAACACGACTTGAGTGGTGGGAAGCAGTGCCTGGTCATCAGCGGGCAGTGCACAGCCCACAGCCTGCACAGGCGGGCTGGACTGTGAGGGGCTCCAGTGCGAAGCGCGTCTGCCTGCGGCCACGCACAGAAGCTCACAGCCCAGCGAGGGGCATGAGAGCTGCCTTCAGCGTTGTCTAGACCTGGAAGAAGTCTCCTTGCGGTCTGTGTGTGGCGCTGCCTGGCAGACAGCCAGTGCCATGCTCAGCGCCACCTTCCGCACCCTGTGAGCCCGTCCCCACAGCATGAGGCCCCTGGTCCCCAACGACAGTGGCACTGAGACGCCCGCTCACCTTCTCCAGCTCCACAATGCGCCTCAGCAGCCGGGGCTTGCTCCACTCCACATAACCTGATGGAAGCAATGCGGTTTCAAAACGGCATCCTGGTGGGCACTGCCAGCAGGGCCACCCTTCTCAGGTATGGCCTGAGGCTCCTCTTCCGCAGCCGGAGCAGCCTGCGGGGCTGCAGAGCCACACCGACAGGTCCTGGCTACCAGAGAATTTTGCCAGCGCTGGCCCAGTCTCTGCCCCCTTGGATCGTGAAGAGATAGATGTCTGTATTAACAGCCTCCAAGCATCTCGGGGTGACATCCTTTCCCGATTCCACCTGGCCAGGCCATTAAGACAGTTCTCATCAAGATCTCCGATGACTGTCAGTCTGCCAAATCCAACAATCGGTTCTCAGCCTGTCCCCTTCCTGGCATGCACAGCCCCTCGCTAGCCACTCCTCCCCTCTGCCTCGCTGGCTGCCCCTCGCCTCCCCCATATACCGCCAAGTTCAGGGCCTGACCCCCTGCTCCTCTCACTCCAGGTGACCTCACTCGATCCACCTAAGTGCTGGTGACCCACATGCTCAGTTCTCCAGCCCAGGCCTCTGCCTCGCACCCCCACACAGCCACTGCCTGGCCCCCACTCCCACACACTCAGACCTCCCGTGGCCTTTCCCCAAACCTGCCCCTCTGCCTCCCCCATCTCAGGAAATAGCAACTCTGTCTTTTTCAGCTGCTGGGACAAAAAGCCTTGGAGCCTGGCTGCTCCCTCTCAGAGCCTACACCCTCTCTGCAGTTTCCCTAAGCTCCAGCTACAAGATGCAACCAGACCCTGAACACCTTTCACCACACCCACTGCTGCCCCCATCCAGGCCACCAGCAGCCCGACTAGACAAGCGCAGAAGCCTCTGTCTGCCACCATCCCCATCTCTGCACAGAAGCCAGGGGGCCTCGGGAAGCAGCACGGCCCCCCTCCACCCTCTGCCTAACACTCCCACAGCACCCCTAAGGCTCCCATGGCACCCTGCCTCGCCCCGCTGGGCCTCAGGGGCCACACTCCACGTGTCTCCCAGGCACTCAGCTCTGCCCCGCCTGTCCCACGCCTGCTGCCGTCTTCATGGCTATCTCGCCCCTTCCAGGTCCCGCTCAGCTGTCACCGTCTTGGGGGTGCCTTCCTGTCAACCCTGCTTGCAGCTGCACACACCACCTGCCTCACCCCAAAATGTGTCCTCCTCCCCTCCTCCATGGCACTTACAGCCATCTGACACATGTCACGCATCTGACCCAGCTCCTCTCTCCCTCCCACAGCATTGTCTCCTCCAGGGATGTCTGTGAGCTTCTGTTTGCGGCTCCATCCCCGGGGCATCGCGTGGCCCGCGGCAGGTGCTGGCACATGTGGGAACTGGCGTTGCCCAAGGGTTCACATCTGCCCTCGTGGTGCCTGTCCTCAGTTGGGCCTACCCAGTGGCCATGCCCTGCCATTCCCTGCCATTCCCTGGCCTCCCTCCTGGAGTGGCTTTCAGGAAGGTACCCTGTGTCTTGGAGATGGTTGGGGAGGTGCTCAGCACGCGGTCCAGGTCCTCCTTCAGGCTCTGGTTCTCTTCCGTGAGCTCCTGGACACTCCGGGACAAGCTCAGGAGGGCACTGCCCATCTTCTTCTGCCTTTTGGCGCCCGTCTTCTTCTCCCCCAGGGGCCTGGAACAACCAAATCGTGGACTGAGGTTTGCATTGCTAAGCTGGTTTCACACATGCTTGAAACGAGGGACAGGTGAATCACAGCTTGCTCTGTTGGTTGTGAGCTCAGAGTGGTTTTTGCAGGTGAGTATTTGAAATCGAATAGGCAGTAATAACTTTGAACTCTAAATAAGCAAAATGTTAGCACCCAAAATGGAACCCCATCCTTATGCAAGGTAAACCTGTGTAACAAAATACCGTGTTCAACCATCAGTATTATACTTTCCATGCCATCACTAGAAGGGCTGTGGAAAGGCATCTTGTTACGCCAGGTGCTTGCAGGATAGCTCGGGTTTCGCCTCTTAGCCCAGGAGGTGTAAAGTACAGTCGATCCTCATTATCTGCAGGTCCCGTAATTGCAAATGTGCTTGCTGCTAAAATGGATCCATCAGCCGAAAATCAATACTCATGCAGGTTTTGTGGGGATTCTTGCACGTGCACAGGTGATGAAAAATGCCAGTCGCTGGCGCGCACGTTCCCAGCTGGGGCTGACCCAGGTGGTGCTCAGCTCCTCACCTCAGCTCAGGTAAAAACAAGTGTGCTTTCTGTGGCCTGCCTGGCGCTGTGGCTCTCACGTTTCTGTGCTGTTTGCTCGTGACGCTGCCTTGCGTGGGCTGGACTGCAGTGCTGAGTGCCGTCCAGTGCCTCTAAGCTCAGGAAGGCTGTGTGGGCCCCCGTGGAGACGCTTATGCGCGTGCAAGAAGCCTCGTTCAGGCCAGCCATGAGTTTGATGAAAATTAATCCACAATCACTATTAAACAGGGTGTCTTTAAACAGAGACACATGTTAGCCAGGTTATACATTGACTAGCTGATGAAAATGCTGTGACCAGGCTGGGCATGGTGGCTCATGCCTGTAATCCTAGAACTTTGGGAGGCTGAGGCAGGCGGATCACCTGAGGTCAGGAGTTCGAGAACAGCCTTGCCAACATAGTAAAACCCCATCTCTACTAAAAATACAAAAATTATCTGGGTGTGGTGGCATGTGCCTGTACAGTCCCAGATACTTGGGAGGCAGAGGCAAGATAATCACTTGAACCCAGGAGGCAGAGGTTGCAGTGAGCTGAGATCACACCACCGCACTCCAGCCTGGGCAACATTTGCCAAAAAAAAAAAAAAAATGTTATGAGCAGAAGCTCGCAGGAGCCCTGTACCTCCCATTGGAGCAGTGGTTTAGTATTCGCTCGTTCTATGTTCATGGAGACTTTATAACTCTGTAAGGCGGACGTGATTACCACTACACTACAGAAACCTGCAGACATTTTATAACTGAATAATGAGAATCGACTGTAGTTAGCATCTGGTCCTTTACAGAAAAAGTTTTCCAACCAGTTTTAAGGATTAGGGGTAAAGAAAAAGGAAAGCAGTCCACGACGTCAGCAAACTGCTGCAGAGGCCAGTGACGTGGCCAAAGCCATGATCAGAGATCAGCCACCCAGAAGCAGATGGAAGCTTTGGGAAAGGGATGTGGGAGATCTACCAGACAAGGAGAACCTCGGTGTTTCTCCTGATAAACTTATTTAGGAAAACATTAGGTGGCAAAGTAAACTTGTCCTTGTGTGCAATGTCTTCCTAAAAAGGTGGCTCTGCTTTGAAACAGCACTTTCTAGCTCTAAGCTGGAAGGCAGGATGTAGAATCTATAACGAACACGGGCGGCATTGAACACGCGTTGGCCATCAACACGTGGTCACTATGAGGAGTCTGTGAACACTGCAAATGGAAACGTGTCAACTCTAACCCTGAACAGAACAGGTGCAGTGTTGGCAGCACTGCCAAGCTAAGGGCAGTATATGCCGCACCCACGTGACAGCCACACATTCTCAGAGGAGCTTCCACAACGTGAAGGCAACACACAAAACACAGCTTGCAAGCGGCCATCATACTTCTTTCCGGTGGTTTCAGAACTTGCCAAGAGGGTCTGGAGACGATGCACCTGTAAATACCAAATTGAAATGCATGAAAACACAAGGCTAGCATGGAGAAGACCTTATCTGAAAAGACCAACATCACAGTCCTGACCGCTGCCTACGGCCAGAAGCGGGAACTAAGTGGCCGCACTTCATCTTTCCGTTGGGCTGAAGCAGGAGCAGGCTCCAGGAGCACAGCTCTGGGCCACCTGGGCTCGGCCCACCACCCGGGGCCAGCGCCGGTCCCCTCCCACTCGGTGCCCGCCCTCCGCCCCGCCACCCAGCACGGTGCCCGCCCTCCGCCCCGCCGCCCAGCTCGGTGCCCGCCCCGCCGCCCAGCTCGGTGCCCGCCCCGCCGCCCAGCACGGTGCCCGCCCTCCGCCCCGCCACCCAGCACGGTGCCCGCCCTCCGCCCCGCCGCCCAGCTCGGTGCCCGCCCCGCCGCCCAGCACGGTGCCCGCCCTCCGCCCCGCCGCCCAGCTCGGTGCCCGCCCTCCGCCCCGCCGCCCAGCTCGGTGCCCGCCCTCCGCTCCGCCGCCCAGCACGGCGCACCTCCTCGTAGTATGTCTCCATGGCGATCCGCATCTCTTCCAGGTTGGTAGTCTTCATATCGGTCTGGAGTTTGCTGAAAACCCAAGTTCAGCGTTAATAGGGATGTGCCAGCGTTCCCAGGGGACAGAGCAAGAGGAAGAGTTTCCCAGAACGTTCAGAAGAGGAGAGGCTTTGGAAAAGACCCAGGATGGGAGGGAAAAGCCTGAACGGGCCTTCATTTGACTTGTTCCTTGAACAAGTGACTCGTTTCGAGCCTGATGGGAGAATTCCTCACGCTGGAAAGCATCTCCTGTGTAGACCAGCCACTTTCCAAAGTGAGTAAACAGCTTTTCCAGAGATATTCTTCTCCAAGTAAGATGCTGTCTTTAAAAGACTAGATTAATGGTGCGGAAAGGCCTTGGAGCTTAGAAAGGACAAGCCGTCTTTGAATGGATGGTTTTGTAAGGAAGAGAGAATCACTTTTCCCTGGCACTGTCAGGCCATCCCCTCGGTCTCAAAAGAGAGTAGACTTTAGATAGACACATCGATAGAGAAACGAAAGCAAAGTCATGGAGGTTCTGCACTGAAATAAGACAAAATCTGCAAACTTAAGTTGACAAAATTCGGCAGGAAACGAGGGGGGAACTATTGTACGAACAGGAGACATAAGGCAATGGACGTGTGGCCTCAGTTTCCCTTAAAGAAACCAAAACACAGCCCAGAAAGACTCTCCCTTCGCACTCGAAAGTCAGGTACAGAAATGCGAGTAGCCACGCCAAAAACAGCACAAGGACGGCGCAGGACTGAGGCGTTAAAACCTCATCCTGGAAAGATACAGGGGTCCACAGAACAAGCAGGTTTCGAGAAAGCATCTTTTAAATATAACAGGAAGAAGTTAAAGGGAATTATCTGGAGGAAACAAAGACAATAAAAAAATTAAAAAGAGGCAGCTAACATTCACCTTCGGCTTTGGGCTGGGAGTAGGGACACAGGACGGGGTGGGGGAGGAACAAAGGCGGGCGTCTGAGCAAGCAGAACACGGGGCGGAAGGCAGGGGAGAGGGTGCAGCCCTGCGCCCACCTGATGGTGCCGTCCTTCTCCTTGCACTGCTGTTCCAGCTTCAGGATCCTCTGCTTCAGCCCGTTAATGACCTGCCCGGGGAACGTGCCCATCAGGCAGGCCACGCCCTCTCTCCCTCAGTAGAAGCGGCTGTCCCCTCCTGCCAGAGCACCGGCACACCTCACTGTCCTTCCTCCCTCCAGCGCTGTGCTCTCTTCTAGACTACGGGCCCAGGGAAGAGGGAGGGCCCCACTGTGCTGTCCTGTCCCTGAGTAAGGCTGGGTGAATGGCAGGGGTGCGACACCGGCTGGAGCAGGAGGTGGCAGCCATCGTGGGCACACTGACCGACTGGCAGCCCTCCCCCAAGCACACTGCACACCTGGGGGACAGAGCAGGGTGTGCCCTTGATTATATTAAATAAAAGAAGCAGCCCCATCACCAGCTGGATAAACCACAGACCTGAAGCCCCTAGGGCCGCCCAGTTCAGTCTCCATGGGGCAGTGAGTGAGGGTGGGAGACAGCGCGGCCGTAGGGGCCTGAGGAGCCACTCCCCTCTATTTGGGGAAGGGAGAACAGCTCCAGCGGCCTCCTCACCTCCTTTTCTGTGAATGTCTTGCTTAGAGGAGACAATATTCTTATATTCTTTAAAGAACATTCTTTTGCCGGGCGCGGTGGCTCACGCCTGTAATCCCAGCACTTTGGGAGGCCGAGGCGGGTGGATCATGGGGTCAGGAGATCAAGACCATCCTGGCTAACAAGGTGAAACCCCGTCTCTACTAAAAATACAAAAAAAAATTAGCCAGGCGCGGTGGCGGGCGCCTGTAGTCCCAGCTACTCGGGAGGCTGAGGCAGGAGAATGGCATGAACCCGGGAAGCGGAGCTTGCAGTGAGCCGAGATTGCGCCACTGCACTCCAGCGTGGGTGACAGAGCGAGACTCCATCTCAAAAAAAAAAAAAAAAGAACATTCTTTTCTTCTAAATAGACAACTTTTAAATAGAGATGGGGTTTCACTATGTTGCCCAGACTGGTGTTGAACTCCTGGACTCAAGCAATCTGCCTGCCTTGGCCTCCCAAAGTACTAGGATTATACGTGTGAGCCACCACACCAGGCTTGAACAGACAACTTTTAAATTGGATTTTAAAGTCATTTTAAATTATGTTAGTTGGCCGGGTGCAGTGGCTCACGCCTATAATCCCAGCACTTTGGGAAGCCAAGGCAGCCAGATTGCCTGAGGTTAGGAGTTTGAGACCAGCCTGGCCAACATGGTGAAACCCCATCTCTACTAAAAATACAAAAAGTAGCCGGGCATGGTGGTAGGTGCTTGTAATCCCAACTACTCAGGAGGCTGAGGCAGGAGAATCGCTTGAACATGGGAAGTGGAGGGTGCAGTGAGTCGAGATCTCGCCACTGCACTGCAGCCTGGGCGACAGAGCCAGACTCAGTCTCAAAATAAATAAATACATAAACAAATAAATTATGTTAGTCATAGATGAATACATTTTCCTTTAAAAAAAGAAGATGTTACAGGGCTGGGCGCGGTGGCTCATGCCTGTAATCCCAGCACTTTGGCAGGCCAAGGTGGGCAGATCACAAGGTCAGGAGATCGAGACCATCCTGGCTAACACGGTGAAACCCCGTCTCTACTAAAAATACAAAAAATTAGCCGGGCATGGTGGCGGGCGCCTGTAGTCCCAGCTACTCAGGAGTAGCTGAGTAGCTGGAGCAGACTCCGTCTCAAAAAAAAAAGATGATGTTATAGAGGCTAAAATACTCTGACCTGGCCACTCCCCTCTTCGGCCAACCAAATCCTGTTTCCGCTTGCGTGCCCCTCAGCACCTGGTTCTGTGCATGGCCGTGTGTGTGCATTCAGGGAGTCAGGCCCTCTGTTCTCACAGAAACGGGGCTCTGCCACACACATCCCTCTGCATCTTTCTTTTTTTTTATTCTAACATTCAACAAATCCTCCTGGTGCTCTGTCCCTGCTGGCGCCTGTGAATCCACACTATTTCCCACAGTATCTCTATCCAGCCTCTATTGATAGACACTTTTTTTTTTTTGAGACAGAGTTTCACTCTTGTAGCCCAGGCTGGAGTGCAGTGGCACGATCTCAGCTCACTGCAACCTCCACCTCCCAAGTTCAAGTGATCCTTCTGCCTCAGCCTCCTGAGTAGCTGGGATTACAGGCACGCGCCATCATACCTGGCTAATTTTTTTGTATTTTTAGTACAGATGGGGCTTCACCATGTTGGCCAGGCTGGTCTTGAACTCCTGACTTCAGGTGATCCACCTGCCTCAGCCTCCCAAAGTGCTGGGATTACAGGCATGAGGAACTGTGCCCGGCAGATAGACACTTTTAAAATCTTTTTTTTTTTTTTTGGCTATGCTCTAAAATCTATCACTGTAGCCTACTGACACATACTTAAGTTGTAGCCCATTTTTGTGATTCTGGTCAATCCTCCAATCGAAATCCTTGGCCAGGCCTCCTCAGGCACATCTGCAAATGTTTCTTGAAGGCAGGTGATGACACGTAGACACGGCAGGCCACAGGGCACAGCCACACTGATGGACAATTTGCCATATGATAATGAATACTGCATATACCCTAGGATCTGGAATTCCTACTTTAAACTAACCTCAGCCAGGTGCAGTGGCTGAGGCCTGTAATCCCAACACTTTAGGAGGCCAAGGCAGAAGGATCACATGAGCCTGGGAAACTTCGCAAGACCCCATCTTACCAAAACTAAAAAAAAATTAGCTGCCTGTGGTGGCACGTGCCTGTAGTCCCGGGTACTCAGGAGGTTGAGGTGGGAGTATCCCCTAAGCCAGGGATCACGTGAGCTGAATGCTGCAGTGAGCCATGATCCTGCCACTGCACGCCAGCCTGGGCAACAGAGTGAGTCCCTGTCTCAAGAAAAAAAAAAATACCCACAGACACACACACACACACACACACACACACACACACACACCACCAGAACAACAAAAACATGGAGCCTTTTCTTTACAAAAGTACCCACTACTTACAGGCATTTGTTAAGGATTTACTTTGTGCCGTCCTAGGTGCCGAGCTAGGCTTTCACCATCTACTTTAAACATGTAATGATTATACAATCTTTCTACATTCTATATCTGTGACATAGTTCAGAGGACACGGCCTTTTTTCTTTAGAGATTTATAGTTTTTTTTGTATTTTCTAAACAGAAAACTTTGTTGTATTGATCCATAATATCCTTCTCCTCCCCCATTACAGTGATCTGGTTGCTACCTTAGTCCCATGGCTTTTTATTATGTAACTTTTAATTTTACATTATCAAATCCATTAATCACATCATTAATGTTATTTTATTCTTTGCGTTCAATAATCTCAAAATCGTATCCCTTTCGGTTTTCTTCCACCATGTCCCACTTTAGAGAAGTACTTCCTTGACTGCTAGGAGGTGTACTGTGCCACCTACAGCTGATCGCCACAGCATTACCACCGAACCGCAACATCTTCCCTGCTTCCATTTCATTCAACTTCTTACATATTGTCACATAGTATCTGAGGGGGGTCTGGATCTATCTGAAGGACGTTATTGCTGCCCTGGTTCCCTGATTTACATCTGTAGCACCTTTTTTTTTTTTTTTTGGTCACCCAGGCTGGAGTGCAGTGGCGCGATCTCAACTCACCGCAACCTCTGCCATACAGGTTCAAGCAATTCTTGTGCCTCAGCCTCCTGAGTAGCCGGGACTACAGGAGCATGCTGCCATACCCGGCTTTTTTGTATTTTTAGTAGAGACAGGGTTTCACAACGTTGGCAAGGCTGGTCTCGAACTCCTGACCTCAAGTGATCTGCCTGCCTCGGCCTCCCAAAGCGCTGGGAGCGCTTGTTAAGCTTAATGTATTTTCTCAGGTGTGAGGGGGAAGTCGCCCGTTGTGATGGGTTTTTCCTACAGTGTCTTGCTTGGCCTCTGTGGTGAGCCTGCTGGCCCCCCTCCCCGTGGTGTCCCCAGGTGTCAGTGGAGAAGGGTTTGGGGGTCCGCAGCCTCCCCCCTGCCTGCTGCTCTTCACGCGTGGGTGCTGCAGGGAAAGGCGTCCCTCTGTGGCTGTCCCCAGTAACTAGCGTCTGGGGAAAGGCTCTGTCCTGCACACACCATACTCACCCAACTGGCATCGGGCCTTTTCTCTGCCAGAGTCCGAACAAAATCCGTGCCCTGTGGTAAGCAGATTGAGACATGAAGACGGCCTTCGGTGTAGCCCCCAGCAGGGCTGGCTGGCAGATGCTGCCCCGAGGACCCTCCCCTTGCCCCGTCCGTGAAGCGCCAGGAGCTTACGCGGCTGGGATCCAGGAGCTGCTCTATCTGCCGGTCCTTCCTGCTGTTTTCCTCCTCCAGGCGCCGGAGCTTCGTTCTCATCAGGTCCACGTCGCTCTTCTGCACGTGCAATGACTGAAGAAAACAAGGGCCATGCACAGCCATCCACACGAAGCTGCGCACACGCCGCACACACGTCCCCGCGCACACAGCCACGCACACGCCAATGCGGGCACGCCGCACACACGTCCCCACGCGCACAGCCACGCACACGCCACTGCGCGCACGCCGCACACACGTCCCCGCGCACACAGCCACGCACACGCCAATGCGCACACGCCGCACACACGTCCCCGCGCGCACAGCCAAGTACACGCCAATGCGCACACGCCGCACACACGTCCCCGCGCGCACAGCCACGCACACGACACTGCGGGCACGCCGCACACACGTCCCCGCGCGCACAGCCACGCACACGACACTGCGGGCACGCCGCACACACGTCCCCGCGCGCACAGCCACGCACACGCCAATGCGCGCACGCCGCACACACGTCCCCGCGCGCACAGCCACGCACACGCCAATGCGTATACGCCGCACACAGGTCCCCGCGCGCACAGCCACGCACACGCCAATGCGTATACGCCGCACACACGTCCCCGCGCGCACAGCCACGCACACGCCAATGCGTGCACGCCGCACACACGTCCCCGCGCGCACAGCCAAGCACACGCCAATGCGTGCACGCCGCACACACGTCCCCGCGCGCACAGCCACGCACACGCCAATGCGGGCACGCCGCACACACGTCCCCGCGCGCACAGCCACGCACACGCCAATGCGGGCACGCCGCACACACGTCCCCGCACACACAGCCACGCACACGCCAATGCGTATACGCCGCACACAGTCCCCGCGCGCACAGCCAAGTACATGCCAATGCGTGCACGCCGCACACACGTCCCCGCGCGCACAGCCATGCACACGCCAATGCGCGCACGCCGCACACACGTCCCCGCGCGCACAGCCACGCACACGCCAATGTGTATACGCCGCACACACATCCCCACGGGCACAGCCAAGCACACGCCACTGCGCACACACCGCACACACGTCCCCACGTACACAGCCATGCACACACCACTGCACACACACCACACACAGCCACGCACACCACACCGCGCACAGGCCCAGGGAAGCACTGAGCTGGGGGATTTGGAAAGCTGCGTGGCTCCCACTCAGGGCTCTGTGTGTGGTGGGTGGGGGGAAATCTGGATGTCACGTGAGGGCACCGGAGGGCACGCCTGGCATTTAGTGGGTGGGGACGTGGAAGGCTGGATAGACAGGAAGTCCCCCACAGAGAAGAACGGTCCCACCCTAGATACCAACGGAACCCGTGATGAGAAACCCCGTCCCACGGAATGCGCGCCTAAACGAATACCGCCAACACCGGGGCTGGACGGTGCCGCACCACGCGTTTTCTCCCATGACCACACAAGAAAGTCCGTTTTGTTCGCATTTTTATCAATAAAACTCATCCAAGGCTAACATGCATTTCAAATGCTCATCCTCAGTTACAGCTCAGGTGGAAGGCAGTGCTTCCCAATCTTTATCTGTGGACAAATTCTTTACCAATTTGTGGTGACGTGAGTGGGGACAAAAAAGACTGTGTAGTCGGGGCCGGGCACGGTGGCTTACCCCTGTAATCCCAGCACTTTAAGAGGCCGAGGTGGGTGGATCACGAGGTCAGGAGTTCGAGACCAGCCTGGCCAGCACGGTGAAACCCCATCTCTACAAAAAATACAAAAAATTAGCCAGGTGTGGTGGCACGCACCTGTAATCCCAGCTACTTGGGAGGCTGAGGCTTGAACCTGGGAGGGGCAGGGTGCAGTAAGCCAAGACTGCACCACTACACTCCAGCCTAGACGAGAGTGAGACTCTGTCTCAAAAAAAAAGAAAAAAAAAGACTCTGTAGTGGATTTCTCACAAAACTAAGTTTATTCAATCTCTACAACTATCCTGTACTTTGAAATTATGTTCTTCCTACTATTTTCGTGGTAAAGTCCAGGAAAGAAACAGCGTGTAGGCTGGGCTGTGCCGCAGCTCACCAGCTCCCAGCCTCAGCCTGCATCTAACCACCAGCCATCCTCATACACGGCCTTCTCCTTGCAAAAGACTGTGGTATTCCAGAGACTGGACCTCTGAGCAAAAGACAATCTGGAATGCACACCCCGCGGGGGCGGCTCGGCACTTCAGCCACATCCACAGCTGGCAAGATCGTTGCAGACAAACCCACAGATTCAGGAGGCATGATAGCAAGCCGGTACTCAGCTTGTGAAGTAAATTAGCGAAGGCCCAGCAGTCAAGGAAGATGGGAGCTCTAGTAACGGGACTGCCGCTTCCAAGAGCGTGAAGCAGATTCACTCCTCCCAATTCCTCCTGTCAGTACCACTCAACACCTGCGCTCCATGTGTAATGCAACCTAAGACTGGAAAGGTGGAGAAGGAGGCGGATGGGCCGGGAGCCGGGGGGCCAGCGATCGACACGGCAGGGAGCTCCTTCAGTTTTCTTTCTGCCTCATCTGAGCTGGATGCTGGAGAAACCAACTGCCTAAAAAAGCCAATGGGTGCAGACCATAAAAACCCACGCAAAGCCTCTTCTCTCCAGCCAGAGGTCAGGGAGAGGAGCAGACCGACAAGGCAGAAACCGACAGGCAGGAACCGCTCTACCCCAGGCAGACCACGGAAAACACCACAGTCCTCCCCACAGCACAGGCTGTGTGGGGAGCCCAGACACTCACCCTTGCCCGGCTGCACCCAGTACCCTCCCCTCCCGCACTGGTGGGGCTCCAGAGGAGGTCGGGCAGAGTCGGGACCATCATTACCTGGCGGCAACAAGGCCATCCCTGCATCAGCAAAGGCTGAGCAGGAGCAGTACAGGTGGCCCTTCCCTCCCAGCTAGGGCGGTGTCAGCACCTTCCCTCCTAGCTAGGGCGGCATCAGCAGAGGCTGAGTGAGGGGCCTGAACTCCCACCCTGCCCAGTGGGAATGAGGAGCCCCTCCCGGTGCAGGTGTCGATGATGGCTGAGTGGGAACTGGACCTCCACCCTCGCGGGTGATAACGAGGTGGTACCCCCTTGACCTACAGGGCAGCGTGAAAGGAGGCCTGCCACAACACAGGATTGAGCAAGAGTCAGAGTCTCGCGATGAAACACTCAGAGCGTCCTGGTTTCAAGGAAATCACTTTTTATACTAAGAACCAAGAATAGCTCAACCTGAATGAAGAAAAACAAGCCATAATGTCAACACTGAGATGGCCTGGACATTGGAATCCCGCCACAGACTTAGGGCAGCCGCCACAAAGATGCGCCAGTGACCAATGACAGGCACGCTTGAAACAAGTGAAGAGGCACAGGGTGGGCGTCTCAGCGAAGACCAAGACAGAAGGAGCCGCACAGAGATTTCAGAACTGAACCGAGACAGTAAGGTTACACCCAACAAACAACGGGCTCAACTGCAGGATGCAGAGGCCAGCAGAAAGCATCCGTGAGCTCGAGGACAGAATAGTGAAGCTACCCGATCTTCACGAGGGAAGACGGAGGGGAAAACACTGAACAGAGACAAGGGACCTGAGCAGCCGTAACCAAAGAGGGCAAGGCTGAAAAAACAACTCAAGACTTGATGACTGAAAATGTCCCAGATTTAACAAAAGACAAACCTATAGATTCAAGAGACTGAGAAAATCCCAAACGAGATAATCCCCCCAATCCACACTGAGTTCATTCAGCGCAGTCTTCCAACCGGAATGAGGATCCCCTCTGTAACATCCCCGACACACAGCTGCCACCTGTGCTCAAAATCTCCATGGCCAGGGTGCGCACTTGCTCCTCAGCAGCGCAGCCTCTGTCAGACAGCTCTCGTGGTTAGAGCGTTCTTCTCACACAGCCTCAAGTCTGACTGTTCTCTCTGGCCAACAGAGAAGGCGCTGTCTTTTGTATAATGGTCTACACCAGGTTCCCCAGTTTCTTCCCAGCTCCCCAATGGAAACGGCTTCCAGATCCTCTTCCGTGCTCTGGGGACGAGGCTGCCAATGCCCTATTGCCCTCTGGTGCCCCAACTGAACGCAGTGTCTCAGACACACATCAACTGGTGGAGACAGTAGCTGTATAAACAGACTAAAATTATGGAAGGAAATGAACGCAGATGATTTCTCCAGGGGCAAACATTTACGGATACTGAAAGCCAGTGTGATGGTCACGGTGCTGGTGGCAGTGACAATGACGATACAGCTCAATGCAGTTCATGCTTTCATAAATGGGAGGGGCCATGGGGAAGTACAGAGTCTTGGCCTTGGGAGGCAGGTGACCTTGAATCTTGGTTCTGCTACTGGTTAACCTTGGACAGACCACTAACGTCGCTGAGTCTCAAGTTCATCAGCAGACTGTGGTTGTAACAAGTGGTTCTGCCCGTCCCACAGAGCTTCTGTAGAGGGCCTGAGACAGGGCATGTGAGATGTCTTGATAACATAAAGCGTGGCATGCATGGAAGGTTACTGATGACTCTACCAGTGACCTTATCACAGTACCCAATCTCAGGACGCAAGGCGACTCTGAAGCTAATCTAGTCCTCATCCAGTCTTCTCCATCGTGCTGGAGAAGCAGAGCACGGATGGAACATGAGCTCTGCTGCCTTTTATGTGCTGGTGCTACGGCCTTTAACCAGGGACACCAGCTCCTAGGGCACTACGCCACGGCTCAAACTCAGGTTCGACCCTAACGCTCCCGCTCTTCCCATCTGGGCACCTCCCAGCACAGGCACTGATGTTCTAATACATTGTTATAGGAAGCTTTCACCGTTTCAAATCAATAGAGAACAAACCGAAATACTACCTTCTTTAACTCAATAATCTCGTCATACATATCTTCTTTTTCTCTGTAGACAGGAGTCCCAGGGACATGACCTAGAGAAACATAAACAAATCGTTTCAAAGACTATCTACAAAGTAGAAAGAATTCTTGGCTATACTTTAAGGAAAACCTGGAAGTTAGTAACATTTCCTTTTAAAAAAGAAGAAAATAAAAAAGCCAAAATAATTCCATGTTTTCCAGCCTGATCATGATACTTCACACCAAGTAGCAAGAAAAGCAAAAATGGTAGATAGAGAGAGATGAAGCAAAAAGTAAATAAATAAACATGTGAAGACCAAGTTTCATGACAGTAAAAGGATGAAAGAAGGGACTCACGGAAGGAGGAGGGACATGTTCAGATTTAAATAGCAAAACAAACAAATACCAAACACAAAAAATGCACAGAGCATCTCAACACCCATTCCAATGTAAAAACAGTCAGGCTTACTTTGGTTTTAATGATACCTAGTATATTAAACATCTAAATTTCAGCCTAAAAGATAACTCCCAACCAGTAAAAGCAGGAAGGTAATCAATTCCTGGAGTACAGTGAGGAGGTTTTCAATACACCCTGGAGGCTGTTCTTCCTTAAGGAGGATAGGTGGGAAACACGTGGATAAAGAGAGAGGCCGGGCACGGTGGCTCATGCCTGTAATCCCAGGATTCTGGGAGGCCAAGGTGAGAGGATCACTTGAGTCCAGGAATTTGAGACCAGCCTGGGCAACACAGCGAGATTCCGTCTCTAAAAAAAAAGAGACTAGGCAGGAACATAAACACAGAAACAAGCTGATTCTCTTTGGTGCGACTTGGACTTTTTATCATTATTTATTTATTAGTATTTGTTCCTAATATCATTTACTCAATGAATAAATTTAAGTACGCCTCTATGTTTAGGGAGGGAGGTACAGATGACACCTGGCGAGATATCCCTGCACCCACGAGGAAAGCTACCTTCTGGGGCAGGCGGGTTTTTGTGAGTCACTGTGTGAGTCACTGCTCCCACGACCTCCCAAAACCTCCCAGTGACGGAGCTCATGCACGAAGCCAGAAATCCTGCTCTGACGAAGGACGCCTCCAGCCCAGAGACTGTCCTTTCCTTTCTGCTCTTCCTTGGCCTCAGCCTCGCCACCATCGGCATGCTCACCGTTGCTGGCAGAGCGCCTGAGATGTGGCCTCTTCACTCTGAAGGTGTCTGTCAGACAGTCAGGAGTGCCGCCGGGGACGCCAGTCCACGCATGCTCCCAGGTGAGGGGTGAGTTCAGGGCCTGGGTCAGACTTCCTGGTTTGAATGTGCATGGGTTTAATATGACAGATACAAGCACACACAATGGGAGGTTTTGTTTCTAATCAACTTTCCTGGATTGAAGAAAGCTGAATCACTGATAGACGCCAGCCGTCAGTGTCGTGCTGGTAAATGGTTAACCAACCAGCTCCCAAATATCAATTAATACAGTCCTGATTACAATGTTTGCCTATTTCCACGGTATACATATTTCTACCATGTCTAATATCAGGTTGCCAGCATGACACTGACCAGCCCACCAAACTCCTAAGACTATAACAGTTGGCTCTGGCAAGACAACTCACCACTCCCATGTAGAGACCACACGGGACCAAGGGAGGCTAAAGCGCCACTTGGCGAAACCACATTTATGCATGACATAAAACTACGATGTGTATATTTGATGTCTTCGAGAAAACTAAAGACAATGTAATTCAAACAAGGAATATTAAAAACTCCATCTCAAACCACTCCCTGAAATTTCTCGAACTCTTCTCTCAAGCAGGAAGGGTCTCCAGTGCGACAACCACATACCTGGCTTTGCGGTTCCCAGCCACAGCTTCTGCGGGGTCAGGGACGCTCGGCCGCCCAGAGGCATGCTCCCTGCCGTCCTGAGGGACCTCCAGGAGGCCACTTTTCTCGGCTTAGAGAGATAAGGTGACTCTGGAAAAGCCAACACGTGGATTCAGAGGTGCCGGACAGCAACATGTGAGCTCAACACATGAACTTCAGAAAGACAGAAATAGGAAAACAAAATCCACGAGCGTGGTGACTCTAGTCAAACATTCTGGCAAAAATGAAAAAAGAGTTACTTTACCTATATACTGACATTTCTCCTTTAACTTTTATTATAAAGAAATAGCATAATGAGGCCAGGCATGGTGGCTCATGCCTATAATACCAATACCTTGGGAGGCTAAGGCAGGAGAATCGCTTGAGGCCAGGAATTCAAGACCAGCCTGGGCAATACAACAAGACCCTGTCTCTATAAAAAATCTAAAAATTAGCTGGGTGTGGTGGCTCACACCTGTGGTCCCAGCTACTCAAGGGGGCTGAGGCAGGAGGATCTCTTGAGCCCAGGAGGTCGAGGCTACAGTGAGCTATGATCATGCCACTGCATTCCAGCCTGGGTAACAGGCTTTTCTTAAGAAAAGAAAAGAAAAGAATGGGAAGAATATAATGGGAAATATATGAATTCTACCAACATTTATTATAGCATTTAATTTCTCACCCCCAATTTTGAGAGATGTGCGTGTTCTTACACACTCACAGCCACAGTGAACACATCGTTTTGTGCCTTTTTAACATGTCACATTTTTAATGTCACTACATAGTGACAGAGCAATATTTAGAACTTAATATGTAAAATATCTAAAATAAATGAGAAAAATCTTACTGTTTCAGGGCATTCTTGATTTTGTATGAAAGTAAGGGAAATGTTTTAAAATTCTTTATCTGAGATTTTCCCTCTTTAAGTATAAAAAAGATAATAAACGTATGCAAAAACTAAGGCACTCTTAAAACATTCTTATATATCTTAAATTGCAAAATGTATGTCAGTAGGGTCTGAAAATTTAAGTCTAATATGTTCAAAATGTTTAAGTTTCTAAGTTTTTCCCGCGGTTTCACAATTTATGTGAAATTCGCCACCGTAACTGTGAATGAGGGAATAAAGACGCAGGGACCCTGCTGCATCTTCACTTACCCGGGACCACAGAACCTGGCCTCCCAGATAGTCTCAAATTCTTCCAAAACGTAAAGATTTAAGTTGTCATTTATACAAGTAAATGAGTGAGCAGAAAAAAGCCCTACACATTACATTTCCCTCCTAAGAGTGTGTGGGCTTATCGGCGAGTAGGAAGGGTTCCTCAGGAAAGCATGAAAGCGGGGATAAAAGCGGGGAGGGAAGAAGAGAGGACGGAGACAGGGTGGTGGAGAGATGCCAGCGTTTGATACTGCCCGGAAAACGACAAACTCGGAAAGCAGGAAAACATCATCGCCTGCCTCGCCCTCCTGGCAGAGTGACCAGGACGATGAAAAGCCTCGGAACGTGGTGGGAGCTGCAAACCTACAAGCAGGTTGACCAGGCCTTGGAGAAAAACACTTGCTGAGTGAACAGGACAGACATGGTCCCTACACTCACGAAACTAGAAACCCGGAGAAAAACAGGTCCCGAGTGTGAGTCAGGAGGCACCCCCGGTCCTGGCCTTTTACTTTATATCAATTCTCAATTTTCTCCATGGAAGGAGAGAAAGGACATCAAAAATCCAAATTGCTAGGTGATTTCCTTCTAGTGTTTATATTGATTTGTAACATATAACATGCATTCTTTTCTGTGCAGGGATTTACCTAATTATGTTTTCCTTGGGCTAGTAGCAAAGTTTGTTTATATTCTCTGAGTGCGTCATATACTTGACTGAACCTTTGAAATATATGATACGCGTATATAAAATAGACACACATCTACAGATGGCACAGCCAGGGAAGGCCACAGGCTTTGGGGTAGCACAGGATGCCGGCCTAGGATTTACAGGGTCACGAACACATTCGTACGCACAAGGTCGGCACACGGGCTGCTGTACACGAGAGCGGCATTAGAGACAGAGGGGCCTCGGGGCCACCTGGACTAACCCCACCTCCGCGGCACCCTCCTGGACAAGCAGGGTGGCAAATGCTGCCCTCCTCCTGCTGAGGGTGAGGAAGAATAGAACCCTGGCAGCAAAACAAGCCCAGGATGATCCAAAGGGGAAAAAGGTGAACTTGCCACCCGTCCCACCAACTACACCTTCTCAGTAACTTCGACTCTCAGGAACAAATCCCAGGTCAAAAATCCTTTAACTCTGGCAGCATTCAGAAGAGGTAAGCCTTTGAGAAAGCAAGAAAAAGAAAACAAAAGGCCTAGAGGCACTGTCGGGGGAGACTGGGGAGTTGGTGGCAGCCTCAGCCCTGAGAAAGGGCTCGTCACTCTGGCACCAACAGGGACTCCACGTGCTCCTGAGACCCCAGCATGAACCCCAACATGAAAGGGGGAGACTCCAGCGCGAACTGGGAGACCCCAGTGGGAATGGGGCCAACTGGCTGAGGCGTCAGGTCTCAGCTACCTAAATGTACAAAGCAAATACCCTTCATTCTCTCCAGGACACCAGGGAACGTCGGCGTGAGAGGGAAGGCAGGCCTCGTCATACTTACTTGGCGATGTGGGTGGAGGTTTGTGGAAAGCTTTCCTTTTTGCTTTCTGAAAGAAAGAAGAAATGGCATAAGGCTTGCTGAGCTCCCACAGTGGTGCATCACAAGACCCTACCATGTTCAGAAAGGGTCAGGGGTCGTGTAAGAGCAGCAAGAGGACGTGAGCTTACGGGGACGTAAGGAGGGTCCAGGAACAGGACACGCAGGGCCCGATGCAGACCCCACAAAAATGCACTCACGTCAGTGCTCAGGGCTGGGCTCTCAGAGCACAAGTTCCAATTACAGAAAACCATCGGGCCCGGGCTCCTGACGTTCAGACTGAGGGTCCCACACAAATGGCGGATCTGCCCCCACCCAAACCGCCCGCACAGCCAGCCTGGGAGCCCAGCGCACCTCTGTCCACTCAGGTGGAGGTGGTCAGATGAATCCCTGCACATAAGTCAACTGCAAAGCCCACTATGGAAGAAAGCCGAGCAAAGGGAGACCCTGTCTGGAAGGTGGTCTCCTGTGACAACCACGATGCCAAACACCCAATGGGGTCCAGATCTCACAGAACGGGGTCCAGATCTGGTTCCACTGCTTACTACGGGGTGAGTGTCCCATATCCGAGATGCCTGGGACCAAGAGTGTTTCTGATTTGGGAATATTTGCATCCATATAATGAGGTATCTTGGGGATGGGACCCAAGTCTAAACACAAAATTCATTTATGTTTCATATATACATTATACCCATAGTGCAATGGTAATTTTATATTGTGTTTTTAATAACTTTGTGCATGAAACAAAGCTTGTGTGAAGTACTTAAGGGTGGAATTTCCCACTTGTGGCCTCATGAGGGTGCTCAAAAAGTTTCCATTTTTGGAGCATTTTGGATTTTGCATTAGAGACACACAACCCGTCGTGCCGTGGCCTGGGGAAGATGCTGCCATGCTTCCAACCTTAACTTCCTCATCACCTTGCACTAGACCGAGCAGATAAGGCTACCGCGGCCAGGTCTCCTCACTTCCCCTCCAGCAGAAACATTGAGCCCCAAGTTCTGCGCGGGGGGAATTTTCCCTGGGGCTTGGTTTGGATCCCTCCTCCTCCGGGGAACATCAGAGGAGCATCCCCTGCCCTCTGTGACATGGAGGGAAAATCCTTAACTTTGCGAACAGAGGTCCCTGGAGGGAGACAGTGGAGCTGAGGCTCCCCCTTGAGTCCACAGAGCAAACGTGGAATTGAGATCTGCTGGTGCCGGGTTCGTTCTGCTGGCTGCAGGTTTGCTAGATCTGCGTCTCCAGTAAGAAAAGCTTTTTTCGCTCATACACGAGAAGAGCAATTGGCACACTTCCTTTTCTACCCAGCACAGCTTGCCAAACAAACCCAAAGCCCAGTCCGGGGCCATAGTGTGCCACTGGGCCATCGGACACCACTCCTGCCCCTCTCCTTTCCGGGCTGGGAGGCCAGGCAGCAGTTCAGCTTGGGATGGCGGCTGCCCAGGTCTGCTTTCTCCCATCGGGTCCTTCCGACGGCATTAGCAGGGGCTCTCCTCCTCCCCTCAAGTGTCAGGATGAGGGCGTGGGGTGCAGGGCAAAACCAGCTGCAGGCCAGGGACTAGCAATCTGTCTCACATGAGCCCTGCTCAGGATTCACGTCCAGATAAAAGTTTTAAAGTTATCACCACAGGTATTTAAACCTAAGGGCTGGAAACTTTTCAAACACCAAGGAGCATTCGGAATATGCATTCCAGCTCTCGACACAGTATTGTGGAGAACGGCCTATTTTACGCTTCCGAGTGCAGTCTGCAAGGGCAGCGCAACCAGCCCGAGGTCGCACGGCTGACACCCAGCGGCACTCACCGTCTCCACATCAGAGTCAAAGGTGACTGCAGACAGACTGTCATCTCCCTGGAGGAAGAGAGGCAAACACTGTAACTCGACGGCACCTGCTGGGCTTCCGACCATCACGTTTACAAAAGCGAAAACAGCCCGTCCACAGCTGCTGAAACAGAAACTCCAGAAATCCAGCTCTGAGGCCACTCAGAACACTCCAGCTGGGCAGCAGCCAGTTCCTCAGTCTCATCAGAAGGAATGGGTGGGTGGGGGGAACAAAACACAAAACGCCGCCCAGCAGGCGTGCAAATGTCTGCAAATCTAGTAACACTATTTCCCACAGAATTGTGTCTTGACAAAGAAAAACAAAACCAGTTCTTGCTGAAAGCATTTCATTTTTACATAAATGTTCTCACTCTTATTCATCTTTACATCAAAGCACAACGAATCTGTGACTGTCTCCTGGTAAGAACGGGTGAGAGTCATCTTTTAAAAAGCAAACTCGGCCTGGGCAACATGGTGAGACACTGTCTCTACAAAAAAAATCTTAAAAATTTAAAAAATAAGCCAGGCTGTGGTTGCACACACCTGTAGTCCCAGCTACTCGGGAGGCTAAGGTGGGAGGATCGCTTGAGCCTAGGAGGTCGAGGCTGCAGTGAGTCATAATCATGCCACTGCACTCCAGCCTGGGCAACAGAGCAAGACCCCAGCTGGGAAAAAAAAAAAAAAAAAAAACGAAAACCAACAAAAACCAAAACATATGCATTACAATGAGAAGGCATTTGGGCCTATAAAGGTTCTTGCCTTCTTATTCCAGTGACTTTGTCCTGGTCCAGGGAATGAAATAAGACTTGTACTGTCTGATTTCAGCACGAGGATGGCCAAAAAAAAAAAAAAAGGAAGCTTTTTGAAGACAAAAGTGTTTCTGTATTAACTCATTCACTCAAATTGAAATCCAAAAAGAGAAGCATAAAATGTTTAAAGTCCCTCGGAAGATCATATTGGTGCTTTCCAATGCGGACACTGGAAGTTAGAGCTGAATGCCCCATTATGAGCCAATAGTTCTACAGCTTGGGGTGGAGGTGATGACATTTGTGCTACCTGTCCCTGGTATAGCTGAGTCCACGCAGTATCATAATGGGATGCTACTGCGTTCTGAAAAGCAAACTTATTTTCTACAAGGCTAATAGTACATGAAGTGCCAATTTTGCTAGCAGTGTGAAACTGTATTAGAAATGCCTGGCTGCATGATAACATGGATAAGGTGCAACTAGACAGGCCAGGACACAAGTGCAATGTGACTGCATTTCGAGGGGCAAAGGAAAGACGGTGCATTCCAAATAAATGGAGCGTTTAAAAAAATCAGCCATTGACTGAAATTTTTTATATCATTTTTTATATCACCTATTTAAGGTGACCTTTTAAGACATAAACAGCATATGACAATTATAGAGAGAAGTTTTCCTTTTAGCAAAGTGTATTGAAATTATGCACAAAATTGAGGAAGGGCAGGCCGGGAACTGGACACACAGGTTAGCGGGGGATCAGAAAAGCCAAGTCAGCCCTGGGCATCACAAGGACGTGCCTGCAGAGAACAGAGGGGAAACTGCTGAAAACTGTCTAGAAAAGCAGCAGCAACTTTCTCTGTAAACATCTGTCATTATTCCTTGCTGTGAATAAAATCTTGAAGACTTTTTGAATGACCTGAAATTCAACAAAGGAATGAGATTTTATGTGTAGTAAACAAAATGCATTGATCTCACCCACAACGGCTGCCCTCTCCACCACTCCCTTCCAGCCGTGCTGCCTCCAGCCTGCCGGTCATAGTGCAGGGAAGAGGTGAAACGCAGTCAGGACCGGAAATCACACAACAGCCCAAGGATCCATGACACCAGTCAGCAGAATACAATCATACACAGCGCACACACACACACGCATGCACACACACACACGCACACACACTCATGCACGCACCTAAAATCACACAACAGTCCAAGGATCCATGACTGCAGTCAGCAGAATACAACCATACACAGCACACACACACACACACACACTCACACACATGCACACATGCACTCACACACACACACGCACACACACGCACACATGCACTCACACAAAATGGCCAATCTGTTCCGCCTCCTTCAAGCACTATCTGAGGTTGCCACTTATTTCCACAGTAGGTTAAGCTCAATCAGCCTGTGTCAGGGTGGTTGTAACAGAAGAAATGGGGTGGTTTCACACTGAAATTAACTGTCTCAGTTTGGGAGGCTGGAAGTCCAGAATCAAGGTGTTGGCAGGGCCAGGCTCCTAACAGACAGGAGAGCGAGGCAGAAGATCAACGAGGAGTTAGAAAAACTTGATCAGCAGACACTAAAAACCTAACAGACATTTACAGAACACCCCACTCAACAACAGCACAATACACATTCTACTCAAGTGTACATTAAACATAAACCAGACCATAGGCCACAAAAAAGCCTCAATGAATTAAAAGAGAAAATCATTCAAAGTATATTCTTCTACAACAAGGAAAACTAGAAATCAACAAAAGAAAGGAATTCACAAATGTATAGATTTTTTTTTTTTTGAGACAGAATCTCGCCTTGTCGCCCAGGCTGGAGTGCAGTGACACAATCTCGGCTCACTGCCACCTCCACCTCCCGGGTACAAGCGATTCTCCTGCCTCAGCCTCCTGAGTAGCTGGGATTACAGGTGCCGCCACCACGCCCGGATAATTGTTGTATTTTTAGTAGAAATGGGGTTATATTCACTATGTTGGCCAGGCTGGTCTCAAACTCCTGACCTCAGGTGATCCACCCGCCTCAGCCTCCCAAAGTGCTGGGGCTATAGGTGTGAGTCACTGTGCCTGGCCTGGATATTAAACAACAAATTCCTAAATAATCAATGGGTCTAAGACGAAATCACAAGGGAAATTTAAAAATATCTTAGATGAGTGAAATTTTTTGTTTTTTTGAGGTGGAGTCTTGCTCTGTTGCCCAGGCTGGGGTGCAATAGCATGATCTTGGCTCACCACAACCTCCGCCTCCCAGCTTAAAGCAATTCTCCTGCCTCAGCCTCCTCAGTAGCTGGGACTACAGGTGTGCACCACCATGTCAGGCTAATTTTTTTTTGTATTTTTAGTGGAGACAGGGTTTCACTATGTTGGCCAGGCTGGTCTTGAACTCCTGACCTCATGATCCGCCCACCTCAGCCTCCCAAAGTGCTGGGATTACAGGCGTGAACCACTGTGCCCGGCTGATGAGTGAAATTTTTTTTTTTTTTTTTTTTTTTGAGATGGAGTCTCGCTCTCTCACCCAGGCTGGAGGGCAGTGGCGCAATCTCGGCTCACTGCAAGCTCCGCCTCCCGGGTTCACACCATTCTCCTGCCTCAGCCTCCCAAGTAACTGGGAATACAGGCGCCTGCCACCACGCCCGGCTAATTTTTTGTATTTTTAGTAGAGACGGGGTTTCACTGTGTTAGCCAGGATGGTCTCGATCTCCTGACCTCGTGATCCGCCCGCCTCGGCCTCCGAAAGTGAGTGAATTTTAAAAATCAAAATTTATGGGATGTACCTAAAGCAGGGCTCAAAGAGAAACATACAGCTGTAAATGTCTATATTTTAAAAAGATCACATCAAATAAATAACCTAATCTTCCACCTTAAAAAACAAAAGCAGGGCCGGGCGTGGTGGCTCACACCTGTAATCCCGGCACTTTGGGACTCAAAGCCCAGGAGTTCAAAACCAGCCTGGGCAATATGGAGAAACCCTGTACACACACACACACACACACACACACACACACACACAACAAAAAATTAATTAGCTGGGCATCATGGCACATGTCTGTGGTCCCAACTACACAGGAGACTGAGGTGGGAGAATCACCTGGGTCCGGGAAGTTGAGGCTGCAGTGAGCCATGATCGCACCACTGCACTCCAGGCGCAAAGAAACAAAAGCAAGCTGAGCACCTGCTCATGCCTGTAATCCCAACACTTTGGGAGGCCAAGGAGTGAGGACTGCTTGAGCCCAGAAGTTCGAGACCAGCCTGGGTGACATAGTGACACCCAGTGTTGACAAAAAATTAAAAAATTCGCCAGGCATGGTGGCACACGCCTGTAGTCCCAGCTACTTGGGAGGCCGAGGCAGGAGGATCACTCAAGCCCAGGAGTATGAGGCTGCAGGGAGCTGTGATTGTGCCACTGCTCTCTAGCATCGACAACAGAGTGAGGTTCTGTCTCTGAAAAACAAAAACAAATAATCAAAAACACAAAAGCCATGTTTAGAGGGCAATTTGTAGCTGTAAATGCCTATATTAAAAAAAAAAAAGAAAGAAAGATCTCAAGGCAATAATCCAATAATCTAAACTTTCACCTTCAGAACCAGGAGATAGAAAACTAAACTCAAAGGAAGTAAAAGAAAGGAATAAAAATTACAGTGAATAAATGAAATAGAAAATAGAAACAATAGAAAAATCAATGAAACCAAAAGTTGGTTCTTTGAAAAGATCAACAAAACTGACAAACCTTTAGCCAAGAAAAAAAACCCAGAGACACGAAATTACCAAAATACAGGGGGAAAAAAAAAAAAAGGGGGCCTCACTACTGACCTTATAGAAGTAAAGAAACACCCAGAACCACATGGTCTCGCTGGTGAATTCTATCAAACATTTAAAGAGAAATTAATACCAATGCTTCACAAACCCTTCTAAAAAACAGAAAAGAAGGAAATGCTTCCCAATTCATTCTATGAGACCTATATTACACTGATACCAAAAGCAGACAAAGAAATATCACAAGAAAAGAACACTACAGACCAACATTCTTTATGAATACAGTTGCAAAAATCCTCAACAAAATGCTAGTAGGCATGAAAAGGATTTTATATATATATATATATGTACCCTAATTGGTACTGGTATATATTTATGTGCACACACACACACACACACCCCAAGACCAAGAATGAAAGATTGGTTTAACATACAAAAATCAGTCAATATTCCATATTAATAAAATGAAGAAAAAGAAACATATGATTTTCTCAAAAGATACAGAAGGTATGTTTGACAAAATCTAACACTCATTCATGATAAAGATACTCAATAATCTATGAAGAGAATTTCCTCAGCCTAATAAATGGCATCTACAAAAATCCAGGGCAACACAATATTTAACAGAGGAAGACGGAATGTTTCCCTTCTAATAGCAGCAGCAAGACAAGGCTGTCCTTTCTCATCACTTCAATTCAAATTATACTTGAGTCTTTTGCCAGGACATTAATGTGAGAAAAGTAAATAAAAGACATTCAGATTGAAAAGAAGGAAGTAAAACTATCTCTATTCACAGACAACATGATTTTATACATAGAAAATCCTAATGAATCTACTAAAAAACTAGTAAACATAATAAATGAGTTCAGCAAGTTTGCAGGATATGAGATTCATATAAAAATATTATTGTAAGGCCGGACGTGGTGGCTCAGGCCAGTAATCCCAGCACTTTGGGAGGCCAAGGCGGGTGCATCACGAGGTCAGGAGATCGAGACCATCCTGGCTAACAAGGTGAAACCCCGTGTCTACCAAAAATACAAAAAAATTAGCCGGGCATGGTGGCGGGCGCCTGTAGTCTCAGCTACTCGGGAGGCTGAGGCAGGAGAATGCTATGAACCCGGGAGGCGGAGCTTGCAGTGAGCCGAGATCGCGCCACTGCACTCCAGCCTGGGCAACAGAGCAAGACTCCATCTCAAAAAAAAAAAAAAAATTATTGTATATATTAGCAGTAAATAAGCTGAAATGAAATTAAGAAAATTCAATATACAATAACATCAAAAAGCATAAAATACTTAGGAATAAATTTAACAAAAGCATAGGCTTTGTACATTGAAAAATATAAACCATTGCTGAAAGAAATCAAAGATCTACATAGGGCTGGGAGCAATGGCTCACGCCTGTAATCCCAGCACTTTGGGAGGCCAAGGCAGGTAGATAACCTGAGGTCAGGAGTTAGAGACCAGCCTGGCCAACATGGTGAAACCCCACCTCTACTAAAAATAGAAAAATTAGCTGGGTGTGGTGGCAGGCGCCTGTAGTCCCAGCTACTGAGGAGGCTGAGGCAGGAGAATCCTTTGAACCTGGGAGGCAGAGACTGCAGTGATCTGAGATGGCATCATTGCACTCCAGCCTGGGTGGCAAAGCGAGACTGTGTCTTTTTTTTTTTTTTTTTTTTTTGAGACAGAGTCTCACTCTGCTGCCAGGCTGGAGTGCAGTGGCACGATCTTGGCTCGCTGCAAGCTCCACCTCCTGGGTTCACGCCATTCTCCTGCCTCAGCCTCCCAAGTAGCTGGGACTACAGGCGCCCGCCACCACGCCCGGCTAATTTTTTGTATTTGTAGTAGAGATGGGGTTTCACTGTGTTAGCCAGCATGGTCTCGATCTCCTGACCTCATGATCTGCCCACCTCAGCCTCCCAAAGTGCTGGGATTACAGGCATGAGCCGCCGTGCCCGGCCAAGAGACTCTGTCTTAAAAAAATAATAAAAAATAAATAATATACATAAATTATTTTTATAATCACAACAAGCAGTTTTGTTCTTAAAGATGAAGAAGCAGTAACTGAAGGCCAGTGTAGACAGGCAGGCCCTCCAGATGAGACAGGACGTGGTGCCCTGGGGAACAAGCAGGCAACTTCAGCTGCTCCAAGTTGGCCAGCAGCACCAAGCCCCTACTGCGGGTGCAGCTGTGCTGAACCCTGTGGTCTCCTTAGGAGGAAGCAAGGTGAGCACAGTTCCCTTGATGTGAAACCTTCCAAAGGCTTCCTCTGTTTCTCCAATAAAATCCAAATTCCCTGCATGGCCAGCAGGACTCCCCATAGTCAGGCTCATGCCCATCTTCTGCTCAGTCTCCTTGCCCGCGTCCCAACGGGCTTTCTTTTTTTTTGAGACAGGGCCTCACTCTGTTGCCCAGGCTGGAGGGCCGTGATATGATCACAGTTCACTGTAGCCTCCACCTCCTGGGCTCAAGCGATCCTCCCACCTCAGCCTCACTCTGTCTCTCAGGCCTTGGAGGGCCATGATCACAGTTCACTGTAGCTTCCACCTCCTGGGCTCAAGCGATCCTCCCACCTCAGCCTCCTGAGTAGTTGGGACTACAGGCAGGCACCACCACAGCTCGGCTAATGTGATGGTTTTTTGTAGAGATGGGGTCTTGCGATGTTGCCCAGGCTGGTCTGGAACTCTTGGCCTCAAGCGATCCTCCCATCTCGGCTTCCCAGAGTGCAGGGACTACCGGGGGACTACCGGCCTGAGCCACGGCTCCCGGCCATATGGGCCTGTTTCATTTTCTGCACAGCACTTCTCACTTTCTGACACGATCTTAATTACCTGTTTATTACCTTGTCCCTCCGCCCCCCCCCCCCCCCCCACTGGAATGCAGCTTATTCCCGTGTCTCTAACACACAGTAGATATTTACCGGGCAAAGTAACTAACCTAAGGCTCATGCACCCTCGCCCTGGGGAGTACATCGGGCCCCACCCTCCTCCAGGAAGCCTCCTCTGACCAAGCTGGGTTCCCAGACCCTGGGGCTGCCTCCCTCCCACCCCGAAGGCTTGGGGCCACACGGGATCCGTGGATCCCGCCTTAGATCGGGGGTGCCCGGAGGCACTTACACCGTGAGCTCCGTCACCTGCGGGCCGCAGACTCGCAGGCGCCCAGAGGCGAGGGCGCGGCGTCCCGGAGAGCTTCCTGGAAGCGGCGGCCTCTGCGAAAGCGGGCGCGGGCGAGGCTGCAGGCGGCGCGGGGCCTGCAGCGCGCTCTTGTGCGGTAACAATAATGGCAGCTGTCACCCGGCCGTGCGCCCCGTCCTCACGCCCCGGGCCGGCCCCTGCGCGGGGCCCCGAGGCTGCGGGCGACGGAGACGAGCCGAGGCCTCGCGGACGCCCGCCCGGCGTCGCCCCCTCGCCCGTTCTTACCGTGTCCAAGGCCGGCTCCCCGGTGCCCAGGAACATGGTGGCGGCGCTGCCCGGCCGCCCCTCAGGGTTGCTGGCTCGGGCGTCCGGGTCTGGGAATCCGCGGGCAGCCCTGGCCGCCCGCAGCCTCGGGGCCTTCCCTGGCGCCGGCCCGCGACCCCGCTGCCATGGCAACCAGGCCGCCGACCTACCCAGCCGGGTAAGCGACCTGCGTTCCCCCTGGGGCGACCATGCGCGTGCGCAGAGTCCGCGGGCGCCGGCCGGCCGACCAGGAGCGCTCCCGGAGTTCCCGGGGCGGAGCGCGGGGGCTGAGAGGGGGAAAAAAACCGGCCCGGCGCAGTGGCTCGCGTCTGTAATCCCAACACTATGGGAGCCTAAGGCAGGAGATTCAATTGAGCCCAGGAGTTTGATACCAGCCTGGGCAATGTAGCGAGACCCCGTCTCTCGAAAAATAAAATAAAAATAAAAGCCAGGCATGCTGGTGCACGCCTATAGTCCCAGCTCCTCGGGAGGCTGAGGTGGGAGGATCGCTTGGAGCCCAGGAGGTCGAGGCTGCAGTGAGCTATGATTGCACCACTACAGTCCAGCCTGGGCGACAGAGCAAGACCCTGTCTCAATCAAACAAACACACATAATAAACTTTCGTTTGCTTTCAGGGTCTCACCCAGGGCGCTTTGCTCTACGTGCTCCCTGTGCATAAGTACCTCTTGCCACTCTCCCACCCTTGGGCTTCGCAAACTTTTTGCCCTTCTCTTATCTAATTATAGAGCCAGCGCCTATCTACGACCTTTTATCTGTGATTCTGAATTCCACAAACTTCCGAAAGCCCTTCACAACTCATTTGAAGGCCAGACCAGTCCTAACCTCAACTCTCCGGGAGGAAAACTCTGAGCTGAGGCTATTTATAGTGCTTATTTATCCCACGGGGTGTACATGAGTGAGTTTCACTGAATAACTTCTTTTTTTTTTTTTTTTGACGGAGTCTTGCTCTGTGGCCCAGGCTGGAGTGCAGTGGTGCGATCTCCGCTCACTGCAACCTTTGCCTCCTGGGTTCAAGCGATTCTCCTGCCTCAGCTACCCGAGTAGCTGGGACTACAGGTGCGTGCCACCACGCCCAGCTAATTTTTGTATTTTTAGTAGAGACGGGTTTCACCACCTTGACAAGGATGGTCTCGCTCTCTTGATCTCGTGATCCGCCCGCCTCCACCTCCCAAAGTGCTGGGATTACAGGCGTGAGCCACTGCACCCGGCCCTGAATAACTATTAATACGTTTAATTATGGGGTGTGTGTCACACTCTGCTGTAATCTCATATTTAATGTACATGTGCCATGTCACATTTCTAAAATCTGAACAGTTCTGAATTCTGAAAAAACATTTGTCCCCAAAAGTTTGAGATAAGAAATTGTGGACCTGGGCCAGGCACGATGGTGGCTCACGCCTGTAATCCCAGCACTTTGGGAGTCTAGGGTGGGTGGATCACTTGAGGTCAGGAGTTTGAGACCAGCCTGACCAATATGGTGAAACTCTGTCTCTACTAAAAATACAAAAATTAGCCAGGGGTCGTGGGTGCCTGTAGTCTCAGCTACTCAGGAGGCTGAGACAGGAGAATTGCTTGAACCTGGGAGGTGGAGGTTGCAGTGAGCTGAGATCACACCACTGCACTCCAGCCTGGACATCAGAGCGAGACTCCACCTCAAAAAAAAAAAAAATTGTGGACCTGTGCAATACAATATTCAAATCTGGAGCCAGACTGCTTGGGTTCAAATCCAAACTGTGCCAATCCAGTAGCTGTAAGGCCTTATGAGTTAGCCTCTCTGTGCCTCATTTTCCTCATCTGATGGGCTGGTAGTGGTACTCTCCTACCGTTGCTGTAGAATCATACAAGTTTACAGTAAGTGAAGCACTTAGCACAGTGCTGTTGTTGAGTTTTCTTTACTCCACAATTACCTAACTGGGTGAATGTTAGTATCTCATTTCACAATGAGGAACCAAATTTCAGGGAAGATAACTGTGCATTTCAAACTTTTTCACACATGTAGTTCTAAGGATGTACGTGTGTGTGTGTGTGCAGGGGGCATGCAAGCGTCAGGGAAGTTGCTTTTCCAAGGTTACCCAGCACGGCTGGGCGCGTTGGCTCACGCTGGTAGTCCCAGCACTTTGGGAGGCCTAGGTGGGCGGATCACCTAAAGTCAGGAGTTCGAGACCAGCCTGGCCAACATGGTGAAACCCCGTCTCTACTAAAAATACAAAATTAGCTGGGCGTGGTGGCCCGCACCTGTAATCCCAGCTACTCGGGAGGCTGAGGCAGGAGAATCGCTTGAACCCAGGAGGTGGAGGTTGCAGTGAGTCAAGATTGAGCCATTGCACTCCAGTCTGGGCAAAAAGAGTGACACTCCGTCTCCATAAATAAATAAATAAAATAAAGGTGACCCAGCAAAGTCAGTGCTTTTAAATTTTTAAATTTTAATATCCATAGGAATTCTGCTTTGTTTCCTAAATCTGGTGTTGGCTCCCAACAATCTTGCTATAAAACAATGCTTTGGGAACATGAGCCTTGTCTATCCACTGGCTTTGAGACTCTCGAACACACAGTTAGTGTTTTGAACTCAATTTTTTGGACCTAGTTTTTCTGCCTGTTTGCTTTCTTAAAACACAGGGTCTTGCTCTGTTGCCCAGGCTGGAGTGCCGGGGCAGGATCATAGCTCACTGCAGCCTTGAACTTCTGGGCTCAAGCGATCCTCCCGCCTCAGCCTCTGGAGTAGCTGGGACCACAGGCGCATGCTACCAGGTCTGGCTGATTTTCTTTTTTTTTTTTTGAGACGGAGTCTCGCCCTGTAGCCCAGGCTGGAGTGCAGTGGCACCATCTTGGCTCACTGCAACTTCCGCCTCCCAGGTTCAAGAGATTCTCCTGCCTCAGTCTCCCGAGTACTTGGGATTACAGGCGCGCGCCTCCACGTCCGGCTAATTTTGATATCTTAGAGATACAAAAATTAGAGACGAGACGGGATTTCGCCATGTTGGCCAGGCTGGTCTCGAACTCCTGACCTCGTGATCCGCCCGCCTGGGCCTCCCAGAGCGCTGGGATTACAGGCGTGAGCCACCACGCCTGGCCTTTTTTTTTTTTTTTTTTTTTTTTTTTAAATTTTAAGAGATGGGGTCTCGCTTTGTTGCCTAGGCTGGTCTCAACTCCTGGCTTCAAGCAATCCTCCCAACTGCGCCTCCTAAAGGGCTGGAATTACAGGCATGAGCCACAGCGCGGCCGCGGAGGACTTAATTTGAGAACCTGAAGCTAAATGACCAAGGGCTTTGGTGCACGGATCAGGACGCTTCTCTCCGGCACATAGTTTTCTCGCTCCCGCCGGTGCAGACACTGGGCGCCCTGCAGGCGAAGCCCCGCCCCTCCGGACACAACCCCGCGCCTTCCTCAGAGATCCCCGCCCTCGAGACGCCCCGCCCACCCACCGGATGCTCGGCATGAACCACTAGGCGCCTGGCGGGGGTGATCTGTCGGAGCGACCGGCTTGGCGCCTGCCTGTCCCCAGCCCCTCTCAGCTTGAACTCCTTCCTTCAAGTCTGGGCCCTCGAGGCTTCCAGAGCGGCCTCCAGGGGTGCAGTCTCAGTTCCCCACGCCAGCCGTCTCCGTCCTCCGCCTCCTCCGGGCCTGGCAGGTGGCACTGTCCGGAGGCGGAGCCTTGGGCGAGGGGTGGTTGCGGCGGAGGACGCAACCGAGCGGTGAGGCGCGTGGGCCTTCGGGGGTCGAGGTCGTGGTAGTGGGGCGCGGGGAGGCCAAGACCCGGCCGAGGGGGGCGGGCGGGCCAGGGAGCAGCCCAGCCCGGGGCGTGCGCGACCTGGGCTCGCTTCCCAGCCCGACTGTGGCCGCCTGCTCTGGCGCCCCTTCTGGACTCTCGGGCCTGGCGCTCGCGGCCAAAACTGACTTCAAAGTGTGGGGAGGGTTCCTCTTCCCGGGACGCAGCCTTCCCGGGCATTGGCAGACGGTGCCCCGGTTAGACAGAGCCGCTGACCACCCCGCCCACCCCCGAGGCTGGACGCACGGATGCACACCTGGTCCTGGGAGAGACAGGCGCCCCTTCCTTTCCGCACCCCGCCGCCCCCCTCTCCCCCCCGCCGGCTTCAGATGCAGCCACCACTAATCCTGGGAGGGACAGACACACGGACAGGTGCCCCTTCCCCTCCTCACCCTCCTACTGGCTGCAGAACAGCAAATGCAGCCACCACTGACCCTGAGAGGGACAGACACACGGACAGGCGCCCCTTCCCCTCCGCACCCCCCTGCTGGCTTCAGGACGTCAAATGCAGCCACCACTTGACGCTGGGAGGGACAGAAACTTTCCAGCCCAGGCTGGCCCTGGGGCATGGGTAGACATCCCCTTGCACACATGGCTGACCCCGGAACTCAAAGATGCCCCTGACTCTGGCCCACCTGCAGCCTGGGCCAGCACCACGCTGTTGCCCCGACTGCACCAAAGACCAAGGGTGACAGACTTTGAGTTCCGGAGGCCTTGTGGTTTCAGCTAGACCCTCATCTGCCCCTTTCAGCCCCGCCACCAGCGCTCAGGGCCCCACCTAGACCAAAGCTTTGCATCCATCCCTGCAGTACAGACCTCTGGTCTGGGGATCATGGTTCTCCTGGTCTGAGATGAAAGTTCTGGGGCCCCTTCCCAGGCCTGAGCAGGCATGGTGGGCTGCTGTGACTAGAGCGAGCTGGGTCTGGAGTGGGCATTGAGGTTTGGCTCTCACATTGCCTTTGCAGGGCCTGCGGCCTCACCATGGACCCAGAATGCGCCCAGCTGCTCCCGGCTCTCTGTGCTGTTCTGGTAGATCCCAGGCAGCCGGTGGCAGATGACACCTGTTTGGAGAAGCTCCTGGACTGGTTTAAAACGGTCACTGAAGGAGGTAAGGAGGTGGTGCTGCTGTTTACTGCCTATCCAGAGACCAGACGCAGAGGCTGGGACAGGGAGCAGGGGCCAGATGGGGACTCCCCTGTCCTGGAGGAAGGGCAGAAACTGCCAATCAGATGTCTTTCCTTCACTTCCTAAGGATTATCTGTGGCAGACTGAGGGCAAGTTAAGATGAAGCCCGAGAGAATGATCTGGAGAGTTAGAGCCTGAAATTCAGCCAGTTGAGCCACGATCAGGGCACCCCAAGGTTCAGTTCTACAGAAGGCGTGAACAAACTTGTTTTATTGTTGTTCTCGTTGTATTTAGTGTGTTTAAGACATCAGATTTGTTTTCTTTCTGATTATGAAAGTAGGGGCCGGATGCAGTGGCTCATACCTGTAATCCCAGCACTTTGGGAGGCTGAGGCGAGCGGATTGCTTAAGTCCAGGAGTTCAAGACCAGCCTGGTCCAACATAGCGAGACGTCATCTCTAAAAAAAAAAAAAACAAAAATTAGCTGTGCCTGGTGGCGCACCTGTAGTCCCAGCTACTCTGGAGGCTGAGATGGGAGGATCCTTTGAGTCCGGGAGGTAGAGGTTGCAGTGAGCTATGATTGTGCCACTGCACCCTGACCTGGGTGATAGAGTGAGACCCTGTCTCAAAAAAAAAAAACAAAGTAATACATGTTCTTTAAAACATGAACAAAAGAGTAAAGAGGAAAATTAAACCATCAACGTTTTAATTTACTCCCAGCCTTTTCATAACACATAAAGCTGTATTTTTCTGGGGAAAAAAAAATGAGGTCATACTGTAAACACAATTTTGGTGTCTTGCTTTCTCTCTTGCTATCATAGTGAGTGTTTTCTCCACATAATATGTTAATGTTATTGACTACATGTTATTTGCTGTAGGAATAGACCATAATTAATTGAATCACTCCACTGTCAGATGTTTATATTTCTCATTTTTCATCATTTTAAGTAGTGTCATAGGTCAGGCGCGGTGACTCATGCTTGTAATCCCATCACTTTGGGAGGCCAAGGCGGGTAGGTCACTTGAAGTCAGGAGTTCGAAACCAGCCTGGCCAACATGGTGAGACCTCGTCTCTACTAAAAATAAAAAAATTAGCCGGGCATGGTGGCATGCGCCGTAATCCCAGCTACTTGGGAGACTGAGGGGGAGGATCGCTTGAACCCAGGAAGCGGAGGTTGCAGTGAGCCCAGATCGTGCCACTGCACTCCAGCGACAGAATGGACTCTGTCTCAAAAAAATAGTGTCAGTCGAGCGCGGTGGCTCAAGCCTGTAATCCCAGCACTTTGGGAGACCGAGGCAGGCAGATCACGAGGTCTGGAGATCAAGACCCTCCTGGCTAACATGGTGAAACCCCGTCTCTACTAAAAATACAAAAAAAAAAAAAATAGCCAGACGTGGTGGTGGGCGCCTGTAGTCCCAGTTACTTGGGAGGCTGGGCAGGAGAATGGCGTGAACACAGGAGGCAGAGCTTGCAGTGAGCCGAGATCACGCCACTGCACTGCAGCCTGGGCGACAGAGCGAGATTCCGTCTCAAAAAAAAAAAAATAGTGTCATAATGGCTTTCCTTTTACATAAATATTCTCGCATGTAAATGTTTATTCTCATGGTTGATAATTGCATTGGGATAGACTGCATGTTGTTAATTTCTGCTATTCTTTACTTCCTTTTTTTGGTTTACCGTGTTCTTTTATTCTTTTTATTTTTAAATTATATTGTATTTTTTTTTTTAAGGATGGGGTCTCACCGTATTGCCCAAGCTGTTTTCGATCTCCTGGGCTCAGGCAGTCACCTGCCTCTGCTTCCCAAAGTGCCTTTTACCCTCTTTGAGCTAAATATCTAGGTCTTCCTTGTTTTCTAATATATATATTTAAGGCCAGGCACGGTGGTTCATGCCTATAATCCCAGCACTTTGGGAGGCTGAGGCAGGCAGATCACTTGAGGTCAGGAGTTGGAGACCAGCCTGGCTAACATGGTGAAACCCCGTCTCTACTAAAAATACAAGAATTAGCCTGACATGGTGGTCCATGCCTGTAATCCCAGCTACTCGGGAGGCTGAAGCAGGAGAATCACTTGAACCTGGGAGGCAGAGGTTGCAGTGAGCCGAGATAACGCCATTGCACTCCAGCCAGGGCAATGGAGTGAGACTCTTGTCTCAAAAAAAAAAAAAAAAAAAAAAAAAAAATATATATATATATATATATATATATTTAAGACTATGCATTTCTCTAAAAGTATGACTTTAGCTACATCTTACACGTTTTACATTGCAGTACTTTGGTTTTAATTTAGTTCTGAGTATTTTATGCTTTTCATTATAATTTTTTTTTCACCCACAAGTTACTTAAAAGAGTATCCTTTAGTTTCAAAATATGGATTTTTCCAGTCTTTTTATTATTGATTTTTAATTTACTTTGTGGAGGTTAGAAAACATAACATATGTTTTGAATCTTTATAGCTGTTGAGACTTTTATTGAGACATAGGACCCAGGCGAGTTTTCTCAATGTTCTAGAGATTTCACTATATGATTTTGATGTTTTGGTATTTGAAGGTCTTCAACTGTGGCCTAGTTTGTAGTAGTCAGTTTTTCTTTTTCTTTTTTTTTTTTTTTGAGCCAGGGTTTTTGCGCGTCACCCAGGATGGAGTGCAATGGCGTGAACACGGCTCACTGCAGCCTTGACCTCCTGGGCAGTCCGCCTGCCTCATTCTCTTGAGTTCCTGGGATCAAGGTGTGTACCAGGCCCAGCTATTTTTTTTTTTCCCATAGAGATGAGGTCTCACCATCTTGTCCAGGCCAGCTTGGAACTCCTGGGCTCAAGCAGTCTTCCCGCCTGGGCTTCCCAAAGTGCTGGGATTACAGGAGCGAGCCACCATGCCTGGCCTGTATTTAAATTTTAAGAAGTATTTTTCAGTAGCTTTATTGAGATATAATTTGCATACCATGCCATTCTCCCATTTAAGGTGTACCAGATCCTTTTACAGTTTGTAAGCATGAGATATATATATATCTATATATAGATATATATATAGATATAGATTTTTTTTTTTTTGAGACCAAGTCTTGCTCTGTTGCCCAGGCTGGGGTGCAATGGCACAATCTTGGCTCACTGCAACCTCCGCCTCCTGGGTTTCAAACGATTCTCCTGCCTCAGCCTCCTGAGTACCTGCGATTAAAGGTGCATGCCACCATGCCCGGCCAATTTTTGTATTTTTAGTAGAGGTGGGATTTCATCATGTTGGCCAGGCTGGTCTCGAACTCCTGACCTCAGGTGATCCCTCCACCTTGGCCTCCCAAAGTGCTGGGGTTACAGTGGAGAGCCACTGCACCCAACCTAAGCATGATAATTGAGTGTTCAGGCGCATGTGTGAGATGTGGCACCATGGAACCCTGGTATGATGTCGGTACGTGACCCGTCTGACATGAGAAATGGACAAAATAAATAAATAAATGGTACCAATTCAACAGTTCTTAGTAAATTTACAGGGCTCTGAAATCATCAGCACAATCTAATTTTGTTCCCCCTAAAGAAACCGAGTCTGGGTTCACAGTGAGTCCCTGTTTCCTCCTCCCTCCCAGCCTCTGTCATTTCTCCTGCATTGTACTTGATGGAAAGAGTGTAGTTTCCACACTCGTTCATTAGTTCAGACCTGCTATGTTCTTGCTAATTTGTTTGCTTGTTTCTGAGAGGTGTGTAAAAAGCTTACACCAAGATCATGGATTCATGATTTTTCTTTGAGATGCATCCTTTTTTTTTTTTTCGCTTTACATATTATTTTTTTCTTTTTCTTTTCTTTCTTTTTTTTTTTTTGTTTTTTTTTTTTTGAGATGGAGTCTTGCTCTATTGCCCAGGCTGGAGTGCAGTGGCATGATCTCGGTTCACTGCAGCCTCGACTTCTTGGGCTCAGATGATTCTCTCACCTCAGCCTCCCTAATAGCTGGGACCACAGGAGCCCGCCACCACGCCCGGCTAAGTTTTTGTATTTTTTGTAGTGACGGGGTTTCACTATGTAGCCCAGGCTGGTCTCAAACTCCTGGGCTCAAGCAGTCTGCCCGCCTTGGCCTCTCAAATCGCTGCAATTACAGGTGTGAGGCACTGTGCCTGGCATTTTTTTTTTCTTTTTTTTTTGGAGACAGGGTCTCACTCTGTCACTCAGGCTAGAGTGCAGTGGTGTGATCACGGCTCACTGTAGCCTCAACTTCCTGGGCTCAAGTGATCCTCCCACCCCAGCCTCCTGGATGGCTGGGACTACAGGGACACACCACCACACCCAGCTAATTTTTTGTATTTTTTTGCGGAGACGGGGTTTCACCACGTTGCCCAGGCTGCTTTACACGTTTTGAAGTGAGGTTAGGTATACATAGATGTAGGAATGTTGTGTCTTTCTGGAATTTATCTCCGTGATCAGTTAACTTACTTCTGCATGAATACTGCTTTTTGCTTTACAGCCCATTTTGTTTGCTATTTCTGTTGCTACATCAGCTTCTTTAAAGTTAGAATTTGCCTACTGTGTCTTTTCTCTCCTGCTCCCAGCCTTTCCTGTCGTTGCATTTTATTGCTTTTAGAAACACCACATTGCTTGTTTTTAGTGTTTAATTTAATCTCAGCAACTCTTTCTTTTAACAGATAAGTTTGATCTCTTTAATTTGTTGAGGCGACTGTTAGATTTGAATTCTTTTGTATTTTTTAATTTCCTGTGCCTTACCTTTGTGCCTTTATCCTCCTTTTCTGCCCTCCATCAGATTGATAAAGCTTTTTTTTTTCTTTTAAATCTTTCCTCTTCTGGTTTTGAAGTTATACATTCTATTTATGTTCTTCTTTTTAGACAAGTTCTTGTGCTGTTGTCCAGGACAGTGGTGTAATCACGGCTCACTGCAGCCTTGACCTCCTGGGCTCAGGTGATCTTCCCATCTCAGCTTCCAGTGTAGCTGGGACTATAGATGCGCGCCACCATGCCCAGCGAATTTTTATAGAGAGGGGATCTTCCTGTGTTGCCCAAGCTGGTCTTAAAACTCCTGGGCTCAGGCAATCTGCCCACCTCGGCCTCTCAAGATGCTGGGACCACAGGCTTATTTGTGTTCTTCAGTGGCTACCCTTATATTTTTAACATGAGAACCGGATTTTTTAAAAAGTCTGAAGTTAATTAGACTTTCCATTCTCTATCCAGGCAACCGAAGGACCTCAGAGCACTTGAACTTCAGGCCATCACAACCTTCTATTATTGTCGTTAGTATTTTAATTCTGTTTTGTTTCAAAACCCTTCAACAATGATTTTTTAGATTTTGAACTCAGTGGCATTGTTTTTTGTTTGTTTGTTTGTTTGTTTTTGAGACAGAGTCTTGCCCTGTCACCAGGCTGGAGTGCAGTGGTGCGATCTCGGCTCACCGCAACCTCCACCTCCCGAGTTCAAGCAGTTCTCCTGCCTCAGCCTCCCAAATAGCTGGGACCACAGGCGCCCGCCACCATGCCTGGCTAATTTTTTATATTTTAGTAGAGACAGGGTTTCATTCACCATGTTTGCCAGGATGGTCTCAATCTCCTGACCTCGTGATCTGCCTGCCTTGGCCTTCAAAAGTGCTGGGATTACAGGCGTGAGCCACCACGCCCCGCCTTTTTTTTTTTTAGAGAGACAGGGTCTCCCTCTGTCGCCCAGGCTGGAGTACAGTGGTGCAGTGATAGCTTGCTGCAGCCTCGAACTCCTGGGCTCAAGCAATCCTCCCGTCTCAGCCTCCTGAGTAGCTGGGACTGCAGATGTGTGCCACCATGCCGGGCTAATTTTTTTTTATTTTTTGTAGAGACAGGGTCTTGCTATGTTGTTCTCCTGCCTTGGCCTCCCAAAGTGCTGGGACTACAGGTATGAGCACCTCACCCAGCCTGCAGTGCTGATTCAGGTGGACATAGTGCTTTTTGGGTCCTGGCCTGGTTCTCCTCCTCTGCATGCTCCTCACTCTCCTTACTGAACCACATTCTTTCCACAGGGGCTTCTCACTGGGAAACTCTCCCAACCTTTGCCTCAAAATGTCTTTTTCCCCCACTGGTGCTTTTGAGCGATAGCATAGCTGGTTATAGAAATACAGGATGCCAGTTCTGGAGAGGAATGTTTGTTCCATTGTACCTGCTTGCATGGAGCACTGTCTAAGGAAAAGTACCCATTTGGAAGGTGAAAATGCTCTTCCACTTTTTTTTTTTTTTTTTTTTGGAATGGAGTCTCGCTCTGTCGCCCAGGGCTGGAGTGTGCCGTGTGCAATGACGTGGTCTTGGCTCACTGCAGCCTCTGCCTCCCAGGTTCAAGCGATTCTCCTGCCTCAGCCTTCCAATTAGCTGGGACTACAGGCATGAGCCACCACACCTGGCTAATTTTTTGTATTTTTAGTAGAGATGGGACTTCGCCATGTTGGCCAGGCTGGTCTCGAACTCCTGAGCTCAAGTGACCACCCGCCTTGGCCTCCTAACGTGTTGGGATTACAGGCGTGAGCCACCACGCCCAGCCTGGTCTTTCACTTTAATTTGCATTTCTTTTTCACTATCAGTGAGACAGAACATTTTTTCAGCATTTTTGGCCATTCACCTGTTGTGAAAGGTGACAGTGTTCCGCCTTTCACCTGTTGTTAAGGTGTTGGCTTTCTAGCCCTTACTGAATTAAAATTATGAGTCATTTGCCGTATTTGTTGCAGATATTTTTTTCCCAGTTGGATCCCTAAATCTAACACCCTGCAAGAAAAGGGTCTGGGAATTGCTAGGAGAAGAGCGGTCATCCAGGGGGACACCTGGTGCCGTACCCCTGGTGACCCCTGGGCTGGGCCATCCCCACAGAGTCCAGTGTCGTGCTGCTGCAGGAGCACCCCTGCCTGGTGGAGCTGCTGTCCCATGTGCTGAAAGTCCAGGACCTGAGTTCTGGGGTCCTCTCCTTCTCACTGCGCCTGGCAGGAACCTTCGCAGCCCAGGAAAACTGCTTCCAGTATCTTCAGGTGAGCCTGGGGCCTCCCACCTGAGTGTCCCGTGGAGAGGTGGGCAGGCTTTTCCTCCCGCAGCCAGGTGGGGCATTTGTAGCCATCACCATCCCAAGTCCCAGCGGCCTGCCCCGACCCTGTGTCCTCACTAGAACTGCATGTTTTTTACCCCCGACTGTAGCCCCCTTTGAAAAATTCGCCCGGAGTGATGCTGGGGCTAAGGAGTTGAGGTTTTTTGGAATAAGATGACTGGCACGGGCTCCCAGCTCTGACCAGCTGTCTGAGCTTGCCCACGGCCGCAAGCCTCCATCTCTTCCTGGGACGGAGACAGGAGTCGCAGCTGCGCCGTGGCCTCCGTCTCTTCCTGGGACGGAGACAGGAGTCGTAGCTGCCCCGTGGCCCCCGTCTCTTCCTGGGACGGAGACAGGAGTCGTAGCTGCGCCGTGGGGTTGTCGTGAGGACCAAATGAGACCGCACATCCTGCACCTCCAGCGACCCAGCCTACAAATGAATGAATAACTAATGAGAATGTGAATGACTAATGAGAATGTCTTTTTTTTAAAAAATTAATTTTATTTATTTTTATTTTATTTTATTATTATTTTTCGAGACAGAGTCTTGCTCTGTCACCCAGGCTGGAGTGCAATGGTTCGAACTCAGCTAACTGCAGTCTCCACCTCCCAGGTTCAAGCGATTCTCCTGCCTCAGCCTCCCGAGTATCTGGGACTACAGGCACCTGCCACCACGCCCAGCTAATTTTTGTAGTTTTAGTAGAGACAGGATTTCACCATTTTGGCCAGGCTGATCACGAACTCCTTGACCTCAAGTGATCCGTCTGCCTCGGCCTCCCAAAATGCTAGGATTACAGGCGTGAGCCACCATACCCGGCCTTTTTTTGTTTTGTTTTTTAGAGACAGAGTCCTGCTCTGTCGTCCAGGCTGGAGTGCAGTGGCAGCTCACTGCAGCCTTGACCTCCTGGGCTCAAGTGACCCTCCCCATTCAGCTTCCCGAGTAGCTGGGTCCACAGGTGCATGAACCACACCTGGCTAACTTTGTTATCTTTGGTAGAGATGGGGTCTCACTATGTTGCCCAGGCTGGTCTCAAACTCCTGGTCTCAAGCGATCATCCTGCCTCGGCCTCCCAAAGTGTTGGGATACAGTCGTGAGCCACTGCTCCCAGCCAAGAATTTCTACATAGCAAGGCATGAGAGCTCGAGAGCCTCCCAGAGCTGTGTCTTCCAGCTTCAAGTGCCTCAGACAGGCACCGCTGAGTCTGTCGGGATGCGTGGTGTGAGCTTCAGGGCCCTTGCCCGTCTACCACGACGGCTTCTCTTGGTGCCTCACAGGCCCTCGCCAGGTTGTGCGAAGGCACATCCAGTACCGTTAGCTTGCCGTTCACGATGCCCCCCAGTTAAGCAGCTGCAGGCTCCCTAGCAGCCCACCCAGGCACCATCTTGCTGCAGGACAGACTTTCCAAGGTGTCCTAGGGTGCTGCCGTACAGTGAATCCGGGGGCCCTTGTCTGTCAGCAGCTGGTATGAAAGTACCCTCCAGGCTGGGCACGGTGGCTCATGCCTATAATCCCAGCACTTTGGGAGGCTGAGGCAGGCGGATCACCTGAGGTCAGGAGTTCGAGACCAGGCTAACCAACATGGTAAAGCCCTGTCTCTACTAAAAATGAAAAAATTAGCTGGGTGTGGTGGTGGGCACCTGTAATGCCAGCTACTCAGGAGGCTGAGACAGGAAAATAGCTTGAGCCCAGGAGGCAGAGGTTGCAGTGAGCCGAGATGTGCCACTGCACTCCAGCCTAGGCAACAGAGTGGGACTGTCTCAAAAAAAAAAAAAAGAAGAAGAAAGTGTCCTCCAGAAGTATCTCCACCAGCCCTGGAAAACTGAAAACCCATCTCTGCTTTGCTCCACATCCCTGGAAACCTACCAGGTCCCCTCACCTCTTTTTTTTTTTTTTTTTTTTTTTTTTTGAGATGGAGTCTCGCTGTGTCACCCAGGCTGGTGTGCAGTGGTGCGATCTTGGCTCACTGCAACCTTCGCCTCCCGGGTTCAAGCAATTCTCCTGCCTCAGCCTTCTTAGTAGCTGGGATTACAGGTGCATGCCACCACACCCAGCAAATTTTTGTATTTCTAGTAGAGATGGGGTTTCACCATGTTGGTCAGGCTGGTCTCGAACTCCTGACCTCGTGATCTGCCCTCCTCGGCCTCCCAAAGTGCTGGGATTACAGGCTTCAGCCACTGCGCCTGGCCACCCTCACTTCTTTTTTTGCTTCCCAGCAGGGGGAGTTACTACCAGGGCTCTTTGGGGAGCCAGGACCCCTCGGCCGAGCAACCTGGGCCGTCCCCACCGTGCGCAGCGGCTGGATCCAGGGCCTGCGCTCCCTGGCACAGCACCCCAGCGCCCTGCGCTTCCTGGCCGACCATGGTGAGTGCGCCCACACCCCACCCCATTCCTCATCCTGCCTGTGTGATCCCAGGGAATTCACTGCACCTTGCTGAATCTGAGTGTCTGGTCTGTGCGATGTCTCAGGGTTGTTGCAAAGACTGCACTGTGACAGTACGGCTGTCCAGTGTTCTCTGGTTGGCAGGTCAGGCCCTAGGAGCCAGGACGGCTTTCTCAGCCACTTACAGATCAGCCGTGAGGACTCAGTCTTTGAAACTATTTGGGAGCCAGGCGTGGTGATGCGTGGCTATAGTCCCAGCTACTCGGGAGGCTGAAGCAAGAGGATCACTTGAGCCCAGGGGTTCGAGGCTACAGTGAGCAGTGGTTGAGCCACTGCACTCCAACTTAGGCAACAGAGCAAGACCCCGTCTCAAAAAAACAAGAAACGAGGCTGGGCACGGTGGCTCACGCCTGTAATCTCAGCACTTTGGGAGGCCGAGGCGGGTGGATCACCTGAGGTCAGGAGTTCAAGACCAGCCTGGCCAACATGGTGAAACCCTGTCTCTACGAGAATACAAAAATTAGCCGGGCATGATGGCGGGTGCCTGTAATCCCAGCTACTTGGGAGGCTGAGGTGGCAGAATGGCTTGAACCTGGGAGGTGGAAGTTGCAGTGAACTGAGATCGCACCATTGTACTCCACCCTGGGCAACAGAACAAGACTCTGTCTCAAAAAAAAAAAAAAAAAAAACAACAAGAAGGAACGAATTGGGAAGCATCACAAGCTGTGTGTGTTTAACGCTCGGGGGGAGGAGGTGCTTGTCTCCAGGGAGCTTCAGTTCCTGTTCTTTTTTGCTTTTGAGTGGAGAGGCATTTGGGGGCATCTTGGGGGGCCCTCTGCTATTTGTATCTTCCCTGAGGCCCTCTGCCTCCCCCAGCTCTATTCTGGCTCACCCCCTTTTCCCTCTCTTCCCCCATCCCCTACCCAGGTGCGGTCGACACCATCTTCTCCCTGCAGGGAGACTCCAGCCTGTTTGTGGCCTCGGCGGCCAGTCAGCTCCTGGTGCACGTCCTGGCTTTGTCCATGCGAGGTGGAGCCGAGGGGCAGCCCTGCCTGCCGGGGGGTGACTGGCCCGCGTGTGCCCAGAAGATCATGGATCACGTTGAAGAGTCCTTGTGCTCCGCGGCCACCCCCAAGGTCACTCAGGCCCTGAACGTCCTGACCACGACCTTCGGGCGCTGCCAGAGCCCCTGGACGGAAGCCCTGTGGGTGCGGCTGAGTCCCCGCGTGGCCTGTCTGCTGGAGAGAGACCCCATCCCCGCCGCACACTCGTTCGTGGACCTGCTTCTCTGTGTGGCTCGGTCAGGGCCCCGGGACGCAGCTGGGGGGCCTGGGTGGGCAACTGTTTTCCTCGGATAACGCCCAGGGATGTCCCACTGGCAGCCGGAGACTCTCTGAGGACATGGCCTGCAGTGAAGCGGCACCGGGGTGACCCTGGAACCCTCATGGGGAAAGGCCTGTCTTGGGCTGGGCGCCTCCAGTGCCGGAGCCATGGCAGTCTCAGCCAGGCCTCGAATGGGGTTTTGAGGGTGGGGGAGTAATTTTTCTCTCTGGGGTCTCCCTGCAGTTCTCCCGTGTTCAGTTCTTCCGACGGCAGCCTGTGGGAGACAGTGGCGCGGGCTCTGAGCTGCCTGGGTCCCACCCACATGGGACCCCTGGCTTTGGGGATCCTGAAGCTCGAGCACTGGTATGGTCTGGGGTGCATTTCATTCCGAGGCGGGTGCTGGGAGCTGGGGCAGGCAGGGAGGTTGAGAGCGCAGCCCTCATGGCAGGGGAGTTCCGGACACCAGGGACAGTCAGGCGGCCGTGCGGGGTGTGACTGGGTGGTGCGTGGGTTGCGCGCGGCAGCTTCTGAAGGTTCTTTAGCAACAGAATAATTGTTTCAGACCAAAGCTCTGCGAGATCCCCAGAGGTGAGAAGGATGCGGGAGCTGCTCTGCTCAGAGCAGGGTGGTCCTGCCGACGCCCTGCGCTCCGCTGCCCTCCCACCTGTCCCCCACCGCAGCTTTGGTTGGGGGTTTCGGAGCTCCCCAGCACACACACCATGCGGGTGGGGGGCCTGGGGGCGGTGCAACGGCAGAGCCTGGGGTCAGGACAGGTGGGAAGGCCGTGGATGGCCTGCCAGTGTTCCAGGTGGGCTCACAATAGGGGTGGAAGTGACCTCAGGACCTGCTGCCCACAGGGCCCAGGGGTACCATGAGGGTCCAGCTCTGAGCTCCGGGGTCTCCGAATGTTTAGGAGAGAGTAGACCGGGGGAGGATGGAGGAACAGGCCCGGCCCTGCAGGAATGCATTGTGGGGACACTGCCTCCACCTAGGCCCAGACGTGAGGGCAGGTCCCTCCCACAGAGTGGACGCTGTACACACCTGGGGGCACCCCATCCCTGTCCCCCTGAGCGGGCACTGCCCCTCTCTCTGGGTGCATGGCCAGGCCCTCCTGGAGGCCCCTCAGTATCTGCTCCTAAGGACATCAGGAGTGTCAGGCCCATCTCCTTGGTCAGGCCTGTCCTCCCCGCCACTCTGTCCCATGGCATCCCCTGGCCAGTGGCCTGCAGAGAATGTTTCTCGGGGGGTGTCCCAACCCCCTGGCTGATTTGCCCCAGGCTTGCTGGGGACATTAGGAGCACAGCCAACTTGTCTCGCAGCCAGGGTCGCGGCACTCACCTCGCGTTTGTCTCCAGTCCACAGGCACTGAGGACCCAGGCCTTCCAGGTCCTTCTCCAGCCCCTGGCCTGTGTCCTGAAGGCCACGGTTCAGGCCCCCGGACCCCCAGGTGTGCTGCTTAGAAAGGGCTGGGAGGGCAGAACCTGGGTCCCTGCGGCTGGGGGAAGGGAGATGGATGAGAGTAGCTGGCTCGCCACCCCCGCCCCACTTTAATCACACCCAGGCCTCCCTCCAAGAGCAAAGGGGACCGGGGACATGGCCATCTCCCCTGGTGAGCTGCTGCTCTGCACCTAGGTCCTGGCCTGTGCTGTGGGTGGTGACCGTGGGGTGGCTGGTGACCGTGGGGAGGCTGAAGTGCTCTCTAAGGGAGCTCTTCCTGGCTTGGCCCCCAGGCTTGCTGGACGGGACGGCAGACGATGCCACGACGGTGGACACACTCCTGGCCTCCAAGTCGTCCTGCGCCGGCCTCCTGTGCCGCACCCTGGCTCACCTGGAGGAGCTGCAGCCGCTGGTAGGTGCGGCCCGGTCCTCATGCAGCCCAGCAGCATCCACGCTGGCGGTGGGACCGCAACGTAGGCTGACGCCCCCCACCCCTTGCTGCCCCAGCACCCTTGCATCCACGCCAGCAGTGGGACCACAACCTTGGCTGATGTCCCCCGCCCCACATGCCTCGAAGTCCCAGCACCCCTGCATCCACGCCGGCAGTGGGACCGCAACCTTGGCTGACGGCCCTCTTCCTCGCAGCCCCAGCGCCCTTCACCGTGGCCCCAGGCGTCTCTACTGGGGGCTACAGTGACTGTCCTGCGGCTCTGTGACGGCTCGGCTGCCCCTGCCTCCAGTGTGGGGGGCCACCTCTGTGGGACCCTGGCGGGCTGCGTCCGGGTCCAGCGAGCAGCCCTCGACTTCCTGGGGACGCTGTCACAGGGGACAGGTGAGTGTGTTCTGTACGGCTTTGGCGTGGGGCTATCCCTGTGCCCCCACTCTCCTTTCTGCTCGGAGGCACCCGGGAACTGCTGTCCCTCTCTGTTTCTTCTCTGGGGTGGGGGCTGAGGGGTGCAGGGGCCGTGCAGGAGGTTTCAGCTGGCGGATGAGGCCTTGTTCTGCTCCTTCCCAGAGTTGATGGGGAGGGTCCTAGGGTGGGGGTGGGGGTGGTTTATCCACTCACCTCTGTCTCAGGCCCCCAGGAGCTGGTGACGCAGGCGCTTGCTGTCCTCCTGGAGTGCCTCGAGAGCCCCGGCTCCAGCCCCACGGTACGGTGGTGGGGATAGAGAGCGAGGAGAGGAGGGAGGCAGAGGCAGTGGGACCCACCCCTGACTCCACCCCGTCCCGTGCAGGCCTCTGCGGATGGGGCCTTCACACAGGGCCACAGAGCTGCTGCTCAGAGAGCTTCACGATGCAGGTGGCTGCATGGGGCGGGCCCAGGGCCTCTTGTTGGTGAAGATACATCAGCACGCAGGGGTGTGTGGGGCCGTGGGGAGCAGGGGCACTGGTCAGGCGGCCTGCGGGGAATTCTGGACAAGGGAAATGAGGTGGCACCAAGACGGCCCTGGGCGTGGGCTTTGGGTTCTCCTAAGCGCCATTTGTGAATGTGCCTACTCCACAGCCCCTCACGGAGCTGGGCCCTGGCAGGTACAGACCTTGTGCCACCTGCCGCTGAGCAGACAGCAGACAACTTTGGAGGAAGGGCCCAGGGCTTCTTGGGATCCTAAGGAAAAGGTGCCCTGCGTAATTGGTCATGTTTTGATGTAGAAATCCCGTTGCCTGGGTTGTGGGTCTTCTGGTGAGGGCTGCCACCACCTCCTCCTGCTCACAGTCTGGGAAGCCGGTTCTGCAGCATATTCTGCCCTATTAAAATCAGCCCAGGAGGGGCGTGGGGCTCACAGCTGTGATTACTGTGCGTTGGGGGGCCGAGGTGGGGGGATCAATGGAGCCCAGGACTTTTGAGGCCAGCCTGGGCAACATAGCAAGATCCCATCTCTACAAAAAAATAGAAAAATTAGCCCCAGGAGTATAGCTCAGGGGTAGAGCATTTGACTGCAAAAATTAGCCAGGCGTGGTGATGTGTGCCTCTAGCCCCAGCTACTCATGAGGCTGAGGCAGGAGGACTGTTTGAGCCTGGGAGGTGGAGGCTGCAGTGAACTGTGATTGCAGTCCAGCCTGGATGACACATTGAGACCCTGTCTCTAAAAAAGAAGGAAGCCCAGCGTTCCCTTCTCTCTCCACTTCCTGTCCCCATTGCTGTCCCTGGAGTACGGGCAGCACAGGTGAAGGCGAGGGGGACAGACAGACAGCCTGCCCCTCCGTCTCCCGTGGCCCTGCAGCCCACCCTATCTGCTCCAGGTTCTGAAGAAGGCCTTCCAGGCCACGCTCAGGTGGCTCCTGAGCTCACCCAAGACCCCCGGCTGCTCTGATCTCGGCCCCCTCATCCCGCAGTTCCTCAGAGGTAACGCAGCCCCTTGCAGGGGTGAACGGAGCTGGAGTCGCAGGGGTGGAGGCAGCAGGGGCTGGGTGGAATGGCTCAGCTGGCTCTGAGGGCAGGGTGAGCCTGGCCCCAAGGTCACCCTGACCTGTCCCTTCCCACCCTAGAGCTGTTCCCTGTGCTGCAGAAACGCCTGTGCCACCCCTGCTGGGAGGTGAGGGACTCCGCCCTCGAGTTCCTGACCCAGCTGAGCAGGCACTGGGGAGGTGAGTGCTGGCAGGTGGAGGGGCTGCCTTCCCCGCCTGTGGGGGGCTCACTGAGCCAGGGTGCACCAGCAGCCTCTTGCTGGCTCTAGAAACTTGGGCCATGTCGGCTGCCCACAAGGGGATGGAGGCAGAGGCCGAGGCGACAAGGCTCGGCCCTCAGTCACAGCTGCATGTGGCCGTTTCGACCCCCAGGACAGGCTGACTTCAGATGCGCACTCTTGGCTTCAGAGGTGCCTCAGCTGGCCCTGCAGCTCCTCCAGGACCCTGAGAGTTATGTCCGAGCGAGTGCAGTGACCGCCATGGGGCAGCTGTCCAGCCAGGGCCTGCACGCCCCCACCAGCCCTGAGCATGCAGAGGCCCGGCAGGTAGGAGGTGGCAGGTTCCTCAGCCAGCAACTCCCGCCTGGCCATCGTGTGTGCTCGTTTGCTTGCGGGTGGTCGAGCGGCCAGCATGCAGCGTGGGAGCAGCTGCTGCTGTGGGCAGCGCCTGCAGCAGTGACTGCCGAGGCCCTGGGGCTGTGCTGGGTGTGGGACCTGTGCGCTTCGCCTTCTGTCTCCCCAGCACCCCTCCACTTAGACATGGTTACCTCCATTTGACAGATGGGTAAACTGAGGATTGGAGGGCCGTGTGCTCACTGCGCAGCATGGGAAGGTGTCAGAGCGGGCTGTGGCCCTAGACTGCATGTCCGGGGCCAGCCCCCATCATGTACCGGAGTCCTGTTGCGGGAGCCTCGCTCCTGCCACCCCACCAACCATCCGCACTTGCTCCCTGTCCCCCAGAGCCTGTTCCTGGAGCTCCTGCACATCCTCTCCGTAGACTCGGAGGGCTTCCCACGGCGGGCGGTCATGCAAGTCTTCACTGAGTGGCTGCGGGACGGCCACGCCGACGCGGCCCAGGACACGGAGCAGTTCGTGGCCACTGTGCTGCAGGCGGCGAGCCGAGACCTGGACTGGGAGGTCCGCGCCCAGGGCCTGGAGCTGGCCCTCGTGTTCCTGGGCCAGACTTTGGGGCCGCCGCGTACCCACTGCCCCTATGCCGTGGCCCTACCCGAGGTGGCCCCAGCCCAGCCACTCACCGAGGCACTGAGGGCTCTCTGCCACGTGGGGCTCTTTGACTTCGCCTTTTGTGCCTTGTTTGACTGCGACCGCCCTGTGGCGCAGAAGTCTTGTGACCTCCTTCTCTTCCTGAGGGACAAGATTGCTTCCTACAGCAGCCTGCGGGAGGCCAGGGGCAGCCCCAACACTGCCTCCGCAGAGGCCACCCTGCCGAGGTGGCGGGCGGGTGAGCAGGCCCAGCCCCCAGGGGACCAGGAGCCTGAGGCTGTGCTGGCCATGCTCAGGTCCCTAGACCTGGAGGGCCTGCGGAGCACGCTGGCCGAGAGCAGCGACCACGTGGAAAAGAGTCCCCAGTCCCTCCTGCAGGACATGCTGGCCACGGGAGGCTTCCTGCAGGGGGACGAGGCCGACTGCTACTGAGCAGAACCAGAGTCTGCCACTGGGGCTCAGGACCAAGGGAGGCAGCACCATGTCCTTCTGTGGGACACTGCCAGCCCCAGGGCTCCAGCCCAGCCCGGTGGATCCTCTGGGGAAGCCAGGACCAGGAGAGAAGCAAGGTCAAGAAATCCCACAGTTTGATGTATTAAAGAAATGACTTATTTCTACTCAAAATAAATGGCATTGAAGTCTTTCTTTAACCCTTTTTGAGTTAATTTAATAATAATGATCTGAGACAAGGGTCCAGTGTCATTCATTCGCATGTGGATATCCAGTTTTCCCAGCACTGTTTATTTTTTATCTATCTGTCTGTCTGTCTGTTTTTTGTGATGGAGTTTCGCTCTTGTTGCCCAAGCTGGAGTGCAATGGCACGATCTCGGCTCACTGCAACCTCTGCCTCCTGGGTTCAAGTGATTCTCCTGCCTCAGCCTCCCGAGTAGCTGGGATTACAGGCGCACGCCACCATGCCTGGCTAATTTTTTTGTATTTTTAGTAGAAACGGAGTTTCACCATGTTAGCCAGGCTGGTCTCGAACTCCTGACCTCAGGTGATTGACCCACCTCAGCCTCCCAAAGTGCTGTGATTACAGGCGTGAGCCACTCCGCCCGGCCAATTTATTTTGGTTAAAATTATTCCTGGGGGCTGGGCGCAGTGGCTCACGCCTGTAATTCCAACACTTCGGGAGGCCGAGGTAGGAGGATTGTTTAAGGCCAGGAGTTTGAGAATAGCCTGGACAACATAGCAAGACCCCATCTCTACACATTTTTTTTTGTTCAGAGATGGAGTCTCAGTCTTGTTGCCCAGGCTGGAGTGCAGTGGTGTGATCTCGGCTCACTGCAACCTCCGCCTCCTGGGTTCAAGCAATTCTGCCTCAGCCTCCCCAGTAGCTGGGATTACAGGCGCCCACCATCATGCCTGGCTAATTTTTGTATTTTTAGTAGAGACAGAATCTCACCAGTTTGGCCAGGCTGGTCTCAAACTCCTAACCTCAGGTGATCCACCTGCCGTATCTCTTTTGTTTTTAATTAGCTGGGCATGGTGGTATGCACCTGAAGTCCCAGCTACTTGGGAGGCTGAGGTGGGAGGATTGCTTGAGCCCAGGAGTTCGAGGCTGCAGTGAGCCGTGATCACACCACCGCACTCCAGCCTGGGTGACAGAGAGAGACCCTATGTCAAAACAACGCATTGAGTGCTTGGAGTTCTCTGCATTCTTGGCAGCACCTCAAATCTGTGCTAGCACCTCAAATCTGTGCTAGAGAAGACCTGTAGCCCTAACTTCTGAAGAACTTTTTCTTTTTGCTTCTCTTAGCACCAAGTGTCTTTCGTGTGGAGGGAGCAGGGCTAATTCCGTTTCATTCTTACCCTAAGAGTGTAGACCTTTAGGTTTTCAGCTTAAGGTGGGAAGGGTTTTCTATAATGCTCCCCATTTTGGGCAGGACTGGCCCTTGACTTCTGTCCCCCTGACCCCTCAAGGCCACAGAATGAGAACCCAAGTTTGCTGGTTTTGGCAAATGCCCTCCAACAAAAGGGCACCTCCCGGGTGGCACAGCCGTGGGCTGGTGCGCCCCACCAGGGTGCAGCAGTGACATCAGCCCCGCCTCGGGGCACATGTCCCTTCCTGGTGACAGCAGGCTAGGTGCCTGGACCAGCCGTTTCCCTGAAGACGATGAAACACGCTGGGTGAAATATCCAAAGGCCAGGAACACTGAACAGCTGACAAGATAGCAGGTAATTAAATGCCAGGCCTCGTGCTGGAGGAAAACTGGACTCAGATACAAGGCCCTCCCACAGGGATCTGGAGAGCCTGGCTCTCAGCTCTGGCCTGGGGGAACTCAGAGAGGGAGGGGCTCTGCGGATCAGCTGCCCCTAGGCAGTAACACTGAACCGCAGTACCCAGTGAAAAGAGACTGCAGGGCCCAGCGTGGTGGCTCACGCCTGTAATCTCAGCACTTTGGGAGGCCGAGGTGGGCGGATCTCTCGAGCTCAGGAGTTCAAGACCAGCCTGGCTAACACGGTGAGACCCCGTCCACTAAAAATACAAAAATTAGCTAGGCATGGTGGTGGGCACCTGTAATCACAGCTACTCAGGAGGCTGAGGCAGGAGAATCACTTGAATCCGGGAGGCAAAGGTTGCAGTGAGCCAAAATCACACCACTGCACTCTATCCTGGGCAACAGAGTGAGACTCTGTCTCAAAAAAAAAAAAAAAGGAGCGAGCCGGGGCGCAGTGGCTCACGCCTGTAATCCCAGCATTTTGAGAGGCCGAGGCGGGTGGATCACTTGAGGTCAGGAGTTCAGGACCAGCCTGGCCAACATGGTGAGACCTTGTCTACTAAAAATACAAAAATTAGCTGGGCATGGTGGCAGGTGCCTGTCATCCCAGCTACTCAGGAGGCTGAGGTAGGAGAATCGCTTGAACCCGGGAGGCAGAGGTTGCAGTGAGCCAAGATTGTGCCACTGCACTCCAGCCTGGGTGACAGAATGAGACTCTGTCTCAAAAAACAAACAAACAGAGACTAGAAACTCACACCAATCATTACCTCGTAAGTGCAGTTAGCTCAGGAAGTACAATATTTCCAAAAAGGGGAGAGGTTGCAATTAGCCAAGACTGTGCCATTGCACTCCAGCCTGGGCAACAAGAACGAAACTCCGAGGAAAACCTCTGACACACAGCCTCTCCCTCTCCCTCTCCCTCTCCCTCTCCCTCCCCCTCCCCCTCCCCCTCCCCCTCTCCCTCTCCCTCTCCGTCTCCCTCTCTCTCCACGGTCTCCTTCCACGGTCTCCCTCTGATGCCAAGCCAAAGCTGGACGGTACTGCTGCCATCTCGGCTCACTGCAACCTCCCTGCCTGATTCTCCTGCCTCAGCCTGCCGAGTGCCTGTGATTGCAGGCGCGCGCCGCCACGCCTGACTGGTTTTCGTTTTTTTTTTTGGTGGAGACGGGGTTTTGCTGTGTTGGCCGGGCTGGTCTCCAGCTCCTAACCGCGAGTGATCCGCCAGCCTCGGCCTCCCGAGGTGCTGGGATTGCAGACGGAGTCTCGTTCACTCAGTGCTCAATGGTGCCCAGGCTGGAGTGCAGCGGCGTGATCTCGGCTCGCTACAACCTCCACCTCCCAGCTGCCCGCCTTGGCCCCCCAAAGTGCCAAGATTGCAGCCTCTGCCCAGCCGCCACCCCATGTGGGAAGTGAGGAGCGTCTCTGCCTGGCCCCCCATCGTCTGGGATATGAGGAGCCTCTCTGCCTGGCTGCCCAGTCTGGAAAGTGAGGAGCGTCTCTGCCCGGCCGCCATCCCATCTAGGAAGTGAGGAGCGCCTCTTCCCGGCCGCCATCCCATCTAGGAAGCGAGGAGCGCCTCTTCCCCGCCGCCCATCGTCTGAGATGTGGGGAGCGCCTCTGCCCCGCCGCCCTGTCTGGGATGTGAGGAGCGCCTCTGCTGGGCCGCAACCCTGTCTGGGAGGTGAGGAGCGTCTCTGCCCGGCCGCCCCGTCTGAGAAGTGAGGAAACCCTCTGCCTGGCAACCGCCCCGTCTGAGAAGTGAGGAGCCCCTCCGCCCGGCAGCTGCCCCGTCTGGGAAGTGAGGAGCGTCTCCGCCCGGCAGCCGCCCCGTCCGGGAGGGAGGTGGGGGGGGGTCAGCCCCCCGCCGGGCCAGCCGCCCCGTCCGGGAGGTGAGGGGCTCCTCTGCCCGGCCGCCCCTACTGGGAAGTGAGGAGCCCTCTGCCCGGCCAGCCGCCCCGTCCGGGAGGGAGGTGGGGGGTCAGCCCCCCGCCCGGCCAGCCGCCCAGTCCGGGAGGGAGGTGGGGGGTCAGCCCCCCGCCCAGCCAGCCGCCCCGTCCGGGAGGGAGGTGGGGGGATCAGCCCCCCGCCTGGCCAGCCGCCCCATCCGGGAGGTGAGGGGCGCCTCTGCCCGGCCGCCCCTACTGGGAAGTGAGGAGCCCCTCTGCCCGGCCAGCCGCCCCGTCCGGGAGGTGAGGGGTGCTTCTGCCCGGCCGCCCCTACTGGGAAGTGAGGAGCCCCTCTGCCCGGCCACGACCCCGTCTGGGAGGTGTGCCCAGCGGCTCATTGGGGATGGGCCATGATGACAATGGCGGTTTTGTGGAATAGAAAGGCGGGAAGGGTGGGGAAAAAATTGAGAAATCGGATGGTTGCCGGGTCTGTGTGGATAGAAGTAGACATGGGAGACTTTTCATTTTGTTCTGTACTAAGAAAAATTCTTCTGCCTTGGGATCCTGTTGATCTGTCACCTTATCCCCAACCCCGTGCTCTCTGAAACATGTGCTGTGTCCACTCAGGGTTAAATGGATTAAGGGCGGTGCAAGATGTGCTTTGTTAAACAGATGCTTGAAGGCAGCATGCTCGTTAAGAGTCATCACCACTCCCTAATCTCAAGTACCCAGGGACACAAACACTGCGGAAGGCCGCAGGGACCTCTGCCTAGGAAAACCAGAGACCTTTGTTCACTTGTTTATCTGCTGACCTTCCCTCCACTATTGTCCTGTGACCCTGCCAAATCCCCCTCTGCGAGAAACACCCAAGAATGATCAATAAAAAAAAAAAAAATAAAAAAAAAAAGAACGAAACTCCATCTCAAAAAAAAAAAAAAAAAAAAAATCTCCCAAAGAAATACCAATAAACAAGAAAATAGTCAAATGTAAAAAAAAAAAAAAAAAAAAAAAAAAAATTTCCAAAAAGGTGACCACAGGGAGAAAAACATGAAGATAACCACCAGCTCAGACCCAGCCGGGGCTTGTGGCCATGCCCACCTGCTCCTGTGTGTCCTGGGCCTCGGGCAAGCCACTCATCCTCTCCCCACTGTTTCCAGTCTGTAAGCTGGGATTAGTGACGCTGCCTTCTCAGTTGTGGGAACCTAGAAGGCAGCAATGGGCCTCTCTCCCTAGGTTGCAACCCGGGGCTGGCACGTAGTAGGTCTGTTTCCAGCTGCCACACACGCTACCTTACCAGGGGTCCCCAAGAGACAGGACAGGGTGATGGGCCCATTTCACAGGGGGAAAAACCGAGGCAAAGAAAGGCAGTGGAGACTCGTGCTTCTGCTTCAGTAGCTCCTGCCATGGACTTGTCATGGGAACCCCCTCCCACAAGCTCTGTCCCCGGCACCCTCTGGCACTGTTAGCCAGCGGAATCCAGCTGTCACCATGGCCTGGTTCTTAGCACCCCTGGGAACTTTTAGAGCCTCTGGCCTGTGCTAACTGAGGTTGGGCAGCTGCTGGCCAGGGCCCTAGAGAGAGGGGTATCAGGTAGCTAGTGCTGAGTAACAAATAGCTCCAAACACATGACTTCACATGTCCTTAGTATTAAAGGGCCTGGTGGTACTGCTGCTCATTGCTAGGCCTGGCAAGTCCTAGCTGGGCTCACTCACACATCTGTGGGCAGCTGGGAGCTAGCTAGTCCAGGATGGCCTCAGCTAGGGTGACCCAGGCTCCATCGCCCTCTTGCCTTCCAGCAAAGCAGCCCAGCCCGTTCTCGTGCTATAGCAGGAGTCGGGGAGAGCAGGCAGAGGCACGCATGTCCCTGGAGGCTTAAGCTCAGAGCTGGGAATGTCATTGCTGTCACCTTTTATTGGCCACAGCAAGTCATAAGACAGGCTCAGATTGAAGGATGGGGAAGTAGACGCCACCTCTAGACAGGAGTTGGGGCAAAGTCACACAGCAAAGGGCGTGGTGATTCAGGGAGGAGTGGGGCATCGGGGACACGTTTGTAACTGATCTACCACAGAGGGGAGCCCCCCTTTGAGAAAGTGCTTGGTGGGCCTTGGTGCTTACGCAGCCACGGACCAACCTGCTAGATGGGGCCTTCAGTAGGGTGGCGGGACGTCAGTTTAGCCTCAGGATTCGACTCCGAGCCTCTTGCGAGACCACGTCTTGGGCAGCATCGTAGACCCGGCTGTGAGCACAGAGTGGCTCTTCCAGAAAGTTTGTTGAATGACTGACTGACCTAAGTCAGTCCCTGTGCCAGGCAGCCCAGAGGGACCAGCCCAGAGCCTCCTTCTCGGGGTGCAAGCCTGGCTTGGGATTGGGGGGTGTCTGCACTCGTGGAGCCCCCCATGCCTGCCGGGAGCCTGAAGACGCAGAGACCTCCTGCCTCGCCTCGCCCCCTCCGTGGGGACCCTCTTCCCCACACTCCTTGGTTCCTGTCGGAGCCAAGATGTGTCACCATGGAAACCGCTTGGCAAACGCTGGCAGGCAGAGGCGGCCAACAGCAGCTCTCCCGATCGAGCTCCGGGCACCGGCTGGAGCAACGTCGCGGGACGGCGTGAGCGAGCACACCCAGCCGTGTGTGACACGCGTGGGGACAGAGGCCGGGGCGGCTGCGGGAGGGCGTGCGGGGAGGTCAGGGCGCCCCGGCGTGTATGCGCCCACGTGCGCGCCTGTGCGTGTGCCAACAGTGCAGCCACATCGGAGCGCGTGTGCTCCGAGTGTGATGGCCGCGTGGGCCGGTGCAGGGTGTGTGTGGGGATGGGGGTGTCTGATTGGTGCTGTGACCTGCGGCAGCACAGCCGCCTGCGTTGAGTGCCCACGGTGGGCTGGACATTGCACTAGGTGCTGACAGGACCGGCAGAGGTGGCCACTGCCCTCGTCCCCAGCCTGCACTCCTGGGCGAAGGCTGACGCTGAACAGGTACTTGTAAGAGTCGCCGAAGTGCGTGCCGGGAGGGTTCTGGGAAGAGGCAGCTGTGGGGCCTGAAGCCTAAATGTGGGGTGGGAGGCATCCAGGCTGCGGCTCCAGGCAGAGGGCACAGCCCGGCTGTGAGCCACCACGCCTGGCCCCAAGGGCCTTCCTGTGTGTCCAATTCTGGGCTCAGAAGCAGGGGGTCACCCTGCAGAATATCTAAGAAGGCTGAGGCTGTGTGGGCACATGGACCCAGCAGGGAACAAGACTTGCCCATTGTTCTGACAGACTCGAAGATGGATCTGGCCCTGGTCCCTGCTTTCCCTCTGACCCCAGGCCCACCCGGCAAGAATGGCTGAAGTCACATAGCAGCCTGGCCCTGGCCCCTCTGAGCCTGTGGAGAGCCCTAGTTGTCTGTGATTGGGGAGGGGGGATCAAGAGACCCAACTGCATTGCCTGCCCTCCTTCCCAGGCTTCCAGTCCTCCCAGTGGATCCCACCTCTGCACCTTTGCCCAGGCTGTGCTGAGACCTGGAAGGCCCCTTCTCTCCCTACTCCATCTTGACAAAGCCTTCCTGCTTCAGCTCAGAGGCACCTCTTCCAGGAAGTTGGCCCTGATGGCCCCAGTGGAAGGGAAGTTCCTTTCAACTGAGTGGGGAGGCGCCCCACCCTAGCAGCCCCTCCCAGACCCCAAGCAGCCTTGGGGCTCCCCAGGCACTCGCCTGGCAGAACGGAAGCAGGGGTGGCGGCTGAGGTCTGCCACCCTCGCTGAGCGCCCTGCAGCCCCTGTGGTTGCAGTTTTACTTGTTTTGAAAGCCCCATTAATGATCAGAAGTTTGGGAAAGGGGGCCTGGCTGGGCTAGACTGGGGGGACATGGAGCCCCAGGGACCAGCCAGGCCCCTTTCTGACCAGACCTCTAATCTGATGTGATGGCACCACTGGTGGGTGGGACACAGCTGTCCCCAGAATGTACCTGGGGGAGGAATGACTTCACCTCCCCTGCCGGGTGAGTCACCTTCTGGGGGGTGGGGGGGCGGTGGATGGAAGAGGTCAGGCTGCCTCATTCCCCTAAGACACTGCTGGGCCTGCTTCCCCTTTTGAGGGCAGAGAAACGTCCCTCCCTCAGCTTGGAAGAGGAAGGGGCCAGATGCGCTGTCCTGTGCACCTTCCAAAACACCCCCTGACCTCCAGCACCCGGGGACTGCATTTACCTTTGTTCCCATTTGTCAGATGGAGAGGTCGAGGCCTCGGGAGGAGCCGGGCTTCCTCCCCACCCCACTTCTTGCTCCTCTGCTCTCCCCGATGCCCACTTAGCCCCCACTCCCACCCCGCTCCACACACAGGGACATATGAACATTAATGGGGACTCCCCAAGCCCTGGCAGGGCCCCCACAGCTGTATCCATGGGTCTGTCCGACCCCTGGGTCCAGCCACACCTCTGCCCCCGGGGCCCCACCAGCTCTGTGGGGAGGCGATGCCAGCTGCAGGCGGGGACAGCGTCGGGGCCAGGGCAGAAGGCCCCAAGCCTCTGAGTCAGCCGGGCAGGAAGGAGGCCAGCAGCCTCTGCCCGCAGCCTGTTCCGTCACGACCCCCCCGCCCCACCCCAGAGTCTCAGCTTCCTCGTTCAGAAGAGGGGCCTATGCCGTCCTATGAGAAGTGGGTGGGCACATGGTGGGTGCTCAGGGAGGACCACAGCCACCCAGACGGGGGTCAGGCCACGTGACGGTGAGGGCCCTCCATCCTCCCGCCATCCCCATCACTGTCCACACCCCCCAGGCAGCTGCTCTGCTGACTCAGGACCGTCCAAGGCCAAGGTGGGGTCACAGCCCTGCCAGCCGCCCCCAAGGCCAGGGTAGCCCCCAGCCAGGCTTAGAGTAAGGGGGTCTCTGCAGGCCCATTCAGCACGTCAGCACTCTTCTGGAGGGGGCAGCGACGGGGGAGGGCAAGGCACCCCCCCATAGAGAGGCACTTTTCACAGTGTGTCGTCTCCTTGGAGCAGAGTGGGGGGTGCAGAGGCACCAGGAGGGGGACCTGGAGCCCTGGGGTCGGGGGAAGCAGGGTCAGGCCAGAGCAGGAACTTGCAAGGGGCGCGGCCAGGGCAGTGCCAGGCCAAGGGTGTAAGCCCCAGGGAAGGGGTGGGGGCTCATGGTGAAGAGGAAGTGAGCCGCCCCGGGGCTGCCAGGAGGGTGAGGGGAGGGAATCCCCGCAGAGGCTGCAGCACCCGTCCCCTACTCAGTCACCCTCAAAGGCTGGATTTGAGGAAGGAAAAGCACCGCAGAGCTGCTGTATTTAAAAAACAAGCGTCTGGATCTCTGCAGGGGCTGGGACCAGCTGCAGTGGGGGCTCCGGCACTGCTCCTGCTCTCCAGGACTCTTCCCACCACCCCTGAGCGGGGTCGGGGCCTGGGGCCACATCACAGGAGAGGGAGGTGCAGCATTACCAGCTGTGGGGCGGCCGGACCCACGGCCTGCCTGGCTTGGAGTCTGAGCGCCTCCCCAGCCCACCAGCATGGCTGCTGGACCTTGGGCATCAGCTGCTCCGTGCCTCAGTTTCCCCACCTGCAAAGTGAGGCGATGATGTGGACTCTGTGAGCTCGTGGCAGGAGTGAAGTTGGATAAGGAGGCCCCAGGCCCGGTCACAGGAGTCACTGTCCCTCCTGCAGGGGCTGGGCTCCCCAGTGGCCAGACCAGGCCAGAGCCTTGGGGTTGTGCTTTTGGCTGGGACCTAGAGCCCCCAGCATCCTAGACCTGTTCCTCCTGGAAGCACAGGGCTCACGCTCCAGCGACCACCCTGACCCTGGGTGGGCCGCACCTGTAGTCACCAGCAGGCAGCTATAGTGACGCCAGGTTTCGTTCCAAAATAGTTGTCTCTAAGCGTTTCCTATCTACCTGCTCCATGCGGTGCACCCAAGGCCAAGCCTCCCCTTCACCTGTGTGCCTCTCCTGACCCTGGCTGCCCTGGGGCTTAGGCCCCACCTCCAGCCAAGACCAGGACCCCCAGGATTGCTGCAAAGAGCACCTTTATTCACAGCAAAAGGACGTCACCATAGCAACAACACTTCAATTCCCTGAGAACTTTTCCCTTATCATTCGCTTTCCTAGCTATGTCTTTGCAAAGAGAAAAACAACAAGAAACACAGCCCACGGGACAGGTGAGCCATGCTGGGCCCAGCGGGGAGGTGGCAGCTACACAGGAGGAGGGCAGGGATGGGAGGTTCCAGATGCTGGAACGCATAAATACACAGAGTGCCAGACAGTCCCACTTCAGCTTTAAAAACAAAGATGACCCCGAGTTTGGCTTCTGTTTTTTCTGATCCACAGAAAAGATAAGATAAAATAAGACCCTCCCCCACCCCCACCCTCCCAAGCAAAAAACAAGAACACCCTACTTTTTACCCATCCCCTTTCAAAAAAAACAGCACAGTAAAAAAATACTGTCACAATATTTACAGACACGCCCACTGTGGGCGACTTGCTCTCTACTTTGGAGAGGAGATTAAATGCTGAGCTCTGACTCACCCTGTCCTGGGGAGGCAAAGGGAAGACCTCTGAGGAGGCCTGGAAGACTCCCCACTCAGAAGAGCTGGGAGGGGTGCCACTGTTTGCCCAGCTGGACAGCCAGCCACTGGGGGCTTCGTGGGGCCACTGGAACTGGGCGGTGGCTGCTGTTACTCTTAAGCCACAGCGTCCAGGCCAGGAGGAAGGGGATTGGGTCACGCACCCCCAGACCCAGCCTCCCCTGCAATGAGCATGGCTCAGTGAGTCGTACTTGGGGCTATGACACAGGGGCCAGGACTTCAGGGCACAGGTACCCCCAGCACAGAGCTTGTGGTCAGCAGGAAGAGAAAGGCACCTACGCATCGCATCCCTGCAAAGTAGCCCGGAGCCCCGTAGCTGTAGAAAGATCCAAAAATCCTAACAGAATTGCCCTCGGAGTGGCCTCCGACACACAAATCCTTCCTCCAAGCAGGCCCTGCAGCCCACTGGCCCTCGGAGCAGAGGCACATAAGTGGCGCTGGTGCCCGCCCCTCCACAGAGCAGAACTGCCCAGCAGCCTGCTACCCGGGTGGGCATGCAGTACACACACACACACACGCACACGCACACGCACAGGCACGGCCCTAGGGGAGCCTCGAATGCCGAGGCCAGGGCAGCGCAACAGGGTCCCTGGGCCCTTTGGATACCAGGGGCGCCCAGGGATTGGGTCTCAGCCATGGCCACTAGAAGATGGCAGTGCGGGGACACCAGGGTGTGTCCGGGTACAGGTGGCAGTGGATGGAGCGGAACCTGTGGGAACAGAGCAGGGGCTGGTCTGCGTGGGTGGCAGGCAGGTGCTGAGCTCCCATTTGCAGTCCCACAACACTGGCGGCCCCACCCCGAGCAAGCAGGACTCCGGGGGACACCTCTATGTAGAGTCATGCCGCTTAGAGAGACCCTGCTGCAGCTCCACGAGGCCCCCTGACGCCCCTAGGCCACCCTACGCAAGCCCATCTGGGCCGGGGTTTCCTTACCTGGATGGGTCGGCCTCCACCGAGAAGGGCCCCTTCACGTGGACGGCGTTCCGCTTGTTTTCAAACATACCGTAGCTCAGCGTCACCTGTGGGGAGCGGGCGGAGTGATGCCGGGAGGGGCCCGACATCCCTGGGCCCCGCCCCAGGCTGGCCACACAGCCCTGAGTGAGGCAACGGCCCTGCCCTGGCCTCCCTTGGACCTGGAAGGACACCTGCCCTGCACACCCCAGGAATAAGGTCCCAAACTGGGGACCAGCTGGGGCTGGCTGCATTGCCAGCGTGGACAAAATACGCACAGTAGGCGCATCACAGTGAAGAGAAGAGACGGCAGGAAAACAACCCGCCATAAACAGCTTTGAGCTCATGGCAGGAGTGACCCCCCCTGGCTGACAGTGGAGTGCTGCCTGGCCTCCCTGTTTAGAACAGTGCCCCACCCCACTGCGCCCCTCTCGGCAGCCACACGTCCCTTCCTGTGCTCTCGGAGTCCTGGCGGGGCCCGGAGGATGGTGCACCTGCTCGTGGAGCTCCGAGGTGGGCACCTGCTGCAGGTTCTCCAGGTGGGAGTGGAAGAGGCCGCTGCGGATGAGGGGCACACCCAGCAGGGCCTCCACGATGTAGCCGATGGTGCAGTCATCAGGCAGCCGGATCCGCTCAGCCGTATTCATGAAGTGACCCCCGCTGCGGGAGGGAAGGGCCCAGACCAGTGAGCAGAGGCGGGAGCCATCTGCTGGGAGCTGGGGAGGCCCCACCAGGCAAAGGCGCTGCACTCCTCAGGGAGAGGAGCCCTGAGGAGAGCTCTGGGCTGCAGCTCCCTCTGCCTCCCCTGGCCACAGCCAGGGCACACTCCCTGCACAGCTCCTGTGCTCCGTGGCTCTCTGTGGAGGGAATCTGGGTGCAGGGAAGAGTCCTGCCGGATGGTGCCTGGGGTGCTCATCGCCCCCCTGGCTGCTCTGAGCAGGTCAGGCTTGGGGGCAGCCGCCGTAAACACAGCTGCCCTCTGAAACCCAGAGGGAAGTGGAATATAGGAAGTAAGTGGGCAGTGCCACACAGGAGGCTGGGGACACCCCATGGCTGGGAAGATGAACTAAGCCAGGCCCCACAGTGGCGAGGAGCCTGGGACCGGGCTGGCCTAACCTGTGCAGGGCACTCACCTGGCCCACGGGCTCATCTTCAGAGCCAGCCCACGGCTGATGCAGAAGCCAGCGCCGCCCGTGGCAAACCAGAAGTGGACAGGACGCTGGGAGAAGGGAGAAGGTGTCCTGAGACCCAGGCGCTGCTGCCCCTCACGGTCCCACCCCCACTCCGGGTGTGCGCTCCGCGTGGGCGTGGGGGACTGGGAGGGGCAGGCACTCACCACCTTGTTCTCGCTGACCCGCTCCATGGCCTGGATGGGCCTGTCCAGGCTGGGCTTGCCGACGTAGACGTCCCGCGTGTGCGGGTAGCTGGCCAGCAGCCGCAGCAGGGCCCGCAGGTTGACGTAGTTGTCATCGTCCACGTGGCAGAACCACCTGAGGACAAGGCAGGGCCATCGGGGGAGGGCATGCCGGGGCGGGCGCTGCCAGGCTCGGGCAGGGAGATGGGGGTCCCCCGGGGCCACACTCACTTCCTGCCGGACTCGATGAAGCGGTCATACTCCACGGCCATCTTGCAGGACAGCGCCTGGCGGCTGTGGGCGGCCGAGCAGTTTGTGATGACCACGTTGCCTGTGGACAGGGGAGCGGCTGTGAGTAGGTCTGAGCCGGCTCCCAGAGAGGGGCCTGGCCTGGGGGACGCCACAGGGCCCAGGGGCTCGAGAAAAGCCCCCTAGTTCAAGCTGGGCCCGGCGGCCGTAGCCTCCCCCACCCTAGCTCGGGGCTTGGGCCTGTGGACCCTCCCGCAGCCCAGCCCCTTCCAGGGCGGCCCCGCCCCCGCCCATTCAGGCAGCTTTTTCCCAGCACCCGCCACCTGTTGCCGCTGCCTGGGCTCAAAGGGACCCGGGGGGCTGAATGGGCTTCATTTGCATGAGAATTGGGGGGCCCGAGTGGTGGGGCGGGGCATGGAGCAAACCCCATGAGTAAACTGCCCTCCCTGTCCTGCCCTTGGTGACCTCTCGGCCCAGAGGGGCAGGGAGACTGGAGGGGGAGCGTTCGGCTCTGGATGGAGGCCTGGGCCCCCTCCCGCCCCAAGTCCAGGGCTCACCCGTGTGCCTGGCCAGGGCCTCATCTTCCCCGTCAGTGAAGATGAACGTCTGGAAGGAGAAAATCGGCCTTCAGCAGGCAGCCCTTCATCCCCACCCCAGGGCCATCTGTGGGGGCCGGACGGGGCGCCCTGGAGTTGCTGCAGCTGCAGCTGCGTCACACTGACACCCACCCTTCTCCGGGCCTTGGTTTCCCCACTCGTGCTGAGAAGGGCTCAAGTGCCCCATCTCAGTGCCATCTGGGCCAGAGCTCACGCATTCACTCGCCCTGGGGGTGGGGGATGGGGGCCTCACTCCCCAACCTCGACAGCTGCACCCAAGGTCGTCCAGGCGCGGTGAGGCACGAGCCAGGTGGTGCGCCTCGCCCGCCCGCCAGGTAACCGGTTCCCGACCCGCCCCGTGCACCTGGCAGGGCACACACCCTTATTGACACAGCACCCAGCCTGCCACTTGGAGGCTGCTGGAAAGGCGGGGGACAGGCGGGGTGGCGGGAGGGACAGGCGGAGGAGGTCGGCTGTGGGAAGCCAAGTCTCAATCACTCGGGGTTGGGGACAAAGGCCTTCGCTGGGCGGCTGCCAAGCCCTGGCGGACAAAGGGCCTGGAGGGAGGATGAATCACCAGGCATTGTCCGCCAGCTTTGTCCTGGGCTGGCGGGAGAGGGGCGCCGGGCCGGCCTTAACTCGGCCGAGTTAAGCAGAGTGGCCGCGCCGCCCATTACCATACAGCTGGCCTGGTTAACCGGGCCAGGCTGGGCATGAGGTCCCGCGCGTAGGGTGCAGCCACCAGCACTGCAGCCACCCCACAGCTGCCCTTTGGGCCAGCACCCCTGTCCTGGGTGACCTGCAGGACAAGCTACCCACTCTGAGCCAAAGCAGCCCTGAAGTTCTGCAAAGTTGCCAACGGTCAGCAGGGTTGTGGCAGGAAACCTCAGGTGTCCCCAGCCCCCAGGTCAGGGGCCCCCAGTACCCATGCAGCCCAGCACCCCTCCCACTGCTCAGGCAAGGAAACCCAGGCTTGCCCAAGGCCACAGCCCACCTGTGCCAGCACGCGGCCGCCCCCTGCCAGGAGCGCTCTGCGGAAGAGGAGGGGGCCGCCAGGGCGGGGCCAGGAGTCGCCGGCGCCCGCCTGGGCCTGCCGGCACACGGGGAGGAATGTTCCTTCCTCTGCCCGGCCCGCCCAGCGCGTGCCGCCCGGCGCACCCTGGCATGGCTGAGTGCAAAACCCAGGGTGTACGGGCAATGCTCTGACCAAGGGACAACCCCCTGATGCCCACCCAGCCTCAGTTTCCTTCCCTGTACACACAGGTCCCGCAGAGGCCCTGGAACACCTTGGTAGTCTCAGATCCTTATCCAGCCTGACCCAGCCCTGGGCACATGCTCACTAGGGTGAGGCCCAGAGCTAAGGGGGTGGCAGGCTGGGTCTCCGCCTCTCCATGCATGCACCCCTCCTGCAGCACCCATAGACACCCCAGGGCAGCCACACGCACAGACTCGCACCCAGCCCCTTGGCCTCCCCAGAATCTCAGCCCAGGAATGCCGTGGGAGGCGGAGGGCCAGCCCCTGCAGACGCTCCACTGCGCCGCTGGGTTAAAAGGAAAATGCTTTCTTAATGAGATCAAGGGAGGCCTGTTCTCCCGAGATTTGGTGGTGCCCTAAAAACCCAGCCCAAGGCTACGGAGATTAAAGTCACCTTTGTTCAGCTCAGGGAGCAGGGAGGCCTCTAGAACAGCATCTGAGAAGGCGGGGCTATGGGGTGCGGGGGTGCCGGTCGAACTGTCTCCCGACACCTGAGCCACCAGGAGGGGAGGAAAAAGGCGCTGCTGGGCTATAGGCCTCACCTGCCGCTCAGAGCCTCAGTCTCGTCTTCAGTAAAATGGGCATAACAGAGCTCCCCTGGGCAGAGAACAAAGTGCAAAGACAGATTCTCTCCCTTCCTCTCCCTGACAGCCCTCGGAGGTGGGTGCCATTACCAGCTGAGGCCCAAGTGGGGAAACTGAGGCCCAGAGAGGTGCAGGCACCAGCCTGAGGTCATACCCTGGGGCCGAGGCGGTGCTAGACCAGCCCAGTCCCTGCCTTCTAGGGACCCAGACCCCCCAGTGCCACCTAACTTTCCAGACGAAGACGGGGCTGCAGGAGGAAGAGCCGGGTGGATGAGGGTGGACGGGGGCGGGGGCCGGGGGACACCCACAGGAAGCAGCATTGTTCCTGGAGCCGCGATTCAAAGAAACACAGGATGCCAAGTTCTCCCCAGCAATTGTGGCCGCTGTGGTGGCAGCGCGGCAGCCTGGCTGCTCCTGGGAGGGGCGGGGAACCTCTGGGCCAAAGGCCAGGCTCTTCATCCTGGACTCCAGGCCCATCTCAGCGCGGCCCCTGCTGACCAACCGACCCTCCCCCCAGCCACCACTCCAGTTGCTAGAAGTTTCCTGCACAACCCCCATGCTGTGGTCATCACCATGCCCGGATGGAGTGCCCTTTCTGGGCACTTTTTTACTCTTAGTCTAGCTCAAATGGCGCCTCCTCCAGGAAGTCTTCCCTCCTCCCTCCCTTCCCCCAGCATGTGGGTCAGATGCCCACTGTTGCCTCACACAGCCTCTCGGGGTTTTCCCCCCGCACAGCCCTGACATCTTTCTATCTCCCCCATCAGACCATGTCTGAGTCATTCCGTGCAGGGCTGGGAGAGGGGGGCCCTCTTCTGTGGGTTTCCAGGACCCCTGCCCATCACCCACCACAAGGGGGTCTTTGCTTGCTGTGTGCTGGTGAACTGATGCTGAGGGCAGATTCAACCTGTCCCCTGGTGGGGTGACCCTCCAGTAGGGACCTCAGGGCTCAAGGGAGTGATGGCCCCCACCTCGACCCTGAGTGCCCGCCGGGTTCACCCCATGCCTGCAGGCTTTGCCAGTCTCTTACAACGTGCTCCTGGAAGGACCATGTTCCCCCATTTCAGAGATCAGAGTGAGGGTCTGAGAGGCCCCAGGTCTTGCTCAGGATCACACAGCCCAGCCCTCTGACCACATCCCCTCTGTTGGAGAAAGGCCCCAAATTCCAAGATGAGAGGTGCTCAGAGCTGGTGGTAGCCCAGAGTGGGGCTGAAGGATGCCCAAGATCACATAGCAGTAAGGCTTGAGTGCTGGGGGTGGGGGGGCCAGGCTCAGGGATGGTGCCCCAAAAGGACTGTCAGTAAGAGATGCTGGGGGGGCCCGCTGGTCCCCTCATCGCCAGGCAACCTGAGTGGCCAGCACGCCAGCAGCGGTTCCCACGGAGCGCGTAGCTGCACACAAGGGGCCCGACGCCTTTCTCGCTGGAGAAAGGGGCTTTGTTACCTTGCCCAAGGGGCCGGCGTGAGAGCCGCCCGGCGCTGGGAATCCTAACGGCCCGGCCGCCAAACAAAACCCACGGCCCCCGCCGCCCCCTCCCGCCAGCCCGCTGAGCCCCTGGGAATGGGACGCTGTGTTCCCAGGAGGCTGCCATGGGGTTCCCAGGGCCCCTTCCCCACGCCAGGACCAGGGAGGACCCTGCCCCTCCCCGTCGCCCTCATGACCTCACCAAGCCCTGCTCCCACCCACCCACAGTGCCCCAAAACAGGACAGCGCCAGGTCAGAAGGCCCTGGGTCTCCGGGGTTTGAGCAGGGAGGAAGGCGTGCAGGGTCTTCCCTGAGCCCCCACCCTCACAGCAAATGCCTCTGCATCTCCCAGCCCAGAGACACCCCCCCAGTCCCCGACTGCAAGCCCCACACACTGTCCCCATCCCGCCCCAGCCCAACCGTCCTGCTGTGGCCTCGAGGGAAATGTTCAAAGTGGGGTGTGTCTTAATTATGTGTGTGTAAGAAGCTGATGCCCAACTGAAGTGGGCTGTGCCCAAGGTTGCAGGCCTCAGAGACTACTGCACTGTGCGGGGAGGGTCCCCACACAGACCCCAAAACCTGGAGTTCTTTGAGATGTACTCCCCAGGACCCACCAACCAGCAATGACTTCCCTCCCTCCCCGTACCTTAACACTGTGATGAGGAAAGGGCCCAGAGGTCAGAACCCCTCACTTCTCTAAAGGAAGAGCCTTTCTCCCCAGGAAGGGGTCTGAGCTGAGGGTGGGTCCGAACAGAATTTGCTTGTGGAAGTTTGAGGACATAATGCCCTATGAATGCGCTCCAATGTTTACGGGGTGAGAAGTATCACAGGGCACCAACCCCAAGCACTGGAGACTGGTGTAGGGTCCTGCAGCCATCCAGGACTCTGGAGCTGGACAGGAGGCGGGGCCCCGGGGACAGTAACACAACTGTAACGGGAGAGTGGCCCCAGCAGGCAAACTGGGTGCACCGGGGTGCACTGGCGTCGCCCACAGATGGCCCTAGTGGCTGGATGGGGATGCAGCCTGACTCCCATGGGACACTGCCACCAGCTGGACCAGATGGTGGGTCCCCGCCCCGCTCGCCCGCCAGTCCAGGCCGCGGGGGGCTCACCATCTCCTTGTGGCGCGAGATCCAGGTCTCCAGCAGCAGGTCGAGGCGCGCGCGGTGGAACTTTTTGGTGGTCTTGACAGCGATGAAGACGTCTCGGGGCGCGAGCGGCTCGGCCAGGGGGCGCGGGTGGCCGTCGGCGGGGCGGGGGGCAGCCCCGGGCGGCGGGCCCGCATCTCTGCGCGCGCGGGTGAGCAGGCTGAAGTACTCGGACAGACTGTGCACGTCGCGGACCAGCGCCCCGGGCGCCGCCGCCGCCGCCCCCAGCCCGGGCGCCGGGGCAGCCCCCGCGGGGCCCGCCAGGCTGCGCAGCGCGCGCCGGCCGCGCTCGGCGGGCAGTGGAGGCGGCGGCGGGTCGGCGGTGAGCACCAGCAGGCAGGCGAGCAGCGCGCCCGCCAGCGCCAGCAGCAGGCGCCGGCCGCAGCGCTTGAGCATGGTGGGGTGGCGGCCGCGCGGCGCGCCCTTCCCCGTGCGCCTGCCTTGCACCGACCCGAAGCCCGTCGCTCCGGCGGCGCAGTCCAGCAGCGCAGCACCAGTGTCCCGCGCTCTTAAACCTCCCCGCCCCGGTCCCGCCCCCGTGCGCTCATTGGCTCCCGGGCTCGGGGGCGGGGCCTCGCGCCGGTCGCCGCTCCACGCCCGCAGACCCACGTGGGGCCGCGGCTGGGGGCTGGGAACTGCCCAGAGGGCGCAGCGGCCCCGCCCCCGGCGCGCACGTGCACGCCCCGCACCCCCCCCGCCCCGGGTAGCCCCTGCGGGCCGCCGAGGGGCTTGGGGACGGGCCCGGCCCGCGCCGGTGTCCCTGAAGAGGAAACCCAGCCTGGCCAGCGCCGTCCGGGGATGCACCGGGCGTCCCGGCACGGGAGGGGCGCGCCCTCGGCGCAGCGGGCAGGGTGCTGAGACCCGGGCTCTGGGCTCCGACGCACCGCGGGGGACATCCTACTTCCTCGCTGTGCGCTTCCCCTCCTGAGCACGGCTTCCTCCCCTTGGGACGCGGCAGGCCTTGCAAACTGGGGTGGCGCCTGGGTCTTCCCGAGCGCTCGGTTCAGGGGAGCCGTTATTTGTACAGAGCAAGAGCTTGGCCACCTGTGCCGCAGGTGGGGACACGAGGTTCTAACGAGAAAGCACCAGAACCAAATTCCACTCCTTCCTCCCTGGCTGATTTCCTCGATCCTGGCCCTCCGTCGGGAGGGTTGGCTCCCCGAAATCCTCAGGCGCCCCATGGCGAGGAGAAACGAAGGCCGCCACTTCCCTCGCCGGATGAAAGGCCGCCTTCTGTCCCATTTGGTCTCCTTGCGCTCGGGCCAGATGCGGCCCAGCTGTGCGCCCTCCCCACCCCGCCTCCCCGGCACACGGCCCCCATCCCCGGCCCTTCCCACGGGCCCGGGCCCGCCCCTCGCACGAGCGGGGGCGGCAGGAATGCGCGCCGGCAGCCGAGGGTGAGGGGCGAGGGGCCCGGAAGTGGCCAAGGGTCGCCTGAGCAGGGTGTGAGCCCCCTGCCCGCCACGTCCTCCGGAAGCGTGGACGGAGGCGGCTCTGCCCGTGGCTGCGCTGTCTTCCCGTGCCCTCCTAAGCAGGGTCTCTGCGACCACCACGACCACCACCGCCACCACCGTGGCTAAACTGCCCCCCTCGGAGTTATGTTCACGCCTGAGATGGCATTTTAAATTCTTTAAGTGCCCTTGGAGCCCCTCTCCTTACCTCTACCTGAATGTCAGCCGCAAGACAGCAGCGACCTGGTGTCATTCAGACCTGGAACAGGTTTTGGGACATAGTAGGTGCTCTGAAAAAATTCACTGGATAAATGTCTGGCCCCACTGTCAGACCCTCTCCCCCCGCTAAGGACGCTGTAGCCCATTTGCTCTTAGGGCCCCAGGGGCCCCACCCCTAGCCCCTGTACCCGCTGGGTGGTGTGGGGGATGGGGGTTCCCAGGCCTCTTCCTGGCCCCAGGTAATTAGCAGTCACCACCTCCGAAAGCAGATGCCCCAGCAGATGGTGCTGGCTGTGCCCAAGTGACAAGTCTCCCATGGCGTCACCTCCTGCCATAAACCCCTTCCGATCAGCCAGAGCCTAGCCCTGGAGCCTCCATGCAGCTGGAGAGGCTTGAGGGTGAGCCGGGGAGAAAAGGACCCAGTGACTGGGTTGGCTGCCCCCACAAAGTCAGCTGAGTCCCAGCCCAGCCCCAGCCTCCGGACTGAGGGGTGTCCATGACCCCACGTGCTTCAGTCACACCGCTGACTTCAGGCTCTCCCATATCTGAATTGTTTCAGAGACGGAGCCTCATCCATCCCCATCATCTCTTCCCTGAATCACTTGGGCAGCCTCCACCCCCATCCCACCCACTCCTATCCTACCTGCTTTACTTATTCTCCACGCAGCAGCTGGACAACTAGGATCATAGCCACTCACACACCCACACAAAGAGCAAAACCCTCCATAGCTCTCCACTGGCTGAGTTAAAGTCCCGCCTGATATTCACGCACCTCGTGACTTAGTCCCAGCCCCGTTTCTTGAGGCCCAATCCCTCCTCAATCCCCTGCAGCCAAGCATGGCCAAGCCCCCAAATATGTGCACGGGTTGTGCTCTGTACCTGGACTTTACATCAGTGGCACCGATGGTGGGTGCCATGCCACCCTGCACCCCACCTGACAAGATGCTGTGAGTCCATCTCCCCACAGTTCCCAGGCCAGGGGATGGGGCTTCCTGCCCTGAGCCGCCCCACCCCCGCAACTCCTGCTCCCCAGCTACCCCTGACTGCGGTGCCTTTGACCCAGCAGGTCGTGGGAGCAATGTGCCCATTGTAGAGAAAGCAAGGGGGATATTGTACCAAGGGAGTGACCATACAGAGGTGGATGGCCCAGCCTGGCAGGGGCACATGCATAGAACTGGGTAGGGGGGGTTCCCGCGTCTCTCTGTAGCCAGGAATGGGAGGAGTGGGGGACCTGATGCTGCTGCCTGTCTGGAAGCAGCGGGAGGAAGCTTTACAGCATTCTTGTGGGGGCCGCAGGCTTTGGCAAGAGTGAATCAATTTCTTTGCTGTCAGGAGAATGGAATTTCGTGGTGACTTCTTGAGGTCTGAAAACTGTTGAGGGGGTGGCCCGCCTAGCCACCCCCGCCCGCTTCCCCAGGCTCAGCTTCAGCCTGAAACACTTCCCTCCCCATCCAGACCCCAGGTCTCCCTCTAGGGGCCCACTGGGCCACACAGCCCTGGTAGGGAAGTGGGCTGTGGGATGGTGCTCAGCCCTGGACAGGACAAAGGGGAGCTGGGGAGGGGGCTAGAGAGGGCTGACCGAGTTGCCAGTGAAGCCTCTTGGGGCCGTAGGGTCCTGGGGAAGAGGGGCTGGGGATAGAGGCTGCCCCAGGGCCCAGCCTGCCTTCCGAACCCAGAGGGGCCACTTCTCGGCTTTAAGACCTTGAACCGGTGGTGTTACTCCCTGAGCCTCAGTTTCCTCACTTGTAACACAAGGATGACATACCATCCAGACCAGGCAGGCCAGCTCTGGCCCTGGCGCATGGCTTCATGGGCTTCTTGGACCCTAGTCTTCCCCTCTGCAGGGCCCCTCCACCAGTCCCAGTTTGGGGCTCCCAGGCAGCTGGGTGTGCGAATGGCCCGAGAGACCTGCCTGCTGAGGTCAGGTGGAAAGCAGGCCCACGGAGCCAGGACCCACATGACCAGGGGCCCTACCCTCCTCCTCTAGCCGCCATCAGGCTGAGACAGTGTTCTGTCCCCATCTGAGTCCAGGCCTCCTCTAACTGCCAGGGCTCAGCCCGGGGGTTCTCCTGCTGGAGTCAGTGCCACCAGGTCCCCAAAGCCATGGGCTGGGTCTGCCCTTGACACTCAGGCCTAGAGGGGAAGGGCTCGGGGCTGGCTTTGAGGTGGCCATCTGCCTTCCCTCCCCCGGGCTGTTCCTTGGGGCTGCTCTGGCCTGCCTTCCTGCAGGGTCCTGGGAAGATCTGTGGAGACATAATGGGTGACCCATTAACTCGGCAGGAAGCCATCCGAGGCGCCTGTCCACTCATCGGCTGATGGAGAGCGGCCCCACTCAGTGTCTTGGGAACCAGCTTCCTCTGGGCCAGTAGCAGTGCCCAGAGATGGAAACTCCTGGACAGGACTCAGCATGGTGGTGGCTGTGGCTCGGGCAAGCCTGCACCTCCCTGTCCTCTCCTGACACAGACGCAGGAATGCCAACCCCCAGGCTGGGGCCAGGCATCAGAACTGGCAGTGTTTGAAGCCCCCAGATGCCAGGGGGCCCATGGATTTCCAAAAGGCAGGCGTGGCCTAGTGAGTGTCCCGACCCAGGAGCTTCTGTGAGCAGCCCTTGGTGGCAGGAAGGAGGGTGATGGGAAGGTTGGCTGGGCTCAGCACAGCCGGCTCCCAAGGCCGGGGGAGGGATACCGCAGGGTGGCACAGCTGATTCCCATTACTGCAGCTGGAGTGGGCACTGCCCTGAGACTAGCAGACTCCAGCTGTGAGTAGCACCCCCACCATTCCCAACCCTGCCTGCCTGCTATGCCCAGACCCCTCGCCCACTGTGTGGTCTTGGGCCAGTGCCCTTCTGTGGGTCTTGGGACGTTACTTGACTCTGTAATAGGGATATGGCTGGTGCCTCACCCGCCCTGCCCACCAGGCTGCCTTGGGGTTGGTGCTCTGCAGCCGTGAAGCCACGGCCTTTCCAACAGTGGCCTGGCCCTTTTGCCTGCACTCTGGGGTCAGGCATGGACAGAGAGGCCAGGCCCATTAGAGTTCAGCCGACTTGGCCTCAGTGGCTGAGCAAGGCTTCGGGGGGCATCCTGGCCTGAGGCACCCTGCAGGGCCCACCAAGGGCTACCCCTCCTAGAACGTCCTCCCCATCCCCCTCTGCTACCCCCATCCTGGTGCTGATCACATGAGGTTGTAGCTGCTCCTTTACGTCTGTGTCCCTGGGGGAAGAGGCTGCCTCTTGCTGCTTGTCAGGGCCTGGCACAAAGTAGGTGCTCAGTAAACACTGGTTGAACTGATGGTGGGGGGAATGGACATACAGATGGATGGACAGATGGACAGATAGATTGGCAGATGGATGGATGGTTGGATGGATGAATGAATGGATAGACAGATGGACAGATGGAGGGACGGATGGATGGATGGATGAATAGATGGATGGATGGAAAGGTGGATGGATGAACAGTTAGATGGAGGGGCAGATGGATGGGCAGACAGACAGACGGATGGATGGATGGATGGACGGATGGACAGATGGATGGATGGATGGACAGATGGATGGATGGATGGATGGATGGATAGACAGATGAATGGACAGATGGATGGACGGACGGATGGATGGATGGACAGATGGATAGATGGATGAATGGATAGATACATGGATGGATGGAAGGATAGGTGAATGGACAGACAGACGAATGGATGGATGGATGCATGGATGAATGGATGGATGGATAGACAGATGAATGGATGGATGGATGGATGGATGGATGGATGGATGGACAGACAGACCGACAGATGAATGGATGGATGGATGCATGGATGAATGGACAGATGGATGCATGGATGGATGAATGGATGGATGGATGGACAGGTGAATGGACAGATGGATAGATGGATGTATGGATGGCTGGAAGGATAGGTGAAAGGACAGACAGACTAACGGATGGATGGATGCATGGATGAATGGATGGATGGATAGACAGATGAATGGATGGACAGATGGATGGATGAATGGATGGATGGATAGATGGATGGATGGATGGACAGATGGATGGGTGGATGGATGGATGGATGGATGGACAGGTGAATGGACAGATGGACCAACAGATGGTCTAATGGATAGATGGACAGACACATAGACACAGAGGCATGCGGGTGGCTGGGAGGGTGCTGGATGTCAGCTGCTTGACAGCGGGACCGTGATGTGATTCTTGGCTGTGCCCCAGGGCCTAGAGCAGTGCCTGTGTGTATCAGGTGCTTGATGAACATTGGTTGGTAGAGGTTGGATGGAAGGATGGATGGGTGGATGTGCAGATACACAGAGGGCTCAAAGGCGCCTCTCTGACTCTGTCTCCCAAATGCCCAGCCCTGGGGAGCATAGGTCTCAGGGTGAGAAGACCTGGCAGGGCTGCCGCTGGCCTCTGAGCCCGCACAGGGCCTGGGGCCTGGGGGAGGGCTGTGCTGAAGGTGAATTCCCAGTGCCTAGGCACTATGTGCCTGCCCTGCCCTGGGGGCATTTCCAAACACCACCTCCAGAAGGCCTCAGGGGGTCTCACTCTAACTGTTGGTCTTACAGACGGGTCCAGGGGGCCAGAAAGAAGAGGTGGCACACCCTTAAGCCCACAGCAGGAACAGCAAGGGGCCTCAGCCTGGAGGCCAGGGCTTGTCCACACCAGGAGGACGGCAGGCCTGGGCTGGCAGCTGCGCCTCTTTCTGGCGCTTCTGTCTGAGGCCAGCTGGGCCATGGGGCTGGATGGGGCTAATCTGATTTGCAGCCCCCAGCATCAGAGCGCAGCCACCAGGATCCACTTACTGACGTCCTGCAGAGTCCAGACACCCACCAGGGAGGCACCAGAGCCACCCTGCCCCAGCCGGCCTTTGTCTTGCCAAGAATGGCTGGCTTGTGTGGCAGCCACAGCAGGCAGGGGGTGGGCTGTGGCCACGGTGGTGCCTGTCAGGCCCCAGGCATGACCCCCCACCCTAGTCATGACCCCGTGCCCATGTCAGTGGGATGGGATACAGAGCAGTGGGAGGAGGGGCTCCAGGCCGGGTGGAGGGAGCAGGGGTCAGTCTTGGCCCCAGGGGAGCCCTGCTTGCTATGTGATCCTGGGCTTGTGTACCTCCCTGATCCCAGGCTCCCCATCGCTACCATGGGCCATCTTTCCCCCTTGAAAGGATCAGGGAAGACGATACAGCATCAAAGGATATTCCAGGCTGCTCTGGAAGCAGAAGAAGGGGAGGTTATGTCCCCAGGAATGGCGATCACACCTGCTGAGAGAGGCCACCTCCGTAGGACCTGAGAGCTGGTGTTGGGCTCCACTCATCCATCCATCCATCCATCCATCCATCTGTCCATCTGTCCGTCCATCCTTCCATCCATTTCATGTGCTCATCCCACAGCCTTCCTGAGCATTTGCTCCATGCCCAGATCTGCTTGGCACTGGGGGAAGGTAGTAGGTGAGGATTCAACAGGGGTTAGAAAAATGGGTCCAGCCCAAAGGTGCCCAGGGCCCAGACGAGGGAGAACCCACTGTGGGCTGGGGCTGGGAGGCAGGGGACTTCTGGAAAGTCTTCCAGGAAAAGATGGTGACATTTGCCCTGGGGCTTGAAGGCTTGGGCAGGTGGAGGTGGAGGTTGTGCAGTCAGGCAGGGGTGTGTGAAGCAGGTGGAGGTGGAAGTTGGGCAGGGGTGTGGGAGCAGGTGGAGGTGGAGGTTGTGTGGTCAGGCACAGGTGTGTGGGGCATTCATGGAGGTGAGGCTGGAGATAAAGAGAAGCCTGAGGATCTAGGTGTAGAATGCAGGGGTACTGGGGGAGACATAGGGGGCTCCAGGTTCACGAGCAAGAGGGACGGCTCTGAGTGGCATTCTAGGAGGAAAAGCAACCCTGAGGCCCACCTCATACAATACGTGTCCAGCCTGAGCCTTCCTGTCTGTTCATCCATCCCTCTGAGCTTTGGGTCCTTGTGGCCAGGGAGGGAGGAAGCTGCGAGGGTGGCCAGGAGCCGCCTTGGCCTCTGTCCTCCCTCCTCCCTTCCTTGGGAGGCTCTGCCAGTGTTGCAGCTTAGTCTGGGAAGGATTTGCAGAGAGAAGGCAGGGCCGTGTTGCTCAGGGGTGGGACCCTGGCAGGAGGGGATGGTGGAGGCGGGTGTGGGGAGGTGGGGCAGAGTCTCTCTCAGGGCGGCAGAGGCTGGGCTGAGGCTGGCATCAGAGGAAAGTCCAAGCATTGGAGGCACCGTCCTCTCTCTGCAGCCCGTTTCTGTGCACGCCATCTGCTAGGGACTTGCCCAGACGGGGTTATCCAGTGCTCGTCTTGGTTTCTGGGGACACCTGACAGTGAATGTTTGGAGACACTTTCATTTGTCGCCACCGGGCTGGGGCTGAACAGACAGTAGGGTCTGGCCTATAGGGCCCAGAGAGGCTGCCCCACAGCCCCCCATGCACAGAACAGCCCCACAACCAAGAATGATCCACCCTCAATGTCAGTGGCCACGGCGCAGAAACCATCCAAGAGATGGCGGGCCCTCCCCTGGCCGTGCCTTGGTGGGGCTCTTGCGGTGGCTCTCCTGCCTCGCCTGGGGTCCTCACAAGGTGGGCTTGTGTCTGGCCATGAGGCCCGGGAACGGCGTGCTCCCGCCTTCTTGCAGGAGGTCACACAAGGGCAGAGGATGCAGTGGCCGGGCGTCCAGGACAGTGAGGCTGCCCTGGATTGGAAGGATCGCACGGGGGGGTTCCGGGGGAGCCCACGGCGGGGGGCTGGGAGGAGGCTGCGGCAGGGGCAGGGGCTGGGCTGCTCAGGCTGTGGTCCAGGCCTTGGTGAGGGCAGGGATGGCAAAGCTTGGTCCCCTCCATCCCCCACCACCCCCACAGCCTCCAGGTGGTCCCAGCCTTAGGACCTGAAGACAAGGCTGGGGCTGGGGTGGAGGGAGGGGCCGCCTGGAAAGCTGTTTGCTCAGCCGGGGTTTAATCTCCAAAACAGGAAGGCCGTATTGACAGAAGCAGCAGCCGGAACTGCTGCGGGCTGCCAGGTTACACTCCCTGGTCCCTCCTCCTCTCCCCACGCTGGGGGGCTCCCCGACAGACCCTGCCCTCAAATACAGCTGCTCCCATCACCTGCCACAGCCCCCCAGGCTGCACCTCGGGGAGACGGTACCCCGCTTGCTCTGCAAGCTGCAGGGAGGCCTGGTGCCAGAGTGAGGCAGGAGGCTGGAGGGGGCTCCGGGGTCACAGGCCGGGCCGGGTGTGACTCTTGGCCTCATTTTGCAAATGAGGAAGCTGAGCCCAGAGAGGGAAGTGAGCTGGTTTGGGTCCCACAGGGTGGGGTGAGGGTGGTCTGCCTGGATGCCCCCACCCCAGGTCTCTAACACTCTTGGGAGTGGCTCTGTCCACCATCACCACTGTCCAACCCGCACAGCAACCCCCGTGCCTGGCCTCCCCGTCCCTGGGGTACCCAGGAGGTCGGACCCAGCTGGGGCTCAGCAGGGCTCAGCAGGGCTGTGGTGCCGTGAACCCTCTGGCAGCGGGCGGACATTATACATCCACCCACTGCCAGAGGAAGCTGCGGAGACGGGCAGGGTGATATGCCAGGTGGCCCCGGCAGCCTCTGAGGTCATTCTGGGCGGGCACTTCACCCAACAGCAACGTCAGGCCCCTTAAGAGCCTGGCGGTCCCTTATCTTCTCCCCGGTGGCTGACTCAGTAGGACCAGGGATCTCCGGGCAGGGCTGAGGGCCGCCCACCCCTAGGTCACCTCGGGGAGCCCACGTGCGTCTCCAGACCTCGGCCTTCCTGCATCTCAGTTCCATGCCCACTGCTTGTCCTGAGCTGGAGCTGGGTGGGAGCTGGCTCTGAGGGCTGTCCCCATATCTTAGAGATGGGGCTCGGCTCTGCCACCCTCCCTTGGCTCCCCACTGCCCAGTTGGGAGGGCTGGCTCTGCCCCTGGCGTCCTCAGGCCACCCCCTGGCCCACTCTGCCTGCCGAACCCCCCAGGCCCTGCCAGGCCCAGGATCCCCACACTCCAGCCGCCCCTCTGTGTCTGCCTGGAGTGCTCAGCGTCTCCACCCCTGTGGGAAGTCTCCTCGCTGCTCCCTCCTCCACTCTACCTGTTGTCTGTTCCTGGGTCCCGTCCAGCCCTCAGCACAGCCCGGCACCCACAGAGTACTCAGTCCAGATGCCGACGCAATGGAGCTGAGCTTCCTGGACTTGGCTCTTGCCAGAAGACTTGGAAGAAGGGACCTTGAAGAGCATCTAGGTCCAAGTCCCATTTCACAGATGGGAAGATGGAGGCCCCAGAAGGCCTCCCAGGCCCACATGGCCAGCAGCAGGTGTCTCCAGCCACCCTTGAAAGTGAACCCCTCAGGCTCACACCTCCGGGTGCCTCCCATATGCCAGGAAGTCCCAAAGTTCTGAGGCGCTGAGGCTCCAAGACTTCCCCTGGGCGGGGTCTTTGGTGGTGCCAGGGGGTGAAGGTGAACCTTCAGGCATGGCGGTCTTTTGGCCAGGCCTGCTTCTCCCTGCAACCCCTCGGAAAGCCCTGCCAGGCTGGGAAACTGAGCAAAAGCTGGACATGCCCAGGCCAAGGGGTGGGCAGCTGGCTGGCCTGCCTCAGCAGGGTGGGGCCTGGGGACCAGTCCAGGCCTGTCCCCAACAACCTGGCCTATGGCGTCTCTCTGGGTGGAGAGTCCCCTGTCCTGGCTGTGTCTCCAGCCTCAGGTGGGGTCCTAGCTGTTTCTTTCTGGTCTCAGCTGCGCCCCCCACTCCAGCCTCCACCCCACTCCCTGCAAACCGGCAGTCACTTGAGCCCTCCTCGGGGCTCTGAGCCCCCCTCGGGCAGATCTTCAGGCCTGGGGCATCCCCAGAGGCTGGGCTGTGCCCAGTGGTGGCCGCCCCTCCCTCCTGTCTCATCCCCACCTGCCATGGCTGTCACTCTATCTCAGCGACCCAGTTTTCCTCCTTGTCTCTGTTGGTGGGGCGGGCGGCCCTGGGGGGACAGTGTCCCCCTTTGTGGCGGGGCGACCGGTGGATCAGGTGTCTCTGGTGGGGCCGGCAGGCGCGTCTGCTGGCTCGGGCCAGGGGCCACGGCTTTCAGGTCTTCAATAGCTCAAGATTAGGTTCCGTCCCTGAGGGCCCCTGTTGTGTGGCCATTGTGATGGCCTGGGAAGCACAGCCTCCGGGGCCAGAGAGTGATGCGTCTCCCTACTCACGGGAGCCCTGGCCTGGGGGCTGGGGTCCCGGCCTCCTCCGGGCCGTTTGGGCACCCTGCAAGTCATGTAGAAGTGTGCACATACAGCCACAGCCAGCACAGGGTCTTGGGGAAGTGTGGACCCCGCCTGCCAGATGCTCCGCTTACTGCCTGGGCCACTGCTTGGAAAGAGGTACTGCTTCTTCACAACCCGATGAGCGGAGCACGGGCTGGATCTCAGATGTGTGCTGCCAGTCAGTGCACGACCTGCACGGATGTGCACAGCGGCCCTGACACTGCCCCGGCCCCTCCCACCTTTCTCGAGAGTTTCTTCAGCTTCGCCACTCCCCTCAGCTGCATCCTCCCACAGGCCCCCACTCAGATTGCAGGGCTGGTCCTCAGCCGCTGGCTGGCAGCTGACAAAACCACAGGCCAATCCCCGCTGGCAGGATGGGGACAGGCTGACAATTCCAGGTCCTAACTGCACGGTCTTGCATTTCCTTCTCTGAAGACTCAGGTGTGGAATGAGCGGGGCTGTGGGTGCAGCGTGGGCGAGACTCCTCTCAGCCTCCCTGGGCCTGATCAAGGTCACCGACCCCCAGCTGTAGTCCCCAAGACTGGCTCCTGATGGCTTTTGTGCCCCGCTCAGCAAAAGCCCAGCTGGGATCCTCTTGGTGGCCCAGACAGAGGTGACCACATAGTATATCGTCTTTCAAGGCTGGGAGGGAACTCTGTTAGTAATTACTCCTGGGGCATACCAGGGCTGTGGCAGGAAACGGAGTATGTCACCGACAGAGACGCAGATTCCCTGGCAGGATGCATGCCGGCCGGCACATGCCTCGGAGCGCGAGAGGGGCCTGTGATCGTGCGGTGCTTACGTGCTTCACGCGTGTGTGCGGAAGCACGGGTGAGCCCGTGGGGAGCATGGCGCGCTGCCACTCTGCACATGTGGGCTGGCCATGTGCAGGGACACGTGTGTCCCTGTGTGCACACACCCAGAGCCCGACCCGGCTGCCCCGAGATGGCTCCCTCCCCTTGTACAGCTGGAGACTCCGGAAGGAGGAGGCGGGTCGGGCTGGCCTCCTGCTTGATGGGGGTAAGACGAACAGGCCAAGGTGGGAGGCCAGGGCCAGGCCTCGCTCGGGCTGGGGCATGGCCCTAACACATGTTTTCTGCCCAGCGTAGTGGCGGCAACCTTGGACAGGAGGTTGGGCCCCATCAGGAAGGTTTTGCTTCAAGAAGTGGGGTCAGCTTCCCCAGTGTTTGCATTCATCCTAACATGTGACTGCCTCTTCCTCCAGGCAGCCTTCCGTGACTTCTGCTGTCATCCCAGTGGCCTCTGTCTCCAGAGCAGGTGGAGCAAGGAGGCTGTCTACTTGCTCCCTGGACCCAGCGGACATATTCCCAGAGACAGGTAGGGTCTGCTTAGGGGCACACAGCCAGCTCTGGCAGGATGGGGCTAGACCCCAAGGAGGGCCCCTCCCAGGTCAGGGCACTTGTGACTATGGCTGCCCTGAAATCCTCTTGGGGCTTCTTGCCGGAGGGCCACTCTGGGCCCCACTGAGCTTTGCTTTAGGAGCAGAGGGCATTTGGGCTGGGTGTGTCCTCCAAGAGCCAGGCCTGGTGACTCCTCTAGGCATGGGGCAGAGGCTGGGGGCTGAGAGGCAGCTGCTGCTGAGGCCTTTGGTAGAGGGAGGCCGGCATCGGGCAAACGGATGGGCCATTCAGGCAGGAGAATCTTCAGGGTCACCCTGGCCAGCCCCGCGCAGCCACCGAACTCTCCCTTTCCTGTAGCTGGAAATATCATTGTGATGTCGGACACTGGAGATGGGACAGGAGCCACACAGACCCAGCTTTGCCCTCCGGAACTCACAGCATCCCAGCGGCCGGCAGGGAGAGAGAGGGCCAGCAAACAACTCCGCGAGGGGGTCCCGCGATAACATGCGAGAAGTGGGTGGAGAACGCCGGGCAAGCCTGGGTAGCCGAGGAGGGACAGACAAGCAGGTGCATGGGCCGAGACATGGAGGGTACCTGGGGACACCATCCTGGGGCAGGAAACGGCAGGTGCAAAGGCCCCGGGGCCGGCTGAGCTGCTGGCTCCCTCGCTCAGGGAGCATCTGAGCAGCACCTCCCAGAAGCCAGGGCTGTGCTCGTGTGCATGGGCCAAGCTTCAGAGAGAACTCGGGGGGCTCCCAGGTCTGAGGGGGGTGGGGGCCAGGGCTGGGCAGTGCAGAGGGTGAGGGGATGTCCTTCCTTACAGAGATAGAATTCGAGGGGAAAGAAAAAGGCCCCCTGGCATCCCTGCCCAGTGCATGGGATTGTGGGGGCTGGGAGGCATCCCGTGGCTGGGCTGCAGGAGTTCCCAGCCAGACCTGGTCCCTTGGGGAATGGGGGTCTGGGAGGCCTTTGCTGTGAGCCCACCTCGACAACCCACCCGACCAGTGAGCAGAAGCCTGAGCCGGGGTTCAGGGATCCATCCGTGGAGTCGCCCCTGAGGGAGGGCTTCCCACGTGGCACCCCACTGAGCCCCTCTCCCAAGCCCTCGCCCCTCCCTCCCAGGTTCTCGAAACCTCCTGCTGTCCCCCCGAGTTAGTGTCCAGGACTGCTTTAACAAATGGCCACAGACTTGGCTGGAAACAAAATATATTCATTATCTTACAGTTTGGGAGGCCAGAAGTCGAGATCAAGGTGCCCACAGGGCTGGTTCCTCCCGAGGCCAGGAAGGGTCTCCTCTGTCCGCTCTGTCCCCAGCAGTGTCTGGCGGCTGCCCGCAAGACTTGGGTGGCTTAGGGAGACCTCACCCCAACTCTGCCTCTTTCTTCACACGGCCTTCTCTCTGAGCCTGTGTGCCCTCTCAACTCAAGATCCTTAACTTAATTACTTCTACAAAGAGCCCTTCTCCAGGCTGGGTGTGGTGGCTCATGCTTGTAATCTCAGCACTTTGGGAGGCTGAGGCAGGTGGATCACTTGAGGTCAGGAGTTCAAGACCAGCCTGGCCAACACGGTGAAACCCCGGCACTACTAAAAATACAAAAATTAGCTGGGAATGGTGCCGCATGCCTGTAGTCCCAGCTACTTGGGAGGCTGAGGCGGGAGAATTGTTTGAACCCAGGAGGCGGAGGTTGCAGTGAGCTGAGATTGAGCCACTGCACCCCAGCCTGGGTGACAAGAGTGAGACTCCATCTCAAAACAAAACAAAAAAACAAAAACAAAGAGCCCTTCTCCAAACAACGTCCCCTTCATGGGTTCTGCGGGTTAGAACTTGGACACATCATTTTGGGGGTCCTCTATTCAACCCACAACACCCCAAAATACCAGGAATCTGGGAAGTTGGGTCTTCTTTCACTGCTGAGCCAGGTCCCCTGCACTTCATCCAGGTGGGCTCGGGAGCCATGGCGGCCTCCCTTGGCATGTGTAAGTTGGGGGACAGCGAGGAGGGCTGGGAAGTATAAGTTGGGGGGCTGAGGCCTGATGGTGCAGGCAGGCCTCTCAAGGAGAGGCCAGCACCGTGCCTGCCCACTAGGAACACGGCCTGTGGTCCCCGCCCCTGTGTGAAAAGAATGGAGAGAAAACGCCTGGCCCCTGTGCCCCCTGCCCAGCTCTAGGGACTGCAGGCACCTGCCTGGCACAAGAAACAGGGGGTGCACACAGACACAAAGATGGGTCCTAAGCCCCAGGCCTGCCATAGACCCCACGTCAGGCCCAGAGGGGCGCACATAGACACAGAGATGGGCCCTTAGCCCCAGGCCCGCCATAGACCTCATGCCAGGCCCACTCACGGGCAGGATGTTTCTCCCCCAGCCCTCAGGTCCGGGCATGAGCTCCGGGCCAGCGGCCACCAGGCCCTGGGCCAGCGAGTCCCGGCTTCCAGCACTTGCTCCACCAGCCGGAAGGTGCTTTCCACCCCATAATCACCTGTGCCAAGCGCAGGCTCAGTTGATCTTCCAAAGCGCCATTTACACCATGTGGAAACCAAGGCTCGGTGCTCCCCCAGCCCGGAGGTGGTAGGGTCAAGATTTGAAGCCAGGTCTCCGAGCGTCCACCTGCTGATGCCTTCCTCGACCTTGACATGCGGCCAGGCGGCAGCAGAGCTGGGAACACTCCTGCATCACCCATGAGCCCTGCCGGGGGTCTCAGTGTCCCCGTCTGCGAAATGGGATAAGGGCTCTGCACACCAGCCTTGCTCCCAGGGGCCAGAGAGGGGAGGGACAGTGTCCCTAGTGACAGATCCAGAAACTGAGGCCAGGAGGCGCTGGCCTGGACGCCCCTGCCCAGCAGATGCGGGTTGGGGCAGGCCCAGGCCCCAGCTGGCCCACCACCTGCTGACCCGCTTCCTCCCAGGGCCTCTGCGGGGAGGCGGTGGGAACTGACCTCCTCTCTGCCTCTCAGCCCCAAGGCGGCCACCCCCTGGGAGGCCTGGTCCGGGGCTCAGGTGTCCCGCACAGCCGGTTCCTCCGCCTCTTCCCATCCTCGCCTCTGTGGAGCCGGGGGGGGGGGGGGGGGGTGTCACTCCCCAGGGGCCACAGGCAATTGTGGCCCTGCTGTTGAGCGGGCTGGCTCTGCTGCCTCTCCCGCAGCCCCCAGGAGGCCGGGCTGCTCAGGTGTGTCCACAGGGACCTCCCCCGAAGCCCCTTCCCACGACCCCTGTGCCCGCCCCCTACGATGTTCATGCCTGAGGCTTTCTCTGCAGCCCCTGGCCCGTGCTGGTGGAGGGCGTCGGCCCAGGTGAGGCTGGTGGGCTGCAGGCCAGGGGCTTCCAAGCAGCTCCTTAGCCACGCAGTCCTCCTTAGGGGTCAGGACCATGACCCCATTTCACAGGTCCTGAAAGGGAGACTCCTGGTGCTGGGGGCCCACAGCCCGACAGCTCTGCAAGCCGACTCCCTGTCTGCCCTTTCCCAGACCTGCCCTGGGTTTGGCAGCAGAACCTCAGGGGGAAACTGAGGCTGAGAAGGGCTGGGTGCTTTGCTCAAGGCCGTCAGCCAGCCCAGTTCATCTGCCTCTTGGATCCACACTCCCAGGGCTTCCATCTTGCCTCTGCTAGTTATTAGCTGGGTGGCCTTACGTGAGTGGCACAACCTGTCTGTGCCTCAGTTTCTTCAGCTGTAAAATGGGAATAACTAGAAGGCCCGCTTTGAAGGGTGTTGTGCAGATGACACAAGGCATCGGGTATGGTACACGGTGAGGGTGCAGTGCCAGGCCGCTGTTATTCTTACCATGACCATTATAATTGTCTCACAGTCCCAGCTGTGCTGGGAACTTCAAAGCGCCGGGGCCTCACCTGTCTTGTTCACTGCCGAGCCCTGGCCATGGGCATACGGTTTAGATCAGGGACTGGTTTTAAAATAGGAGCAGGAGCTTGAATGCAGGTCTGCCTGCCTGGAGGCTGAGCCCTCTCCCCCCGGACTCCCCAGTGAGACCCCCTCCACCAAGCCTGTGCCCTTCACGGGGTCTCTGAGTCCCACAGCTGTGCCCTAGGGGTTGCTTTTATCTGCCTTGCCACAGCCAGGAAACTGAGCCCCAGAGAGGGCAGGCCTGAGGAAAGACCATGTGAGGTTAGTGGGTGCCAAGGAGTGGGAGGATCAGCTGGGGGTGGATGGAGGAAGGCAGGGCTGGGGGCTGGGGGCCTCGGGCCCCTGCAGGCAGGAGGCTGGGCCCATTCCCATGTGGGCGGGCCTGCTCCAACTCGCTGCCTGGCACGGCTGCAGGTGCCCACACAACGGCAGACCCGTGCACCCCCAGCGCAGCCTGTGCCAGCCACCGCAGCCAGAGGGGTGGCTGTGGGCAAGTCTGCTGTCTCTGCCCACCTCCACCCCAGGACAGAACCCGGGGACAGGAGACCACCTGCAGGTACAGCCGTGAGGGCAGCAGAAAGGCTCTGCTACTCCAAGAGTCAGCCCATGGCACAGACAGCTCACACAGCAGCCCACCAGGACATTCATTCATTCGTGCATTGATTCTGCAGGCAGTCATGGGTTCTTGCTGTGTGGCCTTGGGCAAGTCTCATGTCTTCTCTGGGCTGTGAAGTCTCCCATTCGGCAGAGGAGCCCGACCCCCACGATGTGTCAGCTGAGGGTCTCTGGGAGGGGGTCCGGACAGGAAGCGCAGGGTCGGGGCAGCCACAGGCTGAGACAGCACAGCGGCTGCAGATCTTCCACAGTCTCCCCGGAGAGTTCTGGAATCTCGCTCTCACCCACGCACAGACTGCAGGGAGAAGCTCCCCCGCCTGTCCTCCCCGAAATCCCTTCTTCCTGCTGTCCCGGCCCCTGACCATCCCTCCCCAATGCGGGGTGTATGGGAGGCCTTGTTGCCAGACCTCCTGAGAAGCCCTAGAGGTGCCAAACCCCTCCTCAGCTCCTGTGGCAGATGGGGAAACTGAGGCTGACAGGAGCTTCCTCCTCCCACTCTGCCCAGAGGCCTCCGTGACCCTCCCCCCAGCTGGCCTCTCTCACCTCACACCCCCCATACCCCCAAATGACCTCCTCGCTCCCCCCATCTCCCGGGGTCCCGCCCAGCCAGCACACCCCCTACCACACACCCCCCACCCCAAATGACCTCCGTGTTCCGCCCACCTCCCGGGGTCCTAGCACCCTCACCTCATCTTGCACCTCCTGTCCCCTCACCCCAGCATTGCTCAGCGTCCCACCCCGATGGCCCCCACCTTCGGGACTGCCCCTGGCAGGGTGGGCTTCAGGGAGCCGAGAGCCCTGGTGGTGGCTCGTGGGAGGGGGCCTGGGCGTGGGTGTCTGGGCCACAGGAGTCCGAGAGCCATCCCGAGGGGAGAGGGCGTCAGTGAGACGTGGGCTGGGGCTGTTTCCCTCTAGCTGCAGGACCCGCAGGGTCAGTGTCAGCCTCTGCCTCCCCCAGGAGGCCTCAGCCTTTCCTCCTAAGACTCAGTTTACTCAGCTGCCAAATGGGACCATTTCTTGTCCTTCCAACCCCACGAAATTTCCATGAGACACCGAAGGGCAATAAAGGCTGTGGGCAACCCTCAGTACATGCCCAGCTGTGGGGAGGACAGGCTGGGACCCCCACTCCCCATGGCCAAGGGACAGGCTAGATCTCCCACAGCTACCTCCAGGGGACAGGCTGGGACCCAATGCCCCACCACCAGGGGACAGGCTGGGTCCCCCGCACCCCACCTCCAGGGGACAGGCTGGGCCCCCCACATCCCACCTCCAGGGGACAGGCTGGGCCCCCCACACCCCACCTCCAGGGGACAGGCTGGGTCCCTCTGCACCCCACCTTCCGGGGACAGGCTGGGCCCTTCTGCACCCCACCTTCAGGGGACAGGCTGGGTCCCTCTGCACCTCACTTCTAGGGGACAGGCTGGGCCCCTCTGCACTGCACCTTCAGGGGATGCTTGGGTATATAGGGCCTAGGCCCTGGCCAACAGCCACTCACCCACGGCCCAGCCAGGGAGCTGAGAGCTGAGAGCGAGCAGTCACCCACTGCACCCCAAGGCTGGGAGCCACCAGCAGGGGCAAAGCCCATTGAGCTATGGTTCCCGGCCGTCCAAGCCCAAGCCCAGATCTGGAAGCAAACACCCAAGGAGACACTTTCTCCCTGTCCGAACTGCCCAGATGGTGAGCTCCCTATTGGGAGGCAGGTAAGCAGAAGCTGGCAGGGGAGGAGGGCCGGGGAGCAAGCATGAAGTTGGAGTCCAGGCTAATTGGTGAACCTTAGATCACACCTCGGCCGGGAATTCCAGGATCCCGGGATCCTGTCTTCTGGGAACAGACGCTGCTGGAAGGAGGGAAGGTGGTCTCTGAGGTGAGATTCTGGGGCCAGGGAGGAGCTGGCTCAGGTGAGACCCCAAAGGTGGAGTCAGGTCAGCCCGGACCCCGGGGGTGACCAACCCTTTGACTGCTGTTGACCTCAGGCCATACCCCCTCTGCAGCTGAGAACCACTATCTTTCTCTTCTTTTTTTTTTTTTTTTTTTTTTTGAGATGGAGTCTCGCTCTGTCGCCCAGGCTGGAGTGCAGTGGCGTGATCTCGGCTCACTGCAAGCTCTGCCTTCCGGGTTCACGCCATTCTCCTGCCTCAGCCTCCCGAACAGCTGGGACTACAGGCGCCTGCCACCGCACCCAGCTAATTTTTTGTATTTTTAGTAGAGATGGGGTTTCACCGGTCTCTCATGATTCGCCTGCCTCAGCCTCCCAAAGTGCTGGGATTACAGGCGTGAGCCACCGCGCCCGGCCCTCTTTTTTTTTTTTTGAGACCGTTTCACTCTTGTTGCCCAGACTGGAGCTCAACGGCGTGATCTTGGCTCACTGCAACCTCCTTCTCCCAGGTTCAAGTGATTCTCCTGTCTCACCCTCTCGAGTAGCTGGGACTACAGGTGAGCACCACTACGCCCAGTTAATCTTTTGTATTTTTAGTAGAGATGGAGTTTCACCATGTTGGCCAGGCTAGTCTTTAACTCGTGACTTCAGATGATCCACCTCGGCTGAGGTCTCGGTCTCCTGACCTCATGATCCACCTGCCTCGGCTTCCCAAAGTGCTGGGATTACAGGCGTGAGTCACTGCGCCCAGCCGAGAGCTGCTATCTTTCACGCAGAGTGGCAGAGCCTGCCACAGGCCAGCCACATCCTGGGTGCTGCAGGCCTGCCCCCTGGATTAGGGTGGACAGCACGTGATTCTCATGGAGTGCTAGAAGGGACAGTGCCACAGGATGGGGGGGCCAGGCCTGCAGCCTCTCGGAGGAAGGAAGGGTCATTCCAGGGGAGACTTTCGGGGACGCGGGCTGGGGAAGAGCTCACCGCTCCCGACCCAAGGATGAGAAGACTGGAGTGAAGGCCCTGAGGGATGAGCCTGGCTCATTCCTGGAAGGGCTGGAGTGGAAAGGAGGGAGAATAAGGGGTGATAGTGACCAGGGTGCAGGAGAGAGCCAGGGCAGGGCCGGGGACCCTTCTCTCCTCAGGGAGAGGGGCTGACCACCTGGCAAACGCGCTTCCCACCACTGGAGTTCCCAGAGCGGGAGGGCCGGGGATGTGGGGACAGTGGCGGGGACAAAGCGCCGGGGCCGAGGGGCTGGGGACCACGGGGGCTGGATTTATGACCTCCCCTGACCCCGGCAGAGAAACCAGCCTTGTTGGGCATGGCCAAGTCACCAGCGACCAGCCCGGGGGTGGGACAGCCGGGATGAGAGGCCCAGAGAAGGGATTAGCCGCGGCCCAAAGGGCCACGCAGGGCACCATGGCAACCGCGAGACTGGGCCCGGAGAATGGGGCCTGAGTTAACACCCCAATGGGGCTGGAGGCTTGTTAAGCAGCTTACCAGGCGGGCCTGCCTCGCCATTGACATGGAAATCCAGGCCCTCCGTTCCTAGCCCTGAAAGGCCTGTCCCACTCTGAAAGAAGGGAGCCAGGAGGGGGGTTTCCAGGGTGGGTGGGGTGGCCAGGGGGCCAGGTGCTGGGCCGGAACAAGAACCAGCTTCCACCTTCCTCCCCAACCCTCTCGGCACCCCTGCAGGTCGGAACGGAATGTCCAGGACCCACGTAGACTCAGACCCTGAGTGGGAGGGCCTGCGTGTTACCTGGTCTGACTCCCAGGCTTGAGAGGGGCTGAGTGTTACCTGGCTTGGCTACCACTAAACAGGGGTCCAGGGTGGGGCGTCGCTGGGGGCAGTCCTCATTGTGGACGTGCTCTGGCCAGGGGTTGCATTTCCTAAGTGGATGAGCTGGCTCAAGTCAGGCTTGTGGGCCACAGCGTAGGGCAGGGGAAGGTCACCTGGATAGACAGAGCAGGGATCCCAGCATGGGAAGAAGCTAGCACCCCCGAGGCTCGCCTGACCCCTGTCCTCATTCCCAGCTGATCCCAGCTCCAACTACAACTCTAAGCTCCAGTTCCTCCAAGGGCTTGTCTCCAGACGTGACCCATGTCCGCATCAGGAGATTGTCCCAGAGCTAGCCTCAGCCATGTGGGCACTGGGCCCTCCTGTCTCACAGACCCCGGTCCTGGCTCCTTCCACAGGGCCCTGGCCTCCAGCTCTGCCTGCCCCGTTCACCATTCCCCCAGCCTCCACCCACCAGGTCCTGCCCACCTGACCTGGCCACCCCGGAGCTCAGCCCTGGGACCCTCTGCCCCAGCAGTAGACCCCTTCCCAAGACCTCTTGCCATCCCTCCTCTGCGGCTCAGCACCAAGTGGGGGCCTCAGCCTCCCTGACCCAGCCCCATGATGCTGCTTCAGACACCACCACATCTCCAGCCCCAATTGTCCAGAAAATTCACTCGTGTGATTTGCCACAGTGCCCAGCCCATTCCCAGGCCTGGACCCGTGGCAGGACAGTGAGTGGGGGCAGCGGCAGGCCTGGCCTTTGAGACCAGGCTGTGAAGTCTGTGCTTCAGATGGGGCAGGGGTGGGGAGACAGCACCCCCACCCCAGTGTGGGAGGCCCAGACTCCAGCCAAGTGGGGAAAGCCCCTTGGAAGCCGAGATGTGCCGGAATGCGGGGCAGGCCTGAGGGGGTGGCAAGGAGCTGAGCAGGTGTCTAAACCCCTGTTGACATGGGATTACAGCCATCTGGCAGCCCCTCCCCACACAGCCCCCACTCCGGGCTCTGGGCAGGAACCAGGGAGCTGAGACGGGGCAGCTCTGGGCAGGGCCTCAGTCTCCCTGCCTGAAGAGTAGGGTATACTTGAGGGAGTGCAGAGCTCCAGGGTAGGGATGGGGGCAAAGGCAGGCTCTCCATGGGACCTCCGGGTGGGCTCTGCCCTGTCCCACTAAGGGACTCGATGAGGCCCGCACGTGAGAAAGGAGCTTTGGGAGGTTGGCCAGCTAGGAGGTGAGATCACAGCCCTTTGCTGGGGGCCAGGGCCCTTGTGAGGAAACTGAGGCTCAAGAGTGGAGGCTGAGCAGCTTCTTGCTCCTGCCTCCCCTACCCTGGGTACCCCATACCCTAACCTGGCCTCGACCTCTCCAGCTTCAGGATCCTGTTCTTCCTGGAGGTTGTGTGCAGCTTGGAGCTCGTGAGGGGCTACTGTGATCACAGGGTGCGCTAGGCGGTCCTCCAAGCAGGGAGCTGCATCTACGCAGCACCCTCCAGCCTTTACTGGGGTGGTGACACCCGGGCTTGGGGGCCACCCTTGTCACTTCTTGTAGCACCGGCCTGCAGCCCCTGGGATGAGCATCCCAGCAGCTCACAAACAGTCCTGATGAGGAAGCAGCCGGGCCCGGGGTCCACCCCCCCATGGTGTTGGGTTTCCTCCGGGCATGGCCCCAGCTGCACGCAGCTGGCAGAGGTTATGGGGCTGGGAACTTGAGAAGGTTGTGTCCCCCTCAACTCTGGGGGAGGGGCCATAGGCACCCATCAGAGCCGGGGCTGGCTGGCCTCCCCCTCCATCCTCAGCGCCCCCAGCCTGCCATCTGCCTCTGTCTCTCGGGGAAGAGGAGGGGCCGCCCGCATTCCTGCACACGCTGCCCCTCCCTACATCTGGCCCTTCCCACGCCCCCTCCTTCCCCAGCAGACCCTGGGGCCCCCTCCCCATCCCAAACCCGCTTTGACAGGTCACATGGGCACCGGGCCCCACCCCGGCAGGGTCTGGGGACCCTGTCCATGCCCGTCACCCCCTGTTCCTCCTGTGGGTGACTCCCTCAGCCCTTTGACAAATTTTCCCGAGGCTTCCTGTGCGCCTGGTGGCCCCAGACCCTCCTGTGTACTGGGAGCAGGGCCCCCCCGACCTGGGAAGGAACGCCCTGTCCATGGCTGCCCCCAGCTCCTGGACACCCACGAGCGTCTGACTCAACTGGGTACCCCCCACTCCTCATGCAGGGATTGGGGGCTTTAGGGCCAGGGAAGGTGGAGGGAGGAAGAGGGCAGTGCGGCAGGGCTGGTCAGATGGGCAGCTCTGTCCCCATCCTGCACTCCGGGCAGCACAGATTGCTTCTGGGTAGAGGCCAGGCTGGCCGGCTCTTCTCCCTGCAGGTCCGGGATGCAATCACAGCAGAGTAAGGAGGTCTGCCCCTCATCCCATCAGGGGTACCTGGGTGGGACCTGGGAGACCATGGGCTAGAGACCAGGGGAGAGGGTCCCAGAGGAAAGCACAGACACCTCAGGCTGAGGCCAAGCTGCAATGCTTGTTCTCACTGATCCTCAGAGCCTCTCCTGGAGGAGAGGGTACTGAAAATCAGGCCATAGCAGGATGCATAGGAGTCCACCAGGTAGAGAGGGGCGTGCAGAACTCATTGTCATTTCTAAACTCCTATGTGGGCCTGAGAGTTGTGCTCAGACCCCCTTGGGCACTTCATCAATGTACTCAACATTTATTGAGCACTTGGCTGGGTGCGGTGGCCCATGCCTGTAATCCCGGCACTTTGGGAGGCTGAGGTGGGTTTGGATTGCTTGAGCTCAGGAATTTGAGACCAACCTGGCCAACATGGCGAAACCCTGTCTCTACTAAAAATACAAAAAATTAGCCAGGCGTGGTGGTGCGTGCCTGTAATCCCAGCTACTTGGGAGGCTGAGGCAGGAGAATCTCTTGAACCTGGGAGGTGGAGGTTGCAGTGAGCCGAGATCACACCACTGCACTCCAGCCCAGGCGACAGAGTGACTCTGTCTCAAAACAAACAAACAAACAGACAGACAAACAAAAAATGTACTGAGCACCTGCTGTGTGCTGGGCCCGGTGCTGGTCACAGGGACGGTGGGTAGTCCACACAAGACTGCCCTCCACCCCTCGACAGAGGAAACTTCTGGCAGCTGGCTGTGCGGCCCAGTGGTGATGGGAGACAGAAGAGGCCTGGGCTTGCTGGAGGCAAGGTTCGTAAGTGGAAGCTTACCAGGCGTGGGGGAGGCAGGATGTGCAAAGGCCCTGTGGCCAGGATGCTGACAGAGGATGGGACAAGAGGCCAGTGTGGAGCCAAGGTGGGGGCGGGGACACCTAGTCTGGGAGACCTGGGGCCACACCACACCCCTGTGAGTAGAGCGTGGCATGATGCAGTTTGCAGGGGGGTGCTCCCCACCTCAGGCACCCAGCCATGAGAACCTAGAGCCGAGCTTGACTTAAGATGAGCCGGTTTGACGCTTTGGCTAAGGGGACAGAGGGGCACACACGGAATATTCCAGGGGCTGTGTTTGTGCAGGAGCAGAGGTGGGCACACAGGGGCCCAGGACACACAGTCACATACAAAGACCCACCTCTAGAGACGCACAGAGACAGGGACCCGGTGGACTGCATGCACCAGCAGCCTGTTTACCTCCTAACCCTCCCTCCTGCTGCCTCTGCATCCCCCTCATCCCCCCTCCCCCAACACACACAACAGCCGCCAGGCGGGTCCCCTTTCTCTGGCTCTTCAGCAAAGCAGTTGCTCGAGACTAATTGAATTTTCCGCCTGGGAAGGGCTGGGGAGTTGAAGGCGGGTGAGGCTGGGAAGAAGCTTGTTAACAGGTCTGGCCCTCCCCACACCCCCCAGGCCCCCTCCACGGCACCCCGCCCCACTCCCTCCCCACAGGGCCTCCTCTCTGCAGTGGGGGTGGGGTGGTCAGGGGCCCTGGTGGCCGTGGAACAATGGACAGACAGACAGGACCAGCCCACACCCTGCCAGCGCCTGAGGGGCCGTGCTCCAGAGGAGGCTAGAGTGACCTTCTGGGCCTCAATTTCCCCTCCTGACCCAAAGAGAATTGGGAGAATTGGGATTGGGGTGGGAGTCCCGGCTCATAAACAGACTCACCCGACTGTAGGTGTTCGGGGGGCCACCCCTGGAGATGTGGGAGCCCCACCCACTGACCAGATGGCAAGACTGAGGGCCGGGCAGGCACAGGGCTGGGCCTGGGGGCTCAGCGAGGCTGTGCATGGTGGCGGGGGATGAGGAGCCACTACGCCCAGTGTTCAGCCCCACGTGCTGCTCCTGGCCCTGCCCATATTTATGGTTTGAGCGGTGGTGCACACGTGTGCGGGGTGTGCATGACAGGAGGCTGACGGAGGAGCAGCCAGTGGGCAGGCGACCCCCTGCCTCCACCCCTGCCTCCAGCCACCAGCCTCTCTCCTTTTCTTTTTTTTTTTTTTTTTGAGATAGAATTTCGCTCTTGTCACCTGGGCTTGAGTGCAGTAGCAAGATCTCGGCTCACTGCAACCTCCACCTCCCAGGTTCAAGTGATTCTCCTGCCTCAGCCTCCCGAGTAGCTGCTGGGACTACAGGCATGCGCCACCATGACCGGCTAATTTTTGTATTTTTAGTAGAGACGGGGTTTTACCATGTTGGCGTGTCTCGAGCTCCCGACCTCAAGTGATCTGCCCACCTTGGCCTCCCAAATTGCTGGGATGACAGGCGTGAGCCACCGGGCCCGGCCCCCCTCTCCTTTTCTCGACCCCAGTCCCCACACCACTTGGACCGCGAATGCTCAGATGTCACCCAGCCTGGAGGCCCCTCACAGGTGCAGTGGAGGGGATGGCGAGAACAAGGGACTCGGGGGCAGGGACAAGAGCAGGAGGCCCTGACTGCTCCCCGGGAGACACGTGTTGGCCACGTTGTTTCCTCATTAAACTGCCCCTCGGGCCTCCCTGGGGAGCCTCCCTTAGAGGGGTCGCAGATGACAGCACCTTCGCATCTGAGCTAAAGCCAGAGGGAAGTGACAAGGCAAGGATGCCTGGGACCCTGGTGGCCAGCAGTGCTGGAGTCAGGCTTCCTCAAGTCCAGGCTCCAGCAACCCACGTGTGTGAAGTGCCCAGAGCCCCACCCAGCATAGGGCAGAGAGGGAAGATGTGAGGCAGGGGTCGTCTGGAAGGGAGGGCGGTGCTCTGCTCCCACCACAGAGACCACGGAGGGTCCTCCTTGGGCCCAGGGTCCTGCAGACGGGAGGACTCCAAGTCCGGTTCAGGTCCCACCCCTCTTGCACATCCCTCGGCCTGACCCCTTCCCCCTCTGGATGTGAGCAGAGCCGGCCATAGAGTAGGGGTCTCCTGGAGCAGGATACCAGGGAGCCGTGGCCAGCAGAGACCCGGCTGGGCCCACGGGGGGCTCCCTAGCTGCCCCTGCCCCACCCACCTCCTGGCTGACCCCTGGGATACCCGGGGCACTGCCCGCTCCCTTCCTGCCCCCACCGCTTCCTTGGGTCCTGGCCCACAAGACAGGCACGCCTGTTCCTGGAGGGCGCGTGCCAGAAGTCCCCGCGCCTCTGTGGCCTGCACCGCTGGAGATTATAGGAGGACCTCAAGGGGGCCACTGATGAGGCCCAGGGTGGGGCAGGGTGGGCTCGGGCACCTGTGACTGCCCCTTCCCCACTGGGACTGGGGGTGGGACTTCTGTTCACCACCCATCAGTCTCATCCTAACCTGAGTGCCTTCTGCAGACCCTGGGCAATGCTGAAGCACAGCCCTGACCACACCTGTGTCCTGACCACACCTGTGTCCTGACCACACCTGTGCCCTGACCACACCTGTGTCCTGACCACACCTGTGTCCTGACCACACCTGTGCCCTGACCACACCTGTGTCCTGACCACACCTGTGCCCTGACCACACCTGTGCCCTGCTCCAGGATCCCAGAATGGCCCCACCTCAGCACTCTAGGTGGGTAGATGAGGGAAGCAGGTCGTGCAGGCCAGCGTGGGGTGGCTGTGTGGACTGCAGTCACCTCTAGTGGCCCCAAGAAGGGGAGGAGGTTCTGGACCCAAGGCAGGGTGGGGGTGGGGGCAGGGCTCGTCTGCAGGATGAGGCCCAGAGAGGGGCTGGATGTCCTGGAGGGAAGCAAGGAAGGAGAGACGGAGGGAGAGACAGAGATGAAGAGACAGAGAATGCTGAGATAGAACAGAAACAGAGAGAGCAGGGGACAGAGACAGGGAGGGACAGAGACACTGGGAGAGAGACAGATAGGGAGAGCTAGAGACAGGAGGGAAAGAGACAGGGAAGCACAGAGAAGAGGGAGTACAAGGGTGACCCAGGCCCCACCCTCTGATTCGGGGCCACAGGCCCTCCCCACTCCGCCCCAGGCCTGCAGCCCCCCTGCTCTCCCAGTGGGGACGCTGAGGACGAGACTGCGATAAGCTTGGGCTGACTTGGCAGTCAGGATATGATGCTCCTCCTGGGGGCATTTTTTCCCCATCAAATCATCCTGGGCTTGGTCCAAGTCTCTCTCCCCAAGCCCTGGGGTGACAAACTGTCCCCGACAAGATGCCCTATGGCCTTTGAGGGGCCTGAAAGGGGCCTTTCCCATAGCCTCTCCTGGAACCCAGAGCTCGTGCTGTGCTGAGCTCAAGTGGGGCAACAGGGAGCTCAAGGGCATCAGCGAGTTCTGCGGGTCCATGCCCCCACTGTCCATCCAGGCAGTGAGTCCCTTCCATGGCTGCCTGTGGGCTGCACCTCTCTGTGCTGGGGCTGTGCCTTGGACAACACCAGGTCTGAGTTCACTCGGCAAACATCTACCAGCTTCAGAGACAGGGAAGGGCCAGTGACGGCCTCTGTCCTCCAACAGCCCCTCTTAGGGCATGGTGGGTGCAGCCGATGAAGCTGTTTATCCATTGGAAGGCAGGCAGTAACTGAGGCCTCCATGAAGAAGTATGGGGGAGAGGAAGACTGACCAGAGGCGCTGACTCCAACCTGCAATATCTCCCCTCCACAGTCCCCATAACTCTCTGATCCTCCTCCCCTTAGTATTCTGTCCCACATGGACAGACAGACAGACAGCTAGGCGTGTGAGTGGATGGATAGATGGACAGAGGGGTAAATGGAAGGATGAATGGACAGAAGGACTGGTGGGTGGGTAGGTGGGTGGGTGGGTAAGTGGGTGAATGGATGGATGGACAGAAGGACTGATGTGTGGGTGGGTGGGTGGATGGATGGATAAATGGATAGATGAATACAAAAGTTAGCTGGGCTTGGTGGCGTATGCCTGTAATCCCAGCTACTTGGGAGGCTAAGGTGGGAGAATCACTTGAACCCGGGAGGCAGAGGTTACAGTGAGCCGAGATCGTGCCACTGCACTCCAGCCTGGGTGACAAAGCGAGACTCCATCTCAAAAAATAAATAAATAAAATAAAATAGATGGATGTATGGACAAAAGGACTGATGTGTGGGTGGGTGAGTGGGTGGATGGATGGCTGGCTGGCAGGCTGGCTGCCTGGCTGGACAGAAGGACTGATGTGTGGGTGGATGGATGGATGGATGGATGGATGGATGGATGGATGGATGGGTGAATGGATGGATGAATAGATGGATGGACAGAAGGACTGATGTGTGGGTCGGTGGGTGGATGGATGGATGAATGGATGATGGATAGATGGATGGACAGAAGGACTGATGTGTGGGTGGATGGAGGGATGGATGGACAGAAGGACTGATGCGTGGGTGGGTGAGTGGGTGAGTGGGTGGATGGATGGTTGGATGGATGGATGGATGGACAGAGGATTGATGGGTGGGTGAGTGGGTGGGTGGGTGGATGGATGAAGAGGAAAGTGCAGGTTGGGACAGCTGGATGGAGAGATGGATGGTGGGTGGGTGGATGGATGGATGAATGGATGATGCATAGATGGATGGACGGAAGGACTGATGTGTGGGTGGATGATGGATGGATGGACAGAAGGACTGATGTGTGGGTGGATGATGGATGGATGGACAGAAGGACTGATGTGTGGGTGGGTGGGTGGATGGATGGATGGATGAATGGATAGACGGATGGATGGATGGATGGATGGATGGACAGAGGACTGATGGGTGGGTGAGTGGGTGGGTGGATAGGTGAATGGATAGATGGATGGATGGATGGATGGATGGATGGATGGACAGAGGACTGATGAGTGGGTGGATGGATGGATGGATGGATGGATGAATGAATAGATAGATGAATGGGTGGATAGGGATGGGTAGAAGAATGGATGGATGGATGGATGTGTGCATGGATGAGTTGGTGTATGGATGGGAGGATGGGTAGGTGGGTGGGTAGATGGATGGATGAATAAGTGGATAGATGGGTGGATGGGTGAATGGATGGATGGATGGATGGATGGATGGATGATGGTTGGGGGATGGGTGGGTGGATGGTCAGAAGGATGGATGGATGGATGGATGAATGGGTGGATAGATGGGCGGATGGGTGGATGGGTGAATGGATGGATGGATGGATGGATGGGGGATGGGTGGGTGGATGGTCAGAAGGATGGATGGATGGATGGATGGATGAATGGGTGGATAGATGGGCGGATGGGTGGATGGGTGAATGGATGGATGGATGGATGAATGGGTGGATATATGGGTGGATGGGTGAATGGATGGATGGATGTGTGCATGGATGAGTTGGTGGATGGATGGGTGGATGGGTAGGTGGGTGGGTAGATGGATGGATGAATGAGTGGATAGATGGGTGGATAGGTGAATGGATGGATGGATGGATGGATGGATGGATGGATGGATGGGGGATGGGTGCGTGGATGGTCAGAAGGATGGATGAGAGGAAGGATGGCTCCTAGCTCATTCCTTGAATTTATACTCAGATGAACCCTGGTGCCATATGCTGGATGGTGGGATCTCTGGCTAGATGGCTCAGCAAAGGTGCGGGTTTAGATACCCCAAACTTCCAAGCTAACTACAATCCCTACTACCAGTTAGACTACATGACACAGAACATAAGCATCAGGGCTGACTGAGATGGACATAGGTACATTCAGAAAACGTCTATGGTGGGACCTCATCTAGGCCCAGGGGGATCCCAGATGGCACTTGTTTGGAGGGTGGTTGGCGCTTAAGAGCAGCAGCAGAAAGGGAGGTCCTCAGCCCTGTCTCCTTCCTCCTTGCTGTAGTCGGAGTCCGGCCAACACCTGGGCACCAGGGGAAAGTGGCCTGCTGGGGGAGGAAGTCAGGCCTGGGGAGGCTGTGGACCCTGGGAGCTTCCTTGCCTGCCCCCGCCCCACCTTCACTCCTGCACACAAAGGCACAGAGACACACGAATGCACAACGCCTCGCCACGCTCTCGCACGGATGCCACGTGGCAGCAGAAGTAGAAGACTCCACCCTGCTCAGCTTCTGACCTGTGACCTTGGCCATGTCGCTGGCCCTCCCTAAGTCTCTGTCTCCCCATTGTGGGTGGAGGGGCTGGGCCCAGGGGCCTGGGGGGCAGGAGGCTGAGGCTGGGTGTGGGCTGGGGCTGTCCTGGCCCCCGCTCCTGTTTCGACCACCAGGCTTCCTCCCCCTGCCCCTCTGGGGAGGGACCATAATTAACGTCTTCCTGTTCAGATCAGGAGTCCGTTTCCAAAAACATTTTTGGAAGGATTATTTTGCAAAGGAAATGTTTTTGAAAGACTCTTGTGTCCCGTCCCGGCCGAGGGAAGTGGGAGCAGCAGTTGGAGCGGGGATAGCGGGTGGGTGGGGGTGGCCCCTGGTGGCCCTGGGGGCCAGGGTGAGTGGCAGCCAGACTCCAGCCCCTGAGCCCCTCTTTGTGTCTGCTCTGCCCCCAGAGCGCAGGGTCCTGGGATGGTGGGTGGAGAGGGTGGAGACCGAGGGAGACAGGAAAGGGGGGTGAAAGGGGGAGGAAGGGTCCCCGTTTCCTCACTGCCCACTCACTCCATGCCCTCTGAGGACCTCTCGTTGCTAAATCCAAGCATCCCCTCCCAGGCCTTGTGCCAGCACCTCTCACACCATTTTCCTTGGGCAGTCAGCGCCCAGAACCCTCTGCCTGGCTCCCAGCCTGGCGCACAAGCCCACCTTTCTTTCTTTCCTTTTTCTTTTTGAGATAGTCTCACTCTGTCACCCAGCCTGGAGTGCGGTGGCACAATCTCGGCTCACTGCAGCCTCTCCCTCCAGGGTTCAAGCGATTCTCCTGCCTTAGCCTCCCTAGTAGCTGGGATTACAGATGCCCGCCAACATGCCTGGCTAATTTTTGTATTTTTAGTAGAGACAGGGTTTCACCATGTTGGCCAGGCTGGTCTCGAACTCCTGACCTCAGGTGATCCACCCGCCTCGGCCTCCCAAAGTGCTGGGATTGCAGGCGTGAGCCACTGCACCCAGCCACAAGCCCACCTTTCTCCCACCCCTCCTCCAGGCCCTCTCCTGTCCCCTGAAGGTGGCTCTGGGCTCTGTCCTGGGCCCAGTGTCCTCTGGCTCATGGGGCAGGTGTCTTCTAGCACCACAGACACCTGCCTGGGCCCAGCCTGCCCCCTCCCTGGTCAGCTGCGCCCTTGGATACCTCAGGCTCACTCTGTCTTCTCTCTTCTTTTTTCGTTGATTGTGAGGCTCTCCTTTGAGACTGTCTCTTCTTCTTGAACTTGGCCCTCACTCAAGTGTCCCCATCCCATCTTGTAGAAGGCCCTCCATCCAATACCTGAGTTAAACACACACGGTTTTTCATTGCTTATATTTTCTATCCTGAAAAACACGTGGCAAAAAGTTAGCACCGGGGAGCAAGCAATGTGGGTCATTCAGCAGATGCTTAAGGCTTTCAGAAGGAAGTGCCTCTCTTTCCGGGCAGGGGTGAGCTGGGGGCACGGGAGGCCCTGCAGACCCCGCCCTGACACTGACCCATGCAGACTCCAGGCCAGCCCCTGGCCCCTGACCCCCAACTCCAGCCCCATCATCGGGCTGCCCACCTCCCTGCCTGCCAGACAGCCCCCTCCACAGCCAGTGGGCTCAGGCTGGCCCCAACCCCCTCTGAGCTTTGGTCCTTGTTAGTTTTTTTTGGTCCAGATTGTCGTGGTTCTCTGTGGCCTCCCAGCTCCCAGGGCACGGTGACCGATTCGTAAATGTTGCTTGAATACATGAAGGAGATGACTGGCTCGTGTAGAACTGGATAAAGCTTCTTGCATCAAAAATGCTTTCCTCTCAGAAGAATACCTCCAGCTCCTAAATTCCCAGCCTCCCCTGGGCCTGGGCCTGAAGACGGGACAGCCAGGCTCCCTGGGAGCTCCTTCTCTGCCTCAGTTTCCTCACCTTCCCCAACTTCGTCATTGCCAGCCTTCCCGGCTCTCCCTTGCCCCCTGACCACCTCGGGCTGGGGAAACTCCACCAGCTCTGCCCAGGGCTGGCCATGCTACGCTGAGGACATTTCCCAATGCCCTGGGGACCCAAGGAGTGGGTGGAACATTCTATCGGAGCCTGCTGGCCAGCTGAATTAGTGGTGACCAAGTGTGCAGGGCATGGGGGAAGACTGCCTGGCCAAGCTGTGCCCTCGCCTGACAGCCATGCTGTGGTTCCTCAGATTAACTCCCCCGTCTCTCTGAGCCTCAGTTTCTCCTCTGGGAAAACAGGGGTGCTGGGAGATGGGCCCTCTGTGGGGCCCAACCTGGTCAGATAGGGCTCCTGGGATTCTGGACACCGTGGGGGCCCCATCCCTGCCGAGGCTCATCCCTCTGACCCCGGCTTGGGGACACTGTCTTCTCTCTCTCTGCAGGGCCTCCTGGCTGGGGGCGGGGGAGAGGGGGCGCGTCCGGCAGAGGCCTCTCTTAAGGGAGTACTGGCGACCTGTACTCACTGGGGGGTCCCTCTCCCCTCCTTCCCCCAGACTGTTTCTCCAGGTGAGGATACCTGTCTCCACATCCCTTGTTTTCTTCTGGCCCTCTCTGCGTGCCCCCCTCTCTCCATCCATTTCCAGGCCCACCCTCCCCAGGACTTGGCAGTGCTCCCAGCTCTGGGCTGGGCTCCTCCACCCTCCACAGCTGTCCTGGAGCTGGTGTGAAGTTATTTTGGGAGCTGATGGCTCCCCTGGGTCTTTTCCCCGCAGCCTTGGCAGGAGCATGAGTTCGAGGCCAGCCCAGCTGCATGTCTCTGCAGAAGCTGGTGTGGAAAAGCTGGGCCCTGACTTCCCAGTCCCAGGTGGGGCAGGGGTTTCCGGCTGTGTGGGCCACGGTCTGCCCCATGAGGATTAGGGGTGGGAGCAGACCCCGACCAGCTCCTTCCCACACCACTCCCCAGGCCTGGGCATCTGGGTCCTGCCTTTTGAGGGATGCTGGAGGACCCCACGGCGTCCAGCCCCAGCCTGTCTCTCTCATGGCCTCGGACCCACCCCACAATGTCCCTCACCCCATCCTCTCTGCACCCCCTGCTCTGGCCATACGGATCTCCTTCCTGCTCCTTAAGCACCCCCATCTCACCATGCTTTGTCCCTGTGCCAGCATTCCTCCTCCAGCGTCCTGTCCTGGGTCACCCTCAAGAGCCCAAGAGCCTCCCACTCCCACCCCACATTCTGCTCCAGTTCTCCCTCCCTCCCTCCCCCCACCCATCATCTTCATCCTGCACCGTCTGATAGAAACATGACACAAGTTTGGGCATGGTGGCTCACGCCTGTAACCTTAGCACTTTGAGAGGCCAAGGCGGGTGGATCACCTGAAGCCAGGAGTTTGAGACCAGCCTGGCCAACATGGTGATACCCCGTCTCTACTAAAAATACAAAAATTAGCCGGGTGTGGTGACGGGCACCTGTAATCCCAGCTACTCGGGAGGCTGAGGCAGGAAAATCTCTTGAACCAGGGAGGTGGAGGTTGCAGTGAGCCGAAGTCTCGTCATTGCACTCCAGCCTGGATGACAGACCACGACTCTGTCTCAAAAGAAAAAAAAAAAAAAAGGAAAGAAAGAAAGAAATATGACTCAGCCGGGCAAGGTGGCTCACGCCTGTAATCCCAGCAATTTGGGAGGCCGAGGTGGGTGGATTGCTTGAAGTCAGGAGTTCGAGACCAGCCTGGCCAACATGGCGAAACTCTGTCTCTACTAAAAATATAACAATTAGCCAGGCATGGTGGCACAGGCCTGTAATCCCAGCTACTCAGGAAGCCGAGGCAGGAGAATTGCTGGAACCCAGGAGGTGGAGGTTGCAGTGAGCCGAGATTGCGCCACTGCACTCCAGCCTGGACGACAGAGCAAGATTCTGTCTCAAAAAAAAAAAAAAAAAAAAGTATGACACAAGCCACGGTTGCCATTTTAGATTTTCAACTAGCCACATGAAAGACATCTTTTTGCCAGACATGGTGGCTCAGGCCTATAATCCCAGCACTTTAGGAGGTCATGGGGGAGGATTACTTAAGGCCAGGAGTTTGAGACCAGCCTGGGCAACATAGTGAGATCTCCGTCTCTACAATCAATCAATCAATCACTCAGCCAGGCATGGTGGCATGTGTCTGTAGCCCCAGCTACTCAGGAGGCTGAGGCAGGAGGATCACCTGAGCCCAGGAGGTAGAGGCTTCAGTGAGCCATAATCATGCCACTGCACTCCAGCCTGGGTGACAGAGTGAGACCCTGTCTCTAAAAGAAAAAATAAAATTTAAGCAGTTATAATTACTTTTTTTTTTGAGATGGAATTTCGCTCTTATTGCCCAGGCTGGAATGCAGTGGCATGACCTTGGCTCACTGCAACCTCTGCCTCCTGGGTTTAAGTGATTCTCCTGCCTCAGCCTCCCGAGTAGCTGGGATTACAGGTGCCCGCCACCATACCTGGCTAATTTTTGTATTTTTAGTAGAGACGGGGTTTCACCACGTTGGCCAGGCTGGTCTCGAACTCCTGACCTCAGGTAATCCACCCACCTCGGCCTCCCAAAGTGCTGTGTGGCGTGAGCCACCACGCCTGGCCCTGTAATTACTTTTAATAAGATATTTTGGCTGAGCGCAGTGGCTCACGCCTGTAATCCCAGCACTTTGGGAGGCCGAGGTGAGTGGATCATGAGGTCAGGAGTTTGAGACCAGCCTGGCCAAGATAGTGAAACCCGTCTCTACTAAAAATACAAAAAAAATTAGCCGGACGTGGTGGCAGGCGCCTGTAATCCCAGCTACGGGGAGGCTGAGGCAGAGAATTGCTTGAACCCAGGAGGCAGAGGTTGCAGTGAGCCAAGATCCTGCCAATGCGTTCCAGCCTGGGCAACAGAGGGAGACTCGATTTCAAAAAAAAAAAGAAAAAAGATATTTAACCCAATTATGTCGAAACTATTATTCTTTTAACATGTAATCAATATGAAAATTACTGTTATCATTTTCTTTTTGAGATAGGAACTCACTCCTGTCACCCAGGCTGAAGTGCAGTGGCTCCATCACGGCTCACTGCAGCCTCAACTTCCCAGGCTAAAGCGATCCTCCCACCTCAGCCTCCCGTGTAGCTGGGACTACAGGCATGCACCACCAAATCTGGCTAATTTTCTGTATCGTTTGTAGTGATGAGGTTTTGTCACGTTGCCCAAGCTGGTCTCAAACTCCTGGGCTCAAGCGATCTGTGCGCCCACCTTGGCCTCCAAAAGTGTTGGGAGTACAGGCATGAGCCACCTCGCTGGCCCCAATATGAGACTTATTACCCAGAAATCTTACATTTTTTGAACTGTTTTCAAATTCCTGTGTGTGTGTGTGTGTGTGTGTGCGTGCGCGCGCGCGCGCGTGTGAGGGTGTGGGTGTGTGTCTGTGTGTGTCTGTGGGAGTGTGTGTGTGTGAGTGGTGAGTGTGTGTGTGTGTGTGAGTGTGTGTGTGTGTGTTTGAGGCAAGGTCTCATCCTGTCGCCCAGGCTGGAGTGCAGTTGTGCAATCATGGTTCACTGCAGTCTCAAACTCCTGGGCTCAAGCAATCCTGCCTCAGCACCCCCAAGTAGCTGGGACTGCAGGTGCGTATCCCCATGTCTGGCTAAGTTTTTAATTTTTTTTTATAGAGACGGGGTCTACTTATGTTGCCCAGGGTGGTCTCAAACTCCTGGGCTCAAGCAGTCGTCCCGCCTCGGCCTCCCAAAGTGCTAGGATTACAGGCATGAGCCATTGCGCCCGGGTGCTGGGCCCCAGGGTGTTTTTGATGCTCACGTCTGAATTCGGATGTTCCAGGTGCTTCATGTCTACGTGCAGGCAGCGGCTGTTGGATAGGACGGCACAGCTCTATGCCGTTGTCCTGTTGTACGTTTTTCCTGGCACCTATCACTATCCAGAATACCCTGTTTATTGGTTGAGGTATTTATCATCTGTCTCTCCCACAGCAATATCAGTTCTGTGAGTGCAGAGACCTGTCTGGTTCACCGCTGCATCCCCGTACCCACAACCGCCACCCAGTAGGCACTCTCTCTCTCTGGAAATGTTTATGGATGAGGAGTAAGGGCGGCAAGGGTACGGCTCTCCTCCCCTCGCCCCAGTTCCACCCTTCCAGCTGCTCAGGAGGCTGAGGCAGAAGGATCTCTTGAGGCCAGGAATTTGACCACAGCCACAAAAAAATAAAATAAAATAGAAAATTAGCTAGGCATAGTAGCGTGCATCTGCAATCCCAACTACTTGGGAGGCTAAGGTGGGAGGATCGCATGAGCCCAGAGGTCTGAGGCTGTACTGAGCTGTGATCTTGCCACTGTATTCCAACCTGGGCAACAGAAGGAAAACCTGTCTCTGAAAGAAAAAATAAATTAAGCAGGTGTAACTACTTTTAACGATATATTTTATTTAACCCAATATGTCAAAATCCTTATCCTTTTAACATGTAATCAATATAAAAATCAATGAGATATTTCACCTTTTTTTGTACTAAAAGTTTTCAAAAGTTGGTACAAAAAAAACCTAGTACTCTGTGGCCCCAGGTTACAGAGCAGCACGCCGAGGTTCAGGCTGGGGAGGTCTGTAGACAGGGAGGCTTGAACCCGTGCCTGCTTGACCTCTGTCCCCCCTGGCCCCCCTGGCTCTGAAGCTGGTGCTGGGGGAGAGGGATCCTGCGGCCCTGGAGACTCCAGCATCCCCATCTCAGGCCAGCTCCAGGATCCCCCAGCCATTTCTCATCTAATTGGATTCCCAGCTCTTCCTTCCTCAATTCCAGGTCACTGCTGTGTTTGTTTATAAACCTGGTGCAGACTGCATCCCTGGAGCCTAGTACCCATCTGTAGAAATCATCACGATCCTCCTCCAGGCCAGATGTCAGCTGGGCTGCTCCACCCCACTCCACCCCATCCTGCTCAGCTGGCTCCCATTGGCTTTTATTTATTTATTTAGAGATGGAGCTTCACTCTGTTGCCCAGGCTGGAGTGCAGTGGTGTGATCTCGGCTCACTGCAACCTCAACCTCGCGGGTTCAAGCAATTCTCCTGCCTCAGCATCCCAAGTAGCTGGGATTACAGGCATGCACCATCACTTCTGGCTAATTTTTGTATCTTTAGTAGAGACCAGGTTTCGCCGTGTTGGCCAGGCTGGTCTCAAACTCCCGACCTCAACTGATTCACCCACCTTGGCCTCCCAAAGTTCTGGGATTACAGGCGTGAGCCACCTTGCCTGGCCCCCATTGGCGCCTGGCCAATAGTCCCAGTGTCCAGCCAGCCCTTTCTGATTGGTCTGTCTGGAGTAGTTGAGCTTCCTCAAAGATGGCTGCCACGTTGAGTTCACTCATTGTTGGTACTGGCTCAAGGCCCAAGGAGTTTTCACAGCATAGCAAGGTCCCAGCCCCCATGTGTTCTAGACCTCATCCTCACTACTCCACTCCCTGTTCCCCTCATTCAGAATCATTAGGGAGCCCTCCCCTCAGCCCAGTCCCCCGCCCCAAGCAGCACCACAATTTACAAGGGCTTTTGGAGTCTCTCAGGCACATCCTTTTGATCAGGCTCCCTACTGACCCCTGGAGGTTGTTCACAGCAAGACTCACCCTAGAAACATGCAGAGTGGCCTCAGTTTCTCCATCAATAAAATGGGAATGAAAGCCCTCATCTATCAGGGACGGGAATAGATGTGAACTTGCTTTGAGGACTGTACAGTGAGGGGCCATTGCTAACGATTGCTGAGCACAGCTGTGGAAGCTGAGAAAATGAGGGGGGCAAGCCCTCCCTAACCCTGGCCCTGCCTCTGCAGGGCAGCGGTGAAAATCACCAGCACAGACAGTGACTGGCTGCGTGAACCTGGGCCAGGCAGAGCGCCCCTTTGAGCCTCAGTTGCCACATCTATAAAATAGGTAGTAAAATAAAATGGGAGTGCCGTGGCTCCCTCCCAGGGTGGTCATGAGCACTCTGGGTGAAGGTCCCAGCCTGGTGCAGGTGTCTGGTAAATGTGGGCTCTGTCCTTTCCTGGGGGAGCCCCTGTCTGGGCATTAGCCTCCATGTGCTGTCCCAGGCTCCAGGCCAGACAGGGAGGAAGAATCCCCCAGTCCCTCACCCACACAGTGGGCATCTCAGCAGCCCTGAGTTCTGCAGCTCTCACCCTTCATGTCCCTCCTTTGGGACAAGGCCAGCCTTGCTTCTGTCCCCAGCCCAGGAGACAACCTTCATTACAGCATTGAGTGCAGAGCAACGTTCATTATCCCACTTGGAGAAACTGAGGCCCAGGGAGGGGCAAGGACTCTCTCAAGACCCCTCACCTGGCCGGGTGCGGTGGCTCACATCTGTAATCCCAGCACTTTGGGAGGCCAAGGCGGGCTGATCACCTGAGGTCAGGAGTTCGAGACCAGCCTGACCAATATGGTGAAACCCCATCTCTACTAAAAATACAAAAATTAGCCAGGCATGGTACCACGTGCCTGTAGCCCCAGCTACATGAGAGGATGAGGCAGGAGAATCACTTGAACTCAGGAGGTGGAGGTTGCGGTGAGCCAAGATCGTGCCACTGCACTCCAGCCTGGGCGACAGAGCAAGACCCCATCTCAAATAAAATAAAATAAAATAAAAAGGCCCTTCACCTGTTGGAGGCAGCTGGGCCTGGTTTGATTTTCGGGGGATGTAGGGGTAAAGGTGCAGAGGAAGCAGGGAAGTCCCAGGGAGGTATGCCTGGCTAAGACCCTGCAGGAGGGAGGCCCACCAAGAGGGAGCCAGGTGACGTCCAAGGTCCTTGGGGCCGTATGCTCGCCTGCCTGTGCCAGGGAAAGGGAGTGGCATCAGAACGGGCAGCCCCTGCTTGGTGCTGGCTCCAGCCAAATCTTATCAGCCCTCAAAATGCCCCCGAGTGAGCAGATTCTCTGTGTAATAAGAGACTCAAGGTTGGCATACACCGGCTGCAGACAATGGCCAGGCACTAGGTGGGCAACTGGTCCAGGAAAAATGCTGGACCACTGAGAGTTAATCAGGGAGCCAGGAAGGGCCAGACCCCAGCCAGGCAGCAGAGATTGGGGTGGGGACGTGTCTTCTCCATCCCCATCTTGGTTCTTTACTCTTCCCAACTCTTCTCACTCCAGGGCCTTTGCACGGGACGTTCCCTTTGCCAGAAACACCCTTCCCTTCTCTCTTCCAGATTCAGTGCCAATGTCACCTCCTCCAGGAAGTCTTCCCTGACTGCCCATATCAAGGCCAGGTCCCCCCAGCATATAAGACTCTCACTCCCCATCTTTTCCCTTTCAGAGCATTTATCATAATATTAATAGTACTTAAATAACGGCATGCTGGATTTTGCCATTTAGTGTCTGCCCCCTCCCCCAGACACCAGAAGCTCTGTGAGGACAAGGATTGTATCCATCTCTCCGTCTTGTTTACTACCACACAGGACCTGTCACCTAGCAGGTGCTCAACAAATATTTGCGGAATAACAGAATGGCCAGCTGGTTTTCTCCCCCATCGGGGCTGTGGGGCAGGTGGCCCCCCTCCCAGAGTTGAGCACCCAGTGAAGCACATATCAGGGGCTCAGCTATGGGTGGGATGAGCTGGGGCTCCCTAGCTTCTTTCTGGTACCTGGGAGGCCTTCACCTGCCCTGAATCAGGGATGGCAGCGTCACGGCACTGCCCAGGCACCTACTGTGTGCCACGCAGGAGGGCGGGAGGTGGAGGATCAGGGGTCCCACATGGGTCAGGTGCAGACCTGTTCCTCTCCTATAGCCTCTCACGGTCCTAGGCAGCCCTGGGCGCACTGCAGGGCCTCAATTAATGGTTTGGATGGGAAGTGCCCTCCGTCCTGAGGGAGGCAGAGAGGGACCCAGGAAGCTTCTACGAGATGGACTGTGGAGAGAAGGCACTCGGGACAGGCAAGTTGATGGGACAGGCGGTGGCTGGGGACAGCTGTGAGAGAATTTAGAAGGGACAGGTGAGGGAGTATCGGGGAGTGATGGACCCCGCTGCCCCTCTGCAGAGCTCCAGGGTCCTCGTCAGCCTGGGATCAGCGCTCCCCAGTCACGGCCAACCCCAGCCTTTAACGGGACCCATGGCCAAGTTCCACAGGGGCCTTGGAGCAAGTGCTGGGGCCAGAGCTCTGGTGCCCACCCTGCTATTGCCGGCTCCCAGCAAGCCCCTCACCTCCTGGGCGGGCCTCGGTTTCCCCATCCGTGTAATGAGGACATGGTGCTTTTCAGCTGCCCTGGCCCTCTCCCTGTGCGGCTCGCCTCCCTCCTGACCCAAGGTTGTACTTGCACCGCGGCCTGACAGGGCGAGGAGCTGGCCCTCCTTGAGGCAGAGCTGGCTGCAGCCATCCGTCCTGGGGTCGGCTCTTGTTCCAGTCCGGCGGGAGCTGCCCGCGCCTCCTCCAGCGGGGGCTGAGAATTTCCGTGCTGACCTCACCATCTGGACGAGCGGTTCCAGATGTGGCCGGGGGCGGGGAGGGGGTTCCTGGGAAGGTCCTGGAAGCTTCAGAGGGTACTGAGGCTGAGAAAACTGCCAGCCTAGCCTGAGACTTCCCTCGAGCCAGGGCCCCTGGAATCACCCATGTTCAGGCCAGGCTGGGTGCTCGGTGCTGGCTGGAGTGTGGGACAGGAGAGGAGGGCAGGGGCCGAGGGGAGCACCAGACGGGGAGTCCAGAGGCTGCATTTGCATCTGGCTCTGCTGCTTCCTCGCTGTGGGGCCACGGGGTGACTTCTTCATCCAAACCTCAGTTTCCTCATCCTCAAATGGGTACATTGACACCTGACTCCAGGAATTCCACGGAAGCTCTGCCAGGCTCCCGGAAAGATGAGGCCATCCTTGTTAAATGGTCCCTGGGAAGCTTATGCCAGGAAGCTCTGGGGACACTGAGGCGTGTCAGATCCTGGCTGGTGCCCAGCGTGGCTGGTCCCCCTCCAGCACAGTCCAGCCTCCCACTCTCGGGCCTACTATCCTGCTGTTGCTCCTGCTGTTCCTGCTCCCTGGGACACCCTTCCTCACCACCTTCTAACTCCTACTCATTCTTCAAGACCCGTTTCAGGTGCCTCCTCCTCCAGGAAGCCAACGCTGTTAGCCCCATATCCCAGCCTGGTGAGGGGCTCTGTTTCCAGGGGACAGTCTAGCATGGTTTTTGGGTGCACAGACTCTGGGACGGGCTGCCGGGTTCACATCCTGGCTTTGTGACTCCCTTGCTGTTGTGACCTTGGGCAAGCCCCTTAACTTCTCTGTGCTCTCGTAGCCTCCCTCAAGGGGAGAAAGAAAACCACCCGTAACACGTGTGAACAACTCAGCCTGCCGCCTGGTCCGGCGTGAGCTCTCAGTAGACGGTGGTGGTTGTTATGCGATGGGCAGGATTTTTTCCCCCACATCCCTGAGTTCCAGCTCCATGCTGGGCACTGCCTCGCGATAGAGGCTCAGGACAGAACGGGCTTCGGAGTCCAGGCGCTCTCCTGGTGAAGTTCCTCGCTCAGCCGGGTGCAGACGGGAGCCCGTGAAGGTCAAAACCCCTGGGCAAACCGCGCATCCGGGTGGGCGTGTGGGACAGGAGAAGGAGAGGTCTGTTTGCTCCCGGGCCCCAAGCCACAGCACCCAGTGGCTGGTGCCCAGCCAGCAACTCAGCATGGGCACTGCCTGCTGTGCCACCCCGACCCCTGAGGCTGGCCAGCGGGGAGTGGGCCGGGGTTGGACCTGCACTCCCTGGAGTCAGGGTTGAGGACGGGCTGTGCCTGCAGAGCTCGGGGTCTCTCTCTGTCACCCACCCAGTTCTGACTTCTGGGCCCTTGGTTGTCCGGGTTGCCGAGATCTTTGGCGGCTCCTGGCTCCCGCCCCAGGAGGGAGAGGCTCTGAAGCCACAGTAAACGGGGTGAGGTCACAAGTCTACACACAGGCCAAGTACACGTGTCACCATGGGGACGAGGGCCAGCCTGCTTCTCCCTGGGTGTTAGGAGGCATGCAGCTTTCTGAGAACTGTGGGTGCCCGGACTGGGCTCACACAGCCCTTTTGGCCTCGAAGCCTGCTGAGCTTCCTGTAACACAAGCCCACTGCCCAGATGGGGAGGTTGAAGCTCAGAGAGGAGTGGGCCTGGCAGAAGCAGGGACCTCAGGCCCCCCTCATCCCAGGCAGCGGCACGCAGGCCTTCTGTCTGGCAAGTCTGGGGCTCAAGCCCCACCCACAGGGCCCCTGATGTCTGGGGCTCTAGGCAGCTCCTGAGACCCAGGCCCTCTACCGCTGCCCCCACAGACCCCAAAGCGAGGGGATGACGGCCGGGCTCCTGTGTCCAGGGTTGTGGTTGCCTGGGCCACCCTACCCTGCCAGGACCCAGGCATGGACAGCAGATGGCATTGCTGGACTGCTGTGCCCAGCGGACGGTGGGGGAGACTGAGGCTCAGAGGCCACGAGCGCCAGGTTGTCAGCTGGTGGGAAGCCTGTTCCAGCCCCCTGCCTCTATGTTCTGCACAGCCCTGGCCCTGAGTCCTGTACCCAGAGTCCTGCTCTGTGTCCTCACTCCGCAGCTGAAACCAGGGCTGTCCCTGGGGCTGGGGGCAGGACAGGGAGGGGGAGGAAGCACTGGCTCCCCTTCCTGCTGTGGTGAGGGCTTCCCTCTCTGTGCTCTTCTGGGGGAGGCACGTAGGAGGGACCTGCGGCTTGCTGGGCCCCAGGACGGCCAGGCAGGATGGGGACGCGGATGTGGCCGGGGAGGGCAGGCACGCTCATCCTCTGCTGCCCAGGGCTGCCCCCTGCAGGGCCACGGCCAGCCCTGCTACGAGCCAGGCAGGAGAGACGGGCTCCACAGCCGCAGGCTCCGCACTGCTCTGCACCACCCAGGGGGCTGGCGGACAGTCACGACCACCTTGAGGCCCCTCCCGGCCTCAGCAGTCCCACCCTCCTACCAGGACGTCCGGGCACAGGCCCCAGCGGCAGCACCCATGGAGAGGTCAGGCGGGACCCAGGTCAGCCCTGCCAGGGCTTGGAGAGAATGGCTGGAAGGGACCCCTGCGGATGGGGGACTGGAGGGCCCACTCGAACACGGGGACAGGGCGGCAGGAGACGTGAGAATGGAGAATCCTGGCGGGGGCATCCTGGGGGCCAGGCCTCTTCAGACACACAGGCAGGGACACAGCAAACCTCCCTGTCACCCAGAGTCTCTGGAACTCACACCCCATGCCTCGCACACTCATGGGCTCACACAATCGTCCGGCCTGCAGCCAGGATACCCACCCACGAGATCACTGCACACGCACTGCACATGGCTGCACATGGCTGCACACACACCCACCTGCAGCAGCCCTAGGGCTCTGTGCCCCCTCCAGGTCCACTTCGGGCCGGTTCCCGTCCTCGGAGGCCCCAAAGCTGCCCGACAGCCTGAGACTCTCTCTGCTCACCTCCCTTCCTCCTTGAGGGCCCAGCTGGTCCCCCCCATGCTCAGCCTGAGGTGGGGAGCATCCTGGGTGTGGGAAAAGCCCTCCCCTCGCCTGCCAGAGCCTGGAATGCGCTGACCAGCGCCGGCCTAATCCTTGCTGTATGCCCCATGGGGTGGCTGAGCCAGTGGGGGCAGGCGGCGGGGGCCAGGGTGGGCTGGGGGACAGGCCCTGCAGCACCACGTGGTCAGACGGGACCTGGGAAGCCAGGGCAGGGGTCGGCAGCCAAGCCTCCCCTCCTAAGCCTGCCCTTGGCCGGATGGGAGGGTTCGAGTCCCTGGAGGGGCCCGTGATCCCGGAGGAAGAGCCGGGCCAGGGTCCCTGCCTAGACCTTGCCGTCCCAGTGAGAAAGGAGTGGCTGCTTTCCTGGATCCTGAAGGAGTGAAGTGGGTGAGAGTCAGGCAGGAGAGGGCTTGGGGGAGCAGGGGCAGGTGACCCATCTCCCTTGCGCCTGCACAGAGAACCAGCTGGAAGGGAGAGGCCCGAGGGGTAGGGAGATATGGGCTGGGAAGGGCCCAGAGACCTTGCCAAGTCACCCGGGGGTGGGGCCCGGCGTTCCCCACCCCCAGCCCCCCCACTCCGGGCGCTCCCCACCCCCAGCCCCACCCCGGCGCTCCCCACCCCCAGCCCTCCCCCGGCGCTCCCCACCCCCAGCCCCCCGGCACTTCCCACCCCTAGCCCCCCATCTATACCCCAGGCTCCCCGCGCCCTCCCACAGTGGCTGGGAGCAGATGGCAGTGCAGGTGGGTGAGACCCTGGACCTGGAGAAGGAGAACGGTGCAGGGCTGGGGGCTCCCTGAGCCACCCGTGCTCTCTCTGCACAGAGATGGGGTATGGGCTCTGGCCTCTCATCAGATCTCAGGGCTGAGAGGGCGTCAGGGTGAAGGTCCCCCCAGAGCTGGCCTGCTGGGCAGGTGTGTCCCTCCCACCCCAGCCCTGGTCACCCTGTCACAAAGACACCAGATGAACAGAGCCTTAGCCTATGTCTGGCACTGGGTTGGGGGCAGGCTGGGTGGGCAGGGACCTTCCTGGACAGATGGGATAGGGTGGGGGTGGGGGTGGGAGGGAGGAGGCTGCAGCCCCATGAGGCTGGTCCCCCTGTCTCTTCCACTCAGTCTAAAGCCTTCTGTGCGGGCGGCCTGGCCCCCGGCTGGAAGCTGCTGGTCCAGGGACATGCTGACTCTGGAGAGGACAGGTCAGCGGCACCGCCCTCCCCTCGCTGGGCCTTGGGCTGGGTGGCCGGCCCAGCTCTTTGCAGCTCTTGACCCGCACCATGTCCGCCCCAGGTTCGAGACTAACTTCTTGTTGGAGACGGGGGACATTGCCTTCCACATCAAGCCCCGGTTCTCCAGCGCCACTGTGGTGGGCAATGCCTTCCAGTACGGCCGCTGGGGCCCGGAGCAGGTGTCTAGCATCTTCCCGCTGGCCCCGGGGGAGCCCTTTGAGGTGACAGGGGCCTGGGTGGGGCCTGGGCTAGGCAGGGAAGGCCCGTGGGGGAACAGGGGGCCAGTGGGCAGCGGGTTCACGGTGGACGCTTACAGGTCAGTGGGCCAGGGCAAGGTCTGGGTGGCCTCCCTGGCCTCAGTTTCCCTACGTGTGCAGTAGGTACCCACCACCCTGGCTACCAGCCACCCCATCTTGGGAGAAAGGAGGGGACTTTGGGCTGGGGGCTCCAAGCCAAGGGACCCCCGGGGCCTGCCAGGCTGTCCTTCCTGGAGACGGCCGGCAGGCACATCACCGTTAAAAGCGGGACCAGACCCCAGGCCCTGGGGGCTGGCACTGAGGTCACTGGCCCCAGCCTGCCCAGATAGAGGTCAGCTGGGACGCGGAGCACTTCCACGTCTACGCCCCGGAGCACAAGGTGCTACAGTTCCCATGCCGTCAGAGGCCGCTGGGCGCCACCACCAGGGTGCGCGTGCTGAGTGACCACTGCCTGGCCCAGGTGGAGCTGGCCAAGAGGGGCCTGAGCTGGGGGTAAAGTCCCTGCCTCTACCCAGGTCCCTGCCCATTCCTGCCCCACACTGCCCACCCCAGCAGGGATTTTGCTTCTCACCCTGATCCGGGGACCCTCCTCCGCCTGGGGAGGGGTTGTCTGCCTGGCGTCCCACCCTGCTCCTCTCCCTGCCAGCCCTGCATATCCGGCCACGGGAGCAGGGCCATGGTCCACCTCCCACCCTGGTCTGTGCATGGGCAGGGCAGGAGCTAGGGACGTGCCTTGGATGTTTGCAGGGACCGGGGCTACTGAGTGACACCTGCACCCCAGGAGCCAGCCTCGGCTTGTCCCATGTCCAGGGTACCTGGAGTCCCACCCTGGGGCAGCTGGGTGAGGGGGTCTGTGGTCCTGTGTGCTCCTCGCAGCTCCACCTTCAATAAACTCTGAGAAGGCTGCAGGCGTTTGGCTGCTAGGGGGTGGCAGGGGGAGGCTCAGGTGGGGCCGGTGCTACGCAGCCCTGGAAGCTGGGGGGCTGGGGGACCCTGAGACCGACACTCCAGAGACGACCCAACCCCCTCACTTTGTCCCCAGGATGCTGAAGCTCTCGCATACGGCGGCCTGCATACGGCCTCGCCGTATACGGTCTCGCATACGGCCGGGATGGACCTGGACCGGGGAGGGGTGTCGGATGGCATCCTGTGTGGGGAGGGCACCTGCCATGGGCCAGAAGGTCCCAGCGGGGCCCAGGGGACTGAAAGGCAGGGGCAGGCATGGCCTGGGCCAGTCCCCACCCAGGACCACTGGGCTCAGGCTCTTGCCACGGCTCAGCCCTGGTGGGAAGGGTCAGCCCTGGGGCACTCATGTCCTGCCTGGTCCAAGCCATCTCCTCAGAGGCCCCAAGGCTTCCCTCTCCCCCTACTTCCTGCAGGGGCCTTTCCTGTTTCTCCTGTCCCACCTGGAGGGAGACGTGAGCCTGTCCCAGCAGCCTCATGTGTGTGTGGTGGTGAGAGCCAGGCTGGTGTGTGGTGGGAGCAGGAAGGCCCCGGAGGCCTCATAAGGGGACATGAGCACTGTGGGGAGAGTCCCCCAGGCCTGCCCCTCCTGGCTGCGTGACCATCCACAAGTCCCCCCAACCAGCCTCAGGTTCCACACCTATACAATGGGAGTTGTGGCTCCTGCCTCCTGTATGCGAAGGGCTCAGCCTTCGAAGAGCCGAAGAGCCCCGGGGTGGGAAGGTGACTTCAGGGGCACACACAATGAGATTTCGTAATTGCATGTTAATTCTACTACAATTACCAACACCGGGCATCTCTTCATCTCTATCTCTACCTATCATCAATATCTATCATCTATCATGTATATACCATCTATATCCGTCATCATTGTCATCAACATCAATCATCTATCTATCTATTCATCTATGTGCCCACCTACCAATCTATTATTTATCCACATGAAACTAGTGACGTCACAGCTTAGGATGAAACTCAACAGGTATTTAGCCTTAACAAGTGAGTTATTAAAGGAAAGTATTACGCCAAGTGCATGCCTGTAATCCCAGAACCTTGGGAGGCCATGGCAAGGGGATCCCTTGAGACCCCAGGAGTTGGAGACCCGCTTGGGGAACACAGCAAGTCCCCATCTCTACAAAAAATACAAAAATTGGCCAGGTGTAGTGGCTCATGCCTATAATCCCACCACTTTGGGAGGCCGAGGCGGGTGGATCACCTGAGGTCGGGAGTTTGAGACCAGCCTGACCAACATGGAGAAACCCCGTCTCTACTAAAAATACAAAATTAGCCAGGCATGGTGGCACACACCTGTAATCCCAGCTACTCGGGAGGCTGAGGCAGGAGAATCGCTTAAACCCGGGAGGTGGAGGTTGTGGTGAGCCGAGATCATGCCATTGCACTCCAGCCTGGGCAACAAGAGCGAAACTCCAAACCAAAAAAAAAATTTTTTTTTAATTAACCAGATATGGTGGCTCACACCTGTGGTCCTACCTGCTCAGGAGGCTGAGGCAGCAGGACTGCTTGAGCCCAGGAGGTGGAGCAATTATCATGCCACTGCTCTCCAGCCTGAACAGAGAGAGGCCCCTGTCTCGAATGAATGAATGAATGAATTGATGAATAAAAGTATTAGGTCTGCAGTGGCACAGACAGGAGAGCAGAGACGGGAAGCTGGACTTGGGAATGGCTGCCTGGGTTTGAGCCTTAGCTCTGCCACTCTCTGTGCGCGGCAAGGCCCTGAGCTCTGGGGACCTCTGTGAAACAGGAAAATGAGTGCCTTCAGCATATCTTTCTGCCTCAATGAGTTACTTCAGATGACAGCATGCCTAGACAATGGCTGGCACTTGATTTTTTTTTTTTTTTTGGAAACGGAGTCTGGCTCTGTCACCCAGGCTGGAGTGCAGTGGTGTGATCTCGGCTCACTGCAACCTCTGCCTCCCGGGTTCACGCCATTCTCCTGCCTCAGCCTCCCGAGTAGCTGGGACTACAGGCGCCCGCCACCACGCCCAGCTAATTTTTTATATTTTTAGTAGAGACGGGGTTTCACCATGTTAGTCAGGATGGTCTCGATCTCCTGACCTTTTGATCCGCCCGCCTCGGCCTCCCAAAGTGCTGGGATTACAGGCATGAACCACCACGCCCAGTCTTTTTTTTTTTTTTTTTTTTTTTTAGACAGAGTCTCACTCTGTTGCCCAGGCTGGAGTGCAGTGGTGCAATCTTGGCTCACAGCAGCCTCTGCCTCCCAGGTTCAAGCGATTCTCCTCCCTCAGCCTCCCGAGTAGCTGAGATTACAGGCACCCATCACCACTCCCGGCTAATTTGGTATTTTTAGGAGATATGGGGTTTCTCCATGTTGGCCAGGCTGGTCTCGAACTCTTGACCTCAGGTGATCCGCCTGCCTCAGCCTCCCAAAGTGCTGGGATTACAGGTGTGAGCCACCACCCCTCACTAATTTCTTTATTTATTTATTTATTTTTTTGAGACAGAGTCCTGCTCTGTTGCCCAGGCTGGAGTGAAGTAGCACAATCTTGGCTCACTGCAACCTCCACCTCCCGGGTTCAAGCAATTCTCGTGCCTCAGCCACCTGAGTAGCTGGGATTATAGGTGTGCGCCACCACACCCGGCTAATTTTTAAATTTTTTGTAGAGACGGGGTTTCACCCTGTTGGCCAGGCTGGCCTCGAACTCCTAATCTCAGGTGATCTGCCCACCTTGGCCTCCCAAAGTGCTGGGATTACAGGCATGAGCCACCGCACCCGGCCTGGCACTTGTTATAATGCTACTGTATAATTCCCACAGGTCTTGCCTCCTAAGGTTTTATAAATGGGGAAACTGAGGCTGGGGTGGGGGCAGGAAGTCAGCAGAAGGGTGGGGCCCGGAGAGAGGAGGGCCCAGCAACCCCCGCTGCCCTCCAGCGCTGGGGAGGCATCTGAGGGCAGACCACGGCGCCCCCGCTCCAGGTGACACAATGGCGGCCCAGTCTCCAGCTGTGCGGCTTCCTTCCTGTCTCCACTCACTTCCCCGCCTGCATCCACAGCCCAGCTGGCAGGAGCCCCTTCCTGCTGCCTCTTCGCCTCTTCGAGAGGCCTGGCCTTTGTGTCCACCGGGAGGGGCTGAGGACAGCTGGGAGACATGCACTGACAAGCCCTGGCCCTGGGCGGGACTGGGGCGTGGGGAAGTGGGGACCCACACAGCGGGACCTGGATCTGTGCTCAGGCCTGCCCGCTCCTGGTCCTGGGGTCTCTGAGCCCGGCAGGGAAGATGTCCGGCTTGGCCTGCCAGGGCCTTGCCTTGAGACCCAAGCTGCCTGCTCACCCTCTCTGGGCCTCAGTTTCCCTGCAAACAAAAGCCTCCCTCCCCGCAAAGCTCTGCCTCCCCAACAGCCATGCAAGGTGAGAGTGTGCAAAAGTGTGAGATGACAGGCTCTTTTCTTATTGTGGGGTGGCTGAGGCTGGGGACGACCCGGGGACCAGGCCTGCACCTTCTCCCAAGAACTTGGCAAGGTGTGGAGTGTGAGGCTCATTTTACAGACGTACAAACAGGCTCGGGGAGACTGAGTGACTCACTCAGGGTTGCTCAGCAAGTGAGAGTTGGAGCTGGCCCTTCACTCCAGTTTGCAAACCAGACCACAGGGGCCCCAGACCCTGAAGCAATGTTGATCCTCAGTCTCCCCATCCATAAAATGGGGTGCAGGGAGCTATGGTCTCCACGCATCCTGCTGGAGGAGCTGCTGCCCTTCCTATCACACCTTCCATGGCTCCCACCGCCCTCAGCACAAAGCGCAGCTTCCTTTCTGATCTGGCCTCAGCCCAGAGCTGCAGCCCCAGTGGCCCATTCCCCCACCTGCCCCTTCAGCTCAGAAGACACCTCCTCTGGGAAGCCTTCCCTCACCTCCTGCTGGGCTCTTGCAGCCCTGGCTTTCATTGAGGCCCTTCCCTCCCATCACACTGCCTCATCTGGATGCCAGGGACCAGGTCCTACCCCAGCCCCCAGGCTGGCCCAGAGCACATTCCACTTGAACTCTTTTTAGGACAGCCAGCTCACTACCTCCCCAGAGCAGCCCATCGCTCTGCTGACCAGAAGCAAATTCCAGAGCTGACTTAAATCTGCTCCTCCCCTGTGTCATGGCAGAGGCCCCTTAGAAAGTGCCCACACACTCCTTGACGCCTCCAGAGACCAAAAGGCATCAGGAGGGTGTTGTCTCCAGCTAAAGCGGCTGCGGAAGGTCGAGCAGGGCAGCCCCTGCCCCCGGCGCGCTAAGCCGCGTCTCTGGGAGAACCTGTCTCCCCTTCAGTTCTCTGTCTGGAGTTGGGGTGAGATTCAGGCAGATGCCCTGGGCTGGGCCTGTCCAGGGAAACACAGCTGCCCGGGTAAGGAGGCTGCAGCCCCTGGAGGGTCAGGTCCACAGGCCTCCTAACGACACGTGCCGGCCAAAAGCTCCAGGCTCTCTGCGGGGTCAAGGAGCGACTCAAATGCTCACAGGGCCAGGAGGGCAAACGTGCCTAAGTGAGGCAGGCGGACACAGGGCAATAGGGGTTGGTGGGGTCTGTGCCTAACAGAAACACACACTGCCCCCACCCCCATCCTGCCCAGCTCCTTCCAACCATGCACAGGGACCTGTGGACCCAGAGCAGGCAGATCTTCTGAATTTAAAACATCTGAGGTTCAAGTGCTGTCTGCTATCTCTGTTTTGAAACACCTGCCACTATGGTGAGACTTAAAGAAGGTATCGGCTGCAGGCAAAGCTGCCCCCAGGAGTGCCTGGCCTGAAACTTCTGCTTGCTTTCTTCTCTCCTTCTCTCCCCTCCCCTCTTCCCTTTTTTCCTTCGTTCTTTCCTTCCTTCCTTCTCTTTCTTTTCTCTCTCTCTCTCTTTCTTTCTTTCCTTCTTTCTTTCTTCTTTCCCTTCCTCCCTCTCTCCCTGCCCTCTTTCTTTCTTTCTTTCTTTCTTTCCTTCTTTCTTTCCTTCTTTCTTTCTTTTCTTTCTTTCTTTCTTGAGACACAGTCTTGCTCTGTCACCCAGGCTGGAGTGCAGTGGCGCAATCTCAGCTCACTGCAACTTCCGCCTCCCAGGTTCAAGTAATTCTCCTGCCTCAGCCTCCTGAGTAGCCAGGATTACAGGCGCACACCACCATGCCCGGCTAATTTTTGTATTTTTATTAGAGACGGGGTCTTACTATGTTGGCCAGGCTGGTCTCAAACTCCTGACCTCAGGTGATCCACCCACCTTGGCCTCCCAAAGTGCTGGGATTACAGGCATGAGCCACCACGCCCAGCTAATTTTTGTTTTTAGTAGAGACGGGATTTCACCATGTTGCCCAGGCTGGTCTCGAGCTCCTGGGCTCAAGTGATCCACCCTCCTCAGCCTCCCAAAGTGCTGGGATTACAGGCGTGAGCCACCGCGCCCGGCCGAAACCTCTGCTTTAAAACCAACTTCTCCCCTGTTCTGGCCTCTGCTCTGTTCCTCCCTCTCCACCAGGACAGAGGTTGGTGGTCTCCCCAGGGTGGGGGGATGCCCTGCTGATCCCTCCCCACGGGAGCCCTCTCAGGGCCCCGTGAGGAACAGACCGGCCAGCAGAGGGCACTCCCGACATGGCCTCAACCCAAAGCCAGGGAGCAAAGCTCCTTTACCAGCATGGGGCAGGTGGACCCGCACTCCCAGCTCAGGGCAAGCAGGTGGACCCGCATTCCCAGCTCGGGGCAGGTGGACCCGCATTCCCAGCTCGGGGCAGGTGGACCCGCATTTCCAGCTCGGGGCAGGCGGACCCGCATTCCTGAATCCACAGTTTTGGTTTCCACAAGAGGACAGCCTGGGCCTGAGTCCAGGGGCTGAGAGGAGGAGAACCAGGGAGGGGAGCTGGCCCAGCCTGTCCCGTTTGCTGCAGAGCCCAGAGCTCGGCTCCGAGCTGAATGGTGGGAGAAGAAACCTTGCGTGGACCTGAGTGAATCACAGTCTCAGTTTCCCCTTCTGTAAGATGGGTGGCTGTGAGGAGGGGCACGTACAGGGCCGGGCAAGTGCAGTAGGATATGGTCCACGTGGGTCCACCTGCCTCCATCCCCACCAAGGAAGTGAGTGGTCCACCAGCCCCAGGAAGTCTCAGCCTGGCCTGCTGCAGCTGCCAGTGCCCCCCACACCCCCATCGCGGCCGGGACTCCTGTGCCTCACTCACCTGCTTCCTGCAGGTTCAGTGACAGCTGTCCTGCCTCTCTCTGTGGCCAATGTCAGTGCAGGGATGACACGGATTTTCCTGCAGCTCAGCCAGCCTGGGCTCCTGGGAGGCCGACATGGGCTCAGCACCACCCAGGCAGGGCTGGGGACCCATCAGGGCCATATGTGTAGGGGGTGACCATGAAGCCCCAGGGTGGTTCCTCCCTTCTGAGAGCAGAGGATGGGGCCAGGTGCGGTGGATGTGCCTGTAGTCCCAGCACCTTGGAAGGCCGAGGCATGAGGATCGCTTGAGGTCAGGAGTTCGAGACCAGCCTGGCCAACATGGTGAAACCATGTCTCTACTAAAAATACAAAAAAATTAGCCAGGCATGGTGGCACACGTCTGTAATCTCAGCTACTCAGGAGGCTGAGGCAGGAGATTCGCTTGAACCCGGGAGGCGGAGGTTGCAGTGAGCCAAGATTGTGCCATTGCACTCCAGCCTGGGTGACAGAGTGAGACTCCATCTCAAAAAACAACAACAAACAACAATAAAAAGGCAAGGGCAGAACAAGGCCAAGACCCGTCTGCTGCCAAGGCCTGCCTCACTGGTGGGACAGAGAAGAGACGTGCAGATGCTTGACTGCTGACTGACTGCCTCTGGAAGGATTTGGAAAACCTGGCTTCAGAGGCTGCCCCTGAATAGGGGACCGAGAGCTGGGGGTGCTATGGTAGGCCAGGGTGCACTTTTAAAATCCACAAACATTTTCCCCAACATTTTATTATGAAAATTTTCAAACACATAGAAAAGTTGAAATAGGCCAGGTACAGTGGCCCACACCTGTAATCCCAGCACTTTGGGAGGCTGAGGTGGGAGGATTGCTTGAGCCCAGGAGTTCAAGACCAACCTGGGCAACATGGTGAGACCTCGTCTCTATAAAAATAAAAATAAAAAAATTAGCTGGGCATGGTGGCATGTGCCTGTAGTTCCAGCTACCTGGGAGGCTGAGGCGGGAGGACGGAGGCAGCAGTGAGCTGTTAACTGCCCTGCTGCACTCCAGCCTGGGTGACAGAGCAAGACCCTGTCTCAAAAGAAAAGAAAAGTTGAAATATTTTTCAGCCAGCACCCACATACCCACCCCCTGGATTCAACGTGAAGGTTTTACTGCAGTTGCCCCACACATTACCTACCTATCTTGGGTTTCATGCTTTTTTTTTTTTTTTTTTTTTAATTTATGACAGTTTTGCTCTTGTCACCCAGGCTAGAGTGCAGTGGTGCAATCTCAGCTCACTGCACCTCCGCCTCCTGGGTTCAAGCAATTCTCCTGCCTTAGCCTCCCAAGTAGCTGGGATTACAGGTGCACGCCACCAAGCCCAGCTAATTTTTTTTTTTTTTTGTATTGTTAGTAGAGACAGGTTTTCACCATGTTGGCCAGGCTGGTCTCGAACTCCTGATCTCAGGTGATCTGCCCGCCTCGGCCTCCCAAATTGCTGGGATTACAGGCATGAGCCAATATTCATTGCATTTTTCCATGTGTACCTACAATACTGTGAAACTTTGTTACATTGCAGGCTCATTTAAGAAATCACAAAAAAAGAAAAAGAAATCATCCGAGTTTCCGTTTGGGATGATGAAAAAGTTTTGGTAATGGGGCGATGGTTGCACAATATCGTGAACGTAATCAATGCCACTGAATTGTACGCTTAAAAATGGTTACAGTGGCAAATTGTTCGTTACACGTATTTTTTTTTTTTTTTGTAGAGACAGAGTCTTGTTCTGTTGCCCACACTGGAGTGCAGTGGCTCAACCACAGCTCACTGCAGCCTTGAATTCCTGGGCTCAAGTGATCCTCCTGCCTCAGCCTTCCAAAGTGCTGGGATTATAGGCATGAGCCACTGTATTCGGCTTGTTATGTGTATTTTACCACACACATACAAGAAAGTTTAGGCCAGCCATGGTGGTTCATGCCTGAACTCCCAGCACTTAGGGAGGCAGATGCGGGAGGATCGCTTGAGCCCAGGAGTTCAAGACCAGCCGGGGCAACATGGTGAGACCCCATTCTCCACAAAAAGGAAAAAAAAATGGCAATACAGCATGCCCAAAATGATGGAATTTTACCTTTAATGAATGAATTGCATGGTATGTGAATTGCATCTCAAAAAATCTGTTTGTCTTTTTTTCTTAAATATCATAGGCAGTGGTGGGCAGGGGTTCTCGCTGCCCGGGAAATGGTCTCGGAGCTGGAGCTGTTCTGTCGGGTGCAGCGGTGGACGCGTGACTCCTTGCATTTTTCAAAACCCATGCAAGTCCACAGCACAAAGAATGAACTTCGCTGTATGCAAATTTTTTTAAATGAGCCAGGATGTCAGGGGAACCCAGGAGGAACGCGGCCTGTGACAACGGACTCTAATTGAATTACAAATGTGTGACATCACTCAGGGAGAGGGAGTGGGGGAGAGGCTGCTCTCAATGATTTTGGACAACACTGTTTTGTCTACATCCTGAAGCTCAGGACAAAACCAACTGTGTACAAACACTGGACTCTAGTTAGTAGGTTTGGTTCTCCCAGGGGTACATCTTAGCAATTCTGAAACAACGAACACTGGGATTGAACAAATAAGTAAGTTGTGCATCATGGGAGCCAGGCGTCTCCTGGTCAGAACAAGAAGTGAAAAATCAGCACAGATAAACCCATGGGGCTGGGAAGGCTGCGTCTCCATGCACAAGAAAAGACACTGGACCCTCACTTTACACCAGCGGTCCCCAGCCTTTTTAGCACCCAGGACTGGTTTCGTGAAAGACAGTTTTTCCACTGACCAGAGGGTAGATGGTTTTGGGATGATTCAAGCACATCTCATTTATTGTGATGTGCTTTTATTTTTTATTTTATTTCTATTATATTAGTTGAAATGGAGTCTCTCTCTGTCGCCCAGGCTGCAGTGCAGTGGTCCGATCTCGGCTCACTGCAACCTCTGCCTACCCAGGTTCAAGTGATTCTCCTGCCTCAGCCTCCCAAGTAGCTGGGATTACAGGCGCCCACCACCATGCCCAGCTACTTTTTTTGTATTTTTAGTAGAGACAGGGTTTTACCATGTTGGCCAGGCTGGTCTCAAACTCCTGACCTCAAAAGATCCACCTGCCTTGGCTTCCCAAAGTGCTGGGATTACAGGTGTGAGCCACTGCACCAGGCCTCTAATATTATTTCAAACAGAGTCTTGCTCTGTCACCCAGGCTGGAGTGCAGTGGTGCAATCTCAGCTCACTGCGACATCTGCCTCCCAGGTTCAAGCAATTCTCCTGCCTCAGACTCCTGTGTAGCTGGGATTTCAGGCACACACCATGCCCGGCTAATTTTTGTATTTTTAGTAGAGACGTGGTTTCGCCATGTTGGCCAGGCTGGTCTTAAACTCATGAGATCAAGTGATCCTCCTGCCTTGGCCTCCCAAAGTGCTGGGATTATAGGCGTGAGCCACGGGTGCTTGGCCGAGATAAATTAGACCTCATCAAAATTAAAAACTTTTGTGCATCAAAGGAAACCATCAACCAAGTGAAAAGGCAAGCCACAGAATGGGAGAAAATATTTGCAAATCATATATCTGACATGGGACTAATATACAGAATATATAAAGAACACCTATAACTCAACAGCAACAACAAAAACAACAATCCATGCCTATAATCTCAGCACTTGGGAGGCCGAGGCAAGAGGATCACTTGAGGCCAGGAGTTTGAGACCAACCTGGCCAACATGGTAAAATCTTGTCTTTACTAAACATACAAAAATGAGCCTGGTGTGGTGGCAAGTGTCTGTAGTCCCAGCTACTCCATGGGGCTGAGGCAGAAGAATTGCTTGAATCTGGGAGATGGAGGTTGCAGTGAGCTGAGATCGTGCCACTGCACTCTAGCCTGGGCAGCAAAGCTAGATTCTGTCTCAAACAAACAAACAAACAAAAACAATAAAAACAAAAAACAGTGGACAAAAGGCTGGATGTGCTGGCTCACGCCTGTAATCCTAGCTCTTTGGGAGCCCGAGGCAGGCGGCACTTGAGGTCAGGAGTTTGAGACCAGCCTGGCCAACATGGTGAAACCCCGTCTCTACTATAAATACAAAAATTAGCCAGGCATGATGGCGGGTGCCTATAGTTCCAGCTACTTATGAGGCTGAGACGAGAAGACCGCTTGTGGCCAGGAGTTAAAGACCAGCCTGAGAAACAGTGAGACCCCCCCACCATCTAAAAAAAAAAAAAAAAAAAAAAAAAAGGTTAAAATGGCAAATCTTCTACTGTGTAGATTTTACCCTAAAATAAATCAATACAGATTGGAATGATACCTAAGTGTCATGTAGGATCATGGATTCTTTTATTCTTTTTTTAATTTTTTCTTTTTTTTTTTTTTTTTTTTTGACATGGAGTCTCGCTCTTTCGTCCAGGCTGGAGAGCAGTGGCGTGATCTCAGCTCACTGCAACCTCCGCCTCCCGGGTTCGCACCATTCTCCTGCCTCAGCCTCCCAAGTAGCTGGGACTACAGGCGCCTGCCACCACACCCGGTCTCAATTTTTTGTATTTTTAGTAGAGACAAGGTTTCACCGTGTTAGCCAGGGTGGTCTCGATCTCCTGACCTCATGATCCACCTGCCTCAGTCTCCCAAAGTGCTGGGATTACAGGTGTGAGCCACTGTGCCTGGCCTTTTTAAATTTTTTTGAGACAGGATCTCCCTGTGTCCCCCAGGCTGGAGTGCAGTGGCTCAATCATAACTCACTGCAGCCTTGACCTCCTGGGCTCAAGCAATCCTCCCACCTCAGCCTCCCAAGTAGCTGGGACAACAGGCATGCGCCACCACACCCAGTAAACATTTTTTTTTTTTTTTTTTTTTTGAGACAGAGTCTCGCTCTGTCGCCCAGGCTGGATTGCAGTGGCATGATCTTGGCTCACTGCAAGCTCTGCCTCCCGGGTTCACGCCGTTCTCCTGCCTCAGCCTCCCGAGTAGCTGGGACTACAGGTGCCGGCCGCCACGCCCGGCTAATTTCTTGTATTTTTGATAGAGACAGGGTTTCACCGTGTTAGCCAGGATGGTCTCAATCTCCTGACCTCGTGATCCACCCGCCTCAGCCTCCCAAGTAGCTGGGACCACAGGCATGCGCCACCACACCCAGTAAACATTTTGTTTTTTTTAGAGATGAGGGGGTCTCACTATGTTGCCCAGGCTCGTGTTGAACTCCCAAACTCCATTGATCCTTCTGCCTTAGCCCCCCAAAGTGTTGGGATTACAAGCATGAGCCACCTTGTCCAGCTCCATTGTAACCATTTCTAAAGTGTACGGTTAGTTCAGTGGCATTAAGCACATTCAGAGTGTTGTGTGACTATCACTACCCTTTATCCACAAAACTTTTCACCTTCCCAAACTGAAACCCATCCCCCATAAACATTCACTCCCCATTCCCTCCCCTGCCCCTGTAACCACCATTCTCCTTTCTGTCTCCATAGATTTGACTGTTCTTATATAAGTGGACACATACAGAGTTTGCCCCTTTTGGACCGGCTTATTTCACAGAGTATAACGTCCTCAAGGTTCATCCATGTTGTAGCAGTTGTCAGAATTTCCTTCCTTTTTTATGACTGAATAGTATTCCATTGCATGATAGACCACATTTTATTTATTGCAAAGGCAGTGCAGATGCAGAGTAAACATGTCACATCCCCAGGGCATCTGCATCAAAACTAAGAAAAAGCATTGCTGTAACACTATTAACGAAGCTACAGAATTTATTCCATTTTCTACAGATTTTCCACTGATGTCCTTGAATTCTGCATTTCAGAATCCAGCCCACTGGCTGGGTACTGGGGCTCATGCCTGTAATCTGCGTGCTATGTATCTCCAGACAAAATATTTAGAAAATAAAATCATCATGGAGGGCCGGGCGCGGTGGCTCACACCTATAATCCCAGCACTTTGGGAGGCTGAGGCAGGCAGATCACCTGAGGTCAGGAGTTCGAGACCAGCCTGACCAACATAGTGAAACCCTGTCTCTACTAACAATACAAAATTAGCCGGGTGTGGTGTCACATGCCTGTAATCCCAGCTACTTGGGAGGCTGAGGCAGAAGAATCACTTGAACCCAGGAGTCGGAGGTTGCAGTGAGCCGAGATTGCACCATTGCAGTCCAGCCTGGTTGACAGTGAGACTCCATCTCAAAATAAAATAAAATCATCGGCTAGGCGTAGTGGCTCACGCCTGTAATCCCGGCACTTTGGGAGGCCGAGGCGGGTGGATCATGAGGTCAGGAGATCAAGACCATCCTGGCTAACACAGTGAAACCTCGTCTCTACTAAAAATATAAAAAATTAGCCAGGCGTGGTGGCGAGTGCCTGTAGTCCCAGGTACTCAGGAGGCTGAGGCAGGAGAATGGCGTGAACCCAGGAGGCGGAGCTTACAGTGAGCCGAGATCTCGCCACTGCACTCCAGCCTGGGCGACAGAGAGAGACTCCGTCTCAAAAACAAACAAACAAACAAACAAACAAATAAATAAATAAATAAAATCATGGAGAGGCAGAGGCCCCGTGCTTGGTCCAGTGTCCAGGCACACATGTTCTGGACTGTGCCTGCAGATGAGTGCCCCAGTGGGGGCCACACTCCTTCCACATGGGGACGGTGGGAAACTTCCCTTGCTCTGCCTCAGTTTCCTCTTCTGCAAAATGGAGCAACAACAGTCTCTATAAGCTGGGGCCTGTGGGAGACTGGGGCTGTGCGGAGGATGAAGTTTAATGCGTAGACCTGGGGCTGGGGCACGGCCTCAGCAGTAGCCAAGGGCATCCCATGTACCCAGACGTTGGCCCAGCTCCCGCTCCCTGACAGGTCTCTGTGCCCCTCATCCACTGCGTCATTTCTGCATCTGTCTGGGTCTGCTCTCTGGGGGCACTGGCTGGCCGGAGCTGTCTTTTCAGCACCAGGCAGTGCCTCCGCTTGCCCAGCAAGGCACAGGCGAGGCACCTGAGCCCCAGACATGAGAAGACCCCAGAAGTGAGAAGAGGAGCAGGGTGGGCTGGGGTCCCAGGGGACAGGGGCTGGGGCACTGGGGGACCATGGTGTCTTAGGACAGGGAGGGACCGAGGGAACCAGCGGTTGGGGTGGGGTCGTGGCCTCCACACCACACCTGGGGCAGGGGCCAGATTGGGACAGGAGTGGCCTAGGGGAGGGGGAGTTGGGGCCTTCTTGTCTTGTGGGTACTTCACTGAAGGAGGACCGTGGTCTCTCTGGGGCTGGGAAATGAGAGTCCCTTTCCCTTGCCATCACCCGGCTTGGGTGAGACCCAAAGGCCTCCCCTCTCAAATTCCGTAGCCCCTGGACTGCCAAGCACAGGTAGAGGGACAAAAAGGGCAGCCTTGGCCCACCAGGGACATTGCCCGAGGGAACCCAGTGCCCAGAGTACGGTGCAGCCCCCATCTCGCTGCCCCTGCCAGCTCTCCTCCCCCTGGCCACAGTGCCTGGCCTCCTTACTCTTTTTTATTAAACAAGGTCTTGAGTTTGCAAACATGGGTTTTGCAACCACAATTTTTGGGGGACTCTAACCCCACAGCTGGGGAGGGTTAGTCACTCTGTGCCCTGGCAGAGGCCTCACACTCATGCCCATTTCCCGCCAGTCACGGAGGGATTGGGGGAACTGGGGGTGGGCAAGCCAGTGGCCAGATGGAGCCTCGTCCAGGCTGAGAGGCTGGAGCGGACCCGCTGTGCTCTGGCCAACTGCCTGGAACATCCCAGAACTTGGAGATGGGGTTCACCTCCTTCCAGGGGCACACCAGGCCCTGTCCTTACAGTGGGCACAGAGGGCTGGGGTGTTAAGGAAGGTGCTGCCAATGGGCACAGCGACCAGCTGGGGCTCCCACCCAGACACCACTGCGAATTCAGGACCCCAGAAACAGCTGGGCTGCCCTCTCCTCAACCCCAGACCCTCTCTCCGGCCAGCAGCCGCCGCTATGTGGTGGGCAGTGCCCTCCCACCCGCCAGCCATTCAGAGCCCATCCCTGGGCCCAGTTCCAGCCCCGAGACAAAGCCGGAACCAGGGCCACGGGCCCGGCTGACCCCGGATGGGCAGTTGGCGTGGAGGGCCCCTCACCATGGTTACCGCCACCCACAGCTCTACTCAGAGGTGGGCATTGTTTGGCCGCCAGAGTGTGGCGAGCGCCCAAGAGCCCGAGAGCCTGGCTGGCACGACCGCCCCTGCGTGTCTTTGGCCCCGGACACACAGCAGAGCCGTTTCCCACGCTCTAGGCTCCTGGCAGCCCCAGGAAGGGGAGCGGGCCCTGGCCTTGGAAGAGGGGAAACTGAGGCCTGGAGAAGCACGGAGCTAGGAAGTCGGGGCCAGCAGGAATGAGACAAGGGGAGGGACGCCGGCTGCTGTGAGGAATCACTGGGACCTGGTGATACTGGGACTTGGGTCAGTAATAGGCTCAAGCTGCAGAGGCCGGTGTCCGAGGCACGGCCAACCCCTCCCCAGCCTGTGTGCCGCTCAGATTCTCTCTGGCCTCCAAGCCTTTGCTCCTGCTGGCCACTCCACCCCAAAGCCCTTCCCTCACTTTGATTCCAACACACAAATTTCCCCGTAAGACGTCACCTCCTCCGAAATGCCTTCCTCAGCTCCTCCCCATCCAGTGGGAAGGGCCACAGGTCCTGTTTTGCTTGCCCATTTCCAGACATAGCCCAGCTTCTCTTTGGAGACGTGCTCCTCTCCTGTGCTGTGTGGTCTTGGGGTGCAGAAGATCTCAGGGTCCACCCTCCCATTGCAGAGACTGAAGGGTACCTGGGGGTCTTCTGGAGGGACCCTTCTCACTGCCTGAATCAGCCAAGGATGGGTTGTGTGATGTCTGCTGAGACTCGGGTGTTGAACGAAGGATAAAAGCAGGTCTATTGCTTGTACCGGCCAACCTATGACCCCCACCAGGCCCCAGGGAGGTGGCAGTGGCTCCTCCTTGGAGGTTTCCAGGCCAAACAGCGCCAGGTCCTGGGCTCAGAGAAGAGATGGACGAATGGGGAACCCTTCAGAGGAACAGCCCTGGGGTCAAACCTGCCTCTACTTCCTTCTGGTTGTTGTTTTGTCTTGTTTTGTTTTGTTTTGTTTGAGACAGTCTGGATCTGTATCCCAGGCTGCAGTGCAGTGGTGCAACCTCAGCTCACTGCAACCTCCATCGCCTGGGTTCCAGCAATTCTCCTGCCTCAGCCTCCTGAGTAGCTGGGATTACAGACGCCCACTACCACGCCCGGCTAATTTTTGTATTTTTAGTAGAGATGGGGTTTTGTCATGTTGGCCAGGCTGGTCTTGACCTCCTGAGCTCAAGTGATTTGACTGCCTTGGCCTCCTAAAGTGCTGGGATTACAGGCATGAGTCACGGTGCTCGGCCCTTTTTTTTTTTTAGGTTTTGTTATTTTGTTTTGTTTTGTTTTTGAGATGCAGTCTCGCTGTGTCACCCAGGCTGCAGTGCAGTGGCGTGATCTCGGCTCACTGCAAACTACACCTCCCAGGTTCAAGTGATTCTCCTAACCTTGGCCTGCTGAGTAGCTGGGACTACAGGCCCATGCTACCCCGCCTGGCTAATTTTTGTATGTTTAGTAGAGACAGGGTTTTGCCATGTTAGCCAGGCTGGTCTCAAACTCCTGAGCTCAAGTGATCCACCTGCCTCAGCCTCCCAAAGTGCTGGGATTACCGCTGTGTTATTTTTTACACTATACTGTAGCTATCAGATCTTATTGAGTGTATAATCTTTTTTTTTTTTTTTTTTTTGAGATGGATTCTCGCTCTGTCGTCCAGGCTGGAGTGCAGTGGCACAATCTTGGCTCACTCCAACCTCCACTTCCCAGGTTCAAGTCATTCTCCTGCCTCAGCCTCCAGAGCAGCTGAAACTACAGGTGCCCACCACGACGCCTGGTTAATTTTTGTATTTTTAGTAGAGATGGGGTTTCACCATGTTGGGCAGGCTGGTCTTGAATTTCTGAGCTCAAGTGATCCGCCCACCTTGGCCTCCCAAAGTGCCGAGATTACAGGCATGAGCCACCATGCCCGGCTGATTGTATAATCTTAATCTGTGCCTTAAACTGAGCCTCGGTTTTCTTATCTGTAAAGTTGGTACATACAGGAACCAGTCAGGAATGGTGTGCTGTCAGCAATACAAACACAACAGGAAGGGGCCTGCGTGGCAGGGCTTGTCCACAGGCTCATGTGACATGTGCACAATGGGGGTCTGTGGCAGGTGGGAGCAGTCCTTTCCTCGTGGCAGTGGAGGGGGCAGAGTGCAGACTCAGGGTGGGTGGAGGGAGGATGTGGTGAGGGCTCCCAGCAGGTCTCTTGTGGTTGCTGTAATTTCCTTGGTGAAATAAAAAGTGAGGTCATCTGCCGGGCGCAGTGGCTCACGCCTGTAATCCCAGCACTTTGGGAGGCCGAGGTGGGCGGATCACGAGGTCAGGAGATCGAGACCATCCTGGCTAACACGGTAAAACCCCGTCTCTACCAAAAATGCAAAAAATTAGCCGGGCATGGTGGCGGGCGCCTGTAGTCCCAGCTACTCGGGAGGCTGAGGCAGGATAACGGTGTGAACTCACGAGGCGGAGCTTGCAGTGAGCTGAGATCGCGCCACTGCACTTCAGCCTAGGGGACAGAGCGAGACTCCATCTCAAAGCGAGGTCATCAAATGGGAATGAGGATGGGAAGGAAACAGGTATGTGGGAGCACCCTCAGTTCACCATATTAATTACTACAAGAAGATCCCCCCAGGTAGGGTTGCCATATTTAGAAAAACACAAACAGGATGTACAATTAAATTTGAATTTCAGATAAATAATAATTCACTTTTTCAATATAAGTATATCCCATGGCCAGCTGGGCATGGTGGTGCGTGCCTGTGGTCCCAGCTACTTGGGAGGCTGGGATGGGAGGATCACTTGAACCCAGAAGTTGAGGCTGCGGTGAGCTATGATCATCCCATTGCACTCCGGGCCGGGTGACAGAGCAAGAACTTGTCTTAAAATAAATAAATAATAAAAACATAATCAGAGGCCGGGCACGGTGGCTCACTCCTGTAATCCCAGCACTTTGGGAGGCCAAGGCGGGCAGATCACCTGAGGTCAGGAGTTCTAGGCCAGCCTGGCCAACATGGTGAAACCCCGTTTCTGCTAAAAATACAAAAATTAGCCAGGCATGGTGGTGCACAGCTGCAATCCCAGCTACTTGGGAGGCTGAGGCACGATAATCGCTTGAACCCGGGAGGCAGAGATTGCAGTGAGCCAAGATTGCACCACTGCACTCCAGCCTGAGCGACAGAGCGAGACTCCATCTCAAAAAAAAAAAAAAAAAAAAAAAAAGGACACAATCAGAGCCATCAGTGGCTGCACATCATGGAGGGGACAGAGTTCACAAACTAAGTTGAGGCAAATTACAAAAGAAACAAACAGAAAAATAGCAGCAACATCAGCCCTCAAGGGAGAAAAATAATACTTTAAAGCTGCTACAGTGTGTCATTTAAAATGTCTGGTTTTCCACAAAGTCATTACAAGATATACAAAGAAACACAAATTTATGATCCCTATTCCAAAAACAACTGTCCCTGAGTGTCCTCTGATGTTGACTTTTTCAGACCAAAACTCCAAAGCAGGAAATATAAAGATGTTCTAAGAACTAAAGAAAACTATGTGTAAAGAATGAAAGGAAAGCATATCAACAATGAATCAGCAAATAGAGATACTCAATAAAGAAACGAAATATAAAAAATGTGACCCCATGGATTATATTTAAAAAGTGAAAAAAAAATTATAAAAAAGAAACACATGGATATTCTGGAGTTGACAAGTATAATTGAAATGAAAAAAAAAAAATCACTAGAGGGGCAGATGTCGCATGACAGAAAAAAGAAACAATGAACTTGACCACAGATCAATGAATAGAAATTATCCAATCTGGGCCAGGTGCAGTGGCTCACTCCTGTAATCCCAGCACTTTGGGAGGCCGAGACGGGCAGATCACTAGGTCAGGAGTTCAAGAGCAGCCTGGCCAACATGGTGAAACCCCATTTGTACTAAAACTACAAAAATTAGCTGGGCATGGTGGCTCACGCCTGTAATCCCAGCCACTTGGGAGACTGAGGCAGGAGAATCGGAGGCAGAGGTCGCAGTAAGCTGAGATCGTGCCATTGCACTCTAGCCTGGGCGACAAAAGCAAAACTCCATCTCAAAAAAAAAAAAAAATTATCCAATCTGAAGAACGGAGAAAAAAAATTTGAAGAAAAATGAAAAGGGCCTCAGAGACTTGTGAGACAATATGAACTGTGCCAACATGCATGTAATGGCAGTCCCAGGAGAGAAAAAGGGGCAGAAAAAGTATTTGAAGACAAAAATGGCCAGACATTTCCCAAATTTGATTAAAACAACATTCATCTACAAATTGAAGAAGCTCAGTCAACTCAAAGTAGGATAAATACAAAGAGATCTAAAACTAGACTCCATCTCAAAAAAAAAGTAATAAAAAAAAGAGAGAGAGAGAACATACAAATGATCAAATTCAGGAATTAAAGAGCGTATGTCACGGACCCTGCAGAAACTAAAAGGCTTCTTAGAGAATATTATGAATGCTTTATACCAACAAAGTAAAATACTTAGATGAAATGGATGAATTCCTATAAAGGCACAAACTTTAAAAAGTGACTTAAGAAGAAACCAAAAATTGGAAAAGATCTGTAACAACGAAAGACATTGAACTAGTCATTTAAAATCTTCTCGGCCGGGCGCGGTGGCTCATGCCTGTAATCTCAGCATTTTGGGAGGCCGAGGCGGGCGGATCACAAGGTCAGGAGATGGAGACCATCCTGGCTAGGACGGTGAAACCTCGTCTCTACTAAAACTACAAAAAATTAGCCGGGCGTGGTGGCGGGCGCCTGTGGTCCCAGCTACTCGGGAGGCTGAGGCAGGAGAATCGCTTGAACTCAGGAGGTGGAGGTACAGTGAGCCAAGATTGCGCCACTGCACTCTAGCCTGGGCGACAGAGCAAAACTCCATATCAAAAAAAAAAAAAATCTTCTCACAAATGAAAGTTCAACCCAGATAGATTCACTGGTAAATTCTACCAAGTACTGAAAGAGAAATAATGCCAAATCTTTCGTAGAATAAAAGAGGAGGAAGCGTTTCCTACCTCACTCTGTGAAGCCGGTACTATCCTTCCACCAAGGTCAGAAAATGATGCAACAAGAAAAGTACAGAGGACTAGCCTCATGAACATAGACACAAAAATCTTTAACAAAAGATTACAAACCGAATCAGCAGCATATACAGATGATCACACGGCCGGGCGCGGTGGCTCACGCCTGTAATCCCAGCACTTTGGGAGGCCAAGGTGGGCGGATCACGAGGTCAGGAGATCGAGACCATCCTGGCTAACACGATGAAACCCAGTCTCTACTAAAAATACAAAAATTAGCCGGGTGTGGTGGCTGGCGCCTGTAATCCCAGCTACTGGGGAGGCTGAGGCAGAAGAATGGTGTGAACCCGGGAGGCGGAGCTTGCAGTGAGCCGAGATCGCGCCACTGCACTCCAGCCTGGGTGAGAGAGCGAGACTCCGTCTCAAAAAAAAAAAAAAGATCACACACGAGGACCAACTGGGATTTACTCCAGGAATGCAAAGTTGGTTTAATATTCAACAATCAATTTCTTTCTTTCTTTTTTTTTTTTTTTTTTTGAGAGATGGGGTTGCCTGTTTCCCAGGCTGGAGTGCAGTGGCGCAATCTCAACTCACTGCAAGCTCTGCCTGCCGGGTTCAAGTAATTCTCCTGCCTCAGCCTCCCGAGTAGCTGGGATTACAGATGCCTGCCACCAAGCCTGGCTAATTTTTCTTTTTTATTTTTAGTAGAGACAGGGTTTCACCGTGTTAGCCAGGATGGTCTTTCGATCTCCTGACCTTGTGATGCACCCACCTCGGCCTCCCAAAGTGCTGGGATTACAGGCGTGAGCCACTGCGCCCAGCCCTCAACAAGCAATTTCTGTAATACATCACATTGATGAAATAAAAGACAAAAACCACATGACCATCTCAATAGCTACAGGAAAAGCACTTGAGAAAATCTAACCCATTTAAGATAGATACGCACAATAAACTAGAAATAGAAGGGAATTTCCTCAGGCTGATAAAGGCATCTATGAAAAATGTACAGCTAATATGTATATTATATATAAAGTATTATATATGAAAATATTTTATATTATATAAAATATATACAATATATTAAAATTTTTGTATTTAATATATATACATTTCTGAAGACAGAGTCTTACTCTGTTGCCCAGGCTGAAGCACAGTGGCACAATCATAGTTCATTGCAGCCTTGACCTCCTGGGCTCAAGGGACCCTCCTGTCTCAGCTTTTCAAGTAGCTGGGACTACAGGTGCACACCACCACACTCAGCTAACTTAAATTTTGTTTGCATTTTTTATGGGATCTTGCTGTGTTGCCCAGGCTGGTCTCAAACTCCTAGGCTCAAGCAATCCTCCTGCCTTGACCTCCCAAAGTGTTGGGATTGCAGGCGTGAGCCACTGTGCCTGGCCCAGCTAAAGTATATAACAGTAAATCCCAGAATATTTTCCCTCTAACAGGGGGACAAAGCGAGTGGGACATCTGATGCGCTACTGTTATTCAGCATTATACTGCAGGCTCTACTCAGTGTGATAAGGAAAAACAAAAATGAAATAAGACAAAACAAAGACATTAAAAGCATCCAGATTGGAAAGGAAAAAGTAAAACTATCTTTATGCACAGATGATGGTCCTGTATATCCTAAGAAATCAACCCCAAAGCTATTAGAACTAATAAAGCTTAGTAAGGTGGCAGGATATAAGATGAATGTATAAAAACAAATTGTAGGCTGGGCCTGGTGGCTCACACCTGTAATCCCAGCACTTTGGGAGGCCGAGACAGGCCAGTCACCTGAGGTCAGGAGTTTGAGACCAGCCTGACCAACATGGTGAAACTCATCTCTACTAAACATACAAAAATTAGCCGGGCGTGGTGGTGGGCACCTGTAATCCCAGCTACTCGGGAGGCTGAGATAGGAGAATCGCTTGAACCCAGGAGGCGGAGGTGGCAGTGAGGCAAGATTGTGCTACTGCACTCCAGCCTGGACAACAAGAATGAAACTCCGTCTCTAAATAAATAAATAGATAAATAAATAAATAAATAAATAGTGTTTTATTTTATATATACTGGCAACAAACATTCTGAAAATAGAAATAAGAGAACAATTTCATTCACAATAGCATAAAGAATAACAAAATACTTAGGAATAAATGTAACAAAAAAAGTGCAAGGCTTATATGCTGAAAAAGACAAAATATTGTTGAGACAAATTAAAAGAGGCTTAAGTAAATGGAGACGGGGCCCATGTTCAAGGATGGATGGGCAGTGCTCCTCGAATTGATCTACATATTCAGCACAATCCCGGCCAGGTGTGGCGGCTCATGCCTGTAATCCCAGCACTTTGGGAGGCTGAGGCAGGAGGAATTCAACCCTAAGACCAGCCTGGACAACACAGTAAAACCCCATTTCTACAAAAAAAAAAAAAAAAAAAAAGTCAGGCCTGGTAGCGCATGCCTATAGTCCTAGCTACTCAGGAGGCTGCAGCAGGAGGATCCCTTGAGCCCGGGAGGTTCTAGGCTGCAGTGGTGCGATCACAGCTCACTGCATCACTACACTCCAGCCTGGGCAACAGAGCAAGACCCTGACAAAGGGACGAGGAGGGGAGGGGAGAGGGAGGGGATGGGGGAGGGGAGGGAGGGAGTGGGGAGGGGGAGAGAAAGGAAGGAAGGAAGAAGGGGGGAAGGGAGGGAGGGAAGGGAGGGAGGAAGGAAGGAAAGAAGAAGGAAAAGAAAGAAGGAAAGAAAAAGGAAGGAAAGGGGAGGGGAGGAGAGGGGAGGGGAGGGGAGGGGAGGGGAGGGGAGGGGAGGGGAGGGGAGGGCAGGGCAGGGCAGGGCAGGGCAGGGCAGGGCAGGGCAGGGCAGGGCCGGGCAGGGGAAACTGGGGAGCCCCCGTGAGGCCGGCCCAGGGCCGGGCAGGGGAAACTGGGGAGCCCCCGTGAGGCCGGCCCCAGCTCTTCACAGCCCTGGGACTGGGTTTTCCGGCTCAGCTGTGTCATTTGCTGAGTGGCCGCTGCTTCCAGCTTCTGACCTGCGGTTGCTGCCTCCTTCCCCCGACAAGTCCTTGTGCCCCCAGAGCCACTGACTGGTGGGAAGAGATGCCACGTTCCTGCCCTTGGGGCCACCTCAGCCCACTGGACTGTGTGTGCTCGGCCACCTGTGGGGGAGGGGCTCAAAGAGTGGCCTCAGCCAGCGTGGTCCTGGCAGCGCGTCTTGGGGCTTCAGGCCTGGGGAGTCGGAGCCACTCAGCTCCTTGAGTCCCCCAGAGGGGCCCAGAGCAGTGACCCAACAGCAAGTGAGTGGTGGAGTCAGTGTGAACTTGGTTCAAACTGGAAACAGGTCGCCCTCACGGACAGTGTTTGGTGGGAGGAAGACAGCTCTGGCCAGCATGGCCAGCATGGTGCTGAGGGCGCTGTGGGGCCCAGCAGACAGGAATCACGAGGGCGTCAGAGCCTGGGTGACCAGGCCCAGCCCTGCCACGGTGCCCCCAGATCACCCAGTGCCCTCCTGGTCCAGCCGCCCAGGGGGCTGAGCAGCCACTTCCTGTGCCCCCCACGGCCTGTCCAGAACCGGGACTGTACAGCCACCCACACAGGGACCGTGTCTCAGAGGCCCGGGAGGGTGGCCTCAGGGCTGGAGGGATGCTCACTCGGGTGGCCTCAGGGCTTTCGGACCCACGGGGGACATTGCATTACCAGGTTCACATGCGCTTTGGCCGGCCACCCCATGCCCTGCGTGCAGCCGCGTTTAGCCAAGGGTGCGCCGCAGGTCGCGTTCCTGAGCCGTGGCTGCCCCCTGGTGGAAGATGCCCAGGGCCCGGCCTGCCCAGCTCCATGCAGCCCCTCCAGGAGCCCTGTGCCAGGCTGCAGGCCCAGGACTCAGAGGTGGATCCACCCGAGGGAGCTCCTCTAAATGGCCCGGCTCACACCTTCCTCGGGCAGGCACAGGTCTCACTGGTTGGGGGGAATAGTTGCGTCAGCCATTCCTGGGGCAGTGGAAGGTCTGGGGGCCACTCCCAGGGCTGCGGGACAGGCTCAGCATTGTGGCCAGAATCAAAGAGGCCCGGAAGCACCCTGCCCGGGACAGAGAGCCAAGATCCTGGAACAGGGCCAGGCGCAGTGGCTCACACCTGCAATCCTACCACTTTGGGAGGCTGAGGCAGGCAGATCACCTGAGATCAGGAGTTCGATACCAGCCTGGCCAACATGGCGAAACCCCATCTCTACTAAAAATACAAAACAGCTGGGCATGGTGGCAGGCGCCTGTAATCCCAGCTACTCAAGAGACTGAGGCAGGAGAATCGCTTGAACCCGGGAGGTGGATGTTGCAGTGAGCCGAGATCGTGCCACTGCACCTCAGCCTGGGTGACAGGGCGAGAGTCTGTCCCCCCAAAGAAAAAACCCACAAGGGGCTGAGCTGCCACCCCTGCGGGGGTCCAGGAGATGCCAGGCCAGGCTGGGGGAAGCTGAGAGCAGCCCACCTCCCCCAAGCCCTGCAGGCTTGGGCTCAGCACCGTGTGGACCTGACGGGAGTTTCCCATGATTCTGGGCTCAAAATGCTGGGTGCCTGGGAGAGGGTGGGGGGCGGTGGGACATACCAGCTTGGATGAGAGCCCTGGGCCCCAGGCGTGCACCTGTGTCCTGCTACAAAGACGGGCAGTGGGGCGGAAGCAGCCACGGGCTGAGACACTGGATGTGTGCAAGTGTGTACGTAGGTGCCTGTGTGCTGTGTATATCAGTGAGGGTGAAATGGGTATTTTCTTCCTGTTCCCCAGGGAGTGGGGGGCCCCGAGGAAATTCGGGTCATGCCGGAGATGAAGAAGCTACACTGTCACGGACGTCCGGGTGGGTCGCGTGTCTGAGACCCCACACAGGAAGGAGCTGGAAGCCTTGGGTGAGGAGGCTACAGCTCCAGGAGCTCCTGCCTGTGCCTGCCTGCCTGGAACGCTCAGAGGCATCCCCCAGCCCTGCAGGGGCCCCTTCCACTGTCCCTCCTCAGCTGGCACCCTTGTGGGAAGGTGTGGAGAGCTGCCACCTCGGCCCCAGGGAGGGAATTCTTTACGCTTTTTTTTTTTTTTCCAGATGGCGTCTCACTCTGTCGCCCAGGCTGGAGTGCAATGGCGCAATCTCGGCTCACGGCAACCTCCAACTCTCGGGTTCAAGCGATTTTCCTGCCTCAGCCTCTTGAGTAGCTGGGATTACGGGCATGTGCCACCACACCCAGCTTATTTTTGTATTTTTAGTAGAGACGGGGTTTCACCTTGTTGGCCAGGCTGGTCTCGAACTCCTGACCGCAGGTGATCCACCCGCCTCAGCCTCCCAAAGTGCTGGGATGACAGGTGTGAGCCACCGCACCCAGCCTGGTTTCTGTAGGGCAATGACCTTGAGACCTCCCCTACACACTGATACAAGGGGGTCAGGGTCTTCCGAGTCCACACTCATCTCTGCATGTGGACTGTGCTCAAGCCCCACTCCACCCACCTGAGGAAAGGACCTCTTTGCTCTCTCTGCTACCCTGGTCACAGCCAGAAGCCAGCGTGAGGCACCAGCCACTGTCTGAGGACACATGAACCTGCACTTCCAGCTGGTCATTGGCCCACGCCTTCCTGTAAGAAAACGACACACAGATGCCCTTGCACCCGTGCACACACAGGTGCACACACAGGTGCACACACGCACACCCCTGAGTCTTGCAGCCAGACTGCACACACAGGGACCCTGTTGCTGTCTCCACACTCCCACCAGACCCAAGCTCAGGGAAGGGCTGGGAAGTGTGACTGCTGCCGGCCCCAGTTCTTTTTTAATATGGGAGGTATCTGGACAATACGGAGCCCGATTCCATTCAAGATGTGACCAGGCCAGGCACGGCAGCTCAGGCCTGTAATCCCAGCACTTTGGGAGGTCAAGGCAGGGGGATTGCTTGAGCCCAGGAGTTTGAGACAAGCCTGGGCAACACAGCAAGACCCTGTCTCCACAAAATATAAATTTAGCCAGGCATAGTGGCAGGCACCTGTGGTCTCAGCTACTCAGGAGGTTGAGGTAGGAGGATGGCTTGAGCCTGGGAGGTGGAGACTACAGTGAGCCATGATCATGCCACTGCACCCCAGCCCTGGGCCACAGAGCAAGGCCCTGTCTCAAAAAATGTATATTTAAAAAGAAGGCTGGGTGCAGTGGCTCATGCCTGTAGTTCCAGCACTTTGGGAGGCCAAGAAGGGTGGATCACCTGAGGTCAGGAGTTCGAGACCAGCCTGGCCAACATGGTGAAACCCTGACTCTACTAAAAATACAAAAATTTAGCCCGGCGTGGTGGCAGACGCCTGTAATCCCAGCTACTCGGGAGGCTGAGACAGGAGAATCACTTGAATCGGGAGGCAGAGGCTGCAATGAGCAGAGATCGTGCCACTGCACTCCAGCCTGGGCGACAGAGCGAGACTCCATCTCTAAATAAATAAATAAATAGAAATGAGCCTAGGAGTTCAAGGCTGCAGTGAGCTATGATCACACCACTGCACTCCAGCATGGGCAACAAGAGCGAAACTCTGAAAGAAAAAGAAAGGAAAGGAAAAGGGAAGGAAAAAGGAAGGACAAGGAAAGGGAAGGGAAGGGAAAGGGAAGGGAAGGGAAAGGGAGACATGACCAGTCTGCTAGGCAGAGCAGGTTTTGGCCTCCTCACCAGCTGAGATTCAGAATTGCTCGAAACCCCTGCAGAAGGTTACACCAGCTTTTCTCTGCCAGTCTTCACCCACATCGCAGACATTCTCCAAGAAGTGGGGGAAGAAGCTGAGGGTGGGTGGCCGGTGTCCCCTAAAGCCGCGGGGACAGAAGGCGGGCTGCTCTGCCCCCAGGTCTTATCGGCTTTCATAGGAGGAATGGGTTTTGTTCAGTCCCGGGTAGAGAAGACATTGCCATTTACTGAGATCCAGCTGCATATGACACAGAAGAGGACGTGGTGCTCTGTGAGGTCCTGAGCTTCGAGGTTTGGACAAGGACTGGTGGGTGCCATTAACAGGGGGCAGATTCGGACGGGTATAAGAATGAAGTTGGTTATCCAGCCTGGCAGGGGCTATGGGAGAGGGAGCCCGCCATTCAAGGGGTGCAAGGGGAGGCAGAGACAACCTGCCGGGAAGGCACCTGGCGAGAGCAGGGTCTCCCCAACTCCACACTTCCTGGTCCAGTTCCTTTATTGTTCAAATTTAAAATATGTTTGTGGCCAGGCACGGCGGCTCATGCCTGTAATCCTAGCATTTTGGAAGGCCGAGGAGGGCGGATCACTTGAGACCAGGAGTTCGAGACCAGCCCGACCCACATGGCGAAATCCTGTCTCTACTAAAAAGAGAAAAATTAGCCGGGCATGGTGGTGTGTGCCTATAGTCCCAGCTACTTGGGGAAGAAGCGCTTGAACCCAGGAGGTGGACGGTGCAGGGAGCTGAGAGCTGAGGTCGCACCACTGCACTCCTGCCTGGGCGACAGAGTGAGGCTCTGCCTCAACAACAACAAAAAAAGTGTTTATTCAGGCTGCTCTCCCTATGGAATAGCCATTCTTTATTTCTTAACTTTGTTAATAAACTTGTTTTCACTTGTTTAAAAAAAAAAAAGTGTTTGTGGCCGGGCGCAGTGGCTCATGCTTGTAATCCCAGCACTTTGGGAGGCCGAGGCGGGCGAATCACTTGAGGTCAGAAGTTCGAGACCAGCCTGGCCAACATGGTGAAACCTCATCTCTACTAAAAATACAAAAATTAGCTGGGCTTGGTGGCACATGCCTGTAATCCCAGCTACTCGGGAAGCTGAGGCATGAAAATCGCTTGAACCTGGGAGGTGGAGGTTGCAGTGAGCTAAGATTGTGCCACTGCACTCCAGCCTGGGCGACAGAGCAAGACTCTGTCTCAACAACAACAACAAAAAAGTGTTCATTTCAGAAGAGGGTGTCAGAGTGTGGGGACCACAGCAAGAAGTACCTTTGAGGGGGTATGGGAAATGACCTCTGACCCCCACGCTGACCCGAAATCCTCCATGAGGAAGACCACGAAGGCAAGCACAGAGGGTCACTGAGGGGGTCACCGAACAGAAGGTTTGCTGATGTAAGAGGAGGAGGCTTTGGAGGAAGCCAGTGGCCGGGATGGTGGGAGCCCACACTCAATTCCCTGAGAAAGTGCAGCACCAGCCTCAGTGGTCGCTGCTGTATGGGGTCTTCCTGCTTCCACCAGCTACCCCATGACCTTCAGGCTCTCTGCAGCCCAGGCCTGCCAGTGTGCCTCAGTGTGCCTTTCGTGCTGCTGGTCCCTGGGGGCCACTCTCCTCTGCTCTGCAGCTGGGCCCTGCACCCTCAGCACATCAGGGCTGGATCGCTGGGACCCAGGGGCTCCCCATGGGCCAGAAGCCTCCAGGACCCCAGAAAAAGTCTGTGTTTCTGGATCCTCTTGGCAGAATGACTCGAGGCTCTGTCTTACTGGACCCAGTGGCTGGGCAGTGTTTCAGGCCAGGCTGCGTGGGACGGATCCACCTGGAGGGGTTGCTGGAGCCAGAGAATCAGCGGTGGGCACTGGGACCGCTCCAATCTCCCACAGGGACGGCAGGATGTGAGGCCCGGGGCTGCAGCACTCACCACCCCACGGGGTTGATCTTGTACCAGAACTTTTTCTGTTCGATCATGTCCTTGCACTCTGTCCCTTGGTGGGGGGATTCCTGGGTTAAAATGTTAGAAATGACATCTCCAAGGTGCTCGGGACAACAGACAAAGCCCCACAGGTCCCAGCTGGAGCAGGGAGGTCCCTGGACATCTCATTCTCATGGCAGGTAAGGAACGGGAAGCCCCGACGTGGGCACAGCCAGGGGTCCCTGGACATAGCCGCAGCGCTGAGCCCTGAGGGACAGGTCGTGGCTCCGTCATCCACAGACATAGTTCAGGCACCGCCTTGTTGGCTGCCTGGGGTGGAACCACTTCCTGGGGCTGCAGTGGGTTAATGCCAGGCCACGCGCTGGGCTGGAGAGGTTTTTCCTCAGAGCCTGGGTTTTTCCTCTCTCCTCCCCTCTGCCAATCTGGCCAGCACTCCGAGAGTCGCACGAGGCTCCCGTCCCCCAGACTGCGGCTGGCGCTCAGCTATTTGTCCTTTTTTCCCAACTCTCCGCTTTTCCTTGTCAACGGCCTGAGGTCCAAGGCAGCCCCAAGGCCCAGCATGTGCTCTCCCTTCCAGCCCTGCTGCTGGCTCTTCTAGAGGCTGGGCTGGGACCCTGGAGACCTGGGGCTGGCTCGGACCCACCTGGGCTGTGCAGAGACGGATGGGGGCAAGGCCAGGGACAGATGCCACAACGGCCGGCAATGGTCCCACGAAGTGCCCTTGAGAGGTCTGGGCAAAGCCAGGGCTGGGTTCTCACTGATCCTGTGCCTCAGTGGGTCACCGCAGCCTGGGTCTCCCTTTCCCCATCTGGAAATGAGACTGACATCATGACAATTCCTTCTGGCTCAGCCCATGACTTCAAAGAGCCGTCCATTAAACCCTGGCGTGCCCATCAACAGGCCTTTTCTCACACGCGCTGTCCTTCCCTACAAAGTCCTGTTTCCAGCCCCAGGCCACTTTCTCCTTAAAGGGTGACACCTGTGGGCGGGCACCCAGGGAGCTTGGCATGCAGGCTGAGGCAGGGATGAAACGGGCCTGGTGTGGTGGCTCACACTTATAATCCTAGCACTTTGGAGGCCAACGTGGGCAGATCACGAGGTCAGGAGTTCGAGACCGGCCTGGCCAACATGGGAAAACCCCATCTCTACTAAAAATACAAAAAATTAGCTGGATGTGGTGGCACACACCTGTAATCCCAGCTACTCAGGAGGCTGAAGCATGAGAACCACTTGAACCCGGGAGGCATAGGTTGCAGTGAGCCTGGGCGACACAGTGAGATTCCGTCTCAAAAAGGAAAAAGAAAGAGGCCCGTAGGAACGGAGAAACTGAAGGAACCGTGGCCCTCTCACCAAGAGACAAGCACCCTTTTCTCGAATGCCCTGGGGGGCGGGGTCGGCTGGAGGAGAAATATCCCACAGGAGCTTTTTTCTGAAGATGCAAAACATCCACCCAGAGCCAGAGCCAGGCCTGAGACAGGGCGTGCCAAGTCCTCCACAACATCCCAGGACAAGGGTGGCCCTGCCCACCCTACGTCCACTCACCAGGACGCCCTGCCTGGCCCCCTTCCCAAAGCACCACTGGGAGGCTCTGGACTCCGGGAGAAGCTTCTGGAATGTCTGAGAACCAAACCAGTTTTCAATCAAACCTTTTAGAAGCCCAGACCACTTTCAAAGCCAGCCCCCTTTGAAACCCGACATGTTGAAATCCACTTTGCAAATCTGTGCCCCCAAATTTTGAAACCAAAATATTCTGGAAACCTACTGGAAGGAAGACACGTTGGAAGAGAACCAATTGAAATGGCAAAAACCATTTCATCCAGATTGTTTTTTAAGGCCCCGGTTATTTTGCAAACTGCTTTGAAAAAAAAGCAGTTTCATCAAAGCCAGAGTTCCCACTATAATTTTCCTGGGAAGAACCTCAGATGATTGAATGAGGCTCACAGAACTTCCTTGCTCTGTGAGGACACACAAACTGTGAAGGAGCCCAGGGGGAGTAGGGGATTTTTGCCTTGTAGCCTCCCGCAGACTCTCCACCCAGCCATCTCCCAATGCTGTCCTCCTTGAGTGCCTGTGGGCGGAAAAACCCATTCCAGAACCATGCCTCAGAATCTCTGTCTTGGCCTGGCCCACGGCTTCAGAGCCTAACAGTTTCTTTCTGGCCTCTGAATGGGCTCTTTCAGCCTTGGTGCTGGCTGAGGCCAGTGCCACAGAGTGAAGGACCCTGGTGAGCTCAGGAACAAGGCAGGCCAGGAGGGGACAGCCCAGAGGTTGGCACTTTGATTTTTGTTTGTTTTTTGAGACAGAGTCTCACTCTGTTGCCCAGGCTGGAGTGCAATGGCGCGATCTCAGCTCACTGCAACCTCTGCCTCCCAGGCTCAAGCGAATCTCATGCCTCAGCCTCCTCAGTAGCTGGGATTACAGGTGCCCACCACCACACCCAGCTAATTTTTGTATTTTTTTTTTTTTTTTTTTTTTTTTGAGACGGAGTCTCGCTCTGTCGCCCAGGCTGGAGTGCAGTGGCGGGATCTCGGCTCACTGCAAGCTCCGCCTCCCGGGTTCACGCCATTCTCCTGCCTCAGCCTCCCAAGTAGCTGGGACTACAGGCGCCCGCCACTACGCCCGGCTAATTTTTTGTATTTTTAGTAGAGACGGGGTTTCACCGTTTTAGCCGGGATGGTCTCGATCTCCTGACCTCGTGATCCGCCCGCCTCGGCCTCCCAAAGTGCTGGGATTACAGGCGTGAGCCACCGCGCCCGGCCTAATTTTTGTATTTTTAATAGAGACGGGGTTTCACCATGTTGGCCAGGCTGGTGTTGAACTTCCGACCTCAGGTGATCCACCCGCCTCGGCCTCCCAAAGTGCTGGGATTACAGCCATGAGCCACCGCACCTGGCCGGTGTCATTTTCTTTAAAAGGCACCATCCATGGTTTGAGAGAGAAGAGATGAGACCACCGGTGGACCCTCCGGAAACCACCCTGGCCTGGAGTTTGAGAACAGTGTCTCCCTCAGCATACCTGACTGTCCGCCAGAGACCCAACAGGAGGGAAGCAGCTCTGTCTTTGTTCCTGTGTTATGTGTGCATTCAAGGAGGCAAACTCGGCTGCAGAGTCCCGACTGTGTGCTACTTTCCCATGCCATCTGTAAGAATTTTAAGTATTTTTGGTAATAATAAGAATTGAAATTCAATTCCTCCAAAAATTAAAGATAAATTACCATATGACCCCACACTCCTACTCCTAGGCATATACTCCAGAGCCGCGGTCCCCAACCTTTTTGGCACCAGGGACTGGTTTCATGAGAGGCAATTTTTCCATGGATGGGGCAGAGGTATATGCTTTTGGGATGAAACTGTTTCACTTCAGGCTGAGCACGGTGGCTCACACCTGTAATCCCAACACTTTGGGAGGCCGAGGCGGGCAGATCACTTGAGGTCAAGAGTGAGACCAGCCTGGCCAACATGGTGAAATCCCGCCTCTACTAAAAATACAAAAATTAGCTGGGCATGGTGGCACACGCCTATAATTCCACCTACTCGGGAAGCTGAGGCACAAGAATGGCTTGAACCCAGAAGGCAGAGGTTGCAGTGAGCTGAGATTGCACCACTGCACTCCAGCCTGGGTGACAGCAAGACTCCACCTCAAAAAATAATAAATAAACAAATAAACAAAAAAATTAGCTGGCCATGGTGGCGGGCACCTGTAATCCCAGCTACTTGGGAGGCTGAGGCAGGAGAACCACTTGAACCCAGGAAGCAGGGGTTGCAGTGAGCCGAGATCATGCCACTGCACTCCAGCCTAGGCGAAAGAGCAAGACTCTGTCTGGAAAAAAAAAACAAAAACCTGTTCCACTTCAGATCATCAGGCATTAGATTGTTGCATGGAGAACCCTGGTATGCAGGGTTCACAGGAGGGTTCCCGCTCCTATGAGAATCTAATGCCGCCGCTGATCTGACGGGAGGCGGGGCTCCGGCGGGAATGCACGCTCACCTGCCGCTCACCTCCTGCTGTGCAGTCCAGTTCCTAAGGGGCCGCAGGCCAGTATTGGTCCATCACCAGGGGGTTGGGGATCCCTGCCCCAAAGAATTAAAAGCAGGGACTCGGCGGGGCGTGGTGTCTCATGCCTGTAATCCCAGCAGTTTGGGAGGCCGAGGTGGGTGGATCACGAGGTCAGGAGATCCAGAGCATCCTGGCTAACATGGTGAAACTCCGTCTCTACTAAAAATACAAAAAATTAGCCAGGCGTGGTGGTGGGCACCTGTAGTCCCAGCTACTCGGGAGGCTGAGGCAGGAGAATGGCCTGAACCTGGGAGGCGGAGCTTGCAGTGAGCTGAGATGGTGCCACCGCACTCCAGCCTGGGAGACAGAGCGAGACTCCGTCTCAAAAGAAAACAGCAGGGACTTGAACAGGTATCTGCACACCCGTGTTCACAGCAGCATTATTCACAAGAGCCGAGAGATGGAAGCAACCCAGGTGTCCATCCCTGGGTGAATGGATAAAATGTGGTCTGTCCATACAACGGGATATCGTTCAACCTTTAAAAGGAAGGTGATCCTGACTACAACATGAATGAACCTTGAAGACATTATACTACATGAAGAAGCCAGACACAAAAGGACAAATATTGTACAAATCCACTTACAGGAGGTCCCTAGTCAAACTCAGAGACAGGAAGTAGAATGGTTGGTGCCAGGGGCTTTGGGGGGGCGGCACAGTGGGGAATGGGGAGCTAGTGTTTAATAGGGACAGAGTTTCAGTTTTGTAAATGGAGAGAATTTTGGAGATGGATGGTGGTAACGGTGGCAGGCAAACTGAATGTGCTTAATGCCACTGAACTGTTCACTTAAAAATGGGGAAGAGGGCACATTTTATGTTGCATGTATCTTACCACAACTTTTAAAAGAACTGAAATTAACACCAGTTAAAACCATTACCACCACCACAATTCACCCAAGAAAATATACTTACAAGGTCAACCTTTTTCTTTTTTTTCTTATGAGAAACCCACTCTTCTAAACAGGATGGCCTTCTAATGATAAAATACAACACCTTTTTTTTTTTTTTTTTTTTTAAGACAAGATCTTGCTCTGTCACCCAGGCTGGAATGCAGTGGTGCAATCATGGCTCACAGCAGCCTCGACCTCCCAGACTCAAGCGATCCTCCCACCTCAGCCTCCCAAGTAGCTGGGACTACAGGTGCATACCACCATGCACGGCTTTTTCTTTTAGCTTTTGGAGAGACAAGTTTCCACTATGTTGCCCAGACTGGTCTCAAACTTCTGGGCTCAAGCAATACTCCTGCCTTGAGCTCCCAAAATGGTGGGATTACAGGCATAAGCTGCCCCCTGCAGCCATATTCTTATCATTACTATTTAAACGAGTGAAGAAAGCATTTTTAAGGTTCCTATTCCAAATTTGCCTAAAAGATGAACTCCAGCCCAGGGGCAGGAGACCTAGGCTGGAAGGCACTGCCGGTCCTAGTCCGCTCCTCCTGGGCCCCTGGGTCTGCGGTGAGCAGGTGGCAGCTCTGTTGTCTCCCTCCCCCATCTAGGCGGGCCTGGACGCCACCCCAATATCGCAGGCCACATAGGGCTCCACGCGCTCCTCCCTCTTGCTCTGCTCTTCCCTCGGGCCCTGTGGGAATTCTCGAGTCAAGCCCAGCCGCCCCTGCTGACCCAGGTCAAGGCTCTCACGGAGCATGGGGCCTGCACGCTTTGAACCTCTTGAAACATTATAAGCAGAACATTGCCCCACAGCCTGAGAGCCACAGCCGTGTCTCTCCTAAGCAAGGATGGTGCTTAGACAAGGAAAAAAGACAGGGCCTGGCTTTTTCATCCTAGGATTTCAAAGTGCATTTAGACACGCTAACTTATGACCACTCACGAGGTGGTAACTTCACACGGCCGGAGAAACGACAGCACAAGAAGTATCGTTGACTCCCGACCCCAAGATAAATCCAGAATGACACAGGATTGTGCAACCTCCAGATCTTTGTTCAAACAGCTTATTCTACCAGATAAACCTGAGCGGCGGCATTCTTCTTGGCAGTTTCTGGAAGTGTGAAGGTGAATTCCTAACTAAGATAGAAGGTGACTACAGGTATAAACCACCACCTCCCAAATCAGCCTGTAGACCCTCCACTGTGGGTACCTCGGGCTGGCCCTACAGGCCCACTCTGTCTTCTCTTCGGTGGCCCACCCCGCTCCTACTCACAACCGAGCCTCATCTGGGGTGCCCAGTTCCCATCATCCCAGGAAAGTCTGGGACCCTCTGCCTTTCAGAGTTCAGGTCAAACACTACCCCAAAGACCTGAGCTAGAATTTTCAAGTCCAAATCTCCAAACACACACACACACACATTCTCTTGCACACAAGTGCAGACTCACACTTGCACGCACACTTGCACATGCACTCGCACACCTGCACACACACACCCCGCCAGCTTCTAGCCAGTACTTCAAACCCCCAAACTATAAGTGCAAAAAACACCCAGATAGGCTGTGTTCGTTTATCACTGTCAAAGTCAACCAACAGATCCTCATCAGACAAGTGTGACGGGACCATTACAGTGAGCAAATGCTCTCCAGATGGCACCATGACAGCCATGGGAGTCATTTCAGGCATGCCTGCGGAATGGTGCTTGGCTCAGATCAGTAGCGCCCACGGACAGACACAGAGAAGCCTTCAAACCAGGTGTCCTTTCTTCATTAGCCTCCCCATCAGAGATGCACTGAGAAATTATTCCTGCTGGGCACAGCAGCCCACGCCTGTAATCCCAGCACTTTGGGAGGCTGAGGCAGAAGGAGCACTCGAGCTCAGGAGTTTGAGACCAGCCTGGGTGACAAAGCAAGACCCCGTATCTACCAAAAAAAAAAATTTTTTTTTGAGACGGAGTCTCGCTCTGTCGCCCAGGCTGGAGTGTAGTGGCGCCAATCTCCGCTCACTGCAAGCTCCGCCTCCCGGGTTCACGCCATTCTCCTGCCTCAGCCTCCCGAGTAGCTGGGACTACAGGCGCCCACCACCACGCCCGGCTAATTTTTTTGTATTTTAGTAGAGACGGGGTTTCACCATGTTATCCAGGATGGTCTTGATCTCCTGACCTCGTGATCCACCCACCTCGGCCTCCCAAAGTGCCGGGATTACAGGCATGAGCCACCGTACCCGGCCTCTACCAAAAATGTAAAAATTAGCCGGGCATGGTGGTGCATGCCTGTAGTCCCAGCTACTTGGGAGGCTGAGGTGGGAGGACCACTTGAGCCCAGGAGGTCGAGGCTGCAGTGAGCTATGATCACACCACTGCACTCCAGCCTGGATGACAGAAAGAAACTCTGTCAAAAAAAAAAAAGAACAAATTATTTCCAAAGGGGAAAAAATTACACATTCTCCAATTAATCTCTCTGCTGGTGAAATGGTATCCCAATAGGAGAGCCTCACCTATCCCTGGGTCCTGGCAGAGTAAGAACATGTTTCTAAAATCTCATGATGCTAAGAAACGGCTCATGTCCACGTGAACAGTGCCCTGCATCCTCAGGTCACGTGGCTTCTCTCTTCACTGATGGAACTCCTTCAACCCTAGTTTATCAAACACCAACATATTAATGCAGTTGTGTGCGAGTCTAGATCCTGTATGTGAAACGCTAGAAATCCAACCCAAATCAGCTGAAGCGAGTGCAAATTCCTGGAGGCGCACAGCTGAGAAGAGCAGGTGGAGCCGGCTTCAGGTGCTCACCCCGGCCCGGCCCCCGATCTGGTGGCCCTTCCTCCCTCAGCAGTTGGTCTCAGTTCCGGGACGGCTTTTCTAGGTGGCCACAGCACTGTAACGTCCATCCCCTCCACCTGCCAGAACCTCTTCCCAGAGGCTCACAGCTAAGAGCACTGGGTCTCAGGGGTCCAGGTCAGGAAATCAGCCCCGTCCCGTATCAACCATGGGACACAATGGCTCAGGTGCATCTGCCCTTGGGCCTGGGTAGGGAGGCCTGACTCAGCCCTCCTAGGGTAAGGGAGAGGGCGGAAGAGACGGGCTCTCTGACCAGGAGGAGGAATGCACACAGGCAAAACACAACAGATGTGTGCAAACAGTCACTCCAACACTCGGGAGAAACGTTTAAAGACTTTTAGGTTAATTACGTCCATGCAAGCCAAGCTTTCCCTTTTGATATTCTTAGGTTTGGTAGGATAGAAGAGGATGTGTGGCTTATAAATAAGTGAGCAAAAATTACCCCTGGATAATGGGCATGGGAGCGCCCCAGCCTGGTGATGGCATCCTTGGGGGCTGGGTGGTATCTGCAGCCTGTGTGATATTTGGGAGTCTGTTATTCTTCAGGGTGGGGCTGCCAATGAGAACAGAGCGTCCCCAGCTCTCTGCCAAGAGTCTCAGCCGCTCCCCTGGGCTGCCTCCATACAGGCGGGTGAGCACACATGGAGGGGAGCACCACCAGGAACCCAGGCTTCCTTTCAGAGACTCTAGGGAGAAGACTCTGGGGACGTTGGTGTGGCCCCAACATTCTGCCGCAGGGAAACACCTGTCACCATGCCGAACCAACACATTCAGGAAAGGTCCCCCCACCAAGGTACAACCAAGGCAGTTCACATCCAGGGACAGGTGCCCCGGGCAGCTCAGCTCAGGAGGGTCCCTCTGGGGAGACCTGGTCTGCACCAGGAAGCAGACCACGTGTTCACAAAATGCACACGCCACCCACTTTGCTTGGACCCACACAAGGACCATGTCCACAGCTTCCAGCTCAGATGGCTGCTCCCATCCGTGTCACTGTCCCTCACAGGGACGAGGGCTTAGCCACCCTGCGTTCACTCTCCACCCCTACGGCAGCCCTGCCAGCCTCTCACCTGAGTGCAGGAGACAGGGCGGGGAGAGAGAGGTGCGGCCATCCAGGCCCCGATGAATGCAGCTGGCCTCATCGGAGGGTTTGCAGGAACAAACTTGGAACACAACTCCTACACCCTCTGGAAGAAGGAAACAAGAAAAATATCCCGATGTGTGTGTGAGAGAGAGTGTGTGTGTGTGTGTGTGTGTGCGCGCGTGTGTGTGTGTGTTCTGATTCCTAAGTGGCAGAGCTAGGTTAAAGCCCCACCTTCACCAAACCACCCACCTCAGGGCACAGACGTGCTCAGACCTCACCGGGAAGATAAACTGAAATCCTAACCCTTGCCCTCCATCAAGACATAGGGCCAAAACCAAACCTGAAATTTTTCCAATAGTCCAAATAAATGGCAAAAGCACTACAGCAAACTCCACTAAATATCCACTGGGGGTTGTAAGTATCAGCGAATGAAGAAGCATGAGATGCTTTAAGAGGAAAGAGGGAGGGAGGCATCACCCACACAACCTGCAAGTCACACCTGTGTCAAATTCCTGGGGCAGATGGAAAATACACAGCATCAGACGCTGGGAGGCGAGTCCAGGAGCAGCCAGGCCGCCCAGCCCAAGCATTGCCCAACTGTAAACGGGCGAGGTGCCCTCCCACTGATTCGAGGCGCAGCCATCACACAAGAGACAGGGCTTTGTGACACCACCCCGCACCCAACCAAGTCATTCTCATGACTGTGCTCAAAGTGTGGACACAGCTGGAGGATGGGGGCCAACAGGGTAAAAGAGTTTTAAGTTTATGGTTAAATTTTCCAGTTGTACGATGCCAATTTTCATAAAATGTATAATTTGCTGTGTTTCAGTGGAAAAAGAAAAAACCAGAGCCAAAGGTCTCTACGCAGTGTGGTGCTGCGCATCAGGCAAACAGCGAAGAATCAAAGTGGGTTCTCCCCGCTCACACCTCCCTCTCTTCCCGGAGACGCCTCCCCTCGGCCCAGCAGGCCCTTTTCTGCCACTCCCATCCGGAGTCATCCCCACGGGCGGTGGCCCCGACCATGGCCCGGGAATCTGAGCAGGTGCGTGGATGTGGGTGGTGTCTTCTGCAGGAACCCCTCCACATCCCTGCAAACACCCCAGGTGCTCAGGAAAACCGAACCTCAGAGGAACCATACCAAGAACTGGGAATGCAGAAATGGAGGGGACGCGGGCCCCCCTCAGTGAGTGAACCGCCCAGTGGGTTCTGACATTCGTCTGAACATCCTATAAACAAACGCATCCCGGGGAGGTGCTCCAGCAAAGGCAGACACAAAGGGCCATGCCCAGAATACGGAAAACAAGCCCTCAGCAGATTCACTGACACCCTGTTCACAGCAGCATTCAATTCACATTCGCAGGAAGGCAGAAGCAACTCAGTGTCCACCAACTGATGAACAGATAAACAAACCATGCCTCTTCCACACAATGGGACATTATTCCGCCTCAGAAAGGAAGTTAGTTCTGACACCTGCCACGACACCGATGAACCTAGAGGACATTGCATGAGGTGAAGTACTTCAGTCCCAAAAGGACCAATACTGTGTGACTCCATTTCTGAGGGAGCTCGGGTAGTAGAAATCAGAGAGTGGAAGCTGCTGCCTTCTACCAATGGGGAGCGAGTGCTGAATGGGGACAGAGTTTCAGTTTGGGAAGATGAGAAAGCTCTGGAGATGATGGTGGTGGTGGCACGACAATACGAATGTGCTTAATGCCACACAACAGTGCACTTAACAATGGTTAAGATGGTACGTTTAAAATTAAACATTTTTATCATAATAAAAAACTTGGAGGGGCCAGGTGTGATGGCTCATGCCTGTAATCCCAGCACTTTGGGAGGGTGATGCAGGAGGGTCACTTGAGCCCAGGAGTTTGAGAGCAGCCTGGGCAACACAGTGAGACCTCATCTCTGCTGAAAATAAAAAACTAGCTGGGCAGGCTGGCGCTCACCTGTAACCCCAGCTACTTGGGAGTCTGAGATGGGAAGATCACTTGAGCCCAGGAGGTTGAAGCTGCAGTGAGCTGTGATTGCACCAGTGTATTCCAGCCCGGATGACAGAGCGAGACCCTGTCTCCAAAAACAAAACAAAACAAAAATAAAAGAAAGCGAAGCTTCAGAAAGGAAGGCAGGAGGTGTCTAACACAGGGGACACCTGAGGCTAGCAGGCACTGGGGGCCAAGACCCACACAAGCCCACCTGAGCCTGGGAAACACAGGGACACCACACACAGAGGACACCAGGGTATGTCCCAACTGAGCGTGGCCAGCAACCAGGGACTGGGCAGTGGTGACAAATACCACACACGAGGAAGACAGGTCAAGCAGGGTGCCCGACACCACGAAATGATTGCAACCATCTCTCCAACTACAGCTTAGAAGCAGAAATAGCAAAGGAGTTTCAGCCAGATGTTTCCAGAGCCTCCTCTGACACTTTTATCAAGACAGGGCCCATCAAACCTGAGGGTTCAAGGTCAGTCGTGTCCTTGAGGGTGAAGGCACTGGAGCTAAACCAACCAGAAAGCCACAGAGACAGTCACACGGAGCCTCTTCTTGGTGACACTGGGTACTGTCATCCAGCACGGTCTAGAGATAAACGCCAAACCACTCCACTCCTGCCAACTGTAAACCTCAACAGCCATAGTTTACTTTCTATTTAATCTATCTATCTACCTATCTTCTATCTGTCTATTTAGAAACAGAGTCTCACTTTGCTGCCCAGGCTGGAGTGCAGTGGCACGATCATAGGTCACTGCAGCCTTGAACTCCTGGGCTCCAGCGATCCTCCTGCCTCAGCCTCCCGAGTAGCTGGGATTACAGGTGTGCACCATCATGTCCGGCTGATTTTCTTATTTTTTGTAGACACAGGGTCTCGCTATGTGGTCCAAACTGATCTTGAACTCCTGGGCTCAAGTGATCCTCCCTCCTCAGCCTCCTGAGTAGCTGGGTTTACAGATGTGCACCACCACGTCCTTTTTATTTTTTGTAGAGATGAGGTCCTTGCTATGTTGCCCAAGCTGGTCTTGAACTCCTGGGCTCAAGTGATCTTCCCCCCTCAGCCTCCCAAAGTGCCAGGATTGCAGGCATGAGCCACCGTGCCCAGCCTTAATAGCCATAATGTATTAATATTTATTTATTTATTTTGAGATGGAATCTCACTCTGTCACCCAGGCTAGAGTGCAATGTCGCGATCTCAGCTCACTGCAGCCTCTGCCTCCTGGGTTCAAGCAATCTTTCCATCTCAGAACTCCTGAGTAGCTGGGACTACAGGTGCACACCACCACACCCGACTCATTTTTTTTTTTTTTTTTTTTTTTTTTTTTTTTTTTTTAGTAGAGACAGGGTTTCACCATGTTGGCCAGGTCTCAAATTCCTGACCTCAAGCGATCCTTCTGTCTGGGCCTCCCAAAGTTCTGGGATTACCTGCCTGAGTCACCCGCCCGGCCTTAACAGCCATAATTTAAACTAGACAGTATGGGAACAGCTGGAGTTAGAAATCCTAGAAATCCTGCTTCTGTAACTGACCGGTTTACCTCTGACTTGACTTCAAACAGGAAGCCCTGAAGATTGACCTTTTCAAGTACAACACTTAAACAAAGAACTTTCCCTCTGGAAGGATTTGTCGGCTACCCTTCCAAAAACAGACAGGTGCGGCCTGACTTCAAGTGCAGGCCCCGCCCTCCTCCGGTGAGTGGCCCTAGCCCTGGAGGCAGCTCCATCAGCCTCAGCATCCCCTCCCGGCGCCCGCACGCTCAGAAAAACCACAGGAGCGGGCGAGCGGGCGAGCGGGCGGGCGGGTGGGCGGGCGGAGGGGAGAGGGGATATTTTACTCCAGCATTCCCTTCCACATTTCGTATTAAATACCTGAAATATATTAATCTTAAAAAACAATATCGATACAGTACTCAATGGATAGAGGCAGTGGAGTGAACAAGAAGCCCAGATTGCAAAATCGTAGGTCATAAAAAAACTGGAGTGCGCGTGCGTCAGGTTCCAGGCACGCGAGAAAAAGCAACGCGAAAGCTTTCAGTCTCGGAGGAGGTTTTCGGGCTTGGGGTAGCCGAAGAGAACAAAGTCGGCCTCGTAGAGTTTATACAGCTGCTGCCTCCAGGCCAGGGGGATCTTGGCGAACCAGTCCTCCTCCCAGCTGCTGGCGGTCCTGTTCCGGTAGCTCGGGGGGAAGCGGAGCTGCCGGTCCACCTGGAGTAGCTGCAGCAGCTGCGCGGCGTCCTCGTCCAGAGTCTCCAGCTTCCCCACGAAGTCGTAGTCGATCTGGCACGGGTGGCAGAGGCGGTACACCTGCCGCCAGTGCTCGTTGAAGGGCGCCAGCTTCTCCGTGTGCGGGTCCAGCAGGTACTGGATGAAGTTGGCGAAGGACACCTTGAGGCCAGCGCGGAAGGCCTCGCGCGCCGAGGCGGGCAGGCTGGTGTGGTTGGCGTACAGCCGCAGCATGGGCACGGCGAACTTGCGGTAGAACTCCTCGTTCTCCAGCTCGAACTTGCTGCGGAAGGCGGAGATCAGGCGCACGAAGGGGTCGCGCACGAAGAGGAACTTGGTGTACTTCTTGAGCTTGACCTTCATGAGGTGGCGGGAGAGCTTCCCGTAGCGGCGCCAGAACTTGTTGAAGGTCAGGTGCGCGCTGGCGTTGTGCACGTGCTCGCGCGGGATGCGCAGCGGGTCGCGGTAGGGCGCACCGCGGTGCAGCAGGCTTCCGCTCAGCACGATCATCACGCGCTTCCAGTTGGTGCAGGCCACCTTGGGCACGTAGCAGTAGATGGCCCCGTGCCGGTCGTCCACGATCAGGTGGCTCAGCTCCGAGTTGGGGATGTCGTCGAATGCGCGCTCCTTGGTGGGGAAGGCCAGGCTGGAGTTGGCGCAGAAGCCCCGCAGCACGCTCCTCCGCTCCGCCTGCTGCCGGCCCTGGTCTGGGCTGCGCCGGGCGTCGCGCGGGGACCAGTCGTAGCCTCTCACGCTCTCCTCCATGCTCCCCGGCGCAGGCGGCTGCTCCGTCTCCTTTCTGGGAAGGTCGCTCTGCTTCACGCCAGCACTGAGAAACTTGTCCAGAAACTCGTCGACATCGGAGTCGGCCGTGAGCTCCCTGTCCCTGTCCGGCCCGGGCGTGGGCAGCGGCGGCCCCGTGTGCGGCCTAGAGAAGGACGTGTGCAAGTAGAAGTGCGCGGCGCCTGCGCTGTCCCAGTACACGATGATCAGCAGGATCATGAACACCGACCCCAGCACCAGCCACAGCCGGAACAGCCGGGCCTTGGTCATCCTGCCCCGGGCGGGCTGGGCCCTCTCCGGGCCTCTCACTTCAGCTTCCTGCAGAGCCGGGGCATCCTGCTGGGAACCTGCAGATGCAATGACACACTAGTTAATGACTGAGGTGCACTGGGGCTCTGACTCCTGCCTTCTGATCAGTGGGGGACTGGGGTCCGGAGGAGCAGGAGCGCTGGGCCACGTGATATCAGCTCGCCCTCCAGAGGGGCTGGAGGCTGAGGTCAGCAGTGCAGGGAGTCTACACATCCATGTGCCCGAGCACCAGTAATGACCCTGGACGCCAAGGCTCGCGTGCTTCCCTGGCTGGCAGTACTCCACATGTGCTGACACTCGCCACTGGCGGGAAAGTAATATTGCCCACAACTCCCAAGAAGAGGACGCCTCCCAGGGAGTGGAGACCAGCTCCAGGTGTGAGCCCTCCTGGACTCTGCCCTCTGCAACTCTTCCCAAGGCTGATTTTTTTTTTTTTTTTTTTTTTTTTTTTTTTTTTTTGATATGGAGTCTCGCTCTGTCGCCCAGGCTGGAGTGCAGTGGCCCGATCTTGGCTCACTGCAAGCTGCACCTCCCAGGTTCACGCCATTCTCCTGCCAAGGCTGATTTTAATCTTCGAATCTATATCCTTTTCCTATAATAAACCATAGCCACAAGAATAACTGTGATCAGTGAGCTCTGTAATCTTTCTAGCAAATCATCAAACCCCACAGTGGTCTCAGGGACGCCTGCATTTGCTATTGGTGTCATAAGTAAGAGGGGTCTTGGGAACCATTCCTTAACTTCACAGTGACCCAACAACAGGAAAATTGTTTTGGCAACACCCACTCTACTTAAGTCGAATGCCAATGGAAAAACTGCACCCTACAGCTTCATCAGGGCCACCCTGAGAGCTGACCTTCCACACCACCCTGGCTTCCCAAAAGTAAGTGGCACATTGCTATTCCCCTGCCAGGCACCAGGGGGTGTTGGTGGGGCTGAGCTGGGAGCTGATACCCCTTCCTCTGCCCATGGAAGTAGAGGTGCTTCCTCTGTCTGTCCCACCAGGGTACTGTCAGTGTGGTCCAGCAGGGAGCTAAGCCTTGACCCCACCTGGCATCCACAAGGTGGAAGGAGATGGTGTGAGGCAGGAGAGTCCACACTCTGACTCCCTCTCCCCCAGCCAGGTCAGGGCCCAGTAGGAGCTGAACTCCAACTCTACTCCACCCCTATCTGGCACCCATGACATGGCGTGAGGTGGTTAGAGGTGGGGCAAGTTGGCCCTCTACTTTCTCACCTCCTCTCTCCCGGGAATGGAAAACATTAATCATGCAAATATTAATGAAAAGAAAGCAGGAGTGGCTATCTTAATATCAGATGAAGCAAATTTCAGAAGGAAGGAAACTACTAGAGACAAAAGGACATTACATAATGACAAACAGTTCAATCCCCAGGAAGACATAACAATCCTAAACATGTATGCACCAAACAACAGAGCCTCAAAATACAAAAAGCAAAAATCGATAGAGCTAAAGGATAAACAGACAAATCCACAATTATGGCTGGAGACTTCAACACTTCACTCTTGATAACTGACAAAACTATGAGGCAGAAAATCAGCAAGGATACAGAAGAACTCAACACCAGCAACCAACAGGACATAACCGACATATGCAGAACACTCACCTAACAAGAGAACACAGTTTTTTCTAAGTGTCCACAAAACATTCACCATGGTAGACCAAACCTCAGCTAATTTAAAAGAATTGAAATCTTGACAGGGCACGGTGGCTCACATCTGTAATCCCATCACTTCAGGTGGCCAAGGCGGGTGGATCATTTGAGATCAGGAGTTGGAGACCAGCCTGGCCAACATGGTGAAACCCTGTCTCTACTGAAATTACAAAATTTAGGCTGGGTGTGGTGGCTCATGCCTGTAATCCCAGCACTTTGGGAGGCCGAGGCAGGTGGATCACTTGAGATCAGGAGTTGGAGACCCGCCTGGCCAACATGGTGAAACTGTCTCTACTGAAAATACAAAATTTAGGCTGGGCATGGTGGCTTATGCCTGTAATCCCAGCACTTTGGGAGGCCAAGGCAGGTGGATCACCTGAGGTCAGGAGTTCAAGACCCGCCTGGCCAACATGGTGAAACCCCGTCTCTACTAAAAAAATGCAAAAATTAGCTGGGCATGGTGGCAGGCGCCTGTAATCCCAGCTACTCAGGAGACTGAGGCAGGAGAATCGCTTGAACCCAGGAGGCAGAGGTTGCAAGGAGCCAAGATTGTGCCACTGCACTCCAACCTGGGTGACTGAGCAAGACTCCATCTCAAAAAAATAAATAAAAATGAATAAATAAATAAAAATAAAAGAATTGAAATATTTTATATAAAGGAATAAAACTAGAAATCAATAACAGAAAAGACAACAGGAAAATCCACAAACACAAATTCCTGGAAAATAAATGACACATTTCTAAATAATAGCAAAGGAAAAAGTTAAAGTACACAGAATAGAATGAGAATGAAAATACAACATATGTTACAGTCACTGTGGTGCCAAGAGCATTAGAAAGCAGAAAAGGCCGGGCACGGTGGCTCTCTCCTATAATCCTAGCACTTTGGGAAGCCGAGGCGAGAGGGTCTCTTGAGCCCTAGAGTCCAAGACCAGCCTAGACAACATGGCAAAACCCCATCCCTATAAAAAATGCAAAAATCTGCCGTGCATGGTGGCATGCACCTGTAGTCCTAGCTACTCTGGAGGCTGAGGCAGGAGGATCGCTTGAGCCCAGGAGGTCAAGGCTGCAGTAAGCCGAGATCGTGCCACTGCCCTCCAGCCTTGGTCTTAGCAAGACCAAGACCCTGTCTCAAAAGAAAAACAAAAACAAAAAACCAACCAAACAAATGAAAAAAACCTACAAATTATCTTTATCAGGAACAAGACAAGGAATGAAATTATAGATCCTGCAGCCATTGAAAGGATAAGGAACTATTACAAACAATTTTACGCCCACAAATTTAGCAACCTAGATGAAACAGACCAATTCCTTGACAACCACAAACTACCAAAATGAATAATCCTATACTAATTAAAGAAACTAAATTTGTAACGTAAAAGCTCCTTAAAAAGAAATCTCTGGGCCCAGATGGTTTCACTGAAGAATTCTATCAAACATTCAAAGAATAACAACATCAATTTTATACAATCTCTTACAGAAAGGAGAAGAGAGGACATGTCCAACTCATCATCCTAATACCCAAACCAGTGAAAATAAGTACAAAAAAAAAGAGGCCGGGCGTCGTGGCTCACGCTTGTAATCCTAGCACTTTGGTAGGCTGAGGCAGGAGGAACACCTGAGGTCAAGGAGTTCAAGACCAGCCTGGCCAACATGGCGAAACCCTGTCTTGTAGGGAGACCCCCTGAAACTATTGCTATGGAATAAAAGATGAAATGCTCCTGATTACTGTAAATACAAAGTTGCATTCAGGATTGTGTAAAGACAATGCCAGGTTGGACTGTCAGAATGAGCCAACAGCACGTGATATGCTTCCCCCTGCAGAGAGCCTATGAACGGACATGCAGTCAGGGAGCTTTCACATCACCAAGATTCCTATCCCAGAAAAGCAGATGTTCATAGCTCTGGGAATGGAATGCGACCCTTGTGGAGAGCCTACAAACGGACGCATGGGGGGCGCCTGTCCATATGGATAAGATAGTGCTATAAACGCCCTCATCTTGCCACGGCTCTTCTAGGCCTCTTTAGGGTTAAGGCATACTCCCTTCTGAGAATTTCTGGTCTAACTGGCTGTCTAGCTTCACGTCCTGTTTCTATGGATTGTTTGTAACCAGCTTTTGCTGCAACTATTACTGCTGATTAATATCTTGCTAATCATAGGTTATGGAAAGCCTGTGTTTCTGTTTTAAGGCTGTTAGAAATTACTGATGCACATGCTATATTGTAAATTCTTATCTCTGTATACTGTACTTCTGCATACAGATGTTATGTTAAAGAATTACTTCATCCCCATGTGACCATCTCACCTCATAATCAAATGACCCTAAATCCCTCACTAACCTACCCCCGCCCTCACTAAACTTAATAATAAATGCTGGTATATCCAGTGCATTGGCGGCATCGCAGGACCAGAAGGCGGTCACCCCCCGGACCCAGCTTTCACTGTCTTGTGTGTGTCTATTATTTCTCGACCTGCTGATCCGCCTGGGAACAAATAAAAGAGCCCCGTTGCATTGTGGGCTTCTGGCCAGATCCCACAATACCGTCTCTACTAAAAAATACAAAAAATTAGCTGGGCATGGTGGTGGACGCCTGTAATCCCAGATACTCAGGAGGCTGAGGCAGGAAAATCACTTGAACCCGAGAGGCAGAGCTTGCAGTGAGCCGAGATTGTGCCACTGCACTCCAGCCTGGGTGATAGAGCAAGACTCTGTCTCAAAAAAAAAAAAAAAGAGAGAGAGAAAGCTACAGGCCAATATCACTTATGAACTTGGATGCAAAAATGCTCAAAATATTAATAAACCAAATCCAGCAGTGTATAGAAAGAATCACAGCATAGTGACTCACGCCTGTAACCCCAGCACTTTGGGAGGCCGAGGTGGGTGGATCACGAGGTCAGGAGATCCAAACACGGTGAAACCCCGTCTCTACTAAAAATACAAAAAATTAGCTGGCCATGGTGACGGGTGCCTGTAGTCCCAGCTACTCGGGAGGCTGAGGCAGGAGAATCGCTTGAATCTGGGAGGTGGCGGTTGCAGTGAGCCGAGATCGCACCACTGCACTCCAGCCTGGGTGACAGAGCAAGACTCCATCTCAAAAAACAAACAAACAAAAAGGAGTCACGGCATGACCAAGTAGGGTATGCAAGAACGGCTCAATGTTCAAAAATCAACCATGTAATCTATCATATTAACAAGCTAAAAAATCAACTCCTACAGGAAGGAACAACAAAACCCATATCCATTCATTATAAACACTCTCAGCAAACTTAGCAAAGAGGATATCCTCAACTTATAGGGCATCTACAAACACCCTACAGCTGTACCATTTTTCTATCATCTCTGTAGGGGGGGGTGGCAGATGGAAGGCCCAAACTGTGTTGAACTTTTCATCTTCAAACAAATGTGTAAACTTTTTTTTTTTTTTTTCAAGACAGAGCCTTGCTCTGTCACCTAAGCTGGAGTGCAGTGGCACAATCACAGCTCACTGCAGCCTTGACCTCCTAGGCTCAAGTGATCCTCCCGTCTCAGCCTTCCAAGTAGCTGGGACTGCAGATACACACCACTGGGCCGGGCTAATTTTTAAAAATTTTTTATAGAGTTGTGGTCTCACCATGTTAACCCGGCTGGTCTTGAACTCCTGGGCTCTAGCAAGCTGGCCACCTCGGCCTCGCAAAGTGCTATGAATTTCTTAAACTGAGTATTTTTACATTTGTATGTCTCTCTCTCTCTCTTTTTTCTTTTGTGAGACAGGGTCTCGCTGTGTCACCCAGGCCGGAGTGCAGTGGCATGATCTTGGCTCACTGCAACCTCCGCCTCCCGGGTTCAAGTGATTCTCATGCCTCAGCCTGGCCACCTCGGCCTTGCAAAGTGCTACAAATTTCTTAAACTGAGTACTTTTTCATTTATATGTCTCTCTCTCTCTCTCTTTTTCTTTTGTGAGACAGGGTCTCGCTGTGTCACCCAGGCTGGAGTGCAGTGGCATGATCTTGGCTCACTGCAACCTCCGCCTCCCAGGTTCAAGTGATTCTCATGCCTCAGCCTCCCAGGCAGCTAGGATTACAGGTGCCCACCCTGACACCCGGCTAATTTTTGTATTTTTAGTAGGGATGGAGCTCCACCATGTTGGCCAGGCTGGTCTTGAACTCCTGACCTCAAGTGATCCACCTTCCTCGGCCTCCAAAGTGCTGGGATTACAGGCATAAGCCACCACACCCGGACTGTATGTCTCTCCTGTCACTCTTGTATGTTATATTTTTTTAATATTAGCAACAATCTGAGTGCTTTAAAAAAAAAAACCTACAGCTAACCTCATAATTAAGGGTGCAAGAGTGAGTACCTTACCACCAAGATCATGAACAAGGCAAGGACATCTGTCTACCCGCCCCTGCCCCGTCATCAGTAGACACCTACTCATCCCCAGCTCAGCGAAGTCTTTCCCAGTTGGGTCAAATCCCAGACTATGCACTCTCCATAGGTCCCATCAGCAACTGTGTGCTTATTTGGGGTGTGTATGTTTAATTACTCCCGCTCTCACTCACATAGCTGGGGAGGGTGGGCTCCGTCTGGTTGTGCTCACCACGTGCATGCACATGGTAGGGTGCAGTCAATACCGAGTGAATCTCAGGCTCAGAGGCCCCCATCACATCAGCCTGGCTCTGAAGCCCCTTGTGACCAAGCCCCTGAGGTTCCATGCCAGGTCCTATCCTGGGGCAACCCTGGGCCACCTTCCTGCCTTGGCTTCTTGCTAAGGACGTTGGTTCCTTTACAGAAATGAGTCCCAGCCCCCTGAATATTCGTCCCCACAGCCAGCTGCCCTCTTCTCACTGGCAGTCCCTTCGCACGATGCCCATCTACCTACTCCCATCCCGGACTATGCAGGTCCCCCAAAGAGGTCCCCTGCTGATCTAGCGAGCCCCGTCGTCCCCAGCCTGTCTCTCCCTCCAGCTTACTGCCTTCTGCCAGGCCCTTCCCCCAGAGCGTCTAACCCCTGACCCCTGGCACCTGTGCTGCCACCACCAGAGTGCAGACTCCCCAGAATCTGCATTCAGAAAGATGACACCCTGGAAAGACGAGAAGTAAAGCTGAAAATAAATAAGAGATGGAAACGTATAGTGGGATAAGTGGTAAGTTCTCCACCCAAAAAAATAAAGATCAAATAGACAGCATGGGAGAAGACCTGCAAGTTGGATACAAGAGGAAAAGGGACAAGCTTGACAAAAGACAAAAAAAAAAAAAAGCAAATGCAGTGCTATTTTGCATTTGAACACACACACATCTGCAGATGTGGGCCCCCTGCACCTGTCCCGCGTGTGGGCCTTACAGGTGACTCACCACCTGTGCTCACAACAGTCCTGTGACCTCAGCCACATCCAGAAACAATGGTGGCCACAGGGCATGGATCCCCAGAGGCACTCATCTCCGTCAGAGGCCAGATCCTATCTCTTTCTTTCTAGATGTTTGAGCAGGGCCATCTCATAGGCCCTTTTGGGGGTGGAGGGTAAAAGGTGAATATGAAATATATCCATTTTCAGTGGCTATGACCTGGTCTGGGGTTTCTGGAAGAGCCCAACAGTCTGGACCCCTCTCTCCTGGCACTCACCCTTGTCTGCACTGTGGTTGTGTCCACACCTGTCTTGACCGACATGCTGACTAAGCGCGGTCCTCACTGGGCCGGGGTTTGTTTTTTTACGTTTTTTTTTTGTTTGTTGTTTTTTTTTTTTTTTTGAGACGGAGTCTTGCTCTGTCACCAGGCTGGAGTGCAGTGGTGCAATCTCGGCTCACTGCAATCTCTGCCTCCCGGGTTCATGCGATTTTCTGCCTCAGCCTCCCGAGTAGCTGGGACTACAGGCGCCCGCCACCACACCTGGCTAATTTTTGTATTTTTAGTAGAGATGGAGTTTCACTCTGTTGGCCAGGCTGGTCTTGAACTCCTGACCTCAAGTGATCTGCCCACCTCGGCCTCCCAAAGTGCTGGGATTACAGGCGTGAGCCACCACGCCCGGCCTGGAGCGGGGTCTTGCCTCCTCCTCCTGCTCCTCCACGGGGGCACCCTGATTACAACAGGCTCTAGCAGGCTCTCAGTGTCTCTTTTCCCACAGCATCTTGTGGAAGGGGAGCTCTGTGGGAGCTGGGGCTGTTCAGGACGAGGAGGATTTCTGTTGGTGCCTCAAACTCCTGAAGGGCTGTCACAGAGGAGGGGGAGCAGGCTTGACCTCTGCAGCTTCAGAAGACAACACTCGGACAGCACAGTCAGCCCAGTGAATGAACAGATACGCTAATGAGTTAAGGGGCCAAAAACTGTAGTAAGATCTCTGTTCCCGAGGGCATCCAAGCACAAACAGGCGGATTGCCCGGGAGTCTTCCGGGGGAGAGTCTCGCACTGGGAGACCCTCCTGGACTTCTTCCGGCATAAGCTTCTCGGAGTCTATCTGCCTCTCACGCACTGGACTAGACTCTAAAAGCCACTGCCTGACCCTTCACAGATTCTCATTAAATGAACCTCAAAGTTCATGAGGCTGAAATGTGGCTGTACTCTGCATCCACCTCTGCAACTTCTGTGGATTCTTAATTCATGTTCTTTCTTTATATTCTTTAGAGTCAGGGTCTCACCCTGTTGCCCAGACTAGAGTAAAGTGGTGTGATCATGGCTCACTGCAGCCTCAACTTCCTGGGTTGTCCCAAAAAGCTGGGGCCATGGGTGCACACCACCATACCTGGCTCATTTTTAAAATTATTCTGTAGAGACAGGATCTCCCTATGTTGCCCAGGCTGCTCTTGAACTCCTGGGATCAGGTGATCCTCCCACCATGGCCTTCCAAAGTGTCAGGATTACAGGCATAAGCCATTGTGCCCAGCCTTAATTAATCAATTAATTTTGAAATACAGTCTTGCGCTGTTGCCCAGGCTGGAGAACAGTGCTGCAATCTCGGCTCACTGCAGCCTCGACCTCCCAGGCACCTCAGTTTCCCAAGTAGCTGGGACCATAGGCGTGTGCCACCATGCCCAGCTAATTTTTGTATTCTGGGTAGAGACAGGGTCTTGCCATGTTGCCCAGGCTGGTCTCGAACTCCTGGGCTCAAATGATTTACCCGCCTCTGCTTCTGGCATGAGCCACCACGCCTGGCCTCTTAATTCATTTTTTCAATGGCAAGAGTAATGAGGTAAATCACAGTAAAAAGCTCAGTGTACAGAGGGTGGTGGGCTTCCACATGAAAGGAGCTGGGATGATTCTCAGAAAAAAGGATGCCCTCTGCCTACTGCCACCTTCACTCAGTGCTTCCTGGACCCACAGAGCTCAGCATGCCTGATGGAGGCAGAGAAGCCCAGCACCCAGAGGACTCCAACCTCCTCCCGCCCTGTGGCCTGTAGTGCACCAGCATCACGCACAGCTAATACGTGTCTCAAACCAGAGAAAGGCAATGACCCCACTACAGAAATCACGAAAACGTGAGCATCAGAGGGCCTGCTGCTGTCTCTCCACGGCCCCCGCTGCTGTCTCTCCATGGCCCCCACCGCATTCCTCACCTGCCCTCCCAGTGTGTTCAGGGTGTGAGTGGGACGAGAACATGCAGTCCTGTACCAGCTTTCAATACCCTCTGAACGGTTATAACCACACGATTTTACAGCCTATTTTTCTACTTTTTTTTATTTTTTTTGAGATGGAGTCTTGTTCTGTCACCCAGGCGGGACTACAGTGGTGTGACCTTGGCTCACCACAGCCTCCACCTCCCAGGTTCAAGGGATTCTCATGCCTCAGCCTCCCAAATAGCTGGGACCACAGGCACGCACCATGCCCGGCTAATTTTTGGATTTTTAGTAGAGAGGGGCTTTCTCCATGTTGGCCAGGCTGGTCTCTAACTCCTGGCCTCGAGTGATCCAAGTGCCTCAGCCTCCCAAAGTGCTGGAATGACAGGCGTGAGCCACTGCAGCCTATTTTTAAAACTAGATCCTAAGTACCTGTGCTGTTCAAGTTTTCAGGACCACCCCTCTCGAGGATGTGTAACAATCAACAGTTTCTTCAGATGACAGTGAATGAAACCACACTAAAAAAAAAAAAAAAAAGGTTTTCTGAAGGCTAAGAAAGCAGCAAAGCAGGGCTGCACGCAGTGGCTCTCTCCTGTAATCCCAGCACTTTGGGAAGCCGAGGCAGGTGGATCACAAAGTCAAGAGATCGAGACCAGTCTGGCCAACACGGTGAAACCCTGTCTCTACTAAAAATACAAAAATTAGCTGGGTGTGGTGGTGTGTGCCTGTAGTCCCAGCTACTGGGGAGGCTGAGGCAGGAGAATCGCTTGAACCCGGGAGTCGCAGTTTGCAGTGAGCTGAGATCGCACCACTGCACTCCAGCCTGGTGACGGAACAAGACTCCATCTAAAAAAAAAGAGGCAGGGCGCAGTGGCTCACGCCTGTAATCCCAGAACCTTGGGAGGCCGAGGCGGGTGGATCACCTGAGGTCAGGAGTTCGAGACCAGCCTGACCAATAACGGAGAAACCCTGTCTCTACTAAAAATACAAAATAAGCCGGGCATGGTGGCACATGCCTGTAATCCCAGCTACTCGGGAGGCTGAGGCAGGAGAATCGCTTGAACCTGGGAGGCGGAGGTTGCAGTGAGCCGAGATGGCGCCACTGCACTCCAGCCTGGGCCACAAGAGGGAAACTCCCTCTCAAAAAAAAAAAAGAAAGAAAAAGAAAGTAGCAAAGGGGAAAAGTTAACATGACAAACAACTTGAGAGGGAAGTTGCCAATTAAGATGAAGACTAACGAGGAGAGTGAAGCTGCAGGGGAGTCAGTCACATCGCCGACATAGGCAGACGCCAGAGGCCAGGGATGCTGCCGCCGTCCACGAATTCTGTACCTAAGAACTAGATAAGGGCGTTACTGAGCCAACCTAAGCACTTCTGCTTATTTTTCAGCCAAGAAGCATTACATATATACAACCAATGCCAGTGACTACATCATTTTATAAAACCTATGACTTTTCATGGATAATTTAATAAGATTTCAGTTTAATTACAAGGAAAATATTTTAGGATTATAACTAAGTATTAATAATATCTTTTAGGGCCAGCTATGGTGGCTCATGCCTGTAATCCCAGCACTTTGGGAGGCTGAGGCGGGAGAACTGCCCAGGAGTTTAAGACCAGCCTGGGCAACATAGCAAGACCCTATCTCTATAAAAAATGTTTAAAAAGGCTGGGCGCAGTAGCTCATGCCTGTAATCCTGGCACTTTGGGAGGCTGAGGTGGGCAGATCACTTGAGCTCAGGAGTTTGAGGACAGCCTGGCCAACATGGCAAAACCCTGTCTCTACTAAAAATAAAAAAATTAGCCTGGCATGGTGGTGTACACTTGTAATCCCAGTTTCTTGAGAGGCTGAGATGGAAGGACCATTTGAACCTGGCAGGTGGAAGTTGCAGTGAGCCAAGATCGCGTCACCGCACTCTAGCCTGGGCAACAGAGCGAGACTCCGTCTCAAAAAAAAAAAAAAAAGTAAAAAAAAAAACCAAACTAAAAAACTAGCCAGGCATGGTAGTGTGTGCCTGTAGTCTCAGCTACTTAGGAGGCTGAGGTGAGAGGATTGCTTGAGCCCAAGAGTTTGAGGCTGCAGTGAGCTATGATGTTGCCACTGCATCCCAGCCTGGGCAACATACCAAGACCCTTCTCTACAAAAAAAATGTAAAAAAAAAAAAAAAAAAAAAAAGAATTAGCAGGACATGGTGGTGTGCACTTACAGTCCCAGCTACTCAGGAGGCTGAGGCAAGAGGATCGCTTGAGCCCAGGAGATGGAGGTTGCAGTGAGCTGTGATGGCACCACTGCACTCCAGCCTGGGGAACAGAGTGAGACTCTGTCTCAAAAAAAAAAATTAACACAGAATTATCATATAAAATTACCATATGAGGGGCCAGGTGCAGTGACTCACGCCTGTAATCCCAGCTACTCAAGGAGGCTGAGGCAGAATTGCTTGAACCCAGGAGGCAGAGGTTGCAGTGAGCTGAGATTGTACCACTGTATTCCAGACTTGGTGACACAGTGAGACTCCGTCTTAAAAAATAATAATAAAATAAAATTGCCATATGATACAGCAATTCCACTTCTGTGTATACACCCAAAATAACTGAAAGCAAGGTTGTTGTTCTTTTCCTGAGACAGGGTCTCACTGTGTTGTCCAGGCTGGGGTGCAGTGGTGCCATCAAACCTCACTGCAGCCTTGAACTCCTGGGCTCAAGCAGCCTCCTGAGTAGCTGAGACTATAGGTGGTTGCCACCATGCCCAGCTAATTTTTTGTAGAGATGGCATCTTGCTATGTTGTCAGGGTGGTCTTGAATTCCTGGCCTCAAGTGATCCTTCCACCTTGGCCCCCCAAAGTGCTGGGATGACAGGCATGAGCCACTGCACTCAACTTAGAGCAGGGTCTTGAAGAGATGCTTGCACACCCATGTCCACACTGATGTCAGCATCATTCACAATAGCCAAAAGGTGGAAGGAACCCAAGTGTTCGCGACAGATGAACAGACAAGCAAACTGTGGTCAACCCATGTAGTAGAATATTACTCAGCCTTCAAAAGAAAGGAAATTCTGACACATGCTACAACATGGATGAACCCTGAAGACATTATGCTCAGTGAAATAAGCCAGAAACAAAAGGACAAATACTTGGCCGGTGTGGCGGCTCACACCTGTAATCCCAGCACTTTGGGAAGCCGAGGCGGGCAGATCACGAGGTCAGGAGATCAAGACCATCCTGGCTAACACGGTGAAACCCCGTCTCTACTAAAAATACAAAAAATTAGCCGGGCATGCTGACGGGCGCCTGTAGTCTCAGCTACTCTGGAGGCTGAGGCAGGAGAATGGCATGAACCCGGGAGGCAGAGCTTACAGTGAGGTGAGATCGTGCCACTGCACTCCAGCCTGGGCAACAGAGCGAGACTCCATCTCAAAAAAAAAAAAAAAAAAAAAAAGACAAATATTTCAAGATTCTACTTGTATGAGGTTCCCAGGGCAGTTAAATTCCTAGAGACAGAAAGTAGAATGGTGGTTGTGGGGGCAGGGGAGGGGGATGGGAGTTTGTGTTCAATGGGGACAGAGCTTTAGTTTTACAAGATGAACATAGTTCTGGGGCTGGAGGGTGGTGATTGCTGCAGAGTGATGTGAACGTGCTTAACACCACCAAACTGCATGCTTAAAAATGGTTACAATGGTAATTTTTTTTTTTTTTTTTTGAGACGGAGTTTTGCTCTTGTTGCCTAGGCTTGAGTGCAGTTGCACAATCTCAGCTCACTGCAACCTCTGCTTCCCGGGTTCAAGCGATTCTCCTGCCTCAGCCTCCTAAGTAGCTGGGATTACAGGCTCCCACCACCATGCCTGGCTAATTTTTGTATTTTTAGTAGAGACGGGGCTTCACCATGTTGGCCAGGCTGGTCTCGGACTCCTGACCTCAGGGAATCCACCTGCCTTGGCCTCTCAAAGTGCTGGGATTACAGGCGTAAGCCACTATGCCCAGCCATTTTTTTTTTTTTTTTTTTTTTGGAGACAGGGTTCCACTCTATCATTCAGACTTGAGTGCAGTGGCGTGATCTTGGCTCACTGCAACCTCCCCACTCAAGTGATCCTCCCACCTCAGCCTCCTGAGTAGCTGGGTTACAGGTGTGCACCACCACGCCTGGCTAATTTTTGTATTTTTAGTAGAGATGGGGTTTCACCATGTTGACCAGGATGGTCTTGAACTCCTGGGCTCAAGTGATCTACCTGCCTCGGCCTCCCAAAGTGATGGGAATACAGGCATGAGCCACCACGCCCAGCCAAGTTTTAATTTTAAAAGGCGGTTTGGACAGCCAGACATGGTGGTTCATGCCTGTGATCCCAGCAATTTGGGAAGCCAAGGCAGGGGGATTGCTTGAGCCAAGGGGTTCAAGACCAGCCTGGTCCACACAGTGAGACCTCATGTCTACAAATAATTTTTAAAATTAGCTGGGCATGATGGCACACACCTGTGGTCCCAGTTACTCTGGAGGCTGAAGTGGGAAAATGGCTTGAACCCAGGAGGTCAAGGCTGCAGTAAGCTATGATTGTGCCGTTGTACTCCAGCCTGGGTGACAGGGTGAGACCACATCCCAAAAAACAAAACAACAACAACAGCAACAGAAACAACAGCTTGGACATACAAGAATGTCTGGCCCAGTGACTGACACAGCTCCGGCCTGAAGCCCACGTGACTTTTGCTACCTTCTGGGCAGGAGAGAAGCATTCAGGGAAGGGTCCGATAGAACCGCTGGGCTGAGCACTGCGGTCATGATCCCACCTGCTTCCAAAACACATCATGGGCAACACTGAAGCCATAAAGTAATTTTTCATTAAAAAGAAATAGGACATGATTTCCAAATGCAAATCTCCCAGTGTTTCAACAAAAAGCCCCCTGTGATTTGAAGCAGAGCACGCAGAGGCATCTCAGATGAACAGACGTATAACCCGCCTGCGGCACACCAACCGTGGGCTGCTGCCTCCAGCAAGGGAACCCACAGAGCAAAGTTTCACCTAGAAGCATCATCCGCCAGGAAACTGTAGCGGTGGAGGTGCTTTTCCACGGCGGCTGTGTCAGATGCCCTCATAAATGGCACTGAAAATTATTAGGTTAGGTTTAAACGCAAACACTGTGGTTAGGCTGACAGAGTTGTGTCTTAGCTCCGGGTGGGGCTGTTAAATATTTCTTTGCTCACACACAACATGCAGGGCATGAAGCCAGGGGCAGACTCTGCAGCCCCAGGGAGCAAGTCCATGCCGGCTGCCCACGCAAGGCCACTGGTCCAAATACTCATGCTGACTGTGGGCAAAACACTAGAGAAAGAAAAGGCAGCTAGCACAGACAGCTATGGCCTTAGCTCACTCGTGTTCAGCTGTGTGTCACCGTGACGTGACCACAGCCATCCTGCTCTGGAAGACACTGCCACATGGCCAGATCTATATTAAGCCCCCCAGAAGCGCATTTTCCACATTGTTACAGCAGAACTGACATCGATCACACAAAAAGGTCACGTAATACGTGGCTAATTTTATGTGTCAACTGGACTGGGCCGTGGGGTACCCAGATATTTGGTTAAGCATACTCTGACTGCGTCTGTGAGCATGTTTCTGGAGGAGAGTAACATCCAAATGGGTGAACTGAGATATCGGATGCCCTCCCAGTATGAGAGGGCCTCAGCCAGTCCACTGAAGGCCCAAGTACAACAGAAAAGTGGAGTAAGGCCAGGTGTGGTGGCTCATGCCTATAATCACAGCACTTTGGGAGGCCAAGGCAGGCGGATCAGTTGAGGTCAGGAGTTCGAGACTAGCCTGGCCAACATGGTAAAACCCTGTCTCTACTAAAAATACAAAAATTAGTCAGGCCTGGTGGCACATGCCTGTAATTCCAGCTACATGGGAGGTTGAGGCAGGAGAATAGTTTGAACCTGGGAGGCGGAGGTTGCAGTGAGCTAAGATCACACCACTGTACTCCAGCCTGGGCAACACTGTGAGACTCCATCACAAAAAAAAAAAAAAAAAAAAGTCAGACATGGTGGCGCACACCTGTAACCCAGCTACTCAGGAGGCTGAGGCAGGAGAATTGCTTGAACCCAGGAAGCAGAGGTTGCAGTGAGCTGAGATCACGCCACTGCACTCTAGCCTGGCCAACAGAGCAAGACTCTGCCTCAAAAAAAAAAAAAAAAGGTAGAGTAAGAGAATCAACTCTCTCTGCCTGCCTGTCTTTGAGCTGGGACATTGGTCTTCGTCTTTGGACTCCGTCTCAGACTGGAGTCATACCATTGGCTCTCCAGGGTCTGAATTTCTCAGCCTCCGTAATTGTGTGAGCCAATTTCTTATCATCAATCTCTTTGTATACACATTGCAAAAGAAAAATAAAATCTCAGGACCCCGAATTCACCAAGCTAAAGGGAAAGTTAAGCTTAACAACCAAGTTACGCAAAAGAAAAGCTGCCTTCTTTTCTTTCCCAGATAAAGTAATTTACGTGCTTATTTATCGCAGGTAAAATGCAGATTTACTGTGCGGAGAAGGCGTATGTGACTCTGCCCCACTCCCTTCTTTTCACATGTAAAATGTAGATTCACTGAATGGTACTAAAAGCCTCACAAAAATGTGACCACTGGCCTCATTGCCTACTCCACCTCCTTTTCTTCCCCTCTTCCCCTCCTGCCTACTTTTTCCTCTTTAAATACTGAAGTTTCCAAAACCCTCTTTAGAAAAAGCACACAGGCCACAGATCCTACAATGACTTGTGTTTCTTTCTTAACCTTGGCAAAATACACCTCTAAATCGACTGAGATCTGTTTCTGTTTCCATGCCTGCTAACACAACATCCATTCTGCAGCCCATGGATCAAGCAGTAATTTTGACTTTTAGGTCTTATTATTAAAGGAATACATTTTGTAAGGCTAAAGCTGCCATAGTGATTCCTCTGTAGGATCTGGGCAAAGTAAACTGAAAACCTGGAAAGGATTCACCATTCTAATGCCTTTAAGAACATTCGGGATTCACAGGAAGAGATCAAAATAGCAACATTAATAGAAGTTTGAAGAGGTTGGTTCCAGTCCTCATGGATGACTCTGAGGAGTTCAAGACTCCGGTGCAGGAAGTAACAGCAGATGTGGTGGAAACAGCAAGAGAAGTAGAATCAGAAGTGGAGCCTGAAGATGTGGCCAAATAATTGCAATCTCATGTTCAAAGCTGAACAGATGAAGAGTTGCTTCTTACGAAGGAACGAAAGAGCAGTTTCTTGAGGAGGAATCTACTCTGGGTAAAGATGCTATGAACGCTGCTGAGATGACCAGAAAAGATTTAGAATATTCCATAGACTTACATGATAATGCAGTGGCAAGGTTTGAGAAGATTGACTACAATTTTAAAAGATGTTCTACTATAAGTAAAATGTTATCAAACAGCATCACGTGCTACAGGAAAACCTTTTGTAAAAGTAAGAGTCAATAAATGCAGCACACTTCATTGTTGTCTTAAGAAATTGCCAGCCAGGCGCGGTGGCTCACGCTTGTAATCCCAGCACTTTGGGAGGCTGAGGTGCGCGGATCACAAGGTCAGGAGATCGAGACCATCCTGGCTAACACGGTAAAACCCCGTCTCTACTAAAAATACAAAAAAAATTAGCCAGGCGTGGTGGCGGGCGCCTGTAGTCCCAGCTACTCAGGAGGCTGAGGCAGGAGAATGGCGTGAACCCGGGAGGCGGAGCTTGCAGTGAGCCAAGATCGTGCCACTGCACTCCAGCCTGGGCGACAGAGCGACTCTGCCTCAAAAAAAAAAAAAAGAAAAAAGAAAAGAAATTGCCATAGCCACTCCAGCCTTCAGCAACCACCGCCCTGATCAATCAGCAGCTATCAACATCAAGACAAGACCCTCCACCAGCAAAAAGATTGCCACTCGCTGAAGGCTCAGATAATTGTTAGCATTTTTTAGCAATATTTTTAAATTAACGTATGTACATTGTTTCTTAGACATAATGCTATTGCACACTTAATAGACTACAGTATAGTGTAAACATAAAACTTTTTTTTTTTTTTGAGGCAGAGTTTCGCTGTTGTCATCCAGGCTGGAGTGCAGTGGCACAATCTCGGCTCACTGCAACCTCTACTCTGGGGTTCAGGTGATCCTCCTGCCTTAGCCTCCTGAGTAGCCAGGATTACAGGCGCCCACCACCACATCTGGCTAATTTTTTGTATTTTTAGTAGAGATGGGGTTTCATCATGTTGGCCAGGCTGGTCTTGAACTCCTGACCTCAGGTGATCCACCCGCCTTGGCCTCCCAAAGTGCAGGGACTGAGGCGTGAGCCACCACACCTGGCCAAATATAACTTTTATATGCACTGGGAAACGCAAAAACTTTGTTGACTCTCTTTATTGCGATATTCACTTGATTGTGGTGGTCCAGAACTGAACCTGCAACATCTCTGAAGTATGCCTGTAGAGATAAATGAGACAGCACAAAGTCCCAAAAGAGATCCACATGTATGTGGCTGTTTTCAAAAGGTGGCAAAGTAATTCAATAAGGAATAACAATCTTTTCAACAAATGGTGCTGAAACAACTGGATATCTGCATGAAAAAGAATGAACCTCAACCCTACGCCTCACACAGAAATTAACTCACAATGGATCATGGCCTTACACATAAACACTAAAACTAAAATATTCAGAGGAAAACAGGAAAAAATCTCCATGACTTGGGAGAAGGCAAAGATTTGTTGGGATACCAAAAGCACAAATATGAGAGAAAAATGTGGTAAATTGGACTTTATCAAAATTTAAAACTTAGGATTCTCAAATTTTACCATTAAAGAAAGTAAAGGCTGGGCACGGTGGCTCACACCTGTAATCCCAGCACTTTGGGAGGCCGAGAAGGGTGGATCACCTGAGGTAAGGAGTTCAAGACCAGCCTGTCCAACATGGCGAAACCCCATCTCCACTAAAATTACAAAAAATTAGCCGGGCATGGGGGCAAGTGCCTGTAATTCCAGCTACTCAGGAGGCTGAGGCAAGAGAATCGCTTGAACCCAAGAGGTGGAGGTTGCAGTGAGCCAAGATCACACCATTGCGCTCCAGCCTGGGTGACAAGACCAAAACTCTGTCTCAGAGAAAAAAAAAGAAAAAGAAAAATAAAAAAAGAAAGTAAAAGACAGGCCATAGGCCGGGAGAAAATATTCTCAATATGTATATCTAACAAAGTGCCTATATCCAGAATATATAAAGAGCTCTTACAACGGAAAATAAACCCAATTAAAAAATAAGCAAAAAATTTGAACAGACGTTTCACAAAAGAAGAGATACAAATAGTCAGAAAGCACATAGGAAAGTGCTCATCATCATTAGTCATCAAAGAAATGCAAATTAAAATGAGATAACTGGCCGGGCGTGGTGGCTCATGCCCGTAATCCCAGCACTTTGGGAGGCCGAGGTGGGTGGATCACCTGAGGTCAGAAGTTCAAGACCAGCCTGGCCAACATGGTGAAACCCCATCTCTACTAAAAATACAAAAATTAGCTGGGTGTGGTGGTGGGTGCCTGTGATCCCAGCTACTCGGGAGGCTGAGGCAGGAGAATCACTTGAACCCAGGAGGCAGAGGTTGCAGTGAGCCAAGATCACGCCACTGCACTCCAGCCTGGGCGACAGAGGGAGACTCTGTCTCAAAAAAAAAAAAAAAAAAAAAAAGCTAAAACCTGAAAACAACCCCAATGTACATCAGCAAGTGAGTGTAAAAAGGGTGAAGTGCTGATTCATGGGTGAACGCCACAGGTCGCACACTGAAAAAGGAGCCAGACGTAAAAGACTGCATGTTCTGTGGTTCCATTTATATGACATTTAAAAGAGGCCAAAATCGTGATGAAAATCATAGACTGCAGAGGAGCACGCAGAAACTCGGGGCGATGGAAATGCTCTACTGTTTGATTGCAGAGGCAGGTACAAGGTGAATATGTTTGGCCACGTTCCTCAAACTGCATACTTAAAATGGGTACGTTTTATTGCATGTAAATCATACTCAATACATTTGATTTAAAGTTAAAAAGAAAATGTTTGTGGTTTTATGAAGCTGATCTCCAGAGGCTAACACTTCTCTCTCTAATATGAATGCAATGGCCCAGCTCTCACCAATTTCCACAGTACAGAAGAAAACACCAGTGCAGAGTTCCGCACAGACACGGAGGGACTGGGAGGAAGAGGGAAGGGATACTGAGACCAAGTCCGGCCTCTGCTGAGTGGCCTGGGCCAAGTCATTTTATGTCTGACTTTCAGTCCATCTACAAAAGAAGAACAAACTAGGCCTTTCTGCTAACCAGAGCTACCGAGAGCACAAAAATGAGAAAACACAGCTAAGTGGTTGATAAAATAGTAAAGCACTTTCTTTAGAATCTGCCCCGGCCTTACTTATCTCTCTGTCTTCATCAGGCTCAAATATTTGTTACACAAATATGTGTTATTTTTATTATTACTCATGCTTTCTACCAAGAGCCAGTTATCAAGTCAAAAAAAAAAAAACTGTCTATTTGCAAATTGATTTTAAAATAACAATACCAATAGCTAACATGTTGTTAAAAGTGATGTTCTAAGGGCTTTGCACATATTACTTTGTTTAATCCTCACATGAACTGGGATGAAACTGGGAAAAGTAGCTACAGACTTGCACAAGTCTACATAGCTAGCAGTGTTTAGAGCTGGCCTCAGAACTCAGGCTGTTGTTGGAGAGCCCCCCTTCCTTGCCACTCTGCTCTGCTGGCCTCTACAGTATATGTTTAGGCAGAATTGGTAGGTTTCACTAGACAGTCAAATTTCTATTTCCTTTACTGCTGAGGGAAGTAGCTTCTTCGTGTCCAAATAACCAAGCTCTTGAGCACTAAATCAAGTGACATGACCTTCAATAAGAAGCGCAAGAATGTTTCAAGTTTATTTATTTATGCTACTGACACAAAGACCAGAAACTACCTACTTCTTTTCCAGCTTTACAGACACTATATAAGGCAAATAATTCACTGCAGTTCCCATCGCTGTAGTCAACAAAAATGTGGAAAGTTTCTGTTCCTGGTGTCAATATTTGCTCTCTGCATGTCCTGGGCTGCCTGGAACTTACACACAGTGGTACTACATTAAAACCTCCATCGTGAGACACATTTTCACGCGGTACCTCCAGGACTATGGTTTATTTGCTTATACAATTACTTCATTTGTGTTCAGTTAACTATATCTGACAGTATATCCAAATAAAAATATGTAATTAACGGTCACATTGATGAGAATGGAATGTTGATTTATATCCCAGGAGACCTGAATGAAAACTGAGCCCAAACTTAGCCTTTGAAGTAAAGTAACTTCCCTGCAGAGCCGGTCCTAGAGCACAGAGGCTATCAGCTCACCCTGTTCTCTTCCTTCCCGTCTCTAAGCCCTCTGTTGGCCCTTCCCAGGTAGACAGGAAATCCACGCACGTATACCAGTCCAATATTCCCAAACTGGGTTTCAAGTTCTTAGAAGACAGGGATCATATCTCATGTACCTTCTGTATTCCTCATAAGGCTCAAATATTTGTTGCATAGGTATTTGACTCTAGAATCCAAACGATAACTCACTTGACTCAACTGACTTAAGAGTTAAATCAATTCGTGGCTGGGCACAGTGGCTCACGCCTGTAATCCCAGCACTTTGGGAAGCCAAGCTGGGTGGATCACCTGAGGTCAGGAGACCAGCCTGGCCAACATGGCAAAACCCTGTCTCTACTAAATACAAAAAGTAGCTGGGTGTGGTGGCTGGCACCTATCATCCCAGCTACTTGAGAGGCTGAGGCAGAGACAATTGCTTGAACCCAGGAGGTGGAGGTTGCAGTGAGTCAAGATTGCCCCACTGCACTCCAGCCTGGCCAACAGTGAGACTCCGTCTCAAAAAAAAAAAAAAAAAAGAGTTAAGTTAACTCAAAGAAATTATTTCAGAAGAAAATGATAATAAATCTCACTATGATCAGTTTAAGAACCTGCTTGGGGCTTTACATGCAAAATATATCCAGGCTCAGCCAGGTGCAGTGGCTGATGCCTGTAATCCCAACACTTTAGGTGGCCAAGGCAGGATAATATTTTGAGACCAGGAGTTCAAGATCAGCTTGCGCAACATACCAAGAAGCCATCTGTACAAAAATTTAAAAATTAGCCAGGTATGGTAGTATACACCTGTAGTCCCAGCTACTCAGGAGGCTGAGGTGGGAGGATCTCTTAAGCCCAGGAGGCTGAGGCTGCAGTGAACTATGATCACACCACTGTACTCCAGCCCTCCAGCCTGGATGACAGAGTGAGATCTCATCTCAAAATTTAAAAATAAATAAATAAATAATTTAAAAAAGTAAATAGTTATCCAGGCTCTAACTTGTCAAGTCCCCTCTGCCCTACCTACACCCCACCCTGCCCCAATCACCATCAGCTCTCACCTGCGTTATTGCAACAGGCTCCAAACCAGTCTCCCTGCTTCTGCTCTCAGGCCCACACAATCCATTTTCAACCCCAAAGCCACGGTTATTCTATTAAAAGTTGGATCAGTGGCTTCCTATCTCGAGTCCTTCTGATGGCCCGTGACCAGGACTCCACTGATCTCCTCTTCTATCACAGTCCCCCTCGGCGACCCTCTCCAGCCTCAACAGTCTCCTTGCCGTTCATCCACCGCACCCAGCAGGCTCCTGCTGCTGGGCCTCTGCACCACCATCCCTCAGCTGGGGAATCCCAGGGCAGTCCCACGCTTCCTTCAGATCTCTGCTTGACGCTCACCTCCTCAGCAAGCCTTCCCTAACCACCCTGAGAAAGTAGATCCCAGTCTCTACCCTGCACTCCCCATACCCTGGTTTTCTTCATAGCAGCATTTATCCCATCCCTACCTCAAATCTTTTATTTATTATTTTTAGAGTAGTGTCTCACTGTGTCACCCAGGCTGGAGTGCAGTGGTGCAATCGCAGAATCCCTGAACTGCTGGGCTCAAGCCATCCTCCTGCCTCAGCCTCCCAAAATGTCAGGATTACAGGCGTGAGCCACCATGCCTGGCCTCAAATAGCTCATATACACCAGTTAATCCACTCACTGTCTTCCTGCACTGACTTAAAAGGGAGGTCCTCGTCCTGCCTCACAGCGGGTATTCTCAAGGCTTACAGTAGCATCTGGCACTCAGTACTTGCTCAAGAAAGAGGTGATGTTCTAACAAAAACCAGACAAACTCTGATTGCCTAATTTCTGAAACTTGGGGACAGGTGAAGGATGATGTATAATACTGCTCTCTCTACTGGTCGGTATGTTTTAAAACCCCCTTGGAAAACGACGAAAGAAAGCGCTCGGCCGGGCGTGGCGGCTCAGGCCTGTAATCATAATTGCTTGAACTCAGGAAACAGAGGCTGCAATGAGATCATATCACTGCACTCCAGCCTGAGTGACAGAGTGAGACTCTGCCTGAAAGGAAAAAAAAAAAAAGTGCTCAGAATCTCTGATAAATGACCACAACGACGAGACAGCATACAGAGAACAATGACAATAACCAAGAGGAAATCAGAGCAAGGAAACCCTCCCTGTTAACAGGGCCTGTGCACAGAGGCAGGCGAGGGCCGCCATTCCATCAGAGCAGAAAGCCCATCTGAGACTGTTCCCATTTGGGTCAATTCAATGCCACACATACATATCCATGAAAGAGTGAAATCATTCCGTGAGGTGAAGTTTATTAAGAAACTCAACAGTCTCTGTCCCTGCTTCCCTTTCTCACCTCCGCCCTTCTCCATGATTCTTTTTTTTTTTTTTTCTTTGAGACAGGATCTTGCTCTGTCACCCAGGCTAGAGTGGAGTGTGATGGCTCGATCTCAGCTCACTAAAATCTCCACCTCCTGGGCTCAAGTGAAGTGATCCTCCCACCTCAGCCTCCCAAGGAGCTGAGACAGACACAGGCCACCATGTCTGGCTAATTTTTGTATTTTCAGTAGAGACAGGGTTTCGCCATGTTGCCCAGGCTGGTCTTGAACTCCTGGACTCAAGCAATCCTCCTGCCTCGGCCTCCTGAAGTGCTGGGATTACAGGTGCGAACCACCACGCCCTACCCGCTCCATAATTCTTTTTAGCTAATTCTTTTAATGTCTGCCTTCAGAGTGAACCTTGGTTGTTCAGCTTGGGGCATTAGCGACTGACTTCCCAAGGCGACAGGCGAAAATGCAGCGCTCTCCTCCCCACACCTTCTCTGCCCAGGTGCATCATAATTTCAATTAGAGCAGCAGTCAGTGTTTACATAAATTACTATCATTGCGGCGAGGCTATCCACAGCTGCGCCTTGTAGTACACCATAATTATTTTTCGTTTCCCGCACGATGGTTTATTTTCCCTGGAACTAATAACAGCCTTGTGTTTTCATTTGCTTTGTTTAGTACTTATCACTAATCCCGCCCCAACTCTGCCAACTGTATCAACTCCTCTCCAGATGCTGCAGCATGTCAGGTGTCCTGCTAATTTCATCTTCTCCCAAAGAATCTCCTCTTGGAGCCTCTGACCAGCTGGGGTCAGGACATGTCTGCTCTTCACACCAGCACCTGGCTGGGATTTCCCTTCAGCAGGTTCTTCTCACCTCTCACCTGGGGGAAATCCTGTTCCCACCAGCCAGTCTCTCTCAGTCTAGACTTACTGCCTCATCTGGGGAGACTACATCTGCCAATCACCTCCTTAAAGCATGAGGAACAAATCTGGGAGCAAGTCTGAAGTTGTCTTTACCCTACCCTCCCTTGCCTGAGTGTAGACTTCCAGGCTGCAAATGCATCCTTCAGAATTTCTCAAGCAAGGCCCTCCCGTCTCCTGCCACCCAGTGCTGCTTTGAAAAAGCCCAAGCCCTTCTGCTTCTTTTCATTTTAATTGTAGTTAGTTCTTCTGCCTTTTTCCACATGTTCTAACCTTCTGCCTCTTGACCTGTGATGACCTATTTGTGATTTGTTTTTACTTTCTCCTCTTGTTCTGAGATTTCACAACAGTATGTCCTGGAGAGGGTACGCAAGGATCTTTTTTTTTTTTTTTTTTTTTTTTTTTTGAGACGGAGTCTCACCCTTGTTGCCCGGGCTGGAGTGCAATGGCATGATCTCCACTTACCGTTACCTCCGCCTCCCAGGTTCAAGCAATTCTCCTGTCTCAGCCTCCTGGGCAGCTGGGATTACAGGCACCTGCCACCATACCTGGCTAATTTTTGTATTAGCCAGGGTTTCACTATGTTGGCCAGGCTGGTCTCAAACTCCTGGCCTCAAGTGATCCGTCCACCTCGGCCACCCAAAGTGCTGGGATTACAGGCGTGAGCCACAGCGCCTGGCCTCTGAACTCTCACTATCCAAATTCTGGGGTCAACAGCTGCAGACATGCTTTCAAATAAATCCTTCCCCTCCCAAGCTCTCACTAGTCTTTATCTGAAACTCAGCCTCTCTCACTATCCAAGTTTGCTGCCCAGACTTTTAATTTTTTAAATTTTATTTTTGAGACGGAGTCTCATTCTATTGCCCAGGCTGGAGTGCAGTGGCACGATCTGGGCTCACAGCAACCCCCGCCTCCTGGGTTCAAGCAATTCTCCTGCCTCAGCCTCCTGAGTATGGGATTACAGGCACCCACCACCATGCTTGGCTAATTTTTGTATTTTTAGTAGAGATGGGGTTTCATCATGATGGCCAGGCTGGTCTCGAACTCCTGACCTCAGTGATTCACCTACCTCCTAAATTGCTGGGATTACAGGCATGAGCCACCACACCCAGCCTTCCCAAGCTTTTAATATCCAAGCTGAGAAGTGAAGAGGCTATGAAAGTGAAGGATACCTGCATTTTCACCCGTGGTACTGGCCACTGGGTGAGCCTCTTTAACCCAGAAAGTTTGGGTTCTAGGAAATTATTTTGTGAATTTCATCCTGTTTTCCCTATTTTTTTCTTCTGGAAACTTTTTAAAATGTATTTTATTTTATTTTTTAGAGATGGGGTCTTGCTCTGTCACCCAGGCTGGATGGCAGTGGCATGATCACAGCTCACTGCAGCCTCAAACTCCTGGGCTCAAGTGATCCTCCCACCTCAGCCTCCCAAGTAGCTGGGACTACAGGTGCACACCACCACACCTGGCTAATTTTTAAATTTTGTTGTAGAGATGGGGGTCTTGCTATGTTGCCCAGGCTGGTCTTGAACTCCTGGCCTCAAACGATCCTCTCACCTCAGCTTTGAAGCTCTTACTATTCAGCTGCTGACTTCCTGATCTGATCCTTTCCGTTTCTTTTTTCTCTCATTTGCCACCTCGTTGCTTTTCTGTTCTACTTTCTGAGGGAGTTCCTCAACTTTATCTTTCACCCACTAACTGATTTTCTTATTTCTGCTTTTATTTTTTTTTTTTACATCCGAGAGTTCTCTTTTTGGATATTCGAATACTCCTTTTGGTGGCTTTTTTTTAGAGCTTCCTGTTCTTGCCTCATGTTCGCGATATTTTCGCTCACCTCCGCGTGGACATTAATGACAGCCTGCTTTCTAAGGCTCCTTCCTGCACGCTCTCTGGTTTCCCAGTGTGTATTCTGGTCTCAATCTCCTGTAGCAGAGGTTTTCTTCAGATGCCCTTGGTTATCTGCTCATATTTAAGGGATGGGGATTTTTAAAGCTTGATGCCTTGAACACTGGGAGGGGGTTATTAATGACGGGCTTCGTTAGCAAGGGATCCAGCTGGGTCTGCTGACTGGGGACCTCCTGATGTCATTAATTTTAGGTCTTTTCTCTTGGGCTACTCAGATTCCCCAAAGACACATCCATCCTCCTGTCTACAGGGAAAAGCCCCAGCTGGTCATGTTCTGGGAGCCAAAGGGTCCCTGTTCGCTTCCTCCTCCTGTGCCCTGTTCAGCACTGCGCCCCCACCCCATACTCAACCGCGCCCCCACCCCGTACTCAACTGTGCCCCCACCCCGTACTCAACTGTGCCCCCACCCCGTACTCAACTGTGCCCCCACCCCATACTCAACTGTTCCCCCACCCCGTACTCAACTGTGCCCCCACCCCATACTCAACTGTGCCCCCACCCCGTACTCAACTGTACCTGTCTCCCATTCTTCTCTGAAATATCTTTAAAGTTTCTAAACAGTTACAGAAACCACCACCTTAACAGCAGGAAGTAATAAGTTGGAGAGTCAATTATCTCCAGGCACATCTGTGGGCCAGGGCTGGAGAACCACAGTCCCGCCTGCAGCCACAGACCCACTAAGCAAGTGTGAAACTAACAGCTACTCTCCGAAAAGAAAGACAACTTAAGAATCGAAACTCAAGATGTACGGTTTTTTTAAATGACAAACAAGCCGCATGTGTTTCAGTATCATCAATAACCCGTCTTTTCCCACTGATGGCTCCTTCAGCCCCTGACCCACACTAGAAGAGAATCACCTGCCAGCCTCAATGACTGTGCGTAGTCAAGGAACTGCACGCCCAAGGTCAGCCAACCAACGGGCCTCTCTTCAGCTCTGGATCCCTTCCCACTGGGGTTCCTGGGGATTCCCTCCTTGTACAGGCTGTCTCTTCTCCACCAGGTCACATCTCCTCCAGGATGGCCACCAATACCGCCAACTCTGCAGGTCTAAAACCCACGTGTGTTTGTGTGGCCCTTCCTCTCCCACCTGGCCGCAGCGCTCCTCATCGCAGGTGAGAAGTCCCGGCTGCCCTCGCTGTTACAGGTCGCCACATCTCACAAAGCGCCACCGCCCAGTGGATTTGGCAACATCTTTCAGCTCCATGCCCGCCCCCACTCTCTCACTGCCCCAGACCCACGCCCCACAAGGCTACTCAACTCAGCTCCACTGCCCAGAGGCAAAACCCACCTCCCATATTCTCACCACGACCACTTTTCTGAAACACATCTAATCGCGTCGCACCCAAACCACCACCAAAGGGATAAAAGTTTAAACTCCCTCACACAGCATTCAGGCCCCTGCACAATCAGAAACCCATCTTTCCAGTCTTTTTTTTACTCTGTTGCCCAGGCTGGAGTGCAGAGGCCCAGTGTCGGCTCACTGCAACTTCCGCCTCCAGGTTCAAGCTATTCTCTTGACTCATCCTCCTAAGTAGCTGGGACTTCAGGTGTGCACCACCACGCCCAGCTAAATTTTGTATTTTTAGTAGAGATGGGGTTTCACCATGTTGGCCAGGCTGGTCTCGGACTCCTGACCTCAGGTGATCCGCCCGCCTCTGCCTCCCAAAGTGCTGGGATTACAGTCACGAGCCACCTCGCCCGGCCTTCCAGTCTTAGCTTCCAACCCAATCCTCAAACCCCACTTCATCAAGAACACGGCGACCCACCATCTCCCCCAAACATCACTTTCACTTCCACATCTCTGCATGCCCTTTGCCTCCAAACGCCCCAATTCATAGGTCCTCTCCACTGTGGAAAATGTCGGAAAATGTCGCCACATTCTGTTAACGCCTGCACCACAGTCTCAACTCCACACAGTTGTAGCCAGGCTGGCCGTGAGCTCCCAGGGCAAGGCCCACGCTATTACCGGCATCTACCCCAGCTTAGCATCTTGCACTCGATTGGAGGTTTGATAATAAAGCTGGAGTCAGCTGAGTGACAGCAGACAGTTACTGCTGGCCCCAAAGCGTCAGCCCAAAGTCCCATAAACTCCTTTGCAGGGAAATCAAACATCTATGCCATTCCAGGCAGGTGCTCTTTCAGATCTCAAGCGTTGCACCTTCGTGTAGCAATCTCCTCATTACCCCTGTTTTCTCTCCATCCTCACTCAGACACCAGCCCTGACTCCCAACACCAGATGCTCACGGTGAGGGGCTAACCCGGGTCCCCGCGTGGGGGTAAGTGGGGGACCCGCTGAGCTGTCCCCAACCACCCACAGCCGGGAACAGCACCGTAGGGCCTGGTGTCCTGGAAGATGTACTGCGTCCAGCACCGCGCCTGCAACTCACATTCCTATTCACCCCGGGGCTTCCGAGTCCCCACAGCCCCGCTTATGAACTAAATAATTTAATAATGCTGGAAACACTATGGCTTGTTGTGCTGCCTGCCAGACGGAGCCTCTGCCCGAGCCAAGGCTTTGCCGGCGGTGTCTCGGTGGCCGGGAGCCCGCAGAGGAGGTCTAAGTCCCACTGTTCCCGGACTAAATGCACGGTTTCCTCTCCCAGAGGGGCAGGGCTGCGGCTTCTGGAGTGAGAGGTCATTTAAGGGATACCCTGAGCGACCTGCCGGTGCTGCTGGCGTCTGCAGGCTCCAGGGCTGCGGTCGGCGGGGCCGGGGAGCCCCGTTCAGGTGACAGCAGGCACACGGGGGCCCTCGGGAGCTGGGGATCCTGGAACTCCAAGCCCGGGAATTGGTCCTACCCCTGCCGGGCGGCAGAGGCTGATGCCGGGCAGGGGGACTCCTGGGGGCCGGCGGGGCCGCTGCAGCCTCTGCTGTCGCTGAATCAGAACCACAGATTTCTCGTCCAGACCCCGAGGAGCCGCAGAACGCGCTGATCAGGGCCCCAGGGCTGGGTCCCCCTGGCCGAGGACGACGAGCGGGGCTCAGAGAGGGCGCGCGCAGGGCCAAGGTCACACTGCGCGCCGGCGCGGGAACTCGAACCCAGGCCCAAGCCGCGCCCGCCAGGCCAGGTTAAGGAGAGCCGACCCGCGCCCCTCAGCGCGGCCCGGGACCCCCGCCCGGGCCCTGGGAGCCCAGCACTGGCCGAGAGAGAGGGAGACCGCGCCCCGAGCCCGCCGCCCGCCGCGCCCCTCACCTCGCGACCCTCACCTCGCGCCCCTCACCTCGCGCCCGCAGCCGCCGCCGCCGCCCCGCGACTAGCGGACCCCCCAGAGGCAGCCCTCGCCGGCCCCGCCCCCGGCGCAGGAGCCCCTCCTACCGGTCGTCTTCTCGCGAGACGTCGCGGCCGCCGGAGGGGCCACGGAGGCCGAGGGGCGCCCGCCCTCAGCGCGCCTGCGCCCGGCCAGCCCGCCCGCCCCCGCCCTCGCGAGCCAGTGCCATGTGGCGCCGTATTTACGGCCAGAGATCGACTCCGCCCACCGGCCGCCACGAGCCACGCCCCTTTCTCAGCAGCCAATCCGCGGCGTTGACTCCGCCCCGGCGGACCGGGCGCGCGGCGGCTCGGGGACGCGCAGCTGTCTCGCCGTTCGACCCGGGAGCTCCACGTTGCAGCCAAACACGATCCCGTTAACCAACCTTTATGCAGTGCCTGTTGTCTATCCGACCCTTTCTCGAGCATCGGCTCATTGGCAAAGGATCGTGATGCTCACCGGCTGGGGCTTGAGACTCGCTGTGTGACCTTGGGCAAGTGACTTAACCTCTCTGAGGTTGTCGCCAATCCGTAAAATATAATAGGTTAGTGACCCTACCTTTCAGGGAGTATGTGAGACAAACGAGATGACACGGGTAAAGAGCTTAGCAAGATGCCTAATGCATAGTGAGCATGCAGTAATTGTTCTTGGCATCAATGTAGTTTTGTGTGTTTGTTTGTTTATTTTTTTAGAGACAGGATCTCACCGTGTCGTCCAGGATGGGGTGCAGCGGTGCAGTCACAGCTCACTGCAGCCTCGACCTCCTGGGTTCAAGCCATCCTCCCACCTCAGCCTCCCAAGTAGATGGAACTACAGACAGGTGCCACCACACCCGGCTAATTTTTAATTTTTAATAGAAACGGGGGTCTCACTATGTTGCCCAGGGTGGTCTTGAACCCCTAGACTCAAGCAATCCTCCTGCCTCAGCCTCCCAGAGCTCTGGGATTACAGGCGTGAGCCACCGCGCCAGGCCCAGTCATTTTTTTTTTAAATTATGGTAAAATATATAGAACATAAAATTTACCATCTTAACCTTTGTTGTTGTTGTTGTTGTTGTTGTTGTCGTTGTTGTTGTTGTTGAGACAGAGTCTCGCTCTGTCGCCCAGGCTGGAATACAGTGGCCCGATCTCGGCTCACTGCAAGCTCCGCCTCCCGGGTTCACGCCATTCTCCTGCCTCAGCCTCCCGGGTAGCTGGGACTTACAGGCGCCCGCCACCACGCCCGGCTAATTTTTTGTATTTTTAGTAGAGACGGGGTTTCACCGTGTTAGCCAGGATGGTCTCGAACTCCTGACCTCGTGATCCGCCCGCCTCGGCCTCCCAAAGTGCTGGGATTACAGGCGTGAGCCGCCGCGCCCGGCCCATCTTAACCATTTTTAAGCACTCCCTGCAGTGGCATTAAGCACTTTCACATCCCCACCATCCACCCCAAGAACTTTTTCAATCCGTGATATTTTTAGTTGGCCCCCTCCGATGGACTCCCGAGGCAGCCTTCCAACCAAGGTCATCTCTTCACTCTTCCACTCCCTGCAGCCAGTCCCAAAGGAGTTCCGAACCCACCGGGCCCTGGAAATGTGGAAGTGAGGGAGACGGGCAAGGCCCCTGCCCTCCTGTATTCTAGTGGGGGGGAAAAGCAACAAACAACCACCACAAAATATATGTGTATATTATATACACACTCACAGTAGATAATATGTTTATACGTATGTGTAATGCATACATGTTACCTATGTGTATGTATGTAGTATATATGTTTATATATTGTACACATACATATAGACCTGTATTATGCATGTATAATATGTCTATGTTGTATACATACATATATGCAATTGCACGTATGTAAATAAGGTGACAGCCTCTGGCAATGTCACCCTGTGATGCCTGTCTCAGCTTAGAAATTTCTCACTATCAGCCGTGTGCAGTGGCTCACACCTGTAATCCCAGCACTGTGGGAGGCCGAAGTGGGTGGATCACTTGAGGTCAGGAGTTCAAGACCAGCCTGGCCAACGTGGTGAAACCTGTCTCTACTAAAAATAAAAATACAAAAATTAGCCAGGCTTGGTGGCGGGCGCCTGCAATCCCAGCCACTCAGGAGGCTGAGGTGGGAGAATCGCTTAAGCCTGAGAGGTCAGCTGGGCTTGTTGGCTCACGCCTGTGATCCCAGTGCTTTGGGAGGTGTAGGCGGGCAGATCACGAGATCAGGAATTCGAGACCAGCCTGGCCAACACATGATGAAACCCTGTCTCTACTAAAAATACAAAAAATTAGCCGGGTGTGGTGGCAGGCACCTGTAATCCCAGTTAGGAGGCTGAGGCAGGAGAATCGCTTGAACGCAGGGGCTGGAGGTTGCAGTGAGCCGAGACCGCGCCAGTGAACTGTAGCCTGGGCAACAAAGTGAGACTCCGTCTCAGACAAACAAACAAAAAACCTGAGAGGTGGAGGCTGGAAGCGGAGATCATGCCACTGCACCCCAGCCTGGGTGACAGAGTGAGACTCTGTCTCAAAAATAATAAATAAATAAATAAATAAGTAAAATGGTTACTTTTGTGTTATGTCAACTTCACCTCTTACATCAGCAACATTTTGAATACACTAAAGACCCCTGAATTGTTCATTTTAAAATGGTTACTTTCTGCCCGGAGCGGTGGCTCACGCCTGTAGTCCCAGCACTTTGGGAGGCCGAGGCGGGCTGATCACGAGGTCAGGAGATGGAGACCATCCTGGCTAACGCAGAGAAACCCCATCTCTACTAAAAATACAAAAAATTAGCTGGGCATAGTGGCAGGCGCCTGTAGTCCCAGCTACTCAGGAGGCTGAGGCAGGAGAATCCGTGAACCTGGGAGGGAGAGCTTGCAGTGAGCCCAGATCGTGTCACTGCACTCCAGCCTGGGCGACAGAGCGAGACTCCGTCTCAAAAAAATAATAATAAAAAAATAAAAATAAATAAAATGGTTACTTTTATGTTATGTTAATTTCACCTCTTACGTCAGCAGCATTGCGAATGCACTAAATGCTCCTGAATTGTTCACTTTCAAATGGTTACTTTTACTTTATGGCAACTTCGCCTCTTACATCAGCAACATGCAGATACATTTTACTTACCCACTCTGCAGTGGCTATACCTTATCTCCTGGTTTACAGATAAGGAAGCAGGGGACCAGAGAAGGTAACCAACTAGCCAGAGACACAGAGCTGTGTAAGTGACAGAGCCAGGACCTGAATCCAAATTGTGGACCCCAAAGATGGAGCCACGCTACAGCCTTGAGACTTCCTGGGCCAGGGCCTCAGCTCGGCCCTGGAGACACCTCACTGTGATGATTTTTATCTCCTCCTCTTCTAGGCTCCAGGCTCCTTCTGGCTGGCTGCCCATCCCCCTCCCCAGCAGCTCCATTGGCTGCCACCCATCTTCAGGGACCCTGGGCCCCTCTGCAAAGTCTGTGGTCTCCCCGGAGCTGACCACAGCCTGGCCCAACCTCTGGGTTTTACTTTGAGGTATTTCAGTGTCTCTACCAGCAACAACTATTTCTGGTTTCATAGCCAGGGTTGCAACAAAGGAAAAGCGGTAACTGTGGCTTCTGGGCAAGAGGCCAGCCAGGAAACATTAGCTGCTACTGATAGTAACAGCTATGGAATTCCGGGAGGTTTTTTTGTTTTTGGTTTGTTTGTTTTTTTTTCTTTTTCTTTTTTTCTTTTTTTAGAGACAAGGTCTTGCTCTGTCACCCAAGCTGGAGTGTGCAATGGTGCCATCATGGCTTACTATAGCCTCAGCCTCCTGGGCTCAACTCCCTGAGTAGCTGGGACTACAGGTGCACACCACCATGCCTTGCTAATTTCTTTAGTTTTTTTGTAGAGATGGAGGTCTCGCTACGTTGGCCACGCTGCTGCGGGGAGATCCTGATGACCTCTGGCCCTGGGATCCATATAAGCATCATTAACAGGATATGAAAACAAAACAAAACAAGGTCTGTGAATTGAAAATTCAATTAACCATGTAGATGATATGAAAATCCAAGAGGGGCCAGGCACAGTGGCTCACACCTATAATCCTAGAACTTTGGGAGGCTGAGGCGGGCAGATCACCTGAGGTCAGGAGTTGAAGACCAGCCTGGCCAACATGGTGAAACCCCATCTCTACTAAAAATACAAAAATTAGCCAGGTGTGGTGGCAGGCATCTGTAATCCCAGCTACTTGGGAGGCTGAGGCAGGAGAATCACTTGCACCCGGAAGGTGAAGGTTGCAGTGAGCCGAGATCATGCCACTGCACTCCAGCCTGGGCAACAGAGTGAGACTCTGTCTCAAAAAAAGAAAAGAAAAGCAAATCCAAGAGGGCCAGGCACGATGGCTCACACCTATGATCCCAGCTCTTTGGGAGGCCAAGGCAGGAGGATCATTTGCACTCAGGAGTTCCAGACCAGCCTGGGTAACAAGGTGAGGCCCTGTCTGTACAAAAACAATAAAATAAAATAATAAAATAAATCCAAGAGAATGGACTGAGGAGCCCTCCTAATTCACTGTGAGCTCACTCCTCCCCACCCCATCCCTGTCTTTCTTTCTTTTTTTTTTTTTTTTTTTTTTGAGACGGAGTCTCACTCTGGCACCCAGGCTGGAGAGCAGTGGCACCATCTCGGCTCACTGCAAGCTCCACCTCCCAGGTTAACACCATTCTCCTGCCTCAGCCTCCCGAGTAGCTGAGACTACAGGCGCCCGCCACCACACCCAGCTAAGTTTTTTGTTTTTTTAGTAGAGATAGGGTTTCACCATGTTAGCCAAGATGGTCTTGATCTCCTGATCTCATGATCCACCCGCCTTGGCCTCCCAAAGTGCTGGGATTACAGGCACGAGCCACCGTGCCAGGCCCCCTGTCTTTCTTCACTGCATTCTTTTGGGCAGTGTCAGGTAAGAGGGAGGTGGTAGGAACCCAGGGCTGGGTGCTGAGGCTGTTACTCAGCCACTGCATGACCTTGGACTTCCATTTCTTTCTCTGCATAATGCTTGAAATAATTGCCCCTCTCACTGCCATGGCCATGCATGGAACAGAGATGTGCAAACTGCTAGCACCTACCAGGTTTGCACCCAGAGAGGGGCTGCAGGTGCCGCTGTGGCCCCAATGGAGGTGATGGTGACTTAGGTTTATGCAGTGGTACAGGAAGAGGACCAAGCTGATAGATAGTGGGGAGACGGCAGCTAGAATGGATAGGGCAGGTGTGGGGATCAGCTGAAGGAGGAAGGGAGAGGAGTTGGGGTGATACCCCGATTGCTGGGCAGCCAGTGGAGTGGATGGTGGTACCACATGAGAGATAGGAGACCACAGAGGAGAACGGTTTTGGGGAGCAAACTTTGTGAACTTGGTGTTGTATGTGCTGAGTAGAGACACCCACAGGACATCACACTTGTCAGGAGACCACTGGATGTTTGTGTCTTGAACCCAGAGGAGACTGGGAGTGGTGGCTCACGCCTGTAATCCTAACACTTTGGGAGGCTGAGGCAGGCAGATCACCTGAGGTCAGGAGTTCGAGACCAGCCTGGACAACATAGTGAAACCCCGTCTGTACTACAAATACAAAAAATTAGCTGGGCATGGTGGCAAGTGCCTGTAATCCCAGCTACTCAGGAGGCTGAGGCAGGAAAATTGCTTGAACCTGAGAGGCAGAGGTTGCAGTGAGCCAAGATTGCACCATTGCACTCCAGCCTGGGCAACAGTGTGAGACTCCATCTCAAAAAAAAAAAAATAATAATAATAAATAGGCCAGGTGCAGTGGTTCACACCTGTAATCCCAGCAATTTGGGAGGCCAAGGCGGGCGGATCACAAGGTCCCGAGATCGAGACCATCCTGGTTAACACGGTGAAACCCCATCTCTACTAAAAGTACAAAAAAGTAGCCGGGTGTGGTGGCGGACGCCTGTAATCCCAGCTATGGGGAGGCTGAGGCAGGAGAATGGCGTGAACCCAGGAGGCAGAGCTTGCAGTGAGCCGAGATTGCGCCACTGCACTCCAGTGTGGGCGACAGAGCGAAAAAAAATTATATATATTAGCTGGACATGTTAGTGCATGCCTGTAATCCCAGCTACTCAGAAGACTGAGGTGGAAGGATCCCATGAGTCCAAGAGTTGGAGGCTGCAGTGAGCTCTATGACTGCACCACTGCACTCCAGCCTGGACTACAGGGAGAGACCATGTTTCTTAAAAAAAAAAAAAAAACAAAAAAAAAAACAAAACAACAGTGCAGTGGCTCATGCCTGTAATCCCAGCACTTTGGGAGGCCGAGGTGGGTGGATCACCTGAGGTCAGGAGTTTGAGACCAGCCTGGCCAACATGGTAAAACCCTATCTATACCAAAAATACAAAAATTAGCTGGGCGTGGTGGCGCACGCCTGTAATTCCAGCTACTCTGGAGGCTGAGGCAAGAGAATAGCTTGAAGCCAGGAAGCAGAGGTCACAGTGAGCTGAGATCATGCCATTGCACTCCAGCCTGGGTGACAAGAGTGAAACTCTGTCTCAAAAAAAAAAAAAAAAAAAAAAAAAAAAGCCAGATGTGGTGGTGCATGCCTGTAGACCCAGCTACTTGGGAGGCTGAGGTGAGAGATTGCTTGAGCCCAAGAGTTCAAGGCTGGGGTGAGCTATGACCATGCCACTGCCCTCCAGCCTGGGCGATAGAGTGAGACCTTATCTCTACAAAAATAAAAATGAAAAAATGAGCCAGATGTGGTAGCACACCTGTAGCCCCAGCCACTCAGGAGGCTGATGTGGGAGGATTGCTCGAGCCCAGGAGGTCAAGGATGTAGTGAGCCATAATTGCACTACTGCACTCCAGCCCGGGTGACAGAATGAGACCCTGTCTCAACAACAACAAACAACAACCAAAGACTGAAAGCCTCCCGCCTCAGCCTCCCATGGGATTACAGGTGTGAGCCACACTCCCAGCCATCACTCCTATTTTAGGGATGAGGTTACATCCCTGCAGAAGCCCAGAGCAGAAAGGACCTTCTCCCGCAGGACGGATAGGGTTACGGTCAGTTGGAGTTTGCGGGGTCTTCCAGGCACGGGCAGGGGACAGAAAGGGATGGCGTAGACAAAGGCATCAGCACAGCAGAGCTGGGAAACATGAAGGCAGCTGGCAGAGTGCCCTGAGCATCTCTGAAAGGTCCTGTGATCTGCCTGGCTCTGCAAGGAGCGGTGGGACGGGAACCTGGGAGGAGACCGGGGAAGGTGAGGCAGCATGAGAGGGGCCACACATCCTGATTTTTCGGAAGCTGTGAGCTGGTGTTTGAGCCAGAACATTGGATCCCTCTCTGGGCCTCAGCTTTGCCATCCGTGACAAGGGGAGGGTGGCTGAGACTTCTGCGTGCTCGCCCAATACCCATTCTCCTATCCTTCCTCATTAACAGAACCCTGGTTGTATTGATAGTCGCAACAGAGGATGCTTTTTTTTGTTTTGTTTTGTTTGTTTGTTTTTTGCGACAGAGTCTCGCTGTGTGGCCAGGCTGGAGTGCAGTGGCACAATCTCGGCTCACTGCAACCTCCGCCTCCAGGGTTCAAGTGATTCTCCTGCCTCAGCCTCCCGAGTAGCTGGGATTACAGGCACCCACCCCCACGCCCAGATAATTTTTATATTTTTAGTAGAGATGGGGTTTCACCATGTTGGCCGGGCTGGTCTCAAACCTCGAACTCCTGACCTCAAGTGATCCTCCTGCCTTAGCCTCCCAAAGTGCTGGGGTTACAGGCGTGAGCCACTATACCAGCCAACATGAACCTCTTGAAGTCATCTCCCATCCCATCTATCATCTATGTATCTATCTATCCATCCATCCATCTATCAATCTGTCGATCCAGCCATCTATCCATCTATGTATCTATCTATCTATCCATCAATCTGTCGATCTAGCCAGCTATTGATCTATGTATCTATCTATCCATCTATCAACCTGTCGATCTAGCCAGCTATCGATCTATGTATATCTATCTATCCATCTATCCATCTATCAACCTGTCGATCTAGCCATCTATCGATCTATCCATCCATCCATCCATCCTATTGGTTCTGTTTCCCTGGAGAATGCTGACCAATGCAGAGGGCAAGACAGAGAAACCCAGAGGAGCCTGGGTCCCTGACGACCTTGGGGAGGACATTACGCAGCTCCACCCCCAGACTTGTTGCTGCATGAGAGAAAAATAAGCCCTATCTTATTTAAGCCACTGTCGTGGGGATTTTCTGTTATTGGCAACCAAACTCAGCCCCTAAGGGGAGGCCACGTGTCCCGCAGTCCAGGCCCCCCAAATCACACCTACAATGGTTACTTTATCCCAGGACTGTCTGGACTATTATGGAGTTAATTTTTTTCTTTACAGAAACTCATTTTTTGGCCAGGTATGGTGGCTCATACCTGTAATCTCAGCACTTTGGGCGGCCGAGGCAGGTGGATCACTTGGGGTCAGGAGTTCAAGACCCACCTGGACAACATGGTGAAACTCCGTCTCTACCAAAAATACAAAAAATTAGCCAGGCGTGGTGGTGAGTGCCTGTAATCCCAGCTACTCTGGAGGCTGAGGCAGGAGAATCGCTTGAACCTGAGAGGTAGAGGCTGCAGTGAGCCAAGATTGCACTCCAGCCTGGGCAACAGAAGGAGACTCTTGTCTTAAAAAAAAAAAAAAAAAAAAATCAAAAAAGGGTAGCGGACTGCTGAAGGCTGGTTTGCGTCGACATGGCGGTTACCGTGAGTCTCTTGCTGGGCGGGTGTGTTTGCGCTGCTGTCCCTCGCTGCAGGTTGGCGCCCTGTGGGATAGCGGGCCCAGGCCCTATCGGCTGGGAGCAGGACCCCGATTCCTGCCGGAGGAATGGGAGCTGCAGAAGGTGGAGAGGTACCGGCTTCTCCCCAGGCCTCAGCTTGAAGCAGAGCCTTGAGTCCCGGTGCCCCAGACCGCACCCCCTTGGCGCCCGGCATCCTGCCACTGTTACTCCTTCTTACCCATTGTTAGGGGCACAGTGTCAGGTGTTCAGATCCCCTGAGACCACTGCTCCCTTCACTAGTGACGTACTTCATCATCGGTTTAGAGAGTTCGGCATGCTTAGGGCAGTTATTGTTCTAGGTGTTAGCTTTCTGGGTGTATAGAGCAGCTCTAAGCTGGCAACATGGCCAGGTTGCCCTTGCCATCAAAGAGAAGAGGGCTTGGCCGGGCGCGGTGGCTCACACCTGGAATCCCAGCACTTTGGGAGGCCGAGGCAGGCAGATCACGAGGTCAGGAGATTGAGACCATCCTGGCTAACAAGATAAAACCCCATCTCTACTAAAAAAAAATACAAAAAATTAGCCAGGCGTGGTGGCGGGTGCCTATAGTCCCAGCTACTCGGGAGGCTGAGGCAGGAGAATGGCGTGAACCCGGGAGGCGGAGCCTGCAGTGAGCTGAGATCACACCACTGCACTCCAGCCTGGGTGACAGAGCGAGACTCCATCTAAAAAAAAAAAAAGAAGAAGAAAATGATAGAGTCACTCACAGGACAAATACACCAAGGAGATGGAAGGGAAGAAATAAAGAAGTCCAGGACCCGGAGGAGAGCTTTGTGCCTGCTGCTGCACCCCTAGGTCATCAGAGAGAGCTGCAGAAGTACTCCAGTGATTCTGAGAGCACCAGAAGAACCGGCGATGCTGCGTTGCCAAGTGAGCAGAAGCTGGAGGAGTTGAAGGCAGAGGAGCCAGGTCACTTCAGCAGCAAAGTAGTGCAGAGGGGCCGAGAGTTCTTTGACAGCAGCGGGAACTTCCCGTGCAGAATCTGAGTCGGGGCTTGGCACGTGGAGATGCCTCGTGAAACACAGCTGGGCAAGTATTAATATATATGGAGCGGCCTGGATTTCTGCGTATAGATAAGCCCCCTTGGAATAGAAATAAGTGATGAGCCTGGACTGTGGGAGGAAAGAGCTGCGTGGATAGATTCAAACTTCCTGCAAAAGTGCTCCCAGTCTGAGCTCTGTAGATCTTCAGCACTCACTTCTTCTTGCATGGGCTCTCTGTATGTTGAAAACCAGCCTGTGTTGCATGTGTTGTTACAATTCTCTGTGATATTTGCAATATATGTTGTTTTTTTGTTTTGTTTTGTTTTTTGAGACAGAGTCTCTCTCTGTTGCCAGGCTGGAGTGCAGTGGCACAATCCCAGCTCACTGCAACCTCTGACTCCCCAGTTCAAGTGATTCTCCTGCCTCAGCCTCCCGAGTAGCTAGGATTACAGGCATACACCACCATGTCCAGCTAATTTTTTGTATTTTTAGTAGAGCCAGGGTTTCACCATGTTAGCCAGGACAGTCTCGATCTCCTGACCTCGTGATCTGCACGTCTCGGCCTCCCAAAGTGCTGGGATTACAGGCGTGAGCCACAGTGCCGGGCCGATACTTGCAATATATGTTTGAGAGGAAGTGAAAAGTTTGCCTTCTGACCTCATTTCCTTCTTGATCAGTGAACACTAACAGTTTTGGGACAACTTAGTCGATTGGTTTTCCTTACAAGCAAAATAAAGGAAAATGTAGCAGTCAAAATAAATAAATAAATAAATAAACAGGAAAAAAAGAAGAAACTCATTTTTTAAGTTTAGCCTCATTTAAATTATTGATGAACTTCAGTGTCTGATGGCTTCATTATATCTTTTTAATACACATTACAATGAATGTATAGTCTTTAAAATTAAAAAGATTTTAAAAGGTTTGTCCATTAACTTTTTTTTTTTTTTTTTTTGGAGAGAGGGTCTTGCTCTGTCACCCTGGCTGGAGTGCAGTGATGCAATCTCAGCGCACTGCAACCTCCACCTCCCGGGCTCAAGTGATCCTCCCACCTCAGCCTCCTGAGTAGCTGGACTATGCCTGGCTAATTTTTAAATTTTTGGTAGAGACAGGCGTTTTACCATGTTACCCAGGCTGGTCTCAAACTCCTGGCCTCAAACCATCTTCCTGCTTTGGCCTCCCAAAGTGCTGGGATCACAGGCGTGAGCCACCGCGCCCAGCCCCCGTTTTCTTAGTCTATAGGTGGAGAAAACAGTTCACCTCCCCGCCACGTGGCGTAAGTGTGTTTTTGTTCTGTGTTGAGACAGGGTCTTGCTCTGTTACTGAGGCTGGAGTGCAGTGGCACGATCAGGCCTTGTATTCCTGGGCTCAAGAGATCCTCCCATCTCAGCTTCCCAAGTAGCTGGGACTTACAGGCATGTGCCACAATGCCCAGCTAATTAAAAAAAATCTTTCTTTGTACAGATGAAATCTCTCTATGTCATCTGGGCTGATCTCAAACTCCTGGGCTCAGGTGATCCTCCTGCCTTGGCCTCGGAATGTGTGGGGACTACAGGCGTGAGCCACCGCACTTGGCCTTAACAAATGTCAACGATTGAGCCCCTGTAACTTTCCATGCCGTTCAGATCTGGAGAGTGGGAGAAGCTGTTTTCTGAGACAGCAGCTGGAGCTGCCGTTGTGAGCGAATCCTCTATCTCCTGAATCCAGGGATGAGCTTCAGGTGCCAACAGGTGGCCCAGGTGTTCTAAGCAGTCCTGTTTCCTGCACTTAGCATTCTTCCCGAGAAGCTCTCCATGTGAATTCAGCAGCCAGGCTCCAGTGGGAAGACGAGAGGACTTGGGTGGTAGGTTAACGATGGCCACAGCTCCACTGGGAAGCTGAGTCTCATTCTCCTCCCCTTGAACCTGGCCAGGCTGAGGACTGGCTTGGTCAGCAAAGGGTGGCAGATGCAAGGCCATGTCTCCAAGAGGCCTGGCGGCTTCCACCTGGCCCTCTTGGAGCCCCCAGGCTGCCATGCTTTGAGGAGGCTCAAGCCACACAGAGGAGACACCTGTACGTTCTCACATCGACAGCCCCAGTGGAACTCCAAGCCATCTCCAGCATCCACGGAGAGTCATGTGAACGGACCACCGTGGACATGTGGCCCGGATGACTGCAGCCCCCTGACATCAGATTGCAGCCGGGTGGGAATCTGCCCAGCAGGTCCCTGTCAGCCCGCAGAACTGTGCAAGACAATTATCAATGGTAGTTCTAAGCCACTTGGCTTTGGAGTGATTTGTTCTGCAACCGTCTTTGATCACTAGGGGACAGCTGTGCACAACTGGGGCCCATGGCTTCTCAGAAGTTAAAGGTGGGGGCCAGGCACAGTGGCTCACATCTGTAATCCTGGCACTTGGGGAGGCTGAGGCAGACTGATCGCTTGAGGTCAGGAGTTCAAGACCAGCCTGGCCAACGCGGTGAAACCGCATCTTTACTGAAAATACAAAAATCAGCCAGGTGTGGTGGCAGGCACCTGTAATCCCAGCTAGTCGGGAGGCTGAGGCAGGAGAATTGCTTGAACCAGGGAGGTGGAGGTTGCAGTGAGCCAAGATAGCACCACTGCACTCCAGTCTGGGTGATGGAATGAGACCCTGTCTCAAAAAAAAAAAAAAAAAAGAAGTTAAAGGTAGGGTGCAGAGGACATGGGGAGCCCTGATTTTACCCTTCATCACAGGAAGGGAAGTCACTTGGCTGCAGGGCCTGGAGAGAGCATGAAATCCTCCGTTGGGCTTTGTCTTGGGGCCAAACATCTCCCAACTGCTCACCCTGGTGATGGTCCGTCGCTCCTAGTTCAGGAGGCCAGGATTCAAATCCCACCTGCCCCACTCAGCGGGGGGTGCCCCTCACTCCATCACCCATCCCTGGGTCCTGGCTCCCCTCTGTGGCCCCCCTCCAGGTGGGGGTCAGGTGACGTGTTGACAGCGTTTGTCCCTAGTAGAGGGTGTTGGCATGGAGGACTAGGAGGGAGTGTGATCTGACTCTGGGTCCAAATGCTCAGCTCCGGGCCTCACCATGCGACCTCTTGTAGGGTGCTTCTTCTGTGAAACAGGCACGATGAAGCCTCTGCCCAGATCCTTGTCCCTCTGGCTCTCTCCTCCCCCGGGTCTAGTGTCCAGCCCCTCCGCAGGCTCTCGCTGACACCACATGTGCTCACAACGCGCCTGCTTCTCCATTTGGTCGGCCCCCCTGCCAGGATGTGGGCGTGTAGGCAGGGCTGTGCTCCAGCCCCACGGAACACAGGGCCACTTTGTGGAATGAAGGGCTGAGTACATGAATGAAAGAGCCCGTGCAAAGCCGCAACCTGGCGGCCACTGCACTGTGAAAGGGTCTCCTCCTGCCTGCCCCTGGGATGGGCTTTCTGTGAAAGGGTCTCCTCCTGGAACTCCTGGGATGGACTTTCTGTGACAGGGTCTCCTCCTGGAACCCCTGGGATGGGCTTTCTGTGGGGAAAAGAAAGAGAGATCAGATTGTTACTGTGTCTGTGTAGAAAGAAGTAGACATGGGAGACTCCATTTTGTTCTGTACTAAGAAAAATTCTTCTGCCTTGGGATGCTGTTAATCTATAACCTTACCCCCAACCCTTTGCTCTCTGAAACATGTGCTGTGTCCACTCAGGGTTAAATGGATTAAGGGCAGTGCAGGATGTGCTTTGTTAAACAGATGCTTGAAGGCAGCATGCTCGTTAAGAGTCATCACCACTCCCTAATCTCAAGTACCCAGGGACACAAACACTGCTGAAGGCCGCAGGGACCTCTGCCTAGGAAAGCCAGGTATTGTCCAAGGTTTCTCCCCATGTGATAGTCTGAGATATGGCCTCCTGGGAAGGGAAAGACCTGACCGTCCCCCAGCCCGACACCCGTAAAGGGTCTGTGCTGAGGAGGATTAGTATAAGAGGAAGGAATGCCTCTTGCAGTTGAGACAAGAGGAAGGCATCTGTCTCCTGCCCGTCCCTGGGCAATGGAATGTCTCCGTATAAAACCCGATTGTATGTTCCATCTACTGAGATAGGGAAAAATCGCCTTAGGGCTGGAGGTGGGACATGTGGGCAGCAATACTGCTCTGTAAGCCACTGAGATGTTTATGTGTATGCATATCTAAAGCACAGCACTTAATTCTTTACCTTGTCTATGATGCAGAGACCTTTGTTCACCTGTTTATCTGCTGACCTTCTCTCCACTATTATCTTATGACCCTGCCACATCCCCCTCTGAGAAACACCCAAAAATGATCAATAAATACTAATGGAACTCAGAGGCCGGTGTGGACCCTCCATATGCTGAACGCTGGTTCCCTGGGTCCCCTTATTTCTTTCTCTATACTTTGTCTCTGTGTCTTTTTCTTTTCCAAGTCTCTCGTTCCACCTAACGAGAAACACCCACAGGTGTGGAGGGGCAACCCACCCCTTCACTTTCTGTGAAAGGGTCTCCTCCTGGAACCCCTGGGATGGGCTTTCTGTGAAAGGGTCTCCTCCTGCCACCCCTGGGACGGGCTTTCTGTGAAAGGGTCTCCCCCTGCCTGCCCCTGGGATGGGCTTTCTGTGAAACGGTCTCCTCCTCCTGGAACCCCTGGGATGGGCTTTCTGTGAAAGGGTCTCCTCCTGCCACCCCTGGGATGGGCTTTCTGTGAAAGGGTCTCCTCCTGGAACCCCTGGCATGGGCTTTCTGTGAAAGGATCTCCTCCTGGAACCCCTGGGATGGGCTTTCTGTGAAAGGGTCTCCTCCTGCCACCCCTGGGATGGGCTTTCTGTGAAAGGGTCTCCCCCTGCCTGCCCCTGGGATGGGCTTTCTGTGAAATGGTCTCCTCCTCCTGGAACCCCTGGGATGGGCTTTCTGTGAAAGGGTCTCCTCCTCCTGGAACCCCTGAGATGGGCTTTCTGTGAAATGGTCTCCTCCTCCTGGAACCCCTGGGATGGGCTGTGAAAGGGTCTCCTCCTGGAGCCCCTGGGATGGGCTTTCTGTGAAAGGGTCTCTTGCTGCCACCCCTGGGATGGGCTTTCTGTGAAAGGGTCTCCTCCTGCCACCCCTGGGCTTTCTGCACAGTCTCCTTGTCCTCAGGGAGACCCCTGTGAGAAGACGGGGCCGAGACTGCCCGGCCACCATGTCCTCACCAGGGGACTCCAGCCCCACAGGAGGACGCAGGGATGGCAGGGGCAGGTGGAGACCTGAGACGCATGCTGGCCAAACACCCTGTCGAAGATGAAGGTCCGCTCCCGGGACCGGCGTGTTCGCGCCACGTCCTCGGGGTCCTCGCTGGGGTCCATGAGCATCACCATCTGCAAGCAACGAGCCGACCAGGCTGGTCAGGATAGGGCAGGGTCTGCACCCTGGATGGACCCCAGGCCTGGCACCCACCCTGGACCCCTCCAAGAGGCTTGGTCCGGGTCTGGAAAGGGCTGTGGGCCTCTGTGGTTGAGCCAGGAGCAGAGTTGGGGGCCTGCACCCACCCCCCGGCCCGGCACCCTCTCCACTTGCTTCTGAGGAGCAGCATTTACCGCTATTGCACCCTCAAAGCACAGCAGGAAGCCCCCCCAGGCCTGCTGGGCTCTGCAGCCCAGCACCCACACTGGGAAACGCTGCCTTGGTCAAAACACATCGAGGACAGCGGCCCAGCACCCACCAGCCTCCCTCAGGGCCCAGGTTCCTTTGATGAACCCACAGGGCGGGGATGGGAAGGAGATGGGAAGTGCTGAGCTGGCGCCTGGCTGCTGTGCGCAGGGTTTCTGCGAGTGACCCTGAGTGTTTCCGCTCCTGGCCCTGTCTCCTGTGGCTCACTGGGGCTGAACCATACACAGGAAACGGGAGAACAAAGGACCGAGCCGGGTACAGTGAATAACACCTGTAATCCCAGCAGTCTGGGAGGCCAAGGCGGGTGGATCACCTGAGGTCGGGAGTTCGAGACCAGCCTGGCCAACATGGCGAAACCCCATCTCTACTAAAAATACAAAAAATTAGCCGGGTGTGGTAGCGGGCACCTATAATCCCAGCTACTCAGGATGCTGAGGCAGGAGAATCGCTTGAACCCAGGAGGTGGAACTTGCAGTGAGCTGAGATTGTTCCATTGCACTCCAGCCTGGGCGACAGAGCGAGACTCCATCTCAAAAAAAAAAAAAAAAAAAAAAATTAAATTAGCCGAGCATGGTGGTGCATGCCTGTGGTCCCAGCTACATCAGAGGCTGAGGCAGGAGGACTGCTTGAGCCCAGCAGTTCAAGGCTGCAGTGAGCTGTAATCGCATCGCAGCACTCCAGCCTGGACGATCCAGCCAAGATCACCAGCCCTGCTGTTTGTCTCTCTGAGCGCCGGGTCGCCCCCAGGACCATCTCGTATAAATACCTAATTATGATGCAAAGTGTATGCGGGTCCCTGGGGACAGATAGGTTCAAAGGAGCCTTTCCCAGAGAATTGGGAGGGGGACACAGGACAATTAGAAACCACATTCGCCCTCAGCTGGTTAATCCAGCAAGCAGTTCCCTGGCCGGGAGGATCTTGGGGACCCCAGTGGCCGAGAGGAGCCACGGGGTCTAGGGAGGCACCAATGGGTGGGACCAAGCACCCCACCATCGGACAGCCCACCCCACCCCACGCTGGCTCACAAATTTGTAAACTGAGATCCCAGGAGACCAGGGCCAGCCACTGGTTCTCGGGAGTCAGTGGCAGGGCTGGGGCTGGGTCCCTGGGGCTTCCTGGCTTCTAGCCAGCACTTTTCCACTACCTAAGTGAACTAACTCCCTTTTCTTTATGTTTTTCTCCTTCCAAAGATGAAGACAATCAAAAGACAGGATGACTTGGGGCAGCTCCTGTACACACAGCCCCACTGCGTGTGCCAGCCATCGGCCAGGCCTGGGCTGCAGGAGGAATCTGACAGGAAGCAGGAGGGCACTGGTAGTTAAGAAAGCAGGCTTTGTTGGGCACGGAGGCTCATGCCTGTAATCCTAGCACTTGGGGAGGCCAAGGCAGGAGGAACATTTGAGGTCACGAATTCAAGACCAGCCCGGCCAACACAGGGAAACCCCGTCTCTACTAAAAATACAAAAATTAGCAGGGCGTGGTGGCAGATGCCTGTTAATCCCAGCTACTCAAGAGGCTGAGGCAGGAGAATCGCTTGAACCGTGAGGCAGAGGTTTCAGTGAGCCAAGATCACGCCACTGCACTCCAGCCTGGGCAACAAGAGCAAAACTCTGTTCTTTCTTGTGAGTTCCATTCCCTCCCTCCCTCCCTCCCTCCCTTCCTGATGGAGTTTCACTCTTGTTGTCCAGGCTGGAGTGCAATGGCACAATCTCAGCTCACTGCAACCTCCGCCTCCTGGGATCAAGTGATTCTCCTGCCTGAGCCTCCCAAGTAGCTGGGACTACAGGCGTGCACCACCACACCTGGCTAATTTTGTATTTTTAGTAGAGACGAGGTTTCTCCATGTTGGTCAGGCTGGTCTCGAACTCCTAACCCCAGTGACTCACCAGCCTCAGCCTCCCAAAGTGCTCGGATTACAGGTGTGAGTCACTGCACCTGGCCAACTTCCATTCTTTTTATCCATGATGCAGGTGCATCATGCAAAGGATAAGGACCTCTGCAAAGATCCTATGAAGCCACCGTCCTCTCCCACCCTACTTGTCCCCACTCTCTCAGCTGATTCCTTGGGTCTCGACCCCCTCTGCCATGTCCTTTCCTGCAGAGCCTGTCTCCCCTCGAATTAAACGCCTGTCTGGTTTTTTCGTTTGCTTTTCCGTGAACTCAGCACTGATTCACCTGCCCCCTCTGCAGTCCACTCCCCCTGGGGATGTCTGTGCACCTGATCTTCTGTCCATTTCATCTTCTTTTTTTTTGTTGTTCTTTTTTTTTTTTTTTTTTTTGAGACGGAGTCTCGCTCTGTCACCCAGGCTGGAGTGCAGCGGCGCAATCTCGGCTCACTGCAAGCTCCATCTCCCGGGTTCATGCCATTCTCCTGCCTCAGCCTCCTGAGTAGCTGAGACTACAGGCACCTGCCACCATGCCCACCCAATCTTTTTTATTTTTAGTAGAGACGGGGTTTCACCGTGTTAGCCAGGATGGTCTCGATCTCCTGACCTCGTGATCCACCCACCTCAGCCTCCCAAAGTGCTGGGATTACAGGCATGAGCCACCGCGCCTGGTCCATTTCATCTTCTTTTTTTTTTTTATTTTATTTTATTTTTTTTTTTGAGACGGAGTCTCGCTGTCGCCCAGGCTGGAGTGCAGTGGCGCAATCTCGGCTCACTGCAGGCTCCGCCCCCTGGGGTTCACGCCATTCTCCTGCCTCAGCCTCCCGAGTAGCTGGGACTACAGGCGCCCGCCACCTCGCCCGGCTAATTTTTTGTATTTTTAGTAGAGACGGGGTTTCACCGTGTTAGCCAGGATGGTCTCGATCTCCTGACCTCGTGATCCGCCCGCCTCGGCCTCCCAAAGTGCTGGGATTACAGGCGTGAGCCACCGCGCCCGGCCGTCCATTTCATCTTCTTGCAGACGATGCCCTGAGCCTCCTGACCTGGGACCAGGACTGGTGCCCCCCTGCCCAGCGGGGAGCTCCCTCTGACACACCCAGGGTCCCCTGCCCCTGAGTGCACATGACTCCCAGGGGCCATGTCTCCTTCCTTATGAAGCTGCCTCTCTAATGACGAACGGGAAAACCTGATCCACTTGGCGACACTGAGTTCCACCCCACACTGGGCATTTCTTCTTATGAGTGACCACCGAGGCCATAGACATCCCTAACCTGTGGCAACAGCTTGGCTTCTGAGCCTGCTTCAAAGTGGCAGAGATCCCCGTGCTGGACAGCATGCTGGCGCCCTTCCCTGCTGAGCTGCAGCCACCCAGGCCCTTTCCAGCCACACAATTTCAGAGCCAGGCCTGCTGAAGGCTCTGCCCTCCTCCCAGCCCCCTCCCTGCTCTGTGGCCCTGCCACATGCTCCTGCTGGGGGGCTCCAGCCTGCTCCCCTGCCCTGACTTTGCCCACCCCCACGGGCTCTGCTGTATTCTCCTGGTGGCACTCATCTCTCCCTTTGTGTGCCCCGAACCCTGACTAGAAACTGGGCCCAGTGGGGTGGGCATGGTGTCAGTCTTAGCCACACCTCCAGGACAGAGCCCCATCTGTGAGCTTGTGACAGCAGGGAGCCCCCTGAGCCCCAGCCTCACCTGGTCCCCCACTTTGTGGGCGATGACCGCGGCTCCCTCCTTCAGTTCTGCGTCATTGAGCGGGTGGATTCGAAGTGCCACCTGCAGGCAGTCACCAGGGCGGCTGCTCTGGGATCTGCTCAGTCTCTGTGAAGAGGTGAAGGCAGCAGCTCAGCCCCGTGCCCCTCAGGGTGGGCTCTGACTTCACTCCCACGGGGCTGCCCGTGCCCCCAACAAGACATGGCCTCCCTCACTGAGGAGATGGGGAGGTTGAGGCACACAGCAGGGAGCGCCTGCCCAAGGCCTTGCCTCCCAGTCCTGCCACCTCCAGAAGAGATGCTGAGCTCCTTCATGGGAAACTTCCCCAAGGGGAAACTGGGGGCCTTGCCATCCCCACTCCCTATTCTGAGGGCCAGATCCCGGCCTCAAACCCACCCAGCTGGATAGTAACTGTGGCCCCAGGACGCTTGTTTCCCCCTCTATAAAAGGGACACATTTTTTGGTAGAAACAGCAGCTGTGGCTGAGGGACAGTCATGACTGGCATCTCTTTTTACCCAGCTACAGCCCTGGGGCAAGTCCCCAGCTCAGCTCACCGCTGTCCAGTTGGCGGAGGCTCTGAGTCCCCCAGCAGATGGCCTGGATTGGGCCCAGGGAGGGGGCTGGGGAGCCCAGAGCCCGCACACCCAGGTGCCAGCAGCATGGGGATTAGGGGTGGAGAGGGTGTCTGGAGGCTCAAGGCGGGGGTGCGGAGGCAGTGGGGAAGAGCGGGGCAGCTAGCTCCCAGCGAGGGAAAGTTGGGGAGTAGACCGGGCTGATAACAGAGCAGAGGGGTCGCCGGGGTTGCAGGCTTGGGAGGCGGCGTCGGGCACTCGCAGACTGGGGGGGCGGGAACACGAGGGAGGGCGCTCACCATTAGTGGCTGGTCTTTGGGCTCCATCTCTCAACGCCGGGCTGCCCCGGGCCGGGGAGGGACCTGCAGCCTGGCAGGAGGGTATGGGCAGCGGGATGCGCTCCCTATCACAGCAGAGATGAGACCTGCCTGCGCTCAGCCCCGCTCTGCTCTGCCTAGGTGACATCAGCTGGGCCTTGGGGAGCCGGGCTGGCACCACTCATGTGGTTGGGGCCTCAAGGAGCAGGGTGGCCCTCTCGATCACCTTGGCACACAGGGACAGCGCCAGACGCTACAGCAGCCTCTATCTCCACCCTCACTATGGCAACCCCCGGTTTCCATGTGCCTCACCCGGTGCACATGAGCCAGCCTGACACCCACCAGGACACAGGTGGAGGGGCTGCCCCTCTTCTTTGCAGGGTGGGTCCCTCTACCACCTTGAGCCCAGGAGAGGCGCTGCCCACCTCAGGGCCCCTCACACAGAAACCAGGATGGCCCTGGAGCTTTTCCCTTGAAGCAGACAAATGGCAGCAGCTGAAACTTCACACAGCAACTTGAGCAACTTCGACTGCAACTGCCGTTTCCAACGGCGACTATGTTTCTTTTTTTTTTTCTTGTCACCCAGGCCGGAGTGCAGTGGTACAATCTTGGCTCACTGCAACCTCTGCTTCCTGGGTTCAAGCAATTCTCCTGCCTCAGCCTCCCGAGTAGCTGGGATTACAGGCACCTGCCACAATTTTGTGGCTCATTTTTGTATTTTTAGTAGAGATGGGGTTTCACCATGTTGGCCAGGCTGGTCTCGAACTCCTGACCTCAGGTGATCTGCCCGCCTTGGCCTCCCAAAGTGCTGGGATTACAGGCGTGAGCCACCCGCGCCCGGCCCGCGACCACGTCTCCTCCCCTTTCCCAGTAAGCGCTTGATTGGCTCTCAGGTGTATTCAACACCTAAAGGCTGTGCTCCTTTTCCACTGCAAGCCCGGGGAAAGGCACCGCACCGTGAACCTGCTCCCCAAGGTCACCTGACCCGTCCAGGCTGAGCTAACCAGAGTGCAGGACGACACTGCCCAGAGCCAGGGTCGGTGCCAAGCACAGAAACCCGCTCCTGCACTGACAGAGATCACGCCAAAGCCAGGCCGGGCGTGGCACACGCCTGTAATCCCAGCTACTCGGGAGGCTGAGGCAGAATTGCTTGAACCCGGGAGGTGGAGGTTGCAGTGAGCCGAGATCACGCCATTGCACTCCAGCCTGGGCAACAGAGCAAGACCTTGTCTTGACAGAAAAAAAAAAAAAAAAAAAAAGTAAAGAAATCACATTAAAATCGGATCCAAGCTGTTCAAGCCTGGCCAAGTCCAACTTCATGATGCCAACCACGGAGCTGAAAGGGCCCGGGGGTCCATTCCCGCCAGAGTGGGCGACTCAAGCCCTCCCAAGAGCCACCATGCCTTTCCCATAAGCCGACTGCCTGGCAGCTCAGCTGTGCAAGGCCAGGGCATGTTTTTGGCCACATCCATCTCTTTCTTGGCATCCGGGTCAACACTGTGCAGCAGGAAACCCCAGCCAGGTGGATTCGGCTACCCCTCCAACAACCACATCCCTGTCCTCTAGGAGGATGAGGCTCCAGCGTCTGACCACGGCACTTGCCGGGAACACGTTTACAAGTCCCCGCGTTCTTGCCTGCCTCAGCCTCCTGAAACACAACCAAGGCCATGCCTGCAGCAGGGGTCCCAAACACCCCCCCCCCCCGATGTCCTGAGCCCGCCAGCCGTGGGGACCCTGATACCCAGGAAGTCCCTCCACAGCAGGCCGGCTCTGGGAGATCCATGTCTACCGTAGCAAAGTTAAAACCAACGCAAGGGCTTCAGAAATCCTTTACGAATTATATGAAACAATGACAACTAGTACATTTAAAACAGTGGAAAGTTAATTTTTTTTAGAATATCTGTTAAAAATCTGTCATATGGTAGAACTGTGTGCCTTTCTTCTTTCGATGAAATCAGAAAAACTTTCTCGGCACACTAGAATTTAAGCAGCAAGAGTATAAACAAGAATTACTAATAAAATGTGCACTGGAGGGACACAGGATGAACGGCAGGACTGCGACAATTCTAGAACTGTAGAATCGCAGATGAGAGAAATGTAGGGCTCCCAAAAAAGCAAACGCACCAAGGCGCCCTCCTCACACCTGGGAGACCCAGTGTGACCTGAGGCTCTAGGCCACTCCTCCAGGGTGGCAGGAGCCCGGGTCCTCTGCCCTGTGAATTACAGCCCCTCCCAGTCTCCAAACGTTGCCTTAGGTTTGTAAATGGCCCTTGGCTGTGAGTTCTGAGGGCTGCCTCAGGTTTGAGGAGTTGAAAAGAGGTGGATGAAACTGCAGGGTCACAGGTGCCAGTGGGAAGTGACACCCTGTCAACAGGAGGGGCTGAAATTACCCCAATTTGTGGGCTCCCTTCCCAACAGGAAACAAGTTCAGAACTGGCCGGGCACGGTGGCTCACTCCTGTAATTCCAGCACTGTGGAAGGCCAAGGCGGGTAAACCACATCAGGAGTTTGAGATCAGGCTGGCCAACATGGTGAAACTCTGTCTCTACTAAAAGTACAAAAAATTAGCTGGGCGTGGTGGCACATGCGTCGTCCTAGCTACTCAGGAGGCTGAGGCAGGAGCATCGCTTGAACCCGGGAGGCGGAGGTTGCAGTGAGCCAAGATTGCGCCACTGTACTCCAACCCGAGTGATAGTGCGAGACTCCATCTCAAAATGAAAAAACGGGCAGAACTGACCATTCTCAATACAAGTTTCCCAATGTGTCTAACTCCAAGGAAAAGTCACAGGGTTCTCACCAGGGAAAATGACCAGCATCTTTCACAGAAAACAACGCAACAGAAGAGACTGTGGCATGACTAGTGCATCGCTGGACACAGGGTGGCCGAGTGTGCGTGACGACCGGACGGGACAGCGCCCTGCAGAGGTCTGGCTTGGCAAGCAGGCCCTTGCCACTGGGGAGGGAGGCAGGCACCAAGTTCAAGGTCTCTATCTACATTCAAAGAGAGGAGAAAGACCGGTTTTTCATACAAGTTTGCTTTTATTTCCATGTTCAACCTGCGGAGAAAACCGGCCACAACCTGCACGGTGGGGGTACAAGGCATGGCGGCGCCCTCCCGGTGGGTCTCCGGGACACGTCCAGCACTGCCCGCAATGGGGATGCAAGTCCTTCAACGGAAATGCTGCTCGGCTGTGTACAGGCACCGTGGAAACATCACTGGGCGCAGGAGAAGGTGCCGCCAGTGGCGTCGCTAAGTCTTCGGAGCCAACGCCGGCGGTTCCAACAGAAAACTCCAAACAAGAAAGAAGTGGAAGCGGGTGCCTTAAATCCCCCACTGCAGACACCAGGGGCTGAAAGGCACAAAAATGTGTCGCAATGGCAGAATCCAGGCGCAGTCACAGTCCAGAGCCAGAGAGCACAGGGAGGAGGCGGGAGTCACGCGGCTTCCTGCAGGACGGCCTCGGCTCCACAGCACACACGGCTGCGCTGCAACAGAGGAACCGCGGCTCACACTCGGGAGTCCTGTAGCTCAGCGCGGGAACAGCAGGCGGAGTCCGTCCCCTGGATAGACAGGCATGGCGGCCCTAAACGGCACCACCTCAAAAGGCTGAGGGACCCCCTGAACATCGCCTTGGGGCTGACGTTGAGTCCCGCAAGAGGAGCCACCCCGGCCACAGAGAGCTGAGCCCGTGTGCCACCCCTACTCGCTCATGGTCCCACCCTGGGGGGACAGCAACCAGGCCACCCTCAGGCACCCCATTAGGCCTTCTGTCCCACATGTGCCCATGCTGTGAGGCGCGGAGGCCCCCAGGACTCAGGAGCTCCCGCACTCTGCTCCCCAGCCCCCGACTTGGAAGGCTCTTGTCTCAGAACTGCTGAAACCACAGTCACAGCCGTGCACGCCAGTGTTTCTTTCCAGTGGACACACCGCGGCCGTCACTAGCACAGGTATCAGGAAATGGCCAGGCATGGCCACCCTCCTCTTCCTGGCACTTCCCAACACCTGGCCACAGCTCCTCCCTCACCCAGCACTGCCTGAAAGGCGCCATCTGCAATGTGGTCAGAGGGCGCAGTCGAGGCCACGTCGGCACCGACTCTACATTTCACACGAGGCTCAGCTAACCCTGGGCACATGACACTAGGGCTTCACCCTTCACCCCTGCCTTAAAGGAGGTGCTTCCTCAGTGACGGGGATAACTGAAGCAGCATGAGCAGCCAACAGGACCCCCATCGCGCCCCCTGCAGACGCTCACCACAGTGCTCCAGGTCACTCCTGATTCCCGAGGGGAATGATTTCTTCAGTGACGAAGAACTCAATGGTCTCCTCTTCCCAGTCGTCCACGTTGCTGTCCAGCTCGTCAGTGTCCACCCCTGAGGGGACAAAGGGCGCAGATCACCCATGGGGGCACATGCCTAGTGGCACCGCCGAGGCCAGTGGGAAGGAACGCAGGAGTCCGCGGGCACCAGGGCCCAGGGGCAGCGTAAGGGCCAGCTCCTGGGGACTGAGGGATCTCTAAGTTACCTCCTCGCAACTCCAGGCGCTCGTTTTTCTGCTCCATATAGAGCTCCTGGGCCATTTTCCGGTACTTCCGGAAATCTTCCATCATGGTGCGCCTTCTCTCCACCAATTCCTATGCATGAGGTTGGGGAAAGCACAGAACTGGTAAGACAAGTGCCTCCCCATCGCGAAGAGCCCACACCCAGGCGGACGGTGCCAGAAGGACAGCATACAGAGGCACTCAAGCAGGAATGGCTAGTCCATTCATTCTCACTTTTCCCCCAACGCTGCCCCCCACCCACAAGGCAGCAGTGAGGTCACCAACTCCAAGTCCCCGTGCCAACCCCAGTTCCCCAGTGCATCCCTCCTGGGGGGGAACAGAACCAGTGTCTTCGGAGCAGAGGCAACTCTGAGCACATACACAGCAGCTCCCCGCAGCCCCGCCTTTGCCATGATGGCGGATGTCACAGCACAGCCCTCATTTTGGGAATGAGGCTCACCTTTGAGGCTTTGGACTGACTCAAACGATCCTTCTGTTCAAAGATCTTAGAGTATTTCTTCAGATCCTTTTTAATTTGCTGAAACAAAAGACCCATCACTCAGGATTTAACATTCAAAGCAACAAGCACAAATGCAATCTTCAGAGTTGCCAACATGACATGACACCCAAAGCCATTCACAGAACACAGCTTCCCAGGAGCGCTCGCATGCTCCTTTCTCCATGACACCCAGGGTCATTCACACAACACAGCTTCCCAGCAGCACTCGCGCCTGCTCCTTCCTCCATGACACCCAGGGTCATTCACACAACACAGCTTCCCAGGAGCGCTCGCGCCTGCTCCTTCCTCCATGACACCCAGGGTCATTCACACAACACAGCATCCCAGGAGCGCTCGCCTGTTCCTTCCTCCATGACACCAAGGGTCATTCACACAACACAGCATCCCAGGAACGCTCGCCTGTTCCTTCCTCCATGACACCGAGGGTCATTCACACAACACAGCATCCCAGCAGTGCTCGCGCCTTCTCCTTCCTCGACACCCAGGGTCATTCACACAACACGGCTTCCCAGGAGCGCTCGCGCCTGCTCCTTCCTCCTTGACACCCAGGGTCATTCACAGAACACGGATTCCCAGGAGAGCTCGCGCCTGCTCCTTCCTCCATGACACCCAGGGTCATTCACAGAACACAGCATCCCAGGAGCGCTCGTGCCTGCTCCTTCCTCCATGACACCCAGGGTCATTCACAGAACACAGCATCCCAGGAGAGCTCGCGCCTGCTCCTTCCTCCATGACACCCAGGGTCATTCACAGAACACGGCATCCCAGCAGTGCTCGCGCCTTCTCCTTCCTCGACACCCAGGGTCATTCACACAACACGGCTTCCCAGGAGCGCTCGCGCCTGCTCCTTCCTCCTTGACACCCAGGGTCATTCACAGAACACGGATTCCCAGGAGAGCTCGCGCCTGCTCCTTCCTCCATGACACCCAGGGTCATTCACAGAACACAGCATCCCAGGAGCGCTCGCGCCTGCTCCTTCCTCCATGACACCCAGGGTCATTCACAGAACACAGCATCCCAGGAGCGCTCGCGCCTGCTCCTTCCTCCTTGACACCCAGGGTCATTCACAGAACACGGATTCCCAGGAGAGCTCGCGCCTGCTCCTTCCTCCATGACACCCAGGGTCATTCACAGAACACAGCATCCCAGGAGCGCTCGTGCCTGCTCCTTCCTCCTTGACACCCAGGGTCATTCACACAACACAGCATCCCAGGAGCGCTCGTGCCTGCTCCTTCCTCCATCTTTCACTTTGAGACGGACTTTCTCCCTGGGATTTAACCCTCCTCTTTGCTCTGACCTAAGACCAACGGCCTATTTTACCACAATAATGTAAATCCCAGACAAGCCGCTTCTAATCCCAGCAGGACTTTTTAATGGCCCTGGCATCTTTTTATCCACCCCTCGGGTTCATGCAAAACTTCCCTAAAGAAGCTGAAAGCCTCAAGTTACTATCCTAAAGCTGTTCTATTCCATTCAGTTCTCACTGTTCCTGCGTCTCTTCAAAGAATCCTTGCAAATGTCACGTTTTTATCCCCCAGTCACCACCCTAACAATAACAGAAAAAACTGACACCTTTTCAACGCCACAATTGCCTCCATGTGCCCTGCACCCGGGGGTGGGGGCATGCTGACCTTGATCTGTTCCTGGCTCAGGAGTGTGGGAGGCCGGGGCCGCCACAGCAGCTGGCAGAAGCGGTCCTTGTTGTTCTTCTGCAGGAGGCGTCCCTGGAAAGTCCACAGCCAGTACGCGTTGTCCACCTAGGCCAGGGCAGGGACACACCAGGACACAGAGGGGTCAGAGAGCCACAACCGTGACTATGTCACTTGCTGAACAAGGTCCTGGGTATCGGGGACACGTGTGAAGCAAACAAAGCTCTGCCTGTGCTGAGCTGACAGCAGGGTAGGTGGGCAGTCAATGCAAGACACCTCCATTATGCAACCGACCCGGAGTGCGGGGCACGGAGCAGCTGGAGCAGCGCTCATCACAGCACAGGCCTGCACATTCTGGCTGGCAATAAGAACCCCATGCTGGATGTAAGCTAACTGCCTCACTACTGCGCCGCTGAACCCCGTGCTGGATTTAAACTGGACTGAACCCTGTGCCAAACGTAAGCTAACTGCATAGCACTACTCACTGCTGAGCCCTGGGCCGGGTGTGAGCTGTGCGGAGCCCTGTGCTGGATGTAAGCTAACTGCATCACTACACGCCGCCTAGTTCCGCTCTCCTCATGGCAGGCCTCTCTCATGAAGGAGGGCGCCTTCACTGGCACTCAGCATAAACTCCTTGTTGCAGGCCGGCATTTTGGAAGCTAAGTGTTCATAACTCAAGGAGAGTGGTCAACAGCTTAAAAAGTCTTTTTTTTTTTTTTTTTTTTAATGGGGCTAGGGTTTCGCTATGTTGCTCAGGCTAGTCTCAAACTCCTGGGTTCAAGTGATTTTTCTACCTCTGCCTCCTGAAGTGCTGGGATTACAGGTGTGAGCCACTGTGCCTGGCCTAAAGTGATTTCAAGTGTCAAGGCAGGCCCCACCGCAGTGACATCTGAACATACCTGGACACAGGCTGTGATCAACATATCCTGATTCGAATGCGAAGATTTCTAACTCTAGACACTTGCAGTAACATTTGGGAAGTTGATATTCCTACAAATTCTGTATCTCATTAAACAAAATTACCCGCGTTTGGTTTCACAGGCTCTATTGGCATGGACTAGTTCAAGTATCAGTGCCTCCATCAATGTTTTTACAAGTCACTAAATACTGAAAGTCCTTGACAAACTTAACCAGCAGTTTTGGAATACGAGTTGTGGGTAACGCGGCAGCTGGACTCAACCACTGACCCCAAAACAGATCTTAATGTCTGCGGTTATGGAACTCTGTTCAGACTTCAAAGGAAACGACTCCTCTCTGCAGACATTCTCACTCCTTTTCAGGGGTCCCTGGGCCCAGGGTAAGACCCCCCACCTCCCCGCAACCATGAGCAGGGGCTGCTCCTGCACTCGGCGCCACCTCTTCTACAACCCAGAATCCTCCTCCTCCTGCCACTAACACCAGCCAAGGCTTCTGTTCAACACAGAGGCTTGGTGCCCCTTCCCTGAGGTCCCAGGACAGCACCAGAGTCAGCAGCTAGCCAGCACTCCCTGCTTCTATCCACAGTCAAAACTATGCCCCACAGGCCTGCACCTTATGGCTCCACCAGGACACAGAGGTGACGACGTAGCGCCCAGTAGGATCCCATTCGACGTCGGAAGCCATGTAGTGCTCTGCGATGTTCATGACCGTGCAGTCCGAAGTGTCCACAAACGCTAAGGCACCGTTCATACTGCAAAGACAGACAGGACCGTCAGGCTTCATGGAGACGCATACCTCCTGGCATCCCACTCCTGAGAGGTGCTGCGGCATGGGGTCCCCAGGGAGCCAGCCTCGGCGTTAACATGGAAACAAGCACAGCAACAGCCTCTGGTGGCCGCTGTGAGACTTACCAAATCACAGATGCAGAGTGTGCAGTGAGTATTACATATGACTGCCATCATATTATTTTTACTGGAAATGTTATCTGAGGCTAAGTAAGCCTCCAAAAATACAGTAGCAAGTGTGGACAATGAAGCAAGGGAGAGCAGCAACAAAAGGGTATTCTTTTAACTCAGAGCAGAAAGCTGGAAGCTTCTCCATGATTTCGACACACTGCTGGAACACAGCTGAGACCGACACCGTGACACCAACCACAAAGGTAAGGCAGCCTCACAGCTGTGTAACGAATACCCTTCCCACTAGAAGACAAGGGACTGACCCCCGGGGGGAGGTTACTGGATGGCTGGAAGGCACTTGTTTAACCACAGAGAACCACAACCCGCAGACAGGTCTGCCTGGTCACTTCACGAAAGCATCTGGGAGCGCTTATTTCACTCTGTGCGGGCTTGGCCTGAGTCCTGGAGTACCGTGGGTCTGCAGAGGTTCAATGAAGTCCTATCCACTGACACTGGGGCAACCCTTTCAGCGCACAATACTCTCTCTACCAAGAAGCCGGGTGCAGGCGCCTGAGGGGTCTCTGCCACAGCAGAGCGCTACTCACAGGGCGGACAGGCTCAGAGCGCAGACACCTACCTCCTCAGGCCCGCCAACACCACGAACTGTCCTTGGGGGCTCCAGAAGATGGTGTTCGCCTGCTGCTTGTCGAACATCTCTGAAAGGAAAGAGCGCGCCTGTCACGAGCTGCGAGGGCTTCCACAGTGCCGGGGCAGCCAAGGCTGGAGGACTTGGCCGTGCTCATGCTGCCCATGAGGGCAGAGCTGGTAATGCTGGACCACCTCGGAAAACAATTTTACAAAGTCCATCGCCAAGTACCCCCTAAGTCATGATCCATACTTTAAATGGGAAAAAAAAGAAGATGCGACAGGGGTATTTCAAAACAATACTATCTTATTTCCTGAGGTAACTGGACAAAGAATTCCCTTTACAGCAAATGTTCACTGCTGCAGGGACCCCAACAGAGAGATGTCAGAGACGTGTGACCCCAAAAGACCAAAGCCACTCTCCTAGCGACAAGGCGTCTTTGGATAAGCTGTATGCTTGTTGAAACTGACTACAGTCATCATCTTTGCAGGTACTAACTCTTACTTCCGGAATGGATCTCGGGCAGAGCCGCTGGAACAGTGAGAAGTGAAGGCCAGCTGGGGCTGGCTCAAGTCCCCCTCAGAGCATATGCTCCCTGCATCTCAAACAGAGCTGACAACCTGTGGCCTCTCTCCCCTCAGCCTGTGGTACATCCAAAAAAGAGGCATGGGGCAGGCTGACGTGGGGAGGAGGGGAGGAGATGTGGGAGGGCAGTGCACCCTGGCAGGGGCAGGGGTCTCAGACTTGCACAAGCGAAAACCCCAACAGCCACGGGCATGGGATGGAGCCCATGCGGTGGCCCCAGCGTCCATGCCAAACCTCAGGAGAGGCGTGTCACGCAGCATGTTTGGAAGGTACAAGGTGCCTCTGCTTGCCTATGTTTTATGACCTAGAAGACTTACACAAGTCTCTGGACAGTCTGCAATTGCCCATATGTTTCTATCAACCAGAATTAATGAAACAGCCAATCTTGTAATCCACTGCCAACTGAGGGCACCACGCACCCTGCCAAGCTCTAGCAAAGTGAAAACTAAACTCCTCACAGAATCATGCTGCGAAAGGTGCGGCCAGGAGATTCCAACCCCTTCCTGGTACAGAGCCAAACCCATGGCTCTGCAGGAGGGCAGCTGGCAGCCAGAGTCCTGTGTGAGGAACACAGCCCATCGCCACCTCCTGGCTACCACACACACACACCCCACGCCTATGAAGCAACAAGCAATGGCTCATTCAATCCCCGCGGGCACCGGGCTCTGTGCTGAGCAGAGACCCCAGGATGAAGTGAGGAGCTGAGGGCACAGGCAGCAGGTGCCGTGAGACAGGCGAGGGCCCACGCACCACTGTGAGGAGCGAGCCCCAGGTGGGTGCAGTGTGGCACCCCTGGAACCGGGTGCACGGGGGCAGAGTACAGCTGTGTGCAACAGCTCTGCGCACCCTGGTCAAAGGCACCTGACCCAGACTGGGGACTGGCAGGAGTATGTCCACAGGAAGTGACCCCAAGCCCAGGGACAGCAGCTACAGCCAGAAGAGAAAAAGCTTCACTTGAGATGATGGCAGAGAATGGAAGCCTTGGAAATACTCGCTTAAACGTGAGGGCTCAACGGGGCTCAGAGAGACACCCTGCAAGGAGGCGGCACCTCCAGGCCATCGCTCACTTCCATCAGCCGAGGCCACACCCCATTCATAGGCGAGTCCCGGCCTGCCCAGCAGTGGTCCTAGGCCAGTCAAATGCTCACTGTTGGGCAGCGACTGGGTCATCATCTGTGCTGACCTACTCAGAAGAGGAAAGGGACCAGGTTACTTACTGATGAGTTCAATCTTCCCGTTGTTTTTGACGTGGTAGAAAGACACAGATATCCGCGGAGCCTCTCCGTGCAGCACAGCAAACTTACTTCCATTTGGTTCCCAGGCAAAGGCTATGATGGTTTCTAAAATGCACAAAACAGACCCCTCCCTTTTTGGTCAATTCAGAACATAGTGCTCTTGATCAGTTAAAATGTTCACTATTCAACCACAGAGAAATATCCCCCGACGTGTAAAAGTTCATTAAAAGGACGGGAGAGCAAGCAACAGCAGGAAAGGTGCACATTCCTGGAGTTTCAGAGACAGCTGCTTCCACTTGTGTGGAGTGACCTACGTGAAACTGCTCCCTTCCTGAGAGCAGGACACCCACAGCAGGACCGCAGGAGCCCGACATTGTCAGCAGCTGTGGATGCCGCTTCCCTCGCACCCAGTGTGCACCTACAGTGGGATCCTGACCTCCGGTCTCCCTGCCTGGAAGGGCGGCCATGTTTCCCATTTTCTCACCTATTTTTAACCCTTCCTTCCTCCTTTTCTCCATGGCAAAACAAAAAGCCAAACAAGAACACAGGCTCAATCTCTTTTCTCTTTTTTTTAGACAGGGTCTTGCTCCGTCACCCAGGCTGGAGTGCAGGGGCGCAATCTCAGTTCACTGCAACCTCTGCTCCTGGGCTCAAGTGATCCTCCCGCTTCAGCGTCTCAAACAGCTGGGACTATCGGTGCGCACCACCACACCTGGCTAATTTTTTTTATTTGTTTTTTGTACAGAGAGGGTCTCACTATGTTGCCCAGGCTCTAAACACGTTCTGTGACCTGGAGATGACTATTCATGGTGAGGGCTCACAGTCCTGACTCAGCTGCTCAGACAACCCCTCGCATGGAAGTGTTAAAGCCAAGAGTAAAACAGCACGTAGGCCCCATTCGCCTCAAAGTGACTAAAATACAACTTGCCTTTCATCTCGACCACATCCACAGGTACCTGTTTCTCCCTCATTCGGAAAATTTCAAAATTTGTGACAACACCCTGTTTAAAAAAAAGGGGGAAGGGGTGACATTCTGGACAGTGAAAATATGAGAAAAGGTTTAAATCAAAGATCAACGTCACAATGAAAGATTCAGTGTGCATGCCTGGTTCACACACGAGCATGTGCAGTGATGAAAGCCACAGCCCTCAGGATGGAAGACGGTTCTAAGGCTGGAGAACTGCCGGCACCACGTCTACTGGAAGCCACTGGACATGCATGAAGTAACTCTGACCCAGATCCCACCTCCAGGAGCCGCCCTGCCCGCCACACTTGGGCACAAGCAGTCCCAGGGTCCACACTGCAGGCTGCAGGCCAGGGTCCTGAGGGCCCTAAAGGCACACCAATGGGGCTGGGTAAACCACTTCAGACAGTGGGGTGTCCTGTAGCCATAACCTTCAAGAAGTCCTGCCCTACTCGAGGAGTCTGAGGGAAAACTGCCCTGATGTCCATCAACAGAGGAAGGAGGCCAAGAAACGGGGTCCACCCAACAAGAGATTACTGCTGACACTCAGCACCGTGGACCAGCTGTGGGAACGCTGTGCTCCGTGAAGGAGGTCAAACACAGAAGGTGGCATAGTATCCGATTCCAGCTGTGTGTTCAGAATAGGGAAATCATAGACATTCGTGATGCCAGGAGCTGGGCGGAGAGGCTGCTAACAGGTATGTTGTTTCTTTGTAGGGTGACAAAAACATTTATTTATTTATTTATTTTTGAGACGGAGTCTCACTCTGTTGCCCAGGCTGGAGTGCAGTGGTGCAATCTCGGCTCACTGCAAGCTCCGCCTCCCGGGTTCACGCCATTCTCCTGCCTCAGCCTCCCGAGTAGCTGGGACTACAGGCACCCGCCACCACGCCTGGCTAATTTTTTGCATTTTTAGTAGAGACGGGGTTTCTACTAAACCCTCGATCTCCTGACCTTGTGATGCCCCGCCTCAGCCTCCCAAAGTGCTGGGATTACAGGCGTGAGCCACCGTGCCCGGCCTTTTTCCTATCTTTTAAAAATTATCTGTGGAGATGGGGTCTCACTGTGTTTCCCAGGCTGGTCTGAAACTCCTAGCCTCAAGCTATCCTCCCTCCCACCCCGGGGGAGCCACCGCACCCAGCCGATGAAAACGTTCTGAAATGAGTGGTGGTGGCTGCATAACTCTGAACACACGAAAAACCACTGAACCAGTTCACCACTCTAAAGGGGTGTTTTCAGGCATGTGAACTACATGTCAATTAAAGCTTTCTTAACATAAAAGAAAGAAGAATACTTCTATTAGAGGGAAAACTCAGGAATTTCTTTTTTTTTGTGAGACGCAGTCTGGCTCTGTCGCCAGGCTGGGGTGCAGTGGCGCAATCTCGCTCTGTTCACTGCAAGCTCTGCCTCCTGGGTTCAAGCGATTCTCCTGCCTCAGCCTCCCGAGTAGCTGGGACTACAGGAGCCTCCCACCACGCCCAGCTAATTATTGTACTTTTAGTAGAGATGGGGTTTCACACCACGTTGGCCAGAATGGTCTCAATCTCTTGACCTCATGATCCGCCCACCTCGGCCTCCCAAAGTGCTGGGATTACAGGCATGGGCCACTACACCCAGCCAACTCAGGCAATTTTTTGATAAAATAAATATTAAATGATCAACCACCAAAAATAAAAAAATAAAAAAATAAATCTTGAGTATACTACTCCTTGTGCTTAGAAAGAAAATAATATTCTCAGCCAGGCACGGTGGCTCACGCCTGTAATCCCAGCCCTTTGGGTGGCCAAGGCGGGCAGATCACCTAAGGTCAGGAGTTCAAGACCAGCCTGGCCAACATGGTGAAACCCTGTCTCTAATAAAAATACAAAAATTAGCCAAGCGTGGTGGTGGACGCCTATAGTCCCAGCTACTTGGGAAGCTGAGGCAGAAGAATCATTTGAAACCAGGAGGCAGAGACTGCAGTGAGCCGAAATCGCACTCCTGCACTACAGCCTGGTGACAGAGTGAGACTCCATCTCAAAAAAAAAAAAAAAAAAAAAAAAAAAAAATCCATTAACACCCTCCAAACAATACGGTGGCCACTTCAGAGCTCAGGATAAGGAATCGTCAGTTCCTGTGGGAATCTACATACCTGGGTGCCTTTCGGAGTCCTATCTACTTTCACACACAAGTAGTCTCCGTTCTTCTGCCAATGGAGCTTGCAGTCCACCACATTGAACAGGTTCCTCACTCGGATCTCTTGCCTGGTAGGGAGCTGCATCAGGGTTACCCTGGCTGGAATATCTTTGTCTTCAGGCACCCAGAAGGCGATTATGTTACCACCAGGAGACCAAGAAAAGTCTCTGCAGAACAGGAAAATAAAATGTTAAAGCAAAGACCAAGTGATGACGAAACTGAAAAGCAGAAGAGAATAGAACAACTCATTTGCTATATAGAAGCTCAATGCTGTCACAGCTGACGCTGAGCGCTCCCTCTGCACAGCCACTGCTCTGGGCATGCCGCGCAGCTTCATAGGTCCTCGCCAGGACCCTGTGGCACTACTGTGCTCACTGTGACAAGGAGTGAATGCAGACAGAATATTAGCAACCCCACCATCACGCACAGACTCATATGGACTCCAGCCTGGGCTCCGTCAGCCCACTCTTAAGACACCGCACACTGCTGCTTTGAGGCAAATAAGTTTTAGGCTGACGGATCTGGCTACATGTCATCTAAAGATTAATTAAGGTGCAAATGGGGAAAATGGCAAATCAAGTGTAAGGAATGAGCAAGAACAAGGGCAGCTCCCTCCACTTTATCAACTACTCTACAGAAGAGCTGCTGTAACGAACGGCTCCTGAGCTCACCTACATGAAAAACATCTTTATACACGCTATGTGCTGTTTTGCATTTTTTGAGAACCAACGTCCTGGTCTTTTCATTTTATAAGCCATAATTTTGCCCAAGAATGTAAAAACGAAAGAAGAAACGTCAATGTCCTTGGATTGTTGGAAGTTCACTGCCGTGATACTGACCAGTCCCAAGTTTTGCGATAAATAAAAACGTGCCCATTCTTTGCTGGTGAAAATGAGCCGAAGGCTCCCCAAACCCTGCCTCGGATGGAAGAGTACCAGGAAAACCTTTCACCTAAGCAGAGTCCCCTCTTTTCCTTAAAAGGCTGGAAACCCCACCCTCCTCAGTTTCTAGATCAAAGACGAGGTAGATGGAAGGAAGCCGACTCAAGGCTCTGGCCTTGAAAATTCATTTCTAGGCACGGGAAGGGGTCACTGAAGTGGTGCCTCAAGGGTGGCGGGCCCAATGCTGAGCAGCCTTGCTGCCCACTGACTCAAGCCTCCATCCTTGTGTCCAGAACAAACTCACCTTAGGCCGGGCGCGGTGGCTCACACCTGTAATCCCTGCACTTTGAGAGGCTGAGGCGGGCAGGCGGATCACTTGAGGTCAGGAGTTCGAGACCAGCCTGGCCAACATGGTGAAACCCCGACTCTTCTAAAATATACAAAAAATTAGCTGGGCGTAGTGGTTGCGCGCCTGTAATTCCAGCTACTCAGGAGACTGAAGCACCAGAATCGTTTGAACCTGGGAGGTGAAGGCTGCAGTCAGCCGAGATCACGCCACTGTACTCCAGCCTGGGCAACAGAGTAAGACTCTGTCTCAAAAAAGATTTAAAAATGGCTGGGTGTGGTGGCTCACGCCAGTAATCCCAGCACTTTGGGAGGCTGAGGTGGGCAGATCACTTGAGGTCAGGAGTTCTGAGACCAGCATGGCCAACACAGTGAAACCCCATCTCTACTAAAAATACAAAAATTAGCTAGGCATGGTGGCAGGCACCTGCAGTCCCAGCTACTTGGGAGTCTAAGGCAAGGAGAATCACTTGAACCCAGGAGGTGGAAATTGCAGTGAGCCAAGATCTCGCCACTCTACACCAGCCTGCAAGACAGAGTAAGACTCTGCCTCAAAAAAAAAAAAAAAAAAAAAAAAAAAAAAAAAATTTTAAAAAAAGAACAAACTCACCGTTTTCTCTCCAACTGGTTAAGAACTGAGTGACAGGCTGGGCATGGTGGCTCACGCCTGTAATCTCAGCACTTTGGGAGGCTGAGGCGGGCAGATCACAAGGTCAGGAGTTTGAGACCAGCCCAGCCAACATGGTGAAACCCCATCCCTACTAAAAATACAAAAATTAGCCGGGCTTGGTGGCACATGCCTGTAGTCCCAGCTACTCGGGAGGTTGAGGCAGAAGAATCACTTGAACCCAGGAGGTGGAGGTTGCAGCGAGCCAAGATCGTATCACTGCACTCCAGCCTGACGGAGCGAGACTCTGTCTCTAACAACAACAACAAAAAGCTGAGTGCTAAAGGAGAGACAGCAAATAAAGGAAACCAACTGCAATGGACCACGTCTGTGTCCCCCAGATTCACAGGGTGAAATTCTAACCCCCTGGGGTGACGGCATGGGGTGGGGCCTTTTGGGGGGTGGGAGGTCCTGAGGGGGAAGCCCTTGGGAATGAGATGAGAGACTTTACAGAACAGGCCACGGAGGCCTTCCTCCAGGGAAGGCTGGACCGAGGGGCTGTCCACTAGGAGGGAGGTGGGCCGTCACCAGACAGTCTGCAGGCACCCTGACCTCAAGCTCCCAAGCTCCAGAACTGGGAGAAAGAAATCTCAGCTGTCATAAGCCACCCAGCCTATGGTATTGTGTTTTTTTTTTTTTTTTTGGTATTGTGTTAAGCAGCCTGAACACACTAAGACACCAAACTGATAAGAATACTCACTTTATCCCAGAGATCTTCAAACTCTTCTTGTCCAAAAGACCCATAGACTGCCCAAAAAAAAGGAAGGCTGCAGTTGAGTCAAATCATGTCAGTGTCTCAGAAACACACCTAACTTTTTACAAAAGGAAACAAGAGTCTGATGTGAGTTTGCCTAGGGGGCAGTGCACACAGAGCGTGACAGTGAACCCATCCACCCACCCGCCACCCAGAACTGCAGTTCTGAAGCCCACTGCATTAACTCCCATCCAGGACTTCCCACGGCTGCGCCAGGTGGGCAGGAGTGACTGAAGAGCTCTGCCCAGAGCAGGGGCAGTTAAAAAGGCACAGGAGACAGGCCTTTCCTATGCATCTGTGAAACCTCCTCCTCCTCTTCTAGCACAAATAAGGAAAGGCACCACACCCCGGTTACAAGCAAGGACCGGACGGGGCGTTTGCCATCACTGAGGCCACTTACAGGAGTTTCATAGATGCTAAGCGTATCCAGGGTCATTCTGGCAAAGAATTTGCCATCATGGCTCCACCTAAGAAAAACAAAAGTGCCAGGGTATTCCCATGAAAAGACAAAGGCTACAGAGCTCGTTACAATGGTCCACTTACTTAAAAATAGGCCAATGGGCTGAGCTCTCACAGTGAAAACCCCTCTTCTTGTGCCCCGTAAGGATGTCCCAGATGATTATGGCCTGAGGGTCATCCTGCGTGTCCATCAGGGGGCTAAAGGTCACCAGGTACCTAGAAGAGAAGGGCAACACTGTACACTATCCTCCTCTCACGAGAGGATCACAGTCTGTCTGTGCGGCCAGAACACGCCGTCAGAACTCGCGGAACCAGCTCTCTCCCCAAACCCCACACTGCCCGGCCCCAAGAGACCCAAGCGGAAGCGGGAAGCAGCGGCGCTTGTTCATTCTGGTGTCAATACGCTGCAGGCGCTCCGGTTTCTCCAAGATCAGCACAGAAGATCTCACCGATCCCACACAAGGCTGCTAAGTGATCCAGAGGGTGGCGCAGTGTGGAACTCTATCTTTACCCATGTTTAATAAAGACTAACAAGTTAAAAAAATACGGCTGGGCGCAGTGGCTCACACCTGTAATCCCAGCACTTTGGGAGGCCGAGGTGGGTGGATCACCCAAGGTCCGGAGTTTAAGACAAGCTTGGCCAACCATGGCCGACATGGTGAGACCCTGTCTCTACTAAAAATACAAAAATTAGCCGGGCGTGGTGGCAGGCACTTGTAATCCCAGCTACTCAGGAGGCTGAGGCAGGAGAATAGCTTGAACCCGGGAGGTGGAGGTTGCAGTGAACTGGTATCGTGCCACTACATTCCAGTCTGGGCGACGCATGAAACTCAGTTTCAAAAAAAAAAAAAACAAAACAAACAAACAAACAAACAAACAAAAAAACAAGTCCCATCCAGTTCGAAAGCCAGCACAGGTCTGATAGAAACTTCAGAGCCTGGGGGCTCCTCCCAGCCATGATTTACCTGACTGCTGGCTTGTCTGGAGCTACTGCACCTGCTTACTCAGTTCACACAAAGTGTGTAACAGACGGTCCCTTACAACACCAGAGGGGAAGGCAGACACAACCCATGAGGGCGAAAACAGAGCGGCCCCAGCTCGCCTCGCACTGCCTTCCACAACTGCCCCTTTCCCTAGAGTGGCCCCCGTTCGCCTCACACTGCCTTCCACAACTGTCCCTTTCCCTAGAGTGGCCCCAGCTCGCCTCACACTGCCTCCCACAACCGCCCCTTTCCCTAGCAGGCCTCCGACAGCCGGATTAGCTAGATCAAAAATCACGGCTCGGCCAGGTGCGGTGGCTCACGCCTGTAATCCCAGCACTCTGGGAGGTCAAGGCAGGAGATCACTTGAGCCCAGGGGTTCAAGACTACCTTGTACAACAAAGTGAGACCCCCATCTCTACAAAAAATAAAATTAGCCATATGTCATGGCGTGTGCCTGCGGTCCCCGCTACTCAGGAAGGCTGAGGTGGGAGAACCGCTTGACCTGGGAGGCTGGGGTTGCAATGAGCCTGCAATGGTGCCACTGGGTGGCGCCAAGCCTGGGTGATAGAGGAAGGACAATTTATTATCTGTAAAATACGTGACCTTAGACTAGATCCTGAACTGAAGGAAAGTAAGTATTATACAGAACATTATTAGGTCAAGTAACAAAATCAGAATATGGCAATACATTGAAGTATTAAATGAATGGTAAATCCCTGAAGTCAGTACCCACACTATGGTCACACTAACAAAATCCTATTTCTAGGAATACACATTCAGGGCTAAAGGGACATGTTATTTCAACTCACTCCCAAATGGCTCAGGAAAAAATATCTGTATAGGAGATGATGACGTAAATGCAACCAAATGTGAGAAGATCTCAGTAAAAAGCTTATTAGCGTTCTGCATACTCCCGTATTTTTCTACTAAGTTTGAAATGCTACAAAATGAAAGATCACCTGTAGAAGGCTGGCATGGGGTGAAATGCATAGACTCCCCTGTGTTTTTCTAGCAGCTTACCTTTCACAAGGTGAGAAGTCAATAAGCTGAACCCCTTGGTGGCTGAATCTCTGAATTTGCTTGAATTTCTCTCCCCCCCATAGAGCAATGCCTCTTTGATGAAAGGTAGCCAGGTAGGTGCCCTTAGGAGACCAACGCACATACGTCTCTGTCCATCTCTGCAGAAAAAGGCAGTGCCAACGTTAATACAACAAAATGGCAAACACAAAGACCCCTCCTACAATGAATTTATCCTACAATGAATCTGTTCTACAAACTTTTTTTTTTTTTGAGACGGAGTCTCGCTGTCTCCCAGGCTGGAGTGCAGTGGCGCAATCTCAGCTCACTGCAAGCTCCACCTCCCAGGTTCATGCCATTCTCCTGCCTCAGCCTCCCGAGTAGCGGGGACTACAGGTGCCTGCCACCATGCCCAGCTAATTTTTTTGTATTTTTAGTAGAGACGGGGTTTCACCGTGTTAGCCAGGATGGTCTCAATCTCCTGACCTCGTGATCCACCCACCTTGGCCTCCCAAAGTGCTGGGATTACAGGCGTGAGCCACCGCGCCCGGCCTATTCTGCAAACTCTTAAGTGAAATACACAAAGCCTGTTCACTTCTCAGGATTTACTTCAAAGCTGGAAGAGGAATAAAAGAAGTTGTTTTCAGAAAGTAATCTCAAAGAAAATATAACGTCACCTGCTCTTCCAGTTTTCTGATAGAAACAAAGTTCCACTTTGTTAAGGAAATACAGGAGAGGTGAGTCCCCGCCCCCAGCAGCAGCAAATACACACCGCTCTTTCTTCAATTGAGACAGGGTCTTTTACGTCATTCCAGAATATGGAAGTGCGGTCTCCACTCTCAAAAATCACACTGTACTGATCTCTGCATTCTGCCTCTTCAAGCCAGTAACGTAAGTTCCCCTTAAAAACAAAGACAAGGAATATAACATTTCATTAATTTTAATAAAAAACTCATTCACAACTATTGCTCTTAAAGATATGACAAGTTCAGTCCACATCTTAACTCCCAAGTCACACCCTAACCTCAAGTCAAGACACCGTCTAGCATTTCTTTTTTTTTTGAGACAGAGTCACGCTGTTGCCCAGGCTGGAGTCCAGTGGCACAATCATAGCTCACGGCAGCCTCAACCTCCCAGGCTCAACCTCCCAGGCTCAAGTGATCCTCCCCCCTCAGCCTCCCAGGTAGCTGGGAATACAGGTGCATGCCAGGCCCAGCTAATGTATGTATTTATTTACTTTTTGTAGAGGCGGGGGTCTCACTTTGTTGCCCAGGCTGGTCTTGAATTCCTGGGCTTAAGCGATCCTCCCACCTCAGCCTCCCTAAGTGCTGGGATTGCAGGTGTGACCCACCACACCCAGCAGCATTTCTTTAAACCACTGAGATGTAGGTTTCAGGCCACTCACCAGGTCTTTGAAAGGCTGTTTCTCTGGAATATCCCACTCGTCACTGATCGTCATATACCTGGAGAAGAAAGGAGACTGCTGAGCCCCACGCCCTGACGACTAGAAAGAGCAACTCGTGGGGGCTCCAGCATGGCCCTGCTGTGCTCCTGCCTGCCCGCCCCCAGGGCTGTGACTGGCATAACAGGGAGGGGTGCTGTAGGCCAGAAGTGTGGGGCAGGGCTGTGAAATGGCTCTGCGGCAGCCTGACCAGAAAGGATGTGAACAATCTGACAGACACCAGCACCGAGAAGCACCAAGCCACCCGCACACAGCCAGTCACTTGCACGTCAACGTCCACTTCCTTGTGGCCAAGTCTGAACTCACTTGTCAAAATCCGTAAAGAGGTTGACCCGGAATGTGTGCTGCTTGTCAAGCTTGTAGCCGTCGGCGTTCTTCACAGCATCCACAGCGTGGGCAGGGGACGCGTACTCCAGGAAAATATACCTGAGTGAGAGAGGGCCGTTGGCACATACCCACACTGTAAGGCTAGGCAGGTATGCGCTGTCCGCCCCACCCCTCTCCACGGACAAGCCCTCGGTGCCAGGAGTATCTGTGCTGCTCTTCCTGCCTCGAGCCTAAGGCAGTCACACGGGGGACAGATCCACAGCCAGGGAGCTCCTAAGTGACAGGGAAATCCTAACCAGAAGATCCGAAGTCTCTAGTTTCATTATCATAATTATAGAAAAGTTAATCAAAACGTCCATTATTTTGACTGTGGCGATGGTTTCGTGATATGTACACATCAAAATGTATTAAATTGTACGCTTTAAAACTATGCAGATTTACTGTATATCAATTATCTCAATAAAGCTGTTTAAAAAAAAATCTTGGCTGGGCGCAATGGTTCACACCTGTAATCCCAGCACTTTGGGAGGCCAAGGTGGGCAGATCACTTGAGGTCAGGAGTTCGAGACCAGCCCGGCCAACATGGTGAAACCCTGTCTCTGCTAAATATACAAAAATTAGCCGGGCATGGTGGCACATGCTTATAATCCCAGCTACTCAGGAGGCTAAGGCAGGAGAATTGCTTGAGCCTGGGAGGCGGAGGTTGCAGTGAGCCAAGATCGTGCCACTGCACTCCAGCCTGGGTGACAGAGCAAGACTCTGTCTCAATAAATAAATAAATAAATAAATAAGCAAGCAAGCAAGCCAGGCGTGGTAGTGTGCGCCTGTAATCCCGGCTACTTGGGAGGGTGGGGCAGGAGAATTGCTTGAACCCGGGAGGCGGAGGTTGCAGTGAGCTGAGATCACACCACTGCACTCCAGCCTGGGCAAGAGTGAGACTGTCTCAAACAAACAAACAAACAAAAAAAACTTAAAAGTAGTCTAATATTGTGTATTACAGGCAAGATTAGAAAGAAGCTCAGAGAGGCCGGGCGCGGTGGCTCAGGCCTGTAATCCCAGCACTTTGGGAGGCCGAGGCGGGTGGATCACAAGGTCAGGAGATCGAGACCATTCTGGCTAACATGGTGAAACCCCGTCTCTACTAAAAATACAAAAAATTAGCCGGGCGTGGTAGCGGGCGCCAGTAGTCCCAGCTACTAGGGAGGCTGAGGCGGGAGAATAGTGTGAACCTGGGAGGCGGAGCTTTCAGTGAGCCGAGATTGCGACACTGCACTCCAGCCTGGGCGACAGAGCGAGACTCCGACTCAAAAAAAAGAAAGAAAGAAAGAACCTCAGAGAATGTTTCATTATAACACGAGTAACTGAGGGTCAAGAGGCCATCCTTCAACTGACTGCCCAACACAGAAAATGCAGCAGCATTACCTGTATTTGATAATTCTAGAAACTAAAACTATTCTAGTTAGTTTTTACTTTATTTATTTATTTTAGAGACAGAGTCTTGCTCTGTCACCCAGACTGGAGTACAGCTACGTTATCATAGCTCACTGCAGCCTCCAACTCCTGGCCTCAGGCTTCAAGAGTGTTGGGAGTTTATGCATAAGCCACCATGCTGGCCTATTCTAGATAATTTTAAAAACTTTAAAACCTTAACTTAAAAAAACAAACTTTATCATCTTCTCATTCACTGCTCTGGATAGCTTCCAGCTGAGGGCGGCCTGAAGAAGTGAACGGCCCACGTGCCTGGGCAAGGCAGGAGCTGTGTTAGTAAGGATCTCCTGCAACACTCCCTCATCATGACGTGCCAGACACAGATGATACTTCTCCAACAGGAGAACACTCACCCTTTTGTCTTCCCATCCTCTTCAGGATAAAAATCATTTGTGATTTTCCCAAACTTGGAAAAGATCTTGTGGATGACATTTTTGAGTTTCTCAAGTCGGTCGGGTCCCACCTGAGGGACATTGTCCACTACAATCACCGAATCGATTCCATCTGCTTCCTGGGGCCGATCTTTGAGTACATCTCCCAGTAATTCTGAACAAGAGAGATTTTTCAAATGATCATTTTTACCAAGAAAAACATTAATACATTAACTGAGCACACTAAACAAGTCTTCAAGAAGAGACAATGAATTGTCTAAATGCTTTCACTGTGAGCAAAAGAAATCCTAACCCTAGCTTGTTTCAGATTTTAAACATGACAGCTGGGGGGACTGGAACTCTCCTCTCTCCCTTTGATGGAAATGTAAACAGTCAAGACAGGTCAATTAAGTTCTGGTAATAACCAAAGACTACAGGAGAATAACAGTGAAAAGCTTTTAACAATGCACAATGCAAATGAAGAAGACCATCTCAAGAATATCCACTATTAGATCTTCCAGAGATGCCTAGATTTTGAAAGGTTTGTTGCAACATCTAGGCAGGCAGAATCCCATCCCAATGTCAATGAAAACTGACTTTTTACAGAAGATTTTAGCAAACAAGTAAATATTTAAATGCTCAATATATTCACAGCACATTTGTGCTGTGAATACAAATTACCAGAAATTATTCAAGGAGGAACCCTCTCTCGAGTGAACTGGGATGAAAGTAGTAACTCTTCTCCCACCTCCTGTTCCCAGTGATTTTCATGTTTTCAGGCCGTGAACTGGATGGCCATTCACAGGGGATGGGGAAAAAACCCAAAGAGGAAGCGCGTCTGGGGTGAGCTTCCCCACCTCTCTCCGCTGCAGAGCCCACCACCACGCACCTTCGTTCAGAACAATCTTTACCCAATATTCCTTAGGTTAAAAAGCTCTAAGGATAAACAACTGAACTGCAGGAGACAGGGATGTGACAGTGTCTTTCCTACTCACGTAACACTCAACACAACGCCTGACACCGGACGTGGGTGTCGCATCAAGCAGTTCTCCAGGGGCCACCAGCTGGGTGTCCTCTAACTTAATCCAATTCAGACACTATCTACCAGGAATTAGCATCAGATCCCACAGGCTGAAGGCTCAGCCCCAAAGACTGGCCCCCATTTCAGATGGCAGTCGCAAGTAGTGGGCTGTCACCTCCGGTTCTGACCGACAGGCTACAAAGCAGGGCTCCCACTATCCCTCGCTTCTTGGGTTCCATTAATTTACTGCAGCAGCTTACAGAATTCAGAGAGCTAGGTTTGCCAGCTTATTATAACGGACGTTACAGAGGATATAGACGAAAAGGCAGATGGAGGAGAAGCGCAGAGCCTCCCTGTGCTCTCCAGGCCACCACCCTGCAGAAGCCTCCACCTGTTCCGCTGCATGGAGCCCCTGAACCTGGTCCTTTTGGGTTTCTATGAAGATCTCATTATAGAGGCGTGATTAATGACATCACTGAGCACCGGTGATCAACTCAACTTTCAGCCCTCTTCCTTCTGGGTGGCAGGGGGAGACCTAAAAGGTCCCACCCTCTAATCACGTGGTTGGTTCCCTGGCAAGGAGCCCCAGCCATCAATCAAGTCCTCGTCTACAAAAAGACACTTACCACTTTGGAAATTACAAGGGTTTAGACGCTGAGTGCCAAGAGCCAGGCAGAGCCCAAATACACATTTCTTAATTATATCACAAAGAGCCTTTTTGAAAAACACTATCAGGGCAGAGACCGGCACTTAAACTAGGAGACTGGAGAATATACAAGCTCCTGAAACAACTTTTTTTTTTCTTTGTAAAGAGACAGGGTCTTGTTATGCTGCCCAGGCTAGCCTGGAACTCCTGGGCTCTAGCAATCCTCCTGCCTCAGCCTCCCAAGTAGCAGGGACTACAGGTGGGAGCTGCCACCCCCACTGAGATTAAATAACAGTATTTTTTTCTTAGTGGTAGGTGAAGCTGTTCTTGATGTGATGAAATGCCTCGCAGGGCTGCTGGAAAGCATCACGTGTCAGAATTTAGAACACGGCCAGGCTCAGTGGCTCACGCCTGTAATCCCAGCATTTTGGGAGGCCGAGGCAGGCAGATTACCTGAGGCCAGGAGTTCAAGACCAGCCTGGCCAACATGGTGAAACCTGTCCCTAATAAAAATACGAGAAAAATGATCCAAGCATGGTGGTGGGTGCCTGTAATTCCAGCTACTGGAGAGGCTGGGGCAGGAGAATCGCTTGAACCCAGGAGATGGAGGTTGCAGTGAGCCAAGATCATGCCACTGCACTCCAGCCTGGGAGACAGAGTGAGACTCCATCTCAAATAATAATAATAATGATAATTCCAACATACTAAATATGCAGATGTCCGAAAATATTCTTTACTGTATTTATTCTCAAAAGTTGGCTGGGCATGGTGGCTCACTCCAGCGACAGAGCAAGACTCCGTCTCAAAAAAACACTTTCGGAAATATTGAAAACTGACCCAGCATGGTGGCTCACGCCTGTAATCCCAGCATTTTTGGAAGCCAAGGAAGGCAAATCACATGAGGCCAGGAGTTCGAGACCAGCCTGGCCAACAAGGCAAAACCCCATCTGTATTAAAAATACAAAAAGTAGCCAGGCATGGTGGCACATGCTTATAATCCCAGCTACTTGGGAGGCTGAGGCAGGAAAATCGCTTGAAGCGGGGAGGCAGAGGCTGCGGTGAGCCATTGCACTCCAGTCTGAGCAAGAGAATGAGACTCTGTCTCAAAAAAAAAAAGGAAATATTGAAAATACTGCCTTAAAAAATAATCGCCGTTTTATTTTCAACGATGCTAAAATTGAGACGAACAAGAGAAAAAAAAAGGGAAAAAGGCAGTTGCCAGTCACTGCAGTGCCGGACACCCTGCTATGGAAACTAGTCAAATCCTAGGGTAACTTCTAAAGCACTTACCATACAATTAAATAGCCTGACAAGCCTGATCTGAATTTATAAGGCTGCAATAAAAAGCTCAACTTTTACACAAATTGGGTACTCCTTCCCACAAGCTCAAAGCGTCTAGTCTAGGAGAAACTGCCCACACGTAGGAAGGAAATAAATGAAGTAACTACACCATGAAGACACAACGCCTTGATCACTCTCAGCCCAAGCATCGGTTACACGTGGCTCATGGATTCCCAAGCGGTCTCCAGGAAAAACAGAAGAGAACAATTCTCAACACTAAATAGCAAATAGAAAGAGAAAGAATAGTTAATGAGCCAAAAAAGACATTTAGAGTTAAAATCCTGGATCAGCTGAAACATTAAACTGAAAGGATGATTACAGTTTGAGAAGCTAATCTGTACCAAAAAAGTAATAAAGCAAGACAGGGACTCCAGGCCACCTCTGGCCTGCTCCTTGGAAGACTTGGCCCTTCTGGAAAGAACTGATACAGTCACCTACGGTCTTGCACAATGACCCTGAAGGGCAGCTCTTCTCATAAAGCACAAAACCTGCGTTACCACAACCAGGAGGGCCATGACAAAGTCGGCTTCCTGAGCCTTAGTCCTCAGGACCAGATGCCTCACCTGTCACTCTGGCCAACACTGCACCTTCAGGGCCACGTGGGCCCGCTGAGGACCCACAGCCGTCACCCAGCCTGGCCAACCCTGTCGTCATATTAGCATCCTCTGACTCTTCCCAATTCCAGAAGTAATCTACGTATTAGAAATCTGTGAATTCGATGGGCTCAAATAATGCTTTTTAAAAAAGTAGCAGAATATCCAAGGGCTCAAAATAATCATTAAACCAAAAGTTTTGATTTTTAAACCATAATAACAATTGAAGCGTTAGAAAGAACACTGTTCTGAGCAGGAGAGTCTGGTGGGCCAAGCAGTATAGACCCACTGGGAATTCTCAGCAGCCTACTCCACCTTCAGGGACAAGTTTCCTCAGGACTGAGGGGCGTAGACTAGATGTTCCCAAAGTCTTTAGTTTGTGGTGTCCTTCCTGCTTTTCATGCTAAAATGTCTTTTATGAAAAAAAAAAGTGTAATATAGTAATGGTCACAGTAACTGACAGCGTTTTTATTTTTTAATTTTTCACTTTTTGAGACAGGGTCTCACTCTGTCGCCCAGGCAGTGGTGGGATCTAGGCTCACTGCAACCTCCACCTCCTGGGTTAAAGTGATTCTCGTGCCTCAGCCTCCCAAGTACCTGAGACTACAGGTGTGCACCAGCACACCTGGCTGACTTGTATTTCTGATAACCTTTTTTTCTTTTTCTTTTTTTTTTTTTTTTGAGACGGAGTCTTGCTCTGTCGCCCAGGATGGAGTGCAGTGGCAGGATCTCGGCTCACTGCAAGCTCCGCCTCCCAGGTTCACACCATTCTCCTGCCTCAGCCTCCAGAGTAGCTGGGAAATCCAGGTGCCCGCCACCACGCCCGGCTAATTTTTTTTTATTTTTAGTAGAGACGGGGTTTCACCGTGTTAGCCAGGATGGTGACCTCGTGATCCACCCGTCTCGGCCTCCCAAAGTGCTGGGATTACAGGCGTGAGCCACCCAGCCCGGCCCTCTGATAGCCTTTTAAAAATACGTTTAAATCATAAATTGGCAACTCCATGTTATTCCCGAAATTGTCCTGGTGTATCGCTGGCTACATCAGCAAGGGTATTTTTATTTTTCTCACTCTAGTATCAACTTAGCCAATCTGCAGAGGCTGATGTGTTCCCAACTTAAAGGCTTAAGAGAGCTAAAAAACAAAAGAAAAACAAATGAGACCAGCTCTCATCAGAAGTAGCTTCAGGAAAAAATCTCTGAGACAGGAAGCAAAAATATGCCTGTAAATCCAATCAAGGTTGAGATGAAGGCAAAGCTGGCTGTTATCGGCAATATTAAAACCTGGAAAAATAACTCTCTTTATAGATTTAGCGCAAGAGATAAAGAAAAATCAAACTGGAATTTCACAGGGTGCCTGTCCCACTAAGGAAGTCTCTGGAGATGGACAATTCTGAGGGGCAGGAGGACAAAATCACCGGCTCTGCCACAAGCTGTTCCTCCGATCCAGACCTTGGGAGGTCTGACTGGTCAGCTCTGGGGACACGTAGACCCGCAAACCTGCCACCGGGTCTTCGGTTTTTGCCGTACCCCCAGCTGCTACACTCACAGCACACCCAGCCATAACGGAGTACCCCATGTGCCCTCTCCCACCCTCTCAGATTTCTGGTTGTCATGCAAATGCCTGGCTCCCGAAGTGAGCTCCACCCTGTCCCCTTTTTCAGGAAAGAAAAGGGGAGGCGCTGGGCTCTCAGAACACTTCCAGGGCACTCGGGAACCCCTCCCTCGGTGGCTTCTCAGGAACACACGGACACCCTCGCTGGAACTTCTGCACGAACCGGTGGCACAGCCCGACGATATCTCCCACCTCGGGAACCCCAGCCACGCTCCCGCGCCGCTCGCCAGCCCCGCCCCGGGCGCCCTCACCTTCCTCGCTCACGTCGTCCACGAAGTCCTCGGGGTCGCTGAAGGAGGGCTCGTCCGCGTCGCCGTTCTCCAGCGCCCGGGGTTCGGCCTCGGCCGCTCTGCCCTCGTTTCCTCCCGCGTCCTCGGACACCGCCTGGGCCCGGCTGTCGGAGCGCTCGTCCCGAGCCTGCTCTCCTGGGGCCTCGCCCTGTGCCGGGACAGGGGGCTCAGCATGCGACCCGGGCAGCTCCTCGGCGGCCGGCGGCGAGGGCGACTCGGACGGGCCGGAGGCCGCCTCTGCCTCGGCCGCCGGCTCGGTCCTCACCTCGGACTCCGGCCCGGCCTCCGCGATCCCCACCTCCTCACTGGAGGCCTCGGTCCCCGCGGCCTCCGGAGCGCCGGGCCCCGCGGGCCGCAGCAGCCCCTCGGCTGGCGGCGGCTCGGCGGCCGGCTGCTGCTGGCCGGGCTCGGCGCGCTCCTCGGCCGCCTCGGGCACCGCCACGTTCTCCGCGTCCTGCATGGGCCCAACGCTGCCTACTCGCAGGGCTCCGCGGCCGCCGCGCTTCCGACTCTCCCAGGCCGCACCGCGCGCCGCGACGGCTACAGCCCAGCCATGTGCGTGCGACGGGGAGGCCGCACCAAGGCCGCGGGGCGGGGGGCGCACCCACGCCCTGGGGCCTCACGAACGACCCTGAGAGGACTCGCATCCACAAGACCGCGCCCGAAAATCATCAAACTGATATATTTGTGACAAGAAAGTGCTTAATTCCATTCAGCAAGGTTGTTTCTGTGCATCAGTAAACTCATGGGAGCATTGACCACCCCATGTGTGGCAGCAGATGGTTCCGTCCAACATGGCGTCCTCCCCCTTTCCTTTCCCGTCGGACGCTGCGGGGCGGGACTGAACTATTTGTGGAGCTGAAGGCGGGGACAAGAAATGATTTTAGTACCCGGAATGCTAGGAAAATGTCCTCTAACTCAACAGTTAATACCCTGGAAGAGTGGAGACTCAACAGGCGATTGCTCAGGGCGTCTGAGCCTTTCGCTAGGGAAACCGTTTAGTTTACGTTACTAAAGTCCCCCCTGTCCGTGTCTGTCACTTGGACTCGCCTACTGACTGAGCAAAAGGACAGACTACTTCAAAATAGAAAAGGAATTCGGGGCGAGCCAGAGAGGGCCCACACGACTAGAAGGACGACTGCCTGGCGCGATACAAAAATGTATGGAAGTTTCTTTAATCGCTTACCCCCAGTCCTTCCCTAGCGGCCGTCACTGCCTGTTTCCCCCCATTCGGGCTTTCACAGTGGTTCAGTCCATCCGAGGCCGCCGCCTTCAGCGCGGGACAGCGCGGGTCACGTGGGGGCGGGGGCGGGTCCTCGCCGCGTGGAGCTCGAGGCTGACTCCGGAGGGACCGGAGCGGTTCGCTCTGCGCGGGTGCTCACGGGACGGGCATTGGGTGCATGTGGCTTCTATCTTGTTTTTTGCCGGAGTGGAGGACAACCACTGGTTGGGGGATGTCTTAATCATCCTAGAAAACAACCCAGTGGATCACGCCTGTTATCCCAGCACTTTGGGAGGCTGAGGTGGGAAGATCGCTTGAGCTTAGGAGTTGGAGACCAGCCTTGCCAACATAGCACCACCACCCCCCGCACGCCAGCCCTCATCTCTACGAAAATTAAATAAATAAATAAAACAGGTGGTACCCAGAGGCTGGGGTGGAGAGTGGGGAGTGTTTATCGGGGACGGACCTTCAATTTGGGAGGATGAGAACGTTTTGGAGATGACGGTGGTGATGGTACAACATGGTGAATGTACTTGATGCCACTGAACTGTATACTAAACTTCATATTAAAATGGCTAGGCCCTGCGCGGTGGCTCACACCTCTCTTCCCAGTACTTTGGGAGGCCAAGACAGGAGGATCACTTGAGCCCAAGAGTTCAAGACCAGTCAGGGCAACATAGCGAGACCCTGTCTTCGAAAAAATAAAATAAAATGCCAAAAAGGTAAATTTTATGTATATTTCATCCTATAGTTTTTTTGTTTTGTTTGTTTTCAGAGATAGGGTCTCGCTCTGTTGCCCAGGCTAGAGTGCGGTGGCATAATCACAGCGCCGCTGCAATCGGGACCTTCCAGCCTCAAGAGAATCCTCCCACCTCAGCCTCCCAAAGTGCCAGGATTACAAGCGTGAACCACCGCGCAGGGCCTAGCCATTTTAATATGCAATTTAGTGTACAGTTCAGTGACATTAAGTACATTGCCAAGTACTTGGGACTGAAGGTATGTGCCACCGTGCCCAGCTAATTTCTTTATTTGTAGATAGCATCTCACTGTGTTGCCCAGGCTGGTCTCAAACTCCTGGCCTCAAGCAGTCTTCCTCCCTCAGCTTCCCAAAGTGCCGGGACTATAGGCATGAGCCACCACACCCATCCCATCCTAACGGTGTTTAAAAGAGCGAAAAAGAAGCAGAGTCTTCCCATGCCTAGTACCAGGTTTGACTACTCCTCATCATGCTGTCAGTGGTGTATCTTTGGGCAGGTCACTTAATGCCTCCACCTCAGTTTCCGCATCTGTACAATAAGGGATGACAATTTTTTTTTTTTTTATTTAGACGGAGTGTTGCTCTGTCGCCTAGGCTGGAGTGCAGTGGCACGATCTCGGCTCACTGCAAGCTCCACCTCCCGGGTTCACGCCATTCTCTTGCCTCAGCCTCCCAAGTAGCTGGGAATACAGGTGCCCGCCACCACGCCTGGCTGATTTTTTTTGTATTTTTTTAGTAGAGACGAGGTTTCACCGTATTAGCCAGGATGGTCTCGATCTCCTGACCTTGTGATCCGCCTGCCTCGGCCTCCCAAAGTGCTGGGATTACAGGTGTGAGCCAATACGCCTGGGAGTATGTTTTTTCTACATATGCATGCTTACAATAGGGCACAGTAAGAGATTAACAGCAATAACTAATAGAACAATTATAACAATATATTGTCATAAAAGTTATGTGGATGTGGTGTCTGGTGGTGTGTCTGTGTCTCTCTCTGTCAAATTTTCTTCATTATGTAATATTTTCCAACCTAATTGACCATAAGTAACTGAAACAGTGCAATGTGAAACTGGGGGTCGGGGGGGCTACTGTGTTTGGAAGCAGTCTTCCCAGATGTAATCAAGATGAAGTCAAAGTGGACGAGAGTGGACCCTAAATCAGTGATTGATGTCCTTATTAGAAGAAGGAAATTATGGCCGGGCATGGTGGCTCACACCTGTAATCCCAGCACTTTGGGAGGCCAAGGTGGGCGGATGCATTACATGAGGTCAGGAGTTCGAGACCAGCCTGAACAACATGGTGAAACCCCATCTCTACTAAAAATACAAAAATTAGCCAGGCATGGTGGCACATGCCTGTAATCTCAGCTACTCAGGAGGCTGAGGCGGGAGAATCACTTGTACCCTGGAGGCAGAGGGCGTAGTGAGCGGAGATTGCACCATTTCACTCCAGCCTGGGCAACGAGCAAAAATCCATCTCAAAAAAAAAAAAAAAAAAAAACCAACAACAACAACAAAAACTTACTCGATTTTTTGTTTTTATTATTATCTTTATTTATTTATTTATTTATTTTTTGAGATGGAGTCTCACTCTGTCGCCCAGGCTGGAGTGCAGTGGTGCTATCTCGGATCACTGCAAGCTCCACCTCCCGGGTTCAAGCAATTCTCCTGCCTCAGCCTCCCGAGTAGCTGGGACTACAGGCGCCTGCCACCACACCCGGCTAATTTTTTGTATTTTTAGTAGAGACGGGTTTCATCCTGTTAGTCAGGATGGTCTCACTCTCCTGACCTCGTGATCCGCCCGCCTTGGCCTCCCGAAGTGCTGGGATTACAGGCGTGAGCCACTGCGCCTGGCCTATTATTATTTTTTAACAGGGTCTCACTCTGTCACCCAGGCTGGAGTACAGTGGTGCCGTCGCACCTCACTGTAGCTTCAGTCTCACAGGCTCACCTTAGCTTCCTGAGTATCTGGTAGTACAGATCCACACCACCACATCGGGCTACCTTTTTGTTTTTCTGTAGAGATGGGGTCTCACTATGTTGCTCAGTCTGGTCTTCAACTCCTGGGCTCAAGCAGTTCTCCCAACTCTGCCTCCCAAAGTGCTACAGGCATGAGCCAGCAGGCCTGGCCTCCGCTGGTCTATTTCTGAGCCTCTGAGGTGAAGGAGTGGGAAACCTGAGGCACCGCACCAACCCTGGCAGCAGAGATGGCCGGATGAGGCTCCCAGGCTGACCTGCAGCGTGGCCTGTGTTGTGCTTCCAGGGGTAGATTTTTTTCTTTTTGTTTTTGAGACAAGGTCTCACTCTGTCACCCAGGCCGGGAGCACAGTGGCGCAATCATGGCTCACTGCAGCCTCAAACTCCCAGGCTCGTGATCCTCCCGCCGCCTCCTCCTGAGTAGTTGAGACTATAGGCGTGCACCACTGTGCCCGGCTAATTTTTTAAATTGTTTATTTAGAGAGCGAGGCACAGTGGCTCCCACCGGTAATCCCAGCACTTTGGGAGAGTGAGGCAGGAGGATCACTTGAGGTCAGGAGTTCAAGACTAGCCTGGCCAACATGGTGAAACCCTATCTCTACTAAAAATACAAAATTTAGCCGGGTGTGGCCGCAGGCGCCTGTAATCCCAGCTACTCAGGAGGCTGAGGCAGGAGGATCACTTGAGCCCAGGAGGCAGAGGCTGCAGTGAGCCGAGGTTGTGCCACTGCACTCCAACCTAAATGACAGAGTGAGACTCTGTGTCAAAAAAAAAAAATTGTTTTTAGAGATGGGGGAGAGTGTCTCACTGTTAGCCCAAGCTGGTCTTGAACTCCTGGCTTAGAGCAAACCTTCTGCGTTGGCCTCCCAAAGTGCTGGGATTATAGGCATGAGCCACCGCGCTCGGCCCAGGGGTAAGCTTTAATTTCCCTCAAAACTCTTTCTAAAGAAACGTGACTTCATTTTAAGGCCAAATTTATAGTTTCCGTGAAATTATAAGTTTTATGGGTTTGTTGCATTTCTATTGATATTAACATTGGTTCATAACTATGAAAATGAAAAATGTTCCGCCACACGGCCCCTTGGGGAAGCCTGACCTGGCTGGGGAGAGAGGCTGCCTGAGCCCGGAGACTGGGCCGAGACTAACCCCTCCCTTGCTATCAAGAGAGCCTCAACGTCTCTAGGCCTCAGTTTTCTTACCTCGCAGGCTTGGGGGAGTTTGGATGAGATAATGTAGGAAAGCTGTGCCTTTATTTTCCTGTGGGTTTATCTTAACAGAATGAGAAGTATTTCCAAGTAGGCCAACCAGGTTCTGAGCGTGGGGATTTCATGTCTTTGAGGAAGAGGTTCAGAGCCGGGAAGTGTCCAGTCCCTGAGCCTGGGAGCCATGAACCGGGTGGTAGAGATCCAGGGTGACCCTTCCAGGGCCCAGGCAGGTGAGATCTCTAGTGGGGTGGCTCCGGGTGTAGCCTGGGAGCCTCATGCTGGGCTGGAGAGGACTGAGACTCTGACCTCACCACCTGTCCACCATGGGCCAGCCTGGGTGGGTTTGTGGACATTCAGGACCTGTCACAGGAGGCTGAGGCAGGAGGATAGCTTGAGCCTGGAAGGTTGAGGCTGCAGTGAGCCAGGATCGAGCCACTGCACTCCAGCCTGGGCAACAGAGTGAGACCTTGTCTTAAGAAAAGCTAAATTGGCCAGGCGCGGTGGCTCACGCCTGTAATCCCAACACTTTGGGAGCTGAGGTGGGCAGATCTCTTGAAGGCAGGAGTTCAACATCAGCCTAGACAACATGGTGAAATCTCATCTTTACAAAAAATTAGTTGTGTGTGGGGGCGTGCTCCTGTAGTCCCAGCTTCTTGGGAGGCTGAGGCAGGAGAATCGCTTGAACATGGGGTGGGGGTAGAGATTGCAGTGAGCCGAGATCACACCACTGCACTCTAGCCTGAGTGACAGAGTGATAAACTGTCTCAAAAAAAAAAAAGTTAAATTAAAAATATAGGGGGTAGGGTGAAAAAAATAAACTAAAAATATAACAAATTTAAAAATATAACACTTAAAAAAGGAAAATAATTTGGGAGATAGTGGTGGTGATGGCTGCGTCAGTGTGAACATGCTTTATGCCAATATACCATATGCTTTAACGTGGTTAAGATGGTACATTTTATGTTATGTACACTTTACTATAATATTACGCATTTTTTTTACTTTTTTTTTTTTTGTTTTTGAGACGGAGCCTCACTCTGTCACCCAGGCTGGAGTGCAGTGGTGTGATCTCGGCTCACTGCAACCTCCACCTCCCAGGTTCAAGCAGTTCTCCTGCCTCAGCCTCCTGAGTAGCTGGTATTGCAGGTGTAAGCCACCTCACCAGGCTTTTTTACAATTTTTTTAAAGAAAAAAAAATTGAAAGTCATGATTTTTTGGTTGTAGTTCTCTTGCTAACTTGTGGGTAGCCTATTTTTTTTTTTTTTTTTTTTTTTGAGACAGAGTCTCACTGTGTTGCCCAGGCTGGAGTGCAGTGGCACAATCTCTGCTCACTGTAACTCCGCCTCCCGGGTTCAAATGATTCTTCTGCCTCAGCCTCCCCAGTAGCTGAGATTACAGGCGCACACCACTATGCCCGTCTAATTTTTTTTTTTTAATTTTTAGTGGAGATGGGGTTTTACCATGTTGGCCAGCTGGCCTTGAACTCCTGACCTCAGGTGATCCGCCCGCCTCTCAGAGTGCTGGAATTACAGGTGTGAGCCACCGCGCCTGGCCACTGGCTGGGTAACCCTGAAAAAGATACTGGGCCGGGCACGGTGGCTCACGCCTGTAATCCCAGCACTTTGGGAGGCTGAGGCGGGTGGATCACAAGGTCAGGAGATCAAGACCATCCTGGCTAACACGGTGAAACCCCATCTCTACTGAAAATACAAAAAAATTAGCCGGGCCTGGTGGCGGGCGCCTGTAGTCCCAGCTACTCGGGAGGCTGAGGCAGGAGAATGGCGTGAACCCGGAAGGCGGAGCTTGCAGTGAGCCGAGATCGCGCCACTGCACTCCAGCCTGGGCGACAGAGCGAGACTCTGTCTCAAAAAAAAAAAAAAAAAAAAGAAAGAAAGAAAAGAAAAAGATACTGTACTCGCCAGAGCCTCTGCCTTGTCCTTCCTGGGTGGAGCGTGCAGGCTAGAGGGGGAGCTAGGTAGCTTGGACCCATTTAGGTGTCAGGAACTGTGGACAGAATTCGAGTTGGCAGAAGAAACGATTCACCTACAGATGGCGATCTTAGCCCGCCCTTTTCAGTGTGTGAACTAGGCTTGCTTTTTTTACTTAGTTTCTTTTTTAAATTCCTTACATAGTAGGAAGCCGAAAAAGCAGCTTTCTCTCCAGCAAGTTTCTCAGTATCTCAGTAATTTCTCCAGGATGTTCTACATAAACCGGTCTATGTCCAATCTCGCAGGGCACTTGGAGACGCAAAGAGGCATCCATGGATTCAAAGGGTCCAGTGTGGGCCAGGCGTGGTGGCTCACGCCTGTAATCTCAACACTGGGAGGCCGAAGCGGGCAGATCACCTGAGGTCAGGAGTTCCAGACCAGCCTGGCTAATATGGCGAAACCCCATGTACTAAAAATACAAAACTTAGCTGGCTGTGGTGGCACACGCCTGTAATTCCAGCTACTTGGGAGGCTGACACAGGAGAATTGCTTCAACCTGGGAGGTGGAGGTTGCAGTGAGCCGAGATCACACCACTGCACTCCAGCCTGGGTGACAGAGCAAGACTCCATCTCAACAAAACAAAGCAAAAGAAAATAAAATGAGCAAAAAAAAAAAAAAAAAAGAATCCAGTGTGGCCCCAAATCATCTGAACTTCCCTGTCTCGTTTGACCATGCTGGTTTCCTCCTGGTTTTCCCTGCCGCCTACTGCCTTCAGCCAAAGGCTCTTTTTTTTTTCTTTTTTTTTTTTTTTTTTTGAGACAGCATCTTGCTCTGTCGCCCAAGCTGGAGTGCAGTGGTGCTATCTTGGCTCCCTGCAATCTCCACCTCCTAGGTTCAAGCGATTCTCCTGTCTCAGCCTCCTGAGGATTGAGGACTACAGGCGCCCACCACGAAGCCTGACTAATTTTTGTATTTTTATTAGAAACAGGTTTCGCCGTGTTAGCCAGGCTGGTCTCAAACTCCTGACCTCAGGTGATCCGTCAGCCTCGGCCTCCCAAAGTGCTGGGATTACAGGCGTGAGCCACTGCGCCCAGCCCAAAGGCTCTTATTATTATTGTTTTGTGGAGATGGTGGGGGCGGAGGGTGTCTAGCTATGTTGCCCCAGCTGGTCTTGAACTTCTGGCCTCAAGTAATTCTCCTACCTCAGGCTCCCATGGCTGGATTACAGGTGAGCAACACACCCTGTTCAAAGACTTATTTGACTTTCTGCCCTATGATGCTTGGCTTCTTCAAATGTAGAGGAGTGAGGCATGGACAGGAATCAGATGCTCCCTATTTCCCTATTCCTTTTTTCTTTTTTTTTTTTTTTTTTTTGAGACGGAGTCTCAATCTCTGTCGCCCAGGCTGGCGTACAGTGGTGTGATCTCGGCTCACTGCAGCCTCCACCTCCCAGGCTCAAGAGATCCTCTGAACTCAGCCTCCTGAGTACTTGTGGCTACAGGTGTGAGCCACCATACTTGGCTAATTTTTTTCTGTTTTTTTTTTTTTTTTTTTTTTTGAGACGGAGTCCAGCCCAGGCTGGAGTGCAGTGGCGCAATCTCAGCTCACTGCAAGCTCCGCCTCCCAGGTTCACGCCATTCTCCTGCCTCAGCCTCCCAAGTAGCTGGGACTACAGGTGCCCACCACCACGCCCGGCTAATTTTTTGTATTTTAGTAGAGACGGGGTTTCACTGTGTTAGCCAGGATGGTCTCGATCTCCTGACCTCGTGATCCTCCCACCTCGGCCTCCCAAAGTGCTGGGATTACAGGTGTGAGCCACCGTGCCTGGCTGCCTCACCTTTTTTTTTTCGTTTTGAGAGTCTTGCTCTTTCAGCCAGGCTGGAGTGCAGTGGTGAAATCACAGCTCAGAGCAGCCTTGACCTCCTGGGTTCAAGCAACCCTCCTGTTTCGGCCTCCCCAGTAGCTGGGGCTACAGGCATGCACCACCATACCCAACTAGTTTTCTTTTTATTTTTTGTAGAGACCAGGGTCTCACTATGTGAGCTCAAACTTCTGGGCTCAAGTCCTCTCCTAAAATATATTTTCTCCTCTGTTCCTCAGAGGAAGCCATCATGTACCTGTAAGTAATGTATTCATTGTTTGGTATTTTTATTGATTTATAGTAGACCCATATGCTATTATAAGAAATAGGCTGGGTGTGGTGGCTCACGCCTGTAATCCCAGCACTTTGGGAGGCTGAGCAGGCAGATCACTTGAGGTCAGGAGTTCGAGACCAGCCTGGCCAACATGGTGAAACCCTGTCTCTACTAAAAATACAAAAATTAGCTGGGAGTGGTGGTGGGTGCCTATAATCCCAGCTACTCGGGAGGCTGAGGTAGGAGAATCGCTTGAACCCAGGAGGTGGAAGTTGCAGTGAGCTGAGATCTTGCCACTGCACTTCAGCCTGGGCAACAAGAGTGAAACTCCGTCTCAAAAAACAAAACAAAAATAAGAAATAATACCCTTTGCCCAGTATCCTCTAATGATGCAGAAGTACACAATAATATCACAACCAGAATGTTGACGCAAATAAAATCCACCAACCTTATTCACATTTCTTCTTCTTTTTTTTTTTTGGACGGATTCTCACTCTGTCTCGCCCAGGCTAGAGTGTGTAGTGGCACGATCTTGGCTCACTGCATCCTCCACCTCCTGGGTTCAAGTGATTCTCCTGCCTCAGCCTCCCAAGTAGCTGGGATTACAGGTGCCTGCCAGCAGGCCCGGCTAATTTTGTATTTTTAGTAGAGATGGGGTTTTTTCCACATGGGCCAGGCTGGTCTTGAACTCCTGACCTCAGGTGATCTGCCTGCCTCAGCCTCCCAAAGTGCTGGGATTACAAGTATGTGAGCCACTGTGCCTGGCCAGATTTCCTCAGTTTTATTTGTCCCCTTTGGTTCATTTACGTCTTTAAATGGACGTGCTGCACTCCACAGACCCTTCTGCAGTTTTCTTCACCCACAATGATGTTTTCAAGATCTATCCATTCTGTACATGCTGTTCTAGTTTATACATTGCATGAATATATCACAATTTCTTATTCACTTCACATTCGTATAAAAGTAGGTTGTTTTGGTTTTTTTCAGTGTTATAAATAGTATTACAGTGAAGACTCTTATGCTTGTCTCTATGAGCTATAGTTTAGAGAATATGACTAAAAGTAGGATTTGCGGGTCACAGGATATCTGCATTCCAATTTATTAGACATTAACAAGTTGTTCTCCAAAGTATCTGTACCAATTTACACTCCCTCCAGCAGTGTGGGAATATTGCTGTTTCTTCCTATCTGCTGTGCGTGAAAGGGTATCGTGTTGTTTGAATTTGCATTTCTCTGATGTAAGTAGATGTCTGATTCAAGCAGAAAATGAAATTATTAAAAGGATCTAAAAGGCCAAGCTGGTCTCGAACTCCTGACCATGTGATCCGCCTGCCTCAGCCTCCCAAAGTGCTGGGATTACAGGCGTGAGCCGCCGTGCCCAGCTGGCTAATTTTCGTGTTGTTGGTATAGATGCGGTTTCATCCTGTTGGCCAGGCTGTCCTCAGATGATCCTGAACTTAAATGATCTGCTTGCCTCAGTGTCCCAAAGTGCTGGGATTACAGGTGTGAGCCACCACACCCAGCCACTTTATAATTTTTTTTTTTTTTTTGAGTTGGAGTCTCGCTCTGTCACCCAGGCTGGAGTGCAGTGGCGCGATCTCGGCCCACTGCTACCTCCGCCTCCCAGGTTCACAAGATTCTCCTGCCTCAGCCTCCCAAGTAGCTGGGACTACAGGCACCCACCACCACGCCCGGCTAATTTTTTTGTATTTTTAGTAGAGACGGGGTTTCACCATCTCAGCCAGGATGGTTTCGATCTCCTGACCTCGTGATCCGCCCGTCTGGGCCTCCCAAAGTGCTGGGATTACAGGTGTGAGCCACTGTCTATAATTTTTTTAATAAAATAGAGAGGAGGTCTTACCATGTTGCCCAGGCTGATCTTGAACTCCTGAGCTCAAGCGATCTTCCCACCTTGGCCTCCCAAAGTACTAGGATTTTCTTTTTATTTTCCTTTTCTTGTTTTTGAGACTGAGTCTTGCTCTGTCGCCCAGGCTCAATTACGTGATCATGGCTCACTGCAGCCTTGAACTCCTGGGTTCAAGGAATCCTTCTGCCTCAGCCACCCAAATAGCTGGGACTACAGGCGCACGGCACCACACCTGGCTAATTTTTTTTTTTTTTTTTTTTTGAGATGGAGTTTTGCTCTTGTTGCCCAGGCTGCAGTGAAATGGCAGGATCTCAGCTCACTGAAACCTCCACCTCCCCAGTTCAAGCGATTCTCCTCCCTCAGCCTCCTGAGTAGCTGGGATTACAGGCCTGCACCACTGTGCCTGCACCACTGTGCCTGGCTAATTTTGTATTTTTTAGTAGAGACAGGATTTCTCCATGTTGGTCAGGCTGGCCTTGAACTCCCGACCTCAAGTGATCGGCCCCCTTTGGCCTCCCAAAGTGCTAGGATTACAGGTGTGAGCCACTGCATTTGGCTCATATCTGGCATTTTTACCTTCTACAGTGGGAAGATAATCTTCTTTTATTTATTTATTTATTGAGATTGGATCTTACTCTGTCGCCTAGGCTGGAGGGCAGTGGCACCATGTTGGCTCACTGCAAGCTCCGCCTCCCGGGTTTACGCCATTCTCCTGCCTCAGCCTCCCCAGCAGCTGGGACTACAGGTGCACGCCACCACACCCGGCTAATTTTTTGTATTTTTAGTAGAGACGGGGTTTCACCGTGTTAGCCAGGATCGTCTCGATCTCCTGATCTCGTGATCCGCCCGCCTCGGCCTCCCAAGGTGCTGGGATTACAGGCGTGAGCCACCATGCCCGGCCTGTATGAGCTCTTTGTAAGTTCAGGCTTCTAGTCTTTAAACTTTGTATATGTTAAAAATATTTTTTCCCAGGGTGTGGCTCATCTTTGCATCTTTGTTCATGGTCTCTTTCATCATACAGTTTGGTCATACTAAATGGCCAAATTAATATTTAAAATTATCAAGGCCAGGTGCGGTGGCTCATGCCTGTAATCCCAGCACTTTGGGAGGCCAAGGTGGGTGGATTATTTGAGGTCAGGAGTTAGAGACCAGCCTGGCCAACATGGTGAACCCCCACCTCTACTAAAAATACAAAAATCAGGCCAGGCGTGGTGGCTCACACCTGTAATCCCAGCAGTCTGGGAGGTCGAGGCAGGTGGATCACCTAAGGTCAGGAGTTCAAGACCAGCCTGACCAATACGGTAAAACCCCGTCTCTACTAAAAATACAAAAAAATTAGCCGGTGGTGGGCGCCTGAGGCAGGAGAATTGTGTGAACGCGGGAGGTGGAGCTTGCAGCGAGCCGAGATCATGCCACTGCACTCCAGCCTAGGCGACAGAGCGAGACTCCGTCTCAAAAAAATAAAAAATAAATAAATAATGTAAATAAATAAATAAAAGCAAGGATGGAGCCCTATTTGGCTGATGGGCTATAGTTTGTCACCCTGTGTCCTGGGCTATAAAAGTTACTCTGTCTTCTCTCATCTCCACTTACGTGATACTTTTGTCATGCACTGTAATTCTATCCTTTTTTTTTTTTTGGGAGATGGAGTCTCGCTCTGTCGCCTAGGCTGCAGTGCAGTGGCCTGATCTCGGCTCACTGCAACCTCTGCCTCCTGAGTTAAGCAATTCTCCTGCTTCAGGCTCCCAAGTAGCTGTGGCTACAGCCCCGCACCACTGCGTCCGGCTGATTTTTGTATTTTTTAGTACAGACGGGGTTTCACCATGTTGGCCAGGCTGGTCTTGAACTCCTGACCTCAAGTGATCCGCCCTCCTCAGCCCCCCAAAGTGCTGGGATTACAGGCGTGAGCCACTGCGCCCAGCCCTGTAATTCTATCCTTAATAAAACCCTTGAGATTATTATTACTAATACATGCAATCAGTGCTTTTGAGATTTATCCATCTTGCGTGTTGAACATTTCTTTTCTCATTCCAGGCCTTCTACCTGGAATTGCTTTCTTTCTACCTGAAGTACATTTATTTATTTATTTATTTATTATTTATTATTATTTTTTTTGAGACAGCGTTTCCCTCTTATTGCCCAGGCTGGAGTGCAGTGGTGAGATCTCGGCTCACTGCAACCTCCGCCTCCCAGATGCAAGCGATTCTCCTTGCATCTGAGAGATCCAGATGCAAGGATCAATCTCCTGATCTTGTGATCCGCCCGTCTCAGCCTCCCAAAGTGCTGGGATTACAGGCGTGAGCCACCGGGCCCGGCCTATTTTTAATTTTTTCTCACTCTGTCATCCAGGCTGGAGTGCAGTGGTGCGATCTCCGCTCACTGCAACCTCCAACTCCTGGGTTCAAGTGATTCTCCTGCCTCAGCCTCCCGAGTAGCTCAGATTACACACCCGGCTAATTTTTGTATTTTTAGTAGAGACGGGGCTTCACCATGTTGGCCAGGCTGGTCTTGAACTCCTGACCTCAGGTGATCTGCCTGCGTCAGCCTCCAAAGTTCTAGGATTACAAGCGTGAGCCACTGCGCGTGGCCGATGCTTGTTTTTAGTTTTTGGTTTTTGCTTTTGAGATAGGCTCTTGCCTCTATCACCCAGGTTGGAGTGAAGTGGTGAGAACATGGCTCACTGCAGCCTCTAACTCCTGGGCTCCAGCAATCCTCCCATCTCGGCCTCCCAAAGTGCTAGGACTGTGGGTGTAAGCCATGGCACCTAGCCTTCAACTTCATTTTTGCTTTTTTTTGAGATGGAGTCTCGCTCTTGTTGCCCAGGCTGGAGTGCAGTAGTGCGACCTCAGCTCACTGTAACCTCTGCCTCCTGGGTTCTAGCGATTCTCCTGCCTCAGCCTCCCGAGTAGCTGGGATTACAGGCACCTGCCACCACACCCGGCTAATTTTTGTATTTTTAATAGAGAAGGGATTTTGCCATGTTGGCCAGGCTGGTCTGAAATCCCTGGCCTCAAGCGATCCTCCTGCCTCAGCCTCATGTGAGCCACTGCACCTGGCTGATCAATTTTATTTATTTTCTTTTTTCTTTTCTTTTCTTTTTCTTTCTTTCCTTTTCTTTTTTTTTTTTTAAGAGAAGATCTGGATGTCACCCAGGCTGGAGTGAATGGCGTGATCACAGCCTGTTGCAGCCCCAACCACTTGGGCTCCAGTGATCCTCCCACCTCAGTTTCTTGAGTAGCTGGGGATGCATGCCACCATGCCTGGCTAATTTTCTTCAGAGACAGCATCTTGCTATGTTGCCCAGGCTGGTCTTAAATTCCTGGGCTCAAGTGACCCTCCTGCCTTGGCCTCCCAAAGTGCTGGGATTACAAGCATGAGCCACTGTACCCGAGTACTGATTAGCTTTAGAGTTTTTTTTTTTTTTTTTTTTTTTTTTTTGAGAAGCAGCCTCCCTCTGTTACCCAGGCTGGAGTGCAGTGGCGCAACCTCGGGTCACTGCAACCTCCGCCCTCCGGGTTCAAGCGATTCTCCTGCTACAGCCTCCTGAGTAGCTGGGAGTACACACATACGCCACTGTGTCTGGCTGACTTCTGTATTATTAGCAGAGATGGGGTTTCACTATATTGGCCAGGCTGGTCTTGAACTCCTGACCTCAAGTGACCCGCCCTCTTCAGCCTCCCAAAGTACTGGGATTACAGGCGTGAGCCACCGCACCTGGCCTAGTTTTAGAGTTTGACAACTAAAGTATGCATGCAGTAGTCCTAAAGGAACCTGTAAAAATATAGAGTGTCCTAGAATAACCATTAAAAGAACAGAAACAGGGAAAAATAGAATTTTGAAAATTCCAAAAAAAAAGCAAGAAAAGAAAAAAAAAACCCTTTCCCACTCATAAAGCTATTTTCCTCTAAAAGTTTTGTAGTGTAGGCCGGGCATGGTGGGTCACGCCTGTAATCCCAGCACTTTGGGAGGCCAAGGTGGGCAGATCACGTGAGGTCGGGAGTTCGAGACCAGCCTGACCAACATGGAGAAACCCCATCTATAATAAAAAAAAAAAAATTATGAAAATTAGCCGGGCATGGTGGCGCATGCCTGTAATCCCAGCTACTTGGGAAGCTGAGGCAGGAGAATCACTTGAACCAGGGAGGTAGAGGTTGCAGTGAGCTGAGATCGTGCCATTGCACTCCAGCCTGACAATAAGAGCGGAACTCTGTCTCAAAAAAAAAAAAAAAGTTTTGTAGCCTAGCTTTTCATATGTAGATATATGTTTCAATTCAAATTTTTTGTTTGTATTTTTGGTGTGCAAGATGGGTCTAATTTTTATTTTCTCTTAAAATAGCCAATTGTAGAGCACTCTTTGTTCCATAAATGGTGTTTCCCAGTGATATCGAAGTGCCAATCTCTGTTATCTACCACGTGCAGAAAATACATGGTTCCGTTTCTGGGCTCTCTATTCTGTTCTTTTTAAAAATAAATCTACGTGTTCTTATTTATCTGTTCTTATATATCTAATTCTGCCTGTTTTAAATATTATAGCATAATAATTTCTGATATCTGGTAGTGAAAATTCTCCTTATCTTTCTTCTTCAAAATTGCTTTGGCTAATCTTGATTCTATACTCTTTCATTTGGATTTAGAATTCGCTTGGTAATTTCCTGATGAGATTTCAAAAAAAATGGAAATTACATTAATTTTATACATCAATTTGGGTCAATTGTCACTTTAGATATATTGAATCTTTGCTATCTGTGAATAGTTCTAGGTCTTCATCTCTTTAGATCTTCTTTTAAGTCTTTTAATAAAGTTTTATAATTTTCTCCCAGCACTTTGGGAGGCCAGGGTGGGTGGATCATGAGGTCAGGAGATCGAGACCATCTTGGCCAACATGGTGAAACCCCATCTCTACTAAAATTAAAAAAAAAAAATTAGCTGGGCGTGGTGGCACGTGCCTGTAGTCCCAGCTACTCGGGAGGCTGAGGCAGGAGAATTGCCTGAACCCAGGAGGTGGAGGTTGCAGTGAGCCGAGATCGTGCCGCTGCACTCCAGCCTGAGCGACAGGGCCAGACTGCATCTCAAAAAATAAAAAATAAATAAGGCTGGGCACAATGGCTCATGCCTGTAATCCCAGCACTTTGGGAGGCTGAGATGAGAGGTTTGCTTGAGACTAGGAGATCAGTCAGGACACCATAGCAAGATCTTGTATCTACAAATAATTTTTAAAAAACAGGTGTGGTGACTTGTGCCTATGGTTCTAGCTACTGGGGAGGCTGAGGTTGGAGGATCACTTGAGCTCTGAAAAGTTGAGGCTGCAGTGAGCTGGGATTGTGCCAGTGCACTCCAGCCTGGGTGACAGGACAGATCTTGTCTCGGAAAAATAAAAAGAAATAGAGGCAAGGTCTTGCTATGTTGCCCAGGGTGGTCTCAAACTCCTGATCTTAAACTCCCAGACTCAAGTGATCCTTCTGCCTCGGCCTCCCAAAGTGCTGAAATTATAGGCATGAGCCACCACACCCTGCCAGTATTTTGCTCTTGAATCAAAAAATCCTGCTGAATTCTCTTGTTAGTTCTAACAGTTAGTTTATATATTTTATGGAGTTGGGGTCAACCCTGTTATTTGAGATTAGCAATCATTGTATTTCTTCCTTCCCAATATTTTTTATTTTTTTGAGACAGTCTTGCTCTGTCGCCCAGGCTGGAGTGCAGAGGTGCAATCTCGGGTCACTGCGACCTCAGCCTCCCGGGTTCAAGCAATTCTTATGCCTCAGTCTCCGCACAGCTGGGACTACAGGCTTGCGCCACCACGCCCGCCAATTTTTTGTATTTTTTTTTTTTTTTTGAGACACAGTCTCTCTCTGTCGCCCAGGCTAGAGTGCAGTGGCATGATTTCGGCTCACTGCAACCTCTGCCTCCCGGGTTCATGCCATTCTCCTGCCTCAGCCTCCCGAGTAGCTGGGATTACAGGCACCTGCCACCGTGCCCGGCTAATTTTTGGTATTTTTAGTAGAGTCAGAGTTTCACCATGTTAGCCAGGATGGTCTTGATCTCCTGACCTCGTGATCCGCCCGCCTCGGCCTCCCAAAGTGCTGGGATTACAGGTGTGAGCCACCGCGCCTGGCCAATTTTTAGTATTTTTTAGTAGAGATGGGGTTTCGCCATATTGCCCAGACTGGTCTCAAACTCCTGAGCTCAGGCAATCTGCCTGCCTTGGCTTCCCAAAGTGTTAGGATTACAGGCGTGAGCCACTGCGCCTGGCCCTTTCGCAGTCTTTATTACACTGTTTGTATTTGTCTTCTTGCTTTAGCTAGATCCTTAAATACAGAGTTTAATAGTTTTCATTATAACAGGCATACTTCTCCCCCCTGATTTTAAAGGGAATAATTTTGAAGTTTAAGCTTTTGATATAATGGTTGCTCTAGGGTTTTTCTTTTCCCTTTTTTTTTTTTTTACAAGATATCCTTTTATTTGCTTGAGGAAGTTCCTTTATATTCCTAATTAGCTAAAAGAGGTCTTTTGCATACTTGTTTTTTTTTTAATGTAATAAAGGGGTTGACTCTGTGATTCTTTAACTAACATCTAAAATTGACCCTGAGCTAATTAATTCTCAATCTTTCATGTTTTCTCGTATTTGCATTTCAGATTATACGTTTCCCTCCAGGCATTGCTCTCTGTCTGCTTCCCTTGAGTTCTGATAAGTAGAACTTTCATTGTCAATTTCAAATAGTCTGTAATTTTATTATGGATTATTTTACATTTCCAAATACATTGGAGATTTTTGGCTAGAAATGTATTACTGATTTTTATTAAAGTGTAATTTACATAAGGGAAATGCACAGACTTTTGTTTTGTTTTGTGACAGGGTCTTGCTCTGTCACCCAGGCTGGAGTGCAGGGGTGCAATTACACAGCTCACTGCTACCTCTGCCTCCTGAGCTCAAGTGATCCTCCCTCCTCAGCCTCCCAACTAGCTAGGACCACAGGTGCGTGCCATCACGCCTCACTAATTGTTTTACTTTTTAGGGTCTCCTTGTGTTGCCCGGGCTGGTCTCGAACTCCTGACCTCAAGTGATCTGCCTGCCTCGGCCTCTGAAAGTGTGGGGATTACAGGCATGACCCGTCACACCGGGCTGGAATGCACGGATCTTATATGCTACAAATTAAAGAATCTTCACAGCTACGCACAGTGGTGTGACCCTTATCAAGAGACAGAACATTTCTGTCACTGGCAAAATTCCCCCACGCCCTCCTCCACAATAGGCAACCGCTATACTGATTTCTTTCTTTTTTTTTTTTGAGACAAGGACTCAGTCTGTCACCCAGGCTGGAGTGTAGTAACGCAGTCTCGGCTCACTGCAACCTCCGCCTGCTGGGTTCAAGCGATTCTCATGCCTCAGGCTCCGGAGTAGCTGGGATTACAGGCATGCATCACCATGCCCAGCTCATTTTTTTGTTTTTTTAGTAGAGATGAGGTTTCACCATGTTGGCCATGCTACTCTCGAACTTCTGACCTCAAATGATCTGCCCTCCTTGGTCTCCCAAACAGCTGGGATAACAGGGGTGAGCCACTGTGCCCAGGCTTATTTATTTATTTTTTTGAGAAGGAGTCTCGCTCTGTAGCCAGGCTAGAGTGCAGTGACGCAATCTCGGCTCACTGCAACCTCCGCCTCCCGGGTTCAAGCAATTCTCCTACCTCAGCCTCCCAAGTAGCTGGGTTTACAGGTGCGCACCACCATGCCCAGCTAATTTTTTGTATTTTTAGTAGAGAAGGGATTTCACTGCGTTAGGCAGGCTGGTTTCAAACTCCTGACCTCATGATCTGCCTGCCTTGGCCTCCCAAAGTGCTAGGATTACAGGTGTGAGCCACCACGCCCAGCATTTTTTAAAAATTTGTTATTATTGTTATTTTTGAGACAGGCTGAAGTTGCCCAGGCTGGAGTGAAATGGCACGATCTCGGCTCACTGCAAACTCCGCCACCCAGTTCAAGCGATTCTCCTGCCTCAGCCTTCTGAGTAGCTGGGATTACAGGCCTGCGCCACCATGCCCGGTTAATTTTGTATTTTTAGTAGATATGGGGTTTCTCCATGTTGGTCAGGCTGGTCTCGAATTCCCTACCTCAGGTGATCTGCCTGCCTCAGCCTCCCAAAGTGCTGGGATCACAGGTGTGAGCCACCGTGCCCAGCCCTTTTTTTTTTTTTCTCGAGATGGAGTTTCACACTGTCACCCAGGCTGGAGTGCAGTGGTGTGATCTTGACTCACTGCAACCTCTGCGTCCAGGGTTCAAACAATTCTCCTGTCTCAGCCTCTCAAGTATCTGGGATGACAGACGCCTGACACCATGCCCAGCTAATTTTTAGCAATTTTAGTAGAGATGGGGTTTCACCATGTTGGCCAGGCTGGCATTATTCTGATTTCTTTCACCACAAATTAACATTCATTTTTCTGAAATTCCATCAAGTTTTGCCTACTGTAGAATTTTTTTTTTTTTTTTTTTTTTTTTTGAGACAGAGTCTCGCTCTGTCGCCCAGGCTGGAGTGCAGTGCCGCGGTCTCGGCTCACCGCAAGCTCCGCCTCCCAGGTTCACGCCATTCGCCTGCCTCAGCCTCCCAAGTGGCTGGGACTACAGGCGCCTGCCACCACGCCCAGCTAATTTTTTTCTATTTTTAGTAGAGACGGGGTTTCACCGTGTTAACCAGGATGGTCTAGATCTCCTGACCTCGTGATACGCCCGCCTCGGCCTCCCGAAGTGCTGGGATTACAGGCGTGAGCCACCGCGCCTGGCTACTTTCACTCAGCATATTGTTTCTTTCTTTTTTTTATTGAGATGGGCTCTGGCTATGTTGCCCAGGCGGGTTTCGAACTCCTGGCCTCAAGCAATGTTCTCGCCTAGGCCTCCCAAAGTGCTGGGATTACAGGCGTGAGCCACCACGCCCGGCTAGCATGCTGTTTGAGAGGCTTCTCCTTGTTGCCTGTGTCTGTAGTTTGCCCCTTTTTACTGCTGAGTAGTATCCATTGTATGAGCATAGAACAATTTGTTTATCCGTTGGCTGTTCATGAACCTCTGGCTTGTTTCCAACATCTGGCTATTTTTTTTTTCTTTTTTCTTTTGAGACAGAGTCTCACTCTGTTGCCCAGGCTGGAGTGCAGTGGCATGATCTCAGCTCACTGCAAACTCCGCCTTCAGGGTTCAAATGGTTATCCTGCCTCAGCCTCCCAAGTAGCTGGGATTACAGGCGCACACAACCACACCCAGGTAATTTATGTATTCTTAGTAGAGACTGGGTTTCACCACATTGGACAGGCTGGCCTCGAACTCCTGACGTCAGGTCATCCATCCACCTTGGCCTCCCAAATTGTACCTCTGGCTATTGTAAATGAAGTTGCTGTGTAAATACTTGAACAAGTCTTTTTTTTTTTTTTTTTTTTTTTTTTTTCAGAGATGGGCTCTTACTCTGTTGCCTAGGCTGGAGTGCAGTGGTGCAATCATAGCTCACTGCAGCCTCAACTTCTGGGATCAGGTGATCCTCCTGCCTCAGCCTCCAAGTAGCTGGGACCACAGACATGTGCCACCACACCCAGCTAATTGTTTTTGTTTTTGTTTTTTGAGACCGAGTCTCTCTCTGTCACCCAGGCTGGAGTGCAGTGGCTTGATCTCAGCTTACTGCAACCTCTGCCTCCTGGGCTCGTGATCCTCCCACCTCAGCCCCCAAGTAGCTGAGACCACAGGCCCACACCACCACGCCCAGCTAATTTTTTTTCTGTATTTTTAGCAGAGACAGTGTTTCACTGTGTTTGCCAGGCTGGTCTCCAACTCCTGACCTCAAGTGATCCGCCCGCCTTGGCTTCCCAAAGTGTTGGGATTACAGGCGCGAGCCACTGTGCCCAGCACTTTTTTTTTTTTGAGATGGAGTCTCGCTCCGTCACCCTGGCTGGAGTCCAGTGGTGCGATCTCAGCTCACTGCAACGTCTGCCTCCCGGGTTCAAGTGATTCTCCTGCCTCAGCCTGCCAAGTAGCTGGGACTACAGGTGCCCGCCACCACGCCTGGCTAATTTTTTGTATTTTTAGTAGAGACGGGGTTTCACCGTGTTAGCCAAGATGGTCTCGATCTGCTGACCTCATGATCCGACCCCCTCAGCTGGGATTACAGGCATGAGCCACCGTGCCTGGCCTGTGCCCAGCCTTTTTAAAAATTATTTGTAGAGACTGAGGCTCCCTATGTTGCCCAATCTGGTCTGGAACTCCTGGGCTCAAGGGATCCTCCCTCCTTGGCCTTCCGAGTAGCTGAGACTACAGGTGTGTGCCCCTCTGCCTGCTAATTTTTAAATTTTTGTAGAGATGAGATCTCCCTATGTTGCCCAGACTGGTCTCATACTCCCAGTTTCAAGTGATCCTCCCGCCTTGGCCTCCCAAAGTGCTGGGATTACGGGCATGAGCCTGTAATCCTGTGCCTGGCCAACTTTTATGTTTAGACCTATGACGTGGGTTAATATTTGTTTATGGTATCCGGGAAGAATTGAGGTTCATTTTTTTCTTCAAATCGACATTGATTCATTCAATGAGGTTAATTGAATTAATCCTTTACACAATTAAATTACCTTGGCACGTTTATTGAAAATCAATTAACCATATGTGAGTGAGTTAATTTCTGGGCTTTCTGTTCTGTTCCATTGATCTATTTGTGTCTCCCTATGACAATACCACATTATCTTGATTGCTGCTGCTTTATGTACATATTTATTTAGAGACAGGTTCTCACTCTGCCACTCAGGCTGGAGTGCAGTGGTGTAATCTTGGCTCACCACAGCCTTGAACTGCTGGGCTCAAGCAATCCTCCTGCCTCAGCCTCCCGAGTAGCTGGGACTACAGGCGCGCACACCACCATGGCCAGCTACTATTTGTATTTTTAGTAGAAATGGGATTTCACCATGTTTGCCAGGATGTTCTTGATCTCTTGACCTTGGATCCACCCGCCTCAGCCTCCCACAATGTTGGGATTATAGGCGTGAGCCACTGCGCCCAGCCAAATTTTATTTTTTGTAAAGAGGGGGCCTCACTATCTTGGCCAGGCTGGTCTCAAACTCCTGGGCTTGGCTGGGTACGGTGGTTCACACCTGTAATCCCAGCACTTTGGGAGGCTGAGGCAGGAGGATTGCTTGAGGTCAGGAGTTCAAGACCAGCCTGGGCAACATAGTGAGACCCCCGTCTCTATTTTTTTAAATTTAAAAGAAACAAAAAAGAACTCCTGGGCTCAAGCAATCCTCCCACCTTAGCCTCCCAAAGTGTTGGGACTATAGGTGTAGCCACTGTGCCCAGCTTACTACAGCTTTAGAAGTCTTGAAATCAGATAGTAAGAATTCTCCAAGTTTGTTCCCTCTCTCTCTCCTTTCTTTCCCTTTTTTCTTTCTTTCTTTTCTTTCTTTCTTTCTCTTTCTTTCTCTCTCTCTCTTTTTCCCTCCCTCCCTGCCTTCCTTCCTTCCTTTCTTTCTCTTTCTTTCTTTTCTTCCTTCCCTTCCTTCTTTCCCTCCTTCCCTCCTTCCTTCCTTCCTTCCTTCCTTCCTTTTCTCTCTCTCTCTCTCTCTCACTGGAGTACAGTGGTCCCATTATAGCTCACAGTAGCCTTGATGTCCCGGACTTAAGCAGTCCTCCTGCCTCAGCCTTCCAGCTGGGACTACAGGTGTCCTCCACCACGCCCAGCTGATTTTTAAATTTTTGGTAGAGATGGGGTCTCAGTATGGTTGTCCAGGCTTGTCTCAAACTCCTGGGTCAAGTGATACTCCTACTTCGACCTTCCTAGGTGCTGGATCACAGGCGTCAGCCACCGCACCCAGCCTTCTCTAAGATTGTGTTGGTTATGCAAGATGATTTGCTTATCTATATCAATTTTATGAAATTTATAGCTCATAAATATCTGTGGAAAAATCATGCTAGGATTAGGACTAGAACTGCACTGAGGATATAGATTCATTTGGGAAGAGCTGACGTCCTAATATGTCAATGTAAATATCTGTCATCTTTAGTTTCTCTCAGCAATGTTTTGTAATTTATTTTATTATATATGTGTATATATTATATATACATATATATATATTTTTTTCTGAGACAGCCTATGGCTCTGTCACCCAGGCTGGAGTACAGTGGTGTGATCTTGGTTCACTGCAACCTTTGCTTCCGAGGCTCAAGCGATCCTCCCACCTCAGCCTGCCAACTAGCTGGAACTACAGGTGCAAGCCGACATGCCCATTTAATTTTTGTTTATTTTTTGTAGAGACAGGGTCTTGCTATGTTGCCTACACTGGTCTCGAACTCCTGGCCTCAAGCCATCCTCCTGCCTTCCTTCTCAAAGTGCTGGGATTGCAGGACTGAGCCACCACGCCCGGCCTTGTAATATCTTTTAAAATCTGTCCTTAAATATTTCTTTTTTTTGAGACAGAATCTTGCTGTGTCACCCAGGCTGGAGTGCAGTGGCGTGATCTTGACTCACTTTAACCTCCATCTCCTGGGTTCAAGCAATTCTTGTGCCTCAGCCTGCGGAGTATCTGTATTTCCTGTTTTTTAATGCTATGGTATTTATTTATTTATTTATTTATTTATTTATTTTGAGACGGAGTGTCACTCTGTTGCCCAGGCTGGAGTGCAGTGGTGTGATCTTGGCTCACTGCAAGCTCTGACTTCTGGGTTCACACCATTCTCCTGCCTCAGCCTCCTGAGTAGCTGGTATTACAGCCGCCTGCCACCACGCCCGGCTAATTTTTTGTATTTTTAGTGGAGACGGGGTTTCACCGTGTTAGCCAGGATGGTCTTGATCTCCTGACCTCGTGATCTGCCCTCTTGACCTCCTAAAGTGCTGGGATTACAGGCATGAGCCACCGCGCCTGGCCTATTTATTCTTTTTATATAGGTATTTTTTAAAGTTTATTTTCCAATAGTACATCGCTAGTATATAGAAATATAATTGAATTTTATATTTGATGTTGTATCTTACAATATGGCTAAATCAGATTATTAGTCTAGTAGCTTTTCTGGATTTGATGGAATTTTCTATGTATATTATTATATTGATATTGGTTATGAATTAATTTTCTTTTCTTTTCTTTCTTTCTTTTTTTTTTTTTTTTTTTGAGACAGAGTCTCGCTCTGTCGCCAGGCTGGAGTGCAGTAGTGCAATCTTTGCTCACTGCAACTTTCGCCTCCCTGGCTCAAGCGATTCTCCTGCCTCAGCCTCCCAAGTAGCTGCAATTACAGGTGCCTGCCACCATGCCTGGCTAATTTTTTGTATTTTTAGTAGAGACGGGGTTTCACCATGTTGGCCAGGCTGGTCTTGAATTCCTGACCTCAAGTGACCCACCTGCCTCGGCCTCCCAAAGTTTTGGGATCACAGGCGTGAGCCACCGCGCCCGGTGTCTAGGAATTTTCTGTGTATATTATATTGGTTATGATTTAATCTTCTTTTCTATCCATATGCATTCTTTTCTTTTTCTTGCTTCACTGTTGTTTTAGGAAAAACCATGTTTTTCCTGCATTCTCATTCCCCCACAGCAGTCAACACAGAGGGAGGCTTCTGTGCCCAAATGTGTGGGGGTTTCCCACAGATCAAGCAGCAGGCACAGCTGGGTGTCCTCCACTCAGCTCTGAGACTGTCTGCCTGGAGATAGAGCTGGATACCACAGGTTGGGGGCTCAGTTCCCAAGACTACCTATCCCCCCAGACCCTGATCACAAGTCTGGGCCTCTCGAACTTTTGACTGACTGGCTTCATGTTGAGGTTCCCAGGACCGTCTTTTGGGGTTCAATTAATTTGCTGGAGTGGCTCACAGCACTCCAGGAAATGCATACATTTACTGGTTTATTAGAAAGGATATTGCAAAAGGGCTGGGCACGGTGGCTCACACCTGTAATCCCAGCACTTTGGAGGCCAAGGCGGGCAGATCACTTGAGGTTGGGAGTTCAAGACCAGCCTGGGCAACATGGTGAAACCCTGTCTCTACTAAAAATACAAAAATTATCTGGACGTGGTGGCGGGCACCTGTAATCCCAGCTACTTGGAAGGCTGAGGCAGGAGAATCGCTTGAGCCTGGGAAGTGGAGGTTGTGGTGAGCCGAGATGCCGCCACTGCACTCCAGCCTGGGCAAGAGAGTGAGACCCTGTCTCAAAAAAAAAAAAAAAAAGAAAAAAGGGCCGGGCGCAGTGGCTCATGCCTGTAATCCCAGCACTTTGGGAGGCCGAGGTGGTCTGATCACTTGAGGTCAGGAGTTCGAGACCAGCCTGGCCAACATGGTGAAATCCAGTCTCTACTGAAAATACAAAAATTAGCCGTGGTGGCATGCACCTGTAATCTCAGCTACATGGGGCGGGGGGTGGGTGGAGTGGCGAATTGCTTGAACCCAGGAGGCGGAGGTTGCGGTGAGCCGAGATCGCACCACTGCACTCCAGCCTGGGGAACAGAGCGAGACTTTGTCTCAAAAAAAAAAAAAAGGACATTGCAAAAAATATGGATGAAGAGCTGACTAGGGCCAGGTCTGGGGCAGGGGCGGTGGAGCTTCCATACCCCTCCCCGTGCCACTTTCCAGGAACCTTCTCTGTTGTGCATCCAGAAGCTCCACCACCCAGTCCTCTTGGATTTTTATGGAGGCTTCATGACGTCAGCTTTCCTTCCCCCAGGGAATAGGGCTGGACACAGTCTGGGAAGGGTCTTAAGACCCACAGTCTTAAGGTGGGGGAAGGTTAGAGTCCTGCCCTGGGGCAGGCAAAAGGAGACCAGGAGAAGGTCAGAGGCTGCCCGAGGCCTAACAGACAACATCATCACAAAACACTGTAGCAAGGACCATGGAGTTAGGAGCCAAGAGCCCCCGCACGAAAAACAACGTAGTTCATAACACCACAACTGTGTGCCGACTAGGCCGGCAATAGGGTGCTGACTGTGGGTGATAAGACGCTGTATATCTGGCCTTGTTCCCAAGCATTAGGCATTACCTTTTTTTTAAATTTTATTTTTATTTATTTATTTTTTATTTTTATTTTTATTTATTTATTTTTTTGAGATGGACTCTTGCTCTGGTCCAGGCTGGAGTGCAGTGGCGCAGTCTTGGCTCACTGTAACCTCCGCCTCCTGGGTTCAAGCGATTCTCCTGCCTCAGCCTCCCGAGTAGCTGAGATTACAGGTGCCTGCCACCACACCTGGCTAATTTTTTGTATTTTGTATGTTTTGTTTTTTTTTTTTTGAGACAGAGTCTCACTCTGTCACCCAGGCTGGAGTGCAGTGGCGTGATCTCGGCTCACTGCAAGCTCTGCCTCCCGGGTTCACATGATTCTCCTGCCTCAGCCTCCCGAATAGCTGGGACTACAGGCACCCGCCAACACGCCCGGCTAACTTTTTTGTATTTTTAGTAGAGACGGGGTTTCACCATGTTAGCCAGGATGGTCTCGATCTCCTGACCTTGTGATCCACCCACCTCGGCCTCCCAAAGTGCTGGGATTACAGGCGTGAGCCACCACGCCTGGCGAGTTTTTGGTATTTTTAGTAGAGACAGGATTTCACCAGGTTAGCCAGGATGGTCTCGATCTCCTGACCTTGTGATCTGCCCACCTCGGCCTCCCAAAGTGCTGGGATTACAGGCGTGAGCCACCGTGCCCAGCGTGCAATTTTTTGTATTTTTAATAGAGATGGTGTTTCACCATGTTGGCCACACTGGTCTCAAACTCCTGACCTCAAGTGATCTGCCTGCCTTAGCCTCCTAAAGTGCTGGGATTACAGGCGTGAACCACCGTGACTGGCCACATTCAGTATTTCGATTCAAATATTGAAAGCATTCAATGGTTGGGCATGATGGCTCATGCCTGTGATCCCAACACTTTGGGAGGCCAAGGCAGGAGGATCATTTGAGCCCAGGAGTTGAAGACCAGCCTGGGCAATATAGTGAGACCCTGTCTGTACAGAAAATAAAAAAACAGGCCAGGCATGGTGGCTCACACCTGTAATCCCAGCACTTTGGGAGGCCAAGGCAGGTGGATCACTTGAAGTCAGGAGTTTGAGACTAGCCTGCCTGGCCAGCGTGGAGAAACCCCTGTCTCTACTAAAAACAGAAAAATTAGCCAGGCGTGGTGACACGTGCCTGTAGTCCCAGCTACTTGGGAGGCTGAGGCAGGAGAATCACTTGAATCCTTGAAAGGCAGAGGTTGCAGTGAGCTGAGATCATGTCACAACACTCCAGCCTGGGTGACAGAGTGAGTCTCCATCTCAAAACAAACAAACAAATAAAATCAAAATAAAAAAATAGGTTGGACATGGTGGTGCGCACCTGTGGTCCCAGCTATGTGGGAAGCTGGGACAGGAGGGTCCGTTGAGCCCAGCAGGTCCAGAAAGTTGCAGTGAGCCATGATCGTGCCGCTGCACTCCAGCCTGGGTGACAAATGGGGACCTTGTTTCGAAAAGAAAAAAAAAGGAAATAAGAAAAAGAAAATGCTGGCCAGGCGCGGTGGCTCACGCCTGTCAATCCCAGCACTTTGGGAGGCCAAGGCGGGCGGATCACGAGGTCAGGAGATAGAGACCATCCTGGCTAACACGGTGAAACCCCGTCTCTACTTAAAATACAAAAAATTAGGCCGGGTGCGATGGCTCACGCCTGTAATCCCAGCACTTTGGGAGGCCGAGGCGGGCGGATCATGAGGTCAGGAGATCGAGACCATCCTGGCTAACACAGTGAAACCCCATCTCTACTAAAAACACAAAAAATTAGCCGGGCATGGTGGCGGGCACATGTAGTCCCAGCGACTCTGGAGGCTGAGGCAGGAGAATGGCATGAACCAGAGATGCGGAGCTTGCAGTGAGCCGAGATCGCGCCACTGCACTCCAGCCTGGGCGACAGAGCGAGACTCCGTTTCCAAAAAAAAAATAAAAAAATTAGCCAGGCATGGTGGTGGGCGCCTGTAGTCCCAGCTACTTGGGAGGCTTAGGCAGGAGAATGGCGTGAACCCAGGATGCGGAGCTTGCAGTGAGCCGAGATTGCACCACAGCACTCCAGCCTGGGCAACAGAGCCAGACTCTGTCTCAAAACAAAAAAGAAAATAAAAGGAAAAAGGAAATGCCTTGTGAAGACAGACATACAAGGAGAAGGCAGCTGTGTGATGACAGAGGCAGAGACTGAGGTGACGTGTTCACAAACCAGGAACCCCCTAGGAGACAAACACCAGAAGCTGGAAGAAGCAAGAAGGAATCCTCCCCTATGAGTTTCAGAGACAGCGTGGCCCTGCCGGCAACTTGATTTCAGACTTCTAGCCTCAAGCACTCTGAGACAATATGTTTCTGTTGTTTCAAGCCACCAAGTTCGTAATATTTTTTAAAAAATAATTTTTATATTATCTTTTGTAGAGGCAGGGTTTTGCCATTTTGCCAAGGCTGGTCTCGAACTTATGAGCTCAAGTGATCTGCCTGCCTCGGCCTCCCAAAGTGCTGGGATTATAGGTGTGAGCCACTGTGCCCAGCCCCTGGCGATACTTTTCTATGGCACCCCAGGGAAACTAATATATATGGTGAATTACCTTGATTTATTTTGAAATATTAAACCAAGCTTGCATTTCATTTGGTCACAACATTTTATCCCTTTAATTTATTTAATTCAATTAATTATTATTATTTTTTTTTGAGATGGAGTGAGACTCTGTCGCCCAGGCTGGAGTGCAGTGGCGTGATCTCGGCTCACTGCAAGCTCTGCCTCCTGGGTTCAAGCCATTCTCCTGCCTCAGCCTCCCGAGTAGCTGGGACTACAGACTCCCGCCACCACGCCCGGCTAATTTTTTTGTATTTTTAGTAGAGACGGGGTTTCACCGCGTTAGCCAGGATGGTCTTGATCTCCTGACCTCGTGATCTGCCCGCCTTGGCCTTCCAAAGTGCTGGGATTACAGGCGTGAGCCACCGTGCCCGGCCCCTTTTATTTTATTTATTAAGAGACAGGGTCTCACTCTCTTGCTAGGCTGGAGTTCAGTGGCATGATCACAGCTCACTGCAACCTCCGCCTCCCTGGTTCGAGCGATCCTCTTGCCTCAGCCTCCCAAGTAACTAGGATCACAGACATGTGCCACCATGCCTGGCTAATTTGTGTATTTTTTGTAGAGACAGGGGTCTCACTATTTTGCCCAGGCTGGTCTTGAACTCCTGAATTCCTCCCAACTCAGCCTCCCACAGTGCTGGGATTATAGGCATGAGCCACCGTGCCTGGCTGATTTATCTCTTTCCTCTTACATTTACTATAAGCAGCAAGAAAAAACCAAGCCTCACTTTCAATACTTTGCTTGGAAGTCTTCTTAGTTAAATATCCAAGTTTATAATTTATAAGTTTGGCTTTGCATATAATTCAAAGATACATTCCCGCTAAGATTTCTGAGACTACATAATGGGGTCCCCCTTTCTCCAGTTTCCAAGAACACATTCCTGTTACCTTCTTTTATTTTTTTATTTTTATTTAAAAAAATTTTTTTTGAGACAGAGTCTTGCTCTGTTGCCGAGGCTGGGGTGCAGTGGCACGATCTTGGCTCACTGCAGTCTCCGCCTCCCAAGTTCAAGCAATTCTCATGCCTCAGCTCCTGAGTAGCTGGGACTACAGGCGCTTGCCAACACACCCAGCTAATTTTTTGTATATATATTTTGTAGAGACGGGGTTTTGCCATGTTGCCCAAGCTGGTCTCAAATTCCTGAGCTCAAGCAATCCGCCCACCTCAGCCTCCCAAAGTGCTGAGATTACAGGCATGAGCCACCCCACCTGGCCTGATATTCCTCATTACATTCTGAGCCCTCATCAGCAGCACCTTTAACGTCTGTATTGTTACCAAGAGTCTGTTTGTGACCATTTAGGCATCCTCCCAGATGATTTAGGTTTTCTATACCACGTTCCTCATTTCCTTCTAAAAGTCCTCACTAGCAGAGTTTTTAACTTCCCTATTTCTAGTAACAACCAATTCCAGGAAACCTAAGCTTTTTCTGTATCCACCTCAAAACTTTTCCACTGCCGCTGGCGTGATGGTGCATGCCTACAGTCCCAGCACTTTGGGAGGCTGGGGCAGGAAGATTGCTTGAGCCCAGGAGATTAATGCTGCAGTGAGCTCTGATTGCACCACTGTGCCCTAGCCTAGTCAAGAGAGCAAAACTCTGTCTCTAAAAAAATTTTTTTATAAAAGCAGTGGGCCAGGCATGGTGGCTCATGCCTGTAATCCTGGCACTTTGGGAGGCCAAGTCAGGAGGATAGCTTGAGACTGTCCTTGAGACTGGCCTGGGCAATACAGTGAGACACCATTCTACAAAAAATAAATAGCCTGTAGCTGGGACTACAGGCGTGTGCCACCATGCCTGGCTACATGGCCAATGCCTGCAGTCCCAGCTACGCAGCAGGCTGAGGAAGGAGGATCTCTTGTACCCAGGAGACGGAGGCTGCAGTGAGCCATGATCCTACCACTGCACTCCGGCCTGGGTGTGATAGCAAGACCCTGTCTCAAAAAATTAAAAAAAGGAAGAGTGTTGAGAAGAAATTGGTAGCTTTATAACACAGGGCAAATGCCCACAAGGGTTGTGAGAATGGTGTCTTGCAGCCTAGGCTAGGATCTCAGCTCTGGGATCTTAGGGTGTTGAACTTTTCTGGTCTTGGTTGCCTGCAAAGTACTGATCATACCACTTCCTAAATTTTTTTTATTCTTAGTTTATTTTTATTTTTATTTTTTTGAAAAATAGGTCAGTCACAGTGGCTCACTCTTGTAATCCTAGCACTTTAGGAGGCTGAGGTGGGCAGATTGCCTGAGCTCAGGAGTTCGAGACCACCCTGGGCAACATGGTGAAACCCTGTCTCTACTAAAATACAAAAAATTAGCCAGGCGTGGTGGCGCATGCCTGTAATCCCAGCTACTTGGGAGGCTGAGGCAGGAGAATTGTTTGAACCTGGGAGGTGGAGGTTGTAGTGAGCCAAGATCACACCACTGCACTCTAGCCTGGACGACACAGTGAAACTCTGTCTCAAAAAAAAAAAAAAAGAAAGAAAGAAAATAGAGATGGGGTGTCACTACGTTGCCCAGGCTGGTTTTGAATTCCTGGGCTCAAGTAACCCTCCTGCCTTGGCCTCTCAAAGTGCTATGATTACAGACGTGAGCCACTGCCCCCGGCCAGGATGAGATACATTCTTTTTTTATAAATTCTTTTTTTTTTGAGATGGAGTCTTGCCCTTGCCACCCCAGGCTGGAGTACAGTGGCGTGATCTCAGCTCACTGCAACCTCTGCCTCCCAGGTTCAAGCGATTATCCTGCCTCAGCCTCCCAAGTAGCTGGGACTAGAAGCATGCACCACCATGCCCAGCTTATTTTTGTATTTTTAGTAGAGACGGGGTTTTACCATGTTGGCTAGGCTGGTCTCGAACTCTTGATCTCAGGTGATCCACCTGAGGTTGCAGTGAGCCGAGATGGTGCCACTGCACTCAAGCCTGGGCAACAGAGCAAGAGTCGGTCTCAAAACAAAAACAAAAAACCAAGAAGACTCAGTTCCTAGTACGCATTCAATACGTGTTAGCGTGGTTAGTGTTTGGTGCTGTCCTGGCTTCTGGCGTGCCAGGCACGTGGTAGTACTGCACTTCTGGTCCTTCTGAGGTTGAGCGAGACCACATCACTGGTCCTGGCCAATGCGTTGTGAACAGCAATGAGTCTTACTTCTGGGCCATATCATTTAGCGGCTCCTGCAGCATCCTCCAGATCCTTTCTCTCTGTTAACATGGCAGAAATGCAGGATGGTGGCCGCTCTGTGATCCTGGGTCTCTGCATGCCGGTGACAGACATGAACCCCTTTGTGACTTTAAGCCTCTGGGATTTGAGATTGTTACTGCAGCATGATATAGCCTATCCTAAACAACTCATTAGCCATTATTAGTATTTCTAAGATACGCTAAACAATGCATTACCCATTATTAGTTTTTTTGTTTGTTTGGTTGTTTTTTTTTTTTTTTTTTTTGAGACAGACTCTCACTCTGTCGCCCTGGCTGGAGGGCAGTGGCACAATCTCAGCTCACTGCAACCTCCACCCCCAAAGTTCAAGCGATTTTCATGCCTCAGCTTCCCGAGCAGATGGGATTACAGGCACCTGCCATCATGTCCAGCTAATTTTTGTATTTTTAGTAGGAATGGGGTTTCACCGTATTGGCCGGGCTGGTCTAGAACTCCTGACCTCAGATGATCCACTGGCCTTGGCCTCCCAAAGTGCTGGGATTACAGGTGTAAGCCACCATGCCTGGCCCACACCATTTATTTATTTATTTATTTATTTAGAGACAGAGTCTTGTTCTGTTGCCCAGGCTGGAGTGCAGCAGCAAGATCTCGGCTTACTGCAACCTCTGCCTCCCAGGTTCAAGTAATTCTCTTGCTTCAGCTTCCCGAGTAGCTGGGATAACAGGTGCCCACCACCACGCCCGGATTTTTTTTTTATTTTTAGTAGAGACAGGGTTTCACCATGTTGCCCAGGCTGGTCTTGAACTCCTGGCCACAGGTGATCCACATACTTCAGCCTCCCAAAGTGCTGGGATTACAGGCGTGACCCATAGCACCTGGCCTACAGCATTTATTTTATTTTATTCTATTTTATTTTACTTTTGAGATGGAGTCTCAATCTGTCACCCAGGCTGGAGTGCAGTGGCGCGATTATGGCTCACTGCAACATCCACCTCCTGGGTTCAAGCGATTCTCCTGCCTCAGCCTCCCGAGTAGCTGGGATTACAGGCGTGCGCCACCACACCAAGTTAATTTTGTATTTTTAGTAGAGATGGGGTTTCATCATGTTAGCCAGGCTGATCTCGAACCCCTGACCTCAGGTGATCCACCCGCCTTGGCCTCCCAAAGTGCTGGGATTACAGGTGTGAGCCACGGCGCCCAGCCAGCATTTATTTTTAAGTGATGGGGTCTTGCTCTGTGGCCCAGGCTGGAATACGGTGGCACAATCATAGCTCACTGTAGCTTCCACCTCCTGGACTGAAGCACTTCTCCTGCCTTGGCCTCCCAAAGCACTGCAATTATAGGCGTGAGCCACCACACCAGCATTTTAGTAACTGTTTCTGAAAGGTCCTTAGCAGGTCCTTTCTGCACGTCCTCCTGTGTAGTTAAATTCTGACTCCGATGCTCTGCATGCTAAGTTCTGTCCATTTGCCCAGCTAGTTCCCATTTTCCTAAATGAAAAGCACTACATGTGAATCAAAAAAACAGATTAACCATCGTGATATAACTGGGTTCTTGCTACTAAGCAAAATGTTTTAGAATTGAGAAATTCGAGGCCGGGCGCAGTGGCTCACGCCTATAATCCCAGCACTTTGGGAGGCTTAGGCGGCAGATCACCTGAGGCCAGGAGTTCGAGACCAGTTTGGCCAATATGGTGAAAGCTTGTCTCTACTAAAAATACGAAAATTAGCTGGACATGGTGGCGGGCGCCTGTAATCCCAGCTACTCGGGAGGCTGAGGCAGGAGAATTGATTGAACCTGGGAGGCAGAGGTTGCAGTGAGCCGAGATCCGAGATCGCAACATTGCACTCCAGCCTGGGTGACAAGCGTGAGACTCTGTCTCAAAAAAAAAAAAAAAAAAAAGGCCGGGCGCGGTGGCTCACAGCTGTAATCCCAGCACTTTGGGAGGCCGAGGAGGGCGGATCACAAGGTAAGGAGATCGAGACCACAGTGAAACCTTGTCTCTGCTAAAAACACAAAAAATTAGCCAGGCGTAGTGGCGGGCGCCTGTTATTCCAGCTACTTGGGAGGCTGAGGCAGGAGAATGGCATGAACCTGGGAGGAGGAGCTTGCAGTGAGCTGAGATCACGCCACTGCACTCCAGCCTGGGTGACAGAGGGAGACTCCGTCTCAAAAAAAAAAAAAAAAAGAAATTCCATTTTCTTTTTACAGTTCCCTGAATACGCAGGAATAGTATTCTGTGGGGAGGATCTGCTGAAGGCAGACGTGTCGGTGCACATTCCCAAGGCACTCTCCAAACACTAGAGGGATCCAGCAGCGGAGCTGACGATGTATGAAGACTGCCTTTTCTCTCCTGTCGGCATTCTGGATTAGAGCTGATTATTCCCCCCACCGTTTCCTGCCACAGCCCTCACGTTCCCACCTGTAGCCCTGGCTTTATTCTGCGTGTGTGAGAATTCTGCTGTGTTCTTCTCCACCTGCTTCCATCAGGAGGCTTTGCAGGACAGAGACCTTGTCTGGCTGTCCCTGCAGTGCCTCCCACCGGCTACACACATTTCGTTTTTGTTTTTATTTTTATTTTACTTATTTATTTATTGTGAGACAGAGTTTCACTGTCACCCAGACTGGAGTGCAGTGGCGCGATCTTGGCTCACTGCAACCTCCACCTGCCGGGTTCAAGCTATTCTCTTGCCTCAGCCTCCCAAGTAGTTGGGATTACAGGCACCCACCACCAGGCCCGGCTAATTTTTGTATTTTTAGTAGAGACAGGGTTTCACATGTTGGCCAGGCTGGTCTCAAACTCCTGACCTCAGGTGATCCGCCCGCCTCGGCCTCCCAAATTGCTGGGATTACAGGCGTGAGCCACCGCGCCTGGCCTTGTTTATATTTTCGGAGCCAGAGCCTCACTCTGTCATCCAGACTGGAGTGGAGCAGGGCAATCATGGCTCACTGCAGCCTCGACCTCCCAGGCTCAAGCGATCCTCCTACCTCAGCCTTTCGTGTAGCTGGGACTACAGGAACACACCACCACCAGGCTAATTTTTTTGTTTGTATTTTTTGTAGAGTCAGGGTCTTGCTGTGTTGCCAGGCTGGTCTTGAACTCCTGGGCTCAAGTCATCCTCCTGCCTTGGCCTCCCAAACTGCTGAGATTGCAGGTGTGAGCTGCTGTGCCCAGCTGCTAGCCATACAAATTTTGATAAACAGTAAATACTCTGGAAATGTTCACAGGAAGAAGACAAACTTTTCAACTTAGAGCAGGGGTCTTCCAACTGGGCTGCACATTTGAATTATCTGAGGAACTTTAAAAAAAATCCTCCCCCACAACCTCCGCCTCCCAGGTTCAAGCAAATCTCCTGCCTCAGCCTCCAAAGTAGCTGGGATTACAGGCATATGACACCATGCCCGGCTAATTTTGTATTTTTAGTAGAGAGGGGGTTTCTTCATGTTGGTCAGGCTGGTCTCAAACTCCCGATCTCAGGTGATCCGCCTGCCTCAGGCTCCCAAAGTGCTGGGATTACAGGCGTGAGCCATGTGCCTGGCCTCACATGTAAAATGTAAAAATACAATAAAGGTATTATTGTACTTTTATACTTGTATAACGATTTACGGTTTTTTGTTTGTTTGTTTGTTTGTTTTGAGATGTAGTCTCCTTCTGTTGCCCAGGCTGGAGTGCAGTGGCATGATCTCGGCTCACTGCAACCTCTGCCTCCTGGGTTCAAGCAATTCTCTTGCCTCAGCCTCCTGAGTAGCTGGGACTACAGGCGCCCGCCACCACACCCAGCTAATTTTTTTTTTTTTTTTGAGACGGAGTCTCGCTCTGTCGCCCAGGCTGGAGTGCAGTGGTGCAGTCTCAGCTCACTGCAAGCTCCGGCTCCCAGGTTCGCACCATTCTCCTGCCTTAGCCTCCCGAGGAGCTGGGACTACAGGCGCCCGCCACCACACCCAGCTAATTTTTGGTATTTTTAGTAGAGACGGGGTTTCACCGTGTTAGCCAGGATGGTCTCGATCTCCTGACCTTGTGATCTGCCCACCTCAGCCTCCCAAGGTGCTGGGATTACAGGCGTGAGCCACCGCGCCTGGCCCACACCTAGCTAATTTTTGTATTTTTAGTAGAGATGGGGTTTTACCATGTTGGCCATGGTTGGCCAAGCTTGTCTTGAACTTCTGACCTCAGGTGATGCGCCCACCTCTGCCTCCCAAAGTGCTGGGATTACAGGCGTGAGCCACCATGCCTGGCCACAATTTACAGTTTTTTATTTTATTTTATTTTTTTTGAGGCAGGGTCTTACTCTGTCACCCAGGCTGGAGTGCAGTGGTGTGATCTCAGCTCACTGCAACCTCTGCCTCCCCGGGTCAAGTGGTTCTCCCACGTCAGCTTCTTCCCCAGTAGCTGGGATTACAGGCATGTGCCACAACACCCGGCTAAGTTTTGTACTTTTATTGGAGACGGAGTTTCCCTGTGTTGACCAGGCTGGTCTTGAACTTCTGAACTCAGGTGATCTGCTGGTCTCGGCCTCCCAAAGTGCTGGGGTTACAGGCGTGAGCCACCGTATCCGGCCAATTTACAGTTTTTTAGTGCAACAATTTTATTTTTATTTTTTATTTTTAGACAAAGAGGCTCGCTCTATCACCCAGGCTGGAGTGCAGTGATGCGATCACAGCTCACCACAGCCTTGACATCCTGGGCTCAAGCAATCCTCTTGCCTTGGCCTTCAGGGTAGCTGGGACTATAGGTGTGTGCCATTGTGCCTGGCTTTTTTTTTTTTTTTAGAGATGGGGTCTCACTATGTTGCCCAGGTTGGTCTAGAATTCCTGGGCTCAAGTGATCCTCCTGCCTCGACCTCCCAAAGTGTTGGAATTACAGGCATGTGCCACTGTGCCCAGCTGAGTACAATTAATTTTAAATTTTTTTTTTTTTTTGAGACAAAGTCTCCCTGTTTTCGCCCAAGCTGGAGTACAATGGCGCAATCTCAGGTCACTGCAACATCTGCCTCCCAGGTTCAAGCAATCTCCTGCCTCAGCCTCCCGAGTAGCTGGGATTACAGGCGCCTGCCACCATGCCCAGCTAATTTTTTTTTTCTTTTTTTTTTTTGAGACAGAGTTTCGCTCTTTTGCCGAGGCTGGAGTGCAGTGGCATGATCTTGGCTCACTGCAAGCTCTGCCTCCCGGGTTCACACCATTCTCCTGCCTCAGCCTCCCGAGTAGCTGGGATTACAGGCGCCCGGTAGAGACTGTAGTGGTTTCCTCATGTTGGCCAGGCTGGTCTCGAACTCCTGACCTCAGGTGATCTGCCTGCCTCAGCCTCCCAAAGTGCTGGGATTACAGGTGTGAGCAACTGTGCCTGGCTACAAATTTAATAAGTAAATATTTTATAATCTAGTTTGAGACCAAAAATACGTAGGAAACAGCTGGGCATGGTGGCCTGTGCCTTAGTCCCAGCTACTTGGGAGGCTGAGGTGGGAGGACTGATTGAGGCCAGGAGTTTGAGGCTATAGTGAGCTATGATTGGGCAGCTACAGTCCAGCCTGGGCAACACAGCAAGACCCTGCCTCTAATAAAAATATGATCAGGAAGTGGGCAGAGTATATATGTGTGCGTGGCACAGGGAAAGTGCTGAGTACATTATTTGGCAGCAACAGCAGCTGGAAGGAAGTGAGGGTGGAGGAAGGAAGCAGCTATCAGATATGGGGGGAGGTCACAGGATCCTGCCATGTCCCACTGTGCCTAGGGAAAGTTGTTATATGTCCATCAGCAGAAGGACATCTCGATCTCGGCTCACTGCAACCTTGGCCTCCCAGGTTATGGTGGAGAGAGCATCAATGGTGTGCCTGCTTGCATGGAGGTCCTGGTGTGCGGGGACCCTATGGCGTCCTAGGTGCAGTCATCTGTTACCGAGGCAGGGTCCAGCAGCTATAGCCAGAGGAAGTAACTACCTTGTGAGAAGGGGACGCTTCCTAGGAACTGACATGGTTCTGGGCTCTTGGTTCTGTAATCAACTCCCCGGACATTGTGTGACATCAGCGTTAGAAGGTCCAGGATGGCCGGGCACGGTGGCTCACACCTGTAATCCCAGCACTTTGGAAGGCCAAGGTGGGCGGATCACTTGAGGTCAGGAGTTCGAGACCAGCCTGGCCAACATGGTGAAAACCCATCTCTACAAAAATACAAAAATTAGCTGGGTGTGGTGGCACACGCCTGTAATACCAGCTACACGGGAGGCTGAGACAGGAGAATCGCTTGACCTGGGAGGCGGAGGTTGCAGTGAGCCAAGATCATGCCACTGCCCTCCGCTCCAGGCAACAGAGTGAGACTCTGTCTCAAAAAAAAAAAAAAAAAAAAAAAAAAAAAAAAAAAAAAAAAAAAAGAAGGTCCAGGATCCTTCCTTTGGAAACAAGCCCTTCCTGATGCAGGCCTACCAATCTCCATGCCAAACCCCACACTTTTAGCCTGGAATGACCACAGCATCTGCAGCTGATGTCTCAGAGCCTTCGTGCCCTCCTCCTACTTAACTCCTTATTCCTCCAGCCCTAACTCTGGTACCACCCATCCAGGGATCCCTTCACCCATGTAGGGAAGGGATCGCCCTTCACCCTTCACCCTCTTCTGCGGTGTGTTGCACAGCCTTGCTCCCGTTTTGGAACAGTTAGCACACTTGCTCCACTCTGGCCATCTGTGCCTCCTCCAGATCAAGGAATGCACAGGAAACATCTTTGTATTCTCAGCACCCAGCACAGGGCTTCCTGACCTCCTGGTGGCAGCCAGCAAACCTGAGTGGGCCAGTGGGTGGGTGGATAGATGCAGGATGCAGTGAGTGAGTGAGTGAGTGGGTGGGTGGATGAATGCAGGATGCAGTGAGTGAGTGGGTGGGTGAATGAATGAATGCAGGATGCAGTGAGTGAGTGAGTGGTTGCATGAATGAATGCATGATGCAGTGACTCAGTGAGTGGGTGAATGAATGAATGCAGGATGCAGTGAGTGAGTGGTTGTGTGAATGAATGCAGGATGCAGTGCGTGAGTGAGTGGGTGAATGAATGAATGAATGCAGGATGCAGTGAGTGAGTGGTTGTGTGAATGAATGCAGGATGCAGTGCGTGAGTGAGTGAGTGGGTGAATGAATGAATGCAGGATGCAGTGAGTGAGTGAGTGGGTGAATGAATGCAGGATGCAGTGAGTAAGTGGGTGAATGAATGCAGGATGCAGTGAGTGAGTGGTTGCGTGAATGAATGCAGGATGCAGTGCATGAGTGAGTGAGTGAGTGAATGAATGAATGCAGGATGCAGTGAGTGGGTGGGTGAATGAATGCAGGATGCAGTGAGTGAGTGAGTGAGTGGTTGTGTGAATGAATTCAGGATGCAGAGTGAGTGAGTGGGTGAATGAATGAATGCAGGATGCAGTGAGTGAGTGGGTGGGTGAGTGAATGCAGGATGCAGTGAGTGAGTGGGTGAATGAATGCAGGGTGCAGTGAGTGAGTGGTTGCGTGAATGAAAGCAGGATGCAGTGAGTGAGTGAGTGGGTGAATGAATGCAGGATGAAGTGCATGAGTGAGTGGGTGGGTAGATGAATGAATGCAGGATGCAGTGAGTGGGTGAGTGAGTGGGTGAATGAATGCAGGATGCAGTGAGTGTGGGTGAATGAATGTATGAAGAAGCAGTGAGTGAGTGAGTGGATGAATGAATGCAGGATGCAGTGAGTGAGTGAGTGGGTGGATGAATGAATGCAGGATGCAGTTAGTGAGTGAGTGAATGAATGCAGGATGCAGTTAGTGAGTGAGTGAATGAATGCAGGATGCAGTAAGTGAGTGAGTGGGTGAATGAATGAATGCAGGATGCAGTGAGTGAATGAATGAATGTAGGATGCAGTAAGTGAGTGAGTGGGTGAATGAATGAATGCAGGATGCAGTGAGTGAGTGACTGAATGAATGCAGAATGCAGTGAGTGGGTTGGTGAATGAATGAATGCAGGATGCAGTGCGTGAGTGGGTGAATGAATGTACGAAGAAGCAGTAAGTGAGTGAGTGAGTGAATGGATGAATGAATGCAGGATGCAGTGCATGAGTGAGTGGGTGGATGAATGAATGCAGGATGCAGTGAGTGAGTGGGTGAATGAACGTATGAAGAAGCAGTAAGTGAGTGAGTGAGTGAATGGATGAATGAATGCAGGATGCAGTGCATGAGTGAGTGGGTGGATGAATGAATGCAGGATGCAGTGAGTGAGTGGGTGAGTGGGTGAATGAATGCAGGATGCAATAAGTGAGTGAATGAGTGAATGCAGGATGCAGAGAGTGAGTGGGTGAGTGGGTGAATGAATGAATGCAGGATGCAGTGAGTGAGTGGGTGAGTGGGTGAATGAATGCAGGATGCAGTGCGTGAGTGGGTGAATGAATGAATGCAGGATGCAGTGAGTGAGTGGGTGAATGAATGAATGCAGGATGCAGTGAGTGAGTGGCTGGATGAATGAATGCAGGATGCAGTGAGTGAGTGGCTGGATGAATGCAGGATGCGGTGAGTGTGTGAGTGGATGAATGAATGTAGGATGCAGTGAGTGAGTGGGTGAATGAATGAATGCAGGATGCAGTGAGTGAGTGGGTGAATGAATGAATGCAGGATGCAGTGAGTGAGTGGGTGAATGATTGCAGGATGCAGTGAGTGAGTGAGTGGCTGGATGAATGCAGGATGCGGTGAGTGAGTGTGTGAGTGGATGAATGAATGTAGGATGCAGTGAGTGAGTGGGTGAATGAATGAATGCAGGATGCAGTGCGTGGGTGAGCGAATGAGTGGGTGAGTGGATGAATGAGGAAGTGCGAGTCAGAAAACCCCAGTGTAACCGGTGAATGAGCGAACAAGGGCGTGACTGGGCGAGGAGAGATGGGAGTGAATGAGGGTGCGGTGGGTGCAGGCTTGCGCCTGAGGTAGTGCACCTGCGAGTCCGGAGGTCCAACCTGAGGGGAGGTAACCTGCGCCACCAGCAGGCTCCGTGTCCACGTGGACGGGGAGGGGCATGTGGGCGTGGCTAGGCGGGTTGTAGGCGTGGCGAGGCCGGGCGAGGAGCGCGGCGGGCCCGCAGGGGCGGACTGTGGGCGTGGCGCGCGGGGGAGGGGGCGTGACCAGGCGGGGTGTGGGCGGGGCGAGGGCGCGGCGCGGCAGGGCTGCGCGGCCGGGTGGCGCGGGAGGAAGTCACGTGGGAGCGCGGGCTCACATGACTGGCCGCGCGATGGACCCGCTGCCCGCGGCTGCAGTCGGGGCGGCAGCTGAGGCGGAGGCTGACGAGGAGGCGGATCCCCCGGCGTCAGGTAGGGCGTGGGGCGGCGGTAGCCCCCACCTGCCCAGGGCGCGCGGCCCGACCACCCCCGGCGGACGGGGCTCAGCCGCCGCGCTTGGTCCCCGACTCGTTTCCTGCCCCCGCGCCCCGCGTTCGGCCCCACGCCCCAGTCCCTCGGAGGTCCCCCTGCCCTCCTGCGCGCCTGTCCTTTGGGGGTCCCCGTGCTCTCTCGCGCCTCCGTCCCTCGGGGTCCCCTGCCCTCCTGCGCCGGGAGAGCCCTGTCCAGGTTACAGCTGGCCGCGTTCCGAGGCGCTTTCCCGGGGCTCTCAGAGGCGTCCTCGGGGACAGTTTCCTCCTCGCCCCGTTCCTGGTGCCCTGCTCTTCTGCCCTGCCTGGTCACGCTGAGCGATGGCACTGGGGGCCACTTCCCCGGACTTGGGCGCCTTTCCTAGCCACATCCTCTCTCCCAAGCTCCTGTCGGTTGTGTGGTCTTGGGCCAGTAATTTCACCTCTCGGGACCTCTGTTTTCTCATCTGTGAACCGAATCTATAGATGTGTAGCTGCTTTTCTCTCTCTTTCAAGTGATCCTCCGCCTTAGCCTCCCAAAGTGCTGGGACTACGGGCGCGTGCAGTTACGCCCGGTAATTTTTTTTATTTTTGTAGAGATGGGATCTTGCTATGTTGTCCAGGCTGGTCTGGAGCTTCTGGCCTCAAGCGGTCCTCCTGCCTTGGCCTCCCAAAGTGCTGGGAGTACGGGCATGAGCCATCGTGCCTGGCCTGTATTTCTGTCTTTTTCTTTTTTCTTTTTCTTTTCTTTTCTTTTTTTTTTTTTTTTGAGACAGATTCTCACTGTCACTCAGGCTGGAGTGCAATGGTGCGATCTCGGCTCATTGCAACCTCCGCCTCCCGGGTTCAAGCGATTCTCCTGCCTCAGCCTCCTGAGTAGCTGGGATTACAGGCATCCACCATGACACTCGGCTAAATTTTGTATTTTTAGTAGAGACGGAGTTTCACCATGTTGGCCAGGCTGGTCTCGAACTCCTGACCTCAGGTGATCCAACCACCTCAGCTTCCCAGAGTGCTGGGATTACAGGCGTGAGCCACCGCGCCTGGCCTCTTGTATTTCTCTTTAAGGGATTTGGGTTAATGAGGCTAAACATGGCTGGGCACGGTGGCTCACGCTTGTAATCTCAGCACTTTGGGAGGCCGAGGCGGGCGGATCACGAGGTCAGGAGATCAAGACCATCCTGGCTAACACGGTGAAACCCTGTCTCTACTAAAAATACAAAAAAAATTAGCCAGGCGCGGTGGCGGGCGCCTGTAGTCCCAGCTACTCGGGAGGCTGAGGCAGGAGAATGGCGTGAACCCGGGAGGCAGAGCTTGTAGTGAGCCGAGATAGCGCCACTGCACTCCAGCCTGGGCGACAGAGCGAGACTCCGCCTCAAAAAAAACAAAACAAAACAAAACAAACGAGGCTAAACATTAGAAGGAATACAGGAGGGTGCCCCTTATTTCTGGATGTTCCTTCCTGTGGTCCTAGCTGCCAGAGAAGAGATGTAGGTGGGTGTTGGTGTGAGTTACGGTTTCTTCTTGGTGGGGGGGGACAAGATTGGGGAATCCCCTTGTGGGGAGGTCTGGCAAGGTGTCGCTGAGGAGGTGATGACTGAAGTGAGCTCTGGAGGGTTGGTAGACAGTTTCTTCGTCGGCGAGAAACGGCAGCGGGGAGCAGGGGAGGGATTGTTGCATTTGGTGGGCATCCTCGATGTGAAGACTGTGTCTAGAAAGAAGGGCCTTTCAGAATGGGTCTTCAGTTATTTTTTCCTTTCCCTTGTATCAGTGTAAGGGGAGGCACGTGATAGTTCTCGCTGATTAGAACATTGTGTCCATGAAGTCACATGTTGGAGGCCAGCGTGAGTCTCAGGCGGGACCCTTTCCGAGGGGTCACTTGGGAACAGGTAGGCTGTGATTGGATCGGAATGCTGCTGCTATCTCAGCTTGTAAAGCAATTTGGCATTGCTGGAGGGGTCCTCTGCAGGTGTAGGGGACTGTGTTTCCTTCAGGCTTCACAGAAGTAGACTCCAGAGGCTACCATAATGGTGTAATTTAGAGATAGTCTGAGCGCTGTACACCTGAGGGAGCTGTGTCTCTGGGAGACCGCCCTCCCTTTGGTGTGGCCTGGAATTCCTGTAGGTAGTTGGCTTTTTCTGGGGGCAGTGGTGATTTCATCAGGAGTGCTGATGGGATCCACAGATGGGGGTTGCTGGGACAAGGCAGTGCTTCACAGTGCCCTTTCCTGTAACCAGGCAAGTCTGAAAGTGGGGCTCACAGACTCTTGGGACGTAGACTGTCCTTCTGTTTGAAACTTGGTCGTCATCCTGGCAGGTGGGTGAAGTGGTATAGCAGGTCTTTTTTTTTTTTTCTTGAGACGGAGTCTCGCTCTGTCGCCCAGGCTGGAGTGCAGTGGTGTGATCTCGGCTCACTGCAAGCTCTGCCTCCCGGGTTCATGCCATTCTCCTGCCTCAGCCTCCCGAGTAGCTGGGACTACAGGCGCCCGCCACCACGCCCGGCTAATTTTTTGTATTTTTAGTAGAGACGGGGTTTCACCATGTTAGCCAGGATGGTCTCGATCTCCTGACCTCGTGATCTAGCCGCCTCGGCCTCCCAAAGTGCTGGGATTACAGGCGTGAGCCACCGCGCCCGGCCTCGCAGGTCTTTTTACATTGAGAAAACTAAAATCCAGAGGTAAGTAATTTGCCCAAAGTGGGCAATGTCAAGGGAATGTGTGTTGATGGGGACCCTGATTGGGTGGGCTGGAGTGAGAAAACCTCAGCCTTGAGACCAAGCACTGTGGCTCACGTCTGAAATCACAGCACTTGGGGAGGCTGAGGAGGGAGGATCGCCCGAGCCCAGGCGCTAGAGACCAGCCTGGACAACGTAGCGAAATCCTGTCTCAAATTTTTAAAAAAGAAAACAAAAACAAAAACAGCAAAGAAAAAAGTTAAGTCTCTGAATATTGTCCGGAGACTATGTGTGTGACTTACACGTTCACTAAGGTTGGTTTGAAGGAGTGGTTGTGCCTTACGGGTATACAGTGAATTTCCTCTTCTCTAGAGTTTTGGCCACACAGCCAGAGCCCACTGGTGGTATTCATGTGGGAACTGTGAAATCTCCTGCATCTTCGGTGTTGCCAGAAAAAAATGTGCTTGTTGTACTTTTCCACATTAAGAGTCTCATTCTATTTGAATTCTTTGAAGCTTAAGCTGTGAATGCTCTCTAGGGCAACCCTCTTTATAAAAACTTAATTTTCAGTTATGCCATACATGGACAAATGTATTTTCTTTAAAAAAGAATAGAACATTGTAGATTAAGTGAAAGTCCCATCCTAATTGCCATCATCTCCTGTCTGTACCTGAGAGGTGACCATTGTTCTCAGTTTGGGATGGACCGTTTTAGTTCTGTTTTCACATTTTATTCATATATGTACTCAGGAAACATATACTTCCTTATATAAGTGTGCTCATGTTTCCCTAGCGTAGTATATTCTCTAGCTTTCTTTTGTTCCTTTTATTTTTATTTATTTATTTTTTTGAGACGTAGTTTCACTCTTTTGCCCAGGCTGGAGTGCAGTGGTGCGATCTTGGCTCACTGCAAGCTCCACCTCCTGGGTTGACGCCATTCTTCTTTCTGCCTCAGCCTCCTGAGTAGCTGGGACTACAGGTGCCTGCCACCACACCTGACTAATTTTTTGTATTTTTAGTAGAGATGGCATTTCACCGTGTTAGCCAGGTTGGTCTTGATCTCCTGACCTCATGATCTGCCTGCCTCGGCCTACCAAAGTGCTGAGATTACAGGGGTGAACCACTGCGCCCAGCCACGCCTGGCCAATTTTTAAAATTTTTTGTAGAGACAGTCTGGCTGTGTTGCCCAGGCTGGTGTGGAACTCCTGGCCTCAAGCAATCCTCCCACCCGGGCCTCCCAAAGTGCTGGGATTTCAGGCATGAGGCACCGAGCCTGGCTGGATTTTATATTGAAACTATTCCTGTCAAAATATCTGATTGACCGGAACATTCTGTCCTCTGACTATGCAGGATAAGGGTTTTTTTCAGGGCCTGTTCTTAGGTCATGAAGCTCAATGATTGTGACATCCAGCGAGAACGGCAGTGAGTGTGGTAAGTGTGCTTGGTCGTCCAGCCTGATTTCTCGGGATCGATTAATACATGGATAGAAATATGTACAGATGACCACGGCGTATCCTGGCTCTGCCGTATACAGTCCTGCGGCCCTACATTGACTCTTTAGAACGAGGGTGAGTCACGCTTCACTTGCGGCTCATCCCATGGCATTCCATACATTCCATTCGGTTCGGAAGCTCCGTGCTGTTTGTCCGCGTTGACCTGGCGATGACTCCTTGAGTGTCATTGAGGCAGGTCCAGGGCCTTTGCTGACCCTCGGGGCTCCTTCACCCCTGCCCCGAGCCTTCCCCTCTTGCCTGGGCGACTTCCATGCACCCTGGGCTCCCATCAACCCTTACCTGCAGCTGCTCGCTCATGTCAGGTCTGTTCTCTGTGTGAATACGTTGGTCAGAATTCATTGCGCTGTCACTTAAAGTTTATACTTTTTTTTTTTTGAGATGGAGTCTCGCTCTTGTTGTCCAGGCTGGAGTGCGATGGCGCGATCTCGGCTCACCGCAACCTCCTCCTCCCGGGTTCAAGCAATTCTCTTGCCTCAGCCTCCTGAGTAGCTGGGATTACAGGCATGCGTCACCACACCTGGCTAATTTTGTATTTTCAGTAGAGACGGGGTTTCTCCATGTTGGTCAGGCTGGTCTCGAACTCCCAACCTCAGGTGATCTGCCCACCTTGGCCTCCCAAAGCACTGGGATTACAGGCGTGAGCCACCGCGCCCGGCTGGTTCTGGTGATTCTTGTGCCTCAGCCTCCCCAGTAGCTGGGATTACAGGCGTGTGCCACCACACCTGGCTAATTTTTGTATTTTTAGTAGAGACGAAGTTTCGCCATGTTGGCCAGGAAGGATGATCTCAAACTCCTGACCTCATGTGATCCACTTGCTTTGGCCTCCCAAAGTGCTGGGATTACAGGGGTGATCCACCCCACTGGGCCTATTTATACATTTTGAGCAGGGTGTGGTGGCTCACACCTGTAATCCTAACACTTTGGGAGGTTAAGGCAGGAGGATCACTTCAGGCCAGGAGTTTGAGGCCAGCCTGGGCAATAGAGTGAGACCCCATCCCTATTTAAAAAAAAGATTTGTGTCTGGGCCTGGTGGTTCACGCCTGTAATCCCAGCACTTTGGGAGGCCGAGGTGGGCGGATCACCTGAGGTCAGGAATTCAAGACCAGCCTGGCCAACATGGTGAAACCCCGTCTGTACAAAAATCCAATAATTAGCTGGGCATAATGGCGAGTGCCTGTAATCCCAGCTACTCGGGAGGCTGAGGTGGGAGAATTGCGTTAACCTGGGAGGCAGAGGTTGTAGAGGTTGTAGTGAGCCGAGATGGTGCCGCGCTGCAGCCTGGTTGACAGAACAAGACTCCAGCTCAAAAAAAAAAAAAAAAAAAAATTTGTTCATTTTATGGTGATTAAATTATGCCCCACAGTATTGTTTGCATTAGGGACAAAACCTTCTGCCCCATTTCGCTCCCTTCCATGACCCTTTTTTTTTTTTTTTTTTTTTTGAGACAGAGTCTCACTCTGTTGCCCAGGCTGGAGTGCAGTGGTGCCATCTAGCCTCACTGCAACCTCCATCTCCTAGGTTCAAGTGACTCCTGCCTCAGTCTCCCCCGTAGTTGGGATTACAGGCGTGTGCCACCATGCCCAGCTAATTTTTGTATTTTTAGTAGAGTCGGGGTTTTACCATGTTGACCAGGCTGGTCTCGAACTCCTGACTTCAGGTGATCCGCCCGCTGCAGCCTCCCAAAGTGCTGGGATTACAGGTGTGAGCCACCGTGACTGGCCATGACACATATTTTGGTAGTAAACTCCTGATGAGCAAACTTATTTTTATTTTTTTTACAAGTTTATTTTGTTTATATAGTTTTGTTACTTTTTTCTTTTTTTAATTCTGGCTCTCTCCAGAAAACAGAAACCTATTTTTCTTTAACCACAGTATCTAGAATACTATCTGCTATGTAGCAGAGTCTCAAATATTTGAATAGAATTACATTTTTATAAATTTTTGTATTATATTTCTTATGTGATAAGACTTGACAACACTGCAAATATGTTTTGTTACTGGTCTTTAAACTTGCTCATCCTCTCTCTCTCTCTGTCTCTCTCTCACACACACACACACGCACACATACACAATTTGCAAGGTAAAACGTGTCAATTTGAAGAAAGAGGAACTAACTGAATCACTGTTATGTAGAACAGATTTTGCCAGAATTTGTGGTTAGCAAGAAAGTGATGTGTTCCGGGTAGGGGAATTCTGTTTTGGTATTATTTTGTCTTTCCTGAGAAAAGCATCACAAAAAGAGATGTTTGCCCATCCTGTTTGCTGGGGTAGTGGGAAGAGACCGGGGGTGATGGTGGTGCTGGCTGGACGTGGGTGGTTTCACAGGACCTGCTGTGTCTGAGAGGAGCCATGCGGTGATTAGAAGCTTGGAGGCTGCAGGTAGGAGGCACAGAGCCCGAGAGTGCATGGAGAGCCTGGCTGTCGGTCTCCAGCATTGTCACTGTCACCTTTTTTTTTTTTTTTTTTTTTTTTGGAGACAAAGTTTTTGCTCTTGTTGCCCAGGCTGGAGTGCAATGGTGCGATCTCGGCACACTGCACCCTCCGCCTCCCGGGTTCAAGCGAGTCTTCTGCCTCAGCCTCCCGAGTAGCTGGGATTACACGTGTCCACCACCGCACCTGGCTAATTTTTGTATTTTTAGTAGAGATGGGGTTTCACCATGTTGGCCAGGCTGGTCTCGAACTTGGAACCTCAGTGATCCCCCCGCCTTGGCTTCCCAAAGTGCTGGGATTACAGGCGTGAGCCACTGCACCTGGTCCATTGTCATCCTCTGAGAAACTGGAGCGCGGCCACGCTCTGCATATTTCTACTATAGAATCACCAAAAAAAAAAAAATCACATAACCAGACTTAAAGGGCAGAAGTGCTTTGTGAGAAGTGTTTTTGGGAAAATATTGGCATTAAAATATCAGGTAGGGTCCCTTTTGGGAGGACTGAGGAGGGGTGTGTGTTCAGCTCCGGGAGGATCTGGTCTGCCCTTCCTGCTGTTTTCTGTTGACTGGGTGGGAGGAGGCACTTTGCTGTTTCTGTTGTGTGTAGCAGGGGTTTAATGGGGGTCTTTTTAGCTCCCTATAAGCATTTTGAAGTTTGTGTGTTATGGAAATCTGAAGTGAAATTACACAAAGTTTGATTAACCCCAGGAAGTACTGTAGGGGCCGGAGAAACTCAGGTTAGGTAATATCTTTCAAGAAGCCCAGTTACGTTATTTTCCAGGAATCTTCCAAAACCTGATTTGTGCGGGTGTCCACCAGGAGCCTGATGAGTGAGTTGTCATCAGACCCAGTAATGCGCTGTTGTTGTGTGAATTGGTGCTTTCAGAAAATTTTGTTATACAAGTGATACAACCACAATCGCAAAAATTTCATAGACAAATCACCTGTAGTTCCACCCCTTTTAACAGCCGTTGCATTTTAATATATTTCCTTTTTTCCTGTGCATTGCTTTGTATGTAGTTATCATCATAGTGAATATGCGTCTTTATAGTTAGTTCCTTTCACTTGACATTTTTCTACACTGCTAGTTTTCGTAATTTTCTACCTAGTGTCTGTATAATAGTGCATTAAGGAATATAAAGTTGTGCTTCGAAAGTGCTAATATGATAAAATTTCAGTTAAAAAAAATTTCAGTTAGAGATATTCTTGCCACATGTTTTCCAGAAAATGATTTGTTAAATGGAATCCATATTAAAATTTGTCCCGGAGGCTGGGCACGGTGGCTCACGCCTGTAATCCCAGCACTTTGGGAGGCTGAGGTGGCTGGATTACAGCCTGGCCAACATGGTGAAACCCCGTCTCTACTAAAAAAAAATACAAAAATTAGCCAGGCTTGGTGGCATGCGCCTGTAATCCCAGCTACTCGGGAGCCTGAGGAAGGAGAATTGCTCGAGGTTGCAGTGAGCTGAGATCGCGCCACTGCACTCCAGCCTGGGCGACAGAACAAGACTGTCTCAAAAACAAAAAACAAACAAAAAAATGACTTGTCCCGGGTTGGGCACAGTGGCTCATGCCTGTAATCCCAATGCTTTGGGAGACCCTACAGAGCCTGATAAGGGATAAGACTGAATGAAAATCGAGGAAGATGCCGTACCAATTAGGCTGGTAGTTCCCTCTGGCGGGAAGAAGGCACCCAGATCTGTCAGGGATGCAACCAGAAGGAGCGTTTCCAGGGTGCCGCTGTCTTTATTTTTTATTTTGTAGAGACAGGGACTCACTACGTTGCTGAGGCTGTTCTTGAACTCCTGGGCTCAAGCAGTTCTCCTGCTTCGGCCTCCCAAAGTGCTGGGATTACTGGTGTGAGCCACCGTGCCTAGTCTGGCTGTCTTTAATTCTTGGCCTGGATGGTGGTTACACGTGTTTGGTAAATAATTTTGTTCGAGTGTTCATAGAAGTTTTATAGTCCTTTCTGTGCATGTGTAAAGTATTTAATAATACAAAATAATACAATACAGGCCGGGCATGGTGGCTCACGCCTGTAATCCCAGCACTTAGGGAGGCCGAGGCAGGCGGATCACCTGAGGTCAGGAGTTCGAGACCAGCATGACCAACATGGTGAAACCTCCTCTCTAATAAAAGTATAAACATTAGCCAGGTGTGGTGGCGGGTGCCTGTAATCCCAGCTACTTGGGAGGCTGAGACAGGAGAATCACTTGAACCCAGGAGGCAGAGGTTGCAGTGAGCTGAGATTGCACCACTGCACTCAAGCCTGGGCAACAGAGCAAGACTTTATCTCAAAAACAAACAAACAAACAAAAATACAAAATGTTGGGGGAAAACCTGAGGTTCCTAAGATAATTTTGTAGGACTATCTGGACTGACTGCCTTGGTATTCATGCCCCAAGTCCCGTTGGATTTACCCAGAGGGAGGTGCCTTTAGGGTGAAATCCGTTTTCTTGCCTCAGTGTCTGCTCCTAACAGAGGGCACTGCGGTTGATCAGCAGAAGAGCTCCCCTGCCTCCAGCTGTTTCTGAGGCCTGAGTGCTGCTGGCTCAGCCCGGTGCTCTGTTGAGTCCAGCTGTTTCGGTGACCCACCGGCAGCACAGCAGGAAGGAGCACCCAGACCCTCCGGCGTCTGCAGGAACAGCAAGGCTTGTCTGGGAACCTCACTCTCAGCCAAAAGCCAAAAGCAGCTCTCTGGCCAAAGCTGTCAAGGAGAGTCAGATGATATTCATTACTGGGCACAGTTCATTATCTTCAGGACCGAAATTTCACCTCCCAGCTCCTGAGAAATTCCAGTCCAGGCTGGGGGTGGACCTGTCTTTCAAGAACCGGCCACTTAGTGCCCGTGTTTTGCACCAAAAGGAGATTTGAAATTGCATTTTCAGCTCTTCAGAGTCTGGGGAGTGTCTCTGTGTGTGCAGTTTCTTATCTCAGGACGGCATGTGCACGGTTAGCCTTCCTTCCTTGGCTAGATAGGAAAGGAGGGACACTCCTGGAAGCTTCTGCGAAGTTTAAAGTGACCCTGTGTTATGTGCAAATGGGCGTGCTTCCCTCCAAGGTGGGCTACTCAGTGAGGGGACCGTATTCCCATCTGCCCCTGTCCTTGGGGAGATGGAATTTTTTTTTTTTTTGAGATGGAGTCTCGCTCTGTCGCCCAGGCTGGAGTACAGTGGGGCAATCTCCGCTCGCTGCAAGCTCCGCCTCCCGGGTTCACGCCATTCTCCTGCCTCAGCCTCCCGAGTAGCTGGGACTACAGGCGCCCGCCACCACGCCTGGCTAATTTTTTGTATTTTTAGTGGAGATGGGGTTTCACCCTGTTAGCCAGGATGGTCTCTATCTCCTGACCTCGTGATCTGCCCACCTTGGCCTCCCAAAGTGCTGGGATTCCAGGCGTGAGCTGCCGTGCCCGGCCGGGGAGATGGATTTATGTGTAGTCGGTCCTTCTTTGCAGAGCAGGGGTGGGAGAATGAGTCCCACTGATCCCCAACTCTCTTTTTTTTTTTTTTTTGAGACGGAGTCTCGCTCTGTCGTCCAGGCTGGAGTGCAGTGGCACAGTCTCGGCTCACTGCAAGCTCCGCCTCCTGGATTCATGCCATTCTCCTGCCTCAGCCTCCCGAGTAGCTGGGACTACAGGCGCCCGCCACCACGCCTGGCTAATTTTTTTGTATTTTTTTTTTTTAAGTTTTTATTTTTTTTTATTTTTTATTTATTATTATTATTTTTTTAATTGATCATTCTTGTGTTTCTCGCAGAGGGGGATTTGGCAGGGTCATAGGACAATAGTGGAGGGAAGGTCGGCAGATAAACACGTGAACAAAGGTCTCTGGTTTTCCTAGGCAGAGGACCCTGCGGCCTTCCACAGTGTTTGTGTCCCTGGGTACTTGAGATTAGGGAGTGGTGATGACTCTTAACGAGCATGCTGCCTTCAGGATCTGTTTAACAAAGCATATCTTGCACCGCCCTTAATCCATTTAACCCTGAGTGGACACAGCACATGTTTCAGAGAGCACAGGGTTGGTGGTAAGGTCACAGATCAACAGGATCCCAAGGCAGAAGAATTTTTCTTAGTACAGAACAAAATGAAAAGTCTCCCATGTCTACTTCTTTCTACACAGACACGGCAACCATCCGATTTCTCAATCTTTTCCCCACCTTTCCCGCCCTTCTATTCCACAAAACCGCCATTGTCATCCTGGCCTGTTCTCAATGAGCTGTTGAGTACACCTCCCAGACGGGGTGGTGGCCGGGCAGAGGGGCTCCTCACTTCCCAGTAGGGGCGGCCGGGCAGAGGCGCCCCTCACCTCCCAGACGGGGCGGCTGGCTGGGCGGGGGGCTGACCCCTCCACCTCCCTCCCGGACGGGGCGGCTGGCCGGGCGGGGGGCTGACCCCCCCACCTCCCTCCCGGACGGGGCGGCTGGCCGGGCGGGGGGCTGACCCCCTGACCTCCCTCCTGGACGGGGCGGCTGGCCGGGCAGAGGGGCTCCTCACTTCCCAGTAGGGACGGCTGGGCAGAGGCACTCCTCACCTCCCGGACGGGGCGGCTGGCCGGGCGGGGGGCTGACCCCCCCACCTCCCTCCCGGACGGGGCGGCTGGCCGGGTGGGGGGCTGACCTCCCCACCTCCCTCCTGGACGGGGCGGCTGGCCTGGCGGGGGCTGACCCCCACCTCTGTCCCGGACGGGGTGGCTGCCGGGCGGAGACGCTCCTCACTTCCCAGACGGGGTGGCTGCTGGGCGGAGAGGCTCCTCACTTCTCAGACAGGGCGGCTGCCGGGCGGAGGGGCTCCTCACTTCTCAGACGGGGCGGTTGCCAGGCAGAGGGTCTCCTCACTTCTCAGACGGGGCGGCCGGGCAGAGACGCTCCTCACCTCCCAGACGAGGTCGCGGCCGGGCAGAGGCGCTCCTCACATCCCAGACGGGGCGGTGGGGCAGAGGCGCTCCCCACATCTCAGACGATGGGCGGCCGGGCAAAGACACTCCTCACTTCCTAGATGTGGTGGCGGCCGGGAAGAGGTGCTCCTCACTTCCTAGATGGGGTGGCAGCTGGGCAGAGACGCTCCTCACTTTCCAGACTGGGCAGCCAGGCAGAAGGGCTCCTCACATCCCAGACGATGGGCGGCCAGGCAGAGACGCTCCTCACTTCCCAGACGGGGTGGTGGCCGGGCAGAGGCTGCAATCTCGGCACTTTGGGAGGCCAAGGCAGGCGGCTGGGAGGTGGAGGTTGTAGCCAGCCGAGATCACACCACTGCACTCCAGCCTGGGCACCATTGAGCACTGAGTGAACTAGACTCCGTCTGCAATCCCGGCACCTCGGGAGGCCGAGGCTGGTGGATCACTCACGGTTAGGAGCTGAGACCGGCCTGGCCAACACAGCGAAACCCCGTCTCCACCAAAAAAATACGAAAACCAGTCAGGCGTGGCGGCGCGAGCCTGCAATCGCAGGCACTCGGCAGGCTGAGGCAGGAGAATCAGGCAGGGAGGTTGCAGTGAGCCGAGATGGCAGCAGTACAGTCCAGCTTCGGCTCGGCATCAGAGGGAGACCGTGGAAAGAGAGGGAGAGGGAGACCGTCGGGAGAGGGGAGAGGGTATTTTTTTTTAATAGAGATGAAGTTTCACCGTGTTAGCCAGGATGGTCTCGATCTCTTGACCTGGTGATCTGCCTGCCTCGGCCTCCCAAAGTGCTGGGATTACAGGTGTGAGCCACCGCGCCTGGCCGATCCCCAACTCTTTGAGAGCCTGGACAATGTGCTCTGCATTCTCCTTAGGGTCTGTGTGTGAACTAACAAGCTGAGAAGTAGGTAGTCCTAGCCTCACTTCAGAGATGAGGAAACTGAGGCATACAGAGGTTTGGTAATGAGTTAGGAGACAGAACTCGACGCTGGAGGCAGGGCCTGGATAGCAGTCGAAATTGAGGACTAGCTGAAATAGGTCCAGGGCAGAATCACCTTCCCATAAGACACGCCTGCCAGTGGGCCATGTCAGTTTACCATCACCATGGCAACACGTGGATGCCCTTTTCCATGACAATGACTGGACAACCCGGAATTTACTACCCCCATTCTAGAAATTTCTGCATAAATCACCCCTTAGTTTGCATATAATTAAAAGTAGGTATAAATATGAGTGCAACACTGCCTCTAAGTTGCTGCTCTGGGTGCCCTGGTAAGGGGGTGGTTCTGCTCTGCAAGGAGCAGGACCTCTGTTGCTGCTGTGCGTGCTGCTGCTTCAATAAAAGTTGCTAACACCATCGGCTCAGCCTTGAATTCCTTCCTAGACAAAGCCTAGAAGCCTCTGGGCTAAGCCCGAATTTGGGGGCTGGCCTGCCTTGTATTCATATGCCCATGAGCACACGGCCAATAGGTGGTGGTGCTGGGATTCACACCAGGTGTGGGGCTGCAGCTGGGACATGAGCAGTGTGGCCTGGCCTGTGAGGGTCTCTGTTGGATTTGCGTCTGGCCACGTTAAGCAGCCATTCGTAGGCATGGAGCTTTCCCTCTTCAGATGGTTTTCCTTAGAGGGAGATAGTTGCACAGACCTTTCTCATAAATAACACCCTAGACAATTGTGCTAGGTCCTTTTTATCTTTTCAGAACAGGAATGCACTTTAAAGTTAGGAAACAGGACGTAATGAAAGAGCATGTAAATTCAGAATGCCTGTTGTGAGTGTTGAAGTCATTTTGTGGGAGAATGGTTACTTGTCTCGTTCGAGGTTGGGTTTAAGCTCCACAACAGGGGCTGGGCACAGTGACTCACGCCTGTAATCCCAGCACTTTGGGAGGCCAAGGTAGACAGATCATTTGAGGTCAGGAGTTCGAGAACAGCCTGGCCAACATGGTGAAACCCCGTCTCTACTAAAAATACAAAAATTAGCTGGGCGTGGTGGCATGCGCCTATAATCCTAGCTACTCGGGAGGCTGAGGCAGGAGAATCATTTGAACCCAGGAGGTGGAGGTTGCAGGGAGCCAAGATTGCACCACTGCACTCCAGCCTGGGTGACAAGAATGAAACTCTGTCTCAATAATTTAAAAAAAAAAGAAAAAAAGACCAGCCTGGGCATTACATAGCGAGACCTTTTCTCTACAAAAAAATGAAAAAATTAGCCAGGCATGGTGGTACGTGTCTGTAGTTCCGGTTACTTGGGAGGCTGAGGCAGGAGGATCGCTTGAGCCCAAGAGACTGAGGCTACAGTGAGCTAAGATCGTGCCACTGCACTCCAGCCTAGGTGACAACAGATCAAGACTCTGTCTCCAAAAAAAAGAGAGAAAGCTTTGCAACGTGTCTACTGAAAATATTTAGTTCATTCTGGACAACTGGGTGTAGACAGTCTGTTTCCAGTTGAGTTCAACATAAAATCTCCTTGAATTGTCAGCTCTGAAAAAACAAATCACTTCTTGAATTTTGTGAGGCACAGGCTGAGTTCCCTTAAACGCGTTAAGATAATCTGAGCATCCTGGTTAACCAATCTTGGAGTTTTGGGGTCTGTAAGACACCAGATGAGAGTCCAGCCTTCTGTGCATGGAAAACTAGGTCTTCGTGTTCAGTGCAAATTTAGCCGTGGGGGAAAAACTGACTAAATATTTCTCTTCCTGTGACATTTTTCACAGTTCCTAATTTGTTCTTGCTGACTTCTGAGGCGTTACATTTTCTGGTTGATTAATTGCGTTCCTTGTTGTCTACCCTTAAGGCAGCCAGGAGAAGGAAGTGCGCCTTCTTCCTTGCTGTGCTTGCCATAGATCAATCAAGGTTTGCTGAAATGGATTTAATTGTATCTCACTTGGCCCATTATGCTGGCTGACTGCTTGGAATTTTCTTGGAGGGACCTTATTTGGTGGCCAATGAAGGTTCTTCTCCATTTGGCCTCTATGAGGATCAAGACAGACTTAGCCCCGTCAGATATTTTGGAATCTTTTCACTTTCATGTCAGGAGACCCTAGAAAAAAACCGGAGTCACTTTCAGACCAAACCAACCACCAGCCAGGAGGAGGGTTAAAAAAGAAAACGCAAGAAACCAGGCATGGGTGGCATTTAGTTAAACAGAGACGAGGACTCTTTTTGGAACTCCAAACTCCTACTTGGTAGGTTATTCCAAGATTCCCCCAATTTGCTAAAATAGTATTCCTTTTTAACTCCGGAACAAATCGCTGGGCCTCCCCTCAGATAAACATTCCCGAAATGAGAGACCCGAGAGGTGTTTTGAGGAATGAGCTGAAGTCCAATGGGCCCTTTCAGAAGGGGGTTCCGGGGGATTGGTGGGACGGATGGCTCTGATGTCCTTGGCTGGCTCCGCTTGTCCCTTGACTCTGATTTGAGTCAGAGGAAATCATCTGAGCGGTGAGTATTTCCAGCACCACACTTCAGTTTTGTGACGTGGAACCAGTGATTTTTTTTTTCCCCTTTGTGGTCTGGTCTCTTGCATCTCCCATGTCCTGCTTGTGTGTGGGTGTGCGTGGGGGGTTCATATGCAGTTCCCTGGGTCTCAGCGATGGATGGCCCGTGCTCTGTTTGTAATCATCCACGGAACCTCAGGCGTGGTCTGGTTCCTGATGAGAACAAGATGCCGTTGTCCTATCGAGGAACCTAGCTCTCTGGGGAGCCCTGACCCTGGTCAGCAGCTTGCTCTGTCTGTGGTTTGATCTGGGAATTTGGTATCAGGAGTATAGGCCCATTAAAAAAGAAAAGCTCAGACCAGGCATGGTGGGTCACGCATGTAATCCCAGCACTTTAGGAGGCCGAGGTGGGAGGATCACTTGAGGTCAGGAGTTCGAGACCAGCCTGGCCATCATGGCGAAACCCTGTCTCTACCAAAAATCCAAAAAATTAGCTAGGCGTGGTAGCATGTGCCTGTAATCCCAGCTGCTCGGGAGGCTGAGGTATGAGAATCTCTTGAACCTGGGAGGTGGAGGTTGCAGTGAGCTGAGATCGTGCCACTGCACTCCAGGCTGGGGGACAGAGCAAGACTCCATCTCAAAAACAAAAAACAAAAAACAAAAACAAAACCAAAACCCAGGTTGGGTGTGGTGGCTCATGCCTGTAATCCCAGCACTTTGGGAGGCTGAGGCGGGTGGATCACCTGAGGTTAGGAGTTCGAGACCAGCCTGGCCAACATGGTGAAACCCCGTCTCTACTAAAAATACAAAAATTACCTGGGCGTGCTGGTGCATGCCTGTAATCCCAGCTACCCGGGAGGCTGAGGCAGGAGAATTGCTGGAACCTGGGAGGCTGCGGTTGCAGAGAGCCGAGATTGCACCACTGCACTCCAGCCTGGGGGACAGAATGAGACTCCGTCTCAAAAAACAAAACAAAACAACCCAAACCAAAAATAAAACGAAAAAGAAAAGTTCAGAGCCTGGGCACCATAGTGAGACTTTGCCTCTACAAAAAAAATAAAAAGTTAGCTGCACATGATGGGGCAGGCCTGTAGCCCCGGCTACTCGGGAGTCTGAGGCAGGAAGATCACTAGAGCCTGGGAGTTCGAGGTGATCTCGCACTGTGCGAGCTGTGATCGCACTACTGTACTCCAGCCTGCACGACAGAGCGAGATCCTCTCTAAAAATAAGAATAAAGAAAAGCTTGGGCCCTGGGCACCATGCTAGGTGCTTTAACATTTTTTGTGTTTTTTTAGTGTTTCTTTTAAAAAAATATTTTTATTTCAATAGTTTTAGGGCTGGTTTTTGGTTATGTAGATGAATTGTTCGTTGGTCGAGGCTGGGTTTTTATTGTACTTGTCACCAAAATAATGTCCATGGTACACAGTAGGTAATTTTTCATCCTTCACCCCCTCCCGCCCTCTGAGGGTCCAGTGTCTGTTATCCCACTTTTGCCTGCTTTTGTGTCCCCGTAGTTCAGCTCTCACTTATAAGTGAGAACATGTGGTATTTGGGTTTCTGATCCTGAGTTACTTCACTTAGGATAATGGCCTCCAGTCTCATCCAAGTTGCTGCAAAAGACATGATTTCATTCTTTTCTATGACTGAGTAGAATTCCATGATGTATATGAACCACATTTTCTGCATCTACTCATCGGTTGACGGGCACTTAGGTTGATTCCATATCTTTGCAACTGTGAATTGTGCTGCGATAAATGGGCATGTGCAGGTATTTTTTTTTTTTTTTTTTTTTTTTTTTGCGGCGGGGTTTTGCTCCTGTTGCCCAGGCTGCAGTGCAGTGGCACAATCTCGGCTCACTGCAACCTGTCCCTCTTGGGTTCAAGCGATTCTCCTGCCTCAGCCTCCCAAATAGCTGGGATTATAGGCATGTGCCACCGTGCCTGGCTAATTTTGTATTTTTAGTAGAGATGGGGTTTCACCATGTTGGCCAGGCTGGTCTCGAACTCCTGACCTCAAGTGATCTGCCCGCCTCGGCCTCCCAAAGTGCTGGGATTACAGGTGTGAGCCACCATGCCCGTCCCCTTTTTGATGTAATTATTTCTTTTCTTTTGGGTGATTACCCAGTAGTGGGACTACTGGATTGAATGGTAGATGTGCCTTTAGTTTTCTGAGAAATCTCCATACTGTTTTCCGCAAAGGCTGTACTAATTTCATTCCCATCGGTAGCGTGTAAGCATTCCCTCTGTACCACATCTACGCCAACATCTGTTGTTCTTTGACTTTTTAATAATAGCCATTCTGGCTGGGGTAAGATACTATCTCATTGTGGTTTTAATTTGCATGTCCCTGTGATGGATTAGTGATTTTGAGCATTTTGCATATATTTTTTGGCCATTTGTATATATTTTTTTCTTTTTTGAGACAGAGTCTCACTCTTGTTGCCCAGGCTGGAGTGCAATGGCGTGATCTCAGCTCACTGCAACCTCTGCCTCCCAGGTTCAAGCGATTCTCATGCCTCAGCCTCCTGAGTAGCTGGGATTACAGGTGTCCGCCACCATGCCTGGCTAATTTTTGTATTTTTGTAGAGATGGGGTTTAACCATGTTGGCTAGGCTGGTCTCGAACTCCTGACCTCAGGTGATCCACCCGCCTCGGCCTCCCAAAGTGCTGGGATTACAGGTGTGAGCCACCACACCCGGCTGTTTCAAAATATCTTAATGTTACATCACATTAAATAAGGTATTAAATAGCCCCATTTATATAGCAATCAGGCAAGAGAAATAAAGTGCATCTGGATTGGAAGAGAGGAAGTCAAACTATCTCTGTTTGCTGATGATATGATATTATACCTAGAACACCCTCAAGACTCCTCTAGAAGACTCCTAGATTTGAGAAAAGAATTCAGTGAAGTTTCAGGTTACAAAATCAGTATACACAAATCAGTAGCATGCTATCTGCCAGCAGCGACCAAGCTGAGAATCAAATCAAGAACTCATTCCCATTTACAATAGCTACAATAACAACAACCAAACACCCTAGGAATATAGTTACCCAAGGATGTGAAAGATCTCTACAAGGAGAACAATAAAACACTGATGAAATAAATCATAGATGACACAAACAAATGGAAAAACATCCCGTGCTCAGGGATTGGGAGAATCAATATTGTGAAAATGACCACACTGCCAAAAGCAATCTACAGAGTCAGTGTGATTCCTACCAAGATACCAACGTCATTTTTCACAGAATTAGAAAAAGATCCAAAAATTCACATGGAAACAATGAGCCCGAAAAGGCAAAGCAATCCTAAGCAAAAGGAATGAATTTGGAGGGATCGCATTACCTGATTCAAGTTAATCTCTAAGGCTGTAGTAACCAAAATAGCATGATCCTGGTATAAACGTGCACACAGACCCATGGAACAGAATAGGAACCCAGAAATAAAGCTACATTTTTACAAGCAGCTGATCTTTGACAAAACATACAAAAACATATCACTGGGGAAAGGACGCCCTGGTTAATAAGTGGCGCTAGGAAAATTGGATAGCCACATGCAAAAGAATGAAACTGGGTCGCTCGCTCTCACCATATGCAAAAATCAACTCAAGACTTAAATCTAAGACCTGAAACTATAACAACTCTAGAAGATAACATTGGGAGAACTCTTCCGGACATAGGCCAAGGCAAAGAATTTATGCCCAAGGCCCCAAAAGCAACAGAAACACATTTCCTTTTTTTTTTTTTTTTTTTTTTTTTTGCTGGGATTACAGGCGCCTGCCACCATGCCTGGCTGATTTTTGTATTTTTAGTAGAGACAGGGTTTCACCATGTTGGCCAGGCTAGTCTTGCACTCCTGTTCTCAGGTGATCCACCTGCCTTGGCCTCCCAAAGTGCTGAGATTACAGGTGTGTGCCTCCGTGCCTGGCCTCTTTTTTTTTTTTTTTTTTGAGATGGAGTATCCCTCTGTTACCCGGGCTGGGTGCAATGGCACGAACTCGGCTCACTGCAGCCTCCGTCTCCTGAGTTCAAGCAGTTCTCGAGCCTCAGACTCCCGAGTAGCTGGGATTACAGGCACGTGCCACCACACTTGGCTAATTTTTGTATTTTTATTAGATATGCTGTTTCACCATGTTGGCCAGGCTGGTCTCGAACTCCTGACCTCAAGTGATCTGCCCGCCTTGGCCTCCCAAAGTTGCTGGGATAACAGGTGTGAGCCACCGCGCTTGGCCTACATTTTCTGTTTTGAATTCTTGCAACCAAACAGTGAGGTGGATGGTCTTGTCTTTTATTATTTTATTTTATTTATTTTTATATTTTAGGAGACAGGGTCTTATTCTGTTACCCAGGTTGGAATGCAGTGGCACAATCATAGCTCACTGTAGCCTTGAACTCCTGGGGCTCAAGTGATCCTCCTACCTCAGCTTCCCAAGTAGCTGGGACCACAGGTGTGCACCACCATGCCTGACTTTTTATTTTTTTGTAGAGATGGGGTATTGCCATGTTCCCCGGGCTGGTCTCCAGCTCCTGGCTCAAGTGATCCTCCCTGTTTGGCCTCACAAAGTGCTGGGATTACAGGTGTGAGCCGCTGCTGGCCTTGGCCTCATTTTAGAGCAGGGACCTCGGAGTGCAGAGGGGTGAACTGCTTGCTGATGGTCACAGACAGACCTGCGGCTCCAGCTCCTGCTCCTGCTCACATGTTTTTGGGTGTTGAATGAGGCCACCAGGGAGGGAGCCTAGGCTCTGGTGTCACTGAGTAGCCTGGTACATGTTCTGTCCCCCCAGCCACCTTGCTGGCTCTGTGACCTTGGGCAGGTCATCACCCGCTGGGCCTCCAATTTCTGCATCTGTAAAATGAGATCACAAATGTACCTACTTACAGTGTTTTTAGGAACAAAGAGATGGTCTATGAAGTGTCCGGTAGACTTCCAGACACCAGCACTGTATGAGGGCTCCAATCTCCAAGTCCTTGCCAGTACTGGTGACTGCCTGTCTTTGTGATTATAGCCATTGTGGTGGGGGTGGTGACATCTCACTGTGGTTGAGCATCTTTTTTTTTTCTTTTTTTTCTTATTTATTTATTTATTTTGAGATGGAGTCTTGCACTTGTCGCCTGGGCTGGGGTGCAATGGCGTGATCTCGGCTCACTGCAACCTCTGCCTCCCAGGTTCAAACGATTCTCTGGCCTCAGCCTCCCGAGTAGCTGAGATTACAGGTGCCCACCACCATGCCCAGCTAATTTTTTGTATTTCTAGTAGAGACAGGGTTTCACTATGTTGGCCAGGCTGGTCTCGAACTCCTGACCTCGTGATCCACCCACCTCGGCCTCCCAAAGTGCTGGGATTACAGGCATGAGCCACTGCGCTCAGCCTCTATTTTTTTTTTTGAGACAGAGTTTCACTCTTGTTGCCCAGGCTGGAGTGCACTGGTGTGATCTCGGCTCACTGCAACCTCCCCCTCCCGGGTACCAGTTCAAGCAGTTCTGCCTCAGCCTCCTGAGTAGTTGGGATTACTGGCACGCACCACCACACCCAGCTAATTTTTGTATTTTTAGTAGAGACGGGATTTCACCATGTTGGCCAGGCAGGTCTCGAACTCCTGACCTCGTGATCCGCCCGCCTCAGCCTCCCAAAGTGCTGGGATTACAGGCGTGAGCCACCATGCCTGGCCTGGCCTCTTTTTTTAATTTTTGAGATGGAGTCTTGCTTTGTCACCCAGGCTGGAGTACAATGGCGCTATCTTGGCTCACTGCAACCATCACCTCCTGGGTTCAAGCGATTCTCCTGCTTCAGCCTTCCGAGTAGCTGGGATTGCAGGCACACACCACCACACCCAGCTAATTTTTGTATTTTTGTATTTTTAGTAGAGATGGGGTTTCACCATGTTGGCCAGGGTGGTCTCGATCTCCTGACCTCATGATCCACCTGCCTTGGCCTCCCAGAGTGCTAGGATTCCAGGCGTGAGCCACCGCACCCGACTGAGCATCTTTTCAGGTGCTCATTGGCCATTTCTGCATCTTCTTTAGATAAATGACTATTCAAATTTTTTGTACATCTTTAAAATTAGGTAATTTGGCTTGTTTCAGTGGCTCACGCCTGTAATTCCAGCACTTTGGGAGGCCGAGGTGGGTGGATCACTTAAGCTTAGGAATTGGAGACCTGCGCTCATGTGATCCTCCCACCTCAGCCTCCCAAAAGTGCTATGATTACAGGCGTGAGCCACTGTGCCCAGCCTGGTCTCACTTTCTTGGTGGTGTCATTTGCAGCACAGCAGTTTTAAATTTTGATGAAGTTCAGTTTATCTCTTTTGTTATGTATTTACTTATTATTTTTAGGTATAAGGTCTTACTCTATCACCCGGGCTGGAGTGCAGTGGCACGATTGTAGCTCACTGCAGCCTCAACCTGGGCTCAAGTCATTCTGCCACCTTGGCTTCTTGGGTAGCTGGGACTACAAGCATGAGCCACCATGCCTGGCTAATTTTTTATTTTTGTTTTGTAGAGGCAGGATCTTGCCGCGTTGCCCAGGCTGGTGTCCAAATCTAGCCTCGAGGAAACCCTCTCACCTCAACCTCCCAAATTGCTGGGTATTTTGTTCTTTTGTTGCTGTGCTTTTGGTGTCATATCTAAGAAGTCTTTGCCTGGGCCGGGCACAGTGGCTCACGCCTGTAATCCCAGCACTTCGGGAGGCCGAGGCGGGTGGATCATGAGGTCAGGAGATTGAGACCATCCTGGCCAACATGGTGAAACCACGTTTCTACTAAAAATACAAAAAATTAGCCGGGTGTGGTGGTGGACGCCTGTAGTCCCAGCTACTCGGGAGGCTGAGGCAGGAGAATGGCGTGAACCTGGGAGGCGGAGCTTGCAGTGAGCCGAGATCGCGCCACTGCACTACAGCCTGGGCGACAGAGCAAGACTCCGTCTTAAAAAAAAAAAAAAAGAAGTCTTTGCCTATCCCAAGGTCATGAAGATTTATGCCTATATTTTCTGCTAAGAGTTTTGTAATGGTAGCTCTTGCATTTAGGTCTGTGATCAGTTTTGAGTTAGTTATCATATATGGTGTGAGGGAGGGGTCCGGCTTCATTTTTTTTTGAGATGGAGTCTCACTGTGTTGCCCAGGCTGGAGTACAATGGTGGGATCTTGGCTCACTGCAACCTCTGCCTCCCAGGTTCAAGTGATTCTCCTGCCTCAGCCTCCCAAGTAGCTGGGATTACAGGCATGCACCACCACGCCTGGCTAATTTCGTATTTTTAGTAGAGACAGGGTTTCACCATGTTGGTCAGGCTGGTGTCGAACTCCTGACCTCAGGTGATCCATCCACCTCGGCCTCCCAGAGTGTTGGGATTACAGGCATGAGCCAGTGCGCCCAGCCATGCCTCATGCTTTTGAAGGTGGGTACCCAGTTGTCCGTCATTAGACGTGTTCTGGGTGCACCTGTGGTGTGCTCCTCCCATGATAGGCAGCAGTGGGAAGCCACAGCTCTCTAAGGGAGTGTTTGTTTTAGTTTGGGAGAAGCCTGTGAATGAGACAGGTTGAGGAAGGTTCAAAAAGGAGAGTGAAGCCAGTTGTAGGAGTGTGAAGGAAGGAAGGACTGATAGACCCTTAACCGGGGTGGGAAGTACTTCATTGTTGAAGTGGGGTTTGAACTGAGCTTGGAGCCTGGAGAGAACTGATTTCAGAAATTCTCAGTAATCAGGACCAGGGGGTTGGGTCTTCCGAGACTGGTTTCCTTTTTTTTTTTTTCTTTTTTCTTTTTGAGACCGAGTCTCGCTCTATAACCCAGGCTAGAGTGCAGTGCCATGATCTCGGCTCCCTGCAGCCTCTGCCTCCTGGGTTCAAGTGATTCTCGTGCCTCAGCCTTCCAAGTAGCTGAGATTACAGGCATGTGCCACCACAGCCAGCTAATTTTTGTATTTTTAGTAGAGACAGGGTTTCGCCATGTTGGCCATGCTGGTCTCGAACTCCTGAGCTCAGGTGATCTGCCCGCCTTGGCCTCCCAAAGTGCTGGGATTACAGGTGTAGTCCACCACATCCGGCCTAGTTTCTTTTTTTTTTTAAACAGGGTGTCTTCTGCTCCCCAGGCTAGACTGCAGTAGCGCAATCATAGCTTACTGCAGCCTTGAACTTCTGGGCTCAAAGGACCCTCCTGCCTCAGCTTTGGAAGCAGCTGGAACTACAGATTCACACCACCACGCCTGACTGGTTTTTTTTCTTTTTTTTGGTAGAAATAGGGTCTTGCTGTGTTGCCCAGGTTGGTCTCAAACTCCTGGGCTCAAGTGATCCTCTCCAGCCTCAGCCTCCCAAAGTTCTGGGATTGCAGGCGTGAGCCAGTGCCCCGCTACAAGACTGTTTATACTTTGCTTCAAGGTAGAAACACTGAGACCATTGCAGGAAGACAGCAACCTTCTTCTCTGACTGTAGGTTGGTTGTTCTGACGATGCGGCAGTGTTTCCTCACCTGGGTTCCTCCTCCTGTTCTCCTGGGGGAAAAGGTTGTAGCTGAGAATTGGCAGAGAGGCCGTGGTGGAGGAGGGAAGATTCTCTGCTTTGTGCGGAGGTCACTCTCGGGACTCAGTGTGGCAGGGTCTGTTGACTACGTTCTCTTTGTGTCAGCAGCTTTTGCTTGGTGCTGTGGCTGACTGAGGCGCGGTCCCCATCACCATGAGACCTCACAGGTGCTGGGAGGGCATGCGGCTGTTGCCCTGCCTCGGCCACCCTCCTGGCCCCAAATTAAGTTATATGGCTTTCTTGCTCACGTGAATTAAATTATTTTCATTCATTCAGCAGATGTTTATTTAGCATCTATTATGTGCTGGGCACTGTTATTTTTCTTTTCTTTTCTTTATTTTTTGAGACAGAGTCTCATTCTGTCACTGAGGCTAGAGTGCAGTGGTGTGATCTCGGCTCACTGCAACTTCTACCTCCTGGGTTCAAGAGATTCTCGTGCCTCAGCCTCTGGAGTATCTGGAATTACAGGCATGCATCACCGTGCCTGGCTAATTTTATTTGTATTTTTAGTAGAGACCGAGTCTGACTGTGTTGTCCTGGCTGGTCTCGAACTCCAGGCCTCCAGTGATCCGCCCATCTTGGCCTCCAAAAGTGCTGGGATTACAGGTACGAGCCATTGCACTGGCTTTATTTATTTATTTTTTCATTTATTTAGAGGCAGAGTTTTGCCCTTGTCGCCAGGCTGGAGGGCCGTGGTGTAATCTCCGCGCACTGCAACCTCCACCTCCCAGGTTCAAGCGATTTTCCTTCCTCAGCCTCCTGAGTAGCTGGGATTACAGGTGCGCACCACCACGCCCGGCTAATTTTTGTATTTTTAGTAGAGGTAGGGTTTCACCATGTTGGCCAGGCTGGTACTGAACTCCTGACCTCAGGTGATCCACCCGCCTCAGCCTCCCAAAGTGTTGGCATTACAGGTGTGTGCTATCACGCTGGCCTTATTTTTATTTTTTGAAATGGAGTCTTGCTCTGTTGCCCAGGCAGGAGCGTAGTGGCTCGATCATGGCTCACTGTAGCCTCCGCCTCACCCTCCCGAATAGCTGGGACTATAGGTGCGTGCCACGGTGCCTGGCCCGAATGGCTTTGTTATACCCACGTGAACAGTACTACGTTTTACTAACAGAAAAGCATCAAATGAGACTTTTCTTCCGAAACTATGTTCAGAGAGTGACTGCAGTATTGCCTTGGCAATCTAGTGAATGTATCCTCACCGCATTAAAAAAAAGAGAAAAACAGAATTTTTGCTTCCTCTCTGAGGATTGGGAATATGGAACGGTGGTTATAACGTAAAGGGAAAAGCATCTAGATGGAACAGTGAACTAATGGATCGCAACTGTGTTAAAAGAGGCACAGTCCTCCTGGAATGAGGGAAGACGGACGGAAAATGCTGAATGTTGGCTCGTGTGCGAGGCAGCTGGAGCTCTTGCTGGTGGGAGTGTGAATTGGCTCAGTCACTTTGGAAAACTGAAATATTTACCAAGCTGAACATATGCAGATCCCGTGATCCAGCAATTTCACTTGTAGATATGTTATGGAGCCAACAGAAAGGCACACATATGTCCACCAAGAGCCACGTGCTGGAATGTTCGTAACAGCACCGTGTGGAACAGGGAGGTGCTGGAACCCTCCCAGATGCCCCGCAGCAGAGGGAGGAGGAGGCGACGAGGACACATAGTCACGCAGCGGCGCCCACCACAGGGGCAGCCATCGCCCCACAGCCACGTGCACAACAGGTCTCGCAGCCTGATGCTGAGGGAAAGACGTCAGGAACAAAGGAACTGACTTTCGACCGTGGTTACATAATATAAAAACAAGCCAGGTGCAGAGGCTCACACCTGTAATCCCAGCACTTTTGGAGGCTGAGGAAGGAGGATTGCTTGAGACTCGGAGTTGGAGACCAGCCTGAGCAACATGGGGAAACCTCATCTCTACAAAAAATAACGAAAATTAGCTGGGTGTGGTGGCATGTGCCTGTGGTCCCAGCTACACTCAGGAGGCTGAGATGGGAGGATTGCTTGAGCCGGGGACGTCAAGGCTACAGTGAGCTGTGACTGCATCACTGCACTCCAGCCTGGGCGACAGAGTGAGACCCTGTCTCAAAAACAAAAACCCCAAAACAGGCAAACCCCCAAAAAACCCCTGAGCTTGAGAAGTCAGTGGTTACTCTTGGGGTGGTGACAGGTTCTGAGTGGGCATCGATGCTAATTCTGCTGTTGCTTCTCTGGGTGCGATGGCCCTGGGGCACTCATGTAGAAAACTCACTGGGCTGCGCAGTCGAGAAACACCTGCCTGGAAACGGTACCCATCAGCTCTAGAAAGCACTCACTTTGAGTAGGGAAAGGGAGAGGAGGGGAATGACGTGTGTCTGTAATGTGTGTGTGTGTATTTTCACTGTAAATTTAATATATCCATGACAGAAATTTATCTCTGGATGCCATAAAAATATTCACTAAGATTTTCTACAAAGACAGTATCTGAATTTTTTTTTTTTTTTTTTTTTTTAAGACAGTCTTGCTCTGTCGCCTAGGCTGGAGTGCAGTGGTGCGATCTCGGCTCACAGCAACCTCCACCTCCGCCTCTCAGGCTCAAGTGATTCTCCTTCCTCAGCCTCCCGAGTAGGTGGGATTACAGGCACACACCACCCTGCCTGGCCAATTTTTGTATTATTAGTAGAGATGGGGGTTTCACCATGGTGGCCAGGCTGGTCTCGAACTCCTGACCTCAGGTAATCCACCCGCCTCAGCCTCCCACAGTGTTGGGATTACGGGCGTGAGCCACTCTGCCCAGCCAGTACCTGAATATTGAACTGTAGGCTCCGTGGATGGTCCAGAACACATGACAACACCACCAGTGTGTTCAAAAGCACAGTCAGCCACACAGCCACACTGAAGAGTATAGCCAAGTTGAAGGGTTTTTCCCAGAACACCATGAAGCATAGTTCTTTTTTTTTTTTTTCTGCTCGCCCAGGCAGGAGTGCAATGGTGTTATCCTGGCTCACTGCAGTCCCAAAGTGTTGGGATTACAGGCATGAGCCACTGCGCCCAGCCTCTATATAGAGTTTTTTTGTTGTTGTTGTTGTTTATTTTTGTTTTTGTTTGAGACGGAGTCTCACTCTGTCGCCCAGGCTGGAGTGCAGTGTGGTGCGATCTCAGCTCAGTGCAACCTCCACCTTCTGGGTTCAAGCGATTCTCCTGCCTCAGTCTCCCAAGTAGCTGGGACTATAGGTGCCCGCCAGCATGTGTAGCTAATTTTTGTATTATTATTATTTTTGAGACAAAGTTTTGCTCTTGTTGCCCAGGCTGGAGTGCAATGGCGTGATCTCGGCTCACTGCAACCTCTGCCTCCCAGGTTCAAGTGATTGTCCTGCCTCAGCCTCCCTAGTAGCTGGGATTACAGGCATGCGCCACCACACCCGTCTAATTTTTGTATTTTTAGTAGAGATGGGGTTTCTCTATGTTGGCCAGGCTGGTCTCGAACTCCTCACTCAATGGATCCACCTGCTTCAGCCTCCCAAAGTACTGGAATTACAGGTGTGAGGCACCCCGCCTGGACAATAATCACTTTTAATATTTTTTTCATCAGTCTTTTTTTTTTGAAACAGAGTCTTGCTCTGTTGCCCAGGCTGGATTGCTTGAGCCCAGGAGTTTGAGACTAGCCTGAGCAACATGGCGAGACCCTATCTCTATGAAAAATTATTATTATTATTATTTTTGAGACAGAGTCTCACTCTGTTGCCCAGGCTGGAGTACAGTGGTGCAATCTCGGCTCACTGCAACCTCTGCCTCCTGAGTTCAAGCAATTCTCTGCCTCAGCCTCCTGAGTAGCTGGGATTACAGGTGCCCACCACCACGCCTGGCTAATTTTTGTATGTTTAGTAGAGATGGAGTTTCACCATGTTGGCCAGGCTGGTCTTGAACTCCTGACCTCATGATCTGCCCACCTCAGCCTCCCAAAGTGCTGCGATCACAGGTGTGAGCCACCTCGCCTGGCCAAAAAATTAATTTTTTAAAAATATAAAATCTATAAAAAATTTAGGCTGGTTGCGGTGGCTCATGCCTGTAATCCCAGCACTTTGGGAGGCTGAGGCATGGATCACGAGGTCAGGAGATCGAGACCATCCTGGCTAACATGGTGAAACCCCATCTCTACTAAAAATACAAAAAATTAGCCGGATGTGGTGGTGGGCGCCTGTAGTCCCGGCTACTCAGGAGGCTGAGGCAGGAGAATGGCGTGAACCCCGGGAGGTGGAGGTTGCAGTGAGCCGAGATCGTGCCACTGCACTCCAGCCTGGGCGACAGAGCAAGACTCCATTAAAAAAAAAAAAAAATTATAAAATAGCCCGTATGGCACATTACAGCTTTATGCACATGGAAAGTAATATGCAAAAATGAATATAGATGTGTACAGGTTGTAGGGATGGAGTGAGTTTATTTCAAAATATCTTAATGTTACATCACATTAAATAAGGTATTAAAAATAAACCTAAAGGTTAATGAAATTGAGGCTATGAAAAGTTTCTGTTTAAAGTATACGACCTAGGCTGGGTGAGGTGGCTCTCGTCTGTAATCCCAGCACTTTGGGAGGCCGAGGCAGGCGGATCACCTGAGTTCAGGAGTTCAAGACCAGCCTGGCCATCATGGTGAAACCCCGTCTCTACCCAAAATACAAAAATTAGTCAGGTGTGGTGGTGTGTGCCTGTAATCCCAGCTGCTCTGAAGGCTGAGGCAGGAGAATCGCTTGAACCTGGGACTTGGAGGTTGCAGTGAGCCGAGATAGCGCCACAGCATTCCAGCTTGGGAGACAGAGCAAGACTCCCTCTCAAAAAAGAAAAAAAAAAAAAAAGTTACTGTTTAAAGTATACAACCTAGGCTGGGTGCTATGGCTCACGCCTGTAATCCCAGCACTTTGATAGGTTGAGGTGGGAGGATTGCTTGAGTCCAGGAGTTCGAGACCAGCCTGGGCAACATAGTGAGACCCCCCCGCATATCTACAAAAAATACAAAAATTAGCTGGGCATGGTGGTGCACACGTGTACTACATTTATAGTTCCAGCTACTTGGGAGGCTGAGGTGGGAGGATTGCTTGAGCCCAGGAGGTCCTGGCAACAGTGAGCTGTGATCGTGCCACTGCATTCCAGCCTAGGCAACAGAGAAAGATCCTGTCTCAAATAAAAAAAATAGAAAAAGAAAGTATGAGACCTGTATGGCAGTTAGCGCAGTAGTTAGGGGAGCTGTCTTGGGCATGAGAGGATCATGGGTGAAGTGTGTTACCTGTAACAGAAGCATCTCTATTTCTCCATGTTCGAGGGGCGTTCCTGCTGTTCCCTGGCCACAGAGCTGCCAAACTCTCATGTCTAATGCCATGGCTATAATATGGATCAGGAAACTTCTGCTTCCATTTCCTGAGAACAGTTTGTTAATTTCAGAATAACATAGTAGCTTAGAGAAAGTTTTTTTGTTTTGAGACTGAGTCTCGCTCTGTTGCCCAGGCTGGAATGCAGTGGCGCGAACTTGGCTCACCGCAACCTCTGCCTCCCGGGTTCAAGCAATTCTCCTGCCTCAGCCTCCCAAGTAGCTGGGACTACAGGCGCCCGCCACCATGCCTAACTAATTTTTTGCATTTTTTTTTTTTTTTTTTTGAGACGGAGTCTTGCTCTGTCACCCAGGCTGGAGTGCAGTGGCGCCATCTCGGCTCACTGCAACTTCTGCCTCCCGGGTTCACGCCATTCTCCTGCCTCAGACTCCCGAGTAGCTGGGACTACAGGTGTCCGCCACCACACCCGGCTAATTTTTTGTATTTTTAGAAGAGATGAGGTTTCATCGTGTTAGCCAGGATGGTCTCGATCTCCTGACCTTGTGATCCGCCCACCTCAGCCTCCAAAAGTGCTGGGATTTACAGGCGTGAGGCACTCCGCCCAGCCAAGAAGTTTTAATTAATTTACTTATTTATTTATTAGCCGACTCAGAATGTGTAAGTAGAGAAGGTTTTAATCCAGGGTAGAAAGTGTTTATGAGCGGAAGAAGGAATATTCACATTGAAAATTGAAGACATCTGCGGACTGTCTTTCATTTGATTTCAGTGGAAAAGGTGTAGTCTGACTTGTCGTTTTTCATTCTCCCCATCCAGATGAAGAAATAAAAGCAATAGGCCAGGCACAGTGGCTCACGCCTGTAATCCCAGCACTTTGGGAGGCTGAGGTGGGCGGATCACAAGGTCAGGAGATCGAGACCAGCCTGGCCAACGTGGTGAAAACCTGTCTCTACTAAAAACACAAAAAATTAGCTGGGCATGGTGGTGTGCACCTGTAGTCCCTGCTACTCAGTAGGAGGCTGAGGCAGGAGAATCGCTTAAACCCGGGAGGCGGAGATTGCAGTGAACTGAGATTGCACCATTGCACTCCAGCCTGGGCAACAGAGTGAGACTCTGTCTCAAAAAAAAAAAAAAAAAAAAAAAGGAAATAAAAGCAGTGTTTATGAACACCTGATTTCCATTCTACTTCGGGGGCGGGGTCAGGACAAGGGATCGAATTCCTTCTCTCTGTTGCCCTATGACAAGGGCTTTCAAACTGTGGCCCCTGACCAGAAGCAGCATCTGGGAACTTGTTAGAAATGCAGATTCCAGGCTGGGTGTGGTGGCTCACGCCTGTCATCCCAGCACTATAGGAGGCTGAGGCGGGTGGATCACCTGAGGTCAGGAGTTCGAGACTAGCCTGGACAACATGGTGAAACCCCATCTCTACTAAAAATACAAAAATTAGCCGGGCGTGGTGGCGGGTGCCTGTAATCCCAGCAATTTGGGAAGCAGAGGCGGGTAGATCACTTGAGGTCAGGAGTTCAGGACAAGCCTGGTCAACATGGTGAAACCCCATGTCTCCTAAAAATGCAAAATTAGCCAGGTATGGTGGCACATGCCTGTAATCCCAGCTACTCGGGAGGTTGAGGCATGAGAATCGCTGGAACCCTGGACACTGAGGTTGCAGTGAGCCAAGATTGTGCCACTGCACTCTAGCTTGGGTGACAGAGTAAGACTCCGGCACCCCCTCCAAAAAAAGCAGATTCCCAGTCCCCACCCCAGCCCTCCTGTTGGAGAGACGCTGGGAGTGGGCCCAGCCCTCTGTGTTTGAAGGAGCCCACCAGGTGATTCTGATACGCACCCACTTTGGGGAATTTAGCCCTGGGACGCTGTGCCATCCTTGCTGGTCCTGATCTCCCCTCCGTTCTAGGGAACTGGCAGCTGGGGACAGCAGCCGTGTGTCGTGGAAGAGCAGGGAACTTGGAGTCCATGGGAATGCGCATTCAGGTCCTCCCTGCCACTAAACGGGACAGTAGGAACCACACTCGTGGTCTCCTTGGGAAGGCCCCTGCCCTGTCCTGGCTCTGAAAGCACCGGCCCTGAAGGCCTCTCCATCGGCACGGGGAACCCCAGGGAGTGCCTGGGCGGCGCGGACCTGGAGCTGGGGGTGTGTGTGAGTGCTCAGTGTAGCCCCACGCTGGGTCAGCAGGAAGTAGTGTGCGGGCCAGTCCGGGGCGGGCTTGGCCTCCAGGCAACAGCTGCAGCTGTGCTGCTTGGGACCCTCCAGTGTCTGTCCCGTGCCACCTGCGCCGAGGCTGGCAGGGCCTGTGACTTCTGCTGAGGTCAGCATTTGCGAAGGTGTGCTTCAATGAAGGGGGAGCGTCTTTGCATGGGGTTTGTCGGTAAATCCTGTTTGTTTGTTTCTTTTTTTTTTTTTGAGACGGAGTCTGGTTTTGTCGCCCAGGCTGGAGTGCAGTGGCGCGATCTCTGCTCACTGCAAGCTCCGCCTCCCGGGTTCACACCATTCTCCTGCCTCAGCCTCCCGAGTAGCTGGGACTACAGGCTTCCGCCACCACGCCCGGCTAATTTTTTGTATTTTTAGTAGAGACGGGGTTTCACCATGTTAGCCAGGATGGTCTCGATCTCCTGACCTCGTGATCCACCCGCCTCGGCCTGCCAAAGTGCTGGGATTACAGGCGTGAGCCACCATGCCTGGCCATGCCCAGCTAATTTTTGTGTGTTTAGTAGAGATGGAATTTCGCCACGTTGGCCAGGCAGGCCTCAAACTCCTGACCTTAGGTGATCCACCTGCCTCGGCCTCCCAAAGTGCTGGGAATTCAGGCGTGAGCCACTGCGCCCGGCCAATCCTTTTTTGTTTCTAAAGCTGCGGTCTCTGGGGTGGGAGGCCCGAGATGTCAGCTGTGAAAAGAATGTAGTGCTCACCTGCTCTGTGTTGTTACTGTCTGAAGTTCCTGGTGAAAGACACTGGGCGGGAGATGGGTGTGTGTGTTTGAAGTTTCGTTACCTTCTGATTTGTGGATAACTCGCTTGGAGATTCACAGACTTGTGAGGCTGAAAGGATCTTGAATGTTGCTTGTGGGTTGTTTCCCCTTTTTTTGTTGCAAAGAGGGGTCACAGTGGGCCGGCGGCTGACTTGGGCCTGACTTTGCCCCTCACCGCATGCCTGGTTTCTGTGACAGCTGCCCAGCCCCCTCTCACAGTTTATCTTTGCAAGTGCAGCATCCAAGTGTGACTCCCACACATTGTGTGGAAGGCACCAATTTGTGAGCCAGTCTGGGAGCTGACCGCCACCGAAAACTTGCTGAGAGGGGAATGCATTCTGAGTTTTAGTGGGTAGATCTGCAGAATCTTTTCGGATTGGAGCGTGGTAAATCTGGAAGGAAGTCAGGGACACTTATTGAATGTTTTCTATTTGCTAGTTATTTTCAGCTCTCCCACCTCACTGAATTCTGAGGCCCTTGGCCTGGGATCTGAGGGGCTGCTTCCCTCCCAGGGTCTCACAGATAGTGAGCGGCATTTCAGGGGCAAGACACTTCCAAGTCCAGGTTCCGGGTTGGGTCTGAAGCCCACAGTGAAGCAGTTTGGTGCCAGAAGGGTTGGAGTGGGGAGGGGCTGTCGTTCGAGGGGCCTGTGGGGGGTTGCTGTAGTATCAGGGCATAGATGGCGATGGCCAGGCCCAGGGGTGAGGGCATCCTTACACCCACCGCACGGATTTGAACAGTAAGCTCAGAGGCGGCTGCGTGCTAGGCCACAAAGCTAGGAAATGATGGAGGCTGGATTTCAGCCAGGATCTCTCTGAGCCAGATCCCATCCTGCGTCCACAGCCTTTCCAGCTGGGGGCCAAGCTGGCCTCCCTCATCTCATCTGTTTTCTCTCTGTGGGACTGGGTTAGTTTAGGGTGTATTGTCCAGGCTCTGTGTCTTATGGGCTGTGTGCACTGCTTCAAGGGGTGTCAGTTTGATAGAGTATTGAAGTTCCATTAGTGAGCATAACGTTTATTCCTGCAGAAAGCCGGGCTCCTCCTCCTGGTGTTTCTGCCCGTTCTGCAGTGTGTGGTCCGTCACCTGGCAGTGTACCCATTTGAAATGATGTTTTTTTTTTTTTCCTTTTTGTTTTTATAGACAGGGTCTTACTCTGTCACCCAGGCTGGAGTGCAGTGGCCCAATCTTGGCATACCGCAGCCGTGAACTCTTGGGCTCAAGCAATCCTCCTGCCTCAGCCTCCTGAGTAGCTGGGACTACAGGTTGCGCCAACATGCCCGTAATTTTATTTTTTGTAGAGATGGCATCTTATTATGTTGCCCAGGCTGGTCTTTAACTCCTGGGCTCAAGTGATCCTCTTGCCTCAGCCTCCCAAAGTGCTGGGATTGTAGGTGCTAGCCATAGTACCTGGTCTTTTTCTTTCTTTTTCTTAATTAAAATTTATTTTGCAAATATGGGCATCTGGCCGGGCGCGGTGTCTCATGCCTGTAATCCCAGCACTTTGGGAGGCTGAGGTGGGTGGATCATTTGAGGTCAGGAGTTTGAGACCAGTCTGGCCAACATGGTAAAACCCTGTTTCTACTAAAAATACAAAAATTAGCTGGGCATATTGGTGCACGCCTGTCATCCCACTTACTCTGGAGGCTGAGGCAGCAGAATTGCTTGAACCCGGGAGGTGGAGGTTGCAGTGAGCCAAGATTGTGCCATTGCACTCCAGCCTGGGCAACAGAGCGAGACTCTGTCTCTCAAAAAAAAAAAAAAAAGGGCATTCTAGTTTAGTAAATTGATATTTGAAAGCATAGCTTTCTAATGATTGGAACTTGTACATAGAAGTTATTGAGATGTTTGAGACAATCGAGAGTTAAAGAAGTGTCTTTGATTTAAAATGTGTTTTTTGAGCTCTTTCAGATTCTCATGCAATCAAAGTTCAAATTCTTCACCAACATGTGACCACTTGGTAATCATTACTGAGTTTACATTCTTTCTTGGAAGATTATCTTATCTTAATAATCAGGAAAATCATAAAAATTAATACATGCTTAATAGAGAACACTTATTTTAAACTTTTTTTTTTTTTTGAGACAGAGTCTCTGTTGCCCAGGCTGGAGTGCAGTGGCGTGATCTGGGCTCACCACAACCTCCGCTTCCTGAGTTTAAGTGATAATTTTCCTGCCTCAACCTCCTGAGTAGCTGGGATTACAGGTGTGCGCTAACATGTAAAAAACAAAAAAAATGAGAAACACTTTTTTTTCTATTTAGAACTCACTTTGTATTAAAAACCAAACTGACTTTTTAAACATTATTCCTTGTTTTGGTTTTTTCTTTGCAAGCTGGGCGTAGGATCTCTGATTTGCTTTTGCTGCTTTGTGCAGGGTGCACGGTGACTTCTTGTCTGTAAGGCAGCTGGAGTTTTCTGGCTTAATTCTTCCGTGCATGTGGTTGGGAGTCCTAGCTATAAGCAGGCCTGGAGTTTTTTCTCTTTCTTTCCTCCCTTCTTCTCTCCCCTCCCTCCTGTCTGTCCAGATGACTTTTTGGCATATGAAAGTAATGTGTTCACTGTGAACACACTGGGGCATTTAGAAGATCGTATGGCTAGTTTATTTGGTTTGAGCCTGTTCTCTTGGCTCTAGAGAAAAGGAAGATTCTTTTTCACACAAAACTTGTACATATTTCACTTTGTTTTCCTTCCCCAAGGTTAAGACTGATTTGATGTAGTCACAGAAATGTGGGTGTACTTGCTGATTCGTGAGCAGGTGGAAGCCTTCCAGGGAAGAGTTTTTTTTTTTTTTTTTTCTTTTTTTTTGAGACAGGGTCTCACTCTGTTGCCTAGGCTAGAATGCAGTGGTGCAATCATGGCTCACTGCAGCCTCCGCCTTCCCGGACTCAGGTGATCCTCTCACCTCCCGAGTAGCTGGGACTGCAAAATTAGCCAGTGAGCCACCACGCATGGCTAATTTTGTATTTTTTGTAGCGATGGGGTTTTGCCATCTTGCCCAGGGTGGTCTTGAACTCCTGAGCTCAAGCGATCCTCTTGCCTCGGTCTCCCCAAGTCCCAGGATTACAGGCGTGAGCCATGGTGCCTGACCACCATGATTTTTTTGAACAAAAGGACGTGCCCGCAGCGTCGACTCTGTAGCATGAGTGAGTGGGTCCAGCGTTGACTCCGTAGCATGAGTGGGTGTAGTGTGAGTGAGTCCAGCGTCGACTCCGTAGTGTGAGTGAGTCCAGCGTCGACTCCGTAGTGTGAGTGAGTCCGGCTTCGACTCCGTAGTGTGAGTGAGTCCGGCTTCGACTCCGTAGTGTGAGTGAGTCCGGCGTCGACTCCGTAGTGTGAGTGAGTCCGGCGTCGACTCCGTAGTGTGAGTGAGTCCGGCGTCGACTCCGTAGTGTGAGTGAGTCCGGCTTCGACTCCGTAGTGTGAGTGAGTCCGGCGTCGACTCCGTAGTGTGAGTGAGTCCGGCTTCGACTCCGTAGTGTGAGTGAGTCCGGCGTCGACTCCGTAGTGTGAGTGAGTCCGGCTTCGACTCCGTAGTGTGAGTGAGTCCGGCGTCGACTCCGTAGTGTGAGTCCGGCGTCGACTCCGTAGTGTGAGTGAGTCCGGCGTCGACTCCGTAGTGTGAGTGAGTCCGGCGTCGACTCCGTAGTGTGAGTGAGTCCGGCTTCGACTCCGTAGTGTGAGTGAGTCCGGCGTCGACTCCGTAGTGTGAGTGAGTCCGGCGTCGACTCCGTAGTGTGAGTCCGGCGTCGACTCCGTAGTGTGAGTGAGTCCGGCGTCGACTCCGTAGTGTGAGTGAGTCCGGCTTCGACTCCGTAGTGTGAGTGAGTCCGGCTTCGACTCCGTAGTGTGAGTGAGTCCGGCGTCGACTCCGTAGTGTGAGTGAGTCCGGCGTCGACTCCGTAGTGTGAGTCCGGCTTCGACTCCGTAGTGTGAGTGAGTCCGGCGTCGACTCCGTAGTGTGAGTGAGTGAGTGTGGCTGGCTGACGATGGGACCTGTTGCATGACGTGGCCAGAGTCCATGTGCTGAGCTAGCACACAGCAGAGGGAGGCTGCACTTTTCAATTTATTTTATTTTTTGTACAGATGGGGTCTCACCATATTACCTAGGCTGGTCTTGAACTCCAGGGCTCAAGTGATACTCCCTCCTGGGCCTCCCAAAGTGCTGGGATTACAGGGCTGCGCCACTGTGCCCAGCCAAGGCTCCAGCTTTTGAGCAGCTATTCTCACTGGTCATTCACCATCTCCCCTGCAGATCTGCCGACACCCCAGGCCATCGAGCCCCAGGCCATCGTGCAGCAGGTCCCAGCCCCCAGTCGAATGCAGATGCCGCAGGGGAACCCGCTGCTGCTGTCCCACACCCTGCAGGAGCTGCTGGCCAGGGACACCGTGCAGGTGGAGCTCATTCCGGAGAAGAAGGGCCTCTTCCTGAAGCATGTGGAGTATGAGGTTTCCAGCCAGGTAACTGGCAAATTGTGTGTGTGTCGGGGCAGGAGGGGGAAGAAAGGGTCACGTCTCAACATCTCAGGGCAGGAGTGGTGTGACAGGAGAAGGCTGAAGGGTGAGTCTGTGTGGCTGGCTTACAGGCAAGATCCAGAACTCGCAGCAGAGTCAGGCTGCGGAGGTGACTTTTCCACACCTCTGCTCCCCGCACCTCACTCTGGCCCAGCCACGTCCCCACCTGGTCACCCCTGGTCCAGTTTGTCCTCCCCACCACTGTGCTCTGGAGTCCTGTTTCTTTTTTTTTTTTCCCCGATGTGGAGTCTTGCTCTGTCGCCCAGGCTGGAGTGCAGTGGCATGATCTCGGCTCACTGCAAACTCTGCCTCCCGGGTTCAAGCGATTCTCCTGCCTCAGCCTCCCAAGTAGCTGGGATGACAGGTGCCCGCCACCACGCCTGGCAAATTTTTTTGTATTTTTTTTTTTAGTAGAGACAGGGTTTCACCATGTTAGCCAGGGTGGTCTTGATCTCCTGACCTTATGATCCACCCGCCTCGGCCTCCCAAAGTGCTGGGATTACTGGCGTGAGCCACCGCGCCCGGCCTGGAGGCCTGTTTCTTAGGAATCTCCCGCGGACGGTCCACAGAGCACAAAGCGGGATCCACACCAGCCTCGCTTTGTAATAGTGGGAAACCCCCGAGGATTAGAATGTCAGCCCCATCGACTCCGGACCCCAAACAGTGAATGAAATTTGCATGGCAGGATCAATATGTGTCACTCTAATCCCCTTTAATAACACGGCCCTCCTGTTGCTGGGCATCCCGATATTGGGCAGGTGAGACACAGACACCGAGTGCCTGATGCCCGTCTGGAGCAACACCGTGGCTCTCTCTGTCCCTTGCTTCGTTGTCTCAGTTCCATTACGACAGATTCTGATGGGAGTTTTCATTGTTCATCCTGGGCATTGAGTAATTGATGAGCTAACACTGTCCTTGGGAGGTGTGGAGTCAGCAGGGCTTGTGGGATTCGCACAGACAGAGCAGGGCCCACTCCTGTGTGGGAGAGGGCGGCCCTGGCCCAGCCCCGGCCGGACGGCACTGCCAGGGGCTTGTTTGAAAAGCGTCATGAGCAGATGGTCCTGGGTAAAAGTTGTGTCTTTTTGTTTGCTTGTTTTTAAAGAGACAGGGTATTGCTCTGTCAACCAGGCTGGAGTGCAGTGGCACGATCATAGCTCACTACAGCCTCAACCTCCCAGGCTCAAGCAACCCTCCCACCTCAGTCTCCTGAGTAGCTGGAACCACAGGCGGATGCCACCACACCAGGCAGTTTTTTAAATTATTTGTAGAGATGGGATCTCACTATATTGTCCAGGCTGGTCTTGAGCTCCTGGGCTCAAGTGGTCCTCCTGCCTTGGTTTCCCAAAGTGCTGGGATTACAGGCGTGAGCCACCATGCCCAGTCTTTTTTTTTTTTTTTTTTTTAAAGTACAAATGGAGACTTGCTATGTTGTCTCAGCTGGTCTCGAACTCCTGGGCTCAAGCAGTCCTCTCACTTTGGCCCGCCAAAGTGCTAGGCTCACAGGCATGAGCCACTGCACCTGGCCTTAAGGACAAGCGAGCCGGTCTCCCCTCCCTGCCGTCTGCTCTGCTGTGCTTCACTGTGTTCCAGAGCCTGTGGCCACACGGTCCGAATGGTTGTCAGTACTGCTACCAAAGGACAAAGCGGGTCAGAGGGGAGGACTCCCTTGGAGGACCGTGTCAGAGCCGCCTTGCTGTCTGGCTTTGCCGTGGTTCCCGGCCCTCTGGGCCGCAGTCGGGGATGTGGACCAGCTGGTGGGATGCCACGGGGGAGCAGAGCGAGCCACCCCTTCCTTCTGGGGCCTGGCAGCCTGGGGGTGAGGCAACTCTGAGCGTGTGAGACGTGCCGTTGCCTGCCAGGGAGCCAGCGGCTGGCCTTTTGTCCAGTCTTACTAAGCTGCCCGTCCCTTAAGTAAATTCATTGCCACATAGGGAACATTTGTCAAGGGGGCAGTTTGGTCACCCTGATGTGTGTGTAACGGGCCAGTCACTGACCAGGTGGGAAGCCACTATGCTTCATACCATTTGTTTAGTTTTTTTTTTTTTTTTGAAATGGAGTCTCGCTCTGCCGCCCAGGCTGGAGTGCAGTGGCGTGATCTCAGCTCACCGCAAGCTCTGCCTCCCGGGTTCACGCCATTCTCCTGCCTCAGCTTCCTGAGTAGCTGGGACTACAGGTGCCCACCACCACGCCCGGCTAATTTTTTGTGTTTTTAGTAGAGACGAGGTTTCACCGTGTTGGCCAGGATGGTCTCGATCTCCTGACCTCATGATCCGCCTGTCTCGGCCTCCCAAAGTGCTGGGAATGCAGGCGTGAGCCACCGCGCCCGGCCTTTTTTAATTTTTTTAAGACAAGGTCTCGCTTTGTCGTCCAGGCTAGAGTGCAGTGGCACGATCTTGGATCACTGCAACCTCTGTCTCCAGGGTTCAAGGGATTCTCCTGCCTCAGGCTCCAAAGTAGCTGGGACTACAGCCGCCCACCACCATGCCCAGCTAATTTTTGTATTTTTAGTAGAGATGGGATTTTGCCATGTTGGCCAGGCTGGTCTCTTTAACTCCTGACCTCAGGTGATTCACCCGCCTCAACCTCCCAGAATGCTGAGATTACAGGCGGGAGCCACCGCACCCGGCCTAAGAGCTATACAAAGTTTAAAAGTTGTATTTCCATATACGAAGCCGTCACAGGGTTTCTCCATTTAGTAAAGGCCTGGTGAGAGAAGATGCACTTGGTGCTGTCGTTTTCCCGGGCTCTGTTGAGGGGAAGTGACGCGACAGCATAGTTTCCAACGTCGGATCTAAGCACCGACCCTTCTCTTGCAGCGCTTCAAGTCCTCGGTATACAGACGGTACAATGACTTCGTGGTCTTCCAGGAGATGCTCCTGCACAAGTTCCCCTACCGTATGGTGCCTGCCCTGCCACCCAAGAGAATGCTGGGAGGTAAAGCCAGGCGTGCTGCCCACCGGGGGCGGAGGGAGCGAGCCCATCTCCTGGACCCTGTGGTCCTGGCTCAGGGATGGACCCCACTGTAGACCGGGGCAGGTGCAGGGCTGCGGGGGAAACTCCAGCCTTTTGGCATCTGGGACAGAGCTGTGGCTTGAGCCCAGCCTTGGTGCAGGCAGGGAGACTGGCACCCGGCAGCCTTGGCCCACCAGAGCCTTCAGCTGCATGACTGACAGGTGGGGAAGCCCTTGCTGTGCAGGTGTGAAAGAGAACCCTAGTTCTCCTCTCCAGAGTGCAGTGGCCAGGGCTCCCGAGAGCTCCCGAGAGGGCTGCCAGGAGCACTGTGTGCTCACCTGGCTGGCATTGCCCTGCCTGCATCTGCAAAGCCATGGCAGCCTGAGCCATGGGCACCATGGGAGCGCTCGGTGGCCTCATGGAAGAGAACTGAGTTGTGCAAGTAGGAAATGTCAGCTGCATCTTGCAGGAGAGAAAAAGCAGCACACGGCTGCCTCACCTTCACCTCTCTGCCTGAAGATGGCCTCGGGCCAGGTGGGAGATCGCAGACGACCTCAGAGCTGCTCCCCAGGCCTGTGTCCCCCTGGGCTGCAGAGCTTGGGATGGCGGCTGCCAGCTCTGATCTCACTGGTGGTCTCTCCCTCAGCCCGTTCCTCAAATTCTGAATAAAACATGCTGGGGAAATGAGTGCTTAGAGCTGATCATGGCTTTCTGCCGTTCCCAGCCCTTCCACAGTCACCGTGTCCTGGACGGGGACGCAGCATGGGAGCTAACACAGTCGCCAGTTCCCCGCATCTGAAATCGTACGATGATGCATAAATGCTTCTGCCTCTCATCGGTCACTGAGCAAGCAGCCCAGGGTCTGATGATGTGATTTTCACCCCGCCGCATGTGAAGGCCACAGAGCAGATCATTCAGCTCACGCTGAAGGGCACACGGGCGCTCAGGGCAGCAGAGAGCAGAGGACGCGACAGGGATGTGTGATGCTGGCTCAGGCCTGGGCATCCGAGTTGATGAGCGCTGGCTGGCGTTCAGCGCCTGGAAACTGCACACGCGCGCTGGGCCGCTTGCGCATTTAAGGAAGTGCAGCCTCATCGGAAGAGGCCTGCCAGTGCTGAGCCAGGAGGGAGCCCCAGCCACCTACCTGTATTGTTTGTTTTCTTTCTTTTATGGTGTTTTTTTTTTTTTTTTACATGGAGTCTCGCTCTGTCGCCCAGGCTGGAGTGCAGTGGTGCAATCTCGGCTCATGGCAAGCTCCGCCTCCCGGGTTCACGCCATTCTCCTGCCTCAGCCTCCCGCGTAGCTGGGACTACAGGCGCCCGCCACCACGCCTGGCTAATTTTTTTGTATTTTTAGTAGAGACGGGGTTTCACCGTGTTAGCCAGGATGGTCTCAATCTCCTGACCTCGTGATCCGCGCACCTCAGCCTCCCAAAGTGCTGGGATTACAGGTGTGAGCCACCGCACCTGGCCTCTTTTATGGTGTTTTTTGTTTTTGTTTTTGTTTTTGAGACGAAGACTCGCCGTGTCACCCAGGCTGGAGTGCAGTGGTGCGGTCTCGGCTCACTGCAAGCTCCGCCTGCCGGGTTCACGCCATTCTCCTGCCTGAGTCTCCCAAGTAGCTGGGACTACAGGCGCCCGCCACCACGCCTGGCTAATTATTTTTTTTTGTATTTTTAGTGGAGATGGGGTTTCACCGTGTTAGGATGGTCTCAATCTCCTGACCTCATGATCCACCTGCCTCAGCCTCCCAAAGTGCTGGGATTACAGGTGTGAGCCACTGCGCCTGGCCTCTTTTATGGTATTTTTCAGAGACAGGGTTTCGCTACGCTGGCCAGGCTGATGTAGAACTCCTTGGCCTCAAGTGATCTGCCCTCCTCAGCCTCCCAAGAGGCTGGGATTACAGGTGTGAGCCACACTCCTGGCTGTATTTCTTAATACATTAAAAATAGTATTTAAAGGCTGGGCGCTGGTGGCTCATGCCTGTAATCCCAGCACTTTGGGAGGCTGAGGTGGGCGGATCACCTGAGGTCAGGAGTTCGAGACCAGCATGACCAACATGGTGAAACCTCCTCTCTAATAAAAGTATAAACATTAGCCAGGTGTGGTGGCGGGTGCCTGTAATCCCAGCTACTTGGGAGGCTGAGGCAGGAGAATCGCTTGAACCTGGGAGTTAGAGGTTGCAGTGAGCCGAGATGACACCACTGCACTCCAGCCTGGGCGACAAGAGTGAAACTCCGTCTCAAAAAAAGTATTTAAATACCATTTTTGTTTGTGTTCAGATTGAAATGTCCTGAATGCATCAGTATATGCTTTTACTTTTTTTCCCCTTGGAGTGAAAATATTTAACCCGAATGAAAGCAATGAGTAATTGCATCCTTTGCAGAGTAAGTTATAAGCACAGTGAATAGAAAAACTCGGCCGGGCGCGGTGGCTTACGCCTGTAATATCAGCACTTTGGGAGGCCGAGGCAGGTGGATCACCTGAGGTCAGGAGTTGGAGACCAGCGTGACCAACATGGTGAAACCCCATCTCTACTAAAAATACAAAAATTAGCCAGGCATGTTGGCGGGCCCCTGTAATCCCAGCTAATTCCAGAGGCTGAGACAGGAGAATCGCTTGAACCTGGAAGGCGGAGGTAGCAGTGAGCCGAGATTGCGCCACTGCACTCCAGCCTGGGCAACAGGAGCGAAACTCTGTCTCAAAAAAAAAAAAAAGAAAAGAAGACCTGGGTTGCGTTAGTGTTAGAGCGTAGCAAAACCCATTTGTTTGCAGTGAGAAGTGCCAGGAGGGGATTATGGAAGATGTCTTTAACGGAGGTGATTAAAGTGACCACTCACGTGGTTCCCAGGACTCCCGATGGAAACAAGCAGATCTGTGGTTTTCCTTGGCAGCTCCTGGACCCAAGTGTGTGTGGCTGGAGGGGGCCTCTGGGGGTGAGGTTATTGCTCTGGGCGGCCTTTTCAGACCCATTGTCTGAGCAGCACTGGGGGCCCAGCCAGTGCCCTCTGCTAGCCGCTGGGCCCTCTGCCACCTCTAGGGAGAGTTTTGAGAACTCGCCCAGAGCAGAAGATGGGGGCCGGCGCCCTGGACTCTGTCCAGTGACCCCGTGTGCTCCTCCAGCTGACAGGGAGTTCATCGAGGCCAGGAGGAGAGCCCTGAAGCGCTTCGTCAACCTGGTGGCGCGACACCCCCTGTTCTCCGAGGATGTGGTCCTCAAGCTCTTCCTGTCCTTCAGCGGCTCGGTGAGTGTGTCTGCCCTGCCCATGTCCCGGCCCCGGGGAGTCCCCGAGCCTCCGGACCCGCCTTTTCCTCTCTCAGGTGTGGTTTCTTATCCTCCTGGTCCCTTGTTTGGACGCCCAGCAGGAATGACATGGACAAGACTTCTTTCCTTTCCAGATAACAGTCTGAATGTGATTTTCAGAGGTGTCCCTGGTGTTGACTTTGCAGGATTTTGTAAATCCGCGTGGAGATCATGGATCTCTGTGGTCACTTTGAGGATTTAGGCTGGATGGTTTGGAGGGTTTAGGGAGGTGCCAGAGACTCCAGATGGGAAGAAGTGTTGACTTAAAACAAGGCCCTGTCTGACTAAGGACCACTGGAACACAGGCTGAGCCTCCTTGTCAGAGCCACAGCCCACACCTGCATCCGGGAATTAACTTGTTGTACATGCACTCCGTCAGAGGTCTGAGTGGGGCTTCCCTCCTCCCAGCTGCTGCGGCACAGCCTTATTGTGTGTCAAGAAGCTACAGTTCGCAGGTACAGTGGCCCACGCCTCTAATCCCAGCGCTCGGAGAGGCCGAGGCTGGATGGTCCCTTAAGCCCAGGCGTTTGAGACCAGCCTGGACAACATAGCGAGACTTCGTCTCTACCAAAACAAAACTGAGGCCAGGCATGGTGGTGCACACCTGTAATCCCAGTCACTTGGGAGGCTGAGGCATGAGAATCGCTTGAACCCAGGAGGTGGAGCTTGCAGTGAGCTGTGATTGTGCCACTGCACTCCAGCCTGGGCGACAGAGTGAGACCCTGTCTCAAAAAAACAAAAAACAACCCTGCAGCCCAGCTCCTGTTTCCTGGAGGAGGAAGCAGCTGCCAGCCCCTCCAGGGAAGGCGGGTCCTGTGCTTCTCCTCCACCTGTGCCTGCAGGACCCTCTCCCTGTGCGGGGAGGGGCGGGGGCTCCACTGGAATAGAGGTTTCCAGGCTCTCCTCTATTTCAGGGAAACCCCGTCTTGAATGGGGACCTGACGGCCTCTGTCCTTGTCCCTGCTGCAGGAAGACACCCCCTCTCCCAGGCTGACTTCACACAAGCCTTGGTTCCTTTTGTCTTCGTTCCTCTCGGAGGCAGAGGGGCCTTCCCCCTGTGCCTGAGATGTCCCTGGGATGCCCCCGGGGATGTCTGGAGCAGGCAGTGGGATCTTTTGAGCCCTGGGGTTGGAAACCTTCCTTTGGAGGCGATCTGCATTGCCAGCAGAGGAATGTGGCAGGACCTGGGAGGGGCGGTGGGCAGGGGTGCAGTGGGTCACAGGTGGGCAATATCCCTGTTCTGGGGGCAGGACGTTCCCTGTGGCCTTCCCACAGGTATCATTCTCTGTCACTTCCCGGCCTCAGTTTTCTTGCTTGCTTTCTGTTTTTAGAGATGGGGTCTCACTATGTTACCCAGGCTGGCCCTGAACCCCTGGGCTCCAGCGATCCTCCCGCCTCAGGCTCTGAGTAGCTGGGACTACAGGCACGCACCATGCTGGGCCTCAGGTCTTTTTTTTTTTTTTTTTTTTTTTTTTTGTAAAATGAGAGTTGAGTCAGATGATCTTTAAGGCATCTCTGAAACCTGAGAATTCCTGGACACGCAAACAGCTGCATATTAGGGTTTCCCCTTGTATCTCCTGGGTGGCTCCTGACTTTAAGGCACGGCTTTGCCCAGGAGGCCTCTTTCAGATGAGAGGGCTCCGGTGCCAGGGGCTGGGCCTGTCCCTCTGCCCAGCAGCTCCCTGGGCTCTGGTGTCCCTGGCGCCATGGATGCATTCCCAGGAAGGAAGACACTTTTGCCCTGTTCTATTGCGTTTTTGGAAGCTACCAGGGTCTCAGGTATCTCTGGGGCTGACGCCGCCCCGGGTCTGTGGATGGAGGGGCCGTTTCTCTGCAGAGCCGCCCCTGGTCTGTGGATGGAGTGGCTGTTTCTCTGGAGAGCTGCCCCCCGTCTGCGGATGGAGTGGCTGTGCCTCTGGAGAGAGGCTGCAGGTTTGTGGTGCTCCTGCTGTGAAGCCAGGCTGTCCTGTTTGGTGAGAAAAACATCTAAGGGAGAGTCAAGAGATTGCAGAATACTAATGTCAAAGCCAACATATGGAAATGTGTTTCTCCTGAGGAAAGACGACCTCCCGCTCCACAGTGACCCATACCCCACAGCAGCTTTCTTGCTGCTAGTAGAAGAGGGTGAAGCTGTGTGTTTTCCTTTTGCAGGATGTGCAGAACAAGTTAAAGGAGTCAGCACAGTGCGTCGGGGACGAATTCCTGAACTGTAAGCTGGCTACCAGGGCCAAGGTATTTTTCTTTTTTTTTTCTTTTTTTTTTTTTTTAATTTATTTTTTTATTGATCATTCTTGGGTGTTTCTCGCAGAGGGGGATTTGGCAGGGTCATGGGACAATAGTGGAGGGAAGGTCAGCAGATAAACAAGTGAACAAAGGTCTCTGGTTTTCCTAGGCAGAGGACCCTGCGGCCTTCCGCAGTGTTTGTGTCCCTGATTACTTGAGATTAGGGAGTGGTGATGACTCTTAACGAGCATGCTGCCTTCAAGCATCTGTTTAACAAAGCACATCCTGCACCGCCCTTAATCCATTTAACCCTGAGTGGACACAGCACAGGGTTGGGGGTAAGGTCACAGATCAACAGGATCCCAAGGCAGAGGAATTTTTCTTAGTACAGAACAAAATGAAAAGTCTCCCATGTCTACTTCTTTCTACACAGACACGGCAACCATCCGATTTCTCAATCTTTTCCCCACCTTTCCCGCCTTTCTATTCCACAAAGCCGCCATTGTCATCCTGGCCCGTTCTCAATGAGCTGTTGGGCACACCTCCCAGACGGGGTGGTGGCCGGGCAGAGGGGCTCCTCACTTCCCAGTAGGGGTGGCCGGGCAGAGGCGCCCCTCACCTCCCGGACGGGGCGGCTGGCCAGGCAGGGGGGCTGACCCCCCCCCACCTCCCTCCCGGACGGGGCGGCTGGCCGGGCGGGGGGCTGACCCCCCCACCTCCCTCCCGGACGGGGCGGCTGGCCGGGCAGAGGGCCTCCTCACTTCCCAGTAGGGGCGGCCGGGCAGAGGCGCCCCTCACCTCCCGGACGGGGCGGCTGGCCGGGCTGGGGGGCTGACCCCCCCCACCTCCCTCCCGGACGGGGCGGCTGGCTGGGCAGAGGGGCTCCTCACTTCCCAGTAGGGGCGGCCGGGCAGAGGCGCCCCTCACCTCCCAGACGGGGCGGCTGGCTGGGCGGAGGGCTGACCCCCCCACCTCCCTCCCGGACAGGGCGGCTGGCCAGGCGGGGGGCTGACCCCCCCACCTCCCTCCCGGATGGCACGGCTGGCCGGGCGGGGGGGCTGACCCCCCACCTCCCTCCCGGATGGGGCGGCTGGCCGGGCGGGGGGCTGACCCCCCCCACCTCCCTCCCGGATGGGGTGGCTGCCGGGCGGAGACGCTCCTCACTTCCCAGATGGGGTGGCTGCCGGGCGGAGAGGCTCCTCACTTCTCAGACAGGGCAGCTGCCGGGCGGAGGGGCTCCTCACTTCTCAGACGGGGTGGTTGCCAGGCAGAGGGTCTCCTCACTTCTCAGACGGGGCGGCCGGGCAGAGACGCTCCTCACCTCCCAGACGGGGTCTCGCCGGGCAGAGGCGCTCCTCACATCCCAGATGGGGCGGCTGGCCGGGCGGAGGGCTGACGCCCCCCACCTCCCTCCCGGATGGGGCGGCTGGCCAGGCGGGGGGCTGACCCCCCCACCTCCCTCCCGGACGGGGCGGCTGGCCAGGTGGTGGGGCTGACCCCCCCATCTCCCTCCCGGACGGGGTGGCTGGCCGGGCAGAGACGCTCCTCACCTCCCAGACGGGGTCTCGGCCGGGCAGAGGCGCTCCTCACATCCCAGATGGGGCGGCGGGGCAGAGGCGCTCCCCACATCTCAGACTATGGGCGGCCGGGCAGAGACGCTCCTCACTTCCTAGATGTGATGGCGGCTGGGAAGAGGCGCTCCTCACTTCCTAGATGGGATGGCGGCCGGGCGGAGACGCTCCTCACTTTCCAGACTGGGCAGCCAGGCAGAGGGGCTCCTCACATCCCAGACGATGGGCGGCCAGGCAGAGACACTCCTCACTTCCCAGACGGGGTGGCGGCCGGGCAGAGGCTGCAGTCTCGGCACTTTGGGAGGCCAAGGCAGGCGGCTGGGAGGTGTAGGTTGTAGTGAGCCGAGATCACGTCACTGCACTCCAGCCTGGGCACCATTGAGCACTGAGTGAACGAGACTCCGTCTGCAATCCCGGCACCTCGGGAGGCCGAGGTTGGCGGATCACTCGCGGTTAGGGGCTGGAGACCGGCCCGGCCAACACAGCGAAACCCCGTCTCCACCAAAACCAGTCAGGCGTGGCGGCGCGTGCCTGCAATCGCAGGCATTCGGCAGACTGAGGCAGGAGAATCAGGCAGGGAGGTTGCAGTGAGCCGAGATGGCAGCAGTACAGTCCAGCTTCGGCTCCGCATGAGAGGGAGACTGTGGGGTGAGGGAGAGGGAGAGGGGGAGGGGGAGGGGGAGGGGGAGGGAGAGGGCCAAGGTATTTTTCTAACTTTGAAGAGTACATCCCTTTTTAACCAGAGAAACAAGTTTTAACCCTTCAAAGTGATTTTGCCTCCTCTGCGTGGCAGGGATTATGCTGACATCTGTCGCATGGTTTCCTCATTTAACCCTCGTTTCAGTTGCTCCGACACAGGGCTGGGAGGCCTGTTTTACGGATGGAGAAACAGGCTCAGGGAGGCTGTCATTTGCCAAGGCCCCGAGCCTCTAAGCAGCAGGGCCGGGTTGCGGCTGAGCTCTGCCCTCAGGCCCTCCAGGCACCTCGTGCCCTCTGCCCTTTTCTGTGACTCAGACAGACGGATGCTTGTGTCAGCACCTTTTCAGATTTCTGGGGATTCATTGTTACATTTGTTTATTATTAAATGTTTAAAGTTTGGTCTTTTTCCAAAAAAGACTAAGGTAGCTACTTGGTAGTTTTTTTGTTTTTGGTTTTTTCTTTTTAAACCTCTTCTTCAGGCTGGCGCGGTGGCTCCTTCCTGTAATCCCAGCACTTTGGGAGGCTGAGGCTGTCGGATCACTTGAGGTCAGGAGTTTGAGACCAGCCTGGCCAACATAGCAAAACCCCATCTCTAATAAAAATACAAAACAAAAAAGGAAAACAAAAAAAAGCAAAACAAACCCCAAAAAACCGGCCGGGCGTGGTGGCTTACGCCTGTAATCCTAGCACTTTGGGAGGCCGAGGCGGGTGGATCACGAGGTCAGGAGTTCAAGACTAGCCTGACTAACATGGTGAAACCCCGCCTCTACTAAAAATACAAAAATTAGCTGGGTGCGGTGGCGTGCACCTGTAATTCCAGCTACTCAGGAGGCTGAGGCAGGAGAATTGCTTGAACCTAGGAGGAAGAGGTTGGAGTGAGCCAAGATTGCGCCACTGCACTCCAGCCTGGACGACAGAGACACCATCAAAAAAAAGAAAAAAAAAATTAGCCAGGCTTGGTGGCAGGCACCTGTAATCCCAGCTATTTGGGAGGCTGAGGCAAGAGGACTGCTTGAACCCAGGAGGCAGAGGCTGCAGTGAGCCCAGGTCGTGCCATTGCACTCCAGCCTGGGTAACAGAGTGAGACTTTGTGTCAAAGACGACAACAACAACAACAAAAAAACCAGAAAAAAACCTGCTTCTTCATACAAAAATTAAAAATCTATTTTATTTTATTTTTTGAGACAAGGTCTTGCTCTGTCCTCTAGGCTATAGTGCAGTGGTGCAATCGTAGGTCATTGCAGCCTCGACCTCCTGAGTTCAAGCAATTCTCCCACTTCAGCCTCCCAGAATAGCTGGGACCACAGGCATGCACCACAGTACTTGGCTGATTTGTTTGTTTGTTTTTGGTATAGATGAAGTCTCACTATGTTGCCCAGGCTGGTCTTGAACTCTTGGCCTCAAGCAATCCTCCTGGCATGGCCCCCCAAAGTACTGGGATTAAAGGCATGAGCCACCATGCCTGGCCAAATCTTTTACCTTCATTTTACTCTCTGAGCTTTCTGTTTTCTGAACTCTGATAGTTAGTATCAAATCTTATAAAAAGTCTTTGGGAATAAACGCGGCATAGAAGAGGCCTTCCCCCCATGTGGAGAGTCTTTCAGGAATTTATGTTCATTGTGTTTAACTTGAAGATTGTTTGTTTTTATTTTTGTTGTTTTCTGGGGACAGGGTCCCCAGGCTGGAGTGCAGTGTTGTGATCATGGCTCCTTGCAGCATGGAACTCCTGGGCTCAAGTGATCCTCCTGCCTCAGCCCTCTGTAAGCACCTGGGACCACAGGCGCTCCACCACGCCTGGCTAATTTTTTGATTTTTTGGGAGAGATGGGGTTTCACTATGTTGCCCAGGCTGTTCTTAAACTCCCAGGCTCTAGCAATCCTCTTGCCTCAGTCTCCCAGAGCGCTGGGGTACAGGTGTGAGTCACTGTATCCAGCTAAAGATTAGTATTGTTAGTTTTTGAGACGGAGTCTCGCTCTGTTGCCCAGGCTGGGGTGCAGTGGTGTGATCGCAGCTCACTGCAAGCTCCGCCTCCGGGGTTCATGCCATTCTCCTGCCTCAGCCTCCCAAGTAGCTGGGACTAGGTGCCCACCACCAGGCTCGGCTAATTTTTTGTATTTTTAGTAGAGATGGGGTTTCACCATAGTCTCGATCTCCTTACCTCGTGATTCGCCCTACTCGGCCTCCCAAAGTGCTGGGATTACAGGCGTGAGCCACTGCGCCCGGCAAGATTATTATTCGAGTGTTTTGTTGGTTTGTTTGTTTTGAGACAGAGTCTCGTTCTGTCGCCCAAACTGGAGTGTGGTTGCGCGATCTCAGCTCACTGCAACCTCTGCCTCCCGGATTCAAGCAATTCTCCTGTCTCAGCCTCTGGAGTAGCTGGGATTACAGGTGCATGCCGCCATGCCCAGCTAATTTTTGTATTTTTAGTGGAGATGGGGTTTCACCATATTGGTCAGGCTGGTCTTGAACTCCTGACCTGAGGTGATCCACCTGCCTCAGCCTCCAAAGTGCTGGGATTACAGGTGTGAGTGACTGCCCCTGGCCTTATTTGAGTGTTTTTGGATAGGTCCTCCAGTGTGATGAGATTTCAGTGGACTCTGTGGTCCTCATCCCATGGGATCATTTGTCTTTGTGTTTGTGGCATGCAGGTGATGATGGTTTTTGTTTCTTTTTTGGACACACAGAGTGATCCCTGCAGGCCTGGAGGAGTGGGGCTCCCGGGGTGGCTCATGGACCTGCTGTGTCTCCCGTGGCTCAGCTTCTGGGGGACCGGCTGCTGCCGTCTGACAGGTGCTCCCCAGCGACTAACACAGTGTCTCTCCCCCCATCATGATGTCAGGACTTCCTCCCAGCTGACATCCAGGCTCAGTTTGCCATCAGCCGGGAGCTGATCCGGAACATCTACAATAGCTTTCACAAGCTTCGCGACAGGGCCGAGCGGATCGCATCGCGGGCCATCGACAATGCGGCAGATCTTCTCATATTCGGGAAGGAGCTAAGGTAGGTGACCTTTCAGCTTCTGCAGGGGCACGCGCGGTGGGACGGGAATCCATGCTGGTGAAGGGCTTGGGCGGAAAGTGCGTTTACCGTAATAACCAGCATCCTGACCTGTTTCATCTCAGAAGGGGCAGAAAGTGGCTCAGGCACATGGGGGGTCATATTTGGAAGAAACACGGGAGAATTTCGGCCCTGAAACACGGATTTCTGAGCACGAGTAAATGCTCACCAGTTTCTAGTCTGGTAGTTTTTTCACTGTCAGGATGAGACTTTAAAAAAAGATCCCAGGCCAGGCGTGGTGGCTCACACCTGTAATCCCAGCACTTTGGGAGGCCGAGGTGGGTGGATCACGAGGTCAGGAGTTCAAGATCAGCCTGGCCAAGATGGTGAAACCCGTCTCTACTAAAAATACAAAAAAAAGTTCTCTGGGCGTGGTGGCGGGTGCCTGTCATCTCAGCTACTCGGGAGGCTGAGGCAGAGAATTGCTTGAACCTAGGAGGCGGAGGTTGCAGTGAGCCGAGATCGCGCCACTGCACTCCAGCCTGGGTGATACAGCGAGACTCCGTCTCAAAAAAAAAAAAGATCCCTTTGACTTGGGGAAGAACAGACCATGGGCTGGCAGCGCTTCCTTTGCCTGAGGGGAGGGGAGACCCCACCCGGGACTCTGCTTGCCCCAGCAGTGCCCGTCACCTGTGCACACATGTCACCTGGGGGCTGGTTGGGAAGAAGAGACGCAGCAGGTCCTGAGGTGCAGCCCCAGGGCCACCCTTTCTCCCGGGCTCCCAGGGTCCCCACAGGCCACTCTTTGAGCAGCAGGGTCCTAGGACGGGGTCACGCAGGTTGCCGTGGAGGACATCTGTCGGGGGGGATGCCAGACTCGACTGCCAGGTGAGCTCCAGGCCTTGAGTGTCTCCTCTCCTGTGTGCTTGCTCCCTCAGTGCAATAGGGTCTGACACGACCCCGCTGCCCTCCTGGGCCGCTCTGAATAGCAGCACGTGGGGGTCCCTGAAGCAGGCTCTGAAAGGCCTGTCTGTGGAATTCGCGCTGCTCGCCGACAAGGCTGCACAACAGGTGAGTGGATCGGTTCTCCCAGGCGCCTGTTCCAGAGAACACGCTATGCCTTTGCATGGGGAGTGCCTCCTGCTTAGATGGGCGTCACAGTTCGTTTTTGTTTTGTTGTTTTGAGAAGGAGTCTCCCTCTGTTGCCAGGCTGGAGCGCAAAGGCGCAATCTCGGCTCGCTGCAACCTCTGCCTCCTGGGTTCAAGTGATTCTCCTGCCTTAGCCTCCTGAGTAGCTGGGATTACAGGTGTCCACCACCATGCCTGGCTAATTTTTTGTATTTTTAGTAGAGATGAGGTTTCACCATGTTCGTCAGGCTGGTCTTGAACTCCTGACCTTAGGTGACCTGCCCGCCTCGGCCTCCCAAAGTGCTGGGATTACAGGCGTGAGCCACTGTGCCCGGCCGGCTTCCCAGTTCTGAGCCGAGTGAATGACAGCTGTGCCCTGGGTGGGAGCTGCCCATCCACATCTGTTCCTGGTGGCTCCCTGGGAGCGTTTACGCTTTCGAGAGGGGGTTGCCAGCGACAAAACAGATTAGGCTGTAGTCTTGAGTGTTGATTTTGCTGAGGTTGGAAGACAGACTCTGTCTTTGAAAAGATGATCTTGGGCTTCCAGGCATACTCCTGGGTGGACCAGATAGTTCCCACTTTGCTGTCTGAGTCCACTAGGATTTGGCACTGGAGACTTAACTCATCAGAATAATAAAGCCCCAGCACCTGAGCGGCTCCCACCTCCCGCTCCACACACAACCTCAGGCAGTGCTCCTGCTGCATGGGCAGAAGCTGATTTCAGAAATTCGCCAAGATCTTGGAGTCATTTGGGATCAGTTTGAAGATACGGTGTTTACTATCACACTGGAAAGCTCATCTGGGTGCTTTTATGTTAAGAAAAAGTGTTACATGGCTGGGCACAGCGGCTCACACCTATCATCCCAGCGCTTTGGGAGGCTGAGGCAGGAGGACTGCTTGAGCCCAGGAGTTCAGGACCACCCTGGGCAACAGAGCAAGATCTCATCTCTATCAAAAATAAAAAAAAATTAGCCAGGGGTGGTGGTGCGTGTCTGTAGTCCCAGCTACTCACGAGGCTGAGGTGGGAGGATCACCTGAACCCAAGAGGTAGAGGCTTCAGTGAGCCATGATGGTGCCACTGCACACCAGCCTGGGCGACAGAGCGAGACCCTGTCTCAAAAACAAAAAAAAGTGGACATAGTTGTGAATGTGGGAGCTTGCTGCCTAGTTCCTATTTCTTGGGAAAGTGGCCTCCAGGCTACTCATATTAGTTTGAAGAGAGTGATCAGAGTGTGCCCGTGAGGGCTGTGCTTCCCCTGAGCCCCGGAGCTCCTGAGTGGCTTGGTGAATGGTGAACCCACCTGCTGTGGAGTCGGGGCTTTTTAAGCTGGAAACGGGGCGCTCAGGTGCCCGTGACGTTTTTCGTGCTGAAGAGGAAATTCGATGTCTTTGCTGGTGTGGAAAGTCTTGGGTTTTCTTCCTCTTCCGCCCCCGTGCTTCTGTGTTCCCTTTAGAAACGGAGGGAGGGCACTGTTGGTTTCTGTAGATTGGGGCTGAGTCTCTTCTGTCTCCAGGTCTGTGTGCCCACTCCCCCCAGGTGGAGGGGACCGAGAACGTGGGGCTGGGGGCTTTTCAGGATAGAGACAGAGGACCTCAGGGCCCTGCCCTATGCATTGTGTGTCTGTGCTGTGACCATGATCAAGCTATTCTGGTCTCCAGGCCTCAGTTTCCCCATCAATTAAATACAAGGGGGTTGGACTAGATTATTAAAACAGCTATTTCTTTTTTTTGTTTGTTTTTGAGACGGAGTCTCGCTCTGTCGCCCAGGCTGGAGGGCAGTGGTGTGATCTCGGCTCACTGCAACCTCTGCCTCCCGGGTTCAAGCGATTCTCCTGCCTCAGCCTCCCCAGTAGCTGGGATTACAGGTGTGCACCACCACACCCGGCTAATTTTTGTATTTTTAGTAGAGATGGGGTTTCACCGTGTTGGCCGGGCTGGTCTCAAACTCCTGACCTCAAGTGATCCGCCAGCCTCGGCCTCCCAAAGTGCTGGGATTACAGGCACGAGCCTCTGTGCCCAGCCAAAGGAGCTGTTTCTGTAATCTGCTGACCCTTTCCCCCAAGCTCAGTGTGCAAAGCATAAAAGCCATTCTTGTCACAGGGACCCAGAACCTTCCCACATTCCACTCCCTCTTCAGCAGGTGGCTGTTGGCGGGGTGCCCAGAGTGCCCTGGGGCTCTGCAGAGCTCAGGATGAGCATCACTCATGAGGTGATTTCCAAGGTTTTTTCTGATTCAGCCCTGGATGCCGCATTTCCACCTTGAAGAGGGAGAGAAGGTTGAGGCTTCTGGTGCAGTAGGAGTTTATGGCTTGAGGTTCTGCCCAGCTCTGTGACTCTTGGACATCTCATGAGTTGTGTTTTGGGACTGTGATGTCTGGAGAAGTGCTGTTTCCTGAATCTCTCTCACTGTCCTTGGTTGTAGTGAAATTGAGCTTTTACATGAAACAAACCTCGAGGCCTTTCATTTGATGCAGCAGAAGTTCCATCTCACCCTTGCTGTTCAGTCGGGGGCAGCGAGGACCGTTTTTCCTAAGTCTGCTTGTACTTACACCAGTTATACTCTCCCCAGACCTATTAGGAGCTGAAGGTAGCCATATCCCAGCAAGACACGTGAGACTCGGAGTAGGGTCTGTGTTTTCCATGGTGACGGGATCTTCGCCTTGGTTAAAGGCGCATGCATTAATGGTTTAGGGCACATTTGTCCAACCTGTGGCCCACAGGCTGCGTGTGGCCCAGGACAGCTTTGAATGTGGCCTAACACAAATCCGTAAACTTGGTTGGGTGCAGTGGCTCATGCCTGTAATCTTAGCACTTTGGGAGGCTGAGATGGGCAGATCACCTGAGGTCAGGAGTTTGAGACCAGCCTGGCCAACATGGTGAAACCCCATCTCTACTAAAAATACAAACATTAGCCAGGCGTGGTGGCGGGCACCTGTAATCTCAGCTACTCGGGAGGCTGAGGCAGGAGAGAATCGCTTGAACCTGGGAGGCGGAGGTTGCAGTGAGCTGAGATCATGCCACTGCACTCCAGCCTGGGTAACAGAGCAAGACTCTGTCTCAAAAAAAAAGCCAAATCTGTAAACTTTCTGAAAACATTATGAGATTTACACACAGACCTACCTACCTTCCTTCCTTCCTCTCTCTCTCTTTCTTTCTCTCTCTCTTTCTTTTTTCCTTTTTTGTTTTTTTTAGTTCATCAGCTATCATAGTGTTAGCGTATTTTATGTGTGGCTCAAGACAATTCTTCTTCTTCCAATGTGGCCCTGGGAAGCCAAAACATTGGACACCCCTGGTTTAGGGCCTTGTGCAGCACTGAACCACAGATGGGACTTGGTGACAAATGACACGAACAGAGGGACCCCTGAACTCCCCCTCTTCTGCTGGGCCAGGGAATAAGCCTACATTCTCCTGAGCCCCTGCCTGGTCAGGTGGGAGCTGGGCACCTGCGGTCAGCTGGCGTTTTCTCTCTAGAGTTTTAGAAACTCTTAACACACCTCTTCTCCTGGCACATTTTACTGGCTGGAATCCCAGCTGCTTTGGGTGTGGGGTTGGTGGCCGGGGAGCCTCCGGGTTCAGTCGGCCTGAGGTCTGGAGGGTGGAAGGGGTATCTTAGGGTCCCCTGGGGTGCAGCAGGGCCTGGGCGGCACCCCTGGCTCCCATTCCAGGGCTGTGTCCCGTAAAACTCGTTCCATCCACTTCTGCCTGCCCCGTCTCCTGCTGAGCTTGACGTGCAGTGCGTGGGGTGAGCTTTTCACCCCCTACCACGGGTGGAGCCCGAGGAATCGTGGAGGGAGCTTGGTCTCCCCGAGGTGCTCAGTGAGCTGTGGGGACTGAGGGCGTGAGCTGTGGGGACCGGAGCCCTTCAGGGCCCGGGTGTGACTGAAGGCGTCAGTGTCGGGGGTTTCCCCAGGATACCTGCCATCGGCCTGGCTTGGTTGCGGTTGTGGCTGGGGGGTCTGTGGTGAGCTGTGCAGGTCAGGGGTGGATGGGCTGCCGCTTCCGCTGCCTTCCCCAGACCCCTGCTGTCTCCAGAGCTTGGATGCTCCCCTCAGTGGCAGCTGGAGCCCAGGGCTTTGGACCGACTCTTCATACCGCAGATGCCTCTGAGCACCGTGTGTTCGGGCCGTGTGCACTGTGCCTGGCCTGCGCCCCCACCGAGGGCTGCTACTGGTGTAAGCCGGGGAGGCCGAGGCAGCGTCTGGGTGGGGTTCGCCCGTGGGGGCTGCTTCGTGTCCCCAGGTGCTGTGGTGACTCTGGGAGCAGGGCATCCCTCTGCCGTGATGGGGCCCCTGTTCCACTCCAGGGCTGCCCGCCGTTTGCTGTGCACTCACTGCCCTGTTGGGCTCTCTCTGTGGCTGTGCTGCCCGCACAGAGCCTTGTGTGAGGGCCGAAGAGGAGCCTGTGTCCACCGCTGCCCCCACCGCCGAGTGTGGTGCTTCTGCGTGCAGCCTGGGGCGGCCGCCTCTCTTCCTGGATCAGCAGCACGTCCTTCCTGCAGCTGCTGTCTCTCCTACCTACCCTGCGCCCCCTTCCCTGTGCCCCCTTCCTAGGCCTGCGTTTCTCTCTCCTGTTACTGATGCGGAGACAACACCCTTGTTCTCCTCCGTGCCCCTCCTGGGCGTGCCCGTTTTGCACACGGCTCACAGCGTTATATGGGAACTCGGGTTTTCTGCAGTGCTTGATGGAGCCTTAGGGGTCGGGGGGTCTGGGGCATCTGGCTCTCCCAGCATATGTGTTGGGAGAGTCGCCGGCTTTGCGAAGGCCTGAGAAAGGCAAGGCAGGCCGGGCTGATGAGCAGGAGGGCGGGCAGCTGTCCCGCGGGAACGCAGGCCTTGTTCCCATCAAGACTGCTGGGCCAGGCCCAGCGCGGTGGCTCACGCCTGTAATCCAGCACTTTGGGAGGCCGAGGCGGGCGGATCACGAGGTCTGGAGATCAAGACCATCCTCGCTAACACGGTGAAACCCCGTCTCTACTAAAAAAAGAAATACAAAAAATTAGCCGGGCATGGTGGAGGGCGCCTGTAGTCCCAGCTACTCGGGAGGCTGAGGCAGGAGAATGGCGTGAACCCGGGAGGCGGAGCTTGCAGTGAGCCGAGATCGTGCCACTGCATTCCAGCCTGGGCGACAGAGCGAAGACTCCGACTCAAAAAAAAAAAAAAAAAAAGACTGCTGGGCTCGAAGGCGTGTCCGCCTGGTAATGGGTGGGCTGGTGGGGAAGGGGGCCCCCTGCAGACCTGGCTGGTGGTCCTGGGGAGCCCGTCTGACTCTGGGAGGAAGGAACCGGCCCAGGCCAGGCTTGGGTCTGAGTTCCCGGGCAGGGACCGGGTCCTATGTGCGTCCGCGTGGGTGAGCTCCCCCTCGCCTTCCAGGGTAAGCAGGAAGAGAACGACGTGGTGGAGAAGCTGAACCTCTTCTTGGATCTGCTGCAGTCCTATAAGGTGAGTCTTGGCTGCTCCTTGGCTGGGGGCAGAACTTTCAGGAATGATCTTAGGATCCTTCAAGGGTCTAACTCCTGGGGGACGGAAGAGGAGCTGAGAAGCCAGGGCTGCAGGGGAAGACGGGGCCTTCCGTCTGGCGGGGGTGCTTCCCTCGGCCGGCTCCGCAGGGCCCTGGCGCAGGCATCCAGACAGCGGGCGAATGCCTCCCCCGGCCCCGCAGGACCTGTGCGAGCGGCATGAGAAGGGCGTGTTGCACAAGCACCAGCGGGCCCTGCACAAGTACAGCCTGATGAAGAGGCAGATGATGAGCGCCACCGCGCAGAACCGCGAGCCGGAGTCCGTGGAGCAGCTGGAGTCCCGCATTGTGGAGGTGGGTGGCGGGGCGGCCGAGCAGGCCCGTGGGAGCCTTTCCCCTCCCGGCCATGGTGGGACCCGGAGCCGTCCTGGTGGGCTCCCCTGGGTTGGCTCCTTGTGTCTGGAACAGAGCTGGGGGTGCAGTGGAGGCAGGGAGCTGGCCCGCGTGCCCAGAGCGATGCGGCTCCCTGCACGGTGCTCCCTCCCCGGCCCTCTCTTACCTCGCCACCTTCCAAATGCCTGGTGAAGGCTGAAGGAGAAGGGGCCGCCCTGGCTCAGGGAGCACGCTGGTGTTCGGGCCTTGGTGCTCCCGTCGCCGGCTGGGCCGGGTGCGAAAGGCGGCTGTTTGCTCCGCAGCAGGAGAACGCGATTCAGACGATGGAGCTGCGGAACTACTTCTCCCTGTACTGCCTGCACCAGGAGACGCAGCTCATCCACGTCTACCTGCCCCTCACCTCCCACATCCTCCGCGCCTTCGTCAACTCTCAGATCCAAGGGCACAAGGAGGTGAGTCCGCCCTGCTCCGGCCGCCGTCTCGGCCACGGCCTTTCTTTGTCCCTCCGCCCTTCCTTCAAGCCCGGCAGCGCGGTGGCCGGCCGCCCTAGAGAGGTTCTTTAGTGGAGTTGGGCTCCGCATGGGCCTTGGAACACGGTGCTCGCCCGGATCTTCTAGTCTCCTGTGTAGCCAAAATCAGAATCGTGAGGGTGTCCCTGTGATTCCTGGGGGGCGGAGGGAGGAGCAGACAGGGAGAGTTTGCCTCCTGGAGGGATTTGAGAAGTCGGAGGTAAAGCCCGCAGAGCTCCCGCACCCTGCGGCTGAGAGAAGGTTTCTAGCGCTTCGGAGCGCCGCAGGTGGCTGTTCTTCCAGAGAGCCCTGGCCGGCTTCCTCCAGAGCAGATGGCGGTTCCTTCAGCCTGGGAGAAGAAACGCTCCCAAGGTCCTGGGACAGGCCTCCGTTGATTTCTGGTGGCCAGCTCACTGCAGCACCGCTGGGATTACAGGCGAGCACCTTGTGCCCGGCTGAAATTAAGTTTATTAAGTAGCTGCAAGTAGCTTTCAAGCCATGGTCTGTGGTGTGTGTGGAATGGCACCGAGTGTCTGGGGTGGTCACGAGATTCCACACTGTCCCCGGGAGGTGCTTGGTGCCGTGGGTGCCGTCCAGCACTTTGGGAATGGCAGGCTGGAGGCGGCCGTGGTGGGGCTGGAGAGGCGGTAGACAGCCGCCGTGTTAGGAGCATCACTGTGAGATGGCCAGGGTCTCAGGGACCAGGTTGGACTTGGACATGTGAGTGGCCGGGTGTGTCCTCAGTGAAGGAATGGGACCAACAGGCGCCCGGAGCATGATGCCATAACCCCAGTCCTACCAGGTTTTTTATTGTGGTGGTGAGGAATTTCCAGCCCTGTGATGCTGTGTGCGCTGTGGTCCAGTGACTCAGCCTCCCCTGCAGGCCCCCAGGGTGCGCCCTGCCCTTCTCTGGCCACCTGAGCCCCTGCACGGCAGGTCTTGGCCTGACCCCTGCCTCACTGCCGCGCTCCCCTCCTCACATCCACAGCATCCGTTCCTTGCCCTGGTTCCAAAAGTGCTTGGCGAGTGGGGCCGCCGTTTGCATTCCGGTTTGGGTATTATTGATTTGGTGGATGTGGTCTTTGTGTTTTTGGTTTGCTTTTTGGTTTTGAGGTGGAGTCTTGCTCTGTCACCCAAGCTGGAGTGCAGTGGTGCAATCACAGCTCACTGCAGCCTCAACCTCCCGAGTAGCTGGGACCACAGGCAGGTGCCACCACATCCGACTCATATTTCTGATTTTCTGTGGAGACAGGGTGTCCGTGTGTTGCCCAGGCTGGCCTTGGTGTTTGACCTGCCAAGGCTTCCATGAGGCCAGTGCCCGCACGGCAGCTAGAGCATGTACTGGCAGTGACGCGATAGTAACGTTTCTCACGATTCCACGGCAGGCAGATTTGCAGCCCTTTGGTCCTGGGTGCAGGGATCGAAGCGTGGGTGTCTGTGACCACAGGTCACATGTCGCTGGTCCACTCCTCATTTGGGCTTCCTCTGTGCAGGATGGGCAGCACTGGTTCTGCCAGAGGTTTGAGGAGCTGGCGCACCTGAGGGCCCCTCCCTCCCTGTCACTGGCAGGCGAAGGAACTGGGATCAGAGCGTGAGGAGGAGCCCCGGCCCCGCCTGCTGATCTTGTTCTCTTCGCTTCCCTTTCAGATGAGCAAGGTGTGGAACGACCTGAGGCCCAAGCTCAGCTGCCTCTTTGCGGGACCACACAGCACCCTGACCCCACCGTGCTCCCCGCCGGAGGACGGCCTGTGTCCTCACTAGCGCCTGAGGCTGAGGTGGTGCTCCCTGCGGCCGCACTAAAACCTCTTTCCAAACGGTGTGTCCCGGTGTAATTCCCTTTGGACGGCAGCTCCCCTCCCCGCCACGCCCCGTGCTGCAGCTGGAGCAGAGGAGCTCACGCCTGCGGGTCGGGAGGCGCATCCGTGGACCATGGGGGCAGCTGGGCCACACTGTCCTTCGCCCTGTGGCCTGCTAGCCTGGTCGAGAGAGGTGGTGGGGTTCTCTGGAATGGTTTCCTCCTGACACCCAGAGCTGTGCGGGGAGGCAGGGATCTCTCATCTCACAGAGATTGTGCCTGGGGGAGCGTGGAGGCAGGGCCTCCAGGTGCTGGAACAGTCGGGAGGGGCAGCATCATGGTGCTCGGTCAGCCGAGGAGAGAGGGCAGGGCTGCCCTGCAGCCCAGGCATGGGACTGACCACGGACAGCGAGGGGACAGCCAGTGGTGCTGAGGCTGGGAGGGAGGGCCATTGGGCGTGGGGCACGCACGGTGAATTTTCTAGGGAAATTGCTGCAGTCAACACCTGGAGCCCTGGTCTGGGAGTGGCCTGTGGGGTCCAGTGGCCTCATGCCCTGTGCCCATATGATGACCCCATGTGTGCCTGTGTCCACACCATGACCCTGTGTGTGCCCAGGCCTGGAAGACAAAGGCGTGACGGAGAGCTGGGGCTCTGAGAGTGGGCGCTACAGCAGCTGTGTTCTCGTCCCCTGGACTCCCTTGATTTCTGGTGGCCAGTGTTGGGGTCTGCACCGTGTGGCACTGAGGCTGGATGGGCTGGCAGAGGACAGGTGGGGGCGTGGGGGGGCGTGTTCCATTCCAGCTGAGGCTTTAGAGGAGGGACAGCCCCCTTTTAAGTGGATTTCCTTCTCTGAGGCACCTAGAGCCCTCCTCCCAGCCTCCCGTCACGCACTTGCCGGCCCAGCCACCTGCTCACAGAGGGAACCAGTGGTCTTTCAGGCCCCTTCCCTGCTCTGGATGAAGAAGGCCATTCTCCTGAGCTCTGTGGGGCTGGACTGTCCGCCTCAGGCCTGGGTCTGCTTCTGCCCGAACCCCTTTTGTGGAAGGTACATGGGAGCCCAGTGGACCCCTGCACTTCTCCGGAGCCTGACGCCCCTCCCTGGCCGGGGAGGGGTGCTGGAAGAGGCCCGCCGGGCTCCAGGGTTTCCGAGGTCCCTCCGCTCCGCAGATGCTCACTGGCCTCTGGGGCGTTCACTCCTCTCACGGAGGGTGCTTCCCTTCCGCCTGTACCTACGGGCAGCTCACGGCCGTGGGATGGAGAGGGGACTCCTGTGTGTGCCCCGCAGGCAGGTGATCCATCGTCCACTGCGAGCCGGCCAGAGGGAACGGCCGTGCCTTCTGGCCCCGTGGGCTGTGCTGACTCGGTGGCTGTGGGGCTCGGGCCCAGCCTGCCCTGCCCTGTGGGTTCTGCTGCTGCCTTCCTGCTGTGAGGTGGGCTGCTTCCTTCTGGCCAGATGAGCAGAGGGCAGCGTTCCCTTTGGAGCCCGATGGGTGGGCTGTCCCGTGAGTCCCTAGTCCACCCGAGTCTTGGGCTGCGCTGCCTTCTGACGCCCCTCTGCAGAGACAGGTTCTCAGTTGCCATGAATGGCACCATGACACCCGAGCCATGAAGCGTGACCCCGTGTGGGCAGAAGGCTGCAAGGCCTCTCCGTCCACCCCGCACCTTCCTGGGGCCTGTCCAGCTGCAGGACCATAGAGGCTGTGGGGAGTCGTGGAGGGCATCAGGTGCTGGGGCCTCTGTGTCTCCAGAGTAGGCAAGGCACGCGCTCCTGACAGCCCCCAAGGATTGAGCAAGACTTCAGAATGAGCTTTTCTGAAGGAGCTTTCCTGGCAGGGACTCCGGGGTCAGTGAGTGTATGAGAGGCCACATACCTGGCGGCATCTCCCTGTGTTGGAAACTTCAAGAGCAGGGTCTCAGGGTCCTCATGTCCAGAGGCTGAGGATGGAGGTGGAAGGCTGGAGGGCAGGGGTGAGGAGGGAGCAGGAGGGCAGGAGTTGGGGGAGCAGGAGGGCAGGGGTCAGGAGAACAGGAGAACAGGGGTAAGGGAGGGCAGGGGTGAGGGGGAGCAGAAGAGGGATGAGGGGGAGCAGGAGGGCAGGCGTTGGGACAGGAGGGCAGGGGTGAGAGAGCAAGGGGGCAGGGGTGAGAGAGCAGGAGAGCAGGGGTGAGGAGAGCAGGAGAGTAGGGGTGATGGGGAATAGGAGGGCAGGGGTGAGGAGGGAGCAGGAGAACGGGTAAGGGAGGGCAGGGGTGAGGGGGAGCAGGAGGGCAGGGGTGAGGAGAGAGCAAGAGGGCAGGGGTGAGGAGAGCAAGAGGGCAGGGGTGGGAAGGCAGGAGGGAGGTGGGGGGGCAGGAAGGCAGGGGTGGGAGGGTCAGGAGGGCAGGGTGAAGGGGGGGCTGGAGGGCAGCGGTGACGAGGGCAGCCTGTCTCCCACGTGTGGTGGCTGCTTCCTGTGTGCCCTGGGGTTGGCTCTGTGGAGGGGTGGGCACTGGCTTTGGAACACCTCCCTCCCCTTCCTCCTCTGCCACCCAGTGCCTTCTAAAGGGCAGCAGAAAGAGGCCTGCTAGGCAGGGGTGGCGGAGGCCACCTTCCTTCTCACAAATACTTCTTGGCCCTGGCCCTGTGCTGCCCGGGCAGGTCCCCAGGCTCAGGGGCTGAGAGGCTGCTTACTGCTGCAGGTGGAGGCCCCATGCCGGAGGGAGAGCGGGGTTCCCCCCATGCCTCTCCAGCCCTCCTGCTGCCCACGGCCCAAGCCCAAGCTTGTGCCGGTCATTACGGCCTTGCCTAGCTGGCAGGGACAGCTGCGTGTGATGCTGGTGGAGATGCCAGATGCCGCCTGCCCTGTGAGGACGGCTGGCGGGGCCGTGGGAGGGGGGTTGTGGGCTGGCGGGGCTGTGGGAAGGGGGCTGCCGATCATGGTGAAAGGGGACATTTTCATTGGGTCCTCGTGGTCCGTGTCCTGGGTACTCGGGGTCACCGTGCAGACAGCTGCCCTTTGTCTGCCGGACACAGTGCAGGCAGGGGAGACAGGTTTAGGGCTCTGACATGGGGCACAGGGACTCCGAGCCAAGGGATGTCAGGGCAGCTCTGTGCATCTGAGGCCTTTGCCCTTGCTTTGCGGGTCAGTTCATGTCCAAAGCACTTTAGGAGGCTGCAGGGATCAATACCCAATATACCCAACAACTGGAATTGTTTACACATGACCTACATTTTGGACGGTTTATCAATAAACATGTGTGAACAACTGTTATTAAACGTGTATGAAAGTTGGGCAGGGGAGGGGACTAGCCTATGAGGCGTTCAACCTGGGTTTTAGCCCAGAGCCCTTGGCCGAGCCTCAGCTTCCCACACTGTGCAGGGGGGTTTTAAGAGGACACATCCCCAGCTTGTGGCACTGAGCATGTGTGTCTCTGCCCTGGGCCAGCTGCCCACCTCGGGGACAGAGTCTCCATCCTCTCCCACCTCTGTGCAGCAGTGCGGGCTGAAGCCCAGCACATCTGGTAGCTTCCTGTGGACGGGACCTGGCAGGCTGTGCTGGTGTCTGGAGAAGAACGTTTGAAAGGTTAGAGACCGGCCGGGTGCAGTGGCTCACGCCTGGAATCCCAGCACTTTGGGAGGCTGAGGCAGGTGGATCACCTGAGGTCAGGAGTTCAAGACCAGCCTGGTCAACATGGTGAAACCCCATCTCTACTAAACAGACAAATATTAGTTGGGTGTGGCAATGTGCGCCTGTAATCCCACCTCTTCGGGAGGCTGAGATGGGAGGATCGCTTGAACCTGGGAGGCGGAGGTTGACGTGAGCCGAGATCGTGCCATTGCACTCCAGCCTGGGCAACAGAGAGAGACTCCATCTCCAAAAAAAAAAAAAAAAAACCACCGCTAGATAGCTTTATTTTCCCTTCCATCCAGTTAATTCCAGATGAAACCCGGCTCTGCGCCACTCAATGCCCCCAGGTGAAGATGGTTTGCGGCTGTTCAGCAGCCACGTCTCCTGCCCAGGGGCTGCCCTGGGCTCCCGCTAGACCGTGTCCACCTCGCGGAGTGTGTAGTCCAGGATGGTGTCCTGACCCTGGAACTTGAAGTACCCGTGGAATTTCTTCTTCTGAAGCAGGAGTGGAAACCAGTAGCTGTCGTCGGGCCACATGTCCTTGAAGGGGATCTGATCCAGCTGGAACCAGCATGGGCGCATTTCTGTACCAATGGGGGAAGAGGAGGCACTGAGGTGCAACCCAAACTTCATGCTTAAAAAACATGTTTTTTTTGGCCGGGCGCGGTGGCTCACGCCTGTAATCCCAGCACTTTGGGAGGCCGAGGCGGGAGGATCACGAGGTCAGGAGATCGAGACCATCCTGGCTAACACGGTGAAACCCCGTCTCTACTAAAAATACAAAAAAATTAGCCGGGCGTGGTGGCGGGCGCCTGTAGTCCCAGCTACTTGGGAGGCTGAGGCAGGAGAATGGTGTGAACCTGGGAGGTGGAGCTTGCAGTGAGCCGAGATTGCGCCATTGCCCTCCAGCCTGGGCGACAGAGCGAGACTTCGTCTCAAAACAACAACAGCAACAACAACAAAACCATGTTTTTTTGTAGAGATGGGGTCTCACTGTGTTGCCCAGACTGGTCTTGAACTCCTGGGCTCAACGATCCTCCTGCCTCGGCCTCCCACAGTCCACAGTGCTGGGATTACAGGGGTGAGCCACTGCGTCTGGCCAGCCCAAACGTACACTGACTCTCTGAGGAGTTCACTGAGTGATCGTGAGGAACCTGACGATCGTTTATATTTCATCCTCATTACCGTGTTTCTCATTTTAGGGTGGGCGCAGAGCAGGGGCAGGTACGCTACTGGAGCCTCGGTGCAGAGACCACGGCTCATGGGCCCCACGCTGGCACTGTGGGGTGGAGGGGGACGCAGGCTGCCCGGTCCCTGGCACTCAGAGATGGTTTGGGCGGATGGCCTTTCTCCCAGCCAGGAGATGGGACCCGCATAGTGGGGAGGGGGAGCAGGCCCTGTGAGACTCACCGTCGCTCTCCACGGGGGTCCCCTGGATGCTGTCTGTGCAGAAGACATGCACGTCCATGAGCTCAGGCTCGCCCACGAACTCAAACACGATCTGGCCCACCTTGTGCAGGGCGTCCACTGTCAGACCGCTCTCCTCCTGCAGCTCCCTGCGGGCAGAGGTGGGCAGGGGAGGGAGGCCGTCAGGGCATGGTGCCATGCCCACACGATGGCAGGGAGGAGGAGCTGGGCATCTACACACAGCCCAGGGAGCCACCAGGGTGGATGGGAGACCCAGGAGGATGTCCCCTAGAATGCATTATCTGGTCCCGACCTGGCTGAGCTTCAGAATCAACTTGAACTTTGAAGACACTGATTTTGGTTGAGAGGCTCTGGGGAGGGGCCCGGAGATGGTGTGGAGCCTCTGGTGGGAGGAACGCAGTTCTAGCCCAGTGCCCTCTGTGTACCAGTGACAGCCCAGGCCCAGTGGAGTCCAGCCACTTGTCCACCGTCTCGAGACCCGCACGTGGCAGGGTTGGGACTGACCCCACTTCCTTCATTCCCGGTTACTTGCTTTTCCGCGGCTGAGCATCAGAGCCCATGCAGCGGTAGTTACGACCGCCGGGGCCCTGGGACGCTTGCTCTGGGAACCTGGGCCCTATACTCTGGGCCTGTCTGCCCAAAGAAATGTCTTTCCAGCCTGGTGCCTCTTCTCTGAGAACACAGGATGAAACCACAGGCTTCTATGATCTGTTTCCTGAAGGAGGAGCTCTGGTTTTAACTCTGGTCCCCAGGCTGACCACACGGGACACGTGGCCTGGGCCTCTTCCTGCGCCTTCTCGGGACATGCTCCCCACAGCTGTGCCTGGAGGAGGTGTAAGGGGCTGACTTCACCACGGGATGCCCAAGTGCTGCTGCGCCTGGGAACAAGCCCTTCCCTGCTTCGTGGCACACAGAGCCAGGTTTCCCCGAAGTAGTCTAACGCTGTTGCTAATTTAAAAATTACATATTTGTTATAGACAACCAGGAAACAAAACGCCATAAACTCATCACCCAGGAATGCTACCATTTCAGTGTTTTTCCTTTGGCTCTTTCTCCTCTGTTTTTCCCTTAAGAAATGCAAACATTAACCCTTAATAGCTTAAAGTTAAAAAATAAAAATGCAAACAGGTTGGGTGCAGGGTGGCTCATGCCTGTAATCCCAGCATTTTTGGAGGCCAAGGTGGGAGGATTGATTGCTTGAGCTCCGGAGTTTGAGACCAGCTTGGGCAATATGGCAAAACCCTGTTTCTACAAAAAGGACAGAAATTAGCTGGGCATGGTGGCACTCGCCTGTAGTCCCAGCTCCTCAGGAGACTGAGATGGGAGGAATGCTTGAGCCCAGGAGTTGGAGGCTGCAGTGAGCTGGGATTACTCCACTGCACTCCAGCCTGGGCAACCGAGCTAGACCCTGTCTTAAAAAAAAAAAAAAAAAAAAAAGCAAACATCATACACACTTTATACCTCGGGCTTTCCACGCAAGAAAGGAGGAGTGCATGACATTCCACACCTCAAGGAACCCAGCCGCCTTCTCAACTCCTGTTTGGTATGGAAGAATAAAACGTTCCAACTTCGGGTTATGGTGGAAACCCGTGTTGGGCACAGCGGTGCTGCTGACCTCCCGTTCTGAGCGTTTGCTTGCTGTGCTCAGTCGGGTTCTTGCTCAGTCCCTCAGCAGACACTTCTGAACACCCACTCTGTGCTGGGACCCTGGGGATGCACGGGCTGCAGCCGCTGGGCACCTCAGTCTCCTCCTCTTACCATGCCCGGCTAATTTTTCTGTGTGTGTGTTTTTCTGTAGAGACAGGGTCTTGCTATGTTGCCCAGGCTGGTCCTGAACTCCTGGGCTCAAGCGATCCTTCTGCTTTGGCCTCCCAAAGTGCTGGGATTTCAGGTGTGAGCCACCATGCCTGGTCTAAATGGTCTGATTTAAGCGATGCCTCCTCAGCTTAAACTGCAGGGACTGGAGAGGAAACGGACCTGGAATCAGCATTTATTCATACAGATGGCTAATTAAAGTTGGGCTTGAGCTACAAAGTGAACGTGTGCTTCTACTTGGGTATAAATGGCTCCCCAGTTAGATGCAATAGAAGTGCTCAGTGGGGCCTCACCCGCCTCTTGGCGGCCGGCTGTTGCTCGTCTTAAAAAGCGTCACCTCCCAGTGGGATATTGTGACTGATTTTAGTTAATCTTCCCTAGCACATGGCAGCGTAGGAAGCATCAAGAATCCGCCGGGAGACAGAGCTGAAGCTCCATTTCCCAGGCAGGGAGCGCCAGGCAGGCGAAGATGACGCTGTTCAGTTCTGCCCAAGTGTCTGCTCTGTCCATGGCACTCGGTTCCCCAGGCGGAACACGGGGAACAGGGTGAGAAATACATGAAACAAAAACACAGGGTGGTGCAGCGTCCGTGGCGTGGGGAGGTGGGAGTCGGAGGTTCCGGCGGGCCTGCTTCCCATCGCTGCTCCTGTGTCCCCGGCCTCGCTAGTCTTTGGGGACCAGGGATGCTGTCTAGAAAGGTCGGCTCACACTGTGCGCCTGAAGCCCAAATCTGCACACCCCCACAATTCAGTACTCCCTACGTGCCTGTCCCCTGCCCCACAGAGGAGGGTCTGAGTCCAGCCCTCTGGACTGGGGTTAGGCGCTCAGGCCTGCCCCCTGCAGGCAAGCGGGGAGGGTGCCTAAACCGGCTCTTGGCCTGGGAGTTAGGGCCCATCTTGGGGTCCTCCTGATAGAATAGGACTGGGTATTGCGTGGATAAAGCAGGAACCAGCCTCCCCAGAGACCGGGCTGCCGACGCTCCTCCCTGCCTCCCGCTCCTGAGCAGCACGGGCCTGGGGTTGCCCCAGGAGCAAATCCATTCAGACTCGCAGGTACTGAAGCCCAGGGCCGTGCTGGTGGCCTGTGGCTGATGGTACGTCATCCCCTGAGGGCGAGGCTGTTTGCTGCTGGGTTCCCGGGGCCCTGGGACCCCTAAGCACCAGCCTGTCTGGCTCCAGTGTCCCCCATTCCTCATGCTTGCAGATGCTCCCCAACGAAGGATTTTTTTCTTTCTTTCTTTAAGACAGGGTCTCGGCTGGGCACGGTGGCTCACGCCTGTAATCACAGCACTTTGGGAAGCCGAGGCGGGTGGATCCCGTGAGGTCAGGTGTTCAAGACCAGCCTGGCCAACATGGTGAAACCCCCGTCTCCAGGTTACACCCGAGGATGGAAGTCACAGGCTTCCGGCTCTGTGCCTCAGTTCCCCCCCTCAAACCCTGGTCTGACAGCAAGCCACCACTGTATTCAGCTTTGAGGGTCTGGAGTGATGGTCCCTCTGTTTGTGTAATATTTACAGAGGGTAGGAGGAAAGTTCCTTCGACCGTGACAAAGTTCAGAAGAAAATAAAGCAGGGCTGCCGAGGGGGCCTGTGCTTTGCTTGTCACCAGCAGGACGAGAAGCGGAAATCCAGCCACCTGGAGTTCCTCCATCCAGCCTCCTCAGCACCGCTGCCTGCTCCACTCACACCCACCACTTCTCTGCACAGCTGGCGCTCCTCCAGCCCTCTGTGCTTCTGCAAATGTCTCCTTCCTCCCTCCTTCCACACTCTCCCAGCCAACGTCAGGCCCTCAGAGCATTTTCCTGGTGCCCAGTTATTCTCCCTTCCTTTCTCCTGGAGGCCCCTGGCCACGAGGTATGGACCAGACCTCCTTCTGCAGGTCTCCTGAACCCGGCAGCCAGATGACACGAGAGCTCCACAGAGGCAGGGACTGACCTGTTCCTCCTCATGTCCCCAGGCCCCACACAGAGCAGCGCTACAGAAATCCATGAGCTGATGGGCAGTCTTAGCAGATCAAAGACAAAGGGCTGGGCAGAGAACCCCCGGGGCCACCTTTCCTGTTTCCTGTGCTGTGGTCGCTCTGCACACACTCCTGGCAGGGACACGCTGTATGCCCGACTCACACCCAGTGGTCCTCCTCCCCAGCTGCGGCCCCCAGCACAGAGCCTGTCGCACTGGCACCTGCCACAGTGACTGATCGAACGTGTCCGTGTGGCTGCGGTCTGGGGTCCCAAGCCTTGGAGGGGAAGCACACACAGGGCTCTCCAAACTGAGGGTTGGGACCCATGTACCCCGGGAAATCGGCTTAGTGGATTGCAATTGAAAAAAAAAAAAGGGTCAAGCCAGTGGCCCACACCTGCAATCTCAGCACTCTGGGAGGCCCGGGAGGGAGGATCGCTTGAGCCTGGGAGTTAATGAGACACCATCTCTACAAAGAATTAAAAAACGAACTGAGCGTGGTGGCATGTGCCTGTGGTCCCAGCTGTTCGTGAGGCTGAGGCAGGAGGATCGTTTGAGCCCAAGAGTTTGAGGCTGCAGTGAGCCAAGAGTGTGCCATGGGTGAGATCCCACCTCTGGAGAAAAAAAGAGAAATGAATCGGAAAAGTAGAGCCCCCTTTTATGTAATAAGGGCGGCTACTGCAACTTACTTTAGCTGTACCTGCACACCTGAGTGTGTACACTCTATCAGAGTACAAAACGTATTTCTTACTGCAGGTTGTGATGAAAAAATTGGAAAGCCACTAGGCTGCAGCGTCCTGGCTTTCCTCCGTGCCAGGACCCTCTTTACTCTGTAGTTCTCCTCTCCAGGCAAGCTGGCCTACCTTTCTCAGAACAAAAACACGAACGGGGGCTAACGTCTGTGCAGCGATGTTTACACAGATGATCTCATTTACCCTGTGAGGGTTGAGGGGCGTCTGGAGGACTGTGTGATCTTGGGTAAACGGCTCAACCTCTCTGGGCTTCAGTTCCTTCCTAGGTGAAGCTGGCTGTGTTGAGGATGCAGTGAGGCTTTGTGCACAGCGAGTGTGAGATGAAAGCGATCATCAGCTCCACTGAACAGACAGAGGAACCAAGTGACTGACGAGCCCTTCGGCAACAGTGAGGGTGCTGGGAGGGTTCAATTCAAGCTGCTGCACAGAGGCTTCCAGATACGCCCTGCAGCCCCCAGCACCACCGCACCACAACAGCTAACACGCACTCAGCACGCACCGCACACCGCGCACCGTTCTAAGTCCTTCGAGTTCATTTCCTCATTTTATCTTCACAAGAGTCCGAAGGGCTGCGGACTGTTCTTCATTCTGAGATGAAGACACTGAGGCTCACGCTTAACCCCCTGCTCCAGGTCACTTAGCTCTTAGTGGTGAAACCAAGGGTGTGGCCCTACAGCCCGAATCCCTGTGCCCTGGGAAAGCCGGTTCTATGGCCAGACCTGCCCCATCCTTACCTCCTAGCCCCATCCTCGATGGTCTCTCCTTCTTGCACTTTGCCCCCAAAGCCATTCCACCGGCCGGCCCCGAAGCCTCGCTTTTTCATGCCCAGGAGAACTCGCTGAGGCTGCAGGACCAGCACCAGGGTATAGAGCCTGGAGGCGCCCATGGTCCCTGGGTTCTGAAAGGAAGGTGAGAGGGCAGAGTCAGCCATGACGTGCGTGGAGGAAGCACGTGCCAGGGGCCAGGAGGAAGGGGACGTGCTCTGGGAGGCAGTGGGGGGCGGGGGGGTATGCTGTAACTCCCCAGCCCTGCCACGTGTGGCTTCCCTTGTGGCAGGTGGAAAACTGCCATTGAACCAGTGATTTTCTGGGGTAGAAACAGAACCCAGTGGTCAGCAGGGCTGATCAAGCAGAGCAGAGGCCGGCGCTACCTTCCTTCTCCACAAGTCAGTACTCAGGTGCAGAGGACAACATCACCTTTCCAGAGCGTGCTCTTGCTCCTGCGTCTACCCCCAGGAACCCCCTGCTTATAGGCACACAGTGAGGAACAACAGTCCCCGTGCCTGATTGGCACCAAAATAACCACGCAGTTTATCCTGTGGTCCTCAGGTCAGGCCTTTGGATTAACAGGAACTTCTTTCAGTCTAGTGGGACCTGGCCTCTCTGTAGCAGGCTTCCAGATTCCCAGGAAATGTGTGGCTGTAGACACAGGTCCACCCAGCCAGGCCCGGCTAGTCCTCCCTCCTGTGATAGGAGTTTATACCCCACCCACTCTGCTCCTGCTGTGGCTACTGTGGGACCTGGCACCCAGGGGGGCCACTGGAAGTCACAAGGGTCCTTCCTGCTCCCATAGGTGTGCAGGTCCAGGTCCAGAGGACTCTGAGGGCGATGCCTCCGCCAGGTCCCTGCTGAAAAAAGGACCCTGGAGAAATGCTGGAGGGCCAGGACCAACTTTCCTTTATTTATTTTGAGACAAGATCCTGCTCTGTTGCCCAGGCTGGAGGAGAGTGGCGTGATCGCGGTTCACTGTAACCTCCGCCTCCCTGGCTGAAGCCATCCTCCTGCCTCAGCATCCCACATAGCTGGGACCACAGGCATGAGCCGCCACACCCAGCTAATTTCTGTATTTTTAGTAGAGATGGGGTTTTGTCACGTTGCCCAGGCTGGTCACGAACTCCTGAGCTCAAGCGATCCACCCACCTCAGCCTCCCAAAGTGCTGAGATTACAGGCGTGAGCCACTGCGCCCAGCCAGGACCAACTTTTCTGGGGTCCACACCTGGACAAGACACAGGGTTCAGGACCAGTGATCCTTCTTGGAAGTTGTGGTGTCTGAGAAAAGGGACCAGATGATAAGGAAGGGGGCAGGGAAGTGCTGGGTAGAGGAGGGCGTGGTCTCTGGCCAGGGCTCCACACCCAGGCCTGTGCCCAGGGACCTGGGTGAGGACAGGCATTTCTGTTTTTTTGCCCAAATGTTGCATTTCCCGAGCCCGCCACGTCCCCGTCCTGTGCCTATAAAAAAACCCCAGTGGTTTTTTATAGTGGGCAGAGACACAAGCCGCTGGACGTCAAGAGGACGTGGAAAGCACACCAACAGGCACCAGCAGGCCATCAACTGATGGAACCATGAGTTTGGCAGGGGCGGTCAGAGGAGAGCCCAGGCTGCTCAGCAGCCCGACTCCAGGGGAAAATCACCTTCCCACTCCAACTGCCTTCTGGCTCCCCCATCTGCTGAGGGCTAATTCCACTCATAAAACCTTGCACTCACTCTCCAAGCCGCCGTGTGATCTGATTGCTCCAGTACATCAAGGCAAGAAACCTAGGGATACAGAAAGCCCTCTGTCCTTGCGATAAGGCAGGGAGTCTAACAGCTGACTAACACAAGCCACCTACAAGGCTAAACTGAAAGAGCACCCTCTAACACATGCCTGCTGGGGCTTCAGGAGCTGCAAACATTCACCCCTAGACACTGCCGTGGGGTGGGAGCCCCTCAGCCTGCCTGTCTGTATGTTCCCCTAGAGGCTTGAGAAGCGGGGCACTGAAGAAGTGAGCCACATCCTCATCGCACGCCCTTCGAGGAGGACAAGGGAACCTTTCCCATTTCACTGAGACTGGGTCCTGGTGGCGGAGGCAGGTCAGACAGGGTAAATGGGTTTGTGGCTTAGTTTCACACCAGGCCCGTGTACTTTGTCCCGACACTGATCTGTTTCTGCCAGAAGCCACGGTTTCCAAAGTAAATTTTTGTGATTTACTCCTGGTCTCCCCCAAGCCTCCGCCCCGCTCTCCTTGTCTCTCTCCCAAACCCCCGGCCCCGCTCTCCTCGTCTCCCTCGAGCCCCCGACCCTGCTCTTCTGGTCTCCTTCGAGCTCCCGGCCCCGCTCTCCCCCAAGCCCATGGCTCAGCTCCCCTAGTCTCCTGCCGCCCGCTGGCCCGGCTCCCCTCCCTGGTCACCACGACTCCTGGAATCCCCGCGCGCGCTTTTCGTACCTGCACCGCCGCTTCCGGGGGCGTGGCCTCTGACCGGAAGTGAGGCCAGGCACTTCCGGCGGCGCGCTGCAGGCGCGGGGAACACCAATGGCGGGGTGAGCTGGGCGCTGCTGCTGCGCGTGCAGACAGCGGGAGTGGTTGGGGGTCCGCCCGGTCGCCTTCCTCGGTCCTGGCCTCGGGGCTGGGTGCCGAGCGCTGGGCACCGTCCCCGCACTCAGCGAGCGCGACAGGGGCGAGGCCAGGATTCCGGGTCGCAGTTCCCCGGGAGGAGGGCGCCCTCAGGTCTCCAGGGGCAGGGCCGGCGGGGCCGTGGGGAGGCCGGGGCCGGCGGCGGAGTCCAGGTGGGGGGCGCAGCGCCGGGGCCCAGATCCAAGGCGCCGGGGGCGAGCCCGGGGCGGGATTTCGCTTCTGGGCCGGGTAGCTCCATTGCCCGCGCTTCCTGGGCTGTCGAGTGGGCCCTGGCCCCCGGGACCGGCTTGTGCCATTTTCCCGGGAGACCCCTTAAGCGAGGGGAAGACAGCGACTCACGGTCAGCAGTCAGTGCCTCCTGGCTTGTCAGCACGCTTTGGTGTTGCAGAAGCTAGAAGCTTTGGCCTTGGAGCCATGAGGGTGGTAACTTTTATTTATTTATTTAAATCAGAAAGATGGACATAGAGACCGGGCTTGGTGGCCCACACCTGTCATCCCAGCACTTTGGAAGTCTGAGGCAGGAGGATCGTTTGAGCCTAGGAGTTCGAGACCAGCCTAGGCAATGTAGTGAGATGCCATCTCTAAAAAAGGTTTTTAAGAATTAAAAAAAAAAAAAAAATTAGCCCAGGCATGGTGGTGCACACCTGTAGTCCCAGCTACTCAGGAGGCTGAGGTGGGAGGTTCACTTGAGACCCAGAGGTTATGGCAGCAATCAGCTGTGATTGTGCCACTGCAACTCCAGCCTGGATGATAGCAAAACAAAAATGGCCGGGTGAGGTGGTTCACGCCTGTAATCCCAGCACTTTGGGAGGCCAAGGTGGGCTGATCGCCAGAGGTCAGGAGTTCGAGACCAGCTCGGCCAACATGGTGAAATCCCATCTCTACTGAAAATAGAAAAATTAGCCGGAAGTGGTGGCACACACCTGTAGTCTCAGCTACTCAGGAGGCTGAGGTGGGAGGTTCACTTGAGCCCCAGAGGCTGTGGCTGCAGTCAGCTGTGATCATGCCACTGCACTCCAGCCTGGGTAATAGTAAAACCCTGTCTCTAAAAAAACAAAAAGAAGAAAGAAATGCCTGGGTGCAGTGGCTTACACCTGTAATCCCAGCACTTTGGGAGGCCAAGGCGGGCAGATCAGCGGAGGTCAGGAGTTTGAGACCAGCCTGGCCAACATGGTGGAACCCATCTATACTGAAAATACAAACATTAGCCGGACATGGTAGCAGGTGTGCCTGTAATCCCAGCTACTTGGGAGGCTGGGGCAGGAGAATTGCTTGAACCCGGGAGTCGGAGGCTGCAGTGAGCTGTCACTGCACTCCAGCCTGGGCGCCAGAGTGAGACTCCGTCTTAAAAAAAGAAAAAGAGGACATAGAACTTCCTTGGTGAGGTTGTTGTCAGAGTTAAACAAGGGGAGGTGTGTATAGCTTCCACCTGCTTAGCTATTGTGGGCTGTGAATAAATTGTTACATTTATTGTAACAATTGTCTAGAGAATCTTGGAAATTGTCCTTCAACGATTGACACAGGTTTAGTTCAATTTTATTTAAGACATGTAGGTGAGAGGATTGTTTGAGCCCAGGAGTTCGAATCTGCGTTGAACCGTGACCTCACCACTGCACTCCAGCCTGGGCTATAGAGCGAGACCCTGTCTCGAAAAAAAGAAGAAAAAAAGAAATGTGACAGGCCAGACCCTCTGTACTAGCTGTCAAAGCCCTGGAACTAGGTCACTAAGGCAAGGATCTGTCCTTATGAGGTTTTCTTGCAGCCTGTCAGAGCCCAATGAACATTTTTGCCAGATGAGAAAATAATATTACTTTAATTAATTAATTGATGTATTTAGTTATTGTTTGAGACAGAGTCTCGCTCTGTCGCCCAGGCTGGAGTGCAGTGGCGCAATCTCGGCTCACTGCAACCTCTGCCTCCTGGGTTCAGGCGATTCTCCTGCTTCAGCCTCCCGAGTAGCTGGGTTTATAGGCATCTGCCACCACGCCAGGCTAATTTTTGCATTTTAGTAGAGACGGGGTTTCATCATGTTGGCCACGGTTGGCCAGGCTGGTCTCGAAATCCTGACCTCAGGGGATCCACCTGTCTTGGCCTCCAAAAGTGCTGGAATTACAGGTGTCTCCGAATACCCCCATATTCTGAGGTACCAAGGGTTAGGACATCAACACATTAATTTTGCGGGGACACAGTTTGGCCTGTGATGCCTGCTTTCCATCTGTGTAGCCTTATCAGTTCACCTCCCCTCCTGGGCCTTGGTGCCCCATCTCTAGAAATGAATGAGTTGATCCGAGGGCCCTCCCAGCTCATGACCTGCCGTTCTGTGTGATGCCAACCTGCCTGCTCCTCTTCTCTCCCACCAGGTACTTGAAGCTGGTGTGTGTTTCCTTTCAGCGTCAAGGGTTCCACACTGTTGGGAGTCGCTGCAAGAATCGGACAGGCGCTGAGCACCTGTGGCTGACCCGACATCTCAGGGACCCATTTGTGAAGGCTGCGAAGGTGGAGAGTTACCGGTGTCGAAGCGCCTTCAAGCTCCTGGAGGTGAACGAGAGGCACCAGATTCTGCGGCCCGGCCTTCGGGTGTTAGACTGTGGGGCAGCTCCTGGGGCCTGGAGTCAGGTGGCGGTGCAGAAGGTCAACGCCGCAGGCACAGGTGGGCCTCTGCACTGCTGTTGGCACCTTCTGGCTCCCCTGAGGCTGAGTGGGCATGGGCAAGCTGCCTTTGCCAGTGGATGCGGGATGGTGGAGCCCTTTTTTGAAGGCGTGTGCTTCCGAGTGGGTGGTTTAGCAATGGTGATGATAAAAATAGGATGCTGCCATTTTCAAAATGAAAGACAAGGTAGAAAGGTGCAGTGAACATGGAAATCACCTCGCATGAGACCGCCCGCAGGTACCAGCACCAGCATGGTGGTGTGCATCCTTCCAGGCTTGTGCATGCATAGATCCCTCACATTTTCAAAAGCGATGTTGTGCCATACTTTTCTTGCTAATTTGCAGCCTATTGGAGCTATTTTTGCTTAATGATACATACATATATGTATTATATATATATATATATATATATATATATATATATATATATATATATATATAATTATTATTGTTATTATTTTTGTTCTTCCCCCCCCTCCAGATGGAGTCTCACTCTTGCCCAGGCTGCAGTGCAATGGTGTGATCTCGGCTCACTGCAACCTCTGCCTACCTGGTTCAAGCGATTCTCCTGCCTCAGCCTCCCAAGTAGCTGGGATTACAGGCGCCCGCCACCGCACCCAGCTAATTTTTTCTTTTTGTTTTTTTAAGTAGAGATAGGGTTTCACTATGTTGGCTAGGCTGATCTCGAACTCTTGACCTCAGGTGATCTGCCCACCTCGGCCTCCCAAAGTGCTGGGATTACAGATGTGAGCCATGGTGCCCGGCTACTCTTAATGATGTATTGACATCTTTCCCCAACAGCACAGCTAAATTTCCAAGTCGCATAAGCCCTGGGGCTTTCCTGGTGGCCCCACTGGGGCTGCTCCGTCCGGAACCTAGAAGAGGCTTCATGGCCAGGGCTATGGATTCTTTGCTCTGGATGAAGCTGAGACACAGTTTTCATCTGTTTTGTATCTTAGGGTTTTGAGTAAGATTTTCTATATAAAAAGGTTCTCCTGAATAATGAGATCAGCCAACCGCCCATGCAACTGAAGACACTGTCGTCATTGGGAAAGTTTCATCCTATTCCATGTAGTGCTTGCACCGTAGGTTCTTTAACCAGCTCCCTCACTGTGGCATCAAGGTTGCTTTTGGCTTTTGGCTGGGATGCGTGTGCTGTGGTGAATATCCTTGCCATTTATGTTTCCTGCTGTAAAGCCAGGGTAGCTGCATGCACTGGCATTTGAACAGGGTGAGACAGTCCACCCAGAGCTCTCCCAAGTCTCTCCCAAATACCTTAGAGTAGGGACACTGGTCCCCATTTATTGGTGAGAAAACAGGCTCAGGGTTTCATGACTTGTTGAAAGTGCAGAAATGGAATGCTGGCCCCCTGGATCTGCACATCTGCCTCGCTGCTGGTTTGCGGTAGGTTTGCCATGAACTCTTGGTGTCTACCTGCATCCCCTTGGGTGGCCCCTGCCCATACTTAGGCGGGGATATGCCTCTTCGGGCTTTTCAACAGCATTTTTTTTTTTTTTTTTTTTTTTTGTTTATAGAGCCTCACTCTGTTGCCCAGGCTGGAGTGCAATGGCGCCATCTCGGCTCACTGTAATCTTTGCCTCCTGTGTTTAAGTGATTTCCGGCTAATTTTTGTATGTTTAGTAGAGATGAGGTTTTGCCATGTTGGCCAGGCTGGTCTCGAACTCCAGGCCTCAGGTGATCCGCCCGCCTCTGCCTCCCAGCATCCTCGAGGTGCTTCCTGGTGCTTCCATCGTGGTCAGCCTGAAAGCCTTTTTATTGTTTTTCAGCTCAACATTTATTGACTAAATAAGTGAATTTGTGTTGGAAATGTCAGTTCCTTTTCTCATTGCTGAGCTTATCACCGTGGAGTCCTCCTAGTAACTGATTTCAGTGGTTTCTGTTCCCCTAAGTGCTCTTGAGATGAAGCAGGAGAGTGGCCCAGCGTGCCTTGTAGGAGGAAGTGACAGAAGGAGAGAGCGTGAGCGTGATCTGCCTGGGCTTGTCCTCCCGGAAGTCACAAGCATGCAGCCAAAGCTGTTTGCCTTCGGTGGAAATTTCCGAAGGTTGTAACATACTGGATATTATAGGAGTGAAAGCTCAGGAGCATAAAGTGAGGCGTGAGGCCGGGCGCAGTGGCTCACACCTGTAATCCCAGTACTTTGGGAGGCCAAGGGGAGGATCACCTGAGGTCAGGAGTTCGAGACCAGCCTGGGCAATATGGTGAAACCCCCGTCTCTACAAAAAATTAGCCAGGTGTGGTGGCATGTTCCTGTGGTCCTAGCTCCTTGGGAAGCTGAGGTGGCAGGGGTCGCTCGAACCTGGGGAAGTCAAGGCTGCAGTGAGCTGAGGCCGTGCAACGGAGTGAGGCCTTGTCTCACACACACACACACAAAGACACACAAAGATAACTTGCTGATATTTGAGTAACACCAGTTTGCTAAAACTAAAAAGATGCCTTTGTGTCACCTTACGTAAAACAAGACTTGTTGCCTATAACTGATCTCAGCATCTGCCTCCCCCTCTTCTCACTCTGTACCTACATTCAAAGCCCCCTCTTCACAAGCCCAACGCCCCCATCTCCCCAACAGTCCCCTCCACTGAGGAGGGCCGTAGTTCTGTTGAGAAATTGTCAGAGTTGATAAGCTAAGGGTACAGTCACAGATTTTCTTGTTCAGTCTGCTTAACAGAAAGGCTGTTCCAACGGTAGGGGGAGAGAAAGGGACCGTGTTTCATTCCTAGTGTAAACATTGGAAGTCCAGGTATTTTGAAGATTACCTCATTTTTCAAAGGCGAAACCCCTCAGTCTTCACCCCAGGAAAATGGGACGCCTCACGCCTCATTTTAGCTGGGTCTCCTGAGTAGCTGAGACTACAGCTAATTTTTATATTTTTTTGTAGAGACAGGATCTTGCTATGTTGCCCAGGCTGGACTAGAACTCCTGGGCTCAAGTAATCCTCTTGCTTCAGCCTCCCAAAGTGCTGGGATTTTAGGTGTAAGCCACCACACCTAGCCGATATCAGTTTTTGTACGTTATTTTATATCTGTTCATTTTCCTCATCTCTTGACTTGTTTCCAGTAGTTTCTACATTGAAAGCAATTGGATTAAGCTGGAGAATGGATTTCTTGATTTAATCCAGAGGCACTTTATGTACTAGTTTATTATTTTCTTTTTCTTTTTCTTTTTCTTTTGAGATCGAGTCTCGCTCTGTCGCCAAGGCTGGAGTGCAGTGGTGCGATCTTGGCTCACTGCAACCTCCGCTTCCCGGGTTCAAGCGATTCTCCTATCTTAGCCTCCCGAGTAGCTGGGATTACAGGCACGTGCCACCACGCCTGCCTAATTTTTGTATTTTTAGTAGAGATGGGGTTTCCCCATGTTGGCCAGGCTGGTCTCGAAGTCCTGACCTCAGGTGATCCACCCGTGTCAGCCTCCCAAAGTGCTGGGATTATAGGTGTGAGCCACTGGGACTGGCCTATTTTCTATTTTAGTTTATCAAAAAGAGCACTCAGAGATAAGAACCCTTTCACAGAGAGTGAGCCTTGGGTAGTGAAATGATACCAGATTTGGAATCAGAAGTCCTGATGCCTGGCACAGGTCTGCCCATGGCTGAGGATGACTCTAGGACAGTCACTTCCTGTCTGGGCCTCAGCTTCTCAGATGTTAAGGCCCGCCATCTCCACCATGTGTCTTTATAGGATGTATAGATAGAGAAGGCCTGTGTTTACCTATTTGCACATTAGCTCTTTGCCTTGGTCTTGACATTTTATTTTTATTTCATCACTTTGTTGCATGTACTGTATTTTTGTAAAAAGATTCAGGGTGTAAATAAATAACACATTCACCATTTCTTCCATAGATCCCAGCTCTCCTGTTGGCTTCGTGCTTGGGGTAGATCTTCTTCACATATTCCCCCTGGAAGGAGCAACTTTTCTGTGCCCTGCTGACGTGACTGACCCGAGAACCTCACAGAGAATCCTCGAGGTGCTTCCTGGCAGGAGAGCAGATGTGATTCTGAGCGACATGGCGCCCAATGCCACAGGGTTCCGGGACCTCGATCATGACAGGCTCATCAGCCTGTGCCTGACCCTTCTCAGCGTGACCCCAGACATCCTGCAACCTGGGGGGACATTCCTTTGTAAAACCTGGGCTGGAAGTCAAAGCCGTCGGTTACAGAGGAGACTGACAGAGGAATTCCAGAATGTAAGGATCATCAAACCTGAAGCCAGCAGGAAAGAGTCATCAGAAGTGTACTTCTTGGCCACACAGTACCACGGAAGGAAGGGCACTGTGAAGCAGTGAGGATTTCTTGTGCCATTTTCATAATGGTCATTAGCTCCTTTTAAGCTAGAAACGTAGCCTGAGCTCCTGAAGAGTTCCTGGGAGATTTGAGCTGATTTTGGAGATGGAGCAGGACAAGTGGGGAGTCTCTCTCTCTCTTTCTCTCTCTCTCTTTTTAACCAAAAAGAGATGACAAAACTAAGTTCAGGGGCCATGGAAAATGAAAAAGTCCGCTATATTGTGATTTGGGAAGAGAAAGTTATCAAGAGAAAGAGGTGAGGATGGAAGGATGGAGAAAAACAGACTGTGGGAAGGATCAGAAGGAATCCGCCGAGGCAGGGATGGGTGTGCCCATGTGTGCCTTGACGGGACTTCATCTTATAGACTGTTAAACTGTCACACACAAACAGGCTTTCCACCCCTGCTCTGAGAGCACCACGCACAGATTTCCAGTTCTTAGTGTGGCTGTTTAAAGTAGAAAATCTGGGGGCTGGGTGAGGCCACTCATGCCTGTAAACCCAGGGCTTTAGAAGGCTGAGGCTGGGGGATTGCTTGAAGTCAGGAGTTCAAGACCAACCTGGGCAACATAGCAACACCCCCCATGTCTACAAAAATGAAAAACCAAAAAGCAAACCAAAAGAAAAATCTGAAATTTCCATCTGGGGATTAACTTCTGTCTTTCTGGTGAACAATATAGCAATTCACGCATTCTTCAAGCAGCAAAAGTTCCCGGAACAATTAGGGAAGACGTATGGTCTGAATTTATCCAGGCAGTGGGTCTGCTTTGGTTTTTGCTGGAAATTTATATCAGTGTCTGGGCTCCCAAGAACATAAATGTAATTGCCAAAGCAAGCAGTGATGTGGTGTGTTTATTTTCTTTTACTCATCTAGGAACTTGACGCAGCTTTATATTTAATAAAATAATAGAGATTGCATTATTTTAAGGTACTTTCATGCTTTGAAGTTTTGTTTTTTTTAAACTGGCTTCCTCAAAGCCATTTCCTGGAGGTGTACTCATCCCTCAAGAAGAGTTTGTTGACTATGATTAAATTCCAAGGACCAGTGGGGGAAGTCTGGAAACCCAGGAATCTCCATCAGGAATCTGGGGCTCTGTCCAGCTCCCCGAAGGAAACTGCGGGTCAGATGTTTTGATTTTTTTTTTTCTTTGAGAAACAGAATCTCACTCTGTCACCCAGGCTGGAGTGCAGTGAAGTGATCTTGGCTCACTGTAAGCTCCACTTCCCGGGTTCACGCCATTCGGCCTCAGCCTCCCGAGTAGCTGGGACTACAGGCGCCCATCACCACGCCCGGCTATTTTTTTTTTTTTTTTTTGTATTTTCAGTAGAGACGGGGTTTCACCGTGTTAGCCAGGATGGTCTCGATCTCCTGACCTCGTGATCCGCCTGCCTCGGCCTCCCAAAGTGCTGGGATTACAGGCGTGAGCCACCGCGCCCGGCCGCCAGATGTTTTGACTTTTCATTTTATTTCTGGTTGCAGTCAGGTTGTTAAGTCCAGGGACTCTTGCCCTACTCCACCTCGTTCTCTTATTCCATTTCATTCCCGGGGCACACAACTTGGAAGTCTTTCTCTGAAAGAAGGAAAATTCATTGCAGACCCTTAGGAACAGCATCTTCTTAGAGGGAAGCCAGGGGCTGGGCAGAGACGGGAGGAGGAGAGGAAGAGAATATGGAAACGAGTAAGGCACACTCTTCTCAGGAAGGCTCCAATTTGAAGGATAGACAAAGGTTACCATAATAATGGTGGGGCCTGACCTCACCCCATTGGATGCTGTGCCCTGGCTTGCAGAGCACTGGGAAGGTAGCCTAGTAGCATAAATTGCATTTCTAGTGGGCCCAGAAAAAAGCAAAATAACGGATTGATTCAAGCTGATACTGAGTAGCAAAATTTTGGGAAGAGTCAACGGTGCAAGTTTGTCCGAGGAGGCTGCCGTGGGCGCGGCTATTCCACACATTACGGCGCGAGGCGAAAGCCTTAGTGGAAGCGCGTCCTGCGCAAAGCCGGGGGGCCCCCGACTGCGCCTTGGCTCAGCCTTCGGTTCCGAGTCCTTTCCGTGCGGAGTCTCCCAGGGGTGGCGGCTCCGGGTGCGGACGCGGAGTCCCCAGGATCAGCCGGTGCGCAGACTCGGTTCTTTACGGCCCGATTGCCACGCAGGTCTCGCGAGAGCGCAGGCGCAAGTGTCGCGATAAATGGGCGCCGGCGGAGCGGAGGGAGATCCGAGCGGCGGCGGCAAGCTGGCTGCGAGCGGCTGAGGTAAGCGGCCCGGCTCGCGCGGGCGGCGGGGTCCCGGGGTCCCGGGGGTCCCGGGAATGGCAAGGGAGGGGCCGAGGGCCCGGACCGGGTGTGCTCGCCAGGGTGGGGCACAACGACCCAGACCCCGTGCCTCAGGACCCCGCGCCCGCCCCGTCTCCCATGGGCGCGCTCTCCTCTCTGTGCTCTCCCCTCCTCTCCCCACTCCCCTGTCCCCACTCCCCCTTTGGGCTGTGCTGGGGACAGCGGGCCCCTCGCCTGGGTCTCCGCAGCCGTCCCTTGTGCCAGGGCGGGCGGCCGAGGGGCGCGTGCTCGTGGTCCCAGCCCCGGGGTCCCGCTGCCTACCGTGTGGGTCCCCGGGCTAGGGTGCCGGCGCGCCGAGGAAGGGGCCTGAGCTGGCGCCTGGTGGAGAAGTCGGGGCTGCAGGGGCTCTTGGCATCCTGGTGGCTCGCGCCGGTCCGCTCTCAGGAAGGGGGCGTGTGGGCCCGGTTTCCCCTCGGGGATGGCAAGGGCCACCCTGATCTCGTTTGGGCAATGGAGGAATTGGGCTGTGGAGCCTCCTTCCAGGCGGGCCTGCCTCTGCGGGGCTGGCAGCCTGGGGAGCTCAGGCCTCTGCTTGCACCAGGCCAAGGTTCTTGTTAAATGGAAACTCAGAAACTGTGCAGCTGCAGAAGTTCTACCTTTGGCTTTTAAACGCGCTTGGCTGTTCCCTAGTTGTGGCTGGTGGGCCGGCCTGCCATGAGCCCATAGTAAGCGCCGGTGTTGGGGGTGCAAAGTTCTTTACTGCGGTTTGTCTTCAGCCTTCCAAAGCCAGACAGACCCAAGTTCCAATCTCCGTTCTGTAACTTTTTGAAGCTTCGGTTTCATCATCTCTAGAATCTGTGTAAAAAGACCTAATTCACCACCCTGTTGAGACTGAGCTTACAAATATAGTGCTGGTCAACCTGCAGCCGTATTCCCATCATCTAGCGGTGGAAGACTTGAGGGATATTGGCCCCGTTCCCCACAACTTTGCAAGTAGATTTCACTGTCATGAGTTTACAGATGAGGAAACTGAAGTTCAAGAAGTCTCGGTGCTCGGAAATGTCAGATACCTTTCTTTCTGATACCTAGTTGAAAATAGTAGTAGTACTTATTAATGTCACTAGAAATAAACAATGAAAATGAGCACAGCTGTGATGATCATCATCTTTACTGTCACTGTTGCATGCCTCGTTTCTGATTCCCAGAGGCCAGATTTTTTTTTTAATTAATTATTATTATTTTTTGAAACGGAGTCTTGCTCTGGCACCCAGGCTGGAATGCAGTGGCGCGATCTCAGTTCACTGCAACCTCCATCTCCTGGGTTCAAGAAAATCTCCTGTCCCAGCCTCCGGAGTAGCTGGGATTACAGGTGCACGCCACCACATCTGGCTTTAGTAGAGATGGGGTTTCACCATGTTGGCCAGGCTGGTCTCGAACTCCTGACCTGTGGTGATCTGCCCATCTTGGCCTCACAAAGTGCTGGGATTACAGGCATGAGCAACAGTGCCTGGCTTATGTTTATTTATTTATTTATTCATTCATTTATTTATTTTGAGACACTGTCTCACCCCGTTACCCAGGCTGGAGTGCAGTGGTGCGGTCTCAGGTCACTGCAACCTCTGCCTCCCAGTTTCAAGCGATTCTTGTGCCACAGCCTCCTGAGTAGCTGGGATTACAGGCGCACACCACCACACCCGGCTAGTTTTTGTATTTTATTAGAGGTGGGGTTTTGCCATGTTGGCCATTCTGGTCTTGAACTCCGGACCTGCCTCCGCCTCCCGAAGTGCTGGGATTAGAGGCGTGAACCACCCTGCCTGGGCAAGAGGCCAGACTTTGCTGTGAGTGCTCCTGGTAGGTAGTTTCAGGCATCAACTGACTGGATTCAGGAATTCCTAGAAACCTGGGAAAGCATCATTTTTGGTTTTGGGTGTGCCTGTTGAGGGTGTTTCCAGAGGAGATGAGCTTGGGAGTCTGAGTGGACCAGGTGCTGAAGATCCATCCTCAGAGTCAGGGGCAGTATCTAAGAGCCTGGGGGCCTGGAGAGGACAAAAACAGAGAAAAGGCGAATGTGTCCATCTGCCTGCAGGAGCTGGGATACACTCTTCCTCTCCTCTCCTCAACAGCAGCACTCCAAGCTCGCCGGCCTTTGGTCTCCAGGACTTGTCCCAGCAGCCCCTCGAACTGAGAATTACACCATCGGACCCCTGGCTCTGAGGCCTTCAGACTTGGACTGTGTCACACTGCCAGGCTTCCAGGGCTCCAACTTGCAGACGGCCTGTTGTGGGACAGTCTCTGTAATCGCGTGAGTCAGTTTCCCCAATAAAGCCCTTCTCTTGTGTCTGTCTCTGTGTCCTGTTGGCTCTGTGTCTCTGGAGAACCCTCTTACAGTGCAGTTGGGGGACGTGCCACCTGAGTGCTGAGCCCCGCCTCCCGGGCGCCAGCTGTCCATCTGTCCATGTGCAACTGAGACTCAATTGGTGGCTTGCTGGTGGGGATTTGGTGGCATGCTTCCTTGCTTCCATTTTTTGTCTGGTAAATTGGCAGCATGGCTCCCAGTTGCCATTGAAGAATGTGGTTACAGGCATGGGTGTATTATGAGCTCCAATGTGCGTTAGGGGAGTGGGGCTGTCCAGAGGCTCTGCTGACTGCACGGCTGATGGCACGTGGAAAGGCTGCCCCTGACCAGTCCTTTGTCTGTCCCCGGAAGGAAAGCAACCATGGAAGACCTGGGGGAAAACACCATGGTTTTATCCACCCTGAGATCTTTGAACAACTTCATCTCTCAGCGTGTGGAGGGAGGCTCTGGACTGGATATTTCTACCTCGGCCCCAGGTTCTCTGCAGATGCAGTACCAGCAGAGCATGCAGGTGAGTGGCATGTGCCTGGGTGGGAGTCTGCTCTGGGGAGACCCTGGGCCCGGGCAGGACCTCTTCCAGTCTTCTGTAGTTGAGGTGGGTCGGTATTAGCAGAGCCTAGAGACAGCTATTCGTCTCCCAGGTCTCACTATGGGCACTCCTCATTTTGGGGTCGTAGCTGGAGGCTAGTTGGGGCCCTGAGCCATCCTGGCTTAAAGGCCTGCCTTGTTAGCGCCCTGAGTGGGCCTGGCGCTCAGCATTGCGTTCACACAAGTGCACTCACAGACCCTGGTGACAGGATCGGAAAGCCAGTTCATTCATCTAATTGAGGACAGAACCCAAACTGCCTGGGGGAGTGAGCACCAGGACTGTCGGGAAGGCTGTGTTGGAAACACAGTGCTGAGAGTGCCTGGGCAGCCCAGAGACAAAGCCACAGCAGTGAGCAGAAGGACTGGGTGTTTTGTGGTCTCAGACTGTGGAGGGCCATTTACAGATTTTGGGGTGATTTTTACAGTTTTCTTCTATAAAATAGTTGTATTTTGTTTCATTACAAGTTCTTGGGGTTTCTCACTGTAGACACAACTGCAGAGGATTCAGGCCTCCTGAAGGACTTCAGGCTCCAAAGAGTGATGAGCCCAGTCCCAGTTGGGGCTGCGATAATGGGGCCCCCAAGTTGTAGGGAGTGGTGGGGAGTGGAGTGCTGGCTAGTAGTGTCTCCAGCCTTGCCTGGGCCCTGTGGCTGCGCAGGCTCCTCTAGGCTCCTCTGCCTGGACCCTCTTTCCCAGTCCCTGCTGCGGTCCCCAGAGCCGTTCTGTAGTTCTGTCCGCATTAGAGGAGGCTCTGGCTTCCTGCGCTCTCAGAGCCCAGATGAGGCCCTGCTGCATTTGGTTAAACTGTGTGTGCGTGTGCATTTGTTTTGTTGCATAATTGAATTAATGTGTGTTTATTAGAATGCTAGCTTGTGGCCAGATGTGGTGGCTCAGGCCTGTAATCCCAGCACTTTGGGAGGCTGAGGTGGGCGGATCATGAGGTCAGGAGATCAAGATCATCCTGGCTAACACGGTGAAACCCTGTCTCTACTAAAAATACAAAAAATTAGCTGGGCGTGGCACCTGTAGTCCCAGCTACTCGGGAGGCTGGAGCAGGAGAATGGTGTGAACCCGGGAGTCAGAGCTTGCAGTGAGCTGAGATTGCGCCACCGCACTCCAGCCTGGGTGACAGAGTGAGACCCTGTCTCAAAAAAAAAAAAAGAATGCTAGTTGCTAGCTTGCTCACTGCCCTTTCTTGATGAGGACTGTTTTTTATTCTGAGATTAGGTCATATATATATATATGTGTGTGTGTATATATATAATATTTATGTAAATGTTCTTTTGTGAAATTATGAAGGTAATAGATGGTAGTTGTTTTTTATCACTGACAAAATGAGAAGTGGCCAACTCTGAGCTGGTTGCAGTGGCTCATGCCTATAACCCCAGCACTTTGGGAGGCTGAGGTGGCTGGATCACTTGAGGTCAGGAATTTGAGACCAGCCTGACCAACATGGTAAGACCTCATCTCTACTAAAAATACAAAAATTAGGCGGGTGTGGGCACCTGTAATCCCACCTACTCGGGAGGCTGAGGCAGGAGAATCGCTTGAACCTGGGAGGCGGAGGTTGCAGTGAGCCATCGCGCCACTGCACTCCAGCCCGGGTGACAGAGTTGGCAACTCTGGTCTGAAATGCTGTGATTTTAGTGTTGCGAATGTCTGGGACCTCTTGGCCTGTCTGTCAAAGCTGTGGGATTCTAGAGTCTGTCTTGGGGCTCGGAGGCCCCCAGTGCTCACTGGTAAAGGCCTCTCGGTGAGGGGATCAGTGATGGAGTGCGGTAGTCAGAGCAAGGTGGTGAGCGGAGTGATGGCGGCAAGACCAGCCTTGGTCCCTGGCCCCTGTCACATCCCATTCCTGGACTTCGTCGTGGTTCTCTCTCTCCTGCTGAGCCCCCGGCGTGGCAGGGAGGGCCTGGAGAACATGGCAGGCCGGGGGAATGTGTGCTGTCTGGTTTCTCACACATCGTGTTGATTTAACGTAAGGGTAAACTTTCAGGGTTCCTTTCTTTCCGTTGTAGTCAGCTCCAGGCAGAGGTGGCACACGGATCAGGTGTGTCTGGGACTCCTGGTCCCTGCCGGTCGTGCCCCCTGCAGGCGGGGTGCCCACCCTTCTCGAGAGGCTCAGGCTTGACTGCAGACACAGAAGTGAGACCAGGAAGGCTGCTGAGTTTGAAGGGCAGTCTTAGGAACGCCCAAACAGCAGCAGCTGAGAATCGAGACACAGTAACATAGGAGTAAAGGAAGTGTGGGCTTGGGCCACCAGAGAACACAGGTGGGAGGACAGAGAAACTTCCCTCCCCTGTCCCAGGCTTTCCTGGCCTTGGCACGCTTGGCATTTGGGCTGGGTAATTCTTTTTTCTCAGGACTTTCTTGTGCATTGTGGGCTGTTTAACAACTTCCCTGGCCTCTACCCCCTGGACGCCAGCCAGCAGCAGACACATGTGACCACCCCCCTGTGACAATCAGGTGTCTCCAGACAGGGCCAGATGTTCCCAGGGGCAAAACTGGACCCCACTGGGAACCACCACTCTACTCTGGTGCTTCTCAACCTTTCATGTGCATGTGAACGCCCTGAGAATGTGTCTAAAAAGAAGTTTCTTTTTTTCTTTTGGAGATAGGGTCTTACTCTGTCATCCAGGCTGGAGTGCAGTGGTACAATGTTGGCTCACTGCAGCCTCCGTCTCCTGGGTTCAAGTGATTCTCCCTCCTCAGCCTCCCGAGTAGCTGAGATTACAGGTGCGTTACCACCACACTCGGCTAATTTTCATAGTTTTGAGTAGAGACAGGGTTTCACCATGTTGGCCAGGCTGGTCTCAAACTCCTGACCTCAAGTTATGTACCCACCTTGGCCCCCCGAACTGCTGGGATTACAGACGTGAGCCACCACGCCTGGCCTAGATTCTTTTGTTTTTTTTTTTTTGAGACGAACTCTTGCCCTGTCATCCAGGCTGGAATGCAGTGGTGTGATCTTGGCTCACTGCAACCTTCGCCTCCTGGGTTCAAGCGATTCTCCTGCCTCAGCCTGAGTAGCTGGGGTTACAGGTGCGTACCACCACGACCAGCTAATTTTTGTATTTTTAGTAGAGACGGGGTTTCCCCATGTTGGCCAGGCTGGTCTTGAACTCCTGGCCTCAAGTGATCCACCCGCCTTGGCCTCTCAAAGTACTGGGATTACAGGTGTGAGCCACCACACCCAACCTAAAGAGAAGATTCTGACTGAGTAGGTCTGGGGTGTAGTCTGCGACTCTGCATTTGTTAAGTGCCGGGAGATGCTGCACTGCAAGGCTCTGGGCCACGTGAAGAGTCAGTGACTCTGCCTTTTCCTCCAGCTGAGCAGGTCGTACCCAAAGGCCGGCTCTGGAACTATTTGGCAAGTCTTCTGGGGCTCTTTGAGGCTCAGCTAACCTGTAATCACTAGCCCTGTGTGGTAGGCAGACTTCTGAGAGGGCCCCCAGGAGCTCAGCTCACCTGTAATCACTAGTCCTGTGTGGCAGGCAGACTTCTGAGAGGGCCCCCAGAGGCTCAGCTCACCTGTAATCACTAACCCTGTGTGGTAGGCAGGCTTCTGAGAGGGCCCCCAGATTCCAGGCTCCTTGTGCACACTCACCTTCCTACTGCCTCCCAGGTTTCAGTCCAATACTGAGTAGGTTTCATTGCTGTGGGATTGTGCAGATGTAATTAAGGTCTAAGATCTGTTGACCTTGAGATAGGGAGATTACGTGGGTGGGCTTGATCCACTCCCTGGTGGGCTTGATGTACTCACCTGAGCCCTTTAAGTCTGAGTCCAGACGTCCGAGGCCGAGCAGTCAAGAGACATAGCAGGAGAGGGATTTGATGAGGGAGATTGGACGTGGTTGACTTTGGAGATGGAGAGGGCCGTGTGGCAAGGGATGTGGGCAGCACCTAGGAGTTGATGGCTGTACTGGGCTGGCAGCCAGTCGGGAAGGAGACCTCATTCTCCATCTCTGAGCTCCACGTGAGAACATGTCCTGGCCGACTGCATTGATTTTTAGTCTGGGAGACCCTGGTCAGAGAATGCAGCCACCTACGTCTGGACTTCCGACCCACGGAGCCGTTGGCTGGTAAATAAATGGGTGGCATTCGAGGCCGTTGCCTTCACTAATATGCTTAATGTCATCTCAAAAGACGTCTTCCTCTTCCCAGGCTTTTTCACCTTCCCGTTTCCTGCCCCTCCCCTGTTCCCCAGCCTGGAGCCCAGTGGCTGGGCCACATCAAGACTTAGCACGGGACCTGCGGGAATGGGTCCTCAGGGAGTGTGTCTGCTGCACTGAGTCACTCACCTGGTTTGATGCCGTCACTGAGGATTCTGTTTTTCTTTGGGTGCGACCTGCTCAGCTGGAGGAAAGAGCAGAGCAGATCCGTTCGAAGTCCCACCTCATCCAGGTGGAGCGGGAGAAAATGCAGATGGAGCTGAGTCACAAGAGGGCTCGAGTGGAGCTGGAGAGAGCAGCCAGCACCAGTGCCAGGAACTACGAGGTGGGTTCAGGCGGGGCGAGGGTCGGCCCAGACAGCCCCAGGAAGCAAGGGGGCTGTGCACGGTACCTGCCAGGTTATAAGAAATCACATCCTAGTCCCTGGGAGCAAGGGGGCTGTGCATGGTACCTGCCAGGTCTTAAGAAATCAGATCCCAGTCCCTGGGAGCAAGGGGGCTGTGCACGGTACCTGCCAGGCCGTAGGAAATGAGAACCCAGCTGGCTGGAAGCCTGACACGCCCTGTGTCATGGTTGCCAGGACATTCCTTCTGAGGCCACTCATGCTGTGGGGCAGGTATCAGTTATGCTTGATGTCCTAGAGGAGGGTGGCATGAAATGGGAACACTTGCTGTGTCTGTTCATTGAGGCTGCGGTGCTGGCACAGATTCTTTTGCTGGGTCTCCTGGTTTCCTCTTCCCTCTGGAAGAATTGGAATGCAGGTCTGGCAGAAATGCCAAGTGGTGTAGGAGTGACAGGCTTAGGAGGTCATGGGGTGGATCAGGGTCTCGGGTCCATGCTGGGTCTTGGGGTTGGAGGGCCCTAGCAAAGGGTGCCGGTCTCAATGGCGGCTCTGTGTTGCTCCTGGCTCCCCAGGGCAGCAGGGAAAACACCCTGTCCTTGGGGAGGGAATTAGGTTTCCACTGAGTGCGCGGATCCCCTCTGCTCTGATTAACAGCACTTTGCCAGGGTTTCAGTCAGTGCTGATCAGTTGTGGAAATGCTGCCAAGGTTCAGGCAGAGTATTGGGCGGAAAGTCTCCCTGGCCTCCGTGCCCTCTCTTGGCGGGTGGATGTCCAGCCCCGCCCTGACATCATGCGGTGTATTCACACACTCTCCTGGGCCCTAGAAAAATAGCTCACGTCTTCCGGGGTGTGATGCTGGTTGGATTGCTTGCCCCTGGCCTGCAGATCCTGACTGCGGTGTGCGTTGTGTGGGCTCAGTGAGACTGAGGCACCGCTGGGGTGGGGGCCACTGCCTCAGGGTTGGCTCCGTTGCTGCTTTGAGAGCTGTTTTCCCTGAGAGGTGGGGCGTTTGCTCATGGCCTGGGTGGGTCCTAGGAGGGACAGTACTGGAGGAATTGGTGGGAAGGGGAGGGAGAGTCCACAGGAGTCTCCCTAACTACTGAGATTCCCTTGTTAGGGGTGGAGAGGAGCCACCAGGTCATTGGTCTGGAGGCAGCATGCTGATGGTATGGCTGTGGCTGTCAGGCAGGAGGGACAGTGTGCAGCTGTTGGAGTTCCTCTAGGCCGAGAGTCCCTGAGGGCAGGGCCCACCCGACTCTGCCCAGGATCTCCATTGTGTGGCACAGCTTATGGCATTTTATGGGTGCTCACAAATGTTGGATTGAGGGAGGGGTCATTGTAGGGTCTCCGGGAACCCTGTCTTGGGGAAATCCAAGGATGCAGGTGACTGGGCTTACACCTGGGGCTCCCTGCTGAGCTCCAGCCACCTTCTAACAGGACTGTCCTTCCTTGCCCGCAGACACAGCTGCATGGGACCCCAGGAACAGTCAGAACCAGTAGTTTTCCAATTGTTCCTTGGAGTTCCACCTGGAAATACCTATTAGGGGCGAGACTTAAGTGTCTGAAGTCCAAAGACCTGCTGGCTGCCCTGTCTGCGCTGGGACTGGCAGTTCCAGGCCCGGTGCCGCATCTGGCTGTGATGGTGCTGAGCGGAGCCCCGTGCCAACCCCAGTTCTTGTCCTGCATCACAGAAGGGTCTCTTGGTTGTTGTGAGGCAGCCCTTGCAGCTCACAAGGGCTGGAGTCCCTCCGAGGTGCGCGGGTCAGCCTCTCTCAGAAGGCGGCCACCTCTGTCACAGCTCTCCTGGGTTTTGGGCTGGAGTACCCTGGATGAGGACAGCACAAGCTCGTACTCCACCCGGGGCTCCGGGAGTGCTTGGTGCTTCCCGAGGAAGGCAGGGTGAGAGGGTCCCGGAGTGCCGGGCTCCACCAGGACTCACCGCCTTCACCTCCTGGGACGCCGGTACCTGGCAGTGAACTCTGGAGGGCCTGCGGGTCATTAGAGTCAGGAGGTCTGAGCGTGGTGCTTGGTCATGTCCCATCCCAACCAGTGAGAGCCACGCGGCCTCCCTAAGGCCAGTCGTGGGGGGTGGGTCTGGAGGTTTGTGGTTTGTGTGAGAGGGGGTGCATGTGTGGCAGATTTGAGCCCAGTGTAAACTGCTTCTGCCCACAGCCTCCTGTCCACGCTGCCTGTCTCTGCCCCTGTTGTCTGCTCGCTGGGGGAGTGCCAGCTCCTTTCAGTGCCGGACAGAGCGTAATTAGACAGGATTTGCTGGTGCTATGAAAGCTCAGCTTCTCCCCAAGGTCAATGCTGAATTTTAGATTTCCCATGCCCCCTCTCCCTGCAGAGGCAACTGCTGAGCAGACGGTGTGATAAATGTGTGTGTGATCTGTGCCAAGTGCCCTTCCTGGGAGCCCTGACCTCGCACAGTGCTCACCGTCATGGTGCCACAGCGGGGGTGCCAACGCTGGGGCTGGGTCCCAGGTCCCGTCCTGGTTCTGCCTATGACTTGGCTCATGGGTCCTGCTCGGCTCTTTTTTGTGCCTCGGCATGTTCTGAGAGAGGTGTGGGGGTGAGGGCTCCCCGCTGACCCTCCCGTGGGCGGCACGTGGCATCTGACTCTTGCTCTCTTAACAGCGTGAGGTCGACCGCAACCAGGAGCTCCTGACGCGCATCCGGCAGCTTCAGGAGCGGGAGGCCGGGGCGGAGGAGAAGATGCAGGAGCAGCTGGAGCGCAACAGGCAGTGTCAGCAGAACTTGGATGCTGCCAGCAAGAGGCTGCGTGAGAAAGAGGACAGTCTGGCCCAGGCTGGCGAGGTGAGCGGGGCCTCTGCTGCGCAGGGAGCTGTTTTCCCGAGGAGAGGGAGTGCATGCTCTTGTTTGCCACTGCAGTGCCCGCTTGTGTTTTCACTTGTGCTTCCCACACGGGCAGCTGCGTTTTGTACATAGTTGTCATCAGTAGAAGTATTAATTTTCCATTCTGTAGTTTTCAGTTAAAAAGTTGAGACTTTGGGCCGGGCGCGGTGGCTCACGCCTGTAATCCCAGCACTTTGGGAGGCCGAGGTGGGTGTATCATCTGAGGTTGGGAGTTGGAGACCAGCCTGACCAACATGGTGAAACCCCATCTCTACTAAAAATACAAAAATTAGCCATGCGTGGTGGTGCGCACCTGTAGTCCCAGCCTGTGGGACTCGGGAGGCTGAGGCAGGAGAATCGCTTGAACCCAGGAGGTGGAGGTTGCAGTGAGCTCAGATCACACCATTGCACTCCAGCCTGGGCAACACAGCAAGACTCTGTCTCAAAAAAAAAAAAAAAAGTTAAGCACTTTTTTGCCTTTGTAATTATGAATTTAAATGGATGATGAATCTGTTTTTTGTTGTTTGTGGACGTTTAGTGTGTTTGTGTTCGCTCATGTATGTATGCGACAGGTAGCCCTTCCCTCAGCCCTCGCTTCTGTTGACTTTGGACAGACCCCTAGGACTGGGTTATAAGGTCCCTAGCGATGGCGGTCTCTGCAGCCGTTGTGCTCAGAGGCCTGGCTGAGGGCTCCAATTTCCCCGTAGCCTTCCCTGTCGTGGATGGTGGTCTTTTCTGGAAATAGCTGTTGTTTTGTCAGGAGGCTTAAGGAGGCACGTCTGGATTTGCATATCTTTGACTGTCTGCAAGGTCTACAGGCATCTGATGGCGTCGGATAATTGCCTCTGAACTGGAGCCTGTGTGAACTGCAGTCCTGGTGAAGGTTGCTTGCATTTTAGAAACAGCCCAGACATGGGCACTGGTGGAAATTGGAATCTTCTGACCTCTCCTGTCCTTTGTCTGTGGCGATCAAGATCGCTGGTGCCAAGAGGAAACATGAAAATCTGCTGGTGTGGGGGTGGAGGCGTGGTAGGGGTGGGGTGGGCGTGCAGCGGGGGTCCTGGAGGGGTCCAGAAACTGGCCGCGGGTCCTTCCTGTGGCCGTGCTGGGGAGGCGTGTTCAGGCTGTTCCCCTATCTGCTTCTGGAGGGAACGTTGGCAGGAGAGGAGGCGTGATTGGCTCCCGAGAAGCTGCTCTTGCCTTGCCCATGCTCTGGGTTCCAGTTCCCATGTGCTGGGCTGTACTGGAGTTGGGCCGGGGGCTGTCCCCGCTGCCTGCGGGCACCTGTGGTTCCATGGGGGAGGGTGAGTCGTGCCGAGCACTTCATGAGGGGCAGAGGAGCAGGAGACTGCAGGAGCCGCAGGGCGGTGCCCGGTGGGGTGGGGCATAGTGAGGGGAAGATGGTGGCGCTGCAGGTGCTGCTGCTTTGGCCTGTCATGTCTAAGCCGAGGTGGCCGCTCCTCAGGGAAGCCCTCCCTGCGCACTAGGCCTTGACTGCCTTCTCCTGTCACAGGGTCCTGATTGTCACGCTCCTTACTCTGGAATTATCTTATGCGCCTCTTCCTTGCCAACTGTCCGGCGTCCCCTACAACACGGGTGACCCTGTGGGCAGGTGGGCTCGGCCCTGCATCTGGCCTTGCCCCTGGCACACGGTGCGTATTAATTGAGTTCGGAAGACCTCTGGGAGGATGTGTTTATTGTTAGTATGTTTTTAATACCTTTCTTCTTTGTTGACTCCCAGGTTGATGCTTCACTGTTGTGGTGAAGTAAACCGTACATATTGTGGGCATGTGGGGAGCACGCAGCCCCCATGCGGGCCTTCCCAGAGCGGCGTGGGGTGGACAGCGGTGATAGGCTTCAGCAGGCCCTAAGCTGGGCACGTTCTCAGGGACAGGGAAATGAGTGCTGAGGCCTCCTTGTTTGCGGAGGGTGCCGCCCAGCCAGGCCCACCCAGGTCGTTTGCTGTGTGAGTTTGCCATTGTCCTGTCCTGGGTGCGTGGTCCCCAGGGCTGACATCACGCCCGTGTGTTTCCGTGTGTTAACTTACAGTGATGCTTCTCAGGGTCTGTCCGGCTTTTCACATTGGCTCGACCCACGTGCTCTTTCTTTCTCTGAGGACACCTGGGGTTTTCTGAGCTTTTCCAGAGGGTTAGGGTCCTCAGAAGGTCGCCTGGTGGGAGTGGTCAGGAGGAAGCCTGGCGGTTCTGTCGCGTGCGGGTTCCATGATGTCAGGCAGACCTGCTGTCCTGGAGGCTGCCAGAGGGGCTGCTGGCTTTGCTCAGGGGCCGCCTCCCCAGGGGCGCTCCTGCCCGTGCCGCGTGCTCCCGTTCCAAGCGCACGGCCTCCCCAGCAGGTACCGCCCTGCCCCTTGCACAGCCTCCGTCTTTGTCCTGTTGGTTGGCCAGTGCCTTGCTGTGGTGTGAGGGCGATGTCGCTAGCAAACAGCCGTCATGGTAGCATTGGGGTGGCTAGGGAGGGATGACAGGAGCCACGGTTGGAGGGAAGACCGAAGTGATGGTGTGGCGGGTATGTGGATGTCTGATGGGACTTTGGGAGCGTGGGGCACTGGCACAGAGACTGCCAGGTGCCAGGCCTGAGAGTCCGGGCCCATCTTGGCTGGTGGAGGCTTTTGCTTCTGAAGCCGCCTCACCAAGCCTCCTTTCCAGGGCCCCTGGCTGGGGCCCGGTCTCCTCTGTCAGCTCCTGGGTGGCTTGTGGCAGGCTCTGGGCTGTGCTGCTCTGGAGCACCAGGAGGAGGGTGGGCCCTGCGTGTGAGCGTCTGCCTGACCTGCATCCTCCAGAAGGAGGTGGCTCTGCCCCCTGGCCCTCTGCTCCCCTGCTCCTCTTCCCCCTGCCCTCTGCCCCCCTTGCCCCCTTGCCATCTGCCCCCCTACCGCTCTGCCCCCCTACCCCTCTGCCCGATGCCCCTCTGCCCCCTTATTCCTCTGCCCCTCTGCCTCCTGCCCTGATTATAGCACGTGGGTGGTGTCGCCTCTCCACTCTTCTCATCTCCATGTGCAGGCTCCTTCCACGCACGGGCTCCACTCACTGAGCGGCTCTCTGGTCCCCTCTACTTTTAGACCATCAACGCACTGAAGGGGAGGATCTCGGAACTGCAGTGGAGCGTGATGGACCAGGAGATGCGGGTGAAGCGCCTGGAGTCGGAGAAGCAGGAGCTGCAGGAGCAGCTGGACCTGCAACACAAGTGGGCGGGGCCAGGGTGTGGGGTCGGGGGTCGGGTCACGTGTGGGGGCATGCGTCCCACCTCTCTCCTGGTGGCTGGGTGGGATGTGGATACACTCCCAGATGCTGTCCTAATTCACAGACACTCAAGAGGGGCAGATGCTGAGGCCTCTGGAGCCAGGACCGTGAGCCCAGAAAGTGTCCTGATGTTCCTGGAGCAGAATGGGGGCAGCAACTTCCTCCCCCTCCTTCTTAGAGAGGGCTCCTGCAGAGCCAGATTTTACTTTATTTTTTGAGACAGGGTCTCACTCTGTCGTCCAGCCTGGAGTGCAATGGTGTAATCATGGCTCACTGTAGCCTCAACCTCCTGGGCTCAAGTGATCCTCCTGCCTTAGCCTCCCGAGTAACTGGGTCTGCAAGCATGTGCAGTACACCTGGCTAATTTTTTTTTTTTTGAGATTGAGTCTCGCTGTGTCACCCAGGCTGGAGTGCAGTGGCACCATCTCGGCTCACTGCAGCCTCCGCCTCCTGGGTTCAGTGATTCTCCTGCCTCGGCCTCCTGAGTAGCTGGGATTAGTTTTGCACCTGGCTAATTTTAAAAAACGTTTTGTAGAGATGGCGGTCTCGCTTTGTAACCCAGGCTGGTCTTGAGCTCCTGGCCTCAAGCGATCCTCCTGCCTCAGCCTCCTAGAGTGCTGGGATCCCAGGCTGAGCCGCCGTACCCTGCTGAGGGCTAGGTTGAAAGGGCAGCATCATGTGCCTTGGAGGTGGAGGGGGCGTGGCTGGGAAGGGATGTCCAGGCACAGGGCTGAGCCGAGGCACAGACGTGAGAGCCTTGTCTGGAGGTGCAGTCAGGAGACTGTGGGCATCTCCTGCAGACTTGGACCCTTCCATCAGCAGATGTGGTTTTAGGAGAGTTCTAGTTCCGTAGTAGAGAGGAGAGGTCATTCCTGGGTGGGGCCCTACCGCAGCTGCACCAGGGCTGGGGGTTGCCGCAGGCAGGTGAGAGCTGTGGGTTCCACTGTTGGAGAGGTCCTTGCAGGTGGCCTGGGCTCACTACGCACCCCGTCTGAATGAGCAGACTGAGGCCTGAGAGCCAGCCCACAGGGGCTGGGGCCTGGGACCTTGGGGTACCCATGCAGTGGAGTGTGTGTTGGCGGGGGGCGGGGGGTCTGTGCCGTGGGAGGTCCTGAACCTTGGGGTGGGAATGAACGTATGTGGGTCTGTGCTGGGGCGGGTCTCAGGCTGAGGAGAATTGTTGGCCTTGCCGCATGCCTGTTTCTGTGTGTGATGTATTTTTCTTTCAATAGAAAATGCCAGGAAGCCAATCAGAAAATCCAGGAACTCCAGGCCAGCCAAGAAGCAAGAGCAGACCACGAGCAGCAGATTAAGGTGAGTCACTCCCTGTCAGTGCCTTGTGGACATCCCTGTGGTGGCCTTGACTCTCCTGCCCCTGTCGGCCTTTCTGCGCTGGTGCCGAGCTCCGTGGTCCTTCTGTGAGGTTAGCTGCTGCCCTGTGTGTTGGGCACTGTGCTGGGCACCAGGGATGCCATGGTGAATGAGGCAGATGCTTCCGCTCTTGGGAGCGTGTATTCTAGAGGAGGGAGACTGACCACAAACACCAAGAGAAAATGTCCGTGTGTGTGATGACGTCAAGTGCTGATGAGCGTGAGAAGATGCTACAGGCATAGAGAGGTTGAGAAAGCTGCCCACAGTTGCACAGCTGGAGCTGGGTCTCAGTCAGGGCATCTGACTCAAGCTCAGGCTGTGCCATTTCCCTGCGGAGGACGTGCCAGGGAGACGTTGACTCCAGATCCCTCTCCTGCCTCCTGTTGCCTGGAGAGCAGCCTCCAGACCCTGTGCTCTGGCCGTGCCCTCTCAGCCCTTATGCACCCTCACCTCCAGGCTTCACACCAGCTCTTCCTGGCTGCAGAGCTGCCCGGCACCCCCAGCCTGGCCTCTGCCATGTCCGCTCCTGGTGGTGGTCCCTGGCCCCTCGCAGCCCTCAGTCCACCTCTCAGGATTTTCTGGCTGGCAGGGCGATGGACTCTGTTAGTGTTTGTTGAATGACCGTCTGGTTTGGTCGTGGTTTCATACTCTGCCTGTTCAGTGACTTGCTGCTCACAGATGCCAGCTGTCTGTGTCCCAAGGGGACTGGGTACCGTAGGGAAAAGCCTGTCCTCACTATTGGAAAGACTGAGCTGTCACACGTGCTGCTAGAGTGGCAGAAGTGGGCTTGACACGGGAGGGGTGGGATGTTTTACCATGGAGTGCCATCCTGGACCAGACTTGAGACAGACTTTTGCTCCTGGAGAGCTCCCCGAGGGCAGGTGGTGAGCACAGCAGCCCGGCAGTGTGCAGTGTGAATGCCAGCTCCCAGTACGCGGAGGGCTGGGAGGTCGGCGCTGGGAAGAGCTGCCCTGGAGTGGATGCTGAGGCTCAGTATTGGAAGCAGCTTCGAGGCCCCTGGTGCAGCCCAGGAAGGCCTCCCACAGGAGAGTCCTGAGGCATGGAGGCTGCTGAGGACCTGGGGCAGTTTAGCGAAGGAACTTTGTGACCTCAATGACTTTAATTTTTAATGGATGGTATTTTCTAGAGCAATTTTAGGTTCACAGCAAAATGAGCAGAAGGTAAAGCTCCTGTGTACCCCCTGCGCCCGCTCCTACACACACAGCCTACCCTGGTAGAGTGGAGCACGTGTGACGGTGATGAACCTGCCTGGACACATCAGTGTCACGCAGAGTCCACGGGTCATGCGAGGGTCACTCTTGGAGTGGGACAGTGTATGGTTCGGGCAGATGTAAAATGTTCTATATTTGCCATTAGAGTGTCACACAGAAAAGTTTTACTGCCTAAAAATCCTCTCTGCTCCCCCAGTCAATCCCTGCCTCTCTCCTTCTGAGCCCTTGACAACCCCTTCCTTTCCCAGAACGTCCTGTGGTTGGATCCTGCAGTGTGTATAGCCGTTGCAGACCGGCTTCCTTCTCTTAGCCGTGTGCGTGTGATTTTCTCCAGGTCTCTTCGTGGCTCATTTTTCCCTTCTTCTCTGTCCCTGGCCTCCATCAGGATCTGGAGCAGAAGCTGTCCCTGCAAGAGCAGGATGCAGCGATTGTGAAGAACATGAAGTCTGAGCTGGTACGGCTCCCTAGGCTGGAACGGGAGCTGAAGCAGCTGCGGGAGGAGAGCGCGCACCTGCGGTGAGGGGTTGCGGGGGATGGGGCAGCCGCCTCGAGTGAGTCTGGGTTTGTGCACATGGAGCCCACTGTGCAGACCCTGTAGGGGCAGGGCTCCCGGGCTCTTGGCCTTATCCCTAGGGTGTGTGGCTATTTGAGCGACTCTTTGTGGCACTGCCAGGGAGATGAGAGAGACCAACGGGCTGCTCCAGGAAGAGCTGGAAGGGCTGCAGAGGAAGCTGGGGCGCCAGGAGAAGATGCAGGAGACGCTGGTTGGCTTGGAGCTGGAGAACGAGGTGAGGGCCTGTGTGGTGTGCGGTTCCTGTGGGTGTCCTCTGCCCTGCCTGGAGGAGCCTCGGTATTGTGGTCACGCCCACCAGCTGCTCACCTACAACATGGAGGTTGCTGTGATGGGGTGGGAGGCAGAATCGTGGTCCCCAGAGAGGTCCATGCCTCATCCTCAGAGCCTGTGAACACAGCACCTTCCCTGGCAGGGCGAATGAGGTGACTGGTCAGCTGGCCCACGGCGGGGAGGGGCTCCTGGGCCATCCTGGGGGCTCAGAGTGATGTGAGAGGGACTTGGCAGCTCTTGCTGGGTGTGGAGATGGAGGACGGGCCACAAGCCAAGGAATGTGGGTCATCTGGAAGCTGGAAAGAGCAGGGAAGTGGACTGTCCCCTGGAATCTGCAGAAGGAACACAACCCTGCCAACACCAGGATTCCAGCTCGGGGAGACCCGTTTTGGATTTCCGATCTAAAGTACTATAAAATATTACATTTGTGGGCTTTTTTTTTTTTTTTTTTTGAGATGGAGTCTCGCCCTGTCCCCAGGCTGGAATGCAATGGTGCGATCTCGGCTCACTGCAACCTCCGCCTCCCGGGTACAAGCGAGTCTCCTGCCTCAGCCTCCTGAGTAGCTGGGACTACAGGCGTGCGCCACCACACCCGGCTAATTTTTGTATTTTTAGTAGAGATAGGGTTTCACCACGTTGGCTAGGATGGTCTTGATCTCTTGGAACTCGTGATCCACCCTCCTCAGCCTCCCAAAGTGCTGGGATTATAGACGTGAGCCACCATGCCCGGCCAGGCTTTTTAAATGTTAAATTTTTTTTTGTAGAGATGGGGTCTCCCTGTGTTGCCTAGGCTGGTCCTGAACTCCTGGGCTCAAGTGACCCTCCCGCCTTTGCCTCCCAAAGTGCTGAGATGACAGGCGTGAGCCTCTGTGCCGCACCAATTTGTGTTGTTTGAAGCCACTTAGTTTGTGGTGATCTGTTTCGGTTGCAGCAGGAAACTGGTACAGAGGGTGAGTCAGAATGCGTGTGGCACTGTGAGGATCAGGGCTGGCAGGGCCCTGTGCTGGGGGTGTTCTGTCTTCACCGCGGCAGTTGGTAGGAAGGTGTCAGTGCTGGAAAACATCCTGCAGTCATGTTGCGGGCAGAGGAGGAAACTGAGGTTCAGAGAAGCTCCCTCTCTTGCCCGGTGCACAGCAAGTTTGGACCAGAATTTAGGCCTTCTGGCCCCTGCCTGGGTCCTCTGTCCTTCATGCCACTTCCCTGTGGCCACAGCCACTCCCCTCTGTGCCTGGCACACCTATGCCGCCTTTCTCCGGTGGTTGTGGGGCCTGGCAGGAGGGCAGACTCCATCTGCAGTGCTCTGCAGCTGCCCAGCTGTCCAGCTGGCCACTTCCAGAGTCCCCTTGGGTGGCGTGGCGTCTCTGTCCTCTTCAGAGCTGTGATACAGCCAAGGTCGTTTTGGGGCCTTGGCCCTGTGACCCACGGTGAGGTGGCTCCCTGTCAGCGGGGGTATCTGGCAGGGACTCTTCTCTCAGGTGCTGGGTTCTGTAGGAGCTTAGCCTGAAAAGACAGCTCCCATGCGACATCTTTTCTCTCTCCCGCGGTGTAATTTATTGTTTGATGGTTGAAGAGTTGGGGCTCTCAAGCCACATTCCGTAGTTGGGTGCTTGCTGCTCCATGTCCCTGGGCCAGCTCCTTCATCTCCCTGTCTGTCTCCCCGTCTGCACAGGGAGGAGTGGTGCTGGCTGCCTTGTCAGGACTGTGAGGCTCACATGAGTCTATGCAAAGTGCTCAGAGCAGTGCCTGGCGCGTAGCGAATGTTCTGTAGCGTTGGCTGTCATATAGTTACTAGTCAAGTGCGTGCCTGCGCATAGGAGGGGCTGTGAGAATACCTCACTGACTTGCCGAGTGGAGCGTTGATAACAGCATGGTGCTTGGCACTGGGTGGAGGTGAAGCGAGGCCAGAACAAAGGCACAGAGTCCCTGCCCTCAGATTGCTTCCGTCCTAGAAGGGCCGTGAGACTCACCTCTTTGGGATGCGGCTCAGCATGGGACAGGCATGTGACACAGAGGGGTGGGCTGGCCTGTAGGCAGTGTCTCACCCTCCCTCATGCTCCAGGGTGGCTGCCCTCCTCTCCTAGGGCCTGCTGGTCCTGGTCTGCTGTGTGATGGCAGGAAGTTTGGCTCCAGGACTGAGTCTGTCTGCTCCAGGGCTTGGTTCCCTGAGGAGCCCCTGGAAGATGGGGGAGGGATGAGTCCTAACGGCTCAAGGACCCGAGGCTGCTCCCTGGGGCACAGTCAACCCCAGGATCCTTTCTGAGGCTGTCTGCCTTCTCCCTCCACAGCCACACGTTGCTTTTAGCTTGCTGGGATTCACACTTGAATTTACGGGGCCAGGAAGGAGTGAGGCAGGAAGCGCCAGTGTGGCTTCTGCAGTTGGGGAATAATAACCCGGCCACTTCCAAGCAGACTTGGAGCATGTAGCGCCCAGCTCAGAGATGAGGGCAGGCTCTCCTGAGAGGTCAGGGACTTAGCACCGTGATCATGATTGTCAGTCTTATGTGATGATCCTGTGGCAGGTGATGACAGGGTCTGTGCTTTTGTTGTCTTTTCAGAGGCTGCTGGCCAAGCTGCAAAGCTGGGAGAGACTGGACCAGACCATGGGCCTGAGCATCAGGTAGGGAAGGGCAGGTGTCTCCGGGGTCCCGCCTTCTTTGAAGGGTCCTGGGTGAAGAGCAGAGCCTGCTTCCGGCTCACCAGCGCAGTCTCCAGCCAGGCATCTCTGTGGCTGGTGCGGGGCATTTGTCCTGGGCTGCTCAGGTTTAATGAGGCCTTTCCCAGCGGATGGGGCAGTGGAACCCAGTGACTCATCCTGCTGAAGCCTTAGTAACATCTTCATTCAGAAGCGGAATATCCACAGCAAACCAGTGGCAGGCGTCTGATTGCCCTGCGTTGCGGGGCTTTGTGAAAGGACTCTTTTTGGTGTATACCGAGGAAATAATTGCTTTTGGGGGAAATCATTCATTTTAGGGAACTGTAACCAGTGGAGATGAACTGAGTTTTTAGAATTAAGAAAAACCCACTGTATTAGGCTGTTCTTGCATTGCTATAAAGAAATACCAGAGACTGGGTAATTATGAAGAGAAGAGGTGGAATTGGCTCACGCTTCTGCAGCTGTACAGGAAGCATGGTGCTGGCATCTGCTCGGCTTCTGGTGAAGCCGCAGGGAGCTTTCAGTCATGGCGGAAGGTGAAGGGGGAACAGGCACGCCGCAATGCAAAAACAGGAATGAGAGAGCGAGAGAGTGAGCGAGCGTGAGTAGTGTTGGGAGGGAGGTGCCACACACTTCTAAATGACCAGATCTCATGAGAACTCACTATCATGAAGACAGACCCAAGCTGTGAGGGATCCACTCGAGGATCCAAACACTTCCCACGGGGCCCCACTTTCAGCACTGGGGATTACAATTCAACATGAGGCATGGGGCAGGGACACAGATCCAAACGGTTCTCACCCACCATAGTGGAAGACGATTGTCTGGTGCTTGTAGCAGCCTCTTCACGCAGTCTGTGCCAAGCTGAGTGCCAGCGCTTGGGTGGTGGGATGTGGGGTGGAGCTGCCGGGGGACCACCCTGGGTGCTGGGGATGGTATTCTTATAGACAGGTAGCTGGACCGTTCCCAGGTCTGGTCCTGTCTGTCCTCCTGCCCCATCCTTCCCAGGACCCTGTGCTCATCTTTCTCCAGCAGCCGCTCAGTTGGCCCCTGCCCTTCAGTCGCGGTGCCCCTGCAGGTGACCACCTCCTGGCAGCTCTGGTCTGGACCCCTCTTCCTGGTTGCCCTGTGTGCGCCAGGTCTCGAGGAGGTGCAGGAGCGATGCTTTTGAAGGAGCCATCAGAGCCCGGGGCTCAGGGCCCGAGGTGCTGGTGCCGAGGCGGCCTCTTATTGTGTTTGCTTGTGAGATTTCAAGGCTTCCCGCTTCTTGCCTGTCTTTCCTGCTGTTCTTGGAAACTAGGCTGAGACTGAGACTCTCTGAAAGAGCTATCCTTTGACCACACCGTCCGACTGCTGGTTCTGGAATCCATTACCTTCTCATCAGCATTACTGGCTTCAGTTCTCTGTCACCTGAAAGTGCCTCTTCATTTTCTTTGAGCTTTGCTAAGTCAGAGCACGGCCCGGGCTGCTGTCTCCTCTTGAACTCCCCCTGTAGAACACAGACTTCTGTAGGGCCGGCCTCAGCGGGGCCTAAATGCTTTGTGCTTCTGTCTGTTCTCTGGGCTTATTAATTGCTTGGAAGGCGACCCTTCTGCTCCCAGGCATACTCTGGCCAGATGAGAAACCTCTGTGACTTCTTTCCTGTGAAGGGACATCAGAGGCCCCCACGTGCCTGATGGGCCCGGCCCTGCTGGAGGGTCCAGTGTGCAGTTTGCCCTGGAGCACTGGGTGTCAGTCGGGCACGAGACCTGGCACAGCTGGCTGCTGTCTCTGGCTGGTTTCAAAGTACTGTGGATCCTTTCAGCCCTGTTCCCGCATCTGAGCGCCCTGCCTGGGCATGGCTTGTGTGAGGGCGAGCTGGCCTGGGGGTGCTGCCTGGGCGTGGCCAGCATGAGGGCATGCTGGCCCCAGGGGTTCTGCCTGCCTGTGTCTTCTGTGTTCACTCTGCCCTCCCTGGTGGCCAGGCCCTGGATGAGGGAGAGGAGGGGTTGGTCTGTAGGGCTGGTGGAGGTGGGCTGCCTGTGCCCACCACCAGCTTAAAGTGGGCGGGAAGCAAGTGGCATGCATGTGTGGCGCCCTGCAGCTTTGATGAGGAACACAGATAGTTCTTCGGAGGCTGGATTCAAGGCTCCCCCTGCCCCCCGCCACCAACAGTAAGACCTGTGTCAAGTCACTGCGCTGCTCTGGGCCAGTGTTCTCTTTATTGAAAGGGGGACACGGAGCTCTTCTCCCCAACTGCGTGTGAAGATCCGACGTGATCGTGTACTTGTGGAGGGCCCTGTGAGTTGGAGAGGGGCTGGTGCGAGCGTCCTCTCTGAGCAGCCGGAGGCTGATGGCCAGGAAGGTGGATGGAGCCGTCCTCGCTGTGGGGGTCGACCCCTAGTCTCCTGCGTTGGCCTTGGCTGTGGGCCTGGTAGAGGGCAGGTTTCCTCACGTGCTGGGTTGCCTGCCATGCCTGGGCCCCTTCAGGGCTCCCCGCTGCTCCTTGTGTTGTGCTCCACAGGGCGGGTGTCTGAGTGTGGTTCTGCATCAGGCCGTGATCTCGGGTGACTCACGCTGGACGTCAGTGGGGTGGTGCTCATGCCGCAGTCCACGGGAATGCGGGCTGGCGGTCCCGAATACGGCTCCTAGAGAGTCCACGGGAATGCGGGCTGGCGGTCCCGAATACGGCTCCTAGAGAGTCCACGGGAATGCGGGCTGGCGGTCCCGAATACGGCTCCTAGAGAGTCCACGGGAATGCGGGCTGGCGGTCCCGAATACGGCTCCTAGAATCACCGGGAGGGTTTGGTAAACGTGTGCATTTCTGGCTGCGCACAGTGGCTCACACCTGTAGTCCCAGTGGTTTGGGAGGCTGCCGCAGGGGGATTGCTCGAGCCTAGATGTTTGAGATCAGCCTGGGGAACGCAGTTGAGACCCCGTGTGTACCAAAACAAAAATTAGCGGTGCTCAGTGGTGTGCACCTGTAGTCCCAGCTACTCAGGAGGCTAAGGTGGGAGGATCACCTGAGCCCAGGAGGAGCTGTGATTGCACCACTGCACTCCAGTGACTGAGTGAGTCCCTGTCTCTAAAAAACAAAAACAAAAACCAAAGTGGATTTCTGGGTAAACCTGAGATGCACTGGGCTTTCTTTTCTGTTTTTAGGGACCAGGTTTGGGGTAGTTCTTAGGAATTTCCCGTGTCTGGCAGCATTGAATGTGGTGGTGAAGTCGGCGACAGGGACACAGATGTGGTGAGAAGCTGGGGCCACGGGGGCCCCCATGGGAGGGCTGAGTGCATTTGCTGTTCTTGTGTGGAGACATGCGTGCCTCTGTGGGCGAGCTTGGGGATCCCCTCCTCTCAGCCGTGGGGACCTGAGGTGACATCAGATGTCCTGGAAGCAGAGGGCTCTGTGGCTGGGAGTGCCCTGGGCCTGTGCCGGGTGGGCTGGCGTCTGCTTGCCTTCGGGCCCAGGCTTTGCTGGGATTTGGGGCTTGCCGAGGCCCGAGGCCCCGTGGGTGTGGAGGAGCTGCTGCCACTAGGTGGTGCCCCCGCCTTGGTGATCCTTCCCACAGCAGCTTCCCTTGGGTCTCTCTGGCCTAGTGGACCGCTGCTCTCCCACCATGGGACTTGCTTGCTGACACTGGGGTTTTGGTCGATGGGGATGTGAGGGGCTTGTGGCCACTGTTCCTGACTGCCTTCAGGGGGGCGCTTCTGGCTGTCCCATGCCTGCCTTGTTTCTGACCAGTGTCCTGGGGCCCTCAGGCCTGTGGGCTCTGGGCTGTGAGCTCCTGGCGTTGAGGTCAGACGTCCTTTGTGTGGGCCCTTCCCTAAGGACAGGGTGCTGACGTCCTGCAGTCCTCAGAGGGCTCTTCGGCCTCGCCCCGGGCTTGGATAAACCCTGGCTGAGCCCCAGGAGAGAGTGGCCTGGTCACCCTCTTCCCCATGTAGGGCTTCTTATGTCTTAGGAGAGGAGGCTGGGCAGGCTGGCTGGGGTGGGTCAGTGAAACCATGGGAAGACCCTGTGGAACGAGGTCCTTATGTGTCACACAGGCCTGGGCACATGTGACATGTGCAGCACACGGGTTCACGCAGGCTGGGGGCATGTTAGTTTCTACGACTTTGAAGTCACAGGCAAGGAGGGACACAGTGCGTGTGGATGAGCCTGCGTGAACACACGTGGGGAAGGGCAGGATGCCAGTGCCGGGAGTGTGGTGTGGACACCCTCATCCTTAGGGTGCTGGAAGTTGGGCTGAGGGAGTTAGCAGCAGTGCGAGGCGTGTGTCTGGAGGCAGCGATGTGATCAGCTTGGTCTCCCAGGAGCATGGTCTGTCTCGGGGAGTGACTTACGGGTGAGGAAAGCGGAGGCCAGCACACACCCTTTGAGGTACGTGTCATCCTCGGCAAGACCTCGGGCACAGGAGGGGGAGGAGGAGTAATACAGAGAGGCCAGTGGGAAAGATGGCGTGAGGCTGGAGCCCATCTGGGAATGCAGGATGCTTGCTTCTCTTTGGAAAATCACCTGTTTCAGTAGAATGAAAGGGGGTGCAGGCCATCTCTGTAGGCGAACAGCACAACCATTTGTAACAATCCAAGACTCGTTTGTGATTTAAAGTTCTCAGCAAGCTAGGAAGAGAAGAGAACTTCCTCAACCAGCTAAATGATACCTGCAGAAAACCAGCTGATATAATACAAGGTGGACGGACTGCATCCCTGACATGGAGACCAGGCAGGGTGTCTGTTCCCTGCACCCCTGGTTGCACTGTACTGGAGATCTTCACCAGTATAATTAGGGAAGCAAAAAGAAAAGATGGACAGACTGGAAAGGAGGAAGTAAAACTGTACCTGGAGACAACATAATTATCTATAGAAATTCCCAGGGAATAAATGACAAGCCAGTAGGACTAAACCGTGAGGTTTACAGGGTCACGGGATACAAGGACAATGTACCAAAATGGGTTATGTTTCTGTATACTAGCAGTGAGCCACTCGAGGTACATACCATGTATGATGGCATCAAAGTCCATGAAATATTAGGAATGCATATAAGAAAATCTGTGTAAGATTTGTACACTGAGAAGCTTAAGACGCAACTGAGACATTAAAGATCACCTGATGTAGAAAAATGGAGACATTGTAAGAGGAAAAATGAACTCTTTTCCCCTCTGCTCTCACACAGCCTCTGACACCAGATACTGGAAGGTTTCCCCCACACCAAGCAGTTCTCCAGGGGTCACCAGCTGGATGTCCTGCAGCCTCATCTGCACACTCTCCACCTGGAGTTCCATCAGCTTCCAATGGGTCAGGGCCCAGTCCCACACATCTGTGCCCCCTTCAGATTCCAGGTGCAAGTAGTAGGCCGGCATCTCTGCTTCATTTTACGGTTTTCTTCTCTTCCTCTTTCACTGACATCAGCTGTACTTCTGACTGACAGGCTGTTAAACGAGGCCCCTGCTACCCACTCCTTGGGTTTCATTAATTGGCTAGTGTGGCTCACAGAACTCGGGAAGATGCTTTGTTATGTTTAGTCATGTCTTATAAAGGATGTTACGAATAATACAGGTGAACAGGTTGGCAGAGTGAGGTGTGAGGAGAGGCGCGGAGCTTCCATGCCCTCTCTGGGCACACCACCCTCCAGGAGCCTCTGTGTGTGCAGCTCTGAACCCTGGCCTTATTTGTGGGTTTTTATGGAGGCTTCATCACAGAGGCATGATTGATTACACCATTGGCCGTTGGAAATCAACTCACCCTTCGGCCCCTCTCCCCTCCTAGGAGGTTGAGGGGTGGGACTCAAAGTCCCAACCCTCTAATCTCACCTTGGTGTTTCGGATAACCACCCTATCTGAAGCTGCCTGGGGGCTGCCAACCAGCACTCAGCTCATTAGTTCACAAGAGACACTCTTCTCACTCCAGATAAGGAGCTGCATGTATGTCAGGGAACAGAAAGACCAAATATATATTTCAGAGTATCGTAAAGGTACTGTGGTCGTGTATTGGAAGATTCATTATTGTTAAGATGGCAGTTTGCTCAAATTGACCCAAATATTTAACATAGTCCCAATCAAAGCCCCAGCAGAAATTGATGAACTGATCTCTAAAATTTCTTTTTTTTTTTTTTTTTTGAGACGGAATCTTACTCTGTCGCCCAGGCTGGAGTGCAATGGTGCGATCTTGGCTTACTGCAACCTTTGCCTCCTGGGTTCAAGCAATTCTGCCTCAGCCTCCCCAGTAGCTGGGACTACAGGCATGGACCACCATGCTTGGCTAATTTTTGTATTTTTGTAGAGACAGGGTTTCGCCATGTTGGTCAGGCTGGTCTTGAACTCCTGACCTCAAGTGATCCACCCGCCTTGGCCTCCCAAAGTGCTGGGATTACAGGCATGAGCCACTGTGCCCGGCTGACAATTTCTAAAATTTCTATGGGAATGTAAAGTACCTATAAATTGTTATAGCCATAACAGTTTCAAAAAAGAACAAGTTATACAGCTTACACTGGCCAATTTCAAGACACGTTGTAAATTGCATAAATTGAGACACTGTGGTATTAAGTATAGACATGTAAATCAGGAGAACAGAGTAGAATGTTCAGAAATGATTGAAGAATACAGTGTTGATTGTTGTCAAAGTGTCCAGATAATTCAGTGGGAGAAAGAATCTTTTCACCGAGGGTGGTAAACCAGTAGGCTCTTCGTGGTGAGGATGAGCCTTAACACCTGTCTCATGCTGGACACAAGATTTAACTCAAATGACGCATAGACCTATGTGTAAAAGTCACAAAATCTGGAAGCTAGGGTTTGGCAAAGAGGTCTTACAATACAACGAACATGAACCATAAATGAAAAAATTGATAAATTAGACTTCATCAAAATTGAAAACTTCTGCTCTCAAAAGATACAGTGAAAAGGCAGACCATAGACTAGGAAAATATTTGCGAGATATTAACATGTATCTGACCAAAGATGTGCTCCAGGATAGAGAAGGAACTCTTACAAATTAGTAAGATTACCATAGTTTAAAAAATGGTCAAAAGACTTTTAACAGATACTTTATTATTTATTTATTTTTTTGGAGATGGAATCTTGCTCTGTCGCCCAGGCTGGAGTATAGTGGCATGATCTTGGCTCACTGCAACCTCCGCCTCCCAGGTTCAAGCAATCCTCCAGCCTCAGCCTCCTGAGTAGCTGGGGTTCCAGGCGTGCACCACCACACCCGGCTAATTTTTGTATTTTAATAGAGACAGGTTTCACCATGTTGGCCAGGCTAGTCTCAAACTCCTGACCTCAGGTGATCTGCCTGCCTTGGCCTCCCAAAGCACTGGGATTACAGGTGTGAGCCACTGTACCCGGCCTGCTTTTAACAGATACTTTACAAGAGAAGATATATAGGTGGTAAATAAGGACATGAAAAGATGGTCAACATTGTTAGTTATTAGGGGAATGCAAATTAAGACTGTAATCGCCCAACAGGGTTCTTCTTGCTGCCCAGAAAGCCAATGCACTGAGAACGGCAGGTGTGGCAGCAGAGAGGGAGTTTAATGATTGCAGAGCCAGCCGAGGGAGGTGGACGCGAGATAACTCTCACATCTGTCTCCCTGAGAATTAGGAGGCGAGGGCTTGAGGGTGTTTTGGCGGGCAGCGGCCTAGGGAGTGGTGAATGCTGGTTGGTTGTGTTGGGGATGCAATGATAGGGGTGTCAGGACTGTCTCCGTGCAGCTGAGTCAGTTCCTGGGAGATGGGGTCACAAGTCCAGGTGGCATCTCTTGATCTGCTGAAATGCTAAATCTGAAAAATATCCCAAAGACCAGTTTTTTAGGTTTCACAGCAGTGATGTCTGTAGGAGCCGTTAGGGAAGTTCCGAATCTGACAACGTCTGGTTACGTGACTCCGGGTAGCAGGCACTGTAGAAGAGCAAGCTAAGTAAGCAGTGACAGGTCATGGTTTACCCGTGCCTGTTCTTTAGCAAAGTTCAGGCCCCTGTAGCAATGCCAGTCTTAATCTCCAAACAAGGACGGGTGTCATTTTTCCTTGCCTTGAAGTTTAACTATAAACTACATTCCTCTCATAGTTATCTTGGCCTCTGTATTAGAATAAGCAAAAAAAAAAAAAAAAAAAAAAAGAAAAGATCCTGTGAGGTTAGAAGCAAGGTGGAGTCAGTAATGTAGATTTCTCTCGTTACTTAAAATTCTGTAAAGGCGGTTTCAAGACTGCAGTGAGATACCACTGGGCACCCAATAAAATGGCTAAAATTAAGCAGACTGACCATCCTGACTGCTGGCAGAGATGCAGAGCAGCCAGGCCTGTTGCCCCTGGGAGTAGCAAGTGGTACGGCCACTTTGGAAATGGTTTGGTAGCTTTGTACACACTTACGGTGTGACCCTGCAGTTCCATTCCTCGGTATTTAATCTAAGAGAAACCCAAGAGAAAATGTGGTCTCATGAAGACTTGTACAGGAATGTTTGTAGAGCCTTATTCTAACAGTCTGAGAGCAGGAACAACTCAGGTGCCTGTCAGCAGGTGAAGGGATACGTGGACCGTGGCGTCTCCACGCAGTGTAATGCGCGGCAGCGGCGGTGCTTGGAAACATGAAAGGGTCTCTCTTGCTGAGTGAAGGAAGCCAGACTTACTGAGTTTATACTTACTATACCATCCCATTGATTTGAACTTTTTAAAAAGGTAAAACTGAGCAACAGTGATAGAAAGCAGGTCAGTGATCCCTGGAGTCTCGTGCTGGGATATGATTGGGGTCTTATGGGGTGCTAGAAATACCCTTTGGCGTAATGGATGTGATCGCCGCACAGGTGTACACGCAGCAAAGCTCATGACACTGCTCTTGTCAAACTGTTCACGTGCGCAGATCATACCTCACTCAAGCTGGCCTGTCAACAGCAGACGGTCAGCTCTTCGGATTAGCTGTGAGGGGAAGGAAAATTCCTTAGTGGCGACTTGGACTGAATTGGAGAGTGGCCTGGGGGTGCTGTTTAAGCCAGCCTTCATTTGGGGAGGGACCCATCCCCTGAGTTTATGGAAGGCCTACGGCCACGGCTGCGTGCACCTCCTGGGTCTTTGTTACGTCACAGGAGTGCTGTGAGGAGTGGCAGCATGTGGGGTCAGTGCAGGCTGCAGAGGGTCAAGGAGTTTCACATTTGATGAAAAGCAGAACAAGCTGCATAAATGCAAATGAATGGAATGAAAAGTGGAACGTGTTCTTCCTTTCCTGCCCTCCCTGGTGACCTCACTCAGGGCTGGGTGCCCTGTGTCACAGCTTCCTAGCCATCGTCACCTTGTGTTCTCAGTATTCCTGGGGGGCTGTTCCAGAATAGAACTGATTGCCCCGGAGGTGGGCAGCAGGGCGTGCTGTGCTTGGCCCCGGTTCGTCTTTCTAGGCAATGCCTGATGAGTTTCCTGTGTGTCGTTCTGGAAATGTGTGTACATAGAAGCTCTTTATGTACTCCCATCACCTTTTAAAATTGGGGCTCCTTCCACAGTTTTATTCTGCAACTGTTTTCACTCAGTTTTTGACAGTTTTTTGGCCCCAGCGCAGGCTGGTCTGCTGAACTACTTTAAAGAACTGCAGGGTGTGCTGGAGTGCAGACGGACTCAGACTCCAGCAGCCCCTGTTGATGGACACTTAGGGTGTTTCCAGCTTCTTTCCCCAATTAGCCATGCTATGCTGGTTGGGTAAATTCTTAAAAGGATGATTTTTAGTTCAAAAGAGATGTGCGTTTGAGACTCCTAGCTGGTGCCACACCGCCCTCCCGAAAAGCATGAGTGCTGTGCGCTCCCGTCACGGCGTGTGACTGCCGTCACCTAATGGGGGTGGTGTGCTTTCAACGTTTCTAGAGAGATTCAGCTCGAAGTCACAGTACAGTGAGGAGAGCAGGCATCTTCAAAGGCTTGGCTTTTCAAAACTGTCATTTAGCAGCTCCCACTGAGGGGGACCCTATGAAATAGGAAGGGAGTGGGTGTCAAGTCCTGTAGCCGAGCCCCCACTTCAGGGAGGAAATCATTTGCTCGTGGCCAAGATGCCGCTGTTTTTGGCTCCTTGCCTGTCCCGTTGTGCCTGAATCTGGCCTTGCTTCCCATCCCGGCGGGTGGGCATTATACCCGTCAGCAAGGGCAGGCCTGAGGGGGTGAGGAGGGGCTGCAGAGGAGGCTGGGCTGGGGAGGTGGGAGGCGGGCATTGCTGGCTCAGAGTCCTGGCAGCTGTGCCCACCTGGAACTGCTGACCCATCCCCTGTAGTCAAAGCTGGGCACCTGTCAGTGCTGACCTGGACATTTTCCCAAAAACTTTTGTAGACTGGTCAGATGACAAGTCTCAGGGCCCAGCTTCCCTGATGTGTGAGGCCAATTAGGAGGACAGTGAGGGGATGCATGATTTTCCTCTAAGGAAGGGTCTAATTGACCAGCCTGGACAGTTTTATTATCCTAGTTACCGTGCGCGTGATTTGTAATTACCCGGCTGTTGAGTTGATCAATACCAGACGCCCTGGTGGTGCTTGGGAAGGTGGGCGACTGTCAGGTATGTTGGTCCATTTTAATTGGCGCCGGTTTGGTTTTCTTTGGGGCATGGGAGGAGGAGGGGGAGAAGCGTTTGGCCTTCTGGCTACTTGTGTGAGCATGGCCCTTCTTCTGGGCCTGCATGCCGGATGCCTCGTGGTCTGGGCCACGTTTCCCCTTTTCGTTTGTTCATTCGTTCACCATGAGCTGCTCTTGTGGAGCCCATGATCTGGAGGGAGAAGGATCCCTCAGGCCTGTGCGTCTGTGGTGTGCAGGTCCCAGGACCCTGGAGCTGGAGAGTGGCGAGTGTGCTGCCCTCCAGAGGTGCAGGCCAGGGTGGGGCGTGAGCCAGGTTCCCAGCTCCGTCCGAGCACGGTGCCTGCCATCTCTCCTCTTCTCAACCCCAGCTCCTCCTGTGGCTGAGTCCTGGCCGCTTTCTGCCTTGGGGTTGTGTTGGTTTTCCGTAAACGCATCCTCTCAATCCTGAGCATTGTGAGTTAAGAGCTGGGGTCTCCCTTTAGCGCCCCTGAGCCAGACGTGCAGTAGGCGTGTGCTGAGCCTTTGAAGAGTGGAGGACCGAGCGAGGGCGTCTCTGTGCCTTGCAGTTGGTGGTGATGTATGGGCGGAGCCTCCAGTGCTCTTGGCTGCTGTGACAGGGCCCCCCTGGGGTCCTGCACTATCCCAGCGAGACCCCCAAAGCAAGGCCAGCAGAGAGCTTCCTGACAGCTGCCTCGCTTTGGCGACGGCCCTGGCTGGGGTGCAGCCTGTGCCCCTCTCCGCCCCCTTGTGAAGTTTCGGATGGGCGTTCCCAGCAGTGCTGACAGGCTCACGCCGCCCTTGGGCTTCATTCCAGGTACGGTCGGGCAGGCTGGAGACTGTCAGAGTCTGGGGGCGGTGCTGTGGGTGTTGGGACCCCGCAGGGAGAGGCGAGAGAAGGGCTTCCCAGAAGAGACCGTTGGGCTCCACCCCTGCATGTGCCTGACTGCACAGACAGCTGAGTGCTCTGCGGCGTGTCCGGGTGGAAACGCTATCACTTGGTCTCGGAGCTCTTTTTGGGGCTTTTCTCCAAGCTTTGTAGATAGGGCTCTTCTACTTATAGGTCTCTTTTTAAATTGATTTTAAAAAGTCTAAGGCCAGAGTGACAGGCTTTAGACAAGTCCGGCTGCCGTAGGTTCCAGGATTTATTTTAGAGGAGGCGGTGGCATCCCTGGTGGTATCTGGGCTGGTTTTTACTCATGGGTGCTTACTGGGGTCCTGTTGCGTGCTGTCCCCTCCTTGTGGGCTAGGGGCTCCCAGGGTGTCCACGTCCCTACTTTTACAGGTAGAGCAGGGGGTGCCCTGGCGTGGAATGGAGGAAGGGTCTGGGCAGCTTTGTGACAGGGCTGGTAGGAGGGGGATTTTGACAGGCGGCTTGAAGCCAGCGCCAGCCGAGGGCCAGAGGCAGAGAAGCTGAAGGCCTCCTCTGGGCAGCCCACCACTACCTGCCCTTCTCTCCGAGGACTTCCCAGCAGTGCCATGGCCTTCGGAGAGCTGGGGTCTCAGGCAGGCTACGGGGCTCCACAGCTCCCCACCCAACATTCCTCAACGTCAGCTTTGGGGCTGTGAGGTGTGACCTCTACAGGATCACCTGGGGTCACTCCCTGCAGCCAGCTGTAGCTGTCATTTGTGTCAGGAGCTGCTGGTCTTGCCTGCACCACCCACCCTTCCCGCCCTCCACCTACCCTGCGTGGCCTGGGTTCTTGGGAGGAACAGGAGATCCTGAGCTGTTGAATTCCTGGAACCCACGGTCACTCGGCACCCGCATCCCGCTCCTCCCAGCTCCTGCACGCTTCTCACTGGTGTGGTCACCTGGAATCAGGTGCCCTGATTCTGCTGGACAGGCGGGAGGGGAGGCTGGGCCGAAGGGTGGACCAGCCTTTGCACGCTCAGTGGCTGCAGGGGGGCCGTGTGCATGAAGCAGGCGGTCCTCGTGGTAGCACCGTTTGTGCAGAGCCGCGGTGGGGAGAGCGGGCTTGCGTTCACAGAAGTGCTGTGAGATGATCACTTCATCACAAGCCAGTCAGCACCAGCCTGTGGGGCGGCTCATGTGGACTAAGTGATCTGACTTTCCTGGCTTTTGTTTGACGATGTTTCCACTGTTATCCAGGTGCAGAGAGCTCTGATCTCCCACGATCGGAAGTACCGTGTGCGTGTCTTACCTGGGCAGAATGCAGAGACCTTCACTGGCAGCTGTGTGTGGACCCTGGGGCTCTGTTACACAGCCAGGTGCTGAGGAGCAGGGCTCCGAGCCAGGCCAGCGAACCTTCCTTAGACCCCCTGTGTGCAGGCCTGGTGCCTGGTGTCGGGGGCCCAGTGGAGAACAAGATCCGGCTGTTGCCATGGGACTTTCGTCTGGTGGGGAGTCCTGAGGAGGATGTGGATGAGGTGGAGAAGAGGTTCCAGGTGAACGCAAGTGTCCACCCTGCATTCCAGGGTGGCAGGCGGCCCGGGGCGGGTGTGGGGTGGTTGGGTGGGCGCCCCGCGTGCTATGTTAGCGTAGGGTGGTGCACACCTGGCCGGCAGGCCTTGGTCCCGCTCTTCACCCTCCACCTGTCGTGGGTGCGCCCCGGGAGGGGTGGAGGATGGAGGGCAGGCGTGGGAAGAGCTCTGAGACCCTTGGCTTCATGGAGAGTGTTGGGCAGTTACCCCTCCCTTGCCCTCGGGCCTTTGTGAGTGTGGCTTCCTGGAACTCTGGGGGATTTGTCACCAGTGACTGCAGGGGGCTCTCCCATCCCTTTCATCCAGGCTTCACTGTCTGCCCTAAGCTGGGGACTGGTCCAGCTGACCTGGATGGTGCGGAGTGTGGGCCCTGCTGGCCAGCATGGCGTTGGGAAGCACCTAGGTGGGTGGTGGGTTGGGTTGTGGCCTTACCGCGGAGTCTGGGCTGCAGCTGAGAAAGCCGTCTCCTAGGACCAGGAATCTGGGTTTGGGAGGCTGGAGGTCTTGGCCCAGCAGTTCAGTGGCTGCCCGGTGTGTCTGCCTGGCCTGGCCCTCGTCTGGTTTCCGTTGTCTGGGAGGCACCCCTGCCCGTGCCAGGCGGGGCACTGCGGGGGCGCGGATGCGGAGTGGAAGACTGCTGATTTAGGAATCGAAACTCCAGGGACATCCGTGTAGCAGAGTGATTCTAAGATGATTAAGAAAACCATCAATGATTTAAAGAAAGTGTTCACTGCAGTCCTTATTGAGCGGTTTGCCGCGTGCAGGGCATGTGGGGGTGGCGCACCAGGCTGCAGGCGCCCTTCATGACGGCAGGCAGGGGACCTCCTAGGAGTCTTGGCTGTGACACGTGAGGTATGAAGGCCAGAAAGGTGAACGTGTGGAATCTGTGACCCAGAAGTAACAAACTCCTTTCTTGGAGAGCAGTTAGGTATTCCATTCCTTAGTCCATATGCCAACATTTAAAAAGGCCAAAACCAGAGGCCTAGAAAATGTATCTGGAAGTTGCAGTGAGACCGTTTTTGATCATTGTGGCCTTCCTGGGGCTCAGTTTCCTCGCTTTGCAAATGCCATTTTGGCAGGGATCTGCTGTGGGGCATCTCCGTGCAGGTGGAGCTGGAGTTGCGCATCTTTCTCAGGCTGGCATCATACAGGCCCCAGTGCACTCTGGCAGGGAGGGGCAGCCCCCTCCTGGATAGCCCCGCCCAAGGCCGGGAGGACTGTGAAGGGGGGATCCCACTGCCTGACCTCAGCCTGTCGGGCCCCACAGCGCGTCTCTCTGTGGACTGGTCGCCGGCTTCCTGTGGCCTGTGTGTCCTCCGAGTGGCTGGAGCTTTGGAACCCTATTCTGTAGCTTGGAGCTCCTGAGCCTCAAAGGGCAGGGGCCTGGTTCCTTGCCCATCCTTGCCCAGCCTGATGGCCTGTGCTTGTGGACTGTACATGGGCACCTGCTTTAACACCTGGAGGAGTAGGGGCTACCAAGAGCATGTGGCTCTGGGCCTCCCTGGGAGAGTCACTCAGCGGCAGGAGAACTGAGTGGGACACATCAGGGAGTGTCTGTCTCATGGACGCCTGTTGGCCTGCAGCCTGGAGAGGGGGCCTGAAGTGTGTGTTCCATGCTCTTGACCCCCAGGAAGCACTCGCCTCTGTTGAAAGCCTCGTGCCGCAGAGCGCGATTGCTGTCCCGGGTGGACGGCCATCACGGGCTCCTTGCTCCGGCGATGCCAGCGCTCCTGGTGTTGTGTGTGGCTGGCTCCCCCTTGTCTCAGCCCTGGGCTTAGAGCAGGCCAGGTGCTCAGGCAGTGGTTTTGTTGCTTGAAGGGGGGTGTGTACCTGGCTGCAGCCTGTGGAGAGCGTGAGTGGCTGGCAGAAGCAAAGGCGGGCTCTTGGGAGATGAGAGCAGGCAGCCGGCCTGGAGGCTTCCATGGGGCTGGTCAGCTCCTGCTGGCTCTTCCTGGCACAAATCCACGCTGGGCTGGGTGCCTTGGCTCACACCTGTAATCCCAGCACTTTGGGAGCCTGAAGTGGGAGGATCGCTTGAGCCTGGGAGTTCAAGACCAGCCTGGGCAACACTGTGAGACCCTATCTCTATTTTTAAAAATAAAAATATAAAGATAACCCTTCCTCCAAAAAAAAAAAAAAAAACCCAAACTCATGGTGGACCTTGGGATGAGCGGGGGCGCTTGTGGGGCAGAACTGGGTGTGGTTGCCCCGTCCTGGGCCTGTTCCCAGGCCTGCTCTTAGAGGAGGGGCTGATGGGCCCTGTGGGTGCAGGGAGATGGGGTCAGTCACAGGCTGGGGCCTGGGGGCTGGGACCTGGGGGCTGGGACCCGGGGGCTAGGACCAGTTTTGGCTCTCAGGCAGGGAGGGGTTGTGAACTCTGTTTTGGGAATGTGTGTTTGAAGTGTCAGTGATGTAGCCAGAAGGAGGTGTCAGACAGCAGCCGATGTCAGGCCTGCATGGCTCCTAGAGGAGCCCTAGGGCTGGCCTGCCCAGTGAGGGGCAGGGATGAGCCGGCCTAGGGGAGTGGCAGAGCCAGAGGAGCAGACAGCTGGCCCGAGTCTGGAGGGATTTTGGCGTTTGCAGGTGGCTTTGAGCCTGAGGGCCAGTGCCTCACCGGGTCAGAGAGCTCTGCAGCCCGCCAGTCCTGGTCGTGCCTGTGTCCGAGCTTGGGCCCGTGTGCAGGGAGAAGGTGGCTGTGCAGTGCACGTCGTGTGTACCAGGCGTCGGCGGAGTGATGCGTGGGTCGGGGCGGGAGATGAGAGGAGGAGTGAGGAGAGGCTAGAAGCCTCCAGAGCAGTGGGGTTTCTTCCTCTTCTTCACTGGTGAGTGCTTCTTGAACACATAGGTGTGCAGGCCTGGTGCTGGGTGCTGGGGATACAGCTATAAGTCAGGGGCTGTTTTCCAGTCCTCTCAGATCTAGCCGGGCATATGTCTGCTAGGTCAAGCGTGGCTCCTGAAGAGATGACACTTGAGAGGCTGGCAGCATGTTCCAGATAGGGTGGGTGCTGGCAGCACACAGGTTGGCCAGATGCTGCGTGTTCGGACAGTGTTGTGTGGCTCCAGCTGGTTCTAACCACAGTTCTCCTGGGATGTGGCAGAAGCTGGACAGGTTGGCAGGGATCTGTCCTGTCCTGAGGGTGGTTTGGACCGCGTCCTGCAGGTCACAGGAGCCGCAGAAGGTCTTCATCAGGGAGGAGCACATCCGCCAATTGTGAAGGGGCCTCTTTCCTCACTGAATTCGCAGGGCGAGGACCTGGCGCCTTGGCAGGACCCTGCTGGTGGAAGTCCCTGGGGCTGTCTGACCCGCTGCAGGTTTCAGCAGCCCCGAAGTGTGGGGAGGGTGGGCGGTGTTTCCTGTTGTCAGTTGAGAGCCTCATGGAGTAGGAGCCGTGGAGTCAGCCGCGTTGTAGTGAGAGTTAGAATTGAGCCGCACTGTTCCTGTGAGCAGGGAGCCCGAGGCCTTCTGACTTCTGAAGAGGGTTCGTGTTGAAGGCCAGACTCTCCCTGTTTTTCTGTTTCCTCTTCAGGTGAATGCCTGTTCCTTTGTGACCACAGTGTCTGTGGGTAGCACTGTGATTTTGGAGACGCTCGTTTGTTTGTTCATCTGAACATTTATTTGGAGACCTGCCGTTTGCCAGGCTTTGGGCTGGCTCTGGCGACGCTGTGACGAGCACAGCACAGTCTGCCCACGTAGTGCACACACACAGACAGCTTTAAACAATGAAAACAACAGGGGTGCCTCCTCAGATGCAATCTTTTGGAAGATGCCGCAGGAGCGTTTTGCGGGAGTATCTTAGTTGGAGACGGCCTTGTTGGATATGAATGACGCTGGTGGGAATGAAGGCCAGACGTTTTCCCTGGTTTGGAAACAGGTGGCTTACAAGAGTTTCTAGAGTTTATTTGTTTAAAGACAGAGCCTGTTCTCAAGAGGGTCTTCACTTTGCTGGCAGGATGGCACTGTTGACGGTGGTGGTTGGCTCTGGAGAGCTGCTGTGTAGTTGACAAAGCCTGTTGATAATCAGCGTCTCATTCGTTCTTCCTCAGAACCCTGTGGACTAAGCTGGGTTCTGGGAGGGGCTGACTGGCCCAAGGGCATCCAGTGAATTTGTGGCCCTGTTGCCGGAATGCTTGGCTGATCCTGGAGTATGGTGAGCTGTGCCCTCAATAACCTCCATCCATCTGGCTGGCCACATGGTGCCATGCAGCTGGATCCTGCATTTTTGTGAGCTGATCAGCCCGATGCTGGCACTGAAAGGATTCTGTTGGGAGCTGCCATCCATTTAGCCTGAGCGGAACTCAGCACATGTGCGGGCATGAAGCCCATCAGCTGATAGCTTCTTTTTCAGACCTGATGGCTCCCAGCCGAACTTTGGCAAGAAGGACCTACCAGCCTGCTGGAGGGCTGACCTGCCTGCCTTTGCTGGGAGCCAAGCACCTCCTGGCAGTTCTGGGATTTGGTTTTCAGTGGGAGGAGGCTCTCTGCAAGGTAGAGTAAGAGCAGTAATTACTTGGGAGAGGAAGCGTTTAACTTCTGAGGCTGCAACACAATACTATCTTGTTCGCGGAGGTGGCTGAGTTAGAAGATTAGCAATTAATTTTTTATCAGGTGCAAACTACTCTTCAGTTTCATGGAATCAAACAGTCCTCCCACAGCAAGGGAGGGGCAGGCTTCCACCCCGTGTAATTTTTCAGAGCACTGCTGTTTGTCTGCTTTTGAGCTGATAGGAATTATTTACGAGTCTATTTGGAGGACATTTTGACACACAATTCTTGGTATTCCCATTTGCTCTTTCTAGTTTTTACTTTTCCTGCATTGCTAGCGTTTACTGCAATTAGGTCTCAGGAGTATTTTGCCTTTTATTAGGATTGCAATTACAAAATGCAGGTATCAACTAGGTTCCTTTAAATCAAAGCTCACTTTTTATTGACTCGGATAAGAAAAGTAGGTATTTTTAGTAGACTGAGTTGAAAAGAGTGTCATTGGTAGCTATTACAAGCATTTCTTTTAGTTTAGGTGTTTTTATTGTTTACGAGAGCTTAGCTGAAGTGGCATAGATAACCCAGTAGGGGTCACTGCTAAGTTATCTGTAAGTTTTCTAAGCTTGAGCTTTAGATTCAAATACTTTTTTTTTTTTTTTGAGACAGAGTCTTGCTGTGTTGCCCAGGCTGGAGTGCAGTGGCATGATCTCTGCTTGCTGCAACCTCAGCCTCCCAGGTTCAAGCGATTCTCCTGCCTCAGCCTCCCGAGTAGCTGGGACTACAGGTGCGCATCAGCACGCCTGGCTAATTTTTGTATTATTGTATTTGTTTTTTTAGTAGAGATGGGGTTTTGGCATGTTGGCCAGGATGGTCTTGAACTCCTAACTTCAGGTGATCTGCCTTCCTCGGCCTCCCAAAGTGCTGGGATTATCAGTATGAGCCACTGCGTCCAGCCCAAAGACTTTTAATAATAGAAAAGGTACTTTCTCTTGTTTCATCATTTAGTATGCTAGGTTTTCTTTGAGTTTCTGTAACTAAACAGTGGGTACCTATGATAGGTTGGGATGGATTTAGGGCAGAGTCTGGTACGTTTTTTCTGTAAAGGGCTGGGTATTAATAGTAAATATTTACTTTGTAGCTTTGGGGGCCATAAGGTCTCTGTTACAATTAGTTGGCTCTGCCTTTCTAGCCCAGAATAGGGTGATTAGCCCTCACGGCTTGTCTGAGACTGAGGAGTTTTGCTTGGGAGGTGGGACCTTTCATGTGAAAACTGAGATGACCCAGGATGAAACAGGACTGTCACTGATTTTAGTGCAAAAGCTGCTGTAGACAGTGCGTAAATGAATGGATATGGCTGTGTTCCAGTAAGACTTTATTTTCAAGACAGCTGGGGTGGGAGTAGGTTTGGCCTGAAGGCCATGCCTGCTAACTCCTACCTGAGGATACAGGGCTAGCCATTTAATTTTGGTTTAAAAAATCCATGCAGAGGCTGGGCATAGTGGCTCACGCCCGTAATCCCCGCACTTTGGGAGGCTGAGGTGGTAGGCAGATTGCTTGACCTCAGGAGTTCAGGACCAGCCTGGGCAACATAGTGAGACCTCATCTCTGCAAAAGAATACACACACACACAAAAAAATTAGCCAGGCATGGTGGCACGCACCCATGGTCCCAACAACTCGAGAGGCCAAGTCAGGAGGATCACCTGAGCCCAGGAGGCCGAGGCTGCAGTGAGCCGAGATCATGCCACTGCACTCCAGCCTAGGTGATAGAGCAAGAACCCGACTCAAAAAAAAAAAAAAAAAAAAAAAAATCCATGCAGAGCCTTGCTGCCTTTTCCCTGCAGCTTTTCTTTCCCATGCAGAGCCTTTTGCTGCCCACACAGCATCATGGTGGTTTCTTCCTTTCCAGATTTGGGACAGTTGGGCGACGGTGTGGCCTTGCCTGAGGGTGGTTGTGGAAGAGAGCCTAGGGTGAGACTGGCGTCTCCCGGATCGCGGCTCAGCACCTGCTCTGGCTGGAGCCTTGGCAGTGCACAGTGAGGTTTTCCGGAGGAATCTGGAGTTACCCGCGGCCGTGTTACCCCTTGGTAATAATTTTGAAGGGATAAAACCCTTATAAATTTGCTCCCAGGGTTGAGAAGTGCTCATTTCTGTCTCGCCTTTTTTTCTGGTAGCCGAGGGTTCCCAGGAGCACATATTGTGATCACGTCTGTTCCATTCAACAAATATTTGTTGAGGGCTTATGACGTACCGTGGTGTATACTGGCTGGGAGATGCAGCAGAGAGCAGGACGCACGGTCCCTGTGCTGAAACTCAGCACAGCAATGTGGTGCTGGGTGCGGAGGCGGGGAAGGGCTTTGAGGACCAAGAGTTGGAGGGCCTTGCTGTTCTAGGACAAGGACCGTCCTCTGGGCGGGGACGCTTTCTCTCCAGGACGTGGTGGCTGTCGGAGCTGGGTGGCCCTTGTCTCACCCCGGTTGCTTGGGCAAGTGAGTATGCTGGGGCGTGGCTTGGGCCGATGGTTTGTGAGCCTGCACCTGTCAGCCTCAGTTTGGGCTCCCTGTGGGGCGTGTGAGTCCCTGTTCTGACTGAGGGTTGGGTTAGGGTTTCCAGCCTCCCTGCCCCTGGGAAGAGGCTCCACCCTCCTCCACGAGTGCTGAGCTCCGGGTCTATTTGTACTGTGAGGAGTTGCTTTTGTCTCCATCAAAAACATGAACCACTGTTTGGAGCACTTCCATTTACTGACAACCCTTGCCAAATTAATTTTATTTAATTATCTCCCAGGGCTAAGCTTGAATACATTTTGTGTTAAGTTCACAGTTTTTTCCTTTTCTAAACGAAATGGACTTAATATCCTTGTTAAAATCTGATTAAAACTAAAATTGAGTTTTTTGAAGTCTGATTATCCCATGAAATGGAATTTTAAACCTAATTACAGATGGATTTGCATATACTTTTCAGCACCATTGAAAAGAAACTTGGTATAAATTTATTAATGACATCCTTTTCTCTCGTTTCCTTGGGGCATGACGTTAGTTTAGGAGCATGAGGGAGGTGGGGAGAAACACCACCCTTCTCCCCGCCCTTCCTTAGAATTTTTTAAAAAACTTTACTCTGTGGAGAATCAGTTCCCTAGGAGCCTGGGGCATAGTCACACTTTCATTCTCATCTTTGCTGCTTTACCGGCTTAGGTGGCTGATAGTTTTCCTGAATTGTTTTTCAATACTCAGAGCTCTTGTCTTTCGGAAGATGGAAGAGGAGCATGCACGATCATAGCTGCTGGTGTGTCTTCCCTGTCAGCTTAAAACGCAGATTTGGCCGGGTGTGGTGGCTCACGCCTGTTATCCCAGCAGTTTGGGAGGCCGAGGTGGGTGGATCACCTGAGGTCAGAAGTTCGAGACCAGCCTGGCAAACATGGTGAAACCCTGTCTCTACTAAAAATAACAAAAATTAGCTGGGCGTGGTGGCATGTGCCTGTAATCCCAATGACTTGGGAGGCTGAGGCAGGAGAATCGCTTGAACCCAGGAGGTAGAGATTGCAGTGAGCCGAGATCATGCCATTACACTCCAGCCTGGGCAATCAGGACAAAACTCCATCTCAAAAAAAAACAAAAAAAACAAAAAACCCCATGGATTTATATTTAACGTGCTACCTCCACCCTGATTTAATTTTAGTTTTTAATTTTAAGTTTTATTTTATGTATTTTTTTTTTTATCGAGACAGAGGCTCGCTCTGTCACCCAGGCTGGAGTGCAGTGACGCGATCTCAGCTCACTGCAACCTCTGCCAGCCGGGTTCAAGCAATTCTTCCGCCTCAGCCTCCCGAGTAGCTGAGATTACAGGTGCCTGCCACTGCGCCCGGCTAGTTTTTGTATTTTTAGTAGAGACGAAGTTTCACCATGTTGGCCAGGCTGATCTCGAACTCCTGACCTCATGATCCGCCTGTCTTGGTCTCCCAAAGTGCTGGGATTACAGGCGTGAGACACCGCACCCGGCTTAATTTTTTTTAATTTTTTTGAGACAGAGTCTTGCTTTGTGGCCCAGGCTGGAGTGTAGTGGCACAATCATGGCTTACTGCAGTCTCTGCCTCCTGGGCTCAAGCCATTCTCCCACCTGAGCCTCTGGAGCAGGTGGGACTACAGACACTTGCCACCACGCCCAGCTAATTTTTGTATTTTTAGTAGAGACGGGGTTTCACCATGTTGGCCAGACTGGTCTCGAACTCCTGAGCTCAAGTGATCCGCCTGCCTCAGCCTCCCAAAATGGTGGGATTACAGGTGTTAGCCTCCACCCTAGTTTTAGATACATTTGTATTATTAAAAAAGTAAAAACAAACTCTAAATGACCATTAGGTGAAATAAACAAGAAATTTCCAAAGGGCCATGTTCCTGTTCTTTGAGAAATCCCACTTTTCCAGGAGGGCTGTTTGCTATTGTGTCTGGACTCATGCTGCCTGTTGCGACTTCCTAGTGGCAGGTGGAGGTAACAGGCTCCCAGCGTACTTGCCCTCAGTCTGGCTGTCACCGTGGTTTTGTTTCGTCTGGAATTATGTGGGAATGGAATCATACGTCATGCAGTCATTTGTGTCTGGTGATTTCACTGGCAGAATGTTTTCTGAAAAGCATTCATTCACATTTGTTGCTTGTATCGGTTGTCCTTGTTATATCGAACGGATATACCATAATTTTTAATCCGGTTTTTTGCTCTTGCAGATAAAGATTCTGTGAACATTTGTATTGAAGTCTCTTTATGTATGTTTTCCTGTCTCTTGGGATAATACCTAGGAGTGGGGCCTCTGGGTGATATGGTATGTTTTAATTTTAGAAAAAGCTGATGAGCCAAAGTGGCTGCCTAATTCTGTCCCCTGGCCACCCGTGTGTGAGAATTCCGCTGGCCCCACATCCCGAGCTCTTTCATTGAATTCCGCTGGCCCCGCATCCCGAATGCATTCATTGGCCACCTTCACTTTAGCCATCCTGGTGGGTGTGTGCGGTATTTCCTTGTGGCCTTCATTCCTGTTGCCCTGGTGACTAATGATGTTGAACATCTACTCATGTACTTAACTTGACGGCCATATATCTTCTTTTGTGAAGTGTCTTTTCAAAGTCTTTTCCCCATTTTTTAATTGGACTGTCATCTTCTGAGTTGGCAGAGTACTATATATATTCATGACAGAGTCTTTTGTCAGATGTATGGTGAATATTTTCTCCCGGTACGTGGCTTCCTTTTCATTTTCTTAGTGTCTTTTGAAGGGTAAAAACTTTTAATTTTGCTAAGTCTGATTTATCAATTCATTTTCTTTATGGTTTGTGTTTTTTGTATCTGCCTAACCCAAGCTTTTAGAAACTTTCTAGCTTTAACTTTACTGTTAATTTTGAGTTAATTTTTGTGTGTAGTGTGGTCACAGTTGAGGGTCGCTTTCCTGCCCCACAATACGTATGTCTGTTTCCCATTTGAATTTCCTTGGCACCTCTGATGAAAGCCTGTCAGCCATACATTCATGGGCCTTTGCTCGAGGTCTTCTTTCATTGAATCATGTGTCTGTCCTTTCTCCAGTATGGTAAGGTCGTAATTACTGTCACTTCCTAATACTCTTTGAAAGAACATAGTAAGCCCTCCAGCTTTTTCTTTGTAAGAATTGTCTTGGCTATTTTAGTTTTTTTATTTTCAGATAAATTTTAGATTTAGCTTTCAGTTTGTTTTCTTTCCCCCCATTTACTTTTTATTTCGTTTATTTTTTCTTGCCTTAGTGCACTCACTGGGACCTCCAGTGCAGTTTTACCTGGGCATGGTGAGAATGGCTGTCCTGGCCTTGTCAGCCTTAGAGGGAAAGCGTTTAGATTTTCCTGAAGCATGAGGTTAGTTTTAGGGTCTTGCGAGATACTGTTCATCAGGTTGAGGAGGATGCTTTTCTTTTCCCCGATTTGTTGTATTGGGTCAAATACATATACAATAAAATTGACTGTTAACTGTTTTTAAGTGTACAGTTCAGTAGCTTTAAGAACATTCATATTGCTGTGCAACCATCACCACCATCCACCTCCAAAACTTTATCTTCCCAAAGCCAAACTCTGTACCCATTAAACGCTCGCTCCCTGTGCTCCCCCGTTGGCTCTAGGACCCACCATTCTGCTTCCTGCCTCTGTGATTTTTTACTACAGTAGGGACCTCATAGAAGGAGAATCATGAAATATTTGTCCTTATGTGACTGGCTTATTTCACTTAACATAATGTCCTCAGGGATCATCCATGTTGTGGCATGTGCCAAAATGTCCTTTCTTTCTAAGGCTGAGTAATATTCTGTTGTATGGATAGACGATCCGTTCTTCTTATCCAGTCACCTGTTGATGGACACTTAGGTTGCTTCCACATTGTAGCTACTGTGAATAATGCTGCTCTGAACACGAGCGGGCAGATATCTCTTAGAGCCCCTGCTTTCAACCTGCTGGATCCTGTGGTTCAACTTTTAACTATTTTAGGAGCCACTACATTGCTTTCCACAGTGGCTGTACCATTTTACGTTCTCATCAGCAGTGCACAGGAGTTCCAGTTTCTCCACATCATCACCATGTGATGTGATTTTTTTTTTGGTGGTAGCCATCCTAATGAGTGTGAGGTGGTGTCTTGTTCTGGCTTTGATATGCATTTCCCTAATGATTAGTGGTGTGGAGCACCGTTCCATGTGCTCCTTGGCCAGTTGTGTGTCTTCTTTGGAAAAATGTCTATGCAGGTTCTTCGCCTGTTCTTGAATCGCGTTATTTTCATTGTTGTTTTAGGAGTTCCCTTGTATGTTTTGAATATTTTTCTCTTACAGATACGGTTTCCAAACATTTTCTCCCATTCTATAGGTTGTGTTTTCAGTCTGTTGATAGTGTCCTTTGACAAATTTAAAATTTAAAAATTTACCAAGATTTCATTTGTCTATTTTTTTTTTGCTGTTATCTGTGCCTTTGATGTCATATCCAAGAAATCTGTGCCAAATCCCATGTCATAAACCTTCTCCCCTGTTTTTTTCTAAGAGTTTTATAGTTTTAGGTCTTACATTTAGGTCTTTGATTTGTTTTGGGTTAATTTTTTGTGTATGGTTTAAGGGCCCAACTTCATTCTTTTGCATGTGGAGACCAGTTTTCCAGCACCATGTGTTGAAAAGCTTGTCCATTCCTCATTGAATGGTTTTGGCACCTTTGTCAAAAATTATTTGAGCATACGAAAGTGTTTATTTCTGGGATCTCTACTGTATTTCATGGGTCCATATGCCTGTCATTCTGTCAGCACCACACTGTTTTGATTACTGTGGCTTTGTAGTAAGTTTTGACTTAAAGTGTGACTCTTTCAACTTTGTTCTAACTTTTCAAGATTGCTTTGGCGAGGGACCTTTGGGTCCCTTGAGATTCCATATGAATTTTAGGATAGATTTTCCTATGTCTGCAAAATATTTAGTTAGGTCTTGATAGGGATTGCATTGAACGTCTAGATGGCTTTGGGCGGTGTTGACATCTTAACAGCAAGTGTTCCACACGTAGTGGTTTCTGGAAGGTTAGTTGTGGTACGGAATAATCTTTTCAAACTGTCGTACTAAAATTCATTGGTCTCTTGCACTTTGAATGGACCTTTATCCATGCATGGTTATGTAACATCATACATTGCTCATTTGAAAATATCGACGCACTGAATTATGTAGGTCTTTTATTATGCCTTATTAAAGAAATTACAAGCTAATCACCACAAGTTATTGAAAAGTCTTTAAACGTTAGGAATCCATCAAGCTTGTGGTGGTAGATACAAATTTTTAAGAATTTAGATATGTGTTTGGCAGCTTGAGTTTTATTATTGTCAACAAATACTCGTGGTTGTATTCTTTCAAATGATAACGTTTATTTAATTCGTTTTTGAGAAAATGTCTACCAGATGCTCAAGCCTGAGTAACTATTGTTGGTCAGTTAGTTTTTAAGTAAAATATTTTACATAAAAAGGGCTAGTTCAGTTCACAACTCAAACATGGAAGACCAACCATCGCACTTTAGTATGCACCAGAAATGTCTTACATGTGCTTTCTATTTCTTCACACAGAATGTTGAGATCTTATCAAGGGGTTAAGATTTAATGAAGTGAATATTTTAACTGGGCCCAGTACTCCTGTAGTTCCAGCTGCTCGGAAAGTTGAGGTGGGAGGATGGCTTGGGCCCAGGAGTTTGTGGCTGTTGGGAGCTGTGATTGTGCCTGTCAGTAGCCATTGCAGTCCAGCCTGGGCAGCATAGCGAGACCCCACGTGGTGCCCCTGGTTTGTTTTGCTAACGTGTTATACCCATCAGTGCTTTTGTATCTTCAGTTCAAATGTCAGCACAGTTAGAAGAAAAAAGGCAAATAATAGCTTATTATTATTATTCCTTGTTTTTTTGGAGACAGAGTCTTGCTGTGTCACCCAGGCTTGAGTACAGTGGCATGATCTTGGTTCACTGCAACCTCAACCTTCTGGATTCAAGTGATTCTCCCACCTCAGCCTCCCCAGTAGCTGGGACCACAGGTGTACGCCACCATGCCTGGCTAATTTTTGTATTTTTTGGTAGAGATGAGGTTTTGTCATGTTGGCCAGGCTGGTCTCGAACTCCTGACCTCAAGTGATCCACTTAGTATTATTATGAAAATAGTTTTGATGGCCAGGCACAGTGACTCACGCCTGTAGTCCCAGCACTTTGGGAGGCCAAGGTGGGCAGATCACCTGAGGTTGGGAGTTCAAGATCAGCCTGGCCAACATGGCGAAACCTCGTCTCTACTAAAAATAAAAAATTCGCCGGGCGTGGTGGCGCATGCCTGTAATCCCAGCTACTGGGGAGGCTGAGGCAGGAGAATCACTTGAACCTGGTAGGTGGAGCTTGCAGTGAGCTGAGATTGTGCCACTGCACTCCAGCGTGGGGGACAGAGCGAGAGTCCGTCTCAGAGAAAAAAAAAAAAAAAGAAAAAGAAAATAGTTTTGATGTTACAAGACTGCCTAGAATGGTGTCTGCAGACCACACTTAGTGAACTGTTGTCCTAGCGCTTAGTCCCTCAAGGCGAGAAGAGGCTCACAAGTTGGACTCACATGTGATCCTACAGCTCTGTGACATGCTTTTCAAAAATATTGTACAGGATAATGTAAATCCATCCTCACTACAAAGAAAGCTCAAACAGTACAGAATTAAAGTGAAACTTTCTTGGATTTCTCTGCTTTTTCAAATTCTGCTGTATCCCAGGTTAACATTAGCAGTTTGCTATAAGTCCTTACATAATTTTTATGTGCATGGACGTCTTACGTACATAACAAATGGCATCATACGGCCTGTATTGTTATATTATTTTCCCTTGGATTGAGTTACTTGAAATGTCTGGTGTTTACTCTTTAGTAGCCATTATTCCATCGTAGAATGCACATATTTTAACTATTTCCTTATTAGCATACACTACAGTTGTTGCCAATTTTTTCTTTTTGCTATTAACACACAGATTTAGTGAATACCATTTCATTAAACATATTTTTTAAGTGTATCTGAAACATTCTTTTTATTGATGGGAATGCTAAGACATAGAGTATGAATATTTAACACTTTAATAATTTTTGCCAAATTACGTTCCAAAATTATACTTCTGTTAACAGTACTTAAGATTGCCCATTTTTCTGATAACATTCATTGATGTTGTTAGTGTTTCCGATTTTTGCCCTTTACTTAAAGTCAGCTGCTGTATTCTTAGCACAGTGCTTTCTGTGACAGATGTTTCAGATGACAGTGCTTCCTGCCTGCAGGCTCATCTGTCTGCCCTGGTAGCTTTCAGGCTCTCAGGCACCCTCCCTAATGGACCGACTGGGGTCAAGGGCTCTGAAAATGCTGCCCACCCTGGCCCAAGGGCCTCCTGAACAGGTAGGCTGGGGGTGGGGGTGAGTCCGGTGGCTTAGATGACAAATGGAGGTAGAGGACGCATTCTCGCCTGTTATTTCGATTTTTTTCTCTCCTCACCCTGACCGTCACGTTCTCACCTTTTCCACCTCAATCCCCAGTCACACTAGCTTCCCAGGATTAAAATGGTCTCTCTCTCATGAAACTTGTTTAGAAATCTAGAAGCATTAAAAAAAGGAAAAAAAAAATCTAGAAGCATGCACGTGGCTTAGAAAATGCCTTTGTGTTGCCAGATGCAGTTCCCTTGCTTTGACAGTGGCATTCAATGTGGTCTTTTAAAAAAAGAAACTATCTATTCCTTTAACATTTTTTTGAGATAATAATTACATACAGTGAAATGGACAGATCTTATGTATATAATTGAGTGAGTATTGAAAATGTACCACCTGTGTCATCACTGCCTCCGTCAGGCTGCAGAAAGTTTCCATTACCTCTGGAAGTTCCTTCTCGTCCCTTCAATCAATTCCTACCCCCGGGAGACAAGCACTGTTCTGATTTCTATTACCATAAATTAGTTTTGTGTGTTCTTGAATTGTAAATAAATGGAATTGTACTGTGTTTATTCTTAAATTGCTGTCATCTTTTGCCCAGGGCTGGGACTAGGGGGGAGGCAAGAGAGTGTGGGATCTACACTGCACACCCCAAGAGTGAGATTCTCCGAGCAATCACCTCCTGAAAGTTTGTACGCCGGCATCTCTCTTGCTTCACCCTTGTCCTGGCCCTGCTTTTGGACAACAGAGTGCTTTTGAGGTTCAGCCCTGTTTTGGGGAGATGAGTGGTACATTACATTTTATTTTTATTATTTATTTATTTTTTGAGATGGAGTTTCACTCTTGTTTCCCAGGCTGGAGTGGCATGGTGTGATCTTGGCTCACTGAAACCTCCGCCTCCTGGGTTCGAGTGAGTCTCCTGCCTCAGCCTCCCGACTAGCTGGGATTACAGGCGTGCGCTATCACGCCTGGCTAATTTTTGTATTTTTAGTAGAGACAGGGTTTCACCATGTTGGCCAGGCTGGTCTCGAACTTCTGACTTCAGGTGATCCGCCTGCCTCAGCCTCCCAAAGTGCTGGGATTACAGGTGTGAACCACCGCACCCGGCCCAGTGGTTCATTTTTAACTTGTACGAATCTGCTTGTTTGTTTCCCCGTTTGCTGTCCGAGGACATCTGGGTTGTTTCCCAGTAGCTGCCTCTTGTGAGTATAGCTGTGGTTAATTCACATCCACATCTCATGTGCTCCTATGTTTCCATTCTCTCGAGTGAGCACCCAGAAGTCAAATTGCTGGGCCTTTTAATGAGTACGTGTATAACTTCATAAGAAATTGCCAAACTGTCTTCCAAGGTGGTGGTATGATTTTATGCTCCTACCTGGAATGTATGAGATTCCATTTGCATTATATTTTCACCAGTATTTGGTGTGGCTGTTTATTTTTAAAACATCCTTTATTTATTCCAGCGGTTGTGTGGCGTTACCGACTTTTGGCTTTAACTCACGTTCCCTAATGACCAGTTCCCTAGTCAGTGAATATGTTGAGCCCTTTCTTTTTTTTTTATTTTAAAATTTTTATTTGAGACAGAGTCTCGCTCTGTTGCCCAGGCTGGAGTGCAGTGGCGCGATCTCCACTCACTGCAAGCTCCGCCTCCCGGATTCATGCCATTCTCCTGCCTCAGCCTCCCGAGTAGCTGGGACTACAGGCGCCCGCCACCACGCCTGGCTAATTTTTTGTATTTTTTTAGTAGAGATGGGGTTTCACTGTGTTGGCCAGGATGGTCTCGATTTCCTGACCTCGTGATCCACCCGCCTCGGCCTCCCAAAGTGCCAGGATTACAGGCGTGAGCCACTGCGCCCGGCTGAGTTCTTTCTTTTGCTTAATAGCTTTGTTTTTTATTTTTATTTTTATTTTTATTTTTTTATTATTATTATACTTTAAGTTTTAGGGTACATGTGCACAACGTGCAGGTTTGTTACATATGTATACATGTGCCATGTTGGTGTGCTGCACCGATTAACTCGTCATTTAGCATTAGGTATATCTCCTAATGCTGTCCCTCCCCGCTCCCCCCACCCCACGACAGTCCCCGGTGTGTGATGTTCCCCTTCCTGTGTCCATGTGTTCTCATTGTTCAATTCCCACCTATGAGTGAGAACATGCGGTGTTTGGTTTTTTGTCCTTGTGATAGTTTGCTGAGAATGATAGTCTCCAGCTTCATCCATGTCCCTACAAAGGACATGAACTCATCATTTTTTATGGCTGCATAGTATTCCATGGTGTATATGTGCCACATTTTCTTAATCCAGTCTATCATTGTTGGACATTTGGGTTGGTTCCAAGTCTTTGCTATTGTGAATAGTGCCGCAATAAACATAGCTTTGTATCTGTTCCTTGGGAAGTGTCTGTTCTTAGTCTTTTGGGAAATTGTATTGGTTTGCTTTCTTTCTATTATTGATTTTTCCAAGTTCTTTATTCTGGATACAAGTTTTTCATCCAGTGTATGTCTTGTCAACATTTTTGCCCTGTCTGTGGCTTGTCATTTTCTTTAGTTTTTAAATTATTAAAATATACATGACTACTACTGTAAGACTGACTGTTGTTCTTTTTTTTTTTTTTGAGGCAGAGTCTTGCTCTGTCACCCAGGCCAGGATGCAGTGGCGCGATCATAGTTCACAGCAGCCTCTAACTCCTGGGCTCAAGTGATCCAGCTTCCTGAGTAGCTTGGAATACAGGTGTGAGCCACCACACCTGGCTAATTTTTTCTCTTTTGTAGAGATAGGGTCTCACTATGTTGTCCAGACTGGACTTGAACTTGTGACCTCAAGTGGTTCTCCCACACTGGCCTCTCAGAGGGCTGGGATTATAAGCGTGAGCCACCATGCCCTGCCGCTTGTCTGTTTTAAAGTGTTTAATTTGGTGGTTTTTAGTATATTTGTAAGGTTGTACACTCATACCTACTGTCTAATTCCAGAAGATTGTCATGGTCCCCAAAGGAAGCCCAGTTGGCCGAAGTTCCCTGTTCTCCTTTCCCCAGCCCCTGGCAGTCACTCCTCTGCTCTTTGTCTCTGGGTTTACCTGTTCTGGACGTTGTGTATCAGTGGAATCGCACCATAGGTGGCCTCTGTGCTGGCGCTTTCCTCTCAGCACGTTCTCAAGGGGCGTCTACCCTGTGGCACGGATCAGCGCTCCCTTCCACCACATGGCACGTGGTCATACCCCATTGTGTCATCAGAGCTCATTTCAGTGACCCATTCATCAGCTGTAGACATTTGGGTTGTTTCACTTTCTGGCTATTACGAACATTCAAGTACAGATATTTGTATGAGACCTTTTTTTTTCACTTCTCTTGAGTGGAAACACTGGGTTACATGGTAGCTCTTTCTTTTTTAGGAATTGCCAAACTATTTTCCATAGTAACTACACCATTTTACATTCCCACCAGCAGTATATGAAGATTCCGGTTTCTCTGAATTTTTAACCCTTATTATGATGTCTTTTTTCTTATGGTTAGCCTCGTGGGTGTGGAGTGGTATCTTAAAGTGGATTTTTTTTTTTAATGACTGCATGATTTTTCATTGGATGGATATACCATAATTTAAACAATGACTTATTGTGGGACAAAAAATTATTTCCAGTTACATTTTATGATCTTCATTGTTTATATCAGTAGTAGTTTATTTTTTTAATGGGATTTTATTTTTTATTTCAATAGTTTTTGGGGAACGTGGTGTTTGATTGCATGGAAAAGCTCTTTAGTTGTGGTTTCTGAGATTTTGGTGCACCTGTCACCTGAGCAGTGTACACTGTCCCCAGAGTCCATTATATCCCTCTTACACCTTTGTGTCCTTATAGCTTAGCTTCCACTTATAAGTGAGGATGTGAGATGTCTGGTTTTTCCATTCCTGAGTTTCTTCGCTTAGAAGAATGGTCTCCAACTCCATCCACGTTGCTGCAAATGCCATTATTTCATTCCTTTTTATGGCTGAGTAGTATTCTATGATATATATATATATATAGAGACCACATTTTCTTTATCCACTCGGTTGATGGGCATTTAGGCTGGTTCCGTATCTTTGCAGTTGCAAATTGTGCTGCTGTGAACATGCGTGTGCACGTGTCTTTTTCGTAGAATGACTTCTTTTCCTCTGTAGGATTGCTGTCTCAAACGGTAGCTCTACTTTCAGTTCTCGAAGGAATCTTTGTACTGTTTTCTGTAGTGATTGTACTAGTTTCCATTCCCACGAGCAATGTAAAAGTGTTCCTTTTTCCACCACATCCACGCCAACATCTGTTATTTTTTGACTTTTAAATTATGGCCATTCTGGCAGGATTAAGGTGGTATCTCACTGTGGTTTTGATTTGCATTTCCCTGATAATTAATGATATTTAGCATTTTTTAAATCTTATGTGCTTTTTAATTTGTATTTCTCATGGCTAACGTGTGGAAACGTCAGTGGCTGCATAGAACAGAGACACAAACATTACAGAATTAGTTCAGAAAAGTCATGAAACAAGTAAAAAACAACTACAGCTGGCAGCACCAGCAGCCAGCCCTGGCAAGGGCAGAGAATCTGATTCCAGAGTTGCCGCAAAATTCGGAAGACATGCAAGAAGCAAGAAAGTATAATTCATACATGGTGGAGAAAGCAATCAATCAGTAGAAGCAGAATATCAATAAAAAGAAACTATAAGGAGAAACCACATAGAAATTCTACAGATGAAAAGTACAGCAACTGAAATGAAAATTTGGTAGATAAGCTCACCGGCATATTTGAGCAGCAGAAGAAAGAATCAGCAAACCTGAAGATAGGTCCGTCAGGATTCTCCGGTAAGGGGAATAAAGCAGAGAGAGAAGAAAAATGAAGACAGGATACGTGCTTTCTCCACTTCTGTTCAGCATTGTGCTGGAGGCTCTACCCAGGACGTTTATGCAAGGAGAGGAAATAGAAGACATCCAGATTGGAAAGGAAGAAGAAAACTGTCTCTATTTGCAGAAGACATGATTTTATACATTAAAAAACTGAAAGAATACACATTTACAAAATTATTAGAGCTAATAAACAAGTTCAACAGAGTTGCAGGATACAAGATCAATATTTAATATTATATTTAATATAAGATAATGTTTAATATTATACGTTAGCAGTGAACAATCTGACAACAATTATTATCCCCAGAGATATTTTGTCTAATTTTCTCATTGGCATTTTGCTTTGTTTCAGATGCTACAGAAACAAGCCCAGTTTCCTTGACAGTTGCACTATTTTTATTACAAAACCTCACTAGACATTTCACATTTGAAAACTCTCAGTCGTAAATTAACCATGGCCATCAAGTCTCTGTGATCTGTGGACAGTTTTTTGTTTGCCTCTAATGCTTGTCTGGAAGTTCGGCATGCTTTAGGCTAGATGCTCGGTCTTAAGCAAAGGCCAGTCTCAGAATGAATATTAGCCAGAGATTTCCTGAGATACCTAGAACTGGTGAGTCCTTGATGAGGAGCTCCGGTGCACGCTGGGCCAGGTGGTGGCCACTCTGCCTTTGCCCTCATTTCCTGCTTGCTCAGAGCTTCAAGGTGAGCAGGAGGGAGAACCCAGGGCCTTCACAGGCCTTTCCGAGCCTGTGCGCAACATGCACGGACATGGCCCCTTAGAATCTCAGTCCCCATGGACAGCTCATTTCTTAGCTTTTCTGTGTCAGCGTTCTGGTGAGTCTTTTGTTTGCCACTGCTGTCACTCAGGCATTTGTGATGTTGAAGTGGTTGACAGACTCATTCCCCAACCAAGTTTTTGCCCTGGGAGAGATTAGGGGAGGTGAAATCAAGACAGGACTTTCTTTCTTTTCTTTTCTTTTTTTTTTTGAGACGGAGTTTTGCTCTTGTTGCCCAGTCTGGAGTGCAGTGGCACGATCTTGGCTCACTGTGACCTCCGCCTCCCAGGTTCAAGCGATTCTCTTGCCTCAGCCTCCCGAGTAGCTGGAATTACAGGTGCCTGCCACCACGCCCAGCTAATTTTTTGTATTTTTAGTAGGGATGAGGTTTCACCATGTTGGCCAGGCTGGTCTCAAACTCCTGACCTCAGGTGATCCACCCACCTTGGCCTCCCAAAGTGCTGGGATTACAGGCGTGAGCCACCATGCTCGGCCTAAGACAGGACTTTTAATTGGGATCTTAAGGTAGTAAGTGACCCAGATGGGTCAAGTAATAACTCTTCTTTGGGAATGGTATTTTGAGAGATGCCAGCCCCATTCTGTTCCCTCTGTCCTGGGAATGTAGAGTGCGATTTTTCTTTTTTTTTTTTTTTTGAGACAGAGTCTCGCTGTTGTCGCCCAGGCTGGAGTGCAATGGCGCGATCTTGGCTCACTGCAACCTCTACCTCCCGGGTTCAAGTGATTCTCCTGCCTCAGCCTCCTGAGTGGCTGGGATTACAGGCATGCGCCACCATGCCCGGCTAATTTTTATATTTTTAGTAGAGACGGGGTTTTACCATGTTGGTCAGGCTGGTCTCAAATTCCTGACCTTGTGGTCCATGTGCCTCGGCCTCCCAAAGTGCTGGGATTACAGGCATGAGCCACCGTGCCCGGTCTAGACTGATTTTTCAAGGCCACCATGGAGTTGTGGTGTGGGGGCTGGGACCAGGGTGAGTTAAAATGCCCCAGGCGCACTCTTCTTGAGAGCCACCTGATTTTCTTGACCAAACGTTCCCGGATTGCTGTAAGCCTTTGGTTAGTTTTCAGAGTTCAAAAATCTGATTCTGACCGTTTTAGTCACTCTTCTGTTGCTTTTATGGTGGAGTGAACTTCCATAGGCTCTTACTCTGACATTTTTACTGAGATCTTAATGGTGTTTTGGATGAGTAAAAATTTTTGATTTTGATGAAATCCAATTCATCAATTTTTTCTTTTGTGATAGTAGTTTTTCTTTTCTTTTCTTTTTTTTTTTTTTGAGACTCTGTGTCGCCTAGGCTGAAGTGCAGTGATGTGATCTCAGCTCACTGCAACCTCCGTCTCCTGGGTTCAGGTGATTCTCCTGCCTCAGCCTCCCAGGTAGCTGGGATTACAGGCGCCCGCCACCACACCCGGCTAATTTTTGTATTTTTAGTAGAGACAGGGTTTCGCCATGTTGGCCAGGCTTGTCTCGAACTTCTGACCTCAGGTGATCTGCCCGCCTTGGCCTCCCAGAGTCCTAGGATTACAGGCGTGAGCCATCGTGCCCAGCCTAATTTCTGTGTTTTAAGAACTGTTCCATTTCATGGTTGCAAATTTATTTTATGTTTTCTACCTGTACATTTGGGTGAATTCCCCTCTTCTTGAGGTCCTCCCAGTATCCTGAGGTTCCTGTCTTTCCAGCAAGTGGTCTTAACCATCTGGAAGATGGGAGAGTTTTGTTGCTGTTGGCTGCATGTGCACCGCCATCTTTGACCCTTCAGAGTAGTTTGTCATGCTTTATTGAATGAGCATTGTTCTCAGATGACACGCAGGTAAGGCACTGGTTGTACGGTTTGTCCAATTCTATCACGTTAAAAAGGAGGAAAGGTTCTTATTGAACCTACTGCTGTGAAAATTAAGGAGACTCAGTAAGAGTTTCTGAATTCTGGGATACCAGTGAAGGTCAAAGATCATTTGAAAATATTTCGTTTTTATCAAAGCTGAGTTCAACAAATTGTTGTAGGTTAAATAGCTTAAGAAGAAAAGGCAATGACTTCCCCTTGTATCCAGAAAATAGAACATAAAACCAGCATCCACAAATAACCTCAGTAAAACTTCCCTCTTCAGTTCATTTAGTTCTGTGTAATTAATTCTTATCCTGTTAGATCTAGGGTTTATAAACTCATGAAACCATTGCTTCTTGCCTAAAGTGAATTTGGAAATGTGGACTTAACCTCCTGGTGTGTTTGAAAGTGGTGTAAGGGTTGCTCTTGCCTCCAGAGCCTGTCCCCACAGGTGTCAGTCATGGCGATGTCGGCTGCAGTCCTTCTCCAGAGCCACTGAGACTGCCCTTCTTGTTGAAGATGCAAACTCTGGCCTGTGAGTTTATCCCGAGCTTTCAGGCAGGCGTTTACAGAGTCGAGCAGAAACTTTTCACAGATGACAAAGACTTGATGGCAATGGTTAATTTCTTACTGATAATTTTTAAGTGTGAAATGCCTGATGAGGTTTTATATAATTTTCAAACATGAAATGTCTGATGTGGTTTTAATAGTAATGCAACTAATGAGGAAATTGGGTTGTTTCTGTGGCATCCAAAACAAAGATAAAAAGGCGATTAAAAAATTAGACAAAATATTACTAAGGATAATAATTCAGCCTGTTTCAAAGAAGTCAGTGGATGTTAACATCTGATTCATTGAAATGGGTGAACATAATTTTTATGAAGAAAACAGTCTTGAGATGTACAATGTTGAGACAAAATATTCCCGGAATATACCAAAGCATATCAAATGAAGAGACTGGGTAAGTCTGAGATAGAGTGAACCATTTTTAATTTCATAAAACCTCATGAATACATCTGCTGTACATGAATGCATAGCACTAGGCCACTTGAGAACCAGTGGCCTAGAAAGTGCCAGATTCAAATTAAAGAAGTAATGTGGCTAATCATTTTAGGTCATTGAAATTGTGGCTGTAACACTATGTTGTTACTGCCTGATATCAGGGAGAGCACTTGAAGGACTCGGATACAGAAAAACTTGACCAGACTATTTCATAAGCATTTTGGTCTGTGTTTCTCCTGACATTAAAACATATTATGGAATGTGAAGGCATTGACAGATCTCCAGGGATTTCCACTGAAGCGCACCATTTCTGAAATACGTCTTTTAATAACATATTAGCGATTCACAGTTCACCTGGAGAAGGCTGGGTGTCTCTTCTGATTTCACAACCCTGGCCACACAGCTCACCAAGCAAACAGTTATTACTAGCGTATGTTTTTTAGAGGAGCTCTTGCCTATCTTTTGATAAATTTAATCCTAAGAATTTTGTATTATTGATGATAATTTGAGTAGAATTTTGAAGACTGTCACCTTTCCAATATTTGCTGTTATTGTATAGACACAGTATAGTTTACTATGTTGACAGTGTCCTGTGACTTTGCTGGATTCTCGTGTATAGAGACAGTATAGTTTACTATGTTGACAGTGTCCTGTGACTTTGCTGGATTCTCGTGTATAGAGACAGTATAGTTTTAGTGTTTTGACAGTGTCCTGTGACTTTGCTGAATTCAGTCTTAGTGCCAGTAAATTTTTTTTTTTAAGATTCCTTAGGCTTTTTTTGTATAAAAATAGTGCTATTTGCAAATAAAGACAATGTTACTCCTTCCTCTTGAGCTTTATACCTTTTGTTTCTTTTTTATCACATTATTACATTGGCCGGGACCTCTGGTACGACGTGAAATAGCAGTGGTGGTAGCAGATAGCTTGTTCTTATTTTTGATCTGGGGGAAAATGTTCAATATTTCACTCTTTTATTTATTTATTTTTTTCCTGGAGACGGAGTCTCACTCTTCACCCAGTCTGGAGTGCAGTGGTGGAATCTCGGTTCACTGAAACCTCTGCCTCCCAGGTTCCAGTGATTTTCCTGCCTCGGCTTCCGTAGTAGCTGGGATTACAGGCATGTGCCACCATGCCCAGCTAATTTTTGTATTTTCAGTAGTGACGAGGTTTTGGCATGTTGGCCAGGCTGGTCTTGAACTCCCAATCTCAAGTGATCCACTCACCTTGGCCTCCCAAAGTGCTGAGATTACAGGTGTGAGCCACCGCACCCAGACTCATCCTTAGACTCGTATTTAATTAAAGAAAATGTACAATGCAGACAGGATGGCTGATGATAGTCCTTTTTTCCTGCCTGATTTTGGTTATTTGTGCTTTTTCTCTTCTCTCTTAATATCTTCAGATGTCTGCAACTTTATTAGCCTTTTAAAGTAACTGATTTTTGACTTGGTTGATTTCTCACCGTTGTAGTTTTTCCATCTGTTTTTAATCTTTATTTCCTGTCTTTGGGTTTATTTTGCATGCTTACAAAACTTCCTGGGTGATTGTGTGGGATGGCCTGGACGGAAGGGACCAGGGCTTCAGGAGGAGGATGAGCCCCACCCTTTCTGTGGTGGGAATGCCTGAGCTCTGTTGGGCTGCACATGGCTCCTACTTTGGCAGTCATTCAACAAGCCTGAGGAATGTGGCTTACTGGTAAAATAGAAAAGTATGTTGCCAGAGTTTTTCTAGGACCAGTTTGGGGGATGGAGAGGATGGTAGATTGAATACATACACCTACCTTTTTCTTTCTGAAACCTCATACTGCAGTGAGAAGTGTGGTGGGTTTTTTTTTTTTTTTTTTTTTTTTGGCAAAGGTTCATGTGAATAAGGAGAAAGTAAAGTCATAGCATTCCTATTTCAGAAGCTGGAATGTAATTGGAGAGTTGGTGATGGACTTAGCTGACTTGAGAAAACCAAATGCTAATTTGGGAGTGGGGAAAGCTGAGAGCTAGCTTGATCTGTGCTGCAGAGTTTTGACCACGCTTGGGAGCTGTGACTGCTTACTTCCAGAGTGGCCACACGAGGACATAAGAGTGTGTTGTGAGCCGGCTGCTCAGAGGCCCTGGTCCTTGCTCAGCCCAGTGCAGCCGGGGCGGGCATTAGGCGTGCTGAGCAGGCGGTAAAGCCGATGGTCGTGCACTTGGCGCTTTTCGGGACGGGGTGCCTTATGGACTACGGTAAGTGAACTCTGTGTGACCGCCGAGATGACCAGCTTTGTCCCCACTCAGCATTGAGTCTGGGCTGGTGGAGCGTTGTCCACTAAGCAAGAGTAGAAGGGCCTCCTGTGGGGACTGAGACTATCCAGAGGGAGGACAGAAAGGTACTGAAGTCGCCACCTCACAACTCTGTTGCCGTGAAACTTACAGGTGGCCGTCACAGTCGCTCATTCAGAGCCTCCTAGACATCTGAAGGAGTCTCTGATGTAAAAGGTATAGACCAAGCAAACAGAAAAACAGTGTAGAGGAAATGGAAATTATGCAAGGATAAAACTTCCAGGAAGAAACCTCTCATAAGCATCCTCAGTGAGATAAAAGTGGTTATTTTAACAAGAGAAGATAATGAAACAAGAAAAATGTCCTCTGGAAGAAGCACATTCAGTGAACAAGAAGAGTTCTGGGAAGTTAAAACTACATGAACAGATATGGGGAAAAAATCAGTGTAAGTGTTGGAAAAGTTAAGGAGATCCGGAAAGAAAAAAAAGATCAAACAGGAGAAACGGAATACACTCTGAGGATCGGGTTCTGTGGACCACATTCAACAAGTACCGCAAAGAAACGGCGGGGAGGACAGCATAATGAAACAATTGAAAAACCCTCTCTTGAGCGTCATCCTCTTCTAGACTGAAGGAGCCACCAAGTACCCAGTCCAGTGGATGAACGTCTGTGATCAAAGACCATTGCCATGGCATGTTGCTGGACCCCAAATATCAGGGTAAAGACAGCATCCTACACACCTTCAGAAGGATGAGAATAGGTTACATACGAAGCGGGAATCAGGATGGCTTTGTGCTTCTAGACAGCAGCATTGGAATTTAGTGCACAGTAAAGCAATGTGGTCTAGAGTTGCAGGAAAATAATTTTCAGCCTTTGATTCTATACCCAGTGAAACTAACAGTCGCATGAGAGAGCAGACTAAAGGCACAATGGAGATTTGCAAAGTCTTTAAAAAAGTCAGTCATCCTGGCCAGGCATGGTGCTTCATACCTGTAATCCCAGCACTTTCAGTGGCTGAGGTGGGAGGATCACTTGAGCGCAGGAGTTGGAGACCATTATGGGTAATGGTATAGGAGAGTGAGACCCCATCTGTCCAACAACAGCAACAATAGCAGCAGCAGCTGGGTGTGCTGGCCTGCTTGTAGTCCTAGGTACTCAGGGTACGGAGGGCTGAGGCAGGAGGATCGCTTGAGCCCACGAGGTGGAGGCCACAGTGAGCTATGACCATACCACTGCACCCCAGCCTGGGTGGCAGAGTGAGACCCTATCTTAAAAACAAATTATCTCCCTCAAATCTTTTTTCAGAAAGCTACTGGAGGGTGCATTGTACTAAGGAAGAGAGAGACTGATGACTGAGGAAGGATTGGAACGCAGGGAGCAGGATATCCGTCACTGGGGGAGAAGCAGCTGAAGATGATGCCTGTGCCCGGGCAGATGGTGCTCAGTCCTCAGAGCAGGAAGTGGTGCCGAGAAAGTCTCCCCAAAGACGAGATTGCCAGGCAGCCCGATGCCGGGTGAGCATGGACATCTCCAGAGGAGATTTGAACAGTTTAAAGAGCCAGGGTGGAATGAGCGATAAACAGACAGCTAAGCAAGTGAAAAACCCCTTCTCCTGTTAGCTTGAGGGGAAGCACAAAGTAGGAAGGAGTTGGAAGTCACCATGGTTTCCTTTGTGGCCTCAGTGTGAGTGGTTGAGCACCCAGCTGTGCTCAGCTAGACGCGGGGCTCAGCCAGACGCGGGGCAGCTAGAGCTGTGGTGATGGTGGTACCTGCGGGGCGGCAGAGGGGTGGTGGGAGCACAGAGCCATGGCCTCCTCTTCCATCCTGAGAAGTCACAGGTAATGCCCCAAACTGAAGAATTAGGAAAGTGGCAATGAAAGCCTATCGTCTAGAGGAAGGGAGGTCCGTTTCAACATAATTGACTCAAATAACTTAGAGTGTTTGCTTCTGAGGCTGGGAACTGGGCCAGGAGATGCAGAGTGGAGTTGGGGATGGCTGCTTGCCATAACAAGCCTTGTAGTTTGACTATGTACACTTTGTTTATGTAACTTCACGAGGAATACGTATACATGGAAGAAAAGGAGATTCGACTGGGAATGCCAGGGGCATGCTAGCAGGTGCTGTAGTCTCAGCCAGAGGCATGTGTGCAGGGTGCCTGGCACCGTCTGGGGTCTTCTGTGCGCACAGACCGCGGTGTGCACGCTCCCAGGAGCCATCTGATGGGGCAGCCTCGAGCACCTCTGACTTCTGACTTCGCCCCACGGGAGCCCATCTGGGGCTCCAGCCTTGACCTGGCAGCCAGCAGGGCTGGGATGGGACTGCGGCCAGCCACGTGGGTTCTCAGCTGGTTAGGGCCTCGGTCCTCTATCCCTTACCTCTGTCCCACGGAGACCCGTGCGAGGGCCCATCAGGCACTCGAGCTGGCACCACGAGGACTACTGACGGCTTTGCTGGATGCTGCTGGGAAGTTGAGCCGGCCAAGGTGGCGAGTGGCTGCGCCTGGGCTGCCCCGTCCTGGCGGCGGCGCCCTCCCGTTTTCTGTTCTGGGAAGCACACGGTGCAGGCAGTGTTTGTGCCTTTTCCCAGAGGAGCCCTTTGTCCTGAGGAGGCGTGGATGTTCTCTGGAGACCCGGGGCCTTTCGCAGCGGCACCGTGACTTCCTGCTGCTGGGCCCTGGGCCCTGTGTGGAGTCGAGGCCTGCAGGGGCGAGAGTCAGACGAGAGTTGGAGTCTGGGGTTCACATGGGATTCTGCAGCTTCCCAGCGGTGTAATCTTGGGCCAGACACGTCCCACCCGAGCCTCGTGTGCTTGTCTGTTGAATGGGAAGGGTCGTGGTGTCTCGCAAGGCTGTGAAGAATGAAAGCTGTGTGGTGAGGAATAATGGCAGAGAACACTCACCAGGCCCTTTCCAGGTGCTGCTCCAAGCACTTCCTGGGCCTTCACTCCAGCAGTCCTCCCTGCCACCCTTTGAGGTGGGGGCACTGTTGTCATACTCATTTTATGAGTGAGGAAGTACAGGCAGGAGAGGTTAGCAGCTGTCCTGAGGACTCACAGCCGATGAGTGGCTGGGATCTGAACCCACACAGCAGTGTTGCATTGCCGTGTGCTCTTCCCATCAGACTTAGGCCTCGTGGTGATGAGCTTGTGTGTCTATCCCAGGGACCCTCCAGATGTGGCTGATTTCTGGCATCTCTTACGGGTCTGGTCTTGGGCTGCGTGGTCTCATGGCCCCTTTGGCAGCCTGCATGGTGCCCTCTTACTGGGCACGGTGAGGCCTCAGGAACACAGCAGCTCCACCCTCCAACTGCTGGGCTTCTCTGCTGCCCTTTGCATGGCGGAGGTGACCCATATGTGTCCCATCTCCACCCTCCAGCTGCTGGACTTTTCTGCTGTACTTTGCATGGCGGAGGTGACTATACGTGTCCCATCTCCACCCTCCAGCTGCTGGGCTTCTCTGCTGTCCTTTGCCTGGTGGAGGTGACCCATACGTGGCCCATCTCCACCCTCCAGCTGCTGGGCTTCTCTGCTGTCCTTCTCTGCTGTCCTTTGCACGGTGGAGGTGACCCATACGTGTCCCATCTCCACCCTCCGGCTGCTGTCCTTCTCTGCTGTCCTTTGCAGGGTGGAGGTGACCCATACGTGGCCCTGCTGTAATCCGCCAAGCACTTCCGGGGGTGAGGTTGAGGAATCTTTGTGGGGCATGTGTGCACGTGTGTGCATGCTGTGGCTCCAGCACCACAGTGTTGACAGTCCTGTGAGCCTACTGGGTAAGAGCCTAGGTTGAGGCCTGCTGCCTCCTTTGGTTGTGTGGCCTCAGGCAGGTTATGGAACTGCACCCATGTTTTCATCTTTAAATTGGGGAGAATGAGAGTGCCCTTCGCTCTGCTGGCACGATACGCAGGAAACGTTGCTTCTCTTCAGCAGATTATTAGGATTCTCTGAAAGTTCTCCCCAGTTCTCTTTTCTACCCCATTCATTAATGGCAGCCACCAGTGGCGTAGCAGCAAGGAAAATTGGGCCGTTTTGAAGCACTATCGAGTTCTGCCTGTCTTGCTAAATCATCTGTGTTCCAACTGTGCTCTTTGAACTGTTGAAGGCCAGAAGTTGTTTTGCGTTTGATCACCTATAACCGCCAACCCCCCATGTGTTTCTGCCTGTGTTTAACTGGTCACAGGGAGCTTGGGGCTCCTCCGGTTCCCATCCTTGGGAGAGGCAGGCCCATCCACTCAGTACCCACGGCAGGCACCTGGTTCTCATCTCTGACGCCCCGACTTTCCCTTCTCAGCCTGTGTCGCCTTTCCTGTGATTTCCTCTCCTTGCCTTCCTGGGATCCTGCTAGTTCCAGCCCATCCCCACTGCCGCTACGCCACTTGGAAACCCTTTCTCGTGCAGTGGCCACCTTACCGTCCCTGGCTTCACTTTTGCGTCTTGCAACTATTCTTCACTCCAGCACTTGGAGGGATCTGCCTGAGATGAAGCAATGACCACGAGACCCTGCTCAAAGCTGTTTGTCTGTCCCTGCCGATGTCACGATGAAGTCCTCATGTCTCCATGTGGCTGACCAGAAGCCTCCTGCCATTGCCTGGCTCTCCCGCTTCTCTGTCACCCTCGCCTCAGCCTCTGCACCAGCCACACCGAACATGAGTTCTGTGCTTTCTCCCACTCCCTCTGCCCTCCCACTTGCCCTCCCCTTTCCCTGTTACGGCCCACTCCAGCCCCGAACACTTAGTGGCTTTGAACAGTGCTTGGTAATTTTTCAGGATTCTGCAGGTTGCCTGGGGCCAATCTGGTGGCAGTTGGGGATGGGACATCCAGGATGGCTTTATGTGCACGTGTGCTGCCTTGTTAATGGCCAGGAGGCAGGGCTGCCTTCTTTCCTCAGGGGCTCTCTCTGGCTAGGACGAGCTGCTTCACGTGGCTGCCAAAGCCCATAGGGACAAGCCCTGGCATGCAGGTTCCTTAAGCCTGTTGGTTGTGGTTGCAGTAGCTGTGGCCAGAGCCTGGCCCGGGTGTTTGTGGAAGGGACGACCTGAGGGCACGAGTCCGGGAGGCAGGGCCCCTTCGGATGCATTCATCATTTAGGGTTTATCTGCATCCTGTCTCGTCTCAGGAAGCCTTCCGCAACCCCTCCACCCAGACTGTGGTCCAGCCCCTGCTCCAAGTGCCCCCGGTGGGCCTTTGTGCTCTCAGTCCTGGCCGACCCCTCCACCCAGACTGTGGTCCAGCCCCTGCTCCGAGTGCCCCCAGTGGGCCTTTGTGCTCTCAGTCCTGGCCGACCCCTCCACCCAGACTGTGGTCCAGCCCCTGCTCCGAGTGCCCCCAGTGGGCCTTTGTGCTCTCAGTCCTGGCCGACCCCTCCACCCAGACTGTGGTCCAGCCTCTGCTCCATGTGCCCCCTGTGGGTCTTTGTGATCTCAGTCCTGGCACCTTGACCCGCTGCTTGTTCTGCTCTCCTTTAAACTCCATGCACCTGACCTGTTAATTGCACGCAGCGCGGAGCCTGGCACCTGCAGTGTAGACACACTGGCCACCGCTCAGTGCAAGAGGGCCCCTTTGCTAATGTGCACAGCTCTTTATGCCTTTTTTCCTATGCCTTTTTGGATTGGAGCAAGAGATTTTTTTTTTCCAAGTAAAGAACAATTTATGTTCCTAAATACTTTTTTTCCTTGACATGACGAAGTTGAGCAAGGTGGCTATAGAACTTTTTTTCTTAATTTTATTGCACAAGTAATGTTCTTTACAAAGTAGGGAAATACAGATACATAAAAAGAAGACTGCCAATCCCCCGTAATCCCACCAGTCGCATCCCTACCCGCTCTTAGGAGATTCCGGTTTACCTTTGTAGATTTTCACTGTCTACATGCGGACTTTAAAAGGTGCAGTCCTGCAGGCGAATGTGTAGCCGCCTGCGTTTGCGTCATAGGTCCCGAATGTCCTTTCTGCCACACAGGAGGCCATCCCACGCTTGTCCTGTCACGGATCGTTTGCCTCCTGTGAATATTCAGGTTGTTTCCGGTTCTTCCTGTTCTGAACAGCGCCAGGACAAGCACCGGGTACACATTTTTGCATTTTAAAACACATTTAGTAACTCATTCTTCAGCTGGGGAAAAGCCCACGTAAGAGCCCATCAGCAAGTCCGAGCGCGTGTTCCTCCCGCTTCAGCCGCCATCCCTGGCTCCTTAGCGTGTTCCTCCCGCTTCAGCCACAATCCCTGGCTCCTTAGCACACTCGGAATAAAACCTGAGTCCTCCCGGTGGCCTCTGGGCCCCACGCCCCGTGTGTCTGCCCCCTGCTCCAGGCTTGTGTTCTTCCTCCACCCTCCCAGAGCTCCTTGGTGTTCCGGCCTCAGGACCTTGACCTCGTGGCGCCCTCCACGCGGGAGTATCGTCCTGTGCCTTCTCGCGGCTGGTTCACCCACACCAGCCACATCATCAGAAGGAAGAGATTCTTAGGCGATTTTTGTTTGCTGAAGGAGAATCACAGATCAGGATGAGGTCTCCTGGTCCCTTCCTCCCTTTTAAGGACAGATAACTGAAGTTCAGGAAAGCCCAGGCCACACAGCAGGCCAGGGACCAGCTGGGGCCACAGCCCAGGCCTGCAGGTGCATGGCTGTTGCCTTTCTAGAGTTCTGAGGCCTTTTCTCTCCCTTTATTGCTCAGCAAGTTCAAAGAACATCTCGCTAATGATGCACCTTTTTCTGAGTTTCTGTTCGTTAAAGTCCTTTGTTCCCACATTGCCTTTGATTGTTTCTCTAGAAGCCAGATTTACTTGATTTTCAATTCACTGTTCTTTTTTTTTCTTTTTTTAGACAGTCTCGCTCTGTCACCCAGGTTGGAGTGCAGTGGCACGATCTCGGCTCACTGCAACCTCTGCCTCCTGGGTTCAAGCCATTCTCCTGCCTCAGCCTCCCGAGTAGCTGGGACTACAGGCACCCACCACCACGCCTGGCTAATTTTTGTATTTTTAGTAGAGATGGGGTTTCGCCATGTTGGCCAGGCTGTTCTTGAACTCCTGACCTCAAGTGATCCACCCGCCTCGGCCTCCCAAAGTGCTGGGATTACAGGCGTGAGCCACCATGCCCGTCCAATTTACTGTTCTTTACTCTGCAATCTGCTGCCTCTTTGCCAAAATAAATCTTTGCAGGTAAGATAGGTGCGGTGGGGAGTGTGAAATTTATTACAGAATGGTTATTTTGCTTCTTAAAAAATTTTTGTTTTAAGAGGCAGAGTCTTGCCATGTTGCCCTGGCTGGTATCAAACTCCTGGCTTACACGATCCTCCTGCCTTGGCCTCCCAAAGTGCTGGGATTACAGGCATACACCATCATGCCTGGTCTAAAATATTGTGTTTTTTTTTTTAATTTTTTTAAGAGATGAGGTTGCCCAGGTTGGAGTGCAGTGATGTGATCATAGCTCACTACTGCCTCGAACTCCCGGGCTCAAGTGGTCCTCCCACCTCAGCCTCCTGAGTAGCTGGATTACAGGTGCCCACCACCATGCACGGCTAATTTTAATTATTATTATTATTATTATTATTTTTTGAGACGGAGTCTCGCTCTGTTGCCCAGGCTGGAGTGCAGTGGCGTGATCTCGGCTCACTGCAAGCTCCGCCTCCCGGGTTCACGCCATTCTCCTGCCTCAGCCTCCCGAGTAGCTGGGACTACAGGCGCCCGCCACCATGCCCGGCTAATTTTTTTTGTATTTTTAGTAGAGACGGGGTTTCACCGTGTTAGCCAGGATGGTCTCTATCTCCTGAGCTCGTGATCCGCCCGCCTCAGCCTCCCAAAGTGCTGGGATTACAGGCATGAGCTGCCGCGCCCGGCCTGCTAATCATGACTAAAGGTAGAACAGTCAGGAATGTCACCTGTTATCTCTGAAGTCATAGTCCCTTGGTTTTCCCTGACCTGCCTGCTACTGCGCCCACTTGCAGCAGCACCTCCGTTGCCCAGTGAAGCATGCTGCCCTGGTCTTACTGTTTCACCGGCACTCTCCTATCTGCGATGCCACTGTCCACAGCGGGGTTGCTTTAGGGTTTCGAGCTCACCTGGGGCCTTCCTGGGTTCTAGCCCCGTGAGCTACAGGCACTTCTTTGTAAAAGGGGATTCCACCAGTTAGGCAGATTCCGGTTCAGTCTCCAGCAGCCCGGGGCCCTTCCTGGAAGAGTGCTTTGTGAGCGGAGTGCGCCGCCCAGGTGTGTAGTGGTGCTTCTCAGGCCCATGGGCTGCCCTTCCCTGGGCCTCTTCTGTTTGAGGCCCTTGTCACTGGGTTCGCCTGGCATGATGATGGAGGCCCTGCAGCTCCCTGCCAGGCGTGGTTCCGCCCAGGTCATTCTCCCGGCCCAGCTGCTGTGGACAGTGGACACACGCTGTCACAGCCTCAGGCCGGCCGGGCCACGCCTCCCGGAAGCGGGCCTGCTTGTGTGTGGTTGCATCCCAAGCTCTCCACTTGCTGCCCCTGTTCTGAGCTTCTTGCCGAAGTTGTGTTTGGGGCCATTATCTAGCTTTCTTTTTGAACGTTTAAAGCATTCAAAAGATCAGCTTTTCCAAAGAGTGAGGAAACAGGGAGAGAAAATTATGGCATTTGTTTGAAAGGTTCTGAGGGCTTTTTTTTAGCTTGAACAGTTCAAACAGCGCCTCTTGTTAATCAGGAATGTTCTGGCATCCCTGGGGTGGTCACACGGGCTTAATTGGAACCCAGGCTGCTTTGAAGCCCTTGAGATCCTTCCTGAGCTGGGAGAAAGAGTGCGAGGGCAGCAACTGTAAAGCCGGCATTTCTTCATTTTATTTACATGTGTCTGGGGACCCTTGTAACTCATGTCCCTGCAGCAGTTGAGCCAAGTTGCTGACTTGTGGACAGCTCAGAGAGATGGGGGCCAGTTTCTGGCAAAAGAGCTGTAAAACATGGCCTGGGTCCAGGGCTGCGGCGGGATCCCCTCCTGGGAGGCGAGGTCTGGATGGACCACGTCACAGTCGTGGTGGCGTGGACTTTGCTGCTGGCGGCCTGTTCTTGTCAGAAGTTTCCACATGGGAGAACGTGTGGTTTTACTGAAGTCACTTAATGAGTGACCCTAATAGCTCTAAGACGTTCATCAGTATGGACCCCAGGACTTACTTCCTCTTTCGCAGAGCATGTGGACCCACAGTAACCACACTGGAGTTCCAGGCACAGGTGTACCCTGGGGGCCGGTCATTCTGCGTACACAGACCTGCCTTTGTCAGCGGGGCTGTGGGCAGCATGGGGTGGCCATCCAGCCATGGCCATGTTGCTCCAAGCCCCACCGTGGTCCTCAGGGGCACTCTGTCTCGCCCTGAGCCTCCAGCCACCTTGCCCGTCAGTCTTTCCCTGTACCTCTTGGGGATGGGGAGTCTGCCACCTAGCAAAGCACCCACTTGTCCCACCCCTTCCATTCTGTTGAGCTGAGACGCGTGTTTTGGTCGTTTCGTGCCGTGGACACCACCTTGGTTTAGTGAAACACGGCGCAGAGTCCCCTCTCCCCTGGACCACGTTTCCCCATTTCAGCTCCCTGCTGTGCACGGCTGCTTCTTCCCGCTCTGCAGAGGGTGGTCCTGGTGGCTGGAGTGCGGCAGGCAGCAGCATCCTCCCATGGTGGCTCGCATCCCAGAGTGTGACCGTGGGTTCATGCTGACGGCTCAGGCATCCCCTGAGCCTGGACACTGAAGTGTACAGATTGAGGTGTGTTGTTGGATGAGTCATGACAAGTGGAACATGTGCACTCGTCCAGATAACACACTTCTATCAGTCCAGAGTTCCCGGGGTCCCCCCAGTCCAGCCCTTCATCCCCGGCAGCTGTAGCTTAGCCTTGTTTGTTGTAGAACTTCCTATAAATTCTTCCCTTTCTATTTTTTTTCTTTTTCTTTTTTTTTTTGAGATGGAGTCTCACTTTGTCGCCCAGGCTGGAGTGCAATGGTGCGATCTCGGCTCACTGCAACCTCCACCTCCCGGGTTGAGGCGATTCTCCTGCCTCAACCTCCAGAATAGCTGGGATGACAGGCGTGAGCCACTGCGCCCAGCCGTATTTGTATTGCCCACCTTTTGTTTCGTTGAATCTGTGCTCAGGTGTCACCTTTCCCTAGCTAGAGCCCTTTCCTGGCCCTCCCGGGTCAACATGCCCCCTTCCCTCAGCCTCAGGCTTTCCACTCTTCTCCAGATCCGGCCACTGGATCAAGCCACTGTCACCTCCTCTGGGCCTTGGGGATGTCACCTGCCCACTCTTGTCATGGTCGGCCTCCTTAGCGAGCCACTCAGCTCTAGCTGCCAAGGACTCTGTCTGTTTGTCCATGTAGTGTCCTTGCTGGGCACACAGCAGGTGCTCAGTTAAATTTGTTCACTGGATGCAGATTCTGCAGGCATCTTCACAGATTATGCTGATGGAGCAGGTGTGCCCTACCACCATATGTTTCTACAATTGATTTTTTTTTGGTGCAACTGTCAAAAAATTTATTTTTCCTCTACCACCCGCAACCCCCCCCCCCCCCATTTTTCCTGCTTCTTAGTGTGGTTTTAGACTCTGATTCTGTCACTTAACATATCTGCTGTCTCCATTTGATGTGACCTACAACCTGATAGGCATGCCGTCTGCCCCTGCTCGGGCGATGGGCGTGGGCACCAGCAACCGTCACAGGGGTCCAGGGTTTTCCACTGACTGCCGGGTGCCCTCAGCGCAGAGCTCCTGCAGGAGGGTCGAATTGTCTGTTTCATAGACCAGAAAACTGAGGCTCAGCTGGGCCCTTCACCTGGCTGCCTCCAGAGTGCGGGCTTTCTGCTGTGCCAGGCTGTTCTCTTGCCTCTCCCATTCCTTTGCATCAGTCGGCACTCTGGAACAGTGCCTGAGGATGTTAGAATCACCTTATGTCTCCTCTGGAAAGAGGCCAGTGGATAGAGAAATATTTATTTCTGATCTTGTAGTCTCTGTTTATACAGCGGTTCGTTATACAAGTAACCTATTGAGAAGAGGACATAGGTGTCTGCATGCATCCGCTTCTCAGTGAGTCCATGCTGGACTGTAACTGTTCCCATTTTCCTGAGGTGGGGGGTTGAGGTTTGGAGAGCTCAGAGTCACAGATTCGCAATGAATGGACTTAGAATTGAGTGCTTGACTGACTGCAGACACTAAGGTGTTAACTCTGCTGCCTCTTTATGCTTGGGATGGTTTGCAGAACCTGCTTTTTGAAAACAAGACTATTTACATGCACGTTTCTGTTCCCAGTAATTCTTGGCATGGATGAGGGAGATGCTTTGTGTCAGATTCGCATGGTGAGGAGGGGGCAGCTCTGAGAGGAGCCAGGCCCAGGCTGCCTCCAGGGCGTCCAGTGCTCCCCAGGCTTGCCTAGGAGAGTGTCGATTCCTGCTGCACAGCAACTCTCATGACCAAGTTTAAAATGCATTATACGTAGAAAAGTGTGCTTCTGTGGCTCACGCCTGTAATCTCAGCACTTTGGGAGGCCAAGGCGGGCGGATCATGAGGTCAGGAGTTGGAGACCAGCCTGGCCAACATAGTGAAACCCTGTCTCTACTAAAGATACAAAAAATTAGCCAGGTGTGGTGTCATGCGCCTGTAATCCCAGCTACTCTGGAGGCTGAGGCAGAAGAATCGCTTGAACCGGGGGGGCAGAGGTTGCAGTGAGCCGAGATTGTGCCACTGCACTCCAGCCTGGGCGACAGAGTGAGACTCTGTCTCAAAAAACAAAAAACAAAGAATACATACTGTCGCCTGTGTGCCCATTCTCAAGAAAAAGGAAAGTTTCTTTGAAAACATGTGGACCTTCCCTAGTTCCATCCCATTACGCCCCCAACCCACACTCCCAGAGCAAGCCCCTGGGCTCTGTGATCACTCCTGAGTTTTGTAAACACTGTGGTGCTCACTCAGTCCTGCTCCCTGGAGGCCTTGGCCGCCCATCCTTAATGTGCCGGTTTGTGCCTGTTGCACGTCATTGTAATTACATCATTTAATTAAATATGGAAGCTGATGAAAAATAATTATGTGTAGAGCAATGTTTCTGTGAAGACAAAGCTGAATGCTTTGGAAAGTCCCAAAGGAAAATTGCTAAAAAATTGCTATTGAATAAAGCAAATAGTGAAAGATTATGAGGAAAAGTTGTAAGGTCTGGGAAGATGACAGGGATCCACTTTAAAGAAACAAAGCTAACAATCATGAGCGGTGTGTCGTGGACATGGTTCATGCAAAAAAAAAAAAAAAGATGAAACTCCAATTAATGGACTCATGTTCGAAGAAAAAGTTTGCAGCTTGAAAGATAATTGTGTGTTTTTCTGTTTTAAGTTGAAATGTTTGAGATACACGCATCATTTGATTCCTCACTTAGCCAACTTCTGGGATCCATTACGTTTTTTTTTTTTTTTTTTGTGAGTGGTGGATTATAGATAACTTTATTTTTATTCTTTGTGTTTTCCTCTTTTAATGGATTTTTTTTAAGATATCATTTACCCCTTTAAGTTGGTTTTTTGTTTGTTTTTTTTTTTAGTATTTATTGATCATTCTTGGGTGTTTCTCGGAGAGGGGGATTTGGCAGGGTCATAGGACAATAGTGGAGGGAAGGTCAGCAGATAAACACGTGAACAAAGGTCTCTGGTTTTCCTAGGCAGAGGTCCCTGCGGCCTTCCGCAGTGTTTGTGTCCCTGGGTACTTGAGATTAGGGAGTGGTGATGACTCTTAACCAGCATGCTGCCTTCAAGCATCTGTTTAACAAAGCACATCCTGCACCGCCCTTAATCCATTTAACCCTGAGTGGACACAGCACATGTTTCAGAGAGCACAGGGTTGGGGGTAAGGTTATAGATTAACAGCATCCCAAGGCAGAAGAATTTTTCTTAGTACAGAACAAAATGGAGTCTCCCATGTCTACTTCTTTCTACACAGACACAGTAACAATCTGATCTCTCTTTCTTTTCCCCACATTTCCCCCTTTTCTATTCGACAAAACCGCCATCCTCATCATGGCCCGTTCTCAATGAGCTGTTGGATACACCTCCCAGACGGGGTGGTGGCCGGGCAGAGGGGCTCCTCACTTCCCAGACGGGGCGGCCGGGTGGATGGGCAGGGGCCGCCCCCCACCTCCCGGATGGGCGGGGGCCGCCCCCCACCTCCCGGACGGGGTGGCTGGCCGGGTGGGGGCTGCCCCCCACCTCCCGGACGGGCTGGCTGGCGGGCGGGGGCTGCCCCCCACCTCCCGGACAGGGCGGCTGCTGGGCAGAGGGGCTCCTCACTTCCCAGACAGGGCGGCCGGTCAGAGATGCTCCTCACCTCCCAGACGGGGTGGCGGTGGGGCAGAGGCACTCCTCAGTTCCCAGATGGGGTCGCGGCCAGGCAGAGGCGCTCTTCACATCCCAGACGGGGCGGCGGGGCAGAGGCGCTCCCCACATCCCAGACGATGGGCGGCCGGGCAGAGACGCTCCTCACTTCCTAGACGGGATGTCGGCCGGGAAGAGGCGCTCCTCACTTCCCAGACTGGGCGGTCGGGCAGAGGGGCTCCTCACATCCCACACGATGGGCGGCCGGTCAGAGACGCTCCTCACTTCCTAGATGGGGTGGCGGCTGGGCAGAGGCTGCAATCTCGGCACTTTGGGAGGCCAAGTCAGGCGGCTGGGAGGTGAAGGTTGTAGCGAGCCGAGATCACGCCACTGCACTCCAGGCTGGGCAACACTGAGCACTGAGTGAGTGAGACTCCGTCTGCAATCCCGGCACCGCGGGAGGCCGAGGCTGGCAGATCACTCGCGGTCAGGAGCTGAGACCAGCCTGGCCAGCACAGCGAAACCCCGTCTCCACCAAAAAATACGAAAACCAGTCAGGCTTGGCGGCGCGCGCCTGCAATCTCAGGCACTCAGCAGGCTGAGGCAGGAGAATCAGGCAGGGAGGTTGCAGTGAGTCGAGATGGCGGCAGTACAGTCCAGCCTCGGCTCGGCATCAGAGGGAGACCGTGCAAAGGGGAGAGGGAGGGGGAGGGGCAGGGGCTCCATTATCGTCTTGATGATTCTGGGTAGGAAACCTTGCAGTGATATATTGCTGCCCCATTTATAGTGCCAGTTATTTGCATTGTTATGCATAGCTGAGCGTCAGTTAGGAATGATAGAATTGTTTTGTTACAAATGTTTATAATTAGATTTTCTCTGCATTAATTTGTTGTGGGAATTATTTTTCTTTTTATAAAATTTTTATGTAGTACCTGATTCTGCAATATAAGGTTGCAATACTAGGCTTTGAAAATTACTTATTGAACAGCTATTGTATTTTCTTGGTACAGAATATTGAAAACATTCAAAAAGTATCCAGTGGCTAGCCCGGCATGGTAGTGGGTACCTGTAATCCCAGCTACTCTGGAGGCTGAGGCAGGAGAGCGGAGATTCCAGTGAGCTGAGGTCATGTCACTGCACTCCAGCCTGGGCGACAGAGCGAGCCTCTGTCTCAAAAAAGAAAAAAAAATAGGCCGGGGGCGGTGGCTCACGCCTGTAATCCCAGCACTTTGGGAGGCCGAAGCGGGCAGATCACAAGGTCAGGAGATCGAGACCATCCTGGCTAACACAGTGAAACCCCGTCTTTACTAAAAGTACAGAAAAATTAGCTGGGCATGGTGGTGGGCGCCTGTAGTCCCAGCCCCTCGGGAGTCTGAGGCAGGAGAATGGTGTGAACCCAGGAGGCGGAGCTTTCAGTGAGCCAAGATTGCGCCACTGCACTCCAGCCTGGGCCACAGAGTGAGACTCTGTCTCAAAAAAAAAAAAAAAAAAAAATAGGATCCAGTGGCAAGCCTCCTGCCATGTTCTTGTTCTCCAGCAGGAGGCCATTGTTATTTTCTTGTTTATCTTTTAGATTTTTTTTTTTTTTTTGAGACAGGGTATCATTCTGTCTGTCACCCAGGCTGGAGTGCCGTGCGCGATCATAGCTCACTGTAGCCTCTGCCTCCCAGGCTCAAGAGATCCTCCCGCCTCAGCATCCTGAGTAGCTGGGACTATAGGCACTCCCCACCAGGCCTGGCTAATTTTTTGTATTTTTTTTGCAGAGACGGGGTTTTACCATGTTGCCTAGGCTGGTCTGAAATTCCTGGGCTCAAGTGATCTACCCACCTCTGCCTCCCAAAGTGCTGGGATTACAGGCATGAGCCACTGCGCCTGGCCAGACTTCTTTTGTGCAAAAATGAATCAACACAGCCATGCAGGTTTTGACTTTTCTGCACACGGCAGCATAGCATACTTATAGTCCGCTTCTTGTGTCTGTATTTAGCACTGCCTTTTTGGTGATCTTTCATGTTAATATAGGAAAAGATGTGTTTTTTTCCTCTTACACAAGTTCCATTGTATGGATAGACTACGACATTTAACCTGTTATACCGAACTTTTAATCCAGTGGTCTGAGTTCAGTAGAATGACTTGCGTAGCATTTAGTCGGATAGTTACTGTTCTGGAATGATATGATTTTTTTTGCTCATTCTCTTAGTATTTATTGAAAACGTATTATTGGGCCAGTGGAAAAAAACAGAACAAAATAAAAAACAGTCCCATGCCTTTCTGGAGCCTGCATTCCAGTGGAGGGGGAAAGACACTAAATAAGCAGGTAGAAAGATGCAGGATCTCAGCTGGTGGTGTTCTGTGAAGGAGGAGAGCACCAGGAGGAGCGGCCAGGAGCCAGGGCTCAGGTGACATTCCATTGAAGACTCAAACAAGTGAAGAGGGGGCAGGCCACGCAGGCATCTAGGGGTGCGGTGTTGTGGAAGAGGGCTGTGCAGAGGACCTGAGGTGGGAATGTGGCTCCCGTTGTGGGAGGTTTTGAGGCAGTGACGTGGAGAAGCAGATGCCTCCTGCACCCCTGTCCTGCACAGGCAGTGTGTGGGACCCACATCCCCGTAGGAAAGTGGTTGCTCCCTGTGGGAGTCACAGCGTGACGAGGGTTTGCTGCTGCGTGGGCCTTTGGGCTTATGGATGGGGCTGGAGAGTAGTGGTGGAGCAGCCAGGCCTGAAACCACACCTTGCCTGGGTCCCTTTCCATGGGGTAAGAGTGACCTTTCCTCTGTCTGCTGGGAAGAGTGTGAGTGGCATCGTCTGCCATGTGGCCAGGGTGTCACGGAGCGGCCCAGGCTCTTGGTGAGAGGGACTGGTGCCCCATGTGAATCCCCTGACTTGGGGTTCCTCTGATCTTGGGACCAGAGAGTCTGAGCTCCAGCTTAGTGGCCTCAGGCTGGGTGCAGCAGGTGCAGCAGGTGCAGCCTCAGGCAGGTGGCTCCTGCAGAACCTGACCCAGGGCCGGGTACTGCACAGCATGGCATTAGTCCCCTGTCTTCAGGAAAACACCAGCTGCTCCTCCCGTGTTCTGGGGCCATGCATCTCTCCCAACCTGGCGACCCCACCTTTCCACACAATTGTGTTGCATCAGCCAGAAAAGTCCGGCTGACATGACGCCCTGTTGCCCTTGTGACTTTGCAGTTGTGAATGCTGATTGTCCTTTGGTTTGTAGCACTGAGGTTTTGCTGTCTAATGTATTTTATTCCTATTTCTGCATACTTTTCGCAAAACAAGCCCTGCAGAGACAGCCTGTGTCGCTTGGGTTGTGTTCCCTGCCTTCCGCAGGGCTCTGGCTGGAGCCCCAGCCTCAGCAGTTTTGGACTGTGGTCCTAGGCCCTGTGGATTTCTATTCTTTGAAAGCTTGAGGTGTCTTGTTTGCTAATTAGTTTGATGGCTGTTGCTGTTTCATTCATTTTCCACCTCGGAGTCCTCTGGGTCTCCAGTTTTTCAGACTCGGTGAAACTGGCACTTTGGGCTTCAGCTAGAGCCCCAACATCTGCTATTAGCCCCAAAATAGCTGTGGCTTGGGCTGGAGCTGCTCTCGCCTCGGAAGGAAAGCAGTAGGCCGGACTCCCCACAGCCCTCTGCTGCTCTGCGTGCAGCTGGGCTTGAGTCAAAATTCAGCTGCAGATAGAACAAAAAGACTTTCTTCCCCTTGAAAACCCACCAGTTAGAATTTAAAAGGCTTCGCAGCTGAAGCCCGCGTGTTCAGCAGCAGATGTCACAGCTTGGACTGCAGTTGGAACTGTCACTGCCGTGTCATCTCCGAGCTGAGGCTCCTGAGGCCTCTGAATGCCTTCCACTTTGTAGTTGGTGAAGTGCGGGTTTCAGAATGGACTGTCGGGAGTTATTCTTAGGCCGTAATAATACTTGGCACGGCTCCTCCTGGTTACGAGCACTTAGCTAATCCCCAGAGCACCCTTGGTAAACATCTCTGAGTAGCTTTAACCACACACAGGTCAGGAGGCTTCTGGAAAATAAACACTCTTCCTGCCAGTTGGAGGTGTTGGGGCTCTGGTCTTGGATTTGATGTGTGGCGAAGGCTGCAATTGTTTAATAACCCTTCATGATTCAACAGCTCTTCAAGAACTTTCCTCTGTTCTTGTGTGGAGCTCGTGACAGCCAGTGGTGGTGGAGCTCCAGCCCTCTCTTCCCACAGGCACAAGCCGGGTTCCTGAGTCCCAGGGCTTCTCGGGAGGTGTCTGCCCTCCTCTTTCAGACACCCTCTGCCCTGTGTCCCAGGGCCCTGGGCCTGTGCTGCACTGAGCAGAGACTGTAGGGGACCGGCTCTCCCACTCCTCCCAGATGGGCAGCGTCTTCCGTGTCGGGAGCATGCTGTGCTGCTTTTCTCTTCTCAGTCTCTTAGTTTTTGCGGGTTCTTACGCATGTGAGGTGTGGACTTGCATGGTGGGGAGCTCAAATGGTAACATGAAGGGGAGGAGCCCTCTGAGTGCTGTGATTTGTTCCATCATTACCGCTTCCTGATCACGGTGACCTGCACTGCTGGAGTGGTCAGTGGAGCCAGGCCTCCCCACAACAGTGTTCCCATCGCCTTCTTACTATTGATTTCTATTCTTAAAATATTGTATTACTTAGCACTCTTTTGAAGACGTTCCAGTATATATCAAATGATCAAAAGTCCATAACCTTGTCCTACGTAGAAGCCAAAGGTGTCATGCAGTTTCAGGTGTTCGAGTTTCCAGAATTCTTGTGATGACATTTGTAGGATTCTTCTTTTAGACTTGGACCAAATTCTGTAACCTAATATTTGTCCTTCAGATTGACAGAGAACCGCAGGCAGTGTTTTCTCTGTCACACGTGTGGTGGGTGGCATCCTGGTGACATAAAGAATTGCCTTTGGTAACTTGCCCAGAAGGCTGTAGGGTTATTTTCTGCTTAGACTTTCCCCTATTTCTTTCTTTTCTTTTCTTTTCCTTTTCTTTCTTTCTTTTTTTTTTTTTTTGAGATGGAGTCTTGCTCTTGTTGCGCAGGCTGGAGGGCAATACCGTGGTCTCAGCTCACTGTAACCTCCACCTCCCGGGTTCAAGCAATTCTCCTGCCTCAGCCTCCTGAGTAGGTGGGATTACAGGCACCTGCCACTGCACCCGGCTAATTTTTTGTATTTTTAGTAGAGACGGGGTTTCACCATGTTGGCCAGGCTGGTCTTGAGCTCCTGACCTCAGGTGATCCGCCTGCCTCGGCCTCCCAAAGTGCTGGCATTATAGGCGTGAGCCACTGCGCGCCCAGCCTCCCCTCTCTATTTATGCAGATGATCGGTAGTTCCGGAAGTAGTTGTGTGTAAGAATCACCAGGGAGTTTGTGTGCAGCCCCTAAGCCCCGCCTTCAGGGGGGTCTTGATTCAGTGGGGTGGGGTGGGGCGGGGCAGGCTGGAGTTGCCTCAGATGACTCTGGTGCAGGTGGTCCATGCCATTAGCCCGACGTCATGACGCCACGCACCGTGAAACCATGCATCCACTGCCCTCGCCACACGCGCCGTGAAACCATGCGCCCGCTCCCCTCGCCACACGCGCCGTGAAACCATGCGCCCGCTCCCCTCGCCACACGCGCCGTGAAACCGTGCGCCCGCTCCCCTCGCCACACGCGCCGTGAAACCGTGCGCCCGCTCCCCTCGCCACACCCGCCGTGAAACCGTGCGCCCGCTGCCCTCGCCACACGCGCCGTGAAACCATGCGCCCACTGTCCTGGTTAGAGCCGAGCACATCCTCGTGTCCTGCGCTTTTTGCAGCAACTGCCTGACCACCTTTTTGCCCAGCATCAGCTTTAATGGGTGTTCAGTGCTCAATGTTATGGCTATGAGGACTTGCTTATTTTTTTTATTGTTGAGCTTTTTTTTAAATTAAAAACTATGAGATGGAGAAAGTAAGTTGGTGCAGCCACAGTGGAAAACAGCCTGTGGTGGTTCTCGGAAAAACCGAAAAGGGGATGCTCTGTCAGTGCCGCTTCTGCGTATCCACCCGAGATCATTAAAAGCAGCGTTTGGAACAGGCATTGGCACACCCATGTTCCTAGCAGCATTATTCACAACAGCCAAAAGGTGAAAGCAGCCCAGGTGTCCACCGACGGGTGAGTGGATAAACGTTGTGTAGCCACACAATGGAGTATTACTCAGCCTTCAAAAGGAAGGAGAGTCTGCCACATGCTGTAACATGGATGAGCCTTGAGGACGTGATGCCAAGTAGAGTGAGCCCGTCACAGAGAAATGCTCTATGGCTCCACTCATGTGGCTGGAGTGGTCGCATTCTTAGAGACGGAAGGTAGTATGGAGGTGGCTGGGGCTGGGAGCAGAGGGGCTGTGGGAGTTCCTCTTTAATGCGACAGGGTTTCAGTTTTGCAAAATTAAGAGTTCTGGGGATAGGTGTGGTGCTGGTTGCCCAATAACATGAATATGCTCAACACGACAGAACTGGGGACTTAAAAATGGTTAAGATGGTATATTTTATGTTAAGTGTATTTTACCACAATTAAAAACATCCCAACACGGTGGCAGGATGCCACCGTGGCCAGGTGTGGTGCTTGTCTTGGGTTTCCTCAGGATGTCCTCTTGGAAGAGCGTGGCAGGTCAGCAGGTCAGGCCTGAGGACCCCCCTTTGCTCGCTCTCTTAGCCTCGTCCTTTTGGAGGGTCCAGTCTTCCTCAGGTAGCAAGCCTTCTTGCCAGGCCACAGAAGCCCCAAGCCGGAGGAGCGGCTCTCCGGCTCCCGTGCTGCTTCTCCGTGCAAGCCTCTCTGAGAGCTCACAGTCCACCCCTGTGGACTCCTCCGCGTGCCCAGAGCCTCCTGGGCTCCTCCTCCCCACCCCGCTTGGTTCAAGGGTATGTCCTTTACTCCAGATGGTGGCCTCCGTCCTTCTCCACAGGCTGCTGTTAATACGAGAAGAGGGCGCCGGAATGCTTCCTGTAGAGTTCAGGAGGTGACCTCCTGACCCGTTTGATCGGATTCCACCTTGTTCTTGATGGGACCTCCTTTGTGGCCTCAGAAATGTCCACATGTTGGCAAAACCATTTCATCTTTTCTTTTTCTGATATGGAGTGCTCTGAAACCATTGCCTTAAACCCATTCTGTTTCCACTAGCTAAAGCTCATACACTTCATCCCCAGAGAGCCCATTTTCTTTTATTTATTTATTTACCATTTATTTATTTTTATACATAATATTTTACATATTTATGGAGTACCTGTGATATTTTCTTACGTGCACAGAATGTGGAATGGGCAAGTTTAGGGTATTTGGGGTAACCATCACTTTGAGTATTTATCATTTCCACGTATTGGGAAAAATTCTGGTTCTCTTCTAGCTACTTTGAATTATACAATACACTGTTAACTCTAGTCACCCTCCTCTTCTGTGGAACAACTGAATTTATACCTTTCATCTAACTGTATGTTCGTACCCATTAACTCAACTCTCTTCATCTGTGGTTCCGCTCACCCAGACCTTTCAATCCACTAGTTCCTGTCATTCTACTCTCTGCCTTTAGGAGGTGAATTTCCACAGCTCCCATGAGTGAAGACGTGCAGTTTCTTTCTGTTCCTGGTGGTTTCACCTGACACGGTCACCTCCCATTCCAGCCACGTTGTTACAAATGACAGGCTCTCATTCTTTCTTTTTTTTTGAGATGGAGTCTTGCTCTGTTGCCAGGCTGGAGTGCAGTGGCGTCATCTTGGCTCACTACAACCTCTGACTCCCTGGTTCAAGTGATTCTCCTGCCTCAGCCTCCTGAGTAGCTGGGATTACAGGCGTGTGCCACCACGCCTGGCTAATTTTTGTATTTTTAGTAGAGATGGAGTTTCACCATGTTGGCCGGGCTGGTCTCGAACTCCTGACCTCCTGATCCACCTGCCTCGGCCTCCCAAAGCGGTGGGATTACAGGCGTGAGCCACCGCGCTCGGCCCAGCTCTTGTTCTTTCTTACGGCCGGATAGCATTCCACTGTGTGTACATCCCCATTTTCTTTATCCATTCGTCTGTCGATAGACACAGGTTAATTCCGTATCTTTGCCATCTTTGCTGTGATAAACATGGGAATGCAGGTATCTTTTTGATACAGTGATTTCCTTTGAGTAAATACCCAGTGGTGGGATTGCTGGATCATGTGGTGGTGTTCTGTTTTCAGCTTTTTGAGAAATCTCCATACTGGGTTCCATAGCGGTGGTACTAATTTACATTCCTTCCAACAGCAGCTGAGAGTTCCCTTTCCTCTGCATCCTCACCAGCATCTGTCTGTGTGTTTTTTGGTCTGTTTATTAGCCATTTTAAGCTGAGGTAAGGTGGTATCTCATTGTGGTTTTGATTTGCAATTCCCCCGATGATTAGTGATGTTGACCATTTTTTCATATACCTGTTGGCCATTTGCATGTCATCCTTTGAGAAATGTCTCTTTGTGTCCTTTGCCTACTTTTTCGTGGGATTATTTATGTTTTTTTAATTGTTGTTATTTGAGTTTCTTTTGAGTTGTATTTTGGATGTTAGTCCCTTATTGGCCGAAGAGTTGACAGATATTTTCCTGCATTCAAGAGGCTGTCTCTTCACTCTGTTGATTGTTTTCTTGGATGGGCAGAAGCTTTTTACTTTGATGTAGTCCCATTTGTCTATTTTTGTTTTTGTTGCCTGTGCTTTTGAGGTCTTAGCTATAAAATCTTTGCCTAGACCAATGTCCTGAAGTGTTTTCCTTGTTTTCTTTAGTATTTTTTATATTTTTGGGTCTTAGGTTTCAGCCTGTAATCCATCTCCAGTTGATTTTTGTATATGGGGAACACATTTTCTTTTGATTGACACTGCCGAACAAAGGGTATACAAAATTTCACAACTTTTAACATGCTGGTTGATGATTGTACTTGAAGTGTTTTCTCCTCATGTCCCCGGCGACATCCAGACACCGCCTCCACGGTGCATGTCCTCTCCCGGCCTCCCAATGCCAGTGTGAAAATGGGCTTGGATTGCACACCCTGAAAACAGCCTCCAGCCTCCCTGTCCCTTCCACATCCATAAAGTTAACGGCATAGGGATTGTCAGGTAATAGCAGTGCACTGTACCTGTGCCGTAGGGTTTTGGAAGTGAGCCTTAGGAAGCCCAGCCGAGCAGGTAGGGAGTTGAGCCTGGAGGGGTCAGGGCTGGGGCTGAGACCCAGGTTTTCTCCCATGGGTCCATCTCCTTTTCCTTTAAGGATGTCCTGGCCTTCCCTCTGTCTCTGCAAGTAGAGTAGACTGGTCCCGTGTGACGTTCTTGAAGGCTGTCATCGAGCTCACTGTGCTTGTGCTTTTGAGTGGAAGCTGAACCCTGGTCATGAGCAAGAATGGCCAGACAGGGCTCGTGAGGCTTGGTTTAGCCAAAGTGGTGACTGCGGGTTTTTCAGCGCAAGAGGCTGCGAAGGGAGGGATTCCTTCTGGTGCCCCTGTGCCCTCCAGCGGCTTCTGCCCGTGGGAGGTGTTGGGCACGGCTGCCCCTGTGGTTGGAGGGCTCTGGAATAGCAAGCCCTGCAGCTTCAGTCCTCCCTATGATGGGGGCCTGGTCGCATGGGGACTGAGAGCCGGCAGGGATCTGGGGGCCTAGGGATGTGGCCAGCAAGTATCCAGGCTGAGAGCCCATCACGTGACAGTGCTCCCGAGGGCTGGGGTCTGTGTGGGACCATCCGCCTCAGGCGCCAGCCTTCTGCCTCAGGGCAAGCCATGCTCTCTGTTCCTGCCTGGGGCAGGACAACTCCAGGTCACACCCACCTCAGGCAAGGAGGAGCGTGCAGGGGAGCCACCCGGAAGCAGCCTCCTGCAGAGTCGGTGGGAATGTGGAGAGCCAGCCTGCTCCTTGGGTGATGGAGATGGATGCCCCGGGGCTCCAGAGTACTCAGGTTTCTCCTGTGGCCCATCAGTGCCAGAATGAGGCGTTGACCCCATGACATGAGACAGAGGCCTTCCTGGGTGACGTAGGAGACTGCCTGGTGCGTGTGCCATCTGTGGGCGCCCAGCACTTCAGAAGAGAGCTCTGTCACTGTCACTTTTCAGTTGATTTGAACCACTCCCATTTCCCCCCTCATTGCTAAATGGTTGCATTTATCATGGTCTTGGCATCACTGGGAATCGCAGAACATGGTTAGCAGAGCCTGGCCCTCTGAGATCTTACCCCAGCTCCCAGCTTTGCTGGGTGGGTTCGTACCTTGGGGCAAGAAGCTTGTTTCTAAATCGGTGTCAAATGCTCCTGACCCTGCCTTCTGCTCTGCAGGCTGCAGGGAGGCTTCCCCACAGAGGGAGGTGGCAGGCAGTGTGCCCTCTGGTGAGAGAGAACCATCCCAGCTGGGAGAACCCTGGGGCCTGGTACTGCCTGCCAAATGCCTCTCCACTGGCCTCCTGCTGTTTCAGGTCCAGTGACATGTGAGGTCCCTGAGGGGTGTGAGGCGGGGTGGTCTTGGCTGTGTAGGTGGAGCCTGTAGCCTGCCGCCTGTGACCACCCCACCTGCCGCTGGTTCTGGGCACAGGGGCTGGGAGGCGCCGTTGCAGATGTGGATATATGCGATTTTTATTTATTTGTTGTAAATAAATTCTTTGCACTGAGTTAGTGAAAATTTACAAGCCCCTTTGATTAATGCAAAACAACTTAAATATCTCATTCAAATGTTTCAGAAAAAATATCTCTTGGCTTGGAAAGGTTTCCTTACTTTCGTACTGATATTTTTAACTCCCTGAGGTTGGAAGCTTTGGGAAACTGGAGAGAATGGTCACGGCGTTCAAGGGCAGCTGCACCTTTCATCTCTGTCCTAGAGTTCAGTTTCTCTTCCAAGGTCTTTCAGTCATAAATGGTTTTTCCACGGAGCTGCTTTCTAACCCCGGTTTGCCTGTGTGTGTGAGGACAGATGGGGTCTCCCCGGTGCCAGCTACTCCTTCTGCACCCATCGCTGTCCCCACTAGATGTTCAGCAAGGGGCCTGTTCTTTGGGTGGGCAGAGGAGGCCTCTCTGGGGGACGTGGAAGGGAGAAGGCCGTGGCGTGCTCTGTGTGAATTGGCTGTGGTCAGAGGGAGGGCTTATGACCAGCCCTGGGTGTGTGTGAGGGCTCAGGGCCTGGGCCAGGCCGCAGGACATCTGCTCACAGGCTCTTGGTAGCTTTGTTCCAGTGATGGAAGACACTCCAGAAACACCAAACTAATGCTGGGCAAGGCGGCCTCCAGCTGTCCTCTGTGCCGTGCAAAACAGGCATGGGATGGCGAGGGGCGTGGGGGTGGCCAGAGACACTGTAAGGAAGTGGCCCTTCCTCTGTTTGGAGGAGGAGCTGGGTGCTGGAAGACCGGGGGAGGGGCTGTGTGAGCGCTGGATGAGCTGATGAGGGTTTCGGGGGCCCATGGGTAGGGTGCTCAAGTGACAGGAAAGGTCAGTGGCTGTCTCAGGGCAGAGTCTGGTCGGGCCCAGTGCGTGAGGTTTGCAGCGTGCGCGTTTTAGGCAGCAGGATGGCTTCTGTTAGGGGTCCGTGGTTGCAGTGTGCCTCTCCGTGGCCGTGGCTGACTCGCAGAGAGGAGCTCCCGGGCAGGCTGCTGGGAGGGTGTGCCCGGGATCCACCCGAGGCTGCTCTGGGGGCCTGGCTGACAGAGTGACTGGGACCTCTCCTTCCAGGGGTGCAGGTAGCCTCCTTGGCCAATGTCGGGGTCCCCGTTGCTCATTCAGTGGTGCGGTGCGGGCTCCCTGAGTGGGGCTGGGTGGGGCTCTCACAGCATTGCCAGCGCCTGCTTTCTATGTGGACCTGCGCTTGGTCCATGACAGGTGAAGAGAAGAACAAGGATGGGTCCTCGGGCCTGAGCTCACATGCCACTGGGTCAGTCTAGCCAGGGAGCCTTGGCTTTGTGCCCCAGGTTGTGAGGCTGGGAATGCTCACACACCACTGGCGTAACTTTGCATGCATGGCTCAGATCCTTGCTGTGTCCTCCGGAGTCCCAGCGTTGAGTTAGAAGATGTGGCTCGGGCCGAGCTCAGCTGTTGCTGATCATCGGGGTGCACTTTGAACTTTGAAGCGGCTGTTTCACATTGGAGTCTGAGTTTCCTCGTTTAAAAAATGGAAACGGTGAACAACAGGGTTGCTGGGGCATTCACTGAGACAATCTGGAATCGTCCTGGAAAGTAGAAAGCGCTACACCTGGAGATCGCTGATTTTACTCTTGTTGTTATATGTGGGTCTTCTGAAGGAGAGGTGAGGAAAGGAACTTAAAACTCGCTGAGCACCTCCCCTGTGCCAGGGGCCTGGCGGGTGCTTTTTAAACATGATTTCGTTTCCTCTGAAGAGTGACACTGTCAGGTCGTGTCTCTGTTTCTACAGGTGAAGTAAAATCGGGGCTTTCTAAGGTCATCTCCCCGGTGTTGCATAGGGGTGGGGGCTGTGGTTGACCCCAGGCTGTAGTGCGTGCATGCTGCCCTGGACCTGGGTCCACAGAGTTCACACATCCTGGGTCCCAGAGCATCAGCTACAGAGGTTGCTTTTGGCCTTCTGTTTTGTGTGCAGAATCAGGTTTACTTCTCGGGGACAGCTGGAACTGAGTGTGCCTTGTTTATCCTGCAGGACTCCAGAAGACCTTTCCAGATTCGTGGTTGAGCTGCAGCAGAGGGAGCTTGCCTTGAAGGACAAGAACAGCGCCGTCACCAGCAGGTAGACCTGGCCGCCCAGGGTGCTTGTGGGGATGCGTTTGCTTTGGAGAGTTAGGGGTGAGTGAGAGTGTGTGCCCCCTGGCTCTTGGGGGATGGCTGTCCTTCATCATGTGGTTGGCCCTGGTCTGGGAGGAGATGGGGGAGCAGGGATTTGAGGGAAGGGTTTGCCCCATGTTTCCACCATGTGCTGTGAGCCTCCGCTGAGGCACCACCGTCCATCGTTCTGACAATGTGCTAAACTGCCATGGGGTCTGGGGGTTGGCCTCCTGTTGTGGGGTCCCTCCTTGGATCAGGAGGGTTCTTGTCTTCCCAGCAGGGTTGGGGCCTCATGTGGTCTTGGGAACCAGCCCGTCGGTCACTAGCGGGCCCACCCTGAGTCTTCACGTCAGCATGAATGCAGGCGTGATTGGAAGGGGCTCACTATGAATACCAAGAGACATGCCCCTCACTCAGGAAGTCCCAAGGGCTTCAGGGAACCTGGGATGACGATCAGATATGTATTTCTTCTTATCCCACAGCCCGGCTCTTCTCTGGTTTCGCTCGTGGCTGTGAGGGGCCATCCAGGCTCCGGCATCACACCCAGAGGCGGAAATGAGAGGCCTCTTTTTTGGATCTTTTCTGTACAAGAAAGCGTTTCCTAGGACCCCCACTGCCAGCAAGGGCCCCTTATGCCTCCTTGGCTAAGAAGGGGTCTTATGCCTGCCCCTGACCAGAAGGTGGAGCTACCATGAGGGACTGAACCCCATCCGGTGGGACCTGTGGGGCTGGTGGGCAGTGGGGTGGGCTTGCGGCAGAGGGAAGGGCCGTGCAACGGGGCCCCAGGGGAGCTCTGCGCCCTGCACGGCTGACCAGGCCGTGGGTCTGTGCGGAGGGCCTGAAGCTCACCTGTTTGCCATTGATGATCAAGCTCAGCCTTGTCCTCCTGTGGAGAGAGTGTTTTAATAATTTATTAATAGCCAGAAGGAGGTTTCTTATTTTGGGGGCTGATGTCACTTTGAAAATTGGCTTTTAGAAGCATCTGGTTGTGTTGGACATAATCACATCAATTTACTGAAAAACCTCAAATGATAAAGATTGCCTTTTGCTTTCAAAGCCGCTGTCAGATGAAACAGGCATTAAAAGTGATTTGAAGTTAAAGCGTTCACACTTTACCAGGCGATCCTCATCATTTTACTTTGGAAATGAAACAGAATGAACTATTAAAGGAAAGGAAAGTTGCCTGTACTTTTCTCCCACCAAACAGGGAGGTGCTTCCTAAAATTATTTGCCTTGACCAGCAGCAGCAGGCCCATCTCTGTGTCCAGGGCCACACGGAAGGGAACATTCGCATCTGCATGCTGCCCATGTTGCCTTCGCTGTGGTCAGAGATGTGGATTGAGCCCATGGGGGGATTGGTTTGGGAATGGGGTCTCTGTCTCAGGGAGCAGCCTCTACAGTGGGCAGGTGGTCCTCACAACCCCAGCTGTGGCTGGCCTCTCAGGACCTGTGGGCTCCCTCTGAGAGCTGGGGCACCCGCCCTGGGGAAGGGTGAGTCTTGGGGCATCCCATGGACGCGCTTGGTGCTCCGTCCTGTTCTGTGAAATGGGGTCTTGGGGGTGAGACGAGGTCCTCAGTACTGCGCTGGTCTGGGAGGCCAAAGGGAGAAGCTGCCCTGAAATCCTGGGTTCTCACAAGCGTTTCCAGCTTGCTTTCATGTGTGTGTCTGTATGCTGGCTTCTGTCCCACGTGTGGCTTATTGCCCTGTGTGGGCTTCTTTAGCCAAGGTGCAGGCTCCAGATGGCGCTGGTCACCCGTCGCCAGGAGCGCTGGAGACGCTTCCCTGAGATGGGGCAGTGGAGAGGCGCAGGAGGCCTCTGGGCGTGAGGTTGGAGCTCCCGGTCCCTCTTGCCTGCAGGTCCTGGGGGGCGGCTGGTCTGCTCCTTGCTGGTCATGTGACTTGGGCAGGCACCTGGTCCTCTCTTCATCTCTGTGAGCTGAAAGGTACTGGCAGTAACGACTGGGTTGCTGTGAGGTCTGAGCCTCCTGAACTGCGCCTGGGCACTGAGCCGTCCCCGGGTCTCAGTGCTGCTTGCTGGTGGGTGGACACTTCCCGACCAAGGCTTTCTGGGGCCTGGTGACGCTGAGTGCCTGGCCCTTTTGTGCACTTCCAAGGCCCAGGAAGGAGGCAGACCCTAGGACAGGCAGCGCTGGCAGTGGCCAATGAGGTGTGGATGAGTCCCGTCGTGGCCTTGGTGCTTGCGTTCTGGCCTCTGGGCTGCTGCTCTCTTCCGTGGCGGGACACCGTGTTCGTCGCGGCCTGCCGTGGCGGGGTCAGGGAGCCTCGCACGGTTGAACAGCTGAGCACATTTCTACAAGTCTCTTACAGGCAGTTGGACAGAAATTCAGATGAGCGTGAAGGAGGCGGCATGGCAGAAGATGGGAGGCCACGGTGGCCCAGATCCCCGAGGGCTTTGCCAGGCGGGCCTCATTTTAAAGTCACTTTTGTTTGTTTCTCATTGAAAGTAGCTTGTAGTCACTGAAGAACAGAGCCCTGGTCCAGCTGAGGTCACGGGTCATGAGAGCAGCTGCTGGGCATTTTCCCTCGTCTGTGCGGACCAGCGGGCACGTGCTTGTGACCACGTATGTTCTCCTCTGCAGTTTTTACCAAGTATGTTGGCCGTGTCCATCTTTCCCTGGTAGTGAACGCTGTTCTCGCCATCTGAGGAGCTTCTCAGGGTGCGGCTCCACTGCCCTGTTCCTCGTAGCCCAGTGCCCGGTGCTCCCTCTTCGAGGCGTTGCCCTGTTCCTCGTAGCCCAGTGCCCGGTGCTCCCTCTTCGAGGCGGTGCCCTGTTCCTCGTAGCCCAGTGCCCGGTGCTCCCTCATCGAGGTGGTACCCTGTTCCTCGTAGCCCAGTGCCCGGTGCTCCCTCTTCCAGGCGGTGCTGCTGTGACGGTGCCGCTGGGGTAGCTCACGTGGCAGCATCTCGGAATGCTTGTGCCTCAGGCCGAGCTTCTGAAGTGACGGCTGGGTCATTCGTGTGCCTGTTTTCAGGAGCTTGGCTTTTAGAAGATGAATGTTGCCTATCAGCCGGCGTAGTGTGCCGCTGTGAGCAGCCTACACCACGCAGTCTTGATGCACTTCCTGGGTGTTGTGTAACTTTCCTTCTCTGCTGATCTGATGTGCGGAACAGAGCGCCCTTCCCACAGTCGCTGTCTTGGTGACTTGGTGTTCCTTTCACCAACATGACACATGTCCACGTCCGTGAAGCCAGAAGCCAGCAGGTACCTCAGCAGGTCCTGTGGGTCGGGCTCCTCTGCGGAGTTCCTGCCGTTGCTGCCTTTTTAAAGTTTGCCTCAGTTTCTCTCCATAGTTACTGCAGTAGCATTCCAGCCTGTTTCAGGGAGGATCCTGGAGCTCTCCCACCCAGAGGAGTTCCAAGGTAGGGAAGGCCGCCCAGGGAGGGTCTGATGTCAGCTTGCCGTGCAACCTGGTGCAGGAAACAGATCATCCCGCAGTGAGCAGATGCCGAGCCGGAAGCCATCACCTCCCTTGTTTGAGGAAGAGAAAATGACACCATATCTCGGAGTTAGCTGCTGGGCCACCAACCAGCCTGGAGCAAGAAGGAATTTTCCTAGCATTGAGCTATAGTTTTGACCCCTTTTACTGGTGAAGCACAGTTCCAAACGCTGCTGTGAGCTGGACTGAAGTTTCTGTCTGAATGTTTCTGCGCTCTTAGGACTGGAGGCTGGAAGCCCCACGGTGGCACCTGTGCTGCATTCTGGTCTTGGGGCTGGAGTTGGTAGAGGCAAGAAGCTTCTGGAACTCTCAGTGTAGGACTTACTGCTTTCCAGGGTTGCGAGGAGCCTGCTTGTTAGCTTTATGCGGGTTTGCTCAGGTGCTGCACTGGAATTCCTGTCTTACAGCAGAGAGAGTGTCTGTGGGGCTGCTTGAGGATTCAGCGGGATGACGTTGGTAACGTGCCTGGTGCAGCAGCTCTCGGCAGTCCCCGGGACGTGGTGCTGTGACGAAGGGTCCGGGGCTGGCTGTGGAGCCAGGAGCAGGCAGGGCTCTCAGTGGGCAGCGGGGCAGCCTACAGGGCACTGGCCGTAAGGCGCTCCAGGAGGGTGGGGTGCTTGAGTGCATTGCAGCCTGGGGGTTGGGTCAGAACCACCAAACCTTGCCTCCTGTGTGTTTCTCCCTTCCTTTAGCCGTGGACAGATGGGGCGTCATTGGTCACTGGTGTGAGCAGAGCGTGTCAGAGATCCTGGGCCTCTTTACCTTGGAGCAGGAGCTTCATGGCAGTGTAGGGGAGCCTGGCCTGGTTTACGCTCAAGCCTCGTTTCGGCTCTTAGAATCTGAGAATGGACCTCCTGGTTGTGGGGCTGAGGACAGGGCATACTGTTCAGAATCAGTGGGTGGATCTGGTGCGCCCTCTGCTCACGCTTCACACAGGGCACCCCGGGGCTGCCCTGTAGCCTCCCTTCCCTTTCCGGGCCCTCTTAGTCTCCTTGGCCCTTAGGGACCCAAGCACCCCTCTGCCTGGCGTCCCCAGCTCTGCCGTGGGAAGAGCCGGGACAGGAGGCTGCAGTCCTCTGTGGCCCAGCCCGTGGCCATGCTGTCATCTTTCAGATCTGGGGGGGAATAGGCCAGCGTGCTCTGAGGGCTCGTGAAGAACAGGGCTGGGAAGCTCGGGCAGGGATGCGTGGGGCCATGCTCTTGGCGGTTTCTCTGCTGTGCTGGAAATAAGACCGTGCTTTGGAGAGGGCTGGTGGCGGGAGCGGGGCCTCTCAGGACCCCGTGAGGGCTCCAGGGTTCAGGTGTATCATCTGTAATCCCGGCGATGAATGACGATGGGGACGCTGAGAGCAGTCAGTGTTTGTCTCGCATCTGCCCTCACCATGCGCTGCGCTGTGCTTCATGCGCAGCCTCTCACTTGAGCCTCACAGACGCTCCCAGCTGGAAGCTCTTATGATTCCCTCTTTTGCAGGGAGGAACTTGAGCCCCGGGCTAAACAGCTGGGAGGTGGTGAAAGCAGGACGTGCGTCCAGGCCTGTGGGTCTCCAGAGCTCTGTGGGATGTGTTTGCAGGTGGCTCCTGGGTCCCTGTGGGACACGTTGTGTGGCTGCCGTCTCGGCTTTGGCCTTGCTTCTCTGCCTCAGCAGAGACCCTGGGTCATGGATCCTGCCTGGTGCTGTTTTGCCTGTTTGAAGCCCCAGGCATCCTCCTCGATGCTGACTTAAGGTAGAGCCGGCTGAGAAGTCCACAGAGGGGAGCCCCTGAGGGCCGTGGATGCAGATGGAGCTCTTCATGTTGGGGTCTGCCCTGGCCTCCCCTGCCTCCCCTCTGTGCATCGGCTTTCCCAGAAGTGCATTCCAGCCTGGGCTGTGATCGCCGCAGTTTGTTTTGAAGATCCCACCTTGCTGCCTCCAGGCAGAAGAGCCCTTGGCCTGAAGCCACAAGGCTGGCATGTCCTGGAGCACCTGGCCGTGTGGTGCTTCCAGGTGCCTGGGCCTGGCCTGTTTCATCTACTGCTGCCATCAGGGGCCTGGGCAGCGTCAGGAGGAGTCAGGCCCTTGTCAAGCATAAGGGACTCGAGAGTCATTGGGTGTGATGAGTGGATATCACCATGTTTTCTGTCACAGACGGTGCTTTTCTGAGCCTCTTCCTGCCTCAGGTTTCTGTCACCTCCCAAGAGTGAGTGAAGATCAGTTTACTAGTTATGAGTCTTTCCTGCTGTTGGTCCCAGGTGGTTAGGCCGTCCTCTCAAGGACGTAACAAGGCCTTGTCACCTGGCATCTGAATTATGGTGCACTTGAGTCATCCAGAGACCAGCAAGGCATACGAGATCCATGGTGGCTGGGCTGTTCCCCTCTTGCACTTGAGGGGCCTCCCGCTGGAGAAGCCACCACTGGCCCAGGTTCCTGGGGCCTGTGTTTGCATTTGGCTCTACCAGGAGTGGCTCTCCGAGCGAGTCTTTCTGGTGATGGTGACTCCTGTTGGGGGTTTTGAGGCTCAGTGCAGTCGCCTCTATGGAGCCTGTGGACGGTGCTGGCTCAGGGTGCAGGTTTTTAGCTAGTCCTTGTCATCACTGGCACCGTGTCCTGCTGTCACTTTTTGAGGTAATGGGAAAGTACAATTTCTGGGAGCCTTCAGGGCATGGCAGGGGTAAGTTTTCCAGGGGACTCTGTGGGGCAGGATGTCTCCTGTGTGTGGCCAGTGGTGATGATCAGACGGGTTAGGCGGTGGGGGCATCTGGGAGGTCAAGGTGACGGAATTTGCCGTGGATCAGTGTGGGTGAGAGAGCACATCGGGATGGCCAGTTCTGGCCTGCCCTTGAACTGACCATGGCCTCAGCCATGTGTTCCCAGCAAGTCTCATGCTCAACCTGACCACCTGCTCTCGGCATAAGGGGGCCCCTGGGGTTTGACATGGCCAGAGGCCTTGTTGCGTCCGTTCGGCTTTGGCGCCACTCGATGTAAATGGTCTTTGGCAGAAGGTGTGGAATCAGCCTGAGTCTAATGGGCTGTCTCCATGTATTCCACGGTGGCAGCCTGCCATGCCTGTCTGGTCCAGGGCTGTGGCAGGGCACGCGCCAGGAGCTCTGGGTGGCACCGTGCCCTTCACCGTGGGCTCAGTGGCAGCTAGGGGCGCTCCGTCCGGCAGCAGAGAACCCGCGTGATCTGTCTGTATCCTGCTCCTGTCCCCCTCTGCCCCTTGTGCGTCCCATGTGGGGCTGGTCCCAAGAGTTTCTCCCGCAGCCCCGGACCATGCCTGGGACGCACAGTGCACCTGCGCCATAGAGGCCTCAGCCCCCAACCCAGCCCTGCACCAGGGGACAGCCTTTTGAGGCTCCTTGTCTGTCTCTAGAACGGGGCCCTTGATGGCATCTGCTTTCCTGTGGTGGTTCCAGTGCGGATGCTGGCACGTGCCTGCCTTGTTCTTTGGCGAAGGCTGCTCGGGTTAGTTTGGCTAGTGTGGGCCCTTTGAAAAGCCGTCTCTCTCGTGAGTCAGTTGTCTGTCTGTAGGATAGCCCCAGTGAGCGGGTTTTTGGGGAAATGTGAGGGACATCCCTGTGCCTGGGGTCTGGCACCATGCACTTGAACATGGACCCCTCAGTGAGTCAGGTGCCCCAGAGTGCGCTGCTCAAGGTGACAGGGGAGCAGGCCCATTCTGTGCTCACGGCTGTGCGGTCCACCTGCTGGCCGGTGATGGCTGCCCCGGCGACCCTGGCCTGGCTGGTGGCCTCTGCCTGTCCTTTTGGTTCTCAGTCCCCCTCTCTTCTCCACTGGGACTTTAGTAGGAAAAGAGGACTTGGCGGCACCTGTCCCGGGAGCCAGGCCATGTGGAGGAGCTGGGCCTTCCCCAGGCTGTCTGTGCGGCACCTGCCTGCAGTGCCCAGACTTGGACGTGAGATGGTGCCTGTGGCATGTGCAGCCGCCCGCTCCTCTGTGCTCAGCTTAGAACCTCCTCGTGGGGCCTCCTCAGCGGGGGTGGGTGGGTACCAGGCCTGTACATTTTGTGGCCAATTAGAGGGAGAGAGAGAAGGGGGGCATGGCATGGAGATGTCTGGGTGAGCGGGCGTCTGTCTTGGGGCCTCCCTCCCTCATGCGGTGCCTTCTTGTTCCTCCAGTCCTTTCCTGATCAGGGCTAGTGAAGTCCCGGGTTGGGGGACATAGACCCGGTGCCCATCCTGCCAATGCCGGGTTCTCTGTGGCCCCCCAGTATGGTCTGGGGGCCTGTCTGAGGCACCATCATGTTTCAGGCTGCAGCTGGCTGCTGGGCCTGAGATCGAGCCCCATCTCTCCTGAGAGGGGGTCCAGCCCATCCTGGCTCCAGGGGAAAGCCTGGGTCATCAGCAGGCATGGTCGGGTGTCATGGCTGTGCCCCGCAGCACGCGGTGTCTGCCTGCTTGGAGGGGCCTCCGCAGTGGGGCACTGCGTGGCCCTGTAGGATGCAGGCAGGCTTTGGCAAGGCTGGCCCTGCTCTAGGTGGGTGTCTGAACCTGTTCCCTCCCCAGGCAGAGCCCGCAAGGCGAGCACACGCTCCTTCATGACGGGGCCGGGTCCAGCGTCCGCTGCCGCTGGGCTCTGGGGTCTGTCCGGGGTGCCTCCGCCTGCTGCTTTAGCCAGCTTGTGTTGCTTCTTTCAGCAAGATGAGCTGCCGTTAATATTTCACACCCAGACTGTTTCCCTGAATGTTTTGCATTTCCATATTTAAAATGGCATTTACATATTCATGGCTTTTTAAATAAGTTTTTATTGTTAAGGGATGTGGAAGTGGATGAAATGTGAAACTCCCCCTTTTATTCAAGCACTAGAAAAAAATTTCATCCCAAATGCAATCACTTTCTGAGTGTTTAGCTCTGTGGCAGTTGCCATAGGAGATTGTTCCAGAAGCCAGTGGGTCCCAGGGCCATGGAGCCGCCCTTTCTGGCATGCAGGGACTGGGGGAAGGCAACTGCCATCAGCATTGCTTTCCAGCCGAGGTTGGGCATGGAGGCCTGGTTGCTCCTTGGGGTTTCTCCTGGCGGGGGCCTGGCCTCGTGCTGGGATGCGGGGCCGGCTCCCACCCACATCCATGGCTCTTGTTTTGGAGGAAGTGTCTAAGGCAGACGAGGCTCTTCATCTTGGAAGTGGCTAAGCCAGGGATGCCTGGCTTCTTTTCTCCCTTCTCCCTGGTCACTCGGCGTCCCTGCCCTGGTTGGCCTCTTGCTCCCGGCTTTGCGGCTGCGGCTGCAGCTAGGGCCTCGGAGGGCCATTCGGCCCTGGTGCACTCTCCGATTCTGAGGCGTGGAGGGTGGCACCGGCACCCTTCACCCTTCAGGGTCCTTTGAGGGTCCTGTGTAAGAACATGTGCAGGGCGGACGGGGGCTGCTGGAGGGGTGCTGGAGTCACTGTTTTACGTTTGGGCAGTGGTGAATGTGGCTGAGCCTTTGCCTCTGGGACACTGGCCTGGGGAAGGCCCAGAGGAAGCCACCAAGGATTGACAAGAGTGGGAGGCCTTGGGAGAGGCGTCTGCAGGGGCCACCTGGGCTTGGACGCTGTGTAGGTGATCTTGAGCCAAGCACAGGTCACAGAAGGATGCACGTCCTGCAGGGAAGTAGTTGAGGGCTTTGGAAGCCTGGCCACCTGGCCTGTGGCGTGCTGTGCTGCAGTGGAGCAGGGCAGGGACTGGGGGGGGGCGGGGTCCAGATAGTAGACCATAAAAACAGGGAAACTGAGGCCTGTGGGGGGAAAGAGACTCTACTTGGTGGAGTGAAGCCTAGAGCATGGATTTTTCTGATCTGTATTGTTACTTTTTAATATTTTTAGGCATAAAATTGTTTTTTATCATCTCAGGCCTAAACCACCCACAAAACCTTAGCCTTGAGGGTCGGGGGAAGTGTGGTCCGAGCTGCAGCTGGCCTCTCCACGCAGAGCCCCTCACACTGGCCCCTGCTGGAGCCATCTGGACGGGGGTCTGCCGAAGCCCGGCTTCCTCCCCCATCAGCCTTGAAGGAGAGTGGCGGGTGTCCTCTGTGGCTGTGGAGTTCTCAGCCTTGAAGGAGAGCGGCGGGTGTCCTCTGTGGCTGTGGAGTTCTCAGCAGTCTGCCTTTGGCCCCAGCCCCTGGCAGCTTCTCCCAGCATGAGTGTTGTATTTTCCATACTCTCAGGGTGCTGGGTCATTGGTAGTGTCTGGTTCCTCCTGAGACCAGAGGCAGGACACAGAGCTCAGGGCTGTGGCCCTGGGGGCATGGCTGGGGGAGTCACCTTCACTGCTGAGGGTGGGGGGCATCTCAGTGTGCGTCCTGGGGCCCGCAGCGCTCCCGCCTTGGCAAGCCCTGGACTGCAGCCTGTGAGCTCAGAGGGAGGGTGGTCCCGTGAGCTAGGGTGGGGTGGGGGTGCGGGGAGGGTGCTCCCATGGGTTGGCTGAGAGTACATTGCTGGCTCAGGGGGTCGGGCCGTGTGATCCCCGTGGCAGCCAGGGCTTAGGCTGTGGACATGGTGTGGGGTGCTTCCTGGGGGTTGGGCCCTCCTCACAGTCCTCGCCCTGTCTGGGTGGGCTGGCCACACAGGAGGGTGAGGCTGAGGCAGCCTCGCCTGCTCTTCCTCCTCGCCTCTGGCCTCGGTACCGGGGCGTCTGCTGAGGAGGAAGACCGCTTGTCCTGCTGGGACCTTGGGCCTCTCCGATGCATGTTGACTCCAGCTGAGAGGTGTTCTCCTTGCCTGTCCTGCTTTTCATCTGGAAAATCAGGTCCAGGACTCTTGCTTTGCAAGATGAGTGGAGAATTGAAGATTTCAGAAGTTCCCAACATCAAGCAGGTGCTCAGGGAATGGCGGCATTGTTTGCAGGAGTGGGGTCTGTGGTCTCTGTCACTGGGTCCTGCTCACTTGACCCCCGAGCCTTTCTTTCCTCATTTGTATTAGGGTCAGTTCCACCCTCAATGGGTTTCTTTGAAGGGTATGTGCAGCCTGCCTGGGGGAAGGCAGCGGAGTGCTGGCCTTCCTCTCAGTGCTTGCTTGGCCCCTGGGCCTGGGGTTCTCAGAGTGAGGTGCTGCAGGCGATGGCGGTGTGGCCTTGAGAGCGGGGGAGGCCCCATCTGCTGCTTCCCCTCCGGCTGACTTCTCCTAACAAGCCGGAAGTGTGCGTCTGGCATTCATGCCCCCAATCCCCACCTCTTGATGTGGTTCCTTCCGTTTTGTCAGTAGGATCTGTTTTCAACCTCTGCATGCTGAAGTGCTCATCTCTCTAGGCCACTTGGTCTGGCGCCCACCTCGTCGTGGTTCTCAGGATGCCTCATTTCATTAGGCTGAGTGGCTCTGGACTAAGTGCACCTGCAGAGCTGACCGCCCCACCGCCAGCCTGCTGAGCGCTGCCGCAGCCAGGACGGTGGCCAGGGAGCACGTCCCCTGGGGCAGCAGATGCATCCCCTTCCTTTCTCCTTCCCTTTGGACCCTGTATGCACCCCTGCATTCTCTCACCCTCTTTAGCAAGTTAAAAAAAAGCTGGCATTTCCTCCCACCCCCATGAAACCCTTTGTAACAGCAGTCTCAGGTCCGCAGTGTCAGGGGCTGCCCAGTGGTGGTGAGAGCGCAGCGTGGGTGCAGCCCTGGTGAAGGGCCTGGGACTCACAGCTCTGTGCTCTGATCATGGGCTGGCCCGCGCTGTCAGTACAGAAACGCCCTGTGAACTTCAGCTGCCATCATGGCCTGTGTCGTGTGGCTGGTGTCGTGTGGCCCTCGCATAGTTATCCGACATGGCACCGTCGGCACAGAAACGCTCTGTGAGCAGCAGCTGCCATCATGGCCGGTATCGTGTCCTCGTGTAGTTGCCCCATACGTCCACCTCCTGCTTGGCTTCCCCTCTTTGGAGCCTCCAGGGCCAGAGGAGCACAGTTCAGAAACTGCTGGTCAGGAGACCTTTCCTGGAGAAGTTTCTGTTCCGGTTGTGGATCTGGCCTGTGTGGGAGCCTGAGGTGGCATCTTTGAGGTGACCCGGGACCATGGGGAAAGCGCTCTGTTTCCTGGCTGAGGTTTTCAGGCAGTGCCATGGCACAAGCCTGTCTGCACCTGGGGCTAGAGGTGGCACGTGCAAGTCACAGAAGGGAAGGAGGAGACAGCCTGGGCCCCTCACTCACCTGGGCCAGAGGTGGTGTGTGCAAGGTGCAGAAGGGAAGGAGGAGGCAGTGTGGGCCCCTCACTTGCATGGGCCAAGCAGACCGGTAACATGCCTGCCGCTCTGTGACGTTTCTGTTAGAGAGCGGAAGGTGTCTGACCTCAGCTCCCCAAATCAGAAAACGGCATCTGGAGTGCCATATACGTTTGAGAAGAGGGTGCTTGGGTCAGTTCTGTCCTTTGCAAGCGAACATCTTTCTTGGCCCCCAAAAGGTGGTAGTAGAATGTAGATTTCCTCAAACATTTGGAGAAAACACAGAAATGAATACTACTTGAATGTTGTTTATTGTTGCTTCAGGAAGAGAATAGGGAGATGGGAGAAGGGCCCTTGCTGGGGTTGGTCCCTAAGTATTTTGGTGCCCTGAACTTCTGTTTCCTTGCTTATTTTGAAGGGGTTTGTGTGAGCCTAACCCCAGGAGAGCAGCCCACACCCCACAGCGGAGCCTAGAGCAGGGTCAGGGCTGCCAGGAGCTGCTATCTGGGGAGACTGAGGTGGGGTCCTCGAGGCCTCCTCTCTCATGCCCGGCACTGCCAAGCCCAGGGCATCATCAGTGGACTTGGGAGCATCCTCTTATGAACGCTTTTCTTGAGTTTCCCTGTAACTTGTTGTAAACTTTGTAAGCTCTGAGCCAAGAGCTTCCTTCTTAGCCTTGAAGCTGGCCACTGCCGGCTCCTTTCCATGCCGAGCTGGGATTCTTGGTGTGCAGGTGTGGAGAGCAGCTCCGGTGCCATCAGGCGATTGGAGTACGCTTTCCTTCCTTGTTTGGCAGAACATAAAATCAGTCTCAGGCCCTCCCACCATGGCCTCCACTGCTGAGCCCCGAGGAGATGCCAAGAGATGGGAAGGGCCCCCACCGAGGAATGCAGCTGGCTCAGAGTCTGCCTGTGGAGAACAGGAGCCCCTGGAAGGGGCAGGCTTTGGGCAGGTGAGTGCACTTGGTCTGAGGGAGGGTGTTGGTGTTGCCAGCATCCTGAGCTCGAGTTGGTGCCATAGACCTGGGAGGGTCTCTCGATCCTGTTAGGAAACTTGGGTAAGAGAGTCGGAACAAAGAAACATCCACTGCTAGGCACCTGTGGGTACCAGGCACTCCACACGTGTCCCCCTGCCCTGGCACTGATCCTGCCTGCTGGCGGGGAGCCTCTCGCTTTGCCCCAGTTTCCCCAAGGTTGTGGAGCCACTCAGCCTGGAGTCTGCTTGTGAGCTCAGGGCTGGCTGTCTCCTAAGCCTGTGCCCTCTCACCACGTTGCCTCTCATCAGGGCGATGCTTTTTCAAGCTCAGATATCACAGGTCGCTTCCGCAGGGCATGAAGCCTCTTAATGCTGACCCTTTTTTAATACTGTGGCCGAGAAACACAGTTGCGCAGAGTCTGCAGGAGGAACAGTGTGGACGTGGCTGTGACAGGCATTTTTGGTCAGCGTGGGGCAAGTGCGGCTTCCTGTTTCTGTCTCATTGAGCTTGGAGTGGACATAGGGGCTCTAGGAGAAGGAAGGCTGTGACCCCTGCCCTGAAGGAGCTTTCCCTCTGCCTGGGAAGAGAAACCAGCAGTGAATCCCTTAGGGGACTAGAGAGCGTTGGGCCGCGTGGTCCTGATCATGGCCACGCTTCCCAAATGCCTGGCTGCTTGTGAGTTATATGGCGAAAAGAGCCTGAAAATAGAGATCCTTGGACTCACCTCCAAAGGCTCAGATTCAGGTCTCTGCTGAGGCCGTTGCTCCCTTCATGAGTGTACTTTCCCTTGGGCCTGGGACATGTGCACACACGTCACCATGAGAGGTGGCAGGCAGGACTCCCATATGTGGCCGTGAGAGGTGGCGAGAGCTGGTGGGCATTGTCCCGAGGGTCGCTGTGAGAGCTGGGGGGCAGGAGGCCCGGACATTGCCCACCACCTGAGCCTTCCTCTGCACCAGCATTGCCCTCACTTGTCAGTCCAGGCCCCTTTAATGATAAACAATTACCGAAAACAAAGAGTTTTTATTTGTGGGGAATCATAACTATCAGTATTTACCATCTTTGGAAATTAAAATTAAAATTAAATCATTATTTACAATTATATTTATAATCTCATTAAAAACAATTCATTATCACTTAACAAAATATATTTATGAAAAATGCATTTTCTAACACAAAACGAGACAGTGAGAGGAATGGCATTGTTTTTTACTTTTTACAAATCTCTTCAGTGTCTGGTGAAATAGAAGATGGGAGCATCTCGTGTCTGCGTCCATCTGCCACGGTCTCTTCTTTTGGAGTCTGTGGAATAAGTCTGGCCCCGCACAGGTGTGCAGTTGGAAGAAGGAGGGCCTAGTGGCCTGAGGGCCCCACACACAGGTTCTGCTCAGCCTTGCCTGCTGGGTGGGTGAGGGCTGAAGGCAGGTGCGCTCACCGTTCCTTCACACCTTTCGTGGCTAGTCTTACCTTTCTGGGTAGTGTTTGCTCAAAATTCTGATTAGATTGTAGGGGGTGTTTTTTGTGTGTTGAACATGAACATCATTAATGAACGTCAGTCATTGAATGTCTGGGAAGGTGTCCTCAGTTCTGGTTTTTCTGGAAACGGTGACTCATGTATCCTAGAAAAGGCCCACTTTGCAGCATTCCGGGCAGTTGAAGGAAGATGGCTCAACCCATAAGCAGCAGAGCTGACTTCTTTCAGGTGTTCTTGCCCTAGATGAGCAGCAGGGGTGTCCCTGGGGCCTGGAGATCATGCCCACCTGATTTCTGGTGGAGCCAGGAACTTGGGCAGCCACAAGTTGCTCTCTGAGAACCCCACAAATCCAAGACTAGTCCTTAAGAGAGGGTGGCCTCTCCAGAGACGTGTGCAGCTGCTGGACACAATTGGGCTCTGGTGACTGGTCCTGTTTAAATGGGCAGATTTTTCTTTTTGTTGTCATAGAGAAGCTAATTTCTTATTACTTGTCAACTATTTCCGTCTTAAAACCAAGTAAGAAACTAGAAGCTTTCTCGCTAAGATCAGGCACGAGGCAAGGAGTCCCACTCACCACTCCTATTCGCTGTCGTACTGGAAGTACTAGCTATAGTGCAGTAAGACAAGAAGAGGGAATAAAGGAAGGAAGAAATAAAACTGTCTTTGTTTGCAGATGACATGATCGTCTATGTAGAAAATTCTGAGAACTAACAAAAGAACTTGTAGAATAATGAGTGGTGAGAGAGAGCAGGGTATGGGCCATACACGCCGTCAGCTGCTTTCCTGTGTACCAGCAACAAGCAGAGGGAATTTGAAATCAACACCCAGTACTATTTACATTAGCACCAAAAAACAGTGTAGACACAGAGACCGGTACAGGTTATGTGTGAGGAAATCACCAGACCTGATGAAAGAAATCAAAGCCGTAAATCAATGCAGCGGCATTCTATGTTCACGGGTAGGAGGAGTCAATATATTATCAGTTCTCCCCAGAGGGTCTGTGCAGTCCCAGTCAGAATCCCAGCAAGTTATATTTGTGGATATCAACAGATTCTAAAGTTTATATGGGAAGGCAAAAGATGGCAATGGCCAGCACAACACCAGTGAACAACACCGGAAAACTGACACTCCCCGACCTCAAGACTTAGCGTAAAACCACAGTGATCAAGGTGGTGCGCTGTTGATGGAAGAATGGACGAACAGGTCTGTGGAACAGGTCAGAGAGCCACGAGATAGACCCACACAGATATACTCGGCTGATCGTGGACCGCAGAGCAAAGGCAGCTCAGAGGAAAACGGTCTTCTCAGCAAATGGTGCTGGAACAGCGGAACAGCCACAGGGGAAAAATCTAGACACAGACCTTACACCTTCCTCAAAAATCAACTCAGAGTGGATCACATACCTGAGTGTAAAGCACAAAACTTTAAAACTCCTAGAAGATAGCGGCGGAAATATCTAGCTGACTCTCAATTAGGCAGTGACTTTTAACGTACAACACCAAAGGCACAGTCTGAAAGAATTGATGAGATGGACCTCGTTAGAGTTGGAAATGGCTGCTCTGCGAAGGAAACTGTTGAGAATAAAAGGAGAAGCCCCAAATGGAGAAAATATTTTTCACCGTCATGCAAAAGACATATCTGATAAGGGCTGTTATCCAAATTATACAAAGAACTCTTCAAACTCAGTGGTAAGGAAACAGACCACCCAATTAAAAAATGGGTGAGCTCTGAACAGGCGCCTCACCAAAGCAGACACGCGGGTGACGGAGAAGCACGTGCGGAGATGCTCAGCATTGAAAATGGGTGAGCTCTGAACAGGTGCCTCACCAAAGCAGACACGTGGGTGACGGAGAAGCACATGAGGAGATGCTCAGCATTGAAAATGGGTGAGCTCTGAACAGGTGCCTCACCAAAGCAGACACGTGGGTGAAGGAGAAGCACATGAGGAGATGCTCAGCATTGAAAATGGGTGAGCTCTGAACAGGTGCCTCACCAAAGCAGACACGTGGGTGACGGAGAAGCACGTGAGGAGATGCTCAGCATTGAAAATGGGTGAGCTCTGAACAGGCGCCTCACCAAAGCAGACGCAGGAAGGGGGAGAGCAGGGAGACGCCAGGCTCCCTGTAACAATCATCTCTCCTGGTAACTGATGAAGTGAGGACTGCTCTTCAGCATGAGCCGTCATGAGGGACCCACCCCCATGGCCCAAACCCCTCCTCTCAGGTCCTGCTTCCAATCGTGGGGATCAGTTGTCAACCTGAGATTTGGAGGGGTCGGGAACCACACAGTAACAGTGTCCTTCCATGGGTGAATGGATAAAAGATGGTATGTCCATTCACTCAAATACTGTTCTGAGCTAAAAAGAAATGAGCTACCAAGCTGTGAAAAGACGTGGAAGAATCTTAAATATATATTGCACAGTGAAAGAGGACAGTCTGCAAAGGCGGTGTACTGTGGGATTTCTCCTCCGTGGTATTCTGGAAAAGGCAGAACTGTGGACACAGTAAAAAGATCGGTGGTTGCCAGGGATGGACAAGAGGGATGCGCAGGCGGACCCAGAGGATTTTTGGGGAATGAACCTACTCTTCACGCGGCCGTGATGGTGGACACGCAGTCGCACGCAGCAGTGGACCGACTGCACGCGGCCGTGATGGTGGACGCGCGGTCGCACGCAGCAGTGAACCGACTGCACGCGGCCGTGATGGTGGACGCGCGGTCGCACAGGGACTGCAGACATGCGTTCGTCTAAACCCGAGAATGTAAGACATGACAAGTGAGCCCACGTGTCCACTGTGGACTTGGGTTCATCAGTTGTAATGAATGGACTGCAGTCGTGCACGGTGCAGGGGAATCTGCCTGGGGGCTGAAGGGTAGATGAGAACTCTCATTTCTCCTCAGTTTTCCTGTAAACCTATAATTGCTTGAAAAAAGAATATCTGTAAATTTAAAACAAAAATTAGCAAGTAAGATGAGGCTAGAGAGAGCTGTCCCAGGGGTCAGATTGAGACAAAATGCAGTTGGGGCCAGCTTCCTCCTGAGTCAGCCTCACTGACTGCTTGGAGAAGAGAGGGACCACGCTGAGCGTCAGGAGGCAGCGCCGCGGCGGGTCTACGAGGCACATCTTTCACCAGCCTTTCCATTAGAGGCACCTGAGCAGCCCTCCATCATTTCACGTGTGCATGGTCAGGCCCTTGTGGGGGGCTCACAGGACTTGTGTGACTGCCAGTTGCCGAAAGAAGGAAGCAGGTCCCTTGTCATGACCAGAGAGACCCCAGGTGCGATGGCTGTCACATCCTGCTGACCTTCCCAGCCTGAGCCAGCTCGGGCCAGGGTGAGGACAAGGGCTGATGGGGGCTGAAGGGCACAGAGCACCCCTGGGGAGGCGTGTGGGCCTGGGGGACACACCTGAGCTGTCCCTGTTGCTGCTCTCTGGATGAGAACCTGGGGGCCCAGCTGGTGCAGGCACGAATGTTCCAGCACATTTGTGAGGATGAGCTGGGAGGCCTTGAGCAAGGACACCATCAGTGCCTGCGCAGAGGTCCCCTGGGACTGACAAGCTCGTCGGGGAACAGAAGCAGCGCTTTGAATTTTAAATTGGTTAAATTCCTTTTCCTGTCACAGTCTCAGCTGCTCCCTGTTTCCTTAGAGAGCCAGGGAGTTTAGTGTCCTCTCATCTCCATGCTCTGCCAATTTTACTGCCTTTCCGTATTTCCTCACCATGAATAGAACTGATTTTATGGTGCGTAAGCCATTTTTAATGTAGCCTCTCATCACAAGGTGGAGAAGTGAGGGGGATTGTGCCTCTCCAGACCATAGTACATGCGTCCCTTCTGTTTTTAAGCATTTGGGCCAAGACTGCCTTTGCAGATTCCTGAAGTGCCTGGGATGAGTGTTTATCGTGTGCAGGGTCCGCTCTGGGGCCCGAAGAAGGCTGACACGCTGCTCATCCATCTCTTGAAGGAGCTCATAGTGCAGTATGTCAACCCAAAATACTCCAAAGCGTCCGAATCTAGTTTAAAGAGAGCTTATTCAAGTGCAAGGTTCTTCCAGGACGGCCACCAGGGAAGCACAGATTCCAAAGAATGGAAGTCAGTGTTCCGAAGCGTGGAAGTTCCGGATCATTCATGTAGACAAGTTTAGGGAAGCTTAGCAGATCTCAGCATCCTTCTGCGAGAGGCTTAATGCATCATTAGAAAGATCGGATTCGATGCGGTGGCCTTTATCTTTCCGGGAAGGTTGATTTGGCATTCGCACTGAAGATGTAGCAGGCATCTTGTGCCATCTGGTCTGTAGGTGCAGGACAGTGAAAGAGGCAGTGAATCCATCACAAAGATCGGTGACTGGAAGTGGGAGAGGTGTGGTGTTTGGTCTCTCCTAGTTATTTACGGAACAAGAGCTAAGAGGAAGAGAGAGTCGCGGACACGCTCCCAGCTTCGGCCTCCGGGGCTTAACTTTTTCCCCCTGGCATAATAAACTGAGAGGGTCCTGACATTTTATTTTCTTTTACAAGTAGGAGTGATAGGACACACCTTTGGAATTGAGTTTATGTTTGGAATCATTGGGGTCCCAGAGAGAGAGAGAGGCCCAAGACTATGTGGGAAGCTGGTCTCCTTTCCCAGACCTGCCGCAGACGACGTAGAGAGTTAAGCTCTGGCCTCTCAATTGCTTCCTTATTCCAAATTTCTCGGTCTGTTCATCTGGTGTGCCCCTGGGGAACTCCTGGGAGTTGGGGGCTGTAATGGCGTGGAGAGAGCTCTGGGCTTGGGGACTTGGCCTCGAGGTGCTGTGTGTCCAGGCTAGCTTTTCTCTAGCCCCAGGACGTGGTGACTGAAATATTTCAGCGGGGAGGCACCTGAATGCTGCTGGCACAGCTCCCTGGACCTCTCAGGTGAGCTCCATGGCTGCGCCCAGCCAGGCACCTGCTGCGGGCCGAAGGCAGGGCAGGGAAATCCAAGAGGAGGGCATTTGCCTCCTGACATGTGGAGGTGCTTTTGATGCAGTGAGGCGCATCGGGGCAGCCAGGTGGCATTTCCTGCACCCACTTGGTGCTGGAGTCTGTCTGCCTGCCCAGGTGCTTTTAACCCCATCCCTGCCCCTCTGTTGGGTAGTGTTTTCTTCACCCTTCTGCTGGGCCCCAGAAGGACAGCTTTTTGGACTGGTTGGGAGCTTCCTGGCAGCGGGTGCCATGGGAACCATGAGTCCGTCTGCACCTGCTGACCCAGCTGCCTGCCTGTGTGCCCCTCCGACGGTGGTGGCTGTGTTGTGCACCTTCCTTGTGTGTAGACAGGATCCTGGGGGAGGCCGTTGGCTCGAGCCTGGGGTGCAGAGAGCACTCCTTGGACTGTCTCTGACATGCGTGTAAAAATAACTGCATTTGTTTTTCTGATCTCTGGGCAGAAGCTCGAGCCTGCGTGTCCAGCTGTGTCTGTCTTGCCACCTTGCTCTCGTCAGGGAGACCATCTTTGTTAGACAGGCAGCCTCCAGAGGGATGGGATCGTGTGTGTGCTCTCTCCTCATGACGGGAGGCACCTGGGGTTCCTGTCCTGCTGCCTCGTGTGTGACTGGACTCTGAGAAGCGCGTGTTCCTCGCGTCCTCGTCACTGGCAGGTGACGGATTCAGACCCACGGCAGGAGGGGCGCTGCCTAGCAGGAGCCGTGTGGACAGGAGCCGCCGTGAGCCTGCTGGGTGGCTTGGCCTGCTCGTGCCTGTCCACATTCACAGTCCCGCGGAGACAGACCTTTTACTCTTCTATACCTGCCACAGCACATTCAGATGTCCACAGGCAAAAACCTGGGCTTTCCCTCTTCCAGGCGTCTTGTTCTTTCACTCCCTCCCTGCCCCCTGGCCTGCCTGGTGTTGGCCTGCTGCACATGTGAGCTGCCTGGCGGTGGGTTAGCCCTGGTGGCCCCAGCTCCCCCGGGATCCTGCGGGCCCCTCATGGAATGCGCCTGCCCGGTCCCTGCCCCTTCCAGCTGGCTCTGGGACTGGAAGGAATTTCCGATCAGAGAGCTGCCTGCCCACAAACCCAATTTTGTCCTCGTGGTGGGGTCGTGCACCACCTCCACTCTGCCCAGTTGGTCAGCGCCAGCAGCACTCCCCATCTCCTCAAGGTCCAGATGCCCTGAAGCCTTGGGAAGGTCTGTGTCCCCCTCTGGCTTTTCTCCTCCTCCCTGTGGTCCGTGTGCCTGACTGCCGCGTGGGAAGCCTGAAGGTGTGGGAGCAGAGAGACTGCAGTGTGAGCTGAAGATGGGGCCTTGTGCTCCTGGGGAGGCGTGGTGTGGCCTGACGGGCTTGAGGGTGGCCGAATGAACCTTCTGAGGGCAGGTCCCAGCAGCCACCTGTCCTGTCCCCAGGGTGAGAAGGGCAGAGGGAGCCGGTTTCAGCCCCTCTGTGTCCCCGCCAGGATCCCTGCAATGGCCAAGGCCCCAGCTGAGCCTTCAGCCCTCTTGCAGACACATCGTGTTTTCTGCTTTGCCGCTCATCCTTCCATGTTACACAGCCTCTGGTGGCGTGCCTGTGCCCTTTGCGAGGCCTCTGGGTGTAGGGACTCCCGTCAGGGCCTTCCCTCAGGCAGGGCAGGTCACCTGGCCTCTCCTGAACGGCCATCTTCCAGAAGCAGCCTTCCTGTTCGTGTTCTGTGCTTTTTGTGACTCCCGTGCTGATGAGCGAGTGTTTCATGAACTCTGAACTGCCTAGGTCTTTCACGGTGGTCTGGCCTCCTCCGCCCTCTCTTTCTGGCACCAGGGCTGCATTTCGGGGACTCTAGGCATGGATGGCCCTGCCAGGTTTCAGTAGTGCTGTTTGGGAGATGAGAGGTGGCTGAGCTGCTGATGACAAATGCGATTCAGTGACAGAAAATGCAGAATAATTAGTCTGGGACCAGAGAACTCTAAAGAATGTATGCAAACCAGGACAATTGTCCGGCTTCATGAGAACCATGTTAATTTAGAAATAATCTGGGAGGGCGTCAGCAGCTCCTCAACAGGGGATGAGGCCGGACCAGAGCCCGAGTTGATGAGTTGTAACCGACGACTGTGATTTAAAAAGCGTTTTATTTATCGAATGTCTCTCAGTGTCAGGGCCTTTCATCCATTTGTTCTCATCATGAAGTTCCGAGAGGTGGACACTGTCTTAATCTCTCAGGTGCGAGCAGAAGTCTCTTGCTTGAGGTCACAGCCGCTGGTCGGAGTCAGTTCAGACCGGCTCTGGGGCCATTGCCAGCTGCGTGCCTGCGTGGGTAGTGGGGTTCTGAGGCCCCAGCAACTCCACCCTAGGCTTTCTCATTCCTAGCAGGCGTCTGCTCCCCTGACGCCCACAGTGCCGGCTGCTCTTGCACGTTTCCCGGAGTGCAGGGGTCTTTGGTGGGCGTGAGATTGTAATTGCAGGTGGGTTCCTGCGGGTTCCTCCTCTCCGCAGGTGGGTTCCTGTGGGTCCGCTCCTCTCTGCAGGTGGGTTCCTGTGGGTCTCCTCCTCTCTTGCCTTTTTTCCCCACCCTAGACCCCAGGTCGTTTCTGCTCCCTCATTGCCCACCTACACCAGGTTCCTGACGTCTGGACCTTGGTCTTTCCTACCGGTCGGTGTGGTCGGGCCCGCTCCCCCGTGTGCAGCTGCTCCTCCGTGGCACAGCACGAAGCAGCTTCCCAAGAGGCTGTGTGTCCATTGCCCTCAGGAGAATCCCCTCTGGAGCAAGTGTGCTGGGCTGTCCCTGCTGCCCTCTCCTTGCCCCTTGGGTGCTCCATCAGGGGCCCCACTCTACAGCCTCCTGTGTCTTGCTGGGGCTGGGTGAGTTGCCGCTCCTTTGTGCCCCTCTGATCACTTCAGATTTTCGTCCATCTCCCCCTTGTCATAAGTAGGGGAGGGCGGGGACGTCTTCTCTGTGGCACTCCCATGACTAGCAAAGGCCCGTGGGCTCATGCCAGCCCTGAGCACCTCTCTTCTGGAACAAGCGGGTCAGGCCAGCACTGTGGAAGACTGTCCCCAAAGTGGGGTCACTGAGAGGCCCCCTCCAGGAGAGTGTTCAGATGTCTTCATCCCACCCGCGTCTGCTCTGTTCTTCCCTGGGAACGAGGCCTCGGATGTGCTTCGTGACTGAACTCACACCTGACTTGGCCCGCTGGCTTTATCCCAGGTTCTCAGTTGTAATCTGCCGTTGTTTAAAATGCCCTACTGGATACATAGAAGCATTGCTGATCAGCTGATTTGCCTGGCAGTGTGAGAGGGGGTTATTCATTCTGAGGTCTGTGGTTTCTAATGAAGCCCGACCCATGGGGACAGTGTCAGTGAGCACCTGCCTGGCGGAGGCTCGTGGCTCACTGCAGGGTTGACGACAGGTGTAAAGCTGCCCAGCGGTCACTCTGCTTCCTTGCAGAAGGAACCTACTAAGCTGCATGTTTAAAAACTCTGAGTGACAGAAGAGGCCGGTCCCCAGAGATGCTCCTGGGCCTCCTCACACTGCCTTTCAGAGCTGGGCTGGGCCTGGGTTGTGCTTGGTCCCAAGGAAGGCTGGCGGCATCGGCCTGTGTCGATTCTTAGTGGCCATATGGTGCACAATCATTGTGCCTGGCCTGGGCTGTCAGGTCAGGTGTCCCCGCTGCCCCCCAGGCCTGAGGGGGGAAGATAGCTCCGCAGCTGTGCACAGGACCTCCAGGCTCCTGGGGTCCAGGCTGGGGGCCTCCAGTGGTCTGGTCCACATCTGCTGCCCTGGGGTTCTGCCCTTTCTGTGCATGCCCGAGTGCCTGTGTGTTTATTGAAAATGGAATTCGAAGCTGCCCTTGTTACCATCCCCTTCTAGGTGGAGTCTTCAACCTGGGGCCCTCCGAGGGTTGCACTCTGTGGGCGTCCCCCGTCCATGGGCCGCGCACTGAGCCTTGCCTGTGTCTGCTCTCGGCTCCCGAGACGCTCTCCTTCATCCTGCCCGGTCTTTGCAGGAACCTAGGCCATATGGCAGAGGTGCCATCCCTCGCTTCACAGGAGGGCCGCCTGGCAGGAAGTGGCAGTGAGGACCGAAGCCTGGGTCTGTCCCCGAGTCCACTGCTCCAGCGCCCCGGGCTGCAGCCCCACCTGTGGAAAGCAGCCCATGGAAGATGACCCCTCTCCAGGAGGCCGCCTGGCCCCACTCACTTTCTCACCTGTGGCGCTGTAAACGTGAGGAGGCCCAGGGGCCAACTGGCTGCTTCCTCAGATGCCAGTGCTGGCTCAACGCTTAAAACAGACGCGTAAGCTGACTTTCAGGTAGTCCGTTCTCCTGATTTTAAAGCGGGACAAATGTCAGGAGTCTCTCTTGATATTGTCTCCTCAGTTTATTTTTCAGAGCTGTGGTAAATGACCCCAGGAAGCCCTTAGCTGGAGGTGGGAGCTCAGTCTGAGCTGCAGTTTCTGGAGCACTCGTGCTGCTTGGTGTCTGGGCGCCTGCCTCTGGGTGAGAGGGCCAGTGGCTCACTGCCCTGTTTGGAGTCGTCAGAAACCTCGAGCCAGCCTCCTGCCGGTGAGGTGCTGCCTCACCTGGTGGGGGTTGTAGCTAGAATTGGGTTTGCCACAGCAGGCCCTCGCTCACCTGGGCAGATGAGAACTCGTAAATATTCAAAGGATATCTCAGATGCCCTGTTACAGTCTCATCCTGAGTGTACGGTGGAGCTCGCTCACCAGGCTGCGGAGACATCACTACCCATTGTTTTGAGCTGTCGCCCGGGGGACACATGGGGCCAGCATGAGGAGGAAGGATGCGTGGGTGGCTCGGCTCAGGGCTGCTGCTTGTGTCCTCTTTGTCCCCACCTGGGCATCTGTCCAGTCATCAGAAGGGGCACCACCCCCACCCACCTTGTCAGCACCTGCCTCGTGGCGCCGCCCCCACCCTTGGGTCCAGGACCTGCTGGAGTGCACCTGGCAACAGTGGCGGTGACTTGCCCTGCTGCTGCTGTGCCACTGTGGGCTGCATGACCCGGGGTCTGACGCAACCTTTCTGTGGCAGGTCCTGTGTCTGTAAAGTGCAGCCCTGACAGCAGGGACTTCCTGGGGTCGCTGTGAGGACCGGATCCTTAGTGTGGGCCGGGAGCCCAGCAGGGAAGGGGCCCGGGATGCAGAGCAGGAACCACCTGCATCCCTGTGCCCTCAGCCATGCCCATGTGTGTCCTCCGTGCTCACTGGTGTCTCCTGCCCTGGGGCTGGAAGGCCGCCTGCAGCTCCTGCACCCTTCTCAAGCTCCAGGGAGGCCCGCTGGCATCACTGGCCGAGCCCCTGCGTCCTCCTTCACCCGGAGGTGCCTCTGTTGTATGTGATGTCACCGTGCTTGGCACTGAGCAAGGCTCCTGAATTCAGAGTTTCTCCCACAAGCGCCGGGCACCCAGGTGGAATGGCTGTCTCCTGACCCAGAGGAGGGTGGGGCAGGGTGGGCCTGGCCCTCCCGGGGTGTGTGAGAACCCAGCAGGTCTGCCCCTGGGGAGGCGTGGAGCCCCATACGCTCCTTGCCGAGCTCAGAGCGGGGGCTTCGTGACCTCCTCTCTGCCAGAGTCTTCCTAGCCATCCTGCCCTCACTGCACCCCTGGGCAGTCTGCCTCTGTTGGCTGGGGTGGGCCACATGCAGGCCGGCTGTCCCCTCAGGCTGTGGGTGCAGCTGTTTCCTCACTAGCCCTGGTAGCAGGCAGGCCTTCTGCCCACTCATCTCCCAGGTCTTCTTACTCTCTGTCCTGGGGGAGCCTGCTCTTCCTTTCGGCACGTTGGGCTCTTCCCAAATCAGTTCCACGCCCCGTGGTAGTTCCACACCCCCGTGTCTGTGCGTTTTGCTCCTGGGCGAGGGTCTTTGGAGCCCTCGTGCCCCTGGAGTCTTGGAAGAGGCCTGTCTGGGTGGGCTTGCCTCCTCTCCATGTCTCGACCCTTGTGGGTCCTGCACCGCTGCCCGATGGCCTGCCCCTCCTGCCTTGCTGCTCTGCGAGTTGAGCAGGGGCGTGGCGTGGCCTCTGACCTGTGGAGAGCTGGGGGCTCCCGGCTGCATCTGTACTGGGGGTACTGAGAGCCTTCGCCTTGCTCCTGGAGGTGTTTGCCCGGCTTCCCCGTCTAGAGGAGGAGCCTGACCTGGCTACAGGGGGCTTCCCAGGAAGCAGAGTTCTTGCCCCCGGGGCCTAAGCCCCCGCCCCTTGCTGCCTGGGCTGCCTTTGCTTGTGTGCAGCCTTGCAGGACTCTGGTGTATTTGGAGAAGCTAAAAAGCCCTTGCCAGAGCGGAAAAGGGCGCTGGCTAATTGGCAGCTTTATTTATTTATTTCTGGCTTGAGTGGTAAACAGCGCTGATTCTTTGCACAGCAGGAACAGATTGGGAGGCATTTACCTGACTGATTCCTCACCTGCAGCACCACGCCGCCGGAGGATCTATCGATTCAGCGCCGCCTGCGAAGTGCACTCTGAAACAGGCTTAATTGCCTCCGACTCGCTTCCTGGTATCGCATGTCCCCGTGAGTCCTCGCTTGAGGGCTGCTGCCCTCCAGCGGATTGACGCCTCCCATGCGTGCCCTTGGCGGGGCTGGCTCCTCCTGGGTGCTCCCTGGGTGGACTGGGGTGCTCTCCTGCTTGACAGGGAAGGAAACCCTACCGTCACCAGCTCAAGCGCAAACAGAGCCCACCGGGTGTCAGCCGCCCTCACACACAGGACCAGGGCCTCACCAGCGCCCTCTCTCCGTCCTGCACCCCAGCCCAGTTTCGCTTGCTGGGAGCCCTCCCGCAATGTCTCCAAGCTGTAGCGTGCAGTTTCATCTCAGTCCCTGAGCTGGCTGAGCTCCCCTGCTGCTTTTTTTTTTTTTTTTGAGATGGAGTCTCGCTCTGTCGCCCAGGCTGGAGAGCAGTGGCCCGATCTCGGCTCACTGCAAGCTCCGCTTTCCGGGTTCATGCCATTCTCCTGCCTCTCAGCCTCCCGAGTAGCTGAGACTACAGGCGCCCACCACCACGCCTGGCTAATTTGTTGTATTTTTAGTAGAGATGGGGTTTCACCACATTAGCCAGGATGGTCTCAATCTCCTGACCTCGTGATCCACCTGCCTTGGCCTCCCAAAGTGCTGGGATTACAGGTGTGAGCCACTGCGCCCGGCTCCCCTGCTGCTTTTTAAGCCAGACTCAGCAGAAGGGAGGCAGGTGAGGTACCGGTCGCCTTGATAATACACTTCTCTACCAGGGCAGGATGGGCAGACGGTGACGGGGAAGCTCACCTGGGAGGGGCGCTGGGTGGACGGCGGCCGTCACCACCCACACTGACGCCATGGCCTGCACATGTGCAGCTCTGGACAGATCCTGCGCCTTGACTTCCCAGCTGCGCCTGGGGGTGAGCTTTAGCAACCCTTCACCCGTGCACCTGCACAGGTGGCAGTCGTGGCTCTGGCACTGGGGCTGACTTGCCAGCTGCTTGGACCAAGGCTGCATCCTTCCTGCCTGAGTCTCACCTGCCTGGAGCAGGCCAGCGTCAACTCCCTGGTTTGTGATTCTGGGACCTGGTGATTGGCTGTTTTTTTTTTTGAAACAGAGTCTCGCTCTGTCGCCCAGGCTGGAGTGAAGTGGCCTGATTTTGGCTCATGGCAACCTCCGCCTCCCGGGTTCAAGTGATTCCCCTGCCTCAGCCTCCCGAGTAGCTGGGACCTGGCTGATTTTGTATTTTTAGTAGTAACGGGGTTTGTCCGTGTTAGGCTGGTCTCGAACTCCCAACCTCAGGTGATCTGCCTGCCTCGGCCTACTAAACTTTTAGGATTACAAGCGTGAACCACTGCACCCAGCCAGGGATTGGCTGTTTTAAGTAACAGTTATCAAGGTGCTAGATAATATTTTAAGACACTTTGAGGTATGAGATTAGGCAAGGCACACGAGGTGGACAGGTCTGACGCGGGCAGTCTGAGCATTTCTCCAGCCCCCGCGGGTTTCCTCTGTCCCAGCCCTCTGGCCACATGCGGGGTGGCCACTGCTCCGACCTCTCTTGGTGATGGCTTTTCTGTGGATGACATGAGACAGTGGCAGTTCTGCTTGTCCCTCCAGACAAGCCAGGAAGACACTTTTAAAACTCAAGGCCTTTTCCCAAGAGTTCCTCTGTCCCTCCAGTCTCCCCCTCCCCACCCCAGAAGCTACTTTTAACACCCAGGGTCTTTTCCCCAGTGTCTTGGTGCGTCTTGGCTCTCTAGCCCTTCTGTGCGCCTTTGCCGGTCCCTCAGGTGTCCACGTGTCCCCACATCTGGCTGCTGCACGGGTCTGTGTTCCTGCTGTGCCAGCCCCTGCCCGGTGCTGGAGAGGGTGGAGAGCGAGGCAGACACACCTCACCGTCTGGAGGGACAGTGAGACAGACCTCACAGGCCTGCGAGGGAGGTGGGACATCATCAGGCTCGTAGAAAGGTGTGACCTTTCCCTCCCCACCCAACCCTCGAGGACTCCTGGCCCCCAGGCTCTAGTGCTGGAGGCTGAGTTTGGCCACCTTGGCTCTGGGCCCAAGCGGCCTCCTGCTGGCAACATTTCCAGGATGCCGTGATCTGCAGCATAGTCCTGCCCCACTCCCTCCCAGGAGCCCAGAGGCCTGTTATTCTGAGGTCTGTGGTTTCTAATGAAGCCTGACCCATGGGGACAGTGTCAGTGAGCACCTGCCTGGTGGTACACCTCTGGCCACCGGGACTCTGTTAACGACCCTCCCGTGGGGGCTGTGAGGTCGTGCCTGCCACTGCCCGGGAGGCTCCAGCTGGACCGAGTGTGTGTGGCGTATCCGCAGCCTCCCTCATCCCTGCCTGTCCCCACGGTGCCTGGCAGGTGCTGGGGGCCTGGTGCAGAGCCTCGCTCTGACGCTGAACAGAGGTTGGGAGAGGCGGAGGAGCCGCATCTGGGCTTGTCCTCTTGGCAGCACCCAGCGCCTACACCTCACATGGAAATGGGGCTCACCAGTGAGTGGAGACTCAGATCGTGAGGCCTCAGGCGGGAAGGGCCCCAGAGCCACCTGGTCCAGCTCGTCCTGGTGAATGCTGTGGCGGGGCGCCTGCCCTGGGAGCCTGCGCCGGGAGTGTCCTTGCGGCTGGGGCTGGTGTGCCTCTGCAGGAGCCCTGCCGTCACCGTGCGACTCCACTTGGGCCCATCTCCCTCGAGTCCACCTGTGCTGTGATGGCAGCCGCCTGTCTTCCTTGCTGGGCCTCCCCACGTCAGGTCTGCGCCTGCCCTAGAGCAGGTGCAGGGGTGAAGACCTTCCTCGCCCCGCCCTGGAGGCCACACCAGCCTGTTGGGATCCTTTTCTGATCCCTGCCTGCAGCCTTGGAAACGGAAGCAGCTCCTGAGGCCCTGCTGTCCCCCGAGTTCCTCCCATGGGGGCTCGCAGGCTGCCTCCCGCCTCCTGTCCCGCACCCCCTGTCTTTCTTGGCATATACTCTTGTTTACAAGTCTCTCTCGAAGTGATACTCTCAGATAATTATTATGTTTCTGAAACGCCTTGGTTTTGTGTTGTTGGGGAAACAGAGCAACAGAAGACACAGTTCCTGGCTCTGAGGAAGCCTCTGGGTGGGGTGGGCAAGAGTCAGACCCGTGGGGGCACGGGGAGTCTGGCAGAAGGCAGCGCCCTGGGTGTGGGGCTTCCGCTTGGTTCCTGCACTGCGAGTGCCTCCTCCCTGTGCCAGGCTCTGGAAGCCGTGCAGATTGCAGGGTGGTGACCCCAAGGCTGCGCCCCCAGGCTCTCCAGGGTGTGGCGGCCAGTCCTAGGCTTTCTCAGAAGGTGGTGCTGGCTGTGGAGGCAGAGGCTGCTGCAGCGCAGCCTTCGTTATCAGCTGGGAGGAAGTGGTGGCGGGTGTTGAGCTGGGTCAGACTTTAGGAGGTGCCATTTGCTGTAACATACAGGCGGGGCTGTTGGGGTAAGCACACGCCGCAGCCAGTCTGTAAGGAATGGTCCTGAAGGACAGGCAACTGGGGAAGGGAGACTGTGTTGGGCAAAGCCAGCAGGTGGAGAGGGCCAAGAGAGGGGGAGGTGGCCTTACCATAGACCCAGTGTGGGGCGTGGGACTGCAGGAGGCTCCACTTCATTTGGAGGAGTGAAAAGGCAGGTGCCACCTGGTCCCCAGGGAGAGCTGGAGGGCCTGATCTGAGGATGGAGAGCATGAACTGGGGCTCCTCCACCTGGGGCATTGCTAGGGATGCCTTGGGCGCATGCTGGGAGGAGGTGGAGTGAGGAGGATGCTGAGGGCGGCTTTCAGGGAATAAGGAGCTCCTGGTTGGATGCTTGGAAGGAGGGGAGATCCCAGATCAGAGTCCTGGACCCCAGCGAGGAGCCAGCAGGAAAGAGCCTAGGGGTCTGGAACAGTTGTCGTGGGACGTGTGTGGCTGCCATCTGTGTGAGCTGTATGGGTGCAGCCAGGACTGTGCTGAGGGGTCCCCTGCTGGACTGGCAGGCTCTCCCTCCTCAGGAGCACTCTGGGTTTCGGGGTGCATTGTCACTCAGCACAGGTTACCCTCCAGAGCTCCAGCCCTCTGTCCTGCAGCTGTAGCCCACCTGCCACTAAGTCAAGGGCTTGGAGGCCTCTGATGTCTGCATGTGGGTCAGAGCTCGGGCACGTGCTGTCCCCACAGTCGGGACCTGAGAGCTGCCTGGGGTCAACTTGCACAGGGCCAGGAGGATGTAAAGAGCTGCTCTTGTGGCGTCGTCCAGCTTTGGCCAGCTACAGAGAGTGTGCGCCCCACGACAGCTCCTGCTCATCGCATCTGGGTGGGAGATGGAGGACTCTCACCCCGTCCTAAACCATGTGGGCCACTGTCAGAAAGGGTGGGTGATGGAGATGCGATAGGGAAGGCGCTGCGGAGAGCCATGGCCTGGGAGCTTCTCATGTCTGTGAACCAGGGGCGGGGCACTCCTTTGGTCACTTGTTTTGGGGGGATAATGGAGAGGGAGAGGAGGGCACTGGGACAGGAGAAATGTCACAGTAGATGAAACACAGCAGGAGTCCAGGCTGCCTGGCCTGAACCTTCTTGCTTTGTGGAAACACGGCTTCACCAAGAGCACCGGGCAGCAGTCACCCTGAAGCCCTGGAGCTCGAGCCCAGCCGCTCCTGCTTGTCCGCGCAGGGGTCTGGGAGGCAGACCGTCACGTGGGGCTGGAGGCTGGGGCGAGCCCAGGCAGCTGGGCGTGTGGAGCTTTTGGCCTTGATGGAGGACGTCTCAGCTCCAGGTCTGCACTGCAGGTCAAGGAGAGAGACGGGAGGCACAATCGCGGGGTGGCTTCTCCTCTGAGAGCAGGCTGTGACCCAGACGGCTGTGGAATGCTAGGGACGTGTCTGCGCGTGCCTCACGTCACCTGTGAAATGCCTGTGAGATATGACGTGGCTTTTGGAGGGATGTGCTTAGCTGGTGGTAGCCCCTTATCCGGAAGGAAGACTGTGAGCCGAGCCTGCTCCTTGGCGGCATGAACCTGCCATGGAGGCAGTGTGTGGGCAGCAGTATGTGGGCAGGGGCTGGGAGGGACGGCCCTGTTCCTTCACTTCCGTCACCTGCCCCAGGGAACTTGGACATCGAGGGCCTGTCACCAACAACAGCCTTGATAGTGCTTGCTGGGGAGAAAATGCTGGCCCAGTGTGTTGAGTAGTGTGTATCTTGCCGCGTTCATGCCACGCACTACGGATGCTGGGCAGACCCCTGTGTGCTCACCGCGCCCACACGGCCAAGCTCCCGTGGCTCTGACACACCACTCAGGGCTGACCTCCTGCTTCTGGGAGCCTGATGGCAGCACAGGGGGAGGTCCTGCTGGTCAGGAGGGAGGGTTCACCTGCACAGTGTGCCGTGTAGATCTGTGACCGCCAACCACGTCCTGCGTGTGTCAGGCTCAGGCCCCGTTCTGCAGAGGAGCCCCCAGAGCAGGGCTGGCACTGTGCCCTGGATGCTGCCCCATCCACTCCAGTGGAGGGTCTGACAGGCTGTGGCTGAGTGGCACCCCTGGCAGCACAGCGTCCGGCATTGTGGTCAGGAGTGGCCGGCTGGCGGCTTGGGATGAGTGTCGGGTGCACAGGGTGGAGGGTGGGTAAGGGGCACTGAGCTGGCCTGATGGGCTGGAGCCTCCTAGGGCAGTTGGGTGGCCTGATCCTCTCCTGTCCTGCCCCATGCTGAGGGACACTAGGGAACATTTGGGGGTGTACTTGAGGGGCCATTGCTGTGCAAGGGACTGGGGCCAGGGATGCTGAGTGTCTGGCAGTTGTTGGGATGTTTGTGGATACAAGTGAGTTGCTTTGCGCCAAAGGCCAGTGGGGCCCTGTGGATACACACACTTCATGGTTGGGTGCTTCCTGCTGCTGTCCTCTCCCTGGCAGGGCTTCTCTCTTCTCTTACCCCTGTGTTAGTTCACTCTCACAGTGCTAGTGAAGACATACCCGAGACTCGGTGATTTATAAAGGAAAAAGGTTTAATTAACTCACAGTTTATCATGGCTGGGGAGGCCTCAGGAAAATGACAATCATAGTGGAAGGGGAAGCAAACACGTCCTTCTTTACATGGTGACAGGAAGGAGAAGTGCCGAGCAAAAGGGGGAAAAGTCCCTTATAAAACAGTCACCTCTCTCGAGAGCTCACTATCACGTGAGCAGCAGTATGGGGGTAACTGCCCCTGTGATTCACTCACCTCCCATGACATGTGGGCATTATGGAAACTACAGTTTCAGATGAGATTTGGGTGGGGACACAGTCAGACCATATCATATCATGCCTCCTCCTTGTGAATGGGCAGCTGCCTGTCTGTAGAGACCACGACCATGTGGGTGGCCTCTGTTTGTGGGTTTCTCCCAGCCTCTGTGCCGTCCGCACCAGCAGTGCTTGTGGAGCTGGACTGCCTGTTAGTTTGCACAGGGGTTGACTTGGCTTGGGAAGGTGCCCTTGGGAATGGGGTGCAGCTTCCCTGCAGAGCCTTGCTCCTCCCTGACGGTGGCCCCCAGGGCCCGCTAGACTGTTCAGGAAGGAGGGGCCTGGGGAACGTGGATGTTGCAGGAGACTCTTAGCTGCTTCTGGTCTTTCCTGCCCGCTTTGGCTGCCTGCCTGGCTGCCTCTGCCAGGCCTATCTCTAGAAAAGGCTGTGTTCCCAGCGTTAGAGCCTGGATCCCTCTCCTGCTGCATTGGGAGCTCCCCAAGGTCGGGTTTCCTTGTCTTCGGGTGGTGCCCAGTGCTGTGCCATGCTGGGTGTTTGCTGTGGGCCTTCACTTGTTCATTGCAAATACTTCTTTGTCTCCACTGTCCTCTTTACCAAGGGCACACTTCAGGATCTCCTGGGACTTTGTGCAGCACCGCCCAGGCCTGCAGAGGCAGGGTGCAGACCACCTCGTACTTGGTGATGTGCCTGCCTCCTTGGCTAAGGCCCTCTCACTAACTCTGGGACATCCAGACGCCTTCCTCCCCGTTGGGTCTGGTGGCCTGTCCTGCTTCTTCCTCAGGCTTCTTCTCTGGTTTTTCTGCTCCAGTCCGATGGACCTGGGCCCCCTGCAACAGTATGACACATGGCCTGTTACTGCTTTTCCGCTGACCGCCACCTCCTGCAGCCCTGTGTACACACAGGAGCCCCCCCCCCCCCCAACCCTCTGGCCTGCCACGTGTGGGTACCTGCCTTATCCAGGCCCTGCCCACCTGGGGTCTTGCTGGGGACACCTCGGTTTCCCTGCCCTGGCATTCATCGTCTGCGCTGGCTCTCTGGGGGCTCCCCAGTCCTCCCTGGCAAGGCTCTTGTCTCTTAGAGGACAGAGGCTCCTTGTCGCTCCCGTTCAGGAAGCGTTTGTTCAACACCTGCTGTGTGCAGCCCACTTTAGGTGCTTCAGGAATATGAGATGAGTCAGGCCTGAGTCTTGTTCGTCCTCCCGGCACTTGGCACACACACAGCCGCCTGCCCTCCAGCTGCACCCACGCACTCCGCTCCCTGGGCCTGGCTCTCGCTCCCTTCTGTGCTGGGAAGGGGCACAAGAGGATCCTGGAGCTGGGGCCACTGGGAGCAGCAGCCAACACGTCAGTGTGGACAGTGAGGTCCTGCTCACGCCCTTCAGCTTTTTCTGTGGTCACCTTGGCCCTTATTTAGTGTTGAGGAAACAGAGGGATATTCGGGTTAGGGAGTGTGGTTAAGTGGTGGGCAGTGGGGCTGGGCCCCATTCCCACTGAGCCTTATCCCCCCTCCACCGTCTCCGGCAGCGCAGCCGCATTCTGTGTTTAGGTGGTGGGGTGCTGGCAGGAGAGGGTGTGGGCCTGGGGCAGGAGGAAGGGGAAGTGGGACAGCCCGCCCTGCTCTGAGAGCTTCTTCCCGCAGGGCCCGCCACCGTTCCCCTCCTGATGGCAGCACCTCAGTGCGTTCCCTCTGCTCCGAGCGCTCCATGCAGGTCATGCGCGGCAGGTCCTTCTGTTTGGCCAGGAATAGTCCTGACCTTGGGGGCAGGGCCGTGGCTTCCCTGGATGTGGCCATGCGGGAACCATGCAGACTGAGTGTCCACAGGCCCGGCATTGACACGCCATGTGGAGCCTCTATCCAGCCTCCTGTGACCGGGGAACACGCGGGGACCCTGTCCAGCGCCTCCTCTGATCCCGGAACACACGGGGACCCTGTCCAGCGCCTCCTCTGACCCCGGAACATGCGGGGACCCTGTCCAGCGCCTCCTCTGACCCCGGAACACGTGGGGACCCTGTCCAGCCTCCTCTGACCCCGGAACACGCGGGGACCCTGTCCAGCACCTCCTCTGACCCCAGAACACGTGGGGACCCTGTCCACCGCCTCCTCTGACCCCGGAACACGCGGGGACCCTGTCCAGTGCCTCCTCTGACCCCGGAACACGTGGGGACCCTGTCCAGCCTCCTCTGACCCCGGAACACGCGGGGACCCTGTCCAGCGCCTCCTCTGACCCTGGAACACGTGGGGACCCTGTCCAGCGCCTCCTCTGACCCCGGAACATGCGGGAATTGCTGGGAAGGGTCCTGAGCCAGCGCCCCGTGGTGTGAACGTGGCCTCATGTCCTCCTGCGGGAGTGCTTCCGCAGTGTGCCAGTGGTGGGCCCCGGCTTCTGGGGGAGCCTTGGGTCGCGGGGCGGGGATACAGACTGAGCTGGCGCCTCCAGCTGTTCGGGCTCTGATGCAGGTCTCCCAGGCGCTCTGCTCTTCTCTGCTGCACTGGCCCGTCACTGTTTCTACCCTGGGAACAGATTCTTCCGGAAGGTTCCCTGCTGCTGCAGCGGTGCTCACCGGAAGGCGGGGCTTCGAGGCCCTTGTGTTTGCAAAGCAGATTCTTACCGAGATCCCAGAACTACCTGTGGGCCTCAAAAGATGGGTCTGACAAGTGTCTTGTGTGAAGGGCCAGAACGGACTCTTTGGGGTTTGCCGGGCAGGTGGTCTCTGTCGAAGACGCTGAACTCTGCCATCGTGCTGTGAGAGCGGCAGCGGCGATTCGTATTTGATTCTGGGTGGCTGTGCTCCATCAAAACTTTGTTAAAAAAACAAAAGTTGTTTACAAAAACAGGCTGTGGGTGGGATTTGGCCACAGGCTGTAGTTGTTGGACCCTGTTAAGAAACCACCGTTCAAGTCGTAGCCATGCTCATCTTCATGAAGATCCTTCTGCCACGTGACGTCGGCTTGGGCCTTGCTGCAGGGAGGTGACCCGCAAGATTGATCCCGGCAGCCAGGCTTTCATTTCTCGCAATTGTCTCTTTCAGGAAAGATGCCCTAGGACCATACACTTTGTGGCCTTAAGGAGGATGGCGTCCTCTGGTGTTGGCCCCGGCTGGGCGGTGCTGCAGGGTGGGAGCTGTGCTCTGTGTAGGGAAGGCCCCCTGGTTCCCTGCTCAGACCGTGGGCTGGCTCAGGGCTCTCCCGCCCGAGGTGTGTTGAGATGGCCTTTGGGATGAGTCATTACCATCCGGCCATTTGCCCTTTTGTCTTTCTCATGTGTCTGGCATGTTCTTCTGGGAACTTTTCATTTTGACATAATGTTACACTGACAGGAAAGTTGCAGAAGTCGTGGAGAATGTTTCGACGCACCCTCCGCCAGCTTTCCCGAGGGTAACGTCTTGTGAGCCCGTGTACAGTTATCAGAAGCTGTAAGGCCTGGGTGCAGCAGGCGCGGGTCCTGACTGCGTTCAGGTCTTGCCGGCTCTCCCACTGAGCTCCTTTTTCTGTGCCAGGATCTGGCCTGGGATCCCCATGGCGTTTGGTGGCCCTGTCCTGCCCTGCACTCTGGGACAGGAGAGAATCTGCTCCTCGGTCTCTCCTGTCGTCGTGACCCCGCCTCTTCGAGAGCACGGGCTGGTGTTTTGTGGATGTTCCTCAGTTGGAGCGAGTCTGATGTTATACATGATTAGGTTGAAGCTATGCATTTTTGGACAGAAAATCTTAAAAGGGATGTCATGTCCCTCTGGGTGTGTGATGTCGGGGTGTGCGACATCACCATGTTCTGTTGCGGGTGTGGTCACTCCGGTCACCTGGCGAAGGCCTCCCTAAATGCATGGCTGCGGCTTTTGTTCTGATAATAAGTATCTTGGGGAAGATGCTTTGAGAATATGCAAATATCCTATTTATTTTATTTTATTTTTTTGAGATAGAGTCTCGCTCTGTTGCCCAGGCTGGAGTGCAGTGGTGTAATCTTGGCTCACTGCAACCTCTGCTTCCCGAATTCAAGCAATTCTCCTGCCTCGGCCTCCCAAGTAGCTGGGACCACAGGCGCCTGCCACCACGCCTGGCTAATTTTTGTATTTTTAGTAGAGAGGGGGTTTCGCCATGTTAGTCGGGCTGGTCTTGAACTCCTGACCTCAGGTGATCCACCCACCTCAGCCTCCCAAAGCGCTGGGATTACAGCTGTGAGCCACCGTGCCCAGCCCCCATTTCTTACAAAAACTTCTCCTCCTAGTTCAAGCATCTATTGGTGCATCTCAGCTGCGGGGCTTGTCACCATGGCCCCAGGGCGGTTTTCTGTCCGCCCGTCTCTTCCGTGTTTCCTGAGTGGGACGCTTTGCTGAGGGAGGCTCTGCCCCTCGTCCCCGTTTCCTGAGTGGGACGCTTTGCTGAGGGAGGCTCTGCCCCTCGTCCCCGTTTCCTGAGTGGGACGCTTTGCTGAGGGAGGCTCTGCCCCTCGTCGAGTAGGTTATTTGTGTCAGTTGCTTCCTTCTCTGTTTTACTTCACGGCCGTGACCCAGTGCTCTGCGGATTCGGTTCATTCACGGTATTTCAGCCTTGGTCACTGGGAGCTCTCACAGTTGGGCTCTCGTGCCCTGTGATTTGCCCTCATCTTTTTTTAAAGCCTTTTTTTTTTTTCAAACTATCTGGCACTGCAGGATGCTCTAAACTTAGATGTTTTTCCTGCCCTTTTCCTGCAGTCCGCCACTTTCCCAGTGAGCCCTGTTTCCTCTTGTTGCCGAGTGCTGCTTAGAGATGAGATGTGGGTGTGGGGTGCTGCCTGCTCCGGGTGTGTCAGGGCCCCAGGGCCCCTCGGTGGACACCCTGACACTGGCTCCATCCAGCACCCCTGGGCTGTCCTCGCCTCCTGTGCTGTCTCCTTGGTCTTGAGAAGCCCAGGTGTCAGCACACACCATGTTTTACTTACCCATCCAGTCCTCACGTGCGCACAGGGTCTTTCTGGAATTGCTAATCCATGGCTCTGTGAGGAGAGGTTGACTTGCGAGGGTGCAGTGTCTGTGGACAGGCCGTTCTGTCCTTGGCCTACCGTTCCCAGTGGAAGTGGCGTTTTCTCAGCACCGTGGGTGCCGTTGTGTTTCCCACTGCCTGGTGTTGTGTTCTTTGTTTGTGGTTCCCTTAGGTTTACCGCTTAGAGCTGGTGTTTCATTTTGAGTCTTTTTCATTCTGGTTGATTAAAAAAAACTGTCTATACAGCCTCATTTGCCCTTCTGCTGTGCAGCTGCGCATTTTCACATGCCTGGGGCTGACTTGCGGCCCCACCACCCCAGACTCCCCTCCCTGGCCACCCCAGCATGCTTTCTGTCTGGTGATTTTGCCTTTTCCAGAACGTCATACAAATATGGCATCTTTGGCTCATGGAGGTGCATTTGGGACTCACCGCGTGGCTGTGTGAATCGCAGCGCTGCTTTTCGTTGCTGAGTGATGCTCCAGGCACGGCTGCTCTGGGACTTGTTTATTCGTTCACTGGTTGAAGGACATCTGTATTGTTTCTGGGTTTGGTGAAATGGAGTAAAGCTGCTGGAAATGTTGGCTTTGTATGATCTAAACTCTTACTTTTCCTTGAGCACATACTTAGGAGTGGGACTGCTGGATCCTGGCATCCTTTTAACTTCAGAAGACATTGCCTTGTGGGTCTCCACAGCGGGAAGCATCCGGTGTGTGCGTTCGCGGTGTGTGCGTTTGCTGTGTGTGCAGGTCCACTCCGCACAGGCCTGCTCCTGCTGGGCCACGCCAGGGTTTTGGGCTTAGCTGCCCCCACAGGGCTGTGTGGGCTGTGTGTTGCGTTTTCCAGCGTGCGGCTGCTGGCCCCAACCTGGCGTCAGACAGTTGCTGTGGTGCTTTCTGCAGCCCCCAGCCGTGTTGGCTTGCACAGCCCTCTGGACTTGTGGTCATCATGGAGTTGTAGCCCCTTTTCCCCACCTGATTTCCCACGTATCGGGATCAAATCTAAGCTGGTTTCGTTTTGCTTCCTCTCAAGTCTTTTGTCTTTCCTCCCTTCCTCCTTTTTCATTGATCTCTGTTCTCCGGTGACTTTAGGGAAAGACTGTACCTCATTCATTCCGAGGCACGCTCCTTGACTAGAGCAGAGAGCAAGGGCTGAGCAGCCACGGTCTCGAAAGCTCCTTGCCGCCTGGGAGGCTTCCACGCCTGGGACTGGGGGCTGGGCAGCCAGCGTGCAGAGGTGGAGGGGTGCATGGAGGCGCCTGCGGGCTCTGAGGCCTGGCTTCCCGAGCCCCTCTAGTCTTCATCTGTGGGACGATCACACAGACCGCATGGTGTGGGGGGAGCGAGGGGCGGGCACAGTGGACGCTCGGTGTGTGTGCTCCTCCTCTCTCCCTGTTTCTTCTTTGTTCCTCTTGTCTTTAATTTACTTTTCGTCGGAGGACTTGGCCGCAGCGTGCCCTGTGGACTTGAGACCGAAGCTCTCTTCTGCTCTTTGTACCCTGCTGCTTCCTGATCCGTTCTTCCTCCCCTCACTTGTGTACAGGACTCGAGGGAGGGATGGGGTGAGAGCAGAGCAAGCCAGGGATGTAGTGAGCTTTGTTTGGACAGGAAGGGTTTGCCCGCGCCGTCATCTCCTCGGCTCTGCTGGGAAACTGTGTTTGAGGGAGATGGTGGGGTCTGAGCGCAGACGGCTGTTGTCCTGTGAGATGCAGAAAGCGCTTCTTATGGGCGTGCACCATGGAATTCCCTGCTCGGACCGCACTGGGGGCAGGCGGTGAGTATCGGTATAGAAGTAGCTTTTATTAATTGGTGAAGCCCGTCACAGATCTGAAAGCATCTTAATAGTCTGAAATGATGGCTCTTCAGCAAGAAAAATTTGATTTGGGACAAAAGGGAGACACTTGAGACCCAAAATGACTTGGCTGTGTTGAGGATGGGAAGGAGGCCTTCATCTGCCGCACGTCTGAGTCACTCCAGAGTTTTCTCCACTGCCAGTGTGAGTCAGAGCGAATCACTGTTGGGTTGTGACTTCAGAAGAAGTGAACTCTGTCTCAGGCTGTATTAATAGAAGTAGATGCTTCACAGGAGAGGAGGTGTCTGTGCGAGTCACAGCCCTGCGGGGTCTGATTTCCGCTTTGGGCGTGGCTTCTGAGCCGGGACCTCGAGGCGCCAAGGGAACAGGAGCAGCCGGGCAGCTGCTCGCTTGGTTGTGCCTGCTGTGTACCGAGGCGTGGGGCATGGCGGCACGGCTGTGAGCGCACAGTCCAGCCACAGAAGGAGGCTTCAAGAATCTTTGCGGTGCTGCCATCTGGACATCTGTGTCATTGAAGTCACAGGAGGAGGCTTCAAGAATCTTCGAGGTGCTGCCATCTGGACATCTGTGTCATTTTGATAACGTGTGTGAGATCAGTGGAGGGGAGCCTTAGGAAAATCGGCTGTGGTTTAATAAACTGAACTTCCCGCTGCTTTGAGCCGGAGCCTCCTGGACTGGAAAGGCGTGGGCCTCATGGCCACCTCCGGCCTGCGCAGCTGGGTCTGCACTCTCACAACTGTGCTGAGCCCACGCTTGTGCCCTTACTAGTGGCCTGACCTCTGCGCTGTGGAGAAGGGTGGATATTGTCGCCAACTCTCAGACTTCTTGTGTGTGTTCAGAAAGTACCCAAACGGATTCAAAGGAATAATTAGCGTATCCTGTAAGATATGAATCTTAATTCCTAAATTACATATTTAGCAGATTGTCCAAAATAGCACTTGTAATGGCAACATTCAATTAGTTTAAAAAATGTATATTATTGCAACACTCGCCATGAGTTTTATTTAGAGGTTTCTAAATATAATGCTATAAAAACACAGAAGTGTTTAAAACTATTTAGACCCACGCAGCCGCAGTGAGCTCTTGCTAAACTTCCTACGTTAACCAGCTCTTGACAATCTTGGATTGTGGGGAAGTCTTCTGATGTAGTCCCTAAAGCTGACACGCCAGAGCATCTCGAGGCTGTTGGGGGCTGTTGCTGGGATCCTGAGGCCGCACACCTCCCTGCTATGAGTTCTGACGTTTACAAACATAGGAAGTGAGTTGAAATGACAGAGTCCTTGGGGCCCCACTCTTGAGTGTCCTCCTGGGGTTGGCGGGCGTGGGGCTCCCGCTGTGCCGGGTTCGGCTCCTGTGTTGCCGTGTTCCCTGCGGCTGCTGCAGCCGCTTCTCGTCACCTGATTGTGTGTGCGCCTCCAGTGCTCTCATGGGCTGCTTAAGGCAGGGACTATCCATGTGGCCTGAAGAAGAAGCCGAGGCCCGGGGAAGTTGCATGTAATTGACACCAGAGGGCTGGCCTCATTTCAGGAGGAGCAGAGCTCGGGTTTTCCGTCTAGGTGGGAGATGGGATGGTGATGGGCCCACAGGCAGGGCCTGTCCTCTGATGGGAATCCGAAGTGGGTGCGGAGGACCCAGAGCTGAGGGTGAGCAGCTCTGAGCTGCAGAGCGGGTGCGGGGAGGCTGTGTGCGCAGCACAGGGAGGCGTCTGGAATGGCCGGGTGGGGGTCTGGAACCCATACTTGGTAGCGCCTGTTTGGTCTGTCCCGTGCTCTTCCTGCGAGCCCTCGCGGGGGCCCTGCACTTCCCCAGGAGCTGCCTCAGAGATGTGCCAGTGAAGAAGGGATGGAACTGATCGTGGATCGGGCCGGCTCCTGGAGGCCACCTGGGCCCATTTCTGACAGCCGCTCCTGCCGCGTCCCTAGCTCAGAAGGAGCTCGAGGCTGAGCCGTTTCCCCAGGGCTGCTGCCTTTGTTTCTCCCATTCTGAAAGGAGATGAAAGTTTCTACTGACCTTAGAGAGAAAGCCAGAGTGAAACCCCCTCTGCCAACCCCTGGCTCCCTGTGAAAAGCCTTCCTGGTAATCAAGTGTTTACAGAGGAAGGCTTTGTTCAGACCCTTTCTGGGGCTCTGTATGTTTAAACAAAGAGCTTTTTAGACCTAAACACAGATGTTCATTTGAAAATGAAAAATCAAATTAAGCAGAACCAGCCTTTGAAAGTTAATGCCCTATAGCAAGTAAAACAAAGGGAGAAAAACACTGTGTTGTAAATTTTACTTAAATAACTTTTTATTTTAAATAAAGTTTTAAACTAAAAAAGTATAATTTGAAAGCCACTCATCTTCCTCTCTGTCCTCCAGTAGAACATCTGTGCTGATTCTGACGCGGATGAATGACATGAATTAAACCAAAACCGTCGGAGCGCTCTTTTTACCATAATTACACCTTGTTCGTTTGTGAGACACAATGTGGGGATGAAATGCCAATTAAGCCTGCTATGATAATGAGGTGGGGCCTGAATAGTGATCAGCGGACATGAATCCCACCGGAATTCATTTGCTACAGCCCCCAAGTTTGTTCTCTTCTGATGGGAATGTTATCGTACATAATGAAAATCTTTAGTGCTCCTTGTATTTAAAAATGATCCATTTTGGGGTTTTTGGTCAGCAAGTTTTAAAACAGGTGTTTTCCGAGCACCTGGATGGGTTTCATGTCCCCACTGAGCATCCTGTTGGTGGGGGGTGGGGGGGTGCCGGTGTCTCCTGTCCCCTGCCTGGACTCTTCTGTGGAGAGCTATGGTGTCACAGCCCGGGACACAGTCCAGCGACATGTGCCAGGCACCATCCCCATGGGTGCCCTTGCAGGTCTGGGTGGCAGCTGAGAAACCATTTTCACCCATCACTGTGTCCAAGCATTTACCATCTCCGACCCTCAAATACCCTCTAATGTTTTGAAACATAGGAAGTGCGTTGAAATTATTGAAAGCACTGTGAAGGAAATGCTTTGGGTGTTGTGGAATGACAGGGTGGGAAAGACGTCACTGGGGGCCAGGCAGGGCCTTACCAGGAGGCAGCATCTGAGCAGAGGCCTGAGGGCAGCCGGGGGCTGGGCAGGGGTGACCAAGCGGGACAGACGAGCTGCTGGGACGCCAGCAGGGCTGGCACAGTGCGGGGATCACAGCATGATTGCAGCGGGCAGCTGTTGAAGACTGGAAGCGCGGCAGTGGCATGGTTACCTCACACAGTCGGAAGAGCGACCTGGAGAAAGAGGCCTTCGGGATGGGGAGCAGGAAGTGTGTCGGTGCGTGAGGATGCAGGGGTCCAGCGAAGAGGCTGTGGGTAGTTCAGGGGGAGGTGGTGGGGTGGCAAAGACCACCCTGCAGTGACCACATAATCCTCGAGGGCCAGCCCCCTCTGCCCCAGGGCTGCTGTGGCTTGGGCTGCAGCCTCTGGACTGGGCTTCCTGCCACCGGATGCTCCGGCAGCGAGACCTCACCAACTCTGACTGTCCCGCCCCACACACTCCTGGCTTACCGCCTGCAGGGAAGGTGCTTGCGACTCCTCTGTGTTGCTAGGGATGTTGGCCCTGCCTCCTTCCACGCCTCCCGGTGCGCTGCCATCCTCAGGCCCTCCGGCTGTCCCAGGCAGCCAGGTGCTGAGTGATGCTGTATGTGGGTGCCCTTCCTGTCCTTGGGAGCCAGGCTGTGGGGCCGGGCCCTGTGAGAACACACGGCGTCAGGAGCCTCCTGGCTCTTTCACACTAGACTACGCTCCTCTAGGGGACTGGGCCAGCTGCGTTCTGGACCCCCGGGCCCCTGCCCAGGTCTGCACTCAGCTGTCTCTCAGCCAGGGCCAGGAGGGTCTCCATCACGAGTCCTCCTGGGGGCTGAAGGGTGACTGGCTCCCAGCTGAGAGAGCCGGCTGCAGCATGGACTCATGACAGCTGGGGAGGGGCAGCCCTGCAGAAGGGACTGAATGGTGACTTTCCTCTCTCAGGTTTCGTGGAGGCCCTACAGCCCATGCGGGACAACACGTTCCAGTGCAGCTGCAGGCGTCTTTTGCGGGATGGGCCGAGAGTGTGACGGGCTATGCTAGCCTGGGTCTGGTGGGCTGGAGAGGAGGGAGGCGGTCTCCTAGGAGGGATTTGTGCCCCTGGCCTGCCTTCTCCCCCCACCCCTGGGAGAGTGGAGCTCACGTGTCCTCCTTGGTGTTAGGCAGGGTTGGAGAGGGAGCCTCGGAGAGCCTGCTGGCTTGGCACAGGTTTCCAGGAGCGCATGTGGGAAGGGCAGGGTGGGGCCGGGCCTGGGAAAGGGGGAGAGTGAGTGACCATGGCCGTCTCCAGGGATGGGCATGTATATCCGATAGAGAAGGAAGGGCAGGGTGGGGCCGGGCCTGGGAAGTGGGGAGTGTGAGTGACCATGGCCGTCTCCAGGGATGGACATGTGGATCCGATAGAGAAGCGGCCTGCCGTGCTCGCACCTTTCACGCAAGGCACCGACGCAGTGGAGGGGTGCTGCCGATGTGCCAGCACTAAGGGCCCAATTCCTAGCCTAGGCGTAATGGGGCAAGGGCCCTGTGCTGGGGGTGGGAGGCGGGACTGTGTGCTGGGCAGGGTGGAGGGGCGGGGCTGTGTGATGGCTGGCGCTGTGTGTGATAGATAGGTCTGGGGGGTGGGGCTTCGTGCTGGGCAGAATGGAGGGGCGGGGCCATGTGTGGGGCAGGGGCGGGGCCATATGTGGGGCAGGGGCAGGGGCAGGGCTGAGGTGTTGGTGCCCTTTGGTTGTGGGGCCGCAGCTGGATAGGGCTCTGGGACTGTGCTCCAGAAGGTGTTGCTAGGTGGCATCTGTGACGATGGGGGCCTTTCCTGCTGCCCTACCCTGGAGCTGGGGAGCGGGGTGGGTGAGGAGCGTTGAGGAGGAGAGAGCTGGAGCTGGTGGTACTGGGGTTTTGGCTGGGCGTCTCACGTGCCTGGACTTTCTGGTCTCATCTGGAAGGTGGTCTCTTACTGGACCGTGCGGGGGTGAGGAGACAGGCCGAGGCCACCAGGTAAAGCAGGGCTGTGGTGAGAGAGGCCCCATTTTCCCTCAGAACCTTCACAGTGCGTGGCTGGCCTTGGCAAGGCTGCATGGCTGGTCCCAGGGCTTCCTGGCCTCGTTACTTCCTGGCTTCAGGGCAGTGTAGGAGCAGCCACAAAGCAGACATTTGGGTTGTCCTTTATGAATGCCTCGGGTGATGATCCACGCTCCCTGCCTTGCCCCAGCGCAGGCTGTGCCCGCCCACCCTCCCGTGGAGCCCACGCTTTGCTCTGCCTGCTGCTGCCAGGCCAGCAGAGACCGCCCCGTAGGGCACTGCGGTTTCTGCGGCCTGTTCTGCCCTGAGTGGCCTTCCTCCCCTGCTCTTAGCTGGGCCCCCTCACTCCACCTCGCTGCTGGCTTTGTTGCCTTTCAGGCTGTGACCACCTGAAGCCAGCTCGTGTGTTAGTGCCCTTTGTTAGTAACCAACCCCTTGTCGGCAGAGACCTTCCCTTTCTGCTCACTGGAATATCCCCAAGCAGGACGGTGCGGTGTTTGTGGCCTCAGAGAGTGAGGCTCTCCCGGGCTGCAGAGGCACAGCCAGTTTCTTCCCGGCAGACCTCTTTTCAGAACAGCCCCTCACTGCGGTGTCCGGCCCCTGGGGAAGCCGGGCTCTGACTGGGTGGGTCAGCCCTCAGGCTGTGCCAGGAATCCCATCTCCAGGCGGGCTGTGCGTAGTTCCCTTCGTGTTTTAACATTTAGGAGGTGAGCGGTTTCCTTCCCTGAGCTCCGGAAAGAGTCCCCAGGGCTTGCGGGGGGACCTACCCTGCATTGCACGTTGGAAGGAGAGGCAGCTGCAGGCTGAGCCCACATGGCTGTGCACGGCCTGGCGTGGGAGCTGCAGTGATTTATGTGACCTGTGCTCAGATAATTAAAGTGGGATTTGGCAGTGAGGTCTTTCATGGCAAAGGCGTTAGGGATGTCACAATGAGGCATGTAAGTATAAAACAGTTATGTTTTCAAAGGCGTTAGGGATGTCACAATGAGGCATGTAAGTATAAAACAGTTATGTTTTCAGGTTAAGAATTTAACGAGGAGTAAATTCATTTAAACCGAAGAGCTGGCTTAAGGGGAGCTTTCGTGGAAGATCTGTAGTTGCTGGCATTTCATTCCTTCTCATTTGAGCCCAGCCTGTCTCTGGTGGCAGAGCGCGTGTTCCGAGTGTCCAGGTGCCGCAGCCGCCCCCTGTAGGCACCAGCGTGTTTGACATGCGGGTCAGGGATCTGACGCAACAGGCCGCCTCCACATGCCAGACTGCGTCCCCCTTGGCCTGCTATTGCGCCGCCGTGACGGCTCTCCTTCGCGGAGGGGCGGGGCTGTGGGGGCTGTCTTCCTGTGTTTTCTCTCCGGGGCCTCATCTGCCTTCAGGAGCCTGTGCAGTGCCACTCGGGCTGAGCAGCCTCCGCCAGTGCACAGGGGACTCCGGGCTTGCCTCTGTGGAGGAGTTTGCCGCTATCTGCTCTGCCTTTGTCCTGGTTCCCCAAATGGAGGCCCAGCCTGCCGTGGTTCTAATCCAGGTTTCTGGTCATCAAAGCAGCATGCCTTTAATAACAGATATGGCCTGTTGTGCAGTTGGCCCGGAGAGCTCTGATCATTACTTATCTGCCACGAGATGCTTTTGCTCAAGGCAGGCTGCTGAGGAGCACACTCCTTACCTTCATTGAATGATTTCCAGACACCGGCTGCATATTTGATTCTCTGCCATGTGTCTGGGGGCCTCTTTCTCCGACGTCCAGCGGGGTGGAGTGTTGTATGGCGTGGCATCAGAACTGGTGGTCTCCCCGCATTCCTTGCCTTTTCCCACCCCATCTCCAGAGTCCGGACACCACCTGTGAGACTGTCCCTCTGCCTGGGGATGCGGAGGGACTCCGTGCACAGTGGTTCAGGGGGTCTGCTTATGCCACACTGCTGGGATCTGGGCAGGGAGGAGGACAGCACCTGCCCTCTGAGTAGCCGCCTCCCTGGCTCCTCCTCGTGGCCGCTCCCTCCTTCTCCCCTGTGGGATCGAGTCTCAGTGTTCTGGCTGTGCTGCCCGGCTCCTGAGAGGCCTTCGCAGGGGCTCCCAGGGCTGCCTGGTGGTGGGCTTTGCCCCAGTGCTGGCCCATCTGCGGTTGCCCCGCCCAACAAAGAGCACGGTGGTCGAGAGCCCCGCCGCTGTGCAGTGGCCTCGGGGGCGGGTGAGATCTGCTGCACTGCTGTATCGCCTCACCCTCTGTCCTCTCAGGTGCTCACCCACTTCTTCCAAACAGAAACGTCATCACTAGGCATGGCGATGTCCCATGTGCCGTCTACTGAGCGGCGGGGCAGGCAGGCCCAGGCCTTCACTGAGTGCAGGAGCGCAGGTATGACTGTGTGTGCAGGGCCCGTCGGGGCAGCCATGGCTTGGGCTGCGACCCGGCCCTCAGCGTGGCCGGATGGACGGCCTCCCTCTGGACACACCATGTGGGCTGAGAGCTGAAGCGTGGTCGGAGCTGCCCCTTTGTAGGGTGCAGGGGCAGGGGAGAGAGCCCGTTCCAGGCAGAGGCAGCAGCAAGCGCAGGGGCCCTGAGGTGGGAGAGGACGCGCGTCTCCAGCAGGCAGGCAGCGTGGCCAGGCCTGACCCAGCGCTGACCCAGGTGTTGGCAGCATCACGGAGGCTGCCTCCTCTGAGTTGTGGAGCTGATGTCCTGAGAGGGGACAGTGCCACCTCTGCCGAACCTGTTTTCTCCGTGTGCCTTATACACCTGAGGAGAGGCCCGCTTTAGGAGTGGGTAGGAGAAGACGCCATCTCTGGGCATTGTCTCTGGAGTGACAAGGATGCGTCTCATGCTGAGGATGGCGTGGAGAGTGGTCCTGAGAGTGCTGGTGACGGTGGAGACGGTGACGGCCATGATGGTGCGAGGGTGGCGGTGACCGTGGTGTCACTGATGGTGACAGTGGTGATGGTGGGGACGTGGTGAGAGTGCTGGTGACGGTGGTGATGGTGTGGAGAGTGGTCCTGAGAGTGCTGGTGACAGTGGAGATAGTGACAGTGGCGATGATGGTGCGAGGGTGGTGGAGACCGTGGTGTCACCGATGGTGACAGTGGTGATGGGGATGTGGTGAGAGTGATGGTGACAGTTGTGATGGTGACGGTGGTGGTGATGGTGACGTGAGAATGGTGGTGATGGTGGTTATTGGTGACAGTGGTGAGTGGTGACAGTAGCAGTGGTGGTGAGTGGTGACAGTAGCAGTGGTGGTGAGGGTGACAGTGGTGATGGTGACATGGTGAGAGTGCTAGTGATGGTGGTGGTGATGGTGACGGTGGTGATAGTGACGGTGGTGATGGTGGCGGTGGTGATGGTGATGGTGACGGCGGTGATGGTGACGGTGGTGATGGTGACAGTGGCGGTGGTGGTGGTGATAGTGATGGTGGTGATGGTGACAGTGGCGGTGGTGGTGGTGGCGGTGGCGACGGTGGCGGTGGTGACGGTGACGGTGGTGATGGTGGTTGTGGTGACAGTGGCAGTGTTGGTGATGATGGTGGGTGCAGTGGCAGGACTTGGCATCTGTTGAGAGTCTGCCCTGTGACTGGTGCCAGGACCTAGCCTGCGTTTTCACCTTATCCTGTGCTCTCAGCCTCTTCTGCTGGGGAGACTCAGTCCTGAGTCAGACAGGAGGGTCCAAGGTCAGCGAGGCTGTGTGATCTGCCCACTCCCACCCATGGCAGATTCAGACCTCCAGTCAGGGTCTTCCCAGCTGCAGAGCCCCCTGTGTGCACTGGACTGCACTCCTCCTTCTCCTGCCTGGTATGTGTTTATCCAGCATGTGTCAGGCGTGGGCCAGCTTGGGCTGTGATGGTGACTGAGACAGCTGTGGCCCTGTGTGCACGGAGCCAACAGTCTAGTGGGTGAGCAGCATAGAAGCTGTTCACTTTGGTGAGCATGGAGCCGGTAGTCTGGTGGGTGGCAGCATAGAGGCTGCTCACTTTGGTAAGTTGAGGGAAGAAGCGTCTTTGTTCTTTACTGGCTCTCAGGGTCCAGGTGCACAGCCTCCTGGATGGAGGCCCTTTAGGAATGGAGCCCCAGTCTCACGCCAGGCACCCGGATGGAGACCCTTTAGGAGTGGAGCCCCAGTCTCCTGCCACCCACCTGGATGGAGACCCTTTAGGAGTGGAGCCCCAGTCTCATGCCACCCACCTGGATGGAGACCCTTTAGGAGTGGAGCCCCAGTCTCATGCCACCCACCTGGATGGAGACCCTTTAGGAGTGGAGCCCCAGTCTCATGCCACCCACCTGGATGGAGACCCTTTAGGAGTGGAGCCCCAGTCTCATGCCACCCACCTGGATGGAGACCCTTTAGGAGTGGAGCCCCAGTCTCATGCCACCCACCTGAATGGAGACCCTTTAGGAGTGGAGCCCCAGTCTCGCGCCAGGCACAGTGGCTGTGGCCCTTCCCCCCAGGGCAGACCCCATAGCACAAAAGCCCGCATCCTCTTTGGTGTATGAATGTTCCCACAGTGGAAACTAGGGTTTTTCCAGTCCCTTGTGACAAAGGATTATGAGTTTTTTCCCATTGAAGGGGAGCAAGTTTCTGAGGGTGGGAAGGAAGCCGTTGAAAACAAATTGGCAGCACTCCCCCCATCCTCTTGCTGATGGGGAAAGTGGTTAATTAGGTGATTTTTCTCTTCCCCTGACACGTGCAAATGAGGCTTCGTTAATAACTGCACTGTTACAGAAATGATACGACTTTAACACCAACGTCAAGTTGTCAGGCGTGTCTGCAGAGTGGAGGTGGGGGGCACTGGAGGCCCCTGCGCCCCTCCCGACAGGAGTCATGCTGGAGCCGCGCCTCCAGTCGCTGGGGCTTGGCCTTGGGCAACGAGCTGTTCCCCTCCCACCCTCCAACCCCCTTCAGGGCCAGCTTAATTATTTAAAACTGATGATAAAAACAGAATGAGCTGCCAAGATGAAGTGATGATTTGCGGCCAGGACCTGGGGCTTGGGTGGACGCGGCTCCCACTCTCCCTGCTTGCTGTGTGCTGGCCCAGTGCGGCCGTTTCCAAGGACGCCTTCCGGTTTGCAGCCAGGGCCCAGGACACGGACAGCATCTCTGCTCTCAGGTGTCAGGAGGCCTGCAGATGGTGCAGGGCCCGCTCAGGGCTTGTCCTGCCAGGACGAGGCAGACGCGCCGGGTGGGCAGGTGGGTAGGGTAAAGCAGAAGCAAAGCGGCAGTACCACAGAGCAAGGCACCAGCATTGTAATGTCTGGAGTGTGGCACCCCCTCCAGGAAGCAGGTGCTTCACGCTCAGAAGCGCCTGGCTGTGGCATGCTTCTTACTATCTGTCAGAAGGCTCAAGGTCAAAAGGCCGTGCTTTCTGCCATAGAGTTTCAAGAGTAAAGGAGAACGCGGAGATCTAGTCAGCTGGGATTCCTAGCTCTGCTCAGAAACAGGCTGGGCTTTGAGACCTTTTCCTCCTCATTTTCCCTGCTGGTCTGGAACAGAAAGTACTTGCAGCTGACTGCGCTGGCCGTCGTAAAGCAGTGTGCACCTGTCTCTCAAACCTCAATGGTTGCCTGGGATTTGCTTCTCACCTATGTCCTTATCCATCAACAGGTAGTTATTAAATGCCCATGTCCCTGAGACGGTTTTGGGCTTTGTGTGGCTGGGGGCGAAGTGTAAGGAATGACCTCTACCTGTAAGGAGCTCACAGCCAGCCCCTTGGCTTGAGCTGTGAGAAGTTTGAAAATCCATGTGCTAGGTTAGCCCAGATGACACCAAGAGCATTGGTGCTGGTTCTTCTGAGTCATGCCTGGGGCATCGAGGGCTGGGCTGGTGGGAGGTGACTCCTCACAGTCGGCAGCCAGTCCCACTGGGGATAGTTTCATGGCCAGAATGGCCTACCAGGGGCTCCTCCCTGCAGGGTTGAGAGCTCACGCCTGAGGACTGTTCACAGGAAGCCACGGCCCGGGTGCTTCCTGGGTCTCGGGTAGGAGTACCTCTTCTGAACCACGTCTAATGGGTTTTTTGAAGAGAAGAGAAATGAATCTCCCAGTGCTGACTTCTGAGATTCGGCTGTCTCCCAGCCCGATGCGCTCACTTCCGTCCACGCTCCCGCCTGGCCTCTGGGTGGCGGGTTGTTAGTACAGTAAAGATTGCTAGCTGTCTCTTTTGCAAATCTAAAATGAGATTTCATTTTTTTAAATAAAAAGAAAAAAGTGCTTGAACATTTGCAGCTGGGAGATAGCACAGATTAGAAACATTACTTATCTCTGCTGCACAAAAGAAGGCAGCGAGAGAGGAATAAATTGCTGTTGAATGCTAACGAAGCCAAGGCGGCAGGGGCTGCGGGAAACAACTCCTGTTGAGGAACAGAGCGAGCACCTGACCTGCACCCTCCACAGTGGGCCGGGCGCCGGAGTGCACAGGGCAGGCGGGGCTGTGGGTCCAGGTGAGACAGGCTGTGGCTGCTGCATGTTGACCTGGCGGTCGGGGTGGAGTCTGGTCACCAGTGTTAGCGGTGCGTTGGGGGATGCTCCTTCCTGGACCATGGGAGGCTGTGCTACCACTGCGCTTAGGAGCCTCAGTGAAGCTCACCCTCTTCAGCCACGTGCACTGGGGTCACTTGTGTTTCTGTCACCCTTGCCACCCATCGTGTCAGGAGGCCTCCGTGTCCATGCCAGGGTGCCCTCCATCCCCAGACATTCCGGCACCTTCCTGTTGTTTCCTCTATAAGAATTCCCACCTGCCCTCTTGGCTTAGCAAATTCCAGCTCAGCCTTTGAGGTCCAGTTCGAGTAGCGTCTTTTCTGACCCCTTTATTTGGCCCTCCAGGGGCTTTCCTTCTGTTCCTCCATTTCCCCTTGGGCCCACCTCTGGGGACGCCGGGCCTTGGTGCGTGATGCCTGGCGTGTGGTGTGAGCCCTGTGGTGTGTAGATCTTCATTGCCTCTGGCTCATGCCGGGCAGCTATCGGGTGTGGTAGTGCGCTCCCTTGGGCCTCCTGGAGCAGTGGCAGCAGGCGGCTCTTGCATGTGCCGTGTCCTCCGTGACCAGGGCTGTGCTGGATGGACGTGTCTGCCGTGCTGTGCTCCCTGCCCATTTGTTTGAGGGGGCCGTCCTTAGCGTAGCCTTCCTGACTTGTTAACCAGGCAAGAGACCATACACATGATGGCTTGGGTGACTGCTGCTGCGTACGGCATGGTTGGTGGGACCCCAGGCAGCAGGGGAGAGGGACCCTGGCTATTTGGATCTCTGCGGTGAGTGGGAGGGACTCTTGCCCACTTTGTGTCTGGTTGTCACAGGGTTTAGGGCCCGAGGTCTCTTGTTCCTGTCTGGACTGAGCACCTGGGTCCCCGTGGCGTGTGCTGCGCAGGCCTCATCTGTGGACGGAGGGTGTTTGCCATGCGCCTTCTGCGCAGAGGCCTGGTGTGTGACTGGCGCTCTGGTGCTACGGGGCTTTGGCAGAGGACGGCGCTGTGCAGTCAGCCCCAGTCCTGGGGCCTCAAAGACTCAAGGTCATTTTGAGTCCTCCAAAGCAAGGTGATTCCAAGTGTGTCTTCAGAGTCTGAAGTCGCGGGCGTCCTCACTGATCTGTCCTCTGTGCCCCGAGAAGACAGAGCTGTGTGGCATGGAGCCGCCGCATGAGTGATTCCGCTGCCTTCCTCCCGCTGGAGGTGAAGCTTCCTCTCAGTTCCGTCTTACTTTGATCCAGTGCGACACCGCGCTGCTGAGCGTGCCCTCCCCGTTGGTCTGGGAGACCTGAGTGCAGAAGCCTACAGCAGGGGCACCCCTTCTGCTTTCCCGGCCCTCGTCCCTTGCTGAGGAACACTGCCCAGGCATGAGCCTCAGAATGGGCTGAGTCTCGATGCAGGCGCTGCTCCCAGGGGTCCCAGACGCCTCTGCAGCCTCAAGGCCTCACTGTCTCCCTTCCCCACTCAGCACCACTCCCTGCTGGTCCGGGCAGCCCCTGCTGCTGCTGTGTGTCTCTTGCCTCATCCCCTGTGCCAGGGGCGTGCCCTTCTGCACCTCCAGAGGCCTGGTGCCCGTGGATGGCCGGCTGTGGCTGTGGGTGTCCGCACCTCCTGCTGCCTGGGTTCTCACCCTCATAGCTTCTCTAGGTGTGAGAAGCACTTTCTCATTCACTGCCTGGCTCCCAGCTTGGGTTCCTTGGCATTCTCGGACCCATTGTTCCTCGGCCCCATTGCTTTCTCAGTGGTGTGGACTGAGATGAATTGGAGCAGTCGCCTGTCTGAGGCCTGGGCGGAGTGAGACCCCCTCCCCAGGTGTCCCGGCTCTGGCCCCCACGTCCTCGCTGCCTGCATTGTGCTGCTTTGGATTTTGGGCTGGTTTTGAGTCCTGTCCACTTGGTCTTGGCTGAGGAGGCCTTAGCGGTCATCTCCTCTTGTGTGTCCCGGAAACAAGGACGTTGAGGCCTGAGTGGGGTGAGCGCGTGCTTGGGTGCCGTGGGGTGGGGTGTGGCAGAGCCAAGAGGGGTGAGCGCGTGCCTGGGCGCCGTGGGGTGGGGCGTGGTGGAGCCGAGTAGGGTGAGCCTGTGCCTGGGTGCCATGGGGTGTGGTGGAGCCAGGAGCCTGGAGGCTGCCCCCTTCCCCTTTCACATCTCCCGCCTTGCAGCTGGTGTGGGGGATACCCGTGGTGCGTTTATCATAACCATGTCAACTGTGGTCCACTGCTTGCTTTCTGTGCCTGGCAGGGTCCCCGGGTGCGCTGTCATTCCTGGCAGTCCTGGAGGGTGCCCGCCTGTGGGTGGCAGCCTGGAGGTACAGTGGCAGACCTGCTGGCCGGGGGTCACCGGCTATGAGGGTGGGGCCCACGCCTGGGCCAGCGTCCTCTGCTGTCGGGCTGTACCATGGGTCTGTGCCCCCAGCCTCTGCTGGGCGGGGTGGTGGTGGTCGTGGGGCAGCTGCAGCCTGCCCCCTCCCTTATGTCTGTGGCTGGGCCTCGTGAAGGGGCCTGAGTTGACGAGTTTGCCTGAGACACATGCAGGAAGGTTCTCTGAGGCTGAGTCTGGCCTCGTTCCTCCTGTCCTCTGCCGAGGAGCTGTAGGGTCTCGCTGTAGCGGGGGAAGCTGTCCTCGAAGTCTTCAATTCAGATGCCCCTTGGAGAGCTGTTTCAGTGCCCGCCCCGCCCTGCCCAATGCACACACAGAATAAAATAGAAGAGTCCCCTGGTCCCATGAAGGCAGCTAACAAATTCAAAGCTCTGTGGAAAAGCAGCGTAGGAGGAGACCTGGCTTTTGAGAGTGAAAGCCGAGTCCGCACTGAGGTTCGGCCAGGCTCATGTGTGCCCAGAGCCAGATTGCAGGCATGAGCCCCGCCACCCCCAGATGTGTGCAGGCGCAGAGGGTCAGCACCACAGCTCTTTGCGCCGGAGGACTGGGTCTTTGTGTGAGTTCTCCCTGGGATCACAGGGCCCTTTCCTCCTGGGAGCCCTTGTGTCCGACGAGGACGACCTTGTGGCTGGCAAGTGTCCTGGAGGCTGGTCCCTCAGGACCCTCCCTGTCCTCATCTGGAATTCACCTTTCTTCTGAGCACAGCCTGTGTGGCGTCGTGTGCTCTGATGGCCTTACCCAGAGGCCACCTTGGCCGCCGGCCTTGCTTTCTCCTGTTTGTGGGCTGCGAGCTGTCATTACGTGACTGAGTCCTGATCAGGCCTGGGGGAGCCCGATTCTAACGACCCTGAGGCTCATGAGGGACCCCGTCTCTCCTGCTGTGTCTCCCCGCGGACCCGCGCTCTCCTTCCTTCACAGAAGCAAAGCTCCCTTGAGGGAGACACCTCGCCTCTCTCCTTCAGGCACCCCCACCCACCCTAGGGCTGCCGGCAAGTGTGCGTGGATGCACTCTGCCCTTCCCCTTAGAGACGGCTGGGGTGTCCGGCCTGCACCCACAGCTGTCCCTATTGTCCTTGCCCTCCTCTCCTCACGGCTTCCCTGCGTTGGCCCCGCCGGCTGAGCCTTGTGCGCCTGTGTGTCCCTGTGCCCCTCTCGCAGTAGGCAGGTGATGACAGCGGCTCAGGGAGGAAGTGCTGCCTCGCCCCACCCTGCCCAGCATTGCTGCTGTCCACCTCGCCTCCTTGCGTTTTCTGTTTAGCAACAGCCACAGCACGCACTATCTCCCCTCTGGTTACGCTGCCCTTCTCTTTAACAGCGACCGCGGCTTCAGCACTGCCCATCTCCGTTTGCAGCCTGGGAGCCGCGCTAACCCACTCAGGCTGCTTTGCATCTCTTCTGCTATTTGAAGTTAAGGGTGTGTGGATAAAGGGATGTGTGCTTGGCTTTTTCTTTTCTTTTCTTTTTTTATCTTTCCAAAAACATTTTATTTTAAAATATTTCTTGCAGGCTGGGCGCCGTGGCTCATGCCTGTAATCCCAGCACTTTGGGAGGCCGAGGCGGGTGGATCACGAGGTCAAGAGATCGAGACCATCCCGGCTAACATGGTGAAACCCCGGCTCTACTAAAAATACAAAAAAATGTAGCCAGGCGTGGTGGCGGGTGCCTGTAGTCCCAGCTACTTGGGAGGCTGAGGCAGGAGAATGGCGTGAACCCCGGAGGCGGAGCTTGTAGTGAGCTGAGATGGAGCCACTGCACTCCAGCCTAGGCGACAGAGCGAGACTCTGCCTCAAAAAAAAATATGGGGAGATATATATATATATATTTACTATTTAATGATTGCTCAGTTTGAAAAACTTCATTTTGCTCATGTTTCACTGTAGTGTATGTAGTGTGTATATAGAGAGCTGCACAAATTATCCATGAACACGGCATCACCATCACCCGGTCAGGAAACAGCGTGATCAGCTGAGTCCCTCCTGCCCCCCCACTTCCTGTTCCTGGAACTCCCACCCAGTTCCCATCGCCCTGGGTCACTTTTGCCGTGTTTGGTCTCTATGTAGATGGGTCATGTGGTTTCGTTGGTTGGAGTCCTTCCCCCTTGCTGCTTTGCACCTGCGAGCTGTGCTCCTGCCCCGGGGCCTTTGCACCTGCCATCCACGCTCCTGTCCCGGGGCCTTCTCACCTGCCAGCCCCGCTCCTGCCCCAGGGCCTTTGCACTGGCCAGTCCTCTTTCTGGAGCACCCTGTCTGGATAGCAGCAGCCTTCCTGACTTTCCTTCCTGTCTTTCACAACTGTTACCTCCTCGTGGGCCTTCCCTGCCCACCTGTGAAACATCATGACTGTCTGTTCCCTGTCTTGCTGTCACTTTTTCCCGTCAAGCACATTATAGACTTTGGTTTTTTGTGTCTTATTTCTCATCCGTCTTGTCACTTGAAGGGTAGCGCCTCCTCAGCAGTGTTGTGAACAGGTTCCAACACACAGGGGTGCTCGGGCATCCTCTGTCGAGAGTGTGGGTGAGTGCGTGTCCCGTTCCCGATGTGAGAGCTGTGGATTCTGCATCCAGAGGGATTCTGCATCCAGAGGGAGTGCTGGCCACTGGGAGCCCTTTAGGGACACACTCCTCCACACTGACCATGGGTGGGTCCCTGCTCAGCCTCCTGGGAGGGCTGTCCCTTGTGGCTGGCGTTGAGGCCACCTGTTCCCAGCAGCTCAGCAAGGGCTGTGAGTTTGCTCATGGCTGGGCGTGTGCTCCCAGCGGGCTCCCCACTCACCAGTGCTGTCCTCCCTGGCCTCTGCTTTCCTTGGCCCTGCAAGCTGCACAGACGACCGTCTGCGCCCGCGTGGCCTGAGAGCTCTGTGTGGATGCTGTGGCTCTGAGGTTCCTGTCCTCTCCCTGCCTTGCTGTCATGAGTTCGGGAGCAGCTTCTGGGGGTTCCGACTGCCGACCTGACATCGTCACCTGAGGCTTTTCAGCTGATGGAGCCTCTCCTTGTCTGTTGCCCCGTGCCCCACAGTGGCTTTGTCTGCGTTCCTGGGTTCCGCGTTCCGTGCTCCTCTGGCTGATGGAGCGCAGCTGTGGACTCTCCCGTGCGTTGCCCAGCCAGTGCCAGTGTGTCTCATAGGGGTGGATGAGACGGAGCTGTCTTGGGGGCCACTTCCTCTTCTAGGTTCGCCGGATCTGCTTTCCCCACATTCTGTGAGCTGTGTTCCCACACCTGGAAGGAAGGAGGAGGAGAGCGAAGGGGATGTCAGCATTTTATTTGAATTCCTTTCTGAGTCTGATTACAAAAGCAACACACTTTGATTCAGAACACTCGAGAATGTGGAGGAGACAGCAAAGCTGAGAAGAAAGGTTTCCCGTCGTCCCTCTTCCCAGGGAAAGCTGCTGTGACTGTTTTGGCCAGGATCCTTCCTGGCATTTTTATATACATGGAACATGTTTTTCTAATGGGATTTTAGGAGAAAATACTGCATGCACTATTTACTGAGTCATCTTGTTTTGTTTAATCTTTTGTGAACATTTTCCATGTTAAATATTCTTTTAAAACATAACTTTTTGGCTATGTACTGCCCTCCCTCTGAATTTTTTTTTTTTTTTTTTTTTGACACGGAGTCTCTCTGTGTCCCCCAGGCTGGAGTGCAGTGGTGCTATCTTGGCTCACTGCAACTTCTGCCTCCTGGGTTTAAGCGATTCTTCCGCCTCAGTCTCCCGAGTAGCTGGGGTTACAGGTTTGTGCCACCATCCCCAGCTAATTTTTGTATATATTTTTTTTTTTGTAGAGACGGGGTTTCACCATATTGGCCAGGCTGGTCTTGAACTCCTGACCTCGTGATCCACCCGCCTCAGCCTCCCAAAGTACTGGGATTACAGGTGTGAGCCACTGCACTCGGCCCAAATGCTTTTATATGCATTACCTGGTTACCCATGAAGAAGGCCCTCTGATCTGCTAGAGGAAGATAGAGGAGCAAATCTGTGTGCCCTGGGGTTGGACGATGAGTTTTTAGGTATAACACTGAAAGGAAATCCATAAGAGAAAAAATTTGATAAATTTGCCTTGTTAAAGACTCTTGCTCTGTGGAAGATACTGTTAAGAGGACGAAAAGACAAACCACAGAATGGGAGAAAATATTTACAAGTCAGATATTTGACAAATAACTGGTATCCAGAATATATAAGGCCTTCTTAAAACTCAATAATAGGAAAACAGGCAACCTAATTGAAAGATGGGCAAAATGTCTGAAAAGACAGTCACTGATATCCAGAGGGCAGGTGTGTGAGGGGAGGATGCTCGGGCGGGGCATGGTTGAAAACACAGTCACCGATATCCAGAGGGCAGGTGTGTGAGGGAGGATGCTTAGGCGGGGCGTGGTTGAAAAGACAGTCAACCGATATCCAGAGGGCAGATGCGTGAGGGAGGATGCTTGGGTGGGGCGTGGTCATGCACACCTGTGATCCTAGCATTTTAGGAGGCTGAGGTGGGAGGATTGCTTGAACCTGGGAATTTGAGGCTGCAGTGAGCTGTGATCACACCACTGCACTCCAGCCTGGGAGACAGAGAGAGACCCTGTCTCAGAAATTAAAAAATAAAAAGAGGATGCTCAGGAGTATTTGTCTTTGGGGGATTGCAAATTAGTACAACCATGAGACATGGCCACACACTGTGGGAATGGCTAAAAACTGTAAGATCACTGACGGCACTAAATGCTGGTGGAGACGTGGAGCCACAGGAACTCTCACGCACTGCTGGGAGGAGTGCAAAATGGTGCCACCACTTTGAGGCAGCGTGGCAGCTTTTTACAAAGCCAAACACGGTCTTATCGTATGACCTGATGGCCCTGTCTGTGGGCTCTTAACCACGGGAATTGAAAATTGTGTCCACACAGAGACCTGAATGTGCGTGTTTATAGCAGGTTTATTCATAGTTAACTAAAAACCAGAAGCACCACAACACCCTGTAACAGAGGAACAGATAAACAAATTAGTACATTTGTGCAATGGAATCCTGTTCAGTGAGAGAATGGGACAAGGTATCGATCATACAACAACATAGATGAATCTTTTTTTTTTTTTTTGAGATGGAGTCTCGCTCTGTCGCCCAGGCTGTAGTGCAGTGGCGTGATCTCTGCTCACTGCAAGCTCCGCCTCCTGGGTTCACGCCATTCTTCTGCCTCAGCCTCCAGAGTAGCTGGGACTACAGGCGCCCACCACTAAGCCCGGCTAATTTTTTGTATTTTTTGGTAGAGACGGGGTTTCACCCTGTTAGCCAGTATGGTCTCGATCTCCTGACCTTGTGATCCGCCCACCTCGGCCTCCCAAAGTGCTGGGATCATAGGCGTGAGCTACCGTGTCCGGCCAGATGGATCTTGAATGTATTTTTCTAAGTGAGAAAAGCCAGACCCCAGCCAGACATCAGCATGAACTCCTGACTGGCTCAACACAAGTAGACAGATTCAGAAGGAACTGCAGGCAGATGCGTCTGTGTATGCAGGGCTGGCACATACCTGTACTGCTGCGGGGCCCGGAGGCAGGCACACCCAGCAACAGGGAGCTGACCGGGGCCCAGAGCAGGGCTTCCAAGCACTGTTCTCGGTAGGAGGACCTGGGCGTCTTTGGAAAGATACCTGGTTTTAGGACTGGGGTAGGAAATACACAGGAGGAGCCTGGAGTGTCTTCTAGTTCCAGAAAGTAAGGAAATGCAGAAAACCCAAAAGGATGGGGCGTGTGGATGGGACACAGGAGCCAGAGGAAAGCATTCCTGTGGCTGAAGGCGAAACACTTGCAGCAAGAAAATGAAGTGGAGTGACTTATAACCCGACGCGTCAAATAAACGCGGGTGAATCAGGCTGACCGAAATAAATGATGGCGTGACTCAATGGGGCAGATGCAGCTCCTCCCTCCGGAAGGATTGCAGATAAAATGGATGTAGTTCTCTGCCCTCAAGAGATGGAACTTAATCCCCCTAGGGTAGGCCAGGCTCCGTGACCTCCTTCCAAAGAGTGGAGTACCCAAAAGGTAACGTTGCCTGCCTGGAGGGGCCTGGTGGGCAGCACCTTCCCGGAGCGATGAGGGCCCCGCCCGGGCTCCAAGGGATGATGGGGACGCTGCGTCTGTGGTTCTTTACAGACCTGTAGCTCCAGTCCAGCCTCAACACACACCTGACCCTGCGGGGGGCCTGCCTGGGCCAGTCCTGCTCAGAACTGCCAAGTCCATGAGAAACAAGGAAAGGCTGACAAATGAGAGGAGACTCAGGAGGTGTGGCAACTAATGGCACCCTGATCCAACCCTGGGAAGGAACAAGGACGCTGAAGGACAGACACACTGGTGCTGTCCAGGCAGAGTCCCAGGTCCGTTCGTGACACCGTTCCAGTGCTTGCACTGGGAGGCTGGGTTCCTGGGAACTCACTGTACTGTCCTGACAACTTTTCTGTACACCTAGTCGTTCCAAAATCAAAATCAAAATTTACTTTAAAAACCCCTGAGGTAAGGATCATTGGGAGGTTTTGAAGTGTTCAGGACGCTTGCCTGAGTTCCCCAAAGCAAGCGACCGCAGAACCAGATTCAACTGGCAGTGGACCTGGCCCCTCCCCGAGCGCCGGTGACTCAGTGGACCTGCTTTGTCTTCTGGCCTACCCTTCTCTCACCTCCACCTTAGAACCCCAGGGGTGGTGCCTGCTCGGCACTAGCCTTTGAGGCCCCTTACCGACCATTTGGATGTGTTTGGTGAGGAGTCCCTGGCGGTGAATGACTTCTTCCTAATGAAGTTAAACACGACCATGCCATTCCTGACAAGGGAACCTGCCGTTTCCTGTCACTCTTCCTTGTCCGCCTGCCCTCAAAGCTTTCGTTGCATAGCTGGTAGCAAACCAACATCACTAGGGTTGGTGTTCCCTGTCCCTGGCCGGAGCTCCTTCTGCAGCTCGAAAGGTCTGGGGAGAGCAGCCCTTCAGCCCACTCTGATCTCATGGCAGGTGTGTGTTAGCCTGGCCTTAATTAAGCCTGGCCTTCGAGATGGATGTCAGAACAGCATGATTATTGGACACTTTGTTTTGGAAGCCCGTTCCTTTAGAAGGTGTGCACTTGGAAGTGTGATTAAACACGATGCACGTGATGGGGTGGGCCCCGGGGACAGGTGTTGGAAGTGTGATTAAACACGATGCACGTGATGGGGTGGGCGTGTGGGGTGGGCCCCGGGGACAGGTATTGGAAGTGTGATTAAACACGATGCACGTGATGGGTGGGCGTGTGCGGTGGGCCCCAGGGACAGGTGTTGGGGCTTGGTTGCTTTCCCTGTGTATTAGTCTGTTTTCATGCTGCTGATACATACCTGAAACTGGAAATACAAAAAGGTTTAATTGGACTTATGGTTCCACATGGCTGTGGAGGGCTCCGAATCATGGTGGGAGGCAAAAGGCTCTTCTTACATGGTGGTAGCAAGAGAAAATGAGGAAGAAGCAAAAGTGGAAAGCCTGGATAAACCCATCCGATCTCGTGAGTCTTATTCACTATCACGAGAATAGCATGGGAAAGACGGGCCCCCATGATTCAGTTACCTCCCCCTGGGTCCCTCCCACAGCCTGTGGGAATTCTGGGAGATGCAATTCCAGTTAGGATTTCCACGGGGACGCAGCCAAACCATATCACCTTGGCTGTGGCCTCCACTGTGCCTGGGACTGGCCACAGAGAGCTGTGTCTCCGTGGCTGCCTTCTCCTTGCCTGTTTGCGTGGTCTCGAGGAAGCTGCACAGCAGGGCCCGAGTCGGCCGTGTGAGCCGCTCTCCCTGTCAAAGCACACCCATCCCTGCCTGCTTTGACCTGAACTTGGTGACCTTCAGGCCATCAGTGGAGTGGGGCAGAATGAATAGCCTGTCCTGGCTCATGGCAGCCACCGGGTGAGGCGCCTGCATGCGTGGCTCGGAGGCCTTCTGCAGGCACAACCCCCACCGTGGGCCTGGCAGCTTGTGTGGGAGGCGTGCGGGTCGGTGGCAGAGGGTGAGCACCAGCCCTGTGTGAACCTTCACAACTCCTCTGTGGACCCTGGACTTGGCTTCACTGCTGGTGAGAATCTGGTGTGTGCTTTGGGGCACCCAGGAAATGGAGTTGAGGGCGTCTAGGTTGTACTTGAGAGATGGCCCGGCTCCGTCGGTGTCCTTCCTTCAGGCTGAAGAGCTGCATGGAGTGTGACAGATGGCACTCCCTCCACCCGTCCCCTTGCTGCCTCTCGCTCATGGCCACTGCTGAGTGCTGGGAGTGCCCCAGGCTGTGCCACACCGTCCTGATCTCCCCGGCCTCCCAGGGAGATGGATGTGCACGTGCAGTGGCAGCTCCAGAGCTGTCATGGTGGCACTCGAGGCTGGGGCGGTGTTCCCTGGAGGCAAGCGGGGAGCCTCTCTGGGGTTCAGTGGAGCTCAGACTGCCATGGTGGGACGGAGCGGGGCGGGGGCTGTGGTGGGAATAGGTGGCTCAGTGTGGGCCAGAAGGTTGGAGGGCTGGCGCCGACACGGAACCAGGGTAGCACGAGACCACCGTGCTGGTAACCAGATGGCGCAGCCTGTGATGGGGGCCTGGATTGTGTTCCAGCGGCAACAGGCCCGTCGGCAGGTTTCAGGCAGGGGTGTGAGGAGGCGTGAAGAGGCGCGATGTGTGATCCAAGGTCGCTTTGCTGCCCGACCTCGTCCACTGTTCTGTGGCCATGCACGTGGGCCCCCATATTTCCACTCAGCCTGTGCGGGTGCTTTGTGTGTAGACTTTTAAAGGGGAGAAGTCAGTGTGGTCCGAGTCCCAGTCTTCTTCTTCTCTAACTCTCCTAGAGCCTCAAGCCTCGATCTGCTGGGAAACGGATCCAGTTAGCTGTGAGAGGGGAAGTGGCAGCTTTGCTGAGTTTCACTGGATCTTCTCAGAGGCACCGGCTGTTGAATTCTGTTTCCTCTCCCCACACGCTGTTGTGGTTTTCCCTTCAGCTGCTAGCGCCGTGCTGTCTTGGATGCTAAGGGGCGCCTACGGTGTTCCATGAAGCTGTTCTCTGTGGACAGGCAGGATCTCTCTAAACATACAGTTGGCGCTAGCTTTCTTTCAGCTCCCCAGTCCCTGCTCCTGGCCATGGGACATCATTCCTTTTACAACAAAGAGGATCCTGTCTCTTCCCAAGTACCACTGTTCCTTTGCGATCGGCACAGGCAGGAGAGGTCCGCCCTGCCAGGCCTGGGTCAGTGGAGCTGTGCAGACTGTGGTATAGAAGCTGCCTTCAACAGTTGTATTCCATTTGGGCTTCTCCATTTCCTGATTAGTAGTAGTATTAATAATATTATTTTCAAGACGGAGTCTCACACTGTTGCCCAGGCTGGAGTGCAGTGGTGCGATCTCGGCTCACTGCAACCTCCATTTCCCGGGTTCAAGTGATTATCGTGCCTCAGCCTCATGAGTAGCTGAGATTACAGGCGCGCGCCACCAGGCCTGGCTAATTTTTGTATTCTTAGTAGAGACAGGGTTTCGCCATGTTGGTCAGGCTGGTCTTGAACTCCTGACCTCAAGTGATCTGTCCGCCTCACCCTCCCGAAGTGCTGGAGTTACAGGCATGAACCACCATGCCTGGTCCATTTCCCGATTATTTATTGGTAGTAAAATTCACTTTGAGGTGTGTGGCTCTGTGGGTCTTGACAGTTGCACTGAGCATCCCCCACCACAGCCATGATTCAGTTCCATCACCCTAAGAGTTTCTCCTGCCTCCCCTTGGTCACAGCGCTCTTCCCCTGCCGCCAGCAGCCATGTGGGTACGTTTTTAAAGAGAAGAGCTTCCATGAGGTTTGAAGCCCAGTTTCTCCATGCATGACCACCACCTCCTCCATGCTCTTCTCAAAGTGATGTTGCTTTTTCTTGTTTTAAAACTTTTTCCTGAACTCAGCTTGTAACTCTTAGGATTCCTGGCCACATCTCCCGTCTTCCTGCACGTGATTTCTCTGCCACCCTTGCTTTTAGTCGCAGAAGATAACAGCAATTGTGCTGGGCGCGGTGGCTCATGCCTGTAATCCCAGCAATTTGGGAGGCCGAGGCAGGTGGATCAACTGAGGTCAAGAGTTCGAGACCAGCCTGGCCAACACAGTGAAACCCTGTCTCTACTGAAAATACAAAAAAAATTAGCTGGGTGTGGTGGCAGGCAACTGTAATCCCAGCTACTCTGGAGGCTGAGGCAGAATTGCTTGAACCTGGGAGGCGGAGGTTGCAGTGAGCCGAGAGCGTGCCATTGCACTCCAGCTCTGGGGGACAAGAACGAGACTTTGTCTCCAAAAAGAAAAAAAAAGAAAAAGAGCAATTGTGGCTGGCCTGTCTCCCTGCCTGCAGCGTTTACGGCTTTCCCATGGGCAGAGGCCGTGTGTGGCTCCGTCCCCAGCCGGCTGTGCTGTCTCTGTCGTGCTCCTTGGCACTGACTGACTGACCTGTCTGGAGCCTCCAATTAAAGGTCACTGGCAGCACTTCCCCTAATTACCATGCCATAAGGACTTGGCAGGTTTTGTGGCTGTGGTGTGAGCGAGGGCGTGCCTGTGCTTCAGTGATGCGTTACCCAGTGCTGAGTTGTTGAGCTGCACCTTCCTTTGGATGGGATGCATTTTGGGGAGGAGGACGGAGAATCTGAGCTTCTTCCCTACCAGGCATCTTGTCCTCACTGGGCCTGTGGGGAGGGAGGGGCTCATCCTTAGGAGCTCAGTTGCTTGTCTTTAGGAGCTCCTTGGGGCTGCTGGCCAGGAGGGAGGGAGGTGACGGGTCTTGCCGTCCTCCCCCGCAGCGTGGAGTCCTCCCGGGCAGGGTGGGATTCCTGGGGGTAGGTGGAGCTGCGCACGGAGGTGATGGGTCTCACCATCCTCCAGGCCTTCATACATGCCTGATGGGCCTGTGAAGTTGGCGGGAGTGGGCAGTCGGCGCCCTCGTACGCACCTGGTGGTCCTGTGAAGCTGCATCTGCCGTGAGCGTCCAGTGGGTCTTCAGAGGTTAGGCGGTCACTGGATGACCCAGCAACTTCCCTTCTAAGTGCGCACCCAAGAGAATTGATAACATGTTTGCACGAACACTCGTGTCATCGTTCATAGCAGCATTGCTCATAGTAGCCAAGAGATGGGGCCAACCCAAATGCCCCTCAGCTGTGACTAAAAACAACACGGCTGTCCACCCAGCGAGGAGTTATTGAGCCATAAGAGATGGAGGCTGATGTATGCTGCAGCAGGGACTGGCCTTGAAGACATGATGCCAAGTCAATTCAACAGTATGAAAGGCCACCACCTGTATGATGACATTAATATGAAGTGCCCAGAATAGGCAAAGTCCCGAACTCAAAGCAGGGCATTCCTGAGACACTGCCGTGGCCTCATGTGCTCACTGTGGGCAGAAATATCAGAGTGGCCACTGCCCTGGGAGAACCAGGTGGCCGAGAGGCAATGGCGGCTGCAGGCAGGGACAGCTACATGCGCTGCTCTCCTGGGGTGTGTACTGCGTGGCTGTGCGGCGGGGAGACAGACCACACGGTGAGGTGGGAGGGTGGAGCTTGTTAGCAGGCACCGTTACTTGCTCCGTTACACTTGTCTTTTGTTAACCTTTTCTACCTTTGAGCTTCTTTGAGGACAGTCACCATTGTGTCTGCTTTGCCTGGAATGGTGGCTGATACACAGTGGGTGCTTGAGGTGAGCGTGGAGTTACGGTTCTGAGACCCGTGGCTAGCATGTGAGCTGCAGTAACGAACAGTGTAGTCACTGTCAGGACTGAGCAAGACCGGCGTTGAATTCTTGCTCATCACTGACTGCTGGCCCTTTAGCAGGCTCTCTGATGTCTTCTCAGCTGGGCCATCTCGTCTGTAAAGGACATGATGATAGTCCTTGGCTTGGGGTGGTGGGAAACACATAAACGTGACGATGTATGTTCAGGAAACGATGACGGCAATGATAAGGTCTCTTTTACCCACATGTGGCGAGTTTCTTACTCTACAAGGCTACAGAGTCGCAGGCTCTTCACCTGGAGGGTTGGGAGCACCCTCCTGCCCCCGTGCTTGGCCCTGTATTTGTCACGGCTCCTTCCTTTTTCTCCTCCCTGCCCCAGTCTGGCTCTGGTGGCTCCCAGGGTTATCTGGGGCCGGACATCAGGACGTTCCAGGAGATGTCCAGAGGTGCGAGGCAAGTTCTGAGGGAGGTTCTCCAATGCAGGGATCAAGCTGGCGGTAGGTGACACATTGAGTGGTGTGCTGGCGGCTGCAGTGGCCGCCACCGTGGCTCAGGAAGTAGGTTTTCTGGGCTAGGACTCCGCACTGAGCTGGGTTTCCTGCCTCTAATCTGCTCTCCAGCAGTCAGGCCTGCCAGAGCCTGGGGACCTCCGTGAGCACAGGTACCTGCTCCCTCGTCCCCGGCACGTCTGCGTGGGCGCAGGGCCTTCTCTGGCATCACCCTGCCCGGGCAGCGCCACTCGCATGCTCTGCCCCCTTGCAGTGCTCTGCTCCCAGCAAGTGAAGGTCATGGCCCTTGGCATTCCTGGCCTCGCGCTGCCCGTGGCTGTCTCTGTGGCGGGTCCGGCCACACCTGTGGACAGGCCCTTTCTGTCCCCCCTGGACTTTGAGGAAATGAAGTCAGTATTCACCAGCACAGCAGAGCTTTATTTTTCTACACATACGCAGAAACTTCCATTGTGTTTCCTGAATTATTTTGACCCAAGTCTTCCAGATCCTGCGGAGTGTCCACCGCACACCCTGCCAGCAGTGCTGCCTTGGAATGCCTTTCGGGTGTCCAGAGGAAGCCGCTGGTTAACTGATAGCGAGAAAGGGAATGGCGGCTCGGATGTGAGCATTCTTCTCCGAGTTGGGTGCATGTGGAAAACCGGACCTTCACTGGGTGGGGGTCCATGCCCAGTCTGCGCCCGCTTCCCCAGTGCCTTCTTGCCCAAGCTCCTCCCCACCCCAGGGTCTGACTGCGCTGGAATCACTGGGAGCATCCTGCAGCCGGCCCACAGGATGGGCCCAGCAGACACTCACAGTGACCAACCAGGAGGTCCTGGAGATGGGAACGGGCGCTCCTGCAGTATCAGGAACAGATCTGTTTCTTCCCACGTGCTTTTCCCTGAAGAACTGGGAGGAGGAAATGTTGGTCTTCTTGGTACACAGCCTGCTGCAGGTCAGTGGCGGAGGCCGGGTTTCAACCCAGGTCTCCCAGGTCTTCCTAGCGTCCGATGCCGTTGCCTCTTCCATCTTGGCCACGGGGGACATCTTGCAGTCTGTTACGTCTGGAGTCTCCCGACAGCCCGCCCTGCGCTGGCCTCCACCCACTGACCCACCTTGGAGGCCTCTCCGCTGATTTACCTGCCCGAGTGCTGAGCGCCGTGCCTCGAGACTGGGGGCACTCACCCCGCACCTCCTCTCCGTGCTGTGTAAGCCAAGAAGTGCTCAGTGATTCCAACAAGCACTAACCCTGCCTTTTAAAGGTCATTCCTGTCTTTGTCAGTTCTTAAAGTTCAAGAGGAAATAAACTGCTTAGAGCTGGCATTTCTCAAGTCAAGTGTCAGCCCTCCAAGCCCCCCGCCCGGCACGGAGGAAGCGAGGTTCATAAATGAGCTGCCGGGTGACTCAGTGATGGGCGAATGGGTGCCTTCCTCTCTCCAGCTCCTGCTAGAAAGGAATGAAAGGGAAACTAATAATTCCGAAAATCTCATTTTCTCCTTAAAGTTTTGTTACTCAGCACGGGGAATGCTTTGGAGATGTTTCTTTATTGGTCGAGTGACAGCGTTTAGAGGCTGTCAGCCCTGGGTACCCAGGACGTCACGCGCAGGGAGGGACGGCTCTTCCCCCTGGGGGCCTGTGCCACCCGTTCCTGATTGACGGGCAGGGGAGCTCTCCCTGCAGCGCGAGAGACAGCAGAGGCCCCATGAAGGTGCCACACCTAACGGGGTATTGACTTCTGTGCTTTGGGTCAAGGATGGCAAAATCAATGGGAAAATAAACAGGCCGAATGTGCTTCATTACCCAGGTAGCGCTGAAGCAGCTGGAGTGGTCGTGCGGCGCACAGGCGTGGGCGGAGGCTGGGCCGAGTGCAGGCGCCGGGCTCCATCAATTGTCATGGGCACTAGAGCCTCAGCTTCAGAGCTGCTAATTGGGCTATCGGGTGATTCCAAAGAGAGACGCCACAGAGATCGCTTTGCCTCTTCTTTTAACTATTTGTCTAATTTGATGCAAGCCTCAGTTAAACGGGGTATGTGAGCCCCTTGATCCTCAGAGCTCAATCTCCTCAGCCTGGTCCTTCCACTTGGCCTGCTGCCTCTCTAGAGTGCTGCACTCCCACACCAGACCCGGCGACGCCGGCCAGAGCCCAGCTCCATGCCTCACGGCTCTGATTCACTGGCCACATGGTGCTGAAGTCACGGCTCCGACAGCAGCTCCGCTGAGCTCCCAGGCCCGGCTCCTTCCCTCTGGTCTCTCCTTCTGTCTCTCCCATCTCCCTTGCTGAGCTCCCCAGGCCTGGCTCCTTCCCTCCTGTCTCTCCCGCTCTCTCCCTTCTCCCTCCTGCACTCTGTCTCACACACGGCCCCATGGTCCCCGCTCTCCTTCCCTTCCCTCCCTCCTTCCCTGGCTTTTCTGGTTTCCCGTGCAGCTGTTGTGGGATGTGCACAGCCCCCTCACACTCACACATGGCCTCCTGGTCCCCGTCCCCTCCCCCTCCTGCCTCCCTTCCCTTTCTCTGGCATCTCCTGCGCAGGTGTTCCCGGGAGCTTGTTCTCCGTTCTTTATTCCTCGGTCTCTGCTTTTCCTTCTTACATAAGTTCTTGTGCTTTGACATCTCTTCTTGTCACTTCAGTGTGGCCAGACTTCAGAGTCTCTATCTTTGGCTCCAACCTCTCTCCTAATCTCCATGATCAGATTTTCCTCTGTCCCTGGAAGCTGCTACCTTGCTGTTATTGCTCCTGACCTTGGGGCCATGTCAGGCGTGCCCTGCTGTCTCCCCAGGGGTCCCGTGATCTCTGTTGGCCACTCGCATGAAGGCCCAGCCTCCCCACCCTGACGGCAGGTGTGTCTCCCGCTTTCCCACCAGCTAGGCCAGGCGGCCTTCCCCTCTCTAACCTGTGCTCCGGCTTTTCTCCCTCGCACTTAGCTCCTGCCCCCTCCGCCGGGCCTGGGCCGTTGTGCTCCGCCGACCACGGGGGCTGGAACAGTGACGGCGGACCCCTGTGTGGAGGACAGAGCCCGGAAGAGAGAAGTCCTGGGGCCTGCTGGCTGGTCGAGGGAGTGAAGGGGTGCATGATGGTGTCCTGGGCTGCAGTGATGCAGGGAGCGCCCCCCGCCTCCTGTGTGGGGTGGGTTCCGGCCCGATGCGGGGATTTTTGGCAGTCCCTGAGACCCACAGTCCCTCCACAGGCTGGTGTCCTCCAGCTGAGATGTGTCCTGAGGTTTCCCGGGTCGCACGATGGCGTTCTGGAAATTGGAGAAGTGTTGGTGGAGTGGGACTGATACGTGGATGCTGTGATTTTCGTTCCTTTACGCGTCAGTTTGAGGGAACTCGATGGACTTTCGCTAGAACCTATGATCCAGATGAGGAAGGGGCAAGGAGCCCAGTGTGGCAACCCTGGCCCCAAGTGACTCCTCTGCCCACAGGCCGCTTTCCACCACCGGCTCAGAGCCTCCCCACCTCCCCACCCCGGCCCAGCTTGTCTGTCCATATCTGTTTCCAAACACCCTTCCCGCTGGCTCTGCCATTCCCACCCTGCGTCATCCCCAGTCCTGTCCTTGGTTCCTGGCCTGGCTCCTGGACCATCACAGCAGCTCTCTCCTCTCTCTTCCTGGGCTCAGGCATCTTCTCACCCTTCAGGAACGGGGAACCAGGGAGAGGGGGCACAGAGTCTGGACCTTGGGCATGCTGAGAGGCAGCTGAGGGTTAATGAGGCCAAGATATAATGTCACAAAGTGCAGGCCACGTCCCGGCGGTACCGCCTGTGAGCCAGGTCCCCTGGAATGCCACTCTCCCCCAGCATTTGTGTCCCTAACCGAGAAATGAGGCGAAAACGTCTCCCTCCCTGGCAGGGAGGTTCAGGGTGTGTTTGAAGAAATGGCAGTTCCCTTTGCCCAACCACACGCATCTTCATTGGGAAAATCTGGCTCCGCACCTCATCTGAATGCACGGCCCTGTGCAGCCGACAGCAGGGCTGCTCTGCGACCCGGGAGTTTCCAGCTGCCTGGGGATGGACTTGGCGTCAGAGCCCAGCGCTGTTCTTTGAGTCCTGCTCCCATTTGGAAATGAGGGGCCCCGGAATCCTGGGCTTCCTACCAGAGGCCTGTGATCGTGGGGGAGGCGCTCTGCACATGAGGGTGGGTGGGTGGGTTTAGTCAGAGGGTGGTTATTACTGTTTTTGCCTTTGAATTTGTGCATCTGCAGTGGCCGAGGCGGGGAGCCGGCAGGAGCTTGCTCTCTTGTGGGGGACATGCAGTCGCCCGGCCTCAGGTGGGTGGGAACTCATGTCTTTAGTTACCCATGCTAGCGTTTCTAAACCTCATATCTGTGGTATAGGGTAGTGGTATAGGGTATTGGTTGGTAACCTTTCTCTGTAAAGAGCCGTATGGTAAATACTTTTGGCTTTTTGAGCCACGGGCTCTGTCACAGGAAAGCAGCCGTAAGCCATATGTCAATGAATGGGAGTGGCTTTGTTCCAGGAAAACTTTCCTTACAACCATAGGTGGTGGGCTGTTTGCTGAGCAGCAGTGCAGAGAAAGCCCCCAGCCTCGAGGCTGGCCCACCCGCCTGCTGCCTGCCTGTTGGCCATGTGGCCCCTTGGGGCTTCTGTCCTGTGCATTAGGCGAGCAGGCAGCCAGCGCTGACAGGGTTGACGGACGCACGGATGGTCTCCTTCTCTCTGACCTCGGGAGACGGTAGATGTGTCCAGGACACCTGCTGTGCCTCTCTGCGTCACTCCAGGCACCGGATTATCTTCTGTGGCTTCTCTTTTTTCTCCAAGTCAGAGCTGGAGGGCATGGGGCGGTTGTTTAGTAGAGCCTGGGGAGGTGACTTGCCCCCTTGTCTCTGCAGTTCTCATTTCCTAATCTCCAGCAGCCTGGGGCGGAAGTGAATTTATGGTCTCCCTGCGGCCGTGCTTGCCGGGGCTCCCCACCCAGCATTTGGAGGAGCCCTGCCCAGGCGATTACAGGTTGGTAGCTGATCAGCTAAACTGGATTATTCATTATGGTTGGGAGTGAATTGAAATTGCAAAGGGCAATTTTCCTTCTCACATTTCAAGGTCAGATGAGAGTATTTGCCGTGTGGCCTCTGTTTATCTGGGAATGCAAATTGAATTTGGTGATTCCAGTTGACGAGATGTTGGGAACAGAGCGTTCATCAGAGGCAGAGTCGGGGAGAAGTGACCGGGAGGCCAGGCTGCAGCTTCAGAGCCTGCTCCCCTGGCCGTTCCTTTGATTGGTAATTATTTCAGCCTTTGGTCTTCTCATTCTCTGGTTTTGTTTCCGCTGTTTGGATTTTTATTTTTTTCAGAAAAATGTGTATTGACACTTGGAGGCATTTAAGATTGGGATTAGATAGAGTAAATAACAACAGCTGCGTGCCACGCTGAGCCTGATGTCCTGGGGCACCTGCCCTCTCGGAGTCCCAGCCCCTTCCGAGTCTGAACCTGCCCCCCAGGGAGGAGGGCTTGCCCCTCTCTTTCACCTGCAAGTGCCCACCTGTGCCACTGAGTGCGGCTGCCCGGCCCCAACCTCATGACGGTGTGGGGGCTGAGCTGGCCACGTGGACTTGAACCCGAGTCTTCAGCGAGGCATTCACCCCCTCCCAACCGCTGGCTCGGCCAAGCCCCTGCACTTGCCCTCTTCTGAGAGACACATGGAACGTGTCACCTGTGTGGCAGTGCTGTTGCTTGGCCCGACTGGGGCATCTCCCCCCAGCCCTATGGGGGTGCCCAAGGCACGGCCCTGGAGACCCTGGAGGTCAGTACAGTGGTGTCCTGGGGGACACGGTGGCTTCTGAGCCCCTTTGTCCTTGGGGATGTGGGGACTGGGGCCGGTGCTGCCGCTGTCCTCCCAGATTCTGGTGGAGATTTGAACCCAAGTCCTCAGCGAGGCATGCCACCTCTGAGCCCCTTCCTCCTCAGGGATGTGGGGTGGGGGTGGCGCTGCTGCTTTCCTCCCAGATTCTGGTGCAGACTAAACGAGGTCATGTACCCAGGAGCACCCCCTGCAGCCGAAAGCTGCTCGGGCGAGAGTGGGAAACTGCTCAGGAGGCTCGGCCTCCGAGTTCAGACATGGAGGGGCCCTGGCCGCCAGCCTCCTCTGCTTTCTTCTTCAGTCCTGGGTAGATGAGAAGCATAAACTCTGATCTGAATCTCCAGCAGCTCCTGATCAGGGAGCATCTCCTGGCTCAGCCGCGGAGGCCCCGTGAGCGTGGGGCAGGGGAGGAACTGGGACCTCTTGATGCTCTCGTGCTTCACGACGGACGCACGCGTCTGATCCAGTCCTCCCCTGCCCATTCGCAGCGAGGGGCCTGGTGGCCTCAGTTCCATCCAAGAGGAAGGAGAAGGCCAGAGGTGGATGGAGCGCTCAGAGCCTCCGGATAGTGGGTTGACGTGGGGGATCCTGCAGGTAGGCGGGACCCTCTCAACCCTGTAGGTCCCAGGGCAGTTGTTTCCCTGCCTCTCTGCAGAGGCAGCTATTGATTCCCATTCTCAGGCGGCTCCTCAGATACACAAGGAGCCTGCGTCTGTCGTGCCGGTCTCCAGGCCGGAGCTGGGGGCTTCGATGGCAGAGACGGCTCCTCTCTGTGGTGAGTGGGGGCCCTTCCCCGGTGTTCCCTCTTAGCAAGGAGCGAATGTGGATGCCTGAACATGCTCAGTGTTGCTTCTGCCCTGTCTGGGAACCCTGGCCTTCCGGGAGAGTATTTCTGAAACCAGTTCGTGCTCCATTTAAAATTTTGCCTCTAGATCCAGGCTGCTGCGAGGCTCCCCGACGGGCGCCTGTGAACACAGCTCTGTGTACAGTTCTTGTGACTGGAGGACGAGCACGTGTGGTTTGGGAGGTTGTTCTGTCCAGCGATATCCTCTTTCAGAACCTGTGGGTGCTTCCGGAGCAGAGCAGGGCAGGCTGTCCACTGGGGCTGGAGCCTGTCCTCTGCTCCCTGCTAGCCTCCTGGATCCTTGTCTCCTGCTCCCGCGCGCCTCCTGCAGAACGGCACTGCTTTTTGTCTCGTGTACCTGCTCCAGGCCACCAGTTAGAGTTCACTGCTCCCCGCTGGGTCGCAGCCCTCCCAACCGCTGGCTCAGCCAAGCCCGTGCACTTGCTCTCTTCCTGAGAGACACATGGAACGTGTCACCTGTGTGGCAGTGCTGTTGCTTGGCCCGACTGGGGCGTCTCCCCCCAGCCCTATGGGGGTGCTCAAGGCATGGCCCTGGAGACCCTGGAGGTCAGTACAGTGGTGTCCTGGGGGACACGGTGGCTTCATGCTCATGACTCAGTCGCTCAAGGCTTGAATTTACTCATCTGTAAAATCGAGATGATTAAAAATCATACTTGTGGGTGGGTCTTGATCTATGTTCCTCAGATAGCTAAGAATAAAGGTGCTTTTAGAGATTTTGCCAAGGTTCGAATACAATTTTATTAGTATTTTCCTAGTTTCATGCCAGACGTCATCACTGAGGATCACCGTGCATGCGGCTGTGTTTACATCTTAACCCTTGAGGCCACTGGCAGGCTCACCGTGCTGCGAGCTCACCATGTCGTAACCATCTCGGGCTCACCATGCCGCGGGCTCACCAAGTCGTAACTCTGTCTTGGGCTCACCATGCCGCGGGCTCACCAAGTCGTAACTCTGTCTCGGGCTCACCGTGCCGTGAGCTCACTGTGTCATAACCGTCTCGGGCTCACCATGCTGCGGGCTCACCGTGCCGCGGGCTCACTGTGCCATAACTGTCTCGGGCTGACCATGCTGTGGGCTCACTATGTCGTAACCCTGTCTTGGGCTCACCGTGCCACAGGCTCACCATGTTGTAACCGTCTCAGGCTGACCGTGCTGCGGGCTCATCGTGTCGTAACCATCTCAGGCTCACTGTGCCGTGAGCTCACCATGTCGTAACCGTCTTGGGCTCACCATGTTGCGGGCTCACCAAGTCGTAACCCTGTCTCAGGGTCACCATGCCATGTGCTCGCTGTGTCATACCTGTGTCTCGGGCTCACTGTGCTGCAGGCTAACTGTGCTGTGGGCTCACTGTGTCATAACTGTGTTGGGGCAGTCATCAGCCCGGAAGCCTCGGTGTGACCCCATGCCCATGTGTGAACAGTGTGTCTGGGCGTTATGGGTTAGGAGACCGTCTGTGTTCGGGCTCACTTAACAAAGTACCATAGTCGGGGATCTGAACAGACGTCCGTTTCTCACAGCTGTGGAGCTGAGGAGTGCAGGATGGCAGTGCCGGGTCTGAGGAGGGCTCTCTTCCTGGTTTGCAGATGACCAGCCCCTGTCCTCACAGGGCAGAGGGAGAGGACTCGAGCTTTGTGCTGCTTACAACTTGCGCATCCCATTGGGAGCACTCCGCCCTCAGGACCGAATGCCCTCTCAGGGGCCCCCGTTTGGTCACCATCACATTGGGGATCTGGGTTTTCACAGGTGAACTTGGGACGACACAGGCATTCTGTGCACTGCCCAAAACGTGCTGGTTTTGCCCTGGGCCCGGGCGTGGCTGTGGAGGCGTCTTCATACCCTGTGGATCCACACTCCAGGCACCACTCAGCCTTGTGACTGGGGCGGGAACAGCCGCCTCATACCATCCCAAGGGTCGGATCAGGTCCCGGGAGCACACAACTGCTTCGCCTTAGACCCCAGCACCACCTGTCCTGGCCTCTCTCAGAGCCTGTCTCCCGCGGTGGCCACGCCGTGGGCTCCTGTGCTCCAGAGCCCCATGGTTTCTGGGGAGAGTCCAGTGATGCCTGTTTGTGCGATGCCTGCCCTTGCCTTGGCGGGTGCTCACAGTGGGCTGGGACTTGGGAGAAGGTAGACAAAGAGTGTGTGGGAGGAATGGGTCGTGCGTGGAAGAGCTGGCTCAGCAGTGTCTTGAGGAAGGTCGTTAAAATGTCTCCTGCCACTTTGGGATACATTGTGTCCTTTCGTTGTTCCTTGAAAGTCGGTATTCTTAGGCCGGGAGTTTCTGATGAAGATCACATTAAAGTGGCCGGCAGTGGCTGGTCACAGCGCAGATGGATGCTCAGAAGCTCAGAGCTTGTTCTTTGAGTAGAGGCTGGCTCAGAGAGCCATTGATTGATAAACATGCCTGGCTTCTCCTTGAGGAACTAAGAACTTCATTCTGAACTCCCAGAGGCTCACGGAAATGCCAGTGACCTCAGAGTTCAGTCCAAGCATGGAACTAGAGGCTTAATTTTTTGAGTTTTCTCTTCTGTACCTCAGAAGAAAGGCCGGGATTGAACAGAGAGAACATCCCCAACAGGGGAGAGCCCGCCGTCGCTGGTGCCGCTGTGGCTCAGCGTGCTGGGTCCCGGTGCCCTGCAGGGCCTGAGGGGTGGGAGGCAGAGGCCATCTTGCCGGAGCGCCTCTACCTGCACGCCTGGGTGGGCAGCACCACTTGTTGGCGGTGTCTGAAACGCTAGATGGGGGGCCTTTAGGCTGCACTCTGGGGCCGTCCACTTTGTGCCGGCCCTTCCTGCACCTCCAGGGCTTGGCTCCTAATTGCCACTTCCTCGGGTCTTCAGGACAGGGCTGCCTCTGCTGGACCTTCCCCTCCTCTCGAGACGCCGGCACCTCATGGACACATGCCAGCCTGCTCCTTGCCTTCCTGCCCCTCTGGCTCAGCCCGCTCTCCACGTCCCGTGCAGAGGCCGTTCCTGGTTTGCTCGTCCTCTTGTGACCTTGCCCATTGCTCCCGGTTGGCCCAACCTCGGGCCCACTGGGCTGACCACGAATGAGCACGCCAGCTGCCCATTGGAAGCGTCCCCGGCTCTGACACCGCCTGTCTCTGACACCACAGGCTGTCCCGCCACCCCTCCCCGAGGGCCCCCCCAGCCTCCGGTTTCCCCTCCAGTGTCAGGAGGCACCTGCTTGCTGGTTTGCTGATGGCCTGTCTTCTGCCCATTGTGGTTACTGAGTTGTTGCCTCGCAGCTCCACACTCCCTTCTCTGAGCCCTACTTTGCGGTGCCAGGGCTGCAGCCCACACCTGCGCTTCGCCAGGGAGTGCCTGTCCTGGGGGCGCTGGAGAGGGCCCGGGGTCAGCCTGCAGGCAAGTGGGGCAGCTCTTTAGCCGCTGGCCTTGCCCCCTCCCAGCAGCCTGCCAGCCTGCAGATTCCGTAGCGCCTAGAGGTGCCAGCTCCATGGGCTGCTGCCCTGTTCTCAGAGGCCTGGGTCCAGGCCCTCCAGGGTCCCCATGCAGACACCAGCATGGCCTCCCTCAGCAGCCTCAGTTCCTGTTCCATGGGGCCCATCTCTGAGTGTCTACATTTTAATGATGTCAGCCTCTGCCCCGTGTTCCCACAGCCCAAGGGCTGGGAGCTGCTTCCTGAAGTCACTGCGTCCTTGGCGCCTGAGGGTCTTCCTTCTGCTCTCGGTGACCTCAGTACCTGCACCCGCCGTGAGATTCTCTGCTCATGCCACACGCGTGGCTTCTTTGCTTGAGATTCCCACCCCAGTAGAATGGAGGCCCAGCGAGCCCAGGCTGGCTGCGGTGTTCCGTGCTGCCATCTCTGCTGCCTGGAACGGCATGTGGCCGTCCTCACCCACATCCCGTGTGCTGAACAGACTGGGTAGACTCGCCTGCCAGTCAGGTGTGAGTGGCAAACATCCCGGACATGGTTCTTGGCGAGCATTCCACAGTGTCGTCTCCTTGTCACGTCTTGGTGTTGGATTTTTACAGTCTAGTTCTGTTGTTCAGAAGATTTCAGTGTCAGCCATCAGGCCTTGGGGATGTGGCCCTGATGACGCGGGCCCGAGTGCTTGCACCTGGACGGTCCTGGAGTGGGTGTCTCTCTGCTGCCCACGCCGTCCCTCAGCCGGGAATGTGTGTTGCTCTGGTTCACTTCTCCCATCTCCGTTCATGATGTGGATTTCACTGCCAGGAAGGAGAGGTTTGCTTCACAACCTGGCGGATGAGCTTTTCCAGCCTGTGCTCAGCCCCACGCCCCTATGCCTCTGTCTACCCTCTGGGGTGCTGCAGAACACACGCTTCACGCTACATCCTGCAGCCACTGCATTTCCTCAGACCGGGTCTGTAAGGAAGCCCAGGTTCAGCTGCTCGATGCTTGACAGCCAGACACGAGAGGCGAGAGTGGCGGAGGAAGAGCAGGCGTATTCGGGGAGCCAGCGGATCGGGGAGATGGTGACCTACAGTCACAAAGACCATCTGAAGTCAGTACAGATCCCAGGCTCTAGTTATGCTAAGGGTAGGGGCAAGAGGAGGGGGTTGGGTCCAAGAGGTGACTGACGATCGTAGAGATCTGGGTGCCAGCAAGGGTCCGAGGGGTCGGGAACTGCTCTGTCCTTGGCCAGGCCACAGCACTCCTGCAGATCTTTAACAAAGCCTAGTTAGCTGTTTCCACACTTCCCCTTTGATCCCAGAGTGAGTTTTTGCATTATTACTCTTTGCTATTTTTGCATTATTATCTCAGTACTCTAAAAGCTAGGAGTAGGTAAAGACCCTTTAAGCAGTGGCGGAGGGATATGCTAGTTCTGCTGAGCCACTGTTACAGGCCGAGGGCCGGGCTTGGGGCGCCTCGGTGCCTGCCGTCCTGCCTCACCGAGGCGGCCTAGGCTGCAGAGAGTGGGATGTGGGCCTGAGGGAAGCAGCTCAGGCCACATCCAGTTCCTGGGACCCAGTCTTGGCCCCTGGCTCTATTGCACTGAGCCCTGGTCCTCAAGTGCCGGGAGCCTGGGCTCTGAAGCAAGACAGCCACTGTCCTGTGGGTGTGCGTTACTCACATCTGCTCTGCGTGGCGGGGGGACTCCAGCCCCACATGTGCCCCCACACAGATGTGAGCGCACCCTCACTCAGGATGCAGGGTGTGGGTTTGCTGGGCCCCCTTCAAGGCTGCCCAGCCATCCTGTGCTGAGCTGAGGGTGCTTCCCAGCGCAGCCCCTTACCCTTCTCTCTGGCCAGATGCCTGTGCTGTGCCTGTCACCTGAAAGACAGCACCTGTCACATTCTTGCCTTTGCACATTCTGGCTTTGAAGCAGAGTACAGGGAATGGTGGCGTTCTTCTAGTTAAATGACCACACGGAGCCGTGATTTAAAGCACTTGTGAACGTTCCCACCTGAATTCAGTGATTCAAGAGTAGATTTTACAGCCCTTGAGTATTAAATTGGCCCATGAGTAGTTTAAAATTGAACTGGGTCCCAAAGTAGCCTCATAATATGTGTTTCCCATGAGCTTTGTGCCTGCTTTTTATTTTGTCTTGCGTTTTTGGTTATGGAGCGCCTGGAGGGGGCAGGGGGGCCGCTGGCCAGTGCTGCACCTGGGGCCAGTGTCAGTGTAGGGCTTTCCGAGGCGGCTGATGGGATAGGAAAGACTCAGAACGGTTTCCTCTGCTCTCACGTCGCAGCAGTCAACACAGAAGACTCTGACCAGATGTGGGGTGTTTCCCCACCCACCAAGCAAGCAGTTGGTTCTGCCTGGGACACCAGCCGTTCAGCTCAGTCTCACTCAGTTCTGTTCTGACACTGTCTACCTGGAGGTGCTGTCAGACCCTGGGTGAGGGCTCAGTCCCCACCTTCTGGTGCTGGTCGCGAGCCGCAGGTGTGCTTCTGACCGGCCAGCTGTAAACTGGGGTTCCTACCACCCAGTTGGGATTCCCCTTGGGTTTGATAAATTTGCTGGAGTGTCTCACAGAACTCAAGGAAACGTATGTTCACCAGTTTATTATGAAGCTTACTGCGAAGGATGCAGATGAATGGATGCGCAGGGCGAGATGTGGGGGAAGGGTGCAGAGCGTCCGTGCCCTCCCCACCCTCCAGGAACAGTGGGAGCTCTCCCAGTTCCCGTGAGAAGCCTTTGGGTTTTGATGGAGGCCGCCACCCTCCGGGAAGAGTGGAAGCTCTCCTAGCTCTGGTGGAAAACCTTTGGGTTTTGATGGAGGCCACCACCCTCCAGGAACAGTGAAAGCGCTCCCTGCTCCGGTGAGAAACCTTTGGGTTTTGATGGAGGCCTTGTCAGGCGGACATAATTGACTCCGCCCCTGCTCATTGGTGAACCACTCAGCCTTCAGCCCCTCTCCTTCCCCAGCTTAGGGGTGGGGCTGAAGTCCCGAGCCTCTAGTCCGGCCTCGATCTTCCTGGTGTCCCGCCCCATCCTGCAGCTGCCCAGGGGCTGCAGCCACCGTCAGTCATTGGCACATGGAAGGCCTCAGTCGGGAAAGCCCGAGGGTTTTAGGAGCTGTGTTCTGGTAGATGGGTTGACGATCAGTTACATATTTCACAAGATCACACGCGGCTGAAATGAGACGCCCGCGTCCTGGACGCCAGTACATTGGCCCCAGTCTGTGGGCTTGTGTGGCTTCTGCTGGGGCCGGCTGAGGGTGGCCAGGTTGGGGTTCCCGCCATGCTTGGCTGGGTCAGGACCGCCACCAAGTCCCTTCTGACGTTCTGTGAGTGTTGGATTCACATTCACTTTCAACTTATCCTTTATTTCAAGACTTCTACTAAGTTACAGTTAAAAACCCCGTATTCACTTCACTCAAACATGAGTCCAGTGGAGACCACCGCCCAAGAAAGTGCCATCCCCCCAGCCCCGGGATGAAGCTTTCCCTTCCCCAAACCACCGCCCAAGAAAGCACCATCCACCAGCCCTGGGATGAAGCTTTCCCTTCCCCAAACCACCTCCCAAGAAAGCGCCATCCACCAGCCCTGGGATGAAGCTTTCCCTTCCCCAAACCACTGCCCAAGAAAGCACCATCCACCAGCCCCAGGATGAAGCTTTCCCTTCCCCAAACCACTGCCCAAGAAAGCGCCATCTGTCAGTCCAGGGATGAAACTTTTCCTCAAGTCATGCAACTAAGGCCGAGCAGAAGCAATCAATGGCTGGGAAGGTGTGAACGTGAGGGTGGAGGTCATGGCCCCATCCCACATTCCTGTTTCCAAGCAGCCTCCTGGCTCTCCCTGATGGTTGCCTCACAGGGCTGTGGTCCCTGTTAGCTTTTCTCTATCCCAGTGCTGTGTTTTATTTCCTTGAGATTTAGTTAAGATTTCCTTTGGAAAGAAGTTTGTGGTACTCAATAGAGTCGTGTGCAGCTCCCGTGTTCCAGCGCCGTTCCGCTCTGCGCCTGCCTGGGCTGTCTGAGTAGGGATGGGCCCTCCCTCCGCGGACTCGCACCCTCCCCGGTGTGGCCTCTCTTCTTTCCTGGCTGTGTCCTTTCCTGGGAGAGCTCTCGTACCTCACTGTGGAGTCCTGACTCTCCTCCTCTCGGGCGGCCTCTCATCTCTCCTGGCTGTGTCCCTTCCTGGGAGCACCTGTGTGCCCGGCTGTCCCATGTGGGAGGTGGAGTCCTGACTCACCCTCTCCCTGGGACAGCCTCTCCTCTCTGCGCCTCACTGTGCCCTTCCTGGGAGCCCCTCCCGTGAGGAGGTGGAGTCCTGGGGTTCCCGGAATCACAGAAAGCCGTTGCATCATGGGTGGGTTCTGCAGTCAGGGTCAGTGGACGCTGTCATTTGTCCGGTCCCAAGTCAGCTCCTGAAGGACAGAGAGAGAGGGGCAAGATCCAAACCCCTGAGGCCCGCTACTGCCAGGCCACGAACTCGGAAGCTCACCAAGAGTGGTTGGGAGCCACCAAAGGCTTAAAAATCGCATGACCCAGCCCCTCTCTGCTGTCTGAGGAGACAGCTTGGTGCCCAGTGGCAGAGGGGTCTAGTGAGAGCCGTTGGGAGGCTATTGTGGTAACGTAGGTGACAGGCAACGAGCACAGGGACTGAGGCAGTGGCTGTGGGGACCATGCAGGGAAAAGGGAGGTTTCAAAAGCAGAATTGAAAGGAACCATCAGCCACCCGAAGGGGCGGACAGGGAGAGGCCTCTTGGGCAGCCTGGAGTTGGCCCTGCCTCTGGCGTCGGCCCACAGGAGGCCTCTCGGGTTCCCAGTGCTTAGCGCCAGGCTGGGCTTTCAACCTCACAGAATGTTTTTAGAACAGGCCCCCCAACCAGGCGCCTGGCGCTTGCTTCCCCGCACCACGCTGCACATCTGCGGTGATTCAGAGGGGAAGCGCTGGCTCTGCAATCTCGCTCATTCAGAAGTCCCGTCTCCTGAAGGGCTGCGTCGCCGACAATTTTTCCCATTGTGTGTGGAGTTGAGCTCCCTTCCCCCTCCCTGCCGTGTTCTGGGATCACCCTGGGAGTCTATTTGAAATCCAGAAACTCCTGAAAGGCCTTAAGTAGCTATTCAGCAGTGCGGAAATGGCAGTGAGGGGGTTGCACGTGCAGCTCTATTTTAGGATGTCCTGGTGGGCTCGTTCCTGGGGTGGGGCGGGGCTTGGTGGGGTGGTCACCCCAGGCTTCATTGCTTTGCCCTCTTGTCTCTCCCATGCAGCGCCCGGGGGCTGGAGAAGGCCAGGCAGCAGCTGCAGGAGGAGCTCCGGCAGGTCAGCGGCCAGCTGTTGGAGGAGAGGAAGAAGCGCGAGACCCACGAGGCGCTGGCCCGGAGGCTCCAGAAACGGGTCCTGCTGCTCACCAAGGTGATGTATGCCCTTACATCTTGATCAGAGTCGCAGGGAGCTGCGGGTCAGTGCACACCTGGTTAGCTGGATCTCACTGTGGAGGCAGGAGTGCTGCAGCCGGGTCAGGGTTGGCACTTTGGCCCTGGGTTGCCAGGAGGGTTCTGGGAATGCCAGAGAGTGCTCAGCCCCGGTGCTCCCTGTGGGACTCTCTGGGCCTGCTGCGTGCCCCACCCTTTTCAGTTCCTCCAGCATCTCAGTGTCCACCCCTGGCCTGGTGCTGAGCTCTGGAGAGGGTTCCCTGTCACTGCGGACCCCCTGCAGGCTCCCACGTGCCTTGCAGTCAGCACCCTCATGCTTTCCCATCCAGTGATGCCATTTACACTGTGTGGGTCTTGGCCTGGGCTTGGGATGAAGGCTGTCACCTGCTTCCAGGTGTGCCCCACCTGTGGGTGGCTCCATGGCCCGACTCTAAGCCTCAGTGCCTGCGGGGGTTCTGATGCCTGGCACCGTGAGCAGAGGTCGCTGGAGCATGAAAGACGGTTTTTGTGAGTTCTGTTTAAAATGTTCCTTGGGCACTGAAATTTCAGAAGACAAGGCGGGAAAGAAGTCAATCTGTCCCCAGATGCTCTCTGGGCCAGGGCGGGTGTCCAGTTTGCTGGGCGGAGACTCCCCCTGCCTGCCTCCAGCTAGTGCTGAGTGGGCGGAGGGCTGTGCCACCCTGGCCCAGGATGCATGCTGCACCTGTCAAGTACTGGGAGTTGTGCCTCATGGATGTTTACCTGTTCTTGATCGTTTTTGATGAAAACCAAGCCTCTTTGCTGCTGGGACCTCTTGGTTGTGGAGCTTTTAGAAAATGAGTAACATTTCCGTTCCAAAGATGCTGTTTTACAGCTTCTCCAGCTCGCTCTGGGCGGCTCCATGCTGTCTCCTAAAGGAAAAGTTCACATGGGCCTAGGTCCCTCGGGCACTGACTGTGTGGGCACCCGGAACACAGGCTGAGCTGGCCCCTGCGCATAGCTCAGATGCTGACCCCAAAGCCCTGGCTTTGCAGGTGCACCCCAGACAGGGGACACTCCAAAATGTTCTCACATGGCTTTTCAGCCGGAGCTGTCTGCTGCCTCTGGCAGAGGGGACACCCAGCCCTGCTGCATGGTCAGGCACGGTACGTTTCTGTGGAGCAAGCTCTCGACCTTCCTCTGTGTTCCCTTCTCTTCCACACCGTGTCTGCTAGTGTGTGAGCTTCTAAGCAAGATGCGTGAGGTGCACGTGGCGTGGATGTGTGGGCACAGCCCTTGGAGGATTCGCTCTTCTAGCGGGGCCAGGCAGTGGCACCAGACCAGCACCTGCCACGCACCTCAACAGAGGTGGACGCCGTGGTGGTGCCGCAGAAGGGCTTTTCTCAGGAGGTGGCATTCCTGTGGGGACCCAAGAATTTCCCCTTTGCGAAAGTGTGTGTGGAGAACCACGGCGGAGGGAGAGAAGGCAGGTCATCACAAAGCGCTGCTGCAGTCACCTCGAGGCCTGGAGCGGGAGGAGACAGCGGCTTGGGCCCACAGGCCACAGCACGCGGGCTGACCACTGCGGTGGTTCGGGCTGACCACTGCGGGGGTTTGGGCTGACCACTGCGGGGGTTCAGGCAAGTGCAGCCCGACCCTGCCGCCGAGGAGAGGCCCGGGAAGCAGAGGGGGCGACACTGTGTTCTTTCAGAGTGGCGGGACACCTTAGCTCGGTGATCTTTGGGTGCGTGATGACGTGCTGTGGTCCCGTGATGCTGGAAGCTCAGAGCTTCCTGGGGGAGGAAGAGTGGGAGGGCTGGGCTGGGAGCTGGGCCTTTCTCTGGGATCTCAGATGTCCCTCATTCTCTCTGGGTCTCAGTTCTCCTTTCTGCTAAACTTTGGGCTCAGGCCTGATGACCCCGGGTGCCTGCGAACGTGGCCTGATGACCCCGGGTGCCTGCGAACGTGGCCTGATGACCCCGGGTGCCTGCGAACATGGCCTGATGACCCCGGGTGCCTGCGAACGTGGCCTGATGACCCCGGGTGCCTGCGAACGTGCTGTGTTCGGGTGGCACCCCCTTGAGTGCACCTTGTTGTTGGGCCCAGTCCCCGATTCTGGGTCGGGGCTGGGGAGTGACATCGGCCCACACCGGCCAGGCGGGCAGCACTTTGGGTTGGTCCTCCATGCGTGGCCTGGGTCTTGGCCTGGGCTACAAGTGTGGCCCCCACAGGAGGGCAGCCCCGCCCGGCCTCAGCTGAGGCTCATCCCTTGGGAACCTCCTGGTTTCTTAAGTGAGGCCAGCGGTTGGAAGCTGATGGGCAGAGTTCCCTTGACAGGTCACGTGTGGGCCTGAGTGTTCTTGTGTGCTGGGTCTGGCCTGCAGCCTGTGACCCACGCGACACTGGTGCTGCTGCCCACACCCTCTTAGTGCCAGGGCTCCCGGCCGTGATGAGGAGTTACATGCAGTCACTGGATGTCTGGTGTGGTTTTCATCCCTGTGGGGCTCCCTCATGGTCTAGTGGAGCCCCGCAGCCTTCTGGGAAGTCTGTGCCCGGCTTCCTTCCTGCCGTTGCTCTTTGATGGCCACCCCGGCCCGCTCAGGGCAGGAAGTTTCTGTTCTTCTCTGCTCTGCTTTGCAGGTGGAGAGCCTCTGGCACTTTCTGGCCCGCGCCAGCCTCACCCCGACCCTGCTGTGCTCGCGGGCCTGCTCTGTGTTAGCAAGAAGGTGGGTATTGATCGCCGGGCATGGACTGGTTGTTTATCCTGACGAAGGATTGATCCCAGTCGCCCGTGTAGCCCCAGGCCAGGGATGCAGGATCCGTCCAGCCAGCCGTGATGAAGCTGTTCACTCAGCCATCTGGAGGGAGCGGCGTGCCTGCTGCTCTGGGTCTGTGTGCCTTGGTGTCGGCCAGTGCCCACCTCAGCTCTGCATGGCAGCCCGCCCAGCTGGGGTGGTCGAGGAGCGCCTTCTCTCAAGGCGCACCCAGGAGGGCTGCGAGCCTCCGGCTGGTGGGGGCTCTGGGCCTCTGCTTCCCATTGGAGGCTCTCCTTGTGTGCTTGACATTTTAGTACACGGTGCTTGGAGTGTGTGGTTTTATTTCGAGACCTTTATTAAACGGCTCTAGTCTAAGGATTTAATTGTTACTGATAGCTAAGAGTATAATTACCTTGGTAAAATATCATGACTATTTTAAGCAGTTGAAAATTGGCTTCTGGAACTGGGTGAACACAAACCATTTTCCTGTTTGAAATGAGCCGTTTCTCCAGTGCCCCAAGCTTCCGCAGTATGGCTGCAGAGTCTTGTTTCTGGAATATCAGTGATACAAGCTAACTTTTAGCAAGAAACTTTTCAAATGACAGAAAAGCCTCCGCTTCCCACCCCTTGTTGTCTGCACTCCACCCTCCCGCCCTGTCTCACAGCAGATCAGTTACTGGAGGCCCCAGGCTTGGGGGGAGCAGTTGACGCTGGGTGTCCAGCGGCGTCGGACTCACGTCGTGGCTGCTGAGCACAGACTGTGGTTGTCATGGTGACACCCTGCCCTGGGAACCCGCACACTGGGAAAGACAGATTTGTGTCTTCTGGAGTTGTTGAGGGTCTGAGTTTCGAGCTCTGGGCTGGGGTGTTGGGTCTGGGCTGGCTGAATGAGCACGTTCCTCGGCCACCTCCTCCGAAGCTGGGGTTGGTGACGACACACATTCCCCTCTCCCACGTCCTCGCTGCCTGGGGCATCAGATCTGCCCACTGCCATAAAGTTCCTTTTGTCAATCAAAAAACCGTCCACAAACATTCCTGATGATCCACGGTCTCAAAACCAACGTGGCTGGGCCTGCTGTGGGATTGGGAGCGGATGAGCTTTAACAGGAGGGCTGGGACCCTGGACACGGCTGCCACCCTCAGTGATGGGAGAGTGTGGAGAGCTGGTGTCTGTATTCGCTGGGTGCAGTTTAGGCCAGATCCATCCAGGAGACAGCTGAAGGCAGATGGAGACTGGGCCCAAGAAGGCGGGGGCTGCTGCTGTTTAAGAAACAGTTAAATAGGGGGCAGAATGCAGGAAGTACAAGGGGGGACCCCTCAGAAGAGTTCCATGTTCTTCCTGCCTCACATCCAGAAGAGAGTCCTAGAAGAAGCCTCTGTCCTCCCTTGAGAATCTGCTGTCCTCCTGAAAGAAGCCTCTGCTCTCCCATGAGCAGCCGCTGTCCTCCTATGATCAGCCACTGTCCTCCTGGAAGAAGCCACCATCCTCCCGGGAGAAGCCTCTGTCCTCCCTTGACAACCTGCTGTCCTCCTGGAAGAAGCCTCTGTCCTCCCATGAGCAGCCACCGTCCTCCCTGGAGAAGCCGCCATCCTTTGGGAGAAGACACTGTCCTCCTAGGAGAAGCCGCTGTCCTGGGAGAAGCCGCTGTCCTGGGAGAAGCCTCCGTCCTGGGAGAAGCCGCCATATTCCTAGGAGAAGCTGCCATCCTCATCCTCCCAGGAGAATCTGGTATCCTCTGGGAGAAGCCGCTGTCCTCCTGGGAGAAGCTGCCATATTCCTGGGAGAAGCCACTGTCCTCCTAGGAGAAGCCTCTGTCCTCCCAGGAGAAGCCTCTGTCCTCCTGGGAGAAGCTGCCACATTCCCGGGAGAAGCCACTGTCCTCCTAGGAGAATCCTCTGTCCTCCGGGGAGAAGCCTCTGTCCTCTTCGGAGAAGCTGCTCTCTTCCTGCTATGTTCCTGGCCCAGAGGCAGCTCTTGTGAGCCTGAGCCATCCCAGCCTCTTACAGGGGCCAGAGCCGCTTCCTGAGGCCTCCTCTCCATGCTATGGTGCCTTCCCGAGGGAATCTGGGGCAGGGGAGCCAGGCTTAGCTCAGGGACCCCTGCGCGTTCTCAGTTGACTCTGCCAGGGCCTCCTCTCTTCTTGGGGGTCGTTTCTGTGCCCAGGATGCTGTGCTGGAGTCTCCCATGCCCTTTCTGGTGGAGGGCCCGCCTGGATATTGGTGTTGATTGTTTTGAAGACATGTTGCTCTTCGTGTCCTGTGTATTCACTCGGCTGCCTGAGGCTGGGCTCCTGTGTGCTCCCTCGCCAGGGGGTTGCTGGGCTGCATCCCCAGCCTCCTTGGATTCAGTGTCTCGGCAGGGTTAGCCGCGAGGCCAGGCCCAGAACAGGACATGCGTGTTCCTTGCTGAAGCTCAGTGTCATCTGTGGAGCCGGCCTGCTACGGGAGAGGCTCCAGGCCCCCTTCTGGTCCATCCTAGGAAGGCAGTGCAGTCCTCGCTGGGATTCTCCCAGGCCTGGGGTTTGAGGAGGCCCCTCCATTTCCTTCTGACTGTGTCTCTTCTCCTCTGCAGGATTGTGTGTGCTGAGGGCAGAGCGAGGGAGGCTGGCTGCCCCGAGGGAGCTGAGGCCACAGGTGCTCAGGGTCAGAGTGGCCCGTGGATCATGAAGGAGTGTGTTCTGGTGGCCGCACCCTGGCCATGACAAAGGCGGGTGTGGTGCCCACGGGAAGAGGGCAGGGCCTCGCTGGCACCGTGCCCAGGCTGCGCAGCGATTTAGAAATGGGCCCACGTTGCTGGAGTGTTTTTATTTTTGAACAGGTTATTTTCATCTCTCCTGGAATAGCACGGTGGAGACACACCTGATGCATGTTTTTGCTCCCATAGGACGTGTGGGTGGAAGGGACATGGAGCAGAGGCAAGCGCTGTTGTTTATTTTGTGTTCATACAGCTTGGGCAGCTTCCACTTTGGAGACCACCCCAACAAGGTTAATGTAGCTCATGCCTGTCCCAGCCACAGACAAGGCCGCTGTTCCTCCAGCTGAGTGCCACTTCAAGTCACTGGCTTGCCTTTATTTCAAAGCCCTGATCTTCCCTGATGGTGTCTGTTTAAGTCCTGGGATCCGGCACAGCCTGGAGTGAGGACGCGGAGCCAGGGACTCCCAGGGGCCCAGGACTCTGCCCACTCTTGGATCAGAGAGCAAGATTTTGGCGCAGTGAGGTCCCACCCACCCCACGTCCAGTCTTTCTTTTCACTGTTCTCGTGAAACACATTGCGTGTGCAAAGATCATATAGAACATATACATACAGCTCAAAGAATACAGCAAGTTCCCGTGTCTCAGTCCCAGTGTAAGAAACAGAACAGCCTCCGCTGTCAGACGGAGCCGTGCTCTAAACGTAGAGCAGTCCCTTCCCTCATTTTTCTTTCTAGTTTAATTGTGTGTATATCTTTAAACATTGCTCCGCTTTTCCCATTTTTATGTTTTCTGTACATAGAGCCACGCTTCTGTGGCTTCTCTTTGTTTTTATCTTAGCGTTATCCTTTTGACCTTCGTCCCTGGGAATGCAGCGTGTTCCTTTTTGCTGCTGTTGTGATGCTGTGTGCAGGGAGTGGGTCACGGTTTAGTGACCTGACGTGTGAGGTGTTCCAGTTTTGCCTTCCTGCGGTGGGTGCTGCACAGTGGGTGTGGCTCAGCCCCACCTCGGGAGGCTTGTTCTCAGTAGTCTCCGTGTTGAAGTTTAGTGTGCACAAATTACAGACCCAGGACAGACTCTAGAAGAGCAGGTAGTTAGCAACCCCAGCAAGACCCTCGTGCCTGGTTCCAGCCGCTCCCTCAGCTCCAGGGCAAGCGCCTCCTGACTTCACTTCCCTGTTTTTTTTTTGTTTGAGACAGAGTCTCTCTTTGTTGCCCAGGCTGGAGTGCAGTCGCGTGATCTCGGCTCACTGCAGCCTCCGCCTCCCAGGTTCAAGCAATTCTGTTGCCTCAGCCTCTCGAGTAGCTGGGATTATAGGTGTGCGTCACCACACCGGGCTAATTTTTGTATTTTTAGTAAAGACAGGGTTTCACCATGTTGGCCAGGTTGGTCTCGAACTCCTGACCTCGTGATCCCCCTACTTCGGCCTCCCAATCCCAAAGTGCTGGGATTACAGGCGTGAGCCACTGTGTCCGGCCTTCAATTCCCTGTTTTTTTTTTTTTTTTTTTGTCGTTGCTGTTTTTTGAAATGGAGTCTCGCTCTGTCACCCAGGCTGGAGTGCAGTGGCGCGATCTCAGCTCACTGCAACCTCCGTCTCTTGGGTTCAAGCCATTCTCTCGCCTCAGCCTCCCGAGGAGCTGGGATTTCAGGTGCCTGTCACTATACCCAGCTAATTTTTTTGTATTTTTGTAGAGACGGGGTTTCACCATGTTGGCCAGGCTGGTCCTGAACTCCTGACCTCAGGTGATCTGCCTGCCTCGGCCTCCCAAAGTGCTGGGATTACAGGCGTGAGCCACTGCGCCTGGCCCACTTCCCTGTTTTTAAGCGTCACATATTGGAATCACATACCTGTACTCTTTAGTCCCTGGCTTCCATTACACGTTATCTTTGTGAGAGTCATGTGTGTTGTGTATAGCTGAGATTTGTTGATTTTTCTTAATTACTCTGTTAAGTTTTCCATTGTATAAAAATACCACTTTTTAAAATACACTTGGCTGTACCCGACATCGGATGGTTTCCAGCATGGGGGTGTTGACTCTTGCTGACGTGGACGTTTTAACACGTGTATGACGTTTGGTGATCCCCTGGGTGCCCTTGCGCTGGGCATGCCCAGGTGTGGCATAGGGTCAGTTCCCGGGGCTGCCACCCCCGCCAGAGTTACTGTGCCAGGTGGCACTCCTGTTGGGGTGTGGATGGTGCTGGTCCCTCCGGGTCCTCACCTCCTGCCTTTGGTTTTCTCCCTGGTGGGGGCCTGTACTCGAAAGCTGTTGTTCTTACTTTCCTGAGGCTTGGTGAAGCTGAGCTGCTTTTTACATGCTCACTGGCCGGTTAGACACCGACTCCTGGGGGCACCTGGACAGGCTTTCTGTTCCTACCCCTTTGGGCTTTTATTTTTATTTTATTTTATTTTAATTTTATTATTATTTTTTGAGACGGAGTCTCACTCTGTTGCCCAGGCTGGAGTGCAATGGCTCAATCTTGGCTCACTGCCACCTCCGCCTCCCGGGTTCAAGCAATTCTCCTGCCTCAGCCTCATGAGTAGCTGGGACTACAGGCACGCGCCAGCACGCCCAGCTAAGTTTTGTATTTTTAGTAGAGATGGGGTCTCACCATGTTGGTTAGGCTGGTCTCGAACTCCTGACCTCGTGATCTGCCTGCCTCAGCCTTCCAAAGTGTTGAGATTACAGGCGTGAGCCACTGTATCCGTCCTGGGCCTTTAAATGATTGTTTGCCTTGTTCTTACTGAGTTGTAGTTCTTTACTCTGGATGTGAAAGTCTTTTGTTGAAACGTATTTAGTTATCTTCTCGTAGCCTGTGGTTTGCTTTTTCACTCTCGGAATTTCTCTGTTGATGTTCATGCAGCCAGCTCACCGACGTTTGCTGATGCTGGTGCTTTTGAGTCATGATTAAACAGTCTTTGCCTGCCAAAGTTGTGAAGATACTCAGTGGTTTTCTTCTAAACACTTTATTGTTTACCTTTTATATGTTGCTGCTTTTGTTCTGTGAAACATGCTGTTGATCTGGCAGCCTCTATTGCAAGGCCGCCTTCTCCCCACGCGTGGCGCTGCCATGGCCGTGGCCCGGGGACCCCTCGTGGCCGTCCACTTCAGGGCTTTCTGGTGTGTTCCATGGGCTCTTTTTTTATTTGTTTACGATTCCATGCTGTCGTCGTTGCCTCCTCCTTCCAGTGTTTCCCTGTGTCCAGGTGAAGCACAGCATTAGCTTATCTTGGCATTAGCGTATCTCGACATTAGCGTTATCTCGGTCTCGGCATTATCTCGATATTGGCATATCTCGACATCAGCGTTATCTCGGCATCGGCGTTATCTCAGCATCGGCGTATCTCAGCATCAGTGTATCTCAGCATCAGCGTATCTTGACATCTCGGCATCGGTGTATCTTGGCATCAGCATATCTCGACATCTTGGCATTGGCGTATCTCAGCATCGGCGTATCTCGGGATCGGCGTATCTCGGGATCGGCGTATCTCGGCATCGGCGTATCTCGGCATCGGCGTATCTCGGCATCGGCGTATCTCGGCATCGGCGTAACTTGGCATCTGCGTATCTTGGCATCGGTGTATCTCGGCATCGGCGTATCTCGGCTTCGGCGTATCTTGGCATCTGCGTATCTCGACATCTCGGCATCTTGGCTTCGGCGTATCTCGGCATCAGCGTATCTTGGCATCAGCGTATCTTGATACCTCGGCATCGGTGTATCTCGGCATCGGCGTATCTTGTGAACCATGAATGCCACATGTTCCACCATTTACCTTGATGGCCTTTAATTTCTCTCAGCAAGTTTGATGGATTTTAGGGTAGATTCTTACATGTCATTAGACTTTCTGCCCTGCGTATTTGAACATTCGACGCAGTTTTCATGTTGTCTTCTTGGACTTTGATCTTCTATGTATGTGTTCCTGGCCTGTGGATGTACCATTGGGTCCTGCACATTGACCCTGCACATGACAACCTTGCTCTGATGCTGGTGTTTGACGTGCACACTCATACTCTCTGAGAGATGCTGGCCATGCTTCCCCACCAACCCCATGCCTCTCTTCTCCCCTGGCTACGCTTCCCTGCCAGCCCCACACCTCTCCTGTCCCCTGGCCATGCTCCCTCTCCAGCCCCGCGCCTCTCCTCTCCCCTGGCCACGCTTCCCCACCAGCCCCGTGCCTCTCCTCTCCCCTCCCCTGGCCATGCTTCCCCGCCAGCCCCTTGCCTCTCCTCTCCCCTGGCCATGCTCCCTTTCCAGCCCCGCACCTTTCCTCTCCTCTGGCCACAATCCCTCTCCAGCCCCACGCCTCTTCTCTCCTCTGGCCACGCTGCCTCTCCAACCCCGTGCCTCTCCTCTGGCCACATTCCCTCTCCAGCCCTGCTTCTCTCTTCTGGCCACACTCCCTCTCCAGCCCCATGCCTCTCCTCTCCTCTGGCCACACTCCCACTCCAGCCCTGCTTCTCTCTTCTGGCCACACTCCCTCTCCAGCCCTGCTTCTCTCCTGGCCACACTCCCTCTCCAGCCCTGCTTCTCTCCTGGCCACACTCCCTCTCCAGCCCTGCTTCTCTCCTCTGGCCACACTCCCTCTCCAGCCCCACGCCTCTCTTCTCCTCTGGCCACACTCCCTCTCCAGCCCTGCTTCTCTCGTCTGGCCACACTCCCTCTCCAGCCCTGCTTCTCTCCTGGCCACACTCCCTCTCCAGCCCTGCTTCTCTCCTCTGGCCACACTCCCTCTCCAGCCCTGCTTCTCTCCTCTGGCCACACTCCCTCTCCAGCCCTGCGCCTCTCCCCTGGCCACACTCCCACTCTAGCCCCGCGCCTCTCCTCTCCTCTGGCCACACTCCCTCTCCAGCCCTGCGCCTCTCCCCTGGCCACACTCCCACTCTAGCCCCGCGCCTCTCCTCTCCTCTGGCCACACTCCCTCTCCAGCCCTGCTTCTCTCCTCTGGCCACACTCCCACTCCAGCCCCGCGCCTCTCCTCTTCTCTGGCCACACTCCCTCTCCAGCCCTGCTTCTCTCCTCTAGCCACACTCCCTCTCCAGCCCTGCGCCTCTCCTCTCCCCTGGCCACACTCCCTCTCCAGCCTCAAGCCTCTCCTCTCCTCTGGCCACACTCCCTCTCCAGCCCTGCGCCTCTCCCCTGGCCACACTCCCACTCTAGCCCCGCGCCTCTCCTCTCCTCTGGCCACACTCCCTCTCCAGCCCTGCTTCTCTCCTCTGGCCACACTCCCTCTCCAGCCCTGCGCCTCTCCTCTCCTCTGGCCACACTCCCTCTCCAGCCCTGCTTCTCTCCTCTGGCCACACTCCCTCTCCAGCCTCGCGCCTCTCCTCTCCTCTGGCCACACTCCCTCTCCAGCCCCGCCCCTCTCCTCTCCTCTGGCCACACTCCCTCTCCAGCCCCGCGCCTCTCCTCTCCTCTGGCCACACTCCCTCTCCAGCCCCGCGCCTCTCCTCTCCTCTGGCCACACTCCCTCTCCAGCCCCGCGCCTCTCCTCTCCTCTGGCCACACTCCCTCTCCAGCCCCGCGCCTCTCCTCTCCTCTGGCCACACTCCCTCTCCAGCCCCGCGCCTCTCCTCTCCTCTGGCCACACTCCCTCTCCAGCCCTGCTTCTCTCCTCTAGCCACACTCCCTCTCCAGCCCCGCGCCTCTCCTCTCCTCTGGCCACACTCCCTCTCCAGCCCCGCGCCTCTCCTCTCCTCTGGCCACACTCCCTCTCCAGCCCCGCGCCTCTCCTCTCCTCTCCTCTGGCCACACTCCCTCTCCAGCCCCGCGCCTCTCCTCTCCTCTGGCCACACTCCCTCTCCGGCCCTGCTTCTCTCCATGCCCCTTTCCTCCAGGTGCAGTGTCATGGAGGAATGATGACAGTAGGCACCTTGTCTCCTTCAGGCTGTGACGGGCGCTTTGGTAATCCATCAGTAAGCGTGGTGTGTGCTAGATGTTCTGTGTGATACTCTTTACTGAATTAATGAAATCCTCTCCAACTTGTGCTTTTCTAAGAGTCTTTGTCACGAAGGCCTACCCCATAAATTTTGATGCGGGTTGTTTTTGTTACTGTTGAGTTCAAAACATTTTCTGATATTCTCTGTGGATTTAGAAAGTCTGGCCTTCCAGCAGGATTTAACGCATACAAAGCATATAATACAGGTGGACTGGCCAGCTGAAAAGGGATTGAGAAGGAGAAACCCAGACTCAGTTCACTCACTCGATCATTAATGTTTCATTCCCCAACTTCTTCTTTTTGGGGGGGCGGTGGGGGGAATGGAGTCTTGTTCTGATGTCCAGGCTGGAGTGCAGTGGTGCAATCTTGGCTCACTGCAACCTCTGCCTCCCGGGTTCAAGCAGTTCTCCCCTCAGCCTCTGAGTAGCTGGGACTACAGGTGCACACCACCATGCCCGGTGAATTCTTTGTATTTTTAGTAGGGATGGATTTTGCCACGTTGGCCAGGAACTTCTCACGTCAAGTGATCTGCCCACCTTGGCTTCCCGACGTGCTGGGATTACAGGCATGAGGCACCGCGCTCGGTCATTCCCCAGATTCTTACTGTGCGTCTCCTGTGAGCCTGGCACATTTAGGTGCTGTGGAAAACAGCAGGGAGCTGCACAGCAGACTCGGAGCTCAAGGGCCCCTCTCTAGGTGGGGCTGGGGCAGGTGTCAGTCGCGTTGAGGCGGTGATGGCTGCTGTGAAGAAAGGGAGGCGCTTTAGGGCTCGTGTGTCAGGGAGGGTGTGGGAAGCCGGTGAACAGGCGCCCTTGCTGAGCCCAGAAGGTCACTGCGGGGAGAGCTGTGTCCATCTGCCGTGCTAGACCGTGGTGGGGCTTGGTTTGTGGTAATGATAGCTGCACGGGTACTTGGGAAGGTTGTGGGGCGAGGTGCCACGTCTCCCCGGCTTCCCCGTGGCAATGCCGTAGGTGGTCGTGGTGCAGTGGGAAGACCAGGGGCTTTGGCGTTAGCACAGCCTGTGTTCCTCTCCGCGATCGGCCGCTTGTGTAGGTTTCTGTGGCCCCACAACAGTCCCCCTGGGCTGCCTCTTGGAGCCACACCAACTCCTTGTCCTGGTTCTAGTGTTGAGTAGGACTTGTCCTTCACCCCTCTGTGATAATGGGCGCTGGGTGGGAGCCCGTGGGAGCTCTGTGGTGGGCCTTGGTTCGAGGTGAGCACCGCCCTCGCTCACGTGGGTATCTCCTGGGTCGCTTTGCAGATGGGTCGTGGAGCCAGTCTTGTACTTCCTTCCACGTCTTTCCTGGATAGCCATTCTGTGGTTTCTTCCTCTGCCCCAGTGGGAGCCTAAATCTGGCTGTGTGCTCCTCCCTCCCCTGAGGGTGTGAGATCTAGCCCTCTTTCCCTAGAGCAGAGCAGAGCAGAGCAGAGCAGAGGGCCTCCATCCCTCCCACAGAAGAGCCTGCGCGAGCCCCATGCTGCTTCTGATCGCCGTCTCTTCTGCTCCACACCCCTCTTTAGGTCTGAGGCTTCATGATCGGCACGATTTCTCTTGCTCTTTCTTTTTTAATACTGAAAATTTTTGGTCTTAGGTAGCACTGAAGGGAGTATTTATAACACCCAGTACCTGCTGTGTCATCTGGAAAGCATCATCCTCTGTGACCCTCCAGGGGTTTGTGTCAGACAGTCATCATGTTCCCTGTGGCGCCCGCTGAGGCGTCGGGGGGTCAGCTCTGTGGCCCCGTTTTAGCCCAGCAAGTCGAGGCTTAAGAGTGGCATAGAGACTGCCCAGGCCATGCGGCCAGCCTTGATGCTAGATTTGTGTTTTTTATTTATTTATTTATTTATTTTTGAGATGGAGTCTTGCCCTGTCACTCAGGCTGGAGTGCAGTGGCATGATCTCAGCTCACTGCAACCTCTGCCTCCTGGGTTCAAGCGATTCTCCAGCCTCAGCCTCCCGAGTAGCTGGGATTACAGGCGCCTGCCACCATGTCCAGCTAATTTATGTATTTGTAGTAGAGACGGGGTTTTGCCATATTGGTCAGGCTGGTCTCGAACTCCTGACCTCAAGTGATCCACCCACCTCAGCCTCCCAAAGTGCTGGGATTACAGCTGTGAGCCACTGTGCCTGGTCCTAGATTTTTTTTTTTTTTTTTTTTTTGAGACAGGGTCTCTCTGTGTCACCCAGGCTGGAGTACAGTAGTGTGGTCTCGGCTCACTGCAGCCTCGACATCGCAGGCTCCGGTGATTCTCCTGCCTCAGCCTCCCGAGTAGCTGGGACTTCAGGTGCCACCACCGTGCCCATCTAATTCTTTTGTGTTTTTGTAGAGATCGTGGAAATCTGAGTGTGACTTGGTAGCTCTGGGGTGCAGCCTGCGGTCCCCATGTCTCACCGGTTCCCTGGTGGCGCTCCTGTGCTGCTCCGGGCCAGTTCTGTCAGGGGTGGCAGAGGCCTGGATCGTGCCCTACGATGCGGGCCACAGGGGCCGGGTCACACAGCTGATGTGGATGCTGCTGACTGGCCCTAGGCCTGGCTCACCCCCAGCTCCCTCTGAAGACCACTGCCTACCTGCTGTCCTCACTGTCTGCCTCCGAGAGGACACACGTCCTGGCGTGTGCTCATTCACTCCCTGCTTTCTGTCAGGGTTTGTGGCGTGCCTCTGCCTGGTGCTGTCGTGGCACGCACCGCCTCGCTGTGCTGCCTGCCTAGTGCCTGGAGGGAGGCTTGGCCCCGCTTCCTCTGTCTCTGCTGCCCCCGCCCTTTGTGACAAGCTCTGCACTGTGTACGTGAACACAGGACAGATGGAGTTCGGGCCCTGCCGTCGTCCCTGAGTCCCGGCCCCACCGCTCGGCTCCTCCTGCTACTGTGACCCATGCAACCCATCTTGTCTCCTGGGCTTTAGCCTCTGGGGATGTCCAAGGAGCAGCCCTGAGTACCGCATGTGTTCCCCGCTCTCCCATCACTGCGAGGGCACGGCCCAGCCGAGCGCAGCTCAAGTTCAGCTTCAGACCTTGCTTTGTTCATACTTAAAGCACATCCCTCCACGTACACCTGGATCGGTGCAAAGCCTGCAGGAGGGGCCCTGAGACGCTGGCCAGCCCGGCTTCCAGGGTCGTGTTTGCTCTGCTCAGTGAGAGGGCCTCTTCCCTCCACAGATAAGCAGGGTTCTCTCGGCTTTGGAATTTAATTTCCAGGTGTTAATATATCGCCCTTTCCCATTACCTTTCTAGACTGACATTTCTATTACATCCATTCAGGAAAGAATGTCCACTTTGTTATGGGACAAAGCCATTTGCACAGTTATTAGAAAGCCAACCTTGTCACAGACACTGCTGCACTCTCCCTCCGAGAGGGAGCTGGACCTGGCTGTGGCAGAAAAAAATTCCAGGGAGAAAAGCAATTTTAGGAAATACGGTGAAATCAAAACAATGCATTTTACCCGTCTCCAGTGTGAAGATGATGAAGGTTGGGTTGTGGGAGCGTGGACCGCCTCCACCAGCCCGAGCCCTCCACGTGCGCCCGACCGCCGTCTCTGCCTCAGGTGCGTGGAGTTTGGAGGCTGCGTTACACTGGATTCAGGTCACCCATCTTTACTCTTGGCTCTTTGAAAAGACCACAGTCCTGTCCCCACCCGCCCATGGGTGGGACTTTCTGGACAGTTCCAGGTGAGGCTGTGGAACTCCTGGCCCTTTCAGGGAGATTTGAGGAGATGGCCACAGCACTGTGTTGGGGGAGGTGGGCTGGGAGCAGCAGTGCTCGTGGGCTCTGGCCCTGGTGGGAGTGCCCTGTCTGCGGGCACCCGGGTGCAGCCCTGACCCCTCCCGCCCTGCCTCCCTCTGCAGAAGGGTGCTGGTGGCAGGTGTGTCATCAGAAACCCCGATGAGGGCATTTCTGGATGGTGCTGCTGAGATAAGGCTGTCTCCTCGGGTCTCCGTGTTGAGGGTGGCTAGAATCGGGTGCCCCTGGAGCACTGTGGAAGCCAGGTCTACTTTCTTTTTTGAGGAGTCATGGCCTGCGTCCACTTAATGGTGGCAAATCACACTTGGAGAGCTCGGTCACAGGAGCCTACTGAAACCTGCAGCCCAGAATGCAGGGCCTGGGTCACAGGCTCCCTGGCTTCACCCAGGGGCTGTCCCTGGCCCTGTACCCTGTTGGCCTGGGGCACCCCCATAACCCGTGTCCCCAGGCCCTGGCTGGAACGTGCTGTGCGGGGAAGATGGGCCCCACCTCTGCAGCCTCCTCTGCTTCCCCGTTGCTTTCCTGCCGCCCGCCAGGGCCTTGGGGCCTTCACACAGCTTCTCTACTTCCCGGAACCCAGATCATCCCCGGCGTCCGGCTCATAGCATTGAGGCAGGCCCTTTTCTCCCTTGTTCACCGGCGGCTGGCACAGTTCCTTGCATACAGCAGGCTCTGAGTAAATGCCTGGTGAATATTGGACTCCTTCACCTACAGGAGGTGCTGAGGCCTTTGGAGTGGCCAGGGAGCAGCTCTCCTGCCTCTGCCTCACCTGCCCTGTGCTCTGCCCCCGCCCGGAGGACTCTTGGTCCCAGCCTCACCGTCTGCATGGGCCTCCGCGGCCCCCAAACTCACCGGTTTTCAGGAAGGGCCTGCTACCAGGTAGCAGATCCCGAGGCTTCTGCTTCTGATGCCTGAGCTAATGTCAGCAATGTGGAAGAGGGTGTTACTTGCTTTCAACTTTCCCAACAACCAAAGTCGCAAGACGTGTAGCTGTCAGTGGCAGAGCAGGAGGGTAGGCAGTGGCTGGGAGCAGGTGCCAGGGCAGGGACGGCTCGGCCTTCAGATGCAGGCACTGGAGGCGGCACCCACCCGTTCCCTCCTCAGGCTGGTGGAGGAGCCTCCGCTGTCCCGGGACTTGGGGCAGCTCTCCCTTCTGGATTTCCTCCTCCCACATGTCCTGCTGGGGACACATGGCTTCCTATCTCCCCATGGCCCCGGAGGTCCAGCGCCTCCCTCCCCCATGCTCCAGGCTGGGGCCCCAGCTCCCTCCCGGTTCCTCTGTCTGTTCCGGGCAGCAGTCTGTGGCGCCAGGGCCATGCCCATGCCAGCTGCCGTAGCTGTGTCCCAGCTGTTTGCTCCAGGTTTATTTTGATGGTGTACCCCTTTATAAAAACTGTGGAATTTGCACACTGATACGTGCATATTTGTTTAAAAAGGATAGGTATGACCTGCGGCCAATAATGAACACACCCATTTATTTGTAAGATATAAGGACTTATAAACGTAAGTAGGGTTTCCACTGTATACCTAGGCCCCAGGGAGCTGTCAGGTGCCCTCCCTGGGCACCGTGCCCGGGCCCCAGTGAGTGTCCAGCCCCCTCCCTGCCTGCTGTGCCTGGGCCCTAGTGAGCTGTCCGGCGCCCTCCCTGCCTGCTGTGCCTGGGCCCTAGTGAGCTGTCCGGCGCCCTCCTGGGTGCTGTTGCTTGCTGTCTGTTGGGCATTCTGTCTGTGTGGTCTTCCTGAGGCTGTTACCAACTGTGGTGGCGGCAGGCCTGGGGCTCCTACTACGCCGCTGCCTGTGCTCTGTTGCTCACATGAAGGGGCCAGGGAAGCCTGTTGGCATATGGAGTCATGCCATGGCTGGCTGTGGCGGAGCTGTGGCTGTGCGCGTGGCGAGGACGATAGGGTTCTGCCCTTGTCCGTGGTCACCCTGCTCCTGCTCTCGCTTCTCTGAGGCCAGCCCCTCCTCTCTGATGTGTGCGGAGCGTGGGTCTTGGCCTGCCGGGGGCTCCTTCGTGGAATGCAGGGGGTGCACAGGTGTTGACTCTGCATGAATGGTTGTCTTTCCGCCTGGCTGTTTCCCTGCCTGACGCCCCTGTAAACATCCATTCCCAACACGCTTCCCAGAGGACGCTTGCCCTTGGAGTACTCCTAACAAAAGACTTCCCAGTGAAATCAGTTTCTGGCACCCCATGTGGTATAGCCTGACACGGCACCTGCTGCTCAGCTTGTCCATGGCTCTGAGGAGCCCTCAGGGGCCCCAGGCAGCTGGTGGGGGATGGGGTTGGGGGGTGGACAGCAAGGTGACCTGGCGGGCGCAGGGCAGCTGGTGGGGGTGGTGGGGGGTGGAAAGCAAGGTGACCCAGTAGGCACAGCGCAGCTGGTGGGGGGTTGGGGGAGGTAGGGGACAGCGAGGTGACCCGGCAGGCGCAGGGCAGCTGGTGGGGGGGTGGGGGAGGTGGGGGACAGCAAGGTGACCCGGCGGATGCAGGGAAGGCCCAGTCTTCATGTGCGGTTTCAATGTCTCGTTCCTGGGCTTTTCTGCATTAAGTGTGAGTTTCTAACATACCACGTTGAAACGTCTTGGATCTTGCCTGCTGAGCCACGTGGCTCTTCCTGAAGGACAAGGTCAGCGCCCCCCTCGCCACCACTTCATCCAGATCCCAGGAGCCCCTTCTGTCCTGTAGGCCAAGGCTCCACAGCACCACGTGGGTTATGGACGAGAAACCTGGAGTGTCCTGCTAGGAGAGAGGCTGTGGAATTCCCAGTCCCCCTCAGCTTTGGAGGTTTATACCAGAGAGACCGAGGCTTAGAGAGGAGCCCAGGGAGGCTCCTCCAGTGCCCAGGCCAGGCATCATCCAGCTGGCACAGGTGGCTTTAGCCCAGCCTCGGGGGGACACAAGCAGGGCCTGCAGGGTGTCTGGGAAGGGCTGGAGGGACCAGGCCCGGAACCTTGTCCTGCCTACCCAGGCTTTGGCCTGACATTGTCCTTGTTTGTGCTTTAAAATCCCCTATCCTGTTTGGTAGAGAAACATGCTCTCTTTAAACTCAGTTTCGAAGAAATCCAAATCTTTGAATAACCTTGATCTTGAAAGGAAAGGAAGTTAGCTGCAGGTGAAAATTGATGGTCATGCTCAAAGGCATGGTTCCCTGCCAAGGAAGCCTCTTGAGTCTTTCTACTAAAAATAGCTGCAGCATCCTGGTGGTGGTGTCTGAACCCTCTCTAGGCCCCTCCTGGAGACATTCAGAGATGTTAAAGGTGACAGCCAGCCTCACCTGGCCGTTCCGCACAGGTGTGTTTGCTCCTGGCCTGTGAGGCACAGGTGGGTGGGCCTGCTGAGGACTGAGCCGCCCTCGGGGGTACTGGGCTGCTCCCTCCGCAGCCTCTGCCCCTTCAGTTGTCCTTGGTGTCACGGCACACCCAAGAGCCTTGTAAGTTCCCTGCACCACAGTCTGGGTGGGTGCCTGGGTCCCTGTGTCCATGGTCCTGGGAGAGGTCCCTGGCCTCAGTCAGAAGGTGTGAAGTGTCTGGACTTTCTCCAGGCCGGTGATAGGCCACTGTTGGCTTGTGGTCTCCATGGTTCTGTGGGTGCTTCAACGGAGCTGCCAGAAAGGTCAAGCCACAGCCTGACACCAGCCAGAGTGGAGGCGGCCCAGGAACCCCCTGGCTCACCACCCTCAGCCTGGTGCTTCCGTCTGCCCGTGTGGGTGTGGACATGGGTCTGAGGCACTGGCTAGGGGATTCCCTGCTTCCAGCAGGCGCGTGAGGTTCCATCCTGGTCTCTGGTTTCTGGTCTGGCCTCATACCTGGCTTAGCTCTCGTAGGAGTGCAACAGGTGGAAGGGGCGGTGATGCCCGCAGATGCTGGGTGAGGTGCCCCGTGAACGTGTGGTCTGGTGCCCGCAGACGCTGGGTGAGGTGCCCCGTGAACGTGTGGTCTGGTGCCCGCAGACGCTGGGTGAGGTGCCCCATGAACGTGTGGTCTGGTGCCCGCAGACGCTGGGTGAGGTGCCCCGTGAACGTGTGGTCTGGTGCCCGCAGACGCTGGGTGAGGTGCCCCGTGAACGTGTGGTCTGGTGTCCGCAGACGCTGGGTGAGGTGCCCTGTGAACGTGTGGTCTGGTGCCCGCAGACGTTGGGTGAGGTTCCTTGTGAACGTGTGGTCTGGTGTCCGCAGATGTTGGGTGAGGTGCCCTGTGAACGTGTGGTCTGGTGCCTGCAGACGTTGGGTGAGGTGCCCTGTGAACGTGTGGTCTGGTGCCCGCAGATGGTGCCAGCAGATGTTGGATGAGGTGCCCTGTGAACCTGTGGTCTGGTGCCTGCAGACATTGGATGAGGTGCCCTGGGAATTACAGTGCTCGATAGTCCTCCTGGACACTGGTGCTGATGAAGCGAGTCTGGCCACCCACGCCAGGCAGTGCCCAGTGCCCCTTGGGTGGCTCCTGCCCTCCAGCAAGACATGGGGATGCTGCTGGACCCAGGTGTCTGTGAGGTCCAGGCACAGATCTTGCTTCTGCAGGAGGCCCCTGGGCGGACTAGGTGAGTCCTTCCTCCTACCGCCTCTTTGAAAATCTGTGTGTGTTTAAACTAAATTTCTTGAGTGCCATCAGAAGGCCCGTGAGCTGGTGAGCTGCCCCCGAGCCTTTTGCCACCCATGGTGGGCATGAGCCACCTACTGAGTCGGCTCCGAGTCAGCAGAGGCCATGGAGTGGGGGCCCCCACTGTGCAGGGAGAGGGTCTGACCCTGGGCGGGGCACCGGGAAGGGAGGTGGAGGCCTGAGGCCAGCCCTGCTGGAATTCCTCTCTTCTAGGGGGAGGAAGCCTAGGAGCTGGAATCAGAAAACCTGTTAGAACCTGAGCTCTGTCACTCTCTCACTTGTGCCTGGCGCCAGCTCCCTTTCCCTCTCTTTGCCTTTGCTTCCTCTCTGGAAGAATGAAGCATGCACGCCTCACCCCATCTGCACGGGGAGCCGATTCACAGATTACATGAGGGAATGCTTTGAAAATATTTTTAAATTGTAATGTTCAAATATATGTGTGAGGTAGTTCATCATCAACTCACTCAACAAACATATGGTTAGTTCTATTCTAAGGTGATGTGTGTTCCTAAAAGTCACCCTGCTACACAAAATCACATTAAAAATAAGATGGGACCCTGATGAAAATGGCAGCATGGTTGACGCGGTCAGTGGCTGGACACAGGCAAGTGTGACAATCGGCACAGCTCTTCGCCTCGAGAAGGCCTGGCGCTGGCTTGGGGAAGTGGGAGTGGTGGCTTGTGAGTCACTGTGGAGTGGGGAGAGCACCTGAAGCTGGAGGGGTGTGGCACAGGGGGCTCAGCCAGGCTCGGGAGGCTCCCATCACAGCTCCGTTCAGCTGAGTGCGGTTTTCTGCATTCGTCTTGGAGGAGGTTCTTCACAGAGGGGCGGAGGGGGACTTTTTGGCCATCACTCAACATCCTATGGGACAGCCCCTTCCTGGCTGACCCACCTGCCTGCCCTGTGCCAGGCCTTATGCAGTGTGGTTGATGCTTATTACCATTCATCAAATTTATTTCCTGACAAATCCTATGTTAAATACCTGGCATGGGACCTGCAGTGAGTGGGCATTCGATGTATAGCGGTCACTGCTGGCATTCGTCAGAGTAACTTCTCATTTCATTAACATCCCTCTAATCATCTCACTTAAAACTCACTTGGAGAATTCTGAGCTCAGATTTGGAAATCCCGTGTTTGTGCAACAGGAATTTGTCGTTGGATGAGATGAAGGAACTTGCCTGGGTGAACAGGCAGGATTCGCAGCCCAGGTAGCTGCTCATTCTCCGAGTCCCTCTACACCTACCCCGCTGCCCGACTAGGGTGCTGGAGCATGGTGTCTGAGAGCACGCGTGTGCGTCAGTGTGCACATGCGTGCACCCGGGTGTTCATGAACACACCCGTGTCGGTGCTCAGTGTGCATGCATGCACACATGAGCATTACTGTGTGCGTGTCTGTGCTGCATGAGCTCTGTGTAGGAGACGTGTGTGCATATCTGTGTTGAGTGCTGTGTATGTGTGTGTCCATACGTGTGTACTTGTGTGCGCATGTATGTTGTGCTGTGTGAGTTCTGTGTGCACATGTGATCATGTGAGTGTGCACGTGTGCTTTGTGAGCTGTGCATGCACATCTGTGTGAACTGTGCATTGAGCATGAGTGTGCATGTATCTGTACTGGTGAGCTGTGTGCACGTGAGTGCACGTGTGTGATTGTGCATGTGTCTGTGGAGTCAGCTCTCTGCATATGTGAGTGCACGTGTGTGAGTGTGCATGTGTCTGCAGAGGCAGCTCTCTGTATGCATGTGAGTGTGCATGTCTGTGCTGTGTGAGCTCTGTGTGTGCATGTGTCTGAGCATGCACATGTGTGAGTGCTGTGTGCGCACATGTGTGTGCATCTGTGCTTACCATTCTGGAACACTGGTTCTTTTATGCATTTTGGCTTCTTTTCCCACGAGACCCTCATGGAACATTAAGCCCAGCAGACAAGGCCAGCCCCAACCATTGTGATAGTTATTAAACAGCAATAAAGCAGGATCTGTATTTACAGACCCAGAGTGTGCTCAGACTGGGAGGTATTAAACATCATCCATCATCAAATGGAAAACAGTCAGATGCAGGGAGTGTAGAATGGAGTTAATATTCTTTTGGTTAACTTCACCCATAAAGAGCTAAACTGCCCCCAATAAAACACCAAGGGGAGGAAGGGAGGTTCTTCCAGACGGAAGCAATCATCGGCACGGTCTGCAGACAGGCCCCCAGGGTTTCCTCGTGCCGGTGGGTTTTCTGCAGCTTGTTACGCAGCTGCGGCTCAGAGCAAGCGGTGTCTCAGGGTCCCTTTCCACAGTTCTCATTGCCTGCTTTGCCTTAGGTCAGCTCATCAGCAGCCCTGGGGAGCTGGGGTGAACGGAGGAAAGACACTGACTTGTAGAACCTGAGAATCTGGGAAGGGAGGGCCTTAGCCGAAGACTGTTTGCCCAGGAGGGTGGCACGCAGTAAACAGTTCAACCCAGGAGTTCAACCCGGGAGCTGGCATTGGGGCATGGATGTGCGCGCTGGTGGCCATTCATTACTGATCCTCCAGTTTCCTTTGTCGTCTGTGAGTGGGTGCGCTCAGCCCAGGGGGTGTTGTGTGCGCAGCGTGTGGTGCAGAGGTAGCACCTGGGACAGGGGGCCGGGCACTGTGCGTGTGGGCACAGGGAGCGCTGCTCCTCCTCCTTAGACCTGAGGCTCCTGTCTGGGCAAGGTCTAGCCCTCCACCTAGGAGCTTACGGAATCTTCAGTGGGGACAGATGGTCTGGAAAGGACTCACCTCTTTTCCCACCCTTGGTTGAATGTGGCCCCTTGGGCACAGGCGGGCAGCGCTCACCCCTTTCCTACACTAAGACGTCCTCACGGCTTAGTGTAGGGCAGGCGGGTGAGGCGGGGTTTGTGTCGCTTCTGATCTGGAAGGGGTTTAGCAGCTGAGGAGATGATCGCCACGCAGAGTTCCGTCTCCAGAAAAATAAGAGGATTTGCACAGTTCTTGAACTTCACCCTTCCAAAGTTTTCACCTCTTGTAGACTAGAAGTTTTAAGTGAGCTTCTGTGTGTCGAAATCATTTCATGGGCAGTGCCCCAGCCGGAGCCTGTCTGGAGGGGAGGGTTGGGTGGGCACGGGCGCCGGGCCTGGGAGGAGGAGGACAACATGGGTTTCCTAGCTCGCTGGACGGCCCTGAGGTTGTGGGGGCCTTTGGTGGCTGAAAGGGGTCTTGTATTTCTGTGCACATTGAAAGGCGATCTTATTTGCCTGCGCTGCCGTCCAGCTGAGGACAGGGACATAGGGTGCCTGTGAGTGCAGGCCTGGAAAGGGATGGGACTCCCCTCTGTAGGGAGGGCGGGGCTTCAGTCCACCTGGGGCGTGGGGCCTGCGCCACCACCCGCATCCCAGGAGAGGCACTGATTGCAGGGCTCGGCCTGGGGCTTACATGGGACCCTCCTTGACTCCCTAGAGGCAGCCGAGGTGGCCACTGCAGCACTCAGCTGGTCTTCCCCAGGAAGTCCTTCCCTTACAGGGCCTCCACTGCCGCCTCTGTCATGGGCAGGCCCTCAGGGAGCAGGGCTGTGGCGGCCTGTGGTGCAGGGGACGTGTGCCATGTCTCCTAAAGATGATGGCTCAGCTCCATGGGGGGCCCTCGGCAGAACGTTTGGATTTAAGGACTACTTGGGGCTCACCATGTGCTCCGAGGCTTAGGGAAGGCCTGGGACGGGCCCTGAAGTGCTGTCTGGCTGAGGCTGGGCTCCTCAGGTGAGAAATTGGCTCCCATGTCCCGCTCCCCTCCCCCACCCCACTCTCCTTCCTTCAAGGAATCCTGTTAGACTTTTCACTTTGCTCCACGGCCTCCAAATCCCACTAAGCGACTGTCGCTTTTCCAGGGCATCGTCAGGTGCTGTACTAAGCTTTAATAAAGGGCTTTATCCACAGCTTCAGAAAAGTCTCTAAATAAATTAGATCCACTGGTTAGCCTCCAACGGTGATTTTTATTAACCTCCAGTTAAAGAAATATTGCTGGTTACAGAAGCACAATTTATTTCTGTGTAAGCCAGGCTGGTGTGACCCTGCGGGCTCCCGAGAGGGATAGTGCTATGTACACGCAGAGTGCTGGGCTGGCCATGAGAGGCACCTGAGAGGGCACCCGGCAGCCTGAGGGCTGGGAGTCACTCTCACAGGGACACAGAGACTCTCACAGGGACATGGGGGACTCTCATAGGGACGTGGGGTATCTCACGGGGACACAGGGATACGAGGACTCTCACAGGGATACGGGGGCTCTCACAGGGATACAGGGGACTCTTACAGGGATTCACAGCCACTGAGACACGGGCTGGTGCTCCTGGCCTGGAGCAGAGAGGGGTGTGGAGGCCGGGTGGGAGGCCGGAGCCTTTCATGTCCTTTCTGGCCCCTGGTGGCAGCAGCTCCCTTGCTGAATGGCTTCACCCTGGGAGGTGATCAGAGGCCGGGGCTTGCCGTCAGGGCGCCCTGGCTCAGATCGTGCCTCTGCGGCCGTGTGGCTTGGGCGTGTGGCCCCTGTCAGAGCCTCTGCTTCCTCTGTGAAGTGCGGAGAATGGTTGCTGCTGCTCATCAGAGTGGGGAGGTGACAGGCCTGGCCCGGGGCTCGGGTTTTGTTCATGCTGTTGCCTCCCCTGGGCTCCCCTGTCTACACCACTGGCACAGGAGCTGAGAGGGTGTCCACGCCCCGGGGGACTACGCCATACTGATGGCCTCCATTTCTTGGGGTCTGTCTCACTGAGCTGGGACTCCAGTTCCAGTTCTTGTCATCCTCACTGAATCTCACAAAGCTGAGCGGGAAACACGTGGGCTGTGCTGAGTCGCCCTCGCTGTACAGGAAGAGAAACCGAGGCTGGAGCAGTGGAGAGGCTTGTGTGGTCGATCGCCTGGGGACTTCATGTGTACTCAGGACCCAGACCTCCCGGCCGCACCCCCGTGCTGGTTCTGTGCCCTGCTGAACCATTTGGGAAATTGTGTTATCATCTCACACATGCTGCGGGCTCCTCTGGGATTCACTGCTGCTGTTTCTAAAGCACTGTTCCCAGTGTGTTCACAGCGTCCCCACCTTCTTCCACGTGCGCCGGGCAGCTTCTCTTTGGCCTCTCACACCTGAGGTGCTTTGTGGCAGGAGCGTCCTCTCAGGAGCCTGGGTGCGTGAGTTCAAATCCTGGTCCCAGGTGCTGGCTGTGTGGAACCCAGCCGAAGTCATTCGTCTGTGTCTCAGTTTCGTTGCTGGAGAGAGCGGAGATTGTCCCAGCGTGTCCTCACAGTGTTGTTGGCGGACTGAACAAGTTGGGAGGAATGAGCAAGAGTGACCCTTGGATCAGGACCTGTAGTAGCTGCCTCTGTCCTGTGAGCATTCGCTATGATTTTTATTCCAGACCGTTGGCTGCTCCCCTTCCTGCGGCGCATTGTGGCCGCCAGCTCTAGGCAGCTCGTCCTCCCATGCTGCTGTCTCCCCTCCTCTCTCCATCAGGCCTTTGCTGTGGTTGCTGGAGCATTGCTGCCGCCGTCCATTGCGTGTGCTCTCTTGACGGGACGGGCACCCATCTGTGCTTGAGTCACGTCCGAGCCCGCGGCCGCCACCCACACCCTGTTCCTGCACGGTGAGGTCTGCCACGTTCCAGGGGCAGGCTTTGCCCGGCCCTCCCTGGCCCTGTTCAGTAGCCCTGGGCCCAGCTTATGTCTATGTTGGGCAGTGCGGGGTGTTGGGAGGAGAGAATGGGCAGAGGCCCCTGCCTCAGGGCTCCCTGGGGCCTGGCAGGAGGCCTGGGGTGGTGCTGCCCCCACTCTCGAGAAAAAGGCTGGCACTCCGCAGGGCTGTTTGTGGTGGGAAACAGGCGCTCAGCCAGTCTGGATCCCCAGCCCCCCCAGGCCCTCCGCGTGCCTCCACTCTGCAGGGCACCCGTAGCCTCCAGAGAACAGTCATGACCCAGCGTCCTTGTAGGCACGGTACCCGGGCATCACGTTCCCAAGCCCGCCCATTCCGGCCACCTCCAGCCCACAGGATGTGCCAGGTCGTGCCGAGGGCCTCCTAAGGAGCGTGGGATTGTCAGAACAGATTGCAGCATGGATTTTTGGAGGATTAAAGTTAATTAAAGAGCTCTTCCTTGCTTTCACGTCCTTGTGTCTGCCAGCTATTTACATGCTAATGCTGCCCTGACACCGAGGATGAGGGGTGTCTGCCGCACTGCACTGCGCTGTCAGGAGGGGAACCACAGGAGAAGGAGGGGAGCGCAGTGCTATGTATTACCCTGTGCCCCTCCGATGGGACAGGGGCGTGGATGCAGACACATTCGAAAGTCAGTGGCAGGGTCGTTTTCTTGTATTTCCTGAAGTGTCTTCGTGGCTGACTTGGATGTTCTCCATTCAGGCCCCCCCTTACACTGCATAATTGAATGCATTCTGCGTGGAAATATCTTCGCATAAGCAATTTTATAAATAAAGAGATTGTGGAGAGTAGGGTCTGAAGTTTCTAAGTGCAGGGCTGTGTTTTCCAGAAGCCCATCCTTCTTGGCGAAGGTGACTTTCAGCTTCACGGGGTCGGCCTGTGGCAGCGTCCTCTGGCCCTCAGCAGCACTGCCTTGATGTGGACGTGGACGTGGATGTGGACGTGGACGTGGACGTGGACATGTGTGTGCGTGAAGGCTCCTCAGGTGTATTAGTCCGTTCTTGTGTCTCTATAAAGGAATCCCTGAGGCTGGGTCATTCTGCGGACTGTACAGGAAGCACAGCGCCGGCATCTGCTTCTGCTGAGGTACCAGGAAGCTTCTGATCATGGCAGAAGGCAAGGAGCAGGCACGTCACATGGCAAGAGCAGGAGCAAGAGAGACACTTGAGGTTCCAGAATCTTTCCAACAACACTCCTCACTCGGGATGGCTCTGGGCCATTCGTGAGGGATCCGCCCTCATAATCCAACACCTCCCACCAGGCCCCACCTCCACCTTTGGGAAACATTTTTCAACCTGAGATTTGGAGGGAGCAGACATCCAAACCATATCGCCAAGTATTTGTTGAATGAATAAATGAACGTTGATACCATCATTGGGTGTATTTTAGCTGCAGATTCTAAACGCCAGGGTTCTGGGGTGGCTGGAGTGTGAAAAGGTCGGTGGTGGCAGTTAGGAATGCCGTGTGCATGCCCTTGTGCCTGTGTGCCCATGTGTGTGTCTGTGCGTGTGTCCGTGTGCCTGTGTGTCTGTGCACATCTGCGTGTGTCTGTGTCCATGTGCGCGTGTGTGTGCATGTGCGTATGTGTGTCTGTGTACGTGTGCGCATGCGCTTGTGTGTGCACGTCTGTGTGCGTGTCTGTGTCCATGTGCGTGTGTGTGTGCATGTGTATGTGTGTACATATGTGTGTGCATGTCTGCATGTCCGTGTGCATGTGTGTCTGCGTGTGTGTGTGCACATGTGCGTGTGTGGATGTGTGTGTACATATGTGTGTACGTGCATCTGTGTGTCTGTGTGCATGTCCGTGTGCGTGTGTGTGTCTAAGTCTTTCTTGGATGGTCCCTTGCTGCTTTCCCAGGGAGCTAGTTCTCTCTGGCCTTGGCTGGGTAGGATGCAGGCTCTGCTCGCCTCTCTGGAACAGAGCAGGAGGTGCTGCGGGGAGCTGGGTGCAGCGTGGCCAGGCCAAAGCAGGCACCTGAGTGAGTTTTGTGTTCAGTATCCCTCCCCCCTGTGGGCTGCCATGGTGAGAGTTGACATTTTTGCAGCGTGGAAGTGAGACTGTCTTGTGGAGTTTTCTACTCCTCTCGGGCAAAGAGAGGGTTAGTGACCTGACACCTGATGGTATGCCTTCAAAGCTCTTCCTCATCTGGTTTCATTCAACTCATGTCAAGCGTCAGTCGTGACCCATGTCAAAGGTATATGCAGCTGGATGTAAGTTAAAGTGGAGAAAACAGATTTTATTCAGTCGCTGCTGACAGCAGGGGACAGAGCTGAGCTCCTTTCAGGTTTGTGCAGATGTGACTGGGCATTTTAAAGGGAGTGTGGGGAACAGGTGCCCAAATGGAGTCAGGGAAGTGAAAAATTACAGAAAGCAGCAAGAGGGTTGGGTAGCATGAATGTGATGAGCTGACTCTGCTACGAGCTGGCAGGTTGGGGCTGGCAGGGATGGGCTCCTGCTCCCCTTCCCCAGCCCCAGACTAGGAGACAGGCCTGTTTTCCTGATGATTACGTTCCAAAGGGTTGGCTCTCGGTCCTTGAGAAGGACATCCCAGAGCTGTAGGAGGTGCGGGCATGTGTGTCTCCAAGGGACTGAGGAAGGATTCACAGTTGTCAGCTCGGATTTTCTGAAGTAACTGTGCTAGGAAGGGGAGGCAGGGCAGGGGCCTGTTGTCAGGTGTGGTAGAACCAAGGGCAAATCCTCCTGACAGCCTTGAGCTTTTTCCGACAGGAACTCTGGGGGTGCTGTAGCTCAGGCTTCAGGAAGTCCTGCTGTGGTGGGCGGTGTCTCAGTGCAGGGGGTAGGATGGAGCCCTTGTGTGCTGAGAGCTCTTCTGTGGTTCTCAGCAGCCAACAGTGAGAGACACACGTGATTGTGAAGCCAGGCTTCTCAGGGCAGCCCCTATGACGGCACACATCACGTAGAAGGTTTAAATCAGCATTGGCTGAATGAGCGATTCCAAAGAGCAGCCAACACCTCTGTTTGCAGGAAGATGGAGTTGACGCATTTTCTTTGATCCTTCTGTTAAGTATAATGAAGAGTCCTGGACATTATCTATGGAATGAGCATAGTGAGCCTCTGCGGGATGGAGGCCAGGGGCCTTGGGCCTCGGAACAGCCTGGCGGGGAGCTGCCCAGGTTTCCTCGTCTGCCTCTTTCATCCCAGACTTGGAGCTAAGGAAGCACATCCCCAAAATGCCGACGCTCCCCAGCAAAGGACTAGGTAAATAGCAGCTGGGAAGACAGAAAATGTAGTTAATGCCTAGCAATAATGGAAAGAAAAACTTAATGGATATAAGGTCAGCAGCAGAATGGAGGCGACAGGAGCGCGTTCGTGAACTCAGAGATGGACCGATAGGAACTGCCCATCTGCCCATTCTGAACAGCAGAGAGAATACGATGGAATAAAATGAGCAAAGTTCCCGACACCGATGAGACCTGGGAATACGATGGAATAAAAGGAACAAAGTCCCCGGTGCCGGTGGGGCCACAACACAAGATCCAGCATTCCAGTTGTGGGGATCTGGGAGGGTCCGGAGGAGCTGAGATGGAGCCGCAGAGGCAGCAGGCAGCGTCTTCAAAACTAATCCAGTGTCTTTGCTGTTCTGTGGGTCTACTCAGGTTGTCTGTGTTTCTCTTGAGTCAGTTTTGGTAGCTTTTGTCTTTTCAGGAGTTTGTTCATTTCACCTCCGTTATTAATTTTCGGCATGCAGCTGTTCGTAGTATTCCTTTACAGCCTTTATCTCTGGAAGGTCAGCTAGTGTCTCTTTCACTCCCAACTGCAGTGATCTGCACCCTCTTTCTTGTTTCCTTGGTTGGCCCAGCTAAAAGTTTCTGTCAATTCTGTTGCTATTCTCACAGAACCAACTTTAGGCTTGACCGATTTCTTTTATTGTTTTTGTGTTCTTTATTTCACTTATTTTTGCTCTAATATTTATTATTTCGTTCCTTCTGCTTGGGTCAACTGAAGTTGGACTCCATCAAGATTAAAATTTTTGCCCCGTGAAAGTTCCTGTGAAGAGATGAAAAGACAAGGTAGAGATAAAGAGGAACTATTTGCAAGCTTCATATCTGACAAAGACGATTTGTTATCTGTAATAGATGAGAAAACTCTCAAAACTCAGTAATAGAAAAACAAAACAGACACACCTAATTAGCAAACAAGCAAAAGATATAGACAGACCTTTTTACCAAATAACATATACAGATGACAGTTAAGCCCGTGGAAAGATGTTCAACATCATTAGTCATGAGGGAAATGCAAGTTAAAACCACAGTGAGGTGTCACTGCACACCTGTCAAAGTTCAGAAACGGACACCATCAGATGCCAGTCAGTGTGTAGAGAAACTCCATCTCTGGTGCCTTGCTGATGGGAGAGTGACAGGGTGCAGCCACCCTGGAACCAGCTCGAGGGTTTCTTAAAAACTGCACTGCAGCTCCCATATGACCAGCAGTCGCATTCCTGGGTGTCGATTCCAGTGAAATAAAACCGAGGTTCGGACAAAACCCGACAGAGGACTCTTCCTAGCAGCTTTTGCATAATGGCCAAAAACTGGAAAGAATTCTGATGTCCTTCGGTGGTGATGGTTAAACAACGGTAGTGCCTCCGTCACACAGAGTAATACTCAGGACTAAGAAGGAATTCACTGTGGATAAACATACTTGAATAGATCTCCAGGGAGTTTAGCGGAGCGAAGAGCCCAGTCCCTGAAGGTCGTGTGCTGCATGATCCCATTTGCATGACGTTATTAAAAGGCTGAAGTGATAGACAGCCTGTGGATGGCTGCCGTGAGTTACGGAGACGCACAGGAGGAATCGTGGCTGTGAACGGACAACCCGAGGGGTTTTTGTGGTGATGAAATGTGCTGTATCTTGACTGTATCATTGTCGGCATACGGGTTGTGATACTGTGCTGTAGTTGTGCCAGATGTTGCTATTGGGAGGAACTGGATGAATGCTACTTGTGATCTCTGTATTATTTTTTATAGCTCCAAGTGAATCTGTAATTGGATCAAAATAAAAAGCTTAGATCAGGCACAGTAGCTGATGCATGGAATCCCAGCACTTTGAGAGGTCGAGGTGGGCGGATCACTTGAGGTCAGCAGGAGTTCGAGACCATCCTGGCCAGCATGGTGAAACCCTGTCTCTACTAAAAATACAAAAAATTAGTGAGGCGTGGTGGCACACACTTGTAATCCCGGCTACTTGGGAGGCTGAGGCAGGAGAATTGCTTGAACCCAGAAGGCGGAGGTTGCAGTGAGCCAAGATTGTGCCACCGTGCTCCAGCCTGGGTGACAGAATGAGTGAGACTGTGTCTCAAAAAAAAAAAAAAAAAAAAAAAAAAAAGTCATCAGCTTCATTATCTCCTAACAGCATCAGCTTGTCCTCTGAAACTTTGAAGGCAGGGATCGACTTCTCCTCTGTAACTGTAAAAGCCCTAGACGGCATCTTCCAGCAGAAGGCTGTTTTATGTGCACTGCAAATCTGGTGTTTAGTGTGGCCACCTTCATTGGTGCTCTTAGCTGGATCTTCTGGAGAACTTGCTGCAGCTTCTCCGTCAGCACTTGCGGCTTCACCTTGTACTTTTATGTGATGGGGACTGCCTCTTAATGTAAACCTCATGAACCCACCTCTGCTAGCTTCAGACTTGAATTCTGCAGCTTTCCCACCTCTCTCAGCCTCGTGGAACTTGCTCTGACTTAAGGGAATGTTGGGGCTGGTTTGATCTATCCAGACCACTCAGACTTCTCCGTATCAGCAATAAGACAGTTTCACTTTCTTATCGTTGGTGTGTTCAGTGGAGCAGCACTTTTAATTTCCTCCAAGAACTTTCCCTTTGCATTCACAACTTGGCGAGCTGTTTGGCACGAGAGGCCTGGCTTTCGGCTTATCTTTGCTTTTGGCACGCCTTCCTCACTAAGCTTAATCCTTTCTAGCTTTTGGTTTAAAGGAGAGACATGCGACTCTTCCTTTCTCTTGAATGCTTAGAGGCTGTTGTAGGGTTATTAATTGGCCTGATTTTAATACTGTTGTGTCGCCCAGGGAATAGAGAGGCCCAAGGAGAGGGAGGGAGGGAGATGGCTGGTCAGTGAAGCAGCCAGACACAAGCAGCGTTGGTCGGTGAAGCTTTTGCCGTCTGAGGAGCATAGTGTGTGGCGTCCCAGAATCAATGACAGCAGTAAGATCGGAGACCGCCGATCACAGACCACAACAGACATAACAGTGATGCAATGTCGGAAGTACAGTCAGGACGTGGCGCCCCAGAATCAATGACAGTAGTAAGATCAGAGACCACCCATTACAGACCACAACAGATATAATAGTGATACAATGTCTGAAACGCCATGAGGATTACCAGATGTGACAGAGCCGTGTAGGGAGCACATGCTGTTGGGAACATGGTGCCTCGCCGAAGGCAGGACGGCCACAAGCCTTCCATTTGTAAGAAGCACAGTATCTGTGTAGTCCAGGAGAGCAAGGCGTGCCTGGGTCCATGCTGGCTCCTTATTGTGGCCAGCACACTGTGCTCGTGTAAGATGTTAACAGTGGGGCACCTGGGTGTGGAATATGTGAAAAGTCTCTACCATCTTCTCCATTCTTCTAAATCTAAACCCGTTCTAAAAAAAAAAAAAAAAAAGAAGAGTCTATTAAGAAGACAAAGAAGGAGCCGAAATTTCCACGTGGCAGAAGGCACTGGAACCGGTGAGATCTGATGTGTACCTGGGCCTGATCCACGTTTGCTGCATGGCTGGACACCTTCGTGGGCGCGTGGAAGCTCATGCTGTGGGGGGAGCTGTGGGAGGAGCATGCGGCAGGTGGAGGTCTTCTGCGCGTGGGTGGGCACGCGGAAGCTCGTGCTGTGGGGGGAGCTGTGGGAGGAGTGCTGGAGGAGCCCTGGGAGGAGTGTTCAGGAGGCGGAGCGTGCCTCGTGCGCGTTGGTGGGTATGAGTGGCGTTGGTGGGATCTAGCTGACCACCTCCCACCTGGTTGGTCTGCATCTGTAGACAGCTTAGTTCTTAGGATTCTAGGTACCCAGTGTCATTTCCGACACCTGCTTGGGCTCCCTGTACTGCCAGGGCTGTTGAGTCTTTACAGCACCTCTGATCAGGAGCCCTGGCCTTGGGGAGGTGGGACAGGCACACGTCTGGGTTGCTGGGTTGCCTTTAGGGGTAAGCTCTTCCTTTTGTCTTCTGTTCAAAAGAGGGCCCACAGTGGATTCAGGCCTCTGATTTACCACTGCCTGGAGCTTGGGGAATGCTCTCCAGTGACAACCTGGGCTTCCGTGGGATTTAATTTTGATATATTGGCCTTTGTGTGTAGGAAGAGTCCAAACTCACGACCGGATGGATTGTCCTCCTCAGACTAGACACTTCATCCAGAGAGGACTCTGAGCCAACCCTAAGGGATTCAGGCTGGAGCTCTGGTTCCCCGCACGGAGGTGGCGCAGGAATGCATCGTCCTCCCCTGTCCTGACTTGTCAGCGCTCCTGCGCTCATGCCTGGGAGCCTGGACCCCAGCTCTGTCCCGACTTGTCAGTGCTCCCGCGCTCATGCCTGGGAGCCTGGACCCCAGCTCTGTCCCGACTTGTCAGTGCTCCCGCGCTCATGCCTGGGAGCCTGGACCCCAGCTCTGTCCCGACTTGTCAGTGCTCCCGCGCTCATGCCTGGGAGCCTGGACCCCAGCTCTGTCCCCACTTGTCAGTGCTCCCGCGCTCATGCCTGGGAGCCTGGACCCCAGCTCTGTCCCAACTTGTCAGTGCTCCCGCGCTCATGCCTGGGAGCCTGGACCCCAGCTCTGTCCCGACTTGTCAGTGCTCCCGCGCTCATGCCTGGGAGCCTGGACCCCAGCTCTGTCCCGACTTGTCAGTGCTCCCGCGCTCATGCCTGGGAGCCTGGACCCCAGCTCTGTCCCGACTTGTCAGTGCTCCCGCGCTCATGCCTGGGAGCCTGGACCCCAGCTCTGTCCCGACTTGTCAGTGCTCCCGCGCTCATGCCTGGGAGCCTGGACCCCAGCTCTGTCCCGACTTGTCAGTGCTCCCGCGCTCATGCCTGGGAGCCTGGACCCCAGCTCTGTCCCGACTTGTCAGTGCTCCCGCGCTCATGCCTGGGAGCCTGGACCCCAGCTCTGTCCCGACTTGTCAGTGCTCCCGCGCTCATGCCTGGGAGCCTGGACCCCAGCTCTGTCCCCACTTGTCAGTGCTCCCGCGCTCATGCCTGGGAGCCTGGACCCCAGCTCTGTCCCGACTTGTCAGTGCTCCCGCGCTCATGCCTGGGAGCCTGGACCCCAGCTCTGTCCCGACTTGTCAGTGCTCCCGCGCTCATGCCTGGGAGCCTGGACCCCAGCTCTGTCCCGACTTGTCAGTGCTCCCGCGCTCATGCCTGGGAGCCTGGACCCCAGCTCTGTCCCGACTTGTCAGTGCTCCCGCGCTCATGCCTGGGAGCCTGGACCCCAGCTCTGTCCCGACTTGTCAGTGCTCCCGCGCTCATGCCTGGGAGCCTGGACCCCAGCTCTGTCCCGACTTGTCAGTGCTCCTGCGCTCATGCCTGGGAGCCTGGACCCCAGCTCTGTCCCGACTTGTCAGCGCTCCCGCGCTCATGCCTGGGAGCCTGGACTCCGGTTTACATTTCTCAGCGTGTCCTTGGGCTGTGTGTGGTCTGCGTGTCCCTGGGGTTGTCTGTGGGGTCATGTGGCCCCTCTGGGCTGCCTGGTTTCCTTTTCTCCCACATCGTGTCTGGCATTTCTTTATTCAGAAATGAGGCATCTGTTGTTGGCTTCCCTGTGGAGTTTGTGTCCCTCCCTGAGCTCCCGCCTCTGTGGGGCCAGCCCCAGTGTGGACTTGTGGCCCCCTGTGCTGCTGGGCCTCAGGTTTGGGTCTGCGGAGTACATGGGTGTGAGTGCTCTGACCACTGGACTCTTAAAACATGCAGCCCTCTTTGACTGTGACACTGGACATGTGCAAAGCTTGGGGACTGATCAAAAAGTATAAAGAGGCCATTGAAAAAGACCTTGACTCCTGCACCCAGAGGTAGCACCAAGAACATGGCATGCATTTCATCTCCACGTCTCCCTTCTCTCCTTTCCTCCCCTGTTCATTCATTCAGCCAATCTATCAGCCAACCAGTAAGCACTCACGGACACCCACGTGCGCAGGTGCCATGGAGGCAGCCGAGTGTGGGGACTGCTGTGGCAGAGCTGGCAGCCTTGTGTGCTTCCTGCACTTGTGACATTTTATTGCAGCCAGTGCCTGTGCCATTAAGCATTCCTTGAAAATAAAATCTTTTTTGGCTGTACGATGTTTCTTCGTGTAGACATACCAAAAGTAAACTCTTGGCCGGCTGCGGTGGCTCATGCCTGTAATCCTAGCACTTTGGGAGGCTGAGACGGGTGGATTGCCTGAGCTCAGGAGTTCGGACCAGCCTGGGCAACACGGTGAAACCCCGTCTCTACTAAAATACAAAAAATTAGCTGGGCGTGGTGGTGTGTGCCTGTAGTCCCACCTACTCAGGAGGCTGAGGCAGGAGAATCGCTTGAACCCGGGAGACAAAGGTTGCTGTGAGCCTAGATCACACCATTGCACTCCAGCCTGGGCGACAGCGAGACTCCGTCTCCAAAAAAAAAAAAAAGGAGACTCTTTATTGGAAATTTAGCTTTGTTTTTAATTTTTTCATGATTATTGCTAATGTGTGCAACATCCTTGGACTCAGTGCTTTCCCCATATCTGATTCATTTGTTATTTATTTATTTGTTTAGACACAGGGTCTTGCTCTGTCGCCCAGGCTGCAATGTGGTGGCGCCATCTTGGCTCACTGCAGTCTTGAACTCCAGGGCTCAATATATCCTCCTGCCTGAGCCTCCCCAGTAGCTGGGACTATAGGTGCATGCCGCCCCGCCTGGCTAATTAAAAAAAAATTTTTTTTGTAGAGATGGGGTCTCACTATGTTGCCCAGGCTGGTCTCAGGTGATTCTCCTGCCTCGGCCTCTCACAGTGCTGGGATTGCAGGTGTGAGCCACCGCAGTCTGATTACTTTTTAGGCAATTGTTACTGAGTGGAAGGGTGTGAACACCTTCAGGACCCTTGGCCAGTTTTGCTGACTCGTTTTCCAGAAGCGCCCGTGACTGCTGTCCCAGCAGGTGTAGCGTGCAGCCCTCATGGCCTCACTCGTGCTGAGTGTTAGCATTTTACTTCTTGCCACTCCAGGTGAGGAACGGGTCTTAATGAATTTTGTGTTTGTCAGTTACGTTTCTTCTGTTGATTGTTGATTTTTCCCAGTTTTCTATTACCGTGTTAGTGATTTTCCTATTGATTTGTAAAAGGTTTTCATGTATTTGTGGCACGTTTTCCCCAGTTTGTCTTTTACCTTTTGTGTTTTTAAGTGGCGTTTTGGGACCCACGGAGGTGTTGGTGTGGCGAAGCGTGCTGGTCTTTCTCTGTCATTCCTTCCACTGCTTCGGGGCCCACAGCCTTTCAGGGCCTTGCTCCATGGAGTATCCATCTTGTTTCCTTTAGTTCTAGTGCAGTGAAGCAGGCGAGGGCAGGGGTGACCGGGTCATCTGGGCTGGTTCAAACTGGGGCTCCGCACCCAGGTGTTCTGTGCCCCCGGGGTGCGTTACTCACACCTGCAGCACCCGGGCTGTCTCTGTGAGAATGGGATGATCGAAGGGCCCACCTCCTGGCCAGCACAGGGCCTGGCACGTGGTGCCTGGCTGGCGAGTGTATGAGTGGGGTGCTGGGCTGGGAGCGTGAGCTCTCGGAGTTCTGCGTCTGTTTATCATGGCCAGTCAGTGGCAGCGTCAGCTGGGTGTCCTCAGCCCACGCTGCTGTACCCCAAGAAGGCAGTAGACACGTGATACCAGTGGGCTGGGGGCATCTTCTCAGCTGGTGCCCTCTCCACGTCCTTCTGCGGGGGCGCCTTGCCCCCCTGCCCCATGCACACTCTCCCTGTGTGCAGAGTGGGTCTTCCTTCCTGGTGTGGGGCTCCCTGAGTGCCCTGCCTGTCCTCGCCTGTTCTTACAGTGCTCACGTCTGCCTCCCTCTCCAGGCTGAGTTCTGGGAGAGCAGGCCGGCGCCACCCCCCTCACCACTTGCTAGGAGCTGGCCTGACCCTGGTGGGAGCCCACAGCCCTGGGCGCGAATTCAAAATGCCAGAAGCAGCACAGGGTCCCTCGAGCCTGGTGGGAGGTACTTCCCATGGGCGAGTCATCTTGTTTTGAATTCTCCTCATGCTGATTTCTGGCCCCACTCAGCCCAGCACAGCTCTGAAGGAGACGAAGGCAAGGCCAGCTCTCCCCAGCTGAGATGAGCTTTCAGTTGAGGAAGGACCCTGATGTCAGAGCTGTTTGGGTAATGGCCTGCCCCTGGCCATGGATGTGCACCAAATCTTTTCAGGACTCGTGGGGTCACTGCTGCCCGGGGGCTTTAGGTAGCTATTAGAGCCCAGGGCTGGGCAAGCGCTTTCCCACCTGCCCGTTAGCATGATGGCCAAGAGCCCAGGCTCGGCTTCACGGAGGCTGGAGACCTGGGGCGCGCGCCTTCCCCTGGAGCCTTGTCCTCATCTGAAAGGGAGGACTCCAGCCTGCCTCAGGAGGTGGTTCCGAGGACTGATTGGCTGATGGTTTCACTCGTTCATTTTTTAATTGAACACACAGTTCCTGAGCACCTGTTCTGTTCCAGGCACTGGACAGGGACTGGGGCCGGGCGTCCCGCATGAATGAGGGGTCAGGGAGCTGATGCATGGAAACTCCTTGGCACAAGGCCCGGAGTGTGCCTGGCACCCTGGGCACTGGCTGCCTGCCTGTTACCCGTCGGTGGAGAAAGCCACCTAGACTTTGCAGCACTGTAAGATTTTTGAACTGTAGAAGACCAAGTCCATCTAATTCCCTGTTTTGCTGATAGGAACGCTGGAGGCCTAGAGAGGAAAGGAACCCGTCTGACTGCTCAGGCTGAGTAGTGGCCCCAGAGCCGTGACTCCACTGTGCTGTCTGTTTCCCACGTTGCCCTGCTCTCCTTTCTCCCTGTCCTGTCAAATAAACTGCACTCAAAATAGAGCCATGCGGCACAGGGCCTGTCTCAGGCCCATGGCCCCATATCCGCGTGGGTCAGGCATGCTGGCGAGACCTTGCGAGGGTCACGTCCTCCTCCCTGGTGAGGGGCCGTCTGCAGCCACTGTGGCTTGGGTATGGCTTCCTGTCAGGATGGTCCCAGTGCCCTCCCAGATGTGCACGGCACCCACGTCGTCATAGCGCAGGTGTGAGCAGCTGCTGTAACAAGGCTGGTGCTGGTTCAGGTGGATGCTGGGGAATGCATTTATACAGCGAACACAAATGAAGTGGAATTTGTCATAGAGCAGTGTGAAATGTAAGTAAAATTGCCTCGGGAAATCATAATTGATTCCACTCCTTCCTACAATAGGTGTTGTAGAGCTTTTTATCAGAGGTTGAAATTGTAAAAACCAGGCTTGCTGGTGGGGAGCCCAGAACAGCCCCTTTTCCCCCTCCCCCACAGCTACACGTGGGTGGTGGAGGCCAGTGGGGAGGGTGTGACGGCAGGAAGCCAGAGGAGGAGCTGGCTGAGGGTAACCCCAAGACAGCTGTGGGGCAGGGAAGGGAGCGTGCTCTGTGTGCCTGGTGCAGCTGCAGGCAGAGGGGTGAGTAGTGGGAGAGGACCCCGTGCTTCCTCTCTGAGCGGCCTGGTGTTCAGCCTCCTGCTGCCTTCAGGAGAGCTCGCGTAGGTGCAGTTCATGGAGAATGCACAGCTGGCTGCTGGAGGGAGGATGCTGCTGAAGGCTGGGGACCGTTTTTTCTCCTGGGGGCTCCTCCGAATCCAGTCGCCCAGCAGAAATAGAGCTTTGTCAACAGTAAACCGGGTTTATTGGTCAGATAAGATAACCTTGTAATGAGACTTGTGGAACTTGAGGCAAAAATGAGGAAGAACAGAGAGGATGGAATGGGAACAAGGGAGAGACATGGTATCATCAAGCTCTGAGCAAGGTTGGCCGAGAGCACCAGGCGCAGGTTGGGGGCTGAGGAGGACAGAAACGCGTCTGACAGCAGGGCGCCTCCCACGGGGCCCCGGAAACCCTCGCTGACCCACAGTATTGCCCTTCAAAACCTGGTCATTGGTGCCCATTACAGAGAACCCTTTCATCGGGAAAAGAGACCGTTTCTCCTCATTCTCAGTTTCCTCTGCCGGGGCGGCGTCTGGTTTGTTTTGGAGGCATTTTCGTCAAGCGCAGATGGGCAGGTTCCACTCCTGCGGGGTCCGGCCACCTGTCACTGGCGCCCTGGCTTACCCAGGGGCCTCTGCACATCAAGGCTGTTCAGGGGCCCGCGTGTAACAGGCTCTAATTAGCGTAAGCAAGTGAATTAGCCTTATCTGTTCATGAAAGAAGTGAAGCAAGAAATGCATTTGGTGACACTTTGTCAGTGCTTTGTTCGAGCTGCTATACGGAAATTATTAATAGTAGAATTGCATTCTGTTACAATCGCCCTCTAATTCAGTCACCATCCATTGAACTGGACTTTTTACCCAGTTAGCAAGGTAATGAGTTTGGATGACTCTGAAAACTTTGTGACCTCCACCCCGGGCGTCACTGTGGGCTGGGGGAACCTCCTCAGGCTGTGTGTGGACCTTCCGTGGAGCGCGGGGCGGGGCGTAGCGGACATGCACCTGTACACAGCTCTGGGTTCCGCGTTTCTGGGGCACTCTCTGCCAGCCAGGGGTGCCCTGCAGAAATGAGGCTAGGATTACACGGGGAGCAGCTTGGGCCAAAGACTCGATTTCCATCTGCTCCCTGAATGTGGTGAGCCCGGTGTCCACAGGACTGTGTAGGAGGGGACAGCCAGCATCTGCCCTTTCCAGAGACCTTTCTCCTGGCACTCGTGTCTGGGCGCTAGGGATGATCTTGTTTCTGTTCCTTGGATTTTTACTTCTCTTCAGCTCCATCTGAAGCTTTTCCCCTCTCTCATTTCATTGTAATCATAACTCGCACATCAACCTCAAATTACCCTCTATCAATCACTCTCTTGCCTAGAAACTTGCTGGGCTCCTCCTCTTCTGCTGCCCTGGGTGTGTCATGCAGAGTGCCCTGCGCCTGCCACCAACTCCCACCGCCCTTGCTCTCCCACTGCCAGAAAGTTAGGCCTCCAGGCCTCTGGAGTCCGAGTTGGGCTCACGGTTCCATCTGAGTGTGTTTGCCCTGAGCTGTTTGTAAATGGGACTTACAACCACAGCCAAGCTCTTCAAATTATGGAGTTCCGTTTAAAAAAAAAAATTACTGCCTTTTAATCTTTTTATTAGAGCATAACAGACATACAGAAAGTGCTTTGTCCTGAGAGTACATCTTAGAGGGCTATGATGAAATCAGTCCATCCATGTCTCAGCTCCACGGTCGGGAACACGGTGTCACCAGGGCTCCCAAGTTCACCTGCCGGCTCCTCCACCTCCCCCAAAGCCCTGCCTTCCCGATTCTCACACGCCAGTTCTGCCCATTTAAAAATGTTGTGAAATGGAGCCATGCAGCGTGTAATCTTTCGTGTTTGGTTTCTGTTGCTGTGTTATTTCATTTCTATCTTATGGGTATATCACGTCATAATTTTTAAAATTTTCTGTGAATGGGCGTTTGAATTTCTTTATTTCTTGGCTACTGTGACTAACACTACAGAATGGGAGATTATATCATCTTTTGTTAGGTATTTGTATTTCAAATGTCTCCTCTCATTCTGTAGCAGCTTTTCACACTCTAAACAGAAATTCTTAATTTGAATGAAATCTAATTTATCAATCTTTACCTCCCTTTGTGGTTGTGATTTGTGTGTGTCCTGTTTAAGAAAGCTTCGCCACCCTCCAGGTTGTTCCAGGGTTTCACTCCTGTCTTCTTGGTGGCTTTGCTTCTTCACACTGACCGTGGCACTGCGCAGCCTTGTTGCCCTGCGCAGCCTTGTTGCACTGTGTGAAGCCTTATTTTTTTTTTCATTTTTCTTGTCAACGTGGGTATCCAGTGGACTCAGCACTCCTTACTGCAAAGCTGCTCCTTCCGCCTGTGCCACAGTGCTGGTTACACCTTCACGTGAGGTGGCTCTGTCTGTATTGGCTGTTTCTGGAATCTGTATTGTTTCGTTGGTGTGTTCATCTCTTTTTGGCAAAACCACAAGTTTCAATTCCTGAGAATGTTAGAGTCTCGTTACCTGATAGGGTGGCCCTCTCTGCTTGTCTGCATCAGGGCTGCCCTGGCTCTACCTGGCCATCCGCCTCTTCACGTAGATTTTACAGCTCAACCTGTCAGTCTCACCAGTGGACTTGCTAGAGTTTTTATTGAGAATGCATTGATTAAATGACATCTGCACAATATTGAATCTTCTAATCCATGGACGTACTATATGCTAACATGTGTTTAGGTCATACTTTTTTTTTTTTTTTTTTTTGAGATGGAGTCTTGCTCTGTCGCCCAGGCTGGAGTGCAATGGCATGATCTCGGCTCACTGCAAGCTCTGCCTCCTGGGTTCGCGCCATTCTCTTGCCTCAGCCTCCCGAGTAGCTGGGACTACAGGCGCCCACCACCACGCCCGGCTAATTTTTTGTATTTTTAGTGGAGACGGGGTTTCGCCGTGTTAGCCAGGATGGTCTCGATCTCCTGACCTCGTAATCCGCCTGCCTCGGCCTCCCAAAGTGCTGGGATTACAGGCGTGAGTCACCGCGCCCGGCCTTAGGTCATACTTATTTTCTCTCGAAATTGTTTCATAATGTTTTCTGGGTGGACATATCATGGGTTTTGTTGTTTTGAATAATAATGTTTGTGCTTTGAATAATAATGTAGAAATCTAATTGGACTTTGATTATTAACTTTGGTCCTGCAGCATTGCTAAATCTACTTATTTTAATAATTTATTTGTAGATTATATTGACTTTTCTATGTTCATAATTGAGTGATTTAATAATAGCTTTCATTGTCTTCTTGATCTTCGTACCTTTCATGCCTCTTCTTATCTGTGGCTTAGCATAGCCAGTGCTGCTTTGGACAGACATGCTGATAGCTGGTGTTTGTTTTGCATCATCAGAAGAAAAGCTTTCAACATTTCACTGTTAAAGATCGTGCTGACGACTTTAGTAAGGAAATCCTTTTCAGATTAAAGTTCTCCCTATTCCTCATTTGCCAAGAGGGTTTTGCTTTTGTTTTGTTTCATAGTTTTTATCGTGAATAGATGTTGAATTTTAATCAAATGCCTTTTCTGCAAATATTGAGATGATCATTTGATTTTCTTCTATATTTTGTTAATGCGCATTAAATTAATTGATTTTCAAATGTTAAACCAAACTTACATTCCAGGAATAAATGAGCATGGCCTATGGGTTATGCTCTGTGTGTAATGCTTTATTTGGTTTGCCAGTACGTTAATTAGGGATTTTGCATCTGCATTTATTGGGGAGAAAGGTCATTACTTTTCATTTCTCAGAATGTCGTTTTCAGGTTGTGATGTTATGGCTTTTCTGGCCTTAGAAAATATTAGCAAGTTGTCTTCTGTTGTTTTCTGTAATCGTTTTATAAGGTTGGTGATATTTCTTCTTTAACCGCTTGGTGGAGTGTACCAGTGAAAGCATCTGGGCCTAGGGGTTTCTTGTTTACAAGATTTTAAATTTGGGCTTGATTTATTTTAATAGCTTTGAAACATCAGATTTTCTTTTTTTTTCTTTATTCAGTTGTGGTAAAAGTTAGTTTTTAACTTTTAAAACTTCATTTTATCAAAACTTTAAAATTCATTTGTGTAAAGTTGTTTATTGTCATGTTTTTAATATTTTTGTGATCTCTAGTTATGTCTTTTTCAATATTGTTATTTGCTTATTCTTTGTAATCTGTCTCATCAAGAGTTTATCAATTTTATTAGTCATTTGGAGGAACCATCTTTTGGCTTTATTGATTTTTTCCCATATGTATTTTATTTCATTAATTTGTTACTTTCTTTGAGTCTAATTTGATGTTATTCTAACTTTTGAGTTGTATATGTAGATAATTGATATTTATCCTTTCTTGTGTTACAGTATATGCATTTAAGGTTGTCAATTTAGTTGCATACCGTACGTTTTGATGTGTTGTATTTTCCTTATCATTGGGCTCAAGTCATTTATCAATTTCCATTGTGATTTTTATTTTGACCAATGGGCTATTCAGAAACAAATTTCTCAAATTCCCAACATCTGGTGATTTTCAGGTATCTTCTTATTGATTTCTAGCATTATCTCCCTGTGCTCAGAGACTATCCTCTGAATGACCCCAGTCCCATAAAACTTACCAAGAAATGCTCTATGGCCCCATCGGAAGTCAGTTTTGTAAATGGCCCATACACACTTGAAAATAGTATGTATTCTGCAATTGTTGAGTGCAGTGTTTTGTAAATAGCTACATATCATTTGTTAATCTTATTCTTCACATTTCTTTAATGATGTTTTTTCTCAGCTCCTGCAAGAGTTGTGTTGAAATTTCCCATTATGATTGTGAGTTTTGTCTATTTCTTCTTTTAATTTTGTCAATTATTGCAGTATGTCTTTGGATGCTGTTTTATTAGGCACATATAAATTGTGAATTATCTTCCTGGTGAATTTTGCCTTTTGTTATTATGAGACATTCTTTATCTCTGCGGATTGTTTTGATTTTTAAATCTCCTTTCTGGGATATTAATACGGGTATGTCAGCTTCCAGTGTTTAATAGCATTGGCACCTTTTACTTTTTCACTTTTCATTTTGAGCATTGTTAAATTGTTTCATTATAAATGTAGTATACTATAAATATATAAGTATTTATATTCAGCGTAAAAATCATTTCTTAGTCGAAATATTTAATCTAATTGTAACTGATGTAATTAATGATACATTTGCATTGAAATTAACCATCTTAATAGTTGCCTTTAGTTTTTATTCGTTTTTTATGAAAACATCTTAATCGTAGAATAAATTTTTTTATGATCGTTATCTTGTTATGTGTGCTTTTATGTAATTTTAGTGGCTATGTTGGTGATTATAAGATAGACTATTATTATATACTTAACAAAGTCTAATAAAATTAATACTTCTTTTCCTTCTAGACAATCCAAGGGTCTTAAAATCCTTTCTTCTGTTTACATTTTGCTCCATTCGTAGGCTATTGCTATAAAGTACTTTATTCATACACTTACGTGTTTGAAAAGATACTGTTTTTGTATATTCATTTATATGTACACATTTCTAACCCTTTTTATTCCCCTGTGTTGCAACCTGTATCTCTGAGCATCCATCTGCAATCGTTTTTCTTCTGTCTGCAAAATACCCCTTGTTTCCTTTGATACAGATTTAATGCTGAGGAATTATCTAATTTTCTTGGGGTCCGGAACATATTTAATTCACTTTTATTTTTGAAGAACAGTTTTGCTGGGTATAAAATCATAGGTTATCAATGCCTGTCCTATCCACCAGCCTACAACCCTTTGAACCTATCATTCCACTGTCTTTTGACTCCCATTGGTTCTGCTCGGAAACAAGCTGTCAGTCTCACTGTTGCTTCTTTTAAGTTAATCTGTCTTCCTCTCCTCTTCCCTAGCTCTTTTGATTGTTCTCTTTTTGGCAGGAGAAGTGTTGTTGAAATGTTCCTCTAGATCTATAATTTTTTAATTAATAAAGTTTGTTTTCGGGAGAGTTTAAGGTTTACAGAAAAACTAAGAAGACAGCATAGAGCTCTCATATGATTCTTTCCACAGCACAGTTTTGTCTGTTACTAAAGTCTTACATTACTGTGGTATATTTGTTACAGTTCATGAACCAGTACTGACACATTATTTTTAACCAAAGCCCATAGTTTACATTAAAGTTTACTCTTTGTGTGGTGTCTTTCTATGGATTTTGATAAGTTCATAATATCATGTTTCCCTCATTACAGTGTCATACAGAATAGTTTGCTTCTATTCTCTGGAAGAGATTTTGGAGAATTGGTATCATTTCTCACTGAAGTAGTTGGTAGAATTCATCAGTGAAGCCATCTAGGTCTGGTGCTTTCCTTTTTGGGAGGTTATTAGTGATCAACTTAATTTCTTTCATAGATACAGCCTGTTTTTTTTCTGGCTGAACCCAGGGCTGGGGTCGTCGCCAAAGTGACTGTAGGAAGTGCCCACAAGGGATAGCCACAAACCCGCCTGAGATGGGGCTGGCTGGGATTCCAAAGAGAGAAGCACTAAACCCTGAGTGATCATTTGAAGCGTTTATTAGGGGAACTTGCCTACAGAGGGGGCAGCAGCTTCCTTGTGACCACAGCAAGACCTGAGTATGTCTACAGGGAGGGGTCTCATTGTGGAGTTTCTATGGGAGTTGAAGGAAATTGGCTCACCGCCAATTTCTATGTGACAGCAACATGCTGATCTTTCTGTTTCAGGCAGTAATGGAATGCTCAAGCCCACAGGGGAAGTATGCAGCTGCCTGGCTCACATGGTGGTGAAGGCCCTCTGTGTGTCTCAGTCAGGAAAGAGAAAGGGAGCTGGGGGTGGGCAGGCCACTAGAAAGACCGATTCATGTGATCTCTTCCTCCTCATGTGAGTTTTGGTGGTTCGTGTCTTTCAAGGAATTGGTCCATTTCATCTAAGTTATCAAATTTCTGGGCGTAGAGTTGCTCATAATGTTTCTTTATTACCCTTTAGATGCCTATAGGATTAGTAGTGATGGCTCCTCTTTCACTTCTGATGTTAGTAATTTGTGTCTTCCTTTTTTTTATTTTTTTTTTTTAATGTTGGTTAACCTGGCTACAGATTTATGAATTTTAAGGAACCAGCTTTTGGTTTTGTTGGTTTTTCTCTATGGAGTTCCTGTTTTCAGCTTCACTGTTTTTTATTGTAATTTTTATTATTTATTTTGTTTTATTTTATTTTTATTTATTTATTTTTTTGAGATGGAGTCTTGCTCTGTCTCCCAGGCTGAAGTGCAGTGGCGTGATCTCGGCTCACTGCAACTTCCGCCTCCCAGGTTCAAGCGATTCTCCTGCCTCGGTCTTCCAAGTAGCTGGGATTACAGGTACCTGCCACCACGCCTGGCTAATTTTTGTATTTTTAGTAGAGATGGGGTTTCACCATGTTGGCCAGGCTGGTCTTGAACTCCCAACCTCAGGTGATCCACCCACCTTGGCCTCCCAAAGTGCTGGGATAACAGGCGTGAGCCACTGTACCTGGCCAATTTTTATTATTTCTTGCTTTAGGCTTACATTGTTCTTCTTTTTTTAGTTTCCTAATGGGAAGCTTAGTTGATTGATTTTAGATCCTTCTTTTTTTCTAACATTTACATTCAATGCTATAAATTTTCCTCTAAGCATGGCTTTTGTTTCATCCTACAATTTTGATAGGTTGTATTTTCATTTTCTTGTTCAAACTATTCTTAAACTTCTCTTGAGACTTCTTTGACCCATGCGTTATTTACAAGTGGATTGTTTAGTCTCCAAATATCTTGGGATTTTTCAGTTATCTTTCTGTTACTGATTTCCAGTTTAATTTTAGTGTGGTCTGAGAGCTTACTTTATATACTTTATATTCTTTTTAATTTCTTTAGGTGTGTTTTATGGCCCAAATGTGGTCTGTCTAGGTAAATTTTCCATATGAGTTTGAGAGGAATATATATTCTGCTGTTGATGCAGTGTTCTGTCATTGTCATTTAGACCCAGTTGATTGATGGGGCTATTGAATTCTGCTGTGTCCTCACTGATTTTCTGCCTGCGGGATCTGTCCGTTTCTGATAAGAGGGTGTTGAAGCCTCCAACTGTAACAGTGAATTGAGCCATTTCTCCTTGTAGTTCTTTCAGGTTTTCCTCGCATATTTTGAGACACTGTTGTTAAGTAGATGCATGTTAAGGGCGGTCATGTCTTCTTGGAGAAATGACCTTTTTATCGGAATGGAGTGCCATTTTTCATTCCTGATCGTTTCCTTGTTCTGCCTGAGATTGATCAAGCTGCTCCACCGTTCTTTTATTTGGGCTTAGTGTGGTCTAGCTTTCTTCCTTTCCTTTCAAAGTGTGTTTATATTTTAAGTGGGTTCCTTATAAACAGCATATAATTGGGTCTTGTTTTTTTAATCCATCCTGACCGTCTTTTAATTGGTGTGTTTAGATCATTCACATTCGAAATGATCGTTGATACTGTTAATACCTGCCATGTTTGTTACTCTTTTCTATTGGGACACTTGTTCTTTGTTTTTTTTAAATCTTCTTTTCTTTATCTGCTTTGTTTGGTTTTAACTGAGCATGTTATATGATTTAATTTTTTAATTCTGTTAGCACAGAATTTTTTTTTTCTTTTGGAGACAGAGTTTTGCTCTTGTCGCCCAGGCTGGGGTACAGTGGCGTGATCTTGCCACCATGCCCGGCTAATTTTTGTATTTTTAGTAGAGACAGGGTTTCGCCATGTTGGCCAGGCTGGTCTTGAACTCCTGACCTCGGGTGATCCACCTGCCTCAGCCTCCCAAAGTGCTGGGATTACAGGCATGAGCCAAGCACAGAATTATCCTAGAGTTTGCAGCATACATTTAGCATGAATCTAAGCCCATGGTCAGATGGCCTTTGACCAGGTCACAGGCAGGGTGGGCGCCTCCCGCAGAACACGCCCATTCCCCTTGCCTCCCGTGCCACCTGCTGCTTCATTTCACCCATCCCTGCACCATCGTCACCCCACACATTGCTGCTCCTATACTTCAAACAATCGTCCATTAGATGAACGAGACTAAGGAAAGTAAGCTAGGCTCAGCGGCTCACAGCTGCAGTCCCAGCGACTTGGGAGGCTGAGGTGGGAGGATCACTTGAGCCCCAGAGGTAGAGGTTGCAGTGAGCTATGATCACACCACTGCACTCCAGCCTGGGCAACAGAGTGAGACTCTGTCTCGAAAAAAACAGATGAATAAAGTAGATTTTATTTTTCCTTATTTGTTACTTCTCTGCTCTGTCTTTCCACATAGATCTGAGTTTCTGACCTCTCATGGGATTCTCTGGAGAATCCACCTCACACTGCTTACAGGGGCCAGGGCTGCCAATGACCAATCTCCCCCAGTTTTCGTTTGTCTAAGAGAGTGTTTTTTGTTTGTTTGTTTGTTTGAGACAGAGTCTCACTCTGTTGCCCAGGCTGGAGTGCAGTGGTGCGATCTTGGCTCACTATAGCCTCCACTTCCTGGGTTCAAGCGATTCTCCTGCCTCAGCCTCCCGAGTAGCTGGGATTACAGGCGCCTATTACCATGCCCAGCTAACTTTTCTACTTTCAGTAGAGACGAGGTTTCGCCGCATTGTCCAGGATGGTCTCAAACTCCTCTGACACCAGACCATCTGCCTGCCTTGGCTCCCCAAAGTGCTGAGATTACAAGTGTGAGCCAGTGTGCCCCGCTGAGAGTTTTTCTTTCTGCTTTTCTTACAGAAGATCATCTTGCTGGATGCAGAATTCCAGGCTGGTGCTGTTTTGTTTCAGTACTTGGATACCTCCCTCCCCTCTCTGCTGCCTGAGTGGCTTCGGTCAGGAGGTCTGATGCATTTCTCACTCTCTTGGTTGATAATGAAGGGCTCTCCCTTCTCAGGCTGTCTTATTTTCCACAGTTGAATATGATATGGCTAAGTGTGGAGTTTTTGGTATTTTTCCTGCTTGATGTTCTCTGAGCTTCCTGGATCTGGGGTTTAGATTTGACAAATCTCGGCCATTATCACGGCAGATACTTACTGTGTTCGCTCCTCGCCTCCTTCTCCTTCTGGTTTTCCTGTCATGAGTAGGTTCCACCTTCACGGTCATCCCACTGTTCTTAGGTCGCCTCTTCTTTTGTTTTCATTGCTTTTTCCTCAGTGCATTTTAGTACGGGAAGTTTCTGTGGACCTGTTTTTACATTTGCTCATTTATGCTCTCATCTTTATTTTTATTCCTATACTTTCTGCATATGTTGTTTTGTTTTTTTTCATTTTTTATGTTGGTTAGTTAGCTTGCTACTTTCAGTTTTAGCCTTTCTACTCTAACCATTAAATTAATACATTTTCTTCTAAGTTATTCATTCTTGAGATTGTGCCACTGCACCGTAGCCTAGACGACAGAGCAAGACCTTGTCTTAAAAAAAAAAAAAAGTATTCTTTTTGCTTAGGCCGCTGTCGTCTCAGATGAAGTTTCTCCTGTCTTGTGTGTGTTTTTAACTAGTGCCTGAAGTCCGTCCGATGTTTTCCTTCGTCTCTGCCCACAGCCACCGGGTCAGCCTCCCTCCCAGGAGGCCCCTAGACTCCGGGTACCAGGGCAGCCCGGGCAGGTGAGAGAGGACCCAGGGAGCTGGCTTTGCTCTCACAGAGGCGGGGTCCTCATGGTGTTCTGCTCTAGCTTGTTCCCATGATGTCAGGGCCGGGCGTCCCCCTGCGGCTCGGTCTCACAGCTGCCGTGTGCCCATGGCGTTCCGTCCTCTGAAGGCTGCTGGGAACTGCAGGGTCAGAGCCGCAGGAAGGCAAGGGTGGGGGCCGCATGGTGCCGGGGCCGGGTGCACGCCTTGATGGGAATGCTGGGGTCACGCTGGGGCTGTGGATAGCAATCTCGGGCCTCGTGAGTTCCTCCTTCCGGCAGCCCAGAGCGGGGGTTAGTGCCCCCCCCGATCATGGAGAGCCACTTCCAGTGGTCTCACCAGTGAGGCTGTCCATGGCACTGCCTCCCCGGGCTGGGCGCTGACCCCGGGACTGTAGGGCCGCAGCCTGGGCGGCTCCTCTGTTTGCAGCACCAGCCGGGGCTCTGCCCCTCCGTGGTCTGAGCGACAGGGCAGCCACAACAGCTCGCAGCTGCTGAGTCCTCTTCCCTCAGCCCTGTGCCTGCCTGGCGGTTCTGAAGATCAAATGAGGTAACGTGTGCTTAAGTCATATGTAGCATTAGCATGCTGTGCTGATGTCACCAATTAAAATCTGCCTGAGTGAATCATACTTGAAAACAGTCAGTTGTCAAAAAAAAAAACCTCGTTTAGGGGCAGCAGGCCCAGGAAAGAGAAGCGAGGGACAGACAGGAGGCGAAGCGTTCTGTAGTTGGTTGTGGGGGCCAGGGCATCCGGCCCAGGAGCAGGCGTGGGCCGAGCACAGGGACGCCGCCTCATGTGCACTCAGCACTGTGGCGTGGCGAGGCGTGGCCTTGCGTTGGGGGTGGTGAGGCGTGGCCTTGCGTGGGTGGAGGGTGGCGAGGCGTGGCCTTGTGTGGGGGGTGGCTGGGGCTGGGCCGGGCAGCCCGACCCCCACCCCCAACCCCTGTGGCCGTAAGTGGCCCTCCTTGCTGCCCTTTCCATTGACGGGTGCTGTCTCCATGTACTTATTAATCCTGGTGCACCTTTTAAGCACTCTTTGGGGCATTCGTGCCCCCGTTTTGCACAAGGAGGGTGGGTTCAGAGACGTTAGGTCCCTTGCCCAAGGGTGCACAGCTGGTCTGTGTCAGATTGGAGCGCAGGACTGTCTGACCCGCGTGGGTCCTCCGAGGCGCTTATTACTGCCGCTTTCGCCTGTCATCATGTTCTCGATGGGCCCCACGGATGCCAGAGTCCTGCTCATTTGGGAAACGACCAGCTGGGATGAGGGTTCCAGAGAGAGGCCTCCTGCCTCTCCCAGCCTCTGTCCCAGCAGGGCCTTCTCCTGTCTGGGGCGATCTTGCTGCTGGGGTCACAGCAGACCTGTCCAGGCTGGTGACTGGGGGTCTGGGGAAAGAGTGGGCAGAGGACTCTGGGGAGGCGGGTGGCAGCGAGGAGATGGTGCCGGCGTCAGTGGGCAGAGCCGTGTCTGCAGCCCCACGTTCCCGCCTGAATCTATTCAGTTTCTTGTGGTGGCTCCATGCGTCGGGAGAGGTAATTAGAACAGGGCTTTTCAGCTATTTATGACCATACATTTCCTTTTCTAAAAAAAGGAGAAGTTGTGGAGTGACTCAGAGTTGGGTGGAGGTGGCTGAGCTGAGGTGGGATGGGCTTGGGAAGAGGCCCTGCAGAGAATGTCGCATGTGCAGAACAGCCTTGGAGCCCTTGCAGAGTGGGCCTCGGCCTTGGGCTGGAGGGGGCGGAGGGAGGGAGGCAGGCTCCACAGCACTGGTGGCAGAGGCCGGGCGGGAGTGGGTGGCGGAGGCTGGGTGAGGGAGGAAGATGGGTGAGGGGCTGCTGCTTCATTGGAGGGGGCACGCGGTACTCAGCTTACTTCTGGGCTTCTCTGGAAAGTGGGGGTTGGTGCTGGGGCTCTAAGGAGGGGCCTCTGCATATGGAGCTGCCTGCCTGCCTCACACAGCCCCTTCAGGCTGCCACTGACTCCCAGGAGGGAAGCCCTCTGTGTCCATGGTGTGGACTTAGGGAGTGCTGGGCGCCTGCCTCACCAGGCGTGGCCATGGCCAGAGGCTGTCCCCATCGTGCGGGACGCGCCTGCCCCACCTGCCTGCTCTCCTGGCCATCTTTCACGAGCAGCTGTAGTCATAGTGGAAGAACCAGGCAGACAGCAGCGAGGACAGAAGTGACCACCGTGGCTGCCGTGCATTCATCGCCTGTGTATGCGGGTTCCGTGTGCCTGGTTTTCTGTGCCATGCTGCATTTGAACTTCGCAGTGAGGCTGAGGCGTTCTCTGCCCTCTCCTGTGTGGTTGAGTGTCCTCACACTCAGAGAGGCTCTTTGTTTTTCCCAAGGTCACACATCTAGTTACGGTCCAGGCAGGATGTGGGCTTCGTTGGGTGTGTGTGTTGGGTCTGACTTGGGGGCTGGCCTGGGCATGCACACCTCAAGTGACCGCTGCTTGGGGGCCACGGGGCCGGTCTCTGCCCACTGCGGTGCCTCCGTCCATATCTCCCCTGCCTGCAGCACCTCCAACAGGGCCGGCGTCCTGCAGTCTCCCGCTCCTGTGGGTGCTCTCACCACCCGCAGCCCTGGTCTCTGTCTCGGCTTCCTGGTCTCGCTGCTCTGATCTCCCCTGCCCTTCCCAAGCCCAGGCCCAAGGGCTGTGCCCTGGGTTTCTTCTTCCAAGGGCACTGGGCCCTATTCTGCCCACTGTCTCAGCCCCTGCTGCCCAGGTGTCCTGCCCCCTGCTATGGCGTTCTCAGCCTCTTTGGGAATCTGTCTCTCATTGCGTGGGAATCATCGGCATGCTTGGGGCTTATACTCAAAAGCTCTGTGGTAATTAGCGCGCCGGAGCACCTGCTGATGAGGGAATGAGCGTCATTATCTCTCTTGCTCTTTCGCAAGGGTCCTCTGGGCGCCTACTCAACGCTGTTCCCTCTGATTGGAGTGCCCTTCCCCACCGCTGCCTCCCAGGGCGCCCAGATCCTTCCTGCAGCCTCCCTGGGTGAGCAGCCCCTCTGCCCGACTATCGCAGGCCAGGGCAGAGCCGCCCTCTACTGCTGCCCCCGGCCCCCATCGGCCGGTGTATCCAGGGCACCGAGGCCCTGTCCTCAGCTGACTTCTTCCAGGTGATGCCGACTGCTCACCTTCTCTTCACATGGCCGTTCGTTGCATGATGAGCACATTCTATTCCTTAGAACCGGGACGTTTCTGTACCTAAGGAGGAGCAGCCAGTGGACAATGTAACTCTGCTGGGTGCTTCTTAAAGCGAGTCTGGGACGCCCCCGTCAGCACTGCCAGCCGCCTGTTTGTTCAGCAGTTAATCACCGCATTTGCTGAGGTGGAAATGAAGTGGACTTGCCCGCAGGTGGAGTCAGCTGTTAAAAAGTCATAGCAAGTCACACCCACACCGTGCCTGCTGTTTCACTACCGGTGACAAAACAGGTTCTTGAAAGGGTACAAACAACAAACTTTCTAATGCTTTTCTTCTGTGCCAGCCAGTGCTAGCCTGGAGTTAGGCTGAAGAGAGCCGTCACGAAGAGAAGCTCTCAGAGATTTACTGATCAATAAAAGAGACAATTACAGCTTGTTTACCAAGGGAAGTCCCCCGCCCCGGCCTTGCGCGGCGTCCGCGCGTTGGTACTGACAACTCCGGTAACTGGCTTGAAACGATAAAAGTCAATGGGAAGATATAGGATTTCAATAAGATTATGACACACGATAAACCTTCCTGTGCAAACAAATTTTCCACAGATACGTGACCCGTTCTAGTTGGATTTGTAACTTTAATTTCTCACTTATTGAATTTTGAATTTTTTGTCATCAGCTAATTATGAAGTCCACACCAGGGTGGCACCTGTGTCCCTGGCTCAAGAGACAGACGGCAGGAGAGCCCCAGACGTGGCGGCCTGAGCTCCAGGGTCTTCTGAGAGAGCAGGCCGGGGTTTCCTGAGCCCCTGCAGCCTCGCCCTCCTCGCCTGTGGGGGATAGACCGAGGGCCTGGCAGGGGCCAGGCAGTCATCAGTGCTGGGGAGCACTGGGTCGGTCTCTCCTAGGAGCCAGGCGGGGCCTGGGCGGGGGCTCAGCTTGTGTACGTGCAGACTCAGGAGGCCGCACGGAAGGGACCCTGGCAGTTTTGTGCACTCCGCTTCTGGGTGGGGGTCTTGCTCCCCAGGCTGCCTGAGTGAGCTGGTCTCTATCAGGGCCATGAATTTGCCCTTTCAGCCAGTACTGGTGGGGGCGGTCCCCACAGCTCTCCTGCCCTCACCTGGTGGGGAGCACGCTGGCCACAACTCAATGAGGTGGTGCAGGGCTGTGCCGGAGCATTGGCCCCTTGCGCAGCATGTGTGTTGGGAAGGGGTGTGGGCCAGTGGAGACCGCTTCCCGGGTTTGTGAGGTCCTGGCTCTCGCTTCTTGAGCACCTGTTGTTTCCAGGGCAGCTGGCTGGACAGTTCATTCCTGACAGCATCAGTCTTCATGGCCACCCCATTTCCCATCTTATCAACAAAGGAACTGAGACTTGGGGAGGGAGGTTGAATAGCTGGCCTCAGGACAGAGCTGGGGCTTGAACCTGCATCTTATAGATACCCATCCGCTTCTTCCTGGGCTCTACTACCCCAGCATCCTCATCCTCCATCTCTCAAGAATGGGGCAGAGCCCCTCAGCAGAGGCTGCTGAGAGCATCAGTTAGATGTCCCTGGGGCACATGTTAGAAGGGCAGATTCCCAGGCCCACCCTGAATCTACGTCCAGGGCATCCAGATGCCCGTGAAGATCTGGAAGCTGCCCTCCCGCACACCTGGGTGGGTGTCTGGAGGGCTGGCTCCCTGATCATGTGGTTCCTGTGGGCTCACGCAGGGCGGACAGGCAGGAGAAGGTCGCCAGCCTGCGCCTGGAATCTGCTCCATCCAGACTCAGCGTCTGAGACCAGAAGGGTCCGGGGGCTGTGGTTCAGGCCCACACCTGGGGCAGGGAGTGCAGGCAATGGGAGGCCAGAGGGAAGACCACACTTCCCCGCAGCAGCACGTCCTTTTTGGGGGCCATCTTGGCAGCTCAGTTCCCGACCCATGGGCACCCGCAGGGTCTGGAGGCAGCACACAGCTCCCGGGGCCCCTGACTGGCTGGCAGGACACAACTGAGCAGGGGTTTCTGCCCGGCTCTAGGAATCAGCCCTGACACTGTGGTCAGTGTCATCCCAGGAAGCTGAGCCCTGCTGGGCCTGGCTGCTCTGTAGGGATCTGCGTGTGGCCTCCGACATCCTGGGAGCTCTGTGGGAAGACAAGGAGCTCCCCAGCCCAGAGCTGAAAAGCGGGGACTCAGCCTTCCCGAGAGCCCTGGGCGGTTGGACGAGCGATGGGTTTCCTGTCCCATTGGAACGCAGCAGCTTCCTGGTGCACACTGTCCCCTCCCTCGACAGGTCCGGGCAGAGGTCCCAGGAAGAGGGGGACTCACCCAGCTCTGGGCCTGCCCACTGTCGTTTCCCTGGGCCCAGTGTGACTGGGACTCAGAGGAGTCACGCAGACCCAATAGAACAGGCTGGGGTGGGGAACCTGGGCTTCTGCCCACTGTGCGCCCTCGCCTTGTGTGTGCTGTGTCCACAGGGGCAGAGGCGTCTGCTCCCAGCCGACCCCATAGCCATACTGCCGGTACGAGGTGGAGCCCACACCCGCTGTAGTGAAGGCCTGACGTGGTCAGAGCGGGTGCCGAGGCAAAGCCAGGGCTGCTGGCATTTACTGGGTCTGGGGATGCTGAACTCTGGGGCCCTCTTCACTTTGGTGGGCCCTCAGGGGTGGGCTCTGAGTGCTGGCCTGGGTCCTCACGAGGGAGCCCCCGCGTGACCCAGCTCTCGTGGGGCCTTCCCTGAGCCGTCTCCATCATTACCTCATCCCCCGTCCCGGGTCCTGATCAGCTGCCCTCTGTGTCCACAGGAGCGGGACGGTATGCGGGCCATCCTGGGGTCCTACGACAGCGAGCTGACCCCGGCCGAGTACTCACCCCAGCTGACGCGGCGCATGCGGGAGGCTGAGGATATGGTGCAGAAGGTGCACAGCCACAGCGCCGAGATGGAGGTGAGGGGCCGCGGGCGTGGGGCTCACGTCGCCAGGTGGGGCTTCTTCCCGGTGGGCCTTGGCAGAGCCTGCGGCGGGGAGGTGGAGGTCTGGACCCCGCCTCCCCAGTTCCCGGCTGGCAGGTGTCTGTCAGGGAGGGTGTCCACGGGCTGCTTCCTCTGCATGTGGATCCACGTTAATTCTCACGATGGCACCTGCAGCATCCTCCGCTGTCAGGGTGTCTCAGGTGGTCCCAGCCTGCAAGCGGATGACAGAGGGACAGTGCCCCTTTGACTGGTTAGGACCGCCTCATGATGCCTGCCAAAGGGGCACTCAAGGTCCTTCCCCTGTGAGGGGCATCTGCCAAGGAGACCTGGTCTCCGGGTGCTCAGAGTTGTTGCCAGGGCTCTAGTCCCCGCTGCTGGGGAGGCTCTGCTGGGGCCTGACGGGCAGGGTGTGAGGCCCAGGGCGCCCAGCTCCCTGTGGAACTGGGAGAGGTGTTCCTCCTTGTTGCAGCCTCCAGGCTGCATCCCTCTCCTGGCTCCAGGGTTCTCCCAGGAGAGGTGGCCTCAGCCTTGGCTTCTGCCTTTTCCCTGCCCCATGGGCCACCGTGACGCTCCGTGCCCTTGTCTAGCTCTGAGCAGCTCTCACCTGTGCAGTGGGAAGAAGGAGCTGGGTATCGCAGGGCCTGGGCGGAGGCCACGTCCACACTCCCCATCCACACTTCTCATCTACACTGGGGCCGGGGGCTCCTAGCACACCGTTCCCAGCCTGGAGCTTGAAAGGCCCGTGTTCTCCTCTCAGGATTTGCACCACTTCTCCGTGGGCACAGTGCAGCCCCGCCTGGGCGTGGTGGGATACCTGCCAGGGTCTTCTGGCCTCGCTGGCACACGCCGCCGCCGGGTGCCTTACCATTCTGCTCTGCCTGGCCCTTTACCTGACTGCTCAGTCTCATTGTCACCGTATCCTATGGAGTGGGTGCCGTTGTGATCCGAATTTCGCTCACGAGGAAACCCAGGCCTGGGGGCGTCAAGGGACATGCCCAGGTCACCGAGCTGGTGTGTGACACCGCCAGGCCACATCTCAGAGGGCCTGGGCCTGTGGTGTCTGCGAGCACAGCTGAACAGCCGAGCTCTGTGAGCTCTTTGGTCTCAAGGGTCACTGTGTCTGGGCTGGGCCTTGATGGTGGAGACTGCGGTGAGATGGAGATGCAGATGATGGCATCGGTGTGGCCTGTTGCCCTGTTGTAGGCTGCTGTGTCCTTTCCTCATTCAGCCAGTGACCAGCTGGAAGATGACCTGGGTCCCCCGATGGAGAGCCAGCCTCACAGGCGTGACCACAGCCACCTTCCAGCCGGGCTGCTGAGCACACACAGCAGGCTGGGCCGTGTGCCAGGGAAAGTCTGACAGAGCCTCTGGCCCCTGGAGCCGAGCTGCTGGGTAGGGGAGACATTTAATGAACAAACATAATTCATGTGGGATGTTAGGAGGAGCTGAATTTCTGGAGAAAGGATTGTAATGGAGGGTCTCAGGGAGCTGCGCTGCATGGGCGTCCCAGCAGCTGTTCAGGGAAGATGGGAGAAGGAGGTCGCCAAACTACATCTAGAAAGCTGCTTGGCAGATGGTTCAGTGGTTTAGAGGGGGCGTGGGCACAGAGGCTCAGGCACTGGGGATGGCACTTGGCGAGAATGACAGGTCCCAGCCCAGGAGGCCCCAGGCCCAGGGCCCACATGCACTCGCTACCCCTTGCTCACATGGAGGCCACGCCGAAGGGCCCTGGAACTATGCCGTGTCCCCACCTATGGGTGAGCCCTCAACCACCACCACGCTTGACAAGAGTGAACCCTGGGTGTGAGACCACCCTCAGGCACTGGTACTGCCCCCTGGTGTGTTCTTCTGATGCCCTGCCCCCTCTGTCCATCCTCCTTCCTCCCGCTCCTGGCTTTCCTTTCTGTGTCTAGCCATCCCGTGCGTGCAGGGCCTGCTGCGGAGGGCTGCACACTGACCTTCAGTCGTCACGGGAAAGGCTAGCTCCGGCTGTACCTGGGAGCTGTCGTAAACCTAAGTGCGTTAATAGCCATCTCATTGCAACACCCTTGGCTCCCTGTGAAGCATTAATGAAGAGAGATTTGCGGGGAGGGTCTCTGACCCCTTCTGCCGTCCCTGGCGTTTTCCACGTTGAGCGATTTCTCCAGCCTGTGCTTGCCCTCTGCACTGTGATTGGCTCGTCACGGGCCTGGCCGTGGGCACATCCAGAGTCCTGGGTTCTGGTGTTTTGTGTGTTAAGGCGATCAGGGCTGTCAGGGACCTCAGGACTCATTGACCAGATGCTGGCACTGTTTGGGCACCGTGCTTGCCCCCTTGCCGGGCAGCTTGGAGCCTCAGCCCTCACCCTGCTAGTGGGATGTATGTTGCGGACCTTGCCCCTCCCTTCCCATGGTGGGGTGTGGGGGCAGGTTACTCCCCTTCCTGTCTGTCTCCTGGGGTTTCAGGAGAATTAGGCACATAGAAGAGTTGGGCCCAGCAGGGCTAGAGCAGGGTCAGACTCCACCAGCACTGACTAGTCCTCACTGTGGGAGTTCACACGGCTGGTCCTCCCTGAGCCCTCACAGCCTCCTCTGCCCATCCCCCTGGGTACCCTCCAGAAGCAGGCCAGCACCTGCAGTCTCCCCCCAGGACCCCGCTGCACTGGCCTGTCTGTGTTGATGGAGACAGCCACGGTATCGGCTGCTGGCACAGATTCCAGAGAGGTCTTCCAGGCCCCTGGCTGTTCCCTGAGCCTGTGCAGGTGCCACTGCCCTCTGGGGTCTGTGGAGCAGCCACCACCACATCCTGCATGACAGCGTGACCTGATGCCTTGCCTCATCAGAGGGGGCACCTCCGCGTCAGCTCTTTCCTCCCAGGAGCCTGGGAGAGGTGTCCCTGCCTTTCTGCCTCAGCGGGACCAGGTCACCTGCGGAGCCTGTGCCCTGCCTTTCCCTGAAGTGACAGTCGGGTGGGAGGCTGGGGGTGCCGCCAGCTCCTGGGCTGGGTTCCTGCCTCAGGGGAGCATCTGCTGGGGGCTCCCCACCTCCTCATGGATGTGGCGCAAGTTCGGGAGAACGTGGCCCCAACTCTGGGAACTAAGCATGTTTGCAAGGTGAAGGCGGGGGCCCAGCAGGAGTGCTATGCTCCAGGGAAGGTTGGGGCGCGGCTGCACATGAAGTGTGGCAAGGGTGGCTGCACCCTCTGTGCACAGGGAGCCCCTGGGGCAGGGACGCCAGCCCAAGCCAGGGATGCCCCCGTGGAGGGCCAAGGGGCTGCTCTGGAGACCCTGCACATGCCGCGTGTCTCTGGCTGTTGGTTTCTGTGAAGGGCCCGTCTCCTCTTCTCCTCACGGTCGGGGGGTGGGGGGCCGCCATCGCCCCAGCCGGGGAGGGCTCCTGACCCCACAGAGCCCAGGTGCTCCCCCCGAACCCCCTGCCTCCCTCTCTCCCTGCTACCTCCACCCGGTTTTTCTTTTCTTTCTGTTTCCCGTCTCCTTTTCCCTTCTTGATTTTCTTTCTGTCCTCTGCACGCATGTCTGATAGTTCCTGTCTCCATCTTTCCCTCTCCCTTGGCCTCTGTTCACCCCTCTGTCCCCCACTCACACTCCTATGTCTTCTGACCTCGGGCCTCGCAAGCCTTCCCTGGAAGCTTGCCCGGCCCTGCGCATGCCCCTGGGGAAGGCGCCTCTCGGGGCAGGTGAGGATCTGCTACCTGACCGCCAGGTGGGCTCGGGGTAGTCGCCAGCGGGAGGATGCAGCATCGCTCTGAGAGTGGTTCCCTTCCACCCACCCGTTAGCTAAACCAGACACCAGTCTGTTCTCATCTGGACCATGTTTTCATTCTAGCAGAGACGTTGCAGGAAAACAGTGTTGAGTTGGGAGAACCCCAGACCCGTCTGGTGAAGTTTTGCCGTCTTGCACGGTGTTATTTATTCCATTTAATAAAGCGGCTGCGGGAGCCCGTAGCATGTGTCAGGAGTCCTCTGTGGATAGAGCTATAAATACGCAGTGCACGCCACCTTGATTCAACACATTGGCCTGATTTGTGTTTCCGATTTATTTAATTAAAAGCGATTACTGCGCTGCTGGCCGTGTGGAGGTGTGTGGAGAATCCCCGTTTCAGGTTGCAGGGACTCTGAAATAGTTCCTAACGATTTAGGCAGAAGTGGCCGTCACGGTGTTTCCGTCTTCCCTTCCTCCCCGTGACCTCCCAGAGGCTCGGGCAGCTCTGCGGGTGCTGTCACTTGGCTGCCGTGGGTGGTTTGGCTCCAGGAGGGCTGGGGAGAGCCTGATCTTCAGGGCCTCGGGTTGTTCACCAGGCCCAATACTTGTGAGTGTGTTGGTGATGTTTCCCTCATTGAAAGAACTTGAGATGACTGTACTGTACGAAGCAGAGATAAAGCCAAAAAAAAAAAAAAAAAAAAAAACCTGTTAAAAATCATGCAGTGAAGAAAAGTGGGCCAAGGGGTTTATGGAAACCACCCTGGAGTCTGGGCTGTGGGAGCCTCTGCTGTGTGGCCACAGGTCCTCAGTGGGAATCGCGAGGTGCTGGCTCCATTCCCAGAACGGGGCGTCTGTGCAGTACAGAACTGCGCTGAGCCGGGCTCCCCGTGACACGCCGGTGCCACCCCCGGCAGCACACACTTAGAGCACCGCTGCCCAGCACAGGAGCTGACGTTGCTGGGCGTGAGGAATAAGCCCAGGGCAGGCTCTGTCCTCTCCACCATGGGAGGACCTGCTGCCACCCTCAGAGCATCCCCCAGGGCCTGGGCGTCCACCCCCTAGCCTTCCTTGCATCAGGGGCTGCAGTGGAGCCCCTGACCGTGCACTGACTGCCTGTTGTGTGCTCTGTGGCCAGCGCTGGGCTCACAGTCATCCTCAGACCTCCACCCACAGGGAGAGCTTCTGTGTACAGCCTCACCCAGGGGCAGGTGCTGGGGCTGTGGCCTGGTTAGCCCTGTGGGGACCCTGTGGTGTGCCGCCTCCTGCTTCTTCACGTTGTGTCACAAGCCACTTGGAGACCTGGCCAGGAAGGTGGAGGCCTGAGCTTCCGTCCCATCCTTTTCCACGTGACCGTGACCATGACCACCGGTGGGGCTGCCTTCCCCTAGCTCCAGCCTTTGTACCGTGTGTGGGGTCTGTGCCTGGTGCCCTCTGGTCCTCCTCAGTCCGGCTGTCCTGTGGCTGCTGGGGTCTGTGGCTGCCTGTCCTAGCCATTTTCTGCCATGTCCTGGCTGGCAGGAGTGTTGGATCACAGGCAGCAACTTCTCACCTCAGGATAAAAATAGCCCGGCTGAGGCCTCTGTGCAGCACCTCGGTGGTGCCAAGGGCGCCAGGGCCCGGGGCTCGTGTCTCAGCACACGTAGCCACCCGGGACACGTGGTCCCACCCGGAAAGAGCTGTGTGTGACCCTTCAGCTGCTTGGGTGGAGGCAGCTCCCTGGTCACTCGGTGCCAGGGTTGCGGGGCCGGGGCGTGGCTGCGCTGGGGGCCTGCTCGTACTGGTTTTCCCGCCATGTGATGAAACCCTCTCCCCACAGCCTCCGCACCCCTCAGTGCTCCCTGGTGTGTGCCCCTGAAGCCTGGCTCCGAGTGGGCTTGGCCTCTCCTGGGGAACCCGAGCACTGCGTCAGGTCGTTTGGGATGGAGCCGTGTTCCTTCCCACCTGAGCTTCCTGCGTGTCTGCGTCTGAGGCTGTTTGGGATGGAGCCGTGTTCCTTCCCCCCCTGAGCTTCCTGCGTGTCTGCGTCTGAGGCTGTTTGGGATGGAGCCGTGTTCCTTCCCACCTGAGCTTCCTGTGTGTCTGCACCCAGCCCGGGGTGGGCTGTGGAGGAGGGGCTGAGGCTGGGGAAGTGCCTGGCCTGCCTGCGAGCAGGCTTGGCATCTGGTGTTCCCAGCCGTCAGCCCAGCCCCCACCCCGGGCCTTGGGAAGCTCTCTCTCCATCCCACCATCTCCGCATCAGAACAGGCTGCACCCTACACTGCCTTGCGGAGCCAACCTGAGCTTGGGGAGCTCTTGTCTCAGAGGTGAGGACGCTGTGGCCAGGGCCTGGGGGCTCCACCCGGTCACCCAGAGAGTGAGAGGTGTCTGTGTCCCCCGAAGGTGACTGGGCAGCCCCACAGTCAGTGCTAAAGTGCACTGTCCAGGGTGTTTCCACAGGGGGTGCTCTGCCGCCCACCCACTGCCTCCATCACAGATGCGGTTTCCTGGAGGAACCCTACCGAGACCAGCCTGGAGTTGCGCTGTCTGAGGCCCTGCGGGAGCTGCTCTCCAGTGCACACACGGGCTGTGCCAGCTCCTCGCCCTTGTGAGTGTGGTTCTCCCCGAGCTCTGGGGATTCCATGTTTTAAAGGCAGCCTTATTGAAATATGATTTATACTCAGTAAAATCCCCCAGCTTTATCTGTATGATTTGATCCATGTTGACCGTCAGTTTCCTGCCACCCCTGGCTCGTAGAGACACCGGTCTGGGGCCTGTGACTGTTGTTTTGGGCTTTCTTGGAACTTCACGTAAACAGAGTCCTGCAGTTGCTGTGTCTGTCATCTCTGACTGAGCACAGAGCTTTTGAGACCCATCAACGTTGTATCAGCAGTTCATTTACTTTTATTACAAAATAATTCTCTATCCTGAGACTCTACCAAAATGGTCTCGTCTGTTCACCCACTGACCAATACCAGGGTGGTTTCCCATTCTTGCCAGCTGGGACAGAGCTGCTGTGAATATCTGCGTGCCAGACTTCCTGTGAATGCAGGTTTTCATTCCTTTGGGCTCTACATCCAGGAGTAGGATTGTGGGGTTTAACTTTTTTTGGCGGGGACAGTGTGGGGACAGAGTCTCGCTCAGTCGCCCGGGCTGGAATGTAGTGGCGTGATCTTGGCTCACTGCAGCCTCCGCTTGCCGGGTTCAAGTGATTCTCCTGCCTTGGTATCCTGAGTAGCTGGGACTACAGGCATGCACCACCACACCCAGCTAATTTTTGTATTTTTAGTAATTTCACCATGTTGGCCAGGCTGGTCTCAAACTCCTGACTTCAGGTGATCCACCCGCCTCGGCCTCCCAAAGTGCTGGGATTCCAGGCGTGAGCCACCGGGCCGGGCCCTAACTTCTTAAGACATTGCCAGGCTCTTCCCAGCGGCCATACCGTGGCAACACGCGGGGTCCAGTGACGCGTTACTGCACAGGCTGTCGGCACCAGAGCTGGGAGAACGCTCCGCTGTGGCACTGTCGGCTTTGGTATCTGGATCCAGCGGGGCAGCAGCACATTTAGCCCTGGCTTCAATCTGTGTGTCTCCAGTGACTGACGTGCCCAGCGTTTCCCGTGCTTCTCCACCTCGGCGCCTCTTCTCTGGTGGCGTCTGTTCAGGTCCCTTCCCTCTGTCTGGTGCTGGCCTGCCAGGCCCAGCTGCCCATCTGTGCCTCCTGGAGTTCCCATTCCTCTCTCCTCACCCAGCAGGCCTGCTGGGCTCTGTCTGTGGCACTGCCCCGGCCTGCGTCCTGGGGGACTCACCCCATCCCCTCCCGCGGCTCTGAGCTCTGAGCTGCCTGCCCTCCCTCGCAGGAATCCCACTGTTCCTTGTGTTGTATCTGGTGTCTGGGGACTGAGGTGGGGGGTGTGTCTGTGCTGGTTCCTACAGCTTGTCCAGAAGGAGAAGTTCTAGCGCATTTTGGAGCCCATGAGAGCCTGTCCCCCAAAGCTTCCTGGTGCCCCATCTGGGAGCCTCCTCTGCGCACACAGAGAGCGTCGTCTTGGGTCTCTCGGGACCCCAATGTCCTGCCTCGCCTCTCCTGTGCTGGGCCGTGCGGGTTTAGTGATGTCCTGTCTCTCCTGTGTTGGGCTGTGTGGGTTTAGTGATGTCCCGTCTCTCCTGTGTTGGGCTGTGCGGGTTTAATGATGTCCTCTCTCTTCTGTGCTGGGCCGTGCGGGTTTAGTGATGTCCCGTCTCTCCTGTGCTGGGCCGTGCGGGTTTCGGTGTTTTCTTTGTTTTTCTTACTTTAGCTGTGTTCTTGGAACAATAAGGTGAGGGAGGAGTGGACGTTTGCCAAATGCTCCTCGGTGCTGGGACTCTGCTGTGAGCTTCTCACACCCTCCCTCCACAGAACCTGGGGAGGCCCAGGACAGGCACGCATTGTGGCTGACACCCCAGGCCACAGCCACCTTCGTTCTCCCAACTCCCTCCTGCCCTGTCCACACCCGCTCCCATGTAAAACATTCTTTTTTGTTACTTGGAAACTTCATGTCTGACCACTTACCCTGTTGGAGCTGCAGACAGCAGTGTGTGTCCTTGAATGGCCACAGGGCCTGCTCGTCTGTGTTCTCTCGGTGTTCCATGGCTCTGTTCTTAGGAGCACCCACACGTGTCTTTTCAGGTTATGAGTGAGAGGTGGCTGAGGTGTCCTGCACCCACAAACCTTGTGCTGTAGAATGTCTATAAGCCAGACCTGAGCTCCCTCCTGCCTCCCTGCCGCTCCCCCATCTCCATGCCCATGGAGCGTGCTCTCCATTTCACACTCCTGGAATTCCGGCCCCTCTGCGTGCTGAGCTTCTGTCTGGTGGCTGCTCTGCTGAGAACCCTCCGCCTGGAGTCACCTCTGACTCAGGGTTGTGCAGTGTCCCATTTGGCCATCCATTTGGGAAGATGCAGCCGGTTACAAACGAACTTTTTTTGTTTTGTTTTACATCTTCGTTTTTGTTTTTTTGACACAGGGTCTCACTCTGTTGCCCAGGCTGAAGTGCAGTGGCCCAGTCATGGCTCACTGCAGCCTCAACCTCTTGGTCTCAAGAGATCCTCCTGCCTCAGCTCCCTGAGTAGCTGGGACCACAGTTGTGTGCTACCACACCCAGCTGATTTTTAAATTTTTTATAGAAACAGGATCTCTGTATGTTGTCCAGGCTGGTCTCGAACTCCTAACCTCAAGCAGTTGTCCTGCCTTGGCCTCCCTAAATGCTGGTGTCACAGGCATGAGCACGGTGCCTGGATGAAACCATTTCTCTTTATGGTAACAGAACCGTCCTTCTTTTCCTCCCTAATTCGTCCCCCAGGGTGCTAGAGTATATGTTTTAATGGAAATATAACACAATACACCAAAGTGCACAGATTGTAAGTTTTCAGCCTGTCGGACGACAGAGCGAGTGTGTGTGTAACCCCCCTAATGCAGGCGAAGACACAGAACTTCCTGGGTCACACAGGACCCCGTGGATGTCTCTTTGCAGTCTGAGTGACACCTGTGTGTTCAGTCTTCAGTGAAAGGTGGCTCTCACTGTCTGTAAGCCGTCTGTCTTCATGGCTGGATGGCTCCTGTGATGCCCTCTGCTGTCCTGGTCGCCTCCTGGGGAGCACTCAGCTCGTCGATGTCTGCCTTCTTGAACCCAGGGCCCTGCGTGTGAGCCGAGCCATAGCTGCTCCTGCTGACGTGCGGTCGTCCTCCTGGCCGCATCCCGGGGCTGCACTCTCACGGGAGCTGCTCCAAGCAGGCCCTGCCCAGGTACCCGAGACCAGTGCGCGAGTCTGAGTTCAGGGCTCCTTGGCTCCGAGTCACCTTTCGCCAGCGACTGTGGCTTTGAGGATGTATCAGAAATCTCACTGGTGTCTGTGTTTCCAGGCCCTGGGTCATGTGAGGATTTCAGATGCATGCGTTCTGTTTTTTCCAGCCATCGATGGAAGTGCTAGGCTGAATGGGGCTGGTACGGAGGTGGACGCCTCGGCCTCAGGCTGATGAGCCGCTTGTGAATGAACTTGTCTTCAGACACACATCACTCAGTGCTGTCCTCACAGAAACCTGATGAAGCCTTCGGAAAATGCCTGCAGCCTGCCCGCGTGGCGCCGGAGGCTGTGAAGGCTGAGGCTGCTGTGGCCTGCCTGGCCTCGGCAGGACCCTGGGCTGGCCACCGTGGTCACGGCTCCACCCTGCAGTGATTCTGTGTCGGGAGGCACAGGAGAGCGTGGTTGGTCCGGGCCTCGCGCACAGCTCTCAGCCCTGCTGCTTCCGGACGACCCTGCCTCTTCTAAGCTGCTCCTGTAAAGTGCCTTTGACCTTGCAAGGTTGCCATGTGAACTGATGTAAATGGGGATGACGATGTGCCTCACCTGTAGCTGTCACCTGAGGCCGGTGCCCATCGTGCCAGCCGCCTGTGTGCCCAGGACAGTGTGCCGGGTGTGGCGGACATGGACGGGCTGCCAGGGGTGTGGGTGGCTCTAACGGGTGCATCTCGCTGCCCAGGCCAGCTCAGAGCTTTGCCAGGGGTGCGGGCAGCTCTCATGGGTGCGTCTCACTGCCCAGGCCACCTCAGAGCCTTGTTGTCGTCCCCCCTGTTTGGGCTGCTCTCTGGCCTGGTGGCCTGTGGGTGCTGGTAGACCTGGGCGGGGTGTAGGGCTGCGTGAGGAGAGCCTGAGTGTGGACTGCAGCTGCCTCCCATGTGCTGAGGCTCTGCCCAGGGGCATGGGGTGCCCTGGATGCCCCGACCCGGCTCCCTGTGCCCCCGGGAGTGCCCAGGGCTGCAGCTCGGTGAAGTGCGTTGTGTCTAGGCCCAGTTTGGGGGATGTCCCTCTTCCATCTGCCGTTCCCAGTCCCAGCTGCTGGTGACCCCAGCAGTGGCCGGATTATCCAGGGTTCAGCTGGCTGTGAGGAGGGCAGTGTGCTGCTCCTAGGCCTCGAGGCACCAAGCTTTCCAGTGTGGGGTCCACACAGCCCAGCGTGGCCACGGCCACCTGCCTCCTGATGACAGTGGCTAGGCTGGCTCCAGGGCCTCCCCCAGGGCAGTGTGAGGGCAGCAGGCGGGGCTGGTCATGGGCAGAGCTCAAGGCCTTCCCCTCATCCACAGGCGTTGCACAGGGGTGTTGGGCAATGGGGGTCCCTCCGGTGGCCCCACTGAGTGAGGCCCCACACCAGAGGCTTGGGAGGCTCAGGTGCTCACACCTGCAGCCTCCACGGGAGCACCTGGAGCCTGGGTTTGACTCTGCTGTGGCGTCCAGAACCAGCAGGCACCAGGATAGCCCGTGGGAAGTCCAGAGCCTGGCTCTGGCTGGGCCTGTAGGGGAGCTTGGGGGCCCATGGTCTGCAGAGCGGACAGGTTGAGGACTGTGGGCTGTTGCCTCAGCCACTTTCCCCAGGCTGTGTCCCCAGGGGCTGTAGTGCCTTGTTTTCTGTGTCTCCAAACATACTTCCCCCATCCCCACCACATGTGCACATGCCACACACAGGTGTGCATATACATACCCACACTTGTGTACACGCACATACACACGCCTCCCCGCCTCTCTCCCGTTTCTCCTGGTGACTTGCCTGGTGGTTTCCAGTTGCCGCTGGGCCAGGCATCTGCCTGCCTCTCGATTTCTCCCTCACCCTCAGGCCTGCTGGGCCTCCACCCCGCAGATCCCACACCCCACCACAGCCACCTGCCTCACTCCTGGGCTGGCCCTCCATCTCCTTCCCGGACTTTCCTGTGTGCTGTGGCCTGGGGGGGTCTCACAAGGCCCCCTGCCTCGCCCTTCCTCCCAGGTTCTAGGACAGAGCCGCAATGTGTTTAGGTGGTGGGGGCAGTGGGGAGCCAAGCGGGGTCGTGGGAAGGAGTCAGGAAGGGGCAGAGGGAGAGGATGTGGGGGAAGGTAGGAACCGCAGGGGCAGAGGCCCAGGGCGGGGGTCTCCGAGGTCCTGAGCCCCATGCACCGTGCAGGTCATGGGTGCAGGGTCACTGTCCCCAGCAGGGAGCTGGACTGCTGACATCCTGGCCCCACAACCAGACCCAGCCTTGCTGCTCCATGAGGCCTGTTAGGAGGAGGCGGCTGGCTTTTCATTGCTGGCTTTTCTACCCTTAGTGTGGGGTCAAGCCTGGTGCCCTTTGGGGAGTGTGTCGGGGCAGGAGACCCTTCCTGCCTGGGTCGGGGTCCTGCTTGGGGGTGGCCGTGGTGGAGGAGATGCTCTGAGGTGGGGCCTCTGCCTGGAAGGTCACCTGATTCTGTTCTTTAAGCACGAGCCTGCCAGGGAGAGTGAATTGATTTCCTCTGACTGAAAGTCCCATGCTGAACCTTTCCCTCCGTCTCTCCCCAGTTCCACAGTCCCTCTTGGGCCCACCCCTGTCCACCCCATTCACAGTCAGTTTCCTGAGGCAGGTTTTAGGAATGGACCTTGGTTCTGTGAAGCCTCCCGCAGCCCACTCGGTCTTCGTCTCCATCAGTTGTCTCCATCACTGGGCTCTCGGCCTCGCGGGGCAGCCACACTGGCCCCTGCCCACCCTCTGGCTGCCCACTTCCCAGCTCCTGGGTCCCGTTGCTCCCCAGAGAGTGGAGGCTGCGGGGTGGTGGGGGTTGTGTTCCCTGCAGTCCTAGAAATGGGGCCTGGCCCACCACAGTCTCAGGCCGAATCCTGTCTTGTCTTGCAGGCTCAGCTGTCGCAGGCCCTGGAGGAGCTGGGAGGCCAGAAACAAAGAGCAGACATGGTGAGTCAGACGCGGGAGTGGCTGGGATTCAGGGCACCTGGACCCTGGGTCTGGGCAGGGACGCCTGTCCCCATAAGCCTTTAGGCTGCAGGCGCCAGTGCATGGCTGCCTCTTCTGTCGTCGGAAGCTGCGTTGAGCGGGGAAGGGTGTGTGAGGAGCCTGAGTCCCATCTCTACTAGTGACAGGTGGCATGCGCCGGCGGGGAGCACAGCCCCTCGGGCCCCACCACCGTGTTTGTGGCAGGGGGCCAGTGACATGTTTGCCGCATGAGGCCACGGTGTCGGGGCAAAGCAGGTGTGAGAGCCTACGAGGGGTCTGTCCAGCAGCGAACTGGACATCAGTGCTGTGGCTTCATGGACCCCTGTCCCGACCACACAGGACCCGAGTCCCCAGTGGGACAGTGCCTCAGCCGGGGCTTGGGCGCCACTCAGCATGGGTCCTGACCAGGAGAGGGACGTCTCTAGTGAGTGCTTATCTGCCCTCTGTGAATGCAGCAGGCGTGCTTTTAAGCTGTTTTCTCCTCAGCCCACATGGGCCCCACTCTCCTGGCTGCCTCCGAGCCTGGGTGGGGGGCCCGCAGTGTGGGCCCGTGGGGGACCAGGCAGGCTCTCCTGGTTTCTGGACCTCCAGTGTCAAAAGCTTCCCACTGTTTTAGGGAACAAATGGGCTTTGCTTTTGAAGCGTTTTGGCCTAAACAAAGTGTAGGTTCCCTCCATGCTGCCCTGGCCTTGGCCATGTCTGTGAAGGACAAGGACGGCCCTGGGGCATGCGTGCGTGCGTGTGTCTGCATGTTCTGCCCTGGGCCATGCGTCAGGCTGGCCTGGGTCACAGGCAGAGCTGCTGTCGGCGTTGTACGGACCCCAGGGCCTGCAGCCCAGGTCGAGGCTCCCGTCGGGCATCCTTGCTTGCCAGCTCGTGACTGTGAGCCGGTGTCCTGGCTCTCAGGGCCTCAGGGCCTTCCTCTCCACCCGGCAGGGGTGTGCTGAGGGTTCATTGCTTGACAGGCTCTGGGGCTGGCAGCACAGCCTGTGGCGGTTGTGGGTGCGGCCATGGTTACAGGCCCTTCTCATGGGACAGGGTTGGATGGGGTTGGAAATCACCGTCTTGAGAGGTACGGGCACCAGGGCCTAGGCTGGGAATGGGCGAGGGCTGTCTGCAGACCCTGGAAGAAGCTGCCCAGCGGCGCAGAGAGGCAACAGCAGGGCACCGCGCGGGTCTGGGCAGAGCTGGCATCTGCAGGACCAAGGCCAGGTGGGCTGGCAACAGCTGTCCTGAGCCTCTGGAATGGTCGCTGTTCACTCAGCAGCTGCTTAAGGACATTCTTCTTGGTGCTGGGGACGCGGCAGCCAGCAACACAGGCTCCTGCCCTCCTGGAGGCACACTGTTGCCAAGTGAGTAGTCAGTGGCCCATAGGAGAGTGAAAGACAGAACTTCCGGTGGTGGCGAATGGAGGAGCCGCATTCTCCCGGGGCCGCTCTGCAGAGCGTCCTGAGCCAAGCCTGGGGGACCCGACTGTTGGTGGTGGAAATGGTGGGGCAGGCAGGTCCCGGACCCAACAGTGAGGTTAGGGGTGACAGAAGCGGGGTCCGCGGTGGTTGGTAGTCCAACCTTGTGGGCCCTGTGTGGTCACGGCAGGGCTGTGGTTTCATGGGTGGAGGAGGTGGTGACACAACCTGGTGTCCATTCGTAAAGGATGCCTGGCTGCTCTGTGCAGGGCCGCAATGGGTGGGAAGTGGCAGGCCGGGGTGGGAGACGCAGGTGCCCTGGGCTAGGACTGCAATGGCGTGCGGAGGCGTGGTCCGAGTCCGCTGCGTTGAAGGGAGATGCAGGTGAGGTAGAGAGCGTGAGGGCTGGGAATCAAGGACGGCTTCGGCATTCCGCCCCGGGTGGGCTCATGGTATGGGGTGGGGAGATTGAGGGTGAAGTGTGGGAGTCTCACGCCTGCCACACGTTGGATGCACAGGGCTGGAGGCTTTGAGTCGGTGCCCTGGGGTCAGAGGTGCCCATCTGCTCTGCATGGTGTTTCTGTTGTTGGGAATGAGTAGGTAGCAGAGAAGTCAGAACTGGAGGCTCAAGCCTCTTTGGGGCATTCCAGCATCCTGGCATCTAGTCTTGGGGAGCAGCCATGAGTTGGGGTACTCCGTGGAGGGCAGGTGCAGTCACAGAGCCCTGGAGAAGGAAGTGTTTTCAGGGGACAGTCAGACTGCAGAGAAGACCCGGAAGGGGAGCAGAGGATTGCCCTGGGCCCTGCGGCCGGCGTTTCATTGATGAGAGGAGAGGCCCAGAAGGGCCTGGTCAGGGGCTGGGCCTGGAGCCGGGAGGGAAGATTCGCTTTACCGATGGGCAGTGGGAGAGCGGTTTATGCTGAAGGGAGCCTTACTGTAGTGACGGGCATGATGTAGGGCTGGGGCAGTGGAGGGGCATCGAAAGGGGCTGGGGCCAGCAGGTTGCTGGAGCTTCCTGTCTCCTCCTGAAGTGGGCATGAGGCGCACTGGCCTGTGAGGGTCCCCGCAGTCCCGCTGAGGTTTGTGGTGTAAACTTGGAGCCAGGTTGGGCGTCAGGCTTCTGTCTGCCACGCTCAGGTGCTTCCCAGCAGACACAGTCATGGGGAATGGGGTTTACCAGGGCGGGTTTGCCAGGGGAGCGCAGTGGAGGGAGGGAGGCGGAGATGTGACGCTTTGCTCAGCGGAGGGAAAATCAGGCTGTTGGGGGCTCCAGGACAGGCCTTTCTCAGGTCTGGGTTTTAAAATTGGAGAAATTGGAGTATCAACCATGTTTTTCTTTAGGCTGTAGAAATACTGGGGGGTGGGGTTGTTGTTTTGTTTATTTTCCTCTCTGTGTTCTGCTGTGACCTTTCATTGCTGATGTAGTTTGCAGGGGAACCCATTGTAACTGTATTGTTTAATGGCAGGTCTGAGACTCGGTTTCCATTCCTCTGCCCTCATCTGAGATGGCTCAGGGCAGGCCTGAAAGATGCTCCTGCTTCAGTGAGCGGGTTAGTGGGGACTCTGTGGAGTGTGGGGTCTGGTGTCCAGCAGTGTGTGGGGTTAGGGGGCTCTGTGGACTGTGGGGTCTGTGGACTGTGGGGTCTGGTGTCCAGCAGTGAGTGGGGTTAGGGGACTCTGTGGACTGTGGGGTCTGTGGACTGTGGGGTCTGGTGTCCAGCAGTGAGTGGGGTTAGGGGACTCTGTGGACTGTGGGGTCTGGTGTCCAGCAGTGAGTGGGGTTAGGGGGTCTGTGGACTGTGGGGTCTGGTTCCCCTGAGTGCAGGTGTTCAGGAAGGATGCCAGGGTCCTCTTCTGCCTGTGTGGGGGCTTGGCGGGGGGTTGGCAGGGGGTTGGTGGGGGACACACCCAGAGCCTTCCTAGTTCCCAGCCCTGAGGGCTGTCGGTGCTTCCTTCTCAGTGACTGAGCTTTCTGGACCCTTCAGTGAGGACCCTTTTCCTGTTGCCTCTGGAACAGCCTGGGGTGGGTGGAGGGATGCTCCCATCTGAAGATGCCCTGTGGAGACCCTGGTGTTCTGTGTGTCAACACGCTGGCTGCCTCACTGTTGGCCTGAATTGAAACGTGCCTGGGGGCCATGCTTCTGCATGTGCAGGAGGCCAGGAGGGTTAGAAATGGAGTTGTCTGAGCACAGGCCAAGCCCTCGGCATTATGGCTGAGCCACCTGCCCGGCACCTGCAGCTGCCCTGGAGCATGGACTCCCCATGTCCAACAGAGGCACGGACGCCTCGGAGCTGGCATCTTGACCCGGGCATCGGCCCTTGTCTGGCTGCAGGTGGTTTTGGAGGAGCTGCTCACTCCAGTCCTCTTTTGTGGGGAGAGAGACAGAAACTGGTCTTGGGCCCTCAGGTGGGGTGGGTGTGGCCGCCCCTGGAGTGCTGGCTTCTCCAGATATCTGGTTCTGGTCAGGGGGCTGTGAGGTGCGCTTGGTGCAGCGCTGGGCTGGAGGTTTGGCTGCTTTTCAACCTGTGTTTTTTCTCTTTTTTAGCCCATATAATTTCTGTTCCTTATTCATCGTACGCAGCACCGTTTAAGCGCTAATGCCTGGGCCCCAAGCTGCAGCATTTGACTTCGAATTTGGTGGGAGGATTGCCCCCAAGCAGAATCATGATTTTACCCCTCCCTGGGTTGAGCTCCTGTTCCTGGCCCCGTCCTTTGTTTGGAGCCGCAGGGCTCCCGAGGGACGAGAGGAGGGGTCTCGCTGGCTGTGTGCCCCTCTTGCCATGCAAAGCCCTTCAGAGGAGGTCCTGGGGAGAGCAGTGCCAGGCAAGGGGGCTACAGACACCGTGGTTGGGGCTGGCCCCTGCCAGGCATGCCTGAAGGCCAGTGGCCTCCCTCCCCTGCCCCCCGCCACCGCACTGGGCTGTGCAGCCCTGGGCTCCAGGTTGCCCCTTCTCTGTGTGACCCAGAGCCCTCAGTGTCATGGCTTCTTCCCGGGGGTTACAGGTGCATGTTCCTGTCTGAAGGGGGTCTCTGGGCTGCGGGACAGCCTGACTCCCTTTTCATTTTATGGTGGAGGAACCTGAGCGGGAGCTCGCCCTGAGCTGGGATGGCTGGAGTCACCCAGGTCTGGCTCTGAGGCCCCTCCCACCCAGTTCCCTGTGACTGGCTCGGCAGTGGGTGCTGTCTGGGGAAGGGGCTCCCTTGTCCCTGGAAAGGCTGGGGCCTAGGTGGTCTGCACCCTCAGGGCTTGTGTGGAGAAGCCACATTCTAGGCAGGGCTGACTGTGTCACTCACGCCTTCTGTCCACAGTGGTCTGGGACATGGCCCTAGTGCCCGTCCCGTCTCCCAGCCTGCAGCTCCTTTACCTGCTATTTTCCAACCCAAAGTCATTTTGTTATTTAGGAAATGAGAAAAGAGAGAAAAAAGAAAAATTTAAATCTTTAGTTAATTGCCAATGACAAGACAAAGGCACTCTGACTTTCTTATTATTAATTAGCAAACCCGTACTAATTAGTAAGCATAAGTACAATTCATGTTTTTTTCTTTAAATGCAATTAATATCGCAAGGAGAGATTTCCTGGGCCATCGTCGTATCATTAGCGAACCCCCCTAATTAGCTAGGCCCGCAGTGGCTGGAGATGGGAGTCTTTTGATTACAGCTCTAAAATATCCTCTAATATTTTATAGACTTTGGGGAGTGAGGAGTGAAGCTTTATTTTCCGATTCAGAGGGAATTACGCCGCTCTCAGCTCTAAAATATCCTCTAATATTTTATAGACTTTGGGGAGTGAGGAGTGAAGCTTTATTTTCCGATTCAGAGGGAATTACGCCGCTCTCAGCTCTGATTAAGCAGCATCTTCCTTGATTGCTGATTTCCCTTTGTGGCCCCTCTGTGCCTGCTCCTTGCTCCCAGGGGCACCCTGTGCCAAGTCTGCCTCACCAAGGGCCGTGGCTACAGCAGCACTGAGGCCCGGACAGGCTGCTTCCCGTCCCCCACCCTTCTTTGTCCATCTCTGAAATGGGAAGGGTGTCGAGGCCCACTCTGAGTCGGGCCTAGCGGCAGGTGCTTTACAGACAGATTCTGAAATCTGGCGACCGTGAGCAGGGCAGGTCCCGTGGGCCCATGAAGAAGCTCTAGGCTCTCTGGGGTCTCCTGTGCAGGAGCCTGTGGTCCGTGTGGCTCTCAGAGCCTCTGGCTTCTCATGGGAGGCTGAGGACACCGGCGGAGCTTCCCTGAAGAGACTCCCAGTGAGGCATGTGTAGACCCGGGGGACCCTGCCCGCCCAGCAGCCGTGTGTAGACCCGGGGGGACCCTGCCCGCCCAGCAGCCGTGTGTAGACCCGGGGGGACCCTGCCCGCCCAGGAGCCGTGTGTAGACCCGGGGGGACCCTGCCCGCCCAGGAGCCGTGTGTAGACCCGGGGGGACCCTGCCCGCCCAGCAGCCGTGTGTAGACCCGGGGGACCCTGCATGCCCAGGAGCTGTGTGTAGACCGGCAGGGCCCGGCACACACGGGAGGCGTGGCTGGTGCCTCTATCTTCACTGGTGCTGCTACTGAAGATGGACCAGGCAGCTGTGAGCCCCTCGTCAGTGCTGGTCCTCATGGCTGTGCCCAGCCCGGAATCTGTCTGGTCACATCCAGCAGCATGGCCAGTGCCTGCAGATGAATGATCATGAGAGCCTCCTGGTGTGGTAACTGACAGTACCTCATTTCACCTTCCGGACCCATCCTGCTCCACGACGAAGTGCTACTTCTGACTGGAGTGCTTCGTGCTTGGCATGCTGGAGGGGCTTGCTGCTGGCACCGGGGTTCTGTATGGCTGGTGGCACCGGGGTTCTGTATGGCTGCTGGCAGCCTCCTGGTCCCTGGAAACCTGTTCAGTTCACGCTGCACCAGCATGTATGTCCCCGCGCGCGCTGGTGTGCAGGTGTCCTGAGCTTGGAGAGGCTCTTTGGGGCCAGGGATGTGTCTGGGGCAGGTCTGGGGAATGGCTCAAAGTCTGAGACTGTGTCCTTAGCTCACTCTCCTCCTCTCCAGCCCTGGAGGCGGCCTCTCCTGGGCCCCCCGCCTGGGGCTCCTGCGCCCGCCCTTCCATCCCACACAACTGGTCCCTTCCCTCAGCCACACCTGTCACCTCTCTTGCTGTGTGGCCACAGGCAGGTGCTTCACTGCCTGGTCCTCAGGGTGGAGAGAGGAAGCGGGGAGCCTCCCTGGAGTCTCACAAAGCTAAGTGAGTTCGTGTGCTGGGAAGATCCAGGCTGTTCTGGGAAGTGATTCTGGGTGAGAACAGGGGCCTGATCTTCCTCAGCAGCCCCGGGGCTGGTTCCAGGCTCGCTGCCCGTTCACCAGCTCAGGTTTCCCTGCGTCCAGCCTCATCCTCAGTGCGTGCCCCGAGGTGCCCCCCGAGGCTTCTCCACAGAGTGGAAGGAATCGTGCTGGCCACAGCAGGTGTCACATGGAGCAACCTTTGCTTTAAATGCCTCTTGCATTGGAGGGAAGTTGTCTAATTCAGCAAGCATTTGTTGAGTGCCTCTTCTAGGCTGTTGTCTGAGGGAACAGAGACCCTGTGGCTGCGCATCTGTCTATTCAGCTGCCCTAACAGGAACACCGCAGACTGGGCTGCTTAAAGTAGCAGATGTTGGCCGGGCGTGGTGGCTTACGCCTGTAATCCCAGCACTTTGGGAAGCTGGGGTGGGTGGAAATCTTGAGCCCAGGAGTTCGAGACTGGCCTGGGCAACAGAGTGAGACCTCGTCTCTGTTTAAAAAAATAAAATAAAACAAAACCCTTGCAGACATTTGTTGCTCACGGTTCTGCAGGCTGGAAGTCCAGGATCAGGAACTGGCCGGTCTGGTGTTTGCTGAGGCTTCCTGGTTCCAGATGGCGCCCTCTCACTGTGTCCTCACACGGTGGGAGGGGCGAGGGAGCTCTGGGGTCCCTTTTATGAGGGTGCTAATCCCCCCCCCGAGGCTCCGCCCGGTGGCCTCCTCACCTCCCCGGGCTCCCTCCTAGGATTTCAGCATGAGAGCGGGAGCACACAGTCCATGGCATGGGCCCACCTCCTTCCTGCTGTGTGAGACCCGGTGGGCGCTCACTGCCCTGCCCAGTCCTCCTACTGGGGGGTCTCTGCCTGGTCCCTCAGTGCCCGATGGGCCTGCCCTGCCTACGGTGATGTCCCCACCCTCTGAGCACATCTTCTCACGCCCTTCCAAGCAATCCCTGTGCTGCTCCCCCTCTGAGGATGTCTTTTCAGTTCAGCGGAGCCTCAGGCCCCCTGGGAATTGAGCTGGACCCGTGCTGCTGCCCCTGCATCGCAGACACGCTCTTCCCTCCCTGCCTTCACGGGGCCTGCACCTTCACCATCACCGCCACCATCGTCCCTGTGCTGCCCTGGGTGTGGCGGTGGCACGTGCAAAGCCAGTGTGTGCTGTTGCTCACCATGTCATGAGTACACACTTGTTGTTTACACAGATTATCCCCCTGTGATCCTGGCAGCAAACCCACAAGCTGGTTGTGGCCCCAGATACTCAGACGAGGAACAGGGGCAGCCAGGATTAGTGACCTGCCCGTGTTGGCACCGGCAGTGGTGGAGAGTGCTCCAGGGTTCACACCCAGGCAGGCTGACCCCAGACCCTGTGGCCAGGGCAGTTGCAGGGGCTTCCTCATATCAGGCTGTCTGTGAAATCCACCAGGACAGGACCCAGGGCTTTCTGGGGCTCCAGCGTTAGCCCAGGGCCAGGCATTCAGCTGGGGAGTTTAAAGCATCTGCCGAGTGCTGAGTGGGGACAGGTGGGAGGAGGATGCTTCATCTTCCCTCTGTCCCCTTTCCCAGTGTGAGGACCCAGCCTTTTCAGTTTTTACCAGTTTGCAAAGATCTTATGAGAAGATGCTGGTGATTTAATGTCGTTACCTTGTAAGGATCATCTGCATTTTAGAAAAAGTAGCTGAGAAGATGGTTTCTTCGCCCAGAAAATAGATTTCTCAGGCATAATGTCTGAGCCTTGGTTGTAGAGGATTTGGATCCCTGCTTCTCCTCCAAAAAACAGAAGAAAATCTCAGTGCAGAGGGAAGGCGTAAGCTTGTTTTCTATCTGGGCCAGTGCCACAGTGTGTGAGCTAGCAGAGCCTCAGAGTGTGTCTGATACGTCGTGACCTTTGTGTTATTTTCTCTTTCAGAATGATCTTAGATATTCTCCAATGTTTTTTCCGGTAAACTTTAGAGGGAGCTTGCCAAGGTTCCTGCCAGTCCTCTTGCATTGCCTTGGTCTGCGGACTGACATGGGAAGGCAAGCTGGTTGCATTGTGGCTCCCCCAGAAGCCCTGTGCCCTCCCTGCACTGTGGGTCCTGCCCACTGCTTACTAGGGTTATTCCTGGGTGGTTTAGAATCTCAGTCACCTGCATGTCACTGCTGTCTGCACACTTGCCATATGACCCATGGGGGCATCTTTTGGGCGTTGGGGGCGGGGATGAGGAGAAGGTGGGCACTTCAGACTCAGAGCAGTGAAGTCCCCCGTGCATTCCACTCCACGAAACTTAGATCGAGTCTATAATAACCACGAGAAAGGAAATCGGTTCATTTATCTTGAAAAATTATGGGAGTAATTCTGTATAGGGGAAATATAGTACCCTCATCCTAAGTACGAAGCATTTTCCTGTGATTTAAACTTGTCGTGTCTCTGCAGTGGCCCTTTCTGGCTTAAGCTTTTTCTCAGCTACGTGTATCTTCCATAAGCTGATCCCGTTCTGGCCCCAGGCCCACAATGGTGTCACCTGCCCCTGCCCCTGCCCCTGCCGCCTGCCTCCCTGACGTAGAGCCCATGCCATCCTCACATCCACCTGTCCTGGAGACACTGGGACTTTCCCTTGGACTGGGCCGCCTGGGGGCTTGTTTTTGCCTGTGATTCAGCCAGCAGCCCTGGCAGACAGCCTTCCCCAAGCTCCCCCAGCAGAGTTAACTTCCACAGTGAGAGGCTTCACAGGGACAGGAGGTGGCCTCAGATGTCCTAAAAAGGCAGATGTAGGATTGGAGCTGATAGGAGGGAGGGAGGCCCTTTCTGTAGGGAGAACTTTCAAATTCAGGCTTGTTTCTAAGCAGGGGCTCTTTATCCAGCATCCCAGGGCAGGTGCTCAGTTCTCCACAAAGCGCTTGAGGCTGCATACACATTTCCGTTACTTGCACACGTTTTTCTCCAGAGAGCAGTTGCCATCTTCAAAAGGTTTCTGACACCTGTTCCCCTTCCCCAGCGTTAACAACTGCTCCTATTGAGGAGGCAGCCTCATTGATCCCAGTGAAGGTTCTGGAGCCCTTGGAAGCCACATAGAGAGACACCACCCATCTGGCTTCCCAACGCTCCTCCGTGAGTGTAAATGGGGCTGGGTATCCAGCGTGGAAGTCAGAGCAGTGGCGCTCTGGTGGGGCAGGTGCTCAGGCACCCAGCGGTGCTCATGAGGCCAGCAGTGGCGCTCTGGTGGGGCAGGTGCTCAGGCACCCAGCGGTGCTCGTGAGGCCAGCAGTGGCGCTCTGGTGGGGCAGGTGCTCAGGCACCCAGCGGCGCTCGTGAGGCCAGCAGTGGCGCTCTGGTGGGGCAGGTGCTCAGGCACCCAGCGGCGCTCGTGAGGCCAGCAGTGGCGCTCTGGTGGGGCAGGTGCTCAGGCACCCAGCGGCGCTCGTGAGGCCAGCAGTGGCGCTCTGGTGGGGCAGGTGCTCAGGCACCCAGCGGCGCTCGTGAGGCCAGCAGTGGCGCTCTGGTGGGGCAGGTGCTCAGGCACCCAGCGGCGCTCGTGAGGCCAGCAGTGGCGCTCTGGTGGGGCAGGTGCTCAGGCACCCAGCGGCGCTCGTGAGGCCAGCAGTGGCGCTCTGGTGGGGCAGGTGCTCAGGCACCCAGCGGCGCTCGTGAGGCCAGCAGTGGCGCTCTGGTGGGGCAGGTGCTCAGGCACCCAGCGGCGCTCGTGAGGCCAGCAGTGGCGCTCTGGTGGGGCAGGTGCTCAGGCACCCAGCGGCGCTCGTGAGGCCAGCAGTGGCGCTCTGGTGGGGCAGGTGCTCAGGCACCCAGCGGCGCTCGTGAGGCCAGCAGTGGCGCTCTGGTGGGGCAGGTGCTCAGGCACCCAGCGGCGCTCGTGAGGCCAGCAGTGGCGCTCTGGTGGGGCGGGTGCTCAGGCACCCAGCGGCGCTCGTGAGGCCAGCAGTGGCGCTCTGGTGGGGCGGGTGCTCAGGCACCCAGCGGCGCTCGTGAGGCCAGCAGTGGCGCTCTGGTGGGGCGGGTGCTCAGGCACCCAGCGGTGCTCGTGAGGCCAGCAGTGGCGCTCTGGTGGGGCGGGTGCTCAGGCACCCAGCGGTGCTCGTGAGGCCAGCAGTGGCGCTCTGGTGGGGCAGGTGCTCAGGCACCCAGCGGTGCTCGTGAGGCCAGCAGTGGCGCTCTGGTGGGGCAGGTGCTCAGGCACCCAGCGGTGCTCGTGAGGCCAGCAGTGGCGCTCTGGTGGGGCAGGTGCTCAGGCACCCAGCGGTGCTCGTGAGGCCAGCAGTGGCGCTCTGGTGGGGCAGGTGCTCAGGCACCCAGCGGTGCTCGTGAGGCCAGCAGTGGCGCTCTGGTGGGGCAGGTGCTCAGGCACCCAGCGGTGCTCGTGAGGCCAGCAGTGGCGCTCTGGTGGGGCAGGTGCTCAGGCACCCAGCGGTGCTCGTGAGGCCAGCAGTGGCGCTCTGGTGGGGCAGGTGCTCAGGCACCCAGCGGTGCTCGTGAGGCCAGCAGTGGCGCTCTGGTGGGGCAGGTGCTCAGGCACCCAGCGGTGCTCGTGAGGCCAGCAGTGGCGCTCTGGTGGGGCAGGTGCTCAGGCACCCAGCGGTGCTCGTGAGGCCAGCAGTGGCGCTCTGGTGGGGCAGGTGCTCAGGCACCCAGCGGTGCTCGTGAGGCCAGCAGTGGCGGCCCTGGGCACGCTGCAGCCCTGGTGGTGAGGCCCCGGTTCCTCCAAGCACAGCTGCTCTGGTTCTGCAGCGGCCTCATCCCAGGGGCGGTGCATCAGGCGAACATTCGGCCGGGACATGCCCTCCGGCTGGGCTGTTTTTTTCTGAGGAGAAAGCATTTCCCAGCTCAGGCGCACATCTGTGCTCACGAGGAAATGTCTGGGTGAGCCAAGGGGGCTGTCCATGGCCCACAGCGCCTGTGTCTCCTCCAGGCTGGAAAGGAAGCTGGAGAGTGGACTCCACCTAAGATCCCCCCGAGGCCTCCTTAGGAAGCCACAGCCACTCCAGAAGCCTTCCTGGTGCCAGAGGGTGCAGAGTTGAGCGGAAAGGTGGCCTCTGGCCAGGATGCCCAGCTGTGACCTCAGCACCCTCTCATCTCTTGGAGACCTGGAGCCTCTGCCCCAGTCAGCCCCAGGGAGCCCTGGGATGTGAGCCCTCACCTTGCAGCCAGGGTTCTGTGAGGCTCTGGGCCTCAGCCTCACCACCTCCCGGGCACAGGTTGCAGCTGAGACTCAGCGATGCCACGTGAGTTGGCGATGAGGCGGCGGGTGCACGCGCATGTGGACGCCCTCACTCTGGCACTCAGCGGCAGCCTCGTTAATTAGAATTGCGGTGGGGGGAGTTACCCAGCTCCTCCTCTTGTTATTAGTTTGTGGCATTAGGGAAGGCCCCTGGGAGCACACCCTGCATCTTCCCAAATTAAACCGAATGCAAGGTCTCTATTTAAAGGTTATGCTGCGCTAGTGAGTTTGCCACAAGGACCATTAGCATGAATGTTTCATGAAGGTTGGGGCTATGAGTGGATCTGGTAGGCCAGGCCTGTACTCCAGGAGGGAGGGACCTTGTAGGCAGAGGAACATGGGGCCAGCCGGCCTACACTGAGGCTGGGCCATGCCGAAGCCGGGCCACGCTGGGGCTGATCCATGCTGAAGCCAACCTGTGCTGAGGCTGATCCATGCTGAGGCTGGTCCACGCTGAGGCTGGTCCACGCTGGGGCTGGTCCACGCTGGGGCTGGTCCACGCTGAGGCTGGAGCGCTGCCGGGACGTCTGTGCTCGCGCTCAGGCTGCTCTCCCAGGGTCCCCACACCTGTTCCAGTTTGGGTCTGGGCAGCGCACATGCTGCTGTGCGAGCTCCGTCTTCCAGGGTGAGGCGGCTCCCGCCGCCGAGGGCTCCCAGCCCGTGCCTGGCTTTCTGCTCCCCTCTCCCTGTCGGCCCCACCGGAGATCAACAGGTTGCTTCATCTCAGTCAAACATACAGTTGAGTTCCGTAAATGAGACCAAAATCTGTTTCTGTGAGATAAAATTGATAAACCTCTAGCCAGACTAATCGTAACTAAGAGGACACAAATGAACGCTCCTGGGCGTGAGAGAAGTGACAGTGGTGCCGCCATTTTCCACGTTTCGTTAGAGCCGTCCTGGCGGGTGTGAAATTTTCCACGTTTCGTTAGAGCCGTCCTGGCGGGTGTGGAGTGGCTCCCGTGGCTTTGTTTGCGTTACCCTGAGGCCAGTGGTCCTGAACTTCACCCTGTGCTTATCAGCCACGCATCTGTCTTCTCTGGAGAAGTGTCTGCCCCATCCATTGCCCACTTTGTAAATGGGTTGTTTTGTTGGTTAGTGGTAAGTCTTCATGTGTTCTAGACACTAGACCCTTCTCAGGTATGTGATATAAGGGGCTCCTGTGAGGCAGCCCAGGAAGGGCTCTCAGTCTTGCTGGGCATCAGGGCCTTGTCAGGGAGGAGATGGCCATCTGTGGGCCTTGGGAAGGGGCATGGAGGGGCCAGGCACACGTGGCCCTGCCTCCTGCAGCCTGGTGCGGGCACAGGGTTTGGCCAGAGAGAATGATTTCCACAGGATAGGCTCAGTGCTAGGACTGCCCGGAGCACACGCAGGGCCCCTGGAAGGCAGCCCTGGCCGCCGGGAATCCTGTCCTCCAGGCTTTTGCCGTGGGATCACGGCCCTTCCCAAGAAGTCTGCCTGTGGCGCTGCCCTCCCCAGCCACGCTGTGCGCCTGGGCCACCCTGGAGCGCGGCCGGGTCCTCCAGAGAGTCCGTCAGGGACTGTGCTGCTGCTTCACAGCCACCGTGACACAGGCATGAGGGAGTAAACACAGAAAACGAAGTTTTAGGTACTGAGTGCTCTGTGCCTGGGCCAGGCCCAGAGCAGTGTCTTGTCCCCAGGCCTGGCTTTGGAGGGCTTCCCTGCCCTGTCACTGCATTGGTGGGGCCCTGATCTGTCTGCGCTGAAGTCTTGTAGGCTGGGCGCTCCACAAAGTGCCTGGGCCTCAGGTCCCTGTGGTGGGGATGGCTGGGCTGCTGTGTGCCACCTGAACGGGGGACGGCCGGGCTGCTGTGTGCGCTGCCTGATGCAGCGGCAGAGTTGCCCCTGGGAGGTGTGGGAGGTGAGTCTTGCTCTGTGACCATTGGATGAATAATGAATGGGCCCTCCGCCATGTCAGGAAGCGTTCAGCAGGGCCCTCTCCTTGTCCCCAGCGCCCTCTTCCTGGATCCCACCTTCCCACCCGTGCTTCCGCACGCTGCTCCATCTACCTGCTACTCCTTTTCTTCTGGGTCTCCCCTCCCTCACGGGCCTCCTGCCGCTCCTCGCCTCTCATGGGCCTGCCCCGGGTGTGAGTAGGTGTTCTACAGGTCCTCGGTGAGGATGCCTCCTAGGGGCCTGCCTGACTTCCTGCCAGCTCAGCCTCCTCCCTAGGCTGTAGGCTGCCCCAGAGATCGGAGCTTCAGACATGGTCCCGTGCCTGGGAGCCCGGGTTTCCCACCCAGGGACAGGTGGTGGTATCCCCGTCGTCACGGTGAGGGCTGGAGGCACAGGTGCCTGTGAGTTACCTCTGAGAACGCTGCTGCCCCGGGCCTGTGCCCTGCCAGCGAGTCCCACAGGTCCTCACAAGGAGCCCTCTGCACCCTCCACTCTCGGCTGCCGAGCCCGCAGGAGAAAAGACGTGGAGCCGGGGCTGCCGGGCGGCCGTGGCCCTGCCGTGCGGGCCCGGCGGCTGGGCGAGGGCACTGCAGTTGGTGCCGAGAGCACCCCGGGACCATCCTCGCATTTGCTCTTCCCCCACCTGCCTCTCCCCCCCTCCCCGATGGCTTTCCTTCCCTTAAATACTGATATGTCTACACGGCTTCTCAAATTGGCGGACAGCAGAGCAGACTCCGGGGCTTGTGTGCTCAGCATGGGCGGCTCTCTTCGCTTCATCCGGGATACTTAGACCCGCCCCAGTACCTCCCCGTTCCGAGCTCGGCCGCACACACGCTGGACGTGCCTGGGAAGTGGCCATTGCCGCGTCTGTGCCCACCATCTGCCCACCCGTGTGCCCGTCCAAGCACCGACTGTGTGCCAGGTTCTGTGCTGGCAATGGGGCCCTACATGGTTACCACGTCTCCTCCAGGGAACGTCCCATCCAGTGGGGAGGAGAGTCACGTGCCCAGTCACCATGTGGTGTGGTGGAGTAGAGGGTGCGGTCACAGAGGAGTGGGGGTGGGCACTTCCAGCTGGCAGGGGAGGGGTGAGGGAGCTGCCAGGACAGATTGTGGGGAAGGCGGCATTTCCACTGGATCTAAATGGTGGATGGGAGCGGGGGGTGTAGGTGGAAGGTGGCCCACAGACATGGATCATGGGTCTGGCCCTCTGTGGCTACTGTCCTGTGCCATGGGCCTGGAGGGGGATGTAGGGGTGAGAGCTGGCCTGGCGGGGAGGTGCAGGGTGGGTGGAGGACCTGCAGCATGGCTGGGGGTGTCGGGCACAGGCTCAAGGGGGCAGGCATTGGCTACTCTGAGAATACAGTTGGGAGCTTACTTATGAGTCTAAGGTTACACATTAAAATAAAAGGGCTTGATTTTTTGCTCTGAACATTGTGGCACACGTCAGCATTTCCCCCTTGTTTCCTGGAAATCATCTACAAATAACAAGAAGCGTGAAAACCAAAATGGCACTTAAATTTTGACAAAACAGAAATGCAGCTGCAAACCAAGCCCCAGGCAGAGGCAGGAAGCCCGTGGTGCAGGAGAGTGCAGTGAGCAGACGCAGTGAGCAGACACATCCCCGGGGAAGCCTGGAGCAGTGCGGGTGGAGGCAGCTCCATGAGGGAGCCGCGGAGTAGAACCCCCTTGCCGGCGCGAGGGAGCCGCGGAGTAGAACCCCCTTGCCGGCGCGAGGGAGCCGCGGAGTAGAACTCCCTTGCCGGCGTGAGCCCTTGCGAGAGGCGGCCCCTGACCCTGGCTCCGCAGTGCGGGGGCCGGCGGCAGCTGGAACGGGGGTCCCTGGACTGGCGTGTGGTTCCAAGCTGGACTGGCGTGTGGTTCCAAGCTGGACTGGCGTGTGGTTCCAAGCTGCAGCAGAGGTTGGTGCTGAGCTGAGGGGTCACACAGGTGCATCACACGTACTTGAAGCCGCATCTGTGGCAGACAGAACATTTGCTCTTAGGAAAACTCACGGTGTCCTTTCTCTCCTGCCGGAGGGAGCTACTGGGGGCTGATTGGACTCGCAGCAAAACTGTCACTGGATTTCAGATAAAAGGAAGCAGGCCTGTCCTTCCCCACTGTGAACCTGTGCACGGAGCCGGATTCAATAAAACTCATCTTCAGCAGTGAGCAGTAAAGGTTACTCCATGCATTTGTGTTAGAGCAAAGGAGAAAAAGAACAAAAACAAGTGGCAGAAAAAGTTTCACAGAAAAACGGTGGACATTGAGCAGATGAAAATTCTATCCAGACATTTTGCCAAGAAACAAAAGTTAACGAGGCGGTAGAGTCTGTGAGGCTTGGGCGGAACGCACACGCTCCAAGAAGAGACGGTGAGGCCGGGGGTTGCATGAGACAGGACCCGGAGGGTCTCAGAGCAGGAGAGGGGGCAGTAGGGGGCAGTACAGGAAGGAAGGTGACCGGATGCACGGGGAGGCGAATCACGGGGAAAACTACCTAAAGAACCCGCAGCAAGAGTTCCATCTCCTGAATTGGAAGATGAAGTGAATGTGGAAGCCTGGAAATGTAAGTGCTACATGTCATGTATTCAAAAAGAAGTGTCAGGATGGCAGAGGGAGGAGAGAACATGAGGATGGCGGCTTCGCTGTTGAGAGCCGAAGACACAGACACACCATCTAAAGGTAGTATCAGGTGGGGAGAGCAGATCGAGCTGCATGTTAGGCTCCCTAGAGCACCAGGTGCGGTAGACTGGTCTATCCCGAGAGAGTGACTGTGAGGCCCTCGCTCTTGGCCATGGAGCCAGGATCCCGTGGTCTGCATCTGTGCACAGCAGACCTGGAAGAGCCTGTGCTGTGCCCAGTCCGCTCTGCAGGCCTGAGAACCAGCGGAGCCTGTGGTGAAAGCCCCAGTCCTGGGCGGAAAACGGGAGCTGCCCCGCTCAGGCCACCAGGCAGGCAAGGGAGGAACGGTCGCCTCCTCCAGTTTTCATTTCATTCCGGCCTCAAGGGGTTGGAGGAGGCCTACCCATGCTGCCCGGGGCCGTCTGCTGAGTCCCCGATTCAAATGCTGATCTCATCCACAAACCCTCCCAGACACACCCAGAAAGTGTTTTGATCTGAGTACCCCAGGTCCTGTCCAGTGGACACATGGAATGAACCGTCACAGACTATAAAGTTCAACAGGGAGGATGATGTATCTGACTAGTTAGGCACCCAACATAGGAGATACAGTAGGTACTGTCTAGTAGGAAAGTATCGGTGTGAAACAAAGCTGAGTTATAAAAGCAACCAGGGTAAAACATGCACACTTTTCTAAGCCTCGAGAGAATTACACGCAAAAAAGTAAACTAGATTAAAAAGGCCACAGAATGAGATAGATGTAAAAGCTACAAAATCGAAAGCATAACAACATAATACAACAGAAATAGACACAAATCCAGTTATAGTTGGACTAAACTCTCCTATTAAAAGGAAAGGACTTCCTGATTGGATTGCAAAGCAAAACCAAACATGTTGGAAAGTACGGGAAGCAAAGGCATCCTGGTGAAGTGAACCTGGAAAGCAGGAGCTATGATCTCCATGCAGTGTGAGTTCAAGCCAGAAGCCGCTCAGAAACAAAGGTGGGCGCTTTTCACAGTGAGGTTCAGATGGGTTAGCCAAATAACACATCACCGCTGTTGGGAAAAGCAGAAATGAGGAAAGATTCAAGGCGAAATTGTCAAAGATGCCAGTAGCAGGATTTATGTCCTAATCTGCGATATAGCAAGTGGGCAAAGAATAATGGAAAACAGAAAAATACATATGTGCGTAAAACCCATATCCCCCAAATTAGAGAATATACTCATGTTAAAAGGAGTGCATAGAAAACATTCACAAAGATTAATTGTGTATTCGGTAATAGAGAAAGCCTTTATAAATTAAAATAAGTAGAACTAATACAACTTCTTGTGATTGCAGTGTGATGTGAAATCAAGAACAAAATCAGGGAAAAAAAAGCTCCTAACACTTGGAATTTAAAAAACAAAACCCAAACAGAACAAAACACTGTGTCTTAAACAATTCTTGGTTCAAAGAAGTACGATTCAAAAGTGCATAAGATGTAGAAAATAATTGTCATGAAAACACTTCTCATCAGAGCCTGTGGGAACCACCTAAATTCACAAGTTTAAATATTTATATCATTGAACAAGAAAGCATGTAAATATATGGATTAAACCTTCAACCCAAGAAGTCAGAGAACAAAAGGAAAGTAAACCTTAGTGAAACAAAAAGGTAGGAATTTGTAAAGATCAAAGCAGAAGTTAATAGGAAAGTGAAAAATGGTAGAAATAATAAATAAGTCCAAATACCTGTTATTTGAAATAAAACCAATAAAACATATGAATTATTCACAGTTCTAATAAAAAATTGATAGAAAGTATCACCATCCAAAATAGGAAACAAGACTAATTACCTGGAGCTATTGACTGAGCAGGAGCATGCGAGAGCTTTCAGGCGTGCTGAGAATTCTGTGTCCTGATCTGGACGGTGGATACGTAGGTGAAGACATGTATAAAAAGCCATCAGGCTGTGCACATAAGATTGAGAAGTTTACTGCGTGTAAATTATGTATACCTCGATGGGAAAGAAAAGCAAAAATTAAAAAATTGAGAATTATGAGTTTTGTCTGATTTCTATAAAAAGAATTATGAATTATATCTCAGTTCCATTTTAATAAACTTAAAAATCTGTGGGAAATGAATGACGTTTTAGGGAAATGTTACCTATCAATCCCAACTCCAGAAGAGAGAGAAATTTTAAACAGATCAATTACTGTAGAAAAACGTTGTCCCAAAATTGCCATGGCTGCTCTCCCCCACCACAAGAGGAAAGAAACAGAAGATGCATCAGGCCAAGCCAGTTTCATGGGAAAATTCTACCAGATCTTCAAAGCGCAGATACTTTGAGCACTGTGTAAACCAGTTCAGACTGTGGGAAAAGGAGGGGAAGGCATTCTGGAAGTGTTGTATTGACACCAACAACTGCAAAGGCCTTACAAGCCTGTGTGTGTGTGTGTGTGTGTGTGTGTGTGTGTGCGCGCGCGCGCGCGCGCGCGCGTCTGTGGGTGTGTGTGCGTGTGTGCACGTGTGTGTGTGTGCATGCACGCGCATACGTGTATCAGTGTCATTGTTAACATGTCACGAGTGAAATTCAACAGCAGGTTGAAATACATCATATGCAGTAAGATTTATTCCAGGACCAGCCTGTCAGCTTGATTTTAGGATATCAATTTATAGAATACCCTCTTCATGGGGGCGTTTGACAAAATCCAACACTCAGCCTTGATTAAAAACTCTTAATAAAATAGGAATATATGGGTAATTTCTCACTGTGATAGAAAATACCTATTTGAAAAAAAAGGTCATGTGCTGTAAATAAGAAAGTATTGGCTTCAGCTCCAGTGAAGCCACAGGCCACCTAAGGATGTCCAGTATCACAACTGTGATTTCGTATTATTCTGGAGATACTAGTCATCCAAAGTAGACAAGGGAAAGAAACCCAAGGTATCAATATTGGGAAGGAGGAGGAAAATTGGAAAATCGTCCCTCTTTGCTGCTGATAAGATTATGTGCCAAGAGAATCAACTGAGAACTGCTGCTGTCGGTCGGAATTTAGTGAAGGGGGCGGGAAACAAAAATTTAAAATCACGTATACAAAGATAAGTTAGAAAGAAGAAGAAAAGGCTGGGCGCGGCGGCTCACGCCTGTAATCCCAGCACTCTGGGAGGCTGAGGCAGGTGGATCACTTGAGGTCAGGAGATCGGGACCAGCCTCACCAACATGGTGAAACCCCGTCTCTACTAAAAATACAAAAATTAGCTGGGCTTGATGGCGTGCACCTGTAATCCCAGCAACTTGGGAGGCTGAGGCAGGAGAATCGCTTGAACCTGGGAGCTGCAGTGAGCTGAGATGACACCACTGCACTCGAGCCTGGGTGACACAGCGAGACTCTGTCTCAGAATATATATGTATATTTATGTATATATTTTTATATTTTATATATATAGTGAAAAAAAGCAAGGTACCAAATGATGTGTAGGACATCTTACCATTTTTGTTAAATAAAATGAAGTGTGGTGGGAGGAAGAACATAGACATGTTGCTGGCATGCGCACCAGCAGCCTCCGGAAGGAACATATGCTCAAACCTCAGAACGTTGGCTGGCTGAGAGTCGGGGGCCTGGGGCGCTGGGGTTGGAAGTTGGGGACAGGCTGCTCAGGGCATGGGCATCCGTGTTTGTTGTCTGAACTGTGGATCTTTCTTTTTAATGGACCCATGATAATTGTATATATTTATGGGGTACATAGTGATGTTTCAGTACATGTAACATATGGTGATTAGATCAGGGTAATTAGCATATCCTGCCCTGTTGCACACTGTGCACCCCCTGCCCCAGTGCCTTTTTTCCCAGGCTCCTGCTGGCCCCCAGCCCAGGGGGTGTTGTCCCCCTCACATCATTCCACCCTGGGTGTCTGGCAGGCTTTGCAGCTTCACTGCTGGGGGCCTCCGGCTGCCGTGGTACCTGCTGGCACCTGTCCTTCCCTCCCTGAGGCCACACTGCCCTTCCTCCTCCCTTCGTGACGGAGTGAGCTGGGCTTTGGAGTGGGTCAGGACTGGTGGGAACAAGGTTCTGACTTGGGCCAGGGGCAGGATTTACCTCCCTAAACCCATCGGATCCTGTCCATGAGACACCCCAGGAGTGGTGAGGGGCGTCTCTGGGTGGGCCTTCCTTAGCACCCCCGGGCCCTGGAGCTGGTGCCTACGTAGCCCCTCAGCCTGCGCCAGCCTGCCTGACCAGGCCCCCGTCTGTGCCCTGCTCTTCCTTGAGCCCGCAGTCCGTTCTGGCTCCTGGCCTCCCCACCGTCTGCTGCCCCTGATGCCTCCCACCCTAGGTGTGTAGGGGCGAGTTAGAATCCACACTCCTGGCCGGGCACACCGGCTCACGCTTGTCATCCCAGCACTTTGGGAGGCGGAGGCGGGTGAATCACCCGAGGTCAGGAGTTCGAGACCAGCCTGGAGAACACAGTGAAACCCCATCTCTACTAAAATACAAAAAATTAACCAGGCGTGGCAGCACGCGCCTGTAGTCCCAGCTACTCAGGAGGCTGAGGCAGAAGAATCACTTGAACCTGCGAGGTGGAGGTTGCAGTGAGCCGAGATTGTGCCACTGCACTCCAGCCTGGGTGACAGAGCGAGACTCCATCTCAGAAAAGAAAAACAGAATCCAGGCTCCCTCCCGGGCGGTGCAGCATCTCACGCTGTTCTGTAGAGGAATTGGAAGTAGCGGAATAAACGACGGCTTGTGGCTGTTAAACCAAACCGACGGCAGCGTTGGAGCGTGCTCTCTCCCCAGCTGCGTGTCCACTCTCCAGAGACTCTCACATGCACCCCACACACCTCACCGTGAGCCTGTGCATCTGTTGCTATTCAGGAGATGGAAGTGACAAAAAAATGAGAGAACTTGAGTTTGCAAAGTTAGAGTGCTGTCTGGCCTGGCAGCTTCAGGCTTCCAGGAGAGAGGTCTCTCCCGCAGCTCCCAGCCCAGGGCGGGGGTGCTGCCAGGGGTGGTCTCAGGGGCCTGGGCTGGGGTTCCCCACACACCTGGGTGCGCTCGTGTCTGCTGACCCTCTATCCTTTGCTTTCTCCTAGCTGGAGATGGAGCTGAAGATGCTGAAGTCTCAGTCCAGCTCTGCCGAACAGAGCTTCCTGTTCTCCAGGGAGGAGGCGGACACGCTCAGGTACGTCCCCCAGAGAGGAGGCGGACACGCCCAGGTGTGTCCCCCAGAGAGGAGGCGGATACGCCCAGGTGTGTCCTGCGGGGGAGGAGGCAGATACGCCCAGGTGTGTCCTGTGGGGGAGGAGGCGGATACGCCCAGGTGTGTCCCACGGAGGAAGAGGCGGACGTGCTCAGGTGTGTCCTGTGGGGTGGGGGGAGGTGGGCACGCTCATGCGTGTCCCCCAGGAAGGAAGTGGACATGCTCAGGCGTGTCCCCCAGCGGGGAGGTGCGCACGCTCAGGTGTGCCCTTTCCAGAGGAGGGGAGTGCGGGAGACACGTCCACCGGCAGCCTCCTGTCCCCCTCTCCAGGCCGTGACCTTCTCTGTGTGCTCCCCCGTGGGTGGCTGGAGTAAAGTCTTGCTCCTCTGCTGCCTTCCTGGAAGGGCTTTTCTTTGTAAGTCCCATCCCATCCACCTAGGTTCCTCTCTGCAGGGACACTCGTCTCTGCTGGTGTGGCCCTTTCTTCAGCAGCACTTCTCCAGCCAGCACTGACAGCAGGGGTCTCTCAGTGTCCCTGACGCTCAGAAGGGAGCAGGTCCTCCATCAGGGGGCGGCGCTGGAGCCGGGTCTGCAGCCGCAGGGGCTGCATGGCAGTGCTGTGCCGAGATGGCTGCACGGGAGTGTGGCTCAGAGCAGAGCCCAGGCAGTGCAGCAGCCAGGCGTGTCCAGCAGCCCTTGGGCTCCGCTTCAGACATGCTGCCAGCTCTCTGCCACTGCACTGTCCTAGGCCACCCTCACCCCAGCTCCTGCTTGCACACGGCGCCCCTAGAGCAGGGTCTGCAGGCCGGGCTGCTTTTCTAGAGCTCTCTGCCTCTCCCCCGCCTTGTGGACCCATCAGGGTCCTCAGGCAAGAGGTTTCCAGGCAGATGCAGGTGGAGCTCCGGGCTCCGCTTTGGTGCCTGTGTTGGCGCTGCCCCATCCAGTGCGGATTGAAAGTGGCTGTGGGGCAACCCGAGTATCCTGCCAGAATCCAATGTGGGAGGCGGTGGCTGTGGGCACAGGGTGGGGTGGCAGGAGGCCCATGGCTTTCCTGCATTGGCCACTCCTCTGCTCTGAGTGTCTGCAGCAGGCCAGGCCCTGGGCATCCAGGGTTTCTCCTGGTCATCAGAGGAACTGAGAACAGGGGACTGAGACAGCTCCAGGGGACATCAAATGGCCCTGCAGTGAGATGGGGGTGGCAGTGGGGAGAGAGCACCCTTCCTAGGCCACACAGCTTTGGTGTGTGGGCCCCTGGACCCCCCGCGGCAGCAGCCTCTGCTTCGTCCGTCACACCCACTCCCTGGGGTTCCAGTTTTCACCTGTGGATGGCCCCTCTTTCTCAGGGTTGCCGAGAGTAAAGCAGGAAAAGGGCTGCCTTTAGTGTGGCCCCGGCCCAGGAAGTGCTCTGCACATGGCAGCTATGATGCCTTCTAGATTCGATGTTCCTCCAGCGTCTCTGAAGCATTCCTCATGCATGGGCTGTGCCTTACACATCGCCCTCTCTGGGATCTGCCGGAGTCTGAGCGGTTTCATTTACATCTGCTCAGCCGTTCAAGTGTTCAGATACTGAGTGTGTGCCGTGGCGTCCTTAGGGCCGAGCATGGAGGCTGATGGAGTGGTGAGTGGGCCCCGACGCGCTCTCCGTCTTCATCTGCGTCTCCATGTCTCGGGGACCTGGGGGCCATTCTTCACCTAGAGGCTCTGTCGTTACAGCCTGTGAGGTGCACGTGGTCCTGTGACAGTGGATGTCTCCCCCTGGAAGTGCGTCTGCGTGTGGTCTTCGGGTTGATGGGGTTGGGGGCTGTGTGTGAGTGTGGGTGTGGGGTGGGGGAAGCTGGAGACCGGGCAGGTGCCATGGTGAGCATGCAGTCTCTTTCCTAGCAGCAGTGGGAGGCACTAGAGGCTTTAAAGTGGAAGAATGTGACTGGAGAAAGCACTGGCTGCCAGGCCTGGGGAGGGGAAGGAGAGTGGCAGAGGGGCCGTCCCCACCACCTGCTCACCAAGCATTGGTGCTGGGAGCCCCTCCGAAGCCGGAGTTGGCTTTTCCTTTGCAGAGATGAGCAAAATATGCCTCCCACACACACCCTGACTTGCAAGAGCAGCCCCACCTGGGGAGAAAGACCCTTGCCACACAGAGCAGCGGGCCTGGAGGCCTCGGAGAGGGGGTAGTGTGTAGTGAGACAGAAGGAATGGCCCAGAAGGGCAGCCCAGGCAGGTCAGGAGCTCACCAAGGCCAAGGCTGGATGACGTGCCAGACAGGCTTCAATGTGTGTCTGCAGTGAGAGGGGGAGCTGGGACCAGCAGCAGAGGCCACACCTTGTCATCATGGAGAAAGGGCCTCTGGAGGCACGCGGGCGCAGGGGGAGAGGCCGTGCACAGCAGCGCATCGGGAAGGTCTGGGCTGGTGTGGCTGGTGCCTGACCCTGCAAGGTCCTGAATGCCACGCGAGGCAGGGTGGTCTCCACCGTTGTCCTCCAGTCCCCAGGAGCCACGTGGGAGGTGGTGGAGTAGGTTCTTAAATCTGGGGAGTTGCAGCTGTGGCTTCCAGCATCTGTGAAGGTTTCAGGAAGGTCAGCGTGTCCCGGCCCGTGGCTGCCCACGCAGGAGCCTGCGTCACGCTGCACGGCTCCCCGCTCTCTGAGATGGCACTCTGCTTTCTGCTGGGCCTTTTGGCACCTAGAACCTCTCGTTCTGCAGTTGATGGGAGCATGGCCAGGCGTGTGTCAGATTTGTGTGGGCTGGCATGCTTGGGGTTTATTCATTTTTACAATTTAAGAAAAGGCCTTTATCATTGATATCTTTTACATCAAGGTCAAAGCTTCTCGTCCCCACCATTTTGTTTGGAGCCCTTCAGCCTGCCACTGCACTGTGGGAGCCCCTCTCTGGGCTGGCCGAGGCCGGAGCCGGCTCCCTCTGCTTGCGGGGAGGTGTGGAGGGAGAGGCGCAGGCAGGAACTGGGGTTGCGTGCGTGGTGCTCACAGGCCAGTGCGAGTTCTGGGTGGGCGTGGGCTTGGCGGGCCCCACACTCCGAGCAGCTGGCCAGCGTTGCCGGCCCCGGGCAGTGAGGGGCTTAGCACCTGGGCCAGCAGCTGCGGAGGGTGCACTGGGTCCCCCAGCACTGCTGGCCCATCTGCGCTGCAGTCGAATTCTCACTGGGCCTCAGCCGCCTCCCCGTGGGGCAGCGCTTGGGACCTGCAGCCCGCCATGCCTGAGCCCACACCCACCCCCAGCCGTGGGCTCCCACGCAGCCCAGCCTCCCCGACGGCGCGGCCCCCTGCTCTGCGGCGCCTGGTCCTATTGACCACCCAAGGGCTGAGGAGTGCAGGCGTGTGACGTGGGACTGGCAGGCAGCTCTGCCCCCAGCCCGGCGTGGGATCCACTGTCGGAAGCCAGCTGGGCTCCTGAGTCCGGTGGGGACTTGGAGAAATTTTATGTCTAGATAGAGGATTGTAAATGCACCAATCAGCAATCTGTGTCTAGCTAAAGGTTTGTAAACGCACCAGTCAGTGCTCTGTGTCTAGGTAATCTGGTGGGGACTTGGAGAGCTTTTATGTCTAGCTAAAGGATTGTAAATACACCAATCAGCACCCTGTGTCTAGCTCAAGGTTCGTAAATTCACCAGTCAGCACTCTGTGTCTACCTCAAGGTTTGTAAATGCACCAATCAGCACTCTGTGTCTAGCTAAAGGTTTGTAAACGCACCAGTCAGCACCGTGTCAAAACAGACCAATCAGCTTTCTGTAAAATGGGCCAATCAGCAGGAGTGGGTGGAGCCAGATAAGGGAATAAAAGCAGGCTGCCAGAGCTAGCAGCGGCAACCCGCTGGGGTCCCCTTCCACGCTGTGGGAGCTTTGTTCTTTCACTCTTCGCAGTAAATCTTGCTGCTGCTCACTCTTTGGGTCCGCACTGCTTTATGAGATGTAGCACTCACCACGAAGGTCTGCAGCTTCACTCCTGAGGCCGGCAAGACCACGAACCCACTGGGAGGAACGAACAACTCCAGACGTGCTGCCTTAAGAGCTGTAACACTCACCATGAAGGTCTGCAGCTTCACTCCTGAAGCCAGCAAGACCACGAACCCACCAGAAGAAAGAAACTCCGAACATGTCCGAACATCGGAAGGAACAAACTCCAGACACACCATCTTTAAGAACTGTAACACTCACCATGAGGGTCCACGGTTTCATTCTTGAAGTCAGTGAGACCAAGAACCCACCAATCTCGGACACAGGAGGACCAGGGATGGTCCTCACACACACATGCACAGCCACACATGTGTGCCTGCTCTTGCCCAGATGCACACTCACATTTTCACATCCATTTATTTGTTGTATGTGAATGACATGTATCACATAGCATCGTTTTTCAACACTGAAGCTAGAGAGAGCGTCGGTGGGGATTTTTAAGAGGCAGCAGCTGAGGAGCCCTTTCAGCCAGAACAAATCTGAGCCCGTCCTCTCTGCTGTCAAATAGCAGCTCTAGCAAATCCTAAATGTTGCCTGTAGATTCAGCAACTGGTTAGACGCTTGCTAATTCCAGAGGCTTGCCTATCTGTGCCAGTGCCTGCTAGTCACACTCGGACCCTCGCTTCCCGGCCGTGTGATGTCTTCTGGGTCCCGGGAGGTGCTGGGGGCCCTGGAGACGCCGGCCTGCCTCAGGGGACGAGAGGTGACCCATGACCCCACTCACCCGAGGTCCCCACTCTTCAGGACACTCTGTGATCTCCACTCACACCCCAGGGACCCAGTGCCCAGGCCCACGTCCTTTCCAGAGGGCCAGGTGCTAGACTTTTAATGTTCTTTTGTAGAAATTATCATCTTTCATCCAACAAATCTCCATTAAACACCGCTGCTCTAAGTCCCCTCATGAAACTACATAGAGGTAACTGGAAAGACAGTCCCTGCCTGCCAAGCTTCTAGGGCAGTGGGTTGATCTTTGAGCTCACCGTGCCCAGCCCAGGCCGCCAGGGAGAGTTCAGCCTGGGAAAGTGGAACTGGTTTTCCCTGGTTCTGTCCTGTTCTGCAGCCGCTCCTGCTGCCCACCGTGGAGAACCTGCTGGCTGGGCCGGGTCTGGAGTACAAGTGATTGGTCCCATTGGAAGGGCAGCTGTGGCTGGAAAGAGGTCACCCTCAGATGCTATGGTCCCAGGTGGGAAGGCGTGGCCCCGAGGGGGCCTGGTGATGGACTGCCCAGCCCATCTGGGGATCAGGAGCCCAGGGCAGGACCTGGGGAGCCTTTGTGGCCTCATTCTCCCTCCCCCGAGCAGCTTCAGGAGCAGGCTGAGGCAGCCAGGTCAACAGGGTGAAGGCTGGTGAGCTGCCTCCACCTGGCTGGGCAGCACTGTCAGCAGGCCCGTGACCACCAGAGCTGTCCCCAGCCCACTGCCTGGCTGCCGGTAGCGACAGCGGCCCCTGCGCCTGGGCTCTGCAGGTGGTGCCGGTGACCACAGCCAGTGAAGGCAGGTGCGCTCCCCAGGTCCGGCCTGCAGCTTGGGTCCTCAGGGCCCTGCCTGCCTGGGTCCTGTACCCCGGACCTGCTTCTTTCTCTCCGAAAGCCTGCCCACCTCCCCTGGTCCCCTGGTCCCCAGCATCCTCAGGTTACCCGAACACTCTGGCCGGGGCCTGCTCTGTGCGCTGCATTGGGCACTCCAGGCCTTTCCTTCTGGCGTCTCACGCCCTTCCGCTCTTGAGAGCTTTCCTGGCTCTGTTCACTGATCATTTCCTCTCCTCTGTTTTCTGTGTCTTCTTTCTGAAACTGTTACTTGGATGTTGGATTTTCGAATAGTTTTCTCTCTCTTAAATCTTTTTGATCCTATTTTCCTTATTTTTGTCCTACCTTCTGTATTTTCTCAGCTTTGTTAACCTGTTCTTATTTTATTTGTTGCTATACTCTTCGTTTCCTGAGAGTCTGTTTCTGTTCTCTGAGGATTCTTTTATGTATAAAGCATCCTGTCAGTGTTCATGAGTGCAGTGGGGTCACTGTGTCTTTGATGTTAATAATAGTGCTTTTTGGAGTTTTCTTCTCCTAGTGAACCCTGTTCTCTGTTGCTCTAAGTTGCTGTTTTTCTGCCAGTGTTGGACCTTACTCTTTTCTTTCTGGATGATTTCCTTAAGCGTTTGGTGGTCCCAGCTGCCTGTGCCAGGGTGGGTTTGCCCTGTGCTTCTCCGAGGAATCCGGCTGGGTCTTCCACTGGGGAGCCCTTGGGAGGGGCCTCTGATCTTTCCTCTCCAGCCTGGGTGACTCTGGCGTGGGGGCCTGTGCTGCCAGCTCCTGGGGGCTGAGCAGGGAAGTGTGTCGCCAATGCAGGACTCCTCTTGCGGTGGGGCACCCTGTCCGTGCCTTACCTAAGGGCCTGTCTCAGCCCGGAGATCTTATGCAGGATGTGCAGAGTGACATGCAGGCTCCTGCCCTTCACTCCCAGAAGCAGAAGCCAGCAGAGTGCCCTGTCCCCGCCCAGCAGCATCAGCGTGGCCCCTCGGGGAGCGCGTCTCCTGCCCCAGCCTTCAGCAGCCGGCACTGCTCCTGTGTCTGTGCTGGGCAGGGTCAGCAGGGCTGATGGCAGGGACCTTGGTGCCATTCAGCAGAGGCAGGCCCAGCTCTGGCTCTCTGGTCCAGTAGTGTTGCCATGCCCAACAGGGATCGGAGCCTACACCTCACCCAGCACCGAGGCAGAGCAGGATGTGGAGGGGGGTCTTCAACCCCCAGGACCCCATGTCAGAGGCTCAGCAGGGCCTTCCCCACACCCTGCAGCAGGGAGGCTGCCGCTGCCCTTCATGCCTCCTGTCCGTGGTGGTGGCGAGACAGGCAGGGGCCCAGCTCGCACCCCCCTGTCTGTGGTCCTCGTGTGTGGGGTACACATTCCCGCTCTAGGGGCTGAGCTCGTACCCAGCTGTCTGCGGCCCTCGTGAGCAGGTACACATTCCCCACTGTAGGGGCCCAGCTCGCATCCACCCTTCCGTGGCCCTCGTGAGTGGGGTACGCATCCCCACTCTAGGGGCCCAGTTCACACCTGCCTGTCTGTCGCCCTTGTGAGCAGGTGCACGTCCGCACTCCGCGTGTACCAGGATGGTGTCCGCCAGGTCTGTGCGGTGGCAGAACTCCCACTCTGCCCCCAGGTCTGGCACTCCTAGATGTACACAAGCCAAATAACAGTTAGAAAACCCAGGACGCAGAAGTGTCTGGGATGAACAGAGAATCGGGCAGATCTACATTTACAGTTGAGAACTCACACCTCAGCCTCCACGACTGACGGAACTGAGTGTCCTCATCAGCCCGCAGGACCTAATCAGTGTCTGTGGAACACCCTGTCCGAGAGCAGAGGACTCTTGCCTCTGCATTCACCTGGGACAGTCACAACAGATCACATCACGGGTCATCAAAGAGACCCCAGTAAATTCGAAAGAATCGAATTCACTCAGACTGTGTGCTCTGAGTGTAATGAACCCAAACTAGATGTCAGTAACAGAAGAACAACAGGGAAGTCTCTAAGCATTAGGAGATTAGCAACACATGTCTGCATTGCCCGTGTGGGGGAGGAGGTCTCCCGGTACAAATAAGTACACTGGGCAATAATGGAAATACACACATCTAAGTAAGTGGGGTCCAGCTAGACCGGTGCTGAGAAGGAAGTACGTCATGCTCAGTGTTCACGTTGAGAAAGAGGAATGGTCTCTTAATTTATGTTCCTATCTCAATAACCTGGAGAAAGGAGAGTGGAATAGCCCAGAGCAAGCATGGATGAAGGAAATAACATGAGCAAAAAGCAATGAAATTAAAAAAAAAATAGAGAAAATTATTAAAACAATAAGTTCTGGCTTTTTTGGAAAAAAAATTCAATAAAATTGACAAATCTCTAGCAAATTTGACAAAAATAAAAAGACACCACCAAAATCATCAATATCAGCAATGAAATAGGGGCCATCACTACAGGCCCTGTAGCCATTAAGCAGAGGGTGTTATGCCACAAACAACTTGAAGCAGCGGACTCACTCCTCAGAACCCACAAGCCACCAGACTCGACCAAGATGAAATAGGTTATCTGAATAATCTTGTAAACTATTTTTTTAAAAAAAATTGAAGTCATAAAGATGCGAAGGATATCCCTAGGCCCAAATGGTTTCCCTAGAGAAATCTACCAAACAGTTAATAATTAAGATCAATTTGACACAGAAAATTGAAGAGATTGCTAGGGTTTAGGCACGGGGGTGCATGTGTGTACAAAAGGACAGCGGGGCGAGCCTTCCGGTGTCAGGACAGGCCTGTGTCTGGATGGCAGTTGTGGGCGCACACATCCACACATATGACAGATCACGTGGGAGTAGACATGGAGGGAAGTGTCTGTGAGCTGGCGGCAGGCGAGCAGTCTCTGGATTGTACCCATGTTAGTTGTCCCGTTTTTGATATTGCTGTTTAAGTTGTTACCATCGAGGGAGATTGGGTAAAGAGGACACGGACCTCCTTGTACGTTTCCCACAAATTGCTGTGAATCTGTGATGAGGTCTTCATTCTGTTTTAAAGGTCTCCAGCCAGCCCTGCAGTTCCAGCGCTCCCTCCTCCCTGCTTCCGGAAATTGTTGCTGGGGTGGGTATCCCTGAACCTGGGGAGCTTGTGGTGTCAAAGCTTCTTGGCTGTTCCATTGCTGGCGTGGGATTCAGCTTTTCTGGGGTCGTTTGCCACTCATCTGTCTGGAAGCTTTCCAGCTTCCATTTTAAAGGCTATTTGATGCTGTGCCTTCTTTTCTTTGTCTTCAGGTAAATGCCTCAAAAAAAGTAAGCAAAACCTTTACCCTTGTTTTACCGGGATTTTGAGAGAGATTACACTTAAGTGCACGTGTTCAAGCTACCGTCTTTAACTGAAGTCTTTGATGATTTTTCCGTTTATATAATATATATTTTAAGTGAAACACACATCATTTGCATCCTGTTTCTCCACTATATATTATAACATAAACACTTCCCCATGTTTTTATAGGTTTTTGTAAGTCTTAATGTATAGTTGATTAACCCCTTTTGGAGCTTGAGTGGTTTCGCGTTTTCACCTAGTGAGAATGAAGGTGAACTGTTGGCCATGTTTTGACTTCTGTGCGAGAGAATTCTGTGTGTCTGGAAAGACCAACTGTAGCCTGTAGGAGCCTGGCTGCACTGAGAAATCCCATCGCTTGTGTTTCTTACTGGTGACGGCAACAGCCCCCAGCAGCAGCGGTGGCCATGATTGCAGTGAGAGGCAAGTGATGTTTGTGCGGGGCTCACTGTGGGCCCCGCATGGCACTGCGTGCATCTCCACGTTGATCGAGTTCTAACTGCGGGCCTGAGACGGGGTTTAAGGATATTCACTGTATTGAGGTGGAACTCGCACACCGAAGGGCTGGCTGTGGGCCCCGGGTGGCACTGCATGCATCTCCACACTACTGAATTCTAACTGCAGGCCTGAGAAGGAGTTTAAGGATATCTACTGTATTAGCGCAACTCGCACACAATGGAAGGGATTCATTTAAACCTGAGTTCATGGTCGGCGAGTACCAAGGGCGGGCGGTGGTACCCTTATCCGGGGAGCAGGTCATAGAGGCTACATTATCTTCAGAGTTTTAAAACAATAAGTAAATAAAAGTGGATGCACTTCTTACCACCACATGCCTGCAGTTCTAAAGAATGCCAGCAATGATCTACAATTCTACCACCATTCCCCCACCAGATGCCACCGTCACGTCTCAATAGATGTATGCACAAGCATGCAGCCACCACAGTAAGATATAGGACACAGCCCAGCAGGTGTTTAAATTTTTTACTTTTAAAATTATATAATAGGCTGGGCATGGTGGCTCACGCCTTTTATCTCAGCACTTTGAAAGACCAAGGCCGGCAGATCACCTGAGGTCAGGAGATTGAGACCAGCCTGGCCAACATAGCGAAACCCCGTCTCTACTAAAAATGGAAAACTTAGCTGGGCGTGGTGGCGCGTGCCTGTAATTCCAGCTACTTGGGAGGTTGAGACACGAGGATCACTTGAACCTGGGAGGTGGAGGTTGCAGTGAGCCGAGATCGTGCCACTGCACTCCAACCTGGGTAACAGAGTGAGACTGTCTCAAAAAAAAAAAAAAAAAAAAAAGTAAAAATTAAAATTATATAGTAAAATTAACTTTTTTCTTATAGGATACAGCTCTATGAACTCTAATCACCCTGTAATCAGAGTGCAAAATAACATCAACCCTTCAGGAATCCTCCATGGTCCCCCTTTCCATTCACCCAGCCACACAGGGACCTCCCGGCAGCTGCACATGTCTGCTCAACTCTGCGGCTCGGCTTTTTCCAGCCCAGTCCTACAACATGCAGTCTTTTGAGACTGGCTCCTTTCATTCAGCACAACGCCCTCGAGCGAGATCCATCCAGGTTGTTTGTGTATAAAAGTCAGTTCCTTTTTCACTTAGGTAGCTTTCTCATAAATTTTGAGGTCAGGAGCTATGAGTCTCCCTGGTGGTGGTTCTTTTTCAGGGGGTTTGACTCCGCTGACGGGTAAACAGTGGGCAGTCTTCTTCTCCCTGACACAGATGGCTTTACATTTACTTAGGTTTTCTTCCATTTCTTTTAGCAATGTTTGGCAGTTTTTAGGGTACAAATCTTATGCCTCCTTGGGTAAATGTATTGCAGAGTGTTTTGTTCTTTTTGATGCTGTTATGAATGGAATTGTTTTCTTGATTTCCTTGTCAGATTGCTTGTTCCTAATACAGGGAAATACAACTGATCTTTTGTGTGTTGACTTTGTATTTTGCAACTTTGCTGATTTTGTTTATTGACTAGAACAGGTTATTTGCAGCTTCTTTAGGGTTTTCTGTAGCCTGGCATCTGCAAAGAGAGAGAAGTAGTTTCACTTTTTCTTTTCCAATTTGGATACAATTTATTTCTTTTTCTTGACTAATTGTTCTGGCTATGTTGAATAGAAGCAGCAAAAGCAGACATTCTTGTCTTGTTCCTGATTTAGGGGAAAAGCTTTTAGCCTTTCACCATTGAGATTGACATAAGCTATAGGTTTTTTGTTTTATTTATTTATTTATTATTTTTGAGGTGGAGTTTCGCTCTGTCACCCAGGCTGGAGTGTAGTGGCACCATCTTGGCTCACTGCAACCTCTGCCTCCCGGGTTCAAGTGAATCCTGCCTCAGCCTCCCGAGTAGCTGTGATTACAATCATGTGCCACCATGCCTGGCTAATTTTTGTATTTTTAATACAGATGGGGTTTCATCACGTTGGCCAGGCTGGTCTTAAACTGCTGACCTCAGGTGATCCACTCACCTCGGCCTCCCAAAGTGCTGGGATTACAGGCGGGAGCCACCACACCTGGCCAACAGTCGATTTTTTGAAAAGATGGAATTGCCACACTGTTTACCAGATTCAATAGGCAAGTTGCGGAAATTGGACGGAGAGTTCTCATACCCTCTTCACCCGGTTTCTCTCGCTGTTGACATCTCACGCTGCCATGGTGCTCGTCACCGGCGTGTGACTCTGGGCCTGTCTCCAGCCCTTGTTTGGATCCACCAGGCTTTCCTGCATGTTGCAGCCAGGGCACCGTGTTGATTTTAGTCGTCACATCTCTTCTGCCGCTGGTCGGTGACAGTTTTGTCTTTCCTCGCTTCTCCTGACCTCAGTATGTTTAGGAGTCCCTAGAACGCCCCCGAAGCGAGCTTGTGTGATGTGTTTCATTGTTAACCTGAGATGGTGGTTTTTGGAAGGAAGATCACAGACGACAAGTCCTTTCTCACCACGTCCCATCAGGGAGCCCCTGACATCCACGCAACAGCAGGTGGACCTGACCGCTGGACTGAGGCGTTGACAGCGGACCTGACTGCCGGACTGAGGCGTGGACAGTGGACCTGACCGCTGGACTGAGGCGTTGATGGTGGACATGACCGCTGGCATTGACGGTGGACCTGACCGCCGGACTGAGGCATGGACAGTGGACCTGACCGCTGGACTGAGGCATTGATGGTGGACATGACTGCTGGCGTTGACGGTGGACCTGATCGCCGGACTGAGGCATGGACAGTGGACCTGACCGCTGGACTGAGGCATTGACAGTGGACCTGACCACTGGACTGAGGTGTGGACGGTTGACCTGACCACCAGACTGAGGCGTTGACAGTGGACCTGACCGCTGGACTGAGGCGTTGATGTGGACAAGACCGCTGGTGTTGACGGTGGACCTGACCGCCGGACTGAGGCGTCGACGGTGGACCTGACCGCCGGATTGAGGCGTGCTCTGCCGGGTGCCTCGTCCGCGAAGCTGTTTGCACTTTCTCCAGTCTCTTCCTTGGAAGCGAATCCCTCAGGGCACAGGCGACGCTCCCCCTCTGGAGGGATGAGTTCTACATGTATGATGTGGAGTTCTGTGAGGGAGGTGTCTCCTCTTCCCCATTTATTCACTTCTTCATTTATTACCAGCAGTGTGGACTGGAGGGAGTTTGCCACGTGCTCTGTGTTCTGATCTGGTGCACGCACCAGGACTTGTTTATTACCAGCAGTGTGGACTGGAGGGAGTTTCCCGCGTGCTCTGTGTTCTGATCTGGTGCACGCACCGGAACTTGTTTATTGCCAGCAGTGTGGACTGGAGGGTGTTTGCCGTGTGCTCTGTGTTCTGATCCGGTGCATGCAGCGGGACTTGTTTCGCTGCGTGATCTCCCCGCGGCCGGCCGCGCCCTGCTGTGCCCCGTCATTGGGTTTTCTGAGCCCTTCCTCACTCTCTGGCACCACAGGGTGCTCCAGACTCACCTCGTGTCCTCTGCCCCAGCTTTCCAATCATCCGTTCCTCCAGGGAGCCCGGAGCCTTCTCTTGGCAGCACAGTCCTGAGCAGCCCAGGTCAGGGTCTGGGTATGCCTGTGGCTCCTGGGACGGCACTGCTTCTACACCCTCCCGCCAGCTGCCTTTACCGTAGTGTTTGCGTGCTGTAAATATTTCTGTCCTTTTACTTGCAGCGTACCTGTACCCGTTCTTTGAGTTTCTGTATACATGATGTCATCGGGTCAGTTTCTAAACCATCATGGCAATCTCTGTCTTTTCATTGCTACCATTTTATTATTTGTTTGTGTGTCTCCTCCATTTTTGTTTTTCCTTTTCATGCTTCCTGCTTTCTGTTGAGTTACTTGAATGGTTTTTAGTATTTCATTTTAATTTAGCAGATGGGCATCTGACTATTTCTCAGTCTGATGTTTTGAGTGTTTGCTCTGGGAATTAGAGTACTTATCACTGCCTACTGAGAATCAGCCTCATCCCACTTGAAGTCACACCTGGAAGCCCCTCCCGGCAGGTCCCTTGCCCTCTCCCTTCCTGCTGTCCCTCTACCTACATGGAAATGCCACAGGTTTTGTTTTCAGTCATACAGTGTTTTGAAAAGGGCAGTAAGAGACCCGGGTATTATCTGTAAGCCCAGATAGCTGCCATCTGTTCCTCCTTCATTGTCGATGCTCCAGGTATCCTTCATGTCCTCTTTCCTTCTGAAGGATTTCCGGCAGCCTCTCCTGGAGAGCAGGTGGCTACGATTCCTCACGGTTTCCCTCGGGTGGGTCCGTCTTTATTCCTCTCGTGTTCCTGAAGGAGCTCTGCCCTGCGCACGCAGCGCGGCCCGCGGCCCTCGCCTCCCAGCACGCCACGATTGCGGCGTTCCTCCTCCTCACCGCGGTTCCTGCCTGGGGAGAGATTTGCAGACGCTCGAATCGCTGTTCCCTTTGAGGTCACACAGTTTTTTTCTGTTTTCACCATTTTTTTTGCCTTCAGTTTTCAGCAGTTTCGTTTGGATGTGTCTGGGTGTGGATTTCTTTGGGTTTATTCTGTTTGGAGTTTGCTCAGCTTCTTGAATCTCTAGGGATTTTTTTTGTTTTTTTTTTTTTTTTGCCAAGTTTGGGATATTTCAGCCATTTATTTCCTTAAATACTTTTTCAGCAATTCACTTTTCTGTGAATTTGCTGAGACCTTTGGGTTTCCGTGTGCTGTGAGAGCGTGCACACTCGTCTGCATGGGCCGTCTTGTGGCCCCTCTCCGCCGCACTTCCCAGATAACCCAGCCCCATCTCCTCAGCCCCAGCAGCTGGAACTGCCTCTCTCCAGGCTGACTTGAAATCTCTGTGGTTCTTCATGTGCCGAGTAATTTGGGGTTATGTCCTGAGCATTGTGAGAAGAGGTTTTGTGTTTAAGTCCTGTGAGAAATGAGAGTGTTTTAGTTTAGCAGTGAGCCGACCTGGGTGGTTTCTAGCCCAGGTCCCAGCGACCTTCTGTGGGGCGCGGTTCCCATCCCAGTTCAGGTTGTGAAGCCTTGGCAGCGCTCCTGGCCTTGGCCTGGGACATTGGCAGTGCCTGTCAGCTTAGCTATCATCAGCTTCAGAGGCCAGTGTGGATGGGACCCAGGCACAGGCCAACCCAGGGACGCCCTCAGCTCTCACCGGCTTCAGATGCCAGTGTGGATGGGACCCAGGCATGGGCCGACCCAGGGATGCCCCCCAACTCTCCAGGACTACGCTTTTCAGTCCTTCCATTCTGTGATCTTCGGGTCCTTTCACGTTTCTGGGTCTCCCCTTTGTGGTCCTCCAGGGACGTGGGGCTCTCTTCGCACCGTCTGTTGCACTTTGCTGGTGTCATGGAGGTTGGGCCCACGCCCGGCCCTGCAGGAGGGAGGACAGGGAGGAAAACGCAGCTAGAGTTTGTCCTGCCCATCTGGAACGACAGCAGCTTCAGACAGAGAGCACGGCTCCTGCCTCAGGCTCCCTGCCGCCACTGCAGCCCTGTGGGCTGAGCCCGTGGTAGTGTGCGAAGAGCAGAGGCAGGGGCCACGGGGGCCGGGGAGTCCATACTCCGAGCAGGGAGGGTCCCACGCTCCTGAAGCTCAGTGGCTTTCTTTTCCGGCCCCCAGGTGAGTGCTGGAGGACTTCGCCTTGAGCTCCTGGTACAGCAGCCTCACCACTGCCTGGATGGTGGCACGAGGTTGAGGTCAGGGGATGCGAGAGAAGAGCCACGATGTTCCCTACCCACCAGTGCGGTGGGCCTTCCAGAGCCGGGCACGTGTCCAGGCATTGTAGCCCTGTCTGTGGGAGAGGAAGGGCAGGCGTGGGCACCCGTCACACTGCCATGTCTGCGCGGCTTTGTCACGTGCTCTCTTTATGACAAACAAGCCTGGAGGGGCGAGGTGCTCCGTGTCAGGACACGCAGCGAGTGTTGGGTTAAGCTGGGCCCCACCCACCCTTGTGTGACCATCTCCAGGGCTGGGGGTCCTACGTACCCCACTCGCCAGCCTCTCTGGTGGGGTTCCCACACCCGTTGTTCAAGGGAAATGGTCATCAATGCCTGCTGTGAGCCAGACACCATGATCAGGGCTGGAAACGTGGAGCTAGCCATTTGATGAAGGGGACAGAGAAGTAAAATGTGAAGTGTGGTGGTCAAGGCCCACTGGGGAGGGGCTGGCGGGCAGTGCAGGGGTCTGGGACCCGTGGGAGGCTGGCCTGGGTGAGGGGCTTCCTGGACTGGATGCTGTCTGCCCGTTGGGCCTCGGGTCTCCCTACTGTCCCCTCTCCAGGCCCCAGGAGCCTCACCTGCGGCACCCAGGCCTCCCGCCCCCATTATGCATCTTTTAGTTCAGCAAAAACAACTAATCATTTTTCTTGCAAAAGTTTCCCCCGTGTGTGATGGGTTTGTTATAAGCAAGATCCCGGCTACCCTCCACCTGCTTTCCACGCACACGCTCGGAGACAGGCACCTGCTTTGATTGGCGTCATCTTCTCGAGGAAAGATCTAGGCTGGCAGCTAATTTATGTAGCGCTCCTCGTGTTTAAAAAAGTTGCAGTAAGTCAATTTCAAGAAGCTTATGCCAGAACTGATTGCTTTGAGCCATTTGAAGGCAAACCAGAATTCTGAGCTTTTGAGCACCATCCCCCCAACTTGTTTATTCGTTTGTTCTCTTTCTCGCTCTCTGTGCGGTAGCAGTTTGTCTGAAAGGAGGGCAGCAGAAGAAAGCGCACCCCTTCGGTGCACAAATGAGCCCGCATGTGGGCTTGCTGTCTGGCGGCGAGGGTGGGTCACGCAGGTCATTCTGTTAACATGGCTGCAGCTACACGCGTGCGCTCATTCCAATTCAGCCCTTGAAAGCATTTTGCTCCCAAGCCTTCAGAATCCATAATATCATTTTAAAAGGGGCCTTTTCATCCAGCGTCTCCCTAAGTCAAGAAGCCCCTGCAGAAGGCAGCTTCTCGGAGATGGCCTTGGAGGCCCCCACCATGTCGTCACTCATCACCTTGGGCAGGTTCACTCCCCTATGAAGCCCTGGGAGGCGAGGGTCAGGAACACCCACCCTGGGCCCTCGGCCAGGCCCCTTACCAGCTCTGTGATCAGGGGCCTCTCAGATGGCTTTCTGAGCCTCAGTCTCCCCTTTACTCAGGCACCAGGACTTCCCTGCTAGATTGATGTGAAGACTGAGGGGGTTGTTTGTAAAGCCACAGCACTTGCGGGGCTCCCAAAACCTCTCCAGGAGGCATCAGCTGGTGCCGGAGGTGTGTGCTAGGTCTCACACTGCACGGCCACCCTGCCGAGAGACGGTGACACTGGGCTGTGCTCAGATGTCTCCCCTGCCGGCGCTCCCTGCCTCAAGAGGAGCGAAGCATTGTTGCTGCAGAAGTACCTTCTAGGCCCATGCTCAGGATGTTGGTGTGAGTGGGAGTGCCCCAGACACCCAGGGAGGGCAGCGCACGGCGTCTGCTGGGATGACAGAGACACTTGCCCCTGGCCAGCAGCCTCGCCTCCGGAAGCATGTCCTGCAGGTGCGCCGTACAAGCAGGAAGCAGATGTCAGAGGTCATTCACTACAGTATGGTTTTTACAGCTTTCCTGAGGTATAACTGGTGTGCAGTAAGCTGCGCGATGTCAAGTGCAGTGTGGTGAATTTGCATGTACACACACATACACCCATGGAGCCGTTACCACATTCATATTCAAGACCCCCAGACATGTGCTCTTGTTTGACAGGAATCCCTCCTCCCTGCCTCCTCTCCCCACCCCAAACCCGCCGACGTGCTTTCCATCACTGTAGATTGGCGGGCGGCTGTCGAGTCTTCTGGGCATGGCGTTGGTCCTGGAGCATGTGGTCTCCCTCTTTTTGCTTCTTCCACGCAGCATGGCTGGTTGGGGGAGAGATCACTGTGCACACAGCTGTGTTGTCTTCACTGCTGAGTTGTGTTCTGTCGTATGGAGACACCAGTTTATACGTTCCCTTGCGATGGACATTTGGAGTTTTTCTGGTTTTTGGCTATTCTGAAACTGCTGGATATTATAAATAAAGTCCCATGTAGAAATCGACTTCGTTTTCTTTCAGGTAAACGCCTAGTGTGGAGTGGCTGGCGGTCACGTGTGTAACGTGTTCCGAGGTTGCCCGTCTTCCAGAGTAGTTGGTGTGCAGCTTCTCCTCACCAGCATGCAGCACAGTCTTTTTCCTTAGTCCCTCTTTTATTTTTTTAAATGTTTCTTTTACAGACAGGGTCTTGCTCTGTTGCCCAGGCTGGAGTGCAGTGGTGGGATCATAGCTGCCTGCAGCCTCTGACTCCTGGGCTCAAGTGATCCTCCCACCCCAGCCTCCTGAGTAGCTGGGACTACAGGTGTGCACCACCACACCCGGCTAGTTTTTTAAAGGTTTTCATTTAGGCTTTCTAATAGGTTGGCAGTCATGTCTCACTGTGGCCTTTTATTTTTTATTTCACAAATGACTAATGATGTTGAACATCTTTTCATTCAGCTCACTTGTCATCTGTAGATCTTCTTTGGTAAAGCACCTGTTTTTTTGTCCATTTTAAAATTTGATTATTTTTCTTACTGTTGAGTTTGGGAGAGCTCTTTATATGTTCTGGATACAAGGCCTTTATCAGATTATTTGCTTTCCAAATATTTTCTCCCAGTCTGTGTCTTGTCTTTTCGTTCTTTCATCAGGTATTTTGAAGAGAAGTTTTTTTATGATAAAGTCCAATTTTTCAATGTTTTCTGTTATATATGATCCTTTGGATATTAGTCCATTTTCATGCTGCTGATAAAGACATACCCGGACTGAGTAATTTATAAAGAAAAAGAGATTGAATGGACTCACAGTTCTACATGGCTGGGGAGGCCTCACAATCATGGCAGCAGGCAAAAGGCACATCTTACATGGTGGCAGACAAGAGAGAATGAGAGCCAAGCCAAAGGGGAAACCCCTTATAAAATCAGATCTTGTGAGACTTATTCACGACCACGAGAATGGTATGTGGGAAACCATCCCTGTGATTCATTATCTCCCACCGTGTCCTTCCCACAATAGATGAGAATGGTATGGGGGAAACCGCCCTATGATTCATTATCTCCCACCACATCACTCCCACAACACGTGAGAACGGTATGGGGGAAACCGCCCTGTGATTCATTATCTCCCACCACAGGCCTCCCACAACACACGAGAATGGTATGGGGGAAACCACCCTGTGATTCATTATCTCCCACCACGTCCCTGCCACAACACACGAGAATGGTATGGGGGAAACCGCCCTGTGATTCATTATCTCCCACCATGTCCCTCCCACAACACACGAGAATGGTATGGGGGAAACCGCCCTGTGATTCATTATATCCCACCATGTCCCTCCCACAACACACGAGAATGGTATGGGGGAAACTGCCCTCTGATTCATTATCTCCCACCATATCCCTCCCGCAACACATGGGGATTATGGGAGCTACAATTCAAGATGAGATTTGGGTGGGGACACAGCCAAACCCTATCAGGTATCATAGCTAAGAAATCTTTGGCTGTCCCAAATTTACAAGATTTTCTCCTGTATTTTCTTTTAATAACTTTGTAACTTTTGGTTCAGGATTGAGCAGGATTTTCATTTATTGTACAAGATTTTAATTCTTTATTTCCCCCAAGAACACCCAGTTGTTCCAGAACCATTTGTTGAAGAGTTTGTCCTTTCTACGCTGAATTGCCTTCATATATTTTTCAAAAATTGGTTGTGTTTGTGCTCCTATTTCTGGACTCTGTTTTGTTTGATCGGTCTGTCTGTCTTGCAGACCAGTACTGCACTGTTGTGATTACTACGGCTTTAACGTAGTTGGTGAAATTAGGTAGCCCCTCCTTTTTCATTGTCAATGTTGTTTTCTCTATTCTAGGTCCATTACATCTCCATATGAATTTTAGAATCAGCTTGCCAATTTGTACAAAGAAGCCTGTGGGATTTTGACTGAGGTTGCTGATTCTGTGGATTAATTTGGGGGAGAAGTGCGTTCCCAACACCCAGAGTCTCCCAGCCTGTGGACAAGGCCTCTCTCTCTCCCTGTGTGGAGGTTGCCCTGGAGCTCTCTTCACAGTGCTCGGAGCTTGTCACGTGCAGGTTTTTCTTGGCCTGTTCCGTTCCATCTCTGTGTATTTCATGGTGTTGGATGCTTTTGTCAGTAGTATTTTCCAGATGACTTTCTGGTGCTGATTGCTAGTTTAATTCCATGATGGTCCTATAACATAGTTAGAATTATGAAATTCCTAAATAGACTGAGCCTTCTTTTATGGTTTAGCATGAGGTCTTCTTGGTACATAGTTCAAGTGCTCCTGAAAAGACTGGGTCTCCTGCTCTTAAGAGTCGAAGCATTTATCCAGGTGAAATAGGTCAAGTTGGCTGATCATGTGGTCCTTGTCCTCCTGATTTTTTGCCCGTTGTTCTATCAGCTATTGAGAGAGGGATACTGAAGTCTCAGATTGTCATTGAGGACCCGTCTATTTCTCCCTGCATTTCTGGCTGGTTTTGCTTCATTTGTTTTGCAGCTCTTTTATTAGCACACACATGTTTAGGATTATTATTTTCCTTTGATTAATCAATCTCTTTATTATTATAAGTTACCTTCTTGGTAATAATATGTGCTCTGAAATTTACTATTTCTGGTATTAGTAGCGTCTCTGGCTTTCTCTTGCTGGTTTTCTTAGTGATGGCATGTTATGTCTTTTTGCATCTTTGTATTTAAAGTGCATTATTGTCAGCGGTGTCTGATTGGGTGTTGCTTTTTAATCCAGTTTGAGTGTCTGCCTTTTAATTGTGGTAGTTAGGCTACTTACATCTAATTTGTTTATGATATAATTAGTTTTGATCTTGTCATTTGACTGTTTTCTACTCATCTGTCTCTTCTTCATTTCTGTTTCCTTTTTTTTTTTTCTTTTTACCTTTTTTCAATCCACTTTGGTATTTTTCTGATTTTGTTTTATTTCCTTTTTTGGCATCTTAGCTATAAGTCTTTGTTATTTTAGGGCTTGCTGTAGGGTATATAGTATACATCTTTAACTTACCACAGCCTACCTTCAAGTGATATTACGTCTTCTCACACACAGTATAATCACCTTACAGCCACAGTGTTGGTTTTTCTCCTCCAGCCTTTATACTGTTGTCATACATTTTATTTATTCTATATATTAAATCCCCAATATATTTTCATTAGTTTTGTTTAATCTATTAATCACTTTAAAAAGTTAATAATTTAAATTTTTTTAAGAGACCTGAATGTAAGAAAGATCCTCCCTAAATGCAGCTGCTGTTCCAGCCCTCCTGGTTCTCCGTGCAGATCTGGGTGTATTTGCCCCGCCCCGCCCTCGTCCTCCCTCACCTGCAGGCCTTACCTGACATTTCTGTAGAGCAGGTCGGCTGATGATGAATTCTTTAAGCTTTCGTGTCTGATCTGAAGGCATCTTTATTTGCTTCTGTTTTGGGAGATGTTTTCACCGTTAAGGTGGCGGTTTTTATTTCTTTCGTTATTTCAGAAATTTCTCCCTCCTCTTTTCTCCGTTGCACTGTTTCTCATGAGAACCCCGCCTTGTGCCTCTGTAGGTACCACCTCTGCCTTTAAGATGGTTTTCCGTGCCGTGGTCCTGAGCAGGCTTGTCCTGATGTGCTCTGGGGCTGCCAGCGTCTTCTTTCCTGGGCCTGTGTTCCTTGCGCTGCCTCGTGTCTGTTGAGCTTTCTACATCTGTGGCTTTATCCTTTCCATTGAAAGTGGAACTTTCTTATAGTATTTGTCCCGTCGCTTCCTCTGCCTTCTTTCTTTTGGGGACTCTCGTTCATGAATTTTATGCCTCATGAAGCTGTCCCACAGCTCAGTGATTCTCTTTTCATTTTTCAGGAATCTTTTCCTCTCTGTGTTTGTTTGCTTATTTATTTGTTTTTGAGACAGGGCCTCGCTCTGTCAGTGCTGGAGTGCACTGGGGTGATCTTGGCTCACTGCAGCCTCCACCCCCTGGGTTCAAGCGATTCTTATGCCTCAGCCTCCTGAGGAGCTGGGACTACAGGGGTGTACCACGACGCCCGGCTAATTTTTTTATTTTTAGTAGAGAAGGGGTTACGCCATGTTGGCCAGGCTGGTTTTGAACTCCTGGCCTCAAGCGATCCAGCTGCCTTGGCCTCCCAAAGTGCTGGGATTACAGGCGTGAGCCACCGTGCCTGGCCTCTGTGTTTTGTTTTTGATAGTTTCTATTGCTGTGCCCTCGAGGACATTAAACTTTTCTCTTACGGATTCTAATCTGTCATTAATCCCATCCAGCATGTTTATCTGACAGGTAGTTTCCACTTCTACCTGTGTCTCTTCCGAGTCTGAACTGTTGCATTTTTCCAGTAGTTTTAACAACTGTCTAAATGTCCCTGTTTGCCAGTGTTGCCGTCTGTGCAATGCTGCGTCTTGGTAGGTATTCGTTGTTTGGTTAATCTCTTCATTATAGGCCGTGTCTTCCTGCTGCTTTAAATGTCTGGTAATCTTTGACTGGATGGCAGGCATTGTGAATTTTAGCTTGTTGTGTTCTAGATGTTTTTGCATTTGTATCAATCTTCTTGATCTTTTTTCAGAGATGCAGTTAGGTTTCTTGGAAAGAGTTGGGTTTCCTCGGGTCTTGCTGTTGTGGTGTGCTGGGACGCCCTGGAGCAGTTCTCAGGCTGGAATAGCTGTCCCTGCTCCTGTCCCTGTGCGGTGTCGAGTAATCTTTCCATCACTACAGGCCTTGACAGACTTTTTTTATTTTTAAACCACATGAATATGTTTTCCATTCAAAATATTAGATCTAGAAATGAAGACAAAACTAGACAGCTTTTTACAGTGAACTAAAACTGGCCCCATTCCGGTTGCGGCCATGGAGGTTTGTTTTGTATTCTATTCCCACTGTGGAGAAGGGAACTCACCATGGGTCGCCTGGAAGCGTGCTTTTGTTTCTCATCTGAATTGTGCCTCTGTGGTCCCCTGTCATCAGCTTCTTCCACACCCCGCAGTAGAAGTCCTTTCCTGTCTTTTCCTCATTTCTGAAGATGTCCCGAGGTTGCTTTCCTGTCCCTCAGTGTCCCCTGCACTCCGCCATCACATCACCCTCTGGGAGTGGCTGACGGACACGGACACACTGACTCCCAGGCGTCCTGCCTCGGGCTGGTTCCCTCTGTGCTTCCAGCCAAGGTGTGGTCGACAGAGACTTTCTCCGCACAGGCTCCTCCAGCTGAGCAGGGGCCGCCACGGACTCCCCCATCCTGTACTTGTGTCGTTTTCCAATTTTCTCTTGATGTTATCGCTGGACTCTGAGAGCTTCACAGATATGTATTTAGAAATAAAGCTGTATAGCTGGGTCTCCTAACCTTTCACCTCCTTATCACCCAGAGGGTGGGACTTCCCCAGCATGGCTGGCCTCGGACACCTGGTCACCGTCTTGCTGTCCTTGCAGGTTGAAGGTCGAGGAGCTGGAAGGCGAGCGGAGTCGGCTGGAGGAGGAAAAGAGGATGCTGGAGGCACAGCTGGAGCGGCGAGCTCTGCAGGTGAGGGCGGGGCAGCCTCTGGGTGAGGCACTGCCTGGGCCTCTCATTTCTTTGGGCGTCGTGAACGACCGTGGTTCCTGCTGCCACAGAACACCCGTTTTCTGGCTCGTCTGTCTGAACTCTCCTCCCTCCCATGTGCACCCCCTTGCCTGGCAGGGAGGCCATGCCGCTGACAGGCCTGCACTGGCTGCCTCTGGAGTCCTCTGCGGCCCGCACCACCCACACGCCTGGTGTCGGTGGAGTGGGCTCTGGGCAGATTTGCACTATGCCCACCCGGGATCTGCTGTGGCGAGGCTGGACTGCTGTTTGTGTTCTTTTAATTGTACTTTCTCTTTGGTTTTCATCCTCCTGAGTTGCTGCATGGCAGGAAGCCCTCAGGTTCGAGGTTACCGGGTTTTTGGACAGGCCATTGATTTTATCTTGGCACCTGTTAGAGGCAGATCAAATCTATTTTTTATGACCAGTTTCTGACGATGGGAGGAGTGACATCTGTGGTGATGGGCGGCTCCGAGCCGCGCTGGCCTGTCCTCAGCCTAGGACCTGTCATCTTGTTTTAACTGGGCCGTGGTGTACAGGGAGCGGTCACGGGGCTGCTGCCCGCCCACCAGAGGCTCTGCGTCAGAGCTGCTGAACGTCTTTCTGGGTGTTGGGCTGAGCAGAGCCTGAACCCTGCTCCTTGGTGCCCACGTTGCTTGCTGACTGGGGGCCAGGCATCCCTGCAGGCACCACTTACGGCTTCCCTGCTCCAGCTTCCAGCCCTTTCCCCAAGGTGTCCTCAGTGGCCGGCCCTTGGAGCTTGTTGAGGCTTGAATGAGGTGAGGGGTGTGGGTGAGTGCGGTGCCAGCACTGGTGAACACCTGATGGGGCCTGGCCACCATCCCTGTTCTGCGCAGACGGCGTGTGCTCGGGAGCTCACTAGCGGAGCACTCCTCTGTGGGAGATGCCAAGGGCTGTCAGGTACCGTGGGGTTGGCATGAGGAGTGGCTGGCAGTGTCACCTGTGACCCTCTCCTGAGCTCTGCCAGGGCCTTGGAGGGGTGGGGGCTCTGCCCCTAGGCATGTCCTGAAGCTGCTCAGAGCTGAGGCGTGGTGCTGCAGTGTGGCCAGTGTGGCCATTTGGGGAGAGGACAGGGCTGGGCCTGGTGGTCCTGGGGAAGCAGATGTTTATGCCGTGATATGGTGACCTCGAGCCTAGCCCAGGATTCAGGAGCTGTTCCTCCCTGGGTCAGGGCAACAGGGACAACTGTGCCCGGATGGCGTGGGAGAAGCAAGTGCAGAGCAGTGAAGCGGGGAGGCCACTGGGGTTCGGCCTGTGGAGTGTTGGAAACTTCCAGACAGCCCTCCAGCTGCCACCACTTCTGACACCCCCTGCGATTACACCCTTAGTGGGGGGACGTCCAGGGTGGCCCTGGGGAAGGTGAGGCCTCACAGGCCCTGTGGTGGCTCAGGCTGCCCCTGGCTCTGGATGCCCAGGGCTGTGCCATTGAAGGAAATACTGTAAATAGGGGTCCATTTCCAAGATAAAGTGCCTTGAACCGGCTTAGGTCACCAAACTACAGAAGAAACAGGATATACTAGGCCCCTGCTTGGATCACCAATGCCTGCTTGTCGGCCTCCCGCTCCCCCCTGCCACCCCACCCCCCCACCCACCTTACTTGCCCTCATCCAAACCAAAGAAGTTTAGTCTAAGATGGAAGTTATACTACTCTGCAAAATAGTTCGTTTCATCTGTTCTTATCAGCCTGCCCAGCTACTTAGGTCACAAGTCAAATAACTGAAGAGCCCCTGAGCTGACGAGGATTGCAGTGCATTGTGGGCTGCAACAAAATGCAACAGGACAACCCTAAAAACACACCTATAGCCCCTGCCCAACAACCAGTAGGCAACATCCAGGAAGACTGTGACCCCAGAGTACTCAGCCTGTGAGGAACCGGGGGAGGGGCCTGCGCACTAGGGGATAAATGGCTTGTTGTCACCGTGCTGGGTGTGCCTGCCCACCAGACACCTAATCTTGCAAGACCATTGAAAATCTCTCTTTTGGCTGGGCATGGTGGCTCACGCCTGTAATCCCAGTACTTTGGGAGGCTGAGGCGGGTGGATTGCCTGAGGTCAGGAGCTCAAGGCCAGCCTGGCCAACATGGTGAAACCCTGCCTCTACTAAAAATACAAAAATTCGCTGGGCATGGTGGTGGGCACCTGTAGTCTCAGCTACTCAGGAGGCTGAGGCAGGAGAATCGCTTGAACCCAGGAGGCAGAGATTGCAGTGAGCCGAGATCACGCCACTGCACTCCAGCCTGGGTGACAGAGCGAGGCCCCAGGAGCCGGCTGCCGCCCCTGCACCCACTATGCGATGCCCTCTCCTCTCCCTGCTCCCGCTCCCTCTGGAGAAGCCTTCAAGTTGGGCCGCTTCAAGGAAGATTGATTAAAATCAGCTGCAGTCTGACTTAATTGGGAACATATGCTTGGAGAGGGGCTTGACTAGTTAGAACTTTTTGTAATTAGTTCACAGCTGGTTGGCGAGGAAAGAGAATTTCAGTTACCCCTTAGAGCTGGGCGCGAGTGCCGCTGCCCTCCCGCGGTGCTGAGGCCAGGAGACCAGGCCTGGGAGGTCTTCGTGCTGCCTTCCTGGGAGGGCCGTCACTGGGCCCTGCTGTGGCACTGGCCTTTCTGGGTCTCCCTAAGAGCCCAGAGCTGTCCACACACTCATTAGGGCCGACTGGGTGCACCCTTGTGTCGCTGAAGGGGCTGGAAGTGGGTGGGCGGGGCTCCTGGACTGCAAGCCCTCCCATCCCGTGGTGGGGGTGGGAGAGCTCGGGGCACCCACGGACGGTGGCTGGCCGGGCTTCTGGCGCCCCCTCTCTAGATGGGGAAAGTGAGGCCCACAGGGAGCCTGCGTGTGAAGGAGGAAGGAGCTCAGACTCTCCATGTTAGGAGGCAGAATGAGTCTTGAACGTGTTGCAGTGTTCTGAAGTGAAGACAGAAATCGGGCGGACCCCGTGGAACTCCAGATCTGGCGGCAGAGGGACCCCCATGGCTATTGGTGCAGCCGCAGGAGTCAGGTCAGGTGGGCGGCACAGTCCCTGACCCCACCTGCAGCCACGGCCTCCTGCCCCACCCCTGTCCCCACCTCCTGAGTGTGCCCTGTGCTCTTCCCCAGGCCTAGAACTGAGGAGCTGGGGCCCCAGCGCTTTGTTCTCTTCTGGCTCCCGGCTGCCCTCTGATGCGCCACCTCATAGCTGGGACACTGGGCCTTGTCAGCTTGGACCCCACAGCCTGGGGTGGGCCACAGCTCTGTCTCCCACTGGCTGCAGCCTGGCCTTAGTGTGCTCCCAAGGATGTGGAGGGCACGGGCCTTTCCCGCAGGCTGTCTTTGGAGATCTCCGGTGATGGCTCCTGGGGGGCCCTGCACATACCTGGTGAACCAGGCCTGCATGGTGGCCATTCCTGTTGTCTGTCATAATACCGTCGTCCTTACCTCCAAGACACTTGGACGTTTTCCACGTCTGTGGTTCTGATGGGCCACATGCGGGGATGGAGGGCACCGAGCTGGGGCAGGACCCACAGTGAGGCTGGTCGGGGCTCACAGGCTACGGGGCAGGACACACAGTGAGGCTAGTCGGGGCTCACAGGCCGCCCTGGGTAGAGAGGGGCACGTCCAGTGGAGGCCGCACTGGGCAGGACACTGACCTTCTGGCTGGGCGGGCGCATCCCCACCTGACAGTCCCACCCAGGAGCCTCCAGCTTGTGTGTGTGAAGTGTGCAGCCTGGGCCGGCACCTGTGCCCCGTGGGGCCCCCGTGTCACCCAGCAGTGATGGGAGCAGCATTCAGACTCAACCCTGTTGGGTTTTTTCAGCATTTGATGATGAACATTTAAAGATACGTTGTGAAGTTGAGGGAAGTTTGCAGCGAGCGCCTGGTCACCCGCCACCAAGGCTCCACCACGGATGTTCCGCCGCGGGGCTTCCTGACATCTCTTTATCCCTCGCCCAGCCGCCGCGCCACTTTATTCTTCTGACGCGCTTTAAGTAAATTGCAGACATCTGCACGCTTCCTCTAAATGCCTCAGTGTGCGTGTAATTAAGTAGAATTCATCTTTGGGTTCTGAAGCCCGTGCTCCAGCCGTTCCTCGATGTGGCCTCATCATGGTGCTTGTTTGGGCAGGTTGGTGGTCAGGGCTGGTGGAGCCCCCCAGTGCGGCTCCCTCCCCGCCCCACCTGCCTGCTCCTCCCTGGCGGGGGCCTGGGTGGGGTTTGTGGCCGGGGCCAACCTCAATGTCCCAAGTGCTGTTCAGGAAAGAGACCAGACAAGAGCCCTGTGACGTTTAAATAAGTGCATCTGTTTTGGGAAGGAGTGGGTAGAAGATTGCCGGGTTCCCTGTGAGCAGAAGCTGGAAGCACACGGAGACCGTTCTGCTCCCGTCTGCACCAGCAGGCAGGTGGTGCGGTACCTCACATCCCTGGTCCGTGTCCCTGGGACCAGGGTGGGGCGGGCCCGTCACCTCTCCTCAGACCTCCTCACCCCCTCCCTGAGATGCCATCCCTGTGGCCCCCAGATCCCTGGAATTCTGAAGCCACCAACGCTGCAGCTGCCCTGGGAGAGGGCCGCGTTCCCTCCTGGAGCCACAGCTGCCCCCTTTGTGCTGGCGTCCATGCCCAGGTGTGGTGGGCTGGGGTCGTGTCCCTGTACCGGGGCCTCCCGGCGGGTGCTCTGAGCCAACCTCCTCAGGTCTGGCCTCTCCCGCTCGCTGGACTCTTAGTAACGCATGTGGCTCATCAGTGGGACCTTCATTCTGTGTTCGGCTCTTTCTCCTGAACCTTCTACCATGTTGGACAGAGTGTGGCCTCTGGACCGGGACGATGGGCCTGGTGTTACCTGGTGGCCTCGGGAAGTGCTCCTCTCTGTGCCCTGAGGGCCTCCTTTGTGAGGCAAGGGGGTTGGACTTTTCCTGGGAGGCAGGATCACGGGAGGGCAGCTCTGCAGGGCCCATGGGACTCCATGCTCACCAGCCCAGCCCTCCCCTCCCATGCGTGAGCCACCTTCACGCACCTCTGTGCCAGGCGCTGCTCTAAGCCAGGGCACAGCGGGGGCCAAGGAGCCACAGCCCGGATGTTCTGGGCCCCTGTTCTGTGGGAGTCATACAGCGAGCTGATGGTTCAGACGGATGAGGTGCTTCCCGTCCGTGAAAGGAAGCAGGTCATTGGCACGGGGCCCCAGGGACCCACGTTAGGTCCTGGCGGGACCAAGGGCTCCTGGTTTCCTCCCGTGGCTCGTGGAAGGACAGGAGAAGCGCCCACTCCGGACCGGGCCGCCGGGGAGGCTGAGTCGGCCGCAGTCCTCGGAGCAGCATCGTGTTTTCTATGATGGTGCTCGTTTTCTTTCCATGAGATCTCACTGCTCCACAGATTCCCGGCAGCCGATGCTGTGTGTGGGAAACCAGGAATGTTCTGCCCACAAGGGCTGAAGGTGCTGGTGAAGTTGGGCGTCTGTTTTAATCGGAGCTTCCTGGCAGCCTAGGGAGAAAGGAAAGTGTGATCACTTAGGTAATTCCTGCCATGGGAGTTTGCAGACTAAGCCTGAGATTCTAGAAGAAATGTCACCGATGGGGGCTTGGCCATGGTGCTGCCACTGATGGAAGAGTGGCTTTGTTTCACCACACTGACCAGCAAGTCCACCGCTGCGTACATGCCCAGAAGAACCAAAAGCAGGGACTCATGGATACGGGCACCCACGTTCACAGCAGCCTCGCTCACGGTAGCCCAGAGGTGAGCGCACCCCAGCGTCTGTGGACAGATGCATGGATGGACACAGTGTGGTCCTTCCATACGGTGGAGCATGATAGATACAGCCTCAAGGAGGAGGCGCGTCCCGACACCTGCCGCAGCATGGATGGACCTGAGGACGCTGAGCTGGGTGAAACCGGCCAGTCCCAGAAGGACACAGGCTATGTGATTCCACCTACACGAGGCCCCTAGAGTCATCAGATCCATAGACAGGAGGTGGAGAGGCCGGTGCCAGGGGCTGGGGCTGGGGCAGGGGAATGGAGAGTGAGTGTTGATGGATGTGGGCTTTAGCCTGGAGAGATGAGGAAGCTCTGGGAATGGGCTGTGGTGGTGGCCGCACAGCACTGAGAGTGTGCTGAATGCCAGGGAGCTGTGCACTTAGAATGGTTATGGCGGTCAGCTTCCTGTCACGTGCGTTTCACCACAGTGAGACCCAGCAGGCAGCTTGTTAGGAGTGAGCCACACCCCGGACGGGAGGGGCAGGGCGCTTGAGGTGACTACTCCAACCCTGCCCTCACACGGCCTCTGTCCTTCGGTCACTCCTGCCTTCCTCAGGCCCTTCATCCACCAGCTGGTCCTGCACCTGCTGCCTGAGCCCCTGAGGCCTCCTGCCAGCTCTGGCTGAGCCTCAGGCAGGATGGTTTAGGCGCTGGCTGTTGTTTGTGCCCTGTAGTGGGGAGACTGGGATAGCAGAGGCTGTCCAGGGCTCCTGCTCATCCGCCAGTCTGGCAGGGACCCAGTTCACTTCCTCGGCAGGCCAGGGGAGCAGCCTCCCGGGTGAAGCCCACGTGTCTGGGAAGGAGGAGGAGGACCTGTGGTTGCAGCGGGACCAGGACAGTGCTGGTCCCCCGCCTCCTCCTCCCAGGAAGCATGGGCTTCGTGCCCAGGGTGGGTGGCCAGTGGGTGCCCTGTGCACTGACCACACTGCCGTGGTGGGAGCTCAGGTAGATGCCTCGTCTGCAGATGGGGCAGGCGATGTGCTGTGAGCTGAACGAGGAGCACGGGTGGCAGAGCCAGGACCCACCGCGGTGCTCACTGGGCTCTGCCCGCTCATCCCCCACTTGCCCACGTGTGCTGCTCCCCCCATGCTGAGCTTTGCCAACGGCCCCACTAGAGCACCCTCCCCCTGTGGGCCTGCAGCTGCTCACAGAGGCAGCAGAGGGTGGCGAAGGGCCTGGGTGCAGGGGAGGAGGTGAGAGCTGCAGCTGGGGGCAGACATTGAGGGGCTCCCGTGTGGGGTCGACTGGCGCTCAGAGCCAGGCCTCAGCCCAAGTCACTGTTGTCCAACCCTTCTGACGATTGGGGTTTTTATCTTCTCCCTCCAAATTGTTTACAAGTCGCCCTCCGCAGATTACCTTCTGAAGGACTCGGGTGGAAGTCAGCGGGTGATTACCAGCACCGGGTAATTGGCTGTGCTGAGAGTCCTTCATCTGCTGATGAGGCCTGAGGTCAGGGGAGCTTTCATGAGGGCTTGCGGGCCTCGAGGTGGCGCGGGACGTGCAGGAGGGCGGCAGAGCCACTGGACGGACGGACAGACGGATGGTGTGAGTGTGCCCGAGTTCTCACTTCCCTATCACATGGTGACCATTCTCGCCGCTGGGTGACATGAGACTGAGGTCAGGGTGCTGGGGACTGGCCCAGAGTCACACAGTTGTGGCTGGTGGAACTGGGACCCAGCTCGGGCTCTGCCAGACCCCTGCGTCTGCTGCCTGGGCAGGCATGGGCATGCACGCCTGGCCCACGAGCCCTTGTCCTTTGTCTAGAGATCGTCTAGTAGTCTCTGCTGTCCCCTCAAGTAGAGATGTGCCCAGGGACCCACTGCTGAGCACCTCGATCTCCCCCAGCCTGTCCCTGCTGCTGCCACTTGGACTGAAGCCATGTCTTGCACTTGGGGTAGAAAACCAAACTCAAAGGCGGGACCTGGGGGGTCCGGGCTCCTCAAAGCTGATATCCCTGAGCATGTCTGCAGCCTCTTGGAGGCCCGGGGCCTCCTCTGGGAAGCAAGGGCCGTGGCCCTGTCTGCAAGTGCCCCGCACGGGGTGCCAGTCCCCGCGGCTCTTGGACATGGCACGATGGAGGTCTCCCCAAGCAGCCGCTGCTGCAGGCACTGCGTCCAAGGGACCGATGTCCTTTGGTTCCTGGGCGTATCTGCAGAGAAACGGATGAGAGCAGCTTTTTAGAGGAGAAGGGAAGCACAGGGCCCTGCCGGTGCCTGTGGGGTTTCAGGGGAGGTGGAAAGTGGCTGCGGCTCTCCTGGGGGCCAGGAAGAGGCCCCTCCCCGCCGCCTCCACTTGGCAGGACTCTGGGGAAGGGGAAGCACTTTGCTTCTCTCATGAGGAACTGGGTTTGGACCTGGAGCCTGCCCATGGCCTGGTTTGCCAGATGCCCCTCGGTTCTCAAGGACGTCTTGAGTCCTCAGACAGGGATGGAGTTCAAGAGGGACTCAGAGCCGGGCGCATGTGGCAGAGGGAGGAGATCCACGTCTTTGGTTTCACTGCGCGGGTCCCCCCGGGCGATGCTTGCGTGCCCGGCAGAGCTCCTTAGAGCCTGAGACCATGTGCACGTCCGTTAACCCGCCCGACCTTTCCATGGACTTGGTAGGTCACCATAGCCACCACTCTACAGACAGCAGATCGAGGCTCAGAGAGCAAGCTAGTGCGTGTGCACACACTCTGGACCGCAGAGTGTCAGCTCTAGGGGCCGTGCCCCGGGCCCCTCCTAGGAGAGCCACCCTGGAGCCTCAAGGAGCAGGGCCCGGGCAGCGTTGCCCCAGCTGGGCTTTTCCTTTGCTGACAGGTCCAGGGAAGCCCCACATGGCGTCCTGGGGCAGCAGCTGTGTGTCCTTCCTCCTGGATCCTGTGTGTGTGTCGGGCCCAGCCCCTCCTGTGTTGTACGAGTGTCTGGCCTGGGTCTCCCTCCAGAGCTATGCATCTCGTCTCTGTTCAGGGACTGCTCCAGGCAGGTGGGGCAGATGTCAGCCTTGCTGGGTGCCATCAGGACCATCTCCTCCTCACCACAGGCACAGCCCCTGGAGCCCAGGAGTTCAGCCCAGGGTGATCTGGTCTCAGCCTTGGCCAGATTAGGAAGGGGATGCTGTCCCCGCCCCGCTGACCAGTGGAGACTCTCACATGCCGTCTTCCCTGGCCACGGCAGGCCGCCCGCCCTTTCTCTGCTATGGAACCACAGAGGCTGTTATCAGGGGTGTCATGGGAGGAGCCCCTGACCCTTGCTGGAACCAGGACAGGCATGACCCCTCCCAGCTCCCTCCTCCCCTGGCCTTTCACGTGGAGCTGCCCAGCAGGGTCTCAGGCCGGGAAGGCCAGCTCCGGAGCTGTGCGGTGGCCTCAGCGCCGTCTCCTGGGTGCCAGTGTCCCGGCTCCACTGGTTTGGCAGACGTGCTGGCTCACAGGGCGTGTCCTGCTGGGGAAAGCTGCGGCCCCTCCCTCAGGCCCTGGTGAACCCTCGCTTAGCCTCTGGGCAGGGCCCTGAGCGGAGGCTATACAGCACACGGTCACTGGGGGGTGGAGGGGGTTCATGGGGGGCGTTTGCTGGGGCCCATGGCGCAGGTGGGTGGGCTCACTCGCAGGCTGGCTTTGCCGTGGACGCCTTGGCTGTGGGGAGTTTCCACTTCTGGTGAAGCCTGGCCATGGTGCGTGTGCTGGAGGGGCCTCCAGGGGCTCCGCCCTGTGACCCCGGGCCACTCCCTCGCCCCCTGCAGGTGCCCCAGATGAGGCCCGGGACACTCACTCCCCATGGTGGAGCACTCAGCTCTGCAGAAAGGGAGCTCTCGGGGTTCTGTCCTACCCCCATCCAGTTCTCATCCTCCCACCGCTCCCGGGCACTGGTCACGGACAGCAGCATGGCCTCTGTCCCTCCTTGGGCCTCAGTTTCTCTGTCTGCTTCAGGCTGCCCTCTCCCATCCATGTGCCTCTACCTGCTTGGGAGCTGCTTTCCTGGAATAGGTGGGACACGGCCCCGCAGGCCCCTCGGCGACAGGTGTGTATAGGTGCATCCAGCCCTTCAGCCCTCCTGCTGGCCCTGAGTAAGTTGCCCAAGGTCAGGCCGCTGCTGAGGGCAGGGCTGGGAGGTGTGACCCTCGCCTGGGCTTGTTACAGAGGCAGGTTCCACAACCCAGCCGTGTGCGGCAGGCAAGGCCACGGGCAGGAGATGGGAAGGCCAAGCGGGCAAGGCCACGGGCAGGAGATGGGAAGGCCAAGCGGGCAAGGCCACGGGCAGGAGATGGGAAGGCCAAGCAGGCAAGGCCACGGGCAGGAGATGGGAAGGCCGGGCCTCTGCCTGTGCCTCTTGGTGGGCCTGGTTCTGCAATGCCCTGGCCCAACAGGCACAGCCCGAGCTGCCTCGCTCTCCTCCGTGAGCCATTTCCTTCAGCCAGGAGAGGTATTGATTGAATTTTGACGCCGGACGATCTATAAATATGCATAAGGACTGGTGGTTATTTAACTGTGTTTTCCATTCCCCTCTTGTCGCTGCTTCCTTCCAGCGCTTTCTCTGCTCTCGGCATGCGCGTCAGGCACACGGGGACAGGCGCCTCCCTCCCCAAGTATTGCCTGGGCCTTGCTGGAGGCAGCCTCCTCCCCAGCAGGGACCTTGAGGATAGGGCCCCTCAGAAGCCATTTCCTTTGCCCGGGGCAGCCAAGGGCCCATGGCACCCAGCTCCTGCACGCACCAGGGCGTGGGCTCAGGGCTTTCCTGTCCTCTGCTCCGGGTCTTATGAGCATTTTGGCCGGAAGGGAGGTCCTTAAGGTGAAACTCACCACACTCACCCTCACAGATGGGAAGCCGAGGCCCAGAGAGGACGGAGACCTACCAGCGAGTTAGGGGCGGAACTCACAGTGGGAACAGAGATGGAGCCAACGCCAGCCCCCACCCAGCCTCCTCCTCCAGGACTTGGGCTGTAGACAGTCCCCTGAACACAGAGAGAAACGGGCCGTCGAGGCCGAGGCCTCCTGGAGGCACAGGTGTGGGCTTACAAGGCAGCCCGGGAGCACCCGCACCCTCTCTGGGCCTTGTCTCTCCCTGTGCAGACCCCTCCAAGACCGCTTTGTCTGAAGGTGGGGCCCTGTCATCTCCAGAACCCTAGGCCCAGCCTGGAGGGGAGCTTGGACAGACAGTAGGCCTGCAAGTGGCCGGGGACCTGCCCTGCCCGTCCCAGCATTCTCCCGCTGCACCCGCCAGCCGGCTCTTCCGCTTAACCGCGCTGGGTAGCAGCACCAGAGCGCCTGCTCGCTCTGCAAGTGAAAGATTTCTGTTGAGTCAATGATTGCACCATCGCATCAAAGGAAGGCTCCAAACTTTTCCTTTTGAGATTCTCGTCAGCGTCTCAACAGTTTTCTCAGCTGTGAATCAAACAAGGCAACAAATTTTAGCAGAAGATTATAGCCATTTTCCCCTTTCTTCCTGGAAGCTGTCAGCTAACAGCCGATTCCAGCAAGGTTGCTCCATCTCCCATCTGCTTGAGTTGAGTGGTGCCAGCCCCCAACGGTGCTCCTGCTTGCTGGCACACACAGTGCTCAGCGCCCTAGGTGGGTGGGGTGCACGGGGCCGGGGCAGCACTGGAGGGGCTTCTCCCCACGCCTGGAGCCTCACACTGACCCCCTGGGCCTGCAGCTAGAGGTGGGTTCTGTGAGCAGGAGGCGTCCTGCCAGAATGCACAGAGGGCAGGGGTGGCCCTGAGCGGATGGGCAGATGGGGCCTGGGAGGAAGTGATCTTGCCTCCTGGGCTGCAGAGCCCACCCCACATCCGCTGCCTCCTGGCCCCAGTGTACAACCCGCTGGCCCTTCCTCTGGGCTGGGGCTTGGTGTGTCCATTGCCTCCTGGCCCCAGTGCAGAACCCACTGGCCCTTCCTCTGGGCTGGAGGCTTGGTATGTCCATGGTGGGAAGTGCTTGGGTCTTTGCGTAGGAGGATCTTGAGGCTGCACTGGCCTGTGCCTCATCTGGGATGCCCCTGGACCACCTCCTGCCCTGGTGGTCCCTCCCCCACTGCCTCCAGACTTCTCAGGCCACCCTCTGAGTCCCTTGGGGCCCCCAGCCACAGCCACGCCATGCAGAGCCCTAACCCCGGTCTGCGGCCCAGCGCCGCCACCTTACCCGCACCTCTGAGGGGTCGCGTGAGTGCTGCATGACCGTTCTCCTCCAGAAAGCAGCAGAATACATGAAAGAGGGCTCACAGAGCACTGGCCGGGCCCGGCACCCCATGGCGTCTGCAGATGGCCGCTGCCCTCACCCTCCTTCCCTTCATCTCCAGGGTGGGCCCAGCAGCAGCAGCACCTCTCCCACACCCTCTGCTTCTCCTGGGTTGCGGCTGTGACCCAGGAAGTGAGAGTGGGACTCTCCACGACTTGGAGAAGGGTTCCAAGCCCTTTCGTGGGACCTACTTGCTCTTACTTCCTGCGTTACTCTAACCACTCTAGCCACCTGGTTTAAGCCCCAGGAGCACATCCGAGTGTAGTAAGTGTTCATCATCATCATGCATTCATTCAGCAAACACATCTTCCACATGGAGCCTGTGCCGGGATAGTCCTCGGTGCTGGGGCTGTGGTGGTGGACAGGAGTCCCTGTCACCGCGGAGCTGGACTTCTGGCGTGGAGGACGCCTACTGAGATGAGTGTTTAGGCTGATCGGGGTGTCCCGCTGGCAACAGCAGTCACCCTTGGCAGCCGGCCTCTGCTGGGCCCCTGCTGAGCGGGCGCCGAGGCACCGTGCTGCTTCCCTGCTCTGCAGAGAGAGACGGAGGCCTGGCCCTTCGCAGCCCCCATCTAGCGGGAGGGTCTCGGTGTCCACTGTCTCTCCCAGTGGCCGACGGCCCAGGTGAGGGGCTGCCCGTACCCGTCTCCCTCTGCTTCCGGCTCCCTTGGTGGCCACTGCACTGTGCACTTGCAGGGGCTGCCAAGCCACAGAAGCCAGGCCAGCCGGTCCCCTGCCTGTCAGCTGCTGACTCACAGGGGTCTTTGTCCCCATCAGCTGCAGAGGTGGCCTGCAGGCTCCAAGAAGCCACCAAGGCAGGGCCCTGTGGGCACACCCTGACGTCACCTGGTCCTGCAGACTGTGGTCACTGCACTTGGTGTCTGGGCCCAGCTGGCAGGAGTGGGAGAGGGCCGACGGGGTGGGGGGTGATGGTCAGGCCACTGTGCCCTAGAGGCTCTTCCGGCTGTGGAGGAGGAGGGTCTTGGGGGCAGGGATCCCCTTCAGCCTCACATTTCCCAGCCCAAGCAGGATACAAGTAAGGACATTTCCTTACGGAGCCCCAGAGTTTCTCCTTCACCCTGGAGCTCCCTCCAGGCAGCCCCTCTCAGCCCTTGTCCTCCCCGTGGAGAGCTGCTCTTGAAGTTGAAATCGTGGTACATGCAAAGGAAGAGGCTGGTTTCAGCCCCGCAGGCTCTGGCAGCTGCATCCACGCTTCCTGCTGTTTCTCACTCCCCACCCGGCCCGCCATTTCTAACAGCTCTATTGAAATGCGACGCACATTCCACGTACCTCGTCCCTTTGAAGGGGGCAGTTCAGCGACTTTTATGTCCACGGCTAGTGCAACCACCGTCACCCTTCGCAGAACGTTTTGATCCCCTCTCAAGGAAGCCCGAACCCTCTAGTTATCCATCACCCTGCTGTCTCCCGTGCCCTCAAACCCTCAGCCACCAGTCGGCTACTGCGTGCCTCTGTGGGTCTGTCTGTTGTGAGCATTTCCTGGAAAGGGAGTCCCGTGGCCTGTTCTGAGCATTTCCTGGGAGGGAGTCCCGTGGCCCATTACCAGCATTTCCTGGGAAGGGAGTCCTGTGGCCTTTGTGATTGGCTTTTCTCACTTCCCTTGTTCAAGGTTCACCCATGTGGTCATAGGTGTCGGTGGTGTATTCCTTCTTGTGGCTGAAACACCCCACTGTGCACGGCCGCATCTTATATATCCAGTCATCAACTGGTGGACCTTGTGTTCCTTCTTGTGGCTGAAACACCCCACTGTCTGCACGGCCACATCTTACATATCCAGTCATCGCCTGATGGACATCTGGATGGTTTCCGCTTTGGGGCTGTTATGAACACAGCTGCCCTGAACATTCACGGACGAGTCTGTGTAGATGTGTGTGCAGTTCTCTCGGGGGTCTGCCTGGGACTGGGCCTGCTGGATCACATGGTAACCGTTTCACCATTGGAGGAACTGCCAGACTGTTCTCCAGGGCTGCCGCACACCAGGGTTCCAGTTTATCCCCATCCTCACCAACGTGTTGTTGCGTGACTTCCCAGCCGTCCTGGGGGCGCAAAGTGATACCTGGCTGTGATTTCACTTTCTGTCTCTGGATGCCGGATGATGCCGAGCAGCTTTTCATGTGTCTATTGAACTCATAGAAGTCTGTCTTCAGATGCCTTGCCCATTGTGACACTGGGTCCTCATAGGAGTCTGTCTGCAGACGCCTTGCCTATTGTGACACTGGGTCGTTTGCTGACAGTGCTTCATGTGTTGAGGTGTAAGTTCTTCGGGTATAGATTTGCAGACATTTTCTCCCATTCTGTGGCTTGTTTTTGCCTGTCACTGGCGTCCTTTGAAGCACAAGAGTTCTTAGTTTGGATGAAGTCTGATTACCTGTTATTTTCTTTTGTTCTTTGTGCTTTGGGCTAAGAATTCTTTGTTAAATCCAAGGTTAGGAGGGTTTCCTCCTCTGTTTTCTTCCACAGGTTTTACGGTTGGGCTTTGCGTGGGTCTTGGATCCATTGTTACTTAGTTTTTGTTTATGGTGGGAGGTGGGGCCCAGCTTCATTCTTTGGCATGCGCCAGCCCATTGTCCCAGCAGCATTTGTTGAAAAGACTATTTTTCCCTATCGAAAGGTCTTAACACCTTTCTCAGAATCACTTAACATGAACGTGTGGTTGGTTCCTGGACTCTCCACTGTGTTGTTGGTCTGTACGTCGGTCCTCATGCCCACACCACACCATCCTGATTGCAGTGGCTTTGTAGTAAGTTTTGAAATCAGGAGACTGAGTCTTCCTCCCGTGTTCCCCCTTTGCAAGCCTGTGGTGGCTCTTCTGAGCCCCTGCAGTTCCGTGTGAGTTTCAGAATCAGCTTATCAGTTCTTCAGGGAGGCCGGCTGAGTCCTGGGATTGTACAGAATGTGCAGATCAGCCCTGGGAGTCTCTGGTCCCGACAGCGCCGGGTCTTCTGATCCGAGACATGGGATGTTTCCTAATCACCTAGATCCCGCCTAGTTTCCTCCCATGCTGTTTTGCTGCCTGTGTGTTTGAAATGGCTCCTCTTGGTGGGGTGGGTGCAGGAGTGGTGCTGTTTGTATAGGACATAGGGCCGTCCTCCCATCCCGACACTCGGCTGCCCTGGAGACGGGCCTCAGCACAGGGCTCCCATTACCCCTGCACTTCCAGCACCTGCTGAAATGTGTGGCGCGCGGGCTCCGAGGCATGGAATGGTGTGCCTGACTCTGCGCTGCCCAGGCTGTGGTCACAGCAGCAGGCTGGAAGTTTGGCTGTCGCCCCCAGCCACCTTGGGGCACGGTCCTGTCTCACCTGGAGCAGAGGTCCTGGGCCCCCAGGGGCTCAGGCGTGGCCTCCTTCTGGAGGGGCCGGGAATGTCCCCTCCACTTGCTGAGTGTTGGCCCAGGAGGCTCCTCTGTGGGATGCCAGCTGCTCCCACCATGAGTGGCAGCTCCACCCCTGTATTCACAGCTGTGCTGAGGGCATCCAGGGCCTGGAAATCATGTCAGATGGACAGACAGGTGTGCGGGTGGATGGACTAAGGGAAGAAAGGAAGGATGGCAGGAACGAACGCGTGGAGGTCAAGAGCCTGGCCCAGAATCACGGTGGGGACGTGAGCGGGTGGGTGGTGCCCAGTCTGCCCCTCCCGTGCTGCCTCTAGGGGCTCTGCCTTCTCCAGGCGTTAGGCAGGGAAAGTCCCCTGAACTTACAGAAAGACGACTAGGTGCCTGGAATGTTGCCATCTGCACAGAGCCCTAGCGCCTGTCCTCCCACTTCCCTCGCCCTCCTGGGAGGTGGGTTCTCCACGCCACCAGTTATGGAGCCCAGGCTTGTTCTCAGCCCTGGTCAGCGGTGCCATCGCAGGTCGCTCCAGCCCCAGCCGCAGGTGCCCAGTGAATGCTCTCCGTGACCCAGGGCCTCCTGCTGCAGGTGGAAGCCGGGCCACGGGAACCTGCGCCGACCTTGGCCTCACACTGTGGCTCCGGGAGAGCAGGACCTGGTGGTGCATGCGTAGCGGCTGAGGAGGACAAGCCTGGGGGCTGGTCCCAGCCCGGACACGGTGGCTTTGCACACACCAAGCCTTCGCCCCCAGCGGGGCCAGCAGTGCAGGGCGCTGCACTGTTGGGGGCCAGAGGGTGACAGGATTGGTGTTTAAGAAGAACTTCTCAGTTTTATCTTTTCTCTGTTTTGATTTGGTTTCCTTCATCTCTACTGGCTTGGGCTTTTGGTCCTTAAATCCTCTAATATACAGAATTGTTTCCTGGACCTCAAGCCCCCCATCAGGGGGGAAACCTCATCCCAGGATGATGGGCCGGTCGTGGGGCACCCTGGCTGGGGGCTGGGGGCTGGGGCTGTGCCTCTGGCTCTCGTTCCTGCCCGTGGAACGTTGAACGTTGCCAGGACATCCACCCCGGGGAACTTGACGTCCTCAGGCACTGCTGGGTCCAACGCCAGCGCTGGGCGCACCACCGCTGACCCCCGACCCCTCCTGCAAGTCCCCCTATCTGCTAAGTAGGAGGATGCTGGGGCCAGGCGAGGCCTTGCTGGGCAGCCTCTAGGATGGTCACTACCTCCTCCCACCTGGAGGTCCCTTCAGGAGGTCCGCGGTGTTGAAGCCTGGGGAGGAAGAGGAGGCTGAGGCCTGGGAGAGGAAGAGGAGGGTGAGGCCTGCGGGGGGAGGAAGAGGAGGGTGAGGCCTGGGGGAGGAGGGTCTCACTGCTCTGGGTCAGAGGAGGGCTGAGTACACGCTGTGCGGCCTGGTTCTTGCCAGGGGTCAGCTGACTACAGCCCCGCCTTCTGTGCAGCCCCTCAACTAAGAACCGTTGTACATTTTTGAAGGGTTGAAGAAAATCAAAAGAAGAATATTTTGGGACACACGCGGGTTATCTGAAATTCAGATTCGTGTTTCCGTGCCCGCAGCTCCGTCAGCGGGGCCCATGCTGGCCTTGTGTGCCCTGCGGCTTTCTGGGTGCAGTTGCAGCGCTACGTGGTTAGGACGGGGGCAGGGTGACTGCACAGCCCCGTGACTGGCTGCTCTCCGCAGGAGGCGGCCCCACCCTCTGCCCACATCCTCCCTGGCTCCTCGAGGCTCCGTAGGATGGTGAAGAGGTTGAGATGCTGTCCAGCCCACAGAGGCCCCGGAAAGCCAGTGCCGCCCGTCAGAGGGGTCTCCTGAGTGCGTGTGGGTGGCTGGATTCTGCATACTGGGTTATCTTAACCCCGGCTGTGAAAACTGGATGAAGTAGCAATCCTTTCAACCCCAAGAGTCTGTGATTCAGCCAGAGTTACAAGATGTCTCTTCATCCTCTGAGGTTTACAAGGTTCTCAGAAAACCTGTGAAGAGCTGCGCGGATCCTCTCCTGCCCCGGCCCAGCGGCAGGGCTGCCGCCTCCCTCTCCCCTGGGCCTGAGTGGGTGGATTTCCCCTCCCCTCCTCCTTCCCAGGAGAAGCACAGAGGGAGCGGCCAAGCGAGCCGTGTCTGCAAACCCCGCTTCCCTCTGCGGCGGCCTCTGCCATCGTGCCATGGGGCCGGAGGTCCCTGGTCCAGGTCAGCATGTCCATCTCCACTGGCCTCTTCCATGAGGGGGGTGGCAGGGCCAGCAGTTAGCTTGTGTGACGTGACGTCAGGGGGATGTCTTAGAGTCCGGGGTGGCACCAGGAGGGGTGAGGTCTCTTCCCTTCTTCCCCATCCTCTCCTCTCTCCCTGTTGGAGGCACATTCTGGGCTCTGGGACCACGATTGCCCATGGCTGATGAGCTCCAGCCCAAGTGAGGTCCCCAGGGTACAGCCCAAGCCAGGCCTCGCCGTCCTTCGGGGACTTGGAGAGCAGTGGCCCACAGCAGCCTGAGCTCTTGGGAGGCTGGAGGCTTACTGCGCCCGGTCTCTTCACCCCGTGGGGTGTGTCCACACCGGCCTCTCCTGAGAGCGTGGGGTGATCTGAACACAGGATGTGTTTCCCTGTTCCCCTCTGGGAGATAGGAGAGTGCGTGGGCAGAAGCCCCAAGGGTGGCAGGAACTCATTGCCAAAGGGGAGGAGGCCATTGCTATGCGTGGTGCTGGCCTGGCTTGCTGGGTCATGTCTGTGCCTGACATGACCCATGTCATGACCATGGTCATGTCTGTGCCTGACATGACCCATGTCATGACCATGGTCATGTCTGTGCCTGAGGGACCGGGTGCCCATCCAGTCTCACTGCCCCACAGCTCACAGCCACAAGCTGCAGAATCTCAGCACTTGGCGGGAGCCCTGGCCCGTGTGTGTGCGTGTGTGTGCGCCGCTGGCTCCAGCCCTGGCCTGTGTGTGTGTGTATGTGTGTGTGTATGTGTGTGCGTGCACCGCTGGCCCCGGCCCTGGCCCATGTGTGCGCGCGCCTCTGGTCCCGGCCCTGGCCCGTGTGTGTGTGCCTCTGGCCCTGGCCCGTGTGTGTGTGTGTGTGTGTGAGCGCCTCTGGTCCTGGCCCTGGCCCGTATGTGTGTGTGCGCCTCTGGTCCCGGCCCTGGCCCGTGTGTGTGTGCGCGCCTCTGGCCCTGGCCCGTGTGTGTGTGCGCGCCTCTGGTCCCGGCTCTGGCCCGTGTGTGTGTGTGTGTGCCTCTGGCCCCAGCCCTGGCCCATGTGTGTGTGTGTGTGTGTGTGTGCGTGTGTGTGCGCCTCTGGTCCCGGCCCTGGCCCGTGTGTGTGCGCCTCTGGTCCCGGTCCTGGCCTGTATGTGTGTGTGTGTGTGTGTGTGTGTGCGCGCCTCTGGCCCCGGCCCTGGACTGTGTCCGTGTGTGTGTGTGTGTGTGTGTGTGTGTGTGCCTCTGGCCCCGGCCCTGGCCCGTGTGTGTGTGTGCGCCTCTGGTCCCAGTCCTGGTCTCTGTGTGCGTGCGTGTGTGTGTGTGTGTGTGTGTGCGTGCGCGCCTCTGGCCCCAGCCCTGGCCCATGTGTGTGCACCTTTTCATATGTTTATCAGCTTTTTGGGTGTCTTTTTGGGAAGTGTCTGCTCACATGTTTTGCAGATTTTTAGAGTGGGTTGTCTGACATGCCCTTGGTTATTTCTGACATGCCCTTGGTTATTTCTGACATGCCCTTGGTTATTTCTGACTTCTTCGTATGTTCTGGATCTGAACCCTTTCTCAGAAATGTGATTTTCAAACAGCACCTCCTGCTCTGTGGGTGCCTTTCCACTGTTTCAGTGGATGAAGTTCTTAATTTCTATAAGGTCAGTTGTACTCTTTTTTTTTTCTTTTACGGCCAGCACTTCCTGAACCCTGTTTGAGTAACCTGTGTCTACTCCCAGGAGACAGAATGTGGTGGAATTGATGTTTGTGTGTGATGTGAGGTCGGGGTCTCAGGTGTGCAGTGACCCTGCACCTCCCTGCCGTGGGCGGCTGTTGTTTGTGTGTGGCGTGAGGTCGGGGTCTCGGGTGCGCAGTAACCCTGCAGCTCCCTGCCGTGGGCGGCTGATGTTTGTGTGTGGCGTGAGGTCGGGGTCTCGGGTGCGCAGTGACCCTGCACCTCCCTGCCGTGGGCGGCTGATGTTTGTGTGTGGCGTGAGGTCGGGGTCTCGGGTGCGCAGTGACCCTGCACCTCCCTGCCGTGGGCGGCTGATGTTTGTGTGTGGCGTGAGGTCGGGGTCTCGGGTGCGCAGTGACCCTGCACCTCCCTGCTGTGGGCGGCTGATGTTTGTGTGTGGCGTGAGGTCGGGGTCTCGGGTGCGCAGTGACCCTGCACCTCCCTGCTGTGGGCGGCTGATGTTTGTGTGTGGCGTGAGGTCGGGGTCTCGGGTGCGCAGTGACCCTGCACCTCCCTGCTGTGGGCGGCTGATGTTTGTGTGTGGCGTGAGGTCGGGGTCTCGGGTGCGCAGTGACCCTGCACCTCCCTGCTGTGGGCGGCTGATGTTTGTGTGTGGCGTGAGGTCGGGGTCTCGGGTGCGCAGTGACCCTGCACCTCCCTGCTGTGGGCGGCTGATGTTTGTGTGTGGCGTGAGGTCGGGGTCTCGGGTGCGCAGTGACCCTGCACCTCCCTGCTGGGGGCGGCTGTCCCCTGCTGTGGGCGGCTGTTCCCTGCTGTGGGCGGCTGTCCCCTGCTGTGGGGGGCTGTCCCTGCTGCAGGGCTGCATGGTGCTTGTTGCTGGGGGTCGGTCACCCACCACAGGTCAGCAGGCTGGGCCTCCAGGCGCACTCCTCCCTCAAGGATGCCACACACATCCCGGCCCTGGGTTTCGTGGGAACATCAGGTTGCGAGGCGCATTCCTGAGCCACCCACGCTGATGCCAGGCTCCCTTGCCTTCCATCTCTGTGTGGTTGACCTTGTTTCTCTTGTGGCACGGGGCACCTTCCAGGCTGGTAGGGAAGAGATGGGAACATGGCCACACGGGCTCCCAGTCTCATCCCAGCCAGGAACCTCAGAGGAGAGGAAGCCTCCCTCCCGGGCACTGAGTGTGGAATTCTGGGAAGCACCGCACTTGGCTGAGCAAAGGCCGCATGTCCCCTCTCACCCTGTTCCTGTGGTTAGGCAGAAGGGACCCAGCAGGTGGCCAGGCCTTGTTCCTGCACCTGTCCACAGGGCACAGGGAAGGAGCCACTCCTTCCAGGAGAGATGGCTGCCAGGCAGGCTCAAGAAGACAAAAGAACTGAGCACTGTGCTGTGTGTGACCCGTGCTGTGTGTCTTCCTGGGCCATGGTGACCCATGCTGTGTGTGACCCGTGCTGCGTGTGTGCCTGGGCCATGGTGACCTGTGCTGTGTGTGTTCCTGCAGGGTGACTATGACCAGAGCAGGACCAAAGTGCTGCACATGAGCCTGAACCCCACCAGTGTGGCCAGGCAGCGCCTGCGCGAGGACCACAGCCAGCTGCAGGCGGAGTGCGAGCGACTGCGCGGGCTCCTGCGCGCCATGGAGAGAGGAGGCACCGTCCCAGCCGACCTTGAGGCTGCCGCCGCGAGTCTGCCATCGTCCAAGGAGGTGGCAGGTAGGCACCCCCCACCCCCGGTCCCTGCCATCCTCGACCTTCCGTGGGTAGGTCCATCCGTGCGCCTTTGGGGCAGCCTCAGGCGCCCCTGCCTGTCATCCCCAGAGGGTTTGTCCTCCCCTGTGGGCAGCCGGGTCTGGTGGTTGCTGGGGCAGAGCACCCTGGCCCCGTGTCCCCATGGCCCCGTGGGGTTGTGCAAACAGGTGGAGCCATCCGAGTCTGCAGGCAGCTGTGGAGAAGCAAGGGGCTGAAATTTCAGGCCCTTAAACTAATTCGTATCATTTGTCAGTTTATATGTACCCCATTAATCACAAGTAAATCCAGTCCTCCACGAAAACAAGTCCATCTCTCACCAGCTTAAGTGTGCTTCATGGCGTCCAGAGAGCCCTTTGAGGCCAAGGCCTGTGGCGTCCCAGGGAAGAATGAGGCCTCCATGAGGGCCAGCAGGGCCTGCCCACACCCTCCAGGTCTACATGAGGCCCACGGCCTTTGGAACGCCAGCCTATCCCCTGATGTGGGGAGGTGGTGCTGGGGTCTGCCCACGCCAAGCCTCGGAGGGTGCTGCCGGGGCTGTGTCGACTCTGCAGGGTGCCCCTGAAGGAGCAGGGCTGGGAGTCCAGAGTCACTGTGCAGTCTGCACCCCCAGCGAGGCTGTGGGGCTCAGGAGACCCCTGCCCCCTGTGTTGCTCTCTGCTGTTGGAGGGAGCTGGGCACTGCCCCACGCTCCTGGTTCTGGGGGGACCTGGGGGAGGGTTCCCTGTCCAGCCCTTAGCAGCAGCCTGGAGCGTGGCCCGGCGTCCCCTTGCTCCTGTGTTAGAGCCACCCGGCTGCCAGCCCCCTCCCTTGGGGGTGTCTGCAGGCTCATCTGTGGTGGGGCCTGGAGGCTGCTGCTTTCTGGCCTTTGGCATCTCGAGGTGATTTCAGACTCAGCTTTCATCCGATGATACCTTCTTCTGTTTCTTCCCACCTACTTGCCATCGCGCCCTGTACTGTGGGAGAGCATTCCCTGTGAGCATGCAGGTGCAGAGGTTGTGTGGCGGTGACTTGTCCGCTTCCCACAGCCCAGCACCCAGGCTGATGTATCAGGAGTGATTGTCCTCTGCCCCGCTCCTTTGTGGGGAGGGTCTTAGGTGGGGTCTTCCCTCCCTCTTGTGCCCCACCCCCATAAGCCAAGACTGCCCTGAGTCTGGGCGCACCCTGCCGGCAGGTAGGGGCTTAGTGGCTGGCTAGCGGGTGGTGTGCCCTCCTGGAGTAGTATGGTGGGGTTGGAGGACAAAAGCCAGAAGGGGGGGCCTGTGTTGCCAGATTGAGGGGCGAGCTGATGGCAGTCGGGGGCTCCTTTCCAGCTCCCCACCTGCACAAGGGCTGCTCCCGGTCTCCACTGTGGCTGTGAGGGCCTGAGCCCCCATGTCCCCAGCCCCCTTTCTGGTCCAGCCGTGGCTCCCTCTCCGCCCTGCATTCTGCAGGTGTTATTGGCAAGTTTCGGAGCTGAGGATGCAGACTTGGAGCCATATTTTTAGGTGGCTCTGCACCCTGGGAGAGGATTTGGGAAGGGGCCTTCCATCCCCTGCTGTCACGGGCCTGTGCCTTGGCTGTGCACCCATTCGCTTGTCTGTTTGTTCCCCTGTTGTCTGGGTCTCTGCCCGTCTCGGGTTTGCCCGTCTGTTCGTTCCCTTGTTGTCTGGGTCTCTGCCCGTCTCGGGTTTGCCCATCTGTTCGTTCCCTTGTTGTCTGGGTCTCTGCCCGTCTCGGGTTCACCCGTCTGTTTGTCCCCCTGTTGTCTGGGTCTCTGCCCGTCTCGGGTTCGCCCGTCTGTTCGTTCACCTGTTGTCTGGGTCTCTGCCTGTCTCGGGTTTGCCCATCTGTTTGTTCCCCTGTTGTCTGGGTGTCTGCCTGTCTCGGGTTCGCTCGTGTGTTCGTTCACCTGTTGTCTGGGTCTCTGCGCATCTCGGGTTCGCCCGTCTGTTCCTTCCCTTTTTGTCTGGGTCTCTGCCTGTCTCGGGTTCGCCCATCTGTTCGTTCCCCTGTTGTCTGGGTGTCTGCCTGTCTCGGGTTCGCCCGTCTGTTCGTTCCCCTGTTGTCTGGGTCTCTGCCTGTCTCGGGTTCGCTCGTGTGTTTGTTCCCCTGTTGTCTGGGTCTCTGCGCATCTCGGGTTCACCTGTCTGTTCCTTTCCTTGTTGTCTGGGTCTCTGCCTGTCTAGGGTTCGCTCGTGTGTTTGTTCACCTGTTATCTGGGTCTCTGCGCATCTTGGGTTCTCCCGTCTGTTCCTTCCCTTGTTGTCTGGGTCTCTGCCTGTCTCGGGTTCGCCCGTCTGTTCGTTAACCTCTTGTCTGGGTCTCTGCGCGTCTCAGGCACGCGGGTGGTCGGCATCTGGCTGTGACAGGTGCCCGGGCCATGGCTGATTGGGAGTGGGGGGTGCGAAGAGGCGTGTCTGAGCTGACCATGGAGAAGTCAGGGCCAGCGTGGTCTGGAAGCAGGAAGGGGAGGATGAGCAGAGGCCTGGGATAGTGGGGGCCGCGCCACATGGCGCCACCAGGAGGTGAGGGTGGGTCGGGCGTCCAGGCCCCAGTGGCTGATGCAGCGCGTGTCTGTGCCCCCAAAAATCACAGTGTTGGTGGCCTCTGTTTTATGTAAGGCCTAACCCCACAGAGGGAGAGGATACAGAGGCAGACTTTTGGAGTCTGGAATTGGCGGGTGAGCAGTGAAAGGACTGAGTAGACTTGGGAAACCGGAATCTAAGCCGGCGGCGGGTGGAGCTGAGAACCCGCCTGAGTTACACCTCAAAACTCCAACGCAGCCCAGGAACTGGCTGCAAGTGGCGTTAGGGGAGGGATGCCACTGACTGAAGCACAGTGGATCTGGAGGCTTGATTGCTGAATTAAGAGATGGGTCCCCGGAACCATCTGTCCATCTGTGTGCCCTGGGCAGTTGCCGCTCCCCGGGAAAGATGAAGACTCCAAAACAAGCCAGCAGTTTATTCTTGGAGCAGTGATACTTAAAGTGCAGTACCCAGGTCGGCCGCTGCCTCCCTGGGAGCCTCTTAGAAATGTGGATTCTCAGGTCTCATCTCAGACTTGCTCAGCCAGAGGCCTGGGGGCGGCCGGCAGTCTGTGCTAGGCAGCCCTACAGACCACGCGGATGCTCAGCGCGTTTGTGGACCGCTGCTCTGGAGAGGGCTGGCAAGGTCCCTGGACAGACCCAAGTCAGGACAACAGGCTTGAACTGAGCCCGGATTGATAGATGCAGGTGTGGGCCTGGATCGCACACCCCCGCCACGTGCCCTGCAGAACACGGGCAGCAGGTGTGACCCTGTAGGCTATGGTGGAAAGACCTCCCTGTGTATCCGAGCAGCCCAGAAGGACCTGGCGTTGGCAGTTCCCCAGCTCGACAGCTCCCATGGATCGCTCCCTGGGGAAAACCGTGGCAGACGGCTCCATGCTCCTACCCGGAGTATCCCTGGGCCCCTAGTGCCCTCCCCTAGTGAGGAGCTGATACCCAGGGATTGTCAGACAGCCCAAGGGAAAGGACAGGAAACGAGCAGGGAAAACAGAGCACAGCGAAACGCAGAGAAACACAGCGTCAGCGGGGAGGGAACCCACTGTCCCAGCAAAGAAAATCTCCAAAAACTGTCTCCTGGATCTCCTCAGAGAGAAGACGGGGCTTCAGCAACCAAACAACAGGGCAGCTTAACACACACCAAGAGAAAGCAGTGAGCAGGGGGAAGGCAAAAGTAGGGAACAGTGAATGGAAATCTAAGAAGATTTGTAAAGTAACGTTGAGAAAGTCTGAAAGTAAAGACAACGAGATGGAAAACAGGAGAAGAGAAGTAAGAACATTAGAGGTACAGCCCACTGTCTGAACAACAGGAACATGGAAGGAGGGAACAGGGAAAAAGCAGATGATAACAGAAGTGCCTCAAGGACGTCTCCCTGAAGGAAGGACGCAGCTCCCTGCCTCCCGGGAGAGGCTCAGACTGGGCTGTCTGTGGTTGGGGATAGACCCGCACAGTGTGCGGCAGCATGAAGATTCAGGACACAGGACGAAAGGAAGACCCTGAGAACTTCAGAGAAGAAACACAGAGGTCACTTGTCAAAGGATCCGGGATCAGTCATCTAGCGTTTCCTAGCAGCAGCACCTCCGAGTTTCTAGCAGAGTGACCTGCATCTCGGGATCTCATAGCCCCCCAGCCCCACATCAGGTCTGAAGGAAGAAGTACGGGCATCTGCAGGGTTCAAGGCCTTAAAAACTTGACGGCCCCGCACCGTCTCTCAGGAAGCTGGCAGAGGATGCACTCCCAAAGGATGAGGGAGTAAACCAGGAAAGAGTGTGGCTGTGGCACGCAGAGCAGACCACAGGGGCTTCTGCCGCGGAAGCAGAGAAGGAGGCCTCAGGCCTGGGGAGCAGCCGGCAGGGGCCAGAACAGGCCAGAGGTTCTGGGATATAGAGCAGAGAAGGAAGCCTTAGGCCTGGGGAGCAGCTGGCAGGGGCCAGAACGGGCCAGAGTTTCTGGGATATAGAGCAGAGAAGGAAGCCCCCAGCCTGGGCAGCCTCCAGCGGGGGCTGGAACCCACCAGAGATTCTAGGACAGAACCTGGTGCGTTGGGTGTCATGATGCGGACCGGAGCTTTCCACACGTGTGTGCCAGGCGTGGGCTGCCATGGACGTTGGTCCCCAGGTCCCTGGGTCACTCTTTGGCAGCCTCCTCCTTCCCTGCGTGCCACACACATTTCTCAGGTTTTAGGTTTGCTGCCCCGCACAAAAAGACTGGGAAGCACCTGTGTAGACAGCTGGCAAAGAGGGATGGCTGCCAAGAGCCATGAGCACCTAGAAGGCTGAGTGCGTGGGAAGCAGGACGACCATTGGCTCTGGGGACAGCAGAGTTGCATGAGAAGCAGCAGAAGCAGCAGTGTCCTGCATTCTGAGCTGGCCCTGAGCAGCCTCACACAGTCGTAAGGGAGCTGAGGCCTGATCTGAACACAGCCCTGAGCCTCATATTAAGAAAGGGGACCAGGAGGAGGGAGACGCGTGTTGCAGGGTGGGAGGGAGGGAGAGCTGAAGCCTCGCTGTCTCTCGGGAAGTCAGCAGGACGTCCGAGCGCTCAAGTCCAGAAGGAGCCACAGAATGTGTATTCCAGAGAAATGCAGTTAATACCGACATGATCGGCTGAGAGGTGAACATGGTGGACTCTGGAGAGAAAGGAAGGAAATGAGAAGTGTGGAGACCGCTGTTCCCTGACACACCCCACAGAATTCCTGGGCTCTTAACTCATGTGCATGTAAATCTAAAGTTAAAAAGAGAAAAGTCCAGGTCACGCCGCTTGCTGCCAGAGAGGGCTGTCCCCTCCCCATTCTCCAGATGAGGAGCAAGGGTGTGCCCGCAGTGTCAGCAGACCCTTGACGTGGACCCCACGACGCGCCCTCGCTCCTGTGACCGTGCGTGGGGTGAGGAGTTGGGGGTGTTCCCGTGGTGTCAGCAGACCCTTGACGTGGACCCCACGACGCGCCCTCGCTCCTGTGACCGTGCGTGGGGTGAGGAGTTGGGGGTGTTCCCACAGCATCAGCAGACCCTTGACATGGACCCCATGATGCGCCCTCGCTCCTGTGACCGTGGGTGGGGTGAGGAGTTGGGGGTGTTCCCGTGGTGTCAGCAGACCCTTGACGTGGACCCCACGACGCGCCCTCGCTCCTGTGACCGTGGGTAGGCTGCCTGCACAGTCCCTGCAAAGGGTGAGATGGCAGGTGTGAGCCTGAGACAGAGACGGATGCTCCTCCCCGGCCTGGCTGGCCCTGAGCATGGGTTAGGGGTGGGTCTCCTGGGTCACGAGAGAGACCAGGGTAAGTTGTGAGGGCTTCAGGCCAGCAGGTCTGCAGATGGCAGGCCTGTCACTGGCTTAAGGGGGAGCCGCGTGGCCTGAGACAGCGCCCAGTGTCCCACCAGGAAGCAAGTCCCAGGGGAGTCCCCTCACACCCTGATCACCCAGCATCTCGGGGGTCAGCAGATGTCTCTTCCTGCTCTGGGGAATCAGGGCCCCCAAGGAACAAGGTGAAGGGGATGTGACGGTGGGACGAAGCAAGGGGACACGTGGCAGTGGGGTGGGCGAGGGGACGCAGCGGTGAGGTGGGGTGAGCGGACACGGTGGTGGGATGGGGTGAGGGGACGTGGCAGTGGGGACGGGGCGAGGGGACGTGGCAGTGGGGGATGGGGCGAGGGGACGTGGCAGTGGGGGATGGGGCGAGGGGACGTGGCAGTGGGGACGGGGCGAGGGGACGTGGCAGTGGGGACGGGGCGAGGGGACGTGGCACTGGGGGATGGGGCGAGGGGACGTGGCACTGGGGGATGGGGCGAGGGGACCTGGCACTGGGGACGGGGCGAGGGGACATGGCATTGGGGGATGGGGCGAGGTGACGTGGCATCGGGGACTGTGCGAGGGGACGTGGCAGTGGGGACGGGGCGAGGGGACGTGGCAGTGGGGACGGGGCGAGGGGACGTGGCAGTGTGGACGTGGTGGTGGGATGTGGCAGTAGGGGACGGGATGAGGGGTTGTGGCAGTGGGGACGGGATGAGGGGACGTGGCAGTGGGGGCAGGGCGAGGGGACGTGGCAGTGGGGACGGGGCGAGGGGACGTGGCAGTGTGGACGTGGTGGTGGGATGTGGCAGTAGGGGACGGGATGAGGGGTTGTGGCAGTGGGGACGGGATGAGGGGACGTGGCAGTGGGGACGGGGCGAGGGGACGTGGCAGTGGGGGACGGGGCGAGGGGACGTGGCAGTGTGGACGTGGTGGTGGGATGTGGCAGTAGGGGACGGGATGAGGGGTTGTGGCAGTGGGGACGGGATGAGGGGACGTGGCAGTGGGGACGGGGCAGGGGACGTGGCAGTGGGGACGGGGCGAGGGGACGTGGCAGTGGGGACGGGGCGAGGGGACGTGGCAGTGGGGACGGGGCGAGGGGACGTGGCAGTGGGGGATGGGCGAGGGGACGTGGCAGCGGGGCTGCAGAGTCAAGAGCTCCCTTTCGTGTTTGCCACGGCTTCCCCAAGGGCTGTCTCTGGTGTGGGCCCCAGACCTCCGGTCAGAGAAGACACAGAAACACATAAAGAGGCCCCTGCTCTCGGGGATCTGAGTCCCTGCTCGGAAGTTCAGGCAGGAACACCCTTGTGATTTTCCTGGTGTCTTTGACAAGGCAGTCACTAAACAACCCTTGCCATCGGCACGGGCCCTTGGCGGATAGGAGCCCCAAAGCCCGGCCTCCCGTGCTGGCTCTGACTCCTCACTCAGCCCCCCTGCCACGTCCAGGCTGGGCCAGGGAGATTGTTAATTGCAGCTTAATTAGGGAATGCATTAATATTAAAATAATCTTAGCAGCACATTGAAGGTGATCAAATTTGTCACTGCCTGTGTGGGCACAGCTGATCCTAGAGGTGTCTTTGGGGAGGAGGGAGGCAGGGGGAGGATGGAGGAGCGAGGAAGAGGGAGAAGAGATACCAGGGAGGAGAAGGGAGGAGGTGGAAGAAAAGAGGGGAGGCCCGGGAGGGGAGGAGGGAGGGGAAGATGGTTGGCCACAGAGTTGCTCTGCCTGGAATCCACCTGCTCGGCCTCAGGGAGGAGGGTGCCCTCGAGGGGAGGCCTGGTTTGGTGTCCCTGCCTGGGCTGAGGACGGGAGCAGTGACTGCCTTTCTGTTGCGTCCTGTGCACTGCTTCTGTCTGTATCGGCGCGTGTCCTCTGCAGTCTCAGGACTCACACTTTTCCTGCTTGGCTGGCGCTGGCCCCACAGGTGGCCTCAGTGAGGTGCCCTAATGGCTGCTCCGTGGACCACCAGGACAAGCACTGTGGAGAGCTACCCATTGGCCTGGCAGTGCCAAGCCAGCTGTGCCCTCCCACGGCCAGAAATCAGTGCCCAGCTCTCACGTGGCACAGGCCTGTGTTTACGTCATGCCCCCACCCCGTGCCACCTGGGCAGGGCCGCCACCTGCCCACGCCTCTGTTTGCTCAGTACAAACACCGTGCAATGCCGACAGCTGAGCGGTTCAAATGGGATGGGGGTGCAGGGGCTCCAGCCCTGTTCGGCAGTTAGTGGGAGTTGGAGAAGAAGGGCTGGCGTCTGAAGTGCAGGACCATGCCTGTTTGGCCCAGTCCTGTGCCAAGCTGAGATCGTCTGCCTGGGTCCTGCCATCTAGGGACCTGCAGGTCATGGGGAACAGTCTCAGGTGTGGCAGGAGTTCCGTCGTGGGCTCCTCTAGGGACCGGTGGGTCGTGGGGAGCAGTGTCAAGTGTGGCAATTCTGTCGTGGGCTCCTCTAGGGACTGGTGGGTGGTGGGGAGCAGTGTCTGGCGTGGCAGGAGTTCCGTCGTGGGCTCCTCTAGGGACCGGCGGGTCGTCGGGAGCAGTGTCAGGTGTGGCAGTTCTGTCGTGGGCTCCTCTAGGGACTGGCGGGTGGTGGGGAGCAGTGTCTGGCGTGGCAGGAGTTCCGTCGTGGGCTCCTTTAGGGACCGGCGGGTGGTGGGGAACAGTCTCAGGCGTGGCGGGAGTTCCGTCATGGGCTCCTCTAGGGACCGGCGGGTCGTGGGGAGCAGCAGCAGGTGTGGCAGGTGTTCCGTCGTGGGCTCCGACTGTAGTGCTGGAGACAGAAGTGATGTGACGTCAGCCAAGGCCTCGGGCACGAGCTGGTGGCTCTCCACTGTCTGGAGAAGTAGCTGCCCCCCACGTGCTGCTTGGTGCTGCCTATTTTTTAATTGAATTGTTAGTATTGAGTTTGGGGTGAATCCAAGTTGAGTATATAGCTGATAAATATCTTCTCCCAGCCCGTGACGAGCCTCTTCATTTTCTGACCCTGTGTTCCTCGGAGCAAATGCTTTTCATCTGGGTGCATGCTGATGATCAGGTTTTCTTTTATAGGGGTCAGATCCAGAAACTCTCTGCATAACTCCAGGCCAAACATATTTTTTCTTGTTTTCTACTAAAAGGTTTTAAGTTCACATTTAAATCTGTGACCCATTTTGAGTTAGTTTTTGCCCATGGTGTGAGCTTGAGTTCAAGCTACTTTTCTTTTTTGTTTTTATATGGATGTCCAATTGTGCCATTATTATTGAACTGACTGTCCTGCCACCATTGAATTATGTTTGCACCTTTGTCCAAAACCAGTTGGCCATGCGTTATGGGGGTCTCTTTCTACACCTTCTCTTCTGTTCCCTTGATCTAAGCGTCTGTTCCTTTGCTGTTAATAACACCCCACGGTATTGATTACTGTAGCTTCGTAGTAAGTCTCGAAATCAGCAGCACAATCCCCCACTTTATGGACAAGATTTACATTCAGCTTGTCTTTACCTGCAAAACGCCTGCTCAGATTTTTAGAGGAATTACTGCATCTGTCAGTCAGTCTGGGGAGCATCTACATCTTGGTTGCAGTGAGTCTTCCGATACATGAACACAATGTAGCTCTCCATTTATTTACGTTCTTCTTATTTTCTTTCATCCACATTTTGTGGTTTTCACCGTACCCACCCACCCCTTTTTTGTTAGAAATACACATGGTTTTGTTGGTTTTATTGTTAGTGTTGGAGCTATGTAATTATTTGTAGGCTTGTTTTTATGGGTCCCAGGTGTTCAGTGCGTGTGTGTAGATGTATGACGGATGTTTATGCTGGCTTTGTAACCCATGACCTTGCTGAACTCACTTCTTACATCTGGGTTAGTTGCTGTTTTGATTTTGTTTTCTAATCCTTTGCAGTCATAGCACCTGTGAATAGGGACAGTTTTGCTTATTTTGTTAAGATCCATATGTCTTCTATTTTGTTTTCTTGCTGTGTTGCCCTGTCTAGGACCTTAGTATGGTGCTGAGTAGGAGATGGGGCAACAGAGATCCTGGCCTTTCTCCTCACCTTGCAGGGAGAGCAGTCCATCCTCCTCCATGAGGCGTGCTGCTAGCTGCAGTTTATTTGTGGTTTTTCCTTATCAAGCTGAAAACGCTCTTTCCATTCTTAGTTTGCTGAGAGTGTTTATCATGTAGGATGTTGGCGTCTGTCAGATGCTTTTCCTGCATCAATTGATGGGATCGTATGTTTTTTTTCCCTTACACCGTTAGTGTGATTGACAGTGTGTCATTGTGATTTTTTTGGGAAGTTTCCAACGTTGAGCCAACTCTGCATTCCTGGAATAAACCCCCCCCTTGGTTATGGCATAGTATTTTTACATGTTGCTGAGTTCATCTTGCTGACATCGTCAGTAATCTTCACGTCTGTGTTCATATTGGTCTGTAGCTTTCTTGTACTGCCCTTGTCTGGTTGTAGTATACACGTAATGAATGAAGTGAATTGGAAGTATTCCCCCTTTTATGTCCTAGAGGAGATTATATAGAATTGGTGTTACTTCTTTAAATGTTTTGTAGAATTTGCTGGTGAAACCATCTGGGCCTAGGGATTGTGGTTGTGGCAGGTTCTAATCATTACAGGAATAGTGAGTTCTTTCATCTCAGCTGAATGTTGGTAGAATGTAGGTTTTGGGGTTTTTTTTATTGTGAGGAACTGGTTCATTATATCTGTGATCAAATGTATGAGCAGTGAATTGTCTGTGCTCTTGCCTCGCTGATTTTATCGTGCCTGCTGGGTTCGTAGCGGTACTCCTTCCTTCCTGATACTGGTCGTTTATGTCTTTTTTTTTCTTTTTTCTTTTTTTGTCTGTTAGCCTTTCTGGAGATGTATAAATTTCACTGATCTCCTTAGAGACCTAGTTTTTGGTTTCATTGATATTTTGCTGTTGTAGTTTTGTGTTTCCTTCCTTCTGCCTGCTTTAGTTTTAGTTTGCTCTCCTTTTTTTCTGGCCTCTTCAGGTGGAAGATTAGATTGCATATTTGAGATCTTTTCTGCTTTCCAACGTAAGCGTTCCGTGTTAGAAATTTGCATCTGAGTGCTGCATTAGCAGCATTTCACACATTTTGATAATGTTGTATTTTTATGTGTGTTCAGTTCAAAACATTTTCAAATTTCCATTAAGATGTACCATAGTTTGAACGTGGCCTCCAAAGTCCACGTGTTGGAAACTTCATCCCAGAGTGATGGTGTTGGGAGGTGGGGCCTCCTGGGAGGCGTTGAGGTCACGTGGGCTCCACCTTGGTGAGTGGATTCGTGCTGTTGTAAAAGGGGCTTCTGTTAGTTGGCTCTCTGTATCTGCCCTCCTGCCGTCCACCATGTGATGGCGCCTCAGGAAAGCCCTTGCCAGAAGCTGGTGCCTTGATCTCGGACTTGCCAGCCTCCAGAACTGTGAGCCTATAAACTTCGGGTCGTTATAAATTAATCTCAGGTATTCTGTGATAGCGCCGCCAATAGACTAGGATGCCTGCTGTGATCCATACAGATTTAGAAGGATGCTTTTTAATTTCAAAGTGTCTCTCCCTGATTTTCTGGGTAATTTCTGTTCAATTTCATTATGTTGAGGGAACGCACTTTCTACGATTCACTTTCTTTGCAATTTAAAGTTTATTTGGTAGCTGATAATTTGATAACCTCAAAATGTCCCATGTGCACCTGATAGGTATGTGTGTTCTGCCGATTAATAGATGTGTTTTGGCCATTTATAGTTAATGTAATTTTTTATGCATTTGGATTTAGGTACATTTTATGATTAGTTTTCTGTTTGTCCTCCATTTTTTATTCCCGTTTTCTCTTTCCTACCTATTTCAGGTTATTTGGCCTTTTTTATACTCCATTTTGATGTATCTATGTCTTTATTATATCTATTTGTATACTTTTAAAGTGATTTTTCTGTGGTTTACAATGTGCAAGCTTAACATTTCACGGTGCACTTATAATTCATATTTTATCATTTCAGGTGGAAACGTCAGGATTTCACCACGACGTAGGCTTCTCCCTGCCTCCCTTTATGTTGTAGTAGTCCTATGTACTTACTCTCTATATGTGGAAAACCCCACCAAGAAATATTACAATTCTTGCTCTTAACTGTCATGCCTATTTTATAAAACATAAGAGGCAAAAAGTAGTTTGTGGTTTTGCCTCTTCCTTCTTTCCTGGCGTTCCTGGGTTCCCCTGGGATCATTTCTGGTTTGGCAGGACTTCCTTCGGGGCTTCTTTAGAGTAGGTTCTCTCAGCGTTTGCTTGCCCAGCAGTGTCCTCACCCCACCTCGTTACTGAAGGATACCATTGCTGGATGTGGGGTTCTGGGAGAGTGGTTCTTGTCTCCTAGCACTTTAAAAATCGACACTGTTTCCCCATCTTCTGGCTTCTGTGGTTTCTGATGAGCAACCTGCAGTCACTCAAAGAAATCTCCCCTTTCCCCTCCGTGCAGATGAGAGAGGCTTTCAGACACTCCAAGTGTGGTGGTGTTTTAAGTTAAAGGACGGGAAGGAATTCATGTGCCCACATTGTCTGCTGGGTTCCAGCGTGTGTGGGTGTAATGCCTGCCACCCTGCCGCGAGAAGGACTCCTGTGGTGATGTGCTTTCTACACCAAGCTTAGTGGCACGGCATCATCTCTAAGATACTGTGAAAAGTTAAGTCTGTGTTTTCCAATCACTTGCTTCTTGGAGCGTCTTTAAAATCTCACTCGATAATTCCAGCATCTCCGTCATCTTGGCGCCTGTTGGTCGTGTTTTCCCTGGCAGGTTTCTGTTTTCCCGGTTCTTTTCATGCTGCTTAATTTTAGATTGCATTCTGGATGTTTTGAATATCCCGAGATTCTAGGTCTTTCTTAAGTTCTCTGGAGAATGTAAATTTCTGTTGGTTTCAGCATTTCCTGATGGCACTTCCATTTCAGGCTCTTTGCCGAGTTTCCCAGGCCATTGAACCTTGTGTCCTCCACAGTCCTGGCTGGGTCCTGGTGTGGTCTAGCTCAGAGTCCAACTCTCACACCTGTGGGGTGCTGATTAGGGTCAGAGCCCCATGCCCAGCTTAGAGGGCACCTTCCAGAGCCACTCTGAGCACCCAGCACTTCCCAGGTGACCCAGGGTTCCCTTCACTGCCTTCTGGCCACAGAGCCAGGCAAGGCTTGCCCACTGTGCTGTGCAGTCAGTCCCACGGCCACAGCCGCCTTCACGGCCAACGCCAGCCACAGCGTTGGAACAGGGCAGGACATGCCCCACGCACCCTGTCTGGAGGGAGGGGCCCACTCTTGGGCTCTAGGCGTCTGTCCAGCTGTGGCTGTACCTCCGCAGGATTGCCCGGGTGCCGGGGCGGAAGAGCGCGGGGTTGCCCGGCTGCCGGGGCGGAAGAGCGCGGGGGTGCCAGGGTGCCGGGGCGGAAGAGCGCAGGATTGCCTGGGTGTCAGGGTAGAAGAGGATGGAGACAGACAGAATTTCCCACACTGCCTCTCAGGCTTCTCTTGACAAGCTGTGTGCGTCTTGTGCTCACTCCCAGGTTTTAGGGGTCCCCAAGTCCAGACTGGGTAGCACCAGGGCAAACACCCAACCAGTGACAGAAACTCCAGCAAGCTTCAACCACAGACTGCAGAACTCACCCAGTATGAAATAGATCGTCTCATTAATCCTAGAACCATTAAATAACTGAATCCACAATCAAAAAGCTTCCAAAAAAGGATATCTCCAGGCCCAGATGGTTTTCTGGTGAATTCTACCAAACACTTAAAGAAAACTTAGCACCAATTTGCCAAAACTCTCCAAGAAAACAGAAGAGGGAGCACTTCCCAACTCACTCTGTGAAGCAAGCATTTACCCCAACTTCAAAACCAGTGGCAAAACTGAAGAACACTGCGGGGCTATTTTCTGTTTTCTGAGAGTGCAAGGCTGGGTTGGTGTCGAGCGTCAGCTGGTACAATCCATCGCGTCAGCTCGCCAAAAGGAAAAATTACATGGCCAAACCAACGGATGCACAAATGCAGTCAGCGAGGCCCAACACACGTTCATGGGGAAACTCGGCAAACCAGGAGAAGCCGAGAACCCCCAAGTTTGCCAAAGAGCATCTGCAGAAACCGTGCAGCTCACCGCAGACCTGGCTGGTGAGGGACTGGGAAACGCCGACTCAGGCAGAGGCCTTCCCTCTCACCGCCTTGGTCCATGTCCCAGAGCCCCAGATGGGCAGCAGGGTGAGGAGGTCGAAGGCACACGGACTGGAAAGGCAGGACCGACCCTTTTCCTCTTCACAGGTGGCGTGATTATGTCGAAAATCACAAGATAAAAACGAGTCGAGCGAGTTCACCCGGGATTTCTGTGTGTGGCTCTTGTATCCTGCAACCTTGCTGAGCTCACTTTATGAGAAATATGTCCGTGTGTCTGTGTAGTTCTGTAAATATTACACAATAGCAGTGCACATGTGGAAACCGAAATTAAAAACATGCCGTTTCTGTTCACTCTTCTGAAGATGAAATCTGCAGGCATCACTAACACCACAGCACGCCGACAACGGCAAGCTGCTGAGGCGAGGCGTGGGAGGTCTGTGTGAATGGAGACTCTGCCTTCGTGGCTCGTGGGGTGCAGCGCAGTAAAGACGCGGCGCGGCCAGGTCCAGCTGCATGTCTCTCGCAGCTGGAAGCAGGGCGCTCGCCGCTGGGCTGGTGATGCTAGTGGTTCTGGGTTCCGACCTCAGCCCGCCTGCAGCCTGTGGCTCTCCAGGTCTGTAGTCGGCTGCTGGCTGCACTCCCTCCATCGTCAGAGCTGCCTCAGGGAGAGACAGGGCTGATTGGTTTCTTCATCTTTCCCAGAACCTGAACCCCTCGTCTTCAGGTTCTCTCTTATCTGTTAATTCCGTTGCTTTTAAGCTTAGTAAGTACTTTAGTGATTTGATAAATAATTCTATTTTCTTCTGGGCTCTTTGAGCTTATTTTTATATTTAAAGATTTAATCTACTTGAAACTTATTTTGGTGTATGGTATGAGGTCGAGATCTAAATTGATTTTTTTTCCAGATCACTAAACAATTGCCCTAGGGCCATTTATCTCAGAATCCTTCCTTCCCCGTAGATTTATACCTTCATCTTTATTAAAACTTAGGCAAAATCGGGTCTGTATTCAGATCTTTTGTTTTTTTTAATTTCATTTATCCTTTTTTTTGACTTAAAGGTTTTCTTACCTGTTTATTATTCTAAGTTAATTTTAGAATTACTTTGTCACGGCCAGGCGCGGTGGCTCATGCCTGTAATCCCAGCACTGAGGCTGAGGCGGGTGGATCACCTGAGGTCGGGAGTTCAAGACCAGCCTGGCCAACAAGGTGAAACCCTGTCTCTACTAAAAACACAAAACGCCAGGCGTGGCGGGAGGGTGTCTGTAGTCCCAGCTACAGGTACTATAGATGCTGAGGTGGGAGAATCGCCTGAACCTGGGGGATGGAGGTTGCAGTAAGCCAAAATCACACCATTGCACTCCAGCCTGGGCAACAGAGATAGACCCTGTCTCCAAAAAGAAAAAAAAAAAAAGAATTAGTCAAATTCAAAAAAAAGGTATCAAGGTTTTATTTTTTACTGAAATTACACTGAAGTTATAGGTTAATCTAGTGGAAGAATCTTTGGCTTTCCAGCGTCTGTGTCTGAGCAGGGAAGGGCGCCTCAGGGCCGCCTCCCTCACCGATACCACGTCTCAGACCCGCAGCGTGCCGGGGTTCCCTTTGCAGGCTCCGGTCCAGGCAGGAGTGTGTCATCTGGGCTGCCATCTGCTGGGCAGGGGTCCTGAGTCCCCACTGCTGGCTCCAGGCCGCCTCTCCGCCCTCTTCCCACCTCCCCACCCTCTCTTTGGGTTGCCTGTCTCGTCGTCTCCAGGGCTCAGAGCCGAGCTTTGCAGGAGGAGCAGGGAACATGAATCTGCACCCTTTTCTGTCTGGACCGGATGTCCCGTGAATCTTTTTTATTCAGTCAATGAAGATTAGGGTTTTTTGCTGTCGGTTTTTAAATGGATACACAGTGTTCGTGCATCGTTATGGGGTGTAGGTGATGTTGTCTTGCATGCCCAGAATGGGCAGTGGCCACACAGGGGTATTTGGGGTATCCGTCACCTCATGGACTGGTCATTTCTAAGTGTTGGGAAGACCTCCTGTCCTCTCTTCTCACTGTTTTAAAGTAGACAGCACATGTGGCTGACTGTAGTCCGCCCCCACTCGGCTGTGGAACGTGAGGTCTTACTCCTTCCATCTGGCTGTGCGTCTGTACCCACTGACCAGCCTCCGTTCATCCCCGCCCACCCCACACCTGCACCCTCCTTCTCCCCCAACTCCATGCGATGGGTTCCCCCCGCTCCCGTGGGTGAGAGCGTGCAGCGGGTCTTCCTGTTTTAACCACTTCCCTTGGTGCCTCTGAGGAATCGCTGGGTCCACAACACAGTGTGAGGCTGCCACGGCAGCCGAGTCTCCCCGACTTTCTCTGCCCCTGCTCCTCCCACACACTGTCGCTGCTCCATCTGCAGACAACACAGCCCCGGGCGAGCTTACTGGGCAGGGTTCTGCCGAAACACAGAACTCGTAGAATGTGTGTACACACGCACATGCACACGCACGCACGCACGCACACGGAGATGCTTGTTACAGGGAGTTGGCTCACGCAATGACAGGCAAGTCCCGAGAGCTGCAGGGTTGGGGGCAAGCCGGGGACCCAGGAGCACTCATGTACTGGGGAAGGACAGGGATGCTGGGCCCACACAGCCCCGGCTTCTGACTCTGGGGGTTGCTGTCTCCTAACGCTGCTGCAGCCCTGCTGTGCGCCCTCCTGGGGACCTCCGTGTCACTGGGGACCTCCGTGTCACTGGAGCTGTTGGCACTGGCCCTCTATAAGCGTTGGGTGGACTGGAGGAGGGGTGTGGGTAAGGCTGACTCCGCCCTGCCACCCCTGGGCACTTTGCAACTTCAGCTCCCTCCCCAGAGTCATCTGCAGTTTCTTTTTGTTGATCAAAGTTAAATTTCAGTTCCAAAGCAAAGTTGCTCCTGAGCTGATGGAGGAGGGGTTGCCACACACTGTCAGCTGTTTTGGACTTGGGCCATGGTCCCAGCTCTGCACCAGCAGCCATGTGACCTTGGGTTCAGCTCTCTCAGCTCTGACATGTGGCTCACTCCAATCACGGTCATTGTGGAGGGTGTGTTTATAGCAGAGGCACCGCTGGCCCATGATGTGTGCTCAGCATGATGGTGATGGCGACGATGGCGGCTGTGGCCTGAGCCCATTGGCCTCTGGGCCCGTGCAGGAGCCCATTTGGTAGAAGCTGAGCCAGGCTGGTGGGTAGAGAAACAAAAGTGGCTCCCAATGAGCCCATTCCCCAGTGCGGTCCTCCCTTTGTGTGGTAGGTCCCCAGCGAGGACGGCAGGCTTGGCTTTACAGTTCTGCCTTCAGTGCCAGCCACCTGGACCTCCTGCACCAGGTCAGGGAGAGAAGGCAGAGGAGACCTTGCAGGCTGCAGGTGTCCCTGGCTCCAACACACCGTGTGTCCATCTGAGGCCGGGGCAGCCGTGTTGGACGGCCTGGGAGCCTGAGGTCAGAAGGCTTGGATGGAGGTCCTGCTCCACGTCGTAACAGTTGGGGGTCTGGGTGGACCCTTTTCTCTCTGCATCTCAGCTTCCCCATTTGAGAAACGGGACCACCGGCCCAGGTCCTGGGGCAGTTGTGAGCGTCTGTCCCCGCACCAAGGGTGAGCGTGACAGGCGGACGATCTCTGCAGACTCCTGGGACTGAACGATAGGAGGAGGTCCCTGTCCTTGCTGGGGAGGGGCCGGATCACGGCGGCATGGGCCGGAGGGAACTGCCCTGCTGGCAAGAGCCGCCAGAGCCTGGGGTGACCCAGAGACAGGACGGGTGTTGGAAGGATCAGTGCCCCTGCCCTGCCACGTGCTCTCACCCTGTGCACTCATTGAGGCGCCCTGTAGAGAGGGGAGGGGAGGGGAGGGGGGCTGGGGCCAGGAGTAGCCACAGCACCAGTCGCCCTGGGGCCGGGAGCTGTGGTCTCCTCAGGTGGGCCCAAGTGCAGTCCAGGTGGGGCAGTGGCCTCAGAGCACAGTGGCTTTGCTGAAGGCTGGCTGGCACTCCAGTTAAACACCCTAGGCCCTTCTCTCCATGCTGTTCTTTGGTGTTGGTGTTGGGTAATAAAGGCCAGCACCATTAATTAGGTGTGTAATTAGAGTTGTAAAGGAATCATGGGATTTAATCACAGGGTTTGCAGGTGAGCGGGGTAGAGGAAGGGTACCACCCTCTGTGCTGGGCACACCCGCCTGGCTGCCTGCAAACAGATCCTCCCTGGACTGGGCGCCCCCCATGCCGTGGACCCGGCCTGGGCCTCGGAGCTCCTGGGCAGTGCGGAGGGCTGAAGCACCGTCCCCAGTGGCGTGACTGCGGTTGTGTGTTGGGAACATGCTCGGGGGCCCCAAGACGGAGCCGAGGGAGGATCCAGACAGACGCTCCCAGAACCAGGTTCTGCAGCACCAGTGAGAAGTCAGCAGAGGTGTGGGGAGGGGACTGCGCTGGGGCTGAGGTCCCAGGGCTGGGACACAGGTGGGCCTCACTGCAGCAGGGCCAGAGACCAGGCTGGGGCGGTCCCCACTGGGCCATCGTGGGGCTTCTGGGCTCCATCCTGAGGGTCACACAGAGCCTCGGAGGCATTCTGTCAATTTGGAAGGTGGCCTGGCTGCAGAGTGGAGCACGGTCCGGGGCAGGCTGAGCCGGGCGCTGGCCGTGGACTGGGCAGAGGTGCTGGTCTGCGAGGTGGGGTGTGATATGTGGGCCCACGATTCAGGTTGTAGGGATACAGCGCTGCCTGGGCCCCTCCCCAGCCCCACATCTAGTCTGCTGGGCTCTGGGCTGAACCACAGGGTGGGGCCTGATGCAACACAGTCAGGGCCGCCCTCCGTCCCCGCTAGCCCTTCTCTTTGCTGCTCTGGGGGCTTTGTCTTCCTGGGGAACCAGAGATAGGTAAGAATGTTCCTGGCACAGCCAGGTGGCCCCACCCTTCCTGCTGTGTCTGGCAGAAGTGCCCAGGATGACTTCTCTGTCCTGGCTGTGCACGGCCACACGCCCGGGCAGCGTGTGCCAGCCACAGGGACTGCTGAGGAGCCCTCTTGCTCTTGCTACGGTCCCCAGCCGTGGCAAGCAGCTCCGTCGCCGCGACACCCTTCTTCTCTCCTCTTTCTTTCTGGCACGTCTGTAAACTTTGCTTGTAACTCAAGCCAAGTACCCAATTAGGGATTTCTTCACAGTTGCATTTAAACCTGATTGAAGTGGGAGCTCTTCAGTGCCTGACACATCCAACAGGCGCTTCCCCTGAGCCCCGGCCAGGCGGTGCTGAGGGCGGAGAGGGGCGGCGCTGCTGGGAGCTCTGGCTGTCTGGAGGGGAGGTGCGCCCTTCACCCGGGGTGGGCACCCAGCCCTGTCTCGGCCCCCATGTCCTTATCTCTGGTCAGGGGTGTGGCCCCTCATGCCCCAGGCTGTCATGAGGCTCCTGTGAGCACAGCGCACGTGTGCAGGGCTGGGTGGTCTGCATGCTAGGTGGGCAGCCGAGCGGGAGGCCCATGTGCTGGCAGTGCAGGGCGGGTGGCTCCATGCCGCGGCTCCCTCGCTGGACCCCAGCGCCAAGCCCACACTGTTCTGTCCGTGTGTGTTCTGAGCATCGCCTGGACGCTCGGCCCTGGGGCACATGGATGGAGGGAACTGGGTGCCTGGTCCAGGGAGGGTAACCAACCTCGAGCTGTGGGCATCCTTGTCCTGGAAAAGCAGGAGGAAAACTGCAGTGGGGAGTGGAGGACATTCCTGTCACAAGATGCTGTGATGACTGGAGGACACTGGAGAAGCCGTGTCCTCTGCCAGCCCCAGCCTCGGTTCTCGTTGGCATGGGAGATGTGCCAGGGTCGTGCCTCGTAGGTGAATGGGGGTGCCCTGGTCTCGCTTCTCGCTGGCTCGGGAGATGCGCCAGGGTCGTGCCTGGTAGGCAAATGGGGGTGCCCGGGCTGTTCATGCAGTGGAGTTCCTGGGAGCCCAGCCTGGCCCCCACCGTGGGATCGGGACTACTGTCATTTCTACTCATGAGGGAGGGGAGCTGCAGGGAGGCAACAAGACACCCGCAGCACAGGGCATGGACACGAATTCATCTCCCCGCCAGTGATCATCCCCCAGGCCTGGCCTGGGCAGCTGCTGACTCCCTTGCAGGGCCTGGAGGGTATGCGTAGTCCGAGGGGCTAAGTCGAGTCCCTTCCTTGAGGGCTCACTGTCTGCTGGGCGTGTGTCCCCGCCTCCCCCGCCATGCCTCATGCTCTGGCGTGTGACTTGCTCCTCTCTCTATACCGCCCAGCGTGCTGTCCCCGCCTCGTGCCATGACGTGTGTTTTGCTCCTCTTTCTGTACTGCCCAGCGTGCTGCCTAGCACAGACGGACCACAATTCACTCATCCAGTCCTCAGCTGAGGGACGTCTGGGTGGTTCCACTTTTTGGCTGTCATGAGTCATGCTGTGGACGTTGTGGACGTTTGGGTACAAGTCTTTGTGTGGATACAGTTTTCGTTCCTCCAGACGGGAGGGGAATTTCCACATTCTAGGGAGGAGAGGAGCTGCCTTACGGTTTCCGAGGCGGCTTCACCCGTTTGCATGTCCCACGTGAGGCTCCAGGGGCCCCACACCCTCCCGGTGTTGGTGGCATCTCTCTTTCTGACCACAGCCCCACTGGTGGGTGCGGAGTGTGTGGGGATGCCTGCACTTCCTCACAGGTGAGGATGATGGGCACCGACGTGGCTTGTTAGCCTCTCCTAGGTCATCTTCTGCAAAATACCTACTTAAATCCCTGCCATTTTCGACTGGATTGTGTTCTCATCATTTTCTCAATGCTTTCTTTTGATAAGCAGTTTTAAATCTCGATGAAGTATAACGAATCACTTTTTCCTGTGGTAGTGATGGTGGTAGTGCTTTGTCCCAAGAATTCCCTGCTGACCCCAGTGTTGAATCGACCTTAGACTAAGCCCCTTATCCCGCTGGTTCTGTTCGTGGCGTGAGGGGAGGTCCACATCTCACTGTCTCCGTGTGGACATTGGGTCGTTTTGGCCCCGCTGGCGGAAAAGACTTTTCTTTCCCCGTGGAGTTGCTTTCACTTGCTTTTTGAAAAGCACTCAACGCTGAACATTTCGTCCTGGCTGTCTTCTGTGCCGGCGACACATTTGCTTGTACCCGCAGCAGTCCCACGCAGCCGACCATCGGTCCTTCCTTGACTGTGAGACTTGGAGGCAGGCAGCGTGCGTCCTCCAGCCCGCCGTGGAACACCGCTCCACGTACGTCCCGCGTCGGCCTCCTGTGGCGTTCCTCGCTGCCCCTGACCGTCCTCAGCACCTCTGCCTGCGCCGTCCCCTGGCCCTGCAGCTTTCTGTCCCGGGAAGCGCGTGGCTTTTCCCCTAAGTCTGCCCCAGGTCTCCTTCCCAGCCAGGTGCTGCCAGGACGCCTTTTCGGACCGCAGCCCTCCCCCTCCCATCTCCCCGTCCCTCCCGGCTGCGGTTCTCTGTAGCACTTCCGCTCCAAGGTGCTACTGTTGCACTTCGTTTATTTTTTATCTGTTTCCCTAGTTGAAAAGCAACATCCATTAGGGCAGGGGGTTCATCTCTCCATACACACTGTGTCCTCAGGGCCTGGGGTGTTACCAGGCGCCCAGCACCTCTCCACACATACCTGCTGGGTGAATGAATAGCTGAGCAGCGCTTCTGAGGACCCTGGCACCAGGGTTGCTCCCAGTGAGACCCCAGTTCCTGCTGCTCTGTGGCCCAGCAGGGAGGGCTCGGCTCTGGAAAACCAGAGGCCCACACTATCCTTAGATGCCACCGCATGAGGCTCCTGTTGCTGCCATGACAAACCAGCACTGACTGAGTTACTCAACACAGCAGGGCCGGCGCGGCACTCATGCCTGTCATCCCAACGCTTTGGGAGGCCCAGGTACAGGGGATTGCCAGAGGCTCGGTTGGAGACCAGCCTGGGCAGCATAGCAAGACCCTATTTATAAAAATAATAATAATAATTAGCCGGGTGTGGTAGCACCTGCCTGTAATCCCAGCTACTCTGGAGGCTGAGGCAGGACAATGGCTTGGGCCTGGGAGGTCAAGGCCACAGTGAGCTGTGATCGCACCCCTGTTCGCTACCCTGGGCAACATAGTGAGACCTCGTCTCAAAAAAACAAACCAAAAACTCAACACGATGTGATCTCGGGTTCTGGAAGTCACACGTTTCCCTGGGCTAAAGGCCAGGGGTCATCAGGGCCGGTTCGTTTCAGAGGCTCTGGGGAGAATCCACATCCGGCCTTTTCTGGCTCCCAGAAGCACCCACGTGCCTTGGCACACGGCCTTTCCTCCACCCTCAGAGCCGGAGCGCACATCTTCGGATCTCTAGCCGACTTTCCTGCCTCCCTTTCTGACGTGTGAAGACCCGCGTGATTGTAGCGGGCCACCAGGATAATGCAGGAACGCCCGTGGTCTCACCATCCCTGCCCCGGACACATCTGCAGAGTCCCTTCCCACGTGCGGTCCTGGGCCCAGGCATAGCCACCGCTTGCTGATGCCTGTCTGGTCTCCTGCCACCCATCACAGCGCCATCTCCTCCTTCCGACTCCCAGGTCCTGAGGCCTCCAGGCCAGCACTGGCCAGGGGAGGGGGCTGGGAAGAGCCAGTGAGGGCGTGTGGCAGAGTGGAGAGTATGTCCCCCATTGTGGGGTCGGGCCTGGGACCTGGACGCGGTGCCTGGGCTTGCAGGAGAGGAGAGGTGGACAGGCGTGCTGGGGGGGGAGACCTGCCCACGCTGCCCTGGGAGCTTGTCTACCCTCTCCCCCCCCAGCATGGCGTCCAGCAGGACATGGGGCGTTCCCTCCAGCGTGGCCACCCAGGACTCCAAGCAGGGCCCAGGAGGAACTGTGAGGGGGCATGACTGAGTCTGTGGCGTTTCCTGCAGGATTCTTCCCATAGGGGTGAAGTCTGTATGGCGGAGGCAGCCAGGGAGCCTCCCCTCCACTCCCCACGGAATCCGGACGGCCTGCATTGCAGCCCCAGTGGCTCTGCTGTGTCCCCGACCAGCTGCTTCCCTCTCAGCCTCAGCTTTGTCCTGGGGGAGAGGCCACTGGGGGCTGCTCTCCCTCCCCCCATAGCAGCTGTAAATCATGAAATCCTCATGGTGTCAGCCGAGGGCTCCCCCTCCCCGCCACTTCTAGAGCCAGAGCCCCTGCGAGGTCCCAGGTTGCTGACCCCACGCCAACCCCCAGGACGCCAGGGCCATCTCCAGGACCTGGGGGAGCAAGGGGCCTGGCTGCCGCTACAGCTCCCAGAAGGTAAAGCCTTTGGCCTCAGAGAGCCTCCCCCGACGGTTCCCTTCTCCAGGCCGGGCGTGCACGCGCGGATTCCTCCTCATGCAGAGCCCGTCTGCCCTGATGGATCCCCCACCCCACGCCACCCCAGGCCGCTTCCTCCGGGTGGAGTGCTCCTCAGCACTCAGGGGTCCTCCCTGCACCCACCCCGCCCAGAACCCTGCTCCTTGCCCCTCTCCTTCCAGAGCCCTGTGTCTGGCTGCTCCAATTACTGGAGCAGTTCCGTGTCCTCTTCCCGAGTCTCCTGCTATCTGAAGAGTTCATTACATAGGAATCCGAGGCCTCGCTGCCTACATTAGCAGGTTTTCATAGACTGCCACATCTCCAAAAGGGGAAAAGAGACAGGAGATTTAAAACTCTCGTCTTGCCGAAAGCAGACAGATTGACTCGAAAATGACCCAGTCAATAAAAGATGAGCTCTGGAAAGGCTTCCCTCTTCTCAGAGGGGGCTCGCCTGCCGGGGAGCTGAGGTTCTGCAAGCCTCGGTGGGAAATTAATCATGAACGCGGCATGCAAAGCGGCCGGAGCCCACACAGCCCCGCCCCCACGTCTCCCAGGACCTCGCCGCCGCCACCCCAGGCCTCTCTCCACGGACCAGCTGCTGGGCATGTTCCTGGAGGGAAGCTTCCGGAAACAGATGAGGTGGCCGTGTTCTGTGGTCACGTCTTGACTCGGCTGTGATATCGCTGTGGGGCACTGCTCCCTCTGGAGTGTTTCTGGCTCTGGGAGGTGCGTGCGCGGTGGGCTCCCTGCCTGCACAGGGGCCCTGGCTGTGGGCCTGTGAGGCTGGGTCTGCCTGGAGCTGGTGGGATGAGAGGGGAGTGCTCTGAGGACCGTTCCCCCACTGGTGCAGGGATGGGGAGCACAGGGTCCCGGTGGCTCTGATGCATCGGCGGCAGGGACCGCAGCCCTGCCTGTGCCAGGAGGAGCCGTGAGAGGATGGGCACCCCTTGCCCTCTGTGGGCTGGCATCTCCGTGCAGGGCCTGCAGTCTCTGCAGTGGCCACCCATTCTTATCTCTCCTGGTGCCCACACCTGCCGCCTGCCTCACCTCACCCAAACAGGAGGAGTCACCTCTGACCCCAACTGCTTCCTTTTACCAGAGTTTCTCAGCTCATGTTCCCCAAAAGGATAGGTTAAGTTTTCCTTTTGAGCCACACATGCCCCCATTTGCTGTCTGTCTCTCAGATGGCCATCCTTCATCCAGTCGACAGGGCTGGCCTTGCGGTTTCCACTGCTGACACACACGGAGCTGGCTGGTTCTGGGGTCTGTACCCGCACGCAGGGCCCCTGCCGCCATCTGGACCCCTGCCACCCCAGTTTCCCCCACTTCAGGATTTTGGGTCAGAAGGAAACTATCCCGACAGCTATGTGTACTCCTGCAGACTTCTGGGTTTGGCCATGGTTCCCGTCAGCCCCCAGACCCCCGACAAGTGTCTGAGGGGATGTGGAACCCAGCCCACTCCCACCACTTCTGCCCTGCAGCTGCATGGAGGGCGGGTTGGACAGGTGAGGCCCAGCCCCTGCCTTCAGGCAGCTCACACAGTGAGGGAAGCAGCCCTGCAAAGGTGGCCGCAGCTGGAAAGGCGTGTGTGTGCCGCAGAGGTTCAGACCCAGTCCAGGGGAGAGGGATAGGATGCCCAAGAGGGGCTTCATCTGGAGGTGACGCCGGACTGGAGAGGGTTGGGATGCCCAAGAGGGGCCTCATCTGGAGGTGACGCCAGACTGGAGACGGTTGGGATGCCCAAGAGGGGCCTGTTCTGGAGGTGACGCCGGACTGGAGAGGGTTGGGATGCCCAAGAGGGGCCTCATCTGGAGGTGACGCCGGAGTCTGGCCTTGCAGAAGTTCGCTGGTGAACATCGTCCCCTGGCAGAAGGCAAATGTGCCCGCCACATTGTGGCAGCAGAAATGAGCACCATGCGTTCTGAGTGTGCCTGGGGTGTCTGGGAGGACTGTGGACTTGTAGCGGCAGAGGACAGAACACCTGGGCTGCACACGAGTGACTGTGCTGGGCAATGGCGCTTCCCTTCCGAAGCTGGGCTCTGACTCTGCAAGTGACTGCGCCGGGGGCAGTGCTCCCCTTCCGAAGCTGGGCTCTGCGTCAAAAGAAAGACCCCTGGGGCCTGAGGAGGAGGGAGAGGAGGGTGACAGGAAGTAGAATTTGGACTCTAGTAAAGAAAGACCCCGAGCAGAGGTGGTGCCAGGGAGGGTTGGTGAGGACAGAGCGTTGAAACCTGGTGTCCAGCGGGTGTTGAGTGCTGAATCCAGGAAGGCCGAAGGCAACTCAAGTTGTCTGGCTCAAGGGGTGCGGGGGATGGAGGGAGAGGCGGCCGCCCAGGAGCGGGAACTGTGGGAGTAGCACTTAGACATGAGGCACGCCTGCAGTTATGAATCCTCACGGCTAATCAGGGCTGTGGGCACAGGCAGCTGAGGCCACTTGAAAGGACTGATGCGCCCAGACCAGGCCCCGCCAGGGCCTCCGGTCACGGGATGGGTGCAGGGTTGGGGGTCAGGAGAGAGACACTGTGGCCCCACATCGCCATGCTGGAGCCCATGTCCCGCCTGACTGGCGTCACAGGGAGCCCTCTCCCTGCTTTCTCATCGTCGGTTTCCCCATCCAGAAGGTGGGGACAAACGTAGCCATGCTCCCCAGGGCGGGGCCCGGCTGGGATGGGTGCAGCGAGGCTGCGTGTTCCTGCCCCGGACAGGCACCTACTCAAAGCCCGAGCAGGCTCTCACCTGACGAACGTGTTCCAGGTGGAAGAGAGGCCAGGACACGGGCAAACACGCGATCTCAGATGCTCGTGAGCTCTAGGGAGAAAGCAAATGTGGGGTGCCCAGAAGACCACTGGTGGGGGTGGCCCAGGGAGGCTTTTCTGAACTGAAGCCTGAATGACCAATGGAGACAGCTGCTCAGCCCCCAGGGCAGTGCCCAGCGTGGGCTCCAGCTTTGGCTCCGCGGCGGGTGTTCAAGGGGTCCCCTCAACAGTGCTGGCATCGCAGAGGTGGCCCTGTGCTGACGCGTCGGACGGCTGCTGCGACCAGCCCTCCCTGTAGTCCTGTTGCTGGCCAGAGACCGTGGAGCTGGATTCTGGCCTCCTGCAGGCATCTTTCTGTCCATTCAGCAGGTGCCACGTCCCCCCACATATGCAGGGTGTCCGGAGGATCACTGACACGGGGGCCAATGTCCCTCCTTCCGCCAAGGTTCCGCTGGGCCTCTGCTGCCGAAGGACCCCATGGGGGCTGTGGAGCCTGGTGCCGGGGGAGGGGGCTGTCCCTTGGGGTTCAGCTGCTGTGTTCTCGGTGCTGGGGGAGGATTCTTCTCCAAATATGATATCCGCGCCCGCCTGTCACCCCAGGACTCTCCCACCCCGTAATCTGGTGGCTGTAATTGCTGGTGTCTTTTCATATCAGTTTTGTGCAAGGTGACAAGCTGCTTGCTGGAGTAAGTCGTTAATCACACAAGAGGTGCCCTGTTTGAAAGCTGCACAGAGCTCACCCAGCCAGCGCCTGCCAGGTGGTGGGCCAGGGAGCGGCTCCTCCGTGTGTAATTCCAGGGCGAGTGTCTTCTCACTGGAGCAGAGTGTGCAGTTTCTGCCCAGCAGGGGAACTCATGGCTCATCATGGAGGCCGTGTCTCAAGGGCCGTCTGGTACCAGCAGAGTTGAAGCGACCATCTTCTTGGGGCAGCAGCAGGCCCTGGCTGGCAGGTGGTGGCGTCCCATCCTCCTGTTGCCAAAGCCAGTTCCTGGGGACCATGATGCCTGCCAGCCCCTCGGGCTGGTCTCCGGGAATTTGGATTTGGGGCCGGCAGCCCCTGGGATGAGCCAGGTGGGGCGCTGTGGGGCATGCTGGGGTACGGTTCTCACGGGTGACATCCCGGGGGGTCCCGGCCAGCCTACAGGTGCGTCCCCACCTCCTACAGTCTCTTGCAGAGCCAGCCAGGACCCGGATACAAATCGCACAGCCATAACCACTGCAATGCCCCATGCCCATGGCTGCTAATAAAATTGCATCAATATTTGATGCCTAATTATTAAATATTTAAAAATGTAAAACTGAAATAGTTTAGAAGCTTGCAAAACATGAATAATTCAGTCCCGGGAAGCCTGGCTCGGCATTGGGCCTGGGCAGGACCGGGGCTGCCAGTGCCTGCCAGGGCCCAGAGTACTCTCTGCAGGGACACTCGGGCGGCTCCCCCAGCCCTGGGCCTCCACTGGCTTCCTGTGTCCGCAGCGTGCAGGGGATCCTTGGTCGTCTCTCGTCGAGGTCAGACCTCGGCCTGATGTGGAGGCCTCTGCGTCACCTACTAGTACACCACGCCGGTGTCGGGCTCCTTCAGAGGCTGGTCCCGCTGCTCCGAGTCTGGGCACGTTCCCTCCTGCCCTGTGTTCCCACTGGCACTGAGCATCTGAGAGTCATCTCTGACCCATCAGACCCATCCTAGAGGGAAGATCTGGAGATGCCAATGCTGGCAGCCTCCCAGAAACAGTCCAGCAGGACCCCCTGGGGCCGCTGCTCATGCCAGGCGCCCAGCCGCCGCCAGGGAGACATCTAACGAGAGGTGGGAAATAGACACTTGGGGGAGCCAGGCCGTGTGGTGGGGGTCATGAGAGAAATGCATGCTGGGGGAGTTTCATAATGTTGAGAACAGAGACACGGCTCTGCTACTTCCGGGGAGTGAGAACCAGTCACTTGTAGAAGACCAGAAGTCAGAACGGATTCAGGCTTCTCCACAGCAGTGCTGAGCACTTGAGACCTGAGGGCGATGCCTTCAGCACTGAAAGAGAGGCCGGGTGCGGGGCTCACACCCGTCATCCCAACACTGTGGGAGGCACACATGAGGCCCGCAGGTCAACAACAGCCTGGGCAACATAGAAAGACCCTAAAAATATATATATTAGCCCAGTGTGGTGGTGTGCTCCCTGTGGTCCCAGCTACTTGGGAAGCTGAGGTGGGAGGATTGCTTGAGCCCCGGAGTTCGAGGCTACAGTGAGCCACGATCGCGCCACTGCACTCCAGCCTGGGTGACAGAGTGAGACCCTGTCTCAAAAAACAAAACAAACACAACTGAAGGAGGAGTGTATACAGCCTGGAATTCTGCATCTGGCCAAATTACCCATCAGCTCTGATGGTGAGGTAGAGATGTCTTCAGCCATGCAGGGTTCCAGACATTGTTCCCTGTCTCACGTCATCAGGGACCTGCTGAAGGGTATGATCGCGAGAGTTGCGGGGCAGCTGCAGCCCTGAGCCAGGTGGTCCCCAGTTCCAGCTGCAGCAGCCTGGACAGACTTGCTGGGCCTGTCATGCTGGAATCCCAACCTTTGAGCTGGGAAAGGTGCTGTGCCCAGGCTGTGCTACATCGTTGGGACCGTGTGTGGGCAAACGTACTGTCTGGTCACCCATGTCTGCTAAGAGCCTTCATCTCACCCTTGCAGGGTGGCCCTGGCCGGACTCCTGAGCTCTGGGGTCACGGGCCGCTGTCTCCTGAGGGGGCCGCACACTGCAGGGGCCAGGGCGGTCACCCTGTCTCTCCGGACCATGCTCAGGTGATCTTTTGGGTGTCCTTGCGGCCCAGACCGCACTGCCCCCTCACTCCACACCTGGACTCAGGCCCGCCACTCAGATCCCGCGCCGAGCACCCGTGATGTCCGTAGACAGCCAAGTGGTTGTTGACGACACAGGGATGTGTTTTATTAAGAGGAACACGTTATTGCCGAGAGGGTTTTCGCCTCCACTGTCTCACTGACCCGGGGGCAGGTGATGTTTCCCCCACTCCTGCCACACCCAGGGAGGAAAGGGGGCTTAGAGAGATGAGGTGACTTGTCCGTGAACGCACAGGCAGTGTATGGAGCCTGGAATCACTCCCTTCCTCCTGGCCCCGTGGCGGCGTCATCAGTGGGGCCGGGCCTACGCCGAGTAGGATTGTCCTCCTGGCTTGGCCTGGGCCTCAGGGGCTGCCTTGTTTAATGGTGAAATATTAGTCCCTTTTTGTGGGTTTTTTAAAGCCTGAAAATCCCAACATTGGTTAACTGTATTTGATTCATTGTTTAGAAAGAAAAATGGCTGTGCCGTGAGTCCCTGAAGGAAAAGTTCCGAAGCTGCCTCCAGTCCCTAAATCGAGAGTTGCTGCAGAGTCTGGGGCTTGGGGTCCTCGGTGGCAGCTGTGCAGGGCCCAGACCCAGGCCAGCTCCTCACTGGGGCACCGGTCCAGGTCGGGCAGGAGCTGGGGGACCGTGGGACAGGGGCAAGGCGGTGGCAGTGGGGAGATAGTGGGGATGGGGGCGTGGCAAGGGCTGAGCAGCTGGGAGCTGCTCTGAGGCCATGGGTGCCCTCACCGCCCCTCGCAGGCTGAAGCCCCTGGAGGCCCCTGGCTCTCACAGTGACCCTGTTAGCCACAGCAGGGATGGGGTTGGGGGCTTGGGGGCGGGGCAGTGGCATGGCCTCTCTTCGGCCTGCCTTGATTTTAAGGGCTTTTCATCTGAGGCCATGGGAAGGCTGTATGTTCAGGGATGAACACGGGTGTTCAGGGACAGACGCACACGTGTTCGGGGATAAACGGACGTTCAGCAGTAGGCGTGTGTGTCCCGTCCGCTGTGTGTGTGCTTGCTTGTGGTTAAGCTGACTGTGTAGCTTGCGCAGGGGCAGGAGCTCAGGTCTGTAGGGGATGGTGGCTTCGCTCACCTGCGTGTTCAACACGCACCCGTCGCGCACTTCCATGTTCCGGGTTCTCAGGTGCAGGGCAGGTGTGACAGTGCGCACAGGCCTGGCCCAGCCCACCTGAGCTCAGGGTGCGCCGCAGGGAAACAGCATGAGGCCCAGTTGCACTGCAGGGAAAGAGCGTGAGGCCCAGGCATCTCAAACAGCTCTGTGGACGCCACAATCTGTGCCCTGCAGGAAAAGAGCATGCGGAGAACAGGAGCCAGAGACTGGAGCGATGGAGAAGCAGGGTGCAGGAGAGGCAGCTGGAAAGGGAGGGTGGCTCAGGGCCCTGGGGCGGGGCTGGGACCAGGTCAGGCTAGGGCCAGATGCAGCTGCAGTGGCAGCCAGGCCGGGGCACCCAGCAGGGCATGAATATCCCAGGAGAGAGCCCTGCCTCAGCTCAAGTCTTGCTGTGGGAGCATGGAGATCTGTCTGCATGGCCGGGGTTATCCTGGACGGGGTAGCAGGAGCGGTGTTGGCATACACAACCGAGGCCAGCCTGGGAAGAGGCTGCTTGGGGTTCGGGGACCCTACAGAAGCACCAGGGCTGGCGTCTCTTCCTCCTGTGGGGTCTTCCCACGTGGGCCAGCTGCCTCAGCTGTGCAGGGGCTGGTCTCCTCAGGGCAGTGCTGCCTGGTGCCTGCGGGTGCTTGGTAAACAGCTAGGCCCCGGCTCTTTTTTTTTTTTTTTTTTTTTTTGAGATGGAGTCTTACTGTGTCACCCAGCGTGGAGTGCAGTGGCGCAATCTCGGCTCACTGCAGCCTCTGCTTACTGGGCTCAAGCAATTCTCCTGCCTCAGCCTCCCGAGTAGCTGGGATTACAGATGTGCGCCACCACGTCCGGCTAATTTTTGTATTTTTGGTAGAGACAGGGTTTCACCATGTTGGCCAGGATGGTCTTGAACTCCTGACCTCAGATAATCTGCCTGCTTTGGCCTCCCAGAGTGCTGGGATTACAGGTGTGAGCCACTGTGCCCAGCCCCAGGTTCCTCTTAAAATCATCCCAGGACACAGATGGGGGTCAGGCCGGCCTCACTCACGGGAGAGGTCCCAGAGGGAGGTCACAGAGCCCAGGCCCACAGAGCTATTCCAAGCACCTGGAACAGTGCTTCACCAATCATGAATTCCACAAGAGCATCTTCCATAGGCTACTGCGTCCTCGCTGCCTGGAACAGTGCTTCATCAATCATGAGTTCCACAAGAGCGTCTTCCATAGGCCACTGTGTCCTCGCTGCCTGGAACAGTGCTTCATCAATCATGAGTTCCGCAAGAGCGTCTTCCATAGGCCACTGCGTGCTTGCTGCCTGGAACAGTGCTTCATCAATCATGAGTTCCACAAGAGCGTCTTCCGTAGGCCACTGCATCCTCGCTGCCTGGAACAGTGCTTTATCAATCATGAGTTCCACAAGAACGTCTTCCATAGGCCACTGCATCCTTGCTGCCTGGAACAGTGCTTTATCAATCATGAGTTCCGCAAGAGCGTCTTCCGTAGGCCACTGCGTCCTCGCTGCCTGGAACAGTGCTTCATCAATCATGAATTCCGCAAGAGCGTCTTCCGTAGGCCACTGCGTCCTCACTGCCTGGAACAGTGCTTCATCAATCATGAATTCCGCGAGAGCGTCTTCCGTAGGCCACTGCGTCCTCGCTGCCTGGAACAGTGCTTCATCAATCATGAGTTCCACAAGAACGTCTTCCATAGGCCACTGCATCCTTGCTGCCTGGAACAGTGCTTTATCAATCATGAGTTCCTCAAGAGCGTCTTCCGTAGGCCACTGTGTCCTTGCTGCCTGGAATAGTGCTTCATCAATCATGAGTTCCACAAGAACGTCTTCCATAGGCGACTGCATCCTTGCTGCCTGGAACAGTGCTTCATCAATCATGAGTTCTGCAAGAGCGTCTTCCATAGGCCACTGCGTCCTCGCTTGCCTGGAACAGTGCTTGATCAATCATGAGTTCCGCAGGAGCGTCTTCAATAGGCCACTGCGTGCTTGCTGCCTGGAACAGTGATTGATCAATCATGAGTTCCGCAAGAGCGTCTTCCATAGGCCACTGCGTCCTCGCTGCCTGGAACAGTGCTTCATTAATCATGAATTCCGCAAGAGCGTCTTCCATAGGCCACTGCATCCTCGCTGCCTGGAACAATGCTTCATTAATCATGAATTCTGCAAGAGCGTCTTCCGTAGGCCACTGCGTCCTCGCTGCCTGGAACAGTGCTTGATCAATCATGAGTTCCGCAAGAGCATCTTCCATAGGCCACTGCGTCCTCGCTGCCTGGAACAGTGCTTGATCAATTATGAGTTCCGCAAGAGCATCTTTCATAGGCCACTGTGTCCTCACTGCCTGGAACAGTGCTTCATCAATCATGAATTCTGCAAGAGCGTCTTCCATAGGCCACTGCATCCTTGCTGCCTGGAGCAGTGCTTCATCAATCATGAGTTCCGCAAGAGCGTCTTCCATAGGCCACTGCGTCCTCACTGCCTGGAACAGTGCTTCATCAATCATGAGTTCCGCAAGAGCTTCTTCAATAGGCCACTGCGTGCTCGCTGCCTGGAACAGTGCTTCATTAATCATGAATTCTGCAAGAGCGTCTTCCATAGGCCACTGCGTCCTCGCTGCCTGGAACAGTGCTTGATCAATCTTGAGTTCCGCAAGAGCGTCTTCAGTAGGCCACTGCATCCTCGCTGCCTGGAACAGTGCTTCATCAATCATGAGTTCCACAAGAACGTCTTCCATAGGCCACTGCGTCCTCGCTGCCTGGAACAGTGCTTCATCAATCATGAGTTCCGCAAGAGTGTCTTCCGTAGGCCACTGCGTCCTCGCTGCCTGGAACAGTGCTTGATCAATCATGAGTTCCGCAAGAGCATCTTCCATAGGCCACTGCGTCCTCGCTGCCTGGAACAGTGCTTGATCAATTATGAGTTCTGCAAGAGCATCTTTCATAGGCCACTGTGTCCTCACTGCCTGGAACAGTGCTTCATCAATCATGAATTCTGCAAGAGCGTCTTCCATAGGCCACTGCATCCTTGCTGCCTGGAGCAGTGCTTCATCAATCATGAGTTCCGCAAGAGCGTCTTCCATAGGCCACTGCGTCCTCACTGCCTGGAACAGTGCTTCATCAATCATGAGTTCTGCAAGAGCTTCTTCAATAGGCCACTGCGTGCTCGCTGCCTGGAACAGTGCTTCATCAATCATGAATTCTGCAAGAGCGTCTTCCATAGGCCACTGCGTCCTCGCTGCCTGGAACAGTGCTTGATCAATCTTGAGTTCCGCAAGAGCGTCTTCAGTAGCCCACTGCATCCTCGCTGCCTGGAACAGTGCTTCATCAATCATGAGTTCCGCAAGAACGTCTTCCATAGGCCACTGTGTCCTCGCTGCCTGGAACAGTGCTTCATCAATCATGAGTTCCGCAAGAGTGTCTTCCGTAGGCCACTGCGTCCTCGCTGCCTGGAACAGTGCTTCATCAATCATGAATTCCGCAAGAGTGTCTTCCGTAGGCCACTGCGTCCTCACTGCCTGGAACAGTGCTTCATCAATCATGAGTTCCGCAGGAGCGTCTTCAATAGGCCACCGTGTGCTTGCTGCCTGGAACAGTGCTGGATCAATCATGAGTTCCGCAAGAGCGTCTTCCATAGGCCACTGCGTCCTCGCTGCCTGGAACAGTGCTTCATTAATCATGAATTCCACAAGAGTGTCTTCCATAGGCCACTGCATTCTCGCTGCCTGGAACAGTGCTTCATCAATCATGAGTTCCGCAAGAGCGTCTTCTGTAGGCCACTGGGTCCTCGCTTGCCTGGAACAGTGCTTCATCAATCATGAGTTCCACAAGAACGTCTTCCATAGGCCACTGCATCCTCGCTGCCTGGAACAGTGCTTCATCAATCATGAGTTCCGCAAGAGCGTCTTCCATAGGCCACTGCATCCTTGCTGCCTGGAACAGTGCTTCATCAATCATGAGTTCCGCAAGATCGTCTTCCGTAGGCCACTGCGTCCTTGCTTTCTGGAACGGTGCCTGCTGCTGGGTCCTCCTTCCCACTGCAGGACGTACAGCGAGGCTGGAGCCTGAGACGGTTCCCTGCACCCTGAGGCTCACGTAGCCCGGCCGACCTGGTTCTGCGTGGGTATAGCTCAGGCCCCGGGGAAGGGCGGAAGTGGACAGGCAGTGCCCTGGGGCTGCACTCCTAAGATCCGTCGGTACCTTTAAAAGGTTCTCTGCTTGCTCTCATCTGCGTGTGCCCCGTAACACTCGAAGGAGTAAAGAGGATGTAGAGAAAAGTACCGCGTTTTCCTTTTCCCTCCTTCTGAAAGGCCTGGGCCCCGGCATCTCTGTCCCTATCCCCGTGGGTCACAGCTGTGTGCTGGCTCTCCCTGCCCTGCCAAGGTAGAAGCATTTTCTGCGTTTCAGGCTGTGAACTGGGCCTCTTGAGATAAGTGCTGTAAATGCTCCTTTATCCTGACATCCCGGCCCTCAGTACTGTAAAGCCTCTCTTTCCTGCTAGCTAGCCTTTACCTAATGGAGCACAATTTATTTTTATTCTGTCCTCTTCACAGCTGCCTCCTGTGATTCCAGGAGGAGGCAGGTGTGGGGCTAAGGTGGTGAGGGGGTGGCTGTTCAGGCACCAGTGTCGTGGATGCCTTCAGCCCCCTGGTACACCCCACTGGGCCGGGCCCTGGGCAGCCGCCGCTGCATCCTCTCTGACTCCCACTTGAACACCTGCTGTTCTTCCTCCTCTCTTGCCCCTCACCGAGGCCTTGAGAGCCCATCAGTACCAGGCCTGTGTCCCTGCATCCCTGCAAGGTGGTAGCAGGTACCTCTAAGAGGGCCGGTTCTGCCCAAAGCAGGGGTCCCAGGGGTGTGGAGGAGGGGCCCGAGGAGGGCCGGTATCTAGGCAGAGGGGAGTTGCTGCTTCCTAGGCAGGTGCTCCTGGTCAGTGTGGCCAGAGTTCAACATCCCCGGGCAGGGAAGGCAGGAGCCAGGGCTGTGGGTGGGCTGGGCTCAAGGCCTCCCTACGGTTTGGCTCTAAGCCTGGGGTAGCCCTGGAGGTCAGCGGAGAGGGCCTAAAAGCCTTGGTGAGGCCACCCCAGAGAGCAGGGCTGCAGAGCTGGGCTCCCTCCCTGAGCACCCCTGGCCCAGCAGGCCTTGAGCACACAGCGAGCCGGGCTGGGCAGGGGATGGGAGCGCTGAAGGCTGCACCACTGTCTCGCCTCAGCCCATGCACTGCTGTTGCAGGTCGGGCCTGAGAACAGCCTGGGCAGTGCCTATGTGGTCCCAGGGCTGGGGTCGGGCACAGGGCTGTCGCCTCTCACCCTGGGGGTCTCTGCCACTGGCTTCTGGGGTCTCTGAGAGGAGCCTGCCCAGGATCCAGGCCCATAGAACCCAGTCCAGAGGAACCCCGGGCTCTTGGCTCACTTGGGAGGAGACCACGTGAGAGCAACCGACAAGAAAGCAATGACATTTCCAAGGCGGAAAACCCATCTTTTATTTATTTAATCCAAACCATCGTGTGAATTATTCATTCACGTTGATGTAAGCCACTGAACTACAGGGATAAAGGGGGGTCAGAACGCTGGCTTGATCTGCCCCAAACTGAACCGACTCCGTCGAGGCAGCCTTGTCTGGAGGATGGACCCTTCCCTACGTGGACAGGAGACCAGGATCAGGGCCCCCTCACCTCCGAGGGTCTGTGTGGCATGGAGGATGGACCCTTCCCCTCCAGGGCCCTGGGTTTGTCTGTCAGAGGGTGAGAGAGTGGCCCCAGGAGTGAGTGCGGCGGCCCATGCTGCTCCCAGCCGCATGGGTGGTGGTCTCGCCTCTGAGAGGGGGCCCCACACACTGCCTTCCTCGCCCTGGGACCTCATACCAACCTGCTATGGGTGGGCAAACACAGCCTGGAGCCCCGGAACTTCCAGAGGTCTGTGAGCGGCACAGGCAGCTTTGAAGTCTATCGGAAAACAGGGCTGTTTCCTTCTCCAAGGTCAGGCTTGCATTTATTACCAAAATCTAATTCTTCCCCTTTGGACGCCTGAGATCTATCAAAGGCAGCACGGGCCATGTTAGGGTGAAATATGGCCTCTGAAATGTGGTCTCTGCGTTCTTCCTTGTGCACGTGGCAATTCCTGCTACCGATAGCCCCATCTTCGGGAGGATCAGCCGAGGGACGCAGGGAAGAGTCTTGGGGTCAGAGCTGCCAATTAGCCTTCAGATTTCACAGCCTGATTGCTCGATTCATCAAGGGCCCCAGCCTCGTCCTGCTGGAGGGGCTGGGCCGTGGAATAACAGTGTCCCCCAGGGCCGTCTTTGCCAGCAACGGAGGGAGGAGGCCAGGTTGGGGCGAGGGCTGAATCAGTGCCAATGCTGCCATCCCACAGGTGGATGGGCGCCAGGGCCCCTCTGCTGACAGGCCTGCGGTTGTACAGGCCCCATATCCTCCCAGCCCCTGACATCTGGATGCTGCTAACGTGGTCCCTGCACCGCTGCTCCTTCCAGAACCCATGGCAGGCAGCGCCCTTGCTTTTGCAGCTAAGCAGCGAGTCTCTGTGAGCCTGGGTGTCATTGTGTGTGGATTGGGGATCGGATCGTGTTCATAGCTGTCATAGCCAGGCAGTGAGTGAGCTTGCACTCGGAACGGGCTGCTCGACTGAGCTCACGCCATCGGGGGTGCCCAGCGGCCCTGCGCTCTCGGCGGTGGCCTCCGGCACGTGATCTGGCCTAACACCTCTGAAGGCAGCTGCCTGCCTGTGTCCGTGTTGCAGGCAGAAGTCCTGGGAGATGGGGTGAAGGGGTAGGTTCAGAGTCACAGGTCAGGGAGGCAGAGCCGAGCTGAAACCGCGGCCCCTCCCGCGTCCTCCATCTTCCTCTGCAGACTTGAGGGCTTCTGGTTTGCACCTGGCTCCCCTGTCCCTGCTCACCTCCAGGAAGCAACCTGGACTGCATCGTCCACCTTAAACTGGCCCATCAGAGCCTCTTCGGGCCGCTGTGCACAAACTCCCCGGCAGCCCCTCTCTCACTCACTGTGACCTGGCCAGCAGGCACTCACACTGCACCTTTCCTCACACTCCCCTAGAGTGGACTGTGGGGGACCCCACACCCTTTCTGGGGCCTTCAGACTCATCTCTAACTCAGGACCAGCCTCCCCCCGGGCGCTGCCTGGAGTTGGAACCCTTGTTCTCTCCAACCATATGGCCATGGTTGACTTTAACATCCTCTTTCTCAGCCTAGCCAGGGAGCTGACCATCCCGTGCCTGGTTGTGGGCGCCTACAGCAGTCCTGTGATTCAGTCCCTCGTCATAGTGGAGGGAGGCTAGCAGCTGGCCCAGCTCCCGTGGCCTGCAGGATAGGGTCCAGCAGGCTCCCGTCCCCGCCTGGAGCAGTCCCAGGCCCCTGGAGGGCTCCCCATTGCCAGCTCCAGACAGCACTGCTGGGAAGCACCCGGCCTAGGGGACGGCTCTGTGTGCGTCTAAGTGGAGCCAGTCCTGATAATTAACGCGGGGATAAATCGAGGTTTAACTACTTGGAAGGCCTCTCGGGTGAGAAATTCATGATAATCGCTGTTATCCTCCTGATGGCTCTGCAGAGCAGTTCCTCCCCAAGCAGCCGTAAACTCTGACGGGCAGGGTGTGGGGCTGTACCCTGAATAGTCACTTAGAGCCATGTCAGGGGCAGTGGGCCTGGGGGTGCCGGCTGTCGTCTCACGATGGCCTGACCTCAGAGGTGGCTGGCAGGTAAAGCCCCGGGGCAGTAGGATCCGGAACGTCCCGGTGGCCTCCTGCCTGCCTCCCTGTTTGTCGGTGCTGGCTCCTGTGGGGTAGGCGTCCAGCCTCAGAAAGGACCCAGGCGGCAACCTGGGAATGGATGGTCAGGATCACTGGGTGGCGTGGCAGCCCAGGCCTTCGCTTTGGGACCCACATCCTCAGCACCGGCTCCTCACGCGGTTCTCGCCTAAATCCCCGGAGTGTTGGGGCAAGCGAACCCCGAGTCACGCCTGACCCTGTGGCTTCCTGACCCTGTGGCTTCCTGGCAGTGACTGTGCTGGCTCCAGGGGTTGTCATTCTGCAGGCCGAGGGCTGATCCCTGTGGAGGGGCCCTGGCTGCTTGTAGTCTGGCTCTCAGAGTTACCGTTCTTAATGCAGTAACTTTATTATTGCCACCACCAGAGGGTCAGCCGTTATCAGCTCACCCCTCACTCCCGTTCCCTCATGCATGCCGATGGAGGCTGGCTGGTGTGACACGGGGGCTTGCTGTGTCCCTGGGCAGCCGCCACTCCCACCTGTACTCGGCTTCCTCCCTGCCCTGGCCGCTCCCGGGTCCCCACCCCTCCGGCCTGGTGCCGCACTCACTGTCTCCTTCCGTCCCTCCCGCAGAGCTGAAGAAGCAGGTGGAGAGTGCCGAGCTGAAGAACCAGCGGCTCAAGGAGGTTTTCCAGACCAAGATCCAGGAGTTCCGCAAGGCCTGCTACACGCTCACCGGCTACCAGATCGACATCACCACGGAGAACCAGTACCGGCTGACCTCGCTGTACGCCGAGCACCCAGGCGACTGCCTCATCTTCAAGGTGGGTCCTGCGTGTGACGGCTCTCCGGCTGTCTCGCTCTCTGTCTCCTCCTGTGGGGAGATCCGACCGTAGCCCTCAGCAAAGGAGCAGCCTCGCGTCCAAAGGGGATGGTGTGGAGGGCTGGGCGGGAAGGAGGTGCACTGGCCCGTCCTCGTCACCCCCTGAGGCTTCTCAGCCTTGGGCCAACCCTATGTGGCTTTGCAGCCCTGGACCTCCTGGGTGCAGAAGACCCTAGGCTGTCCCCCTGACTTTCTCAGCCTCTGTCTGTCGCAACTTGGGCTTCGTTCCATGAGGGCTGCGGCCGTAGGCGTGTGTGTCAGTGTGTCCAGAGGCAGTGGTGCCTGGGGAGGACTGAAGTCCGTGTGGGGCCGGGGCAGGGGACGCCTTCCAAGATGCCAGGCTGCGCAGTGGGACAGCGCAGTCCCAGAAGCCAGCACAGGGCAAGGTAGACAGACTAGAAGAGGAAAGGAGAGCCAGCCGCATCTCTACACTCGCGTCCTGCGAGCCAGCAGGCGCTCTTCTGGTTTGCTGGTGAAGCCAGACTGGGTCCACCGTTGTGGACATGAAGAGTCCTCGGGCGAGCGGGGTCCAACAGCAGAAATTGGGGTGTTATGTGTTGACCCTCAGGGTGGAGGTGGCCCCACTTGGACCTCCAGCAGCTGGAGACCCAGGGCAACAGGGGCTTGTTCATCACTGCCCCGGTGAGCTAACCTCCGGTTTGTGAGGATGGTGCCGTCGGCCTGGTGTGGCATTGTGGCCCCGGCATGACCTCGTGGCCCCGTCTTGGCATGTGGCTGCTTCAGGAAGGGTGGAGGGGGCGGTGGCTGTGGGAGATGAGGACAGGCAGAGACGGGCCCCACCTGGGACTGCTGTGGTCTGGAACGGGCGTCTAAACTGCCTGCAGTCTGCAGCCTCTGCGTGTCTTTATGGAACCGAGAACCAACTTTGATTTGTATAAAAGCTGTACCCAGTGCGGCCTACGCATGTCCGTCAGCGTCTCACAGCGGTGAGCCGCTGCCTGTCTGATTCAGCCTTAGCCCGGCTCTTCCTCCTCCTTCTGCACAACCCGCCCGTCTTCACAGCCTGCGCTGCACGGGGGCACCGTGCCGGGCTTGCTCTGCGTTCCTTGTGGATTTCCTGCTTCTCAGATCACAGTCATCCATTTCTACACTCTTGAAACTCTCAAACCTTTGAATAATAAAAACACACCAAGTCTTTAAGCTATCAGAAATGTACTTCTTCGCTTTTGTATAATTCTGTATACTTTGAATAATTCACAGAGGTGTTTAATGCATTATACGAATTCCATAGGTTTCTAAAATGATTAGGTATTAATAAAGGTGTACCATGAACAGTTATCACTTAACATATCACTCGTTACATCAACATTTACAAATTAAGAGGCAGCGTTTTCCCCGGATCCCTGCGTGTGCTGTAGTTGAAGCGAATCTTAGGAAGACTAACTGCAGCGGAACCTTGGGGCACCCTCCACAGTGTTTTCTGTTGAGAGTGTCGAAAATCCAAAAGAGGGAAGCAAGCCACTCGTCATCTTCCCGCGAAAGGTGGCCGCTGTCCTGCTTCGCCGTGTTTCCTTTCGGTGTTTCATACGTAGGCACATGCCTAGGCATGTTCATTTACACCTGGGAACTCGGGATCCTGGGGTTCCATTGTGTGTGCTCCTGTGTCACTTTTTAAAAACACCGTCAGCAAGTAGCATCTTGACCACTGTAAGCCCTGCATGGGCTTCTGAAGCGCAGCCCTGCCCAATGTCCTCAGGTTTGCTGGACACCAGGTCCATCCCCGTCATACCCTCGAGCATGGGCCCTGCCGCTCTTCCTGCTCGAGCCAGCATCTCAGCTCCCCCGGCCCTCATCCGCCCGCCCAGGATCCCAGCCATGGCAGGATGTTGAGACCAGAAGGCTTGGGCTGGCCTCAGCTTGCCAGTGGCCGGACTTTCAGCCCCCATGGCCTGGGCAGGAACCCCTGCCCTCCTTTCCGCCTTGGAGCCCTCTCAGCCCCCAGGCTCCTGAGGTCAGGGAGAGGCAGGAAGGGGGCCCCAGGAGGAGGAGGCAGGCGGACAGAGAGCCCAGGAGCTGGCCAGCTCCCCAGCCCTGCTCGCCCCAGGCCTAAAGGACACACAGCGTACGGGAGGCCGGGCTCGCCCTGAGGAGCCGTGGTTCCTGCAGGGGTCTGGCCTGGGCCCCGCAGCTCTTGCCAGGCATCCTGCCCGCCTTCCTAGACTCTTGTGATCTGGAGCCTTGGCGCCTCCCCAGGCCGCCCCCTCACTGCCCATCCTCCAGCCCTTGCTGTCCCTTCTTTCCAGTGGCAGGCCTGGCCTGACCTGACCTTCTGGACCACGGCCTGTCCTGGCCCAAGGCCCGTGTGAATGTGACTTTGCAGGTCCTGAGGGCTGGATGTGCTGGGTCAGAAGCCATGGAGCTGAGGCAGCCGCCTCCGGAAGGACAGACGGTCCACTGGCCCAGTGCTCCACCAGCAAGGCCTGGTGCCCGCAGAGGCCCCGCTCCCCACCCTTCCGGCCACCCACCATGCCTGCTCTGGGCCGTGTTCCGGGGGCTGGCTCAGGTGGACAGTGTCAGGGAACGAGGTTGCTTTTAGCTTACCCACTTTCCCCATGTGTGACATGCACTGTGTTTTCATGCTTGAAGCTCACAGGATCAGGGAGATTAAGTAAAGTATGGAAGGGCTTTACAAGTTGATGTTTGCAGGCGGGGCTGAGAGCTGCGGGGTGGGCCTGGCATGGGGAGCTCTGGGCAACCCAGGCAGGGGGCTGACTCTAGGTGAGCTTGTGGGCTGGTGCCCAAGTGCAGCTGTTGCCAGGGGGGTGCTGGCTGGGCCTCTGCCTCATCTGTAAAGCAGGTACAGTTACGTCTGACCCACAGGAGTAAGTGGGGCCATGTTCCTGGCACATCCATCATGGTTGCCAAGACCCCACCTTGGTCCATCGGTTTCATTTCTGAGCAGTGAAGTCCCCGCAGGAAGAAGCTGCCAACTTGTGTCTGCGGTTTTCCCTGGAACCCCAGCATCAAGGCCCACCTGCTCCATCCTCTTCACCTGGGCCCAGCTCGCTTGTAGACACCTTCTCCAGGAAGCCCTCCTGGGTTCCCCAGATGTGGGACCCTTCTTCCGCTGGCTTCCCTCCTAGGACACGTGCCACCTTGTGTTTTTCCTGACAGGCGAGTCTGCCGGAGGTTTTATCCTGTTGGGTTCGTTGTCCCTTGAGGGTCCCCAGGGGGCCTAAGTGTGCCCCTCCTGTGTTTCTCCCCCACTGCTGGGTGCCTGGTTCTTAAAGATGCTTCTTGCTCCATTTCTCCCTAGGCTTCTTTTCACAGCCTCTTTCCCCCAGCCTCACCCAACCCCCACCCTCTACTCCTGCTCTTCCTCCTCCCTCTCCCACTCCTCCTCCAGACTCTGTCCTGCCCAGCTGATGTGCCCTGCTAGCAGCTGTGCCTAGCACCCCGCTCGCCCCCTCCCCTCTTTGGAGGGCTGGGGCCTCCCAGACCTTCCTGCGCCCCATCTGGTTGATGTGGAGGGATCGCCTGCTGGATATGGGCCTTTAGAGCATGTTCATGAGGGCTGACACTGGGCATGCAGCCTCACCTCCCCAAGTTTCAGTCTCCTCACCTGTGGAGTAGAAGTAACTGTGGCTCACTTCGGAGGCTGCAAGAGGCAAGTCTCATAAGTGCCACCTGTGGAGCTGGGGAGGGGTCATGTTGCACCGGGATCCCTGTTGGCTGGTTCAGCTCCAGCCCACGGTGCACCCGTGCTTCTCCCAGAGCTGTGACTAGCTCTGCCGGCCCTGTGTGTCCTGGTCCCTGCAGACCTTCTGGAGGGCCTGCAACATTTAGGGAGCTTTCAAAGGCTCCCTGTAAGCCGACTCTTCCCAAGTCCTCCTCCGAGCTGCCCTTCACTGGGTGAGGCCGTTGGCCTCCTGAGAAATCCTCCCCCTTGGGTTCCAAGAAGACAGCGCTAGAGCTGCCAAGTCTTCTGGCAGGAGCTCTGACCAGGAGATCAGCATCAGTCCTGCCCCATCCACCTGTCATTCCTGCCTCCTTTGTATCCAGGACACCAAGCTTGGTGACAGGAGAGGCACTTGTACTGTTCGCAGCAGCTCCACGCCCCCAGCTCAGGGCCTGGCTTATGGAGAGGGCAGTCTAGGGCTCTGCCAGACAGACAGAAAAACAGGTTTCAGTGGAGCAAAAGGGAAGAGACAAACAGTGAACAGACAACAGCCAACCTGTAGGGCCAGGGCTCATGTTGGCACCTCTGCCTGCAGATGGTCACTGACTCCTTGGGGCCATGCAGCGGTGGCCCTGGTCTCCACTGTCCAGAGGAGAGATAAGAGACACTGTGGAGTCACCTTGTCCCGGGCAGCTCCTGACCCTGGTGTGCAGCCTTGGCCAGGCCACTGCACTCCTGTGAGACTCAGTTTCCCCATCTGTCATGAGGAATGTGGTCTGGGTGCTCCCTGGGGGCCCTGACCCTGGCCTCCTGGCTTCAGAAAGGCATCCTCAGGGGGCTGAGCATCACTAGGTGTGCCCAGGAGGGTCTTCCCTGAGCTACCCTCCTGAGATAGGGCCACGGAGGGCAGAGGCCAGTGTGGGAGGGCAGGGAGAGCAGGGAGACAGGCCCCCTGCCCCACCCACTCCACCTGGGGGCTGGCATACGTGGCTCCCGTGCTCCTGAAAGATCTCGCCAAACCCCAGCCTCCTGGCCATGTCATTTATTTTATCAGATTTTCCCCCAAATGATTCTTCAGGCAGAAAGGGGGCTGCAGACAGAGTTAGAAATAGCCGAAGCCGTTTCCAGTCAAGCGGGTTCCACAGATGTGTGCTGGGATAATTGAGGGTTTGCCGCACAGTCCCCCGCCACTCTGCTTCCCATCCCAGCCAGGACTTCCCATCCCAGCCAGGACTTCCCATCCCAGCCGGGACCAAACCTCTTGTTGCCGCGTGGGTGGAGGGAGCTGGCTGCCTGGGCTGCCGTTTGGGGGAAAGGCAGGCAAATCTCAGCTCCAGCTCTTCCCAGCGGGAACCTGCTGCCTCTGCTCCTCTCCCTCCTGAGAGGGGATAGAGATTCCAGAGTCCCTAGAGCTTCCTGGGAAGGCCATACTCTGCCTGGGCCTGGAGCGGGGAGGCTCAGCTCCTGGTCTCTCCATCCCGGCTGCACTCCTCCCAGTGGTTCTCACGGAATTTTCCCCACCTCCCTTTTCCCCTCTTCTCAAAACCCAGGGAAGGAAGCCTTCTGTTACGAGAGGGAGAAAATCAGTGGTAAGAAGAAGTGGAGTGACCAGGCCGGGGACACAGAGCAAATGCAGTTTGGGGCAAAACCGTGAGCTTCTGGGATCTGGGAGACACACTGGTTCCAGCAGGCTCCTCATTCCTTGCTGTCCAGGGCCTTCCCCGGCTCAGAGGCCTGCAGGGTGGGCGTCAGGGCCAGAGGCGTGGACGGCACAGATTCCGGAACTGCACAAACATGTGGCGATGTCGACCTACCGGGTTTGTCATATGGATGAGGGGGAAAGGTATACAGGTCCAGCCTCCCCGATTCGAAAACCTGAAGTCGGGAATGTTCCAAAATCCACAGCTTTTTTTATTGTGGGTCTGTCACTCAAAGGAAATGCTTAATGGAGCGTTTCCGATACCAGATTTTCAGATTAGGGATGAATATTTGCATGAGATGCTTACTCAACCAGTAAGCACGTAATACAGATATTCTGACAACCTGAAAATCTGGAAATCCCAGACACTTGGTCCCAAGCGTTTCCAATAAGGGATACTCAGCACTCACCTGTGTGTATATGTGTAAGTCTAGTACGGTCTCGCTTTGCCAGATGACAGGGATGCATGCTGAGGAACGTGCTGGTGGGCAGTGTTGTCTTTGCGGGAACTTCCTAGAATGACTTGTACGAGCCTGGGCCGTGCAGCCTCCCGCACCCTTGGGCCGCATGGTTTAGCCGGCTGCTGCCAAGCTGCAAAAGTGTGCAGTGCGTGACTGTGCTGAATGCAGTAGACCACCGTGGCGCAGTGCTAAGCATCTGCGTGTCTGTACGTGTTTAAATATGGAAAAGGTGCCATAAACATGATGTATGAAGGGTGGAAGACGGTGCACCTGCGTAGGGTGCTCACCGTGAACGGAGCTCGCAGGGCTGGCGGGTGCTCTGGGCGAGCTGGTGAATGAGGGTGAGTGAGTGTGAAGGCCTAGGACATGAGTGTGCACAACTGGAGACTATAAATGCCGTACCACTTAGGCTACACTCAACTATTAAAAATACTGTTCTTTTCTTCAATAATAAATGAATGGCTGGGCACAGTGGCCTGTGCCTATAATCCTAACATTTGGGGAGGCTGAAGTGGGGGGATCGCTTGAGCCCAGGAGTTCAAAACCAGCCTTGGCAACATAGCAAGACCCTGTGTCTACAAAATATTTAAAACTTAGCCAGGCGTGGTGGCGCCTGCTTATCGTCCCAGCTACTCCAGAGGCTGAGGCGGGAGAATTACTTGAGCCCCAGGAGTTAGAGGCTGCGGTGAAAACTATGATCGCGCCACCGCACTCTAGCCTGGGTGACAGAGTGAGATCCCATCTCTAATAATAATAAGAATAAAGTTTGTTGTAACTTTTTGAGTTTATAAACTTTTTAATTTTATTTATTTATTTGAGACAGAGTCTTGTTCTGTCACCAGGCTGGAGTGCAGTGGCGCGATTTCGGCTCACTGCAACCTCTGCCTCCCTGGTTCAAGCGATTCTCCTCCCTCAGCCTCCTGAGTACCTGGCATTACAGGGGTGCGCCACCACACCCAGCTAATTTTTTTGTACTTTTAGTAGAGACGGGGTTTCACCATGTTGGCCAGGATGGTCTCAATCTCCTGACCTGGTGATCCTCCCTCCTCGGCCTCCTAAAGTGCTGGGATTACAGGCGTGAGCCACCGCACCCAGCCTATTAAAATTTGTTTTGTATAACACTTAGCTTAAAGCACAAGCACATCCTACAGCTATAGAAAAATGTTTTTGTATAGCAGCCTTCCTGGGAAGAAGAAATAGCCCCGCACCCCTCGTCCTTGTGCTGGCCCGGGGTGTCGCTTCTGTGCACCCTTTTTTCCCCTCTGCCCATCCTTGCTGCCCCTGCCGGACCTCAGCAGGGGAAGGGGAGGTGGCGCAGAGCCCGCTTTCTGGCGTCTGTCTGATCCCGCCGAGGTCCCGCACAGAGCCCGCTGCTGGCGTCTGTCTGATCTTGCTGGGGTCCCGCATTCTCACTGTTGCATGGACTGTGGAAATCCCAGACAGGAAGGCTGTGCACCTCCCCAGGAAAAATGAGAACATGGGCGTCAGACAGGGTCCAGACTCCTCTACCACAGCAGGTTGGCCCTGGGAAATGACTTCTGGCCTCAGCTCCCCAAGGACAAAGTGGGGCCCGTGAGCACCCCTTCTCAGGTGCTGAGCGATGGAGAGCTGATAAAACAGCACAGGTGGCCTTGGTTTCGGGGCTCCCTCCTCCTCTCCCCGACATACCTGTAGTGGCCGGCACAGCCTGGGCCTCCGTGGAAACTGGCAGGATGGGCTTGCCTGGTGTCTTTGCCTGTTATGTTGCTATAAAGGAATATCTGAGACTGGGTGGTTTCTAGAGAAAAAGGAGTGTATTTGGCTCACAATTCTGGTGGCTGCTAAGTTCAAAAGTGGGCACGTGTGCACCTGGTGAGGGTCTCAGGCTGCGTCCACTCATGGCGGGAGATGAAGAGGAACCGCCCACTTGGGCAGAGATCACATGGCAGGAGGCCAAAGGGGTGGGGTGCCAGGCTCCTTCTAACAACCAGCTCTCATGGAAACAGAGAGAGACCTCACTAATTCCCTCAAAGGCAGTACCAGGCTGTGGGTGAGGCCTGTGACCCCATGACGCAGACACCTCCTCCCCATAGGCCACACTTCCAACATTGGGGATCCCATTTCAATATGAGACTTGTCAGGGACGTACCAACAGTACCCACACCAGAACACGTGGTCCTGGGGTGAGACCCTCCCGGGGATCCGAGCCCACCATACCCACACCAGACAGAGCGTGTGGTCCAGGAGTGAGACCCTCCCACGGATACATGCCCCTCCCAGGAGATGATTCCCCATTCTTGCCATAGAGAGGGGCCAGGAAGGCCCAGGTCCTGTGTGTCTTGAGAGTGGAGGCAGCTCCACCTCCCAGCTGCCTTCACAGCCCTGTGGGTGGGCAGCCTTCAGGGCACCACCAGCCTGGGGCCCAGAGCCCAGCTGTTGCTGTGGCCCCTGACGAGCTGTGGCAGCAGGCCCCCCAGCTCTGAGCTTTGGAGTCTCATGGGTGGCTGGGCCTCTGCCTGGGTGGGGTGAGGGGAAGGAATTAGCTGGGTCTGGAGCCACCATGCTTGCTTAGAAGGTGAGGAAGGGCCAAGCCACAAACATGGCAGGCTCAGCTGACAGCAGCATCCGGCCTGCAGAGGGGACGTGGCCCAGGTCCTGCATGAGTCAGCCCAGGGGAAAGAAGCGTGTAACTCCAAGAGCCTGGCTGGGTGAGCCTACGGAGGCCGCATGGCTGAGCCTGTTGCCTCCGTGAAGCATCTCTCTGCGTTGCAGGGAACATAGGAGATGGTGCAGGGGCAGCTCCACTTGGGGAGAGCATTTTCAGAACCACCGGTGCAGGCCTGGCCCCGACAAGCCTCAGGATGTGCAGCTGGGCTGCTGTGGAGCCCCTGGGCTGGGCCTGGCCTAGGGTCCAGAGCTGCTGGGGTCCTCCTGAGGGACCCTAGCAGTACAGAGGCCAGGGAAATGGCAAGAGTGCCCGTGAGGATGCCACCTTTTCTGGGCACACCAGCCACGCCATCCCCCAGCCTCCTCAGCATCTGAGGCCTTGCCCGAGTGTTTGCTGAATGGAGGTGGTCTTTGGCGGTGTCACTGCTAGTCAGCCCCCGTCGGGTGGTGGGAGGGACTGGACCCGGGCCAGAACTGCCTTGGTGTGGATGTCGCTTGCCTCTGCCAGCCCCGGGACCTGGACACATGGCTTCACCTCCTCAAGCCTTGTCTTCCTTTATGTGGGCCAGGATCATCGCATCTGCCCAAGGGTCGTGGTGACAGTGACCTTGGCCAGTATGTATGCAAGTGCCAGGCACGTTGGGGACCCCGTATGCCTGCCACATTGCGCTGAGTGGATCCCTGCCACTGTCTGCCGACATCAGGCCACGAGGATCTGCAGGTCAGTGAGTGCATCATGGAAGCTTTCATGGCTCATCAGTGAGAACTGCAGGGTGATTGCGGGAGGAGCAGGTCGACCTCTCGTGTCCTAGGCCCTGCCCTCGCACTGGCATCATGCACGCTCCCACTGACACATGGACACAAATACATGCCCACGCATGCACAGCCACCCACATGCATGCATGCTGACACACACATGAAACCACACACACACATGCATGCTCACACATGCCCACCCATGCACAGCCACCCACATGCACGGGCAGCCACACACGACACACACGCATGGACACATGCACAGACAGCCACATACACACATGCGCGCACACACAGGCATCCACATGCACGCATGCATGCTCACACATGCATAGGCAGCCACATGCACGCATGCATGCTCACATGTACAGCCACATGCATGCATGCTCACACACACGCACAGGCAACCACACACGCATGCACACACACGAACAGGCAGCCACATACATGCATGCACACATGAACAGGCAGCCACATACATGCGTGCACACACATGTACAGGCAGCCACATGCATGCTCACATGCACAGGCAGCCACACGCATGCACACACACGCATAGGCAGCCACATACACGCATGCATGCACACACATGCACAGGCAGCCGCACGCATGCACACACACACATAGGCAGTCACATAGACGCATGCATGCACACACATGCACAGGCAGCTGCACCCATGCATACAGATGCATAGGCAGCCACATACATGCATGCATGCACACACATGCACAGGCAGCCACATACATGCATGCACACACGCACAGGCAGCTGCACACATGCACACACATGCACAGGCAGCCACATGCACACAATGCTCACACACAGGCACAGGCAGCCCCATGAACATGCATGCTCATGCATGCACAGCCACCCACACGGATGAAGGCTCACACACACATGCTCAGTCTCACGCATGCACACACACGTACAGGCAGCCATATACACACATGCATGCACACACACATGCATAGGCAGCCACATACACATGTGCATACACACACGTGCACAGGCAGCCGCAGCCATGCATGCACACACATGCACAGGCAGCCACACACACGCATGCTTGCACACACACGTGCACACACACACGCACAGGACGCCACATACATGCACACATGCACACACACACAGGCAGCCACATACATGCACACATGCACACACACAGGCAGCCACATGCACACATGGACACATGCACAGGAAGCCACATACATGCATGTATGCACACACATGCCTATGCATGCACAGCCACCCACATGCATTCATGCTCACACACACATGCACAGGCACCCACATGCATGCATGCACACACATGCCCATGCACAGGCAGCCACATACACGCATGCATGGTCACACACACAGGCAGCCACATACACGCATGCTTGCACACATGCACAGGCAGCCACATGCAGACACACACGCACAGGCAGCCACATACATGCACACATGCACCCACACGGGCAGCCACATGCATGCACATGTGCACGCACACACAGAGGCAGCCACATGCACGCATGCACACACACACATGCACAGGCAGCCACATACATGCATGTACACGCATGCACAGCCACCCACACACATGCATGCTCACACGTACACAGGCAGCCACGCATGCGCATGCATGCACACACATGCCCACACACAGGCAGCCACATACACACATGCATGCACACATGCCCACACATGCACAGCCACCCCCACATACACATGCTCACACACACATGCTCACAGTTGGCCTCTGTCTCTCCCAGGCGTCCCATGTGGCACCTGCTTCTGTGATCTGGATCCAGAGGAGGCAGGGAAAGCAAGTCAGGCAGCATGGGCCCAGCCGGAGCCCCCCTAGCCTGAGTGAGTGTTTCAAGGGCTGTGAAGGCCCATGGTATGCAAAGCGCCATGTTAGAAAAAGAGATGTGGAGTCTTCTTCCTGTTCTCCCTGCCGCTGCCATGCGGTCACTGACAGCCCTGAAGCCTTCTCACCAGGAACCTGCGGGGCAGGACTGTGTGAGAGAAGCAGCTTGCGGCACCACCTTCTGGAGTCCGGCTGCACACCCCAACTGTCCCCAGGGAGCTGCTGGCCTGGGCCAGGAAGGGTGCAGGGCTAGGGCCACAGACCTGTGCTCACTCCTCACCTGCTGCCCCAGCCCTGCAGCAGGTCTCTGCCTGTCTGCACACAGTGCCATGTGCCTGGCCACAGCTGGCACCAGCAGAGCAGGGCCTGCCCAGGGTCACCCAGATCACAGGCCCAGGCTCAGGCCTTCCTTCCTGCCAGGCTGGCCCAGGGTCCTGCTGACCCCTGCTGTCCTGGAAGTGTTGAGAGCAGAGAACCTGCACACGCCCACACGCCTGTTTGCAGACACAGTGTGGTGTGCGAGCCCCAGGTGGGCCCTCTCCCGCCCGTGCCACCGTGCTCTCCCACTCAGCCGCCCATTCTTGTCACCGAGCCCATGCAGAGGTGTCGACTCATGAATCGAGGACCTGCTGTCTAGCTGGGGCGTGTTGACACAGGCTGAGATTTGCACAGGATTTATCACTCTCAGATGAAGCATCCGCTTTGCTGCCAACGGGTGTAGACATGACCTTGGTAGCTGCCCTGTTCTTTCCTTCTGAAGCAGGCTTGTGAATAAGTGGGCATATCTGCCAGCCCACCATCTCCCGTGCACTGATCTTGCACAGATCAGGACTCAGGACTCCAGGCTCTTGGAGGGGTACTTACCCCCAGAGGACAAGCCCCTTAGACAGTGACTAGCCCTGTGCCATTCCAGGCCCAGAGCTTGCCGCCAGGTGCCCAGAAGTGAACCTGGCCCTCACAGTGCTGCTGGGCTGACGAGAAGGTAAACATGCCCACGGGTCTCTGCAGGTTGCTGGGATGAGGCTGCCCTGATACGCGGACGAGGGCTGGTGAGGGCCCAGGTGGGGCGGTCGTGGGGTGGAGGCAGTAGGACCTGGTGGAGGAGAGGAGGCAGAGCTGCTGCTGGGGGCATAGAATGGGAAGCCAGGCGTGTGGCCCCCAGGGCTGGGGCCAGAGATGCCGGGCAGGGGTCCCTGCTGGGGTGTCTGCCTGCCCTGCTCCATTTTCCTCATTCCTTTCCTGAGGAGTGGGCCCACCCGGCCTAGGGGCCAGGCTGGAGGGAGAGAGACAGGACTGGAAGGGCCGAGACAGGGAGAGGCTCTGGGCGCCGGGCTGCCGAGCCCTCGGGGATCTGCCTCTGCTCCACGGGGCAGCAGTCAGAGCCACGGGGCCAGGTGAGTGGGCACCTTGGGGTTGTCATGGCAACAGCTCTTAGCCAGAGGTGGACGGAACTGGGGGGTTGAAGGCCGGACATTTGGGAGCCCGTACCCTGCAGGGCCACTCAGGAAGCAGGAGCTACAGCGGCCCACCGTGGGACAGCTCCACGTGTCACACATTCGCCTGAAATCTGCCCTTCCGACCGCACCCCTGTGGCCCACACACACCCGCAGCCCAGCCCCCTGGACTTCTCTCCTGTCTGAGTGCACTGGCCTCTGCCTGGTGCTCACTGCTGTGAGTTTGAGCTTCAAAGCCCTCGTTAAGCCCTCTCCATCTTTCTCTAGGCAGAGCTGGGACACAGGGTTTTTGGGGATAGACCGAGAACAAAGGACCCGCGAGAGGGACGCTGTGGTGTGGGCAGAGGGCATGTGAGAGGCAGCCCTTCGTGGAGCTCTGGGCAGGGAGTGGTTCCTGAGACCAGTTCCTTGAAAGTAGTGTCTGTGTGTGGGGGCGTCCATGCAGGAGCCCGGAGCCATCTCTGAGGCTGGAGCAGCGAGGTCCTTTCTCTTCCCCTGTCCTGCTATGACTCTACCACAGGGCCTCTGCTCCTGGGTCCCCGCCTTGGGTCCAGTGGTGATGACTAAGTACTTAGGTTGTTGGAGAAGTGTGCTCACCATTCACATGTATGGGTTTTGACCAACACGGGTAACTTCATGCACAGTGATCCCCGATTCTAAAGCTGAGATGAACTTTGCCTATTCCCGGAGGGCGACGTGAGGGGTGCGCACCACCACACTGTGTCCCCAGAGCAGCTGCCCCAAGCTGCAGAATGCCCTCTGCCCCCTTGCCCCACGGCCTGCCCCGCCTGCGTCTGAGGGCGCTGTGGCCTCCCTGCTGTGGCTCAGGCTGCCCCCAGGGCTCTGACCTGTGGGACAGCAGACAGGAGGCCTGGGCTGGGGGCCTCAGGGCGCAGGCGTGGTCCGCTCCACACAGTCTTCCCATGTGGGACCAGGGGTTCTCCTCCGCCCACTCAGACAACTCCCCTGCTGCCCAGCCCCTCTCGGGCTGTCTCACCAGGCCACTCTCGGTCGTCTCTTAGACCTGGTGACATTTTGGAACAGAAATAAAGTTCGGCAGTGATTGGGCTGAGAGGCAGGAAGATGCAATGGGAGTTTGGGCTGAGGGAAGGTCAGCAGGACGGCCTCAGGGCCTCCATGTGGTGGGGAATCCCGGCTAGGCCCCTGACCCAACGTTGCTCCTCAAGAGCATTGAGGCCTGGAACTCAGCCAGAGGCGCTGAGGCTGCAGGAGTCCAGGGCTCACCTCAGGCTTCCCAAGCCAGAGGCAGGGGAGCTGGTGGCTGCCCGGACATGTGGGTCGGTGGCTAGGGGTGCACTGGTGGATGGCCAGAGATCCATGGGTGGGTGGCCAGGGGCATGCTCTTGGGCGCCCAGGTGTGAGGGTGGGTGGCCACGTCTCTTCAGCCAGGGCAGCTGCGAGCAGGGCTGTGCCACCAAACACCGTGCATGCCTCGGCTGCGTCCCTCCTGGCCACTGGCCCTGCCCCAAGTGGAGACTGGCCCAGCCGCCAACTCTGGCTTGCGGTCCCAGTGCTGCCTCCTGTTGGCCACATGCTCTCTCGAATGAGCTGCTCGCTCTGGCGTGGTTGTGAGGATGGAGCGGTCAGATGCTGGGGAGTCCCCAGCTGGCTCTGCACTGTGCAGCGCGGGGCCTGCGGTTCCTCCTCCAGGCTTCCTTCAGCTGCACGCGATTCCCCTGGCCCGGGTATCCAGGAGGCTCCCTGGCCTGACCGTGTGTCAGGGTCTGCAGGTCAGAGTCAGCTTCGCTCGAGGCTCCTGCTCCGGTCGAGTCCTGGAACTCGGAGCTGGGAGTTGGCATCTGGTTTGAAGCTGTCTGGGTAATAGAGACACATGGTGCCTTCCTTTTAATACGGCCTGGGGCACACAGACTGCCCTCTGAGCCTGGACCTGCACCCTCTGCCTCGGCCTCCGTGAAATCAGGCTTTGGACCCCGCGACCCCAGCCACGGTACCCTCTTTGCCGCCCTGGACAGGGCAGAAGTGTTTTGTGTGGATTGTGCCTGAGGAGGTTGGAGACATGAGAGGTCAGGGAGTTGTCCGTCCCCTGGTGCTGAAGCTGAAGTCAGCGAGGGTCTCCGGGACACTGGAGCTTGGCCTTCAGGCAGCAGCCAGTGGGGAGCTGGGCTGATTCCCATGGAAATGGGCATCCTGCGGGCATGGGCAGCCCTCCCCATGACTCATGGCCCCAGGCATTCAGAAGAGACTGCTGCCTCTGGAAAGGGAGCTCATCCCCGGGGCCGTTTGTGAGTCACAGTTTGGTGTTAAGGAGCTCCTACATACCAGGGGTCATTTGTGAATTAGGATTCGGGTGTTAAGGAGCTCATGGTGGGGGAAGGGGTGGACATTTGTGATTCACAGTTTGGTAGTTTGGGTTCCTGGGGCCGTTTGTGGCACAAGGTTTGTTGTTAAGGAACTGGTTCCTGGAGTCGTTTGTGACACGAGGTTTGGTGATAAGGAGCTGGTTCCTGGAATTGTTTGTGACACCAGGTTTGCTGTTAAAGAGCTGGTTCCTGGGGCCATTTGTGGCACGAGGTTTGGTAATAAGGAGCTGGTTCCTGGAGTCGTTTGTGACACCAGGTTTGGTGTTAAAGAGCTGGTTCCTGGGGCCGTTTGTGGCACGAGGTTTGGTGATAAGGAGCTGGTTCCTGGAGTCGTTTGTGACACCAGGTTTGGTGTTAAAGAGCTGGTTCCTGGGGCCGTTTGTGGTGCAGGGTTTGGTGTTTCTCAAGACTTCAGTTCTCTACATTTCTAAAGGAGCAAAACTGCCAGTGCCTTCTCACCTCAGCACCGACCCAGGATCAGAGTCACGGCCGCCCTGGTGATGGAGGGCAGGCCTGGGTGTGGACCCCAGCGGTGGGAAGGGGGGCGAGGGGCCATGCAGCGGGCCTGTGGCAGGGCAGTGGCTGGAGCCCATGTCATGCCCACCCAGCAGCCTTCTTGCTCCCTGTGCAGGTGTGTGGCATCCTCAGAGGTGCTCACGCTCCAGGCCTGGCTGAGGAAAGGAGGTGAGCAGGACCCTGTGGCCACGGGTGTTGCTGATAGGAAGTAGTTAACTGACAAGGCCACCCCAGCAGTCCCTGGGAGACTCCAGCCAGAGCAACGTCAAACACGGCCCGCGCGCCCCTCACCCCTTCCCTCCCTCCCTGACAGGCAGGCAAGGCCATTCACAGTCTCTTCTGAAGCCTTCCCATCTCCCGCTGGAGCAATGAGGTCTACACAGACAGCTTAATTTGAATTTGCCTCTCTGGGTCCCCTGAATTGAGAGTGGAGTTGCTTTCAACGCATGCTGACTTCACGTCCCATCTTGTTGCTTCAGCTGTGGTTCAGGATGTCCAAGCACTATGTTCGCGTGTGCTAACATCTCCCAGGTGCCCTCTGCCCGGCACACTCGCCTCCCGAGGCACCCCGGGGTGTGGGCATCCAGCCCAGGGTGGGGTACTTGCAGTAAGGTGAGCTTTGCCCTCCCAAGGCTGCCCCTCCTCATCTCGTGCCCTGGCCCCAGCCACAGACCTTCCTGGTGGATGTGCATGGTGAACGGTGTCTGCCCACCGCCAGGTTCAAGCAGGCGGAGGCTCAGAGTGATTCTCGGTCCCTTAGAGAGGGTGTGGGGGAGGTCGCCAGCTGTGGGGCCCAAGGACACGGGCAAGCCTGTGGCTCAGATCACCCTTCTACCGTGGCACCAGCCACACAGGACTGCTGACCAAAATCACAGCGTTCCTCATATCCGCATAGAGAATTCCTCATGGCTTAATGAAGTATGTAGGAGAAGATGCCAGTGGCTCATCACCCGTCACCTGGAGTGAGGGGGCACCATGGGCCTCGGGTCGTGTCTGCTGCCTTCCCACCACCTCTGCCTCCCCACATCTTCATGTCTGTTTCCTGGTGAAGTCGGGTCTGTGACAGATCGTTTTGTTTCCTGCTCTGTCCCTTCGACACTATATCGTGAGCATTTTACGCTCAATTAAATATTTCCTCGATGATGGTGTTTAATGGTTGCATAATGTGCTATTTCGCAGTTGTGCCATAATTTACTTAAAATATTTCCTTGTTGTAGGACATTTAGCCAGCTCCTCTTTTTATTTACTCACCTGTTGATTTATCTTTCGCTGTGTAACAAAGCATCTCAGCAATCATCTGTCCACACAGATCTTTCTCTGGCTACTTCTTTAGATTAGGGTCCTCGTAGATTGATTATTAGTTTGGATAAAATTAATTAATTGGATAAATTATTAACCCATTTATGCTGGAGGTTGCAAATTTTTTTGTGAAAAATCAGACCTTGGCGATGACCTTGAACACCAGGATATAAATAACTCCCACAAGCTTAGTGTTCCAATAATGGAACACTAGGCATAAATGGGTTAATTCAAATGCGTGACCATTTAAACCCATATTTGAGTTGTTTTGCATCTATTTCAGCCATGTAAGACTTCCGGGAATGAGACTTGGCTCATCTCGTGTAATTCTGAGACTGCAGAGCTGGGAGGACTTTGTCATGGCTCATAATCTTAATGAAACCCCAGGTATGTAATGGAGCAGTTCCTGTCTCCATCTTATGAAGATCAGCACACCGGGGCCCTGGTTCACCTAAGGTTCTGCAGATGGACAGGGTCTGAGCAAAGAACCAGGCATCCTGCCTAGAGAGCCCTCTGTCAGCTCAGCTCTGCAGCCCAGACTTCCCCTCCAGGCTCCAGGCTCCACTCCTAAGCTGAACCATGGGGCTGCAGTGGCCTGGGCAGGGAGCAGCGGGGAAGATGGGGCTGTTCCCAGCTCACCGTCTCTCAGTTCCATCTCTTTTCTGGATCCCAGGCTCCCCATCAGCAGTGAGATCCCTGCCTCCACAGGGTCCTGTGAGTGACTGGGACGCCCTACAGCTTGCCTGCCCTCAGGGGCCGGGTGCTTTCTGCTGACCACACCGTACTTCCTCTTGCTTTGGAAATGGCAGTGAAGATTGTATGTGAGCATCCTTCTGGGGTTTGGTGTGGGGCCCCTGAGATGGGACGCACGCAGGTTCAAGAACTACACTGTTTGCCAAATTGAGGGCCCACTGTGACTGCAGGAAGTCAGTTTGTAGTGAGCGGGGAAAGGCCAGGAGGCTCAAGGAGGGGAGGACTTTGGGGCAGCCTGGCCATGGCCCTTTGTCATCACTGTGTCGAGTGGCCTCCCTTCCTTCTGAGGCTCCAGCTTTCCTCAAGTTTGGGCTCTGCAGGGAGGTCCTAGCAGCTCCCCAGCTCCTCTAACCAGGACAGCCTCAGTTTCTGGGGGCCCTGCAGAGACATCATGACCTGGTGCAGGGCTTCCCAAAGCTGTCTGTGGCCCCATCTGCCCAGCCTGGGTCACCACAGGTAGGATCCAGGAACCCGGGTGTTGGCAGGCTCCCAGGAAACATGGATGTCATCAGCCCAGGTTTGAGGGGTGCTGATTAGGAACACTGTGAGGATACGGAAGGTGTGTCCGGTTCTCACCTGTCACTCCTGTAGGAGTTGTGGCGAGTCCTAGTTGGCCTATTCCAGCAACTCTTGTTTAAAGGAATATCCTTTCCTGATTGAATTACCTTGGTACTTTTGTTGAAAATCAGTTTGCCGGCCAGGCGAAGTGGCTCACACCTGTAATCCCAGCACTTTGGGAGGTCGAGGTGGGCGGATCACCAGGTCAGGAGATTGAGACCATCCTGGCTAACAGAGTGAAATCCCGTCTCTGCTAAAAATACGAAAAATTAGCCAGGTGTGGTGGCAGGTGCCTGTAGTCCCAGCTACTGGGGAGTCTGAGGCAGGAGAATGGCGTGAACCCGGGAGGAGGAGCTTGCAGTGAGCCGAGATCGCGCCACTGCACTCCAGCTTGGGCGACAGAGTGAGACTCCGTCTCAAAAGAAAATCAGTTTGCCATATGTGTGGTTCTGTTTCTGAACTCTGTGTTCCATTCAGGTGACCTTGTGCTGCTATCCTGAATACTGCAGCTTTATAGTAAGTCTCAAAGTCAAGTAACATAAGTCCTCCAATTTTGTTCTTTTTCAAAATTATAGCTATTCTAGATCCACATAAATTTTGGAATCCGCCTGTCAATTTCTAGAAAAAAGCCTGCTGGGACTTTGATTTGGATTACATTCAATCTGTAGATCAATTTGGGAAGAACTGACATTCTTTTTTTTTTTTTTTTTGGAGATGAAGTCTCACTCTTGTCACTCAGGCTGGAGTGCCATGGAGTGATCTCGGCTCACTGCAACCTCTGCCTGCCAGGTTCAAGCGATTCTCCTGCCTCAGCCTCCTGAGTAGCTAGGATTACAGGCGCCTGCCACCACACCCGGCTAAGTTTTTATTTTTAGTAGAGATGGGGTTTTACCATGTTGACCAGGCTGGTCTCGAACTCCTGACTTCAGGCAATCCACCTGCCTGTAATACAGGCATGAGCCACTGCACCCGGCCGGGAAGAACTGACATTCTAACAATATTGTGTTCCAATCCATGAAAATGGTATATTTCTGTATTTATATAGGTCTTTACCTTCTCCCAGCAATGTTTTTTATTTTCCAACATGCAGGTTATGTGTATTTTTAAAATACTTAGCTTTAACTAGTTCATGTTTTCATGCTTTTGTAAATGTGCTTTAAAATTTTTATTTTCCAATGTTTCATTCCTAATATATAGAAATAATTGACTTTTATATATTGGTCTCGTATTCTGTAACCTTGCTGAATTTACTTATTAGTTCTAGAAAGTTTTTGTAGTTTCTTCAGGATTTTCAACATAGACAATTGTATCGTGTGCATAAAGTTAGAGTTTTATGTCTTCCTTTTCAACTTTTATGCCTTATATTTCCTTATCTTGCCCTTCAGTACTGGCTAGGAATTTCAGTACAGTGCTGAATAAGAATGGGGGGGGGGGGACATTTTTACCTTGTTTCTGATGCTAGCGAGAAAGCATCCAGTATTTTGACATTAGTATGCTGTTAAATATGAGTTTTTCATAGATACCATTTATCAGGCTGAGAAAGTTCCCTTCTGTTCTACTTGCTAAGAGTCGAATTTTGTCAGTTTTTTTTTTTACATCTATTGAGATGTTCATATGAACTTAATTATTCTGTTGATATTGTAAGTAATACTGGTTGATTTTTTTTAATGTTAAACCTAACTTGCATTCCTAGGATAAACCGCACTGGGTCCCTTTTTATACAATTGATAGATTCAATTTCCTAATTTTTAGTGAGAATTTTTGCATCTATGATCTTGTGCAATATTCATCTGTGGTTTAGTTTTTCTTGTAATGTGTTTGTTTGCCTTGGTATCAGGATGATGCTAGCCTCAAAAATGAATTGGGAAGGGTTCCCTCCTCCTCTTTTTTCTGGAAGAATTTGTGTGAGATATTTCTTCCCTAAATATCTGATAGAATTCACTAGTGAGGTCATCTGGGCTTGGCATTTTCTCTGTGGGAAGCTTTTTAAATTATGCATTTAATTTAATAGATATAGAACTACTCAGATGTTTTTTGAGTCAGTTTTGGTCATTTGTATCTTCTTGAGTTTTTGCTTATTTTGTGTATACTGTCAAATTTATTGGCATAAAATCATTCATAATAATTCATTATTATCCTTGTATTACCCATAGCATCTGTAGTGCCATCCCTTCTTCCATTTCTGATTTTGGCAATACATATCATCTCTTTTTTCGTCATCACTCTAAGTTTTATCGATTTTTTTATCTCTCTCCTTTCAGATCTGTCAGGTTTTGCTTCCTATATTTTTAATCCCTATTTTGGGGTACATACGCAGTTAAGATTGTTATATCTTCTTGATCACTTGCAATTGTAATTATAATTATGCAATGTCTGTCTTCATCTCTTAAATATTCTTGTTCTGAAGTCTGACTTGAGTAATATTAATATAGCCACTCCTGCTTTCTTACAATTTTAATATTTATATATACCTATCTATATTTCTAATCTTTTAATCTACCTGTGTCTGTATATTTTTAATGGATTTTTTGAAGATAACATCTAATTGAATCTTGCTTTTTTTATTCAGACTGATAATCTATGCCATTTATATTTAATATAATTTTTATGACATTGAGTTTAAATCTGCCATCTTGTCATTTGTTTTCTTTTTGTCTCGTATATTCTTTTTTTCATTTTTCTTGCCTCTTTTGGGCTGTTTTTTGGTATTCCATGTTTTCTCCAACATTGGCTTATTAATTATACCTCTTTGGTTTTCTTCTGTTTTGGTTTAGTTATTGCTCTAGGGCAAGGGTCAGTAAACCTTTCCTGTAAAGAAACAGGTATCAAATATTTTAGGCTTTGGGAGCCATACTGTCTGTGTCACACCTCTGCTGTTGTAGCACAGAAGGAACTGTTACATAATGAGCTCAAATGTGTGCCAGTAAAACTTTATTACAAAAGCGGGCGGTGGGCCAGAATTGGCCCATGGGTTGGAGTTTGATGACCCCAGCTCTATGTCAGTCTGTTTTCAAATAATCTTACTAGTTAACATAGAGCATTTTAAAAGTATTTTTCCATTTTTTCTTTTTATGTAATTTTTACACAAAATTTTTTTGTGAAATTATTTTTTCACTTTAGAGAGTACATTATCTTCTAAATTAAAATGATTCAAAAATGCTTGTTGAAGTGTATTCACCTATTTAAATACGTGAACTGTATTCACATATTTACTGCTTCTGGCAGTAGTGGGAGGAGGACCAGGGCGGGGGGCCTGGAGATGGAACCGCACCTTCCCATGCTGCCTCGCTAATTCTACAAATACTGTTGACATCCTGTGCGTGTGGCCTTGAGCAGAGGGGTAAAGACCGGGCAGCCCTGGCAGGGGCTCTGGGGCCAAGGACATCACCTTCTGGGGGTAGGAGCAAGATGTCCTTCCAGAGCCTAGGTTTTGAGAGGAGGTTACCCTGGCCTGGTTAGGATGAGTTGTCATCTTTTAGCTTTTGGTTTGGTTTCTGTTTGTGTTTATTTTCACTTTTTGCCATGGAAAGTTTTAAGCATATATATAAAAATATGGAAAACAGCATCGAGAAGTCCCTGTGAGCCCATCCCACCCTCTTCCCCCTTCCTGGATTATTCTGAAGCAAATCCAAGGTATCGTAATTAATTTAGCTGCAATCATTCAAGTATTGTAGCATGTGTCTCTGAAGGGCTGGTGACTCCATAAAGCCCTAACCAGAGTCCTTTTATTGTGGTAGGACCTGGTCTCGGTGGGTGAGGACGGTGGGGAAAGGGGCAGCGTCCGGCAGGGTGACCACCTGTGCGAAGGAGAAGAGAGACAAAGCACCTGGTGTTGGACCAGACGGGGGGCTCGGGACCTTGGGCTGCAGTTGACCACGTGAGGCCCTTAGCCTCCAGAGAAGGAGCTGGTTTAACATGACCAATGGTTGTGGAGACCTTGCTTCCTAGGTGGGGCTGCCATGCCGCTACCATCCTCCCGCATAAGTACGTTACAGAGATCTATGGAGCCAAGGGGCTAGTTCACCAAAATAAGACCTGGCCGTGTCCACCACTCTGCTGGTCTGGCTGGGGTTGCCGTCACAGAGCCCCACGGCGGGGGGCTGAGACCGCAAACGTGTGTCTCACACAATTCTGGAGGCTGAAATCTGAGATCAAAGGGCACCGGAGTTGGCCCCTGGGGAGGACTCTCCTCCCGGCTTGTGGACGGCCGCCCCTTGTATTCCTGTGTGACCTTTCCACTGTGCACTTGGAGAGCTCTGGTGCCCCTGCTGGATCAGGACCCACCCTTATGACCTTCATCAGACTTAACTTCCCTCCTTAAAGGTCCTATTTCCAAATACAGTCACATGGGGATTAGGTTAGTATCTAAATTTGGGGGACACAGTTCAGCCTGTAACAGTTGCTCTGCACAGCCCCGCTCGGTTACATCATAGATGTTCGCACACGTCTGTGCACGTGAACTACCTGTTATCTGTTGCACATGCAGCGTTACTAAACAGGGTTCCCTTATACCTCCCGGGGTTCCTGGAGTGGCGTCTTCTCTTTTGCTGGGAACCTTGCCGCCTTTCCTCTCCCTGCCCCTCCCAGCCCGTGTGGGCCACCTGCTGTGTTCCACGCCTTCCTTTCTCCTCTGCTTGTGCAGCGGAAGGTTCTGCCAGCAGGGGAGTTAGTGAGCAGCCAGTGGAGGGTGTGCCCAGCCTTCCTGCTGCAGACCCGCCCCCAAGTCAACACGGACTTCCCTCCCTGCGTGCCAGAACTTCGCGTTGTTCTTAGTGGCATCTGGGGTCGAGGAGGGCGACTGTCAGCCAGTTGGGGGATGTTTTCTTCTTGGTCTCTCGGCTTCTGCTTCCCTGTGAGCTGGGCAGCCTCAGCCCAGGTCCTATCCGGTACTCAGCTGGCCTCGGTGTGCACAGCGCAGGCTTGAGTGCAGCCGTGGGGGCGGGCAGGGCAGCAGCAGGGCCCCTGGGAACAGCTGAGTCTGAAGGGTCAGAAGCCATGGCCCCTGTGGGGGGCTCTGGGGCAGCCAGGGGAGCTGCTCGTTAGTCGTCTCTGGGGCAGAAGGAAGGGACCTTCACCTGGATTGGGACTGGGCCTGGGTCCCCAGTCTCACAGGGAGCTTGTCCTGATTGTACCTGCCCAGCCTGCCCTGCAGAGGGGAAGGAGGCCCTTGGCTCGGAGTATGCCTGCCCTGGAGCTCCCAGGCCCAGCCGGGGCCCGGGGTGGGGGCCACTCACTGGGCACAGGTGCAGGGTGCCTATGGCCAGGCCTGGGGTGTGGCCGGTCTCCATGCTGCAGAGCCGGAGGCCTCTGTGTTCTCTCCCTGCCTTCCCCTCCTCCCTATACCTGCCCCTCCTCTCTACCATCCTACCCAACCTCTCTCTCCTGGAGCCCTCCAGCCCCACCCCTCCCCGTGTACACTAAGTGCCCAGGCGGGAGGGCCTGTGGGTCCTGCTGAGCCACACAAGGCCCCAATCGAGCAGGTAGCAGGTGGTGTGCTGCGAGCTGCTTTTCCCTCCTGGGTCAATTCCTAAGCCCACCAGGCGATCGATGAAGAGCCACCTGCCTCTGGGTAATGCTGATAGGTGAGAGCCACTCAACAGCGCTTTTATTTTTTTTTTTAAGGAAGCCGCACTCAGCCACAAGCTGTGCGGAAAGCTATAGGATTATCAAGATCAAAAGGTCAGCCCTCCGCCTCCTCTCCTCCACCAGAGCCTCACCCTGGCCACGGCGGGTGCTACCCTCGATGTCACGGCCTGGCCACCGTCTTACCCCCGTCCCGGTGCTGCTGCAACGTCTCCTCCTGAGACGCTTCCCTGACCATCCCAAGCCACGGTCACCCCCTCTGTCCTCTGCACTGTGGCCCAGCCTGGCCGTGCGATGACACGGTTGTCTGCCAGTGTGTGTCACCTCCCCAAAGCTGATGCGCTGGTGGGAGACCCCGGGTCTTACCAGCCGTGCACCGAGACGGCCTCGCTGCACTGACCTCTGGCGCCAGCCACTGTCTGCTGGGCAGCCTGACCTTCGTTTTCCATCCCCACTCCGGTGCAGATGGAGAGCCTGGAACACCGTCCCGGGATCCCCGGTGGCCAGGCAGAAGCACCGACCCTAGCATGGGGTGCTCAGAGAGGCCCGCCTGTCCTCAGCCTGGGCCTGTGTGTGTTCCACGCCTCCCCACCGGAACTGACCCTGGCGTGGGGTGCTCCAAGAGGCCCTCTGGCCTCAGCCTGGGCCTGTGTGCTCCACGCTTCCTCCCTGGTGCCGACTTGATGGGCTCAGCATCCATTCTCGTTCAGCCACGGGGAGCAGTTTCAGGGCCAGGAGTCCCTCAGCATCTGGAGGCAGGATAAGCCCTGCCTGCTCCCCAAACACACGTCTCCCCACTGGGCTTCAGGGCCAGCTTGGGCTTCGGTGGGGGTGTCCATCAGGGGTGAGCTGCGGCCCTTGTCAGGGCACATCCTGCACCCGGGGTGCCCACTCCCCCATGGTGGTCGGGGGTTACAGTGAGGGAGGCAGCAGTGGGCAGCTGGTGTGTCCCCTGCCAGGATCTCCCACTACCCCTCCATCCACCGCAGAGCCCCCTGCCCAGCCCCAGAAGAGCCCCTTGGCCCCCATCCGTAGAGAGCCCAGGTGCTTTGCCCGTACCCCTCAGCACTGTCCAGCCCCGGCCGTGCCGTGCTCCTACTAGCTCTCCACCAGGGCTCCCCACCTGCCCCTCCCCACCGCCCCTCGCATCCTCCAGGACTCAGCCCAAATGCCACCTTCCTTGAGGCCTCCCCAACCTCCTCCCAGAGCCCTGCCCCTGCTCCCACCCTCTTGCTGTAATTACAACCCCATTTAGGGCTGGCGCTCTCTAGCCCATTGAGGCCCCAGGACAGGACCCGGACTCGCGCCCCAGCCCGTGAGGTCCAGAGGGGACTCCCCAGCCGGGGATGGGGCCTGTGAGCCAGGCTCCCTGCACACATTTACGGTGGGGGTCAAGGCCCCCCTTATGAAAAGGGACACTGAGGCAGGAGAGGCTGCACCAGAATTGGAACCGGGCCCACCAGCCCCACGGGGGGCTCCTCCCCGCTCCTCCACGGCTCGGCATGCAGCCCTTCCCTGTGTGACTCGTTGCGTCATTGCTGGGCTGGGCCCTTTCTTCTCTCCGTTTCTCACCTGGGGATAAAGTCCCCAAAGTGGGATTTCTGGATTAAAGATCACGGCCATCTCTCTCTCCGTGACAGTTTCCGGCTTTCTCTCCTTCTGACGCGCCCCCCACCCTGGGTGTTTGAATTGACTGGAAGCGTTGACGTTTTATTGACGTCCATCGCGGTGTCCTCTCCAAACAGAACGATCCTCACTGTGGAGTTCGATCTCAGCACACAGAAGGCTCGGAGCTGGCTTTTCATTCCTGTGTTTATTCGTTCAGCAAGCGTTTCTCCATATCACCCGTGTCTGGCCCTGTGCTGGGGGCAGATGAGAGAGGCACGGTCCAGTGCCCAGGAGTCCGCAGCCAGGAGGACAGCCCTGGAGACCTGCCCGTGTGAGTGTGAGCCGGCGGGAGCAGAGAGCGGCCTCTGCCCTGGGCTGCGTCCTGGAGGTGATTTTCAGCCTGGATCCTGTTCTGGAAAGAAAGGCCTCTCGTTCAGCTGAGCCCAGTTCGGTGTCGCAGGCGACTGTTGGATGCCAGACATGGGCTAGACATGAACAGGAGGAGCTGCCTGCCCTGAGGCTCAGGGCCTGGGAGCAGAGACAGACGGGGAAGCCGCAGCGCAGAGGGTGAGGGCTCACCCAGGAGCAGGTGCTGTGGGGAGGCCTGGTGCACCTGGACCAGGGGCCTCACTTCCTGGGGCTCAGGGCCATCGGCCAGGCCGCTGGGCATGACCTGTCATCTGGGAAACGGTGCGGCAGCCCCAGTGTGGCCCCGATCCTCTCTATAGAGTGTTTGAGTCCCAGGCCTGCAGCACCCCGTGGGGCTCACAGTGTGCATGTCTGACCCTGCAGGCAGCCCTGCGGGGTAGGTGTCAGCCTCTCTGTCGCGGGACAGGGGACAGAGGGAGCGCAGATGGCCTGCAGGGTGTGGAGGAGGCTCCCCAAGGCCTGGGGCCTGGACTGGGCTGTTTGGGCCTGTATCTGTCAGCAGGAGCTGCCGCCTGGGAGTCATGCTGGAACACAGCAGAGCCTGGAGATGAGAGGTCTTCATCCTGTCTCTCCCTCCCTCTGCTTTCTCTGTCCTGTGGGCTCTGAGCCACCGTAGTTCTGCCCCCTCTCTTCTCATCTCCTCCACCCCCAAGTGTGGGGACCCTAGACCCTGTCCCCTCCATGTCCCCTCCACATCTCCTCTGGGGCTCCGAGCTGCTGGCCCTCCGGGGAAGCCTGCACCGCCATCACAGGTGCAGGAGTTCAGAGTGGCAGGCGTATGTTGGGTTCAGCGTGGCAGGCGTATGTTGGGTTCAGCGTGGCAGGTGTATGTTGGCTTCAGCGTGGCAGGTGTTATGTTGGGTTCAGCGTGGCAGGCGTATGTTGGGTTCAGCATGGCAGGCGTATGTTGGGTTCAGTGTGGCAGGCGTATGGTGGGTTCGGCGTGGCAGGTGTTACGGTGGGTTCGGCGTGGCAGGCGTATGTTGGGTTCAGCGTGGCAGGCATATGTTGGGTTCGGCGTGGCAGGTGTTATGGTCAGTTCAGCGTGGCAGGCGTAGGTTGGGTTCAGCGTGGCAGGCATATGTTGGGTTCAGCGTGGCAGGTGTTACGGTGGGTTCAGCTTGGCAGGCGTATGTTGGGTTCAGCGTGGCAGGTGTTACGGTGGGTTCAGCGTGGCAGGCATATGTTGGGTTCAGCGTGGCAGGTGTTACGGTGGGTTCAGCGTGGCAGGCGTATGTTGGGTTCAGTGTGGCAGGTGTTACAATGGGTTCAGCGTGGCAGGCTTATGTTGGGTTCAGCGTGGCAGGCGTATGTTGGGTTCAGCGTGGCAGGTGTTACGGTGGGTTCAGCATGGCAGGCGTATGTTGGGTTCAGCGCGGCAGGTGTTATGGTCGGTTCAGCGTGGCAGGCGTATGTTGGGTTCAGTGTGGCAGGTGTTACGGTGGGTTCAGCGTGGCAGGTGTATGTTGGGTTCAGCATGGCAGGTGTTACGGTAGGTTCAACGTGGCAGGCGTATGTTAGGTTCAGCGTGGCAGGTGTTACGGTTGGTTCGGCATGGCAGGCGTATGTTGGGTTCAGCGTGGCAGGTGTTACGGTGGGTTCAGCATGGCAGGCGTATGTTGGGTTCAGCGTGGCAGGTGTTACGGTAGGTTCATCGTGGCAGGCGTATGTTAGGTTCAGCGTGGCAGGTGTTATGGTCGGTTCAGCGTGGCAGGTGTTATGGTCGGTTCAGCGTGGCAGGCATATGTTGGGTTCAGCGTGGCAGGTGTTATGGTCGGTTCAGCGTGGCAGGCATATGTTGGGTTCAGCGTGGCAGGTGTTACGGTGGGTTCAGTGTGGCAGGTGTATGTTGGGTTCAGTGTGGCAGGTGTTACGGTGGGTTCAGCGTGGCAGGCATATGTTGGGTTCAGCGTGGCAGGCATATGTTGGGTTCAGCGTGGCAGGTGTTACGGTGGGTTCAGCGTGGCAGGCGTATGTTGGGTTCAGCGTGGCAGGTGTTATGGTCGGTTCAGCGTGGCAGGCTTATGTTGGGTTCAGTGTGGCAGGTGTATGTTGGGTTCAGCGTGGCAGGCATATGTTGGGTTCAGCGTGGCAGGTGTTACGGTGGGTTCAGCGTGGCAGGAGTATGTTGGGTTCAGCGTGGCAGGTGTTATGGTGGGTTCAGCATGGCAAGCGTATGTTGGGTTCAGCATGGCAGGTGTTACGGTAGGTTCACCGTGGCAGGCGTATGTTAGGTTCAGCGTGGCAGGTGTTACGGTCGGTTCAGCGTGGCAGGCATATGTTGGGTTCAGCGTGGCAGGTGTTATGGTCGGTTCAGCGTGGCAGGCATATGTTGGGTTCAGCATGGCAGGCATATGTTGGGCACCAACTAGGCCGGATGTGACACATCGTGAGCTGCCACCTGCACAGCCTTCCTGCCGACAGTTCTGGGCAGCGGCTCGCATCTGGGGTCAGTCACTCTCCCTGTCTCGGTTCAAGGTCAGGCTTGTTCTGCCGTGTCTGGGCCTCCCACACCTCACCTACCAATGTGGACTCCGGGTTGGCACGGCAGGGGCAGGGGAGGCACGGGCGAGGCACCCCTTGGCTTATGAAGTGCTCCAGCCAGCCGCCTGTTGGACCCCGTTGCTTCCTGGGCTCACAGCCTGCCTTGTGGGACGAGCCTGGGTCCTCCGTCAGCAGCTGGACCTGAACCTGCCTGCCCCATGGAGGCACTTGCGGGAGCCCAGTCTAGGTGTGGTGTGGCATCACCTCCTGCAGGGACAGTCGTGATGTGTTCCATGGAGCCCACGCACGTGATCTCCATGAGGCTGTGGTCCTCGGCCCCCTCAACCCGTGCTAGTGTGACAGTGCTGATTGACAATCGTAGCTCATTACCGACGCAGGCTAATTAAATTACCCTTCGGCAGCTGGAGATGGATGGCACAGCCAGGCTGGAACATGGTTATGTTCCGTTTTGTCACGTTTTTCAGTGTTTTTTCCCGGGTCCCTGTGATACTGAGGTTGGAGAGAAGGGGAGGCAGCAAAGGCGCTGGGAAGAGGGCCCTGGGGAGGTCACCTGCTCCCAGCTGCACGTGGGCTGAGCTCTTGCAGGCCATCGCTGTGCCCAACCCTGGGCTGGGGATTTAAGGAAACCTGGGGAGTTTAGGAACCTGGACTTGGTTCTTGCCCTTGAGAGCCTATAAGGTGGAGTTCAGGGAGAGCTAAGAGCCTGCGCCGAGGTAGATGCTGGGAACTCAGAGAGGCCTCTGGGAGAGGCTGTGGGAGGGGGTCCCAGGCAAGGGGTGCTCTCCACGTGGGCTGACTGCTCCTTCCCTGGCGTTCCCCCGGGCCTCTGTGGCCCCCACAGCAGCGTGTGTGCCTTCTCCTTGAGACCCAACCCCGCCCCATGCCGGCAGCCATGGGGGCGGGCGATGGTGCCTGGGCATGGATCGTTGCTCGGATGTTCCCGTCCCGGGCCTCACCGTCCACGTGTGGCCTGGACCAGTTGCGTCGGTGCCATTCGGGCCCCACCCCAGCCTGCCGAGCCAGAGCCTGCCTTTCACAGAGCCTTGGGGGAGTCCTACACACGCGAGGGTTTGGGCTGTGCCGGGCTAGCTTTCTGCCTGGCGCGGTGAGGCGGCGCTTCCGTGCTCAGCTTCGTCCGTGTGGGGAAGAGGCCAGGTTCTCCATGCAGAGGGTTGGTGTGCCAGGGCTTGCACCGCTGGGCCCCTGTGTGGGGAGGTCACACCTTCAGCTCCTTAGCTGACATGCTGGTCTTCTGGGCGTTCCCCTGGTGGTCGTCACTGCGTCCTGTTGGCCCCTTGGTGCTGAGCCGCATCCCCAACTGTGAGAACTCTCGCCTCTGGTTAAGGCTGTGAACACGCAGTGCGTGTCACTCCTACCCGGCATGGGCTGTGCTGACTTCCAGGCAGGCCGCAAGGGTATCGCATGACGCGCTGGAGAAATCCAAGCCTAATCCCAGGACCCCAGGATGATGCTCCATCCCTGGAGGGACCTCCAGGAGCTCCCTTCCCCACCCCCTGCTGAGCCTGTACTTTCTTTGTGTAAATTATCCGTGGGGTGGGGTGGGTGGGAGGCCTCGCTGGGGAGGACAGACATGGAGGGCCCCACTCCAGCAGCACGCAGCCCGGGAGGCGCGGCCTGCGTGGGAGCAGCCCGGGAAGCGTGGTGTGTGCTGGGCGGCAGCAGCCATGGAAGTCCACGCTGCCTCCACAGTACCCAGGAGCTGGGGAGGCAGTGACTTGAAATCTCAGAGCCAATTCCTTAAAAATCCAGAAAGTTCTAACTGATTTCGGTTATCAGCAGGTGGGGCTTGGCTCCCTGTTCTGCCTCAAGGTTATCTTGGCCAAATTGTCCACCCCAGGGGCCACTGTGGGGTCAGGAGTGCTGGTGTCTGGGGGGCCACAGTGCACCTCGCTGGGCTGAATGGCAGGGTGCAGGAGGGCCCACTCTGAGCGGGCACGGCAGGGACAGTGCTTACAGAGGTCAGTAGGGGAATTACTGCTGGCGTCTGCTCAGCGCCATGTGGGGCAGGGCAGGGCACTGGCCACACAGAGGACAGATGTGGAGGGCCCCTCAGAGACGGTTGTCGCCCCGTATTAGGGAAGACGGGAGAAGCGAGCACAGACACTGCTCTAATTATGTGGCTCTCATCTGGGCAGGGACTGCCTCCGATGCATCGCCATTTATTTTTAATAAGTCGTTGGAACAACTTCAGCTCCAATTATTGTCCCAGAGCTGATGGCAGGGGCCAGTGCTCAGCCCGTCCAGTCCCTCCAATGAGGGACTGTGTCACCTCCCTGTGCCACCCCTCCCATCCCCTACAGCCACCCTGCAGGAGCTCTGCCCCGGAGGCCAGGAAGCGTGGCCCTTCTCCCTGCCTGCAGGAGGCCTCAGGCGCAGGTTCCTGGAATGGAAATTGGGCCCGAGCCACCGGTAGAATCTGGCAGAGTGCTGCTGAGATGTGCAGAAGCCTCCGCGCCCCATGGCCCACCTCGCTCCTACTCACTGCACACCTGCAGTGGGATGCATGGCCCGCTTTGCACTCTGCAGAAGATTGGGCGAGCAGAAGGGCCAGATCTGTCCCAATTCCTGCGGCCCCCAGAGGAAGCTGCTGCCACCGCCTCATCCAGACCTGGAGCTCAGGCTGCAGTGCCGCCTTCCATGCTGGACCCGCTTCTCTCCTCTACATCTTCCGGGGGGGTCCTGCGGAGGCAGCCAGCACCTCTTCCTTGTCCCACACTTCCTTGTCCCGGCATTCCCCTCCTCCATTAGCCCCGAAGGCCTCTGGAGCTTGGGCTGGGCATGAGCTTCATGTGTGTCCCTGGCATGTGGTCAGTGATGCCAGGGGAGGCCTACGGTGCCCATGTCTGTGGCACTGACCGTGCCATCCATCTCACCAGCTTCTGCCTGCCTCTGTCTCCCACTTCGCCCCAGCTTGGCCCTAGATCTCCAAGTACTGCAGCCGACCTCAGCCCCTCACCCACTGGGCCAGCAGGTGCTGCTGTGGTGACCCACTCTGCGGTCAGGAGCCCAGCGGGCCCTGTAGTGAGTGCTGCCCACTACCTCCCCTACCTCCGAGCTGCACCTCCCCATCCCTACTGCAGGAGGACCGCTGTGGGCATGGAGAGCAGGCCAGCACAGTGAGACGCCTGCAGGAGCCTGGCCCAGCCAGCGCTGGCAGCTGAGCTGCCCATCTCTCCTCCTTGGCCCTCACCGGGCCCTATGTCGCTGCCTCCTGCTGCTTCCCCAGTCATGGTACACCCTCACTGAAGGCCCTCAGGGCTCCCGTCAGCCCGTGGAACAGATCTAGTTGGTTTTCACGATGTTCCCTGCCCTTCACCCCTGCCTGCCCCCAACGCTCCCGCCAAGCAGGACTGCTCTGGGGCTGGCCGGCAAGAGGTGCCATGGCCTCTGCGTTGCCTGCCTGTCCGCAGCCTCCCGTGGCGTCTCACACCAGCAGCTTCTCTGTAGCGCTCCCTGAGCCTCCTCTTCCCCACTTAAGACCTCTCCTCAGCACAGTGCACCCTCGTGTCTCTGCCCCAGAGACTGGAACCGTCTGGAGGGTGGAGCTCGCTCTCATCTCTTGCTTCAGCCCTTTGTTCCTGGGAGCATGTTACGGCCTCAGCCTGCAGTGGGGGCACAGGGAGCTTTACAGAACCAGTTAGGGTTCCAGGAGCAGGCTCTGCAAGGCTCCACCCTTGTCTTGGAGGGCAGAGGCTGTCGGGACCCACAGCGCAAGGGCCTAGGCGTCTATCTCCTCCCACCTGGGCACCTGGCTCCCAGAGCGCACCCGGGCTCTGCACCACCAACCTGGGCACCTGGCTTCCAGCATGTACTGAGGCCCTATACTCCCAACCCAGGCACCTGGCTCCCAGTGTGCACCCGGGCGTTCTGGCCCCCCTCCCACCAACCAGCCCTGCTGAGCATCTGTGCTCCCACCCACGGTCTGTCAGGGGGCACTCGTGGTCTCTGACATGGACATCCCTGGCTATCCCAAGAGTTTTGCTTCAAAACCAGCATGGTTCTCCAGACCCAGGACCACCCCACCCTCCCCTGGGGCGCATCACGGCTGTCTGCCTGGCCCATTGCGGGCCGATGGTGCCTGTCACGCTGGCAGGCTTGTCCAGGGCTTCCCCGAGGGCCCAGTGGCTCACTAGAGGCTGTCATCTGGCTCGTGGAGCCCCGAAGCCCCCAGGCGGTGCACAGGGCCTGCAAGCAGGAGGGGCTGCCATTCGAGAGAGAGAGCAGTCGCTGTAGATCCCGTAGCAGCCGCTCTCTGGGTCTGTGCCTTTGCGTCTCCAAGGCAGCCAGTCCTGATTAACTGTGCAAACTTAATTAGTTCACATCAAAGTTTGTGGAAGGCATTCCTCAAGGGATCTTGTGTGAACAGCCTCTGGTTACCAAGAGGCCTCAATTCCACACTGAGGTGATGGTATTAATATTGAGTATCCCTTCTCAGGTCTCCAGTCCTCCCTGCATCGTAAAAAGACTCATCTTCCCATCTGGCTGCTCCGTCGCCCTGCGCTTGTAAATAATATTAAAGCAATTTCTTCTGAGGAGACTGAAGGGAAGCTTGCAGGGCAGGGTGTCCTGAGACCTCTGAAAGCTCTGCTGTGGGCACTCAGGGCTACAGCCGGGCAGCAGCAGGGCTGGGATGCCCCGGGGCTGGCACCAGGCCTGGGGGCCCCATCTGTGCCCGGCAAGGTCAGCTTTGACTCAAGGGACAGGCAGACAGGCCTTGCAGACCCCCAAGAGCTTCTCTCTGGCCCTTCTTTCCCCAAGGAGGAGCCACTGTGGAGAGCTGGGGTCTTGGTGGGAAGCCTTGGGCCCCTGACTCTGTGGGCCAGATCCCATAGGGTGGGTGCTTGTGCACGCCTCACGCATGTGCCCCCTTCCGGGAGTCCCAGACAGGATGGGCCTGGTCACCTGCTCTGGACAGGGCAGACTGGGGACAGGGATGCTCCCGGAAGGGTGTCACTAGACAAGTGAGAGCGTGGTCAGTGGGCGTGAGGTGGGGACTTGAGCTGCGGGCGTGGTAGGTGTCTCAGTGCTTCAGTGTGGCTATACTAGAGCTCCTGAGACTGCGTGGTTTATGAGGAGGCTTATTCGACACAGGATTCTGCTGGCTGCAGAGTTCAAAATTGGACATTTGCATCTGGCAAGGTCCTCAGGCCGCATCCACTCCTGGCAGAAGTCGAGGGGAGCTGTTGTGTGCAGAGAGTACGCAGCGAGAAAGGGGCGGAGTGGGGGCGGGGGGCACCAGGCTCTCCCAACAGTGGGAACCCCCTCACCCCAGGGAGGGGGCCAGTCTGTTCACGAGGGCCCACCCTCACGGCCAAACACCTCCGGTTAGGCCCCACTCCAGTATCGAGGATCAGGGGTCCACGTGAGGTCGGGAGACAGACGTCCAGGCCACAGCCCCGCATGGGGGAAGGGCACCGCTGCAGCAGTTCTGGGCATCAGCTCGTGTGGATGTCTAAGGAATATTTCCTCGTCCTGACAAATTGCCCAGCAACTGTGTCATGGGGACTTTGCAAATCCACCCTTTAAAGACTCCCGGCAGGGGGGTGTTCAGAAGCCAGAAGCAATTTGGATAATGACCCATCCAGCCCTGAGCCCCAGTCAAAAGGAAGGGCTGGACCTTTGATCTGCAGGTTCCCTGGAGCTCTGGCCAAAGGCAAGTTCCCCCGAGTCCCGTCCAGGAAAGGGGCCCCGGGTCTGCCCTGCAGGGAGCCAGTGCTGAGCTGAGACAGGCCATGAGCCCTGCAGCCGCCTCCCCTCCTCCTTCAGGTGTTCAGGTGTCTCTGCTAGCAACACAAGTGGCCAGGAAAGCGGCTCCCCAACTGTCTGACCCTCCTGGAGACCCTGGCCCGGGGTCTTTGTTCCTCTGCAAGTCCCACCGGGCTGCGGGAATTCCTCCGCAGGGCCGCCCCGTCCCCATCCTGGCCAGTTTCTCCCTCGGCTTTCCTCGGGGCCCAGGCTGGAGTGCAGTGGCGCGATCTCGGCTCACTGCAACCTCTGCTCCTCCAGAGTAGTTTTAAGCAGTTCTCTGCCTCAGCCTCCAGAGTAGCTGGGATTACAGGTGCGTGCCACCATGCCTGGCTAATTTTTTGTATTTTTAGTAGAGACGGGGTTTCACCATCTTGGCCAGGCTGGTCTTGAACTCCTGACCTTGTGATCCACCTGGCTCGGCCTGCCAGAGTGCTGGGATTACAGGCAGGAGCCACCGCGCCTGGCCTTCCTCGGGGCTTTCTATCCTTGGGCCCCCGGGTGCCTGACGGGGCTGCAGGAGCACGGGAGCCCACGGTGTTCCGGGACTGCAGGCCGGCCACCCTCCACCCAGGAGCTCCAGGGAGCGGAGGGGCAAGATGGGGCAGGGCAGGGCAGCTGAGAACACAGGCTGAGCCCAGCGCGTGGGGTGTGGGCAGGTGACGGTCTCTGCAAGCCCAAGTCTCCTCCTGGGTCTGGGGGTGAGATGTGGCTGAAGTGCTGCTCAGGGGTCAGCCTCAGTACTGGCTCCCGGGCCTTCAGCCAGGCCGTGCTGTGCGGGGGCTTGTTCCAGACCCTCCCCAGGACTGAAGTGCTGTCTCATCTTTCTCCTCACAGAGGCCCTCAGTGGACCGCGAGGTCTCCCCGCCCAGGCCTTGTGACGGCCGTGCCGCTGGCCCCGGGCCTGCCGGTAGCTGCCTTTCTGCAGCCAGACTGTTAACAGGCTCTCTGCGGACCCTCACCAGTGCCTAACTAGATCCTGGCCCCAGGCCTTCCTCCCTGCCCTCTCGGGCCTGATGAGCCGCACCCGGCATTCACCCCGCCCTGGGCTCCGCTAACCCCGTCTTCGGAGGCCGAAGGAGTGAGGTCTTCAGCCCGTGCTGAGGCGGCCTCCTCGTGCGCTCAGATCTGGACGCCACCTGGCTTGCGGGGCTTGGGGCTCCCTCCTCTGGTTGGGGGGTTGGATGGAGGGTGCGGAGTGCAGCGTCCCCTCCCAGCCTCCAGGCCTGTGCAAGACGGCCCCACAATCAGCAACCAGGCAGTGAGGAGGAGGCTCTGGGTCTCCCCAACACATGTGGGACTTGTCTGATCCCCTGAAGACACGGACTCAGTCTAGTGCCCATGGGACCCTGACATCTGACCCTGCGGGCCCCTTTCTACGGCCGGCAAGTAGCTGTGGGCCCAGAGCCCACCTCAGACCAGTAGATGAGGGTTTCGGTGAATTGTTTTGTCTCTTTTGAGTTTGTTTTCATCGTCACTCTATTTATAGCAAGCACTGTTTTTTTTCATTTTACAGCAGTGATGTAAAGCTTCCTTTTTCACTGGGCCTATTGAAGCTAATAAGGAAAGTTGGGTTAAAGAAAATACTAAGTAAATAACAGGCCTGTAGGCAGACCGTTACCTAGATGGCAGCCACTTGCTGGACCGGCCAGGGCCGATGCCCTCAGCCTCCAGCAATGCCCCCTGAGTGGATCTGATGAACTTTATTGTACAGAGGATTCTGACACTGTGAAAGGTTGAGAGACTCACACAGCTTGGGAGGGGCAAGGCAGGGAGGGAGGGATCCAGGTCGGCCCTGCTGCAGTCTCGGGACTCTCCGGCACAAATCCTCAAGCCCCTGCCTCTGGGGTCCCCACCAGACTTCATGCACAGGACAGGGACATGAGGAGGGAAGGCCTCTGTGGAGCTTTGCCGTCTTCTAGGGCACAGTTCAAACTGTGGCTGCTTCTGCCTCCCAGGGGACCCGTGGCAACATCTGGAGATATTTCAGTCCTCACAGCTGGGGCCAGGCTGTTGGCCTCTGGTGGGCAGAGGCCCGGGGTGCTGCTCGGTGTGCTGAGGAGACCAACCCGGAGTAACCTGGCTCCCGAAGTCCAGAGCACCGAGGCTGCGGGGTGCCGCTCTTGGGGACGCCCCAGACACCCCTGAGCAGCTCCCCGAGTTTCTCTGTGGAGGAAATGGGTGGGGGTGTCCAGCCATGGCTGATGCCAGAGGCTCTGCAGGTCTAGGAGGCCTTCAAGAGACTCACTTCTCTAGTCACTCTGCGTCCCCTGCATGGCGGTGGGGCTCTGAGGCTGAGGGCACACCCCAGCCCTCTACGTTCCCAGCAGCTCCTGGGCTGGGGGGCCAGGAGTCCCTCCAACCAGGGGGCAGGCGGAGCAGTGTCCCTCCAACCAGGGGGCAGGCGGAGCAGTGTCCCTCCAACCAGGGGGCAGGCGGAGCAGTGTCCCTCCAACCAGGGGGCAGGCGGAGCAGTGTCCCTCCAACCAGGGGGCAGGCGGAGCAGTGTCCCTCCAACCAGGGGGCAGGCGGAGCAGTGTCCCTCCAACCAGGGGGCAGGCGGAGCAGTGTCCCTCCAACCAGGGGGCAGGCGGAGCAGTGTCCCTCCAACCAGGGGGCAGGCGGAGCAGTGTCCCTCCAACCAGGGGGCAGGCGGAGCAGTGTCCCTCCAACCAGGGGGCAGGCGGAGCAGTGTCCCTCCAACCAGGGGGCAGGCGGAGCAGTGTCCCTCCAACCAGGGGGCAGGCGGAGCAGTGTCCCTCCAACCAGGGGGCAGGCGGAGCAGTGTCCCTCCAACCAGGGGGCAGGCGGAGCAGTGTCCCTCCAACCAGGGGGCAGGCGGAGCAGTGTCCCTCCAACCAGGGGGCAGGCGGAGCAGTGACGCTTCTGTTTAGAGGCGTGTCCTGGCCCTTGTGGCCTTTAGTCCCCACCTCAGCCCCGTTGTCACTGGGAAAGGATAGCTTCAGCCAGGTGGAGCCATGTGCCCAGGGCCCTTGCCTAGAGGGGGACCAGCCCGGTCTCAGCCCAGCCCCCACCGGACCCAGCACCTGCCCTGCTCCCCAGAGCCTAGCCGTGGCCGAGCCCCAGCCTCAGCCCCGGGGGGTCACCAGCCTCCTGCCCGTCTTTGGTGGTTGTGGTTTGAATATGGAGGCAGTTGTCCAGTCAGGGGCAGGGTGAGCGGCCGCCTCTGGGCTTGCGTGCTGGGACTTGTGCGGTACAGACTGGGTGTCCCAGTGACGGCTTCCGAGGGGAGGGGCGGGCCAGGACAGAGGTGGACTCCATCGGGGCAGCTGCTGGTACAACCACCTATAGACTAGCCCCTCCAGGCAAGACCCAGAACTGGGTGGGAGATTTGACGGCCGGCCTGTCTGCCATGAGCTGGAGCTGCCGGAGAGCCCAGAAGGCACAGGGGTGACCCAGGGCAGCCTTGAGCTGTCCTCAGTGCAGTGCCCTTGTGCTCGGGATGCTCACGGCATCCCTTCCTGAGGCCGAGAGAGAGCACTTCAGAGAATCCTGAGATGTGAGCGGAGGTCAGGCCCCGGGGTGATGCCCAGGATGATGCCCAGGGGATCCTTATTCCCTGAGGCCGGCAGCCATGTGGGTGCAGTCGCCAGTAGCCCCTGCCCTCGGTTAGGCACCCAAGGGAGCCCCCAGGCAGAGCTGGGCAGCTTCGTTTTCCAGACCTTCACTGGGGAAGAACAAAGCGTTTTGTGAGGGACGAGGGACAGGAAACAGAGGCCACCCTGCAGGTTGTCACATTTAGGGAAACAGAGGCTGCCCTGCAGGATGTCACCCCTAGGGAGACAGAGGCTGCCCTGCAGGATGTCACCTCTAGGGAGACAGGGGCCACCACAGGATGTCAGGTCTAGGGAGACAGAGGCCGCCCCGCAGGATGTCAAGTCTAGGGACACAGAGGCCGCCCCGCAGGATGTCACATCTAGGGAGACAGAGGCCGCCCCGCCAGATGTCAGGTCTAGGGACACAGAGGCCGCCCCGCAGGATGTCAGGTCTAGGGAACAGAGGCCGCCCCGCAGGATGTCATGTCTAGGGACACAGAGGCCGCCCCACCAGATGTCAGGTCTAGGGACACAGAGGCCGCCCCGCAGGATGTCACATCTAGGGAGACAGAGGCCGCCCCGCCAGATGTCAGGTCTAGGGACACAGAGGCCGCCCCGCAGGATGTCAGGTCTAGGGACACAGAGGCCGCCCCGCCAGATGTCAGGTCTAGGGACACAGAGGCTGCCCCGCAGGATGTCAGGTCTAGGGAACAGAGGCCGCCCCACAGGATGTCACGTCTAGGGAGACAGAGGCAGCCCCACAGGATGTCACGTCTAGGGAGACAGAGGCCGCCCCGCAGGATGTCACATCTAGGGAGACAGAGGCAGCCCCGCCGGATGTCACATCTAGGGAGACAGAGGCCGCCCCGCCGGGTATCATGTCTAAGGGAGACAGAGGCCACCCCGCTGGATGTCACGTCTAGGGAGACAGAGGCCGCCCTGCAGGATGTCAGGTCTAGGGAACAGAGGCCGCCCTGCAGGATGTCACGTCTAGGGAACAGAGGGAGCCCTGCAGGGTGTCAGGTCTACGGAGAGCACCAGCTGAGGGGCTGGGGCTGTGCCTGGGGCCTGTCTCCTCCCTCCTCTGCAGGGCTGCCACTGGCATCCACTCCTTGCTGGCAAGGTCCCCATCATGGGTGCCATAAGGTCCCCAGAGAAAAACATAAAGTCCTGGCACCTGGGGCCACTCAGATCCCACTTGTGGGGCTTCCAGGTGGGATGCGCTCCGCCTCGCAGCCACCTGCCCCACCTGTGGGCAGCACTGACTTTTCAAAGCCCTTTGCACGGTAGCCGAAACACATATCCCTGTGGCTCTGCCCTGATCCTTCCCTGTGCAGAATGAGTTGGAATCAACGGGGAGATGCAAGCTGGAAGGGCCGATATGGAGACGCCTGGTGAACCTGCAGCCCCAGGAGGCTGTCGTTGCCACTGTGGCCTGGTCAGGGTTCTGATCATCACAGCTGCTGCGCACCCAGCTGTCTGCCTGAGCGTTCTGGGAAGTGGCTCTTCCTTCACACCAGGGGGAGGCAGGCTGGGGAAGCCCGGCGCCATCTCCCACTGCCTCTCTCAGGCATCTGGCCCTCCTGCGTGTGGGGTTGTGTGTGGAGGTCTGCTCCGTCTCTGCAGGCCTCTCTCAGGTGCCTGGCCCTCCTGCGTATGGGGTTTGGTGTGGAGGTCTGCTCCATCCCTCCACCTCTCCCATGCAGGCCGAGTCGGGGGACGCCCCCCAGATCTGAGCTGTGTCTGGGTGGCCTTTCAGAGCCTCAGTGGAAAGGCGTGGTGGTCCAGGTGGGTTGCAAGTCATGACCTGGGCCCCCTGCCCTGACCTGGGATCTCCCAGAGGTGGTCAGGCCCTGTCCCTGAAGCCAGGAGGGGCAGAGGCTCTGACTGCCCGTGCTCGTGAAGCATTCCTGCTGGGCCTACTTTCCAGCTGGGGGCCCCTTGCCCTGGGACCCCATGGTGGCCTAGTCTGTGGCCTCTGTGGCTTTCCTGTGGGCCTCGTGTCTGTGTAGCCCATGCGTCCTCGCCACCATGTGCCCTGCGCATGTTCTCACTATCCCAGTCTGCCCTGCACTGTGGCGTGGGTCTGACCCTAGCAGCCCCGCCAGGTAGGAGGAGGCACCGCGGGCGTCCTGGTGCCGGGACAGGGTCAGCAAGACCTGAATGAGTTTCAGGGCTGACCCCAGGACGCCTGTCCCTCAGGTGTGCAGAGGTGGGGGCACCACATGGGAGCCGGAGACGCCGTGGACGCCACCCTCTCACACGCAGAGCCCCTGGGTGGAAGGGAGGCCTCAGAAACCAAGGATTTCAGAGATCTCCAAGCCAGGTGGAGGCTGAGCCAAGGCAAAAACAAAAGCCATTCATCCCCTGTCATGCCCAGAGTGGGCCAGGAACGGAGTTGGGGTCCGGCCTTGGGGTGCAACTGGCCAGCCCATGTCCCCACTCAGATCCCAGCACCGCTATCTCCTGGTTGTGGCGAGCAGGGGACTCTGCCTGTGCTCCAAGACTCCCAACACTGCCACCGACGGGCGCGCCAGTGATGAGTTCCCTGCTCTCAGCCTGAGCCCGTGCTGAGGAAAAGCAAGCCTAAGAAATTAAAGCAGCTTTTAAATGTTAGACCTACCAATTAAAAAAAAGCAGTCACATGGAAACGTGCATTTTCCAGAACTCTGTTGTTTACTCCGTCATAATTAATACAGGCAGGGAGGAAAGTTCGGGCTCTGTGGACAGCGGTTGCCAGCGTGGGCCACAGCCAAGGGACTCGGCCCTGGGGACGGGAGGAAGGGCTGCCTCTGCAGGTTCTGCAGGGCCGGGGTGGACAAGAGCCTCCCTGGGCCCCCAGCCTGGAGGTCCCCAGGCACCACCTGCCTTCCTGGACTGAGTGGATGAGAAAGACAAGGACTGGCTGGGACATCAGAGCCTCAGAGGGGGCGTCGTGCTGGCCTAGCCGGGCAGGCCTCAGATGTAGCAGGACCAGGACGTCCCCCGGCCCCTGGTGAGCCCTGGCCTTGCCCACACTCCTGTGTCCTCTTTTTTGCTCCAAGGCCCCTCTTCCTCCTGTCCAGCTGGCCCAGCCCTTCCTTGTCCTTTCCCAGGCAGCCCTGGTCCAGGGGCTCATCCTCGGGCCCAGCCCCCTCACCTGAGCCCCGTTCATCCCAGCCGCAGCAGGGCAGAAACTCAAAAGATGGCAGCGAGGGGACCGTCCTGTTCCTCTGTCTGAAAACTCAGCTGCACACGCGGGGTGGGGGACTGTGAGGAGTGCCTATGTGACAGCAGAGGCCTGACTGTGGGTCATGGGGCCAGCAAGGGACCAGGCTGTGGCTGGCTGCCTCCCGGGGCATGACCAGGACACCGGCAGGCAGCCCTACCTTGTGCCGCCCCCCGAGCACAGCAAAGGCGGGTTTCAGGGGCCCTGAGCACTGAGTCAGAGGCTGTGGAAAGTCATCGCACCCACCCTCGCCCGAGACGTGGGACAGCCGTGCCTCCTGGTGGGGCTGCTGATGAAATCCTCGGGAAGGTGCCAGTACGGTCCGCGCTCGCGGCTCTTGCCTAAGAAACCGTGGCTCTGGCTGCTGTTGGTGAGGAGTCCTGGAGGTTCCCAGAGCCTCGGGCACCGAGGGGGAGACCCTGACACTGTCCTGCCTGCCCCACCAGTCTGCTCCCCGCAGCTCCTCGTCCTCACCCGAGTGCTGCTGGAGGGTTGGCAGGAGGCGTGACCAGCAGGGTCCAGCACAGTCAGGGTTTCCTGGGGGGTCCAGGAAACAGGATGAGCTGCTGTGTGGCAGCTCATGGTCAGCTCGGTCTGAAGGCCTCCCTGGGGACACACAGGCAGCGAGGTCCAGGCTCCCTCTCCCTCCCCCAGGGTGACAGAGCCTGGGAGAGGCCCGCAGGAGTCCCTCCAGCCGTTGTGGCCCGAGACCACGTTCCAGGGTTGGGTTACGTGTGGAACGTGGAGGCACGCGGGGTGCGCGTGGGCCCTGCCGCTGGCAGGAAGCAGGGACTGGTCTGGAGCGCGGCGGGGCTATGCCATCTTCGGGGCTGTGCCATCTTCCCTTCTGGGTTTGTGGAGGAGCCGCGAGCAGCTCCTCCTGAACTTTTCTTTATTAATGAATCTTATCTCTGCTCACACAGCACGCAGCGGATACAGGCCGCGGGTGATAAGCAGAGAGCGAGCAGGCCCCAATGAGAAATTACCTGCTCGTAGCCAGCAGATTAGCCGACAGCTGGCCAGCGGGGGCTGTGGGGGTGGGCGGTGCTCCGCGCGCTGGTTCCCCCTTCCCATCCCCCAACCCCGGCAGGGGCCGCTGGAGGCAGGGGGCCCCCACAGAGGCTGGCCTGTGGGGACTGGCGGGTTCTTCCCCGAGCACCTGGGACAGGCTGAGCCCAGAGCGTGGCCCCACGTCTTCAGCCAGAACCGAAGCGAGATGTTCCTTCCCTTCATTTCTCCCTGCGCCCAACCCGACCTGCTGGCCCCACAGGCACACCCCTCCCCGGTCCAGCCATGTCCCTATTCAGAGGCACGTGTGGAGAGGCGTCAGAAGCAGGAGGGCGCGGGGCCTTGCCACAGGCTGAAGGTCTGTGTCCCTCTAAAATCCATACGTTGAAATTCTAACGCCCAAGATGAGGGATTAGGAAGTGCAGCCCTTGGACTGGGATTAGCACTTTATGAAGAAGCCGAGAGCTCCCTCACCGCACCCCACGTGAGCGCACCGCGAGGAAGTGCCTCCCCTCAGCAGACACCACGTCTGCCGGCGCCTTGAGTTCCCACTTCCACTCCAGAACCTGAGCAGCCAATGTCTGCTGCTCATAAGCCACCCTGTCTGTGGGGTTCCAGCAGCTGGACGCAAAGAGACAGAGCATTGGTACCAAGAGTGGGGTGCAGCTGTAACAGACCCCGAAAGCCTCTCTGGAGCTGGGGAGTGGGAGAGGCTGGAAGGGTTGGGGTGGAGCCTGTGAAAAGCAGATGTTGCCGAGAACAGGCCATGAAAGGTGATGCTGGTGAGGGCTCAGGAGGAAGGGAGGAGCACTGTGGAGGGAGCCCCCATCTTCCTGCACAAGGAATGCTCCCAGAATCTTAGGAGGGGGCACGGACAAGGCCGCTCTGAGGAGGCCGTGGGTGTGTGTGGTGGTGAGGGGAGACCCGCCTCGGGTGGAGCTGGGCTGGGCTGGGCTGGGCCCGGGCCGTGTTTTCTGGAAAGTGAGTGTGTGAGGGATGAGACTGGAGATTTGGCCACAGCTCTTTCCAGGCCAGGCGTTGAGGTGCAGCCTTTCCTCCCGCTGTTATAGTCAGATGCGGGCACAGAGGGGCGGCCTAGGATGGCATCAAGCAGAAGGAAGCGGAACTTAAGCACCTGGGGAATGCTCAGCTTGTCGCTGTCATCGCTGCTGGAGAAAACGAGAGCAACCCTAGGGAGAGAACCCTAGGGTGTGGCCCGCAACCGTTTGATAGGGAGGCTCGTGTGGGTGTGACCTCAGGCCCCGTCTGCCACTGCGGCAGAGACACCGCCAGCTGGAACCAAAGAGGAGGGAGACGGGAAGGATGAGGGAGGCTGTCGACTTGGACTTGACATGACAGGACCACAGAGCTGTCGGCCGGCAAACACGCGCGGCTCTTCACCGCAGAGGAAGGGTGACCCTGAAGGTGGTTCGGAAAACTCCCAGCCGCCGATGCCTTCTTCAGAGGGGACCGCAGCCCACGTGCCTCCCACAGGCCAGGAGCTCTGCCAGCGGTGGGCGCGGGGCCTCCCCAGTGGACGAGAGGTGGAGCATGGAGCCACAGCGGCAGCTCTCAGGCCTCTGGGCCTCACGGGACTTGCCCCTCGGGGTTTGGCCTGCCTGGGGCCTGGCACCCTCCCTCTTGCCTTTCCCCCTTTTGAAATGGGAGCGTCCGTCCCCTCCTGTCCTGCCTTTGTCTCCCCCGTATGTGACGCCAGTGAGGTTGAGAGGAGACTTTGGAGTTGATGGTTGGTGAGACTGTTGGGGCTGCTGGGGTGGAGAAGGATGTGGGTTCTGTGGGGACAGGGGCAGGATGCTGGGGACCGAGGTTTGTGTCCCGCAGTTCCCACGTGGAAACCGAATCCCCACTGTGAGGGGCATGAGGAGGCGGGGTCTTCGGGAGGTGCTGAGGTGGTAGGGTGGGGCCCTCGTGAATGGGATTAACATCCTTATAGAGGGGACCCCAGAGTCCCCCCGCCCCTTCCCCCGTGTGACAGACAGTGAGAAAGCTCCATCACCAAACACCAAGTCTGCCTGTGCCTTACCCTGCCCTTGTGGCCTCCAGGCCTGTGAGAAGTGAACTCTGTTTACGAGCCACCTAGTCTGCAGCGGCCGAGTGGACCAATACAGGCTTCCACAGGGTAGGTTCCCCCACAGCGGGGGTTGGGGACGAGCTGCCGGGGCCCAGGACGTCCGCTCGCTGCTGGGGCTGGGGCAGTCTCAGCCACTCCCAGCCCCAGCGGGCTCAGTACCCAACACCGAGGCACCGGGGCCATGGTGGGTGCGGCCTGTCCTGGGTGCTCAGTGTTGGGGCTCAGAGAATGTAAAGAGCCTGGGGCGGGGGTGGAGGTGCCCCAGGGGCAGAGGCTGGGCAGCCCCGTGAGTGATGTGGCCTCCGCCACGCCTGGATGGGGTGGATAAATGTACCCGACGCCCGTGATCGAGCTGGTAATTACCCTTCACAATGAGTGATATTAATCGTGAAGCTCCCAGTGCACGGCATGAGAATGGCGCCGGGAGCTGGCGGCAGCAGGAGAAGCCATTTATTAGCCTGATAAATGACCAAAAGATGGCCTTTCTGGCTGGCTCCTGACAGGACTTTCTGATAACAGGGCCGAGAGTCCACCTGTCAGACGGCCAGGTGGGGCCTGCCCGGTCCTCCCCTGCTCGGCCACCCAGGCTGCTCGGAGTGAAATCGTAGGTTGGGAGGGGGTGCAGAGGCAGGGCCCCTTGCAGGCGAGTCCCAGCTGCCTCCTGTCATTGGGCGGGGATGGAAGGGTGGGACAGGAAGGAGGCAGTGTCCTTCTGAGCTCAGCCTGGGAGAGGCAGGGGGCCCCCGTGCAGAGGGAGGCGTGTGGGTGTGCAGGGCGGCGGGGACAGTGTTTCTGAGCTGGTGATCAGTCTGCTGTGGTCAGGCAGGCAGGGTGGGGGCTGGAGCGGGGTCAGGCATGGCAGTGGCAAGGAAGCATGGCATAAGGTCCTCTGTGCCCAGGAGGACACTGGTGCTAAGCGTCTGCTGTCACCTGCTTCTGTCTGTCACTGCCGTCTGATGCCTGACCGGGCTGAGCGTGTGTTTGTTGAATGAAGGCAGGGCTGCCGTGTGCGTCCTCCCTGCCAGGCCCCTCCACCTCCGCTCTTTCCAGAGGGACCGGGCTACCTGCTGTTGCTGTGCCACCCACAGGGGAGGCAGGTGTCAGCTCCACACGCGTGGGGCCTTCTCGCCAGGCCTGTCCCGACACAGAGGGCAGTCCCGTGAGGTGGCAAGTTCCCACAGTCAGCAGTGCCGCTGCTGTTAGAAGGTGGTGGTGGACTGAGATGACATCCGCAGTCCCTTCCGCATCAGGGCCCCCACCTCCTGTACATCCTTGGGGTCTCAGCCCAGATGCACTTCCTCGGGGCTCTCCCTGGCTCTCCCGGGCTCCAGTCTCCTGGTGCATGTCGTTATCAGCTCCCACTCCACACTGGGACAGGACCCTGAGCCTTGAGTCCTGCGGGTGCCTCGGCCGCCCTGCGCTGTGAGCTGGCATGTGCTCAGTGCTTGGTGCGTGCTAGAGGAGCACGTGAAGGCCCGGATAAATGATGCAGACATGGGCTCCAGGGACAGCGGCCCGTCCTCGGAGGCGCCCCTTCCAGGCTCAGCACGTGCGGCTCTCAGAGTCTCATTTGTTGGCTCTCCTGGCCTTAGAGGGCAGCCCGAGGGTCCCAGCAGGGCGTCTTGGCTGGGTGGGCTCAGGAGGCAGGGGAACAGCAAGTCCGGAGTCATTACAAGGCCTGTGCCGACACCGGGTGATTTAGCGGTATGATTACTTCCTAATGCAGTATCTCGCAAAGCTTTTTATTAGATTTCTCCCCTTTTCCTTCCAAAGTCTCTTTGGAAATAAACACCTGGGGCTGTTATACTTCATACCACTCAGTTTAATTAACTTTTAAATCACATAACGTCACCCGGACCTCTCAGATGGCGGCGGTCGGGCCAGGGTGGAAGCCTGGCTGCCCCAGCCTCTCCGCCCAGGGAGCGGGGCATTGCCCCATCTCAGCCTCAGGGATCCTGAGCCTGGACTCCCCCCAGTGCAAGGTCCATTGAGGGGGACCCTTGGAGGGGCAGTGGTAGCTCCTGGGGCTCTGAGTCTAAGGGTGGCAGAGACACCAGCCCCAAGCCAGGTCCTCCCAGTCCGGGAAACCCAGTGAGCTCCACAGCCTAGTGCTACGCTGCAGGTGTGGGGGCCTGAACCCAGCTGCCGTCATCCCTGAGAAACTGCCCAAACGGTGCCTCTCGCCAGGTCAGCAGGATCCTCGCCCAGTGCTGGGTCACGTCCATCCCAACCTGTGTCCCCACAGGAAGCACTTTCTTCCCTGGGGCTTCTCCCCGACCCGCTCTGCCCCAAGTCTGGGTCCTGCCCTGGGTCTCGGGCCTCAGGAGGGCCCCTCCCCAGGCCAACAGATTCCAGAACAATCTTGTGACATCTGCCCCCAACGTGGGCACCAGTGAAGGTTCCCAGCCCCTCTCGTTGCCGCTGACACTGTCCGCCCACCCGTGCCGGGCCCTGCCTCCCCGAGCTCTTCCCACCATTGGTCCCACCCATTGTTTCTGCCACTCCAGCTCCCGGGCAGCAGCCAGGCGAACCAGCTGTTGGCAGGCAGGCGACTCTAGCTCCCTGGGCAGCACCTAGGAGGCCTGGCCTTTGGCAGGCAGGCGTCACAGATCAGTTAGGCCCTTCTGCGCCTGCCTGGGATGCTGAACAGGTTTCGCGACACTGTAAGTGCCTGTTCCTGAGAAAGCAGAGGTCGCCGGCACTGAAGGCTGTGTCCCCAGCACCTTCCCCTGTGTGGACCTCCTGCCGTCTTCCTCGCCACGCCTTCACTAACTGTTCCATTCTAGTTTTCTTCTTCTTGGGACCGTTTTGGTTGGTGATTGGTGACTTTCCAGGAATCGTGCATTCCTCGAGTTTTCAGACTAGCCGTGCTGTCCCGGGGCCCCGAGCAGATTCCTCTGGCCCTGGTCACTGGGGTGACGCACAGTTCATCAGGGGCTTCCTGGGCACTGCTGGGGACGCCTCTCATCCACGAGGATGGCACGTTCGAGGTCTGAGCTGTCCCAGCACGGCCTCCCTGTCGGGGTTTCCCGTGACCTCGAGTCCCATCTCCAGGACGAACGTGCAGACACCCTCCCCCACCTTCTCCATGGGCTCAGCCATCAGCCCCCAACCCTGTGCCGGCCGAGGCCAAGCTCTTGCTGCCGGCTCTGGTCTGGGCGTGGGTCACCCCCACCTTCCACCCTGTGCCGGCCGAGGCCGGGCTCCTGCCGCCCGCTCTGGTCTGGGCATGGGTCACCCCACAGGGTTGCCGCCATCAGTCAGCAGTTGGGCTGGGAGGGCCACATGAGTGCCTATAGATTCTGGCACAGACGCTTGTGGCCTGTGGGCTTACTTCCTGCCCTCCCTGCCACCTTGTTGGCTCCAGCCGGGCTGCCACGGTGGACGCAGGGTCACAGAAGCTTAGGGCAACACATTTGTGGTCCTCGACCCACGGACGCGACGCCAGGCCCTTCTCGTGTCTCTTCCTGCTCTCTGATGCCCGGAAGCTGCTTCCTATGGGGGTCCCACACGGGGTCAGGCAGGTTTCGGTGTGCCCTCCCCACTCCCCATCCCAGGAGGGGAGGAGCTCCTAGTTCTGAGGCTGCTCTGTGCACGGTCTGGCCTGCAGTGAACATGTGTTTGCTGTTGTCGCAATCACTGCTGTCACCAGTGGCTGGGCAGGGCCAGTATGCAGGGGTGGATAGTGCGGTGCCTGATCACAGGGCTAGCCCTGTGCCCTGGGGTGCCTGTTCCCCTCTGCGAACTTGGGCAACCATGGCTTTGGGGGTCCCCGGACCTGGGTCCAGCCCCGTGCCTTCTCCGGCCCAGGCCGGCTCTGCCGAGTCACCTGTGCAGCTCCCCGGAGTCAAGCACAGGCTCGGGGCAGTGAGATCATCTGCCCAGGCCCTGACCCACCGTCTGGAGCCCTGCAGGAACTTGGGGTACCCCCACCTGGACCCACTAGAGGAAGCCTGGGCCCCACAGCCAGTGTAAAGCAGCAGCTTCTGTTCATGGTACCAGGGGGCTGAGCTGGGCCCAGGCAGCTGGGTGGCTCCAGAGGTGGCAGGGGGTGAGTTCCTAGGAGGCAGGGTGGGCGCCTCGTAAGATAGAACTCTTGTGGGAAAGGATGTCTAGCGATGGGAGCTGCCTGGAGGCGTGGGTCCAGAGGGGCCCTCGGGACCTGACTGGGCGCCTGTCGGTTCCGTCCTGTTGCCCCAGAAGGGGAGGCCTGCCCAGGGGTTCAGGACCGAACACCAGGTCCAGGGGAAGCCGCTGCCCCGGCCGCCGCTCACCCACAACCACTCAGATTAAGGCGAACGAGAGTGGTGAGAACAAACGCCTCACAGAGCTGTTCCGGAAATTAGATTTTTCCCCTTAAGGTCACTCACTCCACTGGAAAATTAACCAATATTTTCCTAATCAAAGCGGGGCTGTTTCTTCCTTGGAGGAAGGTGGCCGCCCTTCCAGCGCTTGTCATTCATCTTGGAGGCAACTGCTGCCGCGTGGGCTCTTGTTTTATTAAATAAACTCCGGTTTTTATGGCCGCCTCTCAGTGCCGCCCGCCCCCCGTCCAGGGAGAGTGGCCTCAGGTGTCGGGCACCGCGCCGTCCTGCTTCCGCTGCCGCTGCCACTGCGGGGTCACCTTCCCTCCACAGCCCCTCAGGGCCCTCCCAGAGCCGGCGTCTGCTGATCCAGCCTCCCCTGTACCCCAGGGGGCTCTTTACACCTGGGGTTCCACCTTTAGCCCAGGTGGGAGCAGGGAGCCGTCTTGAAGTCTCACCTAGGACGCCAGGACGCTGCCGCTTCCCGTTCTTGGGCCACGCCGAGCACGACTTCTTGGGGCCTGTCCAGCAGTGCAGGCTGAGGAGGGCGTGGACCCAGTCGGCCACCTCAGTGAGGTCCTGGCTGCCCCCTGCAGACAGCCCTGAGCACCCCCGCCTGCCTGCCACTGTCTCGACGGGGAGGGCCGACCATCAGGGGTCCAGGCAGCACTTCATAAAGCAAAGCTTCACCCGGCTAAGACGTGTGGGCTGCTTGGGGGCTCTGTGTCTGCAAAACAGTACCTGTGAAAATAAGGAACCGTAGGAGACGTGGGCTGGAAGGACGGCTGGTAAACATGGCCCCTCCTCACTTGGAGATTTGTGCTGCCAATAACGAGGACATGGATGAGGGGCCTCCCACAGAGCAGCGCTTCCCAAGTGCCGCTGAGTGAAGAAGCCCTCGACAGCCTCGCACAGCATCAGCTCCCTGACCCCGCATGTGCGTACGTGTGTGTGTGTGCATGTGTGTACGTGTGTGTGCATGTCTGTGTGTGCACGTGTATGTGTGTGTGCATGTGTCCGTGCATGTGCATTTGTGTGTGTGTGTGTGTGTGTGTGTGTACATGTACACCCGTGCTCACAAACAGGCTGGAGAACTACATGCCGTCGCCTCTGTGCCCCCGCTGGTGTGATTCTGAGTGACTGGGTGATGGGTGATGAGTGTTATTTTTATATTTCAAAATAGTGTGAGAAGGAGGCTGTCCTATTGAGGCACAGACCAGTGGGCAAGGACCTTGGTGGTGGGGGGCACACAATCCTCTGGGGGACCTGGGCTGCCCCTGTGGGGATGTGGCATCCCTTGGGATGCTGTGGGCAGCACAGTCACCTCCAGGGCCCCTGGCTTATCCTCAGCAACTCAGAATTAAGTGACATCTTCGTCCTTCTCTGGACCAGTTGTTTTCCAGAGCAGGTCAGACAGAGCTCAGCTTCCCCATCTGCCAGGATTCAGCGCTGGGCTCTCGGAACCAGGAGCGCAAATCGCTGGTGCTCGGGGTCCATGGTGCCCCTTGAGGGCTCACACAGCCTTCCCATGACCCTTGTCTTCTACTCCTGGTAGGGTCTTGAATCCCAGGAGATCTTGCTCTCCCATAAGAAAAGCAGCTGTGAAAGCACAGCCGGGCCCGGTGACTGGCCCAAGCCTCCGAGGAGGCGGCAAGCTTGGATGGAGTGTCCTATTCAGCATGAGGGCCCGGCATTTCCACCAGTATTCAAATGGAGCCGGAAACTTCCTGTTTCCATTGGCCTGAGACCCCGGGCTGTCCGTCTGCCCTGGCATGCACACAGCCCACCCACACTTCTGTCTACCCGAGTGGCCGATGGTCAGCCGCACACACCAGGAAGCCTTTGCTGGGGCCGGTGGTGGTGATGCTTCCAGCACGGGCTGCTTGCTTGTTGGCATCTGTGAGTCCTGACCCTTCCTGGGGCTGCAGCAGGCGTGAGTGTTGTTGAGGGAGGGAGAGTGGCCTGCGGACCCAGCCCTGAGAGCGACACTAGGTCTGTGTGCCCCCAGGAGCTCCTCCATCATCGTCTCTGCACACCCCAGCCCCGTCCCACCACATCCCACGCTGGGACTCCCAGCCGCTTCTCTGTCATGAGAGTCCACAGTTCATTTGAAAACCAGTGTGGTCAGGGGCTGAGACTGGCTTGCATCTGGGTGGCCTGTTAGCCCTGGAGAAACCGGCTGTGTAGGTGAGCAGCTGCGTGGGTGAGAGTGGGAGCATTGCAGGTCACAGGGACCCTCTGTCCCCTCAGCACGTGGGAGCCTCACTTGACACAGCAAGTGGAGGCCTGGAGCCGGCCAAGGGGTGCTAGGCAGGCCGATTCGTTCATTCTTGTACACAGCACGCAGCAAGTGTGTTCCGTGTCCCGGGCCCAGGGACGCCGAAGCGATGGGAACCCAGGCCTGCCCAGAGCTGAGGTCTCCCCAGTGTATGCGTCCAGGCTTTGGGAGATGGGCCGAGGGCAGCTGCTGGAGGGGGCGAGGCCTGCCCAGGGCTGAGATCTCCATGCTGTGTGCATCCCGGTTTCAGAACATGGGCCGAAGGCAGCTGCTGGACAGTGCCAGGACTGGTCTGGTCTCTCCCATGGAACCTTCCAGCTGAGCTTCCCCTGCAGTGGCCGCCCAGTGGGGGCTGGGTTGTGTGGGACAGAGGACAGCTAAAGGGTAGAGGTCTCCACTGTCTCCTGGTAGATACATCGGGCCCCCCACATCTTCCCAAGTCACGTAACGCTGCACACCCTGGTCCGCCCCGTGGTACCTCCGCGAGCACCGCCTGCCATGCCTGGTTTGCTGCTCTGTAATCCAGCGGCTCCTGCAGTCCTGGCACGTTCGGTTGTGTCCCGAAAGAAAACCAGTGCTTCCTAAACAGAAAAGGACAAGCGTCAGTTGGAAAAGATGTGTGGCCTTCAAACAAACACCCTGGACCAGGGAGGAACTCCTTGTTCCCAGGACAGACGGGAAAGTCAGAGGCCTTTAAAACATCATTTCCAAAATGAAATCACAGAAAGATACCTGATGGATGTGAGCAGATTATCTGTATTCCATTCTTGGGGCCAAGGAGCAAATCAGCTGCAGAACATGTTTTGAAATGTCTCTTTGTAATGAATGTGGTCAATGAAAACGCGGAGCCATCAGCAGGAGGCGACCGTCCCACCGCAAGATGAAGAACCTCCCGTGATACCATTCAAGCCCCACGAGCTGGCAGAGAGCAAACAGCAGCTTCATACAGGCTGCGGGTGCTGATGAAATGGAAAAGGCACTTCACACATCTTGCACACGCAAATTGCATCAGGCGGAGTATTCTTTGCAAAGAATGAAGCACTTCCTCCTCCTTGGCTCCTATGAGGGGGAGCGGTGGGGGGGCGTCTGGAGCAGGGACGGGCCGGCCTCAGGCTTCTCATCCCCTCGCTCTGGGAACAACAGAAATGCAAACACAGCATGTCTTCCTGAGCCACGGGCACGGGGCCGGGCACTCGGTCACCCTTTCCTTCCGCCCATTCCTTGTGGGGGCAGCTCCTGGTCCCAGTGACCTCCCAGGGCCGGGCAGTAACCTTCGTGGCTGGACACACTTGGCCCAAGCATCCCCTGGTATCTGTAGTCTCCGGTTCCGGAGGGCACCTCGGGCACGAGTGACCCTTGGCATCTCACGGGGTCTCTTGGATGCTGGCTCCTGTGGTGGCTGTGGTGTCATCCATCCTGCTGGTGTTTATAAACCTCCTGAACCCTCTATGGAAACACTGTCCGTGAGGGCTGACCCCCTTTATGTCCCGTGTCCTGGCTGGAACCTCAAGTGTCTTTGCAGAGCTGGAGGAAAGGGCAGTGTTCCAGGCCCAGGAGCTGTCAGCCATGGACGTCCAGGACTGCAGCGCCGGGGGCGGCCTGTGCTGCTGACCAGCCCCTGGCCCTGCGGGAAGGGCAGCAGGGGGAGACTGGCCCTGGAAGGTTCCCCACTGTGGTCTGGGGCCGGATGGGGCTGGTCCCTTCTTCAGTTCTGGACGCTGGTGCTTTAGGGAAATGCCTGGGGTTTCAGCTACAGCCTGAGACTGCCTGTGTGGCTGTCCCTTCCCCAGTGACGCTGAACGCATGTGCACATCTCCCTGGTCACGGGCACCATCCTGGCACCAACTGAGTCTCTTGGTCTGTTTCTGAGCACCTCCCCTCCCTTGGGGAGCGTGGAGAGAAGAGCCTGACACAGCTTTGTCCCCGAGGCAGCAGGAGGCCTTTCCTGGGGCTTGGAGGGATCTCTGCCTCCCCAGAAACAGCTCCTGGCTCTGAATGCCCAAGAGCCTGAGGGCAGAGAGGACGCCAGAGGTGGTGTGGAGCGTGTCCATCTCCTAAACAGCGCGCTCCTCCCCGTGAGCCGGAACCCGACGCGTGTCTGCGTGGAGCGTGTCCATCTCCTAAACAGCGCTCTTCCCCGTGAACCAGAGCGGGACGCGTGTCTGCGTGGAGCACGTCCGTCTCCTAAACAGCGCTCTTCCCCGTGAACCAGAGCCGGACGCATGTCTGCGTGGAGCACGTCCGTCTCCTAAACAGCGCTCTTCCCCGTGAACCAGAGCCGGACGCGTGTCTGCGTGGAGCACGTCCATCTCCTAAACAGAGCTCTTCCCCATGAATCAGAGCCCGACGCGTCTCTGCGTGGAGCACGTCCATCTCCTAAACAGCGCTCTTCCCCGTGAACCAGAGTCCGACGCGTGTCTGCTTGTTTCCGAGCTGCTGTTTGTGGTTTGAGTCCCCATGCAGGGCAGCGGAGGGAGGTGGCAAGGGCTGTAACACACCAAGGTCAGAGCCGCCGGCCTCTCCCACATTGACATTCTGTGCACTGCCTGTGTGTGATCAAGTCTCCCTCCGGAGCGCTGGGCCCTGCGTCAGCCTCAGGAAAGCTACAGACAAGATAGGAATCATGCGTCTCCCCACCCTGAGCCCAGCAGGCTGTGCCAGGTGTCAAGTAGCTGGTCAGCGTATCAGCCACACAGCATTGCTAGGAGGGAAGAGGAGACCCCTTCGCTCTGCTCTCCCCGCTGCAGTCAGGGCCTGCCTCCCGCGCCCGCCAGGTGGGGCCTTGGCTGCACAGACCCTGTGCCCACTGTGAGTCCAGGAGCCTCGGGCTCAGGCCCCTCCTCCCCGCACCCCTGTCCTCCTTCTGATGGCGGGACAGTGACCCTGGCTGTGCCCACTCACTGACCAGCAGCATACTGTCTCCGTCCTGGCAGCAGCTGTGCGAGGCAGGCTTTCCTGTCCCACTCGCAGAGGAGGACACGCTCAGGTGCTGGAGTGGCTTGCACGGTACGGCCACAGCCCTGCTGACTGTACCCACGCGCCCCTCCACCCCTGCAGGAGCATCGAAGGATCGGATGCAACCAGACGGGTCCCCTCTGTCAGTGCCCGGCCTGTGCCAAGCCACAGCAGGATGTCCTGGGGGAAGCCTGGAGAAAGGAGTGCTGGGCCCTGGACTCCCCCCAGCTTTGGGGGGATGGTCACCAAGGGGAGGTGCTGGGCACGTGGCAGCCTCGGGGAGCACCTTCCTGGGCCAGCTGTAGGCCCGTCCCAAGCTGCGTCCCCTGCCTGCGCCTCTCCCTGGGCCGCCTCTGCCCCCTGCAGGGCTCCGTGTCAAGCTCCTTCAGCGGGGTGGGACCTCGAATGCCGTCCATGTCCCACACCTCGCGTGTCAGGGTCTGCAGTGGAGCACCCAACCGGCGTCTCTCCCCAGGTCTCCCCCCAGCCTGGAGGTGGCCCCTTGTGCCCCTGGGCCCCTACCTGTCCAGCAGCAGCAGCTGGGGCTCCCTGTCCACTGGGAGTGCTTCCTCAAGCATGAGGTTTTGGCAGGGGGGCCTGTGGGACCACCACACTTCTCCCCAAGGGCACACCGGGGATGGCAGAGGGTCGTGGGAAAGTGTTGACCCTCGTCAGGTCCCCGGGGAGCCCCTGGCAGGCCGTTCTGTGGCTGGATGTGAGTTAAGCGGTTCAGCCGTGTGTGAGGCTCCGTGACACCAGCCAGGACACACCTGGAGTTGTGGGGATTTTTAGTTGCCTTCTGGTGGTAGTGAAACCGTGCAGCCTTGCACAAGTGTTCCTGCATAGGCTCCACTTGCTGCCCTTCCCGGCCCCACTCACATCCTGAGTGTGTGCTCAGGCCCCTCAGAAGAAACCAAACTTCTGAGTGTCCCCTCCCCGCCCCTAGCCATGGAGTGGCCGTGGCTGAAGTGGAAGAGATTCAGAGGCTGACAGCCGAGGGGAGGTTTGAACCTCACTAAAATCATTCGGAGCTCACGCTCGTTTCAGCATTGCCCACGCTGTCTGGGTAGGAGGTGAATTCGCCTCCACGTGGCCTGCCGTGGGGCTTCTTCTTGCAGCGGGCTCTCCTGGGTGCTCCAGGAAGACGGAGCTGGGACAAAGTGTGCCCACTCCAGAAGTGAGTCTTCAGCTCAGGTCTCCTCCCGGCCTTGGTTTCTGACTCCTTCGTGTTAGGAAGGAGGCCCCCAGGAGGAAGCACGCACTTTGGCAATGAGACGTTTTAATTGCATCTTAAAATAGCATTGCAGTAAAGAACACTAAACCGTGACTAACCAATTGCACTTCAGGAGGCCCTCAGCACAGTCAGACACGGGGAAGCGCGGAAAAGCTGCCCACTTGTGGACGCCCATCAAGCCCCCTCAGGAGGGGCTGGATGACAGAGGAGGTCTACACCGCACCTGGGCCCCTTCCCCAGGTTCAGCCTTCATTGCGGCCTCCCTGGCCGTGAGGGACGTCTGCGCAGGAGCTCCCCGGGGCCAGCTTTGCCTGAATGTGGAAGATGGAGGGAAGAGTGTTACCGTTTAGTTGATTTACTGCCGAAGAACCTGTAAGGCCCAGGAAGACAGAGAAAGACGCCAGAAAGAGCATCATTCTGCAGGGTTCAAGGTGAACCTGGCTCGCTTTCAGAGGAGTAGGGCAACGAGGGCACCCAGACCCTAATTACACAGGATCCCGGCACTGTGCCATCGGGGCCTCATGTGTGGTCTTGGTGGAGAATGACCAGGGCTGCTCTCTAGCCCCCGTCCTCCAGATGGTCCCCAGAGGGACTGACACACTCAAGGAATGTGCTACTGGGAAGCCAGGATGCCATTTCAGTACCAGCAGCCCCACTGTGGGCCTCACTTGAAGGCTGTGCTGGAGCCCGGCCTCGGACTCACCCCAGCCAGCCCCTGAGCTCCAGGCAGTGTACCCTCCCCATCCGGGAACCAGCCGCAAGGCAGCCCGTGTGCTGAGCCACAGGGAGGGCCAGCTGGGCGAGGGGCTGACATGTGGGACGCAGCTGTGCAGCACTCAGAGGCCCTGCCCACCCTCCCCTCCAGGACACAGCCTGACCGTGCCCTGGGCCTCGGCTGCCTTGCAGGGGCCCAGGTGAGGAGTGGGAGGTGGAGGCCTCTGCAGCTGCAGGCAGTAGCTACTCAGTAAATGATGGGCCCAGCGATGGACGAAGGACGAAGGCCTCCCTCGGGGACCTGAAGAAGCATAGCTGTCTGTCCCTCGCCGGGGCTCAGGTGGCTGCAGTTACTCAGCTCGCCTGGGACAGGCCTGGGGGGCCAGTGAGCACGCGGCATTGTGGCAGCTCAGGCAGGCATGCGCCGGAAGGGATTCTGGCGGCCTGTGGACTGGGAGAACCTTTCCAGCTGCCAAGAGTTGCCCTTTGGATCCTAAGTGCAGGGCCAAGCCCGGCTGTGACGGCTGAGGCCGGGCTCCTGGAGGCAAGGCCACCTCAGGCCTCCAGGGCCGGAGCCGCAGGGAGCTGCTGGGTTTCCACAGGGCCACGGGGGCTGCGGCCACACGGAGCGGGAGCACAGGTGGGAAGGGTGTCTGTGAAAAGTGAAATCTGTCGCCGCTTCCTCTGGCTTAATTACCGGCATGGTAGTTGCAGAGTTGAAATGCAGCTTTAAAAGCCTTTGTGAGTAGTTAGTGTCAAACACACAAGATCTACAAAGCCATAAACTCACAGCTTGGTGATATTACCAAGTACTAATTAAGAAAAAAAAAGAAAATTCCCTTTCATGATCAAATTTTCAGCCCTGCCAAAGACGAAAAACAAGGCAATTTGCAGCGGATGGTGACGCCGGAGGGTAAGTGGCGTCCACAGGAAGATGGCGGCCGAGCGCGGCGAGCAGGCAGGGTCTGGCTGAGGGCTGGGGTGGTGACGGCGTGATTGTGCCTGGCTACCGGGTTCTCAGCCAGGGAGCACCTCATTCCCAGCAGAGATGGAATCCCAGCTCAGGAAGGGGAGACTCATGCGAGGGCAGAAGCGAGGCACCCGCCCAGAAGGATTGGGGGTCTCCCCATTTCACAGGTGGGGACACTGAGGCTGAGCTCACAGCCAGGACGGGGACAGCAGAGTGACGGCCGAGACCATCTGCCCCGCGAGGGAAGCAGCGCCCACCTTCCTTGGTGGTCCGGGAAGGCCGGACTGGCCCCTTGGGTCCCCACCGGCCTCAGCCACTGTGGGCTCGTCCAGCTTCAGGCAGGCGCCCGGCCACTCACCTGGGAGGCTCTGAGAACGACAGCTTCTGTCTCGTGAGTGACGTGGTGCCCGCTTTCATCCTGGGGCCCACAGCTGCCAGGAGAGGCCAGGCCGAGGTCAGGAGGCTCAGCAGCCGGTTCCGTGACTTCCTCTTTGCTGAGGAGGTCAGGACAGAAGCTTCTAGATGACAGGCCGCTCAACTTGGTATAAAACAGCAAATTTCTGTGCCTGTGCTGTCGGGCTGTGAATGACTTCTCGTCTGTTTCATGAGATGCAGCTTCAGCCCAGGGAGGCATCAGATGCAGCCGGGCGAGACGCGGAGCCAAGAGCTGTCCTCGCCCCCCATGTGAGTGACTGGAGAGACGAAATTCTCAAAGTCTTGTCACTTACGGGGATATTTTTAACCCAGGACCAGGGAAGCACAGCTCTCATTGGTGGCCGTGTGCTCTGGCGCTTGGGCAGTGGGCAGCAGCCAGGTTATCGGGACGTGCTCAGGCCCAACAGGACCCCCAGAGCCGCACCTGCCCCCCACAGAGTAGAGCCGGCCCGGGAGCGGCCTTGGTCACATCTAATCCCACCAGCCGCCGGCAGTGGAGAGCTGTGCCTGGCCCAGAGATTTGGGCATCACATCCAGGCTGCAAACGCACGGGGACCACCTGGCCCCGCCAGGGTTTGCTCTATCCTGGCTTGGCCTGCGTGGCCTCTCGCCGTCTGCACGGTCCACTCACCCGAGTCAGGGCTGGGGCATGCAGGGAGTGTGCAGTGACATTGGGCAGAGGGAGGCTGCTCAGGTCCAAGTAGGCAGAGAAACCGCATGCCCAGGCCGCTAAAACCTTGAACTGCAGGAGCCCTGAACTGCTGTTGCTGTTTTATTGTTTTGTTTTGTTGTCAGATGGAGTCTCATTCTGTTGCCCAGGCTGGAGTGCAGTGGCGCGATCTTGGCTCACTGCAACCTCTGCCTCCCGGGCTCAAGCGATTCTCCTGCCTCAGCCTCCCGAGTAGCTGGGATTACAGGCGCCCGCCACCATGCCTGGCTTTTTTTGTATTTTTAGTAGAGACGGGGTTTTGCCATGTTGGCCAGGCTGGTCTGGAACTCCTGAGCTCAGGTGATCCATCTGCCTTGGCCTCCCAAAGTGCTGGGATTACAGGTGTGAGCCACCACGCCTGGCTTGTTTTACTGTTTATGACGCGGCTCTGCTGCTGCTAGGACAGATACTTGTACAGCCCGATTCAAAGACTGTGCAGAGGCGTCTCCCAGATACCCCGGGGCGCACTGCAGTCAAGGAAGGCTGCCTGGAGGAGGTGGCCTGGAGCTGGGGCTCACGGGTGAATTAGAGTTTGTCTGGCTGGGTTGGGGAGATGTTTCTGGCCTCAGGATCTCACTTGCTCACGCTCACCGGCTCCAGGGCATCCAGCGTGCAGGGAGAGCAGAGGGGTAGGCCTCGGGCTCCAGGCCAAAGTTGGGGAAAGAGAGTGTCAGACCTGGGCTTGGGGGATGACTCTGATGTCGTCCTCATGGGGGATGGTTGAGGAAAGGGTGGGGTGTGGCTCACTCGTCTGGCCCTCGCCCATGTGGAATGCCCGCCGTGCTGGGCCCCGCTGCAGGTGCTGGATGCGCAGCAGTAATGCGGGGGTCCTGCTCCGCCTGGGCACGTCTTCCAGCAGGGATTGGGGGGCCGATGGCCAGGCAGGGTCTGTGCTCCATGCCTAGGTGGTTATGGGGGGAGGCGGGGAGCCTGGGCCCTGGCCGTGGGTGGACCTGTGGCTTGCTGACCTGGTGCCCAGCTGCCCCACCTCCCAAGCTGTGAGAAGCCAGGACCAGCCCCATCCTCCATCCAGATGGTCTCTGACATTGCCCTGGGAGCCGGGGGGAGGCGGGGGGGATGTTCTAACTGAAGGGCCTGGGCAGCCTAGAGCCCTTCTGTATCTTCTGGCCAATGGTTTTATCTGGTCCACTGCCTCCCAAGCCTGCACATCCCATCTCGCGCGTTTAAACTGTTAGAAAGTTACTCCTTTGACTAAGCCGGAAATGCTCTCTATGGCCCTGTGGATCTGCGTCCAGTTCTCCACGACATTCTGTTTTTGGAGCCTTTGTGAAGAGGCTGGGGGTTTGTCAGCCCCACTCGGAAGCGAACAGGCTGGTTCCCCGCCCCAGGCCCAGCTTGTCCTGCGGGCAGCTGGCCTGAGAGCCAAGCACTCCCCAGGCCATGGCACCGGGTGGGCAGGATGCTTTCCTGCCAGGCAGGGGGCAGGACGCTTTCCTGCCAGGCAGGGGGCAGGACGCTTTCCTGCCAGGCAGGAGGCAGAGCCCTCCCTGGGACCCCGAGTGTCTGTCCTGGGTGGGGACTAGACGGTGACCACCACCTCGACCCCGGGCAAGCCCACCTAGCCCCGCCCTCCCACCAAGCCCTGCTCCACCTACACGAAGCTGCGGCCAGCCCCTTTTGCCCCCAACCTAAATGACTGAGGAGTCTGTTAGGGAGGGCCTCCCTGTTGCTCTAAAGAGCAGGAACAGGACATCCCTGCCCCAGGGCACGGAGGCAGCTGGCCATCTGCGAGTGGGACCCGCCGCGGTTGGCCAAGCTCAGGCCATATGAGCTGGGACTGGCAGGCAGTTCCTGGCTGCCTCAAATCTGGGGTCCAGACTCTCTGCTGACCTCCCAGAGCCCGGCGTGTCTTTGCACACTCTGTCCTTGTCCCCAGCCTCCTCCCCGCCCCAGGGTGTGCCTGGAACCTTAGGTAGTCTTACCTGTCAGTCATACCTTCTTCTCGGCCAGGGACTGTGGATGGCAGGACGTTCACCCCGTGGTCAGTGGCTGGGCCTTTCTCATGAAGCAGCTTGATTGAGATGTCATCTACAGAGCGTGCAGCCATCATCACAGTCTATCTTGGAATGAATGCCTTTATCACCCTGGAAGGAAACGTGCCCCATAGCCATCCTCTCCCAGTCCCAGCCGTCGGCAGCCGCTGTCTGTGTTGTCTCTAGACTCCGCTACCTGCAGTGTTGCAGGGAGATGGGCTCAGCGGCGAGTGGTCTCTGGCATCTGGCATCTTTCGCTGAGCGTAAGGTTTTCACGGTTCGCTCACATTGGACCACGTGCTGACGCTCCATTTGTTACTGATGAATCATACGGTCTAGTGTGTGGATAGACCATGGTTGTTTATCCGTTCATCCGTTGATAGAACATTTGAATTGCTTCCGTTTGGGGCTATTACACACAGTGCTGCTGTGAACATTCGTGTACAAGCTTGTGTGTGGAAATGCATTTTTGTTTCTCTTGGGTGTACACCCATAAGCGGAAGTGCCAGGGTCACATGGTAATTTAACTTTGAGCTTTGTAAGGAGCTGCCTGTTCTCCCAGCTTCTCCCCGTCCTCCCCAGCACGCGCCACTGTCTGCTTTTATGATGCTTTTCCATCCCAGGGGCTGCGGGTGCCGCTGGGTTAGAGGGTCCGTGAACCTCCTGAGATTCAAATGCAAAATGTGAAGTGGGTGTTGGCGTGGGTTTCGGGTAGAGGGACTGCAGCCCCTGCACGGGGTTAGGAATATGTTTCCCAGTCCAGGCAGAGCTACGCGGGAATCACCTCTAGACACCCAAGAGGGAGCAGTTTTGTCTGGAGAAGCAGCACGCTGCCGTGTTTCACCAGGCTGGCCTGTGACAGCTGGACCTGCCCCCGATGCCACCACCTCCTCCTGCCAGGGCTTCCCTGTTTGCTGAGTCTGCGTTATTGATGAGCTACCATCTGTATACACGCACCCGTGAGGCCATCAAGGCAAGACCCTTCGCCCCCAGATCCCAGGCCCTGTGCAGCCTGCCTTGCCCCTCCCACTGCAACCCGACCCCAGGCAGCCACTGATCCTTCTGTGTTTCCTGTCACCACGGGTTCATCCACGTTTTCCAGAGTTTCTGTAAGTGGCATCACGCAGTATCTAGCCTTTCTCATCTGGCTGCTTCTACTAAGCGTAGTTAGTTTGAGATTTATCCGTGTTGCTATGGTATCAACAGTTTATCCCTTTACAGTCATACGGATAGACCACAATGTCTTCATCCATCCAGATGTTGACGGGCATTCCGGTGGCTTCCAGCTTGGGGCTGTTGCAAATAAAGTGTACAGTGAACATTCACATGCAAGCTTTGCACGGACATTTATTTCTTTTCTCTTGGCTAAATCGGAACTGCTTGATTGTGTGGTCAGTGTACGCCTAACTTTACAAGAAGTTGCCAAGCTGTTTTCCAAAGTGCCTGCACCATTTTCCATTCCTATCAGCAGTATAGGAGACTTGTAGTTTCTGCACACGGTCACCAGTACTTGACATGATCAGTCTTTTTAATTTCAGTCCTTCTAAGAGGTGACTGACGGCGTCTCATTGCGGTTTTAATTTGCATTTTCCTCATGACGAATGACACTGAGCATCTGTCCCTGTGCCATCTTGCTGGTCTTCGCTGAAGTGCCTGTTCACATCTTCTGCTAATTATTTATGGGGTTCTATGTTTCCTTAATGAGTTTTGAGAGTTCTTTGTATACTCCAGATGCAAATCCTTCATCAAATATGTACATTGCTGGTGTTCTCTCCTTATATATGACATGTCTTTTCATTCTCTTAACAATGTCTTTTGAAGAGCAGACATTTCTAATTTTGATTAAGTCTAACTTACCCGTCTTTTATTTTATGGAGTGTGCTTTTGCTGTCGTATCTAAGAAATCTTTACCTAACCCAAGGTCACAAAGACTGCCTCCATTTTTTTTTCTTCTAGAAGTTTTATAGTTCTAAATTTTACATTTGTGTTCATGATCCATTTTGAGTTTTTTTTTATATGGTGCAAGGTCTGGATTGACTCTTTTTCATTTTTTATTGCATATGAACGTCCAGTTACTCCAGCATCAAGATCATTCTTTTTTACTGAATAGCCTTTTGCATCTTTGTCAGCCTGCTAGGATTTTAATTGGAATTACGCTGACTCTATAGATCATTTTGGGGATAATTGACATCTTAACAATATGGAAACTTCTAATCTATGAACAGTTTCTCTCAGCAATGTGTTCTCATTTTCAGTGTGCGGGTATCAGAGGCATTTGAACCAGAGTGACTCCATTTTGAATAAGGACTGGGTGAAATAAGACTGAGACCTACAGGGCTGCTTTCCCAGAAGGTTAGGCGTTCGTAGTCACAAGATGAGAGATAGGAGGTCCGCACAAGATGCAAGTCACAAAGACTTGGCTGATAAAACAGGTTGCAGTAAAGAAGCTGACCCCAAACCCACCAAAACCAAGACAGCCATGAAAATGACCTCTGGTCAGCCAGGCACGGTGGCTCATGCCTGTAATCCCAGCACTTTGGGAGGCTGAGGCAGGCAGATCATGAGATCAGGAGTTCAAGAACAGCCTGACCAACATGGTAAAACCCCATCTCTACTAAAAATACAAAAATTAGCCGGGCACGGTGGTGCATGCCTGTAATCCCAGCTACTCAGGAGGCTGAGGCAGGAGAATTGCTTGAACCCAGGAGGCGGAGGTTGTGGTGAGCTGAGATTGCGCCACTGCACTCCAGCCTGGGCGGCAGAGTGAGACTCCGTCTTAAAAAAAGAAAAAAGAAAGTGACCTCTGGTCATCCTCACTGCTCATTATACTGTAATTATAATGCATTAGCATATGACACGACACTCCCACCAGTGCCATGACAGCTTACAAATGCCATGGCAATGTCAGGAATTTCCCCTATATGGTCTAAAAGGGGGAAGAACCCTCAGTTCTGGGAATTGCCTACCCCTTTCCCGGAAAACTCATGAATAATCCACCCCTTCATTAGCATATAATCAAGAAATACAGTATAAGTGTTAGTCGAGCAGCCCACGTCACTGCTCTGCCTATGGAGTAGCCATTCTTCTGTTTCTTTACTTTCCTAATAAACTTGCTTTCACTTCACTGTATGGACTCACCTCAAATTCTTTCTTGTGTGAGATCCAAGAACCCTCTTTTGGGGTCTAGATTGAGACCCCTTCCTGATAACATAGGTATTTCACATCTTTTTCAGATTTATCCCAAGTATTTTAGATTTTGATATTATTATAAAAGAGTTTTGTTTTTACATTTAATTTCTGTTGCTACTATATAAAAACAATTCATTTGTATATTGATCTTTTTATTTTGCAACTTCGCTAAACTCATGTGTTAGTTCCAGTAGCTTCTTAGTATATCTGATGGGATTTTCTCCTTAGACAATGATATTATCTGTAAGTACACTTGCACTTCCACTTGCCCACACTGGATGCTTGTGAAGTTCCTTGTTCTTGTGTTATTTCACTAGCTGGAACCTTCAGGATGATGCTGAATACAAGCAGTGAGAGTGAACATCCTTGTCCTGTTTCAGATCTGAGGGAGAAGCATCCAATCTTCAGCCATTAAGTGTGGTATTCTCTGTACGTCATTCATAGATACCCTTTCTCAGGCTGAGGAAGTTCTCTTCTAATCCTAGTTTGCTGAGATTTTTTTTTTTTTTTTGAGGAATGCCTGTTGGGTTTGATCAGATGCTTTTTCTGCATTTATTGAGTTGATCATATGGTTTTCCTTTTGTACTTTGTTAATATGTGGAATTACTTTGATTTTCTAGGGTTAAACCAACCTTGTATTCTTAGGATAAACCCCACTTAGTCATACTACATTATCTTTTTTTATATGTTATTGGATGTGAATTGCTAACCGTTTTGTTTTGAATTTTTGCATAAATATTCCTTAGGGTTGTTCCATAGTTTTGGGGGGGTGCGGCTTGTAATGTCTTCTGATTTGTATATCATAGTAATGTTGGTCTCACAGAGTGAGTTGGAAAGCATTCCTCCTCTTCAGTTTTCTTAAAGAGTTCATGTAGAATTCTTGATTAAAACAAACTGGAAGAAAAGAGTTAATGTAGAATTGATATTATTTCTTTTTTAAATAGTTGATCCAATTCATCGGTAAACCCATTGAACCTTGAAGTTTTCTTCCTGAGGTTTTAACTACACATCGGTGTCTTGATAGACATAGAGTTATTCACATTGTCTTTTTCTTTTGTGGTGAGCTTTAGTAGTTTGTATCTTCAGAAGTTTGTCCATTTTATCTGTTTTCAAAGGTATTGGCATAAAGTTGTTCATAATTTCTCTTACTATCCTTTTAACATCTGTAGGATCTGTAGTGCTATCATCCCTCTTCTTCCTGATGTTAATAATTTGTCTCTTCTCTTTTATTCCAGGTCAGTCTGGCTAGAAACAGCTTTGGGTTTTATTATTTCTACTGCTTTTTTGTTTTCTTTCACCATTGTTGCTTTGATCTTTATTTTCTTTCTTCTGCTTACTTTGTCTAATTTGCCCTTCTTTAGTTCCTTAAGGTCGAAGCTGAAGTCTCTGATTTGAGACCTTCTTTTTTTTAATGTGGACATTCAGTGCTATAAGTTTCCCCCTAGTTTCTGCTCTAGTGGCATCCCACAAATTCTGATATTTTGTTTTTATCTTCATTCAGTTCAAATGACTTAACTAACCTCCCTTTTGATTTCTTCTTTGACGTATGGGTTATTTAGAAGTGTGTTAGTTTCCACATTTTTTGAAAATCTCCAGATGCCGTTCTGTTACTAATTTCTCATTTAATTTCATTATTGTCAGAGAACATTCTCGGAACGGTCTAAATCCTTCTACTTTTTTTGGAGACGGAGTCTCATTCTGTCACCCAGGCTGGAGTGCATGGCGCAATCTCAGCTCACTGCAACCTCTGCCTTCCAGGTTCAAGTGATTCTCCTGCCTCCTACCTCAGCCTCCCGAGTAACTGGGATTACAGGCACGTGCCACCACGCCTGGCTAATTTTTGTATTTTTAGTAGAGAGGGGGTTTCACCATGTTGGCCAGGCTGGTCTCGAACTCCTGATCTCAGGTGATCCACCTGCCTCGGCCTCCCAAAGTGCTGGGATTACAGGCGTGAGCCACTGCATCTGGTCACATTTCTTGAAATTTGTTTTAAGGTCCATCCAGAATGTTACTGCCTTGGTAAATGTTGTGTGTGTACTTGAAATCTGTGTGTATCCTGTATCCTGCTGGAATGTGCTATATCGATGTCAAGTAGCTGACATTTTTAATAATGTTTGCGAAGCTTTTATATCCTTGCCAATTTTCTGTCTTCCTGTTCTATCAGTTATTGATAGATGAATATTGACATCTCTGACTATTATTACAGATTTCTCTATTCCTTCTTGCATTCCAGTTTTTGTTTCATATATAAATGGACGCTTTTATCATTATGAAATGACCTTTATTGCTAGTAATATTCTTTGCTCTGAAATCTGCTTTGTTTGATACAGAGTTGCACTGTCAGTAAGCAACCTTGGGTATATCACGCATTTGGTTCCAGATCACTGTGATTAAACCAATATCACAATAAAGCAAGTGCCATGCATTTTGTTTCCCAGTGCATATAAAAGTTATGTTTATCCTATGCTATAGTCTGTCAAGTGTACAATAGCATTATGTCTTTAAAAAACAATGTACATGTTCTGATTTTAAAAATACTTTATTGCTTAAAAATGCTAATGATCACCCGAACCTTTAGCCAGTTGTAATCTCTTTGCTGGTGGAGGTTCTTGCTTTGATGGTGATGGCTGCTGACAGATCAGGGTGGTGGTTGCTGAAGGTTGGGGTGGCTGTGACAGTTTCTTAAAAACACCAGTGGGCTGGGTGCTGTGGCTCAAGCCTGTAATCCCAGCACTTTGGGAGGCTGAGGCAAGTGGATCACTTGAGGCCAGTAGTTCGAGACCAGCCTGGCCAACATGGTGAAACCCTGTCTCTACTACAAACACAAAAATTAGCCGGGCATGGTGGCACGTACCTGTAATCCCAGCTACTTGGGAGGCTGAGGCATGAAAATCGCTTGAACCTGGGAGGTGGAGGTTGCAGTGAGCTGAGATCACATCACTGCACTCCAGCCTGGGCAACAGAGCACGACTCCATCCCCACCCCCCCCCCCCCCGCCAAAAAAAAAAAAACACAGCAATGAAGCTGGCCACATTGATTGACTCTTCCTTTCATGAAAGATTTCTCTGTAGCATGCAATGCTCTCTAAAACCATTTTACCTACAGTAGAACTTCTTTCTATCTTGGAGCCAAGCCTCTCAACCCCTCAAACTGCTTTATCAACTAAGTTGATGTACTTTGCTGTCATTTTTCAACAATGTTCACAGCATTTTCACCAGGAGCAGATTCCATCTCAAGAAACCACTTTCTTTGTTCATTCATAAGCAGCAGCTCCTCATCCATTCAAGCTTGATCATGAGATTGCAGCAGTTTAGTCACATCTTCAGGCTCTGCTTCTAATTCTAATTCTCTTGCTATTTTCACCACATCTGTCCATCTTCCTCCACTGACCTCTTCTTGAACCAAGTCATCCATGAGGGTTGGAACCAACTTCTGCAAACTCCTGTTAATGGTGATACTTTGACCTCCTCTCATAAATCACTGATGTTCTTAATGGCATCTAGAATGACAGCTCCTTTCCAGAAGGTTTTCAGTTGACTTTGCCCAGATTCATTAGAGGAAGCACTCTGTGACAACTATAGCCTTAGAAAATGTATTTCTTAAATAATAACACTTGAAAGTCAATTGTCCCTTGATCTAGGGGCCACAGGATGGATGCTGTGTTAGCAGTCATAGAAACAACGTTCATCTCCATCAGAGCCCAGTAACTAGTTGCATTGTCAGTGAGCAATAATATTTTGAAAGGAATTTTGTTTTCTGAGCAGGAGGTCTCAACAGTGGGCTTAAAATATTCAGTGCACTGTGCTACGTTTGAACAGATGTGCTGTCATCCAGGCTTTGTTGTTCCACTGATAGAGCACAGACAGAGAAGACTTAGCATCATTCTTAAGGGCCCCAAGAGCTCATTTACCGTCTCCATATTAGCAGTAAGCCTGTTCTGCTTTCTTATCATTCATGTGTTCGTTGGAATAGCCCTTGTGATTTCCTTTACGAACTTCTCCTTTGCAGGCTAGCTGTGTGGTGCAAGAGACCTAGCTTTTGGCCTCAGTTTTCAACATGCCTTCCTCACTAAACCTAATTATCTCTAGCTTTTGATTTAAAGTGAGAGACATGTGAGTCTTCTTTCACTTGAACACCTAGAAGCCATTCTAGGGTTATTAATGGGCCTGGTTTCAATATTGTTGTGACGGTCGTGTCTCAGGAAATGGGGAGGCCTAAGGAGAAGGAGAGAGATGGGGGATGGCTGGTCAGTGGAGCAGTCAGAACACACACATTTATCAGTTAAGTTTGCTCTCTTATGGGCACTGTTTGTGGAGCTCCGAAACCATTACAATGGTGACATCAAAGATCACAGATGACAGAGTACCATAAAAGATATACTAGTAATGAAAAAGTTGGAAATATATACGACACAGACATGAAGTGAATCCACGCTTTTGGAAAAATAGTGCCAATAGACTTGCCAGACACAGACCTTAAACTTGTAAAAAATGCAGTGTCTGTGAGGCACAGTCAGGCCACGGATGAAGCGAGGTGTGCTCATGTGAACACAGGGCGAATTGGCTTCTGTGAGCACGCTGTATCTGCTTCACGTTACTTTTAATCTACTGCGTCTTCATAGTTAAAATGTGCTTCTTAAAAGCAGGATATAGCTGAGTCTTAAATATGCATAGAATCTGACATTCTCTGCCTTTTCACTGGGCCATTTACATTTAAATTGATTACTACTTTGATTAGATAAGTCTATCATCTTGTTATTTGTTTTCTGTTTGTCCTGTCTGTCCTTTGTTCTTTTTTCTTCCCTCTTTTTCTGCCTTTCTTGGATTGAATTTTTTACAAGTTCATGTGCCTCCTTTTTTGATTTGTTAACTGTATTTTTTACAGGTTGTGTTAGGATTTAGGGCACGTAGATCTTTAACAGTCATCCTCGAATGATACGACACCGCCTTATGTGTAGTGTGAGAACCTGACAGTCACATACTTCCAGTCTTCTCCTTCCTGCCTTAGTCATCTGCTTATAATATATTTTATTTATGCACATGATAAACCCCACAATACTTTGTTTTTATTTCTGTTTAGTCAGCTATCTTTGAAAGAGATGTAAATAATAATTGTAAATGTTGTATATGTCTGCCCATGCAGCTCCCACCCCTCATTCATGGAAGGAGTAGAGCTGTTCTTCCTTCTTCTTGTGTAGGCCCATGTTTGTTTTTATTTTTATTTATTTTTTTTGAGACAGAGTCTCACTCTGTCGCCCAGGCTGGAGTGCAGTGGCACGATCTCGGCTCACTGCAACCTCCGCCTCCCAGGTTAAAGCGATTCTCCTGCCTCAGCCTCCCGAGTAGCTGGGATTACAGGGATGTGCCACTGCACGTGGCCAATTTTTGTATTTTTAGTAGAAACAGGGTTTCACCATGTTGGCCAGGCTGGTCTTGAACTCCTGACCTCAGGTGATCCTCCCACCTCGGCCTCCCACAGTGCTGGGATTACAGGCGTGAGCCACCGGCCTGGCCTGTTGTGTAAGCCCCTGTTTGCATCCTCATTTTCCTTCTGTCTGAAGGGCTTCCTTTAATATTCTTGCAGTGTGAATCAGCTGCTTTTTGGGATATTTTAAGCTCTTGCACACCTGAAGAAGTCTTTATTTGGGGGGAGATATTTCCACTGGGTGGAGAATTCTGGGCTTTGTCTTTCTGTACTTTACAGAGGTGATCTCACTGTCTTCTTAATTCCAGTATTTCCTCTGAGAAGTCTGCTGTCATTCTCATCTTTGTTCCTCTGTCGGTCAGTTGTCATTTCTTCCTCTGACTGCTTTTAAGATTTCATCTGTACTACTGGTTTTGAGCAGTTTGATTATGATGTACTTTGTGTACTTTAATGTTGTTTCCTCCCCCTGCCTTTTTTTTTTTTTTTGGTGGTTGGGGTTCTTTGAACTTCTCAGATCTCTCAGTTTACACTTTTCCACACATTTCAGAAAATTGGGGCCACTACTTTTTCAAGACTCTTTGCTGTCCCCACCACTGGCAACCAGTCCTTGAATAACATCGCTGCAGAACTCACTGGCTCGTGGCTTCTGGGGTCAGGAATCCAAGTGTGGCTGAGCTGGCTCTCTGCTCAGAGACCTCACCAGCCACAGTCCTCTTGGCTCTGCTGGGGAAGGTCCCACGTCCAGGTACACCCATGTGGCCGTCGGAAGGATTCTGCTTCTATCCGTGGTTGGGCTGCCGCGCTTGGTCCTATGGCAGCTCCTCGCCGTGTGGGCCGCTCACGCATGGCAGCTGGCGGGTCAGAGCTCTGAGAACCAGGGTGGGAGCCGCAGAAGTCACGGCTGCTGTGACGTGACTGCAGAGGGGAAGCCAGCACTTGCGCCCCACTTTGCATCCGCTGTAAGTCACGCTGAAGGGCTGGCGCTGATGCGGGTGGTGCCTGGAGGTGGGGACCATCAGGAGCCATTTCAGAAGTGCCACCAGCCTGCCTCCAGGACTCCTGCCCTACGTGTCAGGCCATGTGACGTCGCCCCACAGCCCACGCCCAATGTGCTGCCTCCTTTATGTCTGTCTTTCCGTTTTTTCCTTTTTGTTTGTATGCGCTTTTCTTTCTTTTTCTCATCTGTTTCATCTCGGACGGTTTCCGTGGTTGTATCTGCAGCTTCACTGATCCTGTTTTCGCCATGTCTGATCTGGCATGGATCCGTCCCCCGTACTTGTTGTCTTCATCCTTAGAAGGTCAATTTGGCTCTTTTTTGTCCCTTTTATGTCTATCCTCAATTTTTTGGGCATATGGAGCAAAGTTACAGTGACTTAATGTGATCTGCCGCTTCTGACGTCAGGTCAGCCCTAGGTCTGTTTCACTCAGCTGATTTTCTCTTTGTTGAGTGCTGCGAGGCTGTGTGTGCATGTGTGCGTGTGCCTGTGCATGCACGTGTGTGTGTGTTCCTATAAATATTCGTGAGCTCTGTTCGGAGACACAGTTCAGGTACTTGGAAACAGCCTGGTTCTCTGGGTCTCGGTTTAGGAAATGTGAGGTGGGAGCAGGGCAGCGTCTGTCTGGGGCTCACACCGCCCCTTGCTGCGGGGTGTCCATCTCAGTGCTGTGCCCTGGAGCCGCCTAGTTCGCAGGCTTTCCCGCGAGGCTGCCGGAGACAGGCACTGGTCCAGCCCAGTGTGAGCTTCGGGTGCCATTTTCTGGGTTTTTCTCTCTAATGCTCCAGGTTTTCTCAGCCTCTCACTGAGCACTCCAGCGAACTCAGCCCTCCTCTGTGGCACTCTTTTCGGCGCCCTGGCTCCAGCTCCAGCCCTGTCCCTCAACTCGGGTCCCGCGAGGCCCTGCCTGGGCTGTGACTGTCTCCCCAGGCTCGCCCCGTCTCTCAGGGCCCGCCACCCTTCCTGACTGAAAACTGTTGTTTCACATTTGATGCCTCATATTCTGGCTGTTTCAGATGGCAGGTGCATCTGTCCTTGTGGCTCTGTCTCGGCCGGAAGCTGCCGGCCGCCCTCTGAGGTGGGAAAATAGGCATTTTGTCTCCATTTTACATTCAGGAAACTTCAGCTCAGAGAGACAAACTGATGGGCCCCGGGGCCCACAGCACATAAGAGGGGCAGCCTCACAGGAGGGCGGGCCTGCATCTCCGGCCCTCCTCACCCCGCATCCCCAGCATCACATTGCCCTAAGCGTGGCGCTCCACGAAACGTCACTGCCAGCAGCATGGGCCTCGCCTGGGTGGGAGGTGAGAAGGCGCAGAGGCCGCTGACGTCCTCTCCTGTTCTCATTCGGCTACATCTGGAAAGGGTGGTGCTGTCTAGCCCGGGCCCAGGAGGGGAGGACCCCACACCCGGGACGGGCTCAGGAGGGGAGGACCCCACACCCGGGACGGGCTCAGGAGGGGAGGACCCCACAGCCACGCAGGGCTCAGGAGGGGAGGCCCCCACACCCGGGACGGGCTCAGGAGGGGAGGCCCCCACACCCGGGCCGGGCTCAGGAGGGGAGGCCCCCACACCCGGGCGGGGCTCAGGAGGGGAGGACCCCACACCCGGGACGGGCTCAGGAGGGGAGGATGCCACACCCGGGACGGGCTCAGGAGGGGAGGCCCCCACACCCGGGACGGGCTCAGGAGGGGAGGACCCCACACCCGGGACGGGCTCAGGAGGGGAGGCCCCCACACCCGCGACGGGCTCAGGAGGGGAGGACCCCACACCCGCGACGGGCTCAGGAGGGGAGGACCCCACACCTGGGCGGGGCTCAGGGAGCCACTGGGCGAGGGCTGTGCTGCAGCTCCTCCCTCCTCACCCGTGTGCCTGATCTGAGCACCTGTCCTCCCTGCCCGCTGCGTCCCCTTTCTTCCCTTAACCTTCATTGTGTTCTGTGCTCCTGCTGCCCTCGGGGCCAGTCCCTGTCTTTTAACCCACACTCAGCCCCTTCTCCCACCTTCTCCATCCCCGCCACCTCCTCTAACTCATCCCTGTGGCCTCCATGCCCTTCCACGGCCCTTGGAGCCGCCCGTGGCGGATGCCACTCACAGCAGGGGCTGCGCAGGCCGCCCCACCCCGAGCCGGCGCCCCCACTCCCTCGGCTCCCCTCCGGCTGCGGCTGCAGGAGCAGCTGCGTGTGGCTGTAAAGCAGAACGCCCGTGTGCGAGGGGGAGCTGTATAAATAGAATAATAATAATAATAATTGTTGGTTTGGGATTTTTCTGCGACTGCTGGGGTGCCTGGCCTTGCCCGCCCCGCCAGTCACTCTTGAAGGAAAGGTCACCCTCGCCGGGAAGATAAACCCCAATAACGCTGGTATAATTAGCACAGGCAGTATTTAGATGCTTTCCTCGGTACAATTAGGCAGGAATAATTGGCTGAGCTATTTTCCCCGTGCCGGACACACTTTTTGCCAGCTTCCGTTCTTTGGAACTTCATGCCGGGACATTTGTTCTCGGCGTTCTGTCCAAGCTGTCCTGACCCAGTTGCCGCCAGGCCCTCAGCGCGGTGCTCACGCGGCAGCATCTGCGAGGCCTCTTTTGGGCCCGGCTGTGTCGTCTCCCCCGAGGGACGCCGGAGGGACAGTGGGGCAGAGAGGGGTGGGAGCTGAGGGTCGTGCACACAGCAGGGTGTCCTGGGGTCAAACCTGGACCTCTGGACCAGGAGCTCCGCGGAGCTGAGCTGGGCTGGGCCTGGAGCTGGAGGGCTTGTGCAGGGTGGGGCTGGGCCGGCCATGGGCATCCATGAGGGAGTGAGGCCATGAGCGGGGGAGTCAGGCATAGGCTGTAACAAGTCCTGTGGCCAGCCTGGAGGAGGAGGCCCTCGGCCGAGGTAATACACCAGCAGCGAGAAGCTTGCTCTCTCCCTCCTCAGAGCGCGGACGGGCCAGGCAGTGACTGTCAGGGCTCGGTGGTGGCTGCTGCTCCTGGATCACCTTCGGGCCGTGGATGTGCAGCAGGCAGGCTGGCCCCACAGCACCTGAGACTCCTGTGCAGAGCCCAGCTGTGAGTTGTGAGGCTGCCAGGAGTCCTCGGTATCCCGGTCTAACAGGTTGCGTAGACCACGGTAGCACCAGCCATTTTCACGCTGTACCCGGCAGGCTCAGCACGGTCTTGACGTTATCACGCCTGAACTTTGGGATACAGATCACTGCTGCCGAGGTCATGAAGCCAAGCTGGGGCCGCGCCGACCTCCAACCCTGGGGCTGGGACCGTGCTGGCCTCCAACCCCGCCTGGGGCTGGGACTGTGCCGACCGCCAACCCTGGGGCTGGGACTGTGCTCATCCCAGGGCTGGGACTATGCTGACCTCCAACCCCGGGGCTGGGACTGTGCTGACCTCTAACCCCCAGCAGCACCTGCTGGGATGAGAGCACACATTACCCAGGTTTATCACCTCTGGACCCTGATGCCATGGTCCAAGGCCTTCAGCCCCTGAGACGTTTTAGGGAAGGGAGGGCAGCCCTGGCCGTGGAGGCTCGTGCAGAGCTGTGTGCATGGTGAGACTGCCCAGCACTGTTCACAGGCGCTCAGACGGGCACCGCAAAGACCCGTGGACAGAGCTGTGCCCCACCTGGGATTTGCACAAGCCCAACCTGGGTGCCCTGGCCGCTGGGTGCCGAGGGGCTTGGGCCCGTGTCTCTCACACCTCAGCAGCAGCCCTATGACAGGTAGCCTCAGCGGACTCTGCTGTGGCCACCTGACCAGCGCCACCCACCCCAACCAGCTGGCTGGGCTCACGCTGTGACCCACGCCTGGCGTCTGTGGTGCCACCAGCCAAGATGCCAGCCATGACGCCAGCCTGGCACCCCAGGCCCAGGACATCTGGGGCAGGTGGGTGGGCAGCACCGGCCTCAGCAGCCCACAGAGGGGCCTCCCACAGAGTGTCTGGAGACACTCCAGGCAGACGGGCAGATGAGCAAGACGCCCGAGGGTTGCAGGCCAGGTGGATAAGGATTGGGGCTTGCATGTGTCCGCAGTGGGGAACCCGTGTGCTCAGCGGCCTGTCTTGAAGCTGTTCCGCTCTTGCAGATATAATTTAGATATACATTTTTCCTAATTACAAATATGCAGCATATAAAAAAATCTGGAAAATGCAGAGAACCATGAGTCACTTTCCGTCCCAGCACTCCGAGTTAACCGCCATTAACATTTTGATTTTCTAAGAGTCCTTTTGCACTCTGTGAGTGTGGGTGTGAGAGTGTGTGTCGTGCTGCAGTGTGAACTTGAAGGGTTTTCTCACCCCTGAAGTTCAGGGCTGACTCTCGGCGGACGCTGCTGAGTCTTCTCCCCGGCTCGCCCCATGTGTGCATGAAAGTGCCTGGGACGCGTCAGATTCTCAACTTGAGACGCCCGGAGAGTCTTTTGAAGTTGAAAACACTTTGATTTCCTGACAGCCTCAAGACAAAAAAAAATCTCCCCTTCGCTGGCTTTGAGAGCAGGTGTATTCTACAAGCGAGGTTCACAGGGACCTATGGCTGCCCCGGCAGATGCCATCCAGGCACGCCCCTCTCCTCTCCCGCGGGTCCTGGTGGGGGAGCCTCTGTGGGAAGCCTGGGGGCTCCGGGGCCTGGCAGACAACCAGTCCTGCTGCAGCGAGGTGGGGACAAGGCCGGGAGCAGCTCACTTCCCAGTAGAGGCCATCCGATGGCGCCAGGGCACGGGGCAGCTGCTGTCCTCATGGCCCGGGGTAACGTGGGCACAGGGTTTCCTCATCCCACTGTGCTCTGTGTCTCCCCTGAGCCCGGTGATTTTACGCACCTGACTTCGTTAGTCTTCTCGGCAATGCCCAGCGTGCAGACCAGGCTCAAGAGAGGTGTGTCGGTGTGCCCAGGGTCACGCAGCTTCCTGGTGGCCAAGCCGAGGTTAGAAGCTAGTTCTGGTGGGTGCGAAAGCCCCCGATGTCGGCAGCTCTGCCACCAGGCCCGCACAAGCAGGTGGTGTAAGAGGGGAGGCGTTGGGGCCGGCAGTGCTCAAGTCAGGATTGAGCCGTCTATCTGGAAGGTCTGTTGAGGGTGTGTGCTGGTGGCCGGGAGGTGGTGGCAGGCTGACTACCTGCCATTTTCCTGCAGTGCCTAGGCCCAGGAGAGGGAGCAGCCCCCGGTCAGGACCCAGCTGCAGGACACCCCATCCTCATGGACCTTGCTTCCCGCTCTCCGTCCCCCCACAAATGGGCTCCCAGCATAACTTCCCCCGAGGGCTCCTTTCCTCTCCCCACACAGAGCCCTGCTCCGGAGCGGCGCTTGCAGCACACCAATGACAGGAGGATTGGGCTTCAGGGAAGCAGGCGCCTGGAGCTGTGTCCAGTTAGGTGCGTGGCGCTTGCAGATCCAAGCATGAAATATTCATGCCTCCCCCGGCCCAGCAGCTGCGGCTTCTCATCTGGAACAAGGGGGTGCTTCTCCCAGGAAGGCCAGTGGGAGCAGGGGTGTGTCTGAGAATGCCTGGGCGCTCTGCCCTCACGATGGCCGCTGATGCCACAGGCCCGGCCTCTGTGCCCAGGCCACTCTCCAGCCTGGTGAGGTCTGTTCTGGGAAAAGAGAGAAGCAAGACAGATGTGGGCCTTGCCCTGTGGGGCCAGGGCACAGGCAGGAATCCCACTTGGGGTTAAGACGCTGCAGTCACCCCTCCAGGTGCCAGGGTCCCCTGTGGCCGTGGCGTTCTAGGAGAGATGGGCAGGGAGACGCTGGCGCCCTGTCGTGTAGCTTATCCTTGTATCTGCTTCACAGGCTCTTCCACTGTGCAATTTCCTAAAATTTTGGCGAGGCCCATTTATCCATTTTAATTTTATTCTGTGGATTGTGCTTTGGTGTTGAGTGTCAGAGCTCTGCCTCATCCAGATCCTGAAGATTTCTTTTTTAACATAATTCTGTGTTTTACATGTAAGTTCGTGATACAGTTTGAGTTAAATTTTATTTGAGATGTGAGGTTTCGGTCAAAAAAATTTTTTTTTAACTAAGTGTGTCCAGCTCCTCCGGCTCCAGCTGTAGCAAAGACAAGGCTGCCCTTCCTCCACTGAAGCGCCTTTGTGACTTTTCTGTGACTTTTCCGTATCGATTAATAGGGTCATATGTTGTTTATTCTTTAGCCTGTTGATATAGCAGATTACATTGATTGATTTTCAAATACCAAGCTAGCCTCGTACACCTAAACGAAGTCCCACTTGGTCACGGCATAATATTCTCTGTTAGAAAGTGGCCTGGACGCGTCTGTGGGTCTCTTTCGAGTTCCTCTGTTCTGTTCTGCTGGTCTCCACATCTCCCCTCCAGCGCTGCCCCAGCCATGTCTGTCTGACGTAGGAGCCGTATAACGCTGTGCTGTAGCTGTACGGTTCTCAACATCAGGAAGGGCAATTCCTCTACTCTTCTTTTTTGGAATTGCTTTCTATATACATTTTAGAATAATCTTGTGTCTCTCTACCAAAAAAAAAAAAAAAAAATGCTGGCCGGGCATGGTGGCTCACGCCTGTAATCCCAACACTTGGGGAAGCCAAGGCAAAAGGATCGCTTGAGCCCAGGAGTTGGGAGACCAGCCTGGGCAACACAGGGAGACCCCATCTCTATGAAAAAAATACAGCCATGAGTGGTGGTGCGCACCTGTAGTTACAGCTACTTGGCACGTTGAGGCAGGAAGATTGCCTGAGGCTGCAGTGAGCCAAGACCACACCACTGCACTCCAGCCTGGGTGACAGAATAAGACCCTCTTTCCAAAAAAAAAAAAAAAATATATATATATATGCTGAGGTTTGGACAGCAATTACCTTAAAACCAAAGATCAATTTTGGAAAAATTGATTTACTATAAGTCTTCCAGTTCATAAACATTGTATCTATTTATACAAACATTCTTTTTATTCCTTTCGATTCCTTTCATCAGTATTTCCTAACTTTCTGCAAACAGACACTATACAAGTTTTTGTTAGATGTATACCCGAGTATTTAAGATGTTCTGTAAATTATATTGCCTTTTAATTTTGTTTTTCACTTGTTTGCAATTGCTTTATAGAAATGTGGTTAATTTTTGTATGTTCATCTTATTTCCTGCAACCTTCGTGGACTCACTTAGTGTTCCAGGAGTTTTCTGCAGATTGCTCAGGATTTTCCACGTGGGCCGTCACGTCATTCTAGGAGTTTTCTGCAGATTGCTTAGGGTTTTCCACGTGTGCCGTCATGTGATTTCCGAGTAGGGACAGTTCTGTTCTTTTCCAATCCCTATGCTGCTGCTTTCCTTTTCTTACCTGCATGCCCTGGCGTGAGGAGCTCCCATGCTGGGTTGAGGATGAGTGGGGAAAGCCAGCTCTCCGCTGACCGAATGAGGGAAGGCGGCCAGACTCTTCCGTGAAGCAGCGTGAGCTGAGGGTTCTTCGTGGTGCTTTTTACCAAGTCGGAGGACTTTCCCTTGATTCCTGCTTTGCAAGAGTTCTTGTCAGGAATGGAGATTAAATTTTTTCAAATGCTTTGCCTGTGCCAATAGGATCATATCATTGTCTTCCTTTAGCCTGTTGATAGGGTGGATAACATTGATTGATTTTCAAATTTGAACTAGCCGTCGTTGTACACCTAAACTGAATCCCACTTGGTCAGGGTGTGATACTCTTTTTCGTGTGTTGCTGGATTCCATTTGTTAGTCCTTGTTGAGTATTTTTGCAGCTAAGCTCATGAGAGACTGATACTTATTTTTCTTTGTGTGCGCACCATCCTTGTTGGTTTCAGTACAGGGTTCATAGTGGAAAGGTGTTTCTCTGTCTTTTGTTAACTGAAAAAGGATTGTGTAAAATTGGTATTAATTCATATTTAATGTTCGGTAAAACTTTCTAGTGAAACCATCTGGGACTGGAGATTTTGAGTAGCATTTTAATTAGAACAAACTTGATTTATTTAATGGTTATAGGACTACCGAGGCTATTTTATCTTGGCACGTTTTGGTAGTATGTGGTTTTCGAGGAATCCATCCAGTTTGTTATGAGCATCAAGTTTTGTTGTAGTATTTTTTATTGTTATTTTAATAGCTTCTGGATCTATTATAATATTTCCATTTCATTTCTGATATTGGTCATTTCACTCTCCCCCCCCCCTTTTTTTTTTTTTGAGATGGAGTCTCGCTGTGTTGCTCAGGCTGGAGTGCAGTGGCACGATCTCGGCTCACTGCAAGCTCCGCCTCCTGGGTTCATGCCATTCTCCTGCCTCAGCCTCCCAAGGAGCTGGGACTACAGGCACCCGCCACCACACCCGGCTAATTTTTTGTATTTTTAGTAGAGATGGGGTTTCACTGTGTTAGCCAGGATGGTCTTGATCTCCTGACCTCGTGATCCGCCCACCTCGGCCTCCCAAAGTGCTGGGATTACAGGCGTTCCCCCTTTTTAATCTTTGTCAGTTTTGCCAGGGGTTTATCAATTTATCGTTGCTGGTCTTTCTAACAAATTTTTGAGACAGGGTTTCACTCTGTTGCCCAGGCTGGAGTGCAGTGGTGTGATCATAGCTCACTACAGCCTCAAACTCCTAGGCCCACGTGATCCCACATACCTGGGGCTACAGGTGTATGCCACCACACCTGGCTGATTGATTATAGGGATGGGGTCTCACTGTGTTGTCCAGGCTGGTCTCAAACTCCAGGGCTCAAGTGATCCTCTCACCTTGGCCTCCCAAAGTGCAAAGATTACAGGTGTGAGCCCTGCTCCTGGCCGGCCTTATTGCTATTTTTTAAAGAAGCAGTTTTTGGTTTTAATAACTTTTGTTTTCCTGTTCATTCCTACTTGTATTATTTCCTCCTCCTGCTTCGGGCTTGTTTTTCCCTTCGTTTCTTGAAGTAGGAATTTAGAGAAGCGATTTGAGATCTTTCTCCTTTCCTGATACAGGCATTGAGTGCTGTCCGTTTCCCTCTAAGCACTGCCTTGGGTGCGTCTGGCAAATTTCATTATGCTGTATTCTTGTTTCCATTCTGTTCTCTTTTTTATTTCCTTCGAGGCATCCCATTTGACTCGTGGATTACTTAGAAGTGTGCTGTTTAATTTCCAGGCACTTACAGTTTTCCTGTTGTCTTTCTCTGACTGGTTTCTGGTTTTGATGTCCACTGGTGTGGCCTCCACCTCTTCACGCCACCCCACAGATGAACAGCATTCACATAACTTCCCAGTATCTCGAAGTAGCATCGTTTCCATTTCCTGCGTGTCTTCTCATTTTACTGCATTATTTCAGCTTTCCTTGTTTGAGCCAGGATTCAGGGCTTCCTTCATTCCATCTCTAGCTTCCTCCCCTCGAGTTTCCCAGTTCATGGAGTTTCTCTTGGACCCTCAGCAGCAGGGGGTCTTGTTCTTGACAGGAATCCCTCACACTTCCCCCTTGGCCTCCGAGCCCCACCACATCCTGCGGTTGGTGGTGTGTGGAGAAAGTGGTGTGTGGAGAGAGTTGGTGGTGTGCGCTGTCTCTGCTCTCCAAGCCCTTTGTCAGCCCCCACCCCTCCCTCACTCCGTGCCTCTTGTCCGTGCCCGCTGGGACACCATGGGGCTCGGCTCAGGGGATGGTGGGACCAGCGCTTAGTAAGACTAGTCAGCCCTAGGCACCGAGTGAGCACTGCTCACGTGGCAGAGCTGGAATGGGGGCCGGGCACACAATCCCTGGCCCACGTGTTCCACGGACATGCTGCAGAGGTCCCCGGCCCTCCAGGGCAGGCCCTCTCTGCTTCCAGAGGGGCAGGTGAGCCCCAGGCCAGGCCAGCGAGGGTCTGGACTAGAGTGCAGTGGCCACAATGGACGCCGCGAGTGTCTTCATTAAGAGTGAGTGTCTCAGTCTCCCCCAGGGCGCCCGCCAGCCACAGGGCCGCTATGTGCGCAGACTAGACAGGTGGCAGCTCGGGCCGGCCAGGCAGAGGGAGAGGAAGCCAGAGCCTGCGCGCAGGCAGCCTCAGAAGTATTTCCAGCCACAGCCAACGTGTCTTACTGGCAATTTGCTTTTTAAAAAATTGCAGTTTAATTTTAAGTGAGCAGCCCGTAATTACAGTGATTTACGAGGTACCTGGGGACTGTGTGATATTTGAACATGGCAGAGGGCTGAGCAGCGATGGCAGAGATGGATGGGCCCGGCGCCACTCATTCAGCAGGTCCTGCTAATGCCGGAGCGTTAGACCGAGGTGGAGCCTCCCAATGTGGCTGGGTACGCTGGGGGAAACGGAGTCAGAGGTGGGCTGCACAGCAGGTCGACTTGTTCACCGGGGGCTGGTGTTTTGCAAACGCTGGGTCTGCCTTCGTGTGGGGTTTGAGCTGGGAGAGTAGCACTGGTTACTCCTGCCTGTCTCCGTCCACCCCCACCCCCACCTGGAGGGCAGCGCGGTATATTAGGGCATCATTCTTCCAGAGCCGCCTGAGGCCGGCAGAGAGGAGGTGCTGTAGGAGCCGTGAGTGGGTTGCCCGGCCTACCATTGGGAGCAGCTGTCTTGCTGACGCTGGCGGGGTGCACCTGTTTCAAATAAAGAATGATCAGAGCTCACGCCTGTAATCCTCACGTCGTGGGCAGCTGAGGCAGGAGGATCACGTCAGGCCAGGAGTTTGAGACCAGCCAGGCCAGGAGTTTGAGACCAGCCTGGGCAAAATAGCTAAAGTCTATCTATCTCTCAAAAAAATTTAAAAATTAGCCAGGTGTGCTGGCACATGCCTGTCATTCCAACTGCTCAGGAGGCTGAGGTGGATCACTTGAGTCCGGGAGCTCGAGGCTGAGTGACCCGTTATCATGCCACTGCACTCCAGCCTGGGTGACAGAGTGAGACTCGTCTCTAAAAAAAAATATTTTTAGAAATGAACGGCCAGGCTCCCAAAGCCTGCCAGCCTCTGAGGGCCGGGGAAGGCGGGTGCCTGGAAAACAGCTATTCTCTGGTCCAGCCTGGCCAGAGTCTGCACCACAGTGCGTCAGGCCCAGCCAGGTTGCCAGCCCTGGGTTGGGAGGAGGGCGAAGGGCCGGCTGAGGAGACTTCTTCCCACACTGCCTCCCCACCCCTGCCCGGCAGCTGCAGGAGAATCAGCCCCTCTGACATTTAGGGGGAGAAATTCAGAATCAAGAGCAGAAGGCAGAAGTGAAAGGATTTTCTCAGCGAAAGGTCAGAGTGGTTTCTCTTGTTTTTGTTTAAAAATGGTTTGTGTTGAACTATGACAAGGCCAAATGTACTAAGGCAGCAGAAACAGGGGGAGGGCAGGGGGAGGGCACGGGGACGGCTCCTGAGAAACAGGAGGTGCAGGAACAGGTCAGGTCGCAGGGCCTCTGGGGCAGCACGTGCTCCAAAGGTGGTGAGGGGAGGGGCGACACCATCAGGGCGGGGCCCAGCCCAGGCATGCTCCGGTGGACAGGGGAGCTGCCAGGACCAAGCTGGATGGAGCCAGGCCGCCCTGTGGCTCCTGGGGAGGGTTCCCAGAGGGCTGCCGGGCGGAGGGAGCGCTTTCCAAAACGGTTTCCTGAGCTCCGATGCACACACATGCAGCTCACCCTCACGTCTAGCGCTCCATTAGTCTACCGTTCCGTTCCTCCCGGCACATTCAGTGCGCAGCCGCGACCAGTCTAACCGTGGCACATTTCCACTGGCCCTGAGCCCTGACGTGCCCCTCCAGGACATCCCCTGGGCACGGAGTTGTGTCGACAGGTCTCTGTGACTGGCTGGGCGTGTTTTCGGGGTTTGCCCGCGTGGCAGCGTGTATCAGAGTTCGGCTGTACGAAGCGGTGTTGACGGGTAAACCCGGTTTTGTGTCTCCCTCCGGCGGTTGAGGGCTGGTTCCGCGTTCCATCTGTTGGTGATGGGATCGTGTTGCCGTGGACACCCGTGCCGAGGTCTGTGCGTGGACTGCGCTCAGACCCCCTGGCTGCGCGCCCGGGCGGGTGCTGGGCCCATGGACTCTGCGTCCAGCTCTTTGAGGAGCTGCCGGCTGTTTGCAGTGGCCGCACCACACACGCTCCCGCCAGCGACGCGGAGGGTCTGATTCCCCTCGACCCAGCAGCTCATGGTGGTTGCTCTCAGTGGCCGTCGGCGCGAGGCGGCTCCGTGTCTCGCTCAGTTGCGGTTCACGTTTCCCCGGTGCCCAGCGTCCTGGCATGAGCTCATTGGCCGTGTGTGGCTCTTCTCTGGAGAAATGTTCAAGGGCCCCTTGTTTAATTGGCTCTTTCCTCTTCATGGTGGAGTTGTGGGAGTTCTGGGCATATTCTGGGTACAGGACTTTTCAGGGACGTGGTTTCAGAGGGAGCTTTGTGGTGGGCCGGGTTTGTGTCCTGCCTGACCTGGGGCTGTGTGGGTGCTGACCGGGGTGGGGCTGGCTCTCGGGGGCAGCTCAGAAGGGCCTCTGTCCACTCCCCACACAGCCCAGGACCGTGGCACAGCAGCTTGCTCAGACCTGCTGTGTGACTCCTGCCCTGTGTCCCCTGGGGCCTGCAGCGCTGTCTGGAAGCTCCTCCTTGCCCGTTCTCCAGTTACAGGAGGCCGCCCTCTGGGCTGCAGAATCCACAGAGCCAGACTCCCCCTGGGCCCCCAGCGCCCCCCTGCACAAGTGGGGAAACTAGGTCATGGGGCCCAGGCAGTGTGGAAGGCGTTGCAGGACTTGCCCAGGGCGTGGGGTCCTCCAGCCTCAGTGAAGAGTGGCACTAGGGCCTGGCACAGGTGCTGGAGCCCCCCAGGTGGAGGAAGGAGCAAGGTGGCAGCCCCTTGGGTGGGCACACCCCACAGTGCCTGGGACCCCCAACTGCCTGGGTAGATGACAGTGTAGACAACAGAGACCTTGCCCTGGGTTAATTCAGTCCCTTTAGGTGACCTGGAATAAGGCCTGGCAGGGTTGAGGACGCATCTACCCCTGTCCAGGTCCTCAGACTGAGGGAAGCCCCCATGGCTGGAGGGGCTGTGTAGGGAGGGAGGGGAGAGGGAGAGGCCTGTCGGGCTGACCGCTGTCTTGTCTCTTTCTTGACTGCCCCGCAGGCCACCAGCCCCTCGGGTTCCAAGATGCAGCTACTGGAGACAGAGTTCTCACACACCGTGGGCGAGCTCATCGAGGTGCACCTGCGGCGCCAGGACAGCATCCCTGCCTTCCTCAGCTCGCTCACCCTCGAGCTCTTCAGCCGCCAGACCGTGGCGTAGCCTGCAGGCTCGGGGGCATAGCCGGAGCCACTCTGCTTGGCCTGACCTGCAGGTCCCCTGCCCCGCCAGCCACAGGCTGGGTGCACGTCCTGCCTCTCCAGCCCCACAGGGCAGCAGCATGACTGACAGACACGCTGGGACCTACGTCGGGCTTCCTGCTGGGGCGGCCAGCACCCTCTCCACGTGCAGACCCCATGCGTCCCGGAGCCTGGTGTGTGGGCGTCGGCCACCAGCCTGGGTTCCTCACCTTGTGAAATAAAATCTTCTCCCCTAGACACTCCCACTCGCCCTGTGTATCTGTGGCCTAGCCCTAGCAGGGTGGGCGGGAGGAGGGGAAGGAGCTCCCTCAGCAGCCGCCGCCATCTGCAGCCCGGACAACGTTAGGGTGAGTCAGGCATCTCTGCTCAGGGAGTGCACAGGTGGCAGCTGGGACCAAGGGTGGCTGGGGTGCCCTCCCCACCACCATGGGCTGAGGCCCCTCCGCGTAGCAGCTTCCAGCTCTGCCTCAAGGCCGGGCCCCAGCTCCAGGACTTCCCTTTGCTGATGGAACCCGGATGGAGGCACAGGGGCTGGGGGGACTGTCCTCACAGATAAGGGTGCATCGAGGGGAGACTGCCCTCTGTGCCCATCTCTCCAGGGCCAAGAGAGGGCCTGGACCCGGCTGGCAGCACCAAACCCAGGGGTGTGGGGTGGCTCCGCCCCATGGGGCAGATGGAGCATCTGGCCCTGGAGGCTGGAGAGCGAGTCCCCTCCTCCCAACTCGGCGGCCCCGGCCTTCTCCAGCCATGGGGAATATGAGCCGATGATTCAGAGGTGCAGCTGCCGCTATCTGAGCCCAGCAGAGGGGAGCTGGTGCAGCCAGGGGAACGGCCTTGCTCCAGAGCCTCCAATGCTGAGACGGAGGGAGACCCATGGTGGGGGCGGGGGCAGGGGGAGGAAGGAGCAGGGAGGCGTGGACCCTGCCACCTGCCTGCGAACTGTGGGCCTGGGCCAGGGCCACGCCCGGGACTGCCGCCTCCACCCAGACTCCTCAAAGGTGGGGCAGCTCCGGCTCTGCCACCCCCGCCTCACGTCCCACTTCCCACTCCCAGCAACCCCCCCCCCCCCCCGCCCACCATTAGAACACTCCGTCAGGTTCCACAAACCCTTCATGAAAGCCCTTTTCCTCCAGGTCTCAGGGGAAAGTTGGGGGGCCGTCCACTAAGAGGCCCACTGGGAGAGACGGATGTGTTGTGTCCCCCAGCCTCGAGACAGGAAGCCCCTGATTCCTCCTGCGTGTCCTCTCCCTACCCCCCAATGTCACCTTTCAGTGTTGGCTTCTGTTCCTGGGCGCAAGGGGTTTGACGGAGGGGTCCTCGGAGGCCCATGGGGTTCAGCTTCACGAGGCTTTGTGCGGGACGCAGGCTGTGCAGACAAGAGAAGTGAGATGTCTCCATGTCACGTGAAGGTTGTTCTGCCCTGGCTCGGCCCCTGGACACACATGTGCCTCAGACAGACACACAGCCCCGCCAGAGCTGGGCAACCACTGGCTCTCACACTGAAACCCGGAGTCCCAGACTGTTCGGCCCCATCGCAGCCCTGGGGTGGCCACAGCCCCATGTCTCAGCTGAGCACAGCGGGGCCCACACAGGATGCTGCTCCCACAGCCACAGATAATCAGAACGGGGCCCTGGTCTAGCCTTTGGGCTGTCCTCTGCCAATACCCCCCAGGTCAATCCCAGGGTCCTGGCACCCCAGCCCCCACCACCCTGCTTTCCCCATCACCATTCCTGCCGTGCCACAGCCTGAGAGCCGAGGTGCCTGCCTCCACCCACCCTTTCACCGCCAGCAGCCCCGGTGACGGCCCCCACACACACTCATGGACCTGGGGCTTCTGGGACCGAGCCCCACTCAGCTGGCCCTTCAGGACCAGGGAGCCAGCACCACCCTGGCTGTGAACACAGAGGGACAGGGGCCGGTTCTTGTCAAGGCAATTTAGGAGATGGGGTCCGACTGGACCCTGAAGGCGGATGGGACCCCACCAGGTAGGAAGCGGGGATAGGGTGGGCCCAGAGGCTGGAGGTCAGGGGCCATCCTGGGGGAGGACAGAGGGCTGAGCCCTCAGGCAGAACAGAAGCCCGCAGCCTCTGCCCCAGGGGCAGCAGGGGGAGTGGTCCCTGGTGGGCGACAGCCGGGTCCAGGTCCAGGCAGGAGCCCCCCCAAAGGTGGTGGTCTTGATTGCAAGGCCAGAGCTAAACTCCAGCCAGCCCAGGTGGGAATGGAACTTACCAGGAGGATTTGGGGCAGAGGCTGAGAAAATGGAGAGTGGGGAGGTGGGCTCAGCCTCAGGAGGCACTGGCACGGCTCCCCCCGTGGACACACACCCCACTGACTCCCGCGGTGGACACACACCCCACTGACTCCCCCGGTGGACACACACCCCACGGCTCCCCCGGTGGACACACACCCCACTGACTCCCCCGGTGGACACACACCCCTCAGCTCCGGGACCCTGGGACCACTGGCTCTGCCATCACCGATGCATAACCTGGTGGCTGAGGAGCAATGGTCACGGCCTCCAACCACACCAGAAAAACCGCAGCAGGGGTTCCCACAGCCACAGACCCTCATGGCCACAGGACTCCACCCACTGTCCCCAAGCCCTTGTGTCACCTTCCCAAGATCTGAGGCTGCTGAACCTTCTGGTTGCTGCAGCCTGGGCCACGGCCCACACCTGCCTTCCACCCCGGCTTCTGTGGCATCAAGACGGGCTTGGCAGCTAAAGGGCCACAAACAAGCCCCCTGTCCCCAGGTGCAATCTCAAGTCTGCATCTGGACCCGGGGCGCCTTCCTGACTTGGTCTCCCCTTCCCCGTCCACATCCGCATCCGGACCAGGGGTACCCTCCTGCCTTGGTCTCCCCTTCCCCCTCCACAGCCAGGGATCTCCAAAGCACCTTCCTTTCGGGGAGCCCGGGGCCGGCACCTCCCCTGCCGGCTCCCCGGGAGGGTCTACAAGAGGCTGGGCCCCCCAGCCAGCGCTGAGATGCACCAGCTCCGGCCGGCAGGCGGCTCTGCTCTGATCATGGGATTTTCCTTTCCCCGGGAAGAGGCAGAGGCGGGGCTGGAGCAGCCCTCACACCCCCAAGGGACGTGTCTGGGTGGGCTGGAGAGAGCAGAGGTCTCTGATAACATGTGTCCCTTGCGGGCTGATTTAATAAACCTTCCCCACGAGTTTGTCAAATCCTCTTCACGCGTCTGCCAGGTGGAATGGGAAAGAAACAGCGTGTGAGGACCCCAGGAGGCGCCACCGGTCCCCTGTCCCTGCCCAGCCCTGGCTGCCGGGCCAGAGAAAGTTCTGGTTCTGGCAGATTCCCCGCTTCCCCCCAGCTCCTTAGTGGGCACCCAACGCTAAATGGTTCTTAAGCCGCTAATGACTAATTTTAAGGGATTAGTGCTACAGCAATCAACTGTAATTGCCAGGATGTAACAGGATTTGGGGGGCCCCAGGGCTCCCTCCAGCCTCCCGGCAGGCTGGAGAGGACAGTGCCACCTGCCGGGGCCTCTGAGGGATCAACCTCCCTCCCTCCCTCCCACTGCACCTGGCACCGGGCAGCCAGCACAAGACCATTGCAGGGTTAGTCTGTCTCTTTCCTTCCCACAGACAACTCGTGCAAGTTTTGGAGAAATCCCTGGGTTTTCTGCAGCCCCTCACTTCTCAGAGTGGGGTCCCTGGAAGCACCTGAGAAAGGCAGGTCCTCAGGTCCTGCCTGGAGCAACTGTGAGAATCTACCTTTAACAAGTCTCTCCCGCAGCTCGTACACACAGAGGCTCTCATCGGCTTGGAACTTGCCAATTGGCAATGCTCATCCTCATCCCATACTGATCCTGCAAGTCTGGTCTTGTCAGGAGAGGAGACCTCAGTGCAGAAAGCCAGGGACTGGCCCACCAACGCCTCCTGCAAGTCTGTGTTGGGCAGGGACTCAAACCCTGCTCTCTTGACTGCAAATTCAGCTGCCCCTCCAGGCCCCAGCGTCTGAGTTAAACTTGGCCCATTGCCCTCCTGTTAAAATGTCACCAGGACACCATGGGCAGGCGAGGGCTGGGACCTTCATCCAGAGACAGCATTGGAGGGAGACTCAGAGGTCCAGGGGCTCAGAACCTCGGGCTATACATACAGGAGTGTGTTTACAGGCATGTACATGCAGAGGTGTGGGCATGCACCACTGCCACTCCTGGACACATGACCCGTGTACACGTGCACATATAGGCATGTGCAGTGCATGTCCCCAGGCTTGGTTTGTGTGTATACATGTGCCGTGTGTGTGCATAACTGCATTTGTGTATTGGTGTGTGGCCCTGTGTGCACATGTGTATGTACAGATGTGTGTACGTGCATGTATCCCTGTATGGTTTGTGTACATGAGCATGTGTGTACATGTGATGTGTGCATGTGTGACCACGTGTATTGGTGTGTCATATGTGCACATAGGTGCATATGTGCTCCTGTGTGCAAGCATGACTTCACATGTGCGTACTGGTGTGGGCCATGTGTACACGTGTTCATGTGTGCACACATGACTGCATGTGTGTTGGTGCATAGCCATGTGTGCACATGGTTGCATGTGTGTGCACCTGAGGACAGGCGGCTTCACCAGAATGCTTAAATCGCTGCTTGCGGCCCAGAGAGGAGGAGTTCCCTGTCCGAAGTCGCACAGTGAGAGACGGCCGGCAAGGAGGCGCCAGGAGCCCGGTCCAGACATCAGCTGGCCCAGCCTGGCAGTCTCGTTTTGTTTTATGTTTTCTTTAACTGCACAATTCAAATACATTTTTAACACTAAAACAAAACAAAGTTCCCTCCAACAATATGAGAGGAACGTAGAGTGAAAAGGAGAAGTCCCTTCTGGCCCCCATCCCAGACTCTCCCGCCTGTGGGTGGATGTGCACACCTACCATATGGACACACGAAAACACACGGTTCTGCCTCCCTGGGTGGTCTGTGTGCTTTTAAAATCCCTACGTATTGTTCCGCAGCTTGCTTTTTCTCACTTCACAATATGTCTTGGAAATTTTCCATAGACGCGTGTACTGATCTGTTTCACTGGATTTTGCTGTTGTTGCCAACACTCTCAAGAAATTTTATTGAAAACGGTGACACACAGAAACACCAGATTCTCATTTTAAAGTAAAACTGACAGCATTTTTCAGAACTTCCATAGTTCTGAACCATTTGTGTCACTATCTTTCAAAGCAAAACAAAACACCGAGTCCCAGATCCCAACGAGCAGAGGTGGCCCTCTGAGAGCCACGGGGAGAGGCTCCGGGGAAACAGGCCCTGCCGATTGATGTCCTGATCTTGGACCTGGGCCCCCAGAACCTCGAGAAAGAACTGGTGCGGCGGAGGCCGCCCCGGCGGGTCGTAGTCTGGGGTTTGTTTACAGCGGCAGGAGCTGCCCAATTGATCCTTACCCATGAGTAAGCCCTCCCTTCCCCTCATCTCCTGAGCCAGCTCTATCCTTTCTTCCGGCGTTCCCCACTACCTGGCGTTTTGTTCAATGCATAGTTTATTTTTGATAGACATAGACTGCACATCTGTTCCAGCAGATACAGTCATGTTTCAGACAGATTAGCGTCCTCACAGAACAGCGCTAATAGAGACGCCACGCGAACCGCATACGTAACTTGACATTTTTTAGTAGCCACGTTAAATAGTAAGCAGAAGCCAGTGAAATTAATGTTAGCAAATACACCTCTAACCCAATCTATCCAACATGGCATCGTGTCGACGTGTGACCAATGCGAACGGTGAATGGGACCTTCCACAGTCGGCTTTGGTCTCGGGGATCCCGCTGGATTTTCCACTTGTCCCTCTCGGTTGGGCCCAGCCACCCCGGGCGCCCCTGGCTCTGGCGTGTCACCCCCGTGGGGAAGGAGGGGCCTTGTCACGTTCACCGAGGGAGCTGGCGCCTGACAGTCCTGGCTCACACCGGTGCACAGGTGTGTGCGGGTGAATCCATGCTGCGTGGTGACAGGTGATGTTGTGCTGTGTCCCTACTCGACTAATGAGAAAACTGGAACCAGAGAACAGGGGAAGCGGCTGTCCCAGCTCTGGTGTCGCTGGGCACGGGCGGAGGCGGTGGCAGAGCCAGGCCTGGCTCCCTCCTGGGCAGAGGGACAGAGGTGAGCAGTGAGCACTGCCCACCAAGGACCGGGGACCTGGAGCTCATGGCCCCTCAGCTTCCTCTGAGCACCCCCTCCTCCCAGACGGAGCCAGGGGCTGGGCAGCCAGGCGCACCCCGGCCGGGACATCAGGAGGCCTCAGTTGAATGCTGGCTCAGCCCAGCCTGCGGGATGGTCGTGGGCAAGGGTCCTCCCCTCCCTGGGCCTCAGTCTTCGCATCTGGAAAACGGACCACATGACCTGCCAGGGGTGTCCACCTGGCCCAGCACCCAGCCCAGGTAGGGGACACCCCAGGGCGCAGTATGTGGCCTCTTCAGCATAACACTATAATTAGCCCAATTACCCACCGCTTTCATGCTTTTTTTTAATTTAAAATGGAAATTAAATTTTGCAGCAGGTTTACAGGCTGTTAACGGAATTCGCTAATCAAACCCAACACCAAGTCCTCGAAAATGAGAATTCAAAAAGGTCTATATTTGCATATTCATGTTTTTAATAGGGTTCAGAAGGTATATTTGCAGCTGATGAAAGGATTAATTAAATCTATTTGCATTGGTGAAGCATTTTAACCCCTTCAGAGCTGGCCGGAGAGGGGAAGGCCCTGAGGCCCAGTGGTAAACGAAGCCTCAGGCGGACGGCTAGAGGTGCTGCTCCTGCCGCCCCTTCCTGGGGCCACCCATCTGGCAGGGAGCCTCCCCCCGAGCCCAGTATGGCAGGGCTGAGTGGGCCCCAGACCTGGAGCCTTCACAGCTGCCCCATGGCAGCCCTGTGACAGGAGATGGCTTCAGGAGTTTTTACTTTAAAAACAAACATACACTAGAATTTTGGTTTTTTATAACATTCATACTCAGTCACTGTAACATATTTAGAAAATGTGGGAAAGTCTCAAGAAAAAAAGAAAGTCACTGAAGTCCGGGTGCGGTGGCTCATACCTGTAATCCCAGCACTTTGGGAGGCTGAGGCCGGCGGATCACCTAAGGTCGGGAGTTCAAGACCAGCCTGACCAACATGGAGAAACCCCATCTCTACTAAAAATACAAAATTAGGCAGTCGTGGTGGCGCACACCTGTAGTCCCAGCTACTCGGGAGCCTGAGGCAGGAGAATCGCTTGAACCCAGGAGGCAGAGGTTGCGGTGAGCCAAGATCATGCCATTGCACTCCAGCCTGAACAACAGAGCGAGACTCCATCTCAAAAAGTCACTTAAACACGCCCACTCAGCAATGCTCCTGGAGGCTCTTGTCTTCCCACCCCTCCTCCGTGTACGTGTGTTGTGTGAGTGCTCATGTGTACATGTGAGTGTGCACACACGTGTTGTGTGCACGTGTGTGTTGTGAGTGTGCACACATACCTGTGTGTTGTCTGCATGCACACGCACACACAGGCAGAAGCACCCCTGGGACCCGCAGCTCTCACATATATGTCCTCATCAAGGTCTCACTTGCACACCAGGTGGACGCTCTGCAGGTGGGACCACCCTCCTCTGACGCAGCCCTGCATGACCCCATGAGGGCCACCCCACAGCTGCTCAGAGCCCTGGTGCAGTCGGGGGCCCTGGTCACCTTTTTCATGGATGTGTGGGGTGAGGACGGGTGCGGTGCCCTCCCCTAACACCCCAGAATCTTCAGGAAGGGGGTATCTTGGCAGCTTTCACAGCTCGCATCCAAGTGGGCTCTAGGTACAGACACTGGAGTTATACAGACACTGGAGTTATACATGCAACACACGCCTGGAGACACACAACAGAAATGCCCAGAACATGTGGACACGGGCAGCTACATACATCACGTGTGCGTCGTGTCACACACAAGCAGCTACAGACATCACGTGTGCGCCGTGTCATATAGACAGTTACAGTCATGTGAGCGCTGTGTCATATAGACAGTTACAGACATCACGTGTGCACCGTGTCACAGACAAGCAGCTACAGACATCACGTGTGCACCGTGTCATATAGACAAGCAGTTACATCATGTGTGCGCCGTGTCATATAGACAAGCAGCTACAGACATCACGTGTGCACTGTGTCATATAGACAGTTACAGTCATCATGTGTGCACCGTGTCATATAGACAAGCAGCTACACAGATGGAGCTGCCAAATTCGGGAATCGCTAACAGGAGCCACTCCCATCATTAAACCCAAGTTGTTTAAATACTGTTTTTTGACAATACACATAGAAATATATATATATATACACACACACACGTTTATATATGTCTACGGAGAAATATGTACTATATATTTAAATATATACACACGGAAATGTATACATATATACACATATTTTTTTTTTTTGAGACGGAGTCTCACTCTGTCACCCAGGCTGAAGTGCGGTGGCGCAATCTCGACTCACTGCAACCTCCGCCTCCCAGGTTCAAGCGATTCTCCTGCCTCAGCCTCCTGAGTAGCTGGGATTACAGGCGCCCGCCACTACGCCCAGCTAATTTTTTTGTTTTTAGTAGAGACGGGGTTTCACCATGTTGGTCAGGCTAGTCTGAAACTCCAGACCTCGTGATCCACCCGCCTCAGCCTCCCAAAGTGCTGGGATTACAGGCGTGAACCACCGCACCTGGCCCACACATTTTTTTCTTTTTGAGACAGGGTCTCACTATTGCCCAGGCTGGAGGGCAGTGGCATGATCATAGCTCATTGAAACCTCCACCTCCCAGGCTCAAGCAATCCTCACACTTCAGCCTCCCGAGTAGCTGGGAACGCAGGCACCCACCACCACGTCTGACTGATTTTTTGTATTTTTGGTAGAGACGGGGTTTCGCCACGTTGCCCAGGCTGGTCTCGAACTCCTGACCTCAGGTGATCCTCCAGTCTCGGCCTCCAAAGTGCTGAAATTACAGGAGTGAGACAGCACACCTGGCCTATGCACACATATTTATACATATATTTATATCTACACAGATAAATATCTCAATATGTACACATTTCTACAGACAATATATACCATATTTATGAAGACACAAATAATTTTTTCAGGGAATTTGGACCATACTGCATATGCTGTTTTACGTTATTTCTGTTTTCACTGAAAATTAGAATATGAGGCTCTGTCCACGCCATTATGTTCCTCCAGAAGTGTGGTTTCAACGGCCGCCAAGAGCCCCACTGACTGCCTTAAATATCTGATTCCCCCTTTTTGTCAGGAAATTCAGTTTTTCCCTTTCGTTATGATTATTTCTCAGCAGTCACCTCTAAGCCACGAGCCCCCCGACCTCCAGCCCATGCCTTACAGGAGCCTCCCGGGAGATCGCCAGGGAGCGGGAGGAGGCTTGGAGGCTTCAGCTGAGTTGCTTTTTCCCAATTCACTCCCGGAGTGGGCCCCCAGGTTGCAGAAGAGAAACCGAGGCTCAGGGAGACCAGCAACACAGCCATACAGTGGTGGTCACTGAGAGCGGGAGAAATGTACGTGGGAAGGAGACGGAGTTTGTAGTTTAAAGAAAAAGCACTGGCCAGGCACGGTGGTTCATGCCTGTCATCCCAGCACTTCAGGAGGCCAAGGCGGGTGGATCACTTGAGGTCAGGAGTTCGAGACCAGCCTGGCCAACACGGTGAAACCCTGTCTCTACTAAAAATACAAAACTTAGCCAGGTGTGGTGGCACATGTCTGTAATTCCAGCTGCTTGGGAGGCTAAGGCACAAGAATTGCTTGAACCTGGGAGACAAAATTTGCAGTGAGCCGAGATCACGCCACTGCACTCCAGCCTGGCTGATGGAATGAGACTGTCTCAAAAAAAAAAATTAATTAATGAAAAATAAATAAATTAGCTGGGTGAGGTGGCACATGACTGCTATCCCAGCTACTTGGGAGGCTGAGGCAGGAGAATTTTTTGAACCCAGAAGATGGAGGTTGCAGTGAGCCAAGATCGCACCATTGCACTCCAGCCTGGGCGACAGAGCAAGACTCTGTCTCAAGAAAAGAAACATGGCCAGGTGCAGTGGCTCACACCTGTAATCCCAGCACTTTGGGAGGCCGAGGCGGGCAGATCACCTGAGGTCAGGAGTTCAAGACCAGCCTGACCAACATGGTGAAACCCCATCTCTACTAAAAATACAAAAATTAGCCAGATGTGGAGGCGCGAGCCTGTAATCCCAGCTACTCGGGAGGCTGAGGCAGGAGAATCGCTTGAACCCGGGAGGTGGAGGTTGCGGTGAGCCGAGATCACGCCACTGCACCCCAGCCTGGGCGACAAGAGCAAAAAAACTCCATCTCAAAAAAGAAAAGAAAAGAAAAGAAAAACATGCAGTCGTGAACCCACCACTCCATCATACCCCAAAACCCTCCCACCCTCTGACACTGGGTTTTTTTTTTTTTTTCTTTTTTCCCCCAAGACGGAGTCTCGCTCTGTCACGCAGTCTGGAGTGCAGTGGTGCAATCTCTACTCACTGCAACCTCCACCTCCCAGGTTCAAGCAATTCTCCTGCCTCAGCCTCCCAAGTAGCCAGGACTACAGGCGCACACCACCACACCCAGCTGATTTTTGTATTTTTAGTAGAGACGGGGTTTCACCATGTTGGCCAGGCTGGTCTTGAACTCCTGACCTCGTGATCTGCCCGCCTTGGCCTCCCAAAGTGCTGGGATTACAGGTGTGAGCCACCACGCCCAGCTGGCACTATGCTTTTAAGTCCTGGGAATAACTTGTAGTGTGTGCGTCCCCCCAGGCTGCCGCAACAACATCTCATAGACCAGGCTGCTTACAAACAACAGAAATCCATTTCTCTCCGTCCTGGAGGCTGGAAGGCAAAGATCAAGGTGCGGGCTAGTTCAGTTCCTGGGGAGGCCTCTTTGTGGCTTGTGAGTGGTGTCTTTTCCCATGGCTGGGAGGGAAGGAAGGGGGAGAGGGAAAGAGGAGGAGAGAGGAAAGAGCTCTCTTCTTATAAGGCCACAGTCCTATCAGATCAGGGCCCCACGCTTAGGACTTCATTCAACCTTAATCACGTCCTTAAAGCCTTATCTCCAAGCACGGTCACACGTGGGCTGGGGCTGCACCGTGGATTTGGAGAGCGCGCAATTTGGTCCATAGCACGTTTAGCTATGTGATTTAAGCACATTTAGCTTGTGATTTTAATATTTAGAAGTATTTGATTAAAGTCTGTAATCAATACTTAAATACCTGGGAAATGTTATTGGTTAATTTTTTAAATTGGGATTCATTAATTGTGCAATTGTGTTTAAATACTTAGGGACATAGACTTAGGAGGTTTGTAAGGCGAGTGAACTGATCAGGAGACAAGCAGAGACAGGCGGGAGGGCGTTTCCGCATACGCAGGAGCCCCCTGGAGATGAAAGATCCCGGAACAGAGACGCGAGGAGGCGCTTTCGTCAGAGGCCTTCCAGCCAGACCAACTCCATCTTGAACAGGGGCTGGGAAAAATGGGGCTGAGACCTGCGCGGCTGCAGCCCAGGAGGCTGGGTGTTCCTCGTCACAGAATGACACAGGGGGTCCCAAGACACAGGACACAGAGACCCCGCTGATAAAACAGGACGTGGCTAAGAAGCTGGCCAAAGTCCACCAAAACCAAGATGGCGACGGACGTGACCTCTGGTCATTATTGACAAGATGCGACGGACATGACCTCTGGTCATCCTCGATGCTCATTATGTGCTAATTATAATACAGTGGCATGCTAAGAGACACTCCCACCAGCGCCACCACAGTTTACAGATGCCATGCGGACGCCTGGAAGTTCCCCTCTATGGTCTAAAAAGGAGAGGAACCCTCAGTTCCAAGAACTCTCCGCCCCCTTTCCTAGAAAGCTCATGAATAATCCACCCCTTGTTTTGCATATGTTCAATAAATTACCATAAAAATAGCCAGCCGGCGGCCCCGGCAGCTCTGCCTATGGAGTGGTTACCCTTTTGTTTCTTGACTTCACTAATAAACTTGCTTTCATGTGACGCTATGGACTCGTCCTGAATTCCTGTGTGAGGTCCAAGAACCCCCTCTTGGGGTCTGGATCGGGACCCCTCTCCGGTAACAGTTTGTGACAGAGCAGGAGTTTTCCCATCTTGGACAAATACCACCATTCTAAAGTTCACTTTGATCAAAAGCCGCCTACATCCAAAGGGCATCAGCCTAATGGCTAAGGTCAGCATGACCATAAACCACAAATAACATCTCCGTCCAGAAACATTCCAAACCCCTCCCCAACCAGAGATACGCCAGCCCTGAGATAACCCCCCTCCAGCCGGAAAGAAGTCAGCCCACAGACAACCTGCCCTCCTCCCAGAGACATTCCAACCCCACCATAAAACTTCTGCCCCACACAGAAACATTCCAAACTTGTGATAAGCCCCCTCACCCTAAAACCAATATATACCCTTACTCTGTAAGAGAGAGCGCTCCTGACTGGGTGTGGTGGCTCACACCTATAATCCCAGGACTTTGGGAGGCCAAGGCGGACGGATCATGAGGTCAGGAGTTTGCGACCAGCCTGGCCAACATGGTGAAAACCCATCTCTACTAATAATAAAAAAATTAGCTGGGCGTGGTGGCGGGTGCCTGTAGTCCCCACTACTCGGGAGGGTAAGGCAGGAGAATCACTTGAACCCGGGAGGCAGAGGTTGCAGTGAGCCAAGATCACGCCACTGCACTCCAGCCTGGTCGACAGAGCAAGACTCCATCTCAAAAAAAAAAAAAAAAAAGAGCACTCCTGACCAAAAATCGGCCAGAAGCCCCTCTCTGGTTTATTCCTCCAAAATAAACCTGTCTCTGACTGTTGGGCTGCTTTTTGTGTTTCTTTCCTCTTTGTGTATATCTTAGAGTTTGTCCCATGTAGAGGGTGTGAAGCCAGGTCTCTCTTGCAGGCTGCTGGCCCAGTGTGACCTGGAGTCAGGCAGAAGCTGAATTTCTCTGCTAGAGTGAGCACCATCTCCACCCCCAGCCAGGGACTCCAGAGAGGCCTCGGATGTCACAAAACAAGTCATTCTCCTGGGCTGTCCCCACACCAGCCACTGGCCATCTCCTCTGTTCAAGCCACCAAGGGGCTCCTGAAGCCCGGTTTCTAGTTTAGGGATGAGTGATCGGAAAAACTTTAAGTGACCAAGAAAACTGCTGCTGAAAGATGCCGTCTGTGCAAGGTAAACATGGTGACGTGAGAGTGGGGGACAAGGCAGGGATTTGAGGAAACTGAAAGGTGTGGGCAGGACAGATGTGCCCCTTGGAGGCAGGAAATGGACACAGAACCTTAAACAGTTTACACAGAACCAAGCCAAAATGATTTTGTGAGCCTGTTTATGAAGCTGAATGAAACATGAATAATAATTTTTTTTTTTTGAGACAGAGTCTCACTCTGTTGCCCAGGCTGCAGTACAATGGCATGATCTCAGCTCACTGCAACCTCTGCCTCCCAGGTTCAAGAGAGTCTCCTGCCTCAGCCTCCTGAGTAGCTGGGGTTACAGGCACCCACCATCACGCCTGGCTAATTTTTGTATTTTTAGTAGAGACAGGGTTTCACCATGTTAGCCAGGCTGGTCTTGAACTCCTGACCTCAGGTGATCCACTGACCTCAGCCTCCCCAAGTGCCAGGATTACAAGCGTGAGCCACTGCGCCTGGCCTGCAACTGAACTTTTTCTCACTCAATGTTCTGTTTCTAAGATTTATCCATATTATTCTTGGATTGTTGTTGATTCATTTCACCACGGTGTAAAATTCCATAGTATGAATATAACAAAGATGTATTTATCCATCAAATGGACATTTGGTCTGTTTCCAATTTTTTGCTACTAGAAACAGTGTGGTGTGAACATCCCACTACCTGTCTCCTTGGGCTCATGTAGAAAAGTTTATTTAGGATTTAACTCGGAGTAGAACTTCTGGGGCATTGCACCTGTCAATATTCAGCTTTACAAGCTAAAGCCAAATTACTTTCCAAAGTGCTGAGACAAATTTACCTTTCCACTAACAAGATGCAACATCTTTTTCTTTTTTAAATTTTAGAGACAGGGTCTTGCTCTGTCGCCCAGGCTGGAGTGCAGTGGCACCATCATAGCTCACTGCAGCCTTGAACTCCTGGGCTCAAACAATTCTCCTGCCTCAGCCTCCCAAGTAGCTAGGATGACAGGCACATACCAGCACATCTGGCTAATGTTTTTTTTAAGAGATGGGGTCTCACTGTGTTGCCCAGGCTGGTCTCAAACTCCTGGCCTCAAGCAATTCTCTAGCTGTGGCCTCCCAAACTGCTGGGATTACAGGTGTGAGCCACTGCGCCCAGCCAAGGTGCAAGATCTTGCCACATCTTGTCACCAATGCTTTGTACTACCAGACTTTCCAAGTTTTTCCAGTCTACTGGGTACAAAATGGCAACTTGAACATACTTGTTCTTGAATACCAAAGAAGCTAGATATCTTCTTATAGAAGTATTTGCCATTCACGTTTCTTCTGTTGTAAAATGTTTGTTCCTGTCTGTTACTCATTTTTCTGTGGGCTTGGTCTCTTTCTTACTGATCTTGTGGAATTCTTTTTATACTTGGATACCCATCCTTTGCTGTTGTATGCGTGGAAAAGATCTCCTTGCACCCTGTGACTTGTTTTTATCCTCTTTATGTCATTTCTTGATAAACAAAGTTCTCAATGTTCATGTAGTTGAATTTATCAATCTTTTCTGTTATGGTTGGCGCTCTTGCGTCTTAAGAAACCCCAACACAGTGAGGACATAAACATAATCTCCCACACTGTCTTCTGCAAATGACTTTTATTTATGACGTGAGACAGAAACTCAATTTCATTTTTTCCACATGAATAACGAATTGTCTCAGCAGCATTTATTAAACAGTCTCCTGTTTCCCAAGCTGGTTCCACCGCCCGGGCTGTCATAAATCAGGCCTCCACACACGCGTGGATCAGCGTCTGCGCCTTTGTTCTTCTTCCTCAGTCACGACGTCTATCCCAGCCTTCCTGCCAAACTCTCTTAATTACTGAGCTCCACACACAGGGGATCAGGGTCACTCCTGGGTGGTGGGCAGTGACTTGGAGGGGCCGCGAGGGGGCTGCTAGCTTCTTGCAATGTTTTTGTTGTTTTTAAGGAGAATATATCAAGTGTCTCACTATTATAAATTATAGTTGGATCCCTTCTTCCAGATAAGAAATCTGGAATAAATCCAATCTATTCCTTTTTTCCTAAGAGTGTTTTTTTGTTTTGTTTTGTTTTGAGACAGAGTTTTGCTCTTGTTGCCCAGGCTGGAGTGCAATGACACAATCTTGGCTCACTGCACCCTCTGCCTCCCGGGTTTCAAACAATTCTCCTGCCTCAGCCTCCCAAGTAGCTGGGGTTACAGGCGCCCACCACCACGCTTGATTAATTTTTTGTATTTTTAGTAGAAATGCTGTTTCATCATGTTAGCCAGGCTGGTCTCAAACTCCTGACCTCAAGTGATCTACCCACCTCAGCCTGCCAAAGTGCTGGGATTACAGGCGTAAGACACCACACCCGGCCTTGAGTTTTTAACATGTAAATTTTTATTGAAGTGTAACAAAGATACACAAATATGAGGGTGCAGCTCAGTGAATCTTCGTTTTTCAGCTCCCAACAGGAAACTTTATCAGACGCCCCCACAGAACCACCTGTGCCCACGAGGGCGACCCCTCCCACCAGGGAGACGTTTTGCCTGCTGTGAACATCATGGAAATGAAACTGCGCACAGCGTGTCTTCACTTGTGTCTGGCTTCTGCCCAAATGCTGTATGCATTACATTCAGCAGTATTGCTGTGGGTGGTTAGTTTCTTTTCTTTTTTGAGATGGAGTCTCGCTGTGTCGCCCAGGCTGGAGTGTAGTGGCGCGATCTCAGCTCACTACAAGCTCCGCCTCCCAGGTTCACACCATTCTCCTGCCTCAGCCTCCCGAGTAGCTGGGACTGGCGCCCACCACCACACCAAGCTAATTTTTGTGTATTTTTTTGTAGAGACAGTGTTTCACCATGTTAGCCAGGATGGTCTCGATCTCCTAACCTCGTGATCTGCCCACCTCGGCCTCCCAAAGTGCTGGGATTCCAGGCATGAGAGACCGCGCCCGGCCTGGGTGGTTATTTTCACTCATCGTCGTTACTGCGTAGATTCCACTGCATGATGATTTCATAGTTTATCCATTCTGCTGCTGATGGGTAGATTTCTACTTTGGGCATCAAGAATGGGTCACTGTGAGCATTCTTGTTCACGTCTTCTGGGGAACACAGGTGTGCATTTCTGTGGGATACGGACCCAGGAATGGAACCACTGGGTCAAAGGACATCCACCTCAGCTTCATTTATTTTTTTGAGACAGAATCTCGCTCTGTCACCCAGGCTGGAGTGCAGTGGCATGATCCCACCCCACTACAACCTCTGCCTCCCGGTTCAAGTGATTCTCCTGCCTCAGCCTCCCAAGTAGCTGGGATTACAGGCGCCCACCACCACGCCCGGCTAATTTTTGTATTTTTAGTGGAGATGGGGTTTCACCATGTTGGCCAGGCTGGTCTCGAACTCCTGACCTCAGGTGATCCACCCACCTCGGCCTCCCAAAGTGCTGGGATTACAGGCGTGAGCCACCATGCCTGGCCATCACATCGGCTTTAGCAGACACTGCCAAACAGATTTCTAGTGACTGGCGTCACTCTCATAAGCAGTGTTTGGGAATGCCGGTCCTCCATGTCCTCAGAGCCCTTGGTATGTTTCACCTTTTTCATTTTAGCCATTCTGATGGGTGTGTGGTGGTATCTTACCATGGGTTTATTTTTGAGACAGGGTCTCACTGTCACCCAGGTTGATGTACAGTGGCATAGTCATAGCTCACTGCAGCCTTGAATTCCTGGGCTCAAGCAATCCTCCCACCTCAGCCTCCCGACCAGCTGAGACGACAGGTATGTACCACCACCACGCCCAGCTGATTTTTGTATTTTTAGCAGAGACAGGGTCTCACTATGTTGACCTCAAATTCCTGGACTCAAGTGATCCTCCCACCTTGGCCTCCCAAATTGCTGGGATTACAGGTGTGCGCCACCATGCCCAGCCTTTTTTTTTTTTTTTTTTTTGAGATGGAGTCTCGCTTTGTCGCCCAGGCTGGAGTGCAGTGGCATGATCTTGGCTCACTGCAACCTCTGCCTTCCGGGTTCAAGCAATTTTCATGCCTCAGCCTCCCGAGTAGCTGGGATTACAGGTGTGTACCACCATGCCCAGCTAATTTTATTTTTGTAGTAGGGATGGGGTTTCACCATGTTGGTCAGGCTGGTCTCAAACTCCTGACCTCAGGTGATCCACCTGCCTCAGCCTCCCAAAGTGCTGGGATTACAGGTGTGAGCCACTGTGCCCAGCCCCTAAGTTGGCATTTTTTAATGGTTAATGTTTTCTGTATATTATTTAAGACATCTTTGTTTAGCCCAAGGTGATCAAGATAGTCTTCTATATTTTATTGTAGAAGCTTTATGGTTTAGCTTTTATGTTTAGATGTATGATTAATCTCAAATTAATTTTACTTATGGTGTGAGGTCAAGGTTCACTTTTCCCCTTATGAATATCCAGTTACTCTAAAACGATTCATTGAAAAGCCCATCCCTTCCTCTCTGAATTACACTGGTGCCTTTGTCATAAGTCAGAGGGCTATGGATGTGGTGGTTCATTTCTAAGTTTTCACAATAAAACTCGTGAGGATTTTGACATTGCACTGAATCTACAGATCAATTTGAGGGGAACTGACATCTTAATACTGAGTCGATTAATGAACACAGTATATCTCTTCATTTACATAGCAGTTTTTAATTTCTCAGCCACATTTTATTGTTTTTAGTATAGAGACCTTACATATTTTTCATTAGATCCCCAGGTATTTGATTCTTTTTCCACAGTGTTGTAAAAATTCATTAATTTTCTAATTTTTTGAAACTCTAGGAATACAATTGATGTTTGTATATTAGTTTTAGTATATTGTATCCGGTGAATTTCGCTAAATTAATTTAATAGCTTGTGGATTTTTCTTTTTCTTTTTTTGAGACAGAGTTTCCCTCGTCACCCAGGCTGGAGTGCAATGGTGCGATCTTGGCTCACCACAACCTCCACCTCCTGGGTTCAAGCGATTCTCCTGCCTCAGCCTCCTGAGTAGCTGGAATTACAGGCATGCACCACCACGCCCGGCTAATAGCTTGTGGATTTTTTATTAGATTTACTAGGCTCACAATCATGGTGCCTACAAATAAAGACGGTTTACTTCTGCAGATCCATTTTTTATCACCATTTTAAATTTGTCCTGCCTCATTGCATTGGCTAGAATCTACTGCATAATGTCATGCCAAAGTGGTGATAGTGTTATTTTGTTTACAAAGGGAGCAAACATTCAATATTTCACTATTGATATGATGTTATCTATAAGTTATTTTGGTATATTTGGTCAACTTAAGTTCTGTTTTATTTGTAATTGTCAGAAAGTTTTAATTTGAAAAGTTGCGCTATTTCAGTGTATTTTTGGCATCTATTGAGGTAATCATATGTTTCTACGTTATCAAGAAATTGAATTACATTAACTGTTAAACGTGGAAACAACCTTTCATTCCTGAAGTAAACCCCACTTAGTTGTTATATATTGTCCTTTTTAAAAAAGGATTTTGCGGCCAGGCACAGTGGCTCACACCTGTAATCCTAGCACTTTGGGAGGCCGAGGTAGGTGGATCACCTGAGGTCAGGAGTCCAAGACCAGCCTGGACCACATGGTAAAACCCCAACCTCTACTAAAAATACAAAAATTAGCCAGGCCTGGTGGTGCACACCTGTAATCCCAGCTACTTGGGAGGCTGAGGCATGAGAATCACTTGAACCCAGGAGGCAGAGGTTGCAGTGAGCCGAGATCATGTCACTATACTCCAGCCTAGGCAAAAAGAGCAAACTCCATCTCAAAAAAAAAAAAGAATTTTGAAGGGGTCTATGTTAAAAAGCTTTTGTTCTGATGTTTTCTTTTCTTGTAATGTCTGTCTGATTTTGGTATCAGGGTAATGCTGACCTCATAAACAAATGTGAAGTCTTCCTTCTACTGCTGAAAGAGATTGTGTAGAACTAGCGTTACTTCTTCCTTAAATATGTGGTAAAATTCGTCAGTGAAACCATCTGGGCCCAGAGTTTTATTTTTACAATGTTTGCAAGTATTAATTTCTTTAATAGATATAGGACCATTTATTTTTCATTTTTATTTTTTGAGTGAGCTTTGGTAGTTTGTAGGAAAGGGATATATTCCTTTCAAGAAATATATTCTTCTAAGTTGTAGAATTTATGAGCGAAAAGTTGTTTGTCATCATCCCTTAGCAGTCTGTAGGGATTGTAATGATGCTCCCCCCTTCATTTATGATAATAATTTATTCCTCTTCCTCCTCCTCCTCCTCCTTCAGTCTGGCTAAAGACATATTAATTTTATTGATCTTTTCAAAGAACCATGTTTTGGTTTCATTCATTTTTGTCTATTTTTCTCTTCAATTTCACTTGTTTCTGCCCTCTTAAAAAATATTTTTTCCTTCCTGCTGCTTGCCTTGGGTTTAATTTGCTCTTAATTTTCAAGTTCCAATCTGGATCCAATCATCAGACAGAAATCACACAGCAATTTAAACAGGAGAGGTTTAATATTTAGAAATTATCAAGCTAGGATAGAAGAGTATAAAAATGGAAAGAGAACTCTAAGGACACTCTTCATTGAGGAGAGCAAAGACAGACTGGGGGCAGCGGGGAGATTCAGGCCTCATTGAAAAGGGTGTGGTTGCAGCTACTGGAAGGTGGAGATGTTTTCTGGGTTGCCTGAGCAAGAGCTGGTCCATGGTCACTGGGAAAGCAGGAACAGCCCTCTGGGGAGCATGTGAGCTAACACTAGCAAACAGGTGTGCAGAGGATGTCAGGCATAAAGAAGTATTCAGTGACACTGTCGGAAAGAGTCCTAGAACTCATGATGTCTGCATTTGGAGGGCTGAAGAAAATACAGGTAAGCTGTGGATGATGGAGGCAGGCCAAAGGAGTCAGGTGTAAGGGTGGTGGGACAAGTTTCTATGCAGGCTCTGCTGGAACTGGGAGCTAGAGAGGCTTCTTCATGCAGAGAGGCTTCCTCATGTGTGTAACCTAGCACACCTCTGTGTATGGCTCGGACCAGCATCACTCTGGGCCAATGTCGGGGATGCAGGTTGAGGGACTGGCCACCCAGTGAGCCAGCCCTGCCAGGACCCCAACATGCATGTGTTTGGGGCTGAGAAGAGGATGTGGAGAGCTGAGGCAGCTCTGGGTGTCTGTGTGGATGAAATTTGAATGGCCAGCTCAATAGATGACCACCCCCATGGCATCCCCATTGTGCATGCTCCTGGAGATGAGGACTTGGCAAGAAGCTGTGACCAGACTGTCTCAGATTCCTACCTATACCAGGTGGGAACAGGTTGAGATCTGCACAGGTTGAGATATGGAAAAAACACATGGAGCCATACTCTGGAGAAAGTTGAATCCTGTGGCATCTAGCACCACAGAAAACCAGAAGCAGTCAGGGGGAAAACAGTGCTCTTCAGGATAATGGTGAATAAGCCACAAGAATCAAGACCCCTCTTCCTGCCATGTCTCTCCAGTGCCCTCTACTGATGAATGTTTTGCCAACTGTAAAGGAAAAATAACCAATTTCAAAGATCAGGCATTGAAGGTGAATTAGGAGCTGAGAATACATTGCTTAGTATTATAGAACCCATAGTATATATTTTTCATCCTTTTGATTTTAATGTTTATGTATTTATACTTAATTTGATCTCTTGTAAACAACAAATAATTGGTTCTTAGTATTTCATGCAGTCTGACAATCTCTGTCTTTTAATTAGCATGTTTAGACCATTTACATGTAATACAATTATTGACATGGTTCATTAAAGTTTACCATTTTGTTCTTGTTTTGTTCCATTTTTCCGTTTTCTACTTTTTCTGCCTAATTTTGGATAAATTTGGTGTTTCCTTTTCCATTTTGTCTCCACTTTTGTCTGTAACTCTTTTTCAAAAATTTTTAATGGTTGCTCAAAAGTATAGTTCCAGTTCTTCCTTCTCATCTTTTGTGCTTTTTCTTTAATGTTACTTTGACATATGCTATAAACCTGTAATACATTGCTACTGTATTTGCTTTAGAAAGTCAATTTCCTTTTACAGTGATTAAATATAAGGAGTCTTAACTATATTTATTTTAATCATTTCCAAAGATTTGAGTAGATCCAAACTTATGTCTGACACCATAATCCCTTTTCTCCAAAGAACTTTAACTTTTCTTGTAATGCAGATAGATCTGCTACTAATGAATTCCCTCAGCTTTTGTTTGTCTGCAAAAAGTCATTTTGTCTTGATTTCTAAAATATATTTTTTCTGAGTATAGAATTCTGGTTTGAGTTTTTTTCTCTAGCTTATGTAAAGATATCATTCCATTATCTTGTTGATATAGTTTCAAACAACAAATCTGCTGCAATGTTTACCTTTGATCCTCTCTACGTAATGTACTTTCTATACTTTGGTTGACATCAAGATTTCCTCTTTACCTTTTGTTTCCAGCAATTTTCATATGTTGTATTCAGGTGTCCCTTTTTTATTTATCTTTTGGGGGGTTCTCAAACCTTTTGAATCCATTGTTTGATATCTCTTATTTTTGAAAAATTTTTAGCCTTTATTTCTTCAACTGTTTCTTCTGTCCTGTTCTCTTTTGTTTTAGGTTTCCAACTGCATGTAGTATGTTCCTTTAGAGTCTCACAGCTCTTAGATACTCTGTTCTGTTATTGTTTTTATTTTCACTTTTTTTTATCTGTATGCTTTCACTTGGGCATCTGTTATTGATCTGTCTTCAAGTTCAATAATTCTTTCCTTGCCAGTGTCTAATCTGCTAAGGAACCCTTTGAAGATATTCCTCATCTGTGTTATTGGTTGTTTTTGTTTTGCTTTTAGAATTTCCATTTGACTTATACTTTCCATTGTTCTGCTGAAATTCTTCATTTGTTCACATACTTTCTACCTTCTCTCTCATAGCTAATAGCATACAAATCATGGTTATGCTTTTAATAGTTTCAATTTTCCTGTCTGGTAGTTTCAACATCTGCATCATCTGTAAACCTAGTTTCAATGATTGTTTTGTCTCTTCATAGTAGATCGTTTTATTTCCTTGCTTTCTTTGTGTATCTTGTAATTTTTGGTTGAATGCTGAATACTTAGTAGAGACTTGGGTAGATGGTAGTAATGCTGAGTATTTAGTAGAGACAAGGGTAGATGGTAGTAATGACTGAAAATGTGCATACCTCTTTTGCTGCCAGATCATTAGTATAGAGAATTGAGTTATTCTAGTCAGAAGTTCAGCTGGACCTGGGTTTTGTTATTGTTGTGATTAACACTGGCTTGAAATTCCTCTAACGTTACCTTTTGATCTAGTGTGGGGATTGTGTTATAGAGGTTTTCTCCATGTTCCTGCCCTACAGTCAGCTTTCAGACTTTCCTGTGTGACTGTTCCTTAGAACTGGTCTCTATGCGCCCGGGTGCGGTGGCTCACATCTGTAATCCCAGCACTTTGGGAGGCCGAGATGGGTGGATCACGAGGTGAGGAAATCGAGACCATCTGGCTAACATGGTGAAACCCCATCTCTACTAAAAATACAAAAAATTAGCCAGGCATGGTGACGGGCTCCTGTAGTCTCAGCTACTTGGGAGGCTGAGGTGGGAGAATGGCATGAACCCAGGAGGCAGAGCTTGCAGTGAGCCGAGATCGTGCCACTGCACTCCAGCCTGGGGGACAGAGTGAGACTCCATCTCAAAATAAAAAAAAAAAAAAGAACTTGTCTCTATGCAATTGTCTCTCAGTGATAGACTGTTGATGGTTACTTGGTCCTTGGTAACCTAGAAAAGGGGGCAGATCCTAAAATTCAGGGTGAGGCTTTCCCGGTGATCCTGCTCCTCCACCAACTACAAGAATCCTCTTGGGGGGATCGCTTGCACCCAGGAGTTTGAGGCTGCAGTGAATCATGATCATGTCACTGCACTCCAGCCTGGGCGATGTAGCAAGACCCTGTGTCTATTAAAAAATAATAAAAAAAGAATCCTGTAATAATCTCAGCCCATGGTTTCCTGATCACCCCCTAGAAGTAGAGGGTATTTATATTTATACCATAAGGATCCCTTATGCTACCAATCTGTTAATTTTAAGATAATGTTTGCATTTATAGTTGTGAGAAATTTGCTTGTAATTTTTTTCTTATAATGCCCTTGCCATGTTTTACTATCAAATGTATGTTAGCCTTATAACATGAGTTAGGAAGTATTTCCACATTTTCTATTCCCTAGAATTCACATGACATTGGTATTATTTGTTTCTTAAGTGGAAAAATTAGTGAGGCCATCTGAGATTGGTGTTCTCTTATGGGGGAGGTTTTAAATTTTTTTTTTTTTTTGAGACAGAGTCTCGCTCTGTCGCCCAGGCTGGAGTGCAGTGGCATGATCTCGGTTCACTGCAAGCTTTGCCTCCCAGGTTCATGCCATTCTCCTGCCTCAGCCTCCTGAGTAGCTGGGACTACAGGCACCTACCACCACGCCTGGCTAATTTTTTGTATTTTTAGTAGAGACGGGGTTTCACCGTATTAGCCAGGATGGTCTCCATCTCCTGCCCTCATGATCTGCCTGTCTCGGCCTCCCAAAGTGCTGGGATTATAGGCGTGAGCCACTGCACCCGGCCGGTTTTAAATTTATATTCAGTTTCCTTAACAAATATATGTCTATTCAGATTTTCTATTTCTTTTTGTGTCAGTTTCAATAAGATGTGTTTTTCAAGTAAATTTTTGTTTTCTCTAAATTGTCTACTGCAATGGCATAAGGTTGTTCATAATTTTTTTGAGACAAGGTCTCACTCTGTCTCCCAGCCTGGAGTACAGTGACATGGCAGGATCATAGCTCACTGCAGCCTTGACCTCCTGGGCTCAGGCAAGCCTCTGCCTCAGCCTCCCAAGTAGCTGGGACGACAGGCACATGACATCAGACTTGGGTAATTTTTAATTTTGTAAAGACAAGGCCTCACTATGTTGCCCAGGCTGGTCTCAAACTCCTAGGTTCAAGTAATCCTCCTGCCTTGGCCTCCCAAAGGGCTGGATTACAGGTGGGAGCCACCACCATGCCTGGCCCATAATAATTTCTAATGATCCTTTTACTGATTTTAAGATCTGATGTCTTTTTTCATTTCTGATGTCAGCACATTGTTTATCTTTCTCTTCTCTATGATCAGTTTTTCCAGAGATTTGTTAATTTTATTAATATTTTTAAAAGAAGCATCTTTTGGTTTTATTAAATTTCTCTTGTATATGTTCCTTTTATGTCATTGATTTTTGCAATCATTTTTAGATAGAAAAAAATGATTATTTCAGCCAGGCACAGTGGCTCATGCCTGTAATCCCAGCACTTTGGGAGGCTGAGGCGGATGGATCACCCGAGGTCAGGAGTTCGAGACCAGCCTGACCAACATGGAGAAACCCCATCTCTACTAAAAATACAAAATTAGCTGGGCATGGTGGTGGCATGCACCTGTAATTCCAGCTGCTTGGGAGGCTGAGGCAGGAGGATTGCTTGAACCTGGGAGGCAGAGGTTGCAGTGAGCCAAGATCGTGCCATTGCACTCCAGCCTGGGCAACAAGAATGAAACGCCATCTTAAAAAAAAAAAAATGATGATTTCAAAAATCAATGAAATTTGCTATTCCTTTTCTAAAGTTTTGAGTTCAGTGTATATTTAAATGTTTCTTTTAAATAGCTTATACTTCAGTCTTTTTCATCCAATTTTTACCTTCTATTTGAAGTGTTTAGTCAGTTTATATTTAATATAATTACTATAGATAAGTTTAAATACATCACATTATGTATTTATATATTTTATATTTGTCTGATACTTTTTTTTTTTTTGAGACAGAGTCTTGCTCTGTCACCCAGGCTAGAGTGCAGTGGCGTGATCTCGGCTCACTGCAACCTCTGCCTCCCGGGTTCAAGCGATTCTCCTGTCTCAGCCTCCCGAGTAGCTGGAATTACAGGCACGTGCCACCATGTCCAGCTAATTTTTGTATTTTTAGTAGAGATGGGGTTTCACCATGTTGGCCAGGCTGGTCTCAAACTCCTGACCTCAAGTGATCTGCACGCCTCGGCCTCACAAAGTGCTGGGATTACAGGTGTGAGCCACCTTGTCTGGCCTTGTCTGAAACGTTCTATGTTCCATTTTTACTTCTTTCCTTTTCTATATTCATCACTTATTTATATTAATTTGCTTATTCCATCTCATTAGCATTTTTTGTTTTTGAGACAGGGTCTCACTCTGTCACCCAGGCTGGATTGCAGGGACACAGTCACAGGTCACTGCAGCTTCAAACTCCCCAAGCTAAGGTGATCCTCCCATCTCAGCCTTGTGAGTAGCTTGGACTACAGGTGTGCACTACCACGCCCAGCTCATTTTTTGGGGAGTTTTTTTTTTTTGGTTGTTTTTTGTAGAAACAGGGCCTCACTATGTTGCCCAGGCCAGTCTCGAACTCCTGGCCTCAAGTGATCCCCCCACCTTGGCCTCCCAAAGTGCTGTGATTATAGGTGTGAGCCACTGCGCTCGGCCAGTATTCAGTGTTCTAAATTCCCTCCTGTGTACCACTTTGGCAGCATTTCAAAAATTCTGCTATGTTGTGTTTCTATCATCATTCACTTCAAACTCCTTACTAATTTCCCTTTTTGATTTCTTCTTTGACCTGTGGATTGCTTAGAAGTGTTTATTTTTGTCCCCAAATATTTGGGTATTCTCTAGAAATCTTTGTTACTGCTTGTTTGTTTTTGAGATGGAGTTTTGCTCTTGTCACCCAGGCTGGAGGGCAGTGACGCAATCTTGGCTCACCGCAACCTCCGCCTCCCGGGTTGAAGTGATTCTCGTGCCTCAGCCTCCTGAGTAGCTGGGATTACAGGTGCCTGCCACCATGCCCAGCTGATTTTTGTACTTTTAGTAGAGACAGGGTTTCACCATGTTGATCAGGCTGGTCTCGAACTCCTGACCTCAGGTGATCCACCCGCCTTGGCCTCCCAAAGTGCTGGGATTACAGGCGTGAGCCACCATGCCCAGCCTCTGTTACTGGTTTTAACTTAATTCGATTGAGGTGAGAGAACACACTTTGTATGATTTGAATCTTTTCAAGTTTATTGAGACTTGTTTATGGCCCTAAATAGGGTCTACCTTCGTGAATATTCCACGTGCAACTTAAAAGAACTCATTCTCCTGTTGCTGGGTTGAACATTCTGTAAATATCAAGTCCATCGAGGTGGCCAGTGGTGATGTCCCGATCTTGTGAGCTCTTAGTGGTTTTCTGTGTGCCTGTCTGATTGGTCATTGAGAGGGCAGTGTTGAAATCACTGTCATCGATTTCTCTACGTCTCTTTACCATTCTGTTGGGTTTTGCTTCGTGTATTTTTTTGGGGGGATTTTGTTTTGTTTTTGCTTTTTGAGACAGAGTCTCGCTGTCACCCAGGCTGGCGTGCAGTGACTCAATCTTGGCTCACTGCAACCTCCACCTCCTGGGTACAAGGATATATCATGCCTCAGCCTCCTGAGTAGCTGGGACTATAGACAAGCACCACGATGCTCGGCTAATTTTTTGTATTTTTAGTAGAGACAGGGTTTTGCCATGTTGGCCTGGCTGGTCTCAAACTCCTGACCTCAGGTGGTCCACCCACCTTGGCCTCCCAAAGTGCTGGGATGACAGGCGTGAGCCACCACGCCCGGCCAGCTTAGTGTATTTTGAAACTCTGCTGTTAGGTGCATTAAAGTCCACGAATCGCTTTCCGGAGTGGGTGAGGAGGAGCCTCTACAAAGCTCCAGCTCTCTCTGCAGCTCCCTCCTCCCCAGGATTCTGCTTTGTTCTCTCCATCCGTCCTTATCTCCCTGGACCCTCAGCTCCATTTCCTCAGCTCTGTGAGTCCAGCAGCTCAGCCGGGGTCCCCCTCCCTGTGTCATGGTCTGTGAACTCTCCAGGCAGGATTCTGGAGAATCATAAGGCTCGCTCAAGGAGGGAAAAATCGGAGAAAATCTAAATGTTGTAAAAGAGATATACTTAAGAGATAAATATATGTTCAAATTATTTTTTATTCAAGCAGAGAATATAACTTTTGAGTGTCTATGTGACAGAAAGACTGACAATACATTGAGATGCAAAAAAAAAAAATTGAGTGGAGCATTTTCTCAAACAGCAATGCATTATAACTTGAAATTAAGAAGCATTTTATGATTCAGTTGCACGTGTAAAGCATTCTGCTAAATGAGTCTTGGGTCAAAGAGGAAATAAAAACTGCACTTAAACTCTGTAACGATGGAGAAAATAATCGCTGTTTAAACTTAGATCCAGCTAAGACTATGAAAAAAAAATACATAGGATTAAATGTTTTCATTATTTAACAAGCAGAAATGAAGCTAGTGGGTTAAAGACATCAAGACACATGTCAAGAAAGCAGGAGGAAGCAATACATAAAAACAGAATTTATGTGAATAATAGTTTATTAGTGACACGTAGAAACTCTAAGTTGATTCTTTGTAACTAATATTAACAGTCTGATGGCAAGTACGCTATGTGTTTTTATTTTATTTTATTTTTTGAGACAGAGTCACCCAGGCTGGAGTGCAGTGATACAAACTCCACTTGCTGCAAACTCCGCCTCCTGGGTTCAAGCAATTCTCCTGCCTCAGCCTCCCAAGTGGCTGGGATTACAGGCATGAGCCATCTCATCCAGTGAATTTTTCTATTTTCAGTAGAGACGGGGTTTCACTATTTTGGCAAGGCTGGTCTCGAACTCGTGACCTCAAATGATCCGCCCACCTTGGCCTCCCAACGTGCTGGGATTATAGATGCGAGCCACCGCGCCCGGCCACTGTGTGTTTTAAGAAGCTGTCCAGGTGATGCTCACACATGCTAAAATCTGAGTCACTGTGAAGGTGGCTTTCGAGGCAGATACACCAGATTAATTGAACACCCCCAATGTGGCGCTCCTCCGTGCCTGATGAGAGCGCCTGTGCCCGCCAGGTGCTGTAGAGGAAAAAGGGGCAGATGCCCCCAACGTGTGGCCCATGCACCGGCAGTACCAGCATCACCCGAGAGCTCCTGAGACATGCAGATTCTCAGGCCTGCCCCAGCCTGTCTTGGTCCAAAACTCTGGAGGGGGTGCTGGGAACCTCTGCTAACAAGCTCTGCTAACAAGGACTCGGATATAAGCTAAGGTTGAGAGCTCTGGACTAGAGACCCTGCAATTACTCCCTGCAAAACACCTAAATTACATTGCCAGAATGAACCTGCAAGCAACCAAAAGAAATTCTGGGAGTCCATGGACAAAATGACAGCCAGAGTCCAAGAGGCAGGAGAGGGGCTGAAGCCAGCAGATACTCGGGGAGCGAAGGTGGCTCTGACACGGCGACTCTGTCCTAAGAGGGACGGGGCACCAAGCCTGGGGACCACACTGGGAAGGGGTCAGAGAGCACCCAGCCTGAAGCCAGCATTCTGGAATGGCTGCCCCCTTCAGGAAAAGGCGAACTAGGAAACATCCTGAGCCTTAGTCGGCAGGGAAACTGTCTTAACCTTAGTACCAGGCAAGTTTATTTCTTAAATCCCGAGAGAATGTGCAGCACTGACCAGCCCTGCCACGGGCTTGGCTCCTAAATCTTCTGCTCTTTGCATGACCCCAAAATGACAAGGTGAGAATTGTAATTAATTTTATTTATTTATTTTTTGGAGATGGAGTCTCGCTTTATCACCCCGGCTGGAGTGCAGTGGTGCAATCTTGGCTCACTGCAACCTCTGCCTCCCAGGTTCAAGCAATTCTCCTGCCTCAGCCTCCTGAGTAGCTGGGATTACAGGTGCCCGCCGCCATACCCAGCTAATTTTTATATTTTTAGTAGAGATGGGGTTTCACCATGTTGGCCGGGCTGGTCTTGAACTCCTGACCTCAGGTGATCTGCCTGCCTCGGCCTCCCAAAATGTTGGGATTACAGGCGTGAGCCACCGTGCCCAACTGAGAATTGTAATTTAATGTGGATTTGTAGTGCCTCAGGAACCTGCCCAAAACAAACACATTTTCCTCTGGAGGAATATGCCTCAACCCAGGCCTTAGAGAATGTCCAAGGTCAAGTTCAAATATATATTTACATATAATATGTACAATAATATGATTTTAATAAAAAAACTACCAGAAAGCAAGACACCATGTAAAAGATCAGCCCAAATAACAAATAGAACTTGGCCCAGAAAGACCTGGGATATTGGTCTTAATGAAAACAGCATATAAAACACAACGTTTAATATTTTTAAAGACCTGAAATAGGGAAATGAAAACATAGTAAGAGAATTTAAAAACTAGGAAAGAAACAAAGTAAAACAAATATAGTCATGAATAAATCTTAAATCACTGGGAAGATTAGACAGCAGATAAATACAGCTAAACAGAGAATTAGAAAATTGGGGCCGGGTACAGTGGCTCACACCTGTAATCCCAGCACTTTGGGAAGTCGAGGCAGGTGGATCACCTGAGATCAGGAGGTAGAGATCAGCCTGGCCAACATGGCAAAACGTTGTCACTACTAAAAATATAAAAATTAGCCAGACATGGTGGCACATATCTGTAATCCCAGCTACTTCGAAGGTTGAGGCAGGAGAATCACTTGAACCCGGGAGATGGAGGTTGAGATTGAGCTGAGATTGAGCCACTGCACTCCAGCCTGGGCAACAGAGTGAGACTCTGTCTCGAAAAAAAAAAAAAAAAAAAAAAGAAAAAGAAAAAGAAAAAGAAAAAATTGGCAGACTAGAAGGTAGACCTGCGGAAAATCCACAGACTGCAGCACAAGGGCTGAACACAGACTGACACAGCTGAAGGGAGAATTAGTAGACTGGAAGTTGATATTACAGGGAATGTAGCACCAAGAAAATCAGAGGTGAAAAGACAGGCTCTGAGACACAGAAGGTCAGGGGAGAAGGTCCGGCACAGGGCTAATTGGTGCTGCAGAAAGAAATTCTGCACAGAATAGGAGAGAAGCACTGTCAGGAGGGATAATGGCAAAGGATTTCCTAGAATGAATGAAAGACATAGTCTTTCAGATAAGGAAACCCAGATGAATCCAAGCAGGAAGAGTAGAAATCCATTCAGAGGTGCCTCATAGTGGAACTGCAGAACATGACACACAGGGCTTAAAAGCTGCACCAGAGAACATACAGGTCACCCATACACTACAACAAACAGACCACCTACGACTTCCTATCACACATAAAAGAAGCAAAAAAGGAACAGGAACAACTATCTTCCAAGTTTAGACAGAAAAAAACTGTTAAAGAAAAGCTCTAAAATTGTATGCCCACGGCCAGGCGTGGTGGCTCATGCCTATAATCCCAGCCGAGGCAGGTGGATCACCTGAGGTCAGGAGTTCGAGACCAGCCTGGCCAACATGGTGAAACCCCATCTCTACTAAAAATACAAAATATTAGTTGGGTGTAGTGGCAGGTGCCTGTAGTCCCAGCTACTCAGGAGGCTGAGGCAGGAGAATTGCTTGAACCTGAGAGGTGGAGGTTGCAGTGAGCCGCGACTGCACCACTGCCCTCTAGCCTGGGTGACAGAGCAAGACTCTGTCTCAAAAAAATAAAAATAAAATAATAAATAATAAAAATAAAAAACAAAAAAGACACTCCTAAAATGTTAGTACAGGGATTGGTTGAAAAAAGAACGAAAAAATACAGTACAGGGATTGGTTGAATGAAAAAATACAGTACAGAGATTGGTTGAATGAAAAAATATGGTACAGGGATTGGTTGAAAAAAGAATGAAAAATATTCTTTTTTTTTTGGAGACTGAAATACAGTACAGGATTGGTTGAAAAACACAGTACAGGGATTGGTTGAAAAATACAGTACAGGGATTGGTTGAATGAAAAAATACAGTACAGGGATTGGTTGAAAAAATACAGTACAGGGATTGGTTGAATGAAAAAATACAGTACAGGGATTGGTTGAAAAAAGAATGAAAATATTCTTTTTTTTGTGTGAGACTGAAATACAGTACAGGATTGGTTGAAAAACACAGTACAGGGATTGGTTGAAAAATACAGTACAGGGATTGGGTGAATGAAAAAATACAGTACAGGGATTGGTTGAAAAAAGAATGAAAAATATTCTTTTTGTTTTTGTTTTTTTTTTTTTTTTGGAGACGGAGTTTGCTCTTGTTGCCTAGTCTGGAGTGCAGTGGCACAATCTCGGCTCACTGCAACCTCCACCCCCGGGTTCAAGTGATTCTCCTGCCTCAGCCTCCCGAGTCACTAGGATTACCGGCATGCACCACCAAGCCCGGCTAATTTTGTATTTTTAGTAGAGACGGGGTTTCTCCACGTTGGTCAGGCTGGTCTCGAACTCCCAACCTCATCAGGTGATCCACCCACCTCGGCCTCCCAAAGTGCTGGGATTACAGGCGTGAGCCACTGTGCCCAGCCAGGAAAATAATATTCTGATCAAAATGCAAAAAGCATTGCCAGGGATAAAGAGGTCACAATATGGCGCTGACTCAGGAGAACTACAGAAGAATTCTGAACGTGTATGTACCTATTAGGGTAACTTTAAATTTTATAAAGAAAGCAAATTACACAAGAAATGGCTACAAGAAGAAACTGATCAATCCAGCAGCACACAGGGAGATTTTAACACGCCTCCTTCAGTAATTGATAGAACAAGCAAATAAAAATCAGTAAGGATTTAGAAGATCTGAGCGACAAAGTAACAAACTTGATCCGCAAGATATTTATAGGATTCTGTATACAATAACCGGAGAATATGCTTTCTTCTCCAGGGCCCAAGAAACATTATAGAACTGACTACATATTCAGCCATCAATCAAACCTAAATAGACCTGGAAGGACTGGTACCATAGTAACAGCATTCTCTGAGCACAACGCCAAGTAGTTTAGAAGTCAATAACAATGAAAGAAACCTAAAGCCTAAAAATCTTAATAAATCTAGAAATTTAAAAACATATTTCTAATTACCCACGGGTAAAAAAGTCTCATAATGGAAATTCAGAAATACTTAAGACTAAATAGTGAAAATACCAAAAATGATCATGAATTGTAACACCATATGGTGATAAGTACTTTGTAGTCATAAACGCATATATTAGAAGAAAATCCCCTAAAAATTAATAAGTACCCAACTTAAAAAGTTAGAACAGGAAAATAATTCCAAAGAAAATGAAAGGAAGATAATAAAGGCAACCAGAAATTAATAAAATAGAAAATAAAAATACAATGGGGAGGAATTATAGAGTTGATTTTTTGGAAGAACTAATATAGCTGAACTAAACCTCTAGCAAGACTAATCAATTTTTTTAAAAAATAGAAAACACAAGAACTATTGGGATAGAGAAAATGAACATTACTACACAGGAGAGTAGAGGCTGAAAAGTTAATAAGGGAATATTATGGGCTGGGCGCAGTGGCTCACGCCTGTAATCCCAGCACTTTGGGAGGCTGAGCGGGGGGGGGGGGGGGCAGATCACCAGAGGTCAGGAGTTCGAGACCAGCCTGACCCATATGGTGAAATCCTGTCTCTACTAAAAATATAAAAAATCAGCTGGGCGTGGTGTCAGGCACCTATAGTCCCAGCCACTCGGGAGGCTGAGGCAGGAGAATGGCATGAACTCAGGAGGTGGTGCTTGCAGTGAGCCGAGATCCCGCCACTGTACTCCAGCCTGGGCAACAGAGCAAGACTCTGTCTCAAAAAAAAAAAAAAAAAAAAAATTAGCTGGGCTTGGTGGCACTTGCCTGTAACCCCAGCTACTTGAGAGGCTGAGACAGGAGAATCACTTGAATCTGGGAGGTGGAGGTTGCAGTGAGCCGAGATTGCACCACTGCACTCCAGCCTGGGTGACACAGTGAGACTCCATCTGAAAAAAAAAAAAAAAGAAAAAGGGAATATTATGAACATCTTTTTGCAAATAAATTTGATAATTAGATGAAATGGACACATTCCCAGGAAAATACAAATTCCCAAAACAGACTCAGAAGAGACATCCTGAATCGCACTATAAACAACAACAAAGATTTAATCAGTATTTTAGAAATCTTCTCACAATACAAAAACGAGGCTCAGCTTGTTTTGTGAGCAAGTTCTAGCAAAGCATTCCAGGCACAGATGATTTCCATCTTATTCAAAGTCTTCCAGGAAAGACAGCCAAAGGGAGTGCTCCCGAGCAGATTCTCTGATGATTAGAAAATCCTTGTGCCCGATAGACAAGGGTGGTAAGAGAAGTGAAGTTAATGACACTCTCTTTAATAAGCATATACACAAAATCTCTGAAACAACAACAACAAAAATCAAACCATCTAGCAGTGATGTGGGACAGGCGAGCCCCAGAGTAGGGCTTAGCTGGTGAGGGTTCTTAGCTTCGCCTAGGACAGACTACAAGGGAAAGCTGGCAGTGGGGTAGAATGAGGCAGCTTTACTGAGGTGGCGGGGTTACAGCCCCATGGCTGTTCCCACAGGGCAGGGCCACCCCGCGGGCAGTGTGTCCAGAGTAACAACTTGGGAGGAGTTCTGCAATCATACCTACACCCACTTTCTTTCTTTCTTTTTTTTTTTTTGAGACAGAGTCTCGCTCTGTCACCCAGGCTGGAGTGCAGTGGTGCTATCTTGGCTCACTGCAACCTCCACCTCCTGGGTTCAAGCGATTCTCCTGCCTCACCCTCCCGAGTAGCCGGGATTACAGGTGCCCGCCACCACACCCGGCTAATTTTTGTATTTTTAGTGGAGACAGGGTTTCACCATGTTGGCCAGGCTGGTGCCAAACTCCTGACCTCAAGTGATCCGCCCTCCTTGTCCTCCCAAAGTGCTGGGATTACAGCTGTGAGCCACTACGCCCAAACTTCACTTTCAAATATACGTAAGTTAAAGGGCAAGTTATTTAGAAATTTCTAGAAAAGGGATGATAACTTCCAGGTCACTGCCATGAAAAGGGGTGGTAACTTTCGGGTGTTGCCATGGCAATGCTAAACTGTTGCGGCGCTGGTGGGCCTGTCTTAGGGAGAAGAGCTTTCAGTGCCTCTTCTGTGTTTTAGCTAGTCTTCAATCAGGTCTGGAGTTGACTCCCACCTCCTACCTCAATAGTGTTATATGTACCGTCAAGCAATGCTCAACCCTGGGGATACATTCTGAGACATGCGTAGAATATTATATGCATATTGCTATAATGTTATAGCACCATATCTGTTTGTCTGCACGCATGTTGTTGGACGATTTCGTCACGTGTAAGTGACCTTCCACAGATCCAGTAGTGTACTCTAAGATGGCAGAGCCTACCCCATGGCCAGGCTGTACGGTGTGGCCTGTGGCTCCTGGGCTCCAGGGCTCCAAATGTGCACAGCAGGTGACAGCACTGAACGCTGCAGGCAACTGCAGCACAATACTGTATGTCTGTATGTCTCAACACATCTAAACACAGAGAAGGTGCCGTGAAAACACAGGATCAGTGACTTTAAAGTGGCGTACCTGATATGGCACTTAGCACGAACGGAGCTTGCGGGAGTGGAAGTTGCTCTGGGTGAGTCGGTGAGAGAGGGTGAGTGAGTGTGAAGGCCTGGGACGTTACTGTGCACCACTGGAGACTATTTTTTTGAGACAGGGTCTCGCTCTGTCGCCTAGGCTGGAGTGTAGTGGCACCATCTCGGCTCACTGCAACCTCTATTTCCCAGGTTCAAGCGATTCTTCTGCCTCAGCCTCCTGAGTAGCTGGGACTACAGGCGTGCACCATCAAACCCTGCTAATTTTTGTATTTTTAGTAGAGATGGGGTTTTGCCATGTTGGCCAAGCTGGTCTCGAACTCCTGACTTCTTGTGATCCAACTGCCTCGGCCTCCCAAAATGCTGGGATTATAGGTGTGAGCCACCCTTCCTGGCCTACTGAAGACTTTATAAACACTGTATACTTAAGCTATACTCTGTTTATTAAAAATATTTTTTCTTCAATAATAAAGTAACCTTAGCTTACTGTTACTTTGTAAACTTTAAAAAAATTTTTACTTTTTGGTAATACTTAGCTTAAAACACAAACACGTTGTACAGCTGTACAAAAATATTTTCTTTCTTTATTTTGTAAGTAAGTTTTTTTCTATTAAGGTTGGTGCAAAAATAATACCATTACTTTTTAATCCCATTACTTTTAATGGCAAAAACTGCAATTACTTTTGCACCAACCTAGTATTTTTGAAACTTTTTTCTACCTTTTTTTTTTTTTTTTTTTTTTGATGGAGTCTCGCTGTGTCATCCAGGCTGGAGTGCAGTGGCACGATCTCAGCTCACTGCAACCTCCGCCTCCCAGGTTCAAGCAATTCTCCTGCCTCAGCCTCCTGGGAAGCTAGGATTACAGGCACATGCCACTATGCCTGGCTAATTTTTGTATTTTTAGTAGAGACGGGGTTTCACCATGTTGTCCAGGCTGGTCTTGAACTCCTGACCTCAGGTTATCCTCCTGCCTCGGCCTCCCAAAGTGCTGGGATTACAGGCATGACCCACTGTACCCTTTTTTCTACTTAAAAAATTTTTTGTTACAAACAGAAACACACATATTAGCCCAGTATTAGCCTAGGCCTACACGGGGTCAGGATCGCCAATATCACTGACTTCCCCTCCATATCCTGTCCCAATGGAGGGCTTCAGCAATCCCTCCTGAAGGACCTGCCTGAGGCTGCTTTATAGTTACTTTGTTTTTGTTTTTAATCAGTAGTAGTATACTCTAAGATCATGATAAAAAAGTTGGCCGGGTGTGGCGGCTCACGCTTGTAATCCCAGCACTTTGGGAGGCCGAGGCGGGCGGATCATGAGGTCAGGAGATCGATACCATCCTGGCTAACACAGTGAAACCCCATCTCTACTAAAAACACAAAAGATTAGCAGGGCGCGGTGGCAGGCGCCTGTAGTCTCAGCTACTCGGGAGGCTGAGGCGGGAGAATAGCGTGAACCCGGGAGGCAGAGCTTGCAGTGAGCCGAGATCGCGCCACTGCACTCCAGCCTGGGCGACAGAGTGAGACTCCATCTCAAAAAAAAAAAAAAAAAAAAAAGTATAGGATAGTATATACATGAACTAGTGACACAGTGGTTTATCATCATTTGCAAGTACTGTGCACTGGACGTAATTGTATGTGCTAGACTTTCCTATGACTGGTGGTGCAGAGGGCTTGTTTACCCCAGCATCACGGGTGCGTACACACACATACACACACGAGTAACGTACTGCACGGTGACGTGACGATGGCCACCACAGCACCAGGCGACAGGGAATCTTCAGATCCACTACAATCTCTCATGAGACCCCTGTCGGATGTGCAGTTAGTCACTGACCAAAATGTTTCTACGCGGCGCACGACTGTGTATACATTTGGTCATAATGCTTTTCTAAAAAACAGTGTCTCACTCTGTTGCCCAGGCTGGAGTGCAGTGACACAATCATAGCTCACTGCAGCCTTGAACTCCTGGGCTCAAGTGATCCTCCCACCTCAGCCTCCCAAGTAGCTGGGACTACAGGTGCATGCCACCACACCTGGCTAATTTTTTTTTATTTTTTGTAGAGATGGGATCTTGCTATGTTGCCCCCAGGCTGGTTTCAAACTCCTGGCCTCAAGCGATCCTCCCGCCTTGGCCTCCCAAAGTGCTGGGATTATAGGTGTGAGCCACTGTGCCTGGCCCATAATGTGCTTTATCTATATAATTTGGTTATAATGTGATAGCATGATCTCTTTATGTGTGTGCCTGTATCTGTAACACATTATGACCAAATCAAGTTTATCCCTGGATTGAAACGGTGCCTTAACATTAGGAAATACATTTATACATTCTCCATAGTAACAGAATAAGGAAGGAACATCTCTGGTCATCTCGCTAGCATAGGAAAAATGCTTTTTTAATTTTGTTTTTATTTTTTGAGACAAGGGCTCTCTGTGTCACCCAGGCTGGAGTGCAGTGGTGCAATCACAGCTCACTGCAGGCTTGACTTCCCAGGCTCAAGCGATCCTCCCTCCTCAGCTTCCCAAGTATCTGGAATCACAGGTGTGCAACCACCATGCTTGGCTAGTATTTTTTAAACTTTCACTGGAGACAGGGTCTCCAACGTCTGACTGGTCAGACAGTGTTGCTCAGGCTGGTCTCAAACTCCTGAACTAAAGTGATCCTCCTGCCTCGGCTTCCCAAAGTGCTACAATTATAGGCGTGAGGCACTGCACCTGGCCAGGAAAAACATTTAAAAAAACATAATATCTATGTATCCATAATAAAAATGCATAGCAAAGGGAAGACAACTTCCTTAACCCCAAACCTCAGCCACATGGTATAGCAGCGATGACTTCTGGAAGAACACACAGGATTTTCATGAAGCTTGATGAACTGATTCTAGAATTTAGAGCAGAGTCAAGAACAGTCAAAACGCTCTTGAAGAAGCTAGGAGGGACTTCGCCTCCCAGGTCATAGGGCATATTGTAAATCTGTAGTAACTAAAGGAGTTATGTCATTCTAGTCAAAGGGACAGGATAGACTGAGAGCTCAGAGAGGCACGTGTGACTATATAAACTCGATGCATGGCAAAGGGGGTGCCATAAATCAGCAGGAGGAAACGGACATTCGATAAATGGTGCTTGGGCAACTGGTTATCCCCGTGGGGAGGGGAGCAGGAATGGTATTCAACCATCACTTCATATCAAAAAACAGAAATCAAGGTACAAACATGAGATACAAAGAGCACAAGATACAAAAAGCACAGTGTGACGCAGAAGACTCACACCACAAAGAGAGAAAGTACTATCTGCAACTATAATCACAATGAGCATGTCTGTTTATCAAAAGTCAACACAAAGAAGGTGAAAACAGAGGACGCACACTCAGAGAAGACAATTCCAGCATGCACCTAACTGACAAAGGGTTAGCGTCTAGAATGAAGACTTCCTAAAATCCAAAAGAGAAAAATGACAACCTGATGGAAAGATGGATAAAGGCATGAATAGGCTTTCACTGGAAACAACACACAAATGGCCAACGATGGTCCATCTCAAAGTATTCCAACAAATGGCCAGGCGTGGTGGCTCATGCCTGTTACCCTAGCACTTTGGGAGGCTGAGGCAGGCGGATTAGGAGGTCGGGAGTTCAAGACCAGCCTGGCCAACATGGTGAAACCCCGTCTCTACTAAAAATAGAAAAATTAGCCAGGCGTGGTGGTGCACGCCTGTAATCCCAGTTACTCGGGAGGCTGAGGCAGGAGAATTGCTTGAACCTGGGAGGCAGAGATTGCAGTGAGCTGAGATGGTACCATTGCACTCCAGCCTGGGCAATAGAGTGAGACTCCATCTCAAAAAAAAAAAAAAGTATTACAAGAAATGGAAATGAAAACTTTAACAGGGCACCATTTTGTATAGACTAGACTGACAACAATGATCACGTCTAATGATGTCCAGTGTTAGCAAGGATGTTGGTTGGCAGAGACTCTCGTGCACTGATGGCTGTTCTGAAAATGAATTTCAAATGATCTAGCCATGCCGATGATGTGATACCCTTTGGCCCAGCAATTCCGCTCCTAGGTACAGGCCCGAGACAAACTTCTGCACCAGAGCTCCAGGACAGGACAGACCACTACATCATGGTTCACAAGATCAAACCACCAGAAAAAACTCGATTTCCATGTAACAGATGAATAAATATATGGATGTATATTCATACAATGAAGCACAACACAGAACTGGAGATTAAAGAACTACAGCCATGCCCACCAGTAGATGAATCTTCAAATAATTTTGAATAAAAAACAAGTCGTAAGGGCCAGGCACAGTGGCTCACGTCTGTAATCCCAGTGCTTTGGGAGGCTGAGATGGGAAGATGGCTTGAGTCCAGGAGTTCAAGATCAGCCTGGGCAACATAACAAGACCACATCTCAACAAAAATAAAAAGAATTAGCTGAGCATGGTGGTGCGTGCATCTGTAATCTCAGTTATTTGGATGGCTGAGGCAGGATGATGACTTGAGCCAAGGAGTTTGAGGCTGCAGTGAGCCATGACTGCACCACTGCACTCTAGCCTGGGCAACAAAGACCCAGCTTATTTAAAAAAAAAAAAAAAAAAAAAAAAAAAAAAGCAAGGTGCAAAAAAACAGAATACATACACCGACACCATTTTTATGTATAATTAAAATTAACAAGTAAACACTATTTATGGATGTACCTAAAAGTAGTATCATTAGAATAATTATAAGGAAAAGCAATATCATGATAATAAAAATTAATTCAGACTAGTGGTCACCTCTGGGGTCCAGAGCATGGGATAAAAGAATGGTACAAGGCGCATAACAGGTTCCCGGGTACTTGTTCTGTTCCTAAACTCCCTGATTTTTATATCTATTTTTATATGTTATTGTATGTCAAATAGCTTTCTTTAAAAAAAAAAAGTATTAGAATTCATAAGAGCCCAATAAAGCAGTCAGCTTAAAAATGTGTATTCTGGGCTGGGCGCGGTGCATCACACCTGTAATCCCAGCACTTTGGGAGGCCAAGGCAGGCGGATCACGAGGTCATGAGATCGAGACCATCCTGGCTAACATGGTGAAACCCCGTCTCTACTAAAAATACAAAAAAATTAAGAGTGAGACCCTGTCTCAAAAAAAAAGAAAGAAAGAAAGAAAAGAAAAAAGTAAAAGGAAAGTTTTTCAATACTTAAGGAAAAAAGACAATCAACAGACAGCAGTCCCAGAATAACCCAGGTAACTTTTTTTAATTCATGAGGTTAAGATGAACAATCTGGAAGTGAATGGAAGGATAGAATTTCTCTGCAGAGAGAGAGAAACTAGAATTAAATGGAAATTTTAGAATTGAAAAAAAAAAAAAACACATTATCCAAAATAAAAAATTCATAGGATGGGCTCAATATTAGAATGGAGATGAAAAGAGGAGGCTTTGGGAAACCTGAAGACAGGTCACTATAAACGGTCCACTCTGAAGAACAGAGAGTATAAAAGATTGGGTGGAAAAGGAATAGAATCTCAGGAACCTGTGGAACGATAAGCTCGATTGTTCCTGTCATTGAAATCCCAAAAGGAGAGAAGTAATTGGAGCAGGAAATTATATTTGAAGACATTGTGGCCATACTTTTCCAAATTTGGTAGAAAACATAAATTTGCCGATTCAAGAACTCGGCAAATTCCAAATAGGATAAACACAAAGAAAACAATGCCCAGGCACATCATTATCAAAATGCTGAAAAAGAAAGATAAAGAAGCCTTGAGGGCAGCTGGAGGACGTGATAACCGTGGGAAAAACAATACCTCATGTAACTTTGGGTTTATCCTCAGAAAACACAGAAAATCAACATACTTAAGGTGCCTAAAGAACTGTCAACCTACAATTCTATGTCCAGCAAAAATATCTTTCAGGAATGAAGGGGAAATGAAGATATTTTCAGAGGAAGGAAAATTAAGAGAATTTGTTATCAGTGGACCTTCTTTTAATGAAATTCTAAAGGAAATTCTTCAGACTGAAAGGAAGTAATGCTAGAGGGAAACTGGAACTTAGGAATAAAGGAAAACCAGTAGAAACACAAATATCAGGGTAAATATAACAGAGTGTTTCTTCTTAAGTTCTTTAGAATACATATAACTATTGATAGCAAAAAATGTAACATTTACCTGGGTGGTTTTCAATGTATGCAGACATAAATATGTATGACAGTCTTAACATAAAGGTGGAGAGAATTCTCCACTTACGAAATGTAGCTGAAGTGGTAAAATATTTACTCTATGTAGACCGTGAAAAGTTGCACCATATACACTATAATCTTTAATGCAACCATTAAAAAATACAAGAAGATATAGCAAAAAAGCCAATAGATATATACAGTGGAAAACAAAAAATACTCAAATAATCCAACAGATGAATTTAAAACAGATATGACAAAAACAAAATGGAGGCTCTAAATTCAGCCATATTCATAATCACATTAAATATAATTTTTTTTTTTGAGACAGAGTCTTACTCAGTCACCCAGGCAGGAGCGCAGTGGCACGATCTTGGCTCACTGCAACCTCTGCCTCCTGTGTTCTAGCGATTCTCCTGCCTCAGTCTGCAGAGTAGCTGGGACTACAGGCGCCCGCCACCATGTCTGGCTAATTTTTGTATTTTTTTTTAGTAGAGATGGGGTTTCACCATGTTGGGCAGGCTGGTCTCGAACTCCTGACCTCGTGATCCACCCGCCTTGGCCTCCCAAAGTGCTGGGATTACAGGCGTGAGCCACTGCGCCTGGCCATAAATGATTCTTTAAAAACTTTTATAATAAATGATTATGGTAAAGTTGCAGAATACGAAATCAACACACAAAAGTCAGTAGCATTCCTACACACTAACAACAAACTATCAAGAAAACTGTCCCCCATTTACAATAGCCACAAAACAAGAAAATACTTAGGAATAAATTTAACCAAGCAGGAGAAATATCTGTATACTGAAAACTCTAAGACATTGATAAAAGAAATTAAAACACAAATAAATGGAGAGAGATTTCATGTTCATGGACTGGAAGAATAAATATTGTTAAAACGTTCATACTACCCAAAGTTGTATACAGATACAGTGCAATCCCTATCAAAATTCCAATGTCCTATTTCACAGAAATAGAAAAAAAAATCCTAAAATTCATATGAAACCACACACACACACACACACACACACACACACACACACACACACAGCCAAGGGAATCTTGAGCTAAAAGAACAAAGCTGGAGGCATCACACTACCTGACTTCAAACTATATTACAAAAGCTAAAGTAATTAAAACAGTATGTTGGTCCGGGTGGGGTGGTTCATGCCTGTAATCCCAAAGGGAGGCTGAGGTGGGTGGATTACCTGAGGTCAGGAGCTCCAGACCAGCCTGGCCAACATGGTGAAACCCCGTCTCTACTCAAAATGCAAAAATTAGCTGGGTGTGGTGGCACATGCCTGTAATCCCAGCTACTTCTGAGGCTGAAGCAGGAGAATTGCTTGAACCCTGGAGGCGGAGGTTACAGGGAGCCGAGGTCGCACCACTGCACTCCAGCCTAGGCGGTAGAGCAAGATTCCATCTCTAAATAAATAAATAAAAACAGCATGTTACCAGCATAAAAATGGACGCATCAGCCAATGAAACAAGAGTACAGAGCCCAGAAATGAACCCATGCATTGATGCTCAATTGATTTGCAGCAGAGTTACCAAGAACACACAGTGGGAAAAGGACAGTGTCTGTAACAAAGAGTTTAGGAAACTGGGTATTCACAGACAGAAGAATGAAATTGGACCCTTATCTCATACCACATTAAAAAAAAAACTCAAAATGGATTAGAGACTTAACGTAAGACCTCAAACTGTAAAGCTACTAGAAGAAAACTAGGGAAAACCACAGGCAATTGGTCGGGGCAATGATATTTTGGATTTGATTCCAAAAGCTCAGGCAACAAAAGCAAAAATAACAGGAGGGATTATGTCAAACTGGAAAGCTTCTGCACAGCACAGGAAATAATTAACAGAGTGAAGAGACATCTTACAGATTGAGAAAAAATATCTGCAAGCCACACATCTAATAAGGGCTTAATATCCAAAATACATAAGGAACTCAAACAACTCAACAGTAAGCAAACAACTCGGGCAAAGGCCCTGAATAGACATTTCTCTAAAGAATACATGCAAATGACCAACAGGTAATGAAAACATGCTCATCATCACAAGCCATTAGGGAAATGTACAAATCAAAACTACAATGAGATACCACCTCATGTCTGTTAGGATGGCTAATATCAAAAAGATGAAAGAGGCCAGGTGCGGCGGCTCACGCCTGTAATCCCAGCACCTGGGGAGGCTGAGGTGGGTGGATCACTTGAGGCCAGGAGTTCAAGACCAGCCTGGCCAACATGGCAAAACCCCATCTCTACTAAAAATACAAAAAATTAGCTGGGTGTGGTGGCACATGCCTGTCATCCCAGCTACTCAGGAGGCTGAGGCAGGAGAATTGCTTGAACCTGGGAGGCGGAGGTTGCCATGAGCCAAAATTGTGCCACTGCACTCCAGCCTGGGCGACAGAGTGAGACTATCTCAAAAAAAAAAAAAAAAAATTGATGAAAGATGGCAAGGGTTGGTGAGAATGTGGGGCAAAAGAAACCCTTGTATACTTGCGTGGGAATGTAAACTACTACACCCATTATAGAAAACATGATGCAGCTTCCTCAAAAAGCTAAAAACAGAATGCCCATGTGATCCAGCAATCCCACTTCTGGATATCTCTCCTAAGGATTTGAAATCAGTATGTTGAAGAGATATCTGCCCTCTCATGTCCACTGGAACATTATTTACAATAGTCAAGTTATGGAATCAAACTGGGTGTGCATCAGTGGCTGAATGAATAAAGAAAACGTGGTATACTACTATGGAATACTGTTCAGCCTTGAAAAAGCATGAAATTTTGTCATTTGTAACAACATGGATGAACCCAGAGGACATTTTGCCAAGTGAAATAAGCTGTGCACAGAAAGACAAATATTGCATGTTCTCACTCCTTTTTTTGAGACGGAGTCTCGCTCGGTCACCCAGGCTGGAGTACAGTGGCCCAATCTTGGATCACTGCAAGCTCCGCCTCCTGGGTTCATGCCATTCTCCTGCCTCAGCCTCCCGAGTAGCTGGGACTACAGGCTCCCGCCACCACACCCAGCTAATTTTCTGTATTTTTAGTAGAGACGGGGTTTCACCGTGTTAGCCAGGATGGTCTCGATCTCCTGACCTTGTGATCCGCCCGCCTCGGCCTCCCAAAGTGCTGGGATTACAGGCGTGAGCCACCGCGCCCGCCCTGCATGTTCTCGCTCCCACGTGGAATCTAAAACAACGAAACTCAGAAGCAGAGTAAAATGGTGGTTGTCGCACGTGGGGAGGTGGGGAAAATGGGGAGATATTGGTAAAAGGGGACAAAGTTTCAGTTAGGATGAATACATGGTAAGTGTTTGATGGGATGGATATACTGATTAGCTTGATTCAATCATTCCACACTGTATATGTGTATCATGACATCACTTTGTACCCCATAAATAATTATAATTTGTCAATATAAATTTTTTTAATTTTTTTATTTTTTGAGTTGGAGTCTCGCTCTGTCACCCAGGCTGGAGTGCAGTGGCACGATCTTGGTTCACTGTGACCTCTGCCTCCTGGGTTCAAATGATTCTCCTGCCTCAGCCTCCTGAGAAGCTGGGATTACAGGCACCCACCACCACACTCAGCTCATTTTTGTATTTTTAGTAGAGACGGGGTTTCGCTACGTTGGCCAGGCTGGTCTCAAACTCCTGACCTCAAGTGATCTGCCTGCCTCGGCCTCCCAAAGTGCTGGGATTACAAGTGTGAGCCACCGTGGCTGGCCTAAAATTTTTTTAATAAAATTATTTTTAAAATTTAAAACTAAAAAAAAAGCAAATGTAAATAGTTTAAGTACACCAGTTGAAAGAGAGTGATTGTCAAATTGAATTAAAACAAACAAAATCCCATAGAATCTCCAAAAATGTTCCTCCAGCTAATAAATGAGTTTAGCAAGGTCATGGGAAATAAGGTCAATATACAAAAATTGGCCGGGCACGGTAGCTCAGGCCTGTAATCCCAGCACTTTGAAAGGCCGAGGCAGGTAGATCACCTGAGGTCAGGAGTTTGAGATCAGCCTGACCAATATGATAAAACCCCATCTCTACCTAAAAATACAAAAATTATACAGGCGTGGTGGTGGCGCTGTAGTCCCAGCTACTTGGGAGGCTGAGGCACGAGAATCACTTGAACCTGGGAGGCGGAGGTTGCAGTGAGCCAAGATCTCACCACTGCACTCCAGCCTGGGCAACAGAGTCAGAGTCTGTCTCAAAAAAATAAGTAAAAAGTGAAAAAAAAATATATATGTCTATAGACTAGCAACAAACAGCGGTTGGAGGCTGTAGTGAGCTGGGATTGAACCACCACACTCCAGTCTGGGCCACAGAGTACCCTGTTTCTAAAAATAATAATGATAATAAAGAATGGTTACATAAAGAATTTGGGCAACATGAAATGCTGGTGAGTATTTAGAGCAAACAGAATCATTTTTGGTGGCGGGAGGAAACGTCCCATGCACGGCCACTCTGGAAAACAGTTTCACAGTTTCTCAGACCTACAGTGACCTTCTGAGCTAGCAATCCCATTGTTACTGGCTGGAAGGTGTTAGCTGTGAGCCAAGGTTTGGAACCTGTCCACAAACCTGCCAGGGTCCTCCGAGTACCTTCCCCACTTTCCCTGACATTGTTGGGTATCAGTTGTGGGAAATGAGACTTGCACTGGACTGGACCCCACTCCTCCCGAGAGGGACGGTGCCATGGGACCTGCGGAAGAGGGTGATCCGCTCTGGGGATGTGGGGGGCTGAGGAGGATTTGACAAGAGACAAGTGGCCCTTGTAAGAGGGGGTCATCCACAACATCCAGCTCAGTCTTAGGATTTTTTTTTTTTTTTTTAAGAACAAGTCTCAGGTCTAAAACTCAGTCTCTTTAGACCGAGTTGCCCAGGCTGGAGTGCAGTGGCGCGATCTAGGCTCACTGCAACTCCACCTCCCGAATTCAAGTGATTCTCTGGCCTCAGCCTCCTGAGTAGCCGGGATTACAGGCTTGAGCCATCAAACACCTGGCTAAATTTTTGTATTTTTAGTAGAGACGGGGTTTCACCATGTTGGCCAAGCTGGTCTTGAATCCCTGACCTCAAGTGATCACCTGCCTCTGCCTCCCAAAGTGTTGGGATTACAGGTGTGAGCCATCGCGCCCGGCCTCAGGACTTTTTTTTGAGGGCCCGTCTTAGAAGCTTTACAGATTGCAGGATTCTGGAAGGTGTTTCCCATAGTGGTCTGGCCTAGGGAGGGCCTGCATATTGCAGACGTTTCTGACCTCAGGGGGTCAGGCGACGTCCCCAGCCTTAGGGTGTCAGACATCCCGAACCCCAGGGTGGGCCCTGGCGCTGGTTTGGAGGCGTCCCCCGTAGGCGATGGATTGATTTACTGTGATTCCCCTAGTCCCGGGATGCAATGCTTAGCTATTTGCGTCCCAAGTGAAATAAGCTTCTTCAGCCGGTAACCCTCGTGAGACACGGGACCTCACCACAGACCTTAACACTATTAACAGCAAAGTCAGGGATCCGTCCCTCGGAACCATGAAGAATTCCGGGTTCTCACGCAGAAAGACTCACACATAAAACGGGGGGCCCCTGTCCCGCTCTCAGAAGAGGACCCTAAAAACGTAACTCCACACCACCGCCTCCGGCACAGGGACACAGACACCGACCGGAACGGGGGCTCTCGGCTCCGCAAAGACATTCTGCAGCACAAACATCGCCCTGGCTGTTGCGCGGACGTGTCTTGTGCTCGGCAGGACCTGAACGACCCGTTCCCTGACCGAGTTATCGTGTCACCGGAGACTTCAAGCGGCGGGTGCCCTGGTGGCTTTTCACTGCTCAACCCGCGCCCACAGATGACAGCTTCGACAAAGAAAGAAGAAAAAAACACATCCCCAAATTCGGGCTTACCTCCCGGCCTGCTCGCCAACACGGGTGGCCGGATGGAAGGTCTCGGCTGCGAGTTGTCCAGGGTCTTGGCGTGTTGAAGAAAGAATGGAACAAAATGCACGCACAAAGCAACAAGAGAATGAAGCAAAGAAAGACAAGAGAAAGGACAGGGGAGGAGAAAAGGCACAATTCACGGAGCAAGAGACGCCCCAGCATGTGGCTCAAGAGTCTCCTGATTGCAAGGCTCCCAGGGCTTTTATAAGGCCAAGAAAACTTGGCACCACCCCCTCGGTGCCCTTTAGAGGTCTCCGATTGGTTACCCACCTATGAAGGATTGGCCTTTGACCAATCAGAGGCTGAAGTGGAGGCTCGGCCCGCAGTCAATCAGGGGCTGAAGTAGAGGGGTCTGTCTTGTTATCACAGGTTAAAGGCGGCCTGTGTGCTGCCTCACCTTGCCTAGAACTGGCTGCACCTGCTGGTCTTTTGCTTCTCCCTTAACCCCTGGTTACCTTCATTCTCTATTCTCCTGCCTCAATATCATGGATATCTATCCAGAAAACTGAAAAATTGTGCTCACACAAAAACCGATGCCTGCAAGTTCATAGTTTTGTTCATATTTACTGAAGACGGAACTCAGCCTTCAACTGGTGCATAAGGAAACCGTGATGCCTTCATACCGAGGAATACCACTCAGCAATTAAAATGACACACATACCTACTGGGATCAATCAGACGCCAGCTGAAGGAACCTCTGAAGGTTCCCGCTGGAGGAGTCCTGGGTCTGGGTGATGCCGCAGGGTGGCTGGACCGGGCAGCCAACAGCACTGGGAGGGGCACAGGGCGGGCTAAGGGGTTCAAGGAAGGCTGGTTGCAGAGGCTCGGCACCTGAGAGCTATTTTTGAGGAGCTGCACCTTGATTTTGGCAGTGGTTGCGTGACTCTGTACATTTGTCCGATTCTTAGAATTGCACACCAGAAAAGCTGACTTTTACCTATGTAAATTCAAACAAACTTTTAAAAGAAAGATGTATTTCAAAATAATTTTTATTTTTGGGGAAGGAGTCTTGCTCTGTTGCCCAGGCTGGAGTGCAGTGGCACGATCTTGGCTCACTGCAACCTCTGCCTCCCAGGTTCAAGTGATTCTTCTGCCTCAGCCTCCCAAGTAGCTGGGATTACAGGTGCCCACCACCACACCACACCCGACTAATTTTTGTATTTTTACTAGAGACGGGGTTTCACCATGTTGGCCGGGCTAGTCTTGAACTCCTAACCTCAAGTAATCCACCCACCTCAGCCTCCCAAAGTGCTGGGATTACAGGCATGAGCCACTGCGCCCAGCTAAAGACTTTTTTTTCTGCCTATTAGCAACAGCCATCAGAATAACATGGGGGAAATAGCCCATTCAAAATAATAATAACATGAAATTAAAAATGCTTTAGGTCTCGGAAAAAATGCCACGACCTTAGAGTGAATATCAGTGGGCACTGGGGTGTTGCTCCTGTAGCCCTGGGGTGTTGTTCTTGATGGAAGTGACAGAGCCCACTGGAAGCTGCATGAGCAGACGGGGGTGGGTGGTGTCACCGGCTCCCCAGGCCAGCTGGTTGCAGGACCTCAAACGAGGCACGTGTGGGCGCTGTGGTGTCTTTGCTCTAAACAACTGCTGCTCTCCCTGGTGAATTTTAACTCTGTGTGTGTGTGTGTGTGTGTGTGTGTGTGTGTTTGTGTGTGTTGTACATGCACAGGCACATACACACACAGAGTTAAATGGCTGGGTGGTGGTTACGTGACATGGGTGGCGTGTGTGCGTGGGTGTCATGGGTTGAGTGTTCAAGTCCTAACCGCCAGTGCGTGTGAACGGGAACTTGTTTGGAAACAGGGTCTTTCCAGATGATCAAGGTGAGACGAAATCATTAGGGTGGCCCCTAATCTAATATGACCAGTGACCCCATTACAAGGGGGACATTTGGACACAGAGACAGAGATGCACATGCAAAGATGAAGGCAGAGATCGGGTGAATCTTCTAGAAGCCAAGGGATCACCCAAGGCTGCCCTCCAACGATCGTAAGCTAAATGAGAGAGCCAGGGACGGACTCTCCCTGACAGCCTTGGGAAGGAACCAGCCCTGCCCATGCCTTGCTTTTGGGGGTCCGGCCTCCTGAGCTGTGGGACAATATGTCTCTGTTGTTGGAGCTTCCTAGTGTGTGGCACTTTGTAAAGGCAGCTCTAGCAAAGTGAGGCAGTGTGTACGCTGTTACTTAGTGGGTTTGCACTACTTAGCCTTTAATAAACACCATAGAAGACGTGAAGTTAATTCAGAGAATTCCCAGTTACATGCCAGGCCCCAGCACACACACACACACACACACACACACACACACACACACAGTGACACATGCTTATTCTGTGTGTAAGTTCACAAAGGTTTGGAATGATTTGGGCTCACAGTTTGTTTTGGGTTTTCACCTTGTGGTCTTATATTTTCCTAGGTTTGAGTAATAGGTTCAAAGTAAACAATTAGCCAGGCACAGTGGCTCACGTCTGTAATCCCAGCACCTTGGGAGGTTGAGGCCGGAGGATTGCTTGAGTCCAAGAGTTTAAGACCAGCCTGGGTTGGCCGGGCACAGTGGCTCACGCCTGTAATCCCAGCACTTTGGGAGTCTGAGGCAAGCGGATCACGAGGTCAGGAGATCGAGACCATCCTGGCTAACACAGTAAAACCCCGTTTCTACTAAAAATACAAAATATTAGCCGGGCATGGTGGCAGGTGCCTGCAGTCCCAGCTACTTGGGAGGCTGAGGCAGGAGAATGGCGTGAACCCAGGAGGCGGAGCTTGCAGTGAGCCGAGATTGTGCCACTCCAGCCTGGGTAAGAGAGCAAGACTCTGTCTCAAAAAAAAAAAAAAAAAAAAAAGACCAACCTGGGCAACATAGTGAGACCCTGGTCCCTACAAAAAAATTTAAAAATTAGCCAGCATGGTGGTGCATGCTTGTAATCCCAGCTACTCAGGAAGACTAGGTGGAAGGATCGCTTGAGGCCAGGAGTTGGAGGGTGCAGTGAGCCATGATCTCGCCACTGCACCGCAGCCTGGGTGACAGAGCAAGACCCTGTCTTAAAAAAAAAAAATTGTAGCCCAGGCTGGGCATGGTGCCTCATGCCTGTAATCCCAGCACTTAGGGAAGCCGAGGCGGGTGGATCATCTGAGGTCAGGAGTTCAAGACCAGCCTGGCCGATATGGTAAAACCCCGCCTCCACTAAAAACACAAAAATTAGCCAGGTGTAGTGGTCCACGCCTGTAGTCCCAGCTACTTGGGATCCCGAGGCAGGAGAATCACTTGAACCCAGGAGGAGGAGGTTGCAATGAGCTAAAATTGCAGCATTGTATTCCAGCCTGGGTGACAGAGCGAGGCTCCATCTCAAAAAACAAAACAAAACAAAACAAAAAGCAAAACAAAATTTAACCCAGTGCCTTAGTTTTCGATGGCTGCCGTAATGAACTGCCACACATTTAGGTGGCTTAAAATAATACAAACTTATTCATACAGTTCTATAGGTTAGGTGTAAAGTCCAAATCGGGTCTCCGTGGGCTAAAATCAAGGCGTCCAAAGGGCTGATTCCTTCTGGAGGCTCGGGGAGAATCTGTTTCCTGGCTTTTCCAGCTCCTGGAGGCGCCCACATTCCCTGGCAAGGGGCCCTTCCTCCATCTTCAGAGCCCACAGAGTAGCATCTTCTGTGCCCAGATGTCCCAGGCCCCCCTCTTATAAGGACCTTTGTGATGACCTCAGGCCCACCTGGAGAACACAGGAAACTCGCTTTCTGCAGAGCCCTGCCTGAGTCATGTCTGCAAAGTCCCCATTGTCACACAAAGCACGAGGGTCACGGGTCCCGGGGGTCCAGACCTGGGCATCTTCAGGGCCATCGCTCTGCCCACCGCACATAGCAACGTAAAAGCGCAGACACGGAACCCCACTTCCGCCAGCCCTTTATTCTCTGTGACCACGTGGAGATTGTATCTGGGTTTAAAATTCAAGAGTGACACAGAGTATGAATTGCAAAGTGTCATATTTTGATTTGGTGAATGCAAATTTTCTTTCATATGTGAGATATTTTACTAAAATTGGCTAATATATTTTTAATTGAAATTTACTCTTATTTTTTTTTTTTTTTGACAGACTCTTGCTCTGCCACCCAGGTAGTAGTGCAGTGGTGTGATCTCGGCTCACTGCAACCTCTGCCTCCCGGGTTCAAGCAATTCTCCTGCCTCAGCCTCCTGAGTAGCTGGGATTACAGGCATGTGCCACCATGCCCAGCTAATTTTTGTATTTTTAGTAGAGACGGGGTTTCGGCATGTTGCCCAGGCTGGTCTCGTACTCCTGACCTCAGGTGATCCACCCACCTCGGCCTCCCAAAGTGCTGTGATTACAGGCATGAGCCACCACACCCAGCCAATTTTATTTTAAAACTAAAGAATGACTCAAGAAAATAAAGATGTTGCCTAAATTGTAGCTTTGAAGATATTTTGGTTTTATAAAAGTCACTTATTTTTTGACTGGAATGATCGTATACATGAAATGCAATAAAATAAAATGTTCACAGCTGCATTCCTGTCCTTGCATTATTATTATTATTTTCTTGAGACAGGGTCTTGCTCTGTCATCCAGGCTGGAGTGCAGTGGCACAATCATGGCTCACTGCAGCCTTGACTTACCCCCAGGGTCAGGTGATCCTTCCACCTCAGCCTCCCACAAAGCTGGGACCACAGGCTTGTGCCACCATGCCTGCCTAATTTTTTATTTTTTTTTTTGAGGCAGAGTCTCGCTCTGTTGCCCAGGCTGGAGTGCAGTGGCGCGATCTCAGCTCACCACAACCTCCGCCTCCCGGGTTAAAGTGATTCTCCTGCCTCAGCCTCCCAAGTAGCTGGGATTACAGGCGTGTGCCACCATGCCCGGCTAATTTTTGTATTTTTAGTAGAAACAGGGTTTCACCATGTTGGTGAAGCTGGTCTCGAACTCTTGACCTCGTGATCTGCCTGCCTCGGCCTCCCAAAGTGCTGGGATTACAGGCGTGAGCCACCACGCCTGGCCATGCCTGCTTAATTTTTGTATTTGTAGTAGAGACGGGGTTTCATCATGTTGCACAGGCTGGTCTCAAACACCTGGGCTCAAGCAGTCCTCCTTCCTTGGCCTTCCAAAGTGCTGGGGTTACAGGTGTGAACCACCACACAGCCTTCTTATGCGATTGTATCAAAAGGCACAAGGAACCGCCATGAGCACTCCACGCTGGGAGCACTCCATGCTGGGAGCACTCCACGGTGGGAGCACTCCACGCTGGGGGCATTTCCCACGCTGGGGGCATTTCCCACGCTGGGGGCACTCCACGCTGGGGGCATTTCCCACGCTGGGGGCATTTCCCACGCTGGGGGCACTCCACGCTGGGGGCATTTCCCACGCTGGGGGCATTTCCCACGCTGGGGGCACTCCACGCTGGGGGCATTTCCCACGCTGGGGGCATTTCCCACGCTGGGGGCACTCCACGCTGGGGGCATTTCCCACGCTGGGGGCATTTCCCACGCTGGGGGCACTCCACGCTGGGGGCATTTCCCACGCTGGGGGCATTTCCCATGCTGGGGGCACTCCACGCTGGGGGCATTTCCCACGCTGGGGCTCCAGGCTCTGCAGGCAGGGGATGCATCCCAGCAGCAAGGCCCCTAAACCAACGTGCTACCCTCAGACGAGGGCCACTGTCCTTCCAGCTGGGGGTGAGGGTCCCCACCTCTCCCTGGACCTGTCCCCTTCAGGCCAGCCACTGTGAGGGTCTGTCGCCTGCAGCATTCACTCCTGGACCACTTTCCAGGTTGAGGAAAGAGCCCAGGCTCTACCACTGACCAGCTTCCTGGCCTTGGGCAAGTTATGAAACTTCTCTGTGCCCCGTTTCCACACTCGTAAATGGGATGACGATGATTCTGTCGGAGCTGAGATGCGGCTGGCACATACCGGTGTGGGGTCCGTTTCAACCAGGCAGTGCTGGGGTCCTGCCAGTCATCATCATTATTGTTATTATTGAGACGGGATCTCGCTCTGTGGCCCAGGCTGGAATGCAGTGGTGCAATCCTAGCTCACTGCAGCCTCGACCTCTTGGGCTCAAGCAATTCTCCCGCCTCAGCTTCCTGAGTAGCTGGAACTACAGGTGCTCACCACCACGCTCGGCTAATTTATTAATTTTTTTAGAGACAGGGTCTCACTATGTTGCCCAGGCTGGTCTTGAATTCCTGGCCTCAAGCATTCCTCCTGCCTCAGTTTCCCGTAGTGTTGGGATTACAGGTGTGAGCCACCACGCCCAGCCCAGTTATTAAATGTTTTGAACATCACTCCTATCTGTCCCCATGCGGTTATTGTGAGGACAACAGGAGTCCATGCTTGTAAACTTTGGAGAGCAGGGCCTGGCACACAGCAAGGGCTCCGCGAATGTTTTTATTGTTGCGTTTCTCAGGCAGGCAGACTCTCCCCAGACCCATCCCATCCTTACAGATGGTAATTCCAGAGAAAGAAAATGCTTTCATTTCCCAACACCCATATACCCAATCTCACGGAGGGACCGACGGCCGGGCTGTGATCCATTGCTGTGGTTGGGGAGATGGAGTTCTCTGATTGGCTCCGATTGGTTCATGGCTTCACCCCTTTGGTGGGGACGGCATCCCTGGGAGTGCGAAGGAAAGAGGCTCTGAGGCCGGGGTAGTGGTTGCTGGGTAGATACTAACACACACGCACACACGTACACACACAGGCACACACATGCACACATGCACACACATATGCACACATGCACACATGCACACACAGGCACACACAGGCACACATGCACACACAGGCACACACATGCACACACGCGCGTGCACACACACAGCACACACGTATGCACACTCGCACACATGCACACGCACACACGCATGCACACATGCACACGCACACACGTGCAGACACGCACACACATGCACACACACGTGCACACACAAACACGCACGCACGCAAACGCACGCACACACAGAAAAAAAAGAAAAAAGAAAAAGAAATGTCTTCTCCACTGGGGCATATAAAAACCCACTTTGCATAAAAGGAAAGTTACGATGTTGCTGCATTGAAGACAATATTATAAAGATGTAATTTCCCTCCAAGTTAGTCTATAAATTTAAAGCAATCCCACACAAAAGCCCAGCAAGCGTTCTGCAATGTGGGATCGTGATTCTAAGGCTCATCTGAAGAATGCTCTCATGAGAACAGCAGAGAAAAATGTGGGAATAGAAAGGAATAATGAAGAGGGCTTACCCTATCAGACATTAAAATGCATCACTAGCTAAACCAGCTAAAGCAACCTGAATCTGGGGAGGAAGAGACAGATAGATCAATGAGTGAGAACGCAGGAGCCGGGAACAGACAGCACCTAGACGAGGATTTAGTGAGAGGTGGGAGTGGCGTCTCGCGTCAGTGGGTGTACAATGGATTGCTCGATAACCGTGCCGAACACCTGGTCAATCATTTGAAAGAAAATTCCAAAGCTCCCTACTTTGTATGCCAAACTGAAATAAATCCCAGAGTAGTAAATGTTTAAGATAAAAGGATATTGGGCCGGGCGCGGTGGCTCATGCCTGTAATCCCAGCACTTTGGGAGACCACAGCGGGCGGATCACTTGAGTTGAGGAGTTCGAGACCAGCCTGGCCAACATGGTGAAACCCCATCTCTACTAAAAATACAAAGATTAGCCGAGCATGGTAGTGGGCACCTGTAATCCCAGATACTCAGGAGGCTGAGGCAGGAGAATCTCTTGAACCCGGGAAACGGAGGTTGCAGTGAGCCGAGATCGCACCACTGCACTCCAGCCTGGGCGACAGCACAAGACTCTGTCTCCAAAAGAAAAAAAAAGATATCGAAAAACAAAAAGCAAATTATATATTATTTTCTATTAGGAGCAGTCTGGGTTTCTTAGTGATTAAAAATAGGGCCTGTGGAAATCTTCCAGGTGAGGCCTCTGCGGCATGGCATGGTGTGGTGCAGCTCACCCGTGCTGTGCAGAATGCCAGCGATCCATCCGTCTTCACCGCTGCCGGCGTTTAGTCTCTGGTCATATTGTAATTCGGTCCTTCCCCTGTTGGTGGACGCTTCAGTCGTTTCTATTTTTGGCTGTTGTGAATGGGACTATTATGAAATTCTGAAACAAAACAGAATCTGTAAAGACAAGAGATGGATAAATTTTGTTAAATAAGCGTTCAAAACATCTTCACATCAAAATAAACATGGGCCCATGGGCACATGCCTCGGTGCAGCTTTTGTTTTTTTCTTTTTTTTGAGATGGAGTCTCACTCTGTCCCCAAGGCTGGAGAGCAGTGGCACAATCTTGGCTCACTGCAACCTCCACCTGCCAGGTTCAAGCGATTCTCCTGCCTCAGCCTCCCGAGTAGCAGGGATTACAGGCGCCCACCACCACCATGCCCAGCTAATTTTTTTTTTTTTGTATTTTTAGTAGAGATGGGATTTCACCATATTGGCCAGGCCGGTCTTGAACTCCTGACCTTGTGATCCGCCCACCTCGGCCTCCCAAAGTGCTGGGATTACAGGTGTGAGCCACCGCACCCGGCCCTCGGTGTGACTTTTTGGTGGGTGGGGTCTGTCTGCCTGTCTGGCCCCCCAGGTCCCATAGCTGCAGGTGGCGGCCCTGCAGCCCTCCCTGGAGACTTAGCCCCTGGAGCTGCCCACCCTAATGCAATGATGTATCAGGAAGTTCGGTCCCCACCCCTGGTTGCCTGCAGTAAGTTCCTGACGGACCCAGGGCAGGGCAGATTCTGTGATTCCTTCTGTGTTGCAGAGTCCTCTGTGGGATCAGGCAGAGGCCTCATAGGGCATAGGGCATCCAAGCAGCTCAACTTCTCCACTCTCCTTCCCTGTCAGAGGAAGGGCAGGTGGAGCCGGGAACTGGCAGCGTCCTGGCCGTGCTGGTCTGCGAGGGCTGCCATAACGAACACCCCAGGCTGGCCGATTTAAACCACTGACATTTATTGCTCACAGCTCTGGAGGCCGGAAGTCCTCGGTCAAGGTGTGGCAAGGCTGATTCCTCCTGAGGCCTCTCTCTTTGGCTTGTGGATGGCCGTCTCCTCCCTGGAGCCTCACAACACCGGCCCTCTGTGGTCCGTGTTCAAATCTCCTCTTCCGGCCGGGCGTGGTGGCTCACGCCTGTAATCGCAGCACTTTGGGGGGCCGAGGCGGGAGGATCACCTGAGGTCAGGAGTTCGAGACCAGCCTGGCCAACATGATGAAACCCCATCTCTGCTAAAAATACAAAAATTAGCTGGGCATGGTGGCAGGTGCCTGTCATCAACTACTCAGGAGGCTGTGGCAGGAGAATCACTTGAACTTGGGAGGCAGAGGTTGCAGCAAGCCGAGATCGCACCACTGCACTCCAGCCTGGGCAACAAGAGCGAAACTCGTCTCAAAAACAAAAACAAACAACTCTCCTCTTCCTCCTGAGAGAACCCCCTAATCACTTGCAAAGAATTCCTGTCTCAGGCTCTGCCTCGAGCAAGCTCAGCCTAAAACAGTTAGTACCAGACGTGGCCCTGCAGACCTGAAGGATGACCTCTTGATACTGCCCCCACCCACTCGGCAGGTGGCCAGGGGGCCCCTGGTAACAGTCTTTGGCAGGCTGGGATGTTTCCTGAAAGGTAAAAGACAAGCGACGGTGCCTAGTACCTTCTACCACGAAGACAGGAGCACCGGGCTCCGTAGGCTGTGTTAGATGCAGGAGCAGATTATTCTGCGTTAGGTAAAACGGCTCTGCCACACTCATCAACAGGCATGGAAAATGCCAGGTTCAAGTGGCGCCTTGATGCAAGGACTCTGCCACAGCTCGAGGCTCAGGTCCAAGGAATCCTGCCACTTGGGCCGTTTGGCCGGCAGATCCCGTGGCGCTCCAGGCACCCGCGGTGGGTGAGTGTGCTGGGTAGGATGTCAGGCCAGGCACAGTGCAGTTCCGTAGCACAGGGCAAGACCGGAGTCCCCGAGCAGGGCCACGCCGCAGCGGGGAACCACATCCAATTCCAAAACAGCAGCTCCTGGCGTGCTGGGGGGCCTGGTCCTGGCCGGGCAACTAACCACGGGGTGTCCAGTGACCGTGCCGCCTGCAGGCTGCCGGCCCTGAGCCAGGGGCTGAGAAACCCAACAAGCCACGGGCACACACTGGCCCATCAGCAGGACTGGGCTTGGCCAGCTACACAGAAGGATGGCCCGGACGCCAGCGTCTCCTGATTGTTTCTCCCATGGCTCTGTATCAGCTCACGCCTGTGGGTTCAAAGATGGGCTGATGAGAGACAGAAGGCTGGGCTTGTGGGAGCTGAGAGCACGCAGCCCACCAGGCCACGCTCCCCTGTGCAGAGAGAAGGGACGCAGGGTAGGGATCCACACGGACTCATGAGCAGCGGCAAATGGCGTGGCTGCTGGGCTGGGGAGGCGGAAGGAGCAAGATTGGAATACTGGGGACAAATAATTTTGGAAGAGACATGGGGGACCTGCAGGAGTGGGCGCAAAGTACGAGAATCTTTGCAGCTCACTGTGGCACCCACCAGAGGGAGCCCACGGCAGACGAGGCTCTGAGAAACCAGGTGGAAAGGATGGCTCATGCCGGGACACCAGCCAGCCTCCACCCTCAGCCAGCCAGTCTCCACCCTCAGCCACCCCAGCCTCCACCCTCAGCCAGCCAGCCTCCACCCTCAGCCAGCCAGCCTCCACCCTCAGCCACCCCAGCCTCCACCCTCAGCCAGCTAGTCTCCACCCTCAGCCAGCTAGCCTCCACCCTCAGCCAGCCAGCCTCCACCCTCAGCCCAGCCTCCATCCTCAGCCAGCCAGCCTCCACCCTCAGCCCAGCCTCCATCCTCAGCCAGCCAGCCTCCATCCTTGGCCACCCCAGTTTCTATCCTCAGCCAGCAGCCTCCATCCTCGGCCATCCCAGTCTCCACCCTTGGCCACCCCAGCATCGCCCTTGACCACTCAGTGCTGGTGCGGTGGCTCTTATTTGGCACAGCCATGGTAGCAGGGAGGGAGGTTCTGCAGGGCCCAATAGCAAGAACTTCCCCTCACCAGGGTTCATCTAGCTTCTGCCACTGCCAAATGTCTGAACCTCGCTATGAGGCCGTCTCTTGGTGGTGGTGGCAAGTGGATTTCAGTGGACTCCTTCCGGCCTGGACTCGTGCTACCTGGGATTCAGCCAGGACCAACCCCAAGGCCCATGGAGTGTCTCATGCGCTGGCACGAGGACCCACCTAACCTCACTCTGGCTTAAGGGACCCGCTTTATGGAGGAGAAGGTGAGTCGGTAAGCACAGGACCCCGGGATTCTCTGATCCCACCACACAGTACAGCACCCCAAAACTGCCAGCTGGATAGAGTGGTGGGTGGAATTGTAATGACAGCAAGGGGACCTGCTTGGAGATGACGCTGTGAAGACAGGGACACGTCCTTCGGCATGTGGCTTACACGTTGACACGGTGGTGCTATTTATACAGGGCTGTTTCCCCAATGAATAGAAGACAGGTTCCCGAGAGCCAGACGGGAGGAGGCGGGGGTGACCCCACGGTCCGTCACCACTGGTGACCCACCTGGGGAATGTCTGCTTTCCATCCCACAACTTTAGGCTCCGCGGCTCCCAGGATCCTGGCTCCCAGAGGCAAGAGACTTCCACCAGGGGACACAAGCAAAAGGATTACTTTTGAGATAAGAAAAAAATCAATAAAAGTTATTATTATTTCACATACTGGCTGGGCGAGGCAGCTCACACCTGTAATCCCAGTACTTTGGGATATCAAGGCGGGCGGATCACTTGAGTCCAGGAGTTCAAGACCAGCCTGGGCAACATAACAAAACACCGTCTCTGTGTCTCTATTTTAAACGTCCCACTACATTTAAAACGATTGCAACAGCGAAACAGCCAACTGACTCCATGTTTTCTAAGGGGACTTTTCCTTCTGCACCTAGGCTAGGATAGTTTTAGAGCACTGAGGCAAAAATGCAAAAACAGCAATCATGTGACTTTTAAAACTAACTCTGGGATTAAAGGGAGCTGTATAAACAGATAACTAGGTTTTGTTAAAGATTTACAGGAGCACTGTGACCTGGTCAAGGACTAAGAAGTGTCCAGCATCCTTGGACCCTCCCTGGCTCCCAGATGTCTGTGGTCATCAGTCACCTCTTGGTCCCAACCACCCTCCCCCACATGTAACATAAACCAAGGCTGAAACTTGTGCTGACTAAAGATGGTGTTTAGGGCGCTAGTCCACCGTCCTTCCGGTCGGCTGGCCCTCCGAATACGCCTGCTTTTCCTCCCACCAGCACCCGTCTCCCAAGTTTTGCCTCCTATAATAACAGCAAGCAGGTGAACCTGGGTTTGATTACGTGGTAGATGCTACCTGTTTACCCTGAGCTCCTTTTACCAAGATAGAAACAAGCAAAGAAAGCACTCACCTGTGGCCGGATGCGGTGGCTCACACCTGTAAACCCAGCACTTTCGGAGGCCAAGGCGGGTGGACCACCTGAGGTCAGGAGTTCAAGACCAGCCTGACCAACATGGTGAAACCCCATCTCCACTAAAAATACAAAAGTTAGCCGGGCGTGGTGGCGGGTGCCTGTAGTCCCACCTACTCGGGAGGCTGAGGCAGGAGAACCGCTTGAACCAGGGAGGTGGAGGTTGCTGTGAGCCGAGATCGTGCCATTGCACTGCAGCCTGGGCAACAAGAGTGAAACTCCATCTCAGGAAAAAAAAAAAAAAAGAAGAAAAGAAAAAAAGAAAGCAGTCACCAGCTGGCAAGAGTAATGGACCGTGATCAGCATGAGAAAGCAAGGCTGCCTGTGATGAGCGCTTATGGTTGGGGTTAGGGTTAGGGTTGGGTTAGGGCTGGGTTAGGGTTAAGTTAGGGTTAGGTTTAGGCTTATGGTTAGGTTTGGGTCATGGTTAGGTTTCAGTGGTCAGCCTGGGCGTACTGCACCTGTGGGTTAGGGTTAGGGTTAGTTTGGTGTTAGAGTTAGGCTTATGGTTAGGGTTATGGTATGGTTACAGTTACAGTTAGGTTTCAGTCTTGGGCCTGGGCATACTACACCTGTGGGTACTTGTGTTCACCCCTCTACCCCTCTCCAAATGTCTCAGCAGGTGAACCAACTAAAATGCAGGCAAGCTGTGTCGGATAGAAGCCATCTAATGCGAGAATCAAATGCATTTCAATAGTGCAAAGTGAGTCGGCAGCAGATGCTGTTGGTGACCTACCTACATGCTGTGGGATTCCCCCAACCCCTCTGGGGTACCCATGCTCCAGCTGCTGCCTGGCGTCTCTGCTGAGGTTCACACCTGCTTCCCCTCTGGAGGGTTTTCCTCGGGCGGTTTGCACCACCCCTCTCGCAGGTGCCCAGGGATCCTGCTCCCTCACCCTGGGGCAGCTTGTTGTCAGTGACCACCTCACAGCAGGGCACAAAAGCCTCACCGTCTTGCAGCAGGACAGGCTGCATGACAGCCTTCCCCAGCTGAAGTTCCAGGGAGGAATTAAGTCCTTCAGAAAAATGATTTGAGTGACTGTTTTCTCAAGCCTGCCAAGGATGGTTGATAGATAGTACCATACTCGATGCGTGGGAGAGAACATAGCTGATTATAGATGGTCCAAATCTTAGGGCTAAAGTCCAGAAGATTCACTGATTATATTAGTTTAAAAGGCAACACCAATCACAATGGGTGGCTGTCCTTGTTTAGAAATTTAGTCCCAGGAAAGGAAGAATCACGAACACTTTGGACTTAAGGACACTGGGCACAGCTGAAGGTGACGGCACTTATTAAAAGCAGAGGGATTGGCTGGGCGTATTGGCTCACGCCCACCATCCCGGCGCTTTCGAACATTAATCCGAAATAGGCCACGAATTTAAATGCAAAAAGTAAACTGTAATCTTCTAAAATAAAATATAGCAGAAATACTAGAACATCTTCAGGACCACTGGCTCGGCAATGTGGTACCAAAAGCATGATCTACGAAAGTGAAAAATGGATCAACTAGACCTCAAAACGTTAAAAAAAAATGCTTGCATTCAAAGGATGAAAAGACAAGCCACAGGCAGGGAGAAAATGTTTGCAAAGCACACATCTGACAAAGGTGTCGTTTCTAGAAAAATGTAAAGAACACTTAAGACCCCACAGTAGAAACAAACGAAACATTTAGAAAATGGGAAAAAAGGCTGGGCACGGCAGCTCACGCCTGTAATCCCAGCACTTTGGGAGGTTGAGGTGGGTGGATCACCTGAAGTCAGGAGTTCGAGACCAGCCTGACCAATATGGTGAAACCCTGTCTCTACTAAAAATACAAAACTTAGCCGGTTGTGGTGGCGGGTGCCTATAATCCCATCTACTCGGGAGCCTGGGGCAGGAGACTTGCTTGAACCAGGAAGGCAGAGGTTGCAGTGAGCTGAGATCATGCCACAGCACTCCAGCCCGGGTGACAGAGTGAGATTCTGTCAAAAAAGAGAAAGAAGGAAAGGAAGGAAGGAAGGAAGGAAGGAAGGAAGGAAGGAAGGAAGGAAGAAAGGAAAGAGAAAGAAAGAGAAAGAAAGAAAGGAAAGAAAGAAAAAAAGAAAGAAGAAAGGAAGGAAAGAAGGAAGGAAGGAAGAGAAAGGGAAAAAAGATGTAAGGAGACATTTCATCAAAGAAGAGCTACAGAGGGCAAATAAGCACATGAATAGGTTTCACATGAATAGGTGTTCACCATCAGTAGATACCAGCAAATAGAAATTAAACCACAATGAGATCACTACACCCTATTAGAACGACTGAAACAGAAAATAGTGATACGACCCAATGCCAGTGAGGGTGTGGAGAAACTGCATCTCGCATACATTGGTGGTGGTGATAAAAAATGGCGCAGCCACCCTGAAAAACATTTGAGCAGCCAGCATGCACTTACTATGCACCCCAGCAACTGCATGTCTGTGCATTAACCCCAGAAAAATGAAAACTTAAGTTCACACCAAGGCCTGCACGTGAATGTTCATAGCAGTTTATTTGTAATGGCTCCAAAGTGCAAAACCACCCAAATGTTTTTCCACAGGTGAATATGGTTAAATAAACCTGGGTGTGTCATCTATACAAAGGAATACTACTCAGCGATGAAAAGGAACAAACTAAACTGTTGATCCCATAAAAGAACTTGGGTAGACGAGGTGCGGTGGTGGCTCACGCCTGTAATCCCAGCACTTTAAGAGACCAAGGCGGACAGATCACCTGAGGTCAGGAGTTCGAGACCAGCCTGACCAAAATGGTGAAACCCTGTCTCTGCTAAAAATACAAAACTTAGCCGGGCGTGGTGGCAGGTGCCTGTAATCCCAGCTACTTGGGAGGCTGAGGCAGGACAATCGCTTGAACCAGAAAGGCAGATGTTGCAGTGAGCCGAGATCGTGCCATTGCACTGCATCCTGGTCAACGAGCAAAACTCCATTTCAAAAAAAAAAAAAAAAAAAAAAAGAATTTGGGTGGATCTTAAGGGCCTTACGCTGAGTGGGCGAAAAACACCTCAAAGGTTACACAGGGCATGATCCCATTCATATAACCTTCTCAAAATGACAGAAACGGAGAAGAGATGTGTGGCTGCCAGGCAGGGGTAGCGTTGGGGTGGAGTGGGGGGGACAAGATCCCTGTGGTGACGGAAGAGTTCTGAATCTCGACTGGGGCGGTGGTTACTGAAATCTATATACGGGGGGTAAGTTTGCAAAGAACTACACACACGTCCACGCAGGTGAATGCGTGTACAGGCTGCTAGGAACTGAATCAGATCTTAGTCTAGTTAACAAAATTACACCCAGGTGCAAGCCGACTTCCTGGTTTTGATACTGTACGCCAGTTACGTAAGGTGTCACCGCTGGGGGAAGCTGGGTGACTCTATTTTTACAACTTCCTGTGACTCTATAATTACCTCAAATTTAAAGTAAAAATTTTAAAGACTCCTAGAAAGTAGAACAAAAGGGCAATGCAATGGGGTGAGAAGAGATGCTGAGAAAATCGCAGTCACCCAAAGAGACTGTCCCTACGCCCCGCGTGTGCCCCCAGCTCCCACGCCAGAGCCCACATCCCCACCTTCTCTCCCGCTAAGGAGGAGCAACGGCCAAGTCCAAGACCTGTCTGGCCAAGCCCGGCCCTTCCATGGAGCACAGTGTCTCGTCCCGTCTTACTCAAACATTGCTCCAGCAATTCTTTCCCTCTTCCGTTCGCCATCAACGTTTTCTTCTCCACTGGATCCTAAAACACACGTTATTTCCCCATCTTCATGCACCACGCCCTACACCCCATCTGGGGGAAACAGAGGCTACAAACACCTGTTGTTACAGAAAATAAAGAGATACCTCTTTGCATATCCACCTGCGGGGTAGAGATTTCAAGCCTGCTGCATTTCTAGAGAGAAAGGGCTAGAAAGGCAGATACCAATATATTCCCATGGTTAGCTCAGGGTGGGGAGAGTAAATGATTTCTGTTTCCTTCTTTAACTGTTTTCTGAAGTTTATGTAGCAAAAGGATTACTTTTGAGATAAAACAAAAATCAATAAAAGTTATTATTCTTTAACATACTGGCTGGGTGAGGCAGCTCACACCTGTAATCCCAATACTTTGGGAGGTCAAGGCAGGTGGATTACTTGAGTCTAGGAGTTCAAGACCAGCCTGGGCAGCATAGCAAAACACCGTCTCTATAAAACAAACAAACAAACAAAATAGCCAGGTGTGGTGGCGCGAACCTGTGGTCCCAGCTACTTGGGAGGCTGAAGCAGGAGGAACACCTGAACCCAGGAATTTGAGGCTGCAGTGAGCCATGATCGTGCCACTGCACTCCAGCCTGGGTGACAGAGCAAGACCTTGTCTCAATAAAATTAGGATAGAATAGAATAGAAGACTTCAATGGCTTCCTATGCACAGAGGCCGACTGTCATTTCTTCACACTTGCAAAGCAGGCCTCTGAGCCTGGCTCCGCCCCATCCCTGGTCTCAGCAGGCCGGGCCCCCTCACTGCCCCATGGTGGCCCCTCTGGGTGGGGTCGGGGTCTGTGCTCTCTGCACCTTGGCCCCCGCCATCCTTTCTGGGTGGAAGTCCGCTCCCCGTCCCTGCCGCCTTGTCTCTGCCAAGCCAGCTCCTGATTGTCCTTCAGGGTCTTTTTGTCTGATTTTTGTTGTTGCTGTAGTTGCTTTGTGTACTTTTTTTTTTCTGTGAGACGGAGTCTCGCTCTGTCGCCCAGGCTGGAGTGCGGCGGCGCCGTCTCGGCTCACTGCAACCTCCGCCTCCCGGGTTCAAGCGATTCTCCTGCCTCAGCCTCCCAAGTAACTAGAAATACAGGCGCCCGCCACCACACCAGGCTAATTTTTATATTTTTAGTAGAGATGGGGTTTCACCATGTTAGTCAGGCTGGTCTTGAACTCCTGACCCCAGGTGATCCACCCGCCTCGGCCTCCCAAAGTGCTGGGATTACAGGCGCGAGCCACCGCGCCCGGCCACCTTCAGTCTTGAGCGATCACCTCCTCTAAAAGCCTCCCTGTCCCCAGTGGAGATGACGGCCCCCTCCTCTGTGGCTGCCCCCAGGCCAGCCTCCCCCATCACCCAGTCCGGGTTGTCTCTGAACCTTCTCACCCCTGCTGTCTGTGGACTGAGCCCTGCGGGCCCCATCACGGGCTCCCTGATGTCCTGGCCATGCAGCCAGCAGGGAGCCCAGCAGGAGATGGGAGGGAGATCGGGGGACAAGCGGGGGTGGGCATGTGTCCCCAGTCCTCCTGCGAGGCTGCTGAGGCCCACTGGGAACTTCCCCTGAGGTCCCTCTCCAGGGCCCCGTGGGCCTCTCTGCACCTCTCTCTCTCCCTCCGGGTTCGGGGGCTCTCCTCCTCCCCCTCTCCCAGGGGGCCAAGGTGTGCCGTCAGCTTGGTGTCTCTGGAAATGGCCCCTTTGTAGGTAACCCCTTGAAGGATTCTACTTTGGGGTGTCTGCTCTTTCCTGTCGGGACCGTGGCTGACACATTCTTGGTGGGGAGCGTGTCTGGTACAGGGTAGGCCACCGCAGCTGAGGTGTTCTCGGTGGGGAGTGGCAGGCAGCGTGTCTGGTACACAGTAGGCTCTTTGCGTTTGGGTGCTGAGTGAATGCGTGGGTGGCAGAGACCTGGGGCCTTGGATTTCCTGCTCTTCTTGCTCTGCCCTCTGCCCCGGGAGGGGACACCTGGACTCAGCCATGCCTTAGGCCTCGGTGCACAGAGGCCCCCCCTGTCTTTGCCCTCTGTGTCTGCAGCCTTGGCCACAGGCCCCTGGGCTGGGGCGCCCTGTCCACCCTTTTCCTCTGAGCTCGGCCCCGCGGCTCACCCTGGCCTGTGGGATGCCAGCAGATGTGACCCTGGGGTTTGCTCCCTCGGCTGTCGCCGCAAGAACCAGCCCGTGCTGGCTCGATGGAGGATGGGAGACTGTGGGGAAGAACCCGGTCCTCCCTGTGCCCCGTGACATGAGAGTGTGCCCTCTTGCCAGCCGCCCCCCGAGGGGCCATACCGCACTGTGGTTGTGGGTTAGGCAGCATGATCACGGCAATGGATAACCAGTGCACTGCAGGAGGGACAGGCATCGGCATCCCCCCCACTGGACAAACGAGGAGACTGAGGCAGAGAGGGCCAGTGGCTTGCTATGGTCACACGGTCGTAGGGGTACGGCCTGGGCCTGAGGCCTCGCTGTGGCTTAGCCCTGGTCTCACAAACGAGCAAGACCTGCCCTCCAGGGCTGCCCCTCGGAAGCTGGGCACCCATCCCAGCTGCAGGGCAAGGCTGGGTCTGGCAGGTTTTTCTCCTGCTCCTGAGCCCAGCTCTGAGCCCACAGGGCACCAACCCCTCTCACCTTGGCAACCTCCACCTCCTTCCTCGCCCAAACCAAATACCACCCCTTCCAGGAAGCCTTCCCGGCTCTTCCCAGTCAGGAGTTCCCATCCTTCCCAGACCTCCAGCGCCTCCCCTGCTGCCCTGAGCCGGGTCACCCACCTCTGCACTGAGTTCTCTGCCAGCCTGTGAGCTCCCCGGGGGGCCGGGGCCGGGCTGGGCTCCTCCCTGCGCCCACACAGAGCTTGGCACAGAGCCCTGCACACAGTAGCCGCTTCCTAAGTGTGTGTCTCCTCCTGCTTATGTCCTGTCACCCCCACCATGACACCTTCAAGCAAGGGCACGGGAACTCGGGCCTCTTTTTCCCAGGACTGGCTGGGCGTTTGCAGACACTCGGGGCCAAGCCCCGCGGCTTCCAGGAGGGCTGAGCTCCCGGGCGGGGTGTCCTGGCTGTTGAGGACCCCGCACCTCGCTGCCTGCCATTTTCCCTTGTTCCTCTGTGGGCCGTTGACTCCTGGCCAGCTGCCCGGTGTTCCCAAGGCAGGCGCCTCTCTTCTGTGTCTGCCCTTCTCCCGCATTTCCTATAAATAGCCCATCTTCGCTCCTCAGTGAAAGGGAGCAGCGGGCTGAGAAGGCCTGGCCACCTCTCTGTCCCATGACCAGACTGTCATCGAGTTGCTATGTGACCTTGGGCAGGTTGGGGCCCTCTCTGGGCCTCCACCCGTCAGCCCTGGAACCCGCTCCTGGTCCCCGCTCCTCTCCCCTGGGCCTGGCGTTGTGGTCTCCAGCGGTCTCTCATGCCCTCCCGGGACCCCTCATGGAGGACAGGGAGCTGCCCAGGGCTGAGAGTCCCGGGCTGGCCAGAAACCTTGGGTCAAACGGCGAAGAGCTGGTGATGCAGCGTCCTCAGAAATGGCCCCCTTTGGAGGGCTGAGTCACAGGGTGCCCGTGGAGCCCACCCGGGCGTGCACCCCCGGAGCAGGCCTCACACTCTCAGGTCCCTGGTGGGGTGACCGGGGTGCAGGTGGCAGGATCGGGCTGGCTAACCTGGAGGGGACAGATGGGCCCTCAGTTCTGTGGCCCCTGGGGGACAGCCCCCTGGGCTTCTGCTGTAAGGGAGGTCCCGAAAGCTGGAGACAGCTACAGAAGAGAGGGGTGAGCTTCCCGTCACCCAGGGCGTGCAAGCAGAGGCTGCCCCTGCTCCTACCTGCACTGGCCCTTCCTCCCTCCCTCCTTGTCCCCCACTGGGTCAGACTGAGACTGGGTCCTTTCTTGGGGGACCCGTCAGAGCCTGAAAACCGGCTTCATCCCTCCGGTTCCTGCCCTGGAGTCTCCCGGGTTCCTGTTGCCTCTGGGACCCGGCTCCAGCCGCAGCCTCCTCCCTCCCTGGGTCTGTGCCAGAGTTCAGAGTGGGGGTGGGTCTGCCATCAATGGAGGGGTGGGGTGGGGGCTCAGCAGCCGGGACTTTAGGAAGGACAGGGGAGGGGCCATCCAGACAGGAAGAGAGGGGTGACAGGGAGCTTTGACTCAGCAGTCCCGGCATCAGGCAGGTGTCCGGGCCCAGGGTGAGGTGTTCCCCTTCCTCACAGGGCCCTCCCCCTGAGCAGAAAGGCAGCTCTGCGTGGGATGCAGGGCTGGGGGCTGTTTCCCTGGGGTGGGTACAAAACCCCCACTCAGCTGGCAGGTGGATTCGAGGGCCTGGGAGTCCAGTCTCGTCCTCAGCGTCTCCCTCTGGCTCCTGTAGGTGGGATGAGGGGCACCCTGTGCTCTGGGCAGCAGGAAGCCAGGGACTCTCTCCATCCTCCCCTGGGGATGCTAAACAACCTGGTGCTCGTCCCACATGGACTCCAGCCTCTTATTCACTCAGAACGGGGGCCCACACCAGGGCGTGCTGCCTGGAGGGGTGGTGGGTGAGATGCATATGGAGGGGGCTGCAGTGCAGGGTCTGGCTCCGGGCTCAGCGTCCTGAGAGACCCCCGAAGAATTAGGGGTCTCTGGGCACTTCCTGTAGGTGGGGCTCTGGCGACAGCAGGGGAACCCGCCCTCACACAGACACACCCTCCAACCACCTCACGCTCACGCTCAATCACATGCAAACCCACACCATCGGCTCACCCGGAACCTCACTCAAGAGCCTCTGGGCGTCCCAGGCCCACTCACACCCCCTCGGCTGCTGGGTTCTGCACACACCCCGCTGGCACGCACAGCCAGACACACACAGAAGCAGCCCCGCACCGTGGATCCACCACACCAAGACCCTGCTCCCGCCCGTCCTCCCGCCGCCACCTGAGCTTGGCTCCCGCCTACCCTGTCCACACCGGCTCTCAGACACGCTCCAGCCCAGTGCGGGCCGCCCACCTCCCAAGGGTTCCCACGTGCACCCCCCTGGTCACACCACGCTCTAGCCAAGAGAGCACAGCGTGTCCCCACCCCAAGGCCAAAATCAGTAAAACCACCCCCTAAACGGGACATAAAAGAAACCTCAACTCTTTCCCTGAAACCCACAGTAAAAACCCAGGACAAACAAGCATTTGATTTGTTTTCCTTTGCAGATTTTTTTTTAAGTAGACATAGTCTTTTTTTTTTTTTTTTTAGTAGACATAGTCTTTTTTTCTTTCTCATTTTACAGCAAACATTGCAAATATAGAAATATTTTTTTCTGTACAATAGAACGACTACAGTGTACATGGGGGCTGGGCTGGGGGACGTGCCTCCCAGCCCTTGGCCGTCCTGGCCACCCCGGCCGTCCACAGGCACAGCCTCCACCCACCCTGAGTCCAGCAGGGCTCCAGGACCTGTCCCGGAGGCCACTTGGCCGCCGGCATTCACTCTGCCCCTCTGCAGTGGACTCCGGAGGCGGCAATGAAGAGACGGACTGGACAGAGAATCCACAGAAAACCACGGACCGAGGAGATCACGTGAGGGGCCCCGAGGTGGCCACGCCGGCCACACCCCCCACGGATGGCATTTTATGTCTTTTTAAAATAACTTGTCTTTTATTATATTTTTTTAAAAAAGGAAGAAAGTAAAGAGATAGAGAGGAAAAGAAAAGGCAGAGAAGACTCAAAAGAGGAAAGATAATGAAAAAAAAATCCCCACCCCCACCCCCCATCCCTAAGACACAGTTTTCCGAAGTCCCTCGTGTGTGTGTGTGTGTGTGTGTGTGTGTGTGTGGACACGTGCCACCCGGGGCGACAAGCGCATCCCAGGACCGGCCACAGGAGCTCGGGACGTGTCCCCCTTGTCTGTCCCCACTCGCTCCCCCCTCGCCTCTGCAGGGCCCCCCGCTGTCACAGTTGCTGTGGTGGCGTGCGTGTGTTGGGTTTGGTGCTGAGTCTCTGGGTGGATCCTGCATCCTTTTTGGTCCAGTGGGCATCGCCGGTCTTGGGGGGCTCAGGACTTGTGCTGGGCCGACACGCCCTTCCAGTAGTCCAGGATGTCGTGCAGATCCTCGTCTTTGGCGAACTGAACCTTCTTGCGCAGGGCATGGCCCGCGGCCATGAACTCCTCTTCCTCCTTGTGCCGCCGGCGGCTCAGTCTGAAGCGCTCCCAGATGCTCTGGGAGGCCCGGCAGGTGTACTCGGGGCTGGAGGAGTAGCTCAGGCTGTGGTACTGCGGGGACAGCTGCGAGTAGGCGAGGTCGCGGGGCCGCGGCCGGGTGAGTGGCTCCAGGATGGACGCCTTGCGCCCCAGGCCCTCGTGCGGAGGCGGCGGCGGTGGCCCGGGGGGCGCAGGTGGCTCGGCCGGGTGGGAGCCGGGGTACGAGTGCCGGTGCTCGCCGTACTGGCGACCCTTCTCGGCCTCGGCCCGCAGCACGGCGGCCGCGGGTGTCACAGTGAGGATGGCGTCGGCCGCGGGGGAGCCCTTCTCGATGTACTTGGCCTCGGCGGCCGCGGCCTTGTGCACCCCGACGGCCTCGGCTCGGAAGGCGCGGGGGCTGCGCACGGAGCCGCTGGACGAGGTGCTGGCACGAGGGGGCCCGGCGGCCTCCACGCTGTGGTGCCGCTGCAGGCTGTGGCCGAAGGCGTCCTTGTACCCGGGCGCCAGGAAGCCGTGCTTGGCGGCCAGCGGCTCGGACAGCAGCACCAGCGGCGGCTCCGCGACGGACACGGGCCCCGACTTGACGCCCTGGAAGGAGGTGGACTCGGACTTGAGCGCGTCGATGCAGTTGTTGATGATCTGGTTGACCTTGTCCACCTCCTTGGCGATGGTGGAGATCTCGGCCACCGAACTCTGGCTGTCGGGGCCCGGCCGGCCCAGCTCACAGTCCCTGCGTTCCGGAGGGTCCCCGGTTCGAACCTCCATGTAGCTGCCCTTGCTGGCCTTGGGGGTGTCCGCGCTCTCCACCAGCTTGTACTGCTCCACCTCGCCGGCCGCAGGCAGGTAAGGGATGCGCGTCACGGCCTCGGGGCCCAGCAGCGGGCCCTGGGACAGCGGGGCCAGGCCGGGCGCCTCCAGCTCTGGCCCGTACTTGAGCTCGATGATGGTCTTCTTGAGGCTGCCAGCTGCGGCTGCCGAGGCGGCCTTCTTGTGCTTCTCCTCCTGGCGCCGCCGCCTGCGCAGGCAGTAGTAGACGGCGCCCAGCACCAGCACCATGCCGAAGAGGCAGCCCAGGATGGTCATGATGTAGTGGGTGGCCGTGGAGGGGCTGGGCACCGGACCAGGCGGGCTGGGCAGCCGGGGCAAGCAGATGGTGAGGCAGGTGTGGTTGTGGCGCAGCCCGGCGCTGGTGGACACCACGCAGTAGGTGTAGTTGGTGAGCGTGAACAGGTTGGTCAGACGGATCTCCTCCTGGGCCTTGGTCAGCCTGGACACGGTGGAGGCCTTGCTGTTGTTGAAATGCTCCAGGGTGTACATCCGGTGGAACGGGCTGGGCAGCTGGACGGTGATGGTGGCCGAGTTCTGAGTGAGCTGCTTGACCTTGATGAGGGGGCGGGCCTCGGCCTGCGTGGCCAGCGTGGGCAGGGCCACCAGTGGCGTGGTGCCGTCCCCGGAGAAGCACTCATCATCGGCACAGGGCATGTCACTGGGCTCCGGCGGAGGCGGGGGCGGCGGGGAGCGGCCCGGCTGTGAGCGCCCGGATGCTGGACGTGGGGGCCCGACCACCTCAGCCGCGTACGAGTCCTCGGTGCAGACTGACTGCAGTTTGCTGAGGATGCTGCGGTGGCCGCGGCGGCCCTGGCCCAGGAGGTAGTAGCCGGAGTAGACGGGCGGCGACTCGCACTGCATGCGGTCGTACGTCTGTGTGGCGTTGGTGAAGGCGGCCAGCCAGCGCAGGAAGCCCAGCAGCTCGCAGGAGCAGTAGAAGGGGTTGCTGTAGAGCTCGCACACCGACAGCTTGGCCAGGCCGGCGAAGGTGCCGCTGTTGAGCTGCTGGATGCGGTTCATGGACAGGTCGATGTTGACGATGTTGGGACACTCCCAGAAGCTGCTGGCCATGACCACCTCGATGAGGTTGGCCTGCAGGTACAGGTACTCCAGCTTGCCCAGGCCGCGCAGCATGCCCTCCGTGAGGTTGCGCAGCCGGTTGTAGCCCAGCTGCAGCACCTGCAGGTTGAACTGGCCCGAGAAGGCGCCGTCCTCGATGTAGCCGATCTCGTTCTTGGTGAGGTTGAGGTACGTGAGGTTGCCAAAGCGGCTGAGCGAGGCGTACTGCACGCTGCGGATACGGTTCTCGTTGAGCCGCAGGTCCACGATGGTGCTGTTGATCTGCTGTGGGATGGCCTCGTAGGGGGGTTGGTTCTGGCTGCAGATGGCCAGCCACACGAAGCCCTTGTCGCCCTCGATCAGCCAGCAGTCTGCGCGGGCCAGGCCGCCAGCGTGCAGCAGGGTGGCGGCCGCCACGCACACCCACAGCGCGCCCCACCCACGCCCGGCCATCGGGACCGCCCTGCAGGGAGCCCCAATTCAGCCTGCCCAGGGGGACCAGGTGGGGGGCCAGGCGCCAGCCCCCAGAGGGATGGAGGGGCGGGAGGGGGAGGTGCCTGCACTCTCAGGGGTGTCCTGTCCCAAACCGCATGGCCGCGCGACGTAAGCGCGGGGAGGGAGGGCGCCTCCCTCACGGCCGGCCGCCTCTCGTCTTCCGCCCCAGTCCTGTGGTGACCGAGGCCTCCTGCCCCATGGGCCTGGGTGTCCTGATGGCTCCACTGACTCCTCCTGCTCCGACGTTCCTGCTGCAAGACAAGAGAGAAGACAGCGGTCAGGGGACAAGAGAGAAGACAGCGGTCAGGGGACGGCCGGCATCTCACAGCGGCGGCATCCCAATGTGGCCTGAGTCCCTGCTCCGCTGAGCCCCCTGAATCTCTTCTGTAAAACACAGAAAAAACAGAAGCTCCTTCCTCAGAAGCCCCTGGGGGGTCCTGAGACAGGTCAGGATAGCGGAGGAAATGCTTCACCCTCCCGTGGAGGGGTCTCCTCGGCTCTCGGCCTCAGTTTCCTCATCTGCAAAATGGACGGGGCACTGCCTGCTTGGCCATGTTCCAAGGTACTGACAGCCCAGAATCGAGGTCCCTGAAGCCCATTTCACTCTCGGCGCAACCCCGGTCGGATAAGGGAACTGAGGCAGGGGACTGGGACCTAAAGTCGCTTGGCTGAGGAGTGACTGGGCTTCCGCCGGCTGGCTGCGGCCAGGGATGTGCGTGTGAAGGCCCTCACTGGGCACGGTGCCTGTCACCTGGGGCTTCTGCTCCCAGGAGGCCCGGCCACAACGCCCCTGGAGCCGCCTGTAGGAGCTACCCTGCGCACTCACCGCAGGGTCCGCAGCCCTCAACACAGAATCCTTCCGGGGCGCGGGCTCCTCTCCAGCCCTCTGGGAGGGAGGCACCGGGAGGTATTCTGGCCTGTCCGGGGACTCGTGTCTGCCAGGTCTCGGTCTGAGCTCGCCCGCCCTGTGTCCCTGGCACGCTGTGCCCCCTCTGGGCCTCAGTTTCCCCAAATGAGCCAGCTGGATGGTCTCTGAGGGCGTCTACCCGGCACTGGGACTTGGCACTGTCTGCACCTCACCTTGGTGGATAGGGGCCACCTCCCTTCTGGAAGGAAGGGAACTGCTTGCTCTGCGGAGAATTTCCAGGCTCCACACATCCTCCTCAGGCTGGGAGAGGGACAGCTCCGAGGTCCCTGGGGGAGCCGCATGCCTCTCCTGCCATCCTCCCCACCACCATACGGGGTCCTCTGCTCTATTCCTCAGCCTCCACTGGACCCTGAGGGTCTCCAGGCAGGACGGTGCCTCCTCCATCTGCCTAGTGTCTGCTGAGCCTGGACACAGAGGATGTGGCGACCGAGCTGTAGGCGGGGAAGCCCCAGGCAGGAAGGACCCTGCAGACGGGGCTGGAGGTACGTCCGGGGAGCGAGGCATCCCGCTGGGCTCCTGCTCCCCCATGGACCCCCCCACCACTACCCTCGAGATAAGGGGGCCCCTGGTGTGCGACCTCACCTCCCGGCCGCCTGTGTTTTCCCTGCAGGATAGAGAAATGGGTGTGTTTGCTTGTTAATATGTGGATTTACAGTCGGCCTCTGTCACCGAGCCGTGGCCTGGCGGGCAGCCAGCTGGGTGTATTTCACTGATATTGACGTTTGCAACTAGTCTGCACTGAAGCGGTTTAAATTAGAGAAAAAAAATATAATGATGTAAAATGGGTTTTTTCCTCCCTTTGGAAACTTCATAAAGAACAATTTTGTTCCGGCTCCTGGAGAAGAGTCTATTTCTGATTTAAAGAGAGGGAGAAGTCAGACGGCATGGGGGCTACAACGAGGTCCTAGCGGGCCTCGGGGAGCTAACCCAGGGCTTGGCCTGGAGTGGCCAGGGGACGCCAAGCCCAGCCGGGCAGGACCTGGCTAGGCCCACTCAAAAATGGCTCAGGGGGCTGCTTGGGTAGGGAAAATGGGGTCCCCACGTGGTCCGGTTGGATGTGAAATCCACCATCACGGGAGTCAGCGCTGTCTTGGTCACCATCATGCCGTGTGCACCTGCCAGCTCGCACCCACGCCAGCCCCTCCATCCCTCCCCACCATCCCTGCACCGTGCCCAGACAACCTGTGCCAATGCTGGGATTTAGCTTTCCCAAGCCTCCTGGGGGCCCAGGTCTCAGGCAGAGGCGCGTGCTGGCCGGGGGCGGGCCAAGGGCATGGGGCGGATGGCGTCCGGCTGTGCCCGGCCTCCGGAAGGGCGGGTCTGGCCAGCGGCCGCACAGGAAGCGTGTAGGAAGCGTGGCGCCTCAGCCACAATCGTAATCACCTTTAATCTCTTGCTCAAAATAACCCAAAGTCAAGGTAAGGAGGATTACAGGGCCTAAGAGCCCTCACCACAGGCACAGGGAGGAGGCTTGGGGGCCTGGGGCTGCTCCGGCTCTCCTGGGCCCGCAGCTGAGGGCTGGAGGGCTGCATGCACATGGGGTTCACGTGTGTGTGTGTGCATGTGTGTTTGTGGACACATGTATACCTGTGTCCACCCACACACGTGTTTGTACACGTGAGCCCTCGTATGTGTGTGCCAGGTTGTCTGTGTGTGTGTACAGATGTGTGTGCACAGGTGTGTACACAGGGCAGGTGATTGTGTACATGAGTGCGCAGGCCATGCTCACTGGGGCCCTGGGCAGAGCAGGTGTCACTGAGGACCCCCTGTCTGGGCAGCGAGGCCTGGGGCTCTGGTGCGTCTGGGGCTGGGTGGAGGCAGGTGTGGGTGGCACCTCGGTAGTGCAGCTCGGAGCCCCCCAGATTTCCTCCTCATGTTCACACATGCACGGGGGTCTGTATGTCTGGCATGTTGCATGCATGCAGGAAACACGCTCTAAGTGTGCACCGGTGGCTGACATCTCCAGGGCCTGGCTGGGTGCCACACTCTCTCCCCCTTCCTGGCTCACCTGGTTCATCCCCTGCCAGCCCTTTCCGTACCACCATGCCCCACTCCCCCCATTGTGAGTATAAGAATCTGTGCATCAGACTCCTTGGGAGTGGTGCTGGGAACGCAGCCTCACCTCCCCACCCAGCTCTGAGCCCTCCTCCATCAGGCTGGGGAGCCTGTGTGATGAGGGAGGCAGGCCGTCCCCAGCCCAGAGTCCAGCCCTCACCTTCCTGCTCGGCCCCTGCCCCAGAGTACAGGTGAGCAGCAGCCTGGCCTGCAGGGGCTCAGGGAGTCCTCCCCCCACCCCCAGCCTGGCCTCGCTGCCAAGTCTCCTGGGCAGGGAGATCTTTAGGGCGTGTGGGCACGACTTCCCAGTGTGGCCAGCGCCCTGCCAGGGAGGAAGGGTGGGCCCACAGCCCCTTAGGAGGCACAGATTTTGCCCCCTCTATGGCCCCCAGCTTTGGAGGGACCCCAAAGTTTTCTTTCTTCTTTTTTTTTTTTTTTTTTTGAGACAGAGTCTTGCTCTGTCACCCAGGCTGGAGTGCAGTGGTGCAATCTCAGCTCACTGCAACCTCTGCCTCCTGGGTTCAAGTGATTCTCCTGCCTCAGCCTCTCAAGTAGCTGGGATTATAGGCACACACCACCATGCCCGGCTAATTTTTGTACTTTTAGTAGAGACAGGGTTTCACCATATTGGTCAGGCTGGTTTCGAACTCCTGACCTCAGGTGATCCACCTGCCTTGGCCTCCCAAAGTGCTGGGATTACAGGCGTGAGCCACCATGCCCAGCCAAGGGGCCCCGAAGTTTTCATTCTGCAGCTCACTTTACAGCGGGGAAACTGAGGCACAGACACAGAAGGACTTGTCCGAAGTCACACTGTGAGTCAGCCCTGTGCAGCCTCCTGTCAGGGGCCGGGGGGGAGAGGCTGGACAGGTGCTGTGCTAGGAGGGGTTCGGGGGGTGGCCCGGGTCCAGGAGTCCCCAAGGGCAGAGGCTGCGGACCTGGCACAGGAAACAGGGAAAGGCCGAATCACCTAGGAAGGTTCTGGACAGACCACAGGCCCCCCCAAAGCCCTTTCCAGCTGGGCTCGCTCACTCAAGTCACTCTCGATGCCCCGCCAGCCTGTGCCCTCGCTGATCCGCACTCACACCTGCCGCTGCACCCCACGTCCAGCGATCCGATCATTAAACAACATTTCTAGAAAGGAGTGCTGTCTGGCACGGAGGGCAGGTGCGGAGACCCCGCATGGGCGTTACTGTCCTTCACAGACCCAGCTCCAGCCCTGGTCCCCTCCTCAGCACACTTGCTGCCTCAGACCCAGAGGCTCGTATGGGCGTGGACCACAAGGCCCCAGGGAGGGCAATAGGCATCCCTCAGGAGGGCGGCTCCCCACTGCCTGAAAGGAGCTCCCTTCCTCTCAGCCCATCTGCACCTGCTCCCAGGGCCTGGCCTCCTGCCTCAGGGAGACACAGAGGCCGTGGCGCCTCTGGAATGGGCACCCCTCAGGTCTGATACCTCCAGCCCTCTGCAATGCCATCCTGCCCACACCACTTTCTTGGATGCACAGAGGTTCTGTACTTGCGCTGTCCAACAGGGTGGCCACGGGTCCCCTGTGGCTCTGGAGTGCCAGAAACGTGGCTAGTAGCTGCCGTATTGGAACTCGTAGTTCTAGAACCTTCCATAAAACAAACCAACTTGACCTGTGTAACTTCCAGCCTCTGCCTCATTGCAGCAGGTTTTCTTGGAAGGATCGCCAGCAGTTTCCATCCCCCTCCCTCACCTCCTCTTCCATCCTCAGCCCCGCCCCACCGGGCGTCCCCCCTCGGGCCCTCTGAGCCGCTCTCACCAAGGCCACCGGTGACCTCTGCCCTGCCAGGGCCCATTTTTGTCTTGCTCAGCCTCTCGGCAGCCCTTGGCCCAGGAAGCTGCTGGCTCCCTCCTGCCGCCCTCTCCACTCCAGCATCCCAGCCACCGCCCTCTCTGTCCAGCCTCCTTCACCTTCCCCACGACTCCACATGTTCCAGGCCAGGCTCGGTCCTCACTGCCTCCTCTCCCCAGCTCTCCCAGGGGGTCTTGTGCCCCGTGCTCTTGTCTCTGTGCAGCTGACCCTCGGTCTATCTTGAGGCCCTCGGCTGCCCCCGACTTGAAGATTCTCCCCCGTTGCGTCTAAGTGGCTGCTCCAAGTTCCCGTCCCCGCTGGCATCTCCCTGCCTCACCATCCGCCACATTCCTACACCAAAAGTTGACGCCGCATTCTGGACTCCTCTCTTTCCTCCCCCCACACCTGGTCCAACTCCAGCAGCATCTAATCCACCTGCAGAAGCATCTGGAATCACTCCACTCCCACCACGACCGCCCAAACCCACCTCCAGCGGGGACGACGCCCAAGGTACCACCTGGTCTCCTGGCACCCACAATCCATTCTCCCTCCACAGCCAGAGGGAGCCTCGCTAACCACCAAGGCGGTCCTGCGGCCCCGCGCAGCCCTGAGGGCGTCCAGTCCTCCACGCGTGGAGGAGAATCCGGCCTCCAGACACAATCTCCAGGGCCCACTGGATGGGCCTCCGCTCCTTCTCACTCCCAGTCCTCTGGTGCATGCCCCCTTCCTGGCTGAAGAACCTGCACCAGCCGCCCCTCCGCCTGGGAAGCTCCCTCCTGTCATTCACTCCGAGACGCAGCAGCGTTGCCCCAAGAGCCCTCCCTGCTCTGCACCCCGAATTCACTCTCAGCCCCCACCTAGTTTAAATCCTGGCCCTTCTCTCTCCCTGATGTTCTGCTTGGTTATTTACTTTTAATTCATGTTGGAGCTCCTCCTGCCACTGCAAGAGCAGGAGCTGTGTGTCCTGGTCACTGCTGTGGCATCCCAGGGCCGGCGCGGTGCCCAGCAGCCAGGACTGGACAGACTCGGGCCACGCTGCGCACGGGCTGGGATGCGCTGGCTCTGCTTCCTCTTCCGTTGAATGGGAGTAAAGACCACTCCTCCCAGGGAGCTTGTGGTTTCTCACAAACATTAACTTCCTTTTGTACTTTTTTAAAGAGGTGGGTCTCGCTCTGTTGCCCGGGCTGGAGTGCAGTGGTACAATCATAGCTCACTGCAGCCTTGGCCTCCTGGGCTCAAGCCATCCTCCTGCCTCAGCTTCCCAAAGCACTGGGATTACAGGTGTATGTCACGACACCCGGCCATCCACTTCATGTTTGATCAAGCCCATATGCTTCCCTGTTACCCCCTCAGGAAAGATATGACATGCCCGCAGGGGGTTAGGGGGTCCTAACCCTAACCCACAGGGGGTCCTGCATCTCAGCTTTGGGCCATACCCCGCCAGGTCTCATCGGTCTGTGCACATCCGTACCAGCTTCAGTGTCTGACGCCCCTCACCCAGATGGAGAGAGGCCTCCACGTGCCCGGCCCTGGGCAGCCACAAGAGCACCACAGGCCACGCCATGGGACATGGGACCACGCGCCCTCCGTGGTCTGGGTGGGAAGCCCCTCGAGTGAAGGGACTGGCCAGGGTCGCCTGGGCTAGCGGGGGAAATGGGCTCCCAGAACCGCTGCGTTCACTCACAGCCGCTGGCGAGGTCTGCTTGTCGCACGGGGACCTCGGCTGTCCTGGGGGCATCTGCCTGTCCCAGGACTGAGCCTACCAGGCTTCCACCTTGGGACAGCTCTGCCTCCCACAGGCAGGGCCTGGAGGGAGCTGGAAGGGGTGGCCGGCATACCCTATTCACAGAGAGTGCTGATCAGGGGGACAGACACAGAAGCCGGGAGAACAGAGAACGGGGTCAGACTTTAGGCCAGGTGACCCTGGAAATGTGCTCGGCTCTGGGCCTGTCTGGAGGGTGGAGAAGGGGCAGGAACCACCAGTGGCCTCTGGAAACAGGAGCACTCCTGGGACCCAGCTCTGTCCAACAAGCTGTGGCAGGTAGTGAGCCCCCCATCAGCAGGGGTGTTCAAGCAGGAGCTGGCGCAGAGGACAGGGCTGCGGGGAGGTGGTGTGAGCGGGAATGCCCCCGATGGAATGAGCTGGCCACTTCAGGGAACGTTGAAGGTGGAGGGAACACTCAAAAGGACGGAGTCTGAAGCACATTTGACCTTCCCGAAGAAGCTCTCTCTCCTGGATGGGTGGAGGGCGAGTGGCTTCGCATCTGAGAGTGGGACCCACCCGCCTCGGACAGCAGAAAAGACCCCGACTCCAGCTGGAATCTGCTGGGATTCAGAGCCAGGGGCCAGCCAGTCTACCGCCTGCTGTGCCCCCGAGACCCGGAGCAGGAGGGTCCGTGTTCATCTCCTGGCCTTGCTCTGTCCACTGAAGGTGGGTTGCCAGGGACTGGACATCTAGGAACCACGGGGCCCCTGAAGGACTTACAGACCACCGTGGGGCCTGCAGGGAAAGAGGAGGCTTGGCTGGGCTAGGGAGGTGTGCGAGACGGGGTGTAACCAGGCAGGGCTTTGGCAGGAGCTGCGCTCGAAGGGCCCCAGCAGAAGAGTAGGAGTTAGGGAAGGAGGGTAACAGGCATCCCAGGGAGAGGGGGTGTGTTCGAGCCATGAAGGCAGGAGGCCCCTCCAGGGAGTGTGGGGTGTCCAGGGCACAGGCAGTGGCGGGCAATGCTGGGCGGGAGGTGGGGCTGCAGGGGTAGCTGGGGGCAGGTGGAAGGGCTTGAGTGCTGGGAGAGGAGCCTGTTCTTTAACTGGATCATCTCCCCTCCCTGGGCTTCTCTGCTCAGAAGGGGTGGGAGGAGAGAGTGCAGCATTGCTCCCTGAGAACCCTCTCCTGGGAGACCCTCTCCCGTCTGAATACTGGAGTTGCTGGGAGAGCTGGCCACAGCAGGAGAGGCCAGGCATCCGGGCCAGAGCCAGAGTCCCAGGTCTCCAATTCCCACCTCCAGGCCTCAGTTTCCCCCATCCTAACATGAAATTGTTGAACCAGATGCCTCCAAGGACTCTTGGGATTGTGTGCGGCGCCTGGTGTCTCCCCAGCTGGAGCCCTTATGACATCTCGTGATCACCCTCACACACACTGCCCCCTGCAGAGAGCACCCCGCTGTCCCCCAGGGGACGATGGGGACAGTGCGTGTGAGGTGGGCACCAAGTTCCTTCCGCGGCCTGTGTCATCACTAATGAAATCAAGAAATATGGTGGTTCCAGGCTTTTAAACTTCTTACGACTGAATTTGCATAATCACAACAGCCGTGCTGGGACGGGCGTGCATCTGTCTAAAAATATTGTTCCTCGTCTCGATCATTTAAACCAGACAAGAGGCCAGGGCTGGTGTGGGGCCGGGGCCGGGGCTGGACTGAGGATTCTGCTGATGGAGCGAAGTTTCCAGCTCCAGGGGGAAAGGTGGGCGGAGGGCCAGACGTGTGGGGGAGGCGGGGAGATGGTTGGAAAGCTATAGATCGATAACTTTTCATCGTTCCAATGTTTTGCCGATAGATCATGTTTACTGCTAACGTCTGCCTGCCTCTGCAGCTTGGCTCTCGCCCTGTCTGTCTCCCTGGGCTCTGCCGCAGAGCCCATGAGGCTGTGATAGGCATATCAGGGCAGTTGGGCCTCGAGCCGCAAGGCCTGCCACGGTGACCCGGCCCAGCTAGGAGCAGGTGGGGGGCCCGCCTGTGCACCTGCTGCGTCAGGGGACACAGAACCATCGTGGGCCAGGAGATGGTGTTGGCTCTGCCGTGCGCCTGCTGTGTGACCTTGGGCATGTCACTTAACCTCTCTTAGCCTCAGTCCCCTCATCTGTCAAACAGAGATCATCACGGTGTCCGCCTCCCAGGGTTGTGGTGGGGGATGCATCACCAGTTACTGAAGGCTCCTGGCATGATGCTGGGTACAAGGGGGTGCCCAGTAGACACTCATTTCCTCCTCAGTAGGGGAGGGAAGGTGAGTGCAAGGCAGTATGGGAGATGGAGCCGCACGCTGGACATATGTGGGTTTTCCTTCAGCACAGTTGCCGGACCTGGTGCCCACAGAGGGGGGCCCATTGAGGGATCTCACCAGCTCTGGGGGCTCCCTCATGGCTCCCCCAGACCCAGTCCTCTCTTCCGCTCCCTGCTCCCATCCTATTGTCCAGGGGAGGCTGGCGGGGGTTGCAGGCAAGGCCAGGGCTGGGAGGGCTGACTCGGCGGGGCTGGCTCCTGGGGACATGGCCGCAGGGTTGGGTCTAGCAGGCCCCTGACCTCCGCCTTGCCCTCCAGGAGGCCGGGCTGGGGAGTAGAACGGAGGGGACTGCTGCCTGCACCACGTCCCCACTGTGTGAGGACTCGGTGAGTGCTGGGGAAGGTCAAGGGGCTATGGGAACGGTGCCGAGTGCCTGACGACCTTACCATGTGACCTTGGGCCATCCACACGACTCATGGAAGCTGCAGGGCTCCCCCTGCCCTGCCCCCAAGAGCAGGAACACCCTACAAGTGTGCAACAGAGAAAAGCTCCTGTTTCCTCGACGGTCCGCCGGTGTGCAGCACCTCCCGCATGCAAAGCCCCTCCCCAGGGTTCAGGGAGGCAAAGGTTAGTGTTACCTCAATTGGACAGATGGGGAAACAGAGGCTCAGCATGGGAAAGTCTAGCCAGGAAGTTGAGACTCCCCCACGGCAAGGCCCAGGAAGGCGGCAACAGCACTCCACTGCTACTTAAAAATGCAGATTCCCGGAGCGGGCGCAGTGGCTCACACCTGTCATCCCAGCACTTTGGGAGGCGGAGGCAGGAGGACGGCTTAAGCCCAGGAGTTCGAACCCAGCCTGGGCAATGTGAGACCCCATCTTTACAAAAAATAAAAAAATTTGCCGGGTGTGGTGGCGTGCGCCTGTGATCCCAGCTATTTGGGAGGCTGAGGCAGGAGGATCCCACCGGCTCAGGAGGTTGAGGCTGCAGTGAGCCATGACTGTGCCACTGTGTTCCAGCCTGGGTGACAGAGATCCTGTCTCAAAAAAAAAAAAGAAAAAAAAAGTGAAAATGCAGATTCCTGCCTCACCCCAGAATATGCAGAGGCAGGCCCCGGAGTGGGAGCCCAGGGCTGGGTGAGACAGACCCTCCCCAAGGCCCTGGCCCTGGAAGGTCGGGAAGGGGGTGCCTGGTCCCCTCTGCCTCCTCCCGACCAGAGCGGGGAGGGCTCAGGGCTGGGGCTGGGGCCCTGAGTGCTGCCTCCTGGGATACACCAGGCTTATTCTGCCATCCTACCTCTGGGCTCGCAGCCCCGGGCTGCTCTGGAGTTAATTAGAGACTCAAACATTTAATGGTCTGTTATGCTTCCACGGGGCATCTTTTAAATTAAAAAACATGATGTGTGGCGCCGTTGGAGGGAGAAATCACTTTGCAATGGTTCCCTGCTCCGGCGCTGGCAGGGATGTGGGGTGCGGGTAGCTGGCTGGCCCCGGGAGAGGAGGAATGACCCTCTCCAGGAACACTGGTCCCCCTCCCACCACCGTCAGAAAGCGCATCACTTATGCCAGGCAAGGGTCTAGGTGTCCAAGGATGCCTGGCACTTTCCTCATCACGCCCTCATAACCCTGGCAGCTGGAAGTTCTATCTTTAGTCTGACCTGAATCTCTCCAGTTGCTTTCAGGGATGGCTGGTTTGAGACTGAAGGCAGACAGGTGCTGGTTCTTCTCTTCCTAGTAGTACCCTGACCTCCAGGAGCCCCTGAGCTCTGGGAAAGCCTTTCTGATGATCTCAAGCTTGCAGATTCTGTCCCTGTTCTGACCGGGGGTCACAGCCTAGTGGTAGAACAGGACCTCCTGCTAAGATGCTGGAAGGACCCTTTGGGGGAGCTGAGGCCTGGCTCCCCTCTCCCCAGGCGCAGGTGCACAGGCGTGTGGGCTGTCTGCAAGCACAGATCCTGCCTCACAGCACCATTACCACAATGACTGAATCTGTGTTTCCTGGCTGCTGTTAATTGTGCTAGAGATTTGGGGCATGGTTTTGGGGTGAAGGTTAGAAATGAGCAATTAGCCCTCAAATGTTAAACTAATAAGGGAAATAAATGATCAAGCAAAGTCTAGCCTAGGAGGTTTCAGCAACGGAAGATGGGCTGGGACGGGGCTGGGATGCGGCCGCCCCAGGCAGGGAGTGGCCCAGCCCGGTTTGCTCAGTGACCAGGATGTTTCCACAGTCGGAAGGGGTGCTATCTCCTGTCTGTTACTAGAAAGTTCTATCATAACCCCAGGGATGCTGACATAACACCACGAGACAATTACTGTCCTACCGCCCAGGGCTCCTCCTGCCTCAAGAGGACAGGGAAGGGATTTGCTGTCCCCACGCCCATCAGCACCCGAGAGGCCTGTCACTCCCTCTGGAGGCTTCCCCGGCCACCAGCCCTCGCTCACACGGTCACACCATTTCCACTCCCCAAGGCCACCTGTCGGGCACTGCGTGTCCCGGGGACTGGTGTCCCGGCTGCCAAGGAACCTCAGCTGGATCTGGCTGAGCTGTGAAAATAAAAATGTGGGCTGGGTGCGGTGGCTCACACCTATAATCTCAGCATTTTGGGAAGCCGAGGTGGGTGGATCACTTGTGGCCAGGAATTCTAGAACAGCCTGGCCAACATGGTGAAACCCCATCTCTACTAAAAATACAAAAATTAGCCGGGCGTGGTGGCAGGTGCCTGTAATCCCAGCTACTCGGAAGGCTGAGGCAGGAGAATCGCTTGAACCCAGGAGGCAGAGCTTGCAGTGAACTGACATTGTGCCACTGCACTCCAGCCTGGGTGACAGAGTGAGATTCTGTCTCAAAAAAGAAAAAAGAAAAGAAAAATGAGATGTCTCTTGACCTCATCACACAGCCTTTCCCCGAAGCTTGTTCAGCGCCGTCCCCACTGTGGCTTGAGCTCACTTCCCAGGAAAGAGGTTTCTGCAGACAAAGCTACTGCCACAGCCTGGAGATGCTTGCTTTTGACTTGCTTGTCATCAGCTCCGTGGGGCATATTTCTCCCCACCGACATGGCCTTCCCCTGCTTTGCGGCTCGGGGAACTCCATGCCATCCTGAGACAGGACACCCGCCTCTGTCTACCAACCTCTTTACTGTTTGAATTCTTACATTTAACTGTCAATCCACCTGCAGACTATTTTTCTGGTGTAAAGAAGGATCAAAATTGATTTTCTCCCTTCCCCCAAATAGGCAACAAATTGCCCTGACACTATGTTGAGTAATCTATTCCCTCGGGCTGATTTCTGGTGCTCCATCTCCACCCAGGCTGGAGCATCTCCTGCCTCTCCTCCTACCCCCTGCAACCTTACGTGGCTCCCCAGTACCCTGGAGAGAGTCCGCACTTCTTAAAGGGGCTGACTGGGCATCAGTGAGGGTCCTTGCTGTCTCTCAGCTCTCATTTTGCCATTTGAGGCTGTGATTCGCCTGGACTTCTTGCATTTTTGCTGACATGCTGTTTCCTCTGCCTGGGACGTGAACCCCTCCCAGCACCCCAATGTTCCCCCACTCAGTGGGCTTCTCTGTTCAGCCCCCAGATTGGGGCTGGAACCTCCCCTCTGTAACCGGGGCTGCCTGTGCTTGCTCCGCTGTGACCCCACGCTGCCAGGCTCTGATTCCCATCTATCTCCACCTAGAGTCCACCTTCTGCACCGAAAGCTCGGGGCAGGTAGGGCTGGAGCTGGGGTTTCCTTTCCAGGCACTGAGTAGGCAGTGCATGCTGAATGAATTCAGGGAAATATTAACTCCATAGCTGCCTATAACGGAAGGCAACCAGGCCAGGCACCTGGCTCATGCTTATAATCCCAGCACTTTGGGAGGCCGAGGCGGACAGATCACCTGAGCTCAGGAGTTCCAGACCAGCCTGGCCAACATGGCAAAACCCCGTCTCTACTAAAAATACAAAAATTAGCCAGGCGTGGTGGTGGGGGCCTGTAATCCCAGCTACTCAGGAGGCTGAGACAGGAGAATCGTTTGATTCTCCTGCGGAGATTGCAGTGAGCTGAGATCGCACCACTGCACCCCAGCCTGGGCGACAGAGCGAGACTCCGTCTCAAAAAATATATAAATAAATAAAGGAAGGCAATCCGAAATCGGCATATGTCACGGTTTTCCTGGGATGGGCCCTGTGCATGTCTGTTTCCCCGTATAATGGTGAATACATCCTCTTGTCACTCTAAAAGTATCCCATTTGGGGCAATAAATTGTCATATGGTCACCCTCTCATGAGGCCTCTGTGTGGGACCATTTCTCCTATTTCTATTGATAACACCTCCCCTCTCTTCTTTTACCAATTTCAGCACAATATCAATCACCATAACTCTATAAAAAGCTTCCATACCTGGCAGGAAAGACATCCTTCATCATTCTCCCTTTTCTGCGTTTCTTTAGTCTTGCCATTTGAATATTCATTCAGATGAACTTTTAGAATGATTTTATCTCGCTTTGTAAAACTCGCTGCGAGCCTGTTGATGGATGGTGGTAAACCTGTGAATTAATTCTGGAAAGACTTTCGGGTAATATTCCAACACGGCACATCTCACCACTCTTGTTTTCTTTGATATCTCTCAGGATAACTTTAGAGAGTTTTTCATAATGATCCTAAATTTCTCTTGTCGATTCATTCCTGGGAATTGGGAGGGTTTTGTTGTTTTATTGGTGCCGTTGTAAGTGGGGACCGTTTATTTAATTATGTGTCTCGACTAGCTGTTGTTAGTTCAGAGAAAAGTTATTGATTTGTATATGTTGGTTTGATTTCCAGCCCAGCACCTTCGTATTAAATTTTTATATTAAGTCATTTTTTTTCTCAGTTGCTTCTCTTGGGTTTCTAAGATCTTGAATCATTTTGTCAGCAAATAATTACAATTCTTCCCTGTAGACATCCCATTTAATTCTGTTTCATGTCTTATTGCTATGTCCAGAATTTCTGGACAATGATGAAAGCATTGCTGTTTTTTAATATAAGTTTCTGAATGGGAATCATTAAAAAATCTCATCACCTAGAATGATTCTGGCTGTTGAACTGAGACAGATTCTTGACTTCGATAAAGACGTGTGTTTCTGGTTCTATTTCTAGCAGTTACTTTAAAATCCGAAATTGGCACTGGATTTTATCAAATGCCTTTCGTCATTATGAATGTGCATTCCAGCTGACCTGTGGACACTGTGTAGTTTATTAATAGATTTATCTAATATTAAGCCAACTTTGAATTTTTTGTATAACTTCTACATAATCATGGCCGATTCTTATCTCTGTGATATTCTGTGGAATTGGATTTCCTTGAGTGTCTTTGAGGCTTTTTGATCCAATATTCACGGGTGAGATCAGGGTGGGGTTTCATTTCCTGCAGGGTCTTGGCTGGTTTGGGGTTTGAGGCTGTCCTGGCTTCCTCCTCCAGCTCATCAAACAGTGTTGCTGCTGGAAGCCCCTGGCTCTGTAGGCTTGGCCCCCCTCCCCAGTGGATGTGTTCCGGAAAGTCCTGCAGGCAAACACCACACACTGCTTTGTAAAGTGAATGATCATTTTCTCAAGTGAAATGTCACGCCTCATTTGTCTTCTGTGCTTTCCAGATTTTCACGATTCAGGGTCAGCTCAAAGCAGGGTGAACGATAGAGAAGCCTCCTCTGGGAGAGCTCATGACCGCCTGGAAGGCATCCGACGTGGCGGATTCGGAGATGGCATCTGGGAGGGGCTGGTCCCCGGGTGGGGCTGCCGAGGGCCTTGGAGGGTGACCCCAGCTCCCTGCCCTTGAGGCTAGGCCTGTGAGACCACCCCCGCCCACCTCCTGGGGCCTGCTGGTCTACGTGCCTCGGCATCCGTGCTGACAGATGGACATCCCAGTAGGCATTTGAGAGGGGAGGGCACAGACAATACAAAATGAATAAACTGCAATCTCAGCCCCTTCGGGACGGCTGTTCTAACATAGGAGAAAAGGAACAGACGCAGGAAGTAAATAGGGGCTCAAGGCAGGACTACTAGGGCCGACCCTGTCTGCAAAAGACAGCTGCGTCTCTACCTCCCACCTGGAGTCTGCAGAGACCTTGACACCCCCTGCTGAGACACAGGGTCTAGCTCAGCACGCCTGAATCTGGGCTGGCCTGAGACAGCCTTAACCAAGGCGCTGGTAGAAGCGAAGCCGTGTCCGTCCTGGGCACAGCCCCTAGCTAGGCCGGCCACCCTGCCTCCTGTGTCCTAGAAGCAGCCACCAGGTGAGAAAAGCGACTTTCCCAGCACCCTGCTGTGAGGCCTGGGTGGTGGGGGGTGTGGTCCCATCGAGACTGAGAGGCTAGGGCCATGGCACTGGCTTGGGAGTGAAGGAGCCGCTGCTGAGCAGAGGTGAACCGCCCTGCTGAGCCCTTCCCAGTGCCTGACCCAAGAACCCTGAGCAAAAGAAGCTGGCCCTGAGCCCCGGGGTGCAGGACTTTGTGGGACAGTGGAGGATCACTGACTCACACCAAACCCAAGTCCTCAAGTAAGAGGGAGTGGGTGGGGAGCCCCAGGCCTCCTCCAAGCTCACGTTCCCCATCCACCACAGGGGGCCAAGCTCTGGCTCTAAGAATCCACTGGAGAATTGGAGGGCTCCTGGCAGTGAGTTGAGCAGAGGGGCCCTGTGTGGTGTGAGGGCCAGAGGAAGCTGGCAGTGGCAGCTCCGCGGGGCAGGAGGAGCTGGGCTTTAAGCTGAGTTTGCCTCCTGAGCAGCCGGCTGCTCCCCAGCTGGGTGATTTGCAGAATGTCCTTAAGTTCTTTGAGCCTCAGTTTACCTTTCTGACAAATGGGGCCACTGATAGCCATCATGAGATGATGGACATCATGAGATGATGAACAGGACCATCACGACAGTGAGATGCGATGGTGTTTGTGAACACGCTGGACACACGGAGGAGCTGGTGTGAAACTCCCCTTCCCCGACAGGAGCTGGGACCCGGGTGGAGCTGGATCCTCCCACTCAGTTCCTGATACTCACAAAACTCTGGGTCTTTCCCAGCCTCTGTTTTCTCTCCTCTGAAAACTGAAAATACTAACATCACCCTGGGGTTCCTGGAGGGGGGAACGTGAGAAAACGCATGTGCTGTGTGCTGCCTGGGGCGTGAAGTGGTCCAAAAGCCATCGGTGGGATTTGCATGGACAGAAGGAAAGGTGGGGGGTCTGAGCAAAGCCCAGGAGGTGCCTCCGAACCAGGGGACCCTGAGCGCTGGGGCAGTGGCTTTCTGTGAGGGAAGGTGGCCAGGACCCTGAGTGAAGAGGACTGGGTGCCTGTTGGCAGCAGCTGGCTTCTGCTCGCCCAGCCAGCTCTGCAAACCCTCCGCATCTCAGAGCCTATCAAGAATCTCTCTAATAACACAGCAAACATTAATTACAGCTGAAAGGCCGCAGAATGCGGTTGGTCTGAAAGAGGCTGCCCCTTGTTAGTCAGTGAGCCTCTGGGAAGGGTGCAGGCCGGGGCTGGGCTCCCTCCACAGGGGCTACTGCAGTGGCAGGGGGATGGGGAGCAGGAGTCACTCCCAGGGCTACAGTGCAGACCACAGGTCCTGGGGGAGACCTTCTGTTCTCACCCGTTTGGCGCCCTAAGGGAAAGCCTGTCCTCGCAACCTGGAGCAGGAGAGGCAAAAAGAGAGGCCCCTGGGTGGAGCAGGAAGGTCTGGGATCCAAGTCCGGCCCTGCCTCTCAATGGCTCTGGACAGAAAACCGCCCATGCAAAGGGGTGGTGCTTGGACCTCTCGGCCTCTCTCAAACCGCTCCCCTGCACACAGGGTGGAGAGAAGGCCCATTCCCTGGGCATTCAAAAGTCCAACAGGCTGCAAATAAGGACTAGGGGAGGTGAGGCACAGTGGCTCACCCCTGTAATCCTGGAGCTTTGGGAGGGCAAGGTGGGAGGATTGCTTGAATCCAGGAGTTCAAGATCCGACTGGGCAACAAAGCAAGACCCCATCTATGCAAAAAATAAGAAATCAGCTGGGCATGGTGATACATGCCTGTAGTCTCACCTGCTTGGGAGGCTGAGGCAGGAGGATTCCTTGAGCCCAGGAGGTGGAGGCTACAGTGAGCCATGATCACACCATTGCATGCCACCCTGGGTGACCAAAAAAAGACTACTGGATAAGGCCAAAGCATCCAGGCAGACAGAATATTGGAAGGGAGTGGAGTCCTCGAATTGAATGAGGAAATGAAGGGAGGCCCCTTGAGTGGGGCTGGGGAGACAGCTTGGGGCTACCCTTCTAGGGCAGCCCAGGACTGACCACAGGGGCACCCCACTACTGAAGGTCCCAAGACTTAGTTCCTTTCCCTGCCCCTCTCATGGAAAAGAGAAAAGGGAGGATTCAGCCCTAGTTTCTTGGCCTCTGGAAACAGCTGAGCTTCAAGAGATACCCCCACCAGAATAAAAGCCTCAGGAGATAACCCCATCAGAATAAAAGACCTTGTCTCATCATTTCTAGCTACCCCAGGGAGAAGAGCAAGACTGCATGGTGGAGAGGCCTGGCTGAAGCTTGGGGACTCACACTCACCATCTCCACCCCCCTCGTGTGCTCATTCATTCTTCATTCTCACAATCATTCATTCACTTGGTATTTATTGAGTGCTTGGGTGTGGGCAGGGAAGGAACCAAGATGGACGGAACAGGGTTGCTGTCTTCATGGATCACAGAGGCTATGAGTGCTGAAGAGAACACGCGTGATGGAATCCCACAGCCCGACCCCGATGCTGGACACCGATCCTGTTGCCTGCTGCTGTGTGCCCCTGAGTAAGTAGCCCACCCACCCTGGGCTTCAATCTTTGTGCCTGTAAAACGACCCTCAGAGGACTAAACAAAAGGACAAATGATGGGAAGAACCCAGCCCGGCTCCTGTCTCAGCAGACATGGGTCCCCTACGGAAGAATCGGGACGTGCAGGGGCGAGTTCTGGTGGAGGAGGCATCCCAGCCCGCCTGTGGGCCCTACGGGTAACAGCTGGGCTCATGTCCCACCTGAGGCTGGGACGACGGCCCCTCCCCTCTTCTCAGGGTGACACCCTTGCCGTGCCTCTGGCTGTCACCTCCCACCTGCTCACCTGTCTGTATCCAGGAGGTAGAGGGAGAAGGGACTTGGGGGCCCTCCCTGGACAGAGCCTGGGCTAGAAGCGAGTGGCTGGCTAGCTCTCCCTGGAGGCCTGGGTCCCCTCTGCAGCAGCTGCCACACCCCAGGGGATCCAGGGACCCCGGGGAGCACACTCTGGTGGGCGTGAGGCCTCGGGGGAGCTGGGCCAGCTTGGCCTTGGGGAGGGACTTGGCGTGGTGTTGGGCTGAGCGTGCCGCCAGCATATGTCTGAGCGGGCACATTTGGCAGGGTCCATATGCTGACTGCTATAAATAGATCTTCTCATTTAGGCTTCAAAGGGCCAAGGTGAGGAAGAACTGACAGGGTTTGGAGAGGCACGGTGCAGGCAGGGCTGCGGCTCTCGGCTTGGGGTGGGAGCACCACCCAGAGACCCACAGTGGCTCATGTCCCCATCCCAGCATAGTGGCCGGGACAGAGCTTGGGTGCGGTGGCCACAGGGCAAGGAGGGGTCAGGACCGTGGCGGGTGCGGACCTTGGAGCCCTGCGTTCTCCAGCCGAAGACCCACTAGGCCCTGGGAGAGAATAGTGCGTGTGTATGAGTGTGATTTTTGTGTGTGTATTGTGTGTGTGTGTATTGTGTGTGAGTGTGATTTTTGCGCAAGTTGTGTATTTGCGTGTGAGTGTGATTTGGGGTAAGACTGTACTATGTGTGTGTGATTTTTGTGTATTGTGTGACTTTTGTGCGTGTGTATTTGTGAGTGCGAGGGTGTGTTGTGTGTGATTTTTGTGTGAGTGTGTATTTGTGTGTGATTTTTGTGCGAGTGTGTACTGTGTGTTATTTTGAGTGTGTATTATGTGTGTCTGAGTGTGACTTTTGTGTGAATGTGTACTGTGTGTGTGCGCATGTGTGGGCATGTTCTCTGGCCCCTCCAGCCATGGGTCTACCACTTGCCCCGCCCCACCCTTTCCCGACGTGCACACACAGACGTGCACACATGTGTTACACACAGGAGCGTCTAATTACTGCCTCACAGCAGGCGGGCGTCCGACAGCTGGGGCAGCCAGAGGACATTCCATTTTCGGTGAAGCCGACAACACTGGAAACCACCCAACTGGGGTGTGAGTGCACCCTCTCAGGAGTGACTTAGTCAATGAGAGGCAGCCGGCCCGGGAGGGAGGCCTGTGTTCTGCTCCCACCCCACCCCCGCTCTGCCTCACACCTGCTGCCCTCCCTCCCTCCCGTCTGTCTCGCTCCCGCCTCTCTAAGGCTGCACCGACCTGGCAGACACACGCACCTGTCACCGGCCTCGCCTGCGCCCTGTCCCGTCCCACTGTCTCCTCTCCTCTCCACACCACCAGGGCCCCCGCCAGCTGCCAGGAGCCCCAGCACCAGCTGTGGGCGGGATTCTGGCCGGGCAGCCTCCCTCTGGGAATCATCGGCCTATTCCCTGGGTTCCTTCTTCCCTAAAGACAGTGCCTGGCCCCTGCTGTGGGCCAAACTGCCTGCACCCACCAGGTTTTGGGGTCTCAGGGTCACCTGCTTCCCCTCCCTAATCCTGGCCTCTGCCCCACTTCTGGGAGACCCCTTTTTGATCCCCAGCCCAACCTTGCTCAGGGACAGAACCACCCTCTGGGGTGCAGGGCTGGGCTGTGACACCTTGTTCTGCCTCCTGGGCTGTGCCCCTCCCCACAGGGGCCTCGCCAGGGCCATGCCCGGCATGGTGGGGAGGGGGCTAGCACCTCACATCAGGGCAGGGCCAGTGTCCATTGTGAGGTAAGGCGATGAAGATGATGATGCCCTCAGAAGTTGGCAAAGAGGCTGACACAGGCCAAAAGGGGTGCCAGGGGTGCAGGACGGGAGGTGGGTGTGAGGCACAGGTAACCTTGACCTTGAGGAAGGGGCAGTGGTGGCCGTGAACCTGCGAATCCACGGAGAAGAATCAGGTGAGACACACCCGGCCTCTGTGACAGGCCCTGGGGGGAGTCGCGTTCATGGGGCCCCGGGCTCTGGCAAGGCTGTGGTCAGTGATCACTTATGCTTGAGTCCCTCAAAGGGCGGGGGTTCCCCAAAGGGGGTCCGGGTGGGGGTCACAAGCTCTGTCCTCACCTGGTTCTACCTGGGAGCAGCAGTTTGGGCGAAATTTGAGAGTTTGCAGGAGGGCCAGGACCAAGATCCAAGCCTTCCCTCCTGCTGGACTGATTGAGGGTCAAATTCATCTCCACAAGTCACACAGGGCAAAACTCACACCCACGTAGCCAGCCAGCAGGGAGGTGGGGCCGCACGGCACCTCAGGGAACAGGAAGACCAAGAGCAAGTTCAAGGGTAAACACGGTCACCTGAGAAGGCAACGCGGGCTGACTTAATAGAGATCTGTTAGGTAGAATAGAGGAGGTGATCTGGTTCTGCCCAGCACTGCTTAGCCACGATGAAGGGTTTGGTTTCAGACCTCCAGGGAGATCACAAAAGCTCATGCTGACATTGCACCTACCACGCGCCAGGCACTGTGCTAGAAACTCTGCATATATTAACATGTTGGATACTTATGGTAACCCTGTGACGTCTGTGCTGTTATTTCCATTTTACAGACGAGGGGCAGACATGTTCGTGAACTTGCCTGAGTTCCCACGGCAACTAAGTGGTGGGGCCGGGGCCTAAGCCAAGGCAGCCTGGCCCCATAGCCCCTGTGACTAACCACATCCCACGTGGCTCACAGGTCAGCGTGGGCATGTTTCCGGGTGAATGAGTGGCCTCAATGGGAGGGGACACAACGTCAGCTCATCCAAAAAAAAGTGGGAGGAGATGGGGTGTCTGGCTGAGGGCAGGGGCGTCAGGTGCACTGCAACTTGCAGAGCTGCCTATAGCAGAAGGCTCCCCAACCCCGTGCAGGCACTGCATGTGGCCACTCCTCATCCTCCCAGAGACTTCTCCATGCCTGACAATGACAGCAGGACCCAGTACACAGTGCTGGAAAACAACTAGGCAACATCTCACCAAGGCAAAGATGCTCGTGGCCCACGAGCCCAAGCCCCAGGCCGGGGCACAGCCCTGGAGAAGCTGGGAGAGCTGCCCAAAGATGTTCATAACAGCATTGTTTATAATGGTGACAGGGCAGACACCAGATGTCCATGAGAGAGTGGACCAGAACCTTGTGAGGCGTGGGCCCGATGGAGTACTATGCAGCAGTGAAAAAGAAGGAACCACAGAGCCATGTGCACAGAGTGGATCCCACTCACAAATACGCCTCCCAGCCAACAAGCAAGCTCTCCAAGATACCTGCTGTACCACACGCCATATCCAAAGCGTCAGAGCCTGCAAAAGCGTATTACATAGGCGTTTGTACAAATATGGTCAAAGTATACAAAATGTGTCACGATAACGTTGTGGAGGTCTGTCGCACAACACCGCAAATCCACTGAACACCACTGAACCGCGTGCTGAAATGCTTAAGATGGTGAATTTTATGTATATTTGACCACTATGAAAAAAAATTTTTTTTGAGATGGAGTTTCACTCTTGTCACCCAGGCTGGAGTGCAGTGGTGCGATCTTGGCTCACTGCAACTTCCAACTCCTGGGTTCAAGTGATTCTCCTGCCTCAGCCTCCCGAGTAGCTGGGATTATAGGCACCTGCCATCACACCTGGCTAATTTTGTATTTTTAGTAGAGATGGGGTTTCACCATGTTGGCCAGGCTGGTTTTGAACTCCTGACCTCATGTGATCTGCCCACCTTGGCCTCCCAGAGTGCTGGGATTACAGGCGTGAGCCACCGCACCCAGCCAAAAAAATTTTTAAAGAGAAAGAGGGATAAAGGATCTAGAAGGGGAAGCTTTCATTGCACAGGGACTAAGCTGGGAAGGGGTGGGTATTTAGGTATTCATTGTATTACTCCTTAGGTCATTGATTGTATTAAATATTTTATAACTTTAAAATATTTATAAGGGATTTCTTAGATATTTGAGACATCTTAAATATTTTATAATCAATTTTAAAATGTTTTAGAAAGCAATGGGCTGCCATATAAAACTAAGCTCCCCATTAGTGGAGGTATACAAGGAGAGGCAGGACACCAGAGACGGTATTAAAGTACTGGAGTGGAAGTTGGACTGAAAAAGTGGCTCCTGCCCAGGCGCGGTGGCTCACACCTGTAATCCCAGCAGTTTGGGAGGCTGAGCGGGGGGTGGATCACCAGAGGTCAGGAGTTCGAGACCAGCCTGACCCATATGGTGAAATCCTGTCTCTACTAAAAATATAAAAAAATTAGCCAGGCGTGGTGGCAGGCACCTGTAATCCCAACTACTTGAGAGGCTGAGGCAGGAGAATCGCTTGAATCCAGGAGGCGGAGGTTGCAGTGAGCCGAGATCGCGCCACTGCACCCCAGCCTGGGTGACAGAGTGAGACTCCATCTCAAAAAAAAAAAAAAAAAAAGTGGCTCCTAAATTGGGCTAGCTGTGAGGATGACTCATGAACTTTAGAAAAAGAGGCTTCCAAGACGTAACTCTGGGGTCCTGATTTGGTAAGTCTAGGTAGGGCCAAGCACCTGTACTTGTTAATGTGCCCACTTCTCCAGCTAGACAACCTGTCTGGTCTAAGCACTGTTTCTCTAGTCCCAAGGACCAGGCCTGGGCCACCCGGGCCCCTGACCAGGTCAGCCATTCCCAGGGCTGCGCAGAAGACCGTCCACTTCGCACCTGTTGTAGTAAAGGATGGGATGTACACACCCCAGAATGTTCTGGGAGCCGTAAGCCAGGGGCCTCTGGCAGTGAGTCACACAAAAGCTCCCATGGCACAGATACAATCACTGAAGACCAGAGAGGGGAAGGGAGTGTCACAGAATCACAGGGGACCGAGGGAGACTTGAGCTTGGGCCTTCTCGTTCCCTTCCAGGACCTCCCTCTGCCATGGGCAGGGGTACTGATTGGCTTCAAAAACTCCTGGACAGCAGATCGTGAGCGATGGTTTTGGGTGCAGTCCCTCCCTCAGAACACCCTCCTCGACCCTGACAGGCCCGGCTTCCTCTGGGCACTGAGGAAACACCCGATGGACTGAGTGTGGTGGGCTTGGCAGGTGCGTAACTCGATGCCCTGCATGCAAATGGTGCCCGTGAGAAGCTGAACCTTCATCTCACAGGCTGATGGCTTTAAGGCCCCAGCTGTTCTTCTTCCAGCCGACAAGGCGTTTAAAGCACCTACTATGTGCCAGACGCCACGCTAGGGCATGGCACAGGGCAGATGCACTGTCCAGCAAGTTCGCTGCCTTGTGTGTGCCTTCCAGCGTGCCTGGAGTCACATCAAGAGACGCTCCCAATATTGGCCTCTGCCCCCTGAGAGCTTGCACTCACACACTTAGGCCCTGAGAGGGAAAGGGATTTTCCCTGAGTTACACAGTGAGGTCATCCCTCTCCAAGGTGACACCCCTGTAGCTCCCTGAAAACATCAGGCCTGGTTGGGCAGCCAGGAGGAGGGTGAGTGAGTGATCAGCCATGTAACTGCCTCCCACCGGCTCTCCCTCCCCCAGTGCAAGTTGCTAAATCTTTCTGTGCCTCTCAGCTACCTCACAGGGATGAGAGAGCTCATTACAGTAATGCCAGACAGGTTTTATCCAATGTTTAATTTTGCAAGTGCTGACACGTGTTTATTTAAACATGTTATTAAACACATAGAAATACCATGACGTGGAAAGTCTTCTGATCATTCTCATTTTCCAGAAGAGGAAACTGAGGCACAGAGAGAGTGCAAGGGACACGTTGGTAAGGGACACAGCTGGGACCTGGGCCCAGGCAGGATGGGTGTGGGGCTGCCTCTGTACCAGCGGAGCATGCAAGGTCTGAGTTTGAGTTAATGCTCACTATTTAGTAATCGTTACTTCAGACGATAATACAGTGATGTTCTATGTTACATAATAAAAGTAAGAGCTTACACTGTGGAAGAGAGATCCAAGTACTAGGTGCGGGGGGTGGGGGGTGCTGGGGGGAGGAAGGGATCCCACCACCGGAAGGGGAGAGAGGTGGTCTCCAGGGCCTGAGATGCACTGGAATAGGAAGGAGCTTTTAAGGAGCTCAGAAAGGCATCACAACCTGCTGAGGTTCTTGGCACACAAGCTGGCGCAAAGAGCCATCTGGTCTACCACCTGCCTGGTTAGATGGGGCCCGGTTATTGAAGGCGGTTTTCCATTCATTCATGCCACAAACCTGCACGCTGGTTCCCTGGCTCATGGCCTCGGTGTTCTCTGCTGTGCCTGGGTGGAGGCTGGGGACCCATTCCTGAGGCTTGTTGGGGCATAGCTGGCTGCCCCTTGCCCGCAGCTGTATGGGCCTCCTGGCAGGCGTGAGCCAGCAGGCCTCTGGGAAAATCAAGGGCAGGCAGAGGAAGCCTGGGGCCCACTGTGGAGACGTCTGCCCACCGGCTGTTCCCATCTTCGTCTTCCCACTGGAGTAAGGGCAGAGGCCGTGGACTCCATCCAGCCTGGGCCTGAGTGCAAGGATAGTGGCTTCCCTGGGACAGGGAAAATGGGCAGAGGGTGGGGTTTAAAAGGAGAGGTGTCTGGCTGGGACATCTCCAGGCAGCATCAGGCTCGCAAAGGACACTGTGCCAGAATGCTGTCAGCTGAGTCTTATTTCTGGGCTGAGAAAGGGGAACCCAGGACACGGAATGCCGGGTGGCTGGGGCTGGGGTTTGCAGAGGAGATGGTGGGGGAGGGTTTGCAGAGGTGATGGTGGGGGAGGCCCCCACCTGAGTGCCAGTGGCTGGGGCTGGAGCTTGCAGAGGTGATGGTGGGGGAGGGTTTGCAGAGGTGATGGTGGGGGAGGCCCCTGCCTGAGTGCCAGTGGCTGGGGCTAGGGTTTGCAGAGGCGGTGTTGGGGGAGGGTTTGCAGAGGTGATGGTGGGGAAGGGTTTGCAGAGGTGATGGTAGGGGAGGCCCCCCACCTCCTAGCCATTTGCTCCTGGCCTGATCCCAGTGCTTCGAACCCCACCATTTGGGGAGATTCCTCTGGGCCCTGTTGTGTCTTTGGTTTTCAAGAAGATGCCAAAGGTCTGCCAACAGATCTGGAAAGGGCAGTGTCCTCACAGAATCAGAGTCTGTGGCCCCATCCAAACTCGGCTCCTCCTTCTGTCGGTTGAGGTAGGGAGGGAGGGCACTGCGGGGGCTGGGAGGCTTGGGGAACAACAGGGCCATGTCTAAGACACAGGGGTCTCCAGGGGTGGGTGTGTCCAGAGGGCCCTGTCTGCGGAAGCGGGAATTAGACGGGGCTGCCTAGCCCAGAGCCGGTCCTGTTGGTGGGCGGGGCCCTGTTGGTGGGCGAGGCCCTGTTGGTGGCTTGGGTCCTGTTGGTGGGCGGGGCCCTGTTGGTGGGCGGGGCCCTGTTGGTGGCTTGGGTCCTGTTGGTGGGCGGGGCCCTGTTGGTGGGCGGGGCCCTGTTGGTGGCTTGGGTCCTGTTGGTGGGCGGGGCCCTGTTGGTGGCTTGGGTCCTGTTGGTGGGCGGGGCCCTGTTGGTGGCTTGGGTCCTGTTGGTGGGCGGGGCCCTGTTGGTGGGCGGGGCCCTGTTGGTGGCTTGGGTCCTGTTGGTGGGCGGGGTCCTGTTGGTGGGCGGGGCCCTGTTGGTAACCCCTGGGGGTGGAGATGGAGGCACTCATTCAACCCCAGATGTGATTCAGGCACTCAGGCCCCTGGACAGCTCCGGGCTGGTCCCAGACACTCTTGGGGGCAAAAAAAGAGGAAGCTCACGTTTCCAGCCTCCTGTGCATCCCATCCTAAGAACCCCTGGAGTGTGGCTCCGCGGAGGTGAGATTCTCAGGAAGAGAAATGAGGGCAGAGGCCCAAGACCCTTCTGTCCAGGATAGGATGCCAGAGAGGTCACAGCTGAGGTCCACAAACCAATCAATGGGCGAGAGGGAATCTGAACAATCTGAACCAACACGGCCAGGGAGGGGGCCCTTCTGGAGTCCTAGAGTGGCTCCATCATTAACTTGAGTGTGACCGAGGACCTCAGCTTCCCCAGCCAGAACACAGATGGGAGAGTCTCCAGGTGGGGTGACCGCACATCCTGGTCCGCCCTACTGTCCCGATGTCACTGCAAACGCCACCTCTTTGTACTCTCAGAAGTGCTCTGGTTTGGACACTAAGTTACATGGTCGGTGTCTCTCTGGGCACCCTTTGCATTCAAAGCATGCTAATGATTTCCTCATATTTCAACTTTTAGCAAGAAAGGCTTTCGGCCAGGACCAAGGAGAGGGCCTGTGGATAGGTCAGTCACCCCCAATGCTACTTCCCATTCTCCAGTCAGGCCCGCTGAGGGTGACCCACTCTCCCTTCTTCCCACAAGGTACTGCGGCCCCAGGGTGTCCAGAGGAATGAGTGGCCAAGACCTTTTGTTGGTCCCTATTCTCCTCTTCCTCCTTTACTAATTGAACTCCAAATTTAAGCTGGACCCACCTAAATACTACATTTCTAGCTTCCCTTGCACGTAGGACCACATTCTAGCCAACGGGACGTGAGTGGAGTTGAAGTGTTCCACTGGTGAACGACTCCCTTAAAAGGAATGGGCATGCATGCCCCTTGACAGCTGGGATGCAGATGTGATGGTGGGAGCGGGAGCAGCCACTTTGGTTCCAGACATGGAAACTGCAGGTGATGGTGACAGAGCCACCCTACCAGCCCTGGGCCACTGACTTCTGGCTGTTTGTGAAAGAGAAATAAACTTCTATCTTATTTAAACTACCGTTCTTCAACAGCTTGTCCTACCTAATACAGATGAGAGGCTTCTCGCTCAGAGGAGCAGATTACAAGGGAGGGGGCCTGGCACAATCTGGAGGTACTCTGCGCATAGGGGGAAGGGAGGAGAAGCAGGACTACAACTTCCTCCTCCCCTGCGACCTGTCCCTGACATGCCCACCCTGGCACCACAGCCCCACCCTGGCCATCCCTATATGCTGCACATGCCACGTGTGTTGGAGACGCCACTGTTTCTGCCATCTCTCATACCCGAAAGCACCCTGTGCCCCTCTAAGTTCCACACACTCTTCTTTCCTAGAAGGCCACTCTGATCTGTCTGATTCTCTGAGGTCTGCATGCATGCACCGTTCCTCTCTGGGAAGGTCAGGCTCCCCCATGAACCACATCCCCAGCCAGGCCTGGGCTCCCAGGGGCACAGCTAAGGCTCCAGCTCCCCCGGCACCTTCCTCTGAGTGGAGCACACAGTAGGACCGTAGCATGTGCCTGCAGACTGGACACACTGCCTACCTCCACCTGCCCCTTCCTGGGTGTCCCAGAGTCTCAGCGTGTCAGCTGAGCAAGCCTGGAACTGCGGCCCACTGAGGTGCTCATGGCATCTCAGGGCCATGCTGCAAGCGGCCAGGCCAGGATACTCCAATGTCCTGAGCAGCCTAAGCTAGGGCAGGCAGAGAGCCCCATGGGCTGCTCCAGGTACCTGTGATCTCCATGCAGAGAACAGCAAGGCTGTGATACTGGAGTGTGGGTGGCTCTCCTGAGCTCCGGCTCTGGGCAGATGCACGGCCCCTGTCTGCCTCTATTTCCTGCGTGCGGCGGCACCACTGATGCCTATCGCTCAGGGCTGTGGTGTTACGGAGAGGCTGCATCAAGAAGGTGCTCAGTAAATGTGTCCTTCTCCTTCCACGCCTTTCCCCCTCCTCCCTCCTGCATGCTCTGGCAGAGAAGCAGCTCCTTGAGCTCTGGGCCACATCTTTCCAGATCAAATCATTGCTATGAAAAAACAGCAGCCCTGTCTACTAATTTCCCTCTGGCTCCCATGCCCCATGCCGGCTGCCTGCGCCCTGGCCCCTGCAGATCCTCCTCTTCTCCCTACTCTCCTTCCTCTCCCCTCCCCCTCCATGGCTGCCGTCAAGCCAGGCCTTGGTGCTGGCCTCCTCCCCAGGCCCTCCAGTTCCCCTGCACGCTCTCTGACCCACTTTAGCTGCTGGAATCACAGTTTCCCGGGTGAGGCTGGGGGAGTGCGGCTGCAGTCCTGGCTGTGAGTCACTGGGGCTGAGTTTGCAGGGGGAGGGGACAGCTATGACACGCATGCAGCCCCAGGGGTCATCACGTGACACGTATGCACAGGGATGCCTACACCTGTGTGTGCAGAATGTGGATATCCTTGCACATGCAGGGGACCTGGGGATCACACCTGTGCAGGCATGTAGCCGGGCCAGCCTGGGGCACACAAACACGCACGCACACACAGACATACGCCCACGTCCAGCGGCAGGAAGGAAGGCAGCTAAGGCTCTGGAGGGAGGATGGGGGAGAAAGACTCAGTGGCACCTGCCCAGATGGCTCGCCGGGCACATGCCAGGGCCCCAAGAGGGCTTCAGAATTTACCCAGGCCGTCACCTCACCAGATGCTGTGTGAGCCCCTGGGGCCTCCACAGCACACAACACGATGACCCTAGACCCTCTGGCTGTGGGACCAGCAGGGAAACCTGGAATTAGCTCAAGCCAAGGCTGGATTGCAGGGTAGTAGGACCTCAGGGTGGGCAGAACCTTGGGGTGGGCAGGACCTTGGGGTGAGCAGGGGATGGGAACACGTGGAAGAGGAGCAGGCACAGCTGAGAGGGCTCCTGGCTTCTCATTTACTTACTCACAGACCCTCACCCCCAACTCACTGAGGAAGAGCACAGAGAGGTTACATGACTTGCCTCTGTGTGCACAGCTGGTGAGCAATGGCGCCCACAGTTAAACCTGGGCCTGGGACAGATCCCTCCTGCTGGGTGCCAAACAGCAGGTCAGAGACCAGGGGTCAGAGGCCAGAGTTCAAAGTCGGGGGTAGGGTCTATGAAGGGAGGAGGCCAGAGCTCAGGCTGAAAGACAAACTCTGCGGCAGGGATGGGCAAACTGGGGCCGGAGGCAGCCTTCAGGAGCCCTGACCCAGGGGGAGGAGGGAATCTCCAGGTCCTGCCCAGCGGGAGAGGCCAGAGGCAGGGGGCTGGGCATCTGCAGCCACGCCTTCTGTCTGCTAATTAAGTTACAGGAGTCACAGGATGTAAATTACAGGAGTCACAGGATGTAAATTACAGGAGGAAATTAAAAGACAAATGAAGATCTAGGAGCAGAAGCTGGATCCCTGCAGCCTGGCCTGCCTGCAGGAGGAGGCTGATTGCAGCGGGGAAGGGGCTTTCTGGGAGGCAGAAGTGGGCAGGAGACCCAGGTGCTGGGGAGGGGAAAGGAATAGCTCCCTTCTCATCCAGGGTGGCCCACGGGGCGACTCCATCCAGGCTGGGCTTGGGCAGTCCCAGGTGTGTGCAGAGGGGAGACAGGATGGAGGCAGGGGGTGCCCTTGTGCCGGGCTCCTATGAGGAGAAGCAGCCAGGTGTGGGGTGGAGGCGGAAGCAGGGAGAACCCAGGCTGGGGGATGCCCCACAGTGGGCCGTGGCTCATCTCACAAATGCCAGCATGCAGCCTTGTGAATACCACCAGGACAAGGTCTATTGCCTGGCAACTAGTAGGTGCCAAACAACTACTTGGCAAATGAATAAGACATATAGTAAGCACCAACCCAAAGGCAGCAGTGACTGCCGTGGGCAAGAGAACGGCTCTTCTCTGCCGTTGGCTGAGAAGCTTCCTTCTCAGGCTGTTGGCTGCTACCTTCCTAATGACAAGGAACAGACTTAGCTGGTGTATTCCCTTCTCCTTCACCTCTACCCCACTTCCCAGTTTCCTGCCTGGGATGCAGATACGATGGCCAGAGGTGTGGCAGCCATCCTGAGGCCATGAGGACAAACGTCCGCAGTGGCAGAGCAGGAAGCTACAAGGAACCTGGACCATTGACAACCCCCTTAGGCTGTGTACCAGCTCCACTGCTGCTGTCTTTGCGTAAGAAAAATGACCCCCACGTGGGGTTCAACCATGCAGTGTTTAGGTTTGTCTTGCGCAGCCAAATTCAGTCCCTAGCTGACACAGCATAAAATACTACTGAATCATTTTATGAGAAAGTTACTCTCACTTTAAAACTCTTGATTACAACAAGAAGAAAGTCTCAGATCAGGGTTGGTGAGTCTTGAACACCTCTGCACACTTACTGCTCTCCCTTTTTAATAAAGCAATAGTAGGCCTTGGGCTCTGAGCCTCCCCCGGGGCTACAGCATCCAACTAGAATTTAATAACATTGTTTTGTTTCCACTGAATTTATTTTTATGATTATGAATTCTATTTATGGCAAGAGAGGCTTGTTTTCCATTTGTAGTAGTGCTATAAATCTTCCCTTTTAAATAAATGTATTTAAGTTTTTAAAAACTGAATGGATTTAGAGGAAGGCGGTAGGCTTGAAGTCAGAGGTGGTGTGGGGGGTGGTGAACGGACAGCTCTGGTGGGGATGCTGCCCAGCCCTGCACTGCTGCTTTGAAGGACAGTCTGTCCCGGGCAGGGGGAGCGGGCAGGGCTGGGGTGGTTAAGCCTGGCCCCTCCGCATGCTGGGGGCTGAGCCTCTGTCGTGAGAGGGTTTGTTCCACCTGGAGACAGGCGATGGGTTTCCCTTGGGGCTGGGGAATCTCTAGAAGATGCAACCTCAGAGGCGTAGGCTGGTCAACTGGGCGATGAGCTGTGGGCTGTGACTTGAAGCTGACCTGGTCACTGAGCCACTAACTCAACGTCCCAGGTTCCTTCCAGCCCGCCCGTGTGAGGCATGACTTCAAATGCGGGGACTCGGGGAGCCGGCGTGACCTTTTGCTGATTAGCTCGTGCTGTTTGCTCAGCAGCCGCCAGCTGATCTCTGGACGGCGGCTCAACATGCCAGCCACAGCCGCCTGTCACCCTCTGGCAGATAAACAATTGCTCCTGGAGAGGTGGGGGAGGGGAGCCGGGCGTGCGGCAGTGCTGGGGGAGTGGCACGCAGGGTGCGGGGATTGGCGAGGTGGCCTTGGGCGAGTCGCTGGGATGCCAGCCCTGCACTTGAGCAGCACCTCTGCTGGCAAGGACATCGCCCCCCCCTCCCCAGAGAGGGAAACCGAGACCTACGGAGGGGAAGGGGCTTGCAGAGAGGGTCTGGGCTCACCTCCATGGGCTCCCAGGCCCTGCTGCCTTCAACAGGCCTCTGCCTCCTATCACAGCCACCGGCCTCTCTCCCTGGTGCTGAAGGAGTCCAGCCAAGGTCACCCAGGGTCACAGGATACCAGAGAGCCCCTTCTAAACTCTCAATCACTGCCTGGATAAAAGCAACTTCTAGGGACCAGGCCTTGAACACAGGAAGTGGAGGGGAGGGGCAGGGGCTTTAGAAGCTGGGAAACTTCAACTCGCTGAGTGACAAAAGGATGTCCCTAGAAGGGATCTCGGAAACAATGCGTCCCACCCCAAGTTCCTGAGGAAGACTCAGCGGAGCGGCTGCCTCCACCGTCAGACCGCACAGGAGCCAGGGCCCATCTGTCTTGCCACCTGCCTTCTGAGGTGGGCCGGGCTGGGAAGCGTCCCATCTACTCATTCAACAAACATTTATGCACTGTCTCCCACCTGCCGGGCTCTGAGGCTCACAGCACAGAGTCTGCAGCCTGGGGCTGAAGCGAGAGAGAAGACAGAGATTTCATGCCTGGCGAGGACTCCGGAGGCTATGGGGCTGGGGTGATCCCACCAGGCTGTGGTGAGCCTGGAGGAGCCTGAACTTGGGCTGGGATGGAAGGACAGATATCTGTGGGAGGAAGGAAAGAACTAACATGGATGCAGCATCGGTGTTCCGGAGACTGCTGAGTTCCCACTCCATGCTCAGGGCAGTACCCAGGGTGGTCGAATGAGTATCTACTTGATGCCAGGCGGTCTACACATCCCACTGAACGCTTCCCTCCTGAGGGGCCTTATTTTCCCCATTTTATAGATAAAATGTGGGCAGGGACTTGAAGCTGTCCTGATAAAAGATAAGAGATAAAAGAGGGACGCCAGAGGTAGAAGATGACTTGCCCAGCATTTCACATCCAAAACCCAGCAGGGCAGAGCTTGTCTGACTTTTAAAAAGGAAAGAAAGCCTGGGTGTGGTGGCTCACACCTGTAATCCCAGCACTTTGGGAGGCTGAGGTGGGCGGATCACTTGAGGTCAGGAGTTTGAGACCAGCCTGGCCAACATGGCGAAACCCCGTCTCTACTGAAAATACAAAAATTAGCCGGGCATGGCAGCAGGTGCCTGTAATCCCAGCCACTTGGGAGGCTGAGGAAGGAGAATCACTTGAAAATTGGAGGTGGAGGTTGCAGTGAGCCGAGATTGCACCATTGCACTCCAGCCTGGGTGACAGGGCGAGACTCCGTCTCAAAAAAAAAAGAAAAAAAAAAAGGAAAGAAGGCTGGGCACCGTGGCTCATGCCTGTAATCCCAGCACTTTGGGAGGCCGAGGCGGGCAGATCACGAGGTCAGGAGATCGAGACCACCCTGGCTAACGGGGTGAAACCCCGTCTCTACTAAAAATACAAAAACTAGCTGGGCGTGGTGGCGGGTGCCTGTAGTCCCAGCTACTCAGGCCACTGCACTCCAGCCTGGGCGACAGAGCGAGACTCCTTCTCAAAGAAAAGAAAAGAAAAGAAAAGAAACAGACAAACTTGGGGGACAGGGTGTTTCCGGCAAAGGGACCCCCACACGAAAAGACACAGAGAGGGAAGGCCCGTAGCTGCTGCCAGGCATCTCAAGCAAAGCCCAGCTCACGCCTCCCAACCACTGTCCCATCCCCAACGGCTGTGGCAAAGGCCTGGGGTCCGCACAGCCCAGTCTGCTGTCCTCGCCCTAACTGTCCACACTCTGCCGCAGCCCTGTGGGCCTCTGTGTTCTCTCTGCCGCAACGTGGGTCTCAGTCTGGAGGCCAGGGGGTTCCTGGGCTCCTGGCACGGTCCGAGCTGCCGCCCCCTCCCCCAGACTGCCCTGTCTTCCCAAGAGCTCCCAGCCCAGGGAAGCCTCATTGAGAGAGGGTCTGTGGGGACGCCCTCACATTTCAGGTGGGGACACTGTCATCCACAGAGGGGCAGGGGCAGGTCACTGTCACAGGGCTTTGCTCTGGTAGGGGATCAGCACAGACTGGATGAATACACGAAGAACTGAAAACTGGGATTTCCGTTTCCGAGTGCGCTTTCTCCCTTGTCTCATTCTCTCTCTCTCTCTCTCTCTCTCTCTCTCTCTCTCTCTCTCTCTCTCTCTCACTCTCTCGCTCTCTCTTCAAGGTTTTTCCTTCCCATGTCTCTCTGAGCCTCCGGCTGTCTCCTCCTCTTTCTGGAAGTCTCTATATTTTCTGGGTCTCTCTGTTCCTCTCTCATCTCCTCCTCTTCCCACACTCCCTGCCCTTCCCTCCCCTCCCCTCCTCTGGCCTCTGGATGTTTGGGGCATAGGCTGAGTAGGGGTCCCACAGGCGGGCCTCAGTGGCAGCTGCTACCACCCACCCCTGCACAGCAGACCCACCCTGGGTTCATTCCCTCATTTCCACTTTCTAGGCCAACCGACAGACCCACATGGAACACAGTCTGCACACAGGGAGGACATCACTCCACTCTGGAGACGCAGCCCCTCGGAGACTGGTCCACATATTCCCAGGGGAAGGGTATCTTTCCTGAAATACGAATGTGGTATTGAGGTCAGCAGGGCTTGGAGGGATCCCAGATGGGAAGGAGGGACTATCCCACTGGGGAGCTGGAAGACCTCAGATAGGGCCAGGTAGGGGCTGGCATTTGAGTCCCTGCTGATCCTGGCTCAGGCGGGGCAGCCCACTGTGCCGCAGGGAACTCCAGGCTGGGGGCCTGGAACACCTGGGACCTTGCCCTCACTTTGTGAAGATTTTGCTGGGTGGTCTCAGGAGTGAGTCCCTTCCCTTCTCTGGGCTTCAAGTTCCTTATCTATAAATGAGAAAGTTGGGTTCATGATCCCGAAGGTGCCTTCCAGCCCTAATATTCTAGGCAATATTCAAGGCAGCAGAGCAGGACAGAGCTAACAGCAGCAGTGGACCAGGGGCTGGGGCCTGGGCAGGGAGCAGCCTGCCCTGGGGACCCCATCACCTGCCAGCCTTTGTGGGAAGGAAAGAGAAAGACGTGGAGAAACGAACACTGGCCTGTGAGTTAGAGGAGACCTATGGCCCCGATCTGACTCTGAATCACCATGTGGCCCCCCGGGCCTCAGTTTCCCCACCTGTAACATGAGACAGCTGCAATGGATAAGACTTGAGGGCCTCCCAAATTGGAGATGCTACAAGCTGTTGGCAGGGCCAATGCTGTGCGTGGAACCCCTCCCTACCAAGTCCTGGTGAGGCTTTCAAATAATGCCTTAGTGGCAGGGGTGAGGGGGCAGGATAGAGCCTGGGAAATGAGGTCCTTTGGGATCCCTCCCCAGAGTTCAGTTCAACTTGTCTTCCTGAGATACCTCCCTCTAAAAGCTGTGGAGAGGTCTGGGGAACCATCTGACCACGAGCAGAAAAAGGCAAGCCTTGGGAGGTTCTAGACAGATTGTCTGTCCCCCCATGTAATGAAGGAGAGAACCCGAAAATTCCCAGATGCCTTCCTCTTGTGGTCCATTGGAATTGGCAGAACATAAGGAATACAACCACTTTAAATAAATTCAGTGTATAGAACTCTTCAATATGGAAGACAAGCTATTTATTGAGGAAACCCACAGTCTAAAATCCAGACTTTTCAGTGTACTGTGTTGCTTAACAATAGCGCCTCCTTCTGGTCAAGTTAGATATTACAACCGAGCTCTATTAGACAAAGAAACTACGGAACAGGACCTGCTAAATTTGAAAACTGCTGAGTTGGAGTCCCAGAACTGGGTGAAGTACAGTTTCCCAAATCCAAAGTACAGTTGCCCAGAGAGGACATATCTGCTATTTCTGAAAAATGCTGCAGAAAAAGAACTTGTCCAGCTACCTTCCCAATGCAGAATGAAACTCAGAAAAGACACAGCATAACTGGGTCACCAAAAGATCTGGCAAGCCATTGGGATGGAGACCTCCACCTGCCTATTCACCTAGGCATTCAATTCAACATTTGTATATATTTTTCCAGACAAGAACCTGCTTCAAATACATACTGCAAGTCAATATTAACCTACGTGACCTATGCCGTGTTATTCACATAGTGGTTTTACGCTCAAACACTGGACCATATCTGATCACAAAAGTGGTGGAAGATGAAGTCTCCTCTAATCCTCAGGGCTGATCCTGGCTTGTCAGGGAAGGATAATGGGCATACCCCGAGTATGGCCACCACCTACTTAGACTATTTCCGGGTCCCCCGGCAGCCCCAGGCTCCTTTTGTCCAATTCCGAGGCCACCCCTGCGGCCTCTGTCCACTCCCTTCATCTGAGGGCAGCACCATTGAACAAGAGTCAATCCCTAAGAAACGCTTATTTCTGCAGGACACCTGGCTCTGTCTCCATCTCCTTCCAGGCACACGTACTCACAGGTCATTAGGAATTGTTCCTGTCCCCCTTCTCTGCAACCCCCTGCGGAGAGCATGAGGAACAAGAGCATGCCTTACTTGTGTGTCAGGGCCCGCCAACGACCTGATGCACCAGCGAGGAATAGGCTGGAGGATTCCTCCCTGCTGGGCTCAAAGACATGTTCGCCTCATTCCAGCACACAGAAGGACAGCCTGGGTCCGGACAAACTGTAGGACAAATGGTCGCCAAGGCAGCTGCACCTGCACAGAGACAGAGGGGAGGAGGTTGAGGAGAGATGGAGCATCGCCTCCTGCAGCCGTCTCAGCTGCTGGAAGACCCCACCTGCCGGAGCCACCAGCTGTCAGTCACACGTGTCGGACTGCAGGTACGTCACACCTCAAGAACAAATCAGAGAGGCTGGGGACTTCCTGACACACAGAGCAGGCTGACACACAGAGCCATGTGCCAGCCGGGATAGAGGGGAGAGGAGCCAACAGCAGATGCAAGATATGAACTGAACTGCAGACCGAGGGAGTTGCCAGACCTGGGGTCACTGCAACCAATTCCAGCTCTAGTCACTTGGCGGTGGCCCAGGTGTTTGGGGTAAAGGTGGGGCTCACTTCTGGGGCTACAGCCCCAGAGCCTCTGGGGCTGTTGGGTCCGTGGGAACCTTCCAGGCACATCGCATCCAACATCCCTCCAGGAGGTGAAGGAAGATGAAACAACAGCTGGACTGATTAGGTAGAGACCCTGGGTATGCTCACCAGAACTGCTCCACCCCTGGCAGGGCCCTCTCCCTGGCACCTCCCACCCCAACTGCCTGGGAGCAGAGTATGCCAAATGCCAGGCCAGGCCAATCACTGAGAAGGAAACTAAGTCAGGAGGCAGAAGCCTCAGGCCCAAGCGCAGCTCTGTGCTGGTCTGCTGAGTGACAGACCTTGGGCTGGTCAGTGAACTATGCCGCCCACAGGTCAGGTCATTCGTCCACCCACTGGATCAATCCCAGGAAGCTTTACGCACCCAGCCCTGGTGCTGAGGATTCTCCAGGCCTCATCTCATTTCACCAGCGTACTTGCTTCCTTCACCACGAGGTGGCACCTGATCCCCATTTTGCAGATAGGGAAACTGAGGCTGAGAAGGGAAGTCGTCCTGCCAGGGTCGCACAGCTGGGGTGTGGTGCAGAGCCCAGCCCCATGAATGATGCTTTTGCATCTGGAGGGCAGGAGGGGAAGTGCTGTGGGGTGCTGGTGGGGTGCAGGGACCAGAGGAGGTAGTGTCTGCAAGACAAAGGGGGGTTCTAGGTGCAAAGGGGTTCGCGAGGTTGGTGCAGAGGCGGGGGGTTGGTGCTGGGCTCTGCCGCATCCGCGCCCCTGGAGGCTGAGGGAGCCTCAGGAGGCCCTAGTGGGGGCCAGGAGGGGCCCCCCGGTCTGTCTGTCTGCCTGTGCCCCGCTCCCACAGCTCCAGGGACAGAGTAAGTGCTAGAAGGCGAACAGGAACCTGTAGCTGGAGGAAGTGTGTGTGTGCAAATAGATGAGTGAGTGGCATGTAATTACCTAAAATTGTGGGTTAGAAGCAGATGTAAATAACCAAAAAATACGTGGGGAAGTGGGGGGATGCTCATCAGTTAGAGATTATTACTTAACCACTAATTGAAATAATAATGGTGTGTATTTGAATATGCTAATGAGGTTGAACCTGTGTTGGAAAAGGTAACTGAAATAAAATAAGAGGAGGCTTCCAGGCCCACACCCGCTCTGCCCCAGGCCTTTGCTCTGTGAGCCGCCCTGCCGTCTACCCAGCCCGTGCCTGCTTCCTTTGCTTGGTCCTGCCCAAGGCCCCTCCCAGGGCACCCATCAGCCCCAGGGTTGCCCCTGCTTCCCGCGCTGGGAGGGCAGATGCTGCGATGCAGGGCGTTTGCCCACCAGCCTCCCGCAAAGCCCCAGGGAGAGGCAGGAACGCATGCTTGTGGAGTGCCTACTGTATACCCAGCCCAGCTCTGCAAAGCACTCCATGTTATAGACTAGGAGACAGGCGTGTGCAGCCAGCCTGCAGTCACGTGGAGGGGTCGGGCCAGGACGCGGATTTCCAGCTGCTCTCGGACTTTCCAGCAAAGCCATCCAAAAGCGGAACAGCCAGACATCACGGAACCACCGTGTCACTGTGAGCAGAGGCCCAGACCCCTTGGGAGCGGGCTCTGCATGTTCTCACATGCGTGTGCTGGGCACGGTGTGCACGTCAGGGCACCTGCCCTGGAGCTTTTCACTCTCCATTACCGTCGCAAGCAGACTGTGAGTGTACACAGACATGTATGTGCGTGCACACATGTGTACACGTGTACGTGTGTTGCACATGTGTACACATGCACATGAACTCATGCATGCGCACACAGAGGCATGCACACTCAATGACACAGGCACACCCATCGCTCTCCACAAAGGCTCACTCAGACACATCCAGGCCCAGGCATCCAATGCACCACCTCGGGCACAGCCTGAGCTTTAACCCAACATCCTGCCTAGCATCTGCCAACGCATGGCACCCGAGGGGCTGGACACAAGGTGGGGTGCAGGGGCCCACTCATCCACCCTGTAGAAGCCAGCCAGGCCTGGAGGGTGGTCTCTCTGGGGCTGTGCACTTTATAGGGGTGAAGGTGATTAGACAACCTCACAGTGGTCCTTGCATTGCTGCTAGAAACCCATGCTTCTGAACAGCCAGCATCGATCAGGCATTCGTGGGGTCACTGGTGATCTAACACACAGCAGCTGCTGGCCCAGGGGCTGCACTGGGAAGGCCGGGGGCACGCCCAGATTTGCATGTCGTGGAGGGTGGTGTGGGTGGCAGCAGTGCATGGTGGAACTTGAAGGATGTGGAACTGCTGGGTGTTTTGTTTTGTTTTGTTTTGTTTTGTTTTGTTTTGTTTTGTTTTTTTGAGACAGAGTCTCACTCTGTTGCCCAGGCTGGAGTGCAGTGGTACCATCTCGGCTCACTGCAAACTCTGCCTCCTGGGTTCAAGCAATTCTCTGCCTCAGCCTCCCCAGTAGCTGGGATCACAGGCACCCACCACCATGCCTGGCTAATTTTTGTATTTTTAGTAGAGATGAGGTTTCACCATCTTGGCCAGGCTGGTCTTGAACTCCTGACCTCGTGATCCACCCACCTCGGCCTCTCAAAGTGCTGGGATAACAGGCGTGAGCCACGGTGCCCAGCCAGCTGCTGAGTTTTGAAGAAGTGGTGGCTCCTGCCCTTGTATGTGGTCCGCGGTGGATCGGAGGAGGAACCCAGAGGGAGGCTAGGCTGGCAGCTCAGCGACACCACCACTGCCGTGACCTGGACAAGCCCCTGGAATGCTGTGCCTCAGTTTCCCTCCCTGTAGAACAAGGACGATCGTGACCATCCCTTTGTCAGGGTGAAGGCTCACAGTTCAATCTCGTCTGGAACCGCAGGCTGGGGAACCTCAGAGACCACTGGGCTGGAGGGGTCAAAGCTAAGAACCCACCCTGGAAAATACACAGGCAGTTTTGTCTGTGATATTCGGGGGCTCATCAGACCTCCCCGAGGACCATCCCGGGACACTAAGACTCTACTTTACAGAAGGGCAACAAATCTGTGCAGGATGTTGTGGACAGGAAACCGAGGCCCAAAGCCATCCACTGAATTGCCATGAGCCAGAAAGGGCAGGGCCAGAAAGGGCAAGGGCCCAGAGGGACAGCAGCCCCCAGAGGCGAGGGTAAATTGAGGCTCCGAGTGGCTGATCACACAGGTGCATGGTGAGGCTGTGAGGCCTGCCATCTGAGGTGCCCACTGTGTGCCGTCGGAAGGGGGGCCCAGCAGTGCCCTCGGGCAGGCAGTGGCGGCTGCCACGCTGGACTCACTCCCCTGGCACCCTGGCGGTTGGGGGGAGCTCCTCCTCCTCCTTCCAGGATGAAGAACAACTCATCAACTTGCAAATGTCCGGGTGAGAGGGTTGGAAAAATGAAGGCGCCCAAACTTGACATTTGCATTTCAAACACTTATATCAGCAAAACAAATAACAGTAATTATACCATTTGCATATTTTGTGCAATGATTGTTTAGCGAGGTGGGGAGGAGGGGCGCCTGCTGATGCCAGCAGCCCAGCCTCCCGCACAGCTGTGCCGCCCCGCCCAGGGTCCCTGCCACCCTGCACCTCCATGCTGCCCACCCCTTGGCCCTGTGGGTGTGACCTGCAGCCCTCAGGCTGTTACCTCCTGCGGGCTCTGCCCTTTGGCCACTGGGTGTCCCTCTGTTCTCCAGTACGCGCCCCCCACCCCAGCAGGTCTCCACCTCTGCCCTCTGCACTTGCTGTGCCCTCTGCCTGGGAGCCTCTCGCAGACCCACCCAGGCTGGCTCCTCTGTTCAGGGCCCATCCTCACTGTCCCCGTCTCCACATTCTGACGGGGACACGCACGGCTGCCTTCTCTCCAGCCGGGAGCTCCATGAGGCTCTAAGCTGACCTCGAGCCCTGGTGGACAGGGCTGACCCTTGGTGTGGGGCCTGCCCAGCCCACACCCCAGCATACAGCAGGCAGGCCCTCAGCAGACAGGTGACGTTGCCACTCAAGTCCCTGCCCCCTACTGGGGGGCTGGGCACCTGGCTGTGGAGGGGTGCCCAGACCTGGCACTGACCTCGCAGGGGTGACGTGATGTGGGGTCTCAGAGTGAGGGAGACGGGACTCCCAAGCAAGGGCAGTGGGTGATCTGACTGCGTACCCCAGGTCACACTCAGGACCCCAAGCTGACCCCCACCTAGTACTGCTGTAGGTGGAGCCTCCTGGGGTGGGGAGGAGTCGAGACCCAGTGACCCACATGGCTTTGTGTGTATCACCATGTGTTTACGGAGGGTCTGGCTGTGTGTGAGCACGTGTGCACATGCATGAGTGTGTGTGCATGCAGGTGTGCTTGTGTGTGCATGTGTGAGTGTCTGTGTGCTTGTGTGTGTGTATTGTAGGTTCTCCAGACAACGCTGGTCCTTTTGTCCGGATCAGGACCAAGAGACTGGGTCTCTGGGTGCCCATTCCCCACAGCCCAGTTTTGGGGTGAGGAGGGGGAGAGTATGGCCTCCATCGGTGCTGGGAAAAGGAGGTGGCCCCACCCACCAGCCCACTCACAGCTGGCAGGGTCCCCCACCCAGAGGCCACCATGCCCGGCTGCAGGCTCCCTTCTCCTGAGTGGCAGCCGTAACAAGAACAACAGCGGTTGTGCACCTGTGGCAAATGCCAGGCCCTCCCATGGGCTGACTTGCAGAACCATCCTCCAGCCCCACGAGGAGGTGGAAACTCCAGCTTTATTATCCCTGTTTTCAGATGGAGAAACTAAGGCACACCGCAGTGACACCTCTTGCTGAAGGTCACACAGAAGAGCCGGGATTTGTACTGAGCCCTCCCGGCCCCTTGCTTTTTGCAGGACAAACCCCCCAGCACACAGTCCGGCGACAGCCCTTACAGGACAGGTGTCATCAGTACCCGCATTTCACAGACTGGGAAACCGAGTCTCAAACATACACAGAGACCTCCCCAAGGTTACACTGGATGTAGCTAAACTCGGCCGAGAGTTCTTTGCTTTGGACTGAAACTCAGGCAGAGGCTGCCAGTAGGATTGTCCCCGTGGTAATTAGGGCTCCACAATCAATCCCAGCGCACAAGATGCCACCTCCCTGCTTCCTTTAATCTCCCCCGCTCAGCACCGACAGAGGAAGCTGAGCCCAGAGACTTGGAAGTGCAAATGAGGCCCCATCCCCTGGTAAACTGCAAGCGGCAATTAACTCCTCACTTCACACCCCACAGCCCCACAAATTCCAGACGGGGTAAGCAGTTAAATATGAAATATTAAGCCATAAAAAAGCTGGAAGAAAACAGAATTCAATACTTATCAGTTCTCAGGAGGGAAACAGGCTTTCCAAGCTCAGAAGGAAGAGAATAAATTTTAAAAGAAAAAGGAGGCAGATTTGACCAAATAAAAATAAGAAAAAGGAACACAAAAAGTAACCCAAATTAAAAGCTGTATAGCAGAGAGGGAAAGATATTTGTGGCGAATGTGACAGATAAATGATAACTATCTTCATTATGTAAAGAACTCGTTCAAATTGATTAGGGAGACATCAACAGCATATAAACAAATTTGTAAAGGAACAAACACAAAACAGAAAATACAGGTGGTTACGAAACGTATGGCCCAATGCTCAACCTCCCGTATAATCAGGGAAATGCAAATTTTTAGAAAATACAGTGAGACACCATGGGCCCATCAAAGTAGACATGATCTAAAAAAACAAAAACACCAAACTAAAAATAAATCCCAGTGCATTGCAGTGCTGGCACGGTTGTGGTGAAATTGGCACAATTCTTTTGGAAAGTCATTTGGCAATACAGATCTAAACTCTTAACATGTGCATAACTTACAGCATATCACACCACGGTGCAGCTAAAACTTTTTGCAATCAAGAGCAACACAAGGATACTTGCTGCCACCACTCTGATTCAGCATGGTGCTAGTAGCTGCAGCCATTGCAATAAGGCAAGAAAAAGAAACAAAAATTATAAGATTCAGAAAGAAAGAAACGAAGCTCTCGCTATTCACAGACAATGTGATTATGTACATAAAAAGTCCAACAGAATGTATATGTTACCAAAATTAATAAAATATTAGCATAAAATTCATATACAAATATATATTGAATTTCTATATGTCTGTAATGAATAGAAAATGAATATTTATGAAACATCAACAGTCTTCAAATTAATTTATACATTCAAGGCAATCTCAATCAAAATCACAATCCATTTTTTTTCTTTTTGTGGAACTTGACAAACTAATTCTAAAATGTATATGGAAGAAAAAAAGGCCAAGAATGTCACTAAATAAAAAGAACAAGGTGGAGTGAGGGAGGGTCTTCTTCTTTTTTTTTTTCCCCCCCGACGGAGTCTCGTTCTGTCGCCCAGGATGGAGTGCAGTGGTGTAATCTCGGCTCACTGCAACCACCGCCTCCCAGTTCACACCATTCTCCTGCCTCAGCCTCCCAAGTAGCTGGGACTACAGGCACCCGCCATCACGCTGGCTAATTTTTTTGTATTTTTAGTAGAGACGGAGTTTCACCGTGTTAGCCAGGATGGTCTCAATCTCCTGACCTTGTCATTTGCCCACCTTGGCCTCCCAAAGTGCTGGGATTACAAGCGTGAGCCACTGCACCCGGCCGAGGATGGCTCTTCTTCCATCAGATAATGACAGTTGACTATAAAGCTATGGTGACTCAGATATTATTATAAGATTAGACACACAAGCCCATGGAACAAACAGAAAAATCCAGAAACTGACCCAAGAGGCAGCCCTTAATAGAGAGAGGAGGCATAACTTTTCAATAAATTGAATATATATGGGAAAAAATGAAACTGAATACCTGCTTCCCATCACGTATAAAGTCAACTCCAGGCTGATTACAGAGCTAAATGCAAAAAGAAGAACTATACATTTTGAAAGATAAAGTAGATAAAAAGATAAAATATGTATATATAATACAAATATATATTTGTGGATTGAGATAGGGTCTCACTCTGTTTCACAGGCTGGAATGCAGTGGCATAATCACAGCTCACTGCAGCCTCAAACTTCTCAGCCTCAGGTGATCCTCCCACCCCAGCCTCCCAAGTAGCTAGAACTACAAGCATGCACATCTGTGCTCCATTAATTTTTTTTAGAGAAGGGGTCTTGCCATGTTGCCTAGGCTGGTCTTGAACTCCTGGGCTCAAGCAGTCCTCCCACCTCAGCCTCCCAAAGTGCTGGGATTACAAGCATGAGCCACTGCACCCAGCCAGAAAAATATATTGATGACTGAGAGACAGGGAAGAATTTCTTCCCACTCATGCAAGAATATATTGATAAATATTACTACATAAAAATAAAGAATTTCTGCTCGTAAAAATATACTATGAAAAGCTAGCCTGGGCAACAAAAGAAGACACCGTGTCTACAAAATTTGTGTAAAAAATTAGCCAGGCATGATGGAGTGTGCCTGTAGTCCCAGCTACTCTGGAGGCTGAGGTGGGAGGATCATTTGAGCCAGGGAGGTCAAGGGTGCAGTGAGCCGTGATCCCACCACTGCACTCCAGCCTGGCCAACAGATCAAGACTCTGTCTCTAAAATATGCACACACACGCACACATACACACATGCATACACACACATGCGTGCACCACACACACACATGCACACACAGGCTCACATACGCACACATATGCGCACACACACGCGCACACACACACGCACACATACACACGCATACATACATCATGCAAAGTATTAAAACACAAGCTACACGACAGCTACCTTCTGAGAGAATGTGATCTCATTCAGAATCTATAAACACCTCTTATGAATTAATAAGGAAAACTGACACCTCAGTCATAAAATGAGCAGAGATCTTGAAAAGGCATTTCACAAATGAGGGCATCCACACGGCCAAAAACCCCGTGCTCAACTGTATTACTCGCCAGCGAAATTCAAATGAAAGCTTGGTAAGATACCAGGACACACCCGCCAGACCGGCGAGGCTTCAAGCATCTCATCAGATCTGGCGCTGGGGAAGGAGGATGTGGAGCAACGGGAACTCTCGTCCGCTGTCCTGAGGGTGCAAAGCCTCACCACCGCTTTGGGAAAGAGCCGGCGACTGTTCTCTGGGGTGTAAACCTCAGGGAGGGTCCCACACGTGTGAAGCAGGAGATATGCAAGGGAGCTCACCACAGCCCCAAAATGGAACCGACCTTGATCCCCTCTTAGGACAGCACACGCTTCAGTGATGAGAATGAACCAGCACCAAGCACAATGAATGGGTATGTCTCCCCCGGAGAGTGTTGACCAGAAGAACGAGGTCAGAAGGGAAGAAGTATGCAAAGATTTCATTTATGGGAAGTTCAGAAACAGGCGAATCCAGAATCAATTGTCCAGGAATGCTGGTTGCTACGATCAGGAATGACAGAGCTCTGGGACTGGGAAAGAAAGCGCCAGAAGCCTCTGAGGGCCGCCAGCATTCTACGTCTTCACCCTGACTGTGGTCACGCAGATGCATTCACACAAAGTTCACACGGTGGTTATTCTTTCCCTGGCTCAGATGGGACTTTCGCACCCTGCTGTATAGACGGCTTGTTCCAGCTCACAGTCTACACCTCCACAGGGCTGTGAGGGGATGTCGGGCCTTTCACCCAGCAGCCCCACTTCTGAGAACCTACCAGAAGGAGAGAATCCCAGAGAGAAAACCATGTACAGCCAAAGATTTCCATTGCTGCTTGATAGAGAAGGAAAAAAATGGAAACCACCAAAGTTTTCAATAAGAAGACAATGATGAGGCCGGGCACGGGGGCTCACGCCTGTAATCCCAGCACTTTGGGAGGCTGAGGCGGGCGGGTCACCTGAGCTCAGGAGTTCGAGACCAGCCTGGCCAACATGGTGCCCATCTCTACTGAAAATACAAAAATTAGCAGGGCACGGTGGCACACGCCTGTAATCCCAGCTACCCGGGAGGCTGAGGCAGGAGAATCGCTTGAACCTGGGAGGCGGAGGTTGCAGTGAGCAGAGATCATGCCATTGCACTCCAGCCTGGTCAACAGAGTGAGACTCCATCTCCAAAAAAAAAGTAGGAGAATGACTAAATCAATTAAAGCACACCCTTATTATTCTTGACTGTGGCAATTTATTTATTTATTTATGATGGAGTCTTGCTTTGTGGACCAGGCTGGAGTGCAGTGATGCATCATGGTTCACTGCAACCTGGACCCCTTAGGGCTCAGGTGATCCTCCCACCTCAGCCTCCTGAGTAGCTGCGCCCACAGGTATGTGTCACTGTACCCAGCTAATTAAAAAATAATAATTTTTAGAGACAGGGTCTCACTATGTTGCCCAGACTTGTTTCAAACTCCCGGGCTCAAGTGATCTGCCCACCTCGGCCTCCCAAAGTGCTGGGATTACAGGTGTGAGCCACTGCACCTGGCTGCAACTTGGAAACTGCTGGAGGTCAGTGAATGATCAGACTCAACAAGTCCATTCTCAAGATGGACAGAGATATCAACATGTCTCTACAAAACACATGTGCGGGGAAGTGCATCACTGCTCACAGTACCCACGATAGCCCAGACTAGAAACAACCTGAAAGGCCATCAGCAGAGAAGGGATACATCAACTGAGGTACAGCCTTACATGGGAATACTATACGGCAATGAAGAGGAAGGAACCGCCATCACATCTAACAAGGATGAATGAATTTCGCAGGTGCAATGTGCAGAAGCACCCAGACAGAATGTGTATATAATGGATGCTTCCACTTATACAACATGAAAACACAGGCAAAATTCAGCTATGCCGGAAGGAGCCAGGGTAGTGTTTACCCTGAGGTGGGGGAGAGGTGACCTGGAGAGACCATCAGGAGACTTCTGGGGCTGGTGACACGGGGGGCTGGTTTTGTTCTGTTTCTTCACTGGGGTGCTTGTGAAAATTCATTAAGCTGTGCACAGTGAGGATTTGTGAACTTTTCTGTATGTAACTTACATCTCAAATGTTTAAGTTTCTTTTAAGAGTGATATCAACCCTGAAACAAATGCCGATCCTCAAAAGAAGAAAAAAGACCAGAAGGAGAAGCTCTAAAATGCTGACAAGCTTCTCTTGCATGGTGGAGCCACAGTTTACATCTCCTGTTTTCAGCATTTTCCTAGTTTTCTTTAGTGTATACACATGTATATTGCTTTTGAAATTAAAGAGAGAAATAATATGCTATTACATATATTCAAATGCCAGGCCCCCAGAAAAGGATTCGTGTTTAATTAGGACTTTGTGATTCAGGATGGCACAATGTTTTATATGTTGTAAAAAAAAATTTCATTGCGGCTGCCAACGGTGGCCAGGCCCCCTCGCCCCATCTTCTCTCTGCTGTGGCCCAACCATTCCTCACCCGACAGGAAGCTGACGTGCTAATTTGCTTAGCAAAGTCAGAGGGAGCACCGAGGGTGCAACGCAGGAAAAGAAAATTGCCACAAAAGGGAGGCAGGAATATTCCGAAGGCATTAACCTGATGAATTGTATATGAGAGCTGTAAATTTGATAAGTGCTTATTAGAAGTAGAAAATGAGGCTTGAAATTTGCTTGTTTGCCTGAAATGAAGGCTGAGGTTCCCTTGGAATCTAATCGGCTAAAAATTTGGCTAGATGTTCAAATGTAGGCATCCTATGAAAAAAAGGATACCTAGAGAGATGAAGAAGGCCAGGAGAGATGGTAACTGTTGTGTCAGGCACATTTGGAAATATTTATTAGAAAGAGAAAAGAAAGTCTGATGTCTTCTCCAAGCCTGCTGCCTTAGTCAGCGCCCGCCCGCCGGCCGGCTCTGCGGGAAGCCCAGGCCTGGCCCCAGCCCCACTGCCCTGTCTGTCTCTCCTTTCTTCCCACACCTGGAGGCTGAGGCGGGAGGATCACTTGAAGTCAGGAGTTCAAGGCTGCCGTGAGCCATGATTGCACCACTGCACTCCAGCCTGGGCGAAAGAGAGAGACCCTGTCTCTCAAATAAATTACGATTAAACAATTTTTAAAAATCTGTTCAGGTGACACATGCCTTGATGTGTTCACGGGCAGGCAGCCCTGATCAGGGTGAAAAACAGAGATAAAGTCCCGGAAGGAGGAGGGGTGGGGGCAGGAAGTGGACACCGCCCTAGAGAAGGGTCTCAGATCACACAGCAGTTGTTGCAAATTTGGCAAATACCGATTTTCCCAATTGTACCCCTGGGTGCGTGGACGAGAAGACAGGCTAAGACAAGGCCAGTGGGAAGCTGGGAACCCAGACCCTAAACACGTGCTATACACCGGGCTGGCCTCGGCTGTGCCGGGACCTGGCAGGCAGGGTCAACCCAGCGGTGCTCAGTCCTACCCACAGAGCAGGGAGTGCAGGCCCCAGGGTGCTCCCAGCACCGGCTCCTCCCTGCACAGGCCCCTCCAGCAGCCCAGATATCCCCGTGGAGGAGGGGGCAGGGGCGCGACTGTTCCTCTCTGAGTCCCACACTCTGCGGCAGCCGAGCAGGGGTCTCAGGCCCTGTGCGTGTCCATGGATGGGAATATGGGCGTGAGACCCTCCCCTTTCCCCTCTAGACCTGGCCTCTCTCCTGCCTGGAGGGGTGGGGGGCTCCTCTCTGCCCTGCCTGGGGAGGCACAAGTTGCCATCCTCATCTCCAGCACTACCTCTAGGCTATCTCACCCCTGCCGCGAAGCCCAGATCAAACAGGGTAGCAGCTTCTCCAAGGTCACAAAGCCAGTGAGGGGCGCTGGGCCTTGGACCCCAGCCTGGGCGAGTCACCTCCTCTGAGAAGCCTCCCAGCCTGCCCCACTGAAAGGGGACGAGCAGTCCCTGCTAGTGCATTGCTCGTGGTCATTTCCTGTGGCCCTCGTTGTTTTCCTAATGCCTTCCTTTGCTCGAGTCATCCCACCGGACCCTCAGCTCCTTAAGGGCAGTGCCGTGGGCTGAAGTGTGCCCAGCATCCCTGGGATGAAGCCCTGGCCCCCGGCTGATGAGAGGAGGCAGCGGGTTCTCTGGGAGGTGATCGGAGTTAGCCGAGGTCATGAGGGTGGGGCCCACGATGGGATTAGAGCCTTTACAAGGAAGGATGCCAGGCTGGGCACCGTGGCTCACACGAGTAATCTCAACACTTTGGGAGGCTGAGGCAGGAGGACTGATTGAGCCAGGAGTTCAAGACTAGCCTGGGCAACATAGCGAAACTCCATCTCCACAGAAAAAAGTTTTAAACAATAGTTAGTGCATGGGTGTGGTGGCACGCACCTGTGGTCCCAGCTACTATGGAACCTGAGGTGGGAGGATGGCTTGAGCCCAGGAGGTGGAGGCTGCAGTGATCTGTGATTGTGTCACTGCACTCCAGCCCGGGTGACAGAGGGAGACCATCTCTGGAAAAAAAAAAAAAAAAGAAAGAAAGAAAGACACCAGGGCATCTGCATGCCCTCTCTCTCCCTGTCTCTCTTTCCCTCTCTCTCTCCATCTCTCCCTCCCTCTTTCTCTCTCCCTCTCTCTCTCTCTCTCTCCATCTCTTTCTCTCCCTCTCACCCTCTTTCTCTCTCTCTCCCTCTGTCTCTTTCTTTCTCCCTCTCTCTCTCACATACACACGCACACACACACACACACACTCTCTCTCTCTCTCTGTCTTGGGAGGACACGGTGAGAAGGTAGCCATCTGCAAACCAGGACACTGGCCCTCCTAGAACCAACCCCGCTGGCACCCGATCCCAGACTTCCAGTCTCAGGGCGGGGAGACAATGTGTGCTGCTGTCTAGACTCCAGTGTCCCGCTTTTGTTATGAGAGCCGGGGCCGACAAAGGCAGGCAGGAGTCAGGTCTGCCCTGCTCACTGCTGTGCCCCCACATCTAAACCAGCCTGGGGCTCGGCATACAGTAGGTATTTAATAAATGCACACTCCAGGAGGAAACAGACTTTGTCTGGTAACCCTAGGGCCTGGCGGGCCCAACAAGATTTGCTGAGTAAATGTTTGTGAATAAATGAATGGGAGTCAGTGAAACCAAACCAGCACGGTTTTTTTTTTTTTTTTTTTTTTTTTGACACGGAGTCTCGCTCTGTCACCCAGGCTGCAGTGCAGTGGCGCGATCTCGGCTCACTGCAACCTCCACCTCCTGGGTTCAAACAATTCTCCCTGCCTCAGCCTCCCAAGTAACTGGGATTACAGGTGTCCACCACAACGCCCGGCTAATTTTTGTATTTTTTAGTAGAGACGGGGTTTCTCCATGTTGGCCAGGCTTGTCTTGAACTCCTGGCCTCAGGTGATCTGCCCGCCTCAGCCTCCCAAAGTGCTGGAATTACAGGTGTGAGTGGCCGCGCACGGCTGCACAGTTTTCAAAGTGGGGTTCATGGGCTTGGCGGGCTGAGTCTGCTCCTGCCTCCCAGCGAGACTCGCCCAGGCTTGTGCCAATGGTCCTGCTCCTGCCCTTTAGGGAGTGCCCTCGACGCGGACACCTGAGCCCTGAGCTGCAGCCCTGGAGGAGGAGGACGCAGCTGGTGCTGGGAAGGGCTGGGAGGCCGGCCACGCACCTGGCACGCTACTACTTCCTGGGGTTCTCAGGCAGGAGCAGGGTCCTGGTGGCCTTCCTGGTGGATGGACAGAACCCTCACAGCCCCAGCGGGCTGCGCATGAGCTCTGGAGCCACAGAGCAGGTCCCACCATGTGCCTGTCGGCCACGTCTGCTGCCTGGCACAGCCACGTGCATCCGGAGCCGTCTGCAGCGTAACTCAAAGTGAGGGGGATGGGCACATGTGCACGACGCCCGACGCCCCTCTGCAGCACTCAACAGGGAGGGCAGGGAGCTGGAATTTGTCCCAGCTGGGCACAGGCTGCTGTTGGCAGCCAGGGTCAGGGAGACTCTCAGAGTCCCCCACTTCTGTGGAACAGACAGTTTCTTTGGTTCTGGAATTAAACTATTAATAGCAGTGGAGATCAAGAAACTCAAGTGCAGGGCAGCTGACAGGTGGTCTCGAATGCACCCTGGAGGGTGTGCAGCCAGCAGCCCTCAGAGTCAGTCTAAGTTTGGCAAAGGACCGCTGTGCGGGCCAGGCATGGTGACAGTGACGTCTTGGTGTCAGGGCCTCCTGTCTCATACCCTCGCTCCTGCAAGGGCCTCTGCACCTGGGCAGGTGGGCGTCTGGGTGCTGGGGGAGCTGACTCCTTCAAGGAGATGGTTTCCTGTCTCAGGGAGGTGGGGGGTACCCCTGGGATCTGCTTCTAGGGGCATAAGCTCCGGCCTATTGAGTGACTGATGGACCAGAGCTCTATCTTTCTAGAAGGCCTGGGAGAAGCCAGGAATCCCCTCCCGGAGCCTCACCCCACTCCTCCCTCCAGCCATCCTCCTCCAGCTCTTTGTGACATCACTGCCGTTGCCATGGGAACCCTGCCAACTGAGCGGATGACTTCACAGGAGGATGGGAGGCGCTGGGCTGGGCCGGCCTGGGTCTCGCAGCAAAGGTCTTTGATAACCAGCAAAACGGCAAAGGGAGGCAGGAAAACCACCCGCAGGGAGGCCAGTGTGGGTTTAAGGTGATGGCATTCCCCAGCCCTGCCCGGCACCGGCCTCCCAAGCCTGGGACCTGGGGGCTCCCTGCCTCCTTCCAGATGGAGGTGGGCATGGTGGAGTGTGAGGGGCCTGGGTCTGCCGGGGCTGGCTGGGGAACCCTGGCTGGAGCTGCTTCAAGCCTCGGTTTCTCTTTCTAGGAAGTGAGACCAGGACCACAGACTGGGCGCTCCCTGCTGAGTCTGTGGCCCTGAAGGCTGTTCAGCTCTAAGCGTCGGTGCACGGACAGGCCAGACAGGGCTGTATTGCTCCAATCGCCCTGCAAGAATCACAGCCAGACGGGGGCTTCCCGAGTGCTGCCCACCTTGCCGGCACGCAGGAGGAGGTGGCATGGACTGGGGAGGAGGAAGCACTCTCACTCCTGCTGGAGCCTCTGCCCAGGAACCCCGATTGGCCCAGCCGTCCCTGGGGAGGCCCATCCCACGTGTCCCGCACCCCGTGTCTGTCAGCACTGATCAGGGTCTCCCAGACACCTGCTCTGGGGTTGCCATGGGGACGAGCGGGAGGGTGAGTGTGGCGCACACAGCTGTCTGTAGACACACAGAGGGCATGCACGCATGTGTCTGTGCTCACCTGCATGTGTTCACACGGACTGGGCACCGCCGGAGGTGTTCACACAGCGGTGTACACCGACCCCTCTGCAGATGTGCACACACCCAGCAAGGCTACGTCCACAGGCGTGTATGTGTTCTTGCACCAGGAAGTGGGTCACGCCCCACACCACACATCGTATACTCTGTCCCTGCGGCACGCACCTGTCTGGGTGCACCAGGCAGTCTAAGCCCATGTCACCTATGTGTACACATATGTGCACATACCTACTCAGGCACACCAGTGTGTGTACACGGCTGTCCAGGCACACTGGGCAGTCCAAGCCCACGCCTGCCCAGACTCTTGGAATCGGGCACTTTCTGAGGCTGCCCCGATGGGCGTTCCTTTCCCCAGCCAGTACATCCTCTCTTCCTAACCCCACGTCTGCTGGACTCTTAAGGTGTCCACGCGGCCATGAACATCTCCAGGGCCTGCACTGCCCACTACCAGGACCCCAGCGGAACCCAGCATCTGGTCACTAGGGGTCTGCATGGGCAGTCACTTCCTGGGGGCCTGCACCCCTTAAGGAGGGTGAAGGACGGGCCAGCCCAGCTGGGGCTGAATCCTCACAGCCTTGTTCACAGGGAGAGGCTGACCTGCGCCCATTTTACAGACAACAAAACTGAGGCTGAGAGAGTAACAGCCCGGCCAGCACATGGCAGAGCGTGGCGCAGGCCCAGGCCTGCCTTGTGAGGTCCCTGCCGTTCCCTGCAGGGTACATAGAGGCGGAAGCTGATGTGGCCCCCACTGGGCGTTCTTTCACTTTCTCTCCTTTGATTCCACAGTCCTCAGACCTAGGAATTAAAGAAACGTCCGTAGTTTCCGATGAAGGAAATATTAATAGAAGCTCAGAGACGTAAGGTAACTGACCCTAGGTCACACAGCAGAGTCAGGGAGCTGGTGAGGTTGAGGGGAGGGAGCCCCAGGAGGGCCTCAAAAATCTCCCTTCCCACTCCACCCAGCCAGGGGCAGGTGCAGCCGGCAGGTGGGCCGCTGGCCCTGGGTATGCCCTGTTTATGCCTCTGCATCTAGCGTACATGACGAAGGCAATTTTCCATGTTTCAAGTGCCACGGTGTTGCCTGCCTCTGCTGATCAGCCCCGATCTTTCTTGGCTGTCTCTTCCCTAGCTCCATGCAGATGCACCCCCAATTCAAGATCCCTAAGCTCCCAGCCCCACTCCTCTCTACTCTGCCTGTTGCAAGGCCCTCCCGGCCCAGGCTTGGGAGAGAGGTGTGCCCTACACTGCCGTGAGCCCTGAGTGGACCCAGACGGCCAGAGGGAGCAGCCCTCAGCCCAGACTCCACAGCGCAGCCCAGCCCGTCCCTGCAGCCACGATCGGTACTCACAGAACCCTCTGGCAATCCGGCCTTGGCAGGGCAGGCCAGACAGATCTGTGCAGTTTATAACCAGCTTCTGCTTCTAAAAATAGGAGTGCTACTTGGCACACAGACCACAGTGAAAGTGGAGAAACTGAGGCCCAGCAGCAAAAAGTGTCTCGTCGAAGGTCACGAAGGCAGGAAATAGCAGATGCCAGGAGGGTCATGGCACTCAGAGATGAAAGGAGTCCCTCATGCCCGGCACTCCCCCGCCCACCAGCCATCGTGGCCATCCTGGGCACGTGAGCACCACTGCGCCAGCCCAGCCTGGAGCCTGGTACTGCTGGCCTTGGCAGGCAGACATTGCTGGTCAGGAATGCAGAATCGGCCTTTAAATACCTCAGCAATTTCATGCCCTGGCATCTCCTTCTTCCCCACACCGCCCGAGGCGCCGCTGAGGCTTAATGAGCTGTGAAGGTCCATTTTTCAAAGTTAAACATTTCCTGGGCTCCCTGGCCCAGCCTTTAGACACAGCCTGGCAATGTCCCAGGTGTGGGGTTCAGACAGCTGCACAGGGAGGCCATGGTTCACATGGATCTCCACGACGCCCTCGGCTCTCACCGGCCACTGATGCCAACAGAGACCTACCCGGTGGCCAGCTTGTGGGATGCAGAGCTGGCAGTGGGTCAGGCCTGGGCTGTGGGAGCAGTGGGTCGGGCCTGGATCCCTGAAGCTGGGAATTCCAGCCTAACACAGCCTTCAGAGGTGTCGATTCTAACCCCCTGCCCATTTTACAGATGAGGAAGCTGAGGGAGGGCCATAAGTCCCCTAACATCAGGGACCACAGCGCTTACCCAACCGAATATCTCAGGGTCCAGCCCAGGGCCTAACGTTTAGTGCCAAAAACAGCTGGTGCTCAATCAATGCTTGTTGCCAGGAGTAAGCACCCAAGGCTGCAGAGCAGAAGGTGGCAGCCTTGGGTGGAGACTGCAGAGCCCTGACTCCCAGACTCCCTGCATCAACCTCCGAGGGTGCAAACAGACCTCCTGTCTGCTGGGATCAGTGTCGGCATCCCGGAGGCCCCTGGCTCCTGGTTTAGACCCTGCTGTCTGCAGATGTGAAGCAGTGGAGAGGGAAGCCTGGATCTGGACTTAGGCACGGTCAAGTTTGGGTCCCAACTCTGTCGCTCTCTGACTCCCTGGGCTTGGACAAGCCACTTCTGGGGGCCTCATTATCTCCATTTGCCATTTGGTGACATTAGCCTCTTTACCTGGGGGACTTCTACACTCCCATTTCTTCCAAGCTCCTGTCCATACTGACATTGTATTTTTCCAGTCCCTGTAGGTCTCTGTATGTATCATCCACTCATTCATTATCTACTTCCATCATCATTAATCTACATCCTCCCTCATTCAGGCATCCATTCATCCATTCATCATCCATATATCCTTCTAGCATCCACCCACTTACCCACCAATTCATCCATCCATCCACCTCTCCACCCACTCATCCTTCATCCATCCATTCACCCATTCATCCACCCATCCATCCATCCACCCACCCACCTATCCATTCATCAATTCACACACCCGCCCATCCATCCATCCATTCATCATCCATATATCCTTCTAGCATCCACCCATCCACCCATCCACCCACCTCTCCACCCACCCATTCATCCATTCATCCTTCATCCATCCATTTATCCATTCATCCATCCATCCACCCACCTATCCATTCATCCATTCACACTCACCCATCCATCCATCATCCATATATCTGTCTAGCATCCACCCACCAATCCATCCATTTATCCATCCACTTATCTACCCACCCACTCAACCATCTACCTATCCATCCATCCATTCATCCTTCATCCATCCATTCACCCATTCATCCATCCATTCATCCACCCATCCAGCCACTCACCTATCCATTCATCCATTCACCCACCCACCCATCCATCCATCCATCATCCATATATCCTTCTAGCATCCACCCACCCACCAATCCACCCATCCACCCATCCACCTATCCACCTACCCACTCACCCACCTACCCATCCACCCACTCATCTTTCTTCCATCCATTCACCCATCAACTATCCATCCATTCACTTATTCATCCATTCATCCATTTACCCACCCATCCATCCACTCACCTATCCATCCATCCATCCACTTGCTCATCCATCCACCCGCCCATCCATCAACCCATGCATCCATCCACCCATCCATCAGTCCATCCATGTATACATTCATCCACCCCTCCATCTGATGATGCATATGTCAAGAAGGGAATGTGCCAGTTGTGTGCTAGGGCTAGAGTCCCAATCCCCAATTCCTAACCTAATGCCCTCTCCAGATGCCAGGTGTCCAGAGGGCTCAAGGGGTTCCCATTCTGTGACTGCATTGGCTCAGATCCCTGACTGCTTGGGGAAGAGCTCCTGTTACCACTCTAGGTCTCATGGAGACAACCAAAAGCTAAAGAACCAGAGGACTCCCCATTGGCTCTGCTTCAGGAAGGTGTGAATCTGGGCAAGACACTCATCTCAGTGTAGCACTCGCCACCTGTAATGGGCACGTGATTGCAGAGGCTTCAAACTGGGCCATGCCAGGGAAGTTGGCTGGCTCAAGGCGCTGTAAATGGATAATGTTGTTAGGAGATTCAACATGATTAAAAATAAGGAGACAGGATATGCTTTTCCCTTGTCACCAATTCCACAGCATCTCAAGGGTCTGTAGTGCACCAGGCCCAGCCCCCAGCAAAGGTGGAACCAGGCCTGCCCAGCTGAGCCCTCTGCAGATCCCAGGGGAACAGGGTCAGTCTGCAATCCCAGAAATGTATTCATGGTTCCTTAGCAACCAGTGGCTTGGGGACTGAGCCGGGAATCTGTGTTCCTCCCAGCGTCTCACCTCATCTTTTGTTCCCCTCACTTATCCATCTGAGCTCTGAGCCCTCAGACACATTAGATGACTGGAATGGTGACTACAAGCCTGTGCAATGCTGAAATTATATTTCCACAGTCACAGAAGCACACACATGCGTGAGCATGCACACATATATACACACTACATACAGTATGCTGAGTAGAGAGGCCCAGGTTAAGAAATAATGTCACTACTCAATTACAGAAAAGAACAAACTATAAGCATCACAACTTGAATGAATCACCAGGGAATCTTGTGGGGGAAAACAAATGTAATCCCAAAATGTTACATACTGTGTGATTCCATTTACACAGCAGACTGACAGTCCCTGACTTAACGATGCTTTGATTTATAATTTTTTTACTTTATAATGGGTTTATTGGGGTATTAAATGCATTTTTGACATATTGTTGACTTATGATGTGTTTATCAGGATGTAACTCTATCATAAATTGAGGAGCATTTGTACTTGAAAAGACAAAATTATAGAAATGGAGAATGGATTAGCAGTGACCAGAGGTCAGAGATGGGATGGGGTGAGGGAAGGGGGCATGGCTATAAAAGGGTAACAAGAGAAATATTTGTGGGATGGGACTTTTCTGTATCTGGACTGTATCACTGTCAATATCCTGGTTGTGACACTGTACTATAGTTTTGTAAGATGTTGCCACTGGGGGGAACTGGATAAAGGGTACATGAGATCTCTCTGTATTATTCTCACAATTGCAAGGGACTGTACAATTGTCTTAAAATAGAAAATTTAATTTTAAGGAAATAAAATAATGTCATTGAAAATGGATGGTATTTTTCAATAAAAGGGGTAAAATCAACTGGATTAGTATACCTAGGAAGAACTGACACTTGATCCTTACATCTCACGCCATAGATAAAAAATTACAGGTGGATTAAAAGTCTAAATGTCAGGTGTAAAACAATAAAGCTCCTAGAAGATTACATAGAAGAGCATCTTCAAGAACTTAAGGTGAGAAAAGATTTCTTTATAAGCTAACAGAAAGTGCTAACCATGGAGGAGAACTTGAGTAACATTAAAATGAAGAACTTCTTCTCATTAAAATACATGACTGAAAGAGTGAAATGGCAAGCCATGGAATGAGAGAAGATATTTTCAACATATGTAATCAAAAAATTAAGAATTACTAGATATATAAAGAATTCCTACAAACATATAAAGAATGCAACTCAATAGAAAAATGGGGCCAGGTGCAGTGGCTCATACCTGTAATCCCAGCACTTTGGGAGACCAACGTAGGAGAATCGCTTAAGTCCAGGAATTTGAGACCCGTCTGGGCAACACAGGGAGACTCTGTCTCTACAAAAAAAAAAAAAAAAAAAAAATTAGCCAGGCATGGTGGCATGTGCCTGTAGTCCCAGCTATGTGGGATGCTGAGGTGGGAGGATTACTTGAGCAGGAAGTCTGACACCAGTCTGGGCAACATAGTAAGACCCTGTCTCTATAAAAAAAATAAACAAATAAAAGAAAAAAGACAAATATGACTTTTAAACAGATAGGTCACAAAAAAATGACATACAAATATCCAAATGGCCAATAAACTTATGAAAAGGTGTTCACTAGTAATGCTAAAATTTAAAAGGACTGACAATATCAAAGGCTTTTAAAAGATTGTTTTAGATTTAACATTTAGACCTTTAATTCTTCCAGAATTAATTTTTTAATCTATGGTGTGAGGTAGGCATCAAGTTTCAGTTTTTTCCAGGTATACTAATCCAGTTGATCTTACCCCTTTTATTGAAATATACCATCCATTTTCAATGGCATTATTTTATTTCCTTAGAATTAAATTTTCTATTTTGAGACAACTGTACAGTCCTATGCAGTTGTGAGATTCCCCTGGAGGAGAGAAGGGTAGTGATCAGGAGGAGATGGGGTGGGGGGCTTCTGAGATACAAGTATCATTTTTATTTCTTGAGCTAGATGGTTCCTACATAAATTTCACTTTGTGGTACTTCATGGAATTGCATATGCTACCCTTTTTTAAGTTTTGTTTAAAAAAAAAAAATACCACAGGGTGGGAATTCTGGCATAGAATAGTGAAAAGGTCACCAAATCTTCTCTCCAAAAAACAACTATAAAGCTACTCCAAATTCTCAAAAACAATCATTTCCACATCCTTGAAATTAACCAAAGGCCTTCATTCATGAAAAACTGCTTAACTTAGGCTAAGACAGGGGGAATCTGTGGAGTTCTTACCTGAAGCTCTCCCATCTCCCCCCGCACCTCCCCCCAACTCAGTTAATGCAGTCATTCCCACAGGGCAGGGCAGGGCAAGGCAAATCATAAAAACTAGCAGCTTTGCTGTCAGGGGCTGATTTTATTTGAAGCAGAAGGCACAGACTCTCGTCTGGCAGAAGTGCTGTCAGTAAGAAGCAGCAATCTCGGTGGCAAGTGAATGGGGAAAGCCAGTGGTTCTACCAGGCTTAAGCTGTGATCCTGACTGGGGCAGCAATACACCAGTAGACTAGCTGGGAATCTGACAGAGAGTTGCATGAAATATGACAGTCATAGAGATACCTGATAAGCCTTCCACATGTGCCCAGTGGATGGGTACCACACATACACAGGGGACAGCAGAGAGGGCCCAAGCAATTCACAAATTTCTGGCCTGCTGAAAGCCTGTAGGCATATGCAGAGGAGACAAAAGAGGGTCTGGAAAAAAGTAGAAACCAGGTCAGGCCTGAAAACTACCCGATCTTTGGATGTGCTTACAGACCCACATGCAGATCTATCAACAGCATGTGTAGGCCTGACTGGCTCAAGGTATTTGGAAACAACCCCAAACCAATCACTGACTGACCACAGAGCTATGCAAACACAGAGGTAATCTAGGAGGCCAGAATTAAAACAAGTAGGGATTTAAGAAAAGAGAAGAAAGCCAGGAATGGTGACATGTACCTGTAGTCCCTGCTACTTAGGAGGCTGAGGTGGGAGTATAACTCAAGCCCAGGAGTTCCAGGCTGCAGTGAGCTATGATCACACCACTGTACTCCAGCCTGGGCAACAGAGTGAGATCCCATCTCAAAAAAAAAAAAAAAAAAACAAGGACAAACTAACAGAGACAATGATCTCACATTCACACATCAGGGGAAAATGAATTTCACAGCTTCAGTCCAGGTCAATTACTACACAAACAACAACAACAACAAAACCCAGCAATACTAGCAACTCTTGGGAATACAAATCAGCATCCAGAACTGCTGCAATATATTACCTGAAGTGTTTGTTTTCAACACAAACTTACAAGACATCCAATGAAACAGGAAAGGGTGACCCATACTCAGAAAAAAAAAAGTCAATGGAAACCGTCACTGAGTGTCCCCAGATGTTAGATATAACAAAGACTTCAAAGCTTTTTATAATATAAATATATATTTATATTATATATTTGTATAATATAACTATATATAATTTAATATATATATTTTAATACTTATATAAACCGTTGAAAGATAAACTATAATATAAATATCTTTCAATGGTTTATATATTATATAATATAAATACATTCAAAGACATAAAGATGGTTTATATATTATCTTTCAACAGTTTATATATTATATAATATAAATCTTTCAACGGTTTATATATTATATAATATAAATGCAGTCAAAGAAATAAAGACAACTATGTGTAAAGAATTGAAGAAAAGGATAATAATAGTGACTCAAAACACAAAACCTCAATGAAGAGACAGAAATTATTTAAAAAATGGAAAATTTAGAATTAAAAAGTATGACTGCGGAAATGAAAAATTCATTACATGAGGGCTTGCAAGATGGCAAAAAAAAATTAGTGTGCTTGAAGATCAATCAATAGAAGTATTCAATCTAAAGAACACAGAGAAAAAACTGAACAGAAAAATAAACTGTGCCTCTGACATACATGAGACATCAAGTGCACTAGCATATGTGGTGATGGGAGTCTCAAGAGAACAGGAGAGAGAGAAAGACACAGGAATAAGATTTGAAGAAATAATAGCTGAAAATTTCCCAAATTTGATGAAAAGCATTAATCTACAGATTCAAGAAGATCAACAAACACCAAATAAGATGAACACAAGAAAAATCCAAACCTGGACACATCATAGCCAAACTGTTGAAAGACAAATAAAGGAGCAGGAGAAAATTGATTCACAGTGTCCAGAGTAACAGCAATATGATAAATGGCTGATTTCTCATCAGAAACTATGGAGGAAAGAAGGTGGTGGAATGGCATATTCAAAATATGAAAACAAAAAAAAATTTGTTAGCCAAGAATGAAAGCAAACTAAAAACATTACAGATCAAGAGAAACTGAAAGAATCTGGGGCTAGTACAGCTTATTTAGAAGAAATACCAAGAGAAGTCCTTTAGGCTGAAAGGAAATGTCAGATGGTAATTCAAATTCACAGAAAGAAATGAAGAGTACCAGAAATGGTAAATACATAGACGAATATAAAAAGCTCTATAAATGTATTACTTTCTCTTTCCTTCCCTTAACTTCTTTTAAAAACATAAGATTGTATAAAGCAATATTTTTAACACTATATTGTTATATGTTATAACATACGTCAACATATATTAATGAAATATATGATAATAATAGTACAAAACAGGGAGAAGAAAATTGAGCTATGTTGGAGTAAAGTTTCTATATTTTACCATAATTGTTAGTATTAATGAAAAATAGATGGTAATAAGTTGGTATGCATACTGTAGTCCCTAAGGCAACCAATAAGAAAATAACTCTAAAAATTAGTTTAAAAATTAACAGAGGAATTAAAATGGCACATGAAAAGTATTTACCTAGCTCAAAAGAAGGCAGCACAGGAGAAAAGAATGGGTAAAGACATGAGACATGGAAAACAATGAAGAAAACAGCGACCATAAGAAATAAAAAAATTGCATTAAGTGTGAATGGACTAAACAGACCAAATAAAAAGCAGAGATTGTCAGACTGGACAGCAATATGATCAATGGCTGATTTCTCATCAAAAATTATGGGGGGAAGAAGGTGGTGGAATGACATATTCAAAGTGTGGAAACAACCCAAATATATACTGTCTAGAAGGGGTACATTTTAGTTCAAATATACAAATATGTTGAAAATAAAAGGATCGAAAAAGATATACATGCAAACAGTAACCATAACAAAGCTAGGAAAATATATACATGCAAATATTAGCCATAACAGAACTGGAGTAGGTAAAAAATTTTTTTGGGGAGACAGGGTCTCATTCTGTCACCCAGGCTGGAGTACAGTGGTGTAATCTTAGCTTTCTGCAGCCTCAACCTCCCACACTCAAGTGACCCTCCCTCCTCAGCCTCTCAAGCAGCTAGGACTACAGGTGTGCACAACCATGCCCAGCTAATTTAAAAATTTTTTTGTAGAGACAGGGTCTCCCTATGCTTCCCAGGGTGGTCTCAAACTCCTGGGCACAAGCAATCCTCCTGCCTTGGCCTCCCAAAGTGCTGGGATTACAGGCATGAGCCACCACACCCAACCTGGAGTAGGTAAATTAATGTCAGATAAAATAGACTTTAAGACAAGAAATATTGTCAAAGACAAAGAGGAAGGTTTCATAATGATAAATATGTCAGTATCTCAGGAATATGTAACAGTTATAAATAAATATCCTCATAACAACAAAGTCCCAAAATACATGAAGCAAAAATTGGCAGAATTAAAAGGAGAAATAGACAAATCAACAAAAATAGTTGGGGATTTCAATACTCCACTCCCTCTCAATAACTGATAGAACAACTAGACAGAAAACCAGCAAGGACAGAGAAGACTTGAATATTACCGCCAACTTGACCTAACTGACATTTATAGAACATTCCACCCAAAAGACCACACAATGTTTTCAAATGTATGTGGAAATATAAAGGAATATTATGAACAACTTTACACCAACAGATTAGACCTAATTTAGATGAAGTGAACAAATTCCTAAAAAGACACAAATTATCAAAACTGGTTTAGTGAGAATAGAAAATCTGAACAGACTTGTAACCAGTAAAACAAAAACAAAAAAAACTAAACTAAGACATAACAAGTTAAAAAACAAACAAACTGATTAATTTGAAATCTTCCCACGAAGAAAAGCCCAGGCCCCTATGACTTTAGTGGTAAGTTTTGTCAAATATTTAAAGAAATAATATCAAAACTTCACAAACTCATTCAAAAAAAAAAAGGAGAAAAACTTCTCCACTTATTCTGTGAGAGCAATATTTTCCCTGATACCAAAACCAAAAACATCACAGAAAATAACAGACCTTTAAACCTCATAAGCAGAAGATTCAAAAATCCTTAAAATATCAGCAAACCAAAACCAACAACATATAAATATAGGTAGAATTTTCCCCAGGAATGCAAGGTTGGTTTAGCATCTGAAAATCACTAATTTTGATCCCCTTAATAGATATAGAAAAATAATTTGACAAAATCCAACACCCATTCACAGAAAAACTCTCAATAAACTAAAAATGGCAGAGAACTTCTCAACCTGATAAAGACCATCTATGAAACCCCACAGTTCCCATCATATGGTGAAAGACTGAATGCTTTTCCTCTAAGGCCAAGAACAAAGCACCTCTGCTATTCAAGATTATTCTGAAAGTTCCAGTTAGTGCAATAAGGCAAGAAAAAGAAATAAAAGTGCTCCAAGAGGCCAAGATGGGAAGATCATTTGAGGAGAGGAGTTCAAGACCAGCCTCAGTAACACAGAAAACCTTGTCTCTACAAAAAAAAAAAAAAAAAATTTATCCTGGCATGATGGCACACGCCTGTAGTCCCAAACACTTGGGAGGCTGTGGTGAGGAGATCACTTGAGCCCAGGAATTCGAGGCTTCAGTGAGCTGTGATCATACCGCTGCACTCCAGCCTGGGAAACAGAGTAAGACCCTGTCTCTGAAAATAAAAAAAATAAAATAAAATAAAAATAGGCATATACTTCAAATGGAATAGAATTGAGAGTCCAGAAATAAACTTTTCCATTTATGATTCCAATAAGATGTAGTGCAGAAAAGATAGTCTTTTTCAAAAACATGTATACAGCAAAACAAGCTCTGACACTCACACACCATACAGACGTTAGCTAAAATTGGACAATAGGCCTAAGTGCAAGAGCTAAGGCTATAAACGTCCTAGAAGAAAACGGAAGAAATCTTTGTGACCTTGGGTTAGGCAAACGATTCCTAAATATGACACCCAAAACATGCTCCATAAAAGAAAAAAAATGATAAATTGGACTTTATAATAAGTTAAAAAATGTCTGTGCTCCAAAAAGATACCATTAAGAAAATGAAAGACAAGCTCCAGAGTGGGATAAGAGATCAGAAATTACATTTCTGATAAAGGACTTGTATCCAGAACATATACAGAACTCACAATAATTCTGAATAATTTTGAAACTCAATAATAAGACAAATCCATTAAATATGGGCAAGAGATTTGAATAGACATTTTATCAAAGAAGAAATATGAATGCCTAATGAGCACATGAAAAGATGTTCAACTTCATCGGTCATTCGGAAAATGCAAATTTAAACCACATGGGACACCATTACACATCCGCCTGAAGATCTGTAATAAAAAGACCGACAATAGCAGGTGGTGAGAGACACGCAGGGGCTGGAACCCTCACGTGTTGCTGGTGGGAATGTAACATGGTCCGGCCAGTTTGGAAAACTGTTGGGCAGCTTGTTAAGAATTTAAATATGGCCGGGCACAGTGGCACACACTTTGGGAGGCCGAGGTGGGTGGATCACTTGAGGTCAGGAGTTCAAGACCAACCTGGCCAACATGGCGAGACCCAGTCTCTACTAAAAAATACAAAAATCAGCTGGGCATGGTGGTGCGTGCCTGTAATCCCAGCTACTTGGGAGGCTGAGGCAGGAGAATCACTTGAGCCTGGGAGGCAGAGGTTGCAGTGAGCCAAGATTAAGCCAGTGCACTCCAGCCTGGGTGACAGAGTGAGACTCCATCTCAAGAAAAAAAAGAATTTTACAATATGAACTGACCAGATGAACTCTCCTTCCAGGAAGCTGCCCAGTTTGTGCACGAATGTTCACAGCGGCATGATTCATAATGGCCCCACGCTGGACACACATGCTCTGCATGTGTTTTGGATAATGGATAAGTAAAACGGTCTAGCAATACAATAGAATACTATTCAGCAATAAAAACCAACAACTACTGACACAGTCTATAAGATGACTGAACCTCAAAAATATGACACTAAGTGTTAGAATCCAGCCACAGAAGACTGCATATTGCAGGATGCAGGATCCCATTGATGTGAAATGTCCATTAAATGTAAATCCACAGGCTGGGCGCAGTGGCTCACGCCTGTAATCCCAGCACTTTGGGAGGCTGAGGGGTGTGGATCACCTGAGGTCAGGAGTTCGAGACCAGCCTGGTCAACATGGTGAAACCCTGTCTTTACTAAAAATACAAAAACTATCCAGGCATGGTGGTGGGCGCCTGTAATCCCAGCTACTCAGGAGGCTGAGGCAGAAGAATCATCTGAATCCAGGAGGCGGAGGCTGCTGTGAGCCGAGAACGCACCACTGCACTCCAGCCTAGGCAACAGAGTGAGATTCAGTCTCAAAAAAAAAAAAAAAAAAAAAATTGTAAATCCACAGAGACAGGGTGCAGATCAGTGCCTGGGGGTGGGGTAGGGGGTGCTGACTACAGTTGGGCATGAAAATGTTTTATAGCTGGTATGTAGTTATGGTTGTGCAACTCTATGAATGCATGAAAACCACTGCCTGGTGCCCTTGCAATGGGCTTGCAGATGGAGAGTGGAAGGCACGGTGACGGTGTCGGCGCACAGGATGCCTCTGTAAAGCTGCTCAGGAAGAAAAAAGAAGCAAGCTCACGCAAGGGAAACAAGCGCAGCACAGCCGCTGCCCCTTTCAGCATCGTCCCCCAGGTGATCAGATTCTTGTCCCGAGGGTGGTGAGAACCAGAATGACTTTACCAGACCCCAGACCATCCACGTCTTGACCATCCTGCCACACTTGGTTTCCACTCAAAACAGAAGGATCTCCCCGTGACCTTGGGGTACCTTCCCAAAAATCAAACACACAATTTGTTCCCCTACGTGATCTGCCTTGGGCACTCCTCCAAGGGGTGTTCCAGCACTGCCCTGGGCCCACGGACCGGGTCAGAATGAGCCAGAGTGCCCAAGGCAAGCCCAGGCTACTCCCAGGATAACACCTGTTTTGCTTTCGTATCCAGACCACGGAGCCCAGCATCGGAGAATGTCCACTGGGTAGGTGAATGAATGAATGAATCAGTGAATGAACACTTCTAATGCGTAACTCCCATGTCCCGACTTCATGGTCATGTTTAATGAACTGTGCACCTGCACACAGGAGCGCTCAGGGGCACACGCGCCCCCTTCTGCTCCCCGTTCCATCTCTGTCCCTGCCCTCTCCTTTCCTCGAGGATGGTGATCTGGGTGCCAGGGCCCTGTGGTGGACAGGACAAGGCAAAGGTGACCCTGCACAATGGGGCTTTCAGAGGACTGGGGACACCACGCCCGCAATGGCCAAGGACAGGGGCAGAGTCACAGGAGGGAGCCACTGTTGGAGTGTGGCCAGGGGGCAGGGGGAAGGGACCCTCATTCTGAGCACCATGGCATCCAGGCTGTGCCAACGCCCCACAAATGCCACCCCGCTTGGTGGGACTCACCCCAGCAGACAGGAGTTAGCAGCTCCAGTGCACAGGTGCGAACATGAGGCTTGCAGGAACCCTCGGTTCCCCTCCCCACATCCTCCCCGGGAGAGCTCGGTAGGGACGGGGCTGAGGCAGCAGCCTGGGCCTCAGTTTCCCCTCCTGCCTGAACCTCCAGGGAACGTTCCTGTGGGTTCCCTCAGCCAGCAACCTGCAGGGGACCCCAGAGCAGGCCCCGGGACTGTCCTCCTGGCCCCAGGCCCAGAGTTCCCTGCCCACGGCCCAGATGGTCAGGCCAGGCACCCCCAGGCTTGGGGAGGTCCCAGAGCCTCCTGCAGGGAGGGGGATGTGCAGCCGTGATAATGCCAGCACAATGGACCCAGGCCTGGGCTGTAGCTATGGCCCTCCCGCCCAGCCCTGGTCACCAGCTAGACCCTGGCAGGGTACAGAGCCCTGGCTGCTCTTTTGTCAAATGGGAGCCATGCGCAGTTGTGTGTGTGTGTGTGTGCGCGCGTACGTGTGTGCACGCGTGTGTGTGTGCGCGCACGCGTGTGTGTGTATGTGGGGGGTGGGCTCTAGCTGAGTAGGTGCCAACATCCCTGCAAGACGGGCATAATCATTAGTGTGTAACTCAGGGTCACGCAGCCCAGCGGAGGTGATGGGAGATGAGGGTCAGGGTCCCCAGGCCTCTCCTCTCCTCTGCCACCCAAGGCCAGTTCCTCGGGGTGAGCACTCCTGGGAGCACAGGCCAGCCCCTGACATCACCCACTCTGGCATCACCCGTGCTCCAAATCCCAGTTCACAGCGTGTCCACGCGATGCCCGCACCCCACACTCCCGATTTCGCTGCTGTGCCAAATATTCCCTCACTCGCTAAGCCGGGTAGTCACCAAGACTGTCGCAGAGATGGGGGATGCTCTGGCACCCACGTGGGCAGACAGAGGGCAAAGTGAGAGCCGAGGCTCAGGGTCCACACCCACGACCGCTGGGGCCAGGCAAGGGCAGCAGGGCTGAGGCTGGTGGTGGGTGCAGGAAGAGGACACCAGAGGAGGCTTGGGGGAAGTCTGGGCACCATGGGAGGTGCTGAGGCTGTTTACAGACCTTTCTGTAAAATGTGGGGTGGGGGCCCAAGGGTGTCCCAGACAGGCTATGCTGGGTTCTGGCACATGTGAGCCGTGAGCCTGGACCATGTTACTTCCCCACTCCATGCCTCGGCCTTCTGGTCTGTGAAATGGGCACACAGCACCTCCCTCCGGGCTGTGTGAAGATTCCCAGTGGCGCGGGCCTTACCCACAACTGACATGCAGGGCCGCAGGGTGGGGCGGGAGAGCTGCTCTGAGCCCAGGTATGGGGTGTGAGGCTCAGGTGCCCTGGGTGGTCGTGGCAGGATGGGAGCTGAAGTCCCATGTTGGCACAGGCTGCACTCCAGGACCCCATGGTGTGTGTGTGCGTGCACCTGTGCCTGTGCACCCCTGTGCATGCCTCCCCAGTGTGTGTGGGAGCACGGTGGCACACACACTGTGCATGGTGAGGGCACAGGCGCCCAGGGCTGGGAGCTGCCCATTCAGCTGAGTCCCCTCGGTCCCTGACTGGTGTGGATTCGGGTGCGGGAACACTGGATTTCTGGTGAGTTGTTTCTCTGAAAAGCTGTCTCTGGGGACTCACAGCCCTCAGATGTAGCATGCTCTTGCTCTGTGGGGACAATGTAATGAAGGAACAAAAATAAGCCCGGATGTCTGTCAGACAGCAAACACCTCAGGGGCCTGACTCTCTTCCTGACGTCCCTCCCTGCCTACCCCAAGGACAGGGGAGCCGGCCGCTCCCAGACCCACCAGGAACCCGCGGGAGCTCCACACGCTCCCTGCATCTCAGAGCCTCCATCCGCTCGACTGAATTTGCAAAAAAAAAGAAAAAGCAGACAACAAATTCATTTTACAGAACCTAACCCTCAGACGGAAGGAATTTCACATCAGAGCCACGATCATTCATGAACCCACATCGGCTGCCCACTGTGGTGTCCAAGAGGGGAAAGGGGTGGGGGGGCCAGGAGGGTGTGCACACACCTCTATTCACGCAGACACTAATCTACACACACGTGAGTTCATGCACGTGTGTGCACACTCCCATATTCAGACACGAATCTACATGCACACACCCGCGAACCTACACACACCCCTGCACAGTCCTCTGTTCACACAAGTGGTAATCTACACGCACACACGTGAACATGCGTGCCTGCTCCCATATTCACTTGGACACCCATCTGCACCCAGAGCCACACGCAAATGAAGATCTGAGAATCCCGTCTCCTGGAGGAAGCCGGGGTGCCGGATACCTGAGGAATGGGCCCTGAGCCCCACTTCTGTGGGCACCCTGAGGGGTTCTGTGCCAAGATGACCCCACTGTTTCATACCAATCCATTCTGGGGGGTTCATCTCCCCAAGAACACAGCTCTGAAATGCTAATGGCTGTCAAAGGGAAGCAGGACTTGCTTCGCACAACCTTCCTCTCCACAGGACGGCCTCCCTCATTTCCTAATGAATATAAATAGGAAAATGGGTTTTGCCTTACAGAATATTTTTCTCTATAGGAATGTAGCTCCAATTTCTAAGCACTGTCAAAACAGAAGTTACATCCTCTCTGTCTCTCCGCTGCCAGCGTCGGCACCCAGTACGGGCTACCCTCATGGCTTTCAGACGTCGGCAGTCCCCTGGGTGGCTCATTCCCTCGTGTGCCCTTAAAAACCCTTTCTCCGTCGACATCAGAGGGATGCTTTAAAGCCAGCCTTGTCTCTCAGCTGCTGCAAACTCCCCAGAGACTTCCCGAAGCAATCCGAGTACCAACCAACTCTTCCCAAGAGCTCCGACACAGGAGCAGCCCGGACCCTGGGGCCTCTCCCGCTCACCTCTCAGCCCCCACGGCCAGCTGCACTGGCCTTGCCCTTCACCCACACGAAGCGTGTCTCGGCTGCGGGGCCATTACACCTGCTCTCCCTTCCCCAGCATCCTCCTTCCCTGTCTCTTTGCACAGCAGGGCACAGAGGGACGCAGGGACCGAACCTGCGCCCCATCCAGGTTCCAGGGCTGCAGGTCTGAGGGCCATGCAGGGCAAGTCAGAAGGGCGGGGGATTCTGCCAGCAGTGGCGGCTCTGCCCTTTCCAGAACTGGTGTCAGCCATTTACACTCCCCACAGCCATCCATCCACCCCCGTCCTCACATGACGGAGGAGAGGCCGAGGCTCCGGGAAGGGAAGGGACCCACCTCAGGTCACGCCGAACACCAGAGGCTCCCCAGCCCGGGCCACCCCATGATCTGCAGCCAAGCCCTTCCACCATTCCACAGGACAGATAGATGCAGGGGTGGTCCCTCAGTGAAGAGGGCAGAGGCCGGGCCCTTCCACAGCTTCCACGGGGCAAACAGACACAGGGGCAGTCTGTCAGTGAGGAGGGCAGAGGCCTCAGTGCAGGCTCCCCTCAGGCAGGGAGACAACAGACTGGGGGTTCCTCTCCAGGGTGCCCTGGAGCCACTACCAGCACCCTTTAGGCAGAGGTAGGCACTTGGCTAATGCCATCTCCCTTGGGATCTGGTCTAGGAACCAGCTGCCACCTTTCCAGACATGTCCGGGAAGCATCCCAGTCCCCCTCCCAGGCAGCCTCCCTCGGTCAGCACTCTGACCAGTGCGGGGGCCAGGCAGGAGCCACAGCACAGCCCAGAGTCCACGCCCAGGAGACACATCCTGAGGGTCCCCAGCCCCTTGGGCTTCTAGGGAGGCCGTGGAGGTCGAGATGGCAGTGAGGGAGCCAAGCGCTGGCCAACCCTTCATGCAGCCCTGGCGGGGCAGCTGTGCTGTGGGTATCTCCGGGACACCTTCCCAGCCACTACTTCGGGCTGTGTCTCGACAGCGCGGGACTGTGAAGGCACACAGCTGTCCTTGACTCGTCCCTCCGGGCCAGCGACGCCTCACTGTGTGCTCTGCAAAGCCCTCTCCCTGCAGGGCCTCCTGCGCACCGGCCGAGGGTCTGGGGAGCCCCCCGACGGCCCCCCCATTTCCAGACCCCGCTCCTCGGCCCCAGGAAGCCGGGCGGGATTCTCATCCATGTGGGGCGGGCACATGGCTGGCTGTGTTTGTATCTGTGTTTATTAAACTAGAGAGAGTTAATGACTAAGAGGTGCCTGAGTTTGATCCTGCTGAAAATAAGACTCGGATCTGTCGGTAAACACGGGGGAGCCTCCAGGCTGTCAATCATCTCCCGGGGTTTCCATCCCAGGAAGGATTCCGCCTGGACCCAACCCAACAGCCTCCAAATGTCAGGGCAGCAATGCCGGGGTGTGCACCTGTCACGTGGACAGACCCCCGCCCCCGAGCCCTCGGCCGCCACCTGGCCACATGTCCAGCGCTGGTGAGAAGCTCTCAGCGCGGTCAGCACTCTGTGACAAGCCCTCTGACAGAAGTTACCACTGGAGTGGGGCGGACAGCAGAGAGATGCGCTTCTGTGGGGTGGGGTCCTAGAGGGGGTAGTGGGCCACAGAGGGCCTGGGGGTGCACAGGGGTGGAATGTGGCTTCCCAGACAAGCTGGTTCACCTCCACGCCGTGGGCTGCCGGGTCCCCGTCGGTAAGGCCAGGGCACTCTCCCAGCTGAGCCCGGATATGAGGTGTGGGGAGCCCAGCATGGGAGCAGGGCTGAGCCCAGATACCACTGCCTGCAAGCCTCAGTGGCTTGCGGCCACTGCCCTGTCTGCGCCTCAGTGTCCCTATCTTTAAAATTCAGAGATTGAATTGGGGGCTCTAGCAAACACAGTGGACCTGGTGATGGCTGGGCTGGCCCGGGCCGAAGGATGTTTCCCGCCCGGCTGTGCCTCCTCTGTCCCCATCCCTCCCTCGGAAGCCCAGAGTGCAGTTTTCCAATATACCCCAGCCTCATGTGGGGGCACTGGGCACAACACACAGGGAGGCAAGGCCCTGTCCCTTCCACCAGTCTCTCCCACTGTGGCTGCCCGAGTCTGTCCTGGAACTGGCAGAGGAAGACATTAGGGCAGACGTCGAGGGCGGGGGGGTCACCGTCCACTGTCATGGCCCCTCTCCCCACCCCCCTCACTGCTCTGGGGGCCTCACACCTTCCCTTCCGCTGCCTCTCCTGCCTGGATGCCTGCCTCTTCCTGTGGGGTTATCTAAACTCTGCCCACCCTATAGGGGCCAGCTAGACCCCTCCTCCTCAGCCCCAAAGAGGAGCTTGGGTCCGGCTCACAGGCGAGGGGAGCCTGGAAGCCGTGAGTCCTGAGGAACTAACTGCTGGGCAGAAGGGAGGCAACCGGGGCTGAGTAACCGAGATCCTGAGACTCCAGGGTCTCCCACCACAGAACAGCCCCAGGAGTCCTAGCCATGTGGGTGGGGAAGAGCTGTGTGGACCAGCCTCCATGGCTCAGTTTCCCCACTGGCTCCTGTGCACCCCCATGGCCCGGAGCAGGGAGCGGAGGAGTGGTCCTCTCTGCCTCAGTTTCCCCACCGGCTCCTGGGCACCCCTCATGGCCCAGAGCAGGGAGCAGAGGAGTGGTCCTCTCTGCCTGACTCAGTTTCCCCACTGGCTCCTGTGCACCCCTCACGGCCCGGAGCAGGGAGCAGAGCAGTGGTCCTCGCCGCCTGACTCAGTTTCCCCACCAGCTCCTGTGTACCCCCGTGGCCTGGAGCAGGGAGCGGAGTAGTCGTCCTCTCTGCCTCCCCTCTGAAGGTCCCTCAAGCCCTGCTGGACCCCCTCCTGCCTCAGCCTGGGTTCCAGCTCTTCTCCAAGACCAAGACCCCAGCTGCCCCAGGACAGCTCTACAGGTGTGGAGGCCTGGTCCAGCCACAGCTCCAGCTTACTTGCTGTGTGACCTCGGGCGATGCTGGACCCTTCTGGAAAATGGACCGGCTGGACCATCTTCAGGGGCTGGACCGGCTGATCTCCGAGGGAAAGGAGGCACATTTATTTGTGAGACCATTGTCTTTCCATCTGGGGATGCCAGCTCCAAGGCAGCCAGGCTCCTCTGGGCTTTGTCCCAGGCTCCAGGTAGGGCACACAGTTGGCCCTTGTCTGCCATCAGCGCTCCCAGGGTGGTCTCTCACCTCCCGCCCTCCCTCCCCAGGAGGCTGGAAGAGGTGGGACAGAACCAGGTCTCAATCCACCAGCCTTGGGAAAGGGACATCCGGGGCAGGGGGCGGGGAGGGGGGGCACGGTGCTGGGCTCGAGTGCCCATAGCTGCCACCCTGCTTCCTGTTTACTGTCGGTGCCACTGACTGGCTCAGGGTGCACAGGGGTGAAGGGAGGCAGCAGCCCCCAACGACCAAGGCCTCCCACCCTGCTGGAATCCCCTGACCTGAACCAACACAACAGGACACAGACGCCAGACATAGGACCCCTCCACCACCCTCTCCGGCCCCACCCCAATCCGGGCCTCAGTCTCCCCATCTGTACAGCTGGTGCTGGAATGGATGGCGCCATCGTCCACTGCAGTGGCTCCACCACCAGCCACCCCCACAAACACCCACCCAAGGCCACTTGACACCTGAGCTTGTGCTGGAAGAAACCAAATCCACAACAAAAACAAAAAGGAAAGAGCGGGGGGGGGCGCTGGAGAGATGACAAATGTATCCAATGTCCGCGGCGGTGCCACCATCCGCTCCAGGTTCACGCCTGGAAATTTATGGCCTCATCACCCAGCCCTGGAGATCTATCTATCTCTCGCCTGTCACTCACTTGCATTTTTAATCCTGCCCCCCGCCCCGCCACCGGCCCCCTCGTGTATTTATGCACCACCCACCCGGGCATCTCGAGGGCCTGCCTGTTTCTTTCTTGTGAAGATATATGAACACCCCAAGTCCATGCACCTCTGCTCATAAATTTCCTCCAATGCGATGGTGTCTGAGTCTGGCACGGAGAAACACAGTCCCCTACCAAAATGGGGAATTGGCTTGTCGGGGGGGAAGGGATCCTGGGGTGGGGGCTCTGACCTCAGGGGGACCTTAGAAGGAGGCTTTCCTGAGTGCTTAGAAAATTCTATCAAAATCTAGAGCTGATGCGTGTGTGTTGGAAACAGATAGAGAAAGTCACCAACATGGGACCCAGGCAGCCACTCCGATTTTACCCCATTGATCTCAGGCACTGTGGTCATATTTTAGTCCCATTAATTTTTCTCTCCTGGAGAGCAGGTGAAGCCTACAAGTATACATTTAGGGTGAAAATATTCAAATGCCGGGGTCCGAGACAGGCAACTACTCCAGGCTCTGGCCCTGGGCGCTTGCTGGGACCCCGGACACCTGTTTCTTGGTGGGGACCGTGGTAGGGAGGTGGAGGAGCAGCAGCCTCTCCCTGGCCCAGGTGTGGGGAGCCTGCCTCCAAAGACACTTTGAAAAATCAGTGCTTTCCAGTGGCAGTCCTGGGGCATGGTGGGGAAGGGACGCCGCCCTCCCTCCCCTCCTCTGGTCCTGGGTGCAGGTGCCCACCACATCCCTGCACCCTTACCCCAGACTTACCAGGCCTCAGGAGTGTGGCTCTGGTTCAGGTGCCCACTGGCTTTTCTGGGAGTCGGGAGCTGCCTGCCGAGCCTGCTGTATCATCCTGAATTATACGCACACAGCAGTCCTGCTGCGGCCGAGGAGGAGGGGGCTGCACAGCTGGCTGTAGGACAGGGGGAGGGGCATGGCCCCCAATCTCTGACTTGGAGACCCCCAGGTCTTCTGCCCACTAGGGGTGGGGATCAGAACTCCCTGACCACCGTATGCCCAGGAAAATGAGGGACCCAAGTGCTGGGGTCCTGGCTGGGCTCCAAACCCCCTCAAATCCAGGTGAGGGGGTGACCCCCTCCCACACACGGCCCCCTGGAGTTTGTCCCCCTGCTTTGGTGGAGTGGGGCGCAAACCTGGGCTGGGACCTGTAAGCCAGTCTTCTCAATGCTTGTTCAATTAAAAGGTGGCAGGGGCAGGGACCCAGGGGGCAGGAGGCCAGGGGGCCAGCCAGGCAGAGAAGAGGAGCATGTTGATGCTTTTCAAGCAACCTATGCCCAACCCAATGGGGTTTCCCCCAAGGCTGGGTGCAAGCTGGACCTCTTTGGAGGCTGGGGGCCTCTCTAGGGGGCAGCCCCTGAGAGAGGCAATATGGGGAGATTTGCCATTTACATCTGCTCCTGGCTCCCGGTCCCTCCACAGCTTCTGTCCCCAGGCTCTCCGCACAGCCCTTAGCCCAATCGAGGGAATGAGCGGCAGAGGCAGCCAGCCCAAGCCAGGGTCCAAAGAGGCCCCACTCCGGGTGTGCAGGAAGGGAAAGTGCTGGCACGGAGGCTTTTTGAGGACGTGCACACCTGGCTCGGCCGGCCTCGACCCTTTCTGCTAAGCCTTCGTTTTTTTCAGAAGGCATGATCATCCTAGCCCCATTTCACAGGTGTGGAAACTGAGGCTCTGAGATTCACCTGCCCCAAGGTCACACAGCTGAGACCTGGAAAAGCCGGATTTTCATCTCAGAGGGTGTCGTTTTTATGGGGGGGGGGGCGGTGTGCGGTACGGCAGGCAGTGCCCCCCGCCCCACCCTCAGCATCAAGCAGGTGACCTGCAGGTTTCAAAGGATGGAAATGGGGGCGCTTGTCTTTAGAGGCAGGTTGGGGCACGGAGGCTTGGCAGCCTCCTCCCAGCCCCCAGAGGGACGAGGACGAGGATGGACTCCAGGTGGGGCGAGGGGTGGAAAGCACCCAGTAAGTTCAGTTCGGAGCGAAGCCCCCCACCCCACCCCCCCGCCAGTGGTTGGACTCAGGGGCTGGGACCGAGGAATGTGACCCCTCCCCGTGCGTGACTGGACGGTCCCCGCGCGGAGCGAGGAGGCTCGCAGCGTCGGGGGGAGGGCGGCCCAGCAGGGAGGGCGATGCGAGCCTGGGGAGGGGTCAGCGACTCGGCCAGGAGGTGAGGACAGCCCCCTAATTTCCGGGAAGGGAAGGGCAGGGGGCCGCGTCTGGGGGGCGCCGGGCAGGGTGCGGACGGCGAAGGGGGACGGAAGGGAGAGAGGCGCTGGGGAAGGGACCTCTCGGAGGCACGGGGCAGCGTGCGGGCTGCGGCAGCGACCCCGACCCGGGCCCCCGGGCTTTGTCGGGCTGAGCCTGCGCCCGCTCCGCCGCCGCCAAGTTCCTCCAACTTTGCCCGCTGCGCTCGGATCGCGCGCCAGGCCTGGGGGCGCAGCAGGGGCTGGGGGCGCACGCTGCGCACTCGGGGACGCCCGGGGTTCGAGGTGGCGGGGGGCTTGGCCGCGCCGCTCCCCGGGGGTGGTCCGGGTCCCAAGTCCCCCAGGTTCAGCGCCCGGCCGCGCTCGCCGCTTACCTGCCCGCCCGGCCTCGGTTCCGGGGCTGCGCCCGCAGCCGCCGCCGTCCTTCAAGCTCTAACTTCGCTCCCGGGATTGAAATTCCTCCCCAGCTTCGCCCATCGATCTGCGCGCGCGGCCCCGCCCCTCGCCGCGCGGCCGGGGGGGAATTCAAGCTCGCCCTGCCCCCTCCCGCCCCCCTTCCCTCCCTCCCTCCCTCCTTCTCTCCCTCCCTCGCTCCCTCGCCCGCCTGCGCGCTCCCTTCCACCCCCTCTTCCTCCGCCGCGAGTCCGGCTCGGAGCCTCTGGCCCTCCCCTTCTCTCCCTGGCCTCCCGAGCCCCCTGCTCTCCTCGGCTCCCCGCGGCAACCCGCTCCTTCCCTCTCCCGGCGACGCGCAGGGGCTGGGGAAGGAGGGGAGGTCCTAGAAAGCGCAGGGGGCGTCCTCGCGGTCCGTCCCCGGCCCTCCCCGCCCACATCTAAAAGGTGGAGGGGGTGGGTGGGTGGGTGGGGGGAGTGGGGGCGACAGCTGTTGGCTGAACAAGCTACCCGCGACTCCCACCACCTCAAGCAAAGCCAAGGCGTTCTCAGGTCCTCCCGTCGGTCCGCCCCTTATCCGGGAGGGCAGGGACCTAGGGGCGGAGAACGCAGGGCGCAGGCCGGGCCTCCTCTGCCCAGCCCTGGCCCCGCTTCCTTCCTTCATTCACCCCAACCTCTGTGAGGACTTCAGGGGGTTCTGGAGCACTCTTCGGCTCAGTTTCACCCTGACAACCTGCCTGTGCGGAAGCCCCCGTCCGCATGTTACAGGAAGGGAAACTGAGTCAAGAGAGGCCCAGAATCTGGCCCTACACAGCGCGTCGAAGGCAGAGCCCCAGGGGCAGCCTGGACCCCCGGCAGGAGCCTCGGGACTCCACGCTCGGGCCGGGCAGGCCCCGGCGGTGCCTGGACAAGCCCGCGTTCGCAGAACGGCCGGCGCCTGGGGACCCTCTCCAGTCCCCGCGCAGCCCGCGCGTCCCCGCCGGCGCCCCCTCCCCGCTTCCTGTCCCCCGCCCGCCTCTGGTTCCCGGCCTCAGTACCCCCGGCACGCTCTCCGCTCGCCGCCAGCAGCTGGGCAATTCAACGAGCATACAAAAGAGTTGACTCAATTCAAAGGCAGCAAATCAAGATAAATCCTATAGTGTGTGGGGACCGGAGAGGGAATGTGAATGAACGCCCACGACGCCGTTCAGTCCTGTATGGACCGGCCTAGCCCGGCTGCAGGGCCTGACACGCCCGGGTCCTAGGGTTCTCCAGGAGCCAGAATCGGAGAGTGGGCTCTGAGCTGCCTTGGCTCCCAGGCCCCCAGCACTGGCCCGAATTTAGTAATTTAGAGCTTGTGGCCTCCTTCGGCTGGCTGGGTGGGGCTCCCGTGATAGGGGTGCAGAGCCTTGAAGGGGAGTGCTAGGACGAAAGCCAGTGCGCCCCCACGATTTCATGCAAATACTGGGGGGCAGGGGCCCTGGAAACCCAGCACAGCCCCAGGGGCCGGCAGGAAGGGCACCGGTGGTTTGGAACACCTAAGCTGTGGCCTTTCTCCCTCTGCCCCGACCTGGACCACGGTCAGAGCCAGGCCGCAGGCCAAGAGCAGGTCCTTGTTTACCCACCAGATAGATACTGCAAGCCTGGGATGTGCCAGGCCTGGGCCTGTGGAACGAGGCCGGCGGTGAGCGGGGCACCCTCTCCTCCCTGCCTGTCTGTGAGGTCTCCCCAGCTGCAGCTCCACTAGGGAGAAGCTGGTCGGCCCCCAGAGCTTCCTTGGTCACGCTTGGAAGGTCCCAGTAAGCTACCCTCCAGCTTCTGGCCTGGCCAGCCTTGTGCAGAAGATGACCACCGGGCTCCGGGCCCCAGCCTATCCACTCCGCCTGCCAAACATAAACCCCAAGAGAGGTACTGGATCCCCATTTCCAGCAGGTTCCCCCAGGCCTGTGCTGGCCAAGTGCAGCCGAAGCTCTGGAATGAGCCTCCTTTGCCTTCGCAGGTGTCCCCCGTGTGCCCTGCGCTGTGCTGGGCGCCTGCCCGGAGGAGCCGCGCCAGGACGTCCTGCTACTTCCCAGGAGCAGGCATGATGAGTCCATTTCCTCGGGGTGCAAACTGAGGCCGAGGGCCTCTTCAGAGCGCCCTTGACCGGTACTGCCTGACCCCAGAGGTCAGTTCTGCGGTCACTCGGGGTCTGAGATCCACGGAGAACCTCAGAGGTCAACTTGAGGGGCGGGTAGGGGTACGCGCGCGGGGCCGTGGGAGGCGAGATCCCGCAACCTGAGGAGCCAGGACCCCAGCAGAGAGCGAAACCTGGAGCTGGGGGAGGGGACGGCAGAGGACTGGAGGCCGGGCTGCACGGCAGGGGTCGAGTCCTCGCGGCCGCCCCCCCCCCCCACCCCGAGCGGAGGCTGCGCCGTCCGGCTGCGACCGAGTCCCCGGAGTCCCGGCCGGGTCGCCCCTCCCCCGTGGCCGCGCCGATTGGCGGCCTGCTGTTACCCGGACGCCGGCGCCGCCGCCGCGAGGACATCTGTCCGGGGCCCAACGCCGCGCTCCACGCCCCCTGCCCCTCCCCCAGACCCAGAACCGGGGAGAGGACGCGGCGGTGAAGCTGGGAGGTTGGAACCTGGAGGGCGGCGGAGTCCCGGAGTTAACGGGGCGGGGGGCGGGGCCGGCGCTGGCCCTGGGGACAAAGATCCCCACGCTGCCTGAGGGCTGGGCTCTGCAGACACCGAGGCAGGAAGAAGGACTCCGTATTCCCCGTCCCCCAGATCCTCAAATCCACTCAGGCTCAGACCTGAGTGTCCAGGTGGGGTGGGGGAGACCGAACCCTCCTGGGCCCTCGAGGCGCGCGAAGGCGACGCTGAAGGGGGGACGCCGGGACGCTGCTTCCTCCCTGCACACGCCGCCCGAGCTGCATCCCTAAACGCTCCAGGAGCTTCGCGGGTCCCCCCTGCCCTCCACAACCCCCGAAGCTGCCCCCAGCGACCTCTCCCCGCCCTCAGATGGGGCCGCAGGGGCGGGCGAATGTGTTGCGCTCGCCGTGGGTTGGGAGGAAGGGCGCGGATTGTAGGAAGTCCCTGCTCCTCCCTGGGCAGCCTGGCCCCGGGGACTCGCGCTCAGCCCGCGGCGGAGGACTCGGTCGGGAATGGTGCTGAGATTGCGCGGGTACGGCCCAGGGCCGTGACCGGGTGGCCACCGTGCAGTTTGGGAAGAGAAAAAGTTCGGGGGGGGGCCGACACCCCGAGATCGAAGAGGGAAAATGGGAGGAAAGCAGGCGGCAGGGAGGGAAGAGCGGCGGAAGAGGGACCAGGAGAGCTGGGGGTCCGCTCTGGGCCCCGGGGTCCCGCCCCACTCGGCAGCCCAGCCCAGCCCAGCCCCGCCGCGCCAGCTTCCCGGACCGGGAGAGGCTAGGGTCACCGACGCCTATTAATAGCCGCGAGCGGGTCCTTCCCGGGAGCTCCGCAGCGGTCGGCAGAGCCCAGCCACCGGCTGGGGTGGGGGCGGGGGTCCCGTAACACCCCCTCCGGAGGTTCAAGCGGCGCGGGGCGGGGCGCTGCGCCCCCCCACGCCGGCTTTGCGAAGTCGAGGCACCCACAGCCCACTCCCTCCCCACCTCCGACTCCGAGACCAGGTTTCAGATGAAGAGGGGTTCGTCTGTGGTTCAACTTGGGGCGCCGCGGCTACCCCAGCGCACTCGAAGGCGCGCCCAGCCCCCTCCCCCTCTTTCTGCCCAGCCGGCTTTTTGCTCTCAGCGCGCTCCGGAAAGTTTCGGGGTCCCCGCGGCGCCTCCCTAGCCCTAGGGGTCCGGAGTCCTGGCCCTTCCAGCCGCGGCGTCGGGGAGGGAAGTTTGTCCGGCCCAGGCTCGGCGGCCGCTAACTTCGGGTGCGCCCGCCTCCGAACCTGGGTGGGTGGATGGGGACGCCCGGGAGCCGCGGGCCCCGAGCGCCGCATCCAGAGCCCCGCGGGCGGGGAGACTCGGCCCTGGCGCGGACGCCGAGGTCAGGGCACCAGGGATGGGGTGGCCCGGGCTGCGAGAGCCGCTGGGGACCCTGCGCTGCCCCCCGCCGCCCCCCCCAGAGAGCATCCTCTTCCCTGCCTCCCCTAGGGGCGGGGACCCTCCGATCCCGCAGCGGCGACAGAGGGGTCCCCCGGCCCCGGACAGCCCCCTGCCCCTCAGGCCCCTTCTTACCTGGGCCGGGGTGCGGGCCCCGGGCTGGAGGCACTGTCGCGGGCGAGCAGAGCGCGCGCACCCCGGTTCCCCGAGCGCGGCGGCGGCGGCGGCGGCTTCCCCTCCTTCCTCCTCCTCTTCCTCCTCCGGGCTCGCTGGCTCCAGACAGCCCTCCTCCCCCTCCCGCCCTGCCGGCCCCTCCCGGAGCCCGCCCGGCTGGACTCGGCCTGCGACCCGGAGCCCAGCGGAGCCGGCGGGAGCCAGGCTGCGGCGCTCACTGCGTCAAGCGCGGGGCGAGCGCGGGGCGGCGGCGGCGGGGACCGCGCGCTCGGAGCCCGGGGCTGGCCGGGCAGGCGGGGGAGCGGCGGCTCCGGCTCCGACTCGGGCTCGGGCGCGGGCGCAGTGGTGGCGGCCGCGGCAGCGCCGAGGTTGTAGCACATTCTTTCTGAGCGTGATGGAAGGTTTCATGTGGGAGAGCGCGCGGGGAGGGATGGGGAGGGGGCGGGGGCCGCGGCGGGGGCGACCGGAGGGGCGGGGGGCGGGGTCGCTGCCCGCACGTCGGTGGGCTGGGGGGTGGCCGGAGGGGGGCTCCGGAGGGGAAGTTGGAGCCAGCCGCGGGGGCGGCGTGGGAAGCCGAGTGGCGGCCTCGCCCCCTCCTCCTGGCCCGCCCCGCTCGCCCCCTGCCCCCGCCCCAGGCCACCCAGAGGCTCCCAGGCTTCGGTTTGGAAGAGAAGCGTCCGAAGGTCTGGGGGTCGGGACCCTGGTGGCGCTGGGAGGTGGGCCCCTGGGTGGGGACACGGCTGTGCTCACAGGCGCCCGGCAACCTCGTGGAAGTTGACCCCAAGTCAGACCCTCTGTGAGCGCGCGCGTCCGCGAGGGCCAAAGCACAGCCCGCAGGACGCGCGTTTGCGGGGCGGGGGGAGAGCGGGGCACTTGGGGGCGGGGAGGTGGAGCGAGAGGGTCGTCGGGCCCCTGGCGGCCCCGCGTCCCCAGAGACTCGCCCTCCCCTAAGGTCGCCGACCCCTCCCTCCCTTCCCTCCCCGTTGCGCGTCGCCCCCCGCCTTTCGGCCGGGAGGAGGGGGAGGCGTGGGAGCGGCCCGGCGCCTTCCGATTCCCGGAAGGTTCGGTTTAGCGGATTTCCCTCTCCCTTCATGTGCCTCCGGAATCCCAGCGGATCCGAAATCGCGCCCTCGGGCTCTGAGCCGAGGGGTCCCCCGTCGCTCCCTGGTGGTCCCGAGCCCTCGCCGAGCGGTCTCACGGCTTCCCAGGGCGTCTCCCGCTCCCACCCGCCCCTTCCCCAGCCTGCGGCTTTCGTGTGGGCTAAAAATTCCAAACCAGGCTCAAGAGCGCCCTCGCCCGGCTAAGCCCCCGCGCGCCGCTTCACAAACCGGCCGCGTGCGGAGCTGCGGAGCCCGGGACCCCCAGCGCGCGCTGGGCGCGACACTCTGGACCCCGCTGCCAGCGCCGCGCCCCTCCGGCCGGGGAGCCCCACACCGTCAAGAGGGCAGGGAGAGGGGAGGGGAGGGGACTACTGGAGGGGAGGGGGCTGCTCCCCGGGTGTCTTTCCCGGAGGAGGTCCCGGGACAGGGGTGGGGGTGGCGCGGGAGGCCGCAGACAGCGCGCCCCGAGGATGGCCGGGCCGGGGATGGGCGCGCGGGGCTCCTGTCCGGACGTGGGTCCAACGGCCTCTCCGCAGCCCAGAAACTCCGTCCAGCCCGCGGGACGGCCGCCCGCCCTCCGACCCCGAGCCTCTACCACACTTGTTCCTGCAGGACGGGGTTGGGGGGACTGAGACCGTGATTGAGGCCGGGGCATGGAGGAAGTGCCGCCGCCTGCTCCCGGGATTGCTGGACACGAAGGGTGGAGGCCAAGGACGGAGCCCCTGCCTGCGGCTGTCCAGCCCTTAGTCCCTGCGCGGGGGCGCCCAGACCTCCAGGGAACAGGGAGACAGAGCGGGCCGAGCCCGGCCTGGGGGGGGTCTCTTCCTGGTCCCTCAGGGAGGGTCCCGGCTGCTCTGAAGCGCGCAGTGGCCTAGGTGCGCACACAGCCCCTTTCTCTCACTTCCCCCCTCCCCTACTCGAGGGGCCTGGAGAGTCCCGGACCTGGCTCCTTGGAGGAAGCTGGGAGAAGGGAGCTGTCCCGCGGACCTTCCAGGGCGCTGAGGAATTTCAGCCCTGACTGACTCCCTCTGCAGCGCCTTCCAATGCTGAAATATGCCCTCCTGTCCCGTGAGAAGGCAGGGCCCCCGCGGGGCCTGGCTGGCCTCGGGCTGCTGTCCCCCCTCAGGCTGGGAATGGGCCACCCCAGGACAGACCCGAAGAGAGGAGGTGGGAGGAAGGCTGGCTGTCTCTGGCCTCTTCTGGAGCTCTCTCTCCCCGCCTCTGTTTGCCTCTGTCAGAGAATATGTTTGTTCTCTCTCTCCCTCTTCCTCTCTCTCTCTCCCTCCACCCTCCTTTTCTGTCTCTTTCCCTCTTCCTCTTCCTCCTCTTCTCCCCTCTCCCTTTCCGCCTCTCCTCTCTCCTTTTCTTTCTCCGTCTTGGTCTCTTTCTCTCTGACATTCATCTCCTCCTGATCCCCCTCCCCCAGCAGACAGAGGTACCCAGAGGCAGCCTGTGTGGTGTAGACACCTTACAGCACATCCAGGGAAGATGCGTGTGGATACCCACCCCAGCTCCCCGCCGCAAGCCGGTGTCCCACAGGAAGATGCCGCAGCCTCACTGGGACAGGAAGGCTGGAACCCCCCCCACCCCATAGCTCACACTGTGGTTGTGCAGAGAGTTGCAAAGGCATCCTGCTTCACACACCCCCGAATCGCACACACCCCGCCCCACCCAGTGTAACCCTCACACGCAGGCACGCACACTGGTGTGGCACTATGACGATCCTTCCTGTGATGGAGGTTCCTAATGGCTGGTGGCTGGCATGAAGTCATTTAGTCCTCACAGCAACCCTAGAAGTGAACCAGCTGTGAAGATCTCCAGTTCCCAGAGGGTAACATCGAGGGGTCCAGAGATCAAGTACCTTGGCCAGGGTCACCATAAACTGGAAATGGCCAAGCCAGGGTTTGAATCCAGATGGTCAAACTTGAAGGCAGCTGTACTAAGCATGTTCCCATCTGCATATGCACATGCGTTCACGCACAGTCGCTCCACACACACGTGCTCGCTCAGGCCTCCTTTCTGAGGTGCTGCCACTGCCCGGCAGCAGCCCAGACGCAGCAGCGATGGCCCGGTCCATCAGACAGCCTGTCTTTCCAGAGATGAGTCAGCTGGGCCAGGACCTAGGACAGAGCTAGGGATGGTGGGTGCACCCCCACCCACCTGGGCACCGTTGCTAGATCCAGGGCTTAGCAGGTCCTTCTGATGTACAAAACGTCCTCGTTCAGAAGAAAACGGCCCAGTTTAAGACCTGCCTGGGCAACATAGTGAGACCCTGTCTACAAAAAATAAAAAATTAGCTGGGTGTGGTGGTGTGTGCCTATGGTCCCAGCTATTCAGGAGGCTGAGGTAGGAGGATCACTTGAGCCCAGGAAGTGGAGGTTGCAGTGAGCTATGATCGCACCACTGCACTCCAGCATGGGCAACAGAGCAAGACTGTCTCAAAAACAAAAAAAGAGCTAAACTGCCAGTAAGATTCTCATTTTTATGGAAACAAATCAACCACCATCTCATGACCCACCCAGCTACCCTTTGGGGAAGAGGCTGGTCAGTAAGAGCCGTAGGGGCCTGGGGCTGTGGGGCCTCAGGGCTTTCCTTAGGTGGTTGGAAGCACACCCCCTCCCCTCCACCCTGCCACTGCCCTGAGCCTGTGTCCCTGGACGCCCTGACTTGATGTGTCAGTTTCATCCAACAGAGTGTGAGCTTGAGAGAGCAGGACAGACTGACTCACCTCCAGGCCTCAGTGCCCCACTCCAGCCCCACATGACCACACCCACTTCCAGGATAAGTGAGGACTCATCTGGTGGCTTTGATACCTTTGCCCCCCTGCAGGTGGTTCCTGCGCCCTCTCTCTGCTGAGGATGGCCTGGCTGGAAGTGAATGACCCAGTTGCCTGAGTGTGTTTGGGGGAAGCAGGGGAGGGATAGAGCAGCTGGGATTAACCGCGAAGGAGTGGGGAGAGAATTCCCCCCGACCCCCGGACCCATCCTAAGGAAATGGTAACCAGAGAAGAATGGTGACAATCTCTTCCTGTCCCCAGAACTTCACAGCAAGAACAACAAATGCCCATAAAACCCCGAAGCCATAGATTAAATGATGTGTCCAATTTCTATCTCAGGCAAAGAGCCAGTTCCCCCTATATAAAGAGCTCTTACAAATCAATAAGAAAAATAGCCAAGAGGCCAAAAAAAAAAAAAAATAGACAGAGGTAATGAACAGAAAAGGAAATCAAAAGGATGTTTAAACAAATGAGAAAGTGCCTATGCTCACTCCTAGTGACAAAAGTGCATGCTGAAACTGTACTGATGTGATTTTTCACTCATCAGATGGGCACAGATTAAACAGTCTAAGGACACACCCTGTTGCAATAGTGTGGGGAAGCAGACACCCTTGGAACCTCTGAAACAATGTCAAAATTCCAAATGTACACACCCTTTGGCCCAGCATTTGCTTCTAGGAATCTGTCCTCCAGATACTCCTCCCAAATGTGAAAAATGATATATTGCTTTGTACAAGGTTATTCGCCGAAGCACTCTTTGTAACAGCAGCAGATTGGAAGGATCCTAAGTGCCCGCTGACAGTGCAGTGCTTAAATCATCATGGCACATCCAGCCGGATAAAGGTGGACTGATTGGAGTCCATCTGCAGATGTTCTTTAGTGTGAAAAAGCAAAAGGGGCCGGACAGTGTATATGGCACCTTTTTTTTTTTTTTTTTTTTACACTGTGTCAAAAAGGAGTTAATGAAATGACATTTTAGTTGCCTGCACACACTGATTACTGGAAGGAGACCCAAGAAACTAGAAATAGTGGGTGCCTCCTGTAGGAACCTGGGGGCTGCAAGTCTTGGGGAGAGGGTAGAAGGGGACTTTTTTTTTTTTTTTTTTCTGAGACAAAGTCTCACTCTTGTCCCCCAGGCTGGAGTGCAGTGGTGCGATCTCGGCTCACTGCAACCTCCACCTCCTGGATTCAAGTGATTCTCCTGCCTCGGCCTCCCGAGTAGCTAGGATTATAGGCACGTGCCACCACACCTGGCTAATTTTTGTATTTTTAGTAGAGACGGGGTTTCACCATGTTGGCCAGGCTGGTCTCGAACTCCTGATCTCAGGTGATCCACCCGCCTCAGCCTCCCAAAGTGCTGGGACTACAGGAGTGAGCCACTGCACCCGGCCGGGGACTCAATATAAAAAAATATTTTTAACGTATTATTTATTTACAGACAGTGAAATTCATACTTCTTCAGTTTTATACTGTTCAGAACTACAGTTCTGAAATTGGACAAATGTGGACACTGGTTGCCATCACTACCTCCATCAAAATACTGAACATTCCCATCACCCCAGAAAATGAGACTTTTCCCCATATGCCCCTGTAATGCCATTTGAATTCTGTGCAATGTGCAGACATGTTCCTTTATAATAAATTTCAATGTGAAAATGAAAATGGAAAATTGTTTTCTATCATCTCATCTGGTTCCCACTGTAACCCAGGGAGGTGAATCCTTCCTTCCCCCTTTTACAGGTGACAAAACTGAATTTTAGGGGGCAACTTGCCTAAGGAAATCCTGCAGGAGCAGGTTGGGATGGGAACCCAAGGCTTTTCTTTTTTTTTAAGACAGAGTCTTGCTCTGTCACCCAGGCTGGAGTGCAGTGGCACGATCTTGGCTCACTGCAAGCTCCGCCTCCCGAGTTCCCACCATTCTCCTGCCTCAGCCTCCCAAGTAGCTGTGACTACAGGTGCCCGCCGCCACGCCTTGCTAATTTTTTGTATTTTTAGTAGAGACAGGGTTTCACTGTATTAGCCAGGATGGTCTCGATCTCCTGACCTCGTGATCTGCCCGCCTCAGCCTCCCAAAGTGCTGGGATTACAGGTGTGAGCCACCGTGCCCGGCCTATTGTAGCTATTTCTTATAAATGGAATCAGACAATATGTGGTCTTCTGTGACTGGCTAGTTTCACTGAGCATTGTTTTTGAGATTCATCCATGTTGTAGCATTTCAGTATTTTATTCCTTTTTATTGCCAAATAGCACTCCACTGAGTGCCTGGAGCACATTTTATTACCCATTCATCAGCTGATGGTCATTTGGGCTGTTTTCGCGTTGGAAATGTGAGTCACACAGCTAGATACATTCATGTACTAGTTCTCACGCGCACATGTGTTTCCATTTCTTTTGGGTAAACACCTAGGAACGGACGTGTTGGGTCATATGGTAAGCCTATCTTTCACATTTTGAAGAGTTCACAAACTCTGCCAAAATTTTGATGCCACATGTTATGTTCCCAGCAGCAACGTAGGAGAGTTCCTATTTCTCTGCATCCTCGTCAACACTTTTATTATTATTATTATTTTTTTTTCTGAGATGGAGTTTCACTCTTGTTGCCCAGGCTGGAATGCAATGACACGATCTCGGCTCACCACAACCTCCACCTCCTGGGTTCAAGGGATTCTCCTGCCTCAGCCTCCACAGTAGCTGGGATTATAGGCATGAGCCACCACACTCAGCTAATTTTGTATTTTTAGGAGATGCGGTTTCTCCATGTTGGTAAGGCTGGTCTTGAACTCCTGACCTCAGGTGATCCACCCACCTCGGCCTCCCAAAGTGCTGGGATTATAGGCGTGAGCCACCATGACCGGCCAACACTTTTACTATTATTATTATCATTTGAGACAGGGCCTCACTCTGTCACCTGAAGGGTGACACTCTGTCACTGTCAGGCTGAAGTGCAGTGGCACGATCTTGGCTCACTGCAACCTCCACCTCCTAGGCTCAAGCAATCCTCCCACCTTGGCCTCCAGAGTAGCTGGGACTACAGCCATGAACCACCACGCCTGGAAAATTTTTGTATTTTCAGTAGAGATGGGGTTTCAACATATTGCCCAGGCTGGTCTCGGACTCCTGGGCTGAAGCGATCCACCTGTCTCAGCCTCCCAAAAGTGCTGGGATTTCAGGCATGAGCCACCACACCCGGCCTCAACACTTACTATTATCTGTCTTTTTTATTATGGCCATCCTAGATGGTGTGAAGTTGTATCTCCTAGTGGCTTTGATCTGCATTTCCCTGGTGACTAATGATGCCGAGCATCTTTTCTGTGCGATTGAACTTCTACATATCTTTTGGAGAAATGTCCATTTGAATCTTTTGTTCATATTTAAATTGGGTTATCATTTTATTATTGAGTTGTAAGAGTTGTAAAATATATTTTAGACACAGTCCCTAATTAGATGTATAATTTGCAAATATTTTTCTCCCTTTCTGTGGGTTGTTTTTTCACTTTCCCGTTGCTGTTATTTGTGGCACACGAGTTTTAGATTTTGATGAAGTCCAATTTTTTCATTTGTTGTTTGGGCTTTTGATGTCACATCTGACAAAATTTTGCCTATGACGAAGATTTAGTTCTGTATTTTCTTCTAAGAGTTTCATGGTTTTAGCTCTTCTGTTGAGGTCTCAGATGCATTTTTTTTTTTTTAATGGAGTTGTGCTCTTGTTCCCCTGGCTGGAGTGCAGTGGTGCGATCTCGGCTCACTGCAACCGCCACCTCCCAGGTTCAAGCGATTCTTCTGCCTCAGCCTCCTGAGTAGCTGGGACTACAGGCATTCGCCACCATGCCCAGCTAATTTTGTGTGTGTGTGTGTTTTTAGTAGAGGCAGGGTTTCACCATGTTGGCCAGGCTGGTCTTGAACTCCTGACCTCAGGTAATCCACCTGCCTTGGCCTCCCAAAGTGCTGGGATTACAGGTGTGAGCCACCACACCTAGCCTTGGATGCATCTTGAGTTGATGTTTGTATATGGTGTGAGGTAAGGGTCCATCTTCATTCTCTTGCATGTGACTACTTGACCCAGCACTATGTGTCAAAGGTCTCCTCTTCCCCTAGCCCCATCAAATTGTCTTGGCTCCCTTATTGGAAATAAATAGAGTAAAAATACAAGGGTTTATTTCTGGACTCTCAGTTCTAGCCCATTGCTGTTCATATCTGTCCTTACCACAGTACCACACTGTCCTCATTACCGTAGGAAGTTTTCACAATAGGAAGTGTGAGTCTTCCCACTTTTTTTTTTTTCTAGAAACAGAGTCTTGCTCTGTTGCCCAGGCTAGAATGCAGTGGTGCAATCATAGCTCACTGCAGCCTTGAACTCCTAGGCTCAAGCGATCCTCCCACCCTAGTCTCCTGAGTAGCTGGGACTACAGGCATATGCCACCACATCCAGCTAATTTAAAATTTTTTTTTGTAGAGATGGAGTCTTGCTATGTTGCCCAGGTTGGTCTTGAACTCCTGGACTTAAGTGATCCTCCTGCCTTGGCTTCCCAAAATGCTGAGATTACAAGCATGAGCCACTGCACCCAGCTGAGTCTTCCCACTTTGTTCTTTCCTTTTCAAGCTTGTTTTGGCTCTTTGGGGTCCCCTGCACGTGAACCCAGTGCAAATCCCAGCTGTTCCTCAGCATCTCTGAGTAGCTGGAGGACACGTGGCTGATACTTTCAGGGCTGAGGAATAACATCAACAAAGGGCACATTTATTAAGCACCTGCTGTGTGCCAGGCACTGTCTAAGTGCCCTGCCTGTGTTAATTCACCCACGCCGTGGGCAGCGGTGCTATTACCACCCACACTTAACAGTCAGGACCCTGAGGCACCGTGAGGCTGAGAAACCCACCCAGGACCACACAGATACTGGGCCGTGGCCACCTCCCAGCAGTTTGTCTGCAAAGCCCAGATTCTTTTTCATTGCTTTTCATATTGAACTTTGAAATGTTTCAAACATCTGGAAAAGTTGAGATGATTTCACAGTGAGCACCCAGATGCTATCACCTGTTATTCCACAACTGACGTTTCGCTAGACCCGCTTCATCTTGTTTCTCTGTCCCTCTGCCCACCCATAATCAATCTCTTTCCAAGTTGCAGGCACCAGTACTCTCTCCCCCTTAACCGGCCGACTGCATGTCATGATCTAGAGTTCAATATTCGTTTCAGATTTTTTATTGCTTTGAGTAAAATTCACATACCATGAAATGTATAACTCTGAAGGAGCCACTGAATGCTCTGACTAACGGACCACTTCTGCAGCCCAAACCCTTATCAAGAGACAGACATCAGGCCGGGTGCGGTGGCTCACGCCTATAATTCCAACACTTTGGGAGGCAGAGGTGGGAGGATCACTGGAGCCCAGGAGTTGAAGACCAGCCTGGGCAATGCAGGGAGGCCCCATCTCTACAAAAATAAAAAAATGAGCCAGGTGTAGCAGCACATGCCTGTGGTCCCAGCTATTCAGGAGGCTGAGGTGGGAGGATGGCTTGAACCCAGGAGGTCAAGACTGCAGTGAGCCATGATTGAGCCACTGCACTCCAGCCTGGGCAACAGAGCAAGACCCTTCCTCTGAAAAATAAAAAAGACAATGCCCCCAAAATGTTGCTGCATACCCCTGCCCAGTGCCTTCCTACCTCTGGCCCCCAGAAGCCACTGCCATTCTGATGTTTTCCACCGTAGGTTAGTTCTAGAATTCGTTCTAGTTAGTTCTAGTCTGTTAGTTCCAGTCCAGGTTAGTCCAGGGTAGATCTAGTCTGTTCCAGAATTCCACACACCTGGGCTCCTGGCGAGTGACTTCTTCCCCCTGCACAGTCTCCCAGCCTCATGCATGGCGTAGGTGTCCCTTTATTGCTCTGGGAGCTGAGTCCTCCACGTGTGGCTGCACCGCCATCTGCTCATCATGCTCCCCAGGGCAGGCACCCTGGACCCTCATCTGCATCACCCACCATATCATTTCTCAGCCTGAGGAAGGCAACCAGAATTTTTTAAGCCTTTGGACACCCAAGGAGCTCCCTGGTGGCCTCAGCTCTGGCCTCCGCAGCTGCTCACCTGTGTGACCCCGTGAAGGTGGCCATACCTCTCTGTGCACCTGGTTCCCCATCTGTTCCTCAGCCGCACGATGATCAGAGGAAGTTGGGGAGGGAGGCAGCCTTCCTGGAAGCCAGAGGTTGCAGAAATGCCGATCTTCGTTGGCGTCTTGTGTCAGAGACAAGCCATGGGATCTAACATTAGGTGAGGAGACAGCAGATTATAAATTGCAAACTGGGGCTGGATGCGATGGCTCACGCCTGTGATCCCAGTACTTTGTAATCCCAGCACTTTGGGAGGCCGAGGCAGGCGGATCACTTGAGGTCAGGAGTTCAAGACCAGCCTGGCCAAAATGGTGAAATCCCATCTCTACTAAATATACAAAATTAACCAGGCGTGGTGGCGAGCACCTGGTTACTGGGCTGGTTACCTCAGCCACTTGGGAGGCTGAGGCAGGAGAATCGCTTGAACCCAGAAGGTGGAGGTTGCAGTGAACTGAGATTGCACCACTGCACTCCAGCCTCTGTCTCAAAAAAAAAAAAAAAAAAAAAAAAAACCCTAAAAACAAATAAATTGCAAATTAGGGAGCCTAGTAAGAAGAATTCCAAATTTATAAAAAAAAAATTTTAAAACAAAGGAAAAGAGGGAGGGAGGGAAGGAGGGAGAGAAAGAAAAAGAAAAATTACGTATGTATACACACAACACACAGACACTTTGGTAACCAATGGACCACATTTGCAATGGTGGTCCCAGAAGAGTATAATACCCTATTTTTACTGCACCTTCTCTGAGTTTAGATGTGTTTAGAAACACAAAGACTTGTCCTTGTGTTGCAGCTGCCTACAGTGTTCAGTGCAGTCACCTGCCGTGCGGGTGTGTAGCCCCGGAGCCACAGGCTGTACCGCGAGGCCCAGGCGTGGGGTAGGCTCCGCCATCTGCGTTCGTGTGAGTCACTCTAGGATGTACGCGCGATGACAAAATCACGGAACCATGTATTTCTCAGAACGTGTCCCTGTCGTTGAGTGATGTGTGGCTCTGTGTGTGCGTATACACGTGTGTGTATATATATGCAGACACGCACACACATATGTAGCCTGGCAGAGTCACCGATGCTTTTTCTCTGTCTGCCTTATTTCATGTCTCTGAATTGTCCATATTCACTAGCAGCAATGTGGATTGCAGCTGGGCGCCGTGTTCCCAGGAGCCACGGCCTGCCCTCCCGGGCTGCTGCAGGGGTGCGCTGGGCGGGGCGAGGCTGGGCACCCCCTTCGCTCCCCCTGCATGCTGAAGGCTGGGGTGCAGACGGCCTCCTCAGTGATGAAGGCAAATGGCCCAGGCCTCGGGCTCTGCTCACCTGGTCCCCTGTGATTCATTCTGCTTTATTCAGACTGAAATAGGGCTAAATGAGAAGATAACAGGAGTGACATTTTGCAGGCTCCTACGTGGACTGCGCCCGGAGGTATCTTATTTCTTAAAACAAGTTTCAACCGCCAGGATGTTTCACTTGGAGGGAGAGACCCGTGATGTCTAGGAGTGGTAAGGAAATGGTAGAGGGGCCTCAGCCTCCACGCTGTGGGGTCCCTGGGTGGAGATGGAGGCACTGTCAGCAGCCACCTGTGAACGTGGCCTTGAGCTCAGTGCACCCCTCCTGCTGTTATGATGAAGTGGGGCCTCAGGACTTGTCTTCCCTCCTCCCCGGCTTCCCTCTGTGAGCCCCTCGGGGATCAGGCTGGTCTCATCATCACTGTCACTTTTGTACACAGTAGATGTTCACTGTAGGCGCTTTGGAACCCGGGTATGCTCTTCCTCAAAGCACGCCCTCAGCAAACAGCCTGTACACGCTGGGCCTTAGCCCCAGGACCAGTGCCCTGGCCCGCTCCCAGAGCTGAGCATGGCGCATTGCTCCCCAAGGCCTGACTCACTGCAGCCAAACACTGGGGCGCAGACGCCCGCTGGCTCCAGGAGCTGGATGGGCAGGCAGGGCGGGGTCTGCGTGGGGGCTGGTCTCCATCTCTAGCAGGGTGCTAATCTGGGCCTGTGTCCACGCACATACTGCAAGTGTGTGTGTGCCTGTGTGCATGCGTGTGAACATGTCTCTATGTGCACACGTATGTACCTGTGTGTGCCTGTGCATGTATGAGTATGTGAGCATGTCTGCATGTGTGTTCACAAGTATGTCTTGTGCACCTGTGCGTATGTGAGCATATCTGCTTGTGTGCACAGTATGTACCTGTGTGCACCTGTGTATGTGTGTATATGTGAGCATGTCTGCCTGTGTGCACGTCTTGTGCACCTGCGCATGTATATATGTGAGCATGTCTGTCTGTGCACACATGCATGTGCCCTTGTGTGTGTGCCTGCATGTACGTATGTGTGTGCCTATGTGAACATGCCTGCATGCTTGTGCACATGCATGTGCCTGTGTTCCTGTGTGTGTGTGTGAATTCCTGCATGTGTGTACACATGTACGTGCCCTTGTGTGCATGTGCCTGCATGTATGTGCACATGTGCCTGTGTGCATGCCTGCATGCTTGTCCACACATGTATATGCGTGCATGTGTGATCACCCTATTTCTTTCCTCCATCACCTATCAGCATCTACATGGAGCACCTGGGGCTGGGCCAACAAGGTGCCGTGAGTCTGACTTCAGGGCACACAGACAGGGGCAGGTGACAGGGGCTGCTGGGGTAACACCACAAGGAGCTCATAGCATTTCTGCAGGGAGCCCACATCTGTCCCTGTATCTGCGTCCTGGGGCCACCATAACACATTGCCACACGTTGGGGGGCTTAAGACAACAGGTGTCTGCTCTTTCGCAGCTCTGGAGGCCCAAAGTCCAAAATCAAGGGATTGGCAGGGCCGCGCTCCCTCTCATAGCTCTTGGGGAGGATCCTTCCTGCCTCTTCCAGCATCCCTGAGCAAGCCTTGGTGCTCCGTGGCTGGAAGACACGTCACTCAGTCACAGGGATGTCTTTCCTCTGTACACGTCTGTCTGTGCACAAATTTCCTCCTTTAAAAAAATAATTGGCCGGGCGCGGTGGCTCACGCCTGTAATCCCAGCACTTTGGGAGGCCGAGGCGGGTGGATCATGAGGTCAGGAGATCGAGACCATCCTGGCTAACAAGGTGAAACCCCGTCTCTACTAAAAATACAAAAAATTAGCCGGGCGCGGTGGCGGGCGCCTGTAGTCCCAGCTACTCGGGAGGCTGAGGCAGGAGAATGGCGTGAACCCGGGAAGCGGAGCTTGCAGTGAGCCGAGATTGCGCCACTGCAGTCCGCAGTCCGGCCTGGGAGACAGAGCGAGACTCCGTCTCAAAAAAAAAAAAAAAAAAAAAATAATCGAGGCCAGGTGTAATGGCTCATGCCTGTAATCCCAGCACTTTGGGAGGCTGAAGCGGGCAGATCACCTGAGGTAAGGATTTAGAGACCAGCCTGGCCAACATGGTGAAACCCCATCTCTACTAAAAATACAAAAATTAGCTGCGTGCGGTGGCAGGTGCCTGTAATCCCAGCTGCTCGGGAGGCTGAGGCAGAAGAATCGCTTGAACCCGGGAGACAGATGTTGCAGTGAGGCAAAATCATGACACTGCGGTCCAGCCTGGGCGACAGAGGGATTCTGCCTCAAAAAAAAAAAAAAAAAAAAATTGGAGGTTGGAGGAACAAGGTCTTGCTCTGTTATCCAGGCTGGAGTGCAGTGGTGCGATCACAGCTCACTGCAGCCTCCACCTCCTGGGCTCAAGTGATCCTCCTGCCTCTCAGCCTCCTCAGTAGCTGGGACCACAGGCATGTGCCACCACACCCGGCTGAAATGTTCCCTCTTCATAAGAACACCAGGCACACTGGATCAGGGCCCACCCCAGAACATTTTAACTTAATCACCTCTGTAAAGACCATGTCTCCAAATAAGGTCACATACTGGGGATAGGACATCAGCGTGTCCTTTGGGGGACACAGTTTAGCTCATGATAATCCCCGTCTCAGTTCCTTCACCAGCCCTGGAGCTTGACTTTATTAGTCCTTTGACAGTCAGGTGGTATTGAGGCTCAGAGATGTCAAGTCCTTTGCCTAAGATCACCCAGCCTGGGCACTAATATTCCCCACAGCAAGCTGGTGCCACAAATACCAAGAGGGAGCTGATCTCCATCCCAGGCAACCCAGGGTGGCTTCCTGGAGGAGGCGTTGTTTGACATGGGTATTGTTGGTTAGGGGGACTTTTAATCACTTAGAAAAGCATCGAGAGTCAAGTTTCAGGGAAAAGTCCGACCCCTGATGGGGGCGCTCCCCTCACTCTCTCCACCCCATCTTTTGGGCAGGGCCTCCCCCACCCAAGGGCAAGACTGCAGTTGCCCAGGACCTCCTGCTCGGGGCAGACCTCAGGTTCCGAGTCCCCATCTCAGTTCTCTGAGGCTACATGGGTTGGCCTTACCCCTTGATGCACTTTTGACCCTCCCTTCTCCTGCCACCCCAAGGTCCTCTGTCCTCCCAAAGCTGGGCCTACCCCAGGGTTCCTGACTCAACCTGGACAATGAATTGGCCTCTAGGTTCTGCCCCCCCTCCCCCTGAATAGTTCCCTGATCTGCCCTTCTGCAGAGACAAGAACTCCAACCCCCTTTGGAGTTTAGAGTAGATTTGGCATTTAGAAACGTGGGTTCACTGAGCGTAAGTCCCCACCCCACCATGTTCTCTGGGAACACCATGCCCGCCTCCAGATTTCAGCCCCTCCCCAGGGGCCTGGTCACCGCTCGGAGAAGCCTGGGGCAGGTCTAGAGAACATGGGAGGGGGAGGAGGAGGTGTGTGCCCGTGTGTGCCTGGGGTGGCAGCTGCCTGGCTCCGCCCGCTTCACCGTGCAAGATTCTCTGGGCCTCCATTCCTGCCTGCTCCAATCAAGCCTCCCTCAGGCTGTGACTGGAGCCCAGCCTTCCAACATTCCAATCTGGAAACCCTCATGTTCTCAGAAAAAGTCCCCATCCTCGGCCTGAGGACCCAGGGCTGTATCTAGCGCTCCCCTCCGGGCCTTGACTCATGCTGGTGCCTCCGCCTGGGGTGCCCTCCCGAGCCTTGGCTGGCTTCTCCCACGCCTCTGTCCTTCAGCCTCAGCTTAGGGGTCCTGGGCTTTTTCAGGCACCTGTCCGTGGGCCCACTTCCTGAGCCGTCATCGTGGGGTGCCTTGGTGGTGAGCCCCTTGCCAGGAGGGGCTTATTAGACTCCACTCCGGCAGCACAGGACTTTGGACCTACCTGGCTGGGGCCGAACCAGCCTGGGGGAGGGGTGGGCAAGTGGCTCCAGGGAGCGGGGTGCTTTGGCAAAAGGCCAAGGTCTCAGCACCCCCTGCAAGCCACGTCCTTGCCAAGTGGACTGGCCCAGCCCCGGCCCCTACTTCAGTTCCCCTTCTCCTGCAGCGGGCCTTCCCCTGCGTCTCCCATGGGAAGGCCACTCGCTCCAAGCCCGCATCGTGATGGACAACCAGGCCTAAGTAGGAGCTCTGCAGGGCTCTGCGGCAGCGGGGATCGATCAGGCTTCCTCCGGGAGGGGAGCCGGCACCTCCATGTCCGTCTCCTTGGCAGGAGCTCCCTGGTTCTGGCCTGATCCCTAGGGTCAGAGGCAGTAAATGACAGTGGCCTCCATTCCTAACCAGCCTCATCTGCCTGGCTCGGGGCACGCTGGCCCTGAAAGCCGCCCCTCGGTGGGCATTCGGTGCCTCTGCAGGGCAGAGGTTCAGCTCTGAGGCCAGATCGACGGCTGCAAACCTCAGATCCCACCAGAAGCTGACTCCAGAGAAATCACTTCCTCCAGGGTTGCTGGTGTGTGGACCCTGAGCCCACAGCCTGACTTGTGCTGCCCGGCCCCTGGGCCTCCATGAAAGCACGAATTCATGCAGAAAATGGGGCAGCTACTGGGGATCCATCCCTGGACTCCAAAAGCCATCTCCTCCAGTGCTTCTTCCCAGGACTCGAAACTCCCCCCACTGCTTTTGATAAGAATAAAATCCACCCCTCCATGATGCTGGTCTTCCTGTTTCTCCCATCAAGTCTCCCCACTCAGTGAGCATCAGGATGTGCTTGATTTCCTCCAACGCCAGGGAGCTCACTACTGCCCAGCTGTGGCAGCTGCTGGCTTTGTGCACCAAAATTTACTCACCGGGCTGTGTGCCGGGGAGGGATGAGCGCCCCTCACTGCACCAGACAGTGTGGTCCCTGAGGCCGTCCCCTCCTTGCTCTTAGCTGGTCTCCTCCACATGGCCTCTCCTCCAACCTCATCACCTCCACAGGGTCTCAGCAAAGGCCCCATCTCCCCTCTACCTCTCCTGGTCACCCAGCCACCGGTGTCACCCTGCGGACACTGATCTCTCGGGAGTCCTTGTGGAGCAAATCCCCAAAGCTGCCCATGGAACTTAGCACAAATGTTTCCCCAGGGTTTGAGGCCCACTCCACCCCAAATAATCTCCCCTTTTTTTGTGTGTGAGATGGGGTCTCACTCTCTCGCCCAGGCTGGAGTGCAGTGGTGCGATCTCGGCTCACTACAACCTCCACGTTTCATGCCTCAGCCTCCTGAATAGCTGGGATTATAGGTATGCACCACCATGCCCGGCTAATTTTTGTATTTTTAGTACAGACAGGGTTTCGTCATTTTGGCCAGGATGGTCTCGAACTCCTGACCTCGAGTGGTCCACCCGCCTTGGCCTCCCAGAGTGCTGGGATTACAGGCGTGAGCCACCGCGCCCGGCCACCTCCCTTCATAAAGCCGCCTTCTCAAACTCCTCCTTCAGCCCAGACAGCGCTCACCAGGCACACCTTACCCATGTTCGTTCATTCTTTCCAAGCACCGGCCCTAAGGGAGGGATCACGACTATCCCTGTTTGCCAAATGAGGACGTGAGATCCAGGGAGGTCATATAACTTGCTGATGGTCACATGGCCCGTATGTGGCACAGCTGGGGGCCAGGCACAGGCGTTGGGCTCCAGCGTCCATGCCGCAGACATTCTGCGGGGCCCGGCCCCTTCTCCACCCTTCCCGTCACCTGCAGGCTCCCATAAGTGCAGCATTTCAAGCTGGCAGATAAATGACCCTGATGATCCTGGCCCATCGTCACACCATCCTTGCAGGTCATGGAGGCTGGGAGCGGAAGGGGTCTGCCCTGAGTCACTCGGGAAGGGTCAGGAGGTGCCAGGAAGAGGACTTCCCAGGAAGAGGGGGGTGTTACGGGCTGCTTGGTGCCCCCGAAGCTCAAATGCTGAAGCCTGGACCCCCAGGACCTCAGAATGGGGCTGTGTTTGGAGACGGGGCCTTTGAAGACGTGACTAAGACGAGATGAGGTCATACGGGTGGGTCCTAATCCAATCAGACGGGTGTCCTTGTAAGAAGAGGAGATCAGGACAGACACGCACAGAGGGACAGCCCGGTGAGGACACAGGGAGATGATGCCATCTGCAAGCCACGGGCTGAGGATTCAGGAGAAGGCAGCCCTGCCCGTACCTTGATCTCGGACTTCCAGCCTCCAGAATGGGAGACGATAAATTCCTGTAGTGTAAGCTGCCTGGTCTGTGGGGTGTATTACTGTGGTCAGAGCAGACTCACACAGATGGGGCCTTCCTGACTCCACGCTGGGGGCTCCGGGGGTGCAGCCTGCTGTGGAGCTGGGCCAAGGGCTCGCTTGGTCCCGCAACGGGAGCTCCTCTTGCAGGCGCTGCTCAGGGCTCTGCCGGCTCCGCTCCGCAGGCAGCCTCCCCGCCACCCCCCTCCCCGGGACAGGCTGGGCCAGGACTCCGGCAGGGCCTGGCTCTGTGACAGGCTGTCAAGCAGGCAGCAGATAAAACGCCTGGCCAGGGTGACAGAACAAGATATAAAAAGCCTCCCAGCTCCTCTGTATTGACTAGAAACCTCGTGCTTCACGTCCCATTATCTCCCATGCTAACGGGCCCATACGAAGGCCGGTCAGTGGGGAACTCGGCGTCCTGGCAGGCAGGGAGACACAGCACCTCACAGGGCGCCCCAGCCCTCCGTCCTGGTCCTCGCCCAGCCTGGACGGTCTGACCGGGTAGGTCCTTCTCACCCCAACGCATTTCCATCCCCTTTGTTTTGGAGGGCAGGCAGAACATGACCGCCTCTCGGAGAGGAGACAGAGCTGCAGGCAGCTGGGAACTCGCCCAAAGCCAAACTTGGATGGCAGTGTGGGTGTCCTGGGCATCCCCCAAGGCGGGCAGGCCCTGGGCATCGGCTCACTCAAGCCACCTGAGCATTTGATGAGGAGGTGCTTCTGCACCCCCATTCTGCAGGCAGGAGTGCAAAGCCCACAGGCAGGGAGGGACTCACCCAGCATCCCTGCAAGCTGGAGCCCGTGTGGGGCTTCTGACCCAGGTCTGTAGGACCCCAGAGCCTCAGGGAGCCCCTGGGGCAGATTGGGCTGGGACCCCGAGTGTCTATAAACAGGAGCGAGGCTGCGGCCCTCAACCCAGATCAACGCCCACGAGCACAAACCCAGGTAAGGCACAAACTCCGTGGCAGCAGCGGGGTCCGCGGGCCCCAAGTTTCCCTGAGGCCAACGGCCCAAGCCTGTGGGATGCAGATGTGGTCTGGGCCAGGTCTGCAGAGGTCCCGGGTCTCCCCGCAGGGCCTCGCTCCAGGCTGGAGTCACAGGGGCTCTCTGCCTCTCCCCGCACCAGCCCCTCCGCCCCTTCTCATCAGTCAGGTGGCAGCTGCACACTCCTCCCTCCGCACAGCCTAGTTCCCCAGGGACCTCGCTGAGCCAAAAATGCCTGTGGCCTCTGAGGAAGCTGGGAGGAAAGGCACGCTGTGCTAAATGAAGGGCCGTTTCTTCCTTCCAGAATAGCTGCGGCCACAGCGCGTCCAACGTGCCTGAGCCGTTGGAGCCAATCGCAGCACGGGGAGCAGTAATTAATAAAAATGGGTAATGATAGACCATCTGTCCCAGCCTGCGCTCCGTGGCGGGGCCACGCCGGGCCCTCATTAGGCATTCCTCTGTCATTGTCCCCGCAGATGTTGGCGGTGGCCGTGTCGGTCTCATGGGAAGACGAGGTTGAACACATTTAGGCAAACGACACCAGCAGGCTGGGCCCGAGCTACGAAGCTCGCTGGGGTCAGCCCGTGCAGAAAGCCCCGGTGCGAGGGACCTCCATCTGTCCTCCACCCCGGATGGTGGCTGTAAGCTCAGGCTGTGAGTGAGGTGGGCCCAGACCCCAGCTGGAGCCCCACTCGCTGGCTCTGTGACCTTGGGCGAGCGCTGGAGCCCTCTGAACTTCCACCGCTGAGGTCAGAGCCAAGCACCAAAGGAGAGGGGCCAGCGTCTGTTTGGGAAGCTCGGGTGGAGAGATCAGGACTTCCCACAGCCTCTAATTTGCTAACTTGCAAGGGAGGAATCAGATCTCACACCGTGGCCCCCAGAATCCAGAGACTCAGTAAGGCTCCCAGATCATAGTCATGCTTCAGTGGAGAGGAGACCTCGGGAGAAGATGACCCCAGGGGTCCCAGGGTCTTGGAACTCTCTGGAAGGCGCTGGGCAGGGCTTACACTCCTTGAAAATTGCAGCCAGTCTATGGATCCCTGAGGAAGGGCCCCTGGCTTCCCTGGAGGAGGGTCCATCCCCTGGGGAGGGGAGGCTGGGCACCCAGGAAGGGAGGGGGACCCAGCATGCCCACGGCTCACAAGCCCAGTGAGAATCGGATATGCAGAGAGGCCCGGCGTGGTGGCTCACGCCTGTCATCCAGTGCTTTAGGAGGCCATCACTTGAGCCTAGGAGTTTGAGAGCAGCCTGGGCACACGGCAAGACACTGCCTCTACAAAAAGATATAAAATTAACTGGGCATGGTGGCATGCACCTGTAGTCCCAGCTTAAAAAAAAAAGAAAAAAAAAAAAGGGCTGGGCACAGTGGCTCATGCCTGAAATCCCAGCACTTTGAGCGGCTGAGGTAGATGGATCACCTGAGGTCAGGAGTTCGAGACCAGCCTGGCCAACCTGGTGAAACCCCACCTCTACTAAAAAATACACAAATTAGCCTGGTGTGGTAGCAGGCGCCTGTGGTCCCAGCTACTCAGGAGGCTGAGGCAGGGTAATCGCTTGAACCTGGGAGGCAGAGGCTGCAGGGAGCTGAGATGGTGCCACTGCACTCCAGCCTGGGCAACAGAGTGAGACTCTGTCTCAAAAGAAAAAACAAAAATCAGCAGAGAGCAGGAGGGACGTCTCGCTCCCCCAGGGGGAGGAAGGCCCCGCGTGGTCTGTGTAACCTGGAGCCGTTCTGGGGCAGAGGCAGGGCCTGGCCTCCCTGCAGTCTCAAAGCTTTGGGTTCCATGGTGGTGTCACTGCTCCCCCAGCTGGGTCCACTCTGGACAAATGGCCAAATGCCCTCAGAGTGGGGGGTCCCCCACACAGAGCATCCACATTTGCCAAGGGTGGCCCCACCTTGAACACACCTGGGGAAGGCACGGCAGAGAGCAACACCAAGGCACAGAGAAGCGTGACCTGTCCAAGATCGCGCCACCAGGAGCAGTGGAGCGTGACTTCCTCCAGACAGCACGTCCCGGGGCACGGAGGTCCCACTCACCCTCCACCCTTGAGCTTTGGGGTCTGAATGCTTCCCCTGCCACCCCTGCAGCCCCTGCCTGCCCCGAGTGCTCCCAGCTCACCTCGGTTTGGCCTGTGCCAGGGAACGGCTGACCAAGCAGCCCCTGGCTGTGGGCCCGGAGGCCAGCGGGGACACCTGACCAGAGGCCCCTCTGGTTCCCTGTGCTAGGTAACCTGAAGTCTTGGCCTGGCACACCCCTGGGGAACCGGAGCTTCTCGGCTTTGTCCCCACACAATGGAGCATTGGAAAGAAGAATCAGAGAGAACGTGCTGTTCCCGGAGCCCATCAGCCTGGCCAAACCCTTTCAGGGCCAAAAGGACCTGTGGAGGTCAGAAGGGAAACTGAGGCCGGGTGAGGGGCTCCCCCTTACACAGGAGGTGGGGTCAGACCTGAGACAGGGCCTACACCTGCCAAGCCCTGGGCCAGGGACGATTCCCACCCAGGGGTGTCCTGGGGTGAGGGAGCCCTGGGGCTGCCGGGCAGACCTCTGTCGGTGGAGGGAAAGCCGCCTCGCTGGCTCGAGTACAAGGGTCAACAGAGACCCGTGGGTGCAGCGAGTTAGCAAGCTATGGAGGGACCCAAGGGCGAGAAGATAGACCCGGCGCAGTGTTCTCATAAATATTCATGTGAGCCATATGAATATTCATAGTAACCTCTCCTACTACTGATAAGGGAGAAGTGGCAGTGAGGGAGGACAGGCCTCTCCCTCCTCAAGCCTGCAGGCCAGAGTCCAGGCGGAGGCCCTGAGCGTTGGAACCAGTCCTCCCGGCAGCCCCCTCAGGATCTCCTCAAACAGGCGGGGACCAGGGGCCAGTGAGGGTGGAACCAGAGCAGGAAGGAGCACGTGGCCTCTCCCTGCCACGGAAGAGGGCTCCAGCACCCTGGGTAACCTGGGGTCACCATGCCTGGACCTCAGACAGGCCTGGCTTTTCTTGGGTCCACTGGCGGGAGCCGCAGGAGCCCGGCGAGGTTGCAACTGCTTGGATCACAAGATCCTCTGGCGCTGGGTGGGGAAGGGACGTCCAGTCAGAGGCGGGGCAGCTCCGTGTCCAAGCCTTTTCCTTTCACAGAGATGGAAAGCGAGGATGGCTCAGAGATGGCAGTGCCTTGCCCTAGGTCACACAGGAACTTCATGGAGAAGCCCAGGGCTCCATTCTGTCATCTGTAAGCGTGGGGACAGATTTTTTTTTTTTTTTGGACACAGTTTTACTCTGTTGCCCAAGCTGAAGTGCAGTGGCGTGATCTCGGCTCACTGCCATCTCCGCCTTCCAGGTTCAAGCGATTTTCCTGACTCAGCCTCCCAAGTAGCTGGGATTACAGGTGTGCGCCACCACGTCTGGGTAATTTTTGTATTTTTAGTAGAGACGGAGTTTCAGCATGTTGGCCAGGTTGGTTTGGAACTCCTGACCTCAGGTGATCTGCCCGCCTCGGCCTCCCAAAGTGCTGGGATTACAGGTGTGGGCCACCATGCCCAGCCTGTGTGGACAGATTCTGACGTGCAGGTAGGTAGAGTTACATCTGAGCTGGTTCCTGCCCTGGGACAGGTGTGTGGCACACAGTAGGCCCTCAGTGTTTGCTGAATGAAGGAAGGATCATAACCTGAAGTTAGCTTCCATTTAAAGATGGGGATGCCCGATGTGGTGGCTCACACCTGCAGTCCCAGCACTTTGAGGGGCTGGGGTGGGAGGATCGCTTGAACCCAGGAGGTCAAGGCTGCAGTGAGCCATGATTGCAACACTGCACTCCAGCCTGGGCAACAGAGTGAGACCCCACCTCCAATAAACAAATAAAGACAGGGAAACCTAGAAGAAAGGACCTGCCCAAGTCTCGCTGTAGACGGTGGTGGGCCAGCTTCTGTTTCACTGAGTAATGTCGACAGTTTAGGTAGCGTTTGAGGACGGGGGTCTTTTTGGAAACCTCTCTCCTTGATGATCTTGGCAGCCCGTTGGCTTGTGAGGAGCTTTGCAGAACCCACAGGTCTGGGGTGGGGGGGCACAGGGTGCTGAACCCCATGGCCTGCAGGGCAGCCCCATTCCCTCTGAGTCCCCAGCCCCTTCTGTGCACTGCAACCAAGAAAGGTGTGCAGGGTACAGTGGTACACGCCTATAGTCCCCGTGCTTTGGGAGGTGAGGAGGGTGGATTGCTTGAGCCCAGGAATTTAAGACCAGCCTGGGCAATGTAGCAAGACCCCATCTCTACAAAAAATTCTTCAAAAAGTTAGCCAGGTGTGGTGGCGCACACCTGTAGTCCAGCTACTCAGGAGGCTGAGGTGGGAGGATCACTTGAGCCTGGGAGTTCAAGGCTGCAGTGAGCTGTGATTGTGCCACTGTACCCCAGCCTGGATGACAGAGTGAGACTCTGATGAAAGGAAGGAAGGAAGGAATGAAGGAAGGAAGGAAGGAAGGAAGGAGGGAGGGAGGGAGGAAGGAAGGAAAAGTGTGCAGGTGAGACCCATCTGAAGGACAGAACAGAAAAGCCCAGAAGACCGGCAGCCGTGGTCAGCAGAAGGCAGCAGCGCTGGCTGGGGCAGGGACACAGGAGGGTCCTGGGGCCAGAGGGAGGCCCTCGGAGGCAAAGCAGGCGGGAAGCCGTGTTCATATGAAATCCAATGGGGAGGCTGACAGCAAGCGGGGAAGAAAAATAATCATAAATGATGGTTTTTATTAAAAAATATCACCAGGAAAACGTATGCTCATTCCAGAAGCCCAAAAAAGCCCAAAATGTAATAAGGGGGAAGAGAGGAGATGGGGAATAGAAAATTAAAATCATGAAAATAGCCCCGGAAAGCCTCCTGATGTCTGCCGGGAGTCCGTAGCATGGGAGGGAGGGAGGGAGGGAGGGAGGGAGGGAAGGAAGGAGGGAGGGAGGGAGGGAAGGAAGGAGGGAGGGAGGGAGGGAGGGAGGGAGGCAGGCAGGGAGGGAGGCAGGCAGGGAGGGAGGGTCGCTGCTGTGCCGAGTGATAAACATTTTTCTGCAGCTGAAACAGCACGGGGCGCGGGCAGGAGGCGGCTCAGATCATCCATCAGGCAGCAGTGATGGATCCTTCCTGCCATGACCAAGGCAGCCAGGCCGGCCCACAGGCCAGGGGCCAGCTCCTGGCCACCCGTGAGGGTGGGTGGGCTCTTGATCTGGAGGCAGGGGGCTGCCTCTGGTGGCCCTGGCCAAGGGGGCAGCTCAGCTGGAGTCACACCACGGCGTCTGTCCAAAAAAGGCTCCCGGGCCCATGGAATGCAACCTTGGGATGAGAGAAGGGAAACTGAGGCCCAGAGAGAAGGCCACACCCACAGTCACACAGCAAGCCCGTATCCGCGTGGGAGCAGGGGCAGGTCTGCTAGGGCAGACGCTGCACCCAGGGCCCGTCCCATAGGGGCTTCTGCGGAGAGGAAGGGGTGTTACTGTCTGGGGTTCCCTCTCGCCATGCCTGTTCTTCCAGGGTGGGGGGTGGGGATCCACCTGGGGCCTCTCACTCCTGCATGGCCCAGGAAAGTCCCCTCACCCCCTTGTTCCTGCCTGACTTGAGAAGGGCAGTAAGGGCTGGGTCTCGGCAGGAAGCGGGACCCCCACCATGTCCACGGCTGACGCTGGAGCTCCGGGTGCCATTCCGGCTGGGGCAGGGGGTCTATGTGGGGAGAACAGCAGGGGGACAGGGTAGCACGCCAAATCCAGGCTCCTCGGGGGGCTTGGGGTTTTACAAAGCACATCACCTCCCTCCACCATGGGAAGCTGTCCCCCTTTCACAGATGAGAAAACAGAGGCTGGGATACAGTTGGTGAGGCCACTCACAGAGGACCAAAGAATGGAACCCAGGCTCAGGCAGGACCATCCCCTGGCCCCTCCGGGAAGCTGGTGAAATCGGCTTCTTCTGTCTGACAGCCTTGCCGTGAGCCTGCCCTGTGGCCGGGGCTCTTGTACCAGGATCAACAGGAAAGGGCACAGAACCCTGGCCTCGTGGAACCGACATTTTAGCAAATTAGGGAGAGAGAGGGGGAGGGAAGAACGGATTTCAGACAGTGAAGTAAGTCAACCATGGCAATGCGATGGAAAGAGCTGGGGGGCGGGAGAAGGGGGTAGCACTGTGCTTGAACCTGGGGTTCCGGAATGGCCTCTCCCAGGAGAGGGATTTTGAGCCGAGACCTGGGTGGTGAGAAGCAGCGACGCTGTGAGGAACCCCAGCTGAAGGACACCAAGTGCCAACACCCTGCAGCCGGGCGAGCTGGCTGGGTGGACAGATGGAAGGCCACACATGGGGCAGGGGGCAGGCAGGGTGAGGGCTCGGGACCCTGGGGAACAGCCGGCTGTTCTGAGCCAGGAAGGGTACCTGAGTGTGAGGACAGATGGGGCAGGGAGAGGACGGAGCTGGGGACCCTCTGTGGGGCCAAAGGGGGTGCAGGGAGGGCTCCCAGCTCTGTGTCTGTCTGATGACCTTAGATAGGGGAAGACTGGGGAAGGCGTAGGTCTGGGTGGGGTTTGTGGGCACCGTCAGGAGCTCGGCTGAGAGTGGAGGGGGACCAGTGGGCAGGTGGGGCATGGAGGGGAGAGGTGGGCTGGGGGAGAAAGGCGAGGTGGTAGCCAGCTTGGAGAAGGGCTAGAGTAACTCGCTGGGAAGAGAGGAGGTGGAGGGGAGGCCAGGCCCGCTGAAGCTGCAGAGTGCACGTGCATGGGCCAGCACGGGCCTGGGGCAAGGCTGGGGGGACCAGGGAGCTCCGAGCTGCAGCGGTGGGAGGCTGACCCAGTCTGGGGTGCAGCTCCCCACTGAGGGGGGCAGCCTGGGCCTGCTGGTGGTGGCTCCTGGCATCATGGGGTCTGGGGCTGCTGGGCGTGGGGGCTGGGGTTGGGGATGTTTGAAGCTGAGGGGTCTAGTTTGGGCATTTGGCTTCCTGAGCAGAGGTTATTGGGGCGGATTTCCAGGTGAATGAGTTTTGCCTCTGAATTTGGTCAAAGGCTTTCCTGAGCCTTCAAAATGCCCAAGAACAGGGGTGGGTGATCCACCCCAGCAGGGGCCGAGGGGTGGACCACCCGGGGCTCAGAGAGGGCTGCAGCGCGCTGGCTCTGCTGCCACGTGCCACAGCGCCCCCTTCCGAGACACGGCAGGAAACGGTGCTTCCAACGCCAGTGGCTCCAAGGCAGGGCCTGTCTTTGCTGGAGTTACATTTTGGAAGAGAAATTTTGTATCATATGCAAATGATTCCCATCAGGAGAAGAAACCAAACCCTCCTTCTACTTGGAGACACCAAGAGGCCCCTGGCTGATCAAACCAGTAATTCCAGCACTTTGGCAGGCCGAGGCAGGCAGATCACTGCAGCCCAGGAGTTAGAGACCAGCCTGGACGTCATGGAGAAACCCTTTCTCTACCCCAAAAATGCAAAACTTAGCTGGGTGTGGTGGCGCACCTGAAGTCCCAGCCACTCGGGAGGCTGAGGTGGGAGGATCGCTCAAGCCCTGGAGGGTGAGGTTGCAGTGAGCTGTGACGCCACCACTGCACTGGAGACCCTGTCTCAGAAAAAAAAAAAAAAAAAGAATCTCCTGGCTGAGAATCTGGAGCTTCCCCCCGGCCCTGCTGGGTGCCAGACCCCTTCCTGGCCTCATCCATCTCACCGGATAAACTCCAGCCCAGGCGATGATGAGACTGAAGCCGTGGGGCTGGGGAGCCCGGGAGGAAGCTGAGCTGCGGCCCAGGCAAGGGCGACATCCGTCTTGATCAGAGGCCTCCCGAGAACCAGGCCCCCCCTCACCCATGTACCAGTCCCCACCCCAGACCAGGGTGGCTCTGGACCCAGGACCCCCGGCTCCTCTCAGCTCCCAGCCCCCCTTCCCTACGACACCAAAGCCCTCACCATTTCTAACATTTCCCGAGGGTCAATTAAGATGTCTGGAGTTGATTAGACTCTGACACTGATGAAACCCAGAGGTAATTAGCAAAAGGAAAAAAAAAAGTTTTGATTAGTCCTCAGCATAATTCTCTCCAATTATTCAAAGTTCATGCCTGCAGGGGGTGGAATATCTCCAGGAATATTTATTTATATCCCGATTTTTTCATCAACTTTGTGAGTCTACTTAATCATCGGCCCTGAACTTGTTAACTTGGAGAATTTGTCCGGGGCTGGGCTGGTCTGATGCTGAAGGGCTCAGCTGAGGGATACAGGGGCGCCTCTTGGATCCCCCAGAAGAAGGCCTGGGGACCCCACCGACATCCCCTAGCGAGGTCACAAAAGACAATACCATTCCCACCTGGGTGGCTGTCTTGGGACACCTGCTGTGGGCACCCACATAGCCTGTTCTGAGGATGCCAGGGCCCCAGGGAGAGACCCACAGATGGCACCAAACTGCCAGTCCAGCAGGTGCTCCATCTTGAATAAGGGTCCTTTAGTCCCCGTTGAGCTGCCCTGCACCGTGTTGAGGAGCAGACGAGGCCTCCCTGCCCGGCCCTGCACAGATGGAGGATTCCTGAGCAGAATCAAGAACTGTTGTTTTATGAAACTGAGTTTGGGAAGGTTTGTTAAATAGCAACAGATAATCCAAAGCACCGGATGTGGGGGGTGGTGGCGGTGGCTCACACCTGTCGTCCCAGCACTTTGGGAGGCCAAGGTGGGAGGATTGCTTGAGCCCAGGAGTTTGAGACCAGCCTGGGCAACATAGGGAGACCCTATCTTTACAAAAAAATATGAAAATTAGCTGGGTGTGCTGGCACCTGTAGTTCCAGCTACTGCGGAAGCTGAAGCGGGAGGATCTCTTGAGCCCGAGGGTGAGGCTGCAGTGAGCTAGAATTGGCCACTGCACTCCTGCCTGGGCAACAGAATAAGGCCCTGTTTCTTAAAAACATATATAAAATAAAAATGAGAAAACAAGGAAGCCTGTGTGAAGAGACACCCGCACCTGGACACCAACCCTGCCCCTGTCCCTCCCCAGCCCTGCCCATCACCCTCCCCCAGCCCGCAGCCCCAGTGGCTTTGGGATGAGGCAAGACCAGGACTCTCTCTGGCTCCTTTATCCGCAACTGGAGCGAGGCTGTTGGCTTCCTGTCCTCACTCGGAAATTCAGGGCTCAGGTTTTCAAAGCAGAAGCTCAAAGCCCTGCCTCCTCCCTCCCTCCCTCCTCTCAGCGCCGTCAGGGCTGATGGGCCTGGCATCTCATGACTCTCTCTTCTCGGATTAAATTACTCCAGCCCAGCACGGGCTCCCCGGCGGTACTCCCATCACACTTCAATGGTGAGCTTATTAGCTGGGTGGTTCCAGGAGGAGTATTCACTCCCGGTTCTGCCCAATTAATGCTGCCCTAAGCCAGCTAATAGGGAAGCTTGGAGACAGCCGCTCCCATAACTGAGAGGGAGGTTCAGTAGCAGGGTGTTGGCTCTGCTAGTGTGGAGGAAGGAATGGGAACATGCTGTCCACAGGCCAGGGCCTGCCTGCTGGGTCCAGCTTGGACTCTGACCTGGTGACCAAATCCTGCAAATACCCTGCCTCTCTCTTGGCCTCAGTTTCCCCATCTGCAAGCTGAATCCGTTGAGTGGGATGAAAGCAACACAGGAAGGCATAAAAATAATGGCGCAGTTACTTAGTCCTTCCTGCCTGCCATGCTGTGCCACAGAATTGACATCCACCAACTAAATTTATCCTCCCAGCTGGGCATGGGGGCTTATGCTTGTAGTCCCAGCACTTTGGGGGTCTGAGGCGGGAGGATTGCTTGAGCCCAGGAGTTCGAGACCAGCCTGGGCATTTTAGACAGGGTCTTGCTCTGTTGCCCAGACTGGAGGGCAGTGGCGTGACGTCGGCTCACTGCAACCTCCGCCTCCTGAGTTCAAGCGATCCTCCTGCCTCAGCCACCCAAGAGCTGGGACTACACATGTGCACAACCTCACTCAGCACCAAATTTTTGTATTTTTTTATAAAGATGGGGTTTCACCATGTTATTTTCCTAGGCTGGTCTCAAACTTCTGGGCTCAAGTGATCCACCCACCTTGGCCTCCCAAAGTGCTGGGATTACAGGTGTGAGTCACCATGCCTGACCTTCTATTTTCAAATTCAAAAAATTAATTAATAAATCCTCCCAACACTCCAGAGAAGTGGGTACTGTGTTCTAGCCATATGCAAATAGAGCTGCCAGGTATGCTTATATCTGTCTCTGTGTGAACAGATGATTTCATCTCTCTTGGGTGAGTGCCTGGGAGTGGAGTGGCTGCTTCTTATGGTAGGTGCACATTTAACTCTCTAATAATTGCCAAACTTCCCCAGCGTGGCCGCACCATCTTGCATTCTCAGCATCAGCACTCAGCATAGAGTTCCAGGTGCTCCATGTCCTCATCAACACTTGCTGAGGTCAGTCTTCTTCATTTCAGCCACTCTAGTAGGTGTGAAGTGGTATCTCATTGTGGTTTTATTTTTCATTCCTGAATGATTAATAATGTTCAGTCTTTTCATGTGCTTGCATGTCTTTTTTTCCCCACTTAAACTGACTTATTTGAAAACCTGTGTATCTTCTTTACAGAAGTGTCTGTTTAAATATTTGGCTCCATTTTATTTTATTTTATTTTTTTGAGACAGGGTCATCCTCTGTGACCCAAGCTGGAGCACAGTGGTGCAATCACAGCTCACTGCAGTCTGGAACCCCTGGGCTCAAGCAATCCTCCTGCCTCAGCCTCCTAAGCAGCTGGGACTATAGGCACATGCCACCATGCCCAGCTAATTTTTTGTAGAGATAGGGTCTCACTATGTTGGCCAGGCTGGTCTCAATCTCCTGGGCTCAAGTGATCCTCCCACCTCAGCCTCCTAAAGTGCTGGAATTAGGCATGAGCCACCTTGCCTGGCCCTCTTTAACCCATTTTAAAAATTGGTTGTTAGTCTCTCATTATTAAGTTTAAAACATCCTTGTATTTTAAATACAAGTCCTTTGTCAGGTAAATGTTTTCAAATATTTTCTCCCAGTCTGTAGCTTGCATTTTCTTTTTCTTTTTTTTTTTTTTTTTTTTTAGACAGAGTCTCACTCTGTCACCCAGACTGGAGTGCAGTGGCATGATCTCGGCTCACTGCAAGCTCTACCTCCCGGGTTCGCGCCATTCTCCTGCCTCAGCCTCCCGAGTAGCTGGGACTACAGGTGCCCGCCACCACGCCCAGCTAATTTTTCGTATTTTTAGTAGAGATGGGGTTTCACCGTGTTAGCCAGGATGGTCTCGATCTCCTGACCTCATGATCCACCCGCCCCGGCCTCCCAAAGTGCTGGGATTACAGGCATGAGCCACCGTGCCCAGCCGTAGCTTGCATTTTCATGGAGAAAACCTTAGTGACCGTGAGTCTGGCAAACAAACACTCTGAGGGGACACACAGAGACCTGGCCTCCCAGGTGGATGCCTCAGCCTGGGCCCAACCCTCCATATGAACTCTGCTGTGTTTTCAGGCCCTTGGCCTGCTCTGCTTCTCTCTGACCCAGGGCCGACTCACGGACCCTTTCGTTCTTCACTCTGGCCTCATCTCTGGGGCCTGGAGCTGGGCCTCACCTCCAGGGTGACTTCCTGGGCCCCACAAAGTCTGGAAACCCAGGTAAAGGCACAACAAAAGGCACGATGACTCGCAAAGCCCCATCCCAGTCCCTTCAAAGGAAATAAGGGAATATCTCAGGGGTTAGTGAGATAATTCATGTAAAAAATCAGTTGTAAGATAATAAAGTTCTGTGCAAACTCCAAAGTACTTCAAAATCCAGAAAACATTTCATAAACTCGGACAGCCAGCCTCTAAGAGGGCCTCCAATGATGGATCCTCCCCTCCTGGTGTTTATGCCCTTGTATAGTCTCTTCCCATTTTGAATAGGGCAGACCTATGCAATAATAGGATATCCTGGGAGAAACAGTGTGTGGCTTCTGAGACTAGGCCACAAAAACAATGCACTTCTTTCTTGCTCTACGGATTTCTCACACTGGGAAAACCAGTCATCAGGGCACAAGGAAACCTAAGCAGCCTATGGAGAGGGCCACAGGGTGAAGAGCTGAGGCCTCCAGCCAACAGCCCTGTGCAGGTGCCATCTTGGAAGGGAGCCTCCTGCCCCAGTCAAGCCTTCAGATAAATGCAGCCTTGTCTAGCTGCTCCTGACTGCAACCTCATAAGAGTCCTTGGGCCAGAACCACCCAGCTAAGCCACTACCTAATTATTTACCCCAGAAATTATGGGAGATGATACATGTTATTTTAATTTGCTAGATTTTGAGGTAATCTGAGTAATTTGTTGTGCAGCAATAAAAACTAATACCCATTTGCTTTGTGAACCAAAATAAAATAACAATAAATAAACTAAATTTGTAAGTAAGAGAGCACTTTGTCAAACTTAAAGCTTTTCTTAAACCATTGCCAGATTTTGCCCACTCAGGGCAAAGCTAAATTCATTCCTCCATGTGGAAAACAGGGGCCATGGAGGCTTTGGGTAGGAGATTGCTTAGGAAGCAACAGGACTTGGCTGCAGGATCCCCATGACTGCTGGGGCCACTGTAGGCCCTGTTCTCACATATGGGGTTGCCAGATGGGTGTGAGGGCCCCTGGCTGGGTGCATCACTCACACAGCAGAGCCCAGAGAGCTGACATAACCCAACCCACTCTGGGGATGTGTGGCAGATTGTCTTTTCCAAAGATAGCTGCAATGATATCTCCCATTCAACAGTCTCTTCTCACAATGTGACCTTGACCTTTCTCTCATCAAGTGTTGGGGTCTCCATCCCTTCCCCTTGACTCTGGGCAGACCCTCGTCCCATAGAACTTGGCAAAGGTGATGCTACTTGACTTCTAAGTGCCCTGCACTCCACCTTGCTTTATTGGGGGTGTTCGTTCTTAGAACCCAGCTGCCATGATGTGAGGAAGCCCAACAGCCCATGGAGAGGACACATGGACAGGAACTGAGGACAGTGGCCCATAGCCCAGCCTGAGCTCTCAGTGACAGCTGGTGCCCACCTGCCAGCCATGGGATGCACACTCTTGAAAGTGGACTCCCAGCCCCACATCCATCCCTGTGCTCCCATGACCTGACCCACAATGGTGTTCAGAGAAGATCAGTCATGACAGAGCCTGAGAGAGGAGTGAGTCAAGGGGGCGTCACTCACTCAGCTGAAGCACACAGGGAAGACATAGAGGGGCAGGAATCTAGGGTGCTCCGGAGAGAGGGACAGCGACAGAGTTGGGAAGGAGGGACTTCTACAAGCTCCTGCAGAGCCTTGAGCACCTGCAGAAGGTACCCGGGGCAGCTGACCCCAACCCATTCTTCCCAAATCCTGCCTTGGCCACACCTACCCAGCAGCCCCACTACAAGGCTAGCCTGGAGGGAGACACGGGGATGGAGAGGGAGATCCGGGAGTTGGGCAGAGAGACAATGAGGAGAGACACATACAGAGCTATGAGAGTGGTTTCAGACCAAGCAGGCCACAGTTGCAGGGGAAGGTGGGGACAGAAGGGCCTCTGGGTTCTGCTCTCTGACACCCTGCACGGTTGGGGGTTACCGCCTGCCTAGATCATTGCAGGAATGAGGGGAGAGCCTGAGCACCCACCCAGGCACCTGTGCCACTGTCAGTGAAAGGTGGCTCCCCCAGGAGAAGCCCAGGTTTGGGAGGGCTTGTTTTCTTGTCCAGAAAATGCTACAGCACCAGGCAGCATTAGGGGATGCATGGTGAGACCCCAGACCCCAGCCCCTCTCTCTGCATGAATGTCAGCACCCCCAAGTCCCCCACCAGGGGCTGCATGTCAGGGAACTCAGGGCCTCCCAGCCAGCTTCAGAGCGCAGTGACAAGGACTCACCTGTGGCCTCCCAGGGCAACGGGGCTGTCTGTTCTCCCCACCACAGTGACCTTCATGGGAAAGGGCTGTCCTGAGTCAGTGTGGTGGAGGGTACCCAAAAACCCCACAGAAGGAAGATTGCCGCAGAGGAGCAGGGCTTAAGGGCCATGTGGAAGCTGAGCAGTGAGTTTGCAGAACCAAGTCCCTTCTGCAGGAACTCTCTGCTTCCCCAGGAATCACCCTTGTCGCCAGCCCACTCAGGGTCACCCACCCCTTCCAGCTGTCTCAGCCTCAGGGCCAGCACTCACTCTGTCCTGATTCCTCCGCCCTCCCCCTCTCCCCCATCCGCCTGCCTGTGCCTCCACATGGGGCCCAGGTAAGGCTCCCACAGGTTCTGTGGCCAGTCTGGCCCAGCTATCCAGGAACCCTGCCCTCCGTGTCCACTAACACCCCTTGGGAACTCTTTGTGCTAACTTCGAGACCTCCTGCTTGCTGGAGCCCGGCCCACCTCTTAGGGACCACCAGGACGTGAACTGCCCCCTGCCCCAACAGGCTTGCCGGAGCCATGGCTGGGGCTCCTCTCCCCTGGGGGACACCCCTGTGCTGGTGTGAGGATTTCTCCAGACTTCTAAGGAGTGTATCAAGCACAGGTCTACGTTGACATCCCCCCCCCGCTCCCCTGGGTCTCCCAGCAGCCACCCCCATGTGGCTTCACCCAGGCAGTGGCCACGTGAGGGACTGGGGCACCCTTTCCCTGCCCCCGCCCCATGGTCCAACCCTTGCCTTCTCTCAGACAGGAAAGAGGCTCCCCACAGCCTCCCCCGCTCTACGGCTTAAGCCAGTAAAGTCCATGTTCTCACTTAAAACCTTTTCCTTTCTCAAAAAGCCCTGCTCTTGCAAAAGAAATCCTCTGTGCTTTAGAATAGTGCCACTGCTGCTGGTCTTTAAAAATTCATCCTGAAAGTCCATTGATTTCTTTGTGCTCAGCTCTGTCCACCTCCCCACTGAGGCAGAAGCCACAGAGCAGAAGAACAGAGAGAAGTGCGGAGGTGAAAACCTCCACCGGGGCCTAGCCAGTGCCGTCTCACCTGGCCCTGCACTGCCAGGGAGTCAAGGACTGCCCAGGGTCCCCACGGTGGGGGGAGGCAGAAGAGGCAAGGGGTCAATGCCCTCCTTGCAGGGTCCTGCCTCTCCCGACCCTGGAAGGCCATCCGTGGATGTCAGCTTCACTGCTCGGCAGCCCTACTGATATTCAGGCCTGGCTGGGGACACAGGTGTGGATTGTAAGCAGCCTTGGTGTGTACAGGTGAGGTGGGGGTGCTTACAGGTGAGGTTAGGGTGTGCACAGGGTAGGTGGGGTATGCCCAGATGAGGTAGGGGTACGCACAGGTAAGGTGGAGGTACTTACAGGTGAGGTAAGAGTGTGAGGCAAGGGTGTGCCCAGGTGAGATGAGGGTGTGCACAGGTGAAGTTGCCCACAAGTGAGATGCCCAGGTAAGGGAGGATGTGCACAGGTGAGGATGAACTATATGCCCAGGTGAGGTAGAGTGTGCCCAGATGAGATGGGGGTGTGCACAGGTGCTATAGAATGTACACAGGTGGCCGGGCGCAGTGGCTCATGCCTGTAATCCCAGCACTTTGGGAGGCCAAGGTGGGTGGACCATGAGGACAGGAGTTCAAGACCAGCCTGGCCAAGGTGGTGAAACCCTGTCTCTACTAAAAATACAAAAAAAAATTAACCAGATGTGGTGGCGTGCACCTGTGATCCCAGCTACTTGGGAGGCTGAGGCAGGAGAATCACTTGAACCTGGGAGGCAGAGGTTGCAGTGAGCCGAGATCATGCCACTACACTCCAGCCTGGGTGACAGACCGAGACTTTTTGTCTCAAAAAAAAAAAAAAGAATGTGCACATGTGAGGCAGAGTGTGCACAGGTCAGGTGGGGGACATATGGGCAGGGATCCTAGGTCTGATGATGATGTCAGCTCAAAGACCATGTCTGTGGCTTGCAGCTTCAGCGGTGACATCATGGACCTGGACACTTCCCTGGGGGAAGACAAGCCTGAGGCTTCCCTGAGGAGGCCCCTGCCCTGCCTTTAGACTGGCTCTCAGCCCTCTGTGCCCAACAACTACTTCTTCAGTGTACTGTGGATTCCGTGGCTGCAGAGGTCATCAGGTGGCTCCCACTGGAACGGGACAGTAAGGGACACCCTCTGGATGCCCAGTTAAGCCACCTGCAACCAATAGGGGCCATTTCTGGGACGTTTGCTATGCTTGCCCCTATGATGGGATCTCAGTTCCTGTGGCCTTGGTTCAAATAGGGGCAAGGGAAACGGTGGTGAAATCTCGGTCTGTGCCCCACGTCAGTGGACATCAGGTCTTCTCTCTGACATGGCCCAGCTCCTCACCCTTCTTATGGAAGGTTGTGCCTGCATAGAAGTCAAAGAATGCCAGAGTGTGAAGGGCCCTGGGAAATGGGTTCATTCGACTCTTTCATTTAAAGATAAGGCAACTTAGGTCTTGGAAGGCACATCTGTGGCCCAGTGTCCAAAACAGTTGTTGATCAGAAATTGGGATGAGTATGTGGAAGAAGATAGAAGGAGGTATGGGTGAATGATGGATGGATGAATGAATGGGTGGATGAGTAGGTGAATGGATGAATGGGTGGGTGGATGAGTAGGTGGATGGATGAATGGGTGAGTGGATGAGTAGGTGGATGGATGAATGGGTGGGTGGATGAGTGAATGATGGATGGAGGAATGGGTGGGTGAATGGGTAAATGGATAGATGAATAGGTGGGTAGATGGGTGGATGATGGATGGATGAATGGGTGGGTGGATGATGGATGGATGGATGAACGGGTGGGTGGATGATGGATGGATGGATGAACGGGTGGGTGGATGATGGATGGATGGATGAATGGGTGGGTGAATGGGTGGATGATGGATAGATGAATGGGTGGGTGGATGGGATAAATGGATGGATGGTGGATGGTTAAATGGACAGAGTGTAGAGGGATGGATGGGTAGATGGTGGATGAATGGATGGAGAGATGGATGAGTGTATGGATAGACGGATGAATGGATAGACAGGTGGATGGATGGAAGGGTGGATGTGTGGATGAGTAGATGGGTGGATGGATAGATGGATGGGTGGGTAGACAAGTAGATGAATGGATGACTGAATGGATGGGTTAATGATAGGTGGATGGGGTGAGTGGGAACTCACAGCATTAGACATCCCCACTAGCATACTGATTTTATTCCATTATATAAAGAATTAGTCTGGAAATATTATCAAAACCTTAGGAAAAACCTTCCATGTACCCAACACTGCTGGGCTCTTTGTGTACTGCAGAGAAAACGTGATGATTTCCAGCCCCAAGAAACTCCGTGAGTAATGGGAAAGGCCGTGTGTCTCTGTGTAGGGAGACAGATGGGAGTGGACAGACAGGCTGGCAGAGGAGCCATGCCAGGGAGAAGCAGGCAAGCTCCTGGGAAGACCACCCTGCTGCAGAGAAAATAATATAAACCATGACACCTGCCAGCTGTCAGGGGCTGAGTGCAAGCCTGGGACAGGTTTTTCTATTCTTTTTTTCTTTCAGATGGAGTCTGGCTCTGTCGCCCAGGCTGGAGTGCAGTGGCGCGATATCGACTCACTGCAACCTCCACCTACTGGTTTCAAGCAATTCTCCTGCCTCAGCCTCCCAAAGTAACTGGGATTACAGGTGCATGCCACCATACCCAGCTAATTTTTTGTATTTTTAGTAGAAACGGGGTTTCACCATGTTGGCCAGGCTGATCTTCAACTCCTGATCTCAGGTGATCCAACCACCTCAGCCCCTCAAAGTGCTAGGATTACAGGCATAAGCCACCATCCCCAGCCAGTTTTTCTTATTTGTGTTCCAGAAATTGACAAGCCAAGTGTGAAATTCATATGGAATGCAAAGGACCTAGAAGACCCAAAACAACATTGAAAAGAGTGATGTTGGAGCACTGGCACTCCCTGATTTCAAGACATATGACAAAACTATTGTGATCAAAACAGTGTGGCATTGCTATAAATACAGACAAATAGATCAATAAAACAGAATAAGAGTCTCGAAATAGATGCCCATATACATGGACAACTAATTTTGACACAGATGCAAAGGCAACTTAGTGGAGAAAAGAGAGGCTTCTCATCAAATGGGTTGCAACGTTTGGATATCTGTTCACGCAAAAAAGGAGTTTTGGTCCATAGTTCACACTATATACAAAAGTAAACTCAAAATGGATCATAGACCTAAATGTGAAACCTAGAATTATAAAGCTTCCATAAGAAAACATAGAAGAGCATCTCTGCGCTCTTTTCTTACAGGTAAAGATTTTTTAGACATGGCATCAAGTGTGATCCAAATAAAACTTAATAAACTGGACATCATCAAAATTAAAGACCTTCTGCTCTTTATTTTATTTTATTTTTTTGAGACAGAGCCTCACTCTATTGCCGAGGCTGGGGGCAGTGGCACAATCTCCACTCACTGCAACCTCCACCTCCTGGGTTCAAGCGATTCTCCCACCTTAGCCTCCTGAGTAGCTGGGACTACAGATGCCTGCCAACGTGCCCAGCTAATTTTTTTGGTAGAGATGGGGTTTCACTATGTTGGCCAAGCTGGTCTCAAACTCCTGACCTCAAGTGATCTGCCCACCTCAGCCTCCCAAAGTGCTAGGATTACAGGCATGAGCCACCACGCCAAGCCCCTTCTGCTCTTTAAAACTCACTGTAAGGAGAATGAAGGGACAGCTCACAGGCTGTGAGAAAATATTTGCAAACCATAGATCTGAAAACAAACAACTGAATTTTAAAATGGGCCAAAGATTTGAACAGATACTTCACCAAAAAGACACATAGATGGCAAGTAAGCACCTGAAAAGATATACAATGTCATTAGTCGTTAGGAAAATTCAAATTAAAACCATAAGATAGCTCTGAACACCTATTAGAATGCCTAAAGTTAAAAAGACTGACCATATTAAGTACTGGTAAAGATTGGAGGAACCGGGACTCTTTAGACGCTGCTAATGGAAATACAAAATTGTACAACCACTTTGGAAAATAGTTTGAAAGTTTCTTTCTTCTCTACTAAAAATACAAAAATTAGCCAGGCGTGGTAGCACATGCCTGTAGTCCCAGCTACTTGGGAGGCTGAGGCAGGAGAATCGCTTGAACCCAGGAGGCAGAGGTTGCAGTGAGCCAAGATCACACCACTGCACTCCAGCCTGGGCAACAGATCTAGACTTGTATCTCAAAAAAAATTAAAATTAAACTACAAAAATTAGCTGGGTGTGGTGGTGGGTGCCTGTAGTCCCCGCTACTTGGGAGGATGAGGCAGGAGAATCGCTTGAACCCAGGAGGCAGAGATTTCAGTGAGCCAAGATCACACCACTGCACTCCAGCCTGGGCAATAGAGCAAGACTCCATCTCAAAAAAAAAAAAAAAAGGAAAAACGTATTGATCAGTAAGAATCCATAAGTAAATTCATACATCTATGAACAACTGGTTTTTTACAAGGATGCCAAGGCCATTCAATGGTGAAAGAATTGTCTTTTCAACAAATGACGCTGGGACAGCTGGAGAGCCACATTTTAAAGAATGAAGCTGGACCCCTGCCTCACACAAACATTTATAGAAGAAAATATTTGCAAATCATATAGGTCATATATCTGATAAGAGGTCTACTCTCCAAAATATTGTATAAAGAACTATATAGTATAGTATAATATAAAAAACTCTTTTAACTCAAGAACAAAAAGACAAACCACTCAACTTAAAAATGAGCAAAGAGGCCGGGGGCGGTGGCTCACGCTTATAATCTCAACACTTTGGGAGGCCAATGAGGGCAGATCACAAGGTCAGGAGTTTGAGACCAGCCTGGCCAATATGGTGAAACCCCATTTCTACTAAAAATACAAAAATTATCCAGGCATGGTGGTGAGCACCTGTAGTCCTAGCTACTCAAAAGGCTGAGGCAGGAGAATTGCTTGAACCCGGGAGGTGGAGGTTGCAGTGAGCCAAGATCACACCACTACACTCCAGCCTAGATGACAGAGAAAGACTCTGTCTCAAAAAAAAAAAAGAAAAAAAAAAGAGCAAAGTATCTCAAAAGACATTTCCTCAAAGAAGACATACAACTGGCCAACAAGCCCATGACAAGCTGCTCATAGCTAATCATTAGGGAAATGCAAATCAAAACCACAGGGAGAGACCAAGCCACACTCATTGGGTTTGTCATAATCTTTTTTTAAAAAAAGGAAAGCAGGCTGGGCACAGTGGCTCACGCCTGTAATCCCAGCACTTTGGGAGGCCGAGGCAGGCGGATCACGAGGTCAGGAGATTGAGACCATCCTGGATAACATGGTGAAACTCCGTCTCTACTAAAAATACAAAAAATCAGCTGGGCGCGGTGGTGGGCGCCTGTAGTCCCAGCTACTTGGGAGGCTGAGGCAGGAGAATGGCGTGAACCCAGGAGGCGGAGATTGCAGTGAGCCGAGATAGCACCACTGCACTCCAGCCTGGGCGGAAGAGCAAGACTCCGTCTCAAAAAAAAAAAAAAAAAAAAAGGAAGCAACAGGTGTTGGTGACGGTGTGAAGAAAGTGGAATCCTCACACAAGCTGGTGCCAATGCAACATTGTACAGCCGCTGTGGAAAACGGTTTTGCAGTTCCTCAGCAGAACATTACAATACAACCCAACAATTCCACTCTTATGTACAGACCTCAAAGAACTGAAAGCAGGTGTCACACAAAAACTTGTACACAAATGTTCATAGGAGCATTATTTGCACTTGTCAAAAAGTGGAAACAACCCAAATATCCATTAATGGATGAATGGATAAACAAAATGTGGTCTCTCAATACCATGGAATATTATGCAGCCATGAAAAAGGAATAAAGTATTGATACACACTGCAACACGGATCAACTCTGAAGACATTAGGATGTAAGTGAAAGAAGCCAGACACAAAGAAAGCACATATTATAGGGTTCCATTAATATGTCATCTCTGGAAGAAGCAAATTCATAGAGACCAAAAGTTGATTGGTGGTTGCCAGGGCCTGAGGGCCAGGGGCTCAGGAGTGACTGTTTAATGGGGTTTCTTTGGAAGTGGGGAAAATGTTTGGGAACCAGGGAGAGCTGGGGGTGGTAGTCGTGCAACATTGTGAGTGAAATTGATTCCACTGTATTGTCACTTTGAAGTGACTAAAACAGTAAATTTTACATTATGTGAATTTTACAACCAAAAAAAAAAAAAAAAAAGGGTCAGGTGCCGGTGGCTCATGCCTGTAATCCCAGCAGTTTAGGAGGCCAAGGTGGAAAGATCGCTTGAGCCCAGCAGTTTGAGACCAGCCTAAGACCATGTCTCTGGGTTTGTTTGTTTTGAGATGGAGTCTCGCTCTCCTGCCCAGGCTGGAGTGCAATGGTGAGATCTCGGCTCACTGCAACCTCCACTTCCTGGGTTCACGCAATTCTCCCCACCTCAACCTCCCTAGTAGCTGGGATTACAGGCACTTGCCACCATGCCCAGCTAATCTTTGTATTTTTAGTAGAGATGGGGTTTCACCATATTGTCCAGGCTGGTCTTGAACTCCTGGCCTCAAGTGATCCATCTGCCTCGGCCTCCCAAAGTGCTGGGATTACAGGCGTCAGCCACCAGGCCCGGCCAGACCACATCTCTACAAAAGATTTAAAAATCAGCCAGCCACGCACCTACTCGGCTACTTGGAAGGCTGAGGCAGGAGGATCATGTGAGCCCAGGCGGTTGAGGCCGCAGTGAGCTGTGATCGTGCCACCGTACTTCCAGCCTGAGTGACAGAGCAAGAGAGACCTTGTCTCAGAAAACAAAATTGTTTACTTTTAAAAGTAATGAAAATAAATACAAATTTAAAACACAGAGAAGGTAATGTCCAAGTGAAGTCCCGAATGGAGGGAGGGGGGAGATGTAAGGTGGACGCCCCACCACGCTCACCCCGATCAGTGGCCCCTTCCTTTCCCCACACACCTGCGTGGAACCCTCTCACAGTCTGAAGCAGATGCCTCATGCCCCGGGGCTCAGACGGCCTCAGAGGGGCTGCCGGTCCCATCTCCCACACCTAATCCCGCCGTGGGAGGACTCCCGTTCCTGGAGGGAGCTGGAGGAGAAGGGGCCCAAGGGCTGGACACTGGGGCTGCTGTTCCCCCTCCACACCCACAGCTAAGCCTTCAAGCCTAAGACCCCGCCAACGCCACCTCCCAGCCCACAGCTTTCAGGCTTCAGATCCAATGACAAGGCATGGGGGAGAGAGCAGTGGGGAGCTGGCCTGTTAGGGATCCCTCCTCTTCCCCAGACCCCTCTTCTTCCTACAGGTACAGCCGCTAGCTCTGAGCTGGTGGTGTCCCTGGACGAGGGAACTCTTAACTACTGTGGCTTCAAGAATTCCTGTTTCTGGCTTGGAGGGAACTGGTCTTTCTTGGTGACTTTGCCCCAGACTCTGGGTGGATGTGTGGACCCCAAGAGAAGCAACAAGACACAGGCATGTTGCAGGGCCAGCTCGGGCCCCAAACTGAGGGGTGCTGGGGAAGGGGCAATTCGTGATTATCTGTAACCGGGCTGTGGGCTGCCTCTGCCTCTCTAGGGCGATGGAAACAGCCTCTGACCATCTCAGCTCCCCTCCCTTCTCCTTGCAGTGCTGGGTCTGGGCTCCTAATGTGTAGAAGGCAGGGCAGTGGGTTCTCAATGCCACCTGTCCCTGAGGCTTCCTGCTGATGGCATGGTGTGGGGTCCCTGACCCTTAAAAGGCCCCCAAGGTGTCTCTGTCCTGGCAGTCCCATGTCCCACATGTTGTCACACCCTGCACACACCCATCTTCAGTGATACCCACACCCCCATTCATGGGACCTCCCGCAGGCCCCTTGCAGGTGGAAAGGGCTGGGCCAATGGCTCCAGGTCCCACCGCCCCTCACATTCCTCCATCCCTGTGCCCCCTTTTAGGGGCTCTGTTGTGTTCCCCCAGCTTCATACCCTGAAGACTTGACCCCAGAACCTCAGAATGAGACTCTGTTTGGAGACACAGCCTTTAAAGAGGCGATTAAGCCCGGGCGCGGTGGCTCACGCCTATAATTCCAGCACTTTGGGGGGCTGAGGTGGGCAGATCACGAGGTCAGGAGTTCAAGACCAGCCTGGCCAACATGGTGAAACCCTATCTCTACTAAAAATACAAAAATTAGCCAGCCATGGTGGTACGTGCCTGTAATCCTAGCTACTAGGGAGGCTGAGGCAGGAGAATAGCTTGAACCTGGGAGGCAGAGGTTGCAGTGAGCCAAGATCACGCCACTGCACTCCAGCCTGGGTGACAGAGCGAGACTCCGTCTCAAAAACAAAAAACAAATGAAAAGAGGTGATTAAGATGAGATGAGGTCATAGGGGTGGGCCTTAATCCAATCCCAACTGGTGTCCTTCTAAGAAGAGGAAATCAGGACACACAGGGCTGACCCCATGAGGACATGGGGGAGACCGCGTCTGCAAGCCCAGGAGCGAGGCCTCAGGAGGAATCTGCCCTGAGGACACCTTCATCTTGGACTCCAGCCTACAGCACGGTGAGAAGTAATTGCCTGTTGTTCAACCCTCTGCTCTGTCACACCTGCTACAGCCCTGCTCGCAAACGAATATACCTCCCGGCCCACCCAGGCCCCTAGATGCCCAGCTACCCCTGCTTTTCTGACAATGGCTCCAGTGCTTCCATTTCCCTGGGGCCCGAGCCTCTAACTCCTACCTGAGCATCCGCATTGTACCCCATGTCCCCGTGGTGTGAGGTGTGAGCCCAGGGACTGAGTGAGGAGGAGGGCCGGGTGGAGGAGAAGACGCCGGGGCAGCATCACTGGGCATCTCCAGGCGTCCCCACCCTCGGCCGTGGCTGCTGTCCTGCACAGGCAGAGCTGCCTCTGGGAGCACAGAGTCTGGGGTCGGCCCCTAGCTTTTCTTTTTTCTGAGTGTTTCTCTCTGTCACCCAGGCTGCAGTGCAGTGGTGTGATCATAGCTTACTGCAGCATCGACCTCCTGGGCTCAAGTGATCCTCTCATCTCAGCCTCCTGAGTAGCTGGGACTACAGGTTCATGCCAGCATACGCAGCTATATATATACATATATATATATATATATATTTTTTTTTTTTTTGAGATGGAGTCTGGCTCTGTCGCCCAGGCTGGAGTGCAGTGGCGTGATCTTGACTCACTGCACCCACTACCTCCCAGGTTCAAGCAATTCTCCTGCCTCAGTCTCCCGAGTAACTGAGATCACGTGTGCACCACCATGCCTGGCTTTTTTTTTTTTTTTTTTTTTTTTTAAAGACAGGGTCTGGCTTTGTCACCCAGACTGGAGTGCAATGGCATGATCTCAGCTCACTGCATCTGCCTCCTGGGTTCAAGTGATTGTCCTGCCTCCAGTAGCTGGGATTATAGGCGTGCACCATCACACCTGGCTAATTTTTGTATTTTTAGTAGAGATGTGGGTTTCACCATCGTGGCCAGGCTGGTCTTGAAATCCTGATCACAAGTGATCCTCCTGCTTCGGCCTCCCAGAGTGCTGGGGCTGCCAACCCCCAGCTAATTTTTTTTTTTTTTTGGAGACAGAGTCTCGCTCTGTCACCCAGGCTGGAGTGCAGTGGCGTGACCTCGGCTCACTGCAAGCTACACCTCCCAGGTTCACGCCATTCTCCTGCCTCAGCCTCCCGAGCAGCTGGGACTACAGGTGCCTGCCACCACGCCCAGCTAATTTTTTTGTATTTTTTTTTTTTTAGTAGAGACAGGGTTTCACCGTGTTAGCCAGGATGGTCTTGATCTCCTGACCTTGTGATCCGCCCACGTCGGCCTCCCAAAGTGCTGGGATTACAGGTGTGAGCCACCGCGCCTGATGCCCCCCCCAGCTAATTTTTTAAACAAATTTTACAGAGATAGAGTCTTGCTATGTTGCCCAGGCTGGTCTCAACCTCCTGGGATCATGGGATCCTCTTGCCTTGGACCCCCAAAGCAGTGAGATTATAGGTGTGAGTAGCCTCACCAGCCCTGCTTCTCACTCTTCTAACTTGCCACGTAGCCTTGAGTGAGCCTGGGCCCCTCTGGGACCCTTGCTGGCATAGCAGGTAGATGGTGAGCCTGGGCTGACTTTGACGACACAAGCCCACTGCCTCCACCCCACTCCCCCATCTCCCCTACCTTACTTCACACGCCTCACTTCCTGGGGCGGGGGGACCTGAGGGCAGAGAGGTCTCACGGGTCGGATAGGCTGGGCTGGCAGGGAGCTGGGTGCCCCAACGTGAGGCCCTGTGCTCGCCCGCCTTGAAGACCAACCCTCAAACAAGGCCTTTGTGTACGCAGTAGACCTATGGGAAGCTTTTGAGGGAATGAAGGATGCTTATATCATCACAGAACCCCAAAAACAGAACCTGAATGCTGTCCTTCCCTTTGGAATGTCTCCTTTCTTCATTTGTTTTTGTTTTGATACAGAATCTTGCTCTGTCACCCCGGCTAGAGTGCAGTGGTGTGATCTTGGCTCACTGTAACCTCCGTCTCCTGGGTTCAAATGATTCTCATGCCTCAGCCTCCTGAGTAGCTGAGACTACAGGTGCCTGCTACCACGCCCAGCTAATTTTGTATTTTCAGTAGAGACAGGGTCTCGCCATGTTGGCCAGGCTGGTCTCAAACTCCTGAGCTCAGGTGATCAGCCCGCCTCGGCCTCCCAAGGTGCTGGGATTACAGGCGTCAGCCACTGCACCCTGCTAATTCTTGTATTTTTAGTAGAGATGGGGTTCCACCGTGTCGGCCAGGCTGGTCTCGAATTCCTGACCTCAAGTGATCCGCCCACTTCAGCCTCCCCAAGTGCTGGGATTACAGGCACCTGCCACCACGCCCGGTTAATTTTTGAATTTTTAGTAAAGACGGAGTTCCGCCCTGTTGCCCAGGCTGACCTCAGGTGACCCCCCTCTCCCACCTTGGCCTCCCAGAGTGCTGGGATGACAGGCTTGCGTCACCACACCGGGCTAATGCTTGTATTTTTAGTAGACAGGCCTCGCCGTGCTGCCCAGGCTGGTCTTGAGTCTTGGTTTGTTGTATTATTCCCACTGCACCCCCCAGGAGTTCCCCACCTGCCACCCCTTCCCCGGGATCTGGCCACCTATGAGTGGGGCAGCCACCTGTCACCCCAGGCCCTCCTCACCTCTCTCTGCTCCTGCAATCCTGTGCCCCTCCCCTTGGCTTCCAGAAACTCAAATCTCCCCATTCATCACCCGGAAGCTTTGAGTAGATGGAGGTCTAGCAACACAGCCTCTCAGAGAGGCCAGTGTGGGACCCTGCGGAGCACGGGCTGTGCAGTCAATCTGGGGAAATGGGCTCACCTGATGGAAAACGCTAAGCAAAGCCTCTGCCCCAACCCGCCACAAATTCCTGTGACATGGATTAGAGACCTCAGCGCACAAAGCAAACTTTTTTATGCTTTCTGGACCGGGAAAGAGTTTGTACATAAACACCAAAAGCACAAATCACGAACAGAAAGATTGCCAAGTCCAGACAGAGCAAAATTAGAAACGTCTGCATGACAAAAGCGCACCATAAACAACGCAGCGAGACAAGCCACAGACACAGAGGGGATATCTGCAACCCAGATCACCAACAAAGGGGTCATACCTGAGACGGACGGGGAGTCCCACAGATCAAGGGGAGATGAACAGCCCCGTCGGAGCGGGCGACGTGGAAACCCTCCGGCGAGTCCCAGAAGAGGCCGGTGGCTGCTACCAAGAGGCGCCCGCTGCGGTCACAATGGGGGCAACGTGGACGGAGACCTCCATGAGATGCGGCCCCCACACCACCCGCCGGGCCTGAGTGTGGCACAAGGACGTGCTGGTGAGGACCGAGAGCCTCAGTGCCTCTCCCCTTGCAGGAGCGCCAAGTGGCACGTCCCTTTGGAGGCTACCCGGCTGTTTCTCCTGCGGTTGAGACCACACCTGCTCCATGCCCGGCGGTTCCACCCTAGCGTGTGTCCTGGGGCAGGTGCAGCATCGCTGGGGATAACGGGAGCTAGAAACAGCATCCAGGCGCCTTTTCAGGGAAACGAATGAATCACCTGTGGTGCCTGGTGGGGGACGCCGCCGCGCAGTTCACACCAACAGATTCCAGATGAACCACACCTGCTTCTATCAACGCGGATTAACCTCAGAAGGGTACTGTGGGGTGAGAAGAGCAAGTTGCTGAATGTCACGGACAGCAAAATACCATTTATACAAAGTTTAAAAATACAAATTTCACGGCCGGGTGAGGTGGCTCACGCCTGTGACCCCCAGCATTTTGGGAGGCCAAGGCAAGCGGATCACCTGAGGTCAGGAGTTTGAGACCAGCCTGGTCAACATGGTGAAACCCCATCTCTACTAAAAATACAAAAAATTAGCTGGGTGTAGTTGCAGGCGCCTGTAATCCCAGCCACCGGGAGGCCGAGGCAGGAGAATCCCTTGAACCCGGGAGGCGGAGCTTGCGGTGAGCCGACGTTGCGCCACCGCACTCCAGCCTGGGCAACAGGAGCAAAACTCCACTTCAAAAAATTAAAAAATTAAAAAATTAAAAATAAATAAAAGGAGCCCCAGAGGGCTCCCTCACCCCTTTCCCACAAGAGGGCACGGCGGGAAGGTGTCGCCTATGACCCAGGAAGCCTTCGGCAGACACGGAGCCTGCCGGGGCCTGGATCTTGTGTCTGCCTCGAACCTGTTTTTCCGGGTTCTTCGCTGCCCGTGGCCGCCCCGTCGGAGGCTCCAGGGTGCAGTTCACCTGCTGGCTTCATCACGGCCTCCTGAGCCCTGAGGCCCGGGCGGGGGCGGGAGAGCAAGTCCAGGGTCACAGGCGTGGAGGGGTGCTCCGCGTGAGATGCGGCCCTCCTCCGAGGCGGTTCGGATGAGGGGGACCCCCGAGAGCGATGGGGACTTGGGGTCCCCGGGAGGAGTTAGCAGTAAAGCAGCCGCCACGGTGGGGACCCTGCAGGTGGCCAGGGAGGGCTGGATGCGGTCTCCTCTCCCACCGGCCCATCTCCCTGCCCCCAGCACAGGACGGGCTCGCGTGGGGGGCTGACGGGAGCTCAGGGGCCGGTCAGGCCCACCCCTCACTCCCCGGTCCAGGCCTGGGGGCGACAGCAACTGCGGGCATTGGAGGAGGCCGTCTGACGCGCAGCCAGACCCCGCCACAGAGAGTGACCCGGAGGCCCAGGGCCCCGCTCGGGCGGGTGAGGGTTCCTGCACGACGCCAGCTTCCGGGGGAAGCGGAAGCTGCTCACACTCACGGCTCCACCCAGGTGGGGCCCTTCAATAACTCGGTTCCGCTAACGTGGTGCCGGCTTCACACACCGGCTCCCCCGCCGCTCAGACGGTTCCAGCTGTCCTTCTCCCCTCCTCGCGTTCTTACCAACGCACTTGGGGCTGGAGAACCCTCGCGCCACCCACACTCACACACACACCTACATGTACATACACCCTACACACACACACCTACACACACCTACACACACCCCGACACACATACACCTACACACAACCCCTACACACACCTACACACCCCTATACACACACACCTACACACACCTACACACACCCCTACACACACCTACACACCCCTATACACACACCGCCACACACCCCTACATAACACACACCCCTACATACACACACACCTACACACACCCCTACACACACATACAGCTACACACACCCCTACACACCCCTACACACCCCTACACACACCCCTACATACACACACACCTACACACACACATACACACACATACACCTACACACACCCCTACACACACCTACACACACTACATAACACACCCCCCCACATACACACACCTACACACACCCCTATACACACACCTACACACACCCCTACATAACACACACCCCTACATACACACACACCTACACCCCCTACATACACACACAACCCTATACACACATACACACATACACCTACACACACCTACGCACACCTATGCACACCTACATGTACACACACCCTACACACCTACACACACCCCTCCACACACCTACACACACACCTACACACACACACCCCTCATAACACACACCCCCTACATACACTCACACCTACACCCCCTACATACACAACCCTACACACACATACCCCTACACACACCTACACACACCTACGCACACCTATGCACACCTACATGTACACACACCCCTACACGCACACACCTACACACATACACCCCTACATACACACACCCCTACACACACCCCTACATACACACACCCCCTACATACACACACACCCCTACACACATACCCCCTACATACACACACACACAGGCACACACACACCTGCAGAGGCACACACACCCCTACATACACACACACACCTATATACACCTACACAGACACACACACACACACCCCTACACACACATACATCTACACAGGCACACACACACACCCTACATACACACCCCTACATACACACACACCTACATACACACCTACACAGACACACACACCCCTACACACACACATCTACACAGGCGCACACACACACCCCTACATACACACATCCCTACATACAAACACACACCCCTACACAGACACACTCCTACACACTGGTCTCCCAGCCTGTGCCTCTCCCCGTGGAGTGCCCCCTCCACCCTGCAGCCGAGGAGCCCCCAGCCCTGTGTGGGACCAAGGCTTCAAAGCCCCCACTGACCCCACCACCCATAAGATCAAAAGCGAAATTCCTCGGTGGGTCAGTTTGCTTGGGCCGCCATAACAAACTCTCACAGACCAGGTGGCTGAAACAACAGACGTTTATTTCCCACGATCCTGGAGGCTGGAAGTCCAACATCAAGGTGTGGGTGGGGCTGGATCCCCTGAGGCCTCCTCCTCAGCTTCCAGACAGCATCTTCTCCCCATGTCCTCACGTGATTGTCCTTCCGTGAGCATCTGTGTCCTAATCTCCTCTTCTTAGAAGGACTCCAGTCAGATTGGATCAGAGCCCACCCTAGTGACCTCATTTTCCCTCCATTATCTCTTTAAAGACCGTGTCTCTGGCCAGACACCGTGGCTCGTGCCTGTAATCCCAGCACTTTGGGAGACTGAGGCAGGAGGATTGCTTGAGGGCAGGAGTTCAAAACCAGCCTGGGCAACATAGTAAGACCCCATCTCTACAAAAGAATTTTTAAAAATTAGCCAGGCATGGTGGTGCATGCCTGTGGTCCCAGCTACTTAGGAGGCTGAGGCAGGAGCATTGCTTGAGCCCAGGAGGTGGAGGCTACAGTGAGTCCTGATAGGGCCATTGCACTCCAGCCTGGGTGACAGGGTGAGACCCTGTCTCCAAAAAATAAAATAAAATAAAATAAAAATAAAAATAAAAATAAAAAGATTCTGTCTCCAAATACAGCCATATTCTGAGGTCCTGGGGGTGAGAACTTTGGCGTATGAATTTGAGGGAGACACAATTTACCCCATGACGCAGGGCATGAGATTGAAAGGCCTTCGCAATCCAGGCACCATCTTCCTTCCCAAAGCCAGATCCCGGGGGCCATGTGGGGTGTCCTGAAAGCGGGAAAGTTTGCCATGGTGGCCCCCAGTGGAGGTCCTGGCATCCTTGTCTCTGGAGGTCAGAAATTCTTAAAGTAAGCGTGGGCTGCCCTCCCTGCCCTGGGCCTCCTGTCCACTTGAAAGCACACACAGGAGTGGGCTTGGTCCAGGCTGGGGGAGGAGGAAGGTGCCCTGGACCAGGAACCCAAACACCAAGGGAGCAGCAATGGGGAAGTGTTCTGTCCTGGCCCCACACGCTGGCAGACCATGCTGGTGCTCCACACGTCATCACTGTCACAGCAACTCTGCAGGGCAGGAGGTGTGACCCCAGTTCACAGATGAGGAAACAGAGGCTCCTCAAGGACGCAGGGCTCACCCGAGGTCACACTCAGGAGGGAAGAGCTGCATGTGGGCCCACAGGTTCGAGTGCCTGTTATGCAGTCACAGTCCAATGCGCGGAGGCAGCAGGGTTTGCAGCAGAGAAAGAGTTTCAGGATCGCTGGGAGCCAAGCAGGGAGATGGGAGGAGACCCTCAAATCCATCTCCCCAAGGAGTTCTGAACTGGGGTGTTTTGGGTTTTTTTTTTTTTTTTGGTTGTGTTCCAATAAACTTTATTTATGAACACTAAATATTCATGTTAATTTTCATGTATCATAAAAGTCTTTAAAAACAAAGCATTTAAAATTATAAACACAATTCCTAGCTCACAGGACACAGAAAGCAGGCAGCAGGCTGGATTTGGTCCACAGGCCATAGTTGGCTGTCTCTTATACAGGCTTTAATACGTTATGCAAAGTGTTTCAAATTCCAGAGACTTTGGATACTTCTCTTTTTTTTAGATTTCTCATTTTAAAATATATACAATGCAAGTTTTCTTTCTGGATCAATATACTCGCATGAGAGAAAATAATTCAGAAAAAAATATATTTCCTTACTTAAAAAAAGGGAAAGGCACCAGGCATGGTGGCTCATGCCTGTAATCCCAGCACTTTCGGAGGCCAAGGCAGGAGGATCACGAGGTCAGGAGTTTGAGACCAGCCTGGCCAATATGGTGAAACCCCGTCTCTACTGAAAAATACAAAAATTAGCCAGGCACGGTGGTGCACGCCTTAGTCCCAGCTACCCGGCAGGCTGAGGCAGGAGAATGGCTGGAACCTGGGAGGCGGAGGTTGCAGTGAGCCCAGATCACACCACTGCACTCCAGCCTGGGCGACAGGGCGAGACTCTGTCTCCAGAAAAAAAAAAAAAAGGGTAGGGGGAAAGCTGTAAAACAAATGTTTCATCTTAAAATATATAATTAGGCAATGTAAAGTTAAAGATTAGAATGTTTATCCTATGCAACATAAAATAATATGCATAGATCTGGTACATAATTTATTAGTTTTTACTTTAGAAAAAAAGTGAGAAAAAGGTTTATAAATTTCTCAGTCCCTTTTATAAAAAGTTGCAACTAAAACCAGCCATCACTTATGTGTATAACCATCAACTCTGAATATAATATTAATTATACCTAGGAACTGGAATTTACCTAGACGAATTCTGGCTGCTTTTTGAAAAATGCACAATTGTATCACAGAACACTGTGGCTTCTACAATTTGTAACAATTTTGAAAAGGAAACTCCTGCTTCCATAATATAGGGCAACAAGAATACTCTTTCCATAGTCATGATCCTGTGTAAAAAAAAACCTCATAGTCTGATTTACCTTTATCAAAGGTAAAATGATTCACATTTGCATGGATTACTCTGATCCTCAGTAGTTCCTAAACACAAAATACATTTTGCATAAACCTTTATCTGGGTTTTCCAAAGCAAGTATTACACTGGCAGAAGTCCATGACCTGAAGAAAAAGAAATTGAATATAAAAGGTTTACCGACTTTATCCTTTCTAATTTTACGATAGCTTCAGGCGTTGAGACCCAGCTGGTTTCTTGTGCCTATCCATTGTGAACTTCTAACACTTCTCAGTGCCATCTTTTAAAGGTGGTTGCTTTATTTTGCGACGTAGAAAATCCTTTCGTCCAACTTCAATCATTTGTTCTTCCCAAGACTTCATTTCATTATAATAATGAATTTTATCATCTTTAGCAAGTTGAATATATACTTTCTTTTGAGAACCAGACAGATTTTTCCAGTTTTCATTTACAGTCTTCAGCTTTGCCTGCGGTGAACCATCCTTAGCTTCTTGGAAGCTTTCAGCTACATAAATGTTATAAGCTGAACGAGATCATTTTGGTTTTCCAAGCAGTGTTAACTCTCTTTTTTATTAAAGCTTTCCTTTTTAAATGTTCCTGCATGATTTCTTTTTCCAAAGACATAATCTGACTTGGAGTTAGCTGTTCTTGAATTCTGCTTATCTCTTCTTTGTATGCCTGCCAGTCCACCCTATAAGCATCTTCATATATTTTTTTTCTCTGAATTGGGAAGTTCCGTCCAATGCTCAGCGATTCTTCTAATTAGTTCTGTATTTTTTGCATCTGGGTTCTGAGCTTTAAATATGGGTAGTTGTTCTTTAGAAAATCAAAGGTAAGAAGTTACAGGTTTCTTTGGATAACTTGCCAAGACAGGCGAAAACCATTTCCATAAATACATAAAACTGAAGGGGAAGCGCGGTCGACTTCCACAGCTGGTACACAGCTCCGCCAGGACCTTCCCAGGGCCCTCAGCACACCCCACGTGCTTCACACCAGCAGACCAGGCAGTGACCAGGAACCAGTCTCGGAGAGCCTCCTGGCACGACAGAACCACCCCAGCAATGGCAACTCGAACCTGCCTGTGACCCTCCGGAGTTTGTTATCATGCCTGCCACTCGCGAGACACTATGTCATTCAGGCTGGAGTGCAGTGGCGCGATCTCGGCTCACTGCAACTTCCGCCTCCCAGACTCAAGGGATTCTCCTGCCTCAGCCTCCCGAATAGCTGGGATTTCAGGCGCGTGCCACCATGCCAGGCTAATTTTTGTATTTTTAGTAGAGACGGGGTTTCGCCATGTTGGCCAGGCTGGTCTCGAACTCCTGACCTCAGGTGATCCACCCACCTTGGCCTCCCAACGTGCTGGGATTACAGGCGTGAGCCACCGCGCCTGGCCCTGAACTGGGGTTTTTAAGGGGATCATGGAGGGTGAGGGGCTGGGTAACTGGGGTCATTGATGGGTTGGGGTGAGAGGAGTGTAGAAACGGCATTCTTTCGTGAGTCAGTTCCTTGTGGGGTCCTTCGGGTCAGCTGGCATCAGTTGTTTCATTGGTGGGCAGACCTGAAGGAATATCTCAAAGTGAAAACATTTGGTGATGTTCAAGTTGTTATCTGTAGAGTAGTTAAAGGGAGCTATAATCTAGATTCTACATGATTCTAGGACAATAGGCACCCAACAGCTATGAGGAAGTGGATCCGAGAGCAAACGGACCCAGCGATGGACGGTGAATTTGCCACAAGCGTGGTGTATTTTCATTGCTCCCCCTCTTCTTCCCTGATTTATTTTACTATTATTATTATTATTATTATTATTATTATTATTATTATTATTTTGAGACAGAGTTTCACTCTTGTTGCCCAGGCTGGAGTGCAACGGCGCTATCTCGGCTCACTGCAACCTCCACCTCCCAAGTTCAAACAATTCTCCTGCCTGGGCCTCCCTAGCAGCGGGGATTACAGGCACCCACCACCATGCACAGCTAATTTTGCATTTTTAGTAGAGATGGGGTTTCACCATGTTGGACAGGCTGGTCTTGGACTCCTGACCTCAAGTGATCTGCTCACTTTGGCCTCCCTAAGTGCTGGGATTACAGGCGTGAGCCACCGTGCCCAGCCTCTGATTAACTGTATAAAGTTTATAGGGATGGCCAAGCACAGTGGCTCACACCTATAATCCCAGCACTTTGGGAGGCCAAGGAAGGAGGATCACTTGAGCTCAGGAGTTCAAGACCAGCCCGGGCAACTGTGAGACCCCATCTCTATAAAAAAAAAAAAAAAAATAGCAGGGTGTGGTGGTATGCACCTGTGGTCCCAGCTACTCAGGAGGCTGAGGCAGGAGGATCACTTCAGCCCAGGAGGTTGAGGCTGCAGTGATCTACAAGCACGCCACTGCACTCCACATTGGGTAACAAAGAAAGACCCTGTCACACACACACAAAGTGTGTGTGACACTTCAAATGTCAGGCTTCAAATGTATCATGCACCAACAGCCACATGGGCCAACCTTTCTTTCTTTTCTTTTTCTTTTTCTTTTTTCTTTTTTTTTTTTTTTTTTTTGAGACAGAGTTTTGCTGCTCTGTGGCCCAGGCTGGAGTGCAGTGGCCTGATCTCAGCTCACTGCAACATCCGCCTCCCAAATTCAAGCAATTCTCGTGCCTTAGCCTCCCGAGTAGCTGCGACTACAGGCATGTGTCACCAAGCCCGGCTAATGTGTTGTATTTTAGTAGAGATGGGGTTTCACCACGTAGCCCAGGCTGGTGTTGAACTCCTGAGCTCAGGCAATCCACCGCCTTGGCCTCCCAAAGTTCTGGGATTACAGGTGTGAGCCGCCGCACCCAGCCCACATTGGCCCCCTTTCTGATACACACTAAACCTGTTCCTGCTCCAGGGCCTTTGCACTCTCTGTTCCCTCTGCCCGGAGCGTTCTTCCTCCACAACTACCTGTGGCCTCACTGACCGTCCTAGCTAATATCACCCCTCAAGCACCCCGCTCATAATCTTTTCTTTTTTCTTTTTCGAGACGGAGTCTTGCTCTGTTGCTCAGGCTGGAGTGCAGGTGCGCGATCTCGGCTCACTGCAACCTCCGCCTCCCGGATTCAAGAGATTCTCCTGCCTCATCCTCCTGAGTAGCTGGGATTACAGGCACATGCCACCATGCCCGGCTAATTTTTGTATTCTTAGTAGAGATGGGGTTTCACCATGTTGGCCAGACTGGTCTTGAACTCTTGACCTCGTGATCCACCCGCCTCAGCCTCCCAAAGTGCTGGGATTACAGGCATGCCTGCTCGTCATCTTTAGAGCACCTATCACTATCTGAATTATCTTTATTACTGGTTCCCTTGTTTATGGTCTGCCTCTCCCAGATAGATACAGAACAATGTCTGACACACAGCCCAGTCTTAGTGAACGTGAGATGAATGAATAAACCCCAGCCAGGCAGTTCTAATGGAAGCTGCCGTATGGACTCAGGGTGAGCAACTGACCAAGCCAGGCCATGCACAGTCCTTCCGTGGGGTTTTCCCAGCTGAGGCTAAAGAAAGACGCGCAGATCCCGCCCGGTGGCAGATGGCATGGCATGTGGCTCTGGAGCTCTCTGTCCCCCAGTAACCCCATCCCCACCCCCCAGGAGGAAGAGGCTGCCCGGCCAGAGGTAGATGTGCTGAGAGCAGCAGGGATGAGGCTGGAGACGTCCTGGGATCTCTGAGCCTTCCTTCTGTTGCAAAACCACAGAGTCCTGACTTCTAGGAAATTCCTTTCTTGCCTCAGCAAATTTGAGCCAGGTCTCTGTGACTCATTAGTAAAGGACCCTGATGGGCACAGATGGAACAAGAGGCCAAGGGAAGGGTGGGGCCTCTTTGTTATAAACGAGGTGCAGCTGGGCATTGTGGCTCACGCCTGTAATCCCAGCACTTTGGGAGGCCGAGGTAGGCGGATCGCTTGAGGTCAGGAGTTCAAGACCAGCCTGGCCAACATGGCAAAACCCCACCTCTGCTAAAAATACAAAAATTAGCCAGGCATGGTGGCGGATGCCAATAATCCCAGCTACTTGGGATACTCGGGAGGCTGAGGCAGGAGAATCGCTTGAACCCAGGAGGCGGAGGTTGCAGTGAGCCGAGATCACACCACTGCTCTCCAGCCTGGCAATAGAGCAAGACTCGGTCTCAAAATAAAAAAAAGGCACAAGTGAAATGGTCACTCAGCTGAGACAACAGAGATGGGAGTCTGATCTGCTTTAGGGTTGGATTAGACCAAGCTCTATGGGTCTCTTCCAGCCCCTGTGTATCCCAGGGGCTCCCCCACCTCTGTGGGCCTCTGTTTCTCCCATTATAAAATGATGGGGTAGACGAGATGGCCCCTGAGCCAAGTCTGGTCGAAATGTGGCATCCGAACTGACGCCCAGTAGATTTCTGACCAGTCTAGCCCATCACCCCACTGGAGGAGGGAGACACAGGCTGAGGACCACTGACCAGTCAGCCAGGAGACCTAGGCCCTGGGCACTGCTGGGCCGGTTCAATCCAGCGCCCTGCCTGGCAAAACCCCGCTACGACTCATCAACACGCAGCAACTCCCCCTGCCCCCAGCTCGGCAGCTCCAGTGTGGACAATCGGCAGAGCTGCTCAGGTGGATCTAAGACTCCCCTAATGAGATTCTTGACGATTGGGAAACTAATGATATGCTCAACTCATCTTTAATTGGCACGGTGCTGCTGGAGATGCCAGCGCGGGCGAGACGCGGGGCGGCTTTGACTCAAGCCATCATTATCGCTCCTTGGCGGCACTTGGTCCTCGCCCACCCTCAGAGCCATTGCCCCCGCCGCCCCGCTGCCCCCACCCCCCAGGCTGCGGTCTGCCAGCTGGGCCCTCAGTGGCTCCTTCTGTCTGGCCTGCAGGGGGGCCCCAGGCCTGTCCCCATGCAGATACCCCGCCCTGGGAGGCTGGTCACATTCTTGGGCGCTGAGAGGTCCCTCCCTCCCTCATCATCGGCGTTTCCCTCGCTGGGTGGGCCTCAGCCCTATGGAGGGGTCTCATGAATGGTGCAGGAAGCAGGAGGGGGGTGCTGACCGGTGCATGGGAACCTGCTTTCCTGGAGACCCATCTTAGCTCTTTCCATCCTCAGCTCCTGACCCCTTTCTCAGCCTCATTTTCCCCACGTGCAAAATGCAGATAACGTTAGCCCTTCCCCCGGGGGCTCACGAGTGGGCAGCCCGCACTGTGTGGTCAGACTCATGGGAAGACGAAAGGGTGCGGGAGAGGTCTGATGCCCGCTGCTCGCCACCTCCGGGGGTGTCCAGGCTGGGCACAGCAAGCTCTGTACGACCAGCCAGGGCAACCTGAGTCCAGTGACAGCCCAGTGCGTGGGGTCCACAAGGGAGACCCAGTGCCAGGCCGGCGTGGTGGGAAGAGGAGCTGCAAGTCATGCTGGGAGCCGGGGAAGGCAGACAGTGCCAGGCTGCAGACTCAGCCAAGGTCCAGCCAAGCCTGCTGCGCTGTGGCACCTGAGACACAGGTGCCCACCTTCTCCCCCTTGAAGCTCTCTTCCCGGAGCTCCCCAGCCCCCCGCTTCTCCTCCTGCCTCCTTGACTTCTCTCTCAGCCCCGATTGAGCCAGCCCGCAACTGTGGGGCTCCTAGAGGTTCACTTTGAGGCTCTCTTGCCCTCTCACTCACTCCCCCTCCCTAGGGGAGCTCACCTGTGACCTTACCTCGAATAACCACCCCCATGGATGGTCCCTAAATGTCTCTCTTTGGAGGCCAGCACCTCCAGACGCCCTGCAGGAACCGCTCCCCTTACTCAGTCTCCTACCACAGCGAATGACACCAACTGCCTAACCAGCTGATCAAAGCAGAACCCTGGAAATCATTTCTTTTTTTTCTTTCTTTCTTTCCTTTTATTTTTTTTGTTTTGAGATGGAGTCTCTCTGTGTTGCCCTGCCTGGAGTGCAGTGGCACAATCTCAGCTCACTGAAACCTCAAGCAGTTCTCCTGCCTCAACCTCCAGAATAGCTGGGATTACAGGTGCACGCCACCACACCCGGCTAAGTTTTGTATTTTTAGTAGAGACAGGATTTCACCATGTTGGTCAGGCTGGTCTCGAACTCCTGACCTCAGGTGATCCGCCCGTCTCGGCCTCTCAAAGTGCTGGGATTACAGGCGTGAGCCACCGCGCCCGGCCCTGGAAAGCATTTCTTGATCCCACCTTCTTTCTACATCTGGTCAATCACCAAATCCTGTCTATTTGACCTTCTAGATGTCTCTGGAAGTTCTTCACCAAGCTGTCTCCCCACTGCCCCCTATGCAGGCCCAAGCCTATCCCCGATGCACTGCCTGGACCAGTGGCTGCACAAAGCACGCCAGCCCATCACCTGCCCCAGCATCCCTGGTGCACTGTGGCCAGAGCCGAGCTGCCAGTCATGGAGCCGACCCCTCCCCAGCACGAGACCAGCTGACCCCCGGGCCATGCCGAGCAGCTCGGGCACATGACTCGGTCTTTCCTGGAAATTCTCTCCCAGACAGAATGATTGCTGTCACCCTTTGGGTCACAATGCTGGGAGGATGGGCGTTTAGAACATCTGGTGGCCACTGTCCCCAGCAGCAAGGAGGAAATCCATCCCCAGAAAGAGAGGGACCCAGAGAGGAGATCTCAGTGGTACCCTTGACCAGCCAAACCTGAAGGCCTGCGTTTCCCAGTTCTGTGAGCCGCTAAATTCCCTGCTATTTACTTCATCTTATTGGAGTTGGGCTCTTTCCGCTCATCTACAAGCCCTGAGGGACATGCTCTAAACATCAGCCTCCCCGCTGCAGGAATTAACCCCTTCAATCCAGCCCCTGAATTGGGTGGTCACTGAGATCGTCTAAAGGCCAAGTCTGCCCTCTGGCCCTGCCTGTAATCCCCCTCTCCAAGGCTCCCCAGTGCCCACAAGGTGAGATCCAGATCCCTTGGCGTGACTTCCAAGCCCCATCTGTCTCCAGCTCTCCAGTCGCATTGGTGCCCACTGTCCCCCTCGAGCTGAACACAGGTTCCTGTTGGACGGAAAGACCTGCAGCTCCCCAGGGGTGCTGGCCTTTGAACATGCTGCTCCATCAGCCGGGAACATTTCCACCACATCACACCTGCGAGGCCCAGCTCCCTCCTGGCCACTCCTGTCCAGCCTGCCCTGGGCCCCCAGGATGGGGAGATTATGAGGACTCCCATGCACCCCCAGAGACCCCTGGATCCCCCGTGGGAGGACTCTGCACCCCCAGAGCCCCCTGGATCCCCCGTGGGAGGACTCTGCACCTCTGGAGCCCCCGGGATCCCCCATGGGAGGACTCTGCACCCCCGGGGCCCCCAGGATCCCCCGTGGGAGGACTCTGCACCCCCGGAGCCCCCGGGATCGCCTGTGGTAGGACTCTGCACCCCCAGAGCCACACGGATCGCCTGTGGGAGGACTCATCGCTGCAGGATAAATGCATGCTGACTTCTCGATCTCTCCCCTGGGCTACACCTCTTGGGGGAAGGAACCGCCTTGATCGTGGCACCCTCCACGCCTCGCACACACAGGGGCTCACAGAAAGTTGCTGAACAGTTGGAAGAATTCGGGGCTCCAGAATTCAGCAGCTCCAGGTCCAAGCCTTGGTTCTGCCACTTCCTGGCTCTGCGGCCTTGAGCAAATCGTTGAGCTCCTCCAGGCCCCGCCCAGACCCAGTCCAAACCCTGCCCAACCCCTGCCCAGCCCAACCCTTGCCCAGCCCCAGCCCAGCTCAGGCCCTGGCCAGCACCACCAGCGGCCACACAAGGCCAAGAGCCCCCCGCCCCCACACTGTTGCCTGGAGTCCCTGAGACAGGATGTCTCAGCGGAAGCTATGAGATGCTTTGAGCTCCCCAGGTGCAACTGGAGGCCTTGTTATCATGATTAAGATTTAATTTATCATCAGGGGTGACCACCCAGCTGTCTCTATGCCGCCATTGTTCCAAATTTCCTCCTTTTCTATTTCTGATTCCTTCTCTTTTGTGAGATTGCGCTGACTTTGACCTTAATAAATCTCATTTTATTCTTCTAATTTACTCAGACAAAGTTGGATAGTTTTAATATCATCTGAATTATTAGCCGTTCTGTCGGTTTAATGTTAACTGCAAATTTTGGTCAATGGATTTGCCATTCTGTCCTCCGGATCAGAAATCAACATGCTTTATGGGGGCAGCCCCAGCCGGGGGCCCGGGAGCCCATTCCAGTTCCAGCTGCAAGGGGCTGAACACCACCATTTATGCCTGTCACCCACGTTACCTGTGGCAGGGAGCAAACAACAGTGTATATGTGCGTGTGTGTGTGTGTGACGGGGGCGGAGAGAGAGACACACACACAGAAGAAAGAAAGAGAAAGAAGAAAGAGAAACGAGAGAAAGAGAGGAGAGAGAGAAAGGAGAGGGGAGAGAGAAGAGAGAGGAGAGAGAGAGCGGGGAGAGAGAGGAAAGATGGGGTGGGGGAGAGAGAGAGAGAGGAAAGAGAGAGAGGAGAGAAAGAGGAAAGAGGAGGGAGAGTCTGGCTGCTGACCTCACCTGTATTAGAGGGGCGGGGGGCAACAGGGGAGCTTGGGGGTCACAGATAAGTGAGTGGAGGGAGGACAAGAAGGGGGCGACCTCCAAAGAGGCAGGGAACCAGAAGGTGCCCGGCACGAAGAGGAGGAGGAGGAGGGGTAGGAGGAGGGGGAGGGAGGGGGAAGAACAGGGGGAGGAGGGAGAGGGAGAAGAGGAGGAGGAGGAGGGGAGGAGGGAAGGGGAAGAAGAGGAGGACGAGAGGGAGTGGGAGGGGAGGAGGGAGGGGGAAGAAGAGGGGGAGGAGGGACAGGGAGAGGAGGAAGGAGGGACGGGGAGAGGAGGAAAGAGGGGGAAGAAGAGGAGGAGGAGGGGGAAGGGGAGGGGAGGAGGGAGGGGGAAGAAGAGGGGGAAGGGGAGGGGAGGAGGGAGGGGGAAGAAGACGGGGAAGGGGAGGAGGAGTGGGAGGAGGGGGGGAAGAGTGGGAGGAGAAGGGAAGGGGAGAAGAGGAGGAGGCCGCTGCTGCATCCTCTGACACTGATTCATTTCTGTATCCTCTGACACTGAAGAGAGCTTTCATGGATGGATAAATGAAAGAATGAATGAATTAATGAATTAGGGGATCTGAGGAACTTGGGAGAAGCAGAAACAGAAAAGAGAAAGGGTCACCCTCCAGGGTGACTATTAAAATCAGGGCTGGGCATGGGGGTGGTGGGTACCTGTGGTCCCAGCTACTCTGGAGGCTGAGGCGGGAAGACACTTGAGCCCAGAAGTTCAAGGCTGCAGTGAGCTGTGATCCCACCACTACGCTCCAGCCTGGGCAACAGAGTGAGACCCTCTCCCCAGAAAAACAAAACAAAACAAAGCCATGGACAGAGATGTCTGCCTGAAACTCAGAGTTAAACAGAAATAAGGCAGGAGAGAGTGGCTGTGGCCGACCGGGGGTGGCAGGGGTCTTGAGGAAGCCCCCGCAGAGGCCTTTCCTGTCAGGGCCCCGTGGCTTCCTGGAGGAGGCAGGGCTGCAGGTGCTTAAAAGGAATGTATTATTTTTAATAGCTAACATTTATTGAACATCCAGCATGTCTCAGGCACTATTTTAAATATTCTACAGAAAATAACGGATACTTTTAACAATCTACCTAGGCACTGTGATTTTTCGAACAGCTTTACTAAGATATAATTCATATGCCATGCAACTCACCCACGTAAAGCACACAATTCGACGCTTCTTAGAGTATTCACAGCGTCGTACAACCATCACCACAATCAACTTTAGACCGTTTTCATCACCCCCAAAAACAAACCCCACACACCTTAAGCCATCACTCCCCACTACCCTTCCTCTCAGCCCCTGACAGCCACGCCTCTATTTTGTGTCTCCATGGAATTGCCTATTCTGGGCATTTCACATGAGTGGAATTCTACAGATGTGGTATTTTGTGTCTGGCTTTTTAAACTTAGCATCTGGGCTAGGCACAGTGGCTCACGCCTGTAATCCCAGCACTTTGGGAGGCCGAGGCAGGCGGATCACTTGAGGTCAGGAGTTTGAGACCAGCCTGGCCAACATGGTGGAAACCCCGTCTCTACTAAAATTACAAAAACTAGCCGCGCGTGGTGGCACATACCTGTAATCCCAGCTACTCGGGAGGCTGAGACAGGAGAATCATTTGAACCCAGGAGGTGGAGGTTGCAGTGAGCCGAGATGACGCCACAGCACTCCAGCCTGGGTGACAGAGCGAGACTCCATCTCAAAAAAAAAAAAATAAATAAAATAAAATAATAAACTAAGCCTCTAATATTTTCAGTGTTCATCCATGCTGCAGCCTGTGTGGAACTTCATTCCTTTCTATTGTCGGATAATATTCCATCGTGGCTACACCAGCTCCTGTGTTCACCCAGCCTTCAGCTGAGGGGTGTTGGCGCAATTTCCACTTTTTGGCTATTATGAACAAAGCTGCTGTGATCACTCACATATAAGTTCTTGTGTGGATATATGTAGCCATTTCTCTCGGGTATATTCCCAGGGGTGGAATGACTGGGTCACATGGTATGTCTGTATTTAACCATCTGAGTTGCCTGGTTTTTTGTTTTGTTTTGAGACAGGGTCTCACTCTGTCACCCAGGCAGAAGTGCAGTGGCACGATCTCGGCTCACTGCTGCCTTGATCTCCTGGGCTCAAGCGATCCTCCTGCCTCAGCTTCCCAAGTACCTTGGACTGCAGGAGCGTACCACCACACCTGGCTAATTTTTTTGTATTTTATACAGATGGGGTCTTGCCACGTTGCCCAGGCTTGAACTGCCTGTTTTTAAAGGAGTTTATTTTAAAGATAAAAGAAAGGGAATTAAAGAGCAGTACTCGAGGGCAAAGTCCACATCTATTGGCCCCAGGAAAAGAGAGATTTTTTTTCTCATTCATTTCTGTGTCCTCTGACACTGAAGAGACCTTTCATTCATGGAAGGATGAATGAATGAATGAATGAATGAATGAATGAATGAATGAGGGGATCTGAGGGACTTGGGAGAAGCAGAAACAGAAAAGAGAAAGGAGAAGTTCAGTTTTTTCCAGTCTTGAAGCTGAGCGCTGGCTTGGACTGGGACCCTGAGACCTGCCTGCCCAGGAGGGCTTCCAGAGGAGCCCCCCAGGAGTGGCTGTGGGCTCCCCCTGGCCCCTGGGCCTGGACCTCCCTCTCACCCACCTCAGGGCCTCGGCTCTGCTCCGGGAGGTGGTAGCTCAGCACTGCAGCCTTCGCCACTAAGTCATGCTTTTCCAGTCTCTCTCTTGAACAACATCTCCCAAAAAGTGTGATTTTTCGCTCCATGCTGTCTGACACAGCAGTAACAGCCCGTTAAGCAAAATAATGAGAGGAATAAAATCCGCTGAGACGCGGGACCTCCAGACCCACCCGGCACACAAATCTTGAGGTTATAGAGCCCGCGGTCTACAGGCTTTCAGAGGATCAAAGTGCCGGGTGGGAGACATCAGGCCGGGCGAGCGGGCGGCCCGGGGTGGCCCTGTCCCTGCAGCCTGGAGCTCCGAGCAGCGTCCCTGGCAGCACCTGCTGCAGCCGTGACGGGGGCCGTCTTCCGTCTCTGAGCGGCGGGAGCCTCCTGGTAGCCTCCCGGGCTGCATTTTTGCAATCTGGGGTTCTGAGCCCCGTGCACCTGCCCTGAAGTGTTACAGAAATGGCCCCGGTCAAGCCTGGGACTCTCTCCAGCCCAGGCCGGGCTTCCTGAACTCCTCGGCCCACCGCAGAGACCCAGCTGCCTCTCTGGCCTCCCTTGCCTGTGTCCTGAGGACCTGGGCCTGCCTAAAGCCCCCAGCCCTGCTCCCCACCCCTCTCCCGGCCTGAATCCCACCCAAGAGCTCACCCTCTCCTCAGACCTGCTGGGGGACTCTCAGTCTCTATGGGGGCTGTGTGGCAGGCGGGGCCCACAAACCACTGCCACAACGCCCCCTGTACCACCACTCTCCCAACACCTTCCCCACCAGGAGGCAGGATCTTCCACGCCCCCTCCTCAACCCAGACAGGCCTTCGAGAGGGTCTCGATGGAGAGAGTAAGACCAAAGAGACATCGCACCAGCCTCCCAGGGTTGCCGGAACAAACGCCACACACCAAGCGACGCCGGCCATGGGCATTCATCCCTCACAGTCCTGGAGGCTGAAGTCCGAGACCAAGGCGTGGGCAGGGCTGGTTCCTACTGAGGCCTGTCTCCTTGGTTTGCAGACGCTGTCTTCCTCCTGGGTCCTCACAGGGTCGTGCCTCTGTGTGTGTGTGTGTCCTGATCTCCTCTTCATATAAGAACACCTGTCAGATTGGATTAGGGCCCACCCCTATAACTTCACTGGACTTTTGTTTTTGAGACAGGGTCTTGCTCTGTCACCCAGGCTGGAGTGCAGTGGCACCATCACGGCTTACTGCAGTCTTGAATTCCTAGGCTCAAGCAATCCTCCCACCTCAGCCTCCCAAGCAACTGGGACCACGGGCGCAACAACATGCCCAGCTAATTTTTCTTTTTTTTTTCAGTAGAGATGAGGTCTTGCTATGCTGCCCAGGCTGGTCTCAAACTCCTGGGCTCCAGCGATTTTCCCACCATGGCCTCCCAAAGGGCTGGGATTACAGGCATCAGCCACTGTGACCACTGTTTTTTTGTTTTTTTCTTTTCTTGTAGAGATGGGGTCTTGCTCTGTCCAGCCCAGGCTGGTCTCGAACTCCTGGGCTCAAGTGATCCTCTCGCCTTGGCCTCCCCAAAATGTCTGGATCACAGGCGTGAGCTGCCACACCCAGTCTCCTCATTTTACTGTCACCCTCTCTTTCAAGGCCCGGGCTCCAAATACCATCCCATTCTGAGGCCCTGTGGGTTAAGACTTCAACATATGAATTTAGGGGGACAAAATTTAACCCATAACGGATGCCATCTGACCTCCAAGGCTGGGTCCTCAAAGCGAACACACTTGCCCCCGGAGCCCAGGTGCGGGGCCGCGGGGGTCCCAGGCCACGTGGACAGGAACCAGGGCCTCTGGTCCTCGGCGCTGGCTGAAATTCCAGCCGAGACCCAGACCCATTTTCCAGCAGCCCTATGAGGTGCGGACGCCATCATTCCCATTCCACAGAGGAGAAGACAGAGGCCCAGAGAGGACAGGTCGCTGGCACCTTCCAGAGAAGGGCACGTGGGGGATCTGAATACTCACACACCTTAACTGCCCTCGGTCCAAGCTCTTCATCATGATACTTCAGCCTGGGCCGTCATCCCTGATCCGAGGCTGCACCTGGAATGACCGAGGCCTCACCTGGAAGGCACGGCCCCAGCAGCCGGTAAACATCCTCAAGGAGCGGCGGGAAGCAAGGACAAAAGGCACCGAAATGGCACAGACAACAAGAGCCCCGGGCGACGGGCTCGGTCCTGCCTGGTCTGCTGACCTGCCCGCCTGGCGGTGAGAAGACTGGGACCCAGACAGAGGCCGGTGCGTCCGGGCTGACCCAGATGGCCCCACAGTGCGGAGGTGCATCCCGAGGACGTTGAAGAATCTTGGCACCGGGAGGGCTGAGGCTGGAGGAGGAGTTAAGTCCCAGGACCCCCACCCCGACGGGACCCTCCTGGGTCTGGTAGCAGGCGGGTGACACAGGGGGGCTCTGGGTGTGTGCCCACCCTGCTTCTCTTCATCTGCTTCTTACTTCACTCTTCCCTCCTGGCTGCCTCCCTGACCCCTTCTCTCCTTCTCCACTTTTTTTATTTTTTTTTTTAAGATGGAGTCTCCCTCTGTCTTGCTCTGTCATATGAGGAGACCGGGTGTGGCAACTCATGCCTGTGATCCAGACACTTTGGGAGGCCAAGGCGAGAGGATCACTTGAGCCCAGGAGTTCGAGACCAGCCTGGGCTGGACAGAGCAAGACCCCATCTCTACAAGAGAAGAAAAAACCAAAGAAACACTGGTCACAGTGGCTCTGTCACCCAGGCTGGAGTGCAGTGGCGCGATCTCAGTTCACTGCAGCCTCTGCCTCCCGGGTTTAAGCGATTCTCCTGTCTCAGCCTCCCAAGTAGCTAGGATTACAGGTGCCCACCACCACGCCTGGCTAAGTTTTGTATTTTTAGTAGAGACATGATTTCACTATATTGGCTAGGCTGGTCTCAAACTGCTGACCTCAGGTGATCTGCCCGCCTCAGCCTCCCAAAGTGGTGGGATCACAGGCGTGAGCCACCACACCCGGCCCCTTCTCTCCTTTCTCTGAAAACCAGACTTTAGATTTCCCACATCCGGTGGGAAATAAAGCTACCCCATGGCCACCAGCAGGGACAAACCCACTGTCCCCAATTCCCCCAAATAACTGAGAAAGAGGATCTGACTGTTTCAGCTTCAGCCCTGGTGTACGGGGCAAGTTTTCCCTGGGTAGCAGCTGAGCCCCACCCTGGACTGGCAGGTTCATCCTAAAACCGCCAGCTCCCAACACCGCCAACTCCATTGCACCCACCGGATTTAACCCCCTGCGGGCTGCTTCTCCTGCCCTATCCCCCACAGCGCTGGCCACAGCACCCCACAAACAGAGCCTGCTCCCCGACACCCAGGCGGGATGACAGGTACCTCAGAAGCTCTGCATGAACGTGACCTTCCCCGCCTTGCTGGGTACAGCACCCAGAAGTGGAAAAGTGATAGGAATCTTGGCTGGTCCACCAGGAAAAGGAACATGGTGTTGGTCCCAAGGCCTCCACTTTAGAGACACTGGAAAACCAGACCATTCCCAGGGACCAAGGTGGGCTGGACCCAGACATCAGCACACATATGCGTGCTTAAGGAATCAGAGGTGGTCAGCAGCAGATGAGAGAGCCACTTCCTTGAGGACAAGGAACGGGCATTATTTTGTGTGTCTTCAGAGGGCAGAACAGAATCAGCAAAAGCAGATTTGACCAAACCCAACCAACATTAGACTTTGCCACTCCTAGAGGTAGTGAGCTCTCTGTCACTGGAGGTATTCAAACAGAGACAGGACAGCTATGGGTCAGGGACATCGCACAAGGTGAGTGTTTGGCCTTCAGGCTCCCTCGGGTTCTTCTCTGATTGCTGCCATCCTGGGCTGGCTCTAGGGAGAGAGCGTGCAGTCCTCTCTGTCTAAAAATGAACTCTTGCTTCTCATCATTTCTGTCATGTTGCGCCCGACAGTAACAGCTGTTAAGAAATCACATTTGTACCTTTTCAGGAGCTCTCTTGAACTTGGAGTGCAAATTAACTTCATGTGATCTGAAATATAAAAGGTCGCTTCTCCCACAAATTAAAAATCCAGGAGATGCTTGCCAAGCTCACGAGCAGATCAGGTTCTGCGGGGACGTGAGCCACGGAGGACTCGGCGGCCACCCCGCTGCCCTATGCACGGGGACGGCTCCTGCTGCCCTCGCTCAAGGCCATCCACTCTGGTCACAATGTCCCCAGCTGCGGCCTCTTCGACCTTCTCCGCCAGCATTCAGGGGGATTCTGTCCTCCATTTGAGCTCTCTGGGCTTCCAAACACCCTGAACACCCAGGACCCTGAGGGGCTTGTCTTCCTGGCTTCCTGCCAGAGACCCTCATGTCGCAAACAGGCGGGCATCGCCCAGGGCCTCCACTCTCCCCCGCCTCACCAGGGAGGCCCTGCCAGGCCCTGTTCTCCCCAGTCACAGGCGTCCCAGCACCCAGCCCCTCGGACCACAGCCCCGAAGGTGCGGGAAGCTCTGGCTTCTCCCTGTTCCTGCCCCATAACTCCCTGCTGATAGTCCCAGCCACCAGGACCGGGCTCCCCGCTCCTGTACCTCCTCCCAGTTCTCTCGGGTCCACACTGGTCACAAGTCCCACACATCTGGGGTGTTGTCACCCGGGCCTGGCCCTGGGGAAGCTAAATGGGAGCTGAAGTCGTTGACAAGGACACAGCCCAGAGAGGCCAAGTGACTTCCGCATGGCTGCACAGCCCCTTCGAGGCCTCGCCTGCTGGGAGCCACCTCTCCTCGGACCCCACACAGCCTCAAGCACCACCGCAGCTGAGCCTCTGAATCCCAGTTCCAGAGTGACCTCCCCACCAAGTCTGGTTCTCCAAAACCCTCCCACTGTCGCTCCAGGGATGGGCTGGGCCTCACAACAGCCACCCCTCCTACCCGCCTGATCAGCATTTTCAGAAGCCCACGCCCACAGATGCTGCCTCCCACCACCCCGCCCACCCATGGAACCCCACAGACCTTGCTCCCACCACAAACTGTGGCCATCACAGGTGGGGTGGTGTCCACCAGAGCCCCTCTCTGGGGTTCTGCATCAGCACAGCCCCACCCCCCACCCTTTCTCCTGTGCAAGACCCTTGGCCTGGGAATTCCACTCAGCCCAGGACACTCCTGTCTTGCTGCCAACCAGAAGTCTGACCCGCCTGGCAGGGCAGCCCACCCCCTGCACACCTGCCAGGTCAGGCTCAGCCTGGAGGGCTCCAACCTGGCCCAGTCACGCCCCCGGGGGCCTGCGCACCACTGGCCTTCTGAGTCTCTGAAGGCTGCACACCCCGTCCACACACCTGTGCACACACATGTCTATTCACTGTGTCCCCACCCAAATCTCATTTTGAGCTGTAGTTCCCCACCCAAATCTCAGTTTGAGCTGTAGTTCCCATAATCCCTACGTACCATGGGAGGGACCCAGTGGGAGGTAATTGAATCATGGGGGCGATTACCTGCATGCTGTTCTCGTGATAGTGAGTGAGTTCTCAAGTGATCTGATAGTCTGATAGTTTTCCCTGCTTCACGCTGCACTTCTGCACTTCTCCTTGCTGCTGCCATGTGAAGAAGGACGTGTTTGCTTCCCCTTCCGCCATGACTGTAGTTTTCTGAGGCCTCCCCAGCCATGCTGAACTGTGAGCCAGTTAAACTTCTTTCCTTTATAAATGACCCAGTATTGGGTATGTCTTTATCAGCAGCATGAGAACAAACTAATACACCTGTCCACACACACCTGTGCACATGCCTGTCCACACACACACACCTGTCCACACCCCTGTGCACACGTCTGTCCACATATTTGTCCACACACCTGTGCACCTGCTGCCTCCCTCTGACACATCTTCCCTCTGCAGCCGACACCCACTGAGCCTGCCCTGGCCAGTCCTGCAGAAGGCCAGCAGCCCGGCTACCCACTTTCCAAAAGCTGCTTATCTGACATCACAGCTCCCACAGGGGAGAGAAACCCGGCGAACATAATGAATCCAGAGAAGCTTCATCATTAGTTCAACCTTTCAGCTGAGGCCGTGTTTACACCAGAGAGCAGGCCTGGAAGGCAATCGTGGGTGGGAAGCTTCTCTCAGATTTTGGGGAAAATTACAGGCACGAAGATGCGCCGGAGGCCTGGAGACCTCGTAATTGATACAGAAGGGCGGCCCAGAGGGAGCAGGGGCTGGCTCAGGGTCACACAGCGCATGCCCCGCACTGGCCTCTGCACCAGCCTCCATCTCCTTAATGACCCCCGCAAGGAGGCATCAGAACTCAGCAGGTGCAGCCCCTCAAGGTTGGTAAATACTTTTATGTTTTTGAAAAGTGTAATTTAAAAACTCAGTGTGACATCCTATCCAGCCACGGGCCTCAGGATACACTTAACCCTCCTGCTGGCCCTTCTGCCCAGCTGAGCCTGGGATCCCACCCGTGAGCCGGGGACTGTCACGACCCACACTCGATCCCCTCCATACGTCCCATGGCCTCCCGCGGCATCTCCCCTTCTTCCTCCATCACTGCTCCATTTTCCCAAAGGCCCCAGGAGTTCTGGTTTCTCCATTTTCCTCTCAATGAAGTGTGAGAGGCCCTGCCCCCCACAGACCCCCTGGAAGCTCTGAGGATCATCCTCTCTTCCCTGTGCCCACATCCAGGCCCCTGCAAACCCCACAGCAGCTGCCAGCTGCACCCTGAACACAGCCAACCCCGTGCCAGGGGCCAGAGGCCTTACGGAGCCTCGCCCCGCCACCTTGGCTCCTTCGTCTCATACCGTGAGCCTCCTGGCTCACCACCGAGATCACGTGCTGCCTGCCATGGGGTGAACGGGGACCCCAAAAAGAGCTACCCAAGCGCTGACCCCTGGGACCTGTGCATGGGACCTTTCACCCTGTGAATTGGTCTTAGGGAATGGAATTGATTAAAGACATCAAGATGAGGTCATCCTGGATTCAGGATGGGCCCCAAATCCAATGACAGATGTCCTTGTAAGAACAGAGAAGGACACAGAGACACAGAGGCCATGTGACGAGGGCCGTGGGATGACAGCAACAGAGATTGCAGCGGTGTGTCAGCCATGAGCTGTTGGCAGCTGCCAGAAGCAGGAGAAGGGCCTGGAATAAATTCTCCGCTGCCAGGACCCTCAAGAAGGAACCAGCCCTGCTGACTCCGACTCCTTGGTTCCCTCCTGACCTGTGGGATGGTAACTTTCTGTGGTTTTAAGTCCCACAGTTTGCAATAACTCATCATGGCAGTTGGCAGTTGAAGGAAGCTGCCTCTCTTTCAGTCCCTAAAACATTTGAGTCCTTTTCTGCCTCCGAGCCTTTACATACACTGTTCCCTCCGCCCAGAATGCTTTTCCCTCGACCTCCACCTGCCTGCCTTCTGCTCGGCACTCAAGCCTCAACCGAAACATCACCTCCTCAGATGCTCCTCCTCGAACCACCCGCCCAGGCACGATTGCGCCCCTCCACGTTGGTACCGTCGTGGCGCTGATTGCCGGAAATGGGCTCACGCATTGACTGGTGCGCTCCTCTTCCCATCTGTCCACACCCCCGGATGCGGCCATCAGCTGTCTTGGCCCCCGAGGTGACCCAGCGTGGACACGGCACCTGGCACAGGGTACCTGGTTGGTAAACGAGCATAGAGTCAGTGACTCAAGCAGAAAGACCACGGGGAGAATAATTTGCAGGCCTGGGGGAAGAAAAAGCAGCGTGGACCCTGGGAACCACGTGTTTCGCCTGCGTACACTGTTGCCATTCTCTGCAATGGCAGGAGAGAGGCTATTGGGTTTTAAATCTCCAGGAAGCTGATAAATGCATTTGACTCCCAGCGCCTCATAGGTGGAGTACACCCCCACCCACACACAGCCATTAGAGCCCTGGGGATAGGGCACGGAGCCTGGAACACGTCGGACCCCACTAACGCCAGGCCATCACTCCATCTCCCTAAATATCTGATTTCTGTCATGCGGGGCTGTAAACTGTCCCCACGCACACGGCACCCAAGATTGTATCAGGGGCTGAGTGGCCTCTGCTCCTCCAGGAGCTTGTAGATAAACACGGCTGTTTCTCTCTTGGCTGACACGGGAGGGGAATGTCGCAGCCATGAGGCATTGAGAGGTTAAAATGTTTAATTAATTTTTCCTGACCGGTCTTTGCAGGGCCCCTTTGCAGACGAAAGGCACTGTGGCCCCCAAGGTGTGGCTTCGCTAATGGAGTCAGAATCTGTACAATGGGTTAAAAATGCACAAATAAATCCCCAGCTCCTAAGGGTTGGCCTGGAAAACTAGAGAGATGGCTCCCTGTTGAGTGAGGAGGTGAAATTGAGGAATTGGAATATGATTTGGGGAGAGGGGTTTATCTTGATCTCTGCACCCTCCCTCCCCCGACTTGTTTTCCGGGCTCTATCCTGGAAGGAGCCGGGGGTGTGGGCAGCGGCGGGTGAGGGAAGGGACGAGGGGATCGTGAGGTGAGGGGTGCTCACGATCCCACCCCACCCCATGCCCGTGCCACAGCCAGTCCCAGGACTCTGGTGCACTGGAGGTGCTTGTGAAACAGCTCCAGAATGAACGTTCAGGTCCCTATCTCACCCTCGCCCCTGCCCCACCCTCTCCAGACTTGACATGGGCAGGACTGGCCTCTTCTCCATCCCATGGCCAGCTTGGCCCCTGCTGCAGCCCCAGCCCAAACATCTCTTCATCAGAAACCACCCAGGCCCCCGGATTCCAATTCATCCCAGCTGGTCTCTCCAGATTCTCAGCATTCATGTACACAGAAATACAGGCATGTTCGTTTCTTGTTTTCTTTCTCTTCTACTAAACAGGGAGCTCCGTGGAGGCAGTGGCCTTTCTAGTCCTGTTCACTGCCGTATCTCCAGAGCTGACAGAGCTCCTACAGTCCTAGACAAGCAAGGACTGCTTGGATGAGTGGGAGGGTGGATGGCTGGGAGGATGGATGGAGGGAGGATGGATGTGAGGGTGAATGGATGGGAGGATGGATAGACGGATGGATGGGAGGGTGGATGGGTGGGAGAAGGGATGGGTGGATGGATGGATGGATAGGAGGATGGATGGATAGAAGGGAGGGTGGATAGACGGGAGGATAAATGGATGGATGGATGGATGGATGCATGGATGCATGGATGGATGAATGCATGAGTGGATGGGAGGGATGGATGGGAGGATGAATAGATAGATGGATGGGAGGGTGGATGGATGGGAGGATGGATAGATGGATGGACGGGAAGGTGGATGGATAGGAGGATGGATAGATGGATGGATGGGAAAGTGGATGGATAGGAGGATGGATGGAGGGATGGACAGGAGGATGGATGGAAGGATGGATGGGAGGATGGATAGATGGATGAACGGGAGGGTGGATGGATGGGAGGATGGATGGATGGATGGATGGATGGATGGATGGACGGACGGGAGGATGGATAGATGGATGGACGGGAGGGTGGATGGATGGCAAGATGGATAGATGGATCGATGGGAGGATGGATGGGTGGGAGGGTGGATGGATGGGAGAATGGATGGATGGATGGGAGGATGGATGGGTGGGAGGGTGGATGGATGGGAGAATGGATGGATGGATGGGAGGATGGATGGATAGAAGGGAGGGTGGATAGATAGGAGGATGGATGGATGGATGGATGGATGGATGCATGGATGGATGGGAGGGTGGATGTAGGGAGGATGGATGGATGGATGGATGGAAGAGTGGATGGATGGGAGAATGGATGGATGAATGGGAGGGCGAATGGATGGCAGGGTGGAAGGATGGAAGGATGGATGGATGGATGGATGGATGGATGGATGCATGGATGGATGCATGGATGGATGGGAGGGTGGATGGATGGGAGGGTGGATGGATGGGAGGGTGGATGGATAAATGGATGGATGGATAGATGCATGGATGGATGGATGGATGCATGCATGAATGGATGGGAGGGTGGATGGATGGGAGGGTGGATGGATAAATGGATGGATGGATAGATGCATGGATGGATGGATGCATGCATGGATGGATGGGAGGGTGGATGGATGGGAGGGCGGATGGGAGGATGGATAAATGGGAGAGTGGGTGGATAGGAGGGTGGACGAATGGGAGGATGGATGAATGGGAGGATGGAGGGATAGAAGGGACAGTGGATGGATGGATGCACGGATGGATGAATAGATAAATGGATGAATGGGAAGGTGGATGCATGGATGGATGGATGGATGGATGGATGGATGGATAGATGGGAGGGTGGATGGATAGGAGGATGGATGGAGGAGGGAGGGAGGGAGAGATGGAAAGAGGGAGGATAGATGGAGGGAGGGAGGCATAGAGGAGAGAGGGATGGAGGGAGGAGGGAAAGAAGAAGGAGGAGGGAGAAAAAAGGGGGGAAGAAGGGGGAAGAAAAGGGGCAGGAAGCAGGGAAGGAGGGAGGAAGGAGGGCAGACTAGCGCCCTTGGCCTGGGGCTGTGTCCCTCTGGGGTGGTGACCTTGGGACCATCTCGGAAAGGCAGAGAACCTGGGGCACTATCAGCAGAGGTGCTTCTGGGCTTGGGGGTCTCCTGCGGGGGCTCCAGTCCACCCTGCCTGGATAGCAGCTTCCCAAGGGCCCAAGGTGCCAGGGCTGGGCTCTGGCTTCTCTCCCCATGTTCAGAGGCCTCCTTCCTTCCCCTTGGCCAGCAGGGGGCTCACAAGGAGGTCCTGCAGGCGTCCTGCTAACTCCCTGCCCAGCCTCTGTGAGCACCGCCCTGAGGCAAGGTGGGTCTGGCTGCCCCGAGGCCTGGGGGCCGCCCGGCCTGGTCACACACAGGCATCCTGCACTCAATCTGCCCCAAGCCTCCCTCCCCCCAGCCTTTGTCCCATGCCATGCCCCCTGCCAGGGATGCCCTCCCCAATGCTACTGTCCACTTGGACCCCCAGGGAGAGTCTCTCCTCTGTACCCACACCAAATCACAGGAATACAGCCTGATCTGGGACCGGGCATGTTCTAGCTTGTGTGATAGCTTCCTATTCACACCTTTTATCCTCCAAACCTAATTGAAATCCCAGAGACCCAGATTGTCATCTCACAGCCACCGTCGTCACCGTCCGGGTGCCCTGGGGCCCGTCGCCTTCTGAGCCTTGGTTTTCTGGGGTTACGATGGAGACTGCGGGGGTGTGCGAAGCTTCAGAGTACAGTAACCAGGTGTCACAGAGGTGCACGGAGCACGGGACATGCTGAAAGGGGCTGGTTGCCCTCTTCTTCCTGGGAAAGGGCTCTGAGCCTCAGATTCCAGACCCCTGGAAAGGACGGACAAAAAGGTGAGAGCACAGCTGCCTCGGTCTTGCTGTTTCCAGGTAAACAGTTCTATGGACTCGATGGAGGAGCCTGGCTCCCCCCTACCCATACATGGTCTCCGAAGATGTTCCCGGACAAGGCACTCCCCAGCCGCCCCCTCTCCACGCCCCCACCTGCTACGTCCTGTCCTCTGAACAACAGAAGCAGGGGAGGACGAGGCGTTTGAGGAGTTCAGGGAGTTGGAAGAGAGTTAGCAGATTTCTGAGAACCCCAGGTGCAGCTTAACCTACAAATGGAAAATTATGGTGATGAGAAAGAGGATCTTTGATGAGGCAGAGTCTTGGGGGAATCGGATTTTGGCTGACGTGCAAGAAAAAGGCAGGCTGGGCGGGGAGGCAGGAAGAGGCAGGTGTCCCTGCAGGGAAAGGGGGCGGTGGAGGTGGGAAGCGTGTCCTGAGCGGATGTGGGTGGGGGCGAACAACGGGAGGTGCCCCCCAAGGCCTCGGGGACCCCATTTCCTGCACTGCCAGCTGCCAGCCCTGGGGACCACTGAAGAGAGCTTGGACCCGCCTGGCTGGCTGTTTACGTCTCACCCATCATGCATTAAGCATGCACCTGCTGGGTGCCCCCAGTGACTCCTGGTGCCACCGAGGTACTTCCATAGAGTGCGTGTCTGTCCCCACACCCCCGCAGAGTGGGCTGCTCCTGCCCGCCCGGCCCCACCACCCACTCCCACTGTTGCATGGCCTCTTGTAGCTAGACGCCAGCTGGCCGGTCTCTGGGTGGGCCGCCACGGCTCTTCCCATCCTTCGCGCCCCATTTTTCCTGCCCAGTCATGAGTAGAGTGGATTTCCATCCCCGGAGGGCTGGGCCAGCCATGCTTCCTGTCGGCCGGTGGCATGCAGTGAGGACGTCCCACCTTCGGAAGCATGACCTCAGGAAGTCCCCAGTTTCTGCTGAGATCCTGAGATGCCCAAGAAGGAAACCAGTCCAGCCTCCCGCAGGCAGAGCCCTGTGAGGGGCCGCGGCGCCTCGGACCACCAGCTGGATGCTGCGGGGAGGGGAACTCCCCACCACCCGCCAACCCACAGCCGTCTGACTGATGTGGGCTCCCGGCGAGGGAGGCTGCAGCCTCCCAGACAGCTCTGGCTCAGGCTGGGTGGCTGGGAAGTGCACATAGATTAGCCAGGGTTCTCCAGAGACACAGAACCAAAGGATATATGTGTGTGTCTGTGTGTGCATGTGTGTACAGAGACACAGAGACAGAGACAGACAGAGAGAGAGAGAGAGAGAGACAGAGAGAGATCTACATGGGAATCGGCTCACAGAATCACAGAGGCTGAGAAGCCCCACCATCTGCTGTCTGCAAGCTGGAGGCCCAGGGAAGCCAGTGGAGCAATTCAGTCCAAGTTTGAAGGCCTGAGAACAGGAGCTCGATGTCCAAAGTCAGGAGGAGATGGATGTCCCAGCACAGGAAGAGAGAGAATTCCCTCCCCTGCCTTTGTCCCGGGGGAGGCCTCAGTGGTTTGGGTGACACCTGCCCACATTGGGGAGGGTGGACTTGTCTACTTGGTCTGCTGATTCAAGTGCTGATCCCTTCTGGAAACTTGGGGGAATGGGATTTTGGCTGTCGTGCAAGGAAAAGGCAGGCTGGGCGGGGAGGCAGGAAGAGGCAGGTGGTCCTGCAGGGAGAAGGGGCGGTGGAGGTGGGAAGCGTGTTCTGAGCAGATGTAGGTGGGGGCAAACAACGGGAGGTGCCCCCCAAGGCCTCAGAGACCACAAGACCTGCTAGCTGCCAGCCCCGGGGACTGCTGAAGAGAGCTTGGACCCACCCGGCTGGCCATTACAGCCTCACAGACACGCCCAGAAGTGATGTTTTTTACCAGCTCTCTAGGCGCCACTTACCCCAGTCAAGTTGACTCCTAAAATGAATATCACAGCCAGGTCAGAGGTATGCACAGACTTTCCCTCTGAATTCCCTCGACGCCCTTTGAAGGGGTCCTATTATTATTCCCATCTTATAAAAGAGGATGTTTGAGAGTTTCAGTGATGGCTCCTGACCACACAGCTCAGGGCGGTGAAGCCCAGACACACATCAGCCTTCACGCCTGGGCTCTCAAGTTCTCCCCAGCCTGGTTTTCTCTGAACCCAACCCAAGTCTCTCCACTCCTGAGGGATGATACATGCCCACCCCTCTCCGGAAGCCTCCACGCCCACCCTCTCCTTCCACTTCTCCCAGCTGCATCTCCCAGCCACGCTGCCTCTGACCTGTCTTCCCCAGACCCAGCCTCATTTCTCCAGACCCCGGGCCCCTATCTCCCCTTTCCTCTGCCATTTGGCAGATTTGCTATGTGGCCCCGGGAACACAGTCTTCAGCAATCTCTGTCTAGCACGGTGCAGGGAATTAAAGGTGACTCACACCTGTAATCCCAACAACTTTGAGAGGCCGGGGTGGGAAAATCCCTTGAGTCCAGGAGTTTGAGATCAGCCTAGGCAGCATCTCCAGATCCCTTTGCTACAAAAACATTAAAATTAGCCAGGCTTGGTGGCATGCACCTGTAGTCCCAACTACTCTGGAGGCTGAAGTGGGAGGATCGCTTAAGCCCAGATGGTTGAGACTGCAGTGAGCTTTGATGGTGCCACTGCACTCCAGCCTGGGTGACAGAGCAAGACCCTGTCTACAAACAAACAAATGAACAGAAAAAAGACTGCAAATTCTTTGCCCCCCTCCCATTGAGAGGAAGCTGTTCCCCCTCCCGTTGAATCTGTGGGCTCCGGGCTCCATCAAGAGCATGTGGGGACTGAGTCATTTGTTCACCCGCGTTCACAGCAGCACCGTCCCCAACAGCCAAAAGGGGAAAGCAGCCCAAGTGTCGTGGACCGATGAATGGATACACAAAACGTGGTCCTTCCACACAGTGGAGCATTACTCAGCCTTCAAAAGGAATGAAGGCTGGGCACAGTGGCTCACGCCTATAATCCCAGCACTTTGGGAGGCCAAGGCGGGGGGGATCACCTGCCTGAGGTCAGGAGTTCAAGACCAGCCTGGCCAACATGGTGAAACCCCGCCTCTACTAAAAATACAAAAATTAGCTGGGTGTGTTGGTGGATGCCTGTGATCCCAGCTACTCAGGAGGCTGAAGGAGGAGAATCGCTTGAACCCAGGAGGTAGAGGTTGCAGTGAGCTGAGATTGCTCCATTGCACTCCAGGTGGGTGACAAGAGCAAAACTCATTCTCAAAAATAAATAAATAAAAAATAAATAAATAAAAAATTTTTAAAAGGAAATGAGGTGCCGTCATGTGCTGCAATGTGGATGAAACTCGAGGACATTATGTAAAGTGAAATAAGCCAATTGCCAAAAAACTGATACTGTATGATTCTGCTTATGTGAAGTGTCTGAAATGGCCTTGTTCATAGAGGTAGAGCAAAATGGTGGGTACCAGCGGCAAGAGGGGCAGAAGGATGGAGAGTTATGGTTTAATGCATACAGAGTTTTTATTGCAGATGATGAAAAAGTTTTAGATATAGACAGTGCCGATGGTTACACAATATTGTAAATGTATTTAATCCCACTTACGAATGATTAAAATGATAAATCTTATGTTTATTTCATCACTACCAAAAGGCTGTGGGTGCAGGGGTGCTGGTTTCTGGTCCTAGCCTAAGAGACTGGCAGTTTCCACCTTCTATCTCTTGGGACAGTAGCTCTGGGAGCCCTGAGCTGTCATGCAGGAAGTCCAGCTACCCTGAGACCACCATGCTGGAAAGGCCACAGGGAGGAGCTCTGTGGACAGTCCCAGCTGAACCTTGCCTTCCAGCTGTCCCTGTCAAGATGCCAGGCATGTGAGTAAAGCCATCATGGACCCTCTAGACCAGACTGCCCACCAGCAGGGTACCATCTGGCAGCCACATGGAGCAGAAGAACCGCCCAGCTGAGCCACTTCCAAACTCTTGACCCACTAAGTCATGATCCACAATGAACCCATCATAGGGATGGTTGGCTTTGCAGTGTGGATAATGAGGATGTCATGTGAGAGACAGCTGAGGTACTGACCCAGGGTGTGACTGATGCTCCCCATGTACCCAGAGCTCACTTGTGAAATGAGGACCATGGGACATCATGAGGATGAGAGGCGGTGATCCAGGAGTGTGGACATTCAGCCAATGCCTGACAGAGCTGGGATATAAACACCTCAGCTCCCTCTCCCTCAGGGAAGACTTTGAGGCGTGTGCTCCAGCAGCTGCCCACAGTGGGGGTAGGCATGGAGACACACCCACTGTGGCCCATCTTCCCTTACCCATCTCACTCCCTGGGATGGTTAATTTTATGTGTCCACTTAAGTGCACTGTGGGGTGCCCAGACTACACACTGTGTCTGTGAGAGTGTTTCTGGATTAGATCAGCATTTGAATTGTGGACTCAGGAAGGTGGACTGCCCTCCCCAAGTGGCTGGGCATAATCCAATCCCTCAAGAACTTGAATAGAACAGACAGCAGAGGGAGGAGGAGTTCACCCCTCATTTCCTGCCTCGCCACTGGAGCCGGGACATCTCGTCATCTCTTGCCCCTGGACTGGATGTCCACCATCGGCTGCCCTGGTTCTCAGGCCTCCAGACCTGAGCTGAGTTTGAATCACACCTCAGGCTTCCCTGGGTTTCCAGCTTGCAACACAGATGGTGGGCCTTCTCAGCCCCCAGAGTCACATAAACCAGATTCCTCATCCTAAATCTCCTCTGTGCGTTGGTTCTGCTTCTCCGGAGAGCCTACACTAACACGCTCCCCCTCTTTCCCCTGCAATTCCTGAGATCACCTACCAAAGAAAGCACATATTCTCAACTGCATCCTTCAGGGTCTCCTCCTGGGGGGGGCCCTGGTCCGAGACAGCTGGGATTGACTAGCCCCAAGGCTTCTGAACAGCCACTACCCGGCTTTGACTGGGAGGGCCAGGGCTCGGATAGGAGGGCAGGAGCAGATGGCTCGGGAAGGGAGAGCTCGGGGACACCTGGAACTGCAGTTCTACAACGAAGTAGCTGTGGGAGAAGTTGCTGAACCTCTCTGAGCCTCTGTTTTCTCACCTTTGAAAAGGGGCAATGGTGCCTTCCCCATCAGGTGGCTGTGAGGTGTGGATGTGGGTAGACGCTGGGCTTGGCTGAGGAATCACTGCTGGGGATCTCCTCTCGCGCTGGTCCTTTTCTCGCCGTTCGTCCCTGCCCTGCCCCTGATGGGCTGTGTGACCCAGGAGGCATTGTTTTCCCTCTCTGGGCTTCAGATTCCTTCACCGTTCTGCAAAGGGATTGACCTAGATGGCTGAGGCCCCTCGGACTCCTAGAAAACAGTGTTTGCTCAGGAGACATGGCCCCGGGGACGCCACTACTCTGGACTTGTGGGATGGTTTCTCTCCTGGAAGGGCTAGAAGGAGAAGAAGCCTGCGGGAAGGAGGAATGTGGGTGGCGTCTTCGCCCCGGGCTCCTCCTCGCCTTGCCCCGTCTGGGCTCCGACATTGAAGATGGCGAGAGAATCCAAGACTTCCCTGGGCCCCTCGTCTCTGCACTCTCAACCCTCTCAGCAGCCTCCGGGGCACCTGGGCTACTCCTCGGGGGACACCTGCCATCCCTCCCACATTTCCCACGGCTTTGGTTGCTACCAGCCTGGGCCCTCTGTGCCATCCCAGAACTCCCTGAGTCTCCACAGCCCCTCCGCGGCCGGGGTGGGCAGGGACTGGCAGGTGGCCTGAGGACGTGGGCACAGGGGTGAGCCTCCCCGCTCCAGACGCCGCCCCAGGCTAGGAGGACAGGGGACCAGGAAAAGGACACCCGCCAGGGCGTCTGATCCCAGGGCAGGAAAGGGGCAGGCTGCCAAGTCGCACGCATCCCAGGCAGTGTCCACGTGCAATCCATCATCTGCCGCTGCCTGAGAAGGATCCCGGCTCCGTGCAGGAGGTCTGCCCGCCCGGCCAACCCGTCTGCCCGCTCTGCGACCTCAGCGTCCTTCTGCCCCGGTCGCCAGGCGGGGTGGGGGCTGCAGCTACAAAGCCCAGCCTGGGAGGCCGCAGGAGAACAGGGTGCTGTTCCCAATGTGTGAATGGGAACACTGAGGCAGGGTGGGGAAAACGCCTTTAGGTCCCCCTGAGGGAGGGGACGGGTCCTGGGAAGCAGGTCCTTCAGCCTCGGTTAGGATAGGTCATGTGACAGAACCGTCCAGTATCAACACCAGAGCTGGGCGAGGCTGGACTCCCAGCACAGTGCTCAGATATCCCCTGCATCCAGGAACAAGAGCCACTGCACCTGGGGCTCCAGCCTCCCAGGGCTCCAGCCTCCCAAGACTGCCTCAGCCTGGAGCTGGCGGGAGGGGGCGGATCCGGAGGGAGTGGCCCTCACCCTAATGAAGCCATCTTGCCGCCATAATAAAGACCTCATGTACCTCCAATGACACTTAGCAAATCCGGGCACAAATAAATAACCCAAGTCCAATTGAATTAACCTTCAGCTGATCAGCACAGCTAAACAAATTACCCCGAGGCCCGAACGAGATTAAAAGACCGGGCGCAGACTGCGATCGTTCGGCAAGAGGGTTCATTGGGTTTAACGAGTTTAAGCCAAATCCCCCGGCGTTCTTTTCTCTGGTTTCAGGCCACTTTGCTCCCAGAGTGCAGCCTTTCTGGGGGCCGCAGTCCCCCGGGGGGGTCGGTGGGGAAAAGCCAGGTGCCTGGCGGGGAGGGCGAGGCCAAGGGAGTGGCGGTGGAGGAGGGAGACCCCCTGCCTGTGCCGGGGAGGAGAGCGGGAGGCCACGGCAGACAGTGTCCCCAGGGGCGCAGCCAAAGCTGGTTTCCAAAGAGACATGCGGGTGCCGGGGCTGGAGGTCTCTCGTCCTCCTAACTCGACATCCGATGGCACCCCTTCATGCCCAGCTGCGTTTAGACCCGGGCTGACTCCCAGGAGGAACCTGCTTTGTAAGGTCTCATCCCAGAGTCACGCTTCTCCCACCCAGACCCCAGGCTCTGCCCCAGCCCAGGCAGAGGGTAGGAGCTGGAGGCTCGCTGTGGTTGGACAGAGCTGCTCCCTGGGTGGGAGACCGCAGTGGTGCAAGCCCGTAACGACAGATCGAACTGCCACCCTGCCAGCTGCCTGCGACACGGGGGTCAACATCACTTTTAGAAGAACGGAGACCACTCCGGGGGGTTTCTCTGCCCGCCGCCACCCCAGGGCTGCCGGCCTTTCTGCCTTCAGCTGGCAAAAGGGGCCTGCCCTCGGCTGGGATGCAGCGGCCAGGGAAGGTGGGCCCTGGAGGGAAGCAAGGACCATGCAGTGCCCAAGGAACCACTGCCCAGAGCACACGGCCCTCTTCCTGCTCCGGGTGGAGCACTCAAACAGGCTGGAGAGGCCGCCCACCCGGAGGCAGCTCCCAAGCGAGGGACCCAGCTATAAACACACGAGAGCCGTCCACCCAGGCCGTGGTGGATCCAGTGAGATGTGGCTCCGGAACTTACCCAGAGAGAGAGAACTCTGCAAACAGTGCTCCCCAGTCGTCGGTTCTAGAGGCAAACGAGGTGTGGCCTCCCAAGGCAGGGGTGCAGGAGGCTGTGTCAGCCTGGACTTCTCCCCTCGGGGGATTTGCTTGTAGCCCAGGAGACTCAAGGGGAACCTTAACCTCAGGGAATTCAAAAGGCCCTGTTGTGTGCATCGCCCGAGAGCTGGTGGCCGGGAAGGGCTTCCTAGCAGGTCTGGCTTGTGTGGTGGTGAGATCCGCAGTGGCGCTCCGGCGCCCTGGGTCAGGACGGAGGTCGGGGCTGCTCTGCTCACGGCCAGAGCCATGCAGACGCCGTGGAGCTGGGGCCACTCTGGGAGAGGTTGGGGTCCCAGTGCCTCGGCTGAATTTCCAGGTTTTTGCTCTGTGGGTGTTTAGGAAGTCGTGCCTGGTGGCACCCACAGTGGTCCTGAGAGGGCACTGCCTGTGTCCTCGTGTTGGGGTTCACCATTAGGTGGTGTCGGTAGGAGCCACCTGAGAATAGGGTGGGGACGGGAGAGAGTCCCTTAAAGCACCAGCGGATGATGGCTGCATTTGACAAGAGAGAGCGGAGACTCCATTAGCCATTAACTCCCCAGGGAGCTCATCCACGTGGCGGGGGCGTGCAGGGCGGGATGACGGGTGCAGGAGGCGCGATGGCCATCAGCTGATACAGCGAGGCCAGCAGCAGGAGAGCAGCAGGAGAACAGCCCAGCCCGGATCATCCAAGCTTTGCCGGGGGCCTGGCGGGCACAGACCCAGCCTGGGTACTGTGGGGGTGCATGGATGCTCCTTGCCTTGTCCCTGAACACAAGAGGCCACCGTCCGGCTGGGACCAAAAGCCAGAGAACAGTAAACCCAAAACACGGCAGTTCAGAATGGGAGACGTCCCAGGCCCCAGGTGAGAAACACCGAGCTGGCTACAGATGCCCAGGACTGGGAAGGCTTCCTGGAGGAGGAGGCTTGAATGGGGCCTAGAACCAGCCACGGGACACCTCAGAGGTCCTTCCAGGGGTTGGACAGAATCCGAGGCAGAAGAGAAAAGCAAATCCGATCAAATCACTGGGCTTCCTCCCTCAGGGCTGTGTGCTGGGGTTACCCCAACACTGAATCTCTGCATTTACTGAGTGAGTGTCTCTTCCAGGAAGGGGTGGGCACGGCCCTCTTGCCCACTGGTGGGTCCCAGCATCCAGCAGCTGGGGATGCTCCGTAAATATCTGTGGACCGAATGAATTTGGACAATGAGTGGACCAGTGCCAATGAGGTGGGGGCTCTGTAGTTGAAGAGTGTGGCCCTGCCAGGCGTGGTGACTCACGCCTGTAATCCCAGCACTTTGGGAGGCCGAGGCTGGCAGATCACTTGAGGTCAGGAGTTCGAGACCAGCCTGACCAACATGGAGAAACCCCATCTCTACTAAAAATATTTAAAAAATTAGCCGGGCGTGGTGGCACATGCCTGTAATCCCAGCTACTTGGGAGGCTGAAGCAGGACAATCGTTTGAACCAAGGAGGTGGAGGTTGAGGTGAGCCGAGATGGCACCATTGCACTCCAGCTGGGCAACAAGAGCGAAACTCTGACTCAAAAAAAAAAAAAGGAAAGAAAATTAGCTGGGCATGGTGGTCTGCACCTGTAGTCCCAGCTCCTCAGGAGGCTGAGGCAGGAGAATCGCTTGAACCCGGGAGGTGGAGGTTGCAGTGAGCTGAGATCGTGCCATTGCACTCCAGCCTGGGCAACAAGAGTGAAACTCAGTCTCAAAAAAAAAAAAAAAAAAAACCCAAAAGGATTAATTTGTTGTTGTTGTTTTAAGATGGCGGCTCACTCTGTCTCCCAGGCTGAAGTGCAATGGCGAGATCTCGGCTCGCTGCAGCCTCCACCTCCCAGGTTCAAGAGATCCTCCTGCCTCAGCCTCCTGAGTAGCTGGGGTGACAGGTGCCTGCCACCATGTCCAGCTAATTTTTTTTGTTTTGTTTTTAGTAGAGACAGGGTTTCACCATGTTGGTCAGGCTGGTCTCAAACTCTTGACCTCAGGTGATCCACCCTCCTTGGCCTCCCAAAGTGCTGGGATGACGGGCGTGAACCACCGTGCCCAGCCCCCACCCAAAAGGATTGAAAGCAGGATCTGAGAGGCAGGTGCTCACCCACGTTCCCACAGACGTTATTCACAGGAGCTGAGAGATGGGAGCTGCCCACGTGCCCACCGACAGGCAAGTGAATGAGCACAGTGTGCTCCATCCACACCACGGGAATCCACACCACGGGAATCCACACCACGGGAATCCACACCATGGGATACTGCTCAGCCAAACAGAGTGAAGGGAGTCAGACACCTGCCTCAGCATGGATGGACCTCGACGGCATCGGGTTTTGTGAAATAAGCCAGTCATGAAAGGACCAATACTGTCTGATTCCACACCCACGGGGTCCCTACAGCAATCGAATCTGCAGAGACAGAAAACAGAACGGTGGGTGCCGGGGGTCACAGGGGGGATGGAGAGTGAGGGTTTCATGGGGGCAGAGTTTCAGTTTGGGGAGATGAAAGAGCTCTGGAGACAGGTGCTGAGGGTTGCACAGCAATGTAAATGTGTTGAGTGCCACTGACCTCTGCAGTGGGACGTGGTCATGATGCTGATTTTCTGTGATGTGCATTTTACTGCGATCAAAAATTAAAGGCTGGGCGCAGTGGCTCTTGCCTGTAATCCCAGCACTTTGGGAGACCAAGACGGGCAGACCATGAGGTAAGGAGATCGAGACCATCCTGGCTAACACGGTGAAACCCTGTCTCTACTAAAAATACAAAAAATTACCCAGGCGTGGTGGTGCGCGCCTGTAGTCCCAGCTACTCGGAAGGCTGAGGCAGGAGAATCGCTTGAACCGGGGAGGCGGAGGTTGCAGTGAGCTGAGATCGCACCACTGCACTCCAGCCTGGGTGACAGAGCAAGACTTTGTCAAAAAAAAAAAAAGAAAGAAAAAGAAAAATTAAAATAGGATGGGCGTGGTGGCCTATAATCCCAGCACTTTGAGAGGCCGAGGCGGGTGGATCACTCGAGGTCAGGAGTTTGAGACCAGCCTGACCAATATGGCAAAACCCTGTCTCCACTAAAAATACAAAAATTAGCCAGGCGTGGTGGTGTACGCCTGTAATCCCTGCTACTTGGGAGGGTGAGGCAGAAGAATCGCTTGAACCCGGGAGGTGGAGGTTGCAGTGAGGTGAGATCGCATCAGTGCACCACACCCTGGGCGACAGAATGAGACTCTGTCTTTAAAAAAAAAAAAAGAAGATAAAAAGTGTTCGGCTCATGGACCAGGAGAGACAGTCAGGAAGATGGACAATGGGTTGGGCACAGGGTCCACAGGCTTCCCTCAGGAACAAAGGCAAGAGCAGGGAGACCACGGGAGGAGCTGAGGCTGCATGTGTAGGTGAATGCAGTGACCAGGTGGGCACAGAGGGGCCAGAGGGACCGGAGAGGCAGGGACAGAGCTGGTCCCAGCCACACAGTGGTGAGTCCTCAGGTCCCACAGCCCCTCCACGAACACACCACATATGCACAGGTTTCCATGCTCACAGCCGCACACACTTACACATATGTGCTGGTAACACACGTGTACAGCTCACCCCCACCAAAGTCAAGCTGGCACTTGATGTACAATCTCACATGGGCGACATTCTGGAGACAAGGCAGGGAGCGGGTCAGGGCTTCAGCGGGCAGAGGGCTGACGGCAAAAGACGGTGAGGGGATTGGGGGAGGACGTCGTTGGTTTGGGGTCTTTGTTTGTTTGTTTTTGTTTTGCATCAGAGTCTCGCTCTGTCGCCCAGGCTGGAGTGCGGTGGTGCAATCTTGGCTCACTGCAACCTCCGCCTCCCAGGTTCAAGCGATTCTCCTGACTCAGCCTCCCGAGTAGCTGGGATTACAGGTGCCCGCCACTATGCCCAGCTAATTTTTGTATTTTAGTAGAGATGAGGTTTCACTGTGTTAGCCAGGCTGGTCTCAGTCATGGTTATGGCTGTAAGATGGTCTGCATTTGTCAAAACTCACAGAACAAAACACGAAAGGAGTGCATTTTACTGTATGCAAAGTAAAACTTTTTTTTTTTTTTAAGAGACACAGTCTGTCTGGCTCTGTCACCCAGGCTGGGGTGCAGCGGTGCAATCATAGCTCGCTGCAGCCTCAACCTCCTGGGCCCAAGCGATTCTCATGCCTCAGCCTCCCTAGTAGCTGGGACCACAGGAGCATGACACCACACCAGGCTAATTTTTAAATTTTTTGTAGAGACAGGGTCTTGCAATGTTGCCCAGGCTGGTATTGATCTCCTAGGCTCAAGCAATTTGTCTACCTTGGCCTCCCCAAGTGTTGAGATTCCAAGTGTGAGCCACCACATGCAGTGCTTATATCGTCATTTTTTAAGTTAAAAATAGAAGAAAATAAAACACCATCCCAGCCAGGAGCCCCCAGACCTGGCCCTGGGGGAGGCGGGGTCCCTGGGCCACCTCCCATCCTAACGCCCTGTCCTTTGGAGCTATGTCCCAGGAGAAGAGCGTGAGCCTGCCACACATGTGCTGGACAGAGTGCCCATGCACTGCCCTGACACCAGAGAGACCCTCAGAAAGCCCCAGAGAGAGCCGCAGGGCTGTGAGCAGCTCAGAACACGGCGCTTTCGCGGAGCAGCCGGGAGGCTCCTTGCCCAGGACAGGGAGTCAGGAACCTGGCTGCCCGGTCTCGTTTCCCTTTTCTCTAGGGCTACCAGGAAGGTCAGAGCTGAGGCTGAGGCCCAATAACAGCAACTGCAGAGGACCCGGCACCGGCACACACAGGCCCTGCGCTTCTGTTATGGCCTTGACAGTCTATTCCAGCTTCTGTCTCCCCGGGCCCGATTCTGAACAGTCATGTCCTTGTCTGATTTATAATCCTCTACCTGCGTGCGCCTGGCCCGTCTCCCCAGAGGACTGCGGGCTGGGCCTGTGTCCTGGCTACCTCTGCAGAGCCAGCACGGGGTCAGGCTCAGCAGGTGCCTGTGACGTCAATTACAGATGCCAACACCTTCCAAAGACAAAGTGCTTTGTCATTAGCTGACTGGATGGGGAGAGAGGGACCCAGATAAGAGAAAGACAGAGAGAGAGAGAGAGAAAAGGAGACAGAGACAGAGACAGATGCACAGCAGACAGACCAAAGGAGACAGAAAGAAATAGGTAGACAGACAAACGGAGAAACCAACAGAGACAGACCGTGAGAGAAAGAGACAGAGAGACACACACAGACAGGCACGCTGGCAGAGAAAGAGACAGACCAAGAGAGATAGAAACCAGAGAGACAGAGACAGACAGAGAGACAGAGACAGGCAGGCCATGGGAGACAGAAGGAGACAGGCAGACAGACAGATGGAGAAAGAGAGAGAGACAGACACAGACAGAGATGCAGAGACAGACAGACAGACCAAGAGAGACAGAAATGAGAGAGACAGAGACAGACAGACAGACCAAGAGAAAGAGAGACAGAGACAGACATAGACAGAGATGCAGAGACAGACAGACAAATAGACACATGGAGACAGACAGGCAGACGGACAAAGAAAAAGAGACCAAGAGAGAGGAAAGAGACAGAGAGTGGCACACAGACAGACAGACAGAGAGGTAGGCAGAGAAAGAGAAGAGAAAGACCCAGACAGACAGAAACAGACAGAGAGAGACCGTCAGACAAAGAGAAACAGGCTGAGAGAGACAGAGACAGAGAGAAAGAGACAGAGAGAGACAGAGGGATGAACTGGCTCCTGGCCTCCTAGGAAGATGCATAATTTCGGAGAGGAGGAGGAGGACCTCCCTCCCCCAACCAGAGAGTGAGGAGAATAAGACACCTCCCTCCCTCCCCAACTCTGGACCCAGCCCCAGCCCAGCCCCAGCGCTGCACAGGAGCGTTCTGTGGCCTCTGCTGCCCCCCAGAGGCGTTCACTGGAAACATGCCCTCCTGACGCGGCTTCCCAGTGGCTGGAGACAGTCCAGTCGCTCCTCCTTCCTGCCCTCATTCCTGCCAGGACCCCGCTCAAATCCCCTCCTGGGGTGCACCTGTGGCTCACAGGTGTGTCTGTCCAACGCTAACCTCCCTGGCTACAACTACTGCAAGTATTTTTCCTTATTTTCCCTTTTTATTTCTTTTTTGGTTGTAAAAATAAAATGTTAGCTATAGCCGGGCACAGTGGCTCACACCTGTAATCCCAGCACTTTGGGAGGCTGAGGCGGGAAGATTTCTTGAGCCTGAGAGTTCAAGGCTGCACTGAGCAGAGATCTTGCCACTGCACTCCAGACTGGGCGACGGAGCAAGACCCTGTGGAAAACAAAACAAAAAACAACAAAAATGTCAACTATAAAAAATTCATATAGAATATGTGTGGATGTTGAAAGCTGGAAGTCCCACCTAATTCTGCCCCACCACCCCAGTCGACCTTGGTGACACGGCATCACTGCTGGCCTTCTCCACCAGGCAGGAGGTCCTGTATTTCCAGGAGGTCTTTGCTTACGGGCCCATCTCATTCTTTTTTTCAGCTGTCTTCGTAGGGGAGCATTTTCTCCTTCCTTTCAAATCTCTTTGAAATTACTTCCTGTTCTACTTGTTGGCAGTAGGGTCATTTCTGCTTTTCCTGGCTCTGCCTTGACCTGCAGGCATTTGTTTATTGTCTGTCTTATATCTTCATGGGGGTGGTAGCAGGGGGCCTTGGATCAGCTTCCAGCAGAAAATGCTCATCGAGTGAATGACCAAGCAAACACTTCTCTTACGGATGGATGGATGGATGAATGGATGGATGGGTGAGTGGATGGATGGATGAATGGATGGATGTGTGGGTGGATGGATGGATGAGTGAATGCATGGGTGAGTAAATGGATGAATGAGTGGATGAGTGAATACATGAATGGATGATCGGATGGATGAATGAGTGGATGAGTGAATACATGAATGGATGAGCGGATGGATGGGTGAGTGGATGGATGGATGAATTGACGGGTGGATGGATGGATGGATGAGCGGATGGATGGGTGGGTGGATGGATAGATGGGTGAATGGATGGATAGATGAGTGAATGCATGGGTGAGTGGATGGATGAATGGACGGGTGGATGGATGGATGGATGAGCAGATGGATGGGTGGGTGGATGAGTGGATGGATGGATGGATGAGTGGATGGATGGGTGGGTGGATGGATGGATGGGTGGGTGGGTGGATGGATGGATGAATGGATGGATGGGTGGGTGGATGGATAGATGGGTGAATGGATGGATAGATGAGTGAATGCATGGGTGAGTGGATGGATGAATGGACGGGTGGATGGATGGATGGATGGATAAGCAGATGGACGGGTGGGTGGATAAGTGGATGGATGGATGAGTGGATGGATGGGTGGGTGGATGGATGAGCAGACAGATGGGTGGGTGGATGGATGGGTGGGTGGACGGATGGATGAGTGGACAGATGGGTAGGTGGATGGATGGATGAGTGGATGGATGGGTGGATGAATGGATGGATGGGTGGGTAGATGGATGGATGGATGGATGGACGGGTGAGCAGATGGATGGGTGGGTGGATGGATGGATGGGTGGATGGATGAGTGGATGGATGGGTGGGTGGATGGATAGATGGGTGAATGGATGGATAGATGACTGAATGGATGGATGGGTGGGTGGATGGATGGATGAGTGGATGGGTGGGTGGATGGATGGATGGGTGGATGGATGAGTGGATGGATGGGTGGGTGGATGGATAGATGGGTGAATGGATGGATAGATGACTGAATGCATGGGTGAGTGGATGGATGAATGGACGGATGGATGGATGGATGAGCGGATGGATGGGTGGGTGGATGGATGGATGAGTGGATGGATGGATGGATGGATGGATGGATGAGCGGATGGATGGATGGGTGGATGGATGGACAGATGTCTGTTCGGCAGGAATACAGAGCAACTGAGACGTGCCTGCACTGCTGGAGGGAATGCACAGTGGTGCAGACACTTTGGAGAGCAGCTTGGAAGCTTCTAGAATTAAGCACGTATCTGCCATGCTACTTAGCAATCCCACTCCCAAGTATTTCCCAAGAGAAGTGAACATTTATGTTCTCGCAAACACCTGTACATGAAGGTCAATGGTGGCTTTATTCATAGTGGACCAAGCTGGATATAACCCAAATGTCTTCAATAGAAGAATGGATAAATAAACGGTGGTGCATCCAGACAATAGACTATACTACCCAGCAAAAAAAAAGAGATTAATTACTGATGTGGGCAACAACCTGGTTGAATTAGTATCTTCAATAGGAGAAGCCAATCAGGAAAGGCTACACACACTACATGACTCTGAGATAGGAGGTAGCAGGACGGGTTTCAGAAGACACAGGTCACAAAGACCCCACTGATAAAACAGAGTGTGGTAGAGAAGCCAGCCGAAACCCACCAAATCCAAGATGGCGAGGAAAGCGACCTCTGGTCGTCCTCACTGCTCATTACATGCTAATTATAATCCATTAACATGTGAAAAGACACTTCCACCAGTGCCATGACCGTTTACAAATGCCATGGCAACGTCGAAAAGTTACCCAACATGGTCTAAAAAGGTGAGGAAGCCTCAGTTCTTGGAATTCCTCACCTCTTTTCCAGAAAATGCATGAATAATTCAGCCCTTTGTATAGCATGTGATCAAGAAATAACCCTAACAATAGCCAGTCAGCAGCACCCAGGGAAGCTCTGCCTATGGGAGTAGCCACCCTTTTATTCCTTTACTTTCCTGTCACCCAGGCTGGAGTGCAGTGGCATGATCATAGCTCGCTGCAGCCTCGGACCCCTGGGCTTAAGCGATCCTCTTACCTCAGCCTCCCAAGTAGCTGGAATTACAGGTGCATCTCACCACGCCCAGCTGATTTATTTATTTTTTGTAGAGACAGGGTCTTGCTATGTTGCCCAGGGTGGCCTCAAACTCCTGGCTTCAAGTGATCCTCCCAACTCAGCCTCCCAAGTAGCTACGTCTGCAGGCGTGGGCCACCACGCCCAGCCTTATCTTTAGCTTGAATTTGCATTCTGTTTTTTGTTAGCTGTCAGAGGTGCATTGAGCAGTATCCCCTGTGGCTATCAGTTGTAACTTGACTTACAGAATGACAGCCGTTTGGGTTTGCAAAAGCCTTTCACAGTCTGAGTGCAGCCTCCCAAATGCAGAAATCTCTGATGCAAAGCCCCACAGGCCCAGGGCTCAGTTCCTCTGGGGCAGGGCTCTCCCCACCTGCCATGGAAGGCCTCGGAAAGTTCCGGCATTCAGAAAGTGCTCGTGCTGTGTCCAGTCTGCCTGCTCCAGCCCGCCATGCAGTCAGGCCTCTAGACTAACCCACAGACACAGACAGGACCTTCGGGCAGTGAGGCCCTTCCCACCTTCCCACCCTACCACACTCCCTACCTTCCACAGGCAGGACCACCGGGCCACCCCTTCCTCCTTGATCCCACATTCCCCACCCCAGTTCGAGAGTCTTGAGAGTAGATAGGAACCCCCCAGGAAACACAGCAATCACAGAAGTACAGACCTGGAGGCCACATTGCCAATCTGCCCATTTTACAGATGAGAAAACAGAGGCCCAGGATGGGAAGGGAATCATCCAAGGTCATCAGCAAGTTAGAGGTGAGGCCAAGGCAGGGCTTGGGCTGTGTCCTGCCTCCCGGGTCAGTCCCCATCCCTACACCCCCACACTACCTCGTGAACCACTTGCTTTGCACGTCTTGTTTAATTCAATCCAGTTCCACAAACGTTCATCCAGGGACCGTGACACACAGCACACTGGCTCTCCGTTCTCTCCTGGAAGAGCGAAAACGCAGCAATAATGAATGAGCTTCCACTCAGGCTGATGAGCTTTGTCATCGAGCTCCACACCGGGCAACAGGGCGGCTTCTTTGCCAGGGGAAATAACTTCTTAAAATATTGAAATAAAGGCTTTTAGAAATTGTACATGGATTAAGGTTTCATTTCTTAAAGAACTAAACAAATAGTGCAAGAGGTGACGTGGCAGGTTTCAATATTTGCAACAAAGACAGAAAGCCTCACGCTAGGAACGAAAAGATTTTAAGACCGGAGCTTGGCTAAGTTTGGCAGAAAACAAAGCGACGTGCTCGACTCTCAATTCTGCGCCATGATGGAAGGCGGCCCAGCAACGGTGGGTTTCCTTTGTGTTTACTGTGTGGTGTTAAACGAAATACTTCAGTTCACATAAAACTCCAAAGCTTGGCTGGGCTCCGTGGCTCACGCCTGTCATCCCAGCACTTTGGGAGGCTGAGGTGGATGGATCACGTGAGAATGGGAGTTCAAGACCAGCCTGACCAACATGAAGAAACCCCGTCTCTATGAAAAACACAAAATCAGCCACATGTGGTGGCACATGCCTGTAGTCCCAGCTACTTGGGAGGCTGAGGCAGGAGAATCGCTTGAACCCAGGAAGTGGAGGTTGCAATAAGCCGGAAATAGCGCCACTGCACTCAAGCCTGGGCAACAAGAGCGAAACTCCATCTCAAAAAAAAAAAAAAAAAAAGATAAAATAATGAACATATAACGTTCCAGCGAATTGCTGCTGTGTGTTGGCTGCCCCTCTAAATCCCACAAGACAGGCACCCTCATTTTTCATCTTCATTTTTAAGCTGAGAAACTGAGGCAAGTTGCTCAAAATTAACAGCCAAGGAGGTTGATTCTGATGCCTAAAGTTTTACCTAATCTAAGATTTGCCATACCTGGGAGTCCTCCTGGTCTGAAGACCAGACTATCCGAGTTCCTGCCATTACAGGGCAGCAGAGGAAAACAGAAATCATCGTAACACAAAAACCGTTACTTCACTGGTGTCCACTCACACACCCCTCTCCGCCAAGCTTCAGAATCTTTCCTGTTGAGAGGATGGGAGAGCGTGTCGTGAGGCTGTGGAAATACAAAGCACATCAGCTGCAAAGCCAAACCGTCTATCTTCCAAGAGACATAAGGTTTCAGGAATCTAGGCCAGGCACAGTGCCTCACGCCTGTAATCCCAACACTTTGGGAGGCCAAGGTGGGCGGATCACCTGTCAGGAGTTCGTGACCAGCCTGACCAACATAGAGAGACTCCATCTCTACTAAAAACACAAAATTAGCCAGGCGTGGTGGTGCATGCCTGTAATTCCAGCTACTTGGGAGGCTGAGGCAGGAGAATTGTTTGAACCTGGGAGGCGGAGGTTGTAATGAGCCGAGATTGCACCATTACACTCCAGCTTGGGCAACAAGAGCAAAACTCCATCTCAAAAAAAAAAAAAAAAAAAAAAAACGGTTTCAGGAAGCCCACAAATGGGATGCCAGGGATGCTCAGATGGAGACCAAAGCAGTGGGTCAGTGTGGGAGGCCCTGGCAAAGCTACACAGTCAGGCGGCTGAGAGTGAGGCCACGCCCATGGCTAATGGCCGGATGGTCCTTCAACAAGAAAGGGTGAGACTATTAAACGATGAAGAGAGACGTGGCCAGGTGCGGTGGCTCACGCCTGTAATCCCAGCAGTTTGGGAGGCCAAGGCGGGCGGGTCGCAAGGTCAAGAGATCAAGACCAGCCTGGCCAACATGGTGAAACCTCGTCGCTACTAAAAATGCAAAAATTAGCCAGGCGTGGTGGTGGGTGCCTGTAATCCCAGCTACTCAGGAGGCTGAGGCAGGAGAATCGCTTGAACCTGGAGGGTGGAGATTGCAGTGAGCCAAGATCTTGCCACTGCACTCCAGCCTAGCGACACAGTGAAATTCTGTCTAAAAAAAAAAAAAAAAAAAAGAGAGAGAGAGAGACTTGTGGGGAAATTGATGGTGTCCTTGCCCATTTTTGTAAAACCAATCCTCTTCATCCTGGAGCTGGGAAAATCACACACAATGGGAAGGATAACGTGTGTAGCGATCATACAATTTGTCGGAAAAATTACAATCCTACCAAATCGGCACTTGACTAAGTCTTTGTTGGTTCTACAAATGCACACACCATAGCATTATCACCGACAATTTATTGAATATAAGACAAATTTAAGATACTTTGCTTTTTTTTTCATTTTTCAAAATAACTCCTTGAACTCTTTGCCCCACAATTGGCACCATTACTATTAGATTCCCATTTTATGTGAATGCACTTGAGTGAGTCTTTCTTTCCAGTTCCTTTACCCTTGGGTACTGGAGAACAGTCAATGGCATGCAATGAGGTCCTCTTCCATTCTTCTAGATATATAAATTCTGCCCAGGCATCCATCCAGGCTGCCAGAAAGTCCCTGGACCACCACCTCAGCCTAGGACAACCTTCCACCTCTCATTTCTTTCCTACTGTCTTTATCTTAGATCTAGACCCAAACCACCCAAACAATCCCTCACATAAGTGCTTAGCAGTGTCATCAAAAACAACATCCAGGCTGGGTGCTCACGTCTGTAATCCCAGCACTTTGGGAGGCCGAGGCGGGCAGATCACCTGAGGTCAGGAGATTGAGACCAGCCTGGCCAACATGGCGAAACCCAGTCTCTACTAAAAATACAAAAATTAGCCGGGCGTGGTGGCAGGTGCCTATAATCCTAGCTACTCATGAGGCTGAGGTAGGGGAATCGCTTAAACCTGGGAGGCGGAGGTTGCAGTGAGCCGAGATCGCACCACCGCATTCCGGCCTGGACGACAAGAGCGAGACTCCATCTCAAAAAACGACAACAACAACAAAAATCCATCTTGTTCTTCAACATCCCTTTTTTAAAGGTGATAAGTTTATTTCAGAGGGTTTTCTTTGAGAGGACAGGATCAGATTTCTTGTATCTATTTGCCTACAGAGAGGGAGAATACACAAACAGGTGAATAAAAGCGAGTGAACCTTTTGAAGATTTCAGATGGCAAAGCAATCCACTGGCAATTTGCTTGTGGGGTATGTGTGGGTGGATGTGTGTTTAAATTTAGAGCCGACAGAAACTTAGACTTTCCTGGGAAGTTGATATGCTTCCTGTTTTTTGAGTATTAGAACCATGAAACTCATCATCTCTCCTTTTGTGTACTGGCTGCAAGAATGCTCAAAAATGAATTTCCCCTTGATTTATGTCTATTTTGATCATTTTCTGTATGCATGCTTTTTATTTTAGGCCTCCAGAAATCATCATTGGAAGGAGCATGCTTCATTTGACTTGACTTGGATTGGATACGAAGTCATCAAATGGTGAGAAGAGGGAGTCAAGATCTTCCTTGGAGCTTCAGTGGTGTAAATGTCAGAGGTGTTTGAACCAGAGCAACTTCATCTTGAATAGGGGCTGGGTAAAATGAGGCTGAGATCTGCTGGGCTGCATTCCCAGACAGTTAAGGCATTCTATGTCACAGGATGAGATAAGAGGTCGGCACAAGCTACAGGTCATAAAGACCTTACTGATAAAACAGTTTGCAGTAAAGAAGCTGACCAAAACCCACCAAACCAACATGGCGATGAGTGTGACCTCTGGTCGTCCCAGCTGCTACACTCCCACCAGCGCCGTAAGTTTACAAATGCCATAGCAATGCCAGGACGTTACCCTAAAGGGTTTAAAAAGGTAAGGCACGAATAATCCACCCCTTGTTTAGCATATCATCAAGAAATAACCACAAAAATGGGCAACCAGCAGCCCATGCTGCTCTGCCTATGGAGTAGCCATTCTTTATTCTGTTACTGGTGGAGGGTGTCCAGGTTCTTGGCATCTTGAACAAAGAATTGGACAAAATGCACAAAGCCACCGGGCGCGGTGGCTCACACCTATAATCCCAGCACTTTGGGAGGCCGAGGCGGGCAGATCACCTGAGGTCAGGAGTTCAAGACCAGCCTGGCCAACATGGCGAAACCTCGTCTCTACTAAAAACACAAAAGTTAGCCGGGCATGGTGACGCACGTCTGTAATCTCAGCTACTCAGGAGGCTGAGGCAGGAGAATTGCTTGAACCCGGGAGGCAGAGGTTGCAGTGAGGATCACGCCACTGCACTCCAGCATGGACAACAGAGACTCTGTCTCAAAAAAAAAAAAATGCACAAAGCAAAAAAAGAATGAAGCAACAAAAGCAGAAATTTTTTGAAAATGAAAGTACATTCCATGGTGTGGGGGCGGCCAAAGCATAGAGGCTCAGGGCCCCATTACAGAACTTGTGAGGTTTAAATACCCTCTAGGGGTTTCTACTGGTTACTTGGTGTACGCCCTATGTAAATAAAGAGGATGAAATAAAGTTACAAAATCATTTACTCAGTGTACACCCTATGGAGAGGGTATTTCCTGTCATAGCTGAAGTGTTCCCTGCCTCCAGACCCTGTTTTCCTGCCTCAATTCCTTTACTTTTCTAATAAACTTGCTTTCACTTTGTGGACTCGCCCTCAATTCTCTCTTGGGGTCTGGATCGGGACCCCTTTCTGGTAATATAGACAGAAAATACGGCCTTGACATGGTTGTCAGGAAACGACAGTAAGGCCTCCGAGGGTGGGGTTCTGAAGGGATGTTAAACGCCCCACCCCGAGGAAGGCTCTGGAGGCTCCAATCACTTTCAGCCTCTGCTACCAAGATGTCCGACCCTACCAATAAAACTTCCAGCAGCGGGGCGCGGTGGCTCACGCCTGTAATCCCAGCACTTTGGGAGGCCGAGGAAGGCAGATCACCTGAGGTCAGGAGTTCAAGACCAGCCTGACCGACATGGTGAAACCCCATCTCTACTAAAAATTTAAAAAGTTAGCCGGGCCTGGTGGCGCACGCCTGTAATCCCAGCTACACAGGAGGCTGAGGCAGGAGAATTGCTTGAACCAGGGAGGCGGAGGCTGCAGTGAGCCGAGATCGCGCCACTGCACTCCAGCCTGGGTGACACAGCAAGACTCCGTCTCAAACAAAACAAAACAAAAAACCTTCCAGCTTGGAGAAACTGAGAGTGAGCAGTAGGGAGTGAGGGGGTCCCTGGGAGGAACCAGAACTCATCCCGCTTCAGGGTGGGGCTGGCCCCCTTCTTGGCCTTGGCCGGGGCTTCGTGTCACGGAGCGCCCGAGGGACGGTCGGAGCCCACCCCAGCCCGCCCGCCGCCTGAGCCTGGCCGAGCTCTCTGCACCTGCACACGTCTGTAAAACGCGGATGAAACGCTTCTACGGAACCGGGTGGCTGAGATGAAGTGAGTTATGGGTATAAAGCGCTTAGAGCGATGCCTGGCGGACACTCGGTGCCAAATAAGCGTTCGCTGTGGCGACGATGACGCCTCCAGCCCAAAGCCCGTGGTCGAGCAGGGCCGGGCTCCCAGCGCTAGGGGGTTCCTAGGCGCGGCGCTTCGGGGGTCCTGGACACAGACACGGGGGACAGAGCTCCTACCAGCGACGATCCCGAGGGTCTGCAGCAGAGGGGCTGAGGCCCGGGACGGGGGTGGTCGCAGCGCCCTTTCCTGAAAAAACGGGGTTCGGCTCTAAGGCGCCCCCAAGCCCTGCCGGCAGCGCGGAACCCGAGCCGCTCAGAAGCCCGGGAGCCCCAAGTCTCCGGGACCAGAAGCGCCGCGGCCCTGACTTCCGGAAGGTGGACGGAACCCGCGGACGGGGCGGGCCCGCGTGGCGCACGCAGAGCCACTTCCGGGCGCGGCGCCGGCTTGGTGAGCGCGGGTACCCGCGGGCTTCCCCGGGCGGCTGCGTCCCCAGTAGCCCGGCCGGCCTCGGCACCGCGTGTCGTGGGGGTCCCGGGCCGCGGCTGCAGGGCCGGGGCGGCGGCGAGGCCGAGGGGCGGGAAGCCACTGCCCGGCCTGGCAGTGTGAACGTGCAAGTCGATCCCCTAACCCAGAAAGCCCCAGGCGCGGTCTCTATGGGCGGCCCCGCTCCTGCTTCTGTTTTATTTTTTTACGGACAGGGTCTCGCTCTACCGCCCGGGTTGTAATGCAATGGTGTGATCACGGCTCACCGCAGCCTCGACCTCCCGGGCTGAAGCGATCTTCCCGCCTCAGCCTCCTGAGTAACTGGGACCACAGGCGCGCCCTGCTGGTTTTTTTTTTTTTTTTTTTTGGTAGAGATGGGGGTCTCGCTATGTTGGCCAGGCTGGTCTCGAATTCCTGGCCTCAACGATCGTCCTGTCTCGGCCTCCCAAAGTGCCGGGATGACAGGCATGAGCCACCGCGCCTGGCCCCTTCTTTTGAATGGGCCTCCTTGCGTTTCCGTTTCAATGCCCCGTGCTACTTTTTTGGGAGCCCCAAGGCTGTACTGTTTGATTGACTCCTTTTTTTCCCCTTTCTTTTTAACCTAAATTAAAGCTGCCACTGCAGAGCCCCGCCATGGAAGACACGCCGTTGGTGATATCGAAGCAGAAGACGGAGGTGGTGTGCGGGGTCCCCACCCAGGTGGTGTGTACGGCCTTCAGCAGTCACATCCTGGTGGTGGTGACCCAGTTTGGGAAGATGGGCACCCTGGTCTCCCTGGAGCCCAGCAGCGTGGCCAGTGACGTCAGCAAGCCTGTGCTCACCACAAAAGTCCTTCTGGGGCAGGATGAGGTAAAGTGGATTGGCCGGGAACTGTGGCTCACGCCTGTAACCCTAGCACTTTCAGAGGCCTAGGCGGGCAGATCGCTTGAGGCCAGGAGTTTGAAACCAGCCTGGGCAACACAACAACACACACACAAGTCACTACAAAAAAACAAGTGCCTACACAAAATATATATATAGAGAGAGGCTGGGTGCAGTGGCTCACACCTGTAATCCCAGCACTTTGGGAGGCTGAGGCGGGCAGATCACTTAAGGTCAGAAGTTCCAGACCAGCCTGGCCAACATGGGGAAACCCCATTTCTACGAAAAATATAAAAATTAGCTGGGTGTGGTGGCACATGCCTGTAATCTCAGCTACTCAGGAGGCTGAGGCAGAAGAATCGCTTGAACCCGAGAGGCGGAGGTTGCAGTGAGCTAAGATCGTGCCACAGCACTCCAGCCTGGGTAACAGATAGAGACTTGGTCTTAAAAAAAAAAGGAAAAGAAAAGGAAACAAAAAATTAGCTGGGCCTAGTGGTGTGTGCCTGTGCTCCCAGCTACTTGGGAGGCTGAGGTGGGAGGATGGCTTGAGCCCTGGAGGTTGAGGCTGCAGTGAGCCATGATTGTGCCACTGCGCTCCAGCCTGGGTGAGAGAGCAAGACTCTGTCTTTAATAATAATAATAATAATAATAATAATAAAGTGGTCAGGAAGGGACCCCCAGGGAGGAGCATAAACCTCTCCAGTGGCTGTGATTTGTCAGTAAGGACATGGGGCATCTGGCGGACAAATACCCCTACAGCGATAGCATTTTCCGGGCATTTGTGGGTCTCAAGGCGCCCTGCTTGCCCTCAGTGGATGCTTTGTCCAGCCCGCAGGCATTTTATCCAGCAGACAAGCAGAAGCAGCAGTTTTGTCATTCGAGCCGCCTCCCCTGCCATGGTACATTACGTGAGCAGGCGGCTGGCTGTGCTGTGCTCTGTGGAGATCACACGTGAGATTCGACAGCACTCGCTTCTGCAGGCTTCTCTTTCCTGGGTTCTTTTAGATGAGAGAGAGCCAGAAGAGGCGGGGCTGCGGAAGGCGCTGGGAAAATGAATGGAGTGATGGTCTTTAGCAGTGTGCCCGTGACTGGAGTGTTCTGAGTGCTGCCAGAACTCTGAGTCACAGTTGCATGGACTTATGTGGCGGTTAATGGTGGTGTGGGAAGCCTGCCTGGGTTCCTAAGGGATACTTCATGAAAGCATTGAGGAAAAAACCAGGTTTCTTGCAGTTAAAATGGTTTCTTCTCCTTCCTTTACCAGCCTCTCATCCATGTCTTTGCAAAGAACCTGGTAGCGTTTGTGTCTCAAGAAGCTGGAAACAGAGCAGTCCTCCTCGCCGTGGCCGTGAAGGACAAAAGCATGGAGGGGCTGAAGGCGCTGAGGGAGGTGATCCGGGTGTGCCAGGTGTGGTGACCTGGAGGCAGCCGCCCCGCGCTGCTCAGCAGGACACGTGAACACCCAGACACCCACTCAGGGACTCAAGTCTCACCTCCCTCCCCGGTGGAGGGAGGAACTTTGGCACTAGCCCTTGGAGCCAGGAAAAAAGACTCGTGTCTCAGGCAGACTCTTACTCTGGTTACTAAGATCATCTGTGCATGACGGGGAGGGTGGAACAGGTCCCGGAGGAGTCGTGAATGGTTCTCACCAGGACCTGAATCGTTGCTTGTGTTTGAGAATTGGAGGAATGAGTCAGCAGGCGTGGCTCATGGCCCCCCCGTGTGCAGGATCAATTGTAGGAGGAAATTTCTTTTTTATTAAAAGCGAATGTGTATCCCAAAATACTTCACTGTCCTCCTTAACAGTAGCGAGACATTGCAGCCGCACAGCATGAGTTCAGTTTCATGGGCTTCATGAAGGGAAGCTTGTTGGGCAGAAACGCAGAGGGACGTAGTTCCCAGGAACTGGGTGGATCCCATGCTTGGGCCTGTGCACGCTGTCACCCAGCTCCAACTCCAGTAACTTCTCTGAGCCTGCTGGGAAGCTGGTGGCCGTCAGCGGACATCTCTTACTATCTTAATGTGTGTGCCCGTTACCGTGCTGCAGCTGGGGACAGACGCTGTCCTCTGAATCCTGCATAGCAAGGGAGGGGGGACGCTTCTGTCAAGGGAGCAGCGTGCACAGAGGTCAGGAGAGAGGAGCACGGGAGGGCAGGGCACTGTGGGGTGGGTCGCCAGGGTTCACTGGGGTGTGGCTGAACATGACCTCCGTGTGGGGGTAGGCGCGGGTCCTTCTGGGCTGAGGCTGCAGGACTTAGTCTTGTGGGGAGCAGTGTTGGCAGGCGTGGGCCTCAGGGTGGCATTTACAGCCCTGATAAGTGGCAGCCTGGGCCCCGCCTGGCTCTCCCTCCAGCCACTGCGAGGGACGCTTCGCTGATCCTGCCTGAGTTGGGATTTCTGAGGCTGGAAGTCGGAGCTTTGGACCCCTTCACTCTGACAGTCTCACGAGAAACAGCAGCAACTGGAGAGCTGGGTTGGGTGACCGGATCCCGAAGCGGAAACCAGGCGAGGCTCTGGAGCGAAGTGAGCGCCCAGTGGGCCCTTCCAGGGAGTTGGGGGTTTACTGCCTTAGGTACCTGTAAACAAACGGGCATAGGGTGTGTGTGGAATCAGAAAGGAATATTCCCCTTTTTCTTTTTCTTTCTTTTTTTTTTTTTTTAAATGGAGACTGGTCTCTGTGTTGCCCAGGCTGGTCTCAGAACTCCTGGCCTCAAGTGATCCTGCCACCTCAGCCTCCCAAAGTGGTAGGATCACAGGCATGCATCCTGCTCATTTCTTTCCTTTTTCTTCTTCTTCTTTTTTTTTTAATTGTCACGCCTATTACCCCATTCTGAACCCCTGCTTGTTTCTTTTTTTTTTTTTAAGGCAGAGTCTCCTTCTGTCACCCAGGCTGGAGCGCAGTGGTGCAATCTCAGCTCACTGCAACCTCCGCCTCCCGGGTTCAAATGAGTCTCAGCCTCCCGAGTGGCTGGGACTGTAGGTGTGCACCACCACGTTTGGCTAATTTTTTGTATTTTTTGGTAGAGACCGGGTTTCACCATATTGTTCAGGCTGGTCTGGAACTCCTGACCTCAGATGATCCACCCTCCTCAGCCTCCCAAAGTGCTGGGATTACAGGTGTGAGCCACCGCACCCAGCCTAACCCCTACTCATTTCTAATGGCTTCTGAAGTCCTGCAATTTTCTTTTTCTTTCTTTTTTTTTGAGATAGGGTCTCACTCTGTCGCCCAGTCTGGAGTGCAGTGGTGCAGTCTCAGCTCACTGCAGCCTTGACCTCCCAGGTTCAAGCCATCCTCCCATGCTCAGCCAAGCCACCCAAGTAGCTGGAACTACAGGTGCCTGCCTCATGCCTGGAGCGCCTAATTTTTGTATTTTTAGTAGAGATGGGAGTCTCACTATGTTGCCCAGGCAGGTCTTGAACTCCTGGACTCAAGTGATCCTCCCACCTCAGCTTCCCAAAGTGCTGGGATTCCAGGCGTGAGCCACCACACCTGGCCAATTTTCTCGCTATTAGAAACCCTCGAGGACAGGGGATGGGAGGGGCCGTTTCAGATGCTGGTCCGATTTCAAAGGAGTTTGGAAGGTGAGTTTGCTAAAGATGGGACAGAAGGAAACTGACTCTTCAAGGACTCACTCCTTCAGGAGATTGAGGACCTGCTGAGCACCCAGTGCCATGGTGCCTGCTGGGTCACCCACAGCCGTGGTCCCTGCCCCTGCGGGTTCACAGCCCAGTTGGCTGTCAGGCAACCTTAGTATGAGAAGAAGAGAGCAGGGGAGTCCCATGTGGGGATCCTGCTAGACTTCCTGGAGGAAGCACCGATGCTTGAGGGCCCCTTGCAGGGGCCCGCTGCCCCCACCAGTGTCTGCGTTTGGGGGGGCCACCAGGGGATACTGAGGCACACCCATCCCCGGCAGATAGGACTCCCTGCCCAGGGCTTCCACCCAACCTCCCTCGGGCAGGCTGGCATCGGGGTCTCCAGCCCCTCATGAAATCCTACGTTGAGTCCCATTTGGTGTCTGCCTCTTTGGGGACCTGAGCCCACAGTTTTAAGGGCCTTGAAGGAGTCAATGGGAGGAAAAGGGGAGGAGCATCTGCACAGGAGCGAGGCCCCAGCGGGTAGCATGTGTGTCGGGACGGCTGCGGGGACTCGGCCACCACCAGAGGAAGGGGATCTGTCGGGACGGCTTCGGGGACTCAGGATGACTGCCAGAGGAAGGGGACCTGTCGGGGGGCGGCTCAGGATCACCGCCAGAGGAAGGGGACCTGTCGGGGGGCAGCTTGCCGAGGGCTCAGCCTTGAACCGGGGGCCAGGGTGTGACATCAACAGGTTAATATCTTAGAGCGGGTGCCCGGGCAGAAGCCTCGCCATTCGGTATTAGCCCATAATTACTCACACTTGTCTAAAAGTCAGATGTTTTCGCTGGGTGTGGCGGCTCATGCTGGGAATCCCATCTACTCGGGAGCCTGAGACGGGGAGGATGGCCTGAGCCTGGGAGTTTGAGCCCAGCTTGGGCAACAGAGCAAGACCCCATCTAAATACATACATGCCTGTCTAAATACATGCATGCCTGTGTAAATACATGCCTGTGTAAATACATGCCTGTCTAAATACATGCCTGTCTAAATACATACATGCCTGTCTAAATACATGCCTGTCTAAACACATACATGCCTGTCTACACACATACATGCCTGTCTACATACATACATGACTGTCTACATACATACATGCCTGTCTACATACATACATGCCTGTCTAAATACATACATGCCTGTCTAAATACATGCCTGTCTCCACCTATAAAAACCGGACAGTTTTGTGGAAGAGCCACAGCTTCTCTCATGTAACCAGCGGGGACACGGCGTGGACGGGGCTCCAGTGTGAGTCCGGATGCGGGTCTGCGGCTTGTGCTTCCTGACCTGTCCCTTAGCGATAACAGTAGACCTGCTCACTGGCCGTGGGATCACCCTTCCCACCAGGGCTGCCCATTCAATCCTCACCCCGTGAGTGGCTCCCCGCATTTTCCTTACACGGAAGCAGGCCGCACCCCAGAGAGTGGGGAAGCTGGAATCACCATGCAGGGTGCCCTGGAGCCCCCATCCCCCAGTCAGGGGCCCCCGTGGTTCTCCTTCATGGCTTCCTTTTTTTTGAGACGGAGTCTCACTCTGTCGCCCAGGCTGGAGTGCCGTGACGGGATCTCAGCTCACTACAACCTCTGCCTCCTGGGTTCAAGTGATTCTTCTGCCTCAGCCTCCTGAGTAGCTGGGATTACAGGCGCACACCACCATGCCTGGCTAATTTTCCTATTTTTAGTAGAGATGCGGTTTCACCATGTTGTTCAGGTTGGTCTCGAACTCCTGACCTCAGGTGATCCGCCTGTCTCAGCCCCCCAAAGTGCTGAGATTACATACTTGAGCCACTGTGCCCGGCCACGGCTTCCTTTTCTTTCACGCCGCAACTGCACCAGGGCAATGGTTCTTGCCAAGGCCAAGGTTGGCTTTGCCTCCACGCCTGCTGGTCTGGTGCGGCACTGTTTTGGTGCGGGACTGTTTTCAGGAGAGCATTGGCTCCTGAGAGCCAGGCCTGGGAGGCCTGTCCTGTCTAATTGGGCCCTCATGACTGCCCTTCAAAGGTAAGTCATGAAGGCCGGACACAGTGGCTCACACCTGTAATCCCAGCACTTTGGGAGGCTGAGGCAGGCAGATCACCTGAGGCCAGGAGTTCGAGACCAGCCTGGCCAACATGGCGAAACCCCGTCTCTACTAAAAGTACAAAAAGCCAGGCTTGGAGGCATGTGCCTGTAATCTCAGCACTTTGGAAGTCTGCGGCAAGCAGATTGCTTGAGCCCAGGAGTTCGAGACCAGCCTCGGCAACATGGGGAAACCCCATCTCTATATCTAAAAAAGCGTATAAAGAAAAAAATTAATTTCGTAAAAAAAATAAAGGTAGGTTGTGGAGAAGCTAAGGCTCAGGAGGGGCGGGCAGGTTGCCTGGAGGCTCCTGGGATGTCCACACAGCTCTGCCACATGTCATGTGCAGGGTCCCACGGCCACCCGCCTTGAAGGCGATGCCGAAACGGGCATATAATTGAGACTGGCCCCCCAGTGCCCTCCCGAGGTCCTCCTTCACAGCCGCCTGGCAGCCGGTAACAACACAGACCAAGGCTAAGCACCTCCGCCATCCAGCTAGCTCCTGTGCTGTAAATCAGATGGCGGCAGCTGTGGAAGGGCCCCGGCCCTCTGCTTTCTGGGCCCGCTCCCAGCCTCATCACTCCTGAGCAGCCCCTGCTCCAGCGAGGAGCTCTGTGGAGCCAGCTGTGGTTGCAGGCAGGGCCATCTGCTTTGGGGATTGCTGCTCCTTTAGGAGGATGAGCTGCCTGTGGTTTTTACCCAGAGATCCAGCTGGAATCGCAGCTCCCAGACACTCACGGCTCACTGTGAGTGATGAACACGGGGCCCATGGCAGCCGCTGCGGCCGAGACAGTGGACAGTGTTCACTCTTTAAGGCGATGCCCTTGCGCCCACACAGTGCGACGTCCAGCACTGTTTTCTGCTCAGCTGCGAGGGAATCTCCCCAAGCCTCCCCACCACCCCCTTTTCCTAAGTGGACCTGGGGGCCTTGGAGGTCAAGAAGAGCCAGTGGGGGCCCTGTTCTTGGCTGTCATTTCAAGCGGCTTCTCCAGGGGGTTGACAGAGCCCTGGGCCCACGTGGACGGATGATGACAAATGACCTGCGGAGGGAGACGGTGGCACGTGGGGACCAGCGGAGTGAGCTGGCCTCGGCTATCTTGTTGAGTGCCTGGGAATGGAATTGGAACAGGAGGCCCGGTAAGTGACTGGAAGACTGGAATGAGGGCCTGACCGATGGGAATGAACCAGAGACAGCGGAATGATGTGCAGATGACTGAGGGAGGCACCCTGCCACGCTGGTTTTATAGTTTGGCATCGCAGCGAGAAAAACAACAAACCCCGTCTTGTGTGTGGTGAGGGGTGGCTCCGGCAGAGAGTGAGGATGCGTGAATTCCAAAACAACTGTGAGAAGACCAAAGGCGCCAGAGCTCTGGGGATTCAGATTCGCTTTCAGAAATAATGCCGGGTGCGAGGCTCACGCCTGTAATCCCAACGCTTTGGGAGGCCGAGGCGGGAGGATGGTCTGAGCCAGGGAGGCAGAGGTTGCAGTGAACCCAGATCATGCCACTGTACTCCAGGCTGGGTGACACAGCGAGACCCTGTCTCCAAAAAAAAAAAAAAAAAGAAGAAGCAAGAAAGAAGCACACATCTGGGGATGTTTTGATGAAGACTCTGCTCTCGTGGGCCCCAGAACACCCCGAAATAGGCTGCACGAAGCCGTGAGCCCCGGCACCTGAAGGCGCGAAGCTGGGCTGGGAGTTGCTCACTGGCAAGGTGGGTGTCAGCCTGAGGAGGGCAGAGGTCAGCTGCCCCTAGCTGGGCATGATTTAGGACACAGGACGGGAGGGGGCACTGGGTCTGGAAGGAAAGGCAGGGGAGGGAGGGAGGGGTCTCCAAGGAAAGGGAAGCCAGCAGTGCTGTTCCTAAGCAGGATTCCATGGAACTCGCAGACAGGACTTGGGACACGCACCTGCCCTGCCCGTCTGACCTCACCCCGCCCACCCAGGAGGGGAAGCGCCGTGGAGGCCACTTCACAGGAGGGAAGATCAGGGTCCAGGGCCATGCTTGACGCCCCCCACCCAAGGTTTAGCCCAGGAAGGGGGAACAAACCGCAGCTCCAACCCTGCCCCCCACCCATTAGCCAGGGGCCTGCAGCTCCTGACTCAGCTTCCCCCATCAAACAGGGGCTCGTCCTGCCCCACCCGGGTGGGAGACCCAACCTTCCAGGCCCACAGGAGCTCGTGCGTGCGTCTCACGTTCCAGTCACCCGGGTAGCAGGCGTGCGTGGGCAGGGGCAGAGCTTGGTGGCGATCCGTGTCCCGACACCCTCAGGCTCCCGAATGGGACTTTTCAGGGGTGAGGGGGCCAAAGAAGGGGAGGCAGGGGCTGCGTCACTCGTGAAGGGGCATCGGGACCCCAGCCCACTTGTGGTCCCACGTCTGAAATCCACCGGACAGGGAGATTGGTCCAGGCTCACACCCGCTGGGATGGCAGGAGGCAGGGGTGGCACGTGGACAGATGTGGGTCCCAAAATCCGGGCAGGGGGGAAGGTGGAGGGTGTGGTCCGTGCCAGCTGTACCCAGGCAGGTAGGGCTGGCTGGGTGGGGAGGGGGTGGGGCTGGGAGGAGTTCCTGGGTCTGGGGAGAGGCCACTGCTCAGGAGCAATCATCTCTCAGGGACCCAGGCTGCCCGCCGCTGTGAGGAGGCGGCAGCAGAGGCCAGGAGGCCGGGGGCCGAGCTTCAGGCCCACCCCGCCTTGGCCCCCCCCTCAGGCCCAGAGACCTGCAGCCAACCTGCCTGACAGGCTGAGCGCCACCAGGGAGGTGAGCTGCGTGGGTGTGGGAGTGCGAGAGTGTGTGTGTGGGGGAAGGGGGTGCATACCAGAGGGGTATGGTGTCCAGGCTGAGCCCCTGCACTTCAATGGGGTGGGGGGCTCCTCGAAAAAAAAAACATACCTTGAAATTCGGAGAATCACAGTCCGCCAACCCCTAAGCCTCACCGCCACCTCAGAGGCTGGGCCCCAGGACGGCACCTGGACACCAAACAGGGTCTCCAGCCAGCCTGGCAAGTCCAGGCCAGACGAGCACCCCCCATCCTGGCTCCAGATGAAAGGGTGCCCCCGACCCGTACACGCCCAGGGCTGGCAGCTCCCTCAGGTGAAGGCAAGTATAGGCAGGCCCTGGGTGACTTTCTGGGGATGGGGGCAACAGAGGGACCAGGGACAGGAGCAGGGAGGTGGGGGCTTGGCCCCGGAGGACAGGACGGGAGACCTATGGGAGGAAGAGAGCAGATCCTTGGGACGGCCCCACCCTGGGATCTGGGGCTGATGGGCTCAGGCAGAACAGAATTGCTCGAGAGTCAGAAGCTGAGGCAAGCGCCCCCCTATGACCTGCCAGGTCGCCAGGTCAGCTGAGACAGTGGAGCTGAGTCCCAGGGCCTGGCCAGGCTGGCTCTCCCATGCAGCAGCCTACGTCCCTAGAAGGGCAGATGACAGGGAGGCCAACCTGAGGCCCTGGCCCGGCCTCCCTGACCTGCCGCATAGCTCTTGCCGGTGGAGACAGGCCCAGGCTGGCATAGGCTCTGCCTGAGGTCACAGACACCTCACACAGCCAGAGCCAGGCCCCAGCTTGTGGCATGTGGTCCAGGGCCTGCTCCTCCTGGCTGTGGGGGCTGCTCCCCGGCCCCAGTGAGGAGGGGGCATGTGGGTCACCAGGAGGCCATGCTGCCTGCCCGCCCCACGCGGCTCTCAGGAGGCCGTGCCCGTGGACAGGAGCCGGGGGAATCCCAGAAGCAGAGCCGGGAGGATGTGGAGCCCCATCCCTGTCACCCCCTGCTCACACCCGGGGCTGCTGCCTTGGTGAACTGCTGGCCAGGGCCCCCAGGGGAGGGCCGCGGGACCTGGGAAGCCGGGTGTCTGAGATGGGTGCCCACCGGTCACCTCATCCCCCTAGTGTGCAGCTCAGCCTGGGACATCAAATGAGCCAGCCCTGAGGAGGCGGCTCCTGGGCGCCCCGAGTTCCACCCAGCAGTGAAGGAGGCAGGCAGGGGGGTACACCATGCCTGTCCGCATCTGCAGAGAGACGGGCAGGCAGGGGGTCGGGGTGGGCACTAGCAGGGCAGCCGGCCTGGAACCAGGCAACAGCTCATGGGCCCTCAGCCGGGTTTCTCATGAGAGCAGGAGGAGGTGGCTGTGCCAGGGCCAGGGTGTGGGACTGGCTGGGCGGCTTCTCAGCCTCCCCACAGCTCTGGGCACCTGGACGCAGTGAACAATGGTCAGAGGGCCCCGTCGCCTGGATCTGGGCAGACAGGTCTGTCCTGCAATGGGCTTGGTCAGTGTCCCGCCCCCGCCAGAAAAATCAGGCCCAGCCGGCCCTGCCGCCTCCTGTGACCGGGCGCAGAGGCTGTGACACCAGCACCGGGTGAGGCCTCGATCAGCCGGCGAGCCCTGTGAGCAGGTGGCAGAGCGGTCAACCTCCCGACTGCCCCTCCCTGGGGACCAGGCCCTGCTCCTGACATCCCCAGACCAGTACACTTGGTCCACGGTTCCCGAGCTGGCGCATCTGGCTCAGCCGGGACAGCTGTGGGCTGAGGAGATCAGCAGGCCTCCCTGTCCAGTGCCCAGCTGGCCCTGTGAGAAAACCCCACCTTTTTCCACAGAGGATCTGCCTCTGGCGGAAGACAGAGCTTTGGAGGTCCCTCAGTCTGTGTCCGGGGCCCAAGCCCTGAGCCTGCCCGAAGCCAGAGCCCTCCCAGAAGCCTGGCTCTGCTGGCTCCAGCCAAAACGGTCCTGCTGACATCTAGCCACAGTGCCTCCTGCTGTCTGCACAGCCATTCCCACCGTCAGCCCAGGGAGGGGCCCGAGGCTTCATCCTGTGCTGGGGGCTGGACGCAAATCAAGCAGGGGCTGGGGCCTCAGTTTCCCTGCCTGTAGCATGAGCGAGTTGGATGAGGGGATTCCCGGTCCCTTCCAGCTCTGCGCATGCCCAGGCACCAAAGTCTTCACCCTTCAAACGGGCCCCCAGCCATCGTCACTTCATAGTTGTCCGTGACGGTGATCCCGACACAGCCAGAGGGCGACATCCACACGCGCTGAGCCGACTGCCTGGGGCTCTGCAGGCCGGGTGGGAGGCCGGCAGGAGTACCTGTGGCTGCAGTGGGAATGCAGCTGGATGGAAGTTGGGGACCGCCTTCCAGCACCCCTGCCTGGCCAAAGGGAGACCTTAGCCCACAGGGTCACCGCCTCAGCAGGACAGCCCCCACCCCGCAAGCCCTGTGCCCCGAGCATGGACAGGGCACAGCTCTAGGCTCTGGCAGCTCCTGCAGAGGGAGGACCAGCAGCAAACACAGACAGGTGGACAGGGAGTCACACACACAGTGAGGAGGGTGATGGGACAGCGGGGATGGTCTCTCCAGAGGTGACGCCTGAGGCTGCAGGACAGAGTCACCCGGGAGCAGGGTCGGTTGGTCCAGAAGGTCCCTGCCTGGGGAGCAGGCAGGCTCCAGGAGGGCCCAGCCAGGGTGTGCATGCTGTGGCTCTGGGCCCGGGCCCGGGTGGGCGCTGATGGGGAGGTTAGGCAAGGCGGGCCTGAGAGCTGGGCACGACTTCCTGAGCTTGTTCCCCACCTGGGAGCCTCCCTGGAGGGACAGTGTCAGTGGAGGAGTTGGGAAAAGCAGGCAGGGTGTCCCAGGGAAGGATGGGCCTCAGCCCGGGCCCCTCACGGACCCCTCAAGGATGCTGGACGCGTTGATGCGCCTCTCGTTCCCATCTCTAAAAGGGGAACAGGCCGGACGTGGTGGCTCAAACCTGTAATCCCAGCACTTTGGGAGGCTGAGGCGGGCAGATCACCTGAGGTCAGGAGTTCAAGCCCAGCCTGGCCAACGTGGTGAAACCCCGTCTTTACTAAAAATACAAAAATTAGCTAGGTGTGGTGGTGGGCGCCTGTAATCCCAGCTACTCGGGAGGCTGAGGCAGGAGAATCACTTGAACCCAGGAGGCGGAGGTTGCAGTGAGCCGAGATCGCGCCATTGTACTCCAGCCTGGCGACAGAGCGAGGCTCCGTCTCAAAAAATAAATTAATTAAAAATAAAAGGGGAACAGTGGCTCCAGTCATTCCAGCCTCAACCCCTTGAGCCCTGTTGCTCAGGGCTGTGGGAGGGTAGGAGATATGAAGGACAAGGAGTGTGTGGATCCGTTGCGGGCATGGAGCGGGACTTGGTAATGGTGGCCCCAGCGGCATGAGCCCAAGCGTAACCAGAACAGGACAAGAGGTGGGCTGAGGGCCCACATCCCTCTCCCAGGAGCCGGGGTGAGTGAGTTTTTTCTCCACAGGGGCCTCTGCATGGGGGTGACAGGGACCCTCAGGGCCCCGCAACCCCTTGCCAGACCCCAAAGGGTCCAGGGACTGGGCTGTCACTCCCCCTCTCCTGCCTTGATCCACAAAAACCAGAAATATTTCCTTTTTTTTTTTTTTTTTTTTTTGGACACAGAGTCTCCCTCTGTCCCCAGGCTGGAGTGCAGTGGTGTGATCTCAGCTTACTGCAACCTCCGCCTTCTGAGTTCAAGCGATTCTCCTGTCTCAGCCTCTTGAGTATCTGGAATTACAGGTGCACGCTGCCACACCTAGCTAATTTTTGCGTATTTCGTAGAGACGGCGTTTCACCATGTTGGCCAGGCTGGTCTCGAACTCCTGACCTCAAGTGATCCACCCACCTTGGCCTCCCAAAGTGTGGGGATGACAGGCGTGAGCCACCACGCCCGGCCCAGAAAACAAATGTTTTCAACTCATCTCTTGGGGCGTGGATTTTTTTTTTAATTCAGATGAAATTCACATAACATCAATTTACCCAGGTTTAAGTGAACGATTCGGTGGCGGTAAGTATATCCACAGTGCTGTGTGCCTGCCGCCTCTACCTCATTTCAGGACTCCTGTCACCCCCCAGAGAAACCCTGTACCATTAGCTCTCCACCCCTCCTCCTGCAGCCCGGCCCTCCTTGGCCTGCCGCAGACCTCTCCCACGTGTCCCCACCAGGTGGCAGCTGCCTGGCCGTCTGGCATAGGCAGGTGAGGGCGCCAGGCGGCCAGCAGGTTCCTGGGAGCCAGCTGCCACCCAGCAAACAACCGGGAGGATAGGGTGTCAGCCGTGGGAGGGGACAGGAGGGGACGGGCCTGCAGCCTGGGGCCCAGGTGGGCCACTGGGGACGTGAGGCACTGGCCGCCCCGCCCCAGCCTGGCACAGCCCTTCAGATCCTGGCCTTGCCGCACCCACAGTGGGGCCTCCAGTTGGGGCCACGTGGCCATGAGAATGACCAGCTAGGCTTCCCTGGAGGCCAGGCCTCCCTGGACTGGGCCAGGTGCTTCCTGCCAGCAAAGGTAGAGCTGGGCCCTGTGACCGCAGACCAGAGGGAGAGGAGGAGGCTGGACTGGGCTGCGAGTGTGGGAGAGGGTGGACTCAGGGCCCCAGCAGGTTAGTGGGAGATGGAACAGGCACCCAGGGCTGCCAAGAACCCCAGCAAAGCCGGGCTCCCAGGTGGGTGGACAGGTCCCAGAGCCAGTGAGGGCCGGCTCCTCCCATGAGGGTGGCTGCACACCCCCTCCTGCCGGGGCAGGCAGTGCTGGTCTGCGCCCGCTCCCCAGCCCTCCCGGGCAGGCAGGGCGGCAGGGGTTCCCCCTCTTCTGCCCCACTGGAAGACGGTCTTTGTCCCCTAAGAAGCAGGCTCCCTGCAAGCCTGAGACTCGGAGTTGGAAGCTGGTTTTACAAGGGGGAATTGAGGTGGGACCCTCAGGTCGCAGGTGGTTGATGGGTGAGCTTCGATGGCTGAGCTCGGAGCAGGGAGGGAGCCGGGCCTGGCGCTGGTGTCCGTGTGGGGGGTGCGGCCTGGTGGGTGGCTCAGCCTCAGCTCCCGTCTCACTGTCTCCTCCCTCCCCCGCTGCTTCCTGCTGCCGGGAGCCAGTACCTTTGCCCTCACTCCTCCCGGTGTGTGTCCTCCCTCCCTCTGCAGATGAGTAATGTCTCAGGGATCCTGGAGACAGCCGGCGTCCCCCTGGTGTCAGCGAACTGGCCGCAGCCCAGCCCCCCACCGGCTGTGCCAGCTGGGCCGCAGATGGACCACATGGGGAACAGCTCCCAGGGGGCCCCCTGGCTCTTCCTCACCTCCGCACTGGCCCGAGGCGTCTCGGGGATCTTCGTGTGGACTGCCCTGGTGCTCACCTGCCACCAGGTAAGCCCTTCCGCCCCCGAGCCTCCTTCAGGACCTTGGTCTCCACAGGACGTGGCCGTGGCTCAGCCCGGTCCCCCTGGGTGCCGCTGCTATAGACGCTGTCAGAAGTGGGATCGGCCAGGGCACGGGGGAGGGGATGAGCTTCCCCAGGATGTGGCATGTGGGAGCTGGGCCTGAAAATGGGGAGATCTCTGCCAGGCTGAGGGCAGAGCGCCCACCGGGCACCCCTGGCTATTTCACAGGCTCGTCACTCGGCTCACTGAGGTCTGCAGTGTGGTCCCATTTCACAGACAAGAAGACTGAGTCTCAGAGAGACCAGAGGTCTTTCCCAGGCTCACATAGCTGGAAAGGGGAAGGGGCCTTCTCCTTCCAGAGGCGTGACACCCTGGAGAAGGCTGGTGGGAGGTTGGCAGGGGGTTGGACTTTGCTCTGTAGGGAGCTGGGGAGCAAAGGTCACAGCTTGTTAGAGGGACCGGGACTCCTGTGCAGGAGATGGGCGAGAAGCAACTTCCCCAAGCCCGAAGCCACACACAGCCCCCGACCCGGAGCAGTCCCCAGGTGGGAACAGAACAGCCCCCAGGTAGAGAAGCGGCCAGGCGCTGTGGCAAGGAAGGGCCAGGCAGGGGCAAGGAGGAAGTGGTGCCCGAGGGCAGGGGCTGGGCAGAGAGGGCAGGGAGTCAGGGACAGGACCCTCCTGAGAGACTCAGATACACAGAGAGGCCAGGGCGGTGTGCGCAGGGGTGGGGTGGGAGTGCGTGTGTAGGCCCGCGAGGGCCACACGGCTGCAGGGATTTGTCCAGAGCCCTTGACCCCAGTGCGGTGAGGTGGCTTTCAGGGGGTGCTGGGAGCCCAGGAAGGCTGTGGAGGGCTGGGCTGAGGGCAGAGCTGCTTCCCGGGTGCACGGGGCACTGGTGTAGGGAATGGATCTGTAGGTGAGCTGGGGCAGGGGGCCATCAGGAGACTGGCAGGCAGGGACACCGGTGGCCACAAGTCTCCGAGGGAGCATCTCAGTGACAGTTTATTAACTGCTTATTAGCCGGGCATGGGGGCCTGCACTGTTAGTCCCAGCTACTTGGGAGGCTGAGATGGGAGGATCGCTTGAGCCCAGTTCAAGGTTGCAGTGAGCTGTGAACAGATAACCAGAACCCACGGTAGACGTGTATGAGTGTGGCCTGGAGTGTGCAGAGCCGCGGAGGCAGTGCCGAGGCAGGCCCTTCCTGTAAGGCCATCAGAGAGGGCTTCCCGGAGGAGGCCGTCTTTCCGCTGTAATCCTGGGAACCGGCTGTGTGTGCGCGGCTGTAGTGTGGCTTTAGCTTCATGGGGCCTCGCAGTCAAGACAGGGCTCATGGAGACCCCTTGGGCTGGAGTTCAGGCCCTGTCCCACCCCTGAGCCCACCGCCAGAGTCACCCTTGAGTGAGGAGTCCCAGGCAGGACACAGAGTGGCTGGATCCCCCTCACTTTATACATGGGAGGACCGAGGCCGGAGAGGACAGTGGCTTGTCAAGGTCACCCAGCCAGGCAGCGCCAGCCCCGGGAGAGGTCTCCTGATGGCTGGTCATGCCGTCCCTCCCAGGGACCATCGGGGAGCGTGTGACTGATAAGAGTCTGTTCCTGCCTCCAACCTCCCCCAACTCCCTGAGCTGCACCCCAAGCGGCCAGGTGCACGTAGCCTCTGCTCGCCCACCGCCACGCATGCACCTCCTCCAGAAGGCCTTCCCCAGGAGCCCCTGTGCGCCCAGCTCCCAGGCTCGGCTGACCCTGTCTCAAAGACCCTGTAGTTGAGTTGTATCCTCACAGAAAACATGGAAAATCGGTCAGGCGTGGTGTCTCACACCTGTAATCCCAGCATTGTGGGAGGCCAAGGCGGGTGGATCACCCGAGGTCAAGAGTTTGAGACCAGCCTGGCCAACATGGGGAAACTCTGTCTCTACTAAAAATACAAAAATTAGCCGGGCATGGTGGTGCGCGCCTATAATCCCAGCTACTCAGGAGGCTGAGGCAGGAGAATCACTTGAACCCGGGAGGCGGAGGTTGCAGTGAGTTGAGATTGCGCCACTGCACCCCAGCCTGGGCAACAGAGCAAGACTCCGTCTCAATAAAAAAAATAATAATTAAAAATTAAAAAAAATAAAAACGTGGAAAATCTAGAAAGGTTTAAAGGCAAACACTACTATAATCACCCATACTTTTTCCCAGGCTTTCTTTTTTTTTAGGCAGGATCTCACTCTGTGACCCAGGCTGCAGTCCGGTGGCACAATCAGTGCTCACTGCAGCCTCCGCTTCCCGGATTTAAGCCATCCTCCCACCTCAGCCTCCCGAGTAGCTGGGACTGCAGGCGCCCGCCACCACGCCTGGCTAATTTTTGTATTTTTTAGTAGAGATGGAGTTCGCCCTGTTGACCAGGCCGGTCTCGAACTCCTGAGCTCAGGTAATCCGCCCACCTTGGCCTCCCAAAGTGCTAAGATTACAGGCGTGGGCCACCGTGCCTGGCCCCTAGGGAGGGACAAATTCTTAGGAATCAAAGGGTGCACATCCTTTGGATGCCCCCACAGCAAAAGCCAATGTGCCTTCTGAGAGTCTGCCCAGCCCAGGACCGGGACGTGTCCCCTCTCCGTCCCCCGGGTTGGACACTTAGCTGGGCTCTAGAAACGCCTGCTGAATGAAGGAATGAGTGAGCGTTCCCATTCCCAGGCTAAGAACAAACAGGACCCTCACTCATGCCCAAGGAACTTATTCAGAAAAAAAAAAAAAAAAAACCTATTGTACAACATGGTGACTGTTATAAATAACAATGTATTCTATGCTTGAAAATTGCCAAGAGAGTACATTTTACATGTCCTCCCCGCAAAGAAATGCTAAGTATGGGAGATAATGGAGACGTTAATGGGTTTGACTCAGCCATTCCCCACGAACACACATATCAGACATCGCGCTGCACACTGTAAATGCATACAATTTTGATTTGCCAATTTAAAAAATAAATTTTAGGCCAGGTGCAGTGGCTCATGACTATAGTCCCAGCACTTTGGGAGACGGAGGCAGGAGGATCCCTTGAGCCTAGGACTTTGAGACCAGCCTGGGCAACACAGTGAGACCCTGTCTGTACAAAAAATACAAAAATTAGCCAGGCAAGGTGGTGCACACCTGTAGTCCCAATACTCAGCAGGCTGAGGTAGGCAGATCACTCGAGCCCGGGAGTTCAAGGCTGCAGTGAGCCATGATTGTACCACTGCACTCCAGTCTGGGCGACAGAGCGAGACCCTGTCTCAAAAAAAACCTGGGCAAGAGAGCGAGACCATGTTTCTCAAAAAAATATTTTTTTTTTTTTGAGAAAGGGTCTCGCTCTGTCGCCCAGGCTGGAGTGCAGTGGCGCAATCTTGGTTCACCGCAACCTCCACCTCCCAGGCTCAAGCGATTCTCCTGCCTCAGCCTCTCTAGTAGCTGGGATTACAGGCGCGCGCCACCATGCCTGGCTAATTTTTGTGTATTTAGTAGAGACTGTGTTTCACCATGTTGGCCAGGCTGGTCTTGAACTCCTGACCTCAAATGATCCACCCACCTCGGCCTCCCAAAGTGCTGGGATTATAGGTGTGAGCCACTGCACCCGGCCATAAAAAGTCAATTATTCAAATGTGTATTATTTTTAGTTGTAACCAGAAATATGTATTTAACATATACATTCATACTTATATGTACTTCTATAGTAAATACGTATAAAAGTATGTATCTAATTACAATAGGCAAACAATTTATTTTCTCTAATTGTAATAAGGATGCCCATTGTAGAAAACTAGAAAATGCAAACATAGAAGGTGCCTGGTGGCCTGCACCCACCCCCACCTCCTTCCCGGCTCACCTGGGCTTGTGCAGGGGTACCAGGCGGACCCGGCTCTCACCCGAACCCTCCTGCGCCCACCCCCACCTCCTTCCCGGCTCACCTGGGCTTGTGCAGGGGTACCAGGCGGACCTGGCTCTCACCCGAACCCTCCTGCGCCCACCCCCACCTCCTTCCCGGCTCACCTGGGCTGGTGCAGGGGTACCGGGTGGACCCGGCTCTCACGCGAACCCTCCTGCGCCCAGGGCGGGCCCGGCTCTCACGCGAACCCTCCTGCGCCCACCCCCACCTCCTTCCCGGCTCACCTGGGCTTGTGCAGGGGTACCGGGTGGACCTGGCTCTCACCCAAACCCTCCTGCACCCACCCCCACCTCCTTCCCGGCTCACCTGGGCTGGTCCAGGGGTACCAGGCGGGCCCGGCTCTCATGCGACCCCTCCTGCGCCCAGATCTATCTGCACCTGCGCTCCTACACCGTGCCACAGGAGCAACGTTACATCATCCGCCTGCTCCTCATCGTGCCCATCTACGCCTTCGACTCCTGGCTCAGCCTCCTCCTCCTCGGAGACCACCAGTACTACGTCTACTTCGACTCTGTGCGGGACTGCTACGAAGGTGGGCGCCAGGCTGCGTCAGGTCGGGGGAGCGGAGGGAGAGACTCCCCGGGGCCTGCGTGCACGCACACTCTTCCATGGCCAGTCCCCAGGGCACCCCACTCTCCCGGCCCGTCAGAGGGGCTGCCAGGATAGTCAGGGTTAGCGGCGCTGGCAGGCCTGGAACACACGACTGACCCCACAGCCTCCGTGAGAGGGGCTCGGTGGACCTGCCCTGGCCTGGGGTGAAAGCAGGGCCCTGATGGAGCACCCTGACCCTCTCAGGCTGCCCCGCTGGGGATGGGGTCCATCAGGAGCCTCTTGCTGTGTGGCCTGCTGGGCTCAGCCCCTCCCGAGCCTCCTCCTGCCCTGGTGAGATGGGCGCCATGGGGTCCCGGTGCAGCTCAGGGCTCACAGCCGGTCCCCCTCTGTGCTCCCTGCAGCCTTTGTCATTTACAGCTTCCTGAGCCTGTGTTTCCAGTACCTGGGAGGCGAGGGCGCCATCATGGCTGAGATTCGTGGAAAGCCCATCAAGTAAGCCCGTCACCCCAGAGCCCCCACACCCCACACACCTGGGACAGGGAGCCCGGCGGCGCCGGGGCTGCATTCTCCCGCACCGGCTCAGGGACGTCCCCCGCAGGTCCAGCTGCTTGTACGGCACCTGCTGCCTCCGGGGCATGACCTACTCCATCGGGTTCCTGCGCTTCTGTAAGCAGGTGAGGGGCCACCCAGCCCTGCCCGCCCTCCTCCCACCCAAGCCCGTCAGGGGCCCTAGCCGGCCCAGCGCCACCCCACCCAGTGTCAGGGGGCTGCTCATTGCTGGCTGCCCCAATCCCCATTCCTGGGCCCCTGGGGGACCTGGCCCCAGGCCCACCGGGTGCCGTCGCCCCCAGGCCACTCTGCAGTTCTGCCTGGTGAAGCCCGTCATGGCCGTCACCACCATCATCCTCCAGGCATTTGGCAAATACCACGACGGGGACTTCAAGTAAGGCGGGAGCTGCGGGGACACCTGGCATGAGGTGGGCACTGGGTCCCCCGGGGCCCGGGAGTGGGGCCCAACGAGGCGGACTTGGCGTCCAGCTGGGCTCAAGTAAGGTGGGAGCTGCGGGGGCACCTGGCATGAGGTGGGCACTGGGTCCCCTGGGGCCCAGCGGTGGGGCCCAACAAGGCAGGCCTGGCGTCCGGCTGGGCTAGGGGCCCCGCCCAAGACAGGTACCCACTTCTTCTCCACAAGGACCTCGGTGCCTGCCAAGGCCGGGGGCCTGGACCTCCCCTCACAGGACACGGCTGGGGTGAGTCTAGCGTCTGTGCCAGCATCTGCGCCGAGGACCCCAGGGCTTCTGGCCAGGCAGTGATGGCCCCAGCCCCCGCCCAGCCTTGAGCACTCTTGGCATTAAGGGCACCTGGGCCAAGGGGACCAAGGTCCACCCCGACCTGTTGGCTGAACAGACAGGCAGCCACCCAGCACAAGGAGGACCCCTGCGAAGGTCCACACAGCTCACCCCTTGGACCCCTGCGAAGGTCCAAGGTGCTCACCAACACCACACAGATGCTCACACACGGGGACACATGTGCTGTCACCTGTGCGCACACATCACACACGTGCATCACATGTTCACACATGCACACAGCACATGCGCAAACCGTGCACACACCACCACACATGTATGTACACTCACATGCACGCAATATGTGCACACACACAGCGCACCCCACCTGTGTGCACACGACATACATGCACACACACCTATGTGCACACACTCACACGGGAACGACACCTGTGTGTCCACCACACAGAGGATCTTCAGGCAGTGGCCAGGTGGACGGGGTTGGGAGGTGGCGTTCCGACAGAGGCAGCCTGGATGCTGCCTGAGCAGTGGACAGGATCCTGGGACGAGGAGGAGCAGGGCCGGTAGGGAGAACGGCCACGTCCCTGCCCTACCCCTGCATAGGCCCCCCAGCCACCCCCAGCTCCCCACGCTCTCCTGCAGGCCCTGGAGTGAGGATCAGATCGGGGCAGGATCCCTGCAGGGCCCATGCTCCCAAGCTCAGGGTGGGGACCAGGCTGAGGGTGCAGCGGCGGTGGCTCTAGGGTGGGGACAGTGGCGGGGTCATGGGACCGCCCTGACCACAGCCCCCGTCTGTCCTAGTGTCCGCAGCGGCTACCTCTATGTGACCCTCATCTACAACGCCTCCGTCAGCCTCGCCCTCTACGCCCTGTTCCTCTTCTACTTCACCACCAGGGAGCTCCTGCGGCCCTTCCAGCCCGTCCTCAAGTTCCTCACCATCAAAGCCGTCATCTTCCTGTCGTTCTGGCAAGGTGTGTGGGGCAGGTGGGGCAGGGGTGCTACCGAGGTGGGGGCTGCAGTCCAGTGAGCCTGGGGTCACCTCACACCCCTTTCCCCAGCCCCCACGTGCTTCAGTTTCTCCAGCTGCAGCACAGGTCAGCTGGAAGCCAGGGTAGAACCTGCGGGCATGAGGGAGTGGAGAGGTCCCGCCAGCACGGGGGAGTGGGGAGGTCCCGCCAGCAGGTGGAGAGAGGTCGCACAGAGGCCACACCAGGTGTTTCCTGAATCCTGGCCCCCACTGGGCCCTGGGCCAGGCCAGGGCACTGACAGCCCACTTTGGCAGAGGAGGATGGCCACCAGACAGGGCACGGGCCCAGGATCTGGGGCTGGAGTGGCAGGGCGGGCCCGGGAGAGCTCCTGAGCACCTGCTGTGCCGAGACCCCCGACTTTGGAGGCGCCCTGCCCCCCTGAACCTCAGTCTCCTGGGGTGGGACGAGACTACACGGACGGGGTCACAGCACCCGTCAGAGGAGCCGCTGCGGGGTCTGGGGCCTCTTCCTCCCCTGCAGACCCCGTCTGGGGCTGGGGCTGAGCGGCCGTGGCGTCCGCAGGGCTGCTGCTGGCCATCCTGGAGCGGTGCGGGGTCATCCCGGAGGTGGAGACCAGCGGCGGGAACAAGCTGGGGGCTGGCACGCTGGCCGCCGGCTACCAGAACTTCATCATCTGCGTGGAGATGCTGTTCGCCTCCGTGGCCCTGCGTTATGCCTTCCCCTGCCAGGTGTACGCAGAGAAGAAGGAGAATTCACCAGGTACACCCTGCCTTCCAGCTGGGGCACCCGGAGCGCACAGCCCTGCCCCGGGCACCGTGTCTGTGTCCGTGCCATTCTCGAGGCCCAGGAATGCCAGCTCGCTGGGCAGGGAGACGGGCAAAGGGCATCCGGCTCCGGACAGGCACCTGGGCTGTGTGGGGTCCAGGCGGTCCCGGACCCCAATGGTGATGGGGGATGGGTGTCCCCTGCCAGGCACACCCCCTATTAGGGCGGAGACAGCCTGTGGCCTGCCGGCTTCTCATCAGTCACTGTGGAGAGACCAGGGTGCCCACCCGAGGCCAGCCAAAGGCGTACTCCGCTGCTTGGAGCCCCTCGGAAGCTCTAGGGGACGTGGTCCTTGTCAGGGGTCTGGCCAGGGACGGGCCCGGTGCTGGGTGGAGCAAGCTGGGCTGGGGTCCAGGGGTCTGGGGCCACCCTCTGCTGGCCGAGGCCAGACCTGGACATGCAGGAGCTACAGCCCTGGGCATCCTGGGAGGGGACTTGTCCGGGGAGCTGGAGTGCAGGGGGGATGGTGGGGCTCATACACTGCCCTCCCCCAGCCCCCCCGGCACCCATGCAGAGCATCTCCAGCGGCATCAGGGAGACAGTGAGCCCCCAGGACATCGTGCAGGACGCCATCCACAACTTCTCCCCCGCCTACCAGCACTACACGCAGCAGGCCACGCACGAGGCGCCCAGGCCCGGCACCCACCCCAGCGGCGGCTCCGGCGGGAGCAGGAAGAGCCGGAGCCTGGAGAAGCGGATGCTGATCCCCTCGGAGGACCTGTAGGGGGGCCTGGGCTGCCAGTGCTGTAGGGACCCAGGCTGCCCAGGCCTCTGGGGAAGAACAGGGTCCCCCCACCCACCAACTCCTGCCAAAGGTGGGGCCTCTCCTGAGAGCCCACCTGTGAGGCCCTCGGAGCCCACTTCCCATCCTCCCTCCAGCCAGGGGGTCAGGGCACCTGATGGCCCTGGCAGGCACCCAGGTGGGCCCGCCACCGCAGGAGAGGGCACCTGAGCCAATCGGAAGAGCCTGGGGACCCCCTGGGATCACCCAGCCATCAGCCCCAGGAGCCACTGTGGGGCGGAGAGTGAGTGTGGCTGCGGGGCCTTGGCTGCACGGACCCCATGGGAGCTGTGAGTGGGTCAGACTCCCTGGTTCAGGAGACAGACAGCGGACGGATCCCAGGCTGGGCAGCTGGAGGGAGGGGCGCCGGGGCGCTGGGCAGCCGGGCTCTGACACAGTCAGCAGCTCCGGGCGCCGCAGGCCGGCGGGGTCCACACAGGCTGGCCGGGGCTGGGCCTCCTTGGAGCCTGCTACGGCCCTCGTGGGCACGTGGAGAAGGGCCCACGTGTCTCCACACGCCAGCCACAGGGGAGCCCTGGCCAGGCGCCCAGCCAGGGGAGCGTGTGCCTGGGATGGGTCACAGAACCAGCGGGCACCTGTGAGGCTGGCCAGCACCGTGGGGCTGTGGGAATCGCTCTTATTTATATTTAAACACCTTGGATTTTCTACCGGGTCTTGGCTTCTGTTCCCGCAGGGCATGAGCCTGAGGAGCAGGACGCGGTGGGGGTCACAGGAGGCTGCTGCTCAGAGTCTGCATGCGGGAAAGGGGTCCCACCTGTCTGGGGTGGGCAGCCTCGTGGTCCAGGGCAGTGCAGGGCAGAGCCTGGGCTGTGCGATCACAGCCACTGCCTTTCTCCTGGGAGCCTCCACTTCCTCCAAAACGGGCCTTGTGCCAGCCCCACCCGCGGCGAGCGGACAAGGCCACGAAGGCAGGGCCCTGAGTACCTGGGCGGGGGGGACACTCCCAGGGGGCACAGAGGGGGCTCCCACCTGGGCACCTGCCTCCTGCCCTTCTCTTCTTCCTCCACGTGCCAGGTGGGGCCCTGGGTTTGAGGAGCCTCGGACGCGTGCCCTGCCCGCAGGAAGCTGGAGGCGTGCAAGTGGCCTCGGAAATCGCGGCCGCAAGAACAGTAGCCGCCCAGGGACTAAGGGGGCTTCTGGGAGGACACACGGCTGGCCCAGGGCGAGGGGTGTCACTGCAGGGCGCCCCCCAGGCCCAGGGCCCGTCAGGGGACAGTACGGTGACCCGGCCTGCAGGTGGCAGTCAGTTCTGTGTGTCTGGGGCCCGCAGCACAGGTTGGGTGGGGGCTGGGGCAGGGGCAGCAGAAGTGGGCAAGGCCTGGGGGGCTCAGGCACTGGGCGTGGAGAGCAGACAGGAAGCTCCAGTGGGCACCACCCCGGGACCGCGGCTCCCACCCGTGCTGCCCCCCACCCATGGCCACGGTCACCAGGAACAGCGGGACCTGGGGTCTCCGAGGGACTCAGCAGGGCGGGCACAGACCAGTGGAGTCCGGGCTAGAGAGGGCCAGCTCCCAGCCTCTTGCTTCCTGGGCTGAGGACATGGGGATCCAAGGCCAGTGGGTCTGCAGGGCCCAGCCCGGCTGCCTGATAAGATAGGCTGAGCTCCTCCCTGCACGGCTGCAAAGACGCCCACCTGTCTTATTGGATCCCCACAGGAATAGACCCACCAGGCGGCCCCCGTGTCTCACTCTGTCAGCAGGTCCCCAGGGACCTGCTGCCGAGGGGCAGTTTCTGGAGGCTGGGGGCACTGGCTGGGCTCTAGGCCTGCTCTGCCCTTGCCGTGGGGAAGGCCACCCCGATAGGGGTCAAGTTGCTCAAATCTGCGTTTGGAGGGTGTGTGGCCGAGGGCTCCCTTTCTGGAGACCCAGACACCGCCTGGGCTCCGGGCGGCAGAGGCTGAGGTGTCAGGGGCTGAGCCCCTATGTCAGCAACACCTCAGGCCTGCACTTTAGGACAGGGGAGAAGTCAGTTTCCGCCAAATGCCCCCTCAGACCAGCCGAGGACTGTGCCAGGAAACTGACATGCTCAACGCTCAAGCCAGCTGGGACAGCGACCGAGCCCAGAGAGACGGAGCAAGTTGCCTGAGGTCACAGAGCAGGGACTTGGACACCAGGCAGCCGGCTCCACAGAGGCCCTCTCTCCTCCCTGCCTCCTGACCCTCAGACGCCTCCGCCCCACGGGTGAGGCTGCTTCTGCTTCTTTCCAACACGACTCGAAGGAAAGCCCTGAGGGCCGAGCCCGCTCTGCGTGGACGGAAGGCAGCGTGGGGCGGTCCAGGCCGGGGCTCAACCTGCCTCGAGGGGGAGCGTGGGCGCATGTGAGCGGGAGGGACGGAGACTAGCGTGGTTCCAGTGTCGTCATCGCTGCTAAAAAAGGGGTTTCCCGGTGACAGGCCCCGACAGAGGAGCAGGCCATGAGGCAGGCAGGAGCCGCGTATCTGGGCCCAGCGCACCCGCCAAGCTCTCTAGCCTCTCCTGGCCTCAGTATCCTTCTCTGGGAGATGGTCCAGCTGAAAATCCCCAGCATCCACAAGAAACGGTGGAAGCCCTGGGGGCCCTGGCCTGGCCCGGGTGCAGGCTGCATGGCCGGGCGGGGCGGTGTCTCCTTTCACAGCTTCCCCGTCTGTCCGCAGCCTCCAGGAGCCCCACACAGGGCTGGGGCTCTGTGCCCCCAACTCACACCCGTCGGCTCCCCCAGGAGGAGCAGGCTGGGCCCAGAGCCGCAGGGTGGGCTGCAGGGAGGTCTGACTTAGCTGGGGAAAGTGCCATCCCTGCCATTGCTAGTGACAAGCTCGGGCTGCTGTGGCCCCAGCACAGATTCAACACTCACTGCGCTATGTGCCAGCTGTTGCACACTCACCTCCACACCCAACTCACAGGAAGCAAGGCTGGGAAGGAGGGAACTGGCCCCAGGCCACACAGATGCTGCGAGTTGGGATTATGATCGGGTGCAGTGGCTCACACCTGTAATTCCAGCACTTGGGGAGGCCAAGGCGAGTGGATTGCTTGAGCCCAGGAGTCTGAGACCAGCCTGGGCAACATGGTGAAACCCCATCTCTACAAAAAAAAAATACAAAAATTAGCTGGGCGTGGTGGTGCGTGCCGGCGGTCCCAGCTACTCAGGAGGCTGAGATGGGAGGATTGCTTGAGCCTGGGAGGTCGAGGCTGCAGTGAACTGTGATCACGCCCCTGCACTCCAGCTTGGGTGACAAAGCAAGATACTGTCTCAAAAAACTCGAGTTGGGATTTCACCCTGCGTGGTCCAGCACTGAACAGCGTTCACACCTCGGTCAGCTCAGCCCCAAAAACGGGGAAGGCCGGGCGGGGTGGGGACGGCATGCGGGCAGGCCCGTGGCTTTTCGGAGGAGTCCACGGGCTTCCGGCCACTGTGCAGGGGCGCTTTGCTCTCTGCTCCCAGACAGACCCTGTCTTGCTCACAGCTTCCTGCAGGCTCCTCTGAGAGTCCAGCAAAGCTGGGCGAGATGTCTCCCAGGGAAGGGGAACACTGACAGCCGTGCTGCTCTCTGCTCCTTCCACTGGAAGGGAGAGGCTGCATGGACAGGGGGCTCCGGGTGGGGCAGATGGGGACACTCAGGACTGCGGCCTGACCCTCAGAGACTGAGCCCAGGACGTGGTCACCTGACCAGCACCTCCCCCGTGGCTGTCCCAGCCTCACGGTCACGGCCCAGCAGTCCGGGAAAGCCACTTACACGTAGTGCCCGGATCCTGACCCCGGTGAGGGACAGGCAGGGTCCCCTGGGATTGGGGGGGGGGTGTGGTTCTTGGCCCAAGAAAGCCCCAGCTGAAAGCACCAGCTACGCAACGAAAGGGTCTGAAACCAGAAAATTCTTTATTGCAAAGGTACAAAAGCAGTCACAGCAGCAGGACGCACGGCAATAAATTAGGTGGTGGCCGCAGGGACGGGGCAGGGCGGCGGCGGCCAGACACGGGCCCACATGTGATCTGTTTTCAATAATTTATATCATGATAAAAAGCAGCACAAAAAATAAATAATGAAATGGAACTGCCAAGTAGCACAGAAGCCAGGGTGAGGCGGTGTGGCGGCGTGGCGGCATAGGGGGCCGGGGTCCCCACGCCCTGGAAACGCAAAGACCTGGATCTCTTTGGGAAGCCGGAGGCACGGAGACAGAAAACAAACCCACGTGACAAAGAGTCCCTCGTCTTTTTCTTAAATAAAAAAATCCATATATTAAATCATGACAATGAAATTTCAACAATCTGAAAAGAAAAGCAGAACACACCGTGCTTCCCCGGCCCAGCTCTGGGCGGTGACAGCGGCTCCGTCCACCCTGGGGACCAGGGAGTCCCTTCTCCAGCAAAGCACTGCAGGCCAAGGGCAGGTAGAAGCCCACGGCCCACAAGACGTGGACACCAAGAACCCCAAGACGGGACAGAACCGGCCACCCGCTGCGGCCTGTCCTGCGGGGCCCAGCTGCCTGGTACAGTCCGTGGGGAGATGAAGGGGGACGGCGGGCAGCCCGGGCCTCCGCTTTGCTCCCAACTCCCACCTGTGCCCGTGCCCCCGGCTCTGCTCTGATAGATTTACAGTATCAAACTGGAAAAGAAAGATTGTTACGAAAAATCTGTAGATAAACTGTGAATATAATTTTATATCTCTATATATTTTCTGTTTCTCTCTTTAAATATCCCCCTGGTCCTTATGACATCCAATATGGATTACCTACCACGGCCACGGGGGCAACGGCTGTTTGGGAACACGCAGGCCTTTGCTCTGTAGGGACCCAGTGGTCCTGGCGGGCCTGCAGCTTCCCACTCAACTTCTAACAGTAGACACAGAACCAAGTCGCAGCCCCGGGGCTGTCTGTCCTCTGCCCTCCCAGCGTGGCTGGCACCCGCCTGGGCTCTGTAGCTGGTGGGGGCTGTTACTGGGTGGGCAGGGGCAGCCGAGAAGGAGCCAGGGCCCCAGGCACCACCTTGCAGGTCTTATGTGGCGGCCCCCGGCCGGCGGCTCACATTCCGCCAGCTCCCCCAGGCAGGGGCTCCGCAACCCCCGCGGCTCTCGCTGCAGAGACCCCAGTCACAGGAGGGACCCTCAAGGCGGCTCTCCAGGAAAAGGAAGCCCAAGGTGGAGTGCCAAGCCCACTGGTGCCTCAGTGCTCTTGGAAGGAGGAGCAGGCAAAGGCTCCGGGTGAGGACTGAGTGCTGAGGCCAGCCACACCTGCAGCCCGTGGCTGTGCTCCTGGGGGTGTGCGCGCAGGAGCCACGTCCACGAAGCTCTCCTGGACTGGTGCCTGCTGCCTCCCCACCCGCCGCGCCCTCTGGAGTGCCAGGCTCACTCCTGAGCTCTTCTACAAGCCAGCTGCATCCTGGTCCTGCCCCTCAAGGCTTTCCACCTGCTCTCGCACACGGCTCCCGCCTCCTCCCACCACTCCACGCAACGTCCTCCTCCTTCCACCTCCACATCCATGTCCACCAACATCCCCCAGGCTGCACCCCCTCTCCCTAGACTGCAGCAGCCCTTCCCCTCGCCAGGCCCCCAAAAGACCTCCTCGTTCCCCCTGCACTGACCACAGTTGGTGAGAAGTAGCTCCAGGACACACAGCCTGAGTCCTGCTCACCGTCAAATGATGGGGCGCTCCTGCCTGTGTCCGCTGAGATCCGGGACGGCCTGTGGGGTCGGTGTCTGGGGGGCCGGATCCCGTGGGCAGGGGCTTCTGCGCTGTGCTGCACGACCTCCTCGGGTCACCAGAGCACAGGGGAGACCTCACGACGTGTGAGCCACTCTCTCTGCCATGTGTGCCCACAGGCCCTCCCCCAGTGAACACCAGCAAGCTGCACCCCCTCAGCCCTGCTGCTTTGATGGCAGGCGTGCGTGCACACACACAGACACCACCCCACGCAGGCGACCTCCCACACCGTGCCCACTCACGCAGGCCCCTGCTAAGGCAGACGCGGATCACGGGCACTGCAACGGGACAGCTGGAAGGACGGAGCTGCCGACACACCATCCATGCTCCTCCCCGGGGACTGCGGAGTCGGTCAGGGCAGTGAGGGGCTCCCGCACCGGCTGGGAGGCCGTGGCAGGACAGGTGTCGAAGGCTGCTTACAGCAGGAGTGGAAAACAAGCCCCATGCTAGACCTGACCACAGGGGCCTGACTCCTGGGGCCGTGTCTTCCGGCAGCCCCCACAGAGGACGCGGAACTTCCCGAGGGCCTTTCCATTATATGTCCCGACTCCCACGGGTGCAAGATACCAATTCCCACACACAGACACATCCTGCGGGGAGCAGGTGGCGGGCGTGAGTGTGTCTGTGGACCGGCGTGCAGCTCTGGGCCCACGGGAGCCCACTCTTCACCCTGCAATACAGTCTCTTCCTGGTGTGAGCTGCCTGCGCCCGAGGGGCCTGCGCTTGGACTCGGATGTCGAGAGTCTGCATCCCAGTGACAGGTACGAGGGGTGTGCCCCCACCCGCCTGCCCGCCGCCCGCCGCCCGCCACCCCCCGCCCCCGGCCGGCACTAGGATGCAGCCGAGAAGGGCACGGAGGTGGAGGAGAGCTCGGTGGACTTGACGATGGTGATGACGCTGGTGGTGGCCACCTTGGAGGGCGCCACAGGTCCCCGGGCCACGGTGCGCGCGAAGGTCTGCAGCGCCTCGTACTTGGAGCGCAGGGCGTCCAGCTCCAGCCGCATGCTGCTGTTCTCACGCGCCAGCTTCTCCACCTCCTGCTGCAGCTCCACGCGCTGCCGCTCCAGCTCCTCCTTCTGCGTCACCCGCTTGATGCGGCAGCTGGCCGCGTAGCCGCGGTTCTTGAGTGTGCGCCGACGCTGCTTCAGGCGGGTCACCTCCTCCTTGGTGAGACCCCGCAGGTGCTGGTTCAGCTCCCGCACCGACATGGACACCAGCTCATCATCGCTGAGCACCGGGGCGTTCTCGCCCGCCTCCTTCTTGACCTGGGGGGCCACAGTGCGGGGTCAGCGGCGGGAGAACGTGGGGTGTCTGCCTGGGACCGACACTGGGGTGGCCAGGAACCCAGCGGTGCCCCTGCACGCCTGCGCTCTCAGGGCTGGCCTTCGCCATCCGCACCAGGGACCACAGGACACTGTGCACGCAGGCAGCCCATGTGACAGCTGTGGCCCCACAGGACCCTTTCTGAACGGGAAAAGCCAGTGGTGACATCGGTCACTCCTGGTTACCGACAGCCTCAGAGCCCATGAGGACCCAGAGTGCATGGGTCCTGCTGCTGGGACTGAGCCGGCCCACAGGCACACGCCATTGTGGAGGCGGCAAGCGCCAGGCACAGGTGGGCTCGGGCCTTGGGAGCTGGAGCATCGCGTTCACCAGAGGCCACGCTGGCCACGCTGCCCACGCCTGGAGCCAGGGGATGAGCTCATGCAGTAGCGCCCGGCGGACACACAGCCCAGGCGGGAAGGCAGCAGACCCTGCCACGCCCTCAGCCTGGGAGTCATCGCCTGGAACCACAGTCCCCGATCCTGACTCCACCTCTCCTGTGAACATCCCTCGGCCACAGCAGCCCCCCTCCTCCTGGCAACAGGGAGGCCTCCATCACAGGCTCAGGACGGCCCTGGGATAGCAGGGGCTGTCGGGCCGGGGGCCTTTCCCACGCCTGTGCTTGAGACGGGGCCTGCTTGGAACCAGCCTTACCTTTAATGCCTTATTCGGTTTGGGATTAGTCGTCATAACCCGGGCACGGTCACCAGGACAGAGCTCCCTGGAACTCGTAGCTGGAAAACATGGACAAGCAGAGAAGCCAGCACAGGTCAGGGCCGGCAGCGCCGGACAGGGTGCCCACCTCCCATGCAGGGATGCTTCTCAGCCCGGGGTGGACAGTCACAGCACCATGAAAACAAGACGGGGCACCATCCGGGCCCAGCCCGTCCTGAGGGGCTTCCCAGGGGGTGAGGCATCCTGGCCCGGCCTCTGTCCCTGCCTGAGGGTTCAGGGAAAGGTCTGGCTGCACCTCACACTCTAGCACACTCCACAGAGCGGCTGGGACCCCACCCCAGGGCCTGGCAGCCAGGTGCGGCCCCCTGCTGCCCTGCAGACCTGGGCTGCAGCCGCCGGCACTGTGGGGTGACCAGCAGGCGCCGGCAGTGGCTGCTTCCTGTTCTGACTCTCCCTGAGGTCAGAGAAGACGTCTGCACCTGCACAGCACAAGGTGCCCCGTACCGAGGACCAAAGTGACTGGTGGCAAAACCTCCCTCCCTCAAGACAGCTGTGCCGGCCCCGAGGAGTGTGGGGCCCCGCTGGACAGCGACCCTACACTGGCAAAGGCTCCGGTGCTCCGGACCCAGCCTGGATCCCCGAGAGGGGGCCTCTGGGGAGCCCCTGACATCGCCATCCCCCACGGTGGGCCTGGGTGGAGGCCCAGCCGCCCTCCCGCCCCGCCCTCCCCACAGGCCACGGGACACCTACCACGGCCCTGGCCGCTGCGGCTGTGACATCACCACCTCCACCTAAGCTGCCCCCGAGCGAGGACCCTGCGGCCCAAGGGGGTGTGGGGTTCCTGAGGGGCGGCAGGTCCGGGGGCCGCAGCCAGAGACCAGGGAGGTGGGGGAGCCGCCGCCCTGCCGAGCATTTGACCGTCTGGCGGGAGTCGTCCCCGCCGCCGCCCCCGCCGTCCTCACGTCTGCATTGTGTCACACATTCTAATCATTCATGAAAAACCCAGCCAAAGCATCCCCGGCATGAGCCCTCCGATAGTTGCCATGGCGACCTTGGGACCGAGCCAGCCCCCACGGTTGTCATGGAAACCGAGAAGCCCAAACGCGATCCTGACTTCAGGTCAGGTTGCACAGACATCACGAGGCCGGCAGGCAGTCAACAAACCCATTTGCACCCGGCGGCCGGGACGGGCGGGCAGAAGGCGCCGGGCAGCTCGCGGGACAGGGGTTCACAGCACCCACTCCCATACCCCAAATACCAGACACAGGTTCCCACAGGAACATCAGAGCAGCACACGGCGGTGGGGGGTGTCCTTGGTCAGCACCTCCACTGGACATGGGCATCATGGGGGCGGGTGACCGCATCCCGTCCTCCCTGCCAGCCCAGGACCCTCCCCACACCCTGGGCCAGGGAGCCCTCGGGCCCAAATCCCTCCACCCTCCAGCCCTGCCTCCGATGGGGGCCCCACCCCCGCAACCCACAAACCCCCACAACAAGAGGGCCGCACAGGTGAGACAGGGTCCTGCGCCAGGCTGCCGAGTCCGCTGCCCCTGCCAAGGCCAGCTGATCTCAGGGCGCTGACGTAGATGGCACAGGATGGCACCAGCCGGTCCCGGGGACGGCCAGGTGGGCTCCAGGCTCCTTCGCACCACGTCCTGGGGTGAGGGTGACAGTGGAGAGGCTGGGGCCCAGCTGCCTCCGCCACCGTGGGGACCTGCAAATGCCGGCGGCTGGGAGCACCATGAGAAACTTTTCCATGTCAGAGGGAGGGGCCGCGGGCACCGCTTCCAGCTCCACTGCGAGCACGTCAGTGCACAGGCCGGCCACGACATAGCTATGCGGTGAGTCACCAGATGTTTACAGAGCCGCGCGCATTCCCACACACCCGGGCCTCCCACCCAGCAAGGACCCGCTCCTGGGCCCCCGGGCCCACTGCCCGCCGTGGCAGCACAGCCGGGCGGAAAAGGAAGGTCCGGGGGACAGGACCGTCTGGCCAGACCCACGGTGACGTGTGGGGCTCGGCCAGATGCCAGGGGCAGAGTTCAGCGTGGGGATCTTTCCACTAAAAAGATGCCTCCGCGATGCCCTGTGACACTGCGGAGGCACACGGTAGCCGGGGGCGCCCCAGGAGGGGTGGCTGACTACTTCCAGGAGGTCAAGGTTGCCAGGGCTACTGAAGCACGCCTGTGCCCCGCTCCAACCCCAGTACTTCGAGGCACACCTGCACTGGGGCCCTCTGAAGAATGAGGACCTGGCGGACGCAGGGCTCCCAGGCGGCCCCCACGCTGTGCTCGCAAGCCTGCCCCCCACCTCCTTGGGCAGGTCACGACTCTGCTCTGCCGAGGAAGCCTGGACCAGCCACGCGCCTGGAGAGACGACGCAGCGGGACGGCCCAGCCAAGCAGCAAAGCTTCTCTCAGGAACCCAGCACGGGATGGGATGGTGCTGGCGCCTCCCTCTCCCCACCATGCACAGAATAAATCCAAGTAGCCTTAACCTAATGTCGCTTTAAACATCAGAGGCAAGAAAGATGACAGCTTGCTTTTGGAAGGACATTCAGAGAAGAGTTTTGTATGCACAAAAAAAGTTTGTAAAGCAACTGATCTAAAAATGACGACTGCCCTAAATGGGGTTTTGTGAACTGTCCGACCTCACATGGCCTCCAGGGCCGCCAGAGCACATGTAGAAAGCGCTCCCACCCCAGGGCCAGAGACGCAGCCTTAGGGTGTCATCCAGGGGGAAAGCGTGCCTGGGGTCGCAGAGACGCCCGTGCACTACCCCGGGCCCAAGGCAGGGGCTACTGCATTAGCACCTGGTCAGCACTGCAGCCAAGCTCCCCTCCAGCAGCCCCCGAGGAACGACGTCCTCGCATTGTGTCTTACGCCCAGCAGCTAACAAAACACCAGCATCGCCACGCACAAGCACCCGACACCCCGAGCTCCTCTGAGTTTCGGTGGTCACCAGAGAAGTGCAGTGTTCAGCGCCACAGCGGGGGCCTGGGTGGGCGGGTCTGAGTTTCCGCTGTGGGGCCCCAGCAGCCGACGTAAGTAAGGGTGCAGCGCTCACGCCCCACGTCCCGGGAGCAGCGCCGGGCAGCAAAGTTCTCCGGCACCACCTATAACTTGGAACAGCTCTCAGGTAACTGGTTTTCGGATGGAAGAGGCAGGGTTTTCAACCCAAGGCCAGACACCTCGACGTGACGCAGAACTAAACAAGGCTCAGCGGGGGCATCACTTCCTCTCAAGGAAAAGGAACTGCCAGCAGCCTCAGACAGAGGCAATTCCTGCGGCTGCAGCTGGGGATGAGTGACGGAGCCAGGACGCCGGGCGCCCCTTTCCAGGATCCAGACTGAGGGCCTGGGCTCCATAAAGCGCAGGGCAGGGCGGCTCCGCCCAGGAAGGCACCTTGCAGAGGGTGAGGATCAGAGCCCTGGGCTCCCCCCGGCAGGGCAGGCAGCCCAGGGTCAGTCGTCCAGAACTGTGCTTTCAGGAGCAGGTGATCCCCAGGCAGCCACCTCAGCTTCTGGAGGATCATGTTTTCCCTTTTAATTTTCATTTTAGAGACAAGGTGTCACTCTGTCACCCAGGCTGGAGTGCAGTGGTGAAATCACAGCTCACTGCAGACCTCCTGAGCTCAAGCGATCCTCCTGCCTCAGCCTCCCGAGCAGCTGGGACTACGGGTGGGCACCCCCACACCCAGAGAATTTTAAACTTTTTTGTAGAGACAGGGTCTCACCATGTTGCCTAGGCTGGTCTCGAGCTCCTGGACTCAAGTGATCTTCCTGCCTCAGTCTCCCAAAGTGCTGGGATTACAGGTATGAGCCACCATGCCCGGCCATTTTTAACTTTTTAAGTCCCAGCAAATACTCACTGGTCACCCATGGGCCTGACCCTGCTCAGTGGGGGGCTGGCAGCCTTGGCACCTCTTGCTGTGCTGGCACAAGCTGAGAAGGACCTGCTTTGGGGTCCAGGAGGGAACATTTTCTCCACCAAGTTGGGACTGGGCACAGTGGCTCTTGCCTGTAATAGCAACGCCTCCGGAGGCCGAATGCTCGAGCCCAGTAGTTTCAGGCCAGCCTGGGCAACATAACAAGGCCCCATCTCTACAAAAAAAAAAAAAAAAAGAATTTTAAATAGCCAGTTGTGATGGCACATATGTGCCTATGGTCCCGGCTACTCGGGAGGCTGAGGTGGGAGGATTGCTTGAGCCTCGAAGTCGAGATTGCAGTGAGCTGTGATCACACCACTGCACTCCAGCAGCCTGAGTGACAGGGCAAGACCTTATCTTTTAGGAAAAAAAAAAAGAGAGAGTGCAAAAGTGAGTTGAGCAGCTGACGGCTGGATGACCCCTCTGAACGGTCCCGGCTGTGGATGCCCATAGAGAAACGGGGATTTCAGCTTTGGGGCTCTGATTCTTCCCAGATGAGAGGACGCATCGGGGCTGCCGCTCGCTCTACGAGGCCAGCATGGGGGCTCTGGATGGGTCACTTGTTCTTGCCCAAGGGGTGAATGATGACACAGACTCCATGCCCCACCCCCTCAGCTGCCCAGCCAGTCTGACCAAGACGGAGTGGCCCTTCCACTTCTATTCTCCGCGGGTCTCCGAGGATGTGGGATGCGGGAGAGGGAGGAGGGGCAGGAGGAAGACCAGGAACGGAGGACGGGAGCTCTGTGCGAGAGACACGGGTTCAGAAACCCAGCAGCACAGCAGCAAGCGCCCTCCCGCCCCCCGACCAGTGACTCCCACGGCAGGTGCAATCCACAAAACCAGAGGCCACCCAAGGTGTACCCGCCTCTCCCAGGAGCCTTTCTGCCAGAGACCCCAAGCCGGGTGCCCTCCACACTGGGCCGCAAGGGTAGGTGGGGCCGCTGTGGCACTGGTACCCAGTGGGTGCCTGTCAAACAGGTGTCAACCGACTAATTGCAGCCCAGCTGGTCCCAGAGACCAGCCAGACACCCTTCCTACTGAGGATGAGGTCCTACACTGCGAGGGCCCCCACTGTCCGGCTGTCCCGGACACAGCCCCACTAAGCATGCGGGAGGCACCCCACTTGGCACCCCGCAGCCCGGCCCATACCAGCCAGCAGCCTGGCCCTGGCTGGCTGCCCTCCAGCAAGCCATGACTGTCGGCCCGGCTTGGAGGACGTCTGGTCACCTTGCATTTGCAGTCTGAGGAAGCTGTGTCATTCCGCTACATCCAGAGGTGACTCAGGCAGCTGCAGCAGCAGAGAGCAGACTGCAGAACACACCACACCCCCTCCAGTCCCCGCCCTGGCTCCCACCACACCATCCTCCTGTCCTCGGCCTCCAGCTCCCCATCAGCATCCTGTTCTCCCCCGGCCGCCCTGGGGCTTCAATCCGCTCCCAGCCTCTAAGTCCAGTCAGGGGCATTCCGGGGGGCCCAGATGCCCCCCAGCCCCCAACCGCATCATTCACCGGAGTTGCCCCTGCCCCTCTCTCTTTTCCTCATCCACGCGCCAACCAGGCTTGATCCCAGCCCTCAAGCATCACCCGCCTGAACCCACAGCACCTGCCCAGGCTCCGGCCTCCAGCGTCTCCTGTCTGGACCACAGCTTTGCCAAATGGGATGCCCTCACCCTGATCCTGGTGCCCCCCACACAGCCCCACAGGCAGTCAAAAGTCTTGGGGGTTCCTCCCAAACCCCGACTCCCCCACCCCAATGCCGTTTCAGGTTTCTGATCACCATCTGCAGAGAGCACGTGGTTCCCTGCCCTGCTTCTTCCAGAAACACTCCCCACTGCTCTCCTCCTCGCGTAGGCAAGCACCCTCTACCAAGGCCTGGTTCTAGATCCTTCTGGGGACAGGGGGCCTCCCCAAGGCATGGTGAGCTCCTTGCAAGCAGGGAGAAGGTCTTCCCTACACCCCACACTAGCCCCCGCTGTACGAGATGAGCCGGCCCCGCATGGGAGGGCAGGGAGAGGGCAGTCTCCACCCCAATACCTTCCCCAGGACACCCGACGCACAGTGCGGAGAAGCAGGAAGGCTCTACACCAGACCCCACCGGCCTGTGGGACAGGCCAGCAGACCTCATGGCCTGGGCTTCCTCATCTACAGCAGCTGGTCGGGGGGTGGGGCATGTGGCCACTCAAGTTCGCTTGTACCTGCTCTAAAACTCTATGATTTTAAGACGACACTCCCAGTTTCCTGAAACTGTAGGAAAGCGGAAACATGACGAGTCTGTGACTTATAAAAAGCAAAAATAAATAGCGGGGAAAGGCATCTTCCATTCGCGGAGAGCAGGGAGGGTGGGGACGGAGCGGTGAGTCACTGTTTACTGTTGAAAGGCGGCCACACGGAGCCCTCTCTCAGCTGGCCAGATTTCCATTTCCCGTGTGGACTGGACCCGAAACCCAGAAAGTCCACTCCAGAAACCTTTAGACTCAGAAACAGCTGGGACAAGAACAGGCACAACTTCTTCTCCGTCTGGGTGGCAAACAGCTTTGCCAGAGACTGTAAACAAACGCAGCCATCGCTGAGCCCCGTGGGTGAAAGCACACGCCTTGTAGACAGCGAAGTGGCCCGGAAGACGGTCTCCCTTAACAGCAGCCTCCCGGGTGCACACAAAGGCTGGCGCCCCGACAACCCTGACCCTCGGTAAACGCTGGCTCCCGGGTTTACCAGCACCTGGGGAGTCGACGCTGCGGGCAACCAGCCCCTCAAAGCCCTGGCTCGGTTCAAGGATAAAAGGCAGGAGAAGCCTGGTTTTTCTGCTTTAATAAATGTCTTATTTTGGAATAATGAGAGGTCTAGTTTTAAAAGCAGACTCCCTCTCCCAAGGTCAAACTCAGACATTCCTACTGGGTTACCTAAGAAAGGGAGATGTTCTCATAAATGGCACTGGACGCCCAAATAGGGTGTAGGTGTGTCCCAGACACCTGCACAGCCCACCTATGTTCTCCAGACCCCGCCCACGGCTCTTTTAATGCTCCATGTCCCTGAAGACATTGGGTTTGGAGAAGCTGCATAGGGCACCCCACTCTGTGTTGGAGAACCCCTTACAACAACACACCGTGACGGTGAAACCTCAGTGCCAGTAAAGAGACCTGGCAGCCCACCCTGGAGAATCAGAGGGGTGGGAAGGGCGCTGCCAGAGCCGAACCACACAGATATCCCCTAGACCACGATGGGGGGCGGTGGGGGGCGTTTTGAGTCTCAGGATCTTCCCAAGGCCAGGCACCTGGCCAGAGATTGGCTGGCTGCCTGTGGGTCACCTGGTGAATGAATGGTGAGTGGATCTAATTTCTGCCTCAGCTACAAGAGCTACTTAAGAAGCAAGAAAACAGCATGCTCAGGGACGCAGGACACCAGGAGAGGGACACGGGAGGCCCCGCGAACACGGACACACACGGTGTGAGCGCGAGAATGCAGTGCAGGGCCACTGCTGTGTCCCAGGCGGACCCAGGTCAAGGGCCAAGGCCAGGCGGGGTCCTGGCTTTCTGGGTTTCTCGGTGGCGCCTGGTCCCACCCCCCAGGATCTAGAGGCTGTGCAGACGCAGACACACACAGTCACGGGCACATACACAGTTTCCTGAACTTGACAGAGGCACAGAAGAACTCACGCAGTGGGAGCGGGAAGAGGCCGGAGCCCCTGCCCCACACGTGAGCAAAGGGACGAGCCTTGGGGCCACTGTCACCTGCCCCCCTCCCGCCTCCCCACGGCCTTCCTTCCAGCAACCCTGGCAGGTGGGCGGCTGAGAGCGACACCAGTCCCAGGATCCCGCCTGTGGGGAGACCCGGTTACCCCCACCCCGTTCCCGGGCACGCGTGACCCCAGCCACTGGGCCAGAGCGCCGCCCGTCACCGGGAGGAAGCGCGGGGGGCAGTCCGGGGCCGCACGCGGAAGCCACGCTGGGGCGGAAGCCGCGGAGAATCCACGCGCCCGCGCCCTCCCCGCACCGCCCGCACGTGGCGCCCGCCCCGCCCCGCCCCCCGCAGGTGTGAAGGCGCGGGCCCGATGCGCGCCGCCGACCCGCGTGGATCCTCGTCCTCCCAGGTCTGGGGTCCGCGCCCTGGGGCCCCCGGCGCGGCAAGCATGGCCCGGGCGGCACGTGCAGGGGAGAGAGCCTCGCGTCCCGGGGAAGCCCCCGGGCCTGCGGGGCGGGGCCCACCTGGGCAGGTGCCCGGGCCGCGCCGCGGGCCGCATGAGGGTCTCGGGCCCCGCGCACCCAACCCCGCCACCCTCGGCCCGCGCCCCCAGGCGGCCGTGACTCAGCGGCCAGGTAGCCCCGGCCCCGCGCCCCGGTCCCCGTCCCCGCCGCGGCCCGGGCCCCGCTGCCCCACCGCCCCTCACCTGGCGTCGCGCGGAGGGCGCGGGCGCGCGGCGGCTCCTCGCGGGCACGCGCTGTCCTCGCGCCGGCGCTCACTGTCGCGCTCCCCTCGGCCGCCGCCGCCGCCTGGCGCTCGGGCTCCGACTTCGCGAAGAACAACAAGTGCCCCCGCGCCGCCCGCCGCCACCGCACCCGCCCGCCCGGCTCCCCAGCATCTGACACCGCTTCCGGGATCCGCGGCGCGCGCGTCACACCGCCCTGCCCCCCGGGCCACGCCCCCTCCCCGCCCCGCGGCCACGCCCCCCGGCCACGCCCTCCTCTCCCGCCCGGGGGGCCGCTGGCCCCGCGCGCACCTGCAATCCCCGCGCTTTGGGAGGCCCTGCGGGAAGATCTCTGGAGGCCGGGAGTTCAAGACCAGCCTGGGCAACATAGCGAAACCTCCCTTCCCCCATTCTCTGTCTCTATAAACATAAAAAACATTAAGGCCAGCTGGGAACGGTGGCTCATGCCTGTAATCCCAGCACTTTGGGAGGCCAAAGCAGGAGGATCGCTTGAGCCCAGGAGTTCCAGACCAGCCTGGACAACACAGTGAGACCCCCATCTCTACAAAAAAATTACAAAAATTAGTCGGGCGTGGTGGTATGTGCCTGCGGCCCCAGATATTCAGGAGGCTGAGGCAGGAGGATGGCTTGAACCTGGAAGGTGGAGGCTGCCATGATTTCATCACTGCACTCTAGCCTGGGTGACAAGGTGAGACCCTGTCTCAAAAAAACAAAACAAGCAAACCAGCAATGTAAAAATGGGGATAAGCGGCTAGTGATCACAGCCTCTGTGGGTGGGGCCAGCCCCCTTCTAAAGCCCCAGCTGGTGGTTGCCAGGGGACACAGCAGGCCCAGGATGGGGTTAGGGCACCACTGGCCCAAGGAGTCCTGTGAGGGATCCTCAGGTGGGGGCGGGCCCCTGAGGGAGCTGCCTCTGCTTCCTGTCACAGGTGGAGGACAGGCTGGAGAGGGGATCCGTCTGGAGCCCCTTGCCACGCTTCTGGGTCCCCAAGTCCCGCCCCCCTCTGAGCGCTGCAGGAAGAGGAGTTTCAGGCCTGGGCAACCGAGGGCCCCCCAGGACACCCATGGCATCTGCCCGGGGTTCTGGGAAGCCTGTTTTCTCAGCTCAGGTGGGACCCGGGAGCCTGTTTTCTCGGCTCAGGTGGGACTCAGGAGCCAGTGCAGGGAGGTCTGTGCATCTTCTGGGTGTCGTCCTTACCACCATGTGGCTGGGGATTTAGGCAGCAGCCCAGTGGCCTCTTGCTGTGGAGCGCGGGGGCAGCCTCCCGGGCCATCTCTCCCCCCCACTTGCGGGTTCTGCACTGGCCACCTGGGAGGCCCCTCCTTGCTAAGGCCCACACGGCCGTCTGGGGCAGCTAGCCACAGTGATGCCTGCAACCTGGCCGCAGAAACAGGTGCCAAGAAATAACTCAACAGCAGCAGTAGCGACAATGTCCCACGTCCCCAGGATGTTTGCAGAAAGACATCCCCCGGGGATGGGAAAGGTGCTTCCCTTGTCCTGGCCCACACTCTGCACTCGGGGTCCTGGGATGCGCTGGGAGCCTCCAGAGAAGCTGTGGCCATCTCCGCGGGACTCTTTACGTTACTCATGGTGTCGCTCCTCTAACCCAAATGCATTCTTTCCATAGCAGGCTTTTGTTACTAATCACACACTTTTATTATCTCTTTAATTTTTTAATTTGTATTTATTTATTTCTGAGATGGAGTCTCACTCTGTCGTCCAGGCTGGAGTGCAGTGGCACCATCTCGGCTCACTGCAGCCTCCGCCTCCCAGGTTCAAGTGATTCTCCTGCCTCAGCCCCCTCGAGTAGCTGGGATCACAGGTGCCCACCACCACGTCTGGTTAAATTTTGTTTTTGTTCTTGTTGCTGTTTTGAGATGGAGTCTCACTCTGTTGCCAGGCTGGAGTGCAGTAGCACGATCTCGGATCACTGCAAGCTCCGCCTCCCAGATTTAAACAATTCTTCTGCCTCAGCCTCCTGAGTAGCTGGGACTACAGATGCCTGCCACCACGCCCGGCTAATTTTTTTTTTTTTTGTATTTTTAGTAGAGACGGGTTTCACCATGTTAGCCAGGATGGTCTCAATCTCTTGACCTTGTGATCTGCCTGCCTCGGCCTCCCAAAGTGCTGGGATTACAGGCGTGCGCCACCACACCGGCTGATTTTTGTATTTTTCGTAGAGACGGTTTCACCATGTTGGCCAGGCTGGTCTCGAACCCCTGACCTCAGGTGATCCACCCGCCCTGGCCTCCCAAAGTGCTGGGATTACAGGCGTGAGCCACTGCATCCAGCCTAATTTTTAAAATTTTGAATTATTTATTTATGTTTGTTTTATGAGACAACATCTCACTGTCGCCCAAACTGGAGTTCACTGGTGCAATCACAGTTCCCTGTAGCCTCCACCTCCCAGGTTCAAGTGATCCTCCCACCTCAGCCTCCTAAGTAGCTGGGACCAAGGGCTGGTGCTACCACGCTTGGCTAATTTTCTTTGTTTTTTTTTGTAGAGACAGGATCTTGCTCTGTTGCCTAGGCTGGTCTTGAACTCCTGGGCTCAAGTGATCCTCCCGCCTCGTCCTCTCAACGTGTTGGGATTACACGCATGAGCCACTGTGCCTAGCCAAAGTTTACTTTTTATTGTGGTAAAGTAAACATCACATAGAATTTACCATTTTAACCATTTTTTTTAAGTTAAAAAAATATTTTTTCAGAGATAGGGTCTTGCTACGTTGGTCAGGTTGGTCTTGAACTCCTGGCCTCAAGCAATCCTCCTACCTCAGCCTCCCAAAGTGCTAAGATCACAGGTGTGATTAGGTGAATAGGCTGGGCATGGTGGCCATCACACTAGGCCAAGTTAACCATTCTAAGTGTACGGTTCGGTGGCGTTAAGTACATTCACGTTGTGGTACAAACATTGCCATCATCCATCTCCAGAAATTTTTCATCATTTAGTAGTTCCTTTTGTAAAAAAATGTTAAGTTCTGGCTGGGCAAGCTGGCTCACGCCTGTAATCCCAGCACTTTGGGAAGCTAAGGTGGGTGGATCACCTGAGGTCAGGAGTTCAAGACCAGCCTGACCAACATGGAGAAACCCTGTCTCTACTAAAAATACAAAATTAGCTGAGTGTGGTGGCGCATGCCTATAATCCCAGCACTTTGGGAGGCTGAGACGGGCAGATCACCTGAGGTCGGGAGTTCAAGAGCATCCTGACCAACATGGAGAAACCCCATGTCTACTAAAAATACAAAATTAGCCAGATGTGGTGACTCACGCCTGTAGTCCCAGCTACTCGGGAGCCTGAGGCAGGAGAACCACTTGAACCCAGGAGGCGGAGGCTTCAGTGAGCCGAGATTGCACCATTGTACTCCAGCCTGGGAAACAAGAGCAAAACTCTGTCTCCAAAAAAAGAAAAAGTGTGTGTGTGTGTGTGTGTGTGTGTGTGTGTGTGTGTGTGTGTGTGTGTGTTTTGAAACAGGATCTCATTCTGCCACCCAAGCTGGCGGGCAGTGGCACGATCCTGGCTCACTGCAGCCCGGACCTCCTGGGCTCAAGCAATCCTCCTGCCTCAGCCTCCCAAGTAGCTGGGACTACAGGCATGCACCATCATGCCCAGCTAACTTTTATATTTTTAAATAGAGATAGGGTCTCACTAGGCTGCTTAGGCTGTTCTTGAACTCCTGGGCTCAAGCAATCCATCTGCTTCAGCCTCCCAAAGAGCTGGGATTACAGGCATGAGCAACTGTGCCCAGCCTTGAAGAAAACATATGTAACTTTCTTTATAACTTCAGAGTGGAAAAAGGTTACTCTAATCATGATTAAAAATCTAAATACCACAAAACAGATTCAAGGCAAAAATCCTCGGAAGTAAAGTCACAACACAAAGCACACACTAGGAAAAATACTTGCAACTCAGATCTACCAGGCAAAGGGCTCCTAAACGTGTATGAAAGAACACAACCAATAAAAGAAGGCAAAGGAGGTGAATAGATCATCCACGGAAAAAGAAATCCACAGGACAAACATGTGAAAAGGTGTCTGTAATCAGAGAAATGCACATCAGAGAAAGACATTGCCGTTCTGCTTCTTGTCCAGGCGAATCCCCAAATCAGATCTCGTGCCCCAAAGGCACGGCTCAGGGAGCGAGCCCTTGGACGCATTGCTGGTGGAGGGGCCAGGCAGCGGAGCCCCAGGGAAGGAGTCTGGCCACACTGTCCATGAGACCATGGCCCCGATTTGTGCTAGAACCCAGCAATCCCACTACTTCTTTGTCCTTCTCCTCCTCCTCCTTCTCCTCCTCCTCCTCCTCCCTCTTCCTCTTCTTCCCCCTCTTCCTCCTTTTTCTTTCTTTTCCTCCTCCCCCTCCTTCTTCCTCTTCCTCCTTTTTCCTCTTCCTCCTCTTTTTCTTCTTTCTCCTCCTCCTTCTTCTTCTCCTCCTCCCCTCCCCTCTTCTCCTTCTCCTTTCACTCCTCCTCCCTCTCCTTCTCCTCCTTTCTCCTCCCCCTTCTTCTCCTTTCTCCTCCCCCTTCTTCTTCTTCTCCTCCTCCTCCCCTCCCCTCCCCTCTTCTCCTTCTCCTCTCACTCCTCCTCCCTCTCCTTCTCCTCCTTTCCCCCCCCTTCTTCTTCTTCTTCTCCTCCTCCCCTCCCCTCTTCTCCTTCTCCTCTCACTCCTCCTCCCTCTCCTTTCTCCTCCTTTCCCCCCCCTTCTTCTTCTTCTTCTCCTCCTCCCCTCCCCTCTTCTCCTTCTCCTCTCACTCCTCCTCCCTCTCCTTCTCCTCCTCCTTCTTCTTTTTTCTTTTGAGACAAAGTCTCTTCTGCTCAGGCTGGAGTACAGTAGTGCAATCCTAGCTCACTGCAGTCTTGAACTTCCAGGCTGAAGTGATCCTCTAGCCTCAGCCTCCTGAGTAGCTGGGGCCACTGGTGTGTGCCACCACATCCAGCTAATTTTTATATTTTTTTCATAGAGACAGGGTCTCGCTATGTTGCCCAGGATGGTCTTGAACTCCTGGGCTCAAACCATCTTCCTGCCTTGGCCTCCCAAAGTGCTGGGATTACAGGTGTGAGCTACAGCACTCAGCCTCAGAAATCCCGTTTCTGAAACTTGTGCCATTCACCTGCTTGTTCATATGTAAAAGGGACAGGTGCAAGGATCACCACGGTGACATCGATGGTCATTGTGACCGACTGAAAACAGCCAAGCTGCCATTGTTGAGGGCCTAGCTAAGTCACTTAGCAAGCCACAGAGCAGAGTACTATGCAGCTATGAAAAAGAAAGCAGAAGACCTCTGCGTGCTGATTTGGAAGGTCTTCTGGGGTACATTGTTAATGAAAAAGCAAGGTGCAGAACTGGTGTATAATATGCTACCTTGAGTGTAAGAAAGGGCAGGAGAGAAAAATGTAGATTCGTGTTTGCACCAGTACAAGGAAGACTGGAGGGATGAACAAGAAGCTAATAGAGGCCGGGCCAGGTGCAGTGGCTCACGCCTGTAATCCCAGCACTTTGGGAGGCCGAGGTGAGTGGATCACGAGGTCAGGAGATTGAGACCATCCTGGCTTACACAGTGAAACCCCGTCTCTACTAAAAATACAAAAAAATTGGCCGGGCGTGGTGGGCGCCTGTAGTCCTAACTACTCGGGAGGCTGAGGCAGGAGAAAGACGTGAACCTGGGAGGTGGAGCTTGCAGTGAGCCGAGATCGCGCCACTGCACTCCAGCCTGGGCGACAGAGCGAGACTCTGTCTCAAAAAAAAAAAAAAAAGAAGAAGCTAATAGAGGCCGGGCACAGTGGTTCACGCCTGTAATCCCAGCACTTTGAGAGGCCACGGCAGGAGGATTGCTTGGGGCTAGGAGTTCAACACCAGACTAGGCAATGTGGCAAGACCTCATATCTACAAAAAGTTTTAAAATTAGCCAGACATAGTGGCACATGCTTGTAGTCCTAGCTGCTTGGGAGGCTGAAGTGTGAGGATCGCTTGAGCCCAGGAGTTCAAGGCCAGCCTGGGCAACAGAACAAGACCCTGTCTCTACAAAATATGAAATAGCTAGGCTCATGCCTGTAATCCCAGCACTTTGGGAGGCTGAGGCAGGCAGATCACTTGAGCTCAGGTGTTCAAGACCAGCCTGGCCAACATGGTGAAACCTGTCTCCACTAAAAATATAAAAAACTAGCCAGGCGTGGTGGCAGGTACCTGTAATCTCAGCTAATCAGGAGGCTGAGGCAGGAGAATCACATGAACCCAGGAGGAGGTTGCAATGAGCTGAGATAGCGCCATTGCACTCCAGCCTGGGTGATAGAGTAAGACTCAGTTTCAAAAAAATTAAAAAAAAATTAGCAGGGCCCTATGGTGCACACCTGTAGTTCCAGCTACTCAAGAGGCTGCGGTGGGAGGATCGCTTGAACCCAGGGGTTTGAGGCTGCAGTGAGCTAAGATTGTGCCGTTACACTCCAGCCTGGGCAAGAGAGCGAGACCCTGTCTCTAAAAAATAAAAAGAAAAGCCAGTAGAAACAGGTGCCTTTGGCGGGGTGGACGGGGCAGGGTGAGAAACCAGACTTCTCTGGAAAACCCGTTTTATGTTCTTTTGGCTGTCGTCAGGCCACATATTCAAAACTATACAATTCAATGTAAAGTGAGATAGAGGAAAGAATGGCTGCCTCGTGGGGTGGTTGTGTGGGTTCAGGTTCTAAGGGGCCATGCAGACCTTTGCCCCATGCCTTGGTGAATGTCCCTGTGATTACGGCTTTATGGCAGAGGCAGCCTTAGTTACGCCCGGATAGGCTGTCCCTGTTTGCCCCGGGAAGAGCGGTGTGGCAGCCGGGGCTCTGGGACTGGGGTACAGAGCGGGGTCTGCCCCAGGACCCCAGCGGTGCAGGGCTGGTTCTTGCAGGGAGACGAGTCCAGTTGCACCATGAGCCCGGGGCGCCCCGGGAGGGGTGGGGTCCCTCCTACCCTCGCTTCTTCCTGAGAGTTGGAGGTATGCAGGGTAACCCGGGGGACTCAGGTGGCCCCGGCTGAGGTCGGGGAAAGGAAGGGACACGGAGACCACCAGGATCAATTCTACTGCAGGGAGAAGACAGGCAGGAGCCCTGAGCATGGCGTGTGAGAGGTGGCCCCAACAGTTCTACCCTCAGGATGCCCACAGGCTCTCCCCCAGGGACTCAGATCCCAGAAAAGTGGAGACTGGAGCCCGGAACAGGCTGGACTTCAGGACCCCCGGCCACATCCCACCCCGAGCTCGGGAAGTTCAGCGTGGCTCCCCGGGAGCTAAAGGGGGCCCAGTGTCTGCACCCCACGCCTCGGGAAGGGGCAGCCTCTGCAGGCAGGTGCTTGCTGACCGCCACACACGATGCATGCTTCTCTGCAGGACGGCAGGGCTCAGCGGCACCCCTTCGTCTCCAGCACTCCCTGCCCCCGTGAGGAGGAGAGGGGATGTGACTCTCTCGGCAGAGGCAGGGCCACACCTCGACCTGGTCCGCCTGCATGCTCAGGGCTGTCTTGGGTGCGGCAGGCTCAGTCCTGTGCCCTTGGAAGGCTCCACCTGAACAAAGGCCCTCCCAGGAGTGTGGGGGCCCCCTGGCTGGGTCCCAGTGTTCAGGCTCCTCCCAGGAAGCAGTGATGGGCTGGGGCTGTTGGGATGGCGGGGGACCTCTGCCTGTGCAGGGAGCAGAGGGAAAAGGGGTCCCTGTGCATGTCAAATCTGGGAGAGGTACAAAGAGCCCCGGAGAGGGAGGAGGTGGGATCTGACTTCCCAATGCTTCACCACTTGCCCTGAGGGCACGGCTGCCACCCTTGAGCCCGCTCCTCATCCCTAAAATAGAAACAGGATCGACTTGAGGGCCAGACACGGGGAAGTTCGTTGTAAACTGCAAAGCATTCTCAAATGAAAAGACCGGCTGGGCGCAATGGCTCACGCCCAGGACTTTAGGAGGCCGAGGTGGGCAGATCACCTGAGGTCAGGAGTTCGAGACCAGCCCGGCCAACATGGTGAAACCCCGACTCTACTAAAAATGCAAAGATTAGCCGAGCTACGATGGCGCCATTGCACTCCAGCCTGGGTGCCAGAACGAGACCCTGTCTCCAAAAAAAAAACTCAAAACAAACAAAAACACAGTAGTTCCCACCCAGTGGTGACCTGGCCTCTGGGGGTCCCTCGGCCTGGACAGCTTCCTGCATCCTTGGTTGTCATGCCGGTGGTGGGGGAGGTGACCAAATTTCTCTCCTGGAGCAAAACCCAATCAGGCTTCTCTGGCTCTTTCTTTGCTTTTTTTTTGAGACGGAGTCTCGTTCTGTCACCCAGGCTAGAGTGCAATGGCGTGATCTCAGCTCACTGCAAACTCCGCCTCCCAGATTCAAGCGATTCTCCTGCTTCAGCCTTCTGAGTAGCTGGGATTACAGGTGCCCAACACCACACCCAGCTACTTTTTTTGTATTTTTAGTAGAGACTGGGTTTCACCATGTTGGCCAGGCTGGTCTCGAACTCCTGACCTCAGGTGATCCACCCACCTTGGCCTCTCAAAGTGCTGGGATTACAGGCGTGAGCCACCATGCCTAGCCTAATTTTTTTGTTTTTTATTTTGTGTTGAGAAAGACAGGGTCTCACTCTATTGCCCAGGCTAAGGTGCAGCAGCATGATCATCACTCACTGCAGCCTCGACCTCCTGAGCTCAAGTGATCCTCCCACCTCAGCCTCCCAAAGGGCTGGGATCACAGGCATCACCCACGGCTCCAGGCTGCCTTCCCATCTTCCACAAGCATCATTGAATGATGTCTTCTTTTTCTCTAACAGGGAGTTGCTGCTGGCGTGGAGTAAGCGGGAGCCAGGGAGGCTGGTCAACACCTGCGTGCACAGGACAGACCCACAGCAAAGAATCTTCCACCCACGGGCTGGGGTTGGGGCACCTGTTCCGGGGAAGCCCAAGTCCCTCTGTGACAGCCTTTCCCTCATGCTCAGACAACAGCAAGAAGCCAATTAAGAGCTGCCAAGGTTGAGTTTCTTTTGGGTGCCAGTCACTGGGTCAGGTATTCCACATTCCTCCATTAGACTCTTCCAAAGGGCCTGGCGAGACAGCCAATACGGTTCGGCTGTGTCCCCACCCAAATCCCATCTTGAGTTGTAGCTCCCGTAATTTCCCCATGTTGTGGGAGGGACCCTGTGGGAGGTAATTGAATCACGGAGGTGGTTTCCCCCACACTGTTCTCGTGGTAGTGAATAAATCTCACGAGATCTGATGGTTTTATCAGGGGAAACCCCCTTGGGCCTGACTCTCATTCTGTCTCTTGTCTGCCACCACGTGAGATGCGCCTTCTGCCTTCCGCCATGATTGTGAGGCCTCCCCAGACACGTGAAACTGTGAGTTTATTAAACCTCTTTTTCTTTATAAATTATCCAGACTCAGGTATGTCTTTTTTTTTTTTTTTGAGATGGAGTCTTACTCTGTCGCCCAGGCTGGAGTGCAGTGGCACAATCTCGGCTCACTGTAACCTCCACCTCCCAGGTTCAAGTGATTCTCCTGCCTCAGCCTCCCAAGTAGCTGGGATTACAGGTGTGCACCACCATGCCTGGCTAATTTTTGTATTTGTAGTAGAGACGGGGTTTCACCATGTTGGCCAGGCTGGTCTCGAACTCCTGACCTCAAGTGATCCACCTGCCTCAGCCTCCCAAAATGCTGGGATTACAGGCGTGAGCCACTGTGCCCAACCAGGGTATGTCTTTTTCAGCAGCATGAGAACAAACTAATACAACAGCATTGTGGTCTCCCAGGAGGACCAGAGAGCCAGGACCGTGGCCCATAGACGTGCGTGCAGGTGAAATCAGGCTTGTCCTAGCCTTGTTCATAATCGCCCCAGACTGAAACCGCCCAGGAGTCCACCACCCGGGAGACATGCCTCATTCCCGGACATTTGCGGTCCACAGCCTGGGCAACAGCCACGTCACCTTTCATGATGTCACACATGGCATTTTCCAGAGAGGGCTGTAGCAATCTCTCCTGTCCTCACGTTCTCATTACGGTGACCTCACCACTCTTCCAGCAAGAGGCCGAGTAGGGCCCTCACCCCGTGAACCTGGGCCGACTTACGACAGCCTTGGCCAGCAGGGGACAATGACGGTGATGTCATGGGACGTCCAGGGTTGGGTCCATGAAAGGCAATTGTTTGTTTTTTCAAAACACCAACTGCATGAGTCAGAGGTCTCCAGAAAAACAGACGCAAGAGGACGCAGAGAGAGGGATGTGGGGAGACGTATTATGAGGAATCGCTTCATGCAGTCCGTCCGCAACCCGGAGATCCCAGAACGCTGCTGATGAAACTCCCCTGCGCACAAAGGCCTGAGAGCCAGGGGAGGTGATGGTGGAAATCCTAGTCTGAGGATGAAGGCCCAAGGGGGAACTGGGGAAAGTCCCAGATCCAGAAGCCCAAGAACCAGCAGCTCTCATGACCAAGGGCAGGAGAAGGAGAGAGAGAGAAGTCAGCCTTCCTCCACCTTCTGTTCCAGTTGGACCCTCCGTGGATCGGATGTTACCTGCTCTCACTGGGGACGGGGGGCGCCTCTTCACTGGGTCCACTGATCTACTGTTGATCTCTTCCAGAGACACCCTCATGGACACCCCAAGAAAGAATGTTTTAGGCCAGGTGCAGTGGCTAGGGCCTGTAATCCCAGCACTTTGGGAGGCTGAGGCAGAAGGACAGCTTGAGCCTGGGAGGTCAAGACCAAGCTGGGCAACATAATGAGACCCCATCTCTAAAAAAGTATCAAAAAATGGCTGGGCGCGGTGGCTCACGCCTGTAATCCCAGCATTTGGGAGGCTGACACAGGCAGATCACTTGAAGTCAGGAGTTCAAGACCAGCCTGGCAAACATGGTAAAAGCTACTCTACAAAGAATACAAAAATTAGCCTGGCGTGGTGGCATGCACCTGTAACCCCAGCTACTCGGGAGGATGAGAGAGGAAAATCGCTTGAAATGGGGAGGCGGAGGTTGCAGTGAGCCGAGATTGTGCCACTGCACTCCAATCTGGGCTATGTAGTGAGACTCCATCTCAATTAAAAAAAAAACAGTATTCAAAAAATTAGCTAGGCATGGTGGTGCGTGCCTGTGGTCCCAGCTACTCAAGAGGCCAAAGTGGGAGGATCGCTTGAGCCCAGGAGGTCGAGGCTGCAGTGAGCTATGATTGTACCACTGCACTCCAACCTGGGCAATAGAGCAAGACCCTATCTCAAAAAAAAAAAAACAAACAAAAACCTGTTATACCGTCTGTCTGCCATCCCTTAGCCCCGTCAAGTTGACATAAAATTAACCAAGAAAGGTTAAACTCTGTGAGATGAATGCACACATCACAAAGAAGTTTCTCAGAAAGCTTCTCTTCAGTTTTTATCTGAAGATATTTCCTTTTTCACCATAGTCCTCAAAGCGCTCTAAATATCCATTTGCAGATTCTACAAAAAGAGTGTTTCCGAACTGCTCCATCAAAAGAAAGGTTCAACTCTGTGAGATGAACGCACACATCACAAAGAAATTTCTCAGAATGCTTCCGTCTAGTTTCTATATGAAGATATTTCCTTGTTCACCATATGCCTTAAACTGCTCACAAATATCCCTCTGCAAATAATACAAAAAGACTGTTTCCAAACTGCTCCATCCAACACCAACTGGTGTCCTACGAGTCACTACTTGGAGTTACTGTGGAACCCACAGGTTAAGGACTTGGTCCCCCCACACTATCCTCACTTTAGCTGCCAGCCACAGAAGGGGTCCCCAGGCTACTAGATAGCTTCAGGATGGGGTCTGGGGGCCTTCACTTGGCTGAGGACAAATGTGGGCCTTCCCATGACCTCCCCACTCATTATCCAGTGTGATAATTCGCTATCACAGGACAACTCATGGGTTGTGAGTTGTGATTAGAGTTTATTATAAGGGGTACAGCTCAGGACTAGCCATGTGGACTTACCACATAAGGCAGGGAAGTGGGACACACAGGCACCCATGCCCTCTCCAGGAGCTTCGCCTACTGGCACGAGGATACAGCTCAGAAGCTCCCTGAGTGGCTGGGTGCAGTGGCTCACACCTGTAACTCCAGTGCTTTGGGAGGCTGAGGCGAGTGGATCGCTTGAATCCAGGAGCCCCGTGCACCTGGAAGGCCAGCCTGGGTGACGTGGTGAAACCTCATCTCTACAAAAAATACAAAAATTAGCCAGATATGGTGGTGCGCACCTGTAGTCTCAGCTACTCTGGAGGCTGAGGCACGAGAATTGCTTGAACCTGGGTGGCAGAGGTTGCAGTGAGCTGAGATCCCACCACTGCACTCCAGCCTCGGTGACAGAGTGAGACTCTGTCTCAAAAAAAAAAAAAGAAAAGAAAAGAAAAGAGAAAAGAAACTCCCTGAGCCCTGTGGTTCTGAGTTCAGTATCCAGGTCTCATGACATACGCATGCTTGGTTAAACCACTGGCCGTTGTGATTTAACCCTATCTTCAGCTCCCCATCCCTGGAGTTCGGGAGTGGGTAGGTGGAGTGGAGTGAAGGTTCCAACTCAGTAATCACATGGCGACCGGGTACAGTGGCTCTCACCTGCAATCCCAGCACTTTGGCAGGCCCAGGCAGGAGGATTGCTTCAGGCCAGGAGTTCAAGACCAGCCAAGGCGACCTAGCAAGACTCCATCTCTACCAAAAAAAATAAATAAATCAGGGGCTGGGCACAGTGGCTCATGCCTGTAATCCAAGCACTTTGGGAGGCCAAGGCAGGTGGATCTCCTGAGGTCAGGAGTTCGAGACCAGCCTGGCCAACATGGTGACACCCCATCTCTACTAAACATACACAAATTAGCCGGGCGTGGTGGCGGGTGCCTGTAATCCCAGCTACTCAGGAGGCTGAGGCAGGAGAATCTCTTGAACCCGGGTGGTGGAGGTTGCAGTGAGCCGAGATTACGCCACTGCACTCCAGCCTGGGCGACAAGAGCGAAACTCCATCTCAAAAACAAAACAAAACCAGGGAAGTGTGGTGGTGTGCACCTGTGGTCCCAGCTACTTGGGAGGCCGAGACGGGAACGTGCTTTTCTTGAGCTGAGGAGTTCGAGGCTGCAGTGAGCCATGATTACGCAGCCTGGGCGACAAAGCCAGACCCTGTCTCTATTTAAAATAAGAACAATAATCATACGATTGGTTCCTCTGGGGACCAGCCCCTGTCCTGGAGCTATCTGTGACTTCACCCTAAGCCACCTCATTAGCAGAAACTCAGATAGGTGGCTTGTTATAACAAAAGACACTCCTGCCACTCAGGAAATTCCTGGTGCCAGGAACCCAGAACAAAAACCTTATCTATCTATAAGGATATACATTTTTTAATAGAGATGGGGTCTTGCTATGCTACCCAGGCTGGCCTCAAACTCCTGGGCTCAAGTGATTCCCCTGCCTCAGCCTCCCAAAATGCTGGGGTTACAGGTGCGACCCACTGCACCTCGCTCATTTTTTGTTTTGTTTTTATTTTTGGTTTTTTTTTTTTTTTTTGAGACAGTGTCTCACTGTCACCTAGGCTGGAGTGCAATGGCATTATCTTGGCTCACTGCAACCTCTGACTCTGGGGTTCAGGCGATTCTCCTGTCTCAGCCTCCCGAGTAGCTGGGACTATAGATGCCCGCCACCACACCCGGCTAATTTTTCTATTTTTAGTAGAGACGGGGTTTCAATATGTTGGCCAGCCTGGTCTCAAACTCCTGACCTCGTGATCCTCCCGCCTTGGCCTCCCAGAGTGCTGGGATTACAGGTGTGAGCCACTGCACCCAGCCTGTATTTTTTATTATGCTGTGTTATACGGAAATATGGCTCACTGTCCCCAGGGCCTCTTCCCCTTGGAAGCAAGAGCACCATGTGGTAAGGACATTCATGCCATCTGTAGACCCTCCTTGTCAGGTCCCAGCCTGTAGCCGGCATTAAGCAGGAAGGCTGAGGCGGGAAGCCGGTGAGATGCACCAGCCCCAGCCGTGTCGTCTGCACCTGCAGGACAGAAGCCCCCGGGTAAGATCCCTCTGCTCACCCAGTCAAGCCGGAACCGTGAGAGGTCATGGCGAATGGCCACTGTAAATAACCCTCAGGATGACAAATGCTGATTTGCACTTGGAGTCAGGACTCCTGGAGAGTCCACCCTCTTCTCCCTATGCTGGTGGTTCCCCAGCCCGGGAATGTCACACTGCACCAACCCAACCTGGGAAGCTCTGTCCCTGACTGTAATGTCTGAGCCAAAAGTCAGGACGCATGATCTGGTGTGAGTTTGTTGTGGCACGACTCAGTGAAAGAAATGCCATCTGGGAACTGCGATAGGACATGGGTTGGAATCCCTGGGACATGTATTGGCTTTTTTTTTTTTGTTTTTTTAAAGGAAAGTTCGGCCGGGCGCGGTGGCTCACGCCTGTAACCCCAGCACTTTGGGAGGCTGAAGCGGGTGGATCATGAGGTCAGATCGAGACCATCCTGGCTAACACGGTGAAACCCCGTCTCTACTAAAAATACAAAAATTAGCCGGGCGTGGTGGCGGGCGCCTGTAATCCCAGCTACTCAGGAGACTGAGGTCGGAGGATTGCTGGAACCCGGGAGGCGGAGCCTGCAGTGAGCGGAGATTGCGCCACTGCACTCCAGCCTGGGTGACAGAGCGAGACTCCATCTCAAAAATAAATAAATAAATAAATAAAAAATAAAAATAAAAGGAAAGTTCATGAGGTTATTTTTCTCCTTTCCAACATAATGTATCGGCTCATTGCAGAAAATGTGAACAATCCCCTGTACAATCCCCAGCAGTGTCGGGGAGATTTCGATGGTTTATGGGGACAGTGGGACACAAGGTAAAAAATCAGGACTGCCCTGGACAGGGCCAGCAGCATAAGGTCCTAGCTCAGGTGCCTGCCCACCTCGCTCCTCCCAGCCTAGGAAGGGAGAGGGAAGGAGGCAGGGGCAGAGGGGCTGGAGCTCAGGTTCTCGGTCTATGCCCTCCAGGAGAAGCGCTCTGCACCGCAGAAGGGAGCCTCCCCACACAGCCCCACCGTATGCTGGCTCTGACCTTCAGCTCTCCCAGCCCACGCCCTTGACCTCTGCCCTCCTCTCCACCATTGCTCACCAGTCACAAGGTGCCCCCAGAAGCGTCCATCACCACAAAGACAAACAAACAAAGAGCCTAGGCCGGCTCACGCCTGTAATCCCCACACTTTGGGAGGCCGAGGCGGGCAGATCACTTGAGGTCAGGAGTTCGAGACCAGCCTGGCCATCACGGTGAAACCCCCGTCTCTACTAAAAATGCAAAAATTAGCTGGGCGTGGTGGCGCGTGCCTGTAATCCCAGCTACTTGGAAGGCTGAGGCAGGAGATACGCTTGAACCTGGGAGGCAGAGGTTGCAGTGAGCTGAGCATCACCACACTCCAGCCTGGGCGATAAGAGCAAGACTCCACCTCAAAAAAAAAAATTTATATTAAAAAAAAACACCAAAAAAAAAAACAACTAAATGCCCCTCCAGGGCCTCAGCCTCTCCAGGGAGACAGTTGGAATGTGGGTGAGAAGCTGGCTGGGCCTGTGCCAGTCCCTGCTCCTCAGTTCCTTCCCACCACTGCACTGGTTCTCAAACTGCATTCCCCAGAACCCAGGGGGTTCTGTGTCGCTGAGCCCAGCAGGGGTTCCTGGCCCCTCCCCACACTCCAAGAGCACCCAGCTTCAATCTGCCCTGCACTTCGTGATTGACAAGAGTATTCTGCATCGTCATGATTTTTCTTTCTTTTCCTTCTCTTTTGGAGACAGGATCTCACTCTGTTGCCCAGGCTGGAGTGCAGTGGTGCAACCTCAACTCACTGCAGCCTGGACCTTCCAGGCTCAAGCAATCCGCCCACCTCAGCCCCCTAGTAGTGGAGACTAGAGGTGCACACCACCACACCCAGCTAATTTTTGTATTACTATTATTATTATTATTATTATTGGCAGAGATGGGGTTTTGCCATGTTGCCCAGGCTGGTCTCAAACTCCTGGGCTCAAGGGATCCTCCTGCCTCGGCCTCCCAAAGTGCTGGGATGACAGATGTGAGCCACTGTGCCTGGCATTCATGACTTTTTGAAGATGGGGAAACCACAGCCAGAAAACTTTTCTAAGCCACAGTTAGAAAAAGGCTGAGTGCGTTTATTCCCGCCCCTGGAGCCCATAGGTCGGCAGCCTGAACTCCGCCATGGGCCTGGCCAAACGCAGCGGCAAGCCTGGATCCTGGAGGGGTGGGAGCTCCGTGTGAGGGTCTTCAGAGTGGGGGCTGCGGAATCCCGGGACATCAGAGCAGCTTGCCTCTCACTGAACAGAAAGGGAAACTGAGGCTTAGAGAAGGGGTGCCCTGCTGAGAAGAGCGTAGGTTCCAGATGGGACCGCAGTGTCTCCCTGCCCGGCCAGTTCTTTGCCCAGCACATCCAGCCTGGGAGGCTGTCCTGTCACCAGCACCCACCTTTCCTCCTGGCAGTGAATTTGAGAGCAGGCACCTGCAGCCCAGGGCAGCCTTCTTTTTTTTTTTTTTTTTTTTGAGACGGAGTCTCGCTCTGTCGCCCAGGCTGGAGTACAATGGCGTGATTTCAGCTCACTGCAACCTCCACCCTCTGGGTTCAAGCAATTCCCCTGCCTCCGCCTCCGGCCTCCGGCGTAGCTAGGACTACAGGTGCGCGCCACCACGCCTAGCTTATTTTTTAATTTTATTTTGTATTTTAGTAGAGACGAGGTTTCACCATGTTGGCTAGGATGGTCTTGATCTCCTGACCTCATGATCCCAGGGCGGCTTTCTAGGCCGCGTTTTCCTGGATGTCTGGGATGTCAGGGGTGAGGAACGGAAGGACTCAGGTCTCTCGGGGTCAGAGGCCACGGGCCCCCTCCCTGCGCCACAGTCTTCCTGCTCCCGCCTCCCGCTCCCCGTGATGGGGACTCATTTCCTCGTGAGCCGGCCGTTCTATTTTCAGACAATTGTTGGAAAGCACTTCCTAGTCTCCAGCCAGAAGCTGCTCCCCCACTCAACTCCCCCGGAGCTTCTGCTTGCTGGCGGGGGTCTGCATGTTAGGAGGCTCGCTGCCCGGTGGGTTCTTGAATATCAGCCCCAAAAGGGCTGCTTCAGGCCCGGGCCACAAGGGCACCAGTCTGGCTGGGCACCAGCCCACGAGGGGCCACCTGCGACCTCCTGAGCTGCCAGGGGGTCCTGCTGCAGGGCACCTTCTTGGCAGAATCCAGCGCAAAACCTCCATATAAGATTGTTGTTTAGCAGAGAACAAAACCTCCACTGGTGCGTTGATGGGCTCCGAGCTGCCCCACGGGCATCGACGCCCTCATAACTGCTGACTCACGGCTTTGACACTCGTCACCGCGCTGAGGAGCTTCCAGTGTGCATGAGGCAGTTTCTAAATTTAGTGGGCAGGGTGGTTGGGAGACGGCCAGCCCCCTAGGCACCCTGTGGCCACTTGTCATTCAGAGGAACGCGGAATCTCTCAATCCCTGGCCCTGAGCGCCCACTTCCAGTGACCGTGGCAGCCGCCTGCCCAGCCGTGCGCCCGGGTCCTGGACCAGGGTCAGGGCCGCTTCTCACTGAGGCCCCTCAGCAGCCCAGGAGAGCGGGACGTCTGCCGCACCCATTTTCCAGGTGGGGGAACTGAGGCCCAGAGAGGAAACCTGCCCAACACCGCACAGCCAGTGAGCCGGCCAGCAGAACTCAACACCACATACATCTCCCCGGGCCTTTTGTGCCACATGGCCTGAGGCCCTGGAGGCCAGACCCCATCCTGGGTGTGGGGCAGAGCCGTTCCCCATAGTTCTCTAAATTTCCTCACTTGCAAAATGTAAAAAAAAAAAAAAAAAAAGGTGCCTACAGCGGATACTGTGGGCGTGTGGCTTCCCCGTGCAGGTGGCGCACGGGCCCAGCAGCTGCAGCCCGCGATGGTGAACAGCCGCTGGCTGCCTCTTCTCCACAGAACAGCCTGGGCTGGGGGGCACCACCCTGCCAGTGCCTGATGCATGCTCCCAGGGCAGCCCCCAGCCTCAGGCAGGAGAGAGTTCCTGGTCAGGTGGAGGCTTCAACAGAAGTACCCCTTAGCCTGGCTTCTTCCTGCCCCAGCCCTCCCTCCTCCCCAGTTTCCCTGTAAAGAATGAGGCCAGGCGTGGTGGCTCACGCCTGTAATCTCAGCACTTTGGGAGGCCGAGGCTGGTGAATCACTTGAGGCCAGGAGTTTGAGACCAGCCTGGCCAATATGGTGAAACCCCACCTCTACTAAAATCACAAAAATTAGCCGGGCGTGGTGGTGCGCGCCTGTAGTCCCAGCTACTCGGGAGGTTGAGGTGGGAGAATCGTTTAAACCCAGGAGGCAGAGGTTGCGGTGAGCCGAGATTGCACCACTGCACTCCAGCCTGGGCGACAGGGTGAGACCCTGTCTCAAAAAAACAGAAATGGCACTTGGGCTGGGTGCGGTGGCTCACTCCTGTAATCCCAGCACTTTGGGAGGCCAAGGCAGGTGGATCGCTTAAGCCCAGGAGTTCAAGACCAGCCTGGGCAACATAGTGAGACGTTGACTCTACCAAAAAATACAAAGATTAGCCAGGCATGGTGGTACACGCCTGTAGTTCTAGTGGCTCAGGAGGTGGGGGTGGGAGGATCACGTGAGCCCAGGAGGTCAAGGCTGCAGTGAGCTGTGATCATCCCACTGCACTCCAGCCTGGGCAACAGAGTCAGAGCCTGTCTCTAAATTTAAAAAAAGAGAATCAGGACCGCCATGTCACGGAGACCAAAGGCACAAAGCACTGGTGCTCTGTGTGGCCACAGGACCGGGCACTCCGGGGGGAGCCACTGAGGTCCTCAGAGCGGCGCCTGTTTCAGGGAAGCGCCTGGCGCTGGAGCGAGTGGAGAGGCGTGTGGACGGCGGGGAAGTGGAGTTGTGGAGACAAAGCTTGGGGCTCTGGGACTCAAAGTGGGGAGGCCGGGGGCTTGGACCCGGGAAGGAAACTGAGGCAGAGAGGGGCATGTTTGTGTTATAGGAGACCCTGGAGCTGGCCTGAGGGGCCCTGGGAGGGAGCCCACAAAGAAGGGGCCGTGAGTGCACAATCTGGGGAAGGGGCAATGGAAGCCGGAGGTTTGAGGGGTGGGCCCAGAGGACAGGCGGGCAGACCCAGCAGGGGTGGTTTTCACTGCGGGAGGAGAGAAGTGGGGAGGGCCTGAGATCCGAAGCAGGTCACAGGAGACATGTTGGGGGTATGGGCCTCCCAGAGTCCTTCCCCTTCCTCACGGCTCCCGATTCTCTTTGTTGGTTCACCTCTCTCCTGTGCAGCCTGGGGGTGGAACCGGGACTGGCCCCCGCTCTTTGAAGCCAAAGGGTCTGAGCTCTTCCCCGGTAGACCAGGTACCCTGAGTCACGGCACAGTGGTCAGCGAGGTCCAAGCTCTCCCCAGTAGACCAGCCGTCCTGAGTTTCAATGTGGTGCCCAGCGAGGTCTGAGCTCTCCCCGAGGAAACCAGCCATCCTGAGTCTCAGTGCGGTGGCCAGTGAAGGCTGAGCTCTCACCAGGTTGGCCAGCTGTCCCGAGTCTCAGTGTAGTGGCCAGTGGCCTGACCGGTCCTTGGGATACCTGGAATTCTGGACGTGGGTCTGTCTTTGGGGCTGCACCCTATGGGAGCCCCATACAAGGTTGGGGTTCCAGCCAGGGGGTGGTAGAGAAAGTGGGCGCCCAGGTTCCTAGCAGGGGCTAGCCTGGGGGTGGATGGGGAAGGAAGGCTTCAGGGAGGTTCAGGGAGGAGCCGGGGCTGGGCCCCCAGGATGGGGGTCACTTGAGAAGAGCCGCAGGTTCCCCACAAGGGCCCCTGTGTGTAACGGGAAGGCCAGGCCTGGTCTGCGCTGGGTACGCTTGGTCCAGGAAGGGAGGCTGGAGCCCCCGGTCTAGGCCCAGGCTGCACAGAGAGCGGCAGCTGCTTCCTGGCACGAGGCAGTTAAACCACACGCAGCTGCAGGCTGCCCACCGCACCCGTCTCCCCTCGGGCCCGACCCGGGCCTCTGCTCCCCCTGCCCCCACCCTGCCAGCCGCCCCCAGCCCCTGGTGCTGGTGGGTCTTGGGGGGCCGCAGTGGTGCCCTGGAGCCCAAACCTGCCACACTGATCAGGTCACGAGGTTGGGTCCTGCTAGGACAGGGTCACCTTTGGTACTCACTGCACTCTGGGGTCACAGCAAAGAGGACCCCGGGATGGTGGGAGTCAGAGGCTTGGGCTTGCCTGCCCGACGGCGTCCCTCCAGGCTGAGGCCCAGCTCTCCTAACAGCCTAGGCTTTTAGCACTGGCTTCCTCCCCCCAGAGAATTCACAGTTATCACTTACCTGTCCACGGGCTCTCACTGAACATGGCGAGCCACCCTGGACCCAGCAGGGGACTGGGCAGATCAGGCTCTGCTGGTGGCTCTGTCAGGCAGGAAGGCAGGGAAAAGACCAGCCAGGGGTGGGCGTGCACCTGTGGTCCCAGCTACTTGGGAGGCTGAGGCAGGAGGATCGCTTGAGCCCAGGAATTTGAGGCTGCAGTAAACCATGATCACACCACTGCATTCCAGCTGGGTAACAGAGCAAGACCCCGTTTCTAAAACATTTTTTTAAAAGACATGAAGGAAGGGCCAGGCGCGGTGGCTCATGCCTATAATCCCAGCACTTTGGGAGGTCGAGGTGGGTGGATCACCGGAGGTCAAGAGTTCAAGACCAGCCTGGCCAACATGGCAAAACCCCATCTCTACTAAAAATATAAAAATTAGCTGGATGTGGCTGAACGTGGTGGCTCACGCCTGTAATCCCAGCACTTTGGGAGGCCGAGGCAGGCAGATCACCTGAGGTCAGGGGTTTGAGACCAGCCTGGCCAGCATGGTGAAACCCCATGTCTACTAAAAATACAAAAATTAGCTGGGCATGGTGGCAGGCGCCTGCAATCCCAGCTCCTGATGGGGGCTGAGGCAGAATTGCTTGAACCCAGGAGGTGGAGGTTGCAATGGGCAGAGATCACACCACTGCACTCCAGCCTGGGCGACAGAGCAAGACTCTCAGAAAAAAAAAAAAAAAAGCCAGGCGTGGTGGCAGGTGCCTGTAATCCCAGCTACTTGGGAGGCTGAGGCAGGAGAATCGCTTGAACCCCAGAGGCGGAGGTTGCAGTGGTCTGAGATTGAACCACTGCACTCCAGCCTGGGTGGCAGAGTGAGACTCCGTCTCAAAAAAAAAAAAAAAAAAAAAAGACATGAAGGTGACATCCAGGTGCAGGGGACTGGGGCATCAGTGACTGACCAGAGAAGGAGGCCACTTGAGCAAAGACCAGAATGGGGTGGACAGGGAGTCCCAGGACCAGCTGGGGGGTTTCTGGGCACAGGAAACAGCGCATGGAAAGGCAGGCACCTTCCGGAAACAGTGAGAAGGCTGAGGTGCGGGGTGGGGCGGCATCGGGGGAGGTGAGACGGAGATGTAGACCCTGCAGGACCCGGCAGTCCTCGGCGTGGGGCTGGGACGGGGCGAACAGTGGCCCCATAGCCCACGTCCACCGGAGCCACAGGATGGGAGCTTATTTGCAAACAAGGTCTTTGCAGATATAAACTTATTTTTTTATTTTATTTTTTTTGAGATGGAGTCTTGCTCTGTCGCCTAGGCTGGAGTGCAATGGTGCGATCTTGGCTCGCTGCAGCCTCCATCTCTCAGGTTCAAGTGATTCTCGTGCCTCAGCCTCCGGAGTAGCTGGGACTACAGGCACCTGCCACCACGCCCGGCTATTTTTTTGTATTTTTAGTAGAGATGGGGTTTCACTGTGTTATCCAGGATGGTCTCGATCTCCTGACCTCGTGATCCGCCCGCCTCAGCCTCCCAAAGTGCTGGGATTACAGGTGTGAGCCACTGCGCCCGGCCTTGGATAATTTTTTTCTATTTTTAGTAAAGGCAAGGTTTCGCCATGTTGGCCAGGCTGGTCTCGAACTCCTGACCTCAAGCAATCCGCCCGCCTCAACCTCCCCAAGTGCTGGGATGACAGGCGTGAGCCACCGCACAGGCCTAATGAAGGTAAAGATCTTGAGATGAGATCATCCTTGATCTGGGTGGGCCCTAAATCCCTTAACAGATGTCCTCACGAGGCACAGAGACACAGAGAGAAGACGGCCACATGGAGTCAGAGGCAGAGGCTGGAGGGATGTGGCCACGAGCCGAGGACCCCTGGAGTCCCCAGGAGCTGGTCGAGGTAGGCAGCGTCCTCCCCTAGAGCCCTCCGAGGGAGTCAGCCCTGCCCACACTTTGACTTCAGACTTCTGGGCTCCAGAACTGCAAGAGAGGACATTTCTGTGGCTTTAAGCCACCGAGTCTGTGGTGCTTTGTTAAGAGCTGCTGTGGGAAACAACCACAGGTGTTCATTTTACTGTTCGGGTGATAAGCAGAGTCTTTGGAGAATTCTGAGCAGGGGAGGAACATTTGATTATATCTTTTTGTTTTTTTGTTTTTTTTGAGATGGAATCTCGCTCTGTTGGCCAGACTGGAGTGCAGTGGTACGATCTTGGCTCACTGCCACCTCCACCTCCTGGGTTCAAGTGATTCTCCTGCCTCAGCCTCCCAAGTAGCTGGGACTAAAGGCACCCGCCACCACGCCTGGCTAATTTTTGTATTTTTAGTAGACATGGGGTTTACTATGTTGGCCAAGCTGGTCTCAAACTCCTGATCTCAGGTGATCCGCCTGCCTCAGCCTCCCAAAGTGCTGGGATTAAAAGCCACGGCACCCGGCCTAAAAATTAAATTTCTAATAATTTTTTTTTTTTTGAGACAGAGTCTCACTCTTGTCGCCCAGGCTGGAGGGCAATGGCATGATCTTGGTTCACTGCAACCTCCGCCTCCCACGTTCAAGTGATTCTCCTGCCTCAGCCTCCCAAGTAGCTGGATTACAGGTGTCTGCTACCATGCCCGGCTAATTTTTGTATTTTTGTAGAGACCGGGTTCCACCATGTTGGGCAGGCTGGTCTTGAACTCCTGACCTCAGGTGATCCACCCGCCTCGGCTTCCCAAAGTGCTGGGATTACAGGCGTGAGCCATCGCGCCTGGCCATAAAAAATATTTTCAAAAAGTGAGCAAACAATTTGAACAGACACCAATAATGCAGATACACGGATGACAAAAAAAGATGAGAAAACGCTCATCATTACTCATCAGGGAGACGCCGATGAAGAGCACAGGGCAGACCCTGCACACCCCCCCAGGATGACGGAACGCCTGTGGTCCTGCCCGGGCCATCAGTGGAGAAGCCATCCTTGGAATCTGGAATCCATCTGGCGGGTGCTACTCAGCAGCTGACAGAAGCCACCGATGCCTGCAACGCTGGGGTAAGTCTCAGAATAATGATGCCAGGCCGGGCGCGGTGGCTCACGCCTGTAATCCCAGCACTTTGGGAAGCCGAGGCGGGAGGATCACGAGGTCAGGAGATCAAGACCGTTGTGGCTAACACGGTGAAATCCCGCCTCTACTAAAAATACAAAAAAAAAAAAAAATTAGCCGGGCGTGGTGGCCAGCGCCTGTAGTCCCAGCTACTCGGGAGGCTGAGGCAGGAGAATGGCGTGAACCCAGGAGGCAGAGGTTGCAGTGAACGGAGATCGCGCCACTGCACTCCAGCCTGGGTGACAGAACGAGATTCCATCTCAAAAAAAAAAAAAGAATAATGACGCCGAGCAGCTGGCCAGGGAGCGTGCACTGTGTGCTTTCATTCACACAGACTCCAGAAGAGCAAACAGCGCCTCTCCAGGGACAGAAAGTGGCGCCCTGGCGGCCTGGGGACAAGTCAGGGGTGGTTTGGGAATGTTCGTTACAGGGTTGAAAGGGATGGGGGATGGGGCCACAGGTACGTGTGAATGTCAACACGCATCAGTGTGCACCCTTTACACCCTTTACACACCTGCAGTTTATCAGACGTCAATCATAACTCAAAAAAGCTGTTTTCAAAAAGAGGCGGGGAGAGGGAGGAGGAAGGCAAAGAGGTAGAGGAGGGGGAGGAAGAGGAAGAGGGGAAGGAGACGGAGGAGAAAGAGAAGAGGGAGGAGGAGGTGGTCAAGGTTGACTCCTGAGTTTTTAGAGAACGAGGAAGACGAGGAGCAGGAGGAGAGAGAAGGGGGAAGAGGTGGTCAAGGTTGACAGGAGGAGGAGGAGGAGGAGGAGGAGGAGGGGGAGGAGGGGAGGAGGGGGAGGAGGAGAAGAAGGGGAACGAAGGGGAGGGGGGAGGGGGAGGAGGGGGAGGGGAAGGAGGGGAGGGGGAGGGGGAGGAGGAGAGGAGGGGGGAGGGGGAGGAGGGGGAGAAGAAGGAAGGGGAGGAGGGGGAGGAGGAGGGGGAGGGGGAGGGGGAGGGGGAGGAGGAGGTAGTTGTTCTCAAGGTCGACCCTGAGGTTCTGGCCTGGGCCCGGGTGAGGGCATTTGCCGAAGGCACAGGCCCCGCATGCAGGGGCGGTGATGCTGGTCAGAGGATGAGGAGAGGCAGGTGGCGGGGCAGAGGAAGCTCTGTGCAGGGTGCTCCCATTCAGGTGACAGGAGGAGGAAGCATTACCCCATCGGATCTCCCCTCCCCTTAGAGAGTTACCCTGAGGGACAGATTGAGAAACTGTAGAGGGATGAAGCCGCACAGCCCCCGCCTGGCGTCCGGCAGGGATCCGCGCCTGACCGGCCTCTCCTCCCATGGGCACCACGGACGTCTCCTTCCGGACTCGCTGCCCACACAGCGCAGGGTGCAGGGCCCTGGAGCCCTTGGGGTCCTGCGGGGACCCAGCTGGTGCCCACAGGAGTGGAAAGAGACCGTGGCGGGTCACACAGCAGTTCTCAGGCTGCAGCCTGGGGCCATGAGCCTCACTGAGGCCACAGTCAAATGGCCACACCCAACTTCAGGGGCACAGGGAGACCAGCTCTGCCTTGCGGTCCCTGGATGAGGAGATGGGACACACCGGGCAGGCGGTGCTCAGGACTCCCTCGGTGGCGGGGCAGCGTTCGAGTCAGTGCCCTGCTGGGAACAGATCTCCAAGATGTGGTTAAGTGGCAAAAGCCAGGTGCAGAAAAGAGGAGCCGTGCGCTACCTGCAGGGTGACAAGGCAGAGGGAGGCACACGGGTGGCTGCCTGAACGCACACGGAAAAGCCGGGAACACAGGCACAAATCAGAACACAGGCTGACTCCAGGGGAGGGGACCAGCTGCTCAGGGGTCAGGGGAGACCTTCGACCCTTTGACTGGATGATTCCCCCACCTTTTATTTTTATTTTTTTTTAGACAGGGTCTCGCTCTGTCGGCCGGCTGCAGCGTAGTGGCACCATCATAGCTTACTGCAGCCTTGACCTCCCAAGCTGAAGAGATCCTCCTACCTCAGCCTCCTCAGTAGCTGGGACCGTAGGCATGCACCACCATGCCTGGCTAATTTATTCTTGATTTTTGTTTGTAGAGATAGGGTCTCACTATGTTGCCCAGGCTGGTCTCAGACTCCCACTTTGGCCTCCCAAAGGGCTGGGATTAGAGGTTCATGCCACCATGCCCAGCTAATTTTTATTTTTTTGTAGAGATGGGGGTCTTGCTATGTTGCTCAGGCTGGTCTCGAACTCAACCGATCCTCCTGCCTTGGTCTCCCAAAGTGCTGAGATTACAGGCATGAGCATCACACCTGGCAACTGTATGATCTTTTGTGTCTTTTGAGTTTTGTTCCCATCAGTGTTTCCATTAAAAAAAAAAAAAAAAAGGCGTGGGGGCGGGGCGGGCGCAGTAATTCCAGCACTTTGGGAGGCCAAGGCGGGCGGACCACCTGAGGTCAGGAGTTCGAGACCAGCCTGGCCAACATGGTGAAACCCCGTCTCTACTAAAAACACAAAAAAATTAGCCAGACATGGTGGCGGGCGCCTGTAATCCCAGCTACTCGGGAGACTGAGGCAGGAGAATCGCTTGAACCTGGGAGGTGGAGGTTGCAATAAGCCGAGGTCGCGCCACTGCATTCCAGCCTGGGCGACAGAGCGAGACTCCGTGCCAAAAAAAAAAAGAAAAAAGAAAAGGGTGAACTTTGTGGAACACGAGTTCTATCTCAATAAAGCTATTATTATTATTATTATTATTATTTGAGACAGGGTCTCTCCCCGGGAGCCCCCCGGGCTGCGCCCCCTCGCCAGTGCCTGCGCCCCGGCCGCCCCCGCTCTCCGGGACGTGCAGAACCTGCCACTTGACTCATCCGCGGATCCCTGACGCCACTCCTCCCCGCCGTGCGTCCTGGAGTGCGTCCCTTCGCAACGCCAGCACCACCTGTGAATGGAGAGGCCAGCGCCTGCCCCGCGCCGCCGACCCACCTGGACCGGACCACATGCGCGCGGCGCCGGCCAGCCCGCCTCCCGCCGCCATGGGGCGCTGCAGGCATCAGGCCGGCGCCGCGGGCCTCTCGCGCCTCCTTCTGGGCCCGCTTCCCGCCGCACTGTTTTCCTTCCGGTTGTTCCGGAAGTCGGGTCCTCGAGGGCGGTGAGATCGGTTTCCGATTCCGGGGTGGCCGGGTGGCGGCGGCGGCGCTCCGGTCGCGATGGGCCAGAGGTAAGTGAGCCGCGGCCTGGGCGCTTCCTCATTGCCGGGCGAGCGCCTGGTTCTCCCGGCTACCGCTCCCGGCCTCTGGGCCGTCCCTTCTGGTTCTGCCGCCTCCAGCCCGGCGTCCGCGTCGCCTGCTGCCGCCCGACTGAGCCGCTCCCGGGCGGCTGGGAGGCGGGGTCCCTGCAGCTCCTGCAGCATCGCCCCGCCGGGCGGGCGCGGGACCACTGTCCCCGGGTCCCAGGCCCAAGCCCCGTGCGGCAAGGGAGCGAATGAGCGAGCGAACGAGCGAATGAGTGAAGGAATGACCGCACGCTGGCTCCTCCGCAGGTGACGCCGCAGCCGCCGGGAGCCGCGAGGGACGGGGCAGGATGAACCGGGCCAAGCCCACCACGGTGCGCCGGCCCAGCGCCGCGGCCAAACCCTCAGGTGCGTCTCCCTCCTCGCTCTGCAGCCCGGGGGTCTTTGGGGGTCTTTGGGGGTCTTTGGGGATCTCAGCTGCCGCGGATCCTGCGTTGGGCTTGGTTGTTCCGCAGCCGCGGCTGTTTCCAGGAATTCGGTCTGGAAACACTGCTCTCGGTCCTCAGCGGCTCTGAGAGTCCCTGGGAGGCTTGGGACAGTGGCGACTTCCTTCGGGACCCCGGTGATCTCGTTTCAGGCTGAGCTGCAAGGCGGCCGACAGTAGCGGAAGGTCTCCCCAGCCAGGAGGCGGGAGGCAGCACAGTGTAGCGTAGCACGGGGTCTGCGGCTGAACTGTCGGCTCAGATCCTCCGGACTTTGCCACTCGCCTGCTGTGTGACGCTGGGCACGTCGCTTAACCTCTCTGTGTCCCTTTCTCTCTTGTAAAGTTAGAGTAATAGCACCTATTGCGGAAACTCGGGGCGGGGGTTACTAAGCACACTAATTTGGATAGACCAGAGATGGCCTGGTTTGTGGTTAGCGCTACGTGACTGTCCACCATCACCTGTGCGTATCCTGCTGGTCCCAGCTCTGCTGTAGGCTGCTGAGTGAGCTCTGGCTTCTTCCTTGCCTCCTCTGACCCTTGTTTAATCCCCTCTGACATAACAGGAGGTTAGAGTCAGTCTTTTTCCATCTTGGGTGTTGCAAATGTGCCCGGTTTTCTCTCTCCTTTCTCTGCAGGGCACCCTCCCCCAGGAGACTTCATTGCTCTGGGCTCAAAGGGTCAGGCCAATGAATCGAAAACGGCGTCCACCCTGCTGAAGCCAGCCCCTTCCGGCCTGCCTTCTGAGCGCAAGCGGGATGCGGCGGCCGCGTTGTCCAGTGCCTCGGCCCTCACCGGTCTCACCAAACGCCCCAAACTCTCCTCCACACCCCCTCTGAGTGCCCTGGGGCGCCTGGCTGAGGCTGCAGTGGCAGAAAAACGAGCCATTTCTCCGTCGATTAAAGAGCCATCTGTGGTGCCAATTGAAGGTAATGAGTCTGTGGACATCCCCCGAGAACACCCCTCAGCTCATGCCGTCCATCAGGTGTTCAGGGAAGGCCCCCTCCAGGCCTAGTGCTGCCCGTATGGCCGAGGTCCTTTGGGAGAGCGGATGTTTGTGGCTTGTTCTTGGAAGTGCTTCTCACGTAGATGCCCTTATCCCGTGTGTGCATCTGCGTCCTGCACTGCCAGTGGCTGCCCTTTGAGAACCGGGTCACTCCCTTATTGAGTTGTTTGTCTCATGTGTCTGTTGGACGCCCCCTTTGTGACGGGCACTGTCTGAGCCCTGGGGGTAAACCGGGCGTGACGACACCCCAGGTGTCTGTTCTCAAGGTTGCCCATCCTGGTGCGTTCCTCTCTCAACCTGAGCGGAGGCGATGTGTACTTGGTTCCTCCTTCCCTCCTGGTTACCAACAGAGAAGAGTTGATCCCCTCCCTGTTTTCAGTTGAAAAGCAGCAGAACAGTAAGGACATCAACGGGGGAATGTAAGCTTCACCACTGTCCCGTTCTCGCAGAAATGCCTTTAACTGTGTGCCTAGAATCGCCCCTGCCCCTCTGCGCCATTTTCCCAACGACCATTTCTCAAGGCTCCGTGACTCCCTGGGAGTCGCTCTGGCAGCTATCGCACCAGCCCCAGCAAGCCTCATGGTCTGCAGTGTTTTGTTTCTGTGGGAGCATCTCTTTTGGGTAATTTCTTTGTAGGAGTCAAAAAGAACAAGTGTCCTGATGACTTTGGTAGTGAGGTGTCTGTTCAAGCCGCGCCACCTCTGGTTACTGAGTTTTGTGCCAGACAGGACCCAGGGGACTTGTGGGCTGTGGCCTTGCCCTCAGGGAGGGACCAGGCTGCTGCAGTGCAAGCCTGTGAGTGAGTCCCCGACGGCCCTGGAAGGGAGGAGGCCTGGCAGGGAGTTGCAGTATGGGCTTGGGCCTGGAAGCACAGGCGATGAAACCGGGGCAGGCAGGAAAGGGAGATGCCAAGCAGAGAATGGACTGTGCCCAGGGAATGGAGGCCTGGCCTGGCCTGGGCAGCACACGCTCATGAGAGCTGAGGCTGGGCGCTGTGGGCAGTGTTTGTGCTGGACTCAGTTGGCATCAGGGAGCCCTGGGGGCAAACGGCCCAGGATGGCACAGCTGGGGGACTGCTTTAGGAGGTCGAGCCTCAGACCTCCCATGAGGCGTGTCCCTGGGCAGCTGGTGCCGGTGGGGATTGAAGACAGAGACCACAGGCCTCATCCTGGCCCGGGCTCTCGGCCGCCGGCGGCTCGGTGCTTTATTTATCTTTAGCACTACCTCCTGTAGAAAGGAGGTTTTGAAGATGAGAGGAGACGTGGTTATGAAAAGCGTATTCTGAGTGGTAGATCACTTTATAGTATTATTCTCAGCAAAACAGAGAGATGGCTGCATCCAGCCATTTGTGGTAAATGTCCCAGGCTGTCCCTCCATGCTGGCAGCCCACTTGTCCCCCAGCTTGTCTCGGCATCAGGAAATTTATTCCAAGTCTCTGTCCCGGGCGCAGTTAAGGTAGATCACAATGCCTCTGTCCACATGTGTGTGGATATGTATTTACTTATTATTTATTATTTATTTATTTATTTATTTTTTTTTGAGACAGAGTCTCGCTGTGTTCCCCAGGCTGGAATGCAGTGGCACGATCTCGGCTCACTTCAGCCTCCGCCTCCCGGGTTCACATGATTCTCCTGCCTTAGCCTCCCAAGCAGCTGGGATTACAGGCATGCACCACCACGCCTGGCTAATTTGTGTATTTCTAGTAGAGACAGGGTTTCACTGTATTGGCCAGGCTGGTCTCGATTTCCTGACCTCAGGTGATCCACCTGCCTCAGCCTCCCAAAGTGGTGGGATTACAGGTGCTAGCCACTGCACCTGGCCGTTTGTGGATATTTAAAAACACAGTCCTAAAAAACTGTTGGGACAGAGAAGAATCAGAATGAAAATGAGAAAACCTCCGATCCAACAGTGGCAAACACGACGATAGGAAAGGTGTGTGCTGGCCCTGGTGCTCCTCAGAGGATGTGGGAGGGTCAGGCACTCGTCTGGAGGAAGGTTGTGAGCCGAGCACCCATGGAAAGAGGGAGGAAAAGTGGGAAGAAGGGCATGCTGGAGACTGGAGCTGGGGTGGGTGCGGAGAGAGGGCCACTGTGCTGCGGTCCACAGTGAGAAAGAAGCCGCCAGACGGAGCCACGATTCAGTGGAAAGTAAAGCTGCAGGTGGCCTGGCTTGCTGGGAAATGTCTGTAGCCTTTGGGGTAGTCGTGTGGGACACAGCGGAGCCAGGACTGGAGTGGCTGGTGGGCTAGTGCTGAGGCCTGTGGGGCAGCCTGTTGTATTAAGGGGACCATCTGGTGGGGTGCTTGTCCGCTGTGGGAACTTTGCTGAGGGTGGATCGCTGGTCCCTGGCAGGGCCGACCCTGAGAGCTCTGGGTTCCTCGTGGTCTTCCCGGTGTCCCGAGGCTTTGGGGTGACCCTGCCCTGGCCCCGTTCTGACCGTACCGCCTGCCCCGGCCAGTGCTGCCCACGGTGCTGCTGGATGAGATCGAGGCGGCCGAGCTGGAGGGCAACGATGACAGGATCGAGGGCGTGCTGTGCGGGGCCGTGAAGCAGCTGAAGGTCACCCGCGCCAAGCCTGACAGCACCCTCTACCTGAGCCTCATGTACCTGGCCAAGATCAAGCCCAACATCTTCGCCACTGAGGGCGTCATTGAGGTTTGAGCCGGGCCCCTGGCAGGAGGCGAGCAGCGCTGGGGCCCTTGGCTCCCCTCCTCACCTCCCCCTTAAGTGTCCCTCCCGGCCCACCCCAGCTTTGCCTCTGGGGCCAGCGAAGCTCCCACGTGACATGCGCCCTCCCTGGCAGGCTCTGTGTAGCCTCCTGCGGCGGGACGCCTCCATCAACTTCAAGGCCAAGGGGAACAGCCTGGTGTCTGTGCTGGCCTGTAACCTCCTCATGGCCGCCTACGAGGAGGACGAGAACTGGCCCGAGATCTTTGTCAAGGTGAGCGTCCTCTCCCGGGACGGTGAAGATGGCAGAGCGCCACGGGGTGGGGCAGGGGCGAGAGAAAAGCAGAAGTGTGTTCTCTCCAGAGGGCTGTGTCTGACAGCCCTGGTGGTGATGGCACGGTCCCTGCTGCACCCAGAAGCTGGAGAGGGCCGCCTGGGCACCCAGTCCCCGGGCAGCAGGCGGGTGTTCCCCAACCTGGCTGCTGCCCGGCTGGGCTCGGGGCTGAGGGTGTGGCTGCCACACAGGTGTACATCGAGGACTCCCTGGGGGAGCGGATCTGGGTGGACAGCCCTCACTGTAAGACGTTTGTGGACAACATCCAGACGGCCTTCAACACCAGAATGCCCCCCAGGAGCGTGCTGCTGCAGGGGGAGGCGGGCCGCGTTGCGGGCGACCTGGGTGCAGGTGAGACACACGGCCAGCCAGAGAGGGCGGGTGTCCAAGCCCCAGGGCAGGGGAGGGGTGGGAGGATGGGCGGGTGGGAGGCGCTGCATGGAGCCCTCTCCTTGGTTTGCAGGGAGCAGCCCACACCCCTCCCTCACGGAGGAGGAGGACAGCCAGACGGAGTTGCTGATCGCGGAGGAGAAGCTGAGCCCCGAGCAGGAGGGCCAGCTCATGCCCAGGTAGCTGCGTGCCTGCCCGGTCCCAGTTGGGGGCGGCGGGGGCGGGCGCCTCGGGGCCACCTTCCTCCCTCCTCGCTCCCTCCTCTGGCCTAGGTACGAAGAGCTCGCGGAGAGCGTGGAGGAGTATGTCCTGGACATGCTGCGGGACCAGCTGAACCGGCGCCAGCCCATCGACAACGTCTCCAGGAACCTCCTGCGGCTCCTCACCTCCACCTGCGGCTATAAGGAGGTGCGGCTGCTGGCGGTGCAGAAGCTGGAGATGTGGCTGCAGAACCCCAAGGTGCGGGGGCGCCCCGGGGGGGTGGGCGGGGCAGGGGGTGGGGGCAGGCTCTGTGTGGCCCCACAGCGTGGTCTTCCTGCCGGGGTGGCCGTGAGCCCACTGCTCCCTCCTCGGCCCCGCAGCTGACCCGGCCGGCCCAGGACCTGCTGATGTCCGTCTGCATGAACTGCAACACGCACGGTTCCGAAGACATGGACGTCATCTCACACCTGATCAAGATCCGCCTCAAGCCCAAGGTCCTCCTCAACCACTTCATGCTGTGCATCAGGTGCGTGGCGAGCCGGGGCAGAGCGGGGGTGCGGGTGGAGTGGGGGTGTGGGTGGGGGTGTGGGCGGAGCGGGGGTGCGGGCGGAGTGGGGGCACAGGCGGAGTGGGGGCACAGGCGTAGCGGGGACAGGGTCTGTACCCTCACCTCACCCAGGGAGCTGCTGAGCGCGCACAAGGACAACCTGGGCACCACCATCAAGTTGGTGATCTTCAATGAGCTCTCCAGCGCCCGGAACCCGAACAACATGCAGGTCCTCTATACCGCACTGCAGCACAGCTCAGAGCTGGCGCCCAAGGTAGGCCCAGGGTCCCTGGCCTTGCCCTCCACGCCGGAATATGGGGCTCTGGGCTGGAGGGGCACGTGGCGTCTGGGGAGGCCGGTGGATTGGCAGTGCTTCGTGGGAGAATGCTCCTCGGTCTCGGGAAGGAGCTTTTGAAACTCACGTGGGCATGAGGTTGAGCCGTTTCTAGAGTGGGTGCAGCCACAGCGCCCAGCGTCTTTCTCAGAAACTGACACTCTGTCCATTTAGGAGGGAGCCACATTGAGTCTTAAAAGCCACCCAGGTTTCTGAGCTAAGACCCAGACCTGTTGCCTTCTGTTTTTATTTTTCAAGCTCATTCCTGCCTTTGGATAGTAAGGTAGTTTTTAAAAATTTTGTGGAGACCGGGTCTTATTATGTGGCCCAGGCTGGTCTCAAACTCCTGGGCTCAAGCGATCCTCCTGCCTCAACCTCCCAAAGTGCTGGGATGACAGGCATGAGCCCCTGTGCCTGGCCCAGACCCGCCTCCTGTGCATTGGGTCCCTCGGTTAAGCAGGGGTCCCTGTAGCCCTGGCTGTAGGACCCTTGGATTTCCGTGTCTCCTTTGAAGCGGGCTCGGGAGATGCTCCCATCGCCACCAGCGCATTAGGCCTCCCGGTGGGCTCTATGGAGTGTGAAACACGAGGGAGGCACAGCCGCTCTCAGCTCCGCGTTCAGTCTTCGCGGCCTGGCATTTTGAGACAGGAGTGCGTCCTTTCAGATCCTTTCAGATCTTGGGTGGTGGCCTTTGGTTTCCGTTCAGCCCGTGGCGCACGGGTGGGCTGAGATGGCACACGCGCTTCTATGGCTTTGCCGCCTGGTGTCCCGCACCCCCAGCTTCCGTTAATTAATCCTCCTCATTTCACGAGGACCGACTCCCCACCTGCCGGTTCTCAGAGAGGGGAATCAGATGTGATCCCTGCTCGCCAAGGGCTGGCAGCCAGTAGAGCAAGGAGCCCGCCACCCCGCACCCCACACTGTCTGAGACCCACTGCAGCGCCCTCGGGCGCCATACCTGTTGGTGCTGCGGGAAGGGGCCTGTGACAGGGACAGCACTGTCGGGCAGCCTCCCACGCGGCCTCTCTCTGCCCCAGTTCCTGGCCATGGTGTTCCAGGACCTGCTGACCAACAAGGACGACTACCTGCGGGCCTCGCGGGCCCTGCTGCGGGAGATCATCAAGCAGACCAAGCACGAGATCAACTTCCAGGCCTTCTGCCTGGGGCTCATGCAGGAGCGCAAGGAGCCGCAGTACCTGGAGATGGAGTTCAAGGTGCCAGCCCTCGCCGCTGGGGCGCCTTTCCCTCACTGCGGGTTCCACGCGCCGCCATCCCCCTCGTCCTGGGTCCCATGCACACTCCACCCCTTCGGATGCTCTGGCTGAGCGTGGGTACGGGGATGAGTGAGGCTGTTTGCGGTGACGCGTCCCAGAGGGTAGCATAGGCTCTGTCCTGTGTGAGGACCTATGAGGGGCTGACCAAGCACAGGGGAACTGGCAACCCCTAGGCTGGATGGGATGAATTGCTGCCGGCAGCAAGGGGAGCACGGGAGCAGGGAGGCAGGGTGGGGCTGCGGGCTGCCTGGCTGGGTTGGAGACTTTTCGAGGGCTGTGGAGGGAGCTGGCGCTGGAAGGCACAGTGAGGGTGGATCACAGAGATGCCAGGTCCCTGCAGCCAACTCGCAGCCAGCCTGCCGGGGTGGCCTGTTTTGCGGACGGGGCTTTGTGGATCTCTGTTGACTGAACCTCCCTCCTGTGGCCAGACTAGGACCTTGTGGGCCACCGGCCCTGGTGCCCCTCCTGTCAGGCCCCTCTCCCAACTGGTCCTGGGCTCTCTCTCTGGATCCCTGCTTGTGTGTGTGTATGTGTGCGCATGTGCAAGTGTGTGCGTGCTGCACCCACGTGTTTGTGGAGTGGGGCTCCCGGGTGTCCCTTCTGGATACAGACCCCGTGCCGCGCCCACGTGGGTGTGGAGTGGGGCTCCCGGGTGTCCCTTCTGGATACAGACCCCGTGCCGCGCCCACGTGGGTGTGGAGTGGGGCTCCCGGGTGTCCCTTCTGGATACAGACCCCGTGCCGCGCCCACGTGGGTGTGGAGTGGGGCTCCCGGGTGTCCCTTCTGGATACAGACCCCGTGCTGCACCTGCAGGAGCGCTTCGTGGTGCACATCACCGACGTCCTGGCCGTGTCCATGATGCTGGGCATCACAGCGCAGGTGAAGGAGGCCGGCATCGCCTGGGACAAAGGAGAAAAGAGGAGTAAGGATGTGGGGGTGGCCTGGCCCTGCTTGGTGGGGGTCTCGGGTCCAGGCTGGTGGCTGGCGGCTCTCCGAGGCTGCACTGTCCCCTGAGCGCCCGGCAGGAGCGGTCCCGCAGCACGGCTACTCGGGGACACGGAGCCTGGAAGCTGCCGTCCCCGTTCCTGTCCATCCGGGCCTCACCCCAGCTGCAGGCTCAGACCCTGTTCCCATGAGCGTCCTTTGTGTGCTCCAGTTCTGGCCCAGCATGGGGGCATTGCAGGCGTGGTGGCCCCAGCCACGGGCGGGAGTGGGGAGGGGAGGTGGTGTTTGGGGCAGTCCGGGTGTTTGATTATGGGTTCACAGGAAGGCTGGGCCGCAGAAGCCCTCTAAGCCATTGACCGGAGCGAGTCACTCGGAACAGGAGGATTCCAGTCACCCACGCACGCGTCAGGGTCACTCCATGCCTCCCAGGGTGTTATTCCAGCTGGGAATCGTCCAGAAGCTGGGGGTGCCCTGAGTTACCCCCTCCCAAGTGCCAGCATTGAGTTGGACCCCCAGGGGTGCCTTAGCCCCTCATGGCCCATGGCTCGGATGGGCCACTAAGCTGCGTGTCTGTTTCAGACCTGGAAGTGCTCCGCTCATTCCAGAACCAGATTGCCGCCATCCAGCGGGATGCCGTCTGGTGGCTCCACACTGTGGTCCCCTCCATCAGCAAGCTCGCCCCTAAGGACTACGTGCACTGGTGCGGCTGGGGCCCTGTACAGCCCCTGTCCCACACCCCACTGAGCCGGGACAAGCCGGGGCCCCGCACAACCCCTGCCCCAAACCCCACTGAGCCAGGACAAGCCAGGCCCCGCACAGCCCCTGCCCCACACCCCACTAAGCCGGGACAAGCCAGGCCCCCACACGGGAGTCTGTCCCCTCTCTGCGGACAGCAGCAGCCGTTAGGCTCCAGGCAGGTCACCCTGTGCATTGGAGCCTCCCGTGGAGCCTCTGCCTTGGTTGGGGTGGGGCTGCCAGGCTGGGGCTGCATTTCTCTGCAGCGATTTTGTAAAGGGCTGTCCAGCCCGGCAGCCCCGTTCGGCCGCTGTGCAGCCTGGCAGCCCCGTGAGTGGTCCCTGGGTTCTTTGGTGGTGCTGTGAGGAGGTGCTGAGCTTGGGCACCAGGCAGCCCGGCCTCTGAGCGCTGGGGCCCGTGGGAGCGGGGTCCCTTCCCTGGAACTAACGGGGCTGGTCCCTGAGCACCCACATCATGACTGAGGGCTCTTCTCTGCCTGCCCAGCCTGCACAAGGTGCTGTTCACAGAGCAGCCGGAGACCTACTACAAGTGGGACAACTGGCCACCCGAGAGTGACCGCAAGTGAGTGCGCTGCCGCCTGGGGCTCCTGTGTGCCGGGCTGGGCGGGGCTGCGGGGTGCCGGGCCGGCTGCGGCAGGAAGGGCCAGTGGGAGTTGGGCGGCTGTTCCCATGGTCACAGCACCATCCTGCTCCTCCTCCACAATCCTGGGTGCCACCCTTCTCCCACTCCCATGCTGGCGTCCCAGCGCCACTGTAGGGATTCAGCTGCCGTCTGCGTCCACGTGACTCCAAGCCCCAGCCGCAGCCTCCCCCGGACCCCCGCCTTCCAGTTGCTTCCAGGGCGTCCACGGGCACGCCACCCTTCACGCAGTCTCAGATGCACCGTCTGCCCCTGCTTCTGTCCAGACAGCCGCACACTGTCCTTCCCCAGCCGGCTGGCCTCACAGCTCTGTCCCCCTTCAAGCCCCATGGGTGACCCCGTGGGTTCTTGGTCTACACTCCCCTCCAGCCCCGCCTGGGGCTCCTGCCAGTTCACCCTGCCCCCACCTCGTGCCCTGGGCGCTCTGTTCACCTTCACTGCGGCCTTCCGGTCAGGCTTTGGAGGTGTAGGGGTTATCTCTGTCTCCTGGCCCCCAGCTCCTTGAGGGCAAGAACCATCTAGAGGCCTCTGTGGGGTGGCAGAGTCTCCGTGTGGTGGTTGTAGGAACCAGTGACTGTGTGTGTATCCCCAAAGGCCTTGGGGTGGGGGTAGCCTCCCCTTCTCCCCTTGTCCAGGCGAGACTTAGAGCCAGGGCTCCTGTCCTGCAAAGGGAGGCTCAGGTTGGAGGGGATAGGCTCGTGGGAGGCAGCAGCAGCCCTCTGCCACCAGCCCGTGGGCTCTGAGGGAGAAGCTGGCCTGTCCTCGGCCCCTCAGGTCTGGCAGGTGTGGGCAGCCCACACCGAGTCATGCCTCCCCCACCCCGCAGCTTCTTCCTGCGTCTGTGCTCCGAGGTGCCCATTTTGGAGGACACGCTGATGCGCATCCTGGTCATCGGGCTGTCCCGGGAGCTCCCGCTCGGGCCTGCGGACGCCATGGAGCTTGCTGACCACCTGGTGAAGCGGGCGGCTGCCGTGCAGGCGGATGGTATGGCTTCTGCAGGGGATGGCGCCTGTGCTGGGTCTGCTCCCCTCGTCCCTGCAGAAACCCCGGCTCTGGCACGCACCTCTGGGGCGCTCCACAAAGCTGCGCTTCAGCTGGGTCCTGGGTCCCCGGGAGGCTCGGGGACCTGCCTTCTCCACATCTGCCGTTGGGAATTCAGAAGCGTGCGTGTATTTGGCAATGGTGCAGTCACTGCCCCGTTCTTTGGAATTTGCACATTTTTTGGAATTGGCATTCTCGGTGTGATTTGGCCACGGCCAGATTTCCTGTCTGTCACCTCCTTTAGGCGACAGGTAGAATGATTGTAAATCCAGCTCGCGCCTCGTCCGTGGCTCTGCCCCGAGGGCTTGCGGGTCCCCACCCTGCCGGCCACACCCCCGTCCTCACCTCCCTACCCTCTCTTGGCAGCCCTGCCTGCTCTCTAGACCCAGCCCAGGTGTCCCCGAGAGCAAAGTGCCCTGTTTCCCAGTGAGAAGCCAAGCTTCCCCCAGCTCTCCTGCTCAGGCCTGCGCCCCACCCTGCGGCATCCCCCACCCCACCCCGACGCGGCCCGAGCAGGGCCGGTTCCCTCGCTGCCTGTGCCTGATGGTCTGTGAGCAGCCCCAGAACCCATGTGTGGCTCTTGGTCTTAGATGTGGAGGTGCTGAAGGTGGGGAGGACCCAGCTGATCGACGCCGTTCTGAATCTGTGCACCTACCATCACCCTGAAAACATCCAGCTCCCACCGGGGTAAGCCCACGCCCCGCTCCCCACTCCCGCCCGGGTAAGCCCGCGCCCCGCTCCCCACTCCCACCCGGGTAAGCCCGCGCCCCGCTCCCCACTCCCGCCCGGGTAAGCCTGCGCCCCGCTCCCCACTCCCGCCCGGGTAAGCCCGCGCCCCGCTCCCCACTCCCCACTCCCGCCCGGGTAAGCCCGCGCCCCACTCCCCATGGGCCTGCTCATGGCCTGTTCCCAGAGACCAGTGAGGCCACTACGGGCCTTGACTGGCTCGGCCCGAGTCCAACCGTTACCTGGGTTTGAGTGGGCTGTTTCCCCGTTGTCTTCCCCGGTGTCTCCAGCTCAGTCATACCTTTTTCTCCTGTGTTTAACGTGTGTGCGTTATTTTTTACACAACGAGTTTATGCTCTATATATTCACGGCTTTATCGAGAGAGAATTCATGTACGTGTTATCTAAAGTGTGCAATTCCATGTTTTCAGAATGTTCACAGGTTGTACAACTTTCATTATAATTTAATTGTAGAACCTTCTTTGGTTCCCCCAAGAGAACCCCATTCCCACCAGCTGTCACTCCTCATTCCTCCCAGCGCAGCCCACGCAGCTGCTCACCTGCCGTCACCTCTGTAGAGCGGCCCTTTTGGGTGTTTTCTGTAAATGGCATCCTACAGTGCATGATCTTGTGACCAGCCTCCTTCCCCGGGCATGCTCTTTCCGGGGTCACCTGTGCTGTAGCATGAGGCAGTATCAAAGTCCTCCTCGTGGCTGAGGGCACCCCACTGTGTGGACAGAGATCATGTCTGCTGCTTCCGCTCCCCTGCTGACGGACGGTGCTGCTGTGAGCGTGTGTGGACAAATCTGTGTGGCCGTGTCTTCGGTTCTCTTGAGCAGGTGGCTAGGAGTGGGGTTGCTGGGCCACGTGTTTAACTGAGGCTCTGTCAGACCCTCCCCAGCGGCTGCCCCACCTTGAGTTCCCGCTTGCGTCCCCGCCAGCGCTGAGTGACGGTTCCTAGTCTCCATCCTCACCCGCACTCATGGCCCGTGTTTCTCAGCAGAGACATCCTGCTGGGGTGAGACGGTATCTCACGTTTGTTTCGGTTTGCATTTTCCGTTTTTTGTGGGGAACGGAGTCTTGCTCTGTCTGTCACCTAGGCTGGAGTGCGGTGGCACAATCAACGGTTCACTGCAGCCTCAACCTCCCTGGCTCAAGCGGTCCTCCCGCCTTGGCCTCCTGTGTAGCTGGGACTATAGGCACGTGCCACCATGCCCAGCTAATTTTAGTGTTTGCAGAGATGGGGCCTCACTTTATTGCCCAGGCTGTTTTCAAACCTCTGGGCTCAAGCAGTCCTCCTGCTTTGACCTCCTAAAGTGTTGGGGTTACAGGTGTGATGAGCCACACCGCGCCTGGCCAGGAGTTTTCAATTTTGAGCAAATCCACTTTTATCTATTTTTGTTTGGTTTCTGTGCTTTTGTGTCATGTCTAAGAAACTATCGCCTAGTCCAGGGTTGTGGAGATTTAATTCTGTGTTTTCTGTCAAGGGTTTTATAGTCCCAGCTCTTACTTTCAGGTGTTTGAGCCACTGTGACATAGTTTTTATGGTGTGAGGCAGGGGTCCGGCTTCATTCCTGTGTGTGTGGCCATCCAGCTGTCCCGGCACCGCTGTTGAAAGCCTGTCTTTCCCTGATGAGGTTCTCTTGGCTTCGTGTCGGAAGTCGCACCCATGTGGGTTGTTCCTGGACCTCACTTCCGTCCTGTGGACCCACGTGGGCAGCACAGAGCTCGCCTTTGGGGAGGCCCGATCATCTTCGTGCTGCTGCTGCTGCTGTGTGTGCTTTGACGTTGTACCTAGGACGCTGGGGCTGCCCCACGCTCCCGAAGCCCTCCTCCCGTTTTCTCCCGGGAATGTTATAGTTTGGTGATCAGTCTCCGGAGTCTGTCATCCACTTGGTGTGTGGTGTTTGGTGGGGCCCCACTTCATTCTGTTGGTTGGTTCTGGTTGTCGCAGCACTGTTGTTGAGAGGGCCATTCCTGCGCCTTGGGCCGTCTTGGCGCCCTGTCGGTGGCCTGTTGCGCCCAAGTTTGAGGGTTGACCTCTGGACTCTTGTTGCATGTAGGTGAGAGGGTTGACCTCTCGACTCAGCTCCATTCTGTCCGTCTGCACGTCTGTTCTGTCCGTCTATGTGTCCATCCTCTATAAGGGCTGAGTTTTACAATTGGGAAGTACGTTTTCCAACTTTGTTCTTTCCCAGGATTGTTTTGGCTGTTCTAGGTCCTTTCATTTCCACGTGAATTTCAGGGTGAGCTTGTCAGTTTCTGCAAAACAGATGACTGGGATTTCGAGGGAGACAGTGTGGAATCCATGGGTCAGTCTGGGGAGTGCCACCATGTCAGTGAGGCCACGCCCTGCGATCCGTGCACGTGGGAGGATTTCCCTTTATCCAGAGCTGACACCCTTTCAGGGGTTTCCCTTTATCCAGAGCCGACACCCTTTCAAGGGTTCCCGTTTATCCAGAGGCGACACCCTTTCAGGGGTTCCCGTTTATCCGGAGCTGACACCCTTTCAGTGGTGTCCGTTTATCCGGAGCCAACACCCTTTCAGGGGTTCCCGTTTATCCGGAGCCGACACCCTTTCAGGGGTGTCCCTTTATGCAGAGGTGACACCCTTTCAGGGGCGTCCCTTTATGCAGAGCTGACACCCTTTCAGGGGCGTCCCTTTATGCAGAGCTGACACCCTTTCAGTAGCGTTTGGAGTTTTGGTCGGACGCACTTCGGAATCCCGCACTGCACTTGAGCCTCGCGTGCTCTCTGATGCTGTGGTTGAGGTTCTCCTGCCTCTCTCCTTCGGCAGGTGCTGCCCGCTCTGCTTTCTGGTGTGGTCTTTCCCACTCAGCAGCCTCTGCATGTGGCTCCAGGCAGTGCCTCGATTCACATCTGTCTCATAGCCAGGATCCGTTTCCTCACCCGAGGGGCCCGTGCTTTGATTTAATTGTATCGTTACAATAATTCCATCTCGGTGGCTCCTGGGGTGGTGTCTGTTATGTCATGTAGAGTACAAAAATCATTGTCACTTAATGAACGTTTATTATGTATCCACCACCGCTCCCGTTTTGTAGATGGGAAACAGAGACTTAGAAAGGTAAGGACAGAGCCGGAGTCGGGCCTGGACAGGGAGCCCAGAGCCAGGCTGATGCACATGCTTGGACAGGTGTCACTGGAGGGCAGTCCCGGGAGGAGCTGGGAGCCAGCACCGTCCCTGCCCCAGCTTTGCCACCTGGCCCGGCCGATCCTTGGCGCTGAGCTTGGTGCGCTGGGCCTGAGTCGGGGCGCCCCTGCCTTCCAGGTACCAGCCTCCGAACCTCGCCATCTCTACCCTCTACTGGAAGGCCTGGCCCCTCCTGCTGGTCGTCGCCGCATTCAACCCAGAGAACATCGGTGAGCCTCTGCTGGCCGCCCCATGCGCACACGTGGCCCTGCTGGTCCTTATTCCTTTGGGGCAGTTTGTCTGTTGGGACTTGGGATGAGCCCAGCTGGGGATGAGAGGAGGAGCTGGGAGAAGCGGGGGTCACACGCCTGGTGCCCAGGGGAGCCTGGCCAGCCCCACACCCTCCGGTTCCCTAGGCCTGGCTGCGTGGGAGGAGTACCCGACCCTGAAGATGCTCATGGAGATGGTGATGACCAAGTGAGTGCGCACGTCCCCTCGGCGGGCCCGGGATGGGGAGCAGGGCCTGGTCTCGTTCCGCTGGGGCTGTGTTCCCTGCTGTCTCCTGGGTCGTGCTGCATCAGCATCTTAGCATCTTCTGTTGACTCATGGACCTGAGCTTCTGGATCTAAGCCTGCTGCACTTTGTTCTCTTCTCTTTCCCTTGCCGGGAGAGGGGGTGTGGATTGAGGCGGCATCACGGAGGCCAGCAGGGAGGTCCGCAGGCACCCCCAGCTCTTCTGGGCAGCGCTTATGCTGCCGACAGGAGTGGGGACTGGGCAGGCTGGGGGTGGTGCGATGCTGGAGGACGTGGCAAGAGAATCCGGCCAGAGATGGGTTAGACAGGATGGAGCCAGGCCCAGTGGGCCAGGTGGGCTTTAACACTGGCCAGTGGGCCAGGTGTGACCCTGCGTGGGATCAGCAGTGGGTGAGCCTCAAGGACAGTTCAGTGCAGGTGGGACGAGAGTCGGCACAGCCTGCCTAGGAGACGCCCAGGGCTCACCACCAGCTGTGCCTGGCAGCATTGGTGCCCACACAGTGTGGGCGAGGGCCGATGAGCTCTGGGGCCAGCATCCTATCTCACCAGTGAGGGCACCACACCAAGGGCAGTGGCCAAGGTGAAGGGGCGCCCGAGGCTGTGGCATCATAGGGACGGGGAGTGTGTGTGGCCCTGGTATTGTGGGGACCAGGTGTGTGTGTGTGGCGTTGGGATCGGGTACGTTTGGGGCCGTTGCACTGTGAGGACTGGGCATGTGTCTGCCCATGGTTTTGTGGGGACTGGGTGTGTGTCTGCCTGTGTGTTGTGGGGAGTGGGTGCGTGTGTGTCCTGAGGTGGGAGGCACAGCTGCTTCCCCCCACCTCTGAAGGAGCAGACTGACTTTGGGGCCTTGGGGACAGAGCTCAGATTAGAGCGGCCATGGGGAGCTGGGTTTTGGAACACGCCGAAGCCACGTGTGCCTCTGTAGGCAAGAGAGTCCCTGCCCTGCAGGTCTGTCCCTGGATGGGGCGGGCAGAGCCTACATGGCTGTCAAACTAGGCTATGCTCCCAGCGTAGGTGGCGTGGAAGGGGAGGTGGCCTGGGAGGAGGCCAGGTTCTGACACCGCTGGCCTTGGCTCTGGTGAGGGCAGGCGTGCTGCCTGCGGAGGACGAGGCAGTGGCTGGACCGCGCCTCTGGGCAGCGCTGCGGCTTCTCGTCTCAGCTCTGACAGCCCCATGGATGCTACCGGGCGCCCTGTGCTCCTGACTGCTGTGCAGCAGAGGCAGCAGCAGCCGTAGGGGTTTTACCCTCCTTGACCCTGAGCGTGGCCCACTGGGAGTGAGCCCTTCATGGGGGGCAGGGTGACACGCTCCCCCGTCTGGCCCTAGCAACTACTCCTACCCACCGTGCACCCTGACGGATGAGGAGACCCGGACGGAGATGCTGAACCGTGAGCTGCAGACCGCCCAGCGGGAGAAGCAGGAGATCCTGGCCTTCGAGGGGCACCTGGCGGCCGCGTCCACCAAGCAGACCATCACTGAGAGCAGCAGCCTCCTCCTGTCGCAGCTCACCAGCCTGGACCCCCAGTACGCAGCCCACACAGCCCCGCCCTGCGCCTGCCGTCGGGACCTGTGGGTGGTTGGTGTGGGTGGGACAGAGGCTGAAGGAGCAGGCGGAGCCGACCGCACTGCGGCAGAACCTGAAAGGCCTGTGGAGCCCCGTCCCCGCGTCCCTGGCTTACTGCTGTGGGGCCAGGCCTTGGGGACATCCCAGGTCAGGATGGGTTGCCCGTCTCGGGCTGTCGGCTGCCCCTCGAAGCAGGGATGGGAGGAGGAGGGGTTCTGGGGGTGATCCGCTCAGGGCGTGCTGACGCACCGTGTCCCCTGTGGCCCTCAGGGGGCCCCCCCGGAGGCCTCCCCCTCACATCCTGGATCAAGTGAAAAGCCTCAACCAGTCCCTCCGCCTCGGGCACCTCTTGTGCCGCAGCCGAAACCCTGACTTTCTCCTCCACATCATCCAGCGGCAGGTGAGTGCCGAGGCTCCAGGAGGTAGAGATGGTGGTCTTGGGAGGCCCGGAACCTTCCGGAGGCCTTGGTGGCCAGAAGAGGGCAGGACACACCTGGATGCGGGGCCCATGAGCTGGCTGCTGCGTGTCGCCCTTTCCGGCTCCGCGGTCACCCGGGGGGCTGGCGGCAGGTGTTGGGCCTGGAAGGTGCTGAGCGGGCGCCACTGTCGCCTGCCCAGGCCTCCTCGCAGTCCATGCCCTGGCTGGCGGACCTGGTACAGTCCAGCGAGGGCTCCCTGGACGTGCTGCCCGTGCAGTGTCTGTGCGAGTTCCTGCTGCACGATGCTGTGGACGATGCTGCTTCCGGGGAGGAGGACGACGAGGGCGAGAGCAAGGAGCAGAAGGCCAAGAAGCGGCAGGTCAGGGCCGCCCACCCCTCAGCCCCCCCGCCTCTCACCCCGCACCCCTGTCAGGGCAACCCATGCCTGAGCCCACCAGCCGCGCACCCCACGTCCTACCCGCCTGGCCTGTCACCTGCACCCCTGAGAGCCCCTTCCTCCCTGCAGAGGCAACAGAAGCAGCGGCAGCTGCTGGGCCGCCTGCAGGACCTGCTACTGGGCCCGAAGGCTGATGAGCAGACCACGTGTGAGGTGCTGGACTACTTCTTGCGGCGCCTCGGCTCCTCCCAGGTGGCCTCCCGCGTGCTGGCCATGAAGGTGAGGTGGTGGGCGGGTCTTTCTGCGCACGCTCTTCATGTTTAAAATGAGTAGGCTGGGGACCGGGCACGGTGGCTCACGCCTGTCATCCCAGCACTTTGGGAGGCCAAGGCAGGCAGATTACCTGAGGTCAGGAGTTGGAGACCAGCCTGGCCAACATGGTGAAATCCCGTCTCTATTAAAAATAGAAAAAATTAGCTGGGCGTGGTGGAGGGGGCCTGTAATCCCAGGTACTCTGGAGGCTGAGGCAGGAGACTCGCTTGTACCTAGGAGGCGGAGGTTGAGGTGAGCCAAGATTGTGCCACTGTACTCCAGCCTGGGCAACAAGTGAAACTCCATCTCAAAAAAAAAAAAATAAATAAATGAAAAATAAAGAAGTAAAATGAGTAGGCCTGGGGCAGTGGCTTGCTCTTGTCATCCCAGCACTTTGGGAGGCCGAGGTGGGAGCATCACTTGAGTCCAGGAGTTTGAGACCAGCCTGGGCAACACAGGAAGATCCTCTCTCTACAAAAACTGAAAAAATTAGCCAGGTGTGGTAGTGTGTGCCTGTGTTCCCAGCTACTTGGGAAGCTGAGGCAGGAGGATCACTTGAGCCCAGGAGTTTGAGACCAGCCTGGGCAACATAATGATACCCATCTCTACAAAAAATAAAAGATGAGAAAAATGAGCTGGGTGTGGCAGCATGCACCTGTGGTCCAAGCCACTTGGGAGGCTGAGATGGGAGAATCACTTGAGGCTGTAGTGAGCTGTGATCACACCACTGCACTCCAGCCTAGGCAACAGAATGAGACCCTGTCTTAAAAAGGAAAAGTAAAAATCAAATGAGTGTTCAGTGCACTCTGACTGTATTTTAAGTTCCTTCCCTGCGTAGGAAGGATGCGCTAGTGAAACGTGAAGGTGGACCCTGCCGCCTGCCTGGTGTTCCTTTCTTGCTGGTGACGGGAGGGTCCAGAGTGGCTTCAGGAACTTGAACAGAAGCATTTAACAGAAAGAGCTCAGTCTCGTTTTTCCCTTTTACCTGCGGCCTCTCCCGTGGGAAGCAAGCGCCACATTCTCCTCGGGGCTCTGAGGGCACCATGCGTGTGCTCCCGGGGCCAGGGTGAGACCCTGCCTGCACTGCCGAAAGCCGGCCCAGCTCATGAGTGTCTGCCACAGGGTTTGTCGCTGGTGCTTTCGGAGGGCAGCCTGCGGGACGGGGAGGAGAAGGAGCCCCCCATGGAGGAGGATGTGGGGGACACAGATGTGCTGCAGGGCTATCAGTGGCTGCTGCGGGACCTGCCTCGCCTGCCTCTGTTCGACAGCGTCAGGAGCACCACAGCCCTGGCCCTGCAGCAGGTGAGGGCGCTGACCGGGGCCGCGGCAGGGAAAGATGAGAGGGCCGCAGCCCTGCCCTGTTGCCGCTCAGACCACCCTCCCCTCCAGGCAATCCACATGGAGACTGATCCCCAGACCATCAGCGCCTACCTGATCTACTTGTCCCAGCACACGCCTGTGGAGGAGCAGGCCCAGCACAGCGACCTGGCCCTGGTGAGGCAGCAGGGTCAGCCAGCAGTGTGGCCCTGGGGAGGGGACGGGGCCAGCCGGCAGTGTGGCCCTGGGGAGGGGACGGGGCCAGCCGGCAGTGTGGCCCTGGGGAGGGGACGGGGCCAGCCGGCAGTGTGGCCCTGGGGAGGGGACGGGGTCAGCACAGAGACCCTGCCCTGGGGAGGGTAAGGGGCCAGTGGTGCAGTGCCCTGGGCTGGCGGCTTCTTGGGCCACAGGGAGGCATTGAGGGTGGGAGGGCCGTCACGGCTGCTGTGCTGGGGCTTCTATGACCCCGTGGCCACCTGTGTCCCTTCCTTAGTCACCACTCACTCCCTGGAGCCTTTCTCCCCAGACCCTGAGGATGCGAAGCCACGGGGGTGAGGGTGCCTTGTTCACAGCAGGGTGGAATCTGAGCCATCAGCCTTCTCCCCGACGCCAGGAGGGTTTGGGCTGTGGGCCCAGGTCGCTGGGCACCTGCCCGCTGTCCTCAGCATCTCTAGCTCACATGTGTGGCGCTGACTCCCATCTTCTCTCCTGGGTGCTGTCCTTCTCTGCTGGGCTGCTTCTCACTTTGCATCACGGTTCTCTTGTCCACAACCTGCGCTGTGACCTAGTGAAAGTTGGTGGCCCGAGTCCTCAGGGAATGAGCGATAGGTGAACAGATGGTGGCTGCCGGGCAGAGGGCAGCAGCGTCCGCTTTCAGGGCCTGGTCATTGTCCCTGGCTGTGAGAGTCGTGTCCTCCCTCCCCCCTGGAGAGTCCGACCCAGCTCTGGTCGTCTTCCCTGGCGGCCTGCGGCTGAGTGAGGGTCTGCGGTGCCGCGGGCCCTGCTTAAGATCCCAGTGAGAGCGTGCCTGCGACGAGGTCACCCCAGCTGGCCGGAGAGCAGAGCTGTCTCGGAGCCTCTGACGCCCCCCTGTCCACACACCAGGACGTGGCCCGGCTGGTCGTGGAGCGCTCCACCATCATGTCCCACCTCTTCTCGAAGCTCTCCCCGAGTGCCGCGTCGGACGCCGTGCTGAGCGCTCTGTTGTCCATCTTCTCACGCTACGTGAGGCGCATGCGGCAGAGCAAGGAGGGCGAGGAGGTCTACAGCTGGGTGAGGGCGAGGAGGTCTACGGCCGGGTGAGGGCGAGGAGGTCTACGGCTGGGTGAGGCTGCACGGCACGCTCGGTGCCAGCTGGGTACCCTCGGCGCTGGCTCAGGGTCCCTGAACCTTACGGCCTGACTCCACCTCTTTTCCCACAGTCGGAGTCTCAGGACCAGGTCTTCCTACGCTGGAGCAGCGGGGAGACAGCCACCATGCACATCCTCGTGGTCCATGCCATGGTGATCCTGCTGACGCTGGGCCCGCCTCGAGGTGAGCCGCCACAGGCCCCGGGAGGGGCAGCTTCGTGCCAGGTGGGCCACAGCCCTGACCACACCCAGCGGCTTCCGCATCCTTGCCTTGCTTCTGGGCGGGAAGCCCCCCAGCCCTTCAACCCTGTGTCCTGGCTTCTCTCCTAAAGAGGAGGCTGCAGTCCGTCCCGCGTGTCTCTGAGCACTTGGTGGACGTGTGGGAGATCCCCACGTGGTGGGACCTCCCAGCCTGTAGAGCCCTGAGCTGGAGGGCCTGGTACAGCCTGGGGTCAGAGTCCTCACTGCCCCAGCCTAACCGTGTAGGCCTGCGGTGCCTGGGAGGCGGCAAACTCGGGATTTCACCGTGTGGAGGTGCGACATGAGGCTGCCAGGCAAGTGGGTCCTCTCCCCGGGGCCCAGGCGAGTGACCCTGAGGACGCTCTGGCCAGCGCAGTGTCTGGAACCCAGCGCCTACCCAGCCGTGCCCTCTGCGGCCGCAGCCTTCCCCTTTACTCCTGGCTGACACCATGAACTGCTCCCACGTTCACCCCGTTGTGTCTGTCAGTGGGGGAAGGGGGCGGAACCCTCATGCTGGGGTTCGGGTGGACGTGGGTGGGTGGTGACCCCTGTTGGGAGGCAGACACAGTCACAGGCGTCGCCCTTGGGAAGGGCAGCCGGAGAAGCTGGCCCTGTGTGGGCCTGGGCCTGTGGGGTTTCCCAGTGGCTTTGCGGAGCCAGAGAGCTGGATGGGACCTGGTCCAGCCAAGCAAAGCCCCGAGGGCAGGGGCTGGATGGGGACACGCACATGTCCCCTTGGCCACGACAAAATGGCAGTGATGCTGCTTGCCTTCCTGCAGCATCTGTGAGGATCAAATGCGTGCACCTACGCAAAGCATCCGCACATAGCAAGTGCTCACCTAGCACAGGAGCCCCGTGCTCCTCCCAAGTCTCAGTTTCCTTCTCGGGAGAGGAGGTGCCTCTAGCCTTGGCACCAGCGGTGCTTGGGGCTGGGCCCCGGTGGGTCTGAAGGCTGCTCACCCGTTGTCCTTCCTGAAGCCGACGACAGCGAGTTCCAGGCGCTGCTGGACATCTGGTTTCCGGAGGAGAAGCCACTGCCCACCGCCTTCCTGGTGGACACATCGGAGGAGGCGCTGCTGCTTCCTGACTGGCTGAAGCTGCGCATGATCCGTTCTGAGGTGCTCCGCCTGGTGGACGCCGGTACGGTCCAGGCTGGGCTTGGGCAGGGGCTGCTGACTCAGGGGTCCCGGGCCCCTTGCCTGCTCCTTGTGGGCCTGGGCAGCCTCCGGCTGTGGCAGAGGAGAAGACTGGCCGGGTAGCCTCAGGGGATCCTGCAGACCATATGTCCTGGCCACAGCAGGCTGTGCTGGACCCTGGGAGGAGACCTAGGGCAGCCTGTGCTGGCCCCGTCCGAGAGGGTCTTACTGTCAGGCTCAGGGGTCTAGAGTGAGAAACAGGTCCTCGATGGAAAAAAGAGAAAGTGGTCTGGGGTTGGAGAGGAGGAGGAGAAGTGGTGGGGCCTCTGGGTGGGTCCCTGAAGGATTTGGGGGTTGGAGCTGCAGCCGGGGACCCCAGCAAGGACTGAGCAAGGGGCCTGGGCCCACGTAGGTCAGTAGGGCTGGTGCCTGCTCACAGTGAGGAGACACTGGGGGCAGCTTGGTGAGTGAGTGGGGCTGGCTCTGGAAACCCATGACTGCCAAGGGGTCTAGGCTGTTGTGTGCCCCCGGAAGCCACCGATGGCTTCGGGGCAAGAGCGCCCTGAGCACTGAGAGAAGATAGTCACAGCAGCCTGCGTGCAGCTTCGGAAGTGTACTGCGCCGTGCCACCATAGGCCCTCTGGAGCGCCCACCCACCCCTGGGGATGGGGCCCACACAGCTGCCATCCAGGGTGCAAGGTGGTCCCGACACGCTGCCCCCTTGTGCGGCCCCAGGTCTCGGGTGGGGTCACCGAGCCCACGTGGCCCAGGGTCTCAGGTGGGGCTGCCGAGTGTGCACTGCCCCAGGTCTCGGGTGGGGCTGCCGAGTGTGCACTGCCCCAGGTCTTGGGTGGGGTCACCGAGCCCACGTGGCCCAGGGTCTCAGGTGGGGCTGCCGAGTGTGCACTGCCCCAGGTCTTGGGTGGGGTCACCGAGCCCACGTGGCCCAGGGTCTCAGGTGGGTGGGGTCACTGCACACAGGCAGCCCCAGGTCTCGGGTGGGGTCCCGAGTGCGCATTGCCCGGGTTTTGGGTGGCGTTACGGAGCGCGTGCACCCTCAGCCCTGCAGGACCTGGAGCCGCAGCAGCTGCTGCTGTTCGTGCAGTCGTTTGGCATCCCCGTGTCCAGCATGAGCAAACTCCTCCAGTTCCTGGACCAGGCAGTGGCCCACGACCCCCAGACTCTGGAGCAGAACATCATGGACAAGAGTAAGATGCCAGGGACCTGCGGAGTGGGTTCACACACGCTGACCGAGCCCCAGCCCGGCCAGGCTTTTGGGGCCTGGGTGCGAGCGGGTGGGTGATCCGAGGTCGGGTGGGTGTGGGTGGCACTCGAGGGCAGGCTTAGACCTGTGGGTTGGTGAGGCTGGCACAGTCAGGAGGGAGCCGAGGCCTGGGCCTGCCCCAACCCTGGGGCCAGGCACCCCCTAGGGCCGTGTTTTGAGCTTGGAGGGAGCTGTTGGGGCCTCAGTGCTGACTGAGCTCACCCAGCTTCTGAAGTCCTTGGGAAGTGCTGGTGACGGTGGGGGCATCTCCAACTCTGGTTTCTGTGGAGAGGGAAGGACCTGCTCCCTGGCCCCTGGCCGCGCCCAGGTGTGACCCTGCTACGGTTTGCAGATTACATGGCCCACCTGGTGGAGGTCCAGCATGAGCGCGGCGCCTCCGGAGGCCAGACTTTCCACTCCTTGCTCACAGCCTCCCTGCCGCCCCGCCGAGGTACTGGGGAGGGGTGGGGCCAGCACAGAGACCCAGCCTGGGGAGGGGTGGGGCCAACACAGAGACCCAGCCTGGGGAGGGGGACGGGGCCTGCACAGCCACACAGGGCAGTGCACACTTGCTGATGCCACCTGAGAGGGGCCCCCACAGAAACTCTCAGCCTGTCTTTGGGCAGCATTTGCCTCTGGCCAGCATGCACGTTCCTGTTCAGAGTCTTGAGATCCCTGTGGACCTGAGCGAGACCTGGGGTCCTTGGGGAACACAGAGCCCAGGTCTGAGCTCTTCCTCCTGGGTGACAGTCCCCGGGCAGGACTCGCCATGGCTTGTACAGTTCCCACCGCTGGAAGCAGGTCAGAAAGTGTCCAGCCACTGACAGTTCTCCTGTCTCTGCAGACAGCACAGAGGCACCCAAACCAAAGAGCAGCCCAGAGCAGCCCATAGGCCAGGGCCGGATTCGGGTGGGGACCCAGCTCCGGGTGCTGGGCCCTGAGGACGACCTGGCTGGCATGTTCCTCCAGGTAGCGTTGCTGCTGCATGTGGGTCTCCACCTGCAGCCCCTCTTCCTGCGTGCAGCCTTCGCTGCCGCCTCGCACGCACAGCGGCCTTTACTTGCGTGACCGCCTGACCCAGGCACGCTGCACACGCACAGCGGCCTTTACACGCGTGACCGCCTGACCCTGGCACGCTGCTTTCACGTAACACCCCCATGCTCTCAGATGGAGGCTAGGCCAACATTGGGGAAGGGGGTCGCCCTGCATCCTCCCTGCCATCCTTGCACACCCCTCTGCGCGGGGCACCCGGTTTGATGTGTACAGAAGCTGAGGTTGCAGGTCTCGCCTGAGGTCTGGCTGTTGGAGCCGGGGATCCTGCAGGCCTCACCACCTCCTGATGGAGAGCCTGGTGGTCCCTGGGCAGGCTCTGGACACCTTTGTTCTCTGGGGCAGCTCCTGGGTGTTGGGGTCCCTCACTGCTTCACATCACAGGTCTCAAGGGCCCTGGGCCCCTCAGGCCACAAGGTGGGGGCTACGAATGAACAGGGACACGATGGGACGCGGTTCTGGCACGGAGCTGCACCGGGCGCTTAGCCTCTCCGCTGCGCTCCTCCTCCTTCTCCTCCGCTTCCTCCTGACACTGGCCTTCCCCGTTCCAGATTTTCCCGCTCAGCCCGGACCCTCGGTGGCAGAGCTCCAGTCCCCGCCCCGTGGCCCTCGCCCTGCAGCAGGCCCTGGGCCAGGAGCTGGCCCGCGTCGTCCAGGGCAGCCCCGAGGTGCCGGGCATCACGGTGCGTGTCCTGCAGGCCCTCGCCACCCTGCTCAGCTCCCCACACGGCGGTGCCCTGGTGATGTCCATGCACCGTAGCCACTTCCTGGCCTGCCCGCTGCTGCGCCAGCTCTGCCAGTACCAGGTACTTGGGCGTGGGCCTCTTGCGGGGGAGGAGGGCAGTGAGGGCTCTGCCTCCCGCAGGACGGCCCGGGTGTCCTGTGACTGCTCCTCTGTGGGTCTTGGGTCTCAGTTTCCAAGTGAGAAAGGACAGTGCCCCAGGGAGTGGCGGCAGGTCCCCTTTTTCCAGTGAACATTCCCCCGGGACGGGAGGTGGGGGCAGTGCGGCGTCCGCCTGTTTGCACCACCCAGGCTCGGCGCTCCTGCCTTGCTTTCCCCATCTGCTGGTACCTAGGACTGTGTTTTACTTGGTGTCTGTGTTTACTTTTTCCTTTGAACCGCGTGGGAGCCCTCACCAGCTGGGGGGTTTTGAAAGGGTCTCTGTGAGGTCGTCTGGGCCCGTGCAGGGGAGGCACCGTTTCAGACAGGAGGCGGGATGAGGTTGGCCCAGGCTCCAAGTGCCGGTCGCGGCAGGTCTCAGCAGCCTCACGGGCCCTGCTCTGGGCCTCGGGTGCCGGGTCCCCGTGTGTCCTCTGCCAGGGTAGCCACGTGCCACTTTGTCCCCGCAGCGCTGTGTGCCACAGGACACCGGCTTCTCCTCGCTCTTCCTGAAGGTGCTCCTGCAGATGCTGCAGTGGCTGGACAGCCCTGGCGTGGAGGGCGGGCCCCTGCGGGCACAGCTCAGGATGCTTGCCAGCCAGGCCTCAGCCGGGCGCAGGCTCAGTGATGGTGAGGACCGCGCCGGGCTGGCAGACGGCTGGGGGGCACTGGACAGGGGCTCACTCAGAGTGGCCAAGCTGCCTGGCACCCCGAGGCCTGGGCAGTGGCTTGGGGGGTGGGTACCCGCGTGGGCCCAGGGGAGCCCTTCTACCGTGGGGCCTCCCTGGATGGGATACACCGATGGGGTGAGGGCTGGAGCCACAGGGCACTCACACAGACCTCCCACAGTGCGAGGGGGGCTCCTGCGCCTGGCCGAGGCCCTGGCCTTCCGTCAGGACCTGGAGGTGGTCAGCTCCACCGTCCGTGCCGTCATCGCCACCCTGAGGTCTGGGGAGCAGTGCAGCGTGGAGCCGGACCTGATCAGCAAAGGTACCTTCCTGGCACCATCCTCTTGGGCCACGGCGGCCCTGGGAAGACCCAAACCTGAGGCTCCTTCTAGCTGCCCAGTGGGGGACGGACAGTGTCTGCTCAGCACTGTCCCCGGAAAGTGCCCACAGAGGTCCCCTCCCAGATGGCTCAGGGCGGGGCCTCTTGAGAATGAGTTGGAGCTTCCTCCTTGGGGGGCCCCTGATCACTGCTGCACCCAGCAAAGTGAGCCCCGGCCCCGGCCGCACTCTCCAGCCCCGGCCGCACTCTCCTCTCCGGCCCCGGCTGCACTCTCCTCTCTGGCTCCGGCTGGACTCTGCTCTTGTGTCCCACACATGCTCACCCCACACCCCACCCTGGCTAGCCCACACCCACTCAGCGGCCCCCACCCGACCTGGGAGTGACCCACATGTCTCTTTGTCCCTTGCGCAGTCCTCCAGGGGCTGATCGAGGTGAGGTCCCCCCACCTGGAGGAGCTGCTGACTGCATTCTTCTCTGCCACTGCGGATGCTGCCTCCCCGTTTCCAGCCTGTAAGCCCGTTGTGGTGGTGAGCTCCCTGCTGCTGCAGGAGGAGGAGCCCCTGGCTGGGGGGAAGCCGGGTGCGGACGGTGGCAGGTGAGCTGGGGTGCTGCACACGGCCAGGGTGGGCAGGCGGGTGGCACCAGCCCTTCCCTGAGCCACCTTCTCCCTGCAGCCTGGAGGCCGTGCGGCTGGGGCCCTCGTCAGGCCTCCTAGTGGACTGGCTGGAAATGCTGGACCCCGAGGTGGTCAGCAGCTGCCCCGACCTGCAGCTCAGGCTGCTCTTCTCCCGGAGGAAGGTGGGTGGCACCCAGCTTCAGCACGGGGACCCACCCCAGGGTAAAGGCTCTTCCTGACCTGAAGTGCAGCAGCCTTGGCCTGGGCGAGCCTTGCAGGGGCCCCAGCACCCCCCCTGCTCTCAGGCCATGTGTCCCTGTAGCAACCCAGAGGAAGGGTAGGTCCCCCAATGGCCCTAGCAGAACCCAGGCCAGGGTCACAGTCACCTGTGGACCAGCACTGTGACCAGCCAGATGTGGGGATGGGGTGGGTGGATGGGGTGGGGTCGGCCCTGCCAAACCCTGTAGATCATGTAGGGGCCTCCATCTTCCCAAAGGGAATGGGGCTGTGGCCAGGAGAAGGGAGGGCAGGTGCTGGGCTCCCCACATCCTCCAGGGAGGGACGGCCTCACCAGAGAGGCTGCATGGAGCCCCGGGCACCTCCGCTGTGTGGCATGGCTCCCGTGGGAAGGGGCGGGGAGATGCAGCGCAGCCACCAGGAGCGGCCCTCCAGCACCATGACGGGGCCGGTGTTACCGGCAGCACCCCAAGCCTCGGCTCTCTGAGTGGCTCATTGGGGAAGCTGTCAGCTGACTTCAGCAGAGCCTGCCATTGGCCCAGGTGAGGCCATCCGGGCTTCTTCCTCCCTCCCCAGGGCAAAGGTCAGGCCCAGGTGCCCTCGTTCCGTCCCTACCTCCTGACCCTCTTCACGCATCAGTCCAGCTGGCCCACACTGCACCAGTGCATCCGAGTCCTGCTGGGCAAGAGCCGGGAACAGAGGTGGGCGCCTCCCTGTCCCCAACCTGGGCTGCGCGCATACTGGCCTTCACCAGAAATCTCCCAGCGCCGGCTCTGACTGGTATCTCCCATGCTGAGACGAGACACCTCGTGCTCTGGAACCTTTGCCTCCCCACAGGTTCGACCCCTCTGCCTCTCTGGACTTCCTCTGGGCCTGCATCCATGTTCCTCGCATCTGGCAGGGGCGGGACCAGCGCACCCCGCAGGCAGGTCTTGGGAGGGTGGCCCATCCGGGAGAGGGGGTGGCCCATCCGGGAGAGGGGGTGGCCCATCCGGGAGAGGCGGTGGTGCTCCGGGGCTGATGCAGGCACCCGTTACAGAAGCGGCGGGAGGAGCTGGTGCTGCGGGTCCAGGGCCCGGAGCTCATCAGCCTGGTGGAGCTGATCCTGGCCGAGGCGGAGACGCGGAGCCAGGACGGGGACACAGCCGCCTGCAGCCTCATCCAGGCCCGGCTGCCCCTGCTGCTCAGCTGCTGCTGTGGGGACGATGAGAGTGTCAGGAAGGTGACGGAGCACCTGTCAGGCTGCATCCAGCAGTGGGGAGACAGGTGCTCAGGCCCCCCGGCCCCAGATGCTGCCTGGGAGTGAGCCATGGAGGGGGTCGAGGCCCAGCCCTGGGTGGGTTCCCATCACGCCTGGTCCCGTCCACCCACCCCTGTCACTGGGGCCCCGTCCGCCTGGTGAGCCCTGCTCCACCTCTTCCAGCGTGCTGGGCAGGCGCTGCCGAGACCTTCTCCTGCAGCTCTACCTACAGCGGCCGGAGCTGCGGGTGCCCGTGCCTGAGGTCCTACTGCACAGCGAAGGGGCTGCCAGCAGCAGCGTCTGCAAGGTGAGGGCGCAACTCTGCCGCTCCCCGCCGCCGTCCCAGGTGCCCTGGCCGGGCAGGGAGGGAGGGCGGAGGCCACAGTGTACATGGCCATCGCCGGCTACCCCTCTTGCCCCTTCCCAGTCCGCGCCGCCCTGTGGCCCTGTGGGTTTGTCTGCGTTGAGTTTTATACCGAGGGAGCTTGCGGGTGCTCTGCTCGCACAGTCTGGAGAGTCGTGGTGTTGTGGGCACTGGGTGGCCTGCCATTGTGTGGATCGGCCGTTGGTTTATCTGTTCACCTGCTGGTGGACGTGGGGTCACGTTCAGTTTGGGGCAGTGACAGCTGCTGGGGACTCGTGCCCGGGTCTTGGCGGACGGCTGCGTCTGCTCCTCTCCAGTGACCCTGGTGGGGAGAGCTGGGCCTCCCGTACCCGCTTCCCCACCGCAGGCCGGAACCTGCAGCCTGTCTTCTGCTGGTACCACAGAGGGCAGCTGACTTTCTCTAATCATTTCTGCTTGTGGTTTTTTTCACTTATATGTCATTTTATTTGTTGAAATCACACTTGATGTGCAGTTTTGTGGAGGGTTTTTGAGGCAGGGTGTCTGTTGCCAAGGCTGGAGTGCAGCGGTACCATCATAGCTCACTGCAGCCTCAACCCCCTGTGCTCAAGTGAGCCTCCCACCTCAGCCTCCCGAGTAGCTGGGATCACAGGCACGTGCCACCACACCCAGTTACTCTTTTTGTATTTTTGAAAATAGAGAGGGCTATTTTCATTGCCCAGGCTAGTCTTGAACTCCTGGGCTCTGGTGATCTTCTGCCGCGGCCTCACAGAGTGCTGGGATGGCAGGCGTGAGCCACTGCGCCTGCTTGGCCGATGTGTAGTTTTGGCTTGTTTCCCGCTCATTGTATCATTTGGTGTGGAGCTTTGCTTTTATTCTGTATGGGGTTTTCCCAGAGGCTGGCTGTGGCCTGCCTGCCCTCCCGAGGTGCTCATGGAAGCCGTAAGGAGCCAGTTCCTCTGCTCATGGCGTGCCACGCGGTGGATCACGGCCACAGCTGGCGGCCAGGCTGAGTGTGGGTGGGCAAGTGAGGGGAGCCAGCGGCCCCGGCCTCAGAGCGCCCCTCCCTGCAGCTGGACGGACTCATCCACCGCTTCATCACGCTCCTTGCGGACACCAGCGACTCCCGGGCGTTGGAGAACCGAGGGGCGGATGCCAGCATGGCCTGCCGGAAGCTGGCGGTGGCGCACCCGCTGCTGCTGCTCAGGTGCTGTCCCAGAAGCCCTGCCCTCGCCAGACACTGGTTTAACCAGGGGGGTCTGCGGCTCTCCAGCCTGGGCAACAAGAGCAAAACTCCAAAAACAACAAAAAAAAGCATGTTCCCATGGGCTGAGCTTGACCGGGGGAAGTCAGGACTGAGCTGGGCCTCAGGTGGGAGGAGCTGGGTGGGCCTCAGAGAGGGGCGATCTCATCCCCACCTCCTTAGGGCAGGAGGGTGGTTGGGGGGCAGCACGGGGTCTGGCTCCCGGGGCAGGCAGTGGGGCCTTCCTGGGGACGTGCGCCAGGTGAGCCCGCCGGCCGGGGCTGACTGGGCCCTCACCGCGCCCGCAGGCACCTGCCCATGATCGCGGCGCTCCTGCACGGCCGCACCCACCTCAACTTCCAGGAGTTCCGGCAGCAGAACCACCTGAGCTGCTTCCTGCACGTGCTGGGCCTGCTGGAGCTGCTGCAGCCGCACGTGTTCCGCAGCGAGCACCAGGGGGCGCTGTGGGACTGCCTTCTGTCCTTCATCCGCCTGCTGCTGGTGTGTGCTCCCGCCGCCCGCCCTCGCGCTCCCTTCCACTCCCTCTGCTCTGGCCCAGGCCTGCCTCACCCACTCGCGGAGGGACTGGGAGGACCTCTGCAGCCAGGGCCCAGGCCAGGCCACCTGCCCTGGGGACCAGCTCCCACCCTGGGAAGCCCCTGCCTGCTGCCCCTCACGTGCCTGGGGGGCCCACGTCCTTCAGAAGCCCAGCCCAGACCCTCCGTGCTGTTCTCTGCGTGTCGCTTGTGCTACCTCGAGCCCCTCATCCATCTGGGCACATGCCCCAGACAGCCATGTCCACACCCTGACAGGCCATGCCGGCCACCCTTGGGCCTGTGACGCCCCAGTGGTTGGCAGAGGGGGCTCGTTGGCTGTGGGGTCCATGCCCTGAGGCTCTGGGAGCAGATGGGAGCACAGGCTCTGTTTTGGCCCTGCGGGGCAGAGCAGCTCGAGGGTGCCGCTTTTGCTTTGCAGAATTACAGGAAGTCCTCCCGCCATCTGGCTGCCTTCATCAACAAGTTTGTGCAGTTCATCCATAAGTACATTACCTACAATGCCCCAGCAGCCATCTCCTTCCTGCAGAAGCACGCCGACCCGCTCCAGTGAGTGCCCACGGGCTGCAGGGAAGCCTCGGGCCTCCGGCGAGGGTCCAGCGGGGTCTGGAGGGTGTTCCTGGGAAGGCCGTGTCGTGTCAGATATGCTGCTCCTGAGGCCGGGGAGGGCTGCTGAGCGTGGTGCTCATCCCAGGGCGCAGAGGCCGCCCCACCCTGTGCCGAAGCCGTCTGAACCCACCCCTGCAGCTCTCTGGCTCTCTGTCCCGTTCCACGCACATGTGGCTTCCCCGCCCGGCCCTCCCTCTGAGCGTCCTGGCCTCTCCTGCATGCCTGTGTCCACACGCTCCCATGCCACCCTAGTTTGACCCCTGACCCAGCCTTCCTCCTGCCAGCGTCTTCCTCCCAGGTGAAAGCATCTTCTCTCCCCAGCGACCTGTCCTTCGACAACAGTGACCTGGTGATGCTGAAATCCCTCCTTGCAGGGCTCAGCCTGCCCAGCAGGGACGACAGGACCGACCGAGGCCTGGACGAAGAGGGCGAGGGTGAGTGGGGCTGCCAGGGGCTGCTGGAAGCAGCTGCGGAACAGTCCTACAGGGCCTGGTTTTCCCAGCGCACAGCCAGCCCTGGGCCGTCCGAGGCGTCCCGATGGGGGCTGTGTGAGCCTGGGACCTTGCTGGCTGGCCCCTGACCCACCTCAAGGGGACGAAGCACTGACTGGTGCCTGACAGAGCATCAGCACACCTGCCCCCCGGCACATCGCCCCGCCCCGGCAAATGGCCCTCCCCACCCCCCCGTCCCTGGCACATCCACCATCCACCAGTGCTTGTCCGAGGTGTCCCTCCCCAGGAAGCCTCCCCTGGTCCTACTGGGCAAGGCTTGTCCTTGGTTTTTCCCTGCCTGAGGTGACACGGCACCGCAGCACGTCTCTCCTGTGCCGCCGGAAGAGCGCCAGGCCCGGGTCCCAAGGGGCCATCCCGTCTTGTGCCCAGTGGGTCCTGGCCCACATTGCGAGAAACCCAGCAGGGAGAGACTCGCAGAGGTGCATGCGCCGGATCCAAAGGCAGCTCCCGGCTCCTGGCTCCACCCCATTTGTGGAGCGCTGCTGTGTGCAGGCACCTTGGGAGCCTGGGCAGTGGCCGCCGTGCTCTCGGGAGGGCAGGTCCTGGTGCCTCAGTGTGGCACGTCCTGCCGCTCCCGCCCTCCTGCAGCACTGCCACTGTCTTCCAGAGGAGAGCTCAGCCGGCTCCTTGCCCCTGGTCAGCGTCTCCCTGTTCACCCCTCTGACCGCGGCCGAGATGGCCCCCTACATGAAACGGCTTTCCCGGGGCCAAACGGTGGAGGGTGAGTCAGGCCCTGCTTCACCCACGCCAGGTCAGCGCCCTGGGTCCCATGGGGCTGCGGGCAGCAGCCAGTAGCCATTTGGGCACTGACTTTGGCGTGAGCCTGGCCCACGCTGGGCTGTGGGTGGGTGGGCTGTTCCTCACAGTGGGGAGCACCCCCAGAGAGGGCCTTAGAAACTCAGGGGCCCAGGGGAGCTGGAGGTGGCTGCTCTGCTTCAGGCACAGCAAAAAGCAGGGGAGCCCCCTAAGGTGGTGGGGGTACAGCAGGAAGAGGTCAGGCGGGTGGGCAAGACCAGCGGGTGGGCAGTACCGGTGGCCGCTGTCAGAGGACAGCCAAGGCTGAGCGGCCCGGATGGAGTCGGGCCGTGGGGACACTTGGTGCTAAGAGCACCCTGGATATGGGGCTGCCGTGAGGGGTCAACCCCTCTCCTTGGAGGCCACTAGTAGGGGCAGGGCCGGGTATTTGTGGAGCTTGGGGGCAGGTGACTGCCTGGGGCGTCACTGGGCTCATGCTTTCCAGTGCTTTCTGTCCTGTGGTGCTCGGGGCCTTGCCCCCTCTGGGTGGCTGGGGTGGGGTGGGCAGAGGTCTGCCTGGGCCCTTCAGTTCTGGTCTGGCCCTCTCTCTGTGTCAGATCTGCTGGAGGTTCTGAGTGACATAGACGAGATGTCCCGGCGGAGACCCGAGATCCTGAGCTTCTTCTCGGTGAGCTGGATGGGGCTGAGGGAGAGCTGGGAGGAGCCACTCCCTTGGGGAACCCCAGCAGGGCCACCACCCCAACATGGCGTGCCCGCGCTGAGCCCCAGGGAGTCCTCTGAGGCTGGGCTTCGGGTGGGGGCCCCAGCCCAGGTGTTCACAGTCAAGCCGCCGCCAGAGCAGGCCTGCCTTCAGCCCCGGGCTGGGACCGGCCAGTGGCACGTGCGTCCTGCCTTCTGGATAGGGGCCTAGGGTCCCTGCCGTTGCCGCCAACCATCACGAGACCAAGAGGTGAAGGGGCCTTGATGGGGGCTGGACCCCTTGGTCACACACCTCCCACCTTTCCCCCGGTCAGACCAACCTGCAGCGGCTGATGAGCTCGGCCGAGGAGTGTTGCCGCAACCTCGCCTTCAGCCTGGCCCTGCGCTCCATGCAGAACAGCCCCAGGTGAGGCCACCGCCGGCCTCTGTCCCGCCGCCACCGCTGGGCCCTGCTAACCCAGGTCACCGCTTGACCCGCCTGGTGGCCAGACCAGGCTTCCAGGCGGCTCAGCTCGCCCTGTCGGGTGGGGGTCTGGCGTGGGCACAGGGTGGAGGTTCCCACTGAAGTGTGTGGGTCTTTCAGCATTGCAGCCGCTTTCCTGCCCACGTTCATGTACTGCCTGGGCAGCCAGGACTTTGAGGTGGTGCAGACGGCCCTCCGGAACCTGCCTGAGTACGCTCTCCTGTGCCAAGGTGAGGACTGGCCCCCCGCCCAGGGCCCTGGCAGCCCTCGGGGAGGCCGGAGGTGCGTCCCCCGAGGGCTGGCTCTTGGGAGTCCCGAGGTCTGGTCACTGCGGCCAGGATGTTGTGGCCAGCGTGACGTGCAGGGCCCCGTTTCCCCCACAGAGCACGCGGCTGTGCTGCTCCACCGGGCCTTCCTGGTGGGCATGTACGGCCAGATGGACCCCAGCGCGCAGATCTCCGAGGCCCTGAGGATCCTGCATATGGAGGCCGTGATGTGAGCCTGTGGCAGCCGACCCCCCTCCAAGCCCCGGCCCGTCCCGTCCCCGGGGATCCTCGAGGCAAAGCCCAGGAAGCGTGGGCGTTGCTGGTCTGTCCGAGGAGGTGAGGGCGCCGAGCCCTGAGGCCAGGCAGGCCCAGGAGCAATACTCCGAGCCCTGGGGTGGCTCCGGGCCGGCCGCTGGCATCAGGGGCCGTCCAGCAAGCCCTCATTCACCTTCTGGGCCACAGCCCTGCCGCGGAGCGGCGGATCCCCCCGGGCATGGCCTGGGCTGGTTTTGAATGAAACGACCTGAACTGTCTGTGTGCTCTCTGGTGTCCCATGTCGCCCTCTGGCCAGTGAGAGCCTCAAGGACCCTGGCCTTGGCTTCCCAGCCCCACAGTGCAGGGAGTTGAGCAGGGTCCGGGGTGGTGGAGACCAGGGCCAGGCTGGGCTCTCCCTTGGGCCAGCAGTTCCCGCAGGTGTTGAGGGTCGGGGGATGCTGCCCACTTGGCCGCCCCCGCCCCACGTCATGGTCTCCCTGTCGAGTGCCGGCCCTGGGCCCTGCCGGGCCTCAAGTCCTCTGCCCACGGGGTCGGCCTCTGTTGAGTGAGTCCGGCCTTGTCAGGCTGCGTGGGGGACTGGCCCAGCTGACTGGTCTCTCTCTCCTGCACTAAAAGGATCAACAAGGCCCTGAGAGCCTCAACTGTGGGCGTCCCTCTGTGGGAGCTGAGTTGGGGTCCCATTCCAGAAGAGTCCGAGTAGCCGGTGGTGCTGCTCGTCCTGCCTTTGCAGGCACCAGCTCCCAGGGGAGGGTCTGGGAGGGTCCTAGTGCATGCGGGGCGGAGCTTGGCATGGGGCCCTGTTTGCTGGCCCGCAGTGCACTCTCCTCCCTCCCAGCCAGGTTGGGGTTAGAGCCGCCCACCCCTCTGTCCTCGCTGCACCGGGGTCTTTCCAGCACACAGATGGGACCCGTGCTCTCCCGGTTCCCCATGAGTGCTCCCAGGTCAGCCAGGCCCCGGCTGCCCTCCACCCCAGCCGCTGTGGCTAAGAAGCTGACCCAGGCCCTCCTGCAAGCCCAGGTGGCGCGAGGCCTCAAGGTTCTAGTGATGCTGTGGCCTTGGGGGATGCCCCGCAACAGCACCCAGCAAGGGGGCAGCTGGGCTCCAGGCCCACAGCCTCCCAGCCCAGCCCCTGGCCTGCACACCTGCACCACCTGCCCGGGCCCCTGGGCACTCCTGCACCCGCCTGCCCACCCTCGGATTCTTCCAGGCTGCACAGGGCCGGGGACCAGGTCCCGGGTGGGGTGAGCCAGTGCCGGGTCTGTCACCAGGCGTGCCTGTCCACAGCTGGCTCCTGTGGCTCCGGGGGACTGGGAGGCTGCTCTGGGAGTGACTTGGAGGCCCATGGGCCGCTGAGCCGCCTCCATCCCAGCTGTGCGCGGCCGCCCTCCCCCACCCTTGCCCTTAGTGCGTTGCCTTCAGGCCCTTGGTGCGGGCACCTCTGCCCTGGGTCTGAATGTGTGTTAGGGTTAGGGACAGGGACAGCAGTGAGGAGGCCTAACAGGCCGGGGTGTGGGGTGAGGCCCTTCCTGCTCTGTGGTTGGCTCTCCTACCTCTGCGCGGATAAGGGGCAGGGCCGAGATTTGAGCCCTGGGGCCCTGGAGCCATGGGCTGCCCCAGGGTGGGGCTGGGCTGAGTGGAAGCAGGGCCCAAGGTTTGTGCAGTGGGAAAGGGCCCTGGAGGCTCAGCAGATGCAGGGCAGGGATGTGGATGCCTCCCCAGCCCCCAGGGGTGGGGCGTGGATGCAGGGAGGCATCCTCATACGGGGTGGGTGTGTGCAGGCTGTGCCGGCTCAGGGATCAACGTCAGGGCCCGTGTCCATCCGAGTCTTAGAGGACAGAAGCGTGCTAGGGCTTGGCGGGGACATGACCCGATCTCATCTGAGACCGAGTGAGCACGGGCCCACCAAGCCCTCCGGCCCCAGTGCCTGCTGTATGCCCCACACCCAAACCCCAGCCTCCTGAGGGCCAGGCTGCCTCTCCCGGGCCTGGATGTGGGGCCTTTGCCAGTCCACACCTTCGGGATCCCGACCCTTCTCCCCAGGTGCAACACCCCAGCTGTGTCGCCGCGTCCCCTCCAGCCAGGAGCCACCCTTACCCGATGTTACACCCTCTGTGGGCTCCTGGGGAACCTCCTCCAGGTTGGCTTTCCACACCCCACAGTCCGGAGCCTGCTGCAGCCTCGCCAGCCTCTGGTCCTCTGCTCTCCTGACATCACTCCAGCCAGGCTGCGGGGTGGGGGTCCTTCCAGCCGAGGCCTGCCCGCCTCAGGGTCTGATCAGGGAGGGAGGGAGGTCCGAGCTCTGTGGGCCCAGAATCCAGTGCCTGGGTTGAGGACAGGGAAAGGGAAGGACACTGCTGCCAGGCCCGGAGGCCAGTCCGTGTGTCCCAGCTGGGTGCAAGCCTGGGCCCTTCATGGGGGTGCGTGTATCTGGCTCAGAGCAGCCTGTGACAGGTAGAGCCCCAGGACGTTGGCTGGGGTCGTGGACCAGGCATGGGGAAGGAGGATGGGGAGGGTGCTGAGGGCAGGGCCCTGATCCTGGGGCCTGGGACCCTCTGGGCCTCTTGCTGCCTGGGCCTGTGTTCACTCCCGCCCAGGAGGCAGCAGAGGTTAAGCTAAGCAGAGGCATCCGGGGGAAGTAGCTGGCCTGGCGGGTGGCAAGGGCTCAGGTGAGGGGTATCGGCTCTGGTGTGTGTGCCAATTGGGGCCAGGATGTGCCAGGCGTGCCTGAGACCCCACCCACCCACCCCAGGGTGATGATCCCAGGGCCCGGGGCCTTGGTGGCTCACAATTACGACACCCGTGGGGCAAACAGTCTCTGCCTGGCCCAGGGCCTTAGGGCTGACAATTGTGGCACCCGTGGGGCAAACTTAGCCTCTACCTGGCCAAGGGCTTCCATAACCTCTAGAGGGTGTCCCAGGCCTGTCCCCACCATAAGGGGAGCCCCAGGGGGCATGTCTGGCCTTGGCTGCCGGGGTGGACCCCAGGTTCTGTGTCCCAGAGGTGAGAGGCCTCTGCGATCTGTGCTGGGAAAGATGGGGAAGACGCCTGAGAGGGAAACTTGACTGCGCCTGGACAGAGAAATGGGTAGACTGGAATCTGTGCCTGCGGCGGGCACCTGGCAGGGGCCGGTGTGAGCAGAAGTGTGGGTGTTGGAATGACGGTGCCGACCCCAGGTTGGACAGGGGGCTGCGAAATGGACCAGGGAGCCCTGGGTCAGGCCACGATCCACGCCTGGCCTCTCCCTCCCTCCGGCTCCCCAAGTTCCTCACCACGGCCACTGGGCCCAGGGACCCTGGGAACCAGCCGTGTGGGGCACCCAGCAGGACCCCTGTGCCACTGGGTGGCTGCTGGCAGGTCCCGGGCCGTCTGTTCTGGAACAGTGGAGGATCTGGGATCAGCACCTTCCTGTGTGGCTGTGGCTGTGAGCCCCTCGCCCAGGGTGACCACTAGAGCCCAGGACTCAGAGGGTCCAGCCCAGACTCCACAGTTCCCTTCCTTTCAGGAGTGGAGGGAGGCCCAGGAGTATGTCTGAGCCAGGCCAGGCAGGGTCCCAGCCCCTCCCAGTGGTTCCCGGCAGTCCCGGGCTGCCTTCTCCAGGCGGGGACGGGGCGGGGCCGGGGGATGCCATAGTGACAAGCTCACTTGCTGCTTCAGTCTCAAAACAAGTGCTTCTGGGTTTCATTTTCAGCTCTGGCTGGGGATGGACCCTGACCTTCAAACAGGCCAGACGGTGGCAGCCACAGGCTGAGTGTGGGCACCTGGGGCCTGAGCGCCCTCGGCAGCAGGAGTGCAGGTCTCCCCATGAGGTGTCTCCCCCATTCACCCCGGGAAGCCCAGACAGTGGCCCGAGGTCATGTGGCAGGTAGGGTGCAGGGCAGGAGCTGCTTGGGGGGCCTGGGCCTCCCCCAGCTCCCTTCCTCAGAGCAACCCAGACCCCTGACCCAATTAGGCCCAGGCCCAGCCAGCGGTTGGGGTCATTCCAGGTGCTTCTGAAGAGAAGGGTATGGCTGAAGCCTCCTCTGGGGACAGCAGCCCCTCTGTCCTGGGAAGTGGCCTGTAGGAAGCTGAGCATGGGCAGGCAGAACTGGACGTCCCAGTTCTTTCCAAACCCCCTCACTGGGCCAGGCCCAAAAGGACACCCCATGGCGGGCCCTGCTGGGCTCACGGGGGACTCAGGGTTGGACCCCAGTAGGCCTCCGCCAGGGTGTGGTGGGCACCCTCTCTGTGGAAGTTAGGAAGGGCTGTTGAGGGAAGGTGGCATGGCGGGCTGGGTCTTGAGCGGTGGGGAGGAGTTGGGCCCATCCACTTGTAGCGGGGCACAGGGCTCTGGCTGACCACCAGCAGGGCAGGCGGAGGGAAGGGTCCGGCGCCCTCTTTTCCCACTGGTGTCCTCCTGCTGTGAAGCCAGGCCTGTAGGAGCCTGCAAGCCTCGGGGGGCACAGGGGACAGGCCTGACACACAGAGGGCTCCTCGGGCACTCATCCTATAGTAGGGAGACGGGCCCTGGGAGGGGAGGGAGCCAGGAGGCAGCCATGCGCCCTCCCTAAGATGGAAAACGCAGGGGCCTGGTGAGGGCGGTGCTGACCACAGTGCTCTGCACACCAGGCTACTGCTGGCGCCCCAGCTCCGGGGAACATAGAGTCCTTGGGGACACAGGGCCCAGGGGCCTCCAGAGCTGGGATACGGTGGAGGGGCTGCTGGATCCCAAACACCCTTTAGGCCTCCTTCATCCCTAGTCAGCATTCCAGCCAGGACCCCGGGGGCCCCATCCAGAGTCCTGTCAGCGGGGGCCATAGCCTGTGGCTGCAGGCCTGGGCAGGTGGGTGACACGAGGCAGGACCGACCCCAGGGTTCTAACGCCTGCTCCCCACTGGCCTTGGACAAATCGCTGCCCTTTTCTGAGCTTGATTCCTCACCTGTGAAGTGGGCATCAAGGTAATGCCTGAGGCCGGGTGCGGTGGCTCACGCCTGTAATCCCAGCACTTTGGGAGGCCGAGGTGGGCAGATCAGCTGAAGTCAGGAGTTCGAGACCAGCCTGGCCAACATGGCAAAACCCCGTCTCTACTAAAAATGCACTGGGCATGGTGGTGCGCGCCTGTAATCCCAGCTACTCGGATGCTGAGGTGGGAGAATCACTTGAACCCGAGAGGCGGAGGCTGCAGTGAGCCGAGATCACTGAGATAGCACCACTGCGCTTCAGCCTGGGTGAGAGCAAGACTTCATCTCAGAAAATAAAAACAAGGCTGGGTGCGGTGGCTCACACCTGTAATCCCAGCACTTTGGGAGACCGAGGCGGGTGGATCAGCTGAGGTCAGGAGTTTGAGACCAGCCTGGCCAACATAGTGAAACCCCGTCTCTACTAAAAATACAAAAATCAGCTGGGTGTGGTGGTGCATGCCTATAATCCCAGCTACTTGGGAGGCTGAGGCAGGAGAATCCTTTGAAACCCGGGAGGCAGAGGTTGCGATGAGCCAAGATCACGCCACTGCACTCCAGCCTCAGCGACAGAGTGAGACTCCGTCTCAAAAAAATAAAAAACAAAAAACTGCCTGAGACTTGGGGGCAGTGAACAACCTGTGTGACACACAGTAGGTGCTGAGGGCCAGGCATCTGCACTGTTCTCTTTCTCCTCTGAACAGAGAGGTGCCATGATCTGGCCAAGGACACACAGCAATCAGAGGCAGGCTGGCTTCTCTGCCCCGGTCCCGCCACCCGGCGACACCTGTCAGCCCCCTTGCAAACTCTGTGCTCCTTGAAGGTGGGGGGGGGGGGGAGGGCGGGGTGGGTCTGGACCCCGTTACAAGGGATTCCTATAAATGGCGTGGAGAGGATTAATAATGTATTTATAACACATTTTGGTGGTAGTCGAAAATGATCTATAAATGTGCAGTAAATGTTTTATAATGTTTTTGTAACCCGTTATAAATGATAAATGGCAGACCATAGATGCCGGATCAAATATTTATAACGCACTGTGCGCGGCGTTGGGCTGCTACAGTTCAGCAAAGCCATTAATAATAAAGTGGATGGAAATGCACGAGTTACCGACATGCCTAGCAAAGCCATTTATAATGAAATGTAAAATTTGGCTGTGGGAAGCAGCCCACCAGCCCCAGCCGCAGCACCGGCCAGGATCTCCTGGAGGCTGGGGAAGGAGCGGTGTCGTGAATTATTTGTGAGGTGTTCAGACGAGAATGTATACTCCCCATAGCACACCATATAAATATGCTATTAATATACCCAAGGTGGCATGCATTATTCATGGAGCCTAATTAATTAATGGGTGGCCCCTTAAAATGGGGTGTCACAGCTTCCAGCTCCCTGTCCTGCCGGGGGCAGTAGGGATGGCATTGGTTGATGGCAGCCTTGGGGGTGGGGAGGGCAACGTCCCTTCCACGCTCTGCAGGGGGGCTGACGTGGTGCCCCACAACCGTCCACAGGGGTCCTGTGGGCAAGTCAGTTTGGGAACCACTGTGCAGTGTGTCCTCTCCCTGGAAGAGTGGAGGTGCGTATCAGGTGATGAAGGCTCTGAGAAGTCCCGCGGGAAACACCACTCGGCCAGGACACCTCCCTTGGTTCTCTCTCACGCCCTCTGCATTCCCGAACCGCCTCCGCCTCCCAGACTCAAGGATCCGATTCTGTTCCAGCTTGGCCCAGCAGCCTTGGTCAGGTGACGTTCAGGGTTGAATCCACTGGTGGAAGGAGTCAACCCCTCATAAGCCTGCCCCACCCCTCCGGGTGTGGCACCTGGGTCCCCACCTCTGCAGCGCCTCTTGGGGACCCAGGAGCTAAGCTAATGCAAGCCAAGGTGGATGTTTTGGACTGAAATGAGCGATGCCTCAGGCCATGTCCTCCCTGGGTCCCCAGCACGGGCCCTGCCACCCTGATGGGCTGAGAGACCCCTTTCTCCCTGCCTCCATCATCTTTGAGGGGTTCAGAACACGTGGAGGCTGGAAGTGGGGAAACAGGTCATCTGGCCTGGAAGTCCTGTCCTGGACCAGGGTGTACACTTGGGTAGGACACCAGCTGGGCCGACCTTCTCCCGGGCCTCACCTGGTGTCAGAGTCAGGGCCGCTGCCTGAGAGGGCAGGCTGAAACGGGGGGCCTTCTCCCCTCCCTCCTCCCCTCCTGTCTCCTCCCCTCCCTCCAGTCTCCTCCTTTCCTCTCAGAACCTCAGTTTTTTGAGGTGCAGAATCAATAGAGCCATTTATTTTGTAGATCATAAACAGGGTCTTGTTTTGTCACCCGGGCTGGCGTGCAGTGACATGATCACAGCTCATTGCAGGCTCGACCTCTCAGCCTCCATCAATCCTCCTGCCTCAGCCTCCTGGATAGGTGGGAGTACAGGTGTACACCACCACACTCGACTAACATTTTTGTATTTTTTGTAGAGGTGGGGTCTTGCTATGTTTTCCAGGCTGGTCTTGAACTCCTAGCCTCAAGCAAACCTCCCACTTCAGCCTCCCAAAGTGTTGGGATGACTGGCATGATCCCCTGCACCCAGCCAATCTTGGGTTTTAAACCCACAGCCAACCCACACCCATATATGTATGTGTACACACACACACATTAATGTCTCTGTCACCCAGTCTGGAGTGCACTGGTGTGATCACAGCTCACTGCAGCCTTCTGTTCTCATGTGATCTCCCGCCTCAGCCTCCTGAGTAGCTGGGACTACAAGCATGAGCCACAACACCTGGCCCAGAGCCACTTTTTTTTTGGGTGGCGAGCGGCAGGGTGGGGAGAGTCTTGCTGTGTCACCCAGGCTGGAGTGTAGTGGTGTGATCTCAGCTCACTGCAACCTCCACCTCCCGGATTCAAGCGATTCTCCTGCCTCAGCCTTGCAGGTAGCTGGGACTACAGGCATGTGCCACCATGCCCGGCTAATTTGGTATTTTTAGTAGAGACGGGGTTTCACCATGTTGGCCAGGCCGGTCTCAAACTCCTGACCTTGGGTGATCGTCTCAACTCAGCCTCCCAAAATGCTGGAATTACAGGCATGAGCCACCACCCCTGGCCCAGAGCCACTTTTAAAGGGTGGCTGTAAGTATCAAATGACAATGTAGGCATGGAAATTGGTGGGAGAAGTTGGAGTAGGGGCCTAGCCGGGCCCTGCTGCCTGCACCCCTTCCTCCCGCAGCCCCTGCACCTCCTCCCAGTCCCCTGCACCAGCGACACCAGCCTATCTTCGAGTCTTCCTTCCTGCCGCAGGGCCTTTACAACTCCTGTTCCCTTTGCCCTTTCCCCTTCCTCTCCAACAAAGTGATTCCTACTTAGCTTAGCCTCCAGGTCTCAGTTCTCGTGGTCCTTCCTAGGGAGGTTCTTGCTCTATCTTCTGTCTCCCTCTCTTCTCCTCTTTCTTTCTCCCCTCTCTTTCTCTCTCTGTCTCTTTCTCCCCTTTTTCTCTCTCTCTGTTAGTCCCAGGCTGAGGTCATCATCATTTCTAAAGGGCCTGAAGTCTGGGCCCCCATCTGAGTCCCCATCCTGGGGCCTGTTGAGCTCACACCGCTCTTACCTGTTCCCCACCCCTGGGTACATCATGCTGCATTTATTGCGTGCCTGGGTGGGTACATCATGCTGCATTTACTGCGTGCCTGGCCGTGGGGTAGCCCTTGGTGGAAGGGGACCATGATGTCACTTTGCAGATGAGGAAACTGAGCCCGAGAGAAGGCAGTTTCCCAGTGAGGCCAGAAGGCAGCGGGTTCCCCGGGTGGAGGCTCTGTGTTGGACGGGGGAGGCGTGTGCAGAGTCCACATGGCAGCCCTGGGGAGCACAGATGGGGACCCTGGGAGCCTTCGGTGGCTCCAAGGGGCTTCAGGGTGGGGGTCTTGGAGGATGAGGAGGAGGGGCGGGTGCTGGGGGCCGGTGCGGGCGCAAAGCTCTGGGGTCAGCGTGGCAGGGTGCGGCCGGGGAGATGCAGCGTGATAAGCCTGCGGAAAGTCTGATAAGCAACCTGGACTTTATTCGAAGGACAGCCTGGGAGGCTCCCGGCAGGGGAAGGGCTTGGTCAGGCCTTCTAGAAAGATCCCTCGGGCTGCTGGGGAGGGTGGACTGTGGTGGCTGGAGGGGCAGGAGGCAGCCCTGTGGGCAGAGGCGGGGGGACAGGTCGTCTGGATGGGAGGGTGGCAGCCGTGGGCAGTGGGGAGAAAGGACCATTTGTTTGGGGGTGTCCTGGCTCCTGGCTTCGGGGACCCTGGAGGGACATGGTGTGTGAGGTGCTGGTGGGCAAACGTCACAAATGCTGCCTCCCAGCTCACTGGTGCCAGAGGGGGGCCGCGCAGGATGGGCCACGGGGTGACCAGTGAGATGGCTTTTTAAGTGTGCAGTGGTAAAAGTTCACGATAAAAGTGAAACCCAGGCCACCTCCCACACCACTCCTTTTAAGGGAGCTGGGCCCTAACGCCTGTCCACCCCTGTGTCCCCCATCCCCCACTAATTCCCCCCGCCCACTGCCCCGCTGCTTCTGCTTCTTGATCTCTCCCTTCTTTTCCAGCTCTTCCGGTTCTCCTAACCGTTGCCCTGGGAGTCAAGAAAACCCGGTGCCAGGACCGGCTCCGGCTGTGCTGGCACGATATCCCCTGACATCCGCAGGTCAGGGACTGTGGCGGAGCAGCGGTTAGGGCCAGCCACATTCCCAGGCCACAAGGGCTCCCTGCCTAGCAGCTGCTTGCATGCCCCTGGTGACGGGGAGCTCACCACCTACACACAGGCCTCACTGACACTTAGGCAGCTGGCCATGAACACTACGGTGTCTCACCAGGGACCAGCCTCAGAAAAGATCTGGAACAGCACCATTGGCTGGGGTTGGAAGACCTCAGTTTCTCCTCCTCCCAAGGGGCACAGAGAAGCTGCCCTGACTCCCTGCCAGGGGCTACTGCGGGAAAACACCTTCCTTCCTGCAGGCCCTGCCCAGACAAGCCCTGGCCCCACAGCCAGGAGGGTAGGCCCCCCTCACATGGCTGGTGTCAGTGATTCCGCCCTCGTCCAGCCCCCGTGGCCACAGACAAGGTTCCCCAAGGATAACGGGGCCAGGGGCCAGTCTGGGATAATTTAGGGCCCCAGCAGAGGGACTTTCCTTATTTCTTCTGTCACAGCTCAAAGTGGAAAATTGGAACTACCCTGCAAGTCAGCCTGAGGAATCTCCTGCCCCAGGAACAGATCCTGCCCACAGGCCCCCAGAAGAAAAGCACAGGCCAGCTGTGCAACTCCGGCTCCACGGCCCCCTTCCTGGCCTCAGTTTCTCCTCTGGCAATGCCCAGGCCTCACCTCTGCCTTGCCTGGAACCCCCGCTGGCATGTAGCGGCCTGGAAAGAGAAACCAGATGCGGACGTCCTTTGAAACCCTGAAACACAAGGCGCCTCCTGCTCCCCGGGAGGCCGGGCTGCCGAGGGCTGAGGCCCTAGACAGGGCAGGGTGTTCGAGCCTCAGTGTCCCCGTTTGTCAACGGCCTTTCCTGCCTCTTCTCCATGGCGGTGGGGTGAGATGGTGGTGGGAGGTGGGGCGGCGAAAAAGAAAATTCCAGGTCTCCGCAGGGGTCCAGAATGGCAGGACCCCCAAGCAGACCGCGCCCCTTCACCGGTTGGGGGTCTCGGCCCTCAGCGGCGGGGCGGGGCCTGGGGAGGGGCCAGGCGGCGTGGGGCGGGGCCTGTCGGGCGGGACCTGACAGCGTGGGGGCGGGACTTACCAGGAGGCGGGACGTGCCTAGGGCGCGAGCCCGTACTGGGGCCGGGCGGCGTGGGGCGGGGCCTCTCGGGAGGCAAAACCTGGAGGCTGGGGGCGGGGCCTGTCCGGAGTCGGGGCCTGCCTGGAGCGGGAGCCTGTGCCGGGGCCAGGAGGCGTGGGAACGGGGCCTATCAGGAGGCAGGACCCGGCGGCTGGGGGCGGGGCCTGTCGGGAGGTGGGGCCTGCCTGGGCGGGAGCCTATGCCGGGGCTGGGAGGTGTGAGGACGGGGCCTATCCGGAGGCAGGACTTGGCGGCTGGGGGCGGGGCCTACAAGGAGGCGGGGCCGGCGGGGGCGGGGCCGGGCTCGGCTTCTCTTAGGGACCCGGCACTCGTCGCCCTCAGTCCGGCTCAGCTGGGGCTGGGCGCCGTGGGTCTGGCGGTTCCGTAGCGGTCCCAGCGTCTGTCCCGCCGGCCGGGCGGTCGCGGCACAGCCGCGGGAAGGTGTCGGAGGGCGGTTCCGCCGCGCGGCGGGCGCGCCGCCCACATGGCGGCCATCAGGGCGCTGCAACAGTGGTGCCGGCAGCAGTGCGAGGGCTACCGCGACGTGAATATCTGCAACATGACCACGTCGTTCCGCGACGGCCTGGCTTTCTGCGCCATCCTGCACCGCCACCGGCCCGACCTCATGTAAGTCCTGCCTGGCGCCCTTTGATTCTTCTGCTGTTCGGCTGCGCGCTGACACGGGCGGGGAAACTGAGGCCCGGGCGGCTGGGGGATGGGGAGCCGAGGCGTGGGACTGGGCAGGCACAGCCCACCGTGCAGCCCCCCGAGGCTGTCCTCAGTGGCCTCAGTGTGCCCGGACACCGAATGCAGCTGGGCCAGAGCCATGGCATCCCCCGCCCGCCGGCTGAGTCAGACGTGACTCAGGGCGGCTCCTGGGCCCTGGCTTCAGTCCAGTCCCCCTCTGTGTCCCTGGGAAAGGCCAGCAGAGCTGCCTCTTTGGGCCCTCCGAGGCTCTCACTGCCCAGGGGCCTGGCCACCAGATGGGGTCCCTGGATAGCCCTCGTATGGGCACTGACCCTCCCCCAGCCTGTTCAGGCCCCTGGGGGGATGTGGCCAGGGCCACTGTGGGGGAGCGGCCAGTGCAGGGCAGGAAGCCCCCAGACCCCAGGTGCTGCTGCCAGCCGGGCCTCTGAGGCCCCGGGTGATAGGGCCCGAGATGGAGAACAGCCCCCATCTCTGGGAGCAGCAGGAGGTGGCAGGGGTTGAGGACTAGGCTGTCTCTCCCCAGGAGGGTCTTGGCGTGTGTAGCTGGGCAGCTGGCCCTGCCCGTTGCTGAATCTTGGCCCGAGCCTGGACCTGCTCCATTGTTTATTCACTCAGCAAACGCTCTTTGGCTAAATGACTGGGACCAGGCTTGCTGGGACAGAGATCTGTGTGTCGGGGCTGGGGGCCAGACGCTCAGGAAGGGGGGCCCTCAACGGCCACCTGCAGCCCAGGCACCTTCTGGGCAAAGCGTTCTCCTGAGTGTGTTTTTGGTGGGAAGGTCTCGGGGTTGGGAGGAGCCACAGGCAGCACCTGGGGCCTCTGTCAGGCCGCAGCTGTGCAGACCAGAGAACCGAGGCTAAGAGGAGGGGTCCTTGCTCAGGTCACACAGCCCCAGCCCGTTGCGCAGATCCGGGGCTCCTCCCCTGTGCCCCTGGACACTGTCCTGCCAGTCCCACTCTCTGCAGGAAGCTGGGGTCTTGAGCAACAGCCTCGGCCCCTGCTCTGAGGTTGTGACATGCATTCGTGGAGCCACCAGGGGCTTCCATTTGGCGTTTGGGCAGCAGCCGCTCTCCCTCGCCAGGAACGTGCCTCTGTTGCCCTTGCAGGCAGAAGATGCTGGGCACAAGGTGCGTGCTTCCACATGGAAAGCCTGACGCTGAGCTTTGAAGGAGAGGGCCAGGGACCTGGAGACTGGGAGAAGGACCCGGAATGGGGAGGAAGGCAGGCGAGACCCCACCCCCGGGGCTGCAGGGTCCTGGATGAGGCTGGCTGGTGGCTGAGCCCAGGCATCCAAGCTGGGGCCAGCCCGAAAAGCCTCTGGGGTGGGGAGAGGCGTTGCCACCGGCTGCTGGCCACCAGCTTCATGGATCACTGGTGTCGCCGGAGATTTGGGGCCCTCTGGTCCTGGGGAGCTTCTCTGTACTCCCTGCCGGCTCAGACGTGCCTGTGGGCAGTGCCCAGGGTGAGCACAGGTGCATGTGCATGCACTGGCACGGTGGTCGCTGTGTATCTCCTCAGTGCACTGACAGTTATTGAGTACCTGCTGTGTACCCAGCACTGAGTCCTGTGCCAGTTCCCCTCAGCCTCCAGATGCAGGGAGCAATGTTCCGGTCACAGAGACAGACAGGGAACAGGTAAATGAATAAAAGCCCAGGGTGGCTCCAGAGAGTGCAGAGGCCAGAACAGGAAGGAGGCGGGAGAGAGAGGAGGCCCTCTGCCCCCAGCTCCGGTGGGTGTGGAGTTACCCAAGCTGTGGCTGACTTGGTTCTGTCCCCACTGGACTGTCAGCTCCAGAGGGTGGGGGCTCTGTTTTGTTCACTGCTGCACCCCTGGTGCCTGGAACTGGGCTCGGTAGATACCAGCACATGGTTGGAGTTCTGCAGATAAGGGCCTTTCAGTTGGGGTTCAGTAGATATGGTAGGAGCTTAGTAGGTGCCCACGTGCAGAAGGACAGAGGAGAAGGCCATGTGCCCTTGGAGGCAGAGATCAGAGAGGTGCAGCCACAAGCCAAGGGTGTCCTGGGCTGGAAGAGGCAGGAAGGACCCTCCCCGAGAACCTCCTTAGGCAGCAAGGCCCAGCCCACACCTTGATGTCGGAGTCCGGCCTCCAGAGCCGTGAGAAAACAAATTCCTGGTGTTTTAAGCCCCAGAGTTTGTGGCAATTTGTTACGGCAGTAGGAAGAAGCTAGTACAGGCTTCCATGGGTGTTGGGGCGTGGGGGCCTCTGTAGACCCTGGCTGATGGAAAACCCGGAGTGTCATGGGGGTCGGGTGTGCACCAGGGTGTGGGGACATGCGCTTGTATGGGTGCCTGGGCCCTTTGCTTTTATTCCAGAGTTGGAGTCTCGCTCTGTCGCCCAGGCTGGAGTGCAGTGGCACCGTCTTAGCTCACTGCATTCTTGAACACCTGGACTCAAGCAATCCTCCCACCTCAACCTCCCGAGTAGCTGGGACCATGCCTGGCTAATTTTCTTATTTTTAATTTAATTTTATCTATTTATTTATTTATTTATTTATTTGAGACAGAGTCTAGCTCTGTCGCCCAGGCTGGAGTGCAGTGGTGCGATCTCAGCTCACTGCAACCTCCGCCTCCCAGGTTCAAGTGATCCTCCTGCCTCAGCCTCCCAAGTAGCTGGGGTTAAAGGGGTGCACCCCCACACCCAGCCGATTTTCATATTTTTTCTAGAGACGGGGTTTTGCCATGTTGGCCAGGCTGGTGTGTAACTCCTGACCTCAAGTGATCCATCTGCCCTCTTCAGCCTCCCAAAGTTCTGGGGTTATGGGCGCGAGCCACTGCGTCTGGCCTGTGTCTGGCTACTTTCACTCAGCATATTGTTTCTTTTTTAAATTGAGATGGGTTCTGGCTATATTGCCCAGGCTGGTCTTGAACTCCTGGCCTCAAGTAATCCTCCTGCCTCAGCCTCCCGAAGCGCTGGGATTACAGATGTGAGCCGCCGCGCCTGGCCCCTGGCTCTTTGGACGTGCCTGCCTCTGTGCCTTCATCACCCCCATCCCGTGCCCTCAGCCTCTGCTCCCTGCCGTACCTCTGGATGAGGTGGTGGCTGGGGTGGAGGTCTCCTCATGCAGCCCTTGGCTGTCCCTCCTGTCCCCAGTAGTCTTCAGGAAGGGAGGAAACGCGTGTGAGGGACAGGCACAGACCGGTTGTCCTCTCAGGGCAGCTCTGAGGTCAGACTCTGTGTGAGGCCCCGCCCTTGCCACCTCATTCCCCTCTCCTTCCAGTGAAGACCCCTTGACAGCAGAAGGGTGGACGTCCTGTCTCCCTGTCTGTAGCTCTGCCACCAGGAAGTCCTTCCCTTTGTCTGGCCTTAGTCCTTCCTGCTGCACGCAGAGAGCACTTCCGCTTGGCCCTCAGGGAGAGCAGCTGTGAAGGAACCAGCTCGGGCGCCAGGCCAGCCAGGTGGGGCACCCGGGCTCCTGGTTCTGCCTCTGCCCCACCGACCCCGGGTGGAGGGGGCGGGGATCCGGACATTCCTGTGTACCATGTTCCGGCTCCTTGAGCCACGTGTGACCACACTGGGGAGCCCCACAGGTACAGAGAGGTGTCCGTGAATCTCCGCTTTACGGCCAGGAAACAGGATCGCCCAGCCACGCCCACCAGGAGGTGGCAGGGTGGGCGGGTCCCCTGCCTGGTCAGCCTGCCTGTGCCCGCCTGCCCTGTCTCACCTGCGGCTGTGGGTTCTCTGCAGCCAGGCCTCAGGGCGCCTGCCCCCGGGCGCTGTTTCCATACTGGTGTCACAGGGCAGCTGGGCAGCCAGGTGAGCTCAGAAACCACCCAGAACAAACAGCCCCACCTCCCGCCTCACCTCCCTCAGCCAGTCAGCCTGTCGGGGCTGGAGCAGCTCTGCCATGGGCTGGCTCCTTTCATTCCTGGGCCCAAGCAGGTCTCCAGGCACAGCCCTCGGGCAGATGGGGCAGGGGGCACAGCGTGTCTGGGCTGGGAGGGAGCAGGGCTGGAGGGAGGGCAGGCGTTGTGCGTGGCGCAGGAAGCCGTCCAGCAGGTGGGAGAACATTGCGGCCTCCTTCTTGGGGTTCGTGGCTGGGGGCATTTGTCGGATTTGTGGCCAGGCCTTGGGAGGGTGTCGTGAAGTTGGGTCTCTGCTGCACCCTCAGTTCCAAGGCAGGGTCCCTTAAGTTTTCCTGGTCCCTGCAGCTCTGGAGGCGGGCTCAGGGCTGGGCCAGGAAGTGGGGGTGGCTGGGGCGGCCGCTGTGCAGTGCATGGAGCCCTCCAGCAGTGGCTCCCAAGGGTGGCGGGGCTCCCCGAGACACCACTATTGTTGGGGGCCAGGGGAGAGACTCACGCAGAGGCCCCCACCCAGAAGCTCCCAGGCAGTGCCCTCACTTCCTGGGCCAGGGCCGAGGGTGGGCTGACCTCCTCTCCCACGCGGGGTTGGGTCAGCAGGAAGCTGCTTGTGGACAGAGGCCTTCTGTTCCTGCCCCAGGGCCTGTAGCCAGACCTCTGTGGCCGCCTCTGGCCGGAACCCTCCAGGACGGGCGCGGGAGGGGGCTGCCTGTCCACCTACTGCAGGGGGACTGCCCAGGGCCCCACACTTTCCTTCCAGAGGCCCAGTGTGCAAGGTGGGGGCTCTGCGGCCTCCCCTCCCCAGTCGTCACCGCCCCCTGCCCACCCCCTCCTCTCCTGAGCTCTGCCTGGCCATGTCCTCGCTGTCTCTGAGGTTTGCTCCTTCCCCGAGTCCCCTCTCTGCCATCCCGACTGTGCCATCTGGTCCCTGTCTCTCTTGGGCCTCCCTCCACCATCTCCGCTGGGGTCTTCCTCTCTCTCTCCAGCTCTCTCTGTCCGTCCACCTGCCTCTCCCCACTCCCTCTGCTCCCTTCTCCGTGGGATTCTCTCCTGATGTGCTGGATGTGCCTCGGCTGGGGCTCCTTCCCTTCCAAGTCCTGCACCCCCCCGCCCTCCCCACTCCATGGCGGAATCTTGTTCCAGGAAGTAAACAGTGTGATGTCGGCCACCCAGGAATTTGGAGGGGGGTATACATTCCCAAGAGCCCCCAGAGGCGCCGGGGCAGAGGCCGGCTGGACTCCATGGGCTGAAGTTGATGGTCGTGGGTCAGTTAGAGGGGTGGTGGGGGCAGGTGTGGCCGGGCAGGGGCACGCACGGTGGAGAGTTGGCCAGGGCAAATCTTGTGACCGACACACAGACGGCAAATTCATTCCTTCAGCCAGTGTTGAAAGAATAAGTTACTGCCACAGAAATCTCACCAAGCACAGAACAAATGCATCACACGCATTTATAGGGCACCGACTGTGTGCCTGGCCCACGGTGTGTGTCTTGGAGCCGGGCCATGGTATACCTGATTTTAATTCTGAGGCTTCAAATAAGAGAAGATTAAACCCTGGAGGATGCCATGTCTCGGAGGTGGGCAACCTGCAGCCCCCATCCCACAGCCTGCAGGTTTGCAGCGGTGGCTGGGGCTGTGTCCCAGTTCCAGCCGTCTCACCATGGGTAGCTGGTCACTTGCTGAGTGGGGGGAAGCTGATGCATTTTTGTCCGGCAAGGACAGGGGTGTCCACCTGCTCAAGCTGCCCTTGCAAGGTCCCCCAAACGGGCGGTTTCAACAACGGAAAGTGTCCTCCCGCAGTTCTGCAGGCCAACGTCCCGGACGGAGGTGTGAGCAGGGCTGGGCCCTCCTGGGGGCAGGAGGGAGGATCTTCCCGGCCTCTCTCCTTGGCTCTGGGGTGGCCGTCTTCGCCCTGTGCCTTCACATCCTCTTCCCCTGTCAGTTTGTATCTGCATCCACATTTCCCTTTTATGAGGACACCAGCCATGGGACCAGGGCTCCCCGCAAAGAACCCTGTTTGAATTCTCTTATCTCCAAAGGAGGCAAAATGAATTCTCACCTCCAGAAAGACCCTGTCTCCAAATAAGGTCACGTGGTGGAATTGGAGGTTAGGGCTCCAATGTGTCATTTTCTTGGGGGGCTCCTGGAGACACGAGTGGGGTCTCCACCTGGCGATGTTGGTGGGGCTTGCGAGACGGTTCTGGCGGCGATTTCTGCCAGCATCGGGCCCCTGAGCTCAGCTGCTCAGGGGCCCCGGGGGTGTGAGCTCGGGGACAGCAAGGTGCATCTGGGGAGGGCCTGGCGGGTGCATCGGGCGGAGTGTGGGAAAAGCTGTTCTGTGCCGGGAGAGTGGAGCCATGGTCTGGAGGCTGGAGGGCCGGCCCTGGGGAAGGAGCTTGGGGCAGGATGGGTGGTGGCTGTGGGACCGGCCGGGGTGGTGCAGCCCAGTTGAATAGGCCTCAAACGCCCCGAATGCAGCTTGAACCTCATCCTGAGGCCGCGATGCTTGAACTCGCAGCCCAGACCTGTGCCGTGTGGGCACTGGCTCTGGTGTGTCCAGAGGGCCTGGGGTGCTCTGATCTGCCTGGAGCTCTGAGAGCCTGACTGTGGGTCTGGGGGTGAGATGGCCCTGCAGGGAAACCCACTGGACAGAGCCGCTGCTGGCCCCTGGGGTGGACGGAAACAAGTGCGGGAGGCAGACAGCCTCCTCCTCCTGCTTGTTTAGAGAAAAAACAGACTTGTGACACTGCCCTCCCGGCCGTCCGGGCATTCTTTCCGGGGACATGGCCGCTTTGGTCAGTGACCCTAGGGAAGGTCTGCAGAAGAGCTTGAGCTTTCAAAGGGCTGGGGGCGGGGAGAGAGGGAGGGAGAGCCGGCTCCTAAGCCCTGGGGGCTGAGGCTGACGCCCAGCATGGCTGCAGAGTCCCTGGGCATAGACAGCCACCCACGTGCCCTCGGGTCACACCCTCTCGGGGGACAAGCCCAGGCAGACAGAGGCATCGGCCCAGGCCCGAGCAGACGGAAACCGCTTTCGCTGCCACTGAGCCCAGGGAGGGGGCTCCTCGTCATCTGTCCACACGGAGAGGAGTCCGCGCCCCATCTTGTCCGGCGTGCAGAAGCTCCGCCTGTGCAGACGGGTGGTCCTGCCGTCTGAAACCTGTTACCTGGGAGGGGGTCCAAGCTGGAAACGGTGGAGGGTTCCCAAGGATCCCAGCAGATTGATGGACGGCAGGGCTGCAGGCGGACGGGGCGGGGGCTTCCTAAGGAGAGAGGTGGGCAGCCTGCAGCCCCCATCCCACTGCCCCCACCCCACCGTGTGGCTGCTGCCTGGCCTCAGTTTCCCCATCTGTGAAACAGGTGAAATGGGCTCACTGTCCGGGCCTCGGAGCATTCTTATGGGGGTCAGGGCCTGGCAAGGGCTGTGCAGGCTGGGCTCAGAACTAGGCCGCCCAGGCTGCGTGGCCACAGGGGTCTCGGCCCCCACTTCTCCGTTTGAGACCTGCCCAGCCTTCCTGTTTGCTGCAGCTACGGCCGTCAGATTCGCCACCAGGAGCTGCGGTTGTCCTCCCAGACAGGGAGACTGAGGCCCTGAGACCGAGGCTGGCCGGGGTCAGACATGCAGGCCGGGGTGAGGCAGGACACGGCTTGCAGCCCCAGCTCCCTCTGTGGGGCCAGGAAGCTTCTAGAACAGTCCAGTTCACGCTGACATGGCAGCAGCTGCTGTCCGGGACCCCACAGGCAGCAACGTGGACAGACGGGTCACGATCACTATATTTTTGTTTTTCTGAGACGGGGTCTCAGTGTGTTACCCAGGCTGATCTCGAATTCCTGGGCTCAAGCAATCCTTCTGCCTTGGCCTCCTGAGTAGCTGGGACTACAGGTGTGAGCCACTGCACCCGGCTTCCAGATCATGATTTAACCAACCCTCCCTCCCAGAAGCCGCAGCCCGTGCTGGGAGCCTGGTGGTTTTTGTCGGAGGGCCTGGGGCTGGGCTGGGGCCTCCTGGGATCTTGGTGTGTTTTCTGCCCAGGGTATCCTCCCAAGGTGCCCATCAGGAGTCCCAGGACCAGCTGGAGGTCACGTGGGGCTGTCCTCTTGGCGTCCCCAGAAGGGCCCTGCTGTCCAGGCTGGCCGGGGACCTCACCTCGGGAACTTCCCGGGACCCTTGCATCCCTGTGGTGTAGTGTGCGAGTCAGGGGTGAGGCTGGGCCCTCGCTGAGCACCTGGGAAGGCACTCCACCACCCAAAGAGAGAACCATGTAACCTCAGTGGGCTTGGCAGCTGTCTCCCCGCTGTGTGACCTGGGGCAGGTCCCCGAGCCGCTGTCTCTGTGAGATGCAGACATAACCGGTGTCTGCTCCACAGGTCGGGTGTGAGCCTTAGGTTGGTATTTGTGAAGCGCTGAGAAGGACACCCTTCACTGCAGGGTGAACAGAAGTCACCCTTCCAACAACAGAAGCGATGATGTGTGGGACGAGGTGGATCCGGGGCCTGTCCTGCCCTCGGGGGCAGCGTGGCTGGCCCTCTCTGCATATGGTGCCGTCCCCTGCCCTGGGAGCCTCTCTCCTCCGTTCCCTGTGGTCCTCTGGGGGCATCAGGCCTCTGCGACCCACCTGGTCACCAAGCGTTGTGATGGGAAGAGCCCCCTCCGAGCTGAGCTGTGCTGAACCGCCCTGGGCTGGTGACCTCACCTCCCAGGCCTGCTTCCTGCCACCTCTGACTGTGGCAGGAGCACTGGTGAGGGGCGGCCTGTCAGGGTACAGGAGGTGAAGCTGGGGCCGTCTGATGTCGTACTACGGTCCCAGCAGCATCACCGTGGCCGGAGCAGGGCCGGGAGCCCTGGCCTCTGCCCACCTGTGGTCCTGTGCCACCTCATTCCTTCACAGCCCCCCATCCTGGCCTCGGTTTCTCTGTTTGGGCAAGATGACCTCTGAGGCCCTCCAGCCCCTCCCTTCGTGGACTCTGAGCTGCTTTGGACATCATGTTTTTATCTTCCAGAAACTTCAGTGCTCTCAAGAAGGAAAATATTTATGAAAACAATAAACTGGTGAGTGGCCCCCGCCCCGGCCTCACAGCTGGCTTAGCCAGCCTGCTGAGCCCCACCCACGTCCGAGGGACCGAGGGACTCCCCCCAGGCCCTGCACCTGCCTTGGGAGTCCTGCCTGGGAATCGGGGGCTCCCTGACCAGCCCGGCAACGCGTCCTGGGCTGGGTGACCCTAGCGTTCTAGAAATAGCCTCTTATCTTGGCACCCAGGGCATACTGGTCCCCTCTTTTCCTGAGCTGGGGAGCAAGGTGCCAGGAGGTGGCTGGGGACCCTACTTCACTGCAAGGGGGCTCAGCCCAGTCTGCCTCAGGCAGAACAAGGGTCTGGGGGTGGCTGTGGGGGGCTGTGGATGGGTCCCAGTGGGCCTGCTGCCACTCCCACCACATGGGACCTGCCTTCCGGCCCTGCCAGGATTCCAGTCCTGCCCTGCTCACCCCAGCTTCCAGGCCCTTCCCTGTGTGCAGCCTCAGTTTGCCTGCTGCAGAATAAGCACCACGCTCCCTCGTGGGCAGAGGCACCGGCAGACTCACCACGCGCCCTGCAGGCATGTCCTGTGCTGTGCCAGGCAGGCCCCGGCCACGTCCCTGCCCCCGGAGCTGGCCTTCAGCGGGGACAGTGGTCAGCACTGAAGACAGTCATACCTGCCCGGCCGGCACTGCCCTGCTCAGCACGGGGACAATTTGAACTTAAGCTTTAACTTAATTAAAATGAACTAAAATTACAAGTTCATGGTGAAACCTCGTCTCTACTAAAAATACCAAAAATTAGTGGGGCGTGGTGGTGCGCACCTGTAATCCCAGCTATTCAGGAGGCTGAGGCAGGAGAATTGCTTGAATCCGGAAGGTGGAGGTTGCAGTGAGCTGACGCTGCGCTCCAGCCTGGACAACAGAGTGAGACTCTGTCTCCAAAAACATAATAATAAATAAAAATAAATAAATAAACAAGTCCAGTTCCTCAAGTGTGCCGGCCACACTTCCCATGCTCACAGCCATGCCTGGCCGGCGGCTGCTGGGCTGGACGGCGTGGGCTGTCGAGTCCCTGTCTCAGCCTCTAGCGGCCCTCACCTGTTGCCTGGGAGCCCTGACATGGCGACCTGTGTGTCCCTTCTGGCCCCCGGGGAGGGCTCAGCAATGTCAGCCCTGCCTCTGGAGGGAGCTGTTTCAAGACTGCGTAAGTCTGGGTTGGGTGGGGCCTGGGATTCTCCCGGTGAAGGGTAGGATCCCCTGAGGTTTCACCTGGACGGGGCCTTGAGCGCCCACCGGCCTGGTGACCTCAGTCCTGTGCAGATGGGACCGTGATCCCCGCTGCAATGATGGGTAAGCTGAGGCCGGGAGGCCACGCGAGCAGAACTCAGCTCCGGCCTCCAACCCACGCCTCTTTGGGCTCCAAGACTGTGTCTTTGAGTCGAGGTGAGCTGCGGCCTGGTGGAGAAGGAGGGGGCTCCCAGCTGCCCCGCTGACCCCCTCCCACCTTTCGCAGGCCTTCCGCGTGGCCGAGGAGCACTTGGGCATCCCAGCCTTGCTGGATGCCGAGGACATGGTGGCCTTGAAGGTGCCTGACCGGCTGAGCATCTTGACCTACGTGTCCCAGTATTACAACTACTTCCACGGCCGCTCCCCCAGTGAGTCCCTGCCGCGCCCGCCGAGCCAGGCAGGACCAGGCCCCCCATCCTTGGCCTGGCTCCCAGGCCTGTGGACTTTTTGGGGTCCATGCCCAGCCCCCCCCCCAAGAATGGCCCCTGGCATGGGCACCGGGGCTGTGCACTGGCTGTGAAGCAGCAAGAGGCCTTGGTGGGCGCCCCATCCCCAACCCCGGCCCCATGCAAAGCCCCAGGCTGTGTCTTCACCAAGAGGGACCGGGGCCCTCATCCTGCTGCAGGAGAGCTGCCCCCGCTGCTTCCCCAAGGTGCCAGGTGCACCAGCAGCTCCTGCCGCCCTGCCCCTCATGGGCCTCAGTTTGCCCATCTGGACCCCTGAGCTTCTGTGCCCACTGGGGTGGCTTGGCTGACCAGGGGCAGCTCCTGGGCCTACCTTCATCTGTCCTGATTTTGGACCCTATGGAAGCCAGGCTGGCCTGGCAGGGTGGGGCCCCCGGATAGAACTGGGCAGGGGAGGGACAGGCCCGGCCTTTGTGTGTGTAGAGCTCAGCTCCCCACCCCCCCACCCCCACATTCCTCTTCTAGGGTTTAGAAATCCCCAGAACCATTCCGGGCACAGGGCCTGCCCTGCCTGCTGGAGAAACAGAAAAGTCCCTTTTCCCTGACTCCAGCTGGGGCTCTGAGTGGGGAGGGAAGGAGTGGGGACCGACCCGGGGCTGTGCCAGAAAAAGTGCCCTCAGGGTTACCTCTCCCCAGCCCTGGGCCCCCAGGTCCCCCCCGGGCACCAAGGCCTGTGCTGGGCACTGGGACCTCTGGAGGGACTAGACCCTTTCAGAGCCAGGCCTGGGACCCTCCCGATCCCTGCTTGATTCCTCCAGTTGGGGGCATGGCAGGCGTGAAGAGGGCCTCGGAGGACTCTGAGGAGGAGCCGTCAGGGAAGAAGGCTCCAGTCCAGGCGGCCAAGCTGCCCTCGCCCGCCCCAGCCCGGAAGCCTCCACTATCTCCAGCCCAGACAAACCCTGTGGTCCAGAGGAGGAATGAGGGTGCAGGGGGCCCGCCCCCCAAGACTGTAAGCTCCCACCCCACCCTCCCCCTGGTTCTCTGGGTTTTCCACCGGGGGGTGCAGAAGGGGCTTGTGGGACTACGTGCGGCCCCTAAGCCACGGGACCCAGAGTGGGGTGCGGCTCCCCCAGTCCAGGGCTCAGCCTTAGCAAGAGCCGCCAGGACCGGGCTCTCCAGGGCTCCATCAAGCCAGGGGTTGTGATCCCACTTTGTACAGATGGGAGAGCACAAAGGTGGGACAGAGCTTGAACCTAGATGGGCCCAGGATACCTCTCTCCCGGGGAGAGAAGGGTTGCTGGGCTATGCCCTGTACCCAAGGCCGGCTCTGCAGAGTGAACCCAGGCACCCCCACTTCTCAGAAGCGGAGTTGGGGTGGAAGGCGGTGGGCAAATATCTGGTGGTTGGCAGCCCCTGCTATGCCTGGACTGCCACTCCAGGCTCCCGGGATGGTGGGAATTGGATGGGATCCATGCCCCTAATGGGGCAGGAGGAGGCCTGGAATCTGTCCCCTGGCCCCCAGCCACCGAAGGACCACTAGCATCGGGCCTCAGCTCTCTCCCCAGGGCTGGGCTAGAGGCCCTGGACTGGGGCTGCCACCCACCTGGGTGTGACCCCGACCGCAGCCCTGCTGGCGGCTCCTCTCCTGGCCAGTTCTCCATCTGTAAGATGGGCTCTTCCGGCCACCTGTGGGCTGCCACCAGGAGGGAGGGCTGGGTGGACGGCTGCTCAGAGAGGTGCTGGCATCTTCCCCAGGACCAGGCATTGGCGGGCAGCTTGGTCAGCAGCACCTGCGGGGTCTGCGGCAAGCACGTGCACCTGGTACAGCGGCACCTGGCCGACGGGAGGCTTTACCACCGGAGCTGCTTCAGGTGGGGCTGCCCTCTGCCCGCACGCCTGAGTGTGCACCTCCCCTCCCAGAACCCTCCCACAGCTCCCATCGCCTCCCACCCGGCCTCCTCCTCCCCGCTCCTCGTTCCTCTCCCCTCTCCCCTCTCCCCTCCTCCCCCCTCCCCCTCCCCGTCTCCCCTCCTCCCGCCTCCTCCCCTCTCCTCCCCTTCTCCCTCTTCTCCCTTTCACTTTCCTTCCCATCCTCCCTTCCTTCTCCTCTCTATCCTCCCCCTCCTCCCCCCTCCTCTCCCTCTTCACTCTTCTCTCCCTAATGGTCCGCCTCCTCCCCCTTTTTCCCCCTCCTCCCCCCTTCTCTTCCTCCTCCCCCCTCCTCTCCCTCCTCCCCCCTCCTCTCCCTCTTCACTCTTCTCTCCCTACTGCTCCGCCTCCTCCCCCTTTTTCCCCCTCCTCCCCCCTTCTCTCCCTCCTCCCCCCTCCTCTCCCTCCTCCCCCCTCCTCTCCCTCCTCCCCCCTCCTCTCCCTCCTCCCCCCTCCTCTCCCTCTTCACTCTTCTCTCCCTACTGCTCCGCCTCCTCACCCTCTTCCCCACCCCCCGCTCTGTTGCTGATAGCCCAAGATGTTCTACTGTTCCCAGACACCCAGGACCTGATGCCCCTCACTAAGCCCCAGTGTCCCCCAGTGCCCCCGTCCAGATGCCTCCTCCAGTGCCCCCGTCAAGATGCCCTCCCGACTGTCCTTCCACACACACTGCCTCAGTCTCCCTTCTGTGCCTCAGCCCTTCCCACTGGTGTTGTACTCAGTGGCCATCCCCAGCCCCTTGCTGCCACCCTGCACCCCGGGTGGGGGCTCCTAGGAAACAAGCGCTGTTCCCCCTACTTCTGTCCCCAGCTCTGCAAGGCTGGGGTGGGCCGGTCCTCCCAGTTCCATCCCCCACGCTGTGAGGCCAGGGTGGGTCAGCCCCGAGGTGGGGCCTGGGGTGGCCTGTGGGTGTGTGTCTGCTGACCTGCACAAGCACCCTCTGGGGTTTGCACCCCAAACGAGGTTTTTGGTGGGGTTTGTGATGTAAGTGGTTAAGGACCCTGAGAAGAGGCGTTTGTTGAATGAATCAGCGACCTCGTGAGTGGAACACAGGAGTCCGCAATGCCTGCTCTCAGGAGCACGTGGTGAATGCGTGGCGGGGCGGGCGTTCAGCAACCTCGCAAGTGGACACAGGAGTCCGCAATGCCTGCTATCAGGAGCACGTGGTGAATGCGTGGCGGGGTGGGCGGTGCCGAGCTGGGGCTCCTGTGCCTTTCCTCCCCCAGGTGTAAGCAGTGCTCCTGCACGCTGCACTCGGGGGCCTACAAGGCCACAGGAGAGCCGGGCACCTTCGTCTGCACCAGCCACCTCCCCGCAGCCGCCTCTGCAAGCCCCAAGTTGACGGGTCTGGTCCCCCGACAGCCAGGGGCCATGGGTGTGGATTCCAGGACCTCCTGTTCCCCACAGAAGGCCCAGGAGGCAAACAAGGCCAGACCGTCGGCCTGGGAGCCTGCTGCGGGCAACTCGCCTGCCAGGGCTTCCGTTCCAGCTGCACCCAACCCTGCAGCCACCAGCGCCACGTCCGTCCACGTGAGGAGCCCAGCCAGGCCCTCTGAGAGCCGCCTGGCCCCCACTCCCACGGAGGGGAAAGTCCGCCCTCGTGTGACCAATAGCTCCCCGATGGGCTGGTCGTCAGCTGCCCCGTGCACAGCAGCGGCTGCCTCCCATCCCGCCGTGCCCCCGAGTGCCCCAGACCCTCGCCCGGCCACACCCCAGGGTGGGGGAGCCCCCCGAGTGGCAGCTCCTCAAACCACACTCAGTTCAAGCTCCACATCTGCAGCCACGGTGGACCCCCCAGCCTGGACCCCGTCCGCCTCCAGGACCCAGCAGGCCCGGAATAAGTTTTTCCAAACATCAGCAGTGCCCCCCGGCACCAGCCTTTCTGGCAGAGGTCCCACCCCGTCACTTGTTCTATCCAAGGACAGCAGCAAGGAGCAGGCGCGGAACTTCCTCAAGCAGGCCCTCTCAGCGCTGGAAGAGGCTGGCGCTCCGGCGCCTGGCAGGTGAGCGCGTGGGGACCGAGGGACCCCGGGTATGGCCTCTTTGCACCAGCCAGCGGGGCCCCGGAGGCCAGAGGGGTTGGGGGCGCTGCACCTCCCTGGCTGTGTGGCCTTGGGGACTGCACTTCCCCCAGCCTGTTTCCTTCTCTGGGGAATGGGGAGGAGGAGCCAGGGTGGCAGTGCCTGTGGTCAGGGTGGTGGAAGCCGGGTCCTTATGGAAAAGCTGCTGTCCGCATGTGCTCGGGGCGTCATGGGTGCGGTGGCGCTGCCGCTCCGGGGCCCCCTGTGCTGCACTCCCTTGGAACCCAAGGGTCCTACGCCCATTTCATGGACGCGGGGACAGGTCGCGAGCGGGACCCACGCTGGCGGGTCTGAGTGGACGCGGGGACAGGCCGCGAGCGGGACCCACGCTGGCGGGTCTGAGTGGACGCGGGGACAGGTCGCGAGCGGGACCCACGCTGGCGGGTCTGAGTGGACGCGGGGACAGGTCGCGAGCGGGACCCACGCTGGCGGGTCTGAGTGGACGCGGGGACAGGTCGCGAGCGGGACCCACGCTGGCGGGTCTGAGTGGACGCGGGGACAGGTCGCGAGCGGGACCCACGCTGGCGGGTCTGAGTGGACGCGGGGACAGGTCGCGAGCGGGACCCACGCTGGCTGGGCTGAGCATCACCTTGTCTGACTGAGTCCAGCCAGGCCCTGACCTTCCATGCCTGGGCCCGGCGCCTGCCTGTGCCTGGACCCTGAGCAGATGACGTGGACGGGTAGAGGGGGGCGCTGCATCAGTTTCCAAAGACCCCCTCACTGGGCGGCTTACACAGTAGAAATCCACCCCCTCACAGCTCTGCAGGCCAGAAGTCTGACCTTGAGGCGGGGGAAGGGCCGCGTCCCCTTGCAGGGCACTAGGGGTGGACCTGTCCTTGTCTCTTCCAGCTCCCAGCGGCTCTGAGCGTTCTTGGCTTGTGGTCGCCTCCCTCCAGTCTCTGCCTCCGTTTCCATGTGGCCTTCTCTCTGTCTGTCTTCTCCTCTTCTGTCTCTTCTAAGGACATGGTTGTTGGACTAGGGTCCACCCTAACCCAGCGTGAGTGCATCTTAACATGATCATAACTGCCAAGATGGTTTACAGATAAGGTCACACTCTGAGCTTCCCAGTGGACATGACTTTTAGGGGTCACCATTCGACCAAGTACAGTCACTTAGCGAGTAAGAATGCTTGTCGCAGCCTGGCTGACAACGCCGTTTCCTGCCCCGTATCGTGGGGTGCAGGCGTCCCCTGCTCAGAACTGCCTCCTGCCCCCGCAGTGGTCAGCAGGGGGTGCTCAGAGCCTCCGGGGTGGTCACAGACAGGAGAAGAGCGAGTTCGCTCTGCTCCTCCTGGCACTGGGGGGTGTCCAGGGCATCCTAGGGACTGAGGATGAGTGGCGGGGGTGCTCCAGGGAGTGCTTCCTAGGTGGTGGGGCGGGGGGCATGTGTGGCTGGGGAGGACCCCAGCTCCTCTGGGGAAGCTGGCCTGGCACACCTGAGCCCAGTGTAAAGGGAAAGGGGGGAGGGAAACTGGTTGTCGAGGGGGGTGGGGACATGGAGGCACTGGCTCGGGGGTGGGGAGGCACCTGGTGCCCCCACCTCAGGCTCTGGCAGCCTCACTCCTGGTGTGTGCCTGAGGGAAGGCAGGAAGGCACGGAGGCCTTGTGTCTGGCCCTGTGTCTGTGTGTCTGGCGGGGCCAGAGAGACTGTGTCACATGGGACTGAACCTGGCAGCCCAGGCCGGCCCAGCCTCTGACAAAGCCCCAGGTGCCTCCAGCCTGGGTGGGTGGTGTGTTTAGGGGGTGGATATTTTAATCTCAGCCAACACTGGATTTCACAGGGGAGGAGAATCAACCACAGCATATGCTCATGCCAGAAACAGGTGTCTGTGGCCTGTGCCTTGCCAGGGTGGTCATTGGGAGCGAGCTGCAGGGAGGCAGAGGGGCAGCCTGGTGCAATGGTGGGGGAGGCGGAGGGGTGGCCTGGCGCAATGGTGGGGGAGGTGGAGGGTGGCCTGGGGTGATGGTGGGAGTCCGTCCGGAGGCTGGGCATTGGGAGTGAGCTGCAGGGAGGCAGAGGGGCGGCCTCGGGTGATGGTGGGAGGGCGCCTGGATCCAGCTGTGCCTGATGCCTGCGCTTTTACTTATAGGCCCTCCCCAGCCACTGCCGCTGTTCCCAGTTCTCAGCCCAAAACTGAAGCACCACAAGCAAGTCCCTTAGCCAAGCCGTTACAGTCCTCGTCTCCCCGGGTGCTTGGCCTCCCTTCGAGGATGGAACCGCCAGCCCCGCTGAGCACGAGCAGTACCTCTCAGGCATCCGCGTTGCCCCCGGCAGGCAGGAGGAACTTGGCGGAATCCTCAGGGGTCGGCAGGGTGGGTGCTGGCTCCAGGCCGAAGCCAGAGGCCCCGATGGCAAAGGGTAAAAGCACCACCTTAACGCAGGGTGAGTAAGGGGCTGGGAGGCAGGAGGCCCCGGGGGCCCGCAGCTCTGGGACTCTCCCCTGGCCGCACTCTGCAGTGTGTGCGGTTTCATCATCAGCCCCGCCCGCCTTCCTCTCCGTCTCATCTCTGTCCTCCGTGACACCTGCTCGCAGCCTCCTGGGGTCCTGGTGCGCTCTCTGTGTGGTGGCTGCAAATGTCCTCAGGGCTATGCTGTTTGCCGGCACCCAGCCCACCCCATCCGCACGTCCTGCAGGTGCCTGCAGCCCAGCCCTGCAGCGTCCCGCTCAGCTCGGTCTGGCAGTTACATCCTGTGGCTAGCAGTGGCCTGGCTTGGCCGTGGTCTGTGGGGCCTCCTGTTCTCCCGTGGTGTTTTGCGCTTCCTGCCTGTCGCTTTGACAACGTCGCGCTGTTGCTGTGGCACCCTGTGTCACCACATACCGGAGATGGTGCCCTATGCCCCGTCCCCCCTGTGGTGTCCCGGTGACGGTGCCCTATGCCCCGTCCCCTCCGCTGGTGTCCCAGTATGCCCTGTCCCCCTGGTGGTGTCCAGGTGAGAGCGCCCTGTGCTCCGTCCCCCCCGGTGGTGGTCTGGTGACGATGCCCTATGACCTGAGGGCTCTGGTGCCTCCTAGGCTGGGAGCTCTTCCTGGGGGCTCCCTGGACCACACAGTCCTGTTTTATGGCCTCACGTGTTTTCGGGAACAGGGAGCGAGCTTTCTTCTAGGCAACTGGCTGTCACCCACCAGGGGTTAGCCCCCTGGGTGATCATGGCCAGGCTGGGCAGGACGTGGGCTTAGGGCTTGTGAGGCCAACCCTGTGCCAGCTGGGAGGCCCAGGGCACTGGGATGGCCAGGCTACGCAGTGAGCTGTCAGCTGTGCCAGGACAGACCCCAGGCTCCTGGCGGCCCTGCTTTGATGCACGGCTCTGTCTCCCAACCTGGGGGCAGCCGAGTCCCCCCGCCTCGCCCCACTGCAGGAAACTGGCTGTCCCTGCCACCTGGGTGTGTGTAGAAAAAAGCTAGAGGTTCCCATGGCTTTATCGAGCTGGGCTCAGGGAACAAGCTGGGCTGCAAAGGGTTTTTCCAGATCCTTCTCTTTGGCTGAGTTCTCATTGTTAAAGCCACGCGCTGGATCCTGCAGGACCCAGGAGCCAAGAAAGCCTGCAGACGGGCAGCCGTGGCTCAGGTGTTCCCCTTGCACAGGTGGACAGAGGATCAGGGTCCACGGGGCTCACCCTGCCACGTCCCCACCCATTCGGCAGAAGGGGAAGTTGAGGCCCAGAGGCAGGGAGAGCTTCCCCCAGGGACACACAGCACAGGAGAGCCAGCTGGGAGCCCCTCCCCTGACTCCCTGCCCGGTGCTCCTGATGCCCCCCGGCCGGCTGGCTGTGGGGGTGTCTGAGGGTGGAGTGGCTATGGGAAGATGGCAGGGGGAGGCACAGCCACCCTTGCAGACACCCCATTCCCAGCACTCCTTCCTCACACCCAGACCCCTTGCCTCCCACCCAGACATGAGCACCAGCCTCCAGGAAGGCCAGGAGGACGGGCCGGCAGGATGGAGAGCGAATCTGAAGCCCGTGGACAGGAGAAGCCCAGCTGAGAGGTTAGGGATGGGTGGGGCTGGCCCAGGGCCTGGTACACCATAGGTGCTTAATAAATGCAGTGAGTATGTAATCGACCGATTGACACGCCTATCCAGGGATAGACGCACCTCCCTGTGAGTAGCAGAGGCCAGGTCACCCCTGCCTGAGGGACATGGGGGCCGCTGTCCCTGGTTTGGGGGCAGCGTTGCGTGTCTCACCTGGGCATGGCAGCACCCGTGTGGGTTCACGCACCATGCCTGCAGCTGGGGTGGAGTCTCCCCATGTGTGGGTCCCGTGGGGCCCGGAGCTCACGCCTGGAATCTGCTTCGCACCACGGCAGGTAGCGATGGACACGTGTGTTTGCAGGAGGGTCCCAGCAGGTGTAGTCAGTGGGCTGGGAGGTGGCATTTGCTCAGAAGGCCACCTGCTCCCTCCGGCTGGTCTGCATATGGCCTGGGAGCCCCTCCAGGTGGGCCAGGCCCTGGGGCTGGTGGTTCGGGTTCCGACCTCATGCCTTCTGCCCAGGACTCTGAAGCCCAAGGAACCACGGGCCCTGGCAGAGCCGAGGGCGGGGGAGGCCCCCAGGAAGGTCTCAGGCAGCTTTGCTGGGAGTGTCCACATCACCCTGACCCCCGTGAGGCCTGACAGGACCCCACGCCCAGCCAGCCCAGGACCCAGCCTCCCAGGTACTCCTGGACGGGACCCAGGGGCCCCCGGGTTGCCTAGCTGGCCCTCCCCCTTGGGTGGGGGCCCCGGGACTGGACCTGTAGTGCCACCTCCTGGGGTGTGCGGAGAGGCGCTCCGGTCAGCCAGAGAAGCTGGTAGTCCTGGGCAGGCTTGTGTGTACATGTGTGCATGTGTGTGATGCATGTGTGCATGTGTTCATGTATGTGATGCCTGTATCCATGCGTGATGCATGTGTGCGCATGTGTACATCTGTGTTCATGTGTGTGATGCATGTGCACGTGATGCATGTCCATGTGTCTGTTCATGTATGTGATGTGTGATGCATGTGTATTCATGTGTACATCAGTGTTCATGCGTGTGATGCATGTGTACATGTGTGATGCGTGTCCATGTGTCTGTGTTCGTGTATGTGATGCATGTGTGCCCACACGTGATGCATGTGTCCATGTGTACATCTGTGTTCATGTGCGATGCATGTGTGTCCATGTGTACATCTGTGTGATGCATGTGTGTGCAACCGTGTTCATGTATGTGGTGCATGTACCCATGTGTGGATCTGTTTCATGAATGTGATGCATGTGTGTCCACGTGTGCACCCGTGTTCGTGTGTGATGCGTGTGTGTGCACACACATCTCTGTGTGTATTCCTAGCACTCATAGCTGCCCTGGATCCATATCCAGCTCTCGTGCCACTTCCTGTGTGACCTTGAGCAGCCAGCAGCCCCGTGGGTTAGCCCCCTGGGGAGACATGGCCAGGTTGGGCAGGACGTGGGTGTAGGGCTTGTGATGCCAACCCTGTGCCAGTCGGGAGGCCCAGGGCATGGGGATGGCCGGGCTACCCAGCGAGCTGTTGGCTGTGCTGGGACAGACCCCAGGCTCCCAGTGGCCCTGCTCTGAAGCGTGGCTCTGTCTCCCCACCTGGGGGCAGCCAGGTCCCCCTCCCCACCCCGCCGCAGGAGACTGGCCGTCCCTGCCAGCCTCGACGTTTGTGACAACTGGCTTCGGCCGGAGCCCCCTGGCCAGGAAGCCCGAGTGCAGAGCTGGAAGGAGGAGGAGAAGAAACCTCACCTTCAGGGCAAACCAGGTCAGCCCCAGAGACACCGCTGCTGTTTGGGGTGTACGTGAAGGGAGCCTTCCTCTGAGGAGGCAATGCCTGCTGGGGCTTTGGAGGATGCATTCACAGGACCTAGAATGGAGGGAAAGCCTGGAGGAAGGACCCAGCCCCGTGCCCCAGGCCCGCCCTCATGAATAGAGACCCTAGCTGTTTCAGAGTACCTTGTTACAGACTCATGGTGATGATGGAATGTCTGCTTCTGGCAGCTTGAGGGACTGGGGTGGCTGGGGTGTTGCTGACCTGGAGGAGGGCAGGGTGCAGGGTGGGGCTGGGCCTGGAGGCCACTCAGGTGTCTGTGGGGCTGGGTCAGGGCAGTCCAGTGGGCGTGTGGGGCATTAGGGAGGCAGGGCTGGGGCCAGCTGTGCTGTGCTGAGGTCAGGCTCCTTCCAAGCTGTGTCCTGGTCACGTTGGGCCTGGTGGCCCAGGTCCCAGAGGCTCACCCTGCTCCTTCTCCAGGGAGACCCTTGTCCCCGGCCAATGTCCCTGCTCTGCCTGGCGAGACGGTGACCTCCCCAGTCAGGGTGAGTAGTGGTGGGGAGCCGGGCAGGGGCCCAGCCCTCCGGCATCCTCACCGCCCCTCCGTTCCCAGCTGCACCCCGACTACCTCTCCCCGGAGGAGATACAGAGGCAGCTGCAGGACATCGAGAGGCGGCTGGACGCCCTGGAGCTCCGCGGCGTGGAGCTGGAGAAGCGACTGCGGGCGGCCGAGGGAGGTGAGCGCCTCGGCCTGGCCCTGGGCCAGCCCGACTCCCACAGACACCCTCAGTCCTGGGGCTGGGGGCCATGAACTCTGGCGGGCCCCCCTGCCCCAGCTGGCTCCTCTCCCCAGATGACGCTGAGGATAGCCTCATGGTGGACTGGTTCTGGCTCATTCACGAGAAGCAGCTTCTGCTGAGACAGGAGTCAGAGCTGATGTACAAGTGAGAGCCCAGCCGTGGGCCCCTCCTCGAAGGCCAGGACCTCGTTGCGGGCTGGGCAGGCCAGGCGGGGGACAGGAGCGCAGAGTCAGGCCTCAGATGCATGTCTGTGCGGCAGGTCCAGGACCTCGTTGCGGTCTGGGTGGGCCAGGCGGGGGACGGGCGGCGAGTCAGGCCTCAGACTCGTGTCTGTGTGGCAGGTCCAGGACCTCGTTGCGGGCTGGGCGGGCCAGGCGGGGGACAGGGCGGCAGAGTCAGGCCTCAGACGCGTGTCTGTGCGGCAGGTCCAAGGCCCAGCGTCTGGAGGAGCAGCAGCTGGACATCGAGGGCGAGCTGCGCCGGCTCATGGCCAAGCCCGGTGCGTCCCCCGCGCGCCAGCCAAGGGGCCCCAGCCAGGGATGCCGCGGAGCCCAGGATGTCTGGGGGCCGGCTCTGTGAGGCCACCTGACTGTCCTGGTGGTGAGACCTTCCCTGGAGCCAGGCGAGCCCACGTTTGAGTTTCAAATCTCCCACCTCCTGGCTGTGTGTCCTCAGCCAAGGTACTTAACCTTGCTGTGCTTGGGTTTCATCCTCTGCAAAGTGAGGATGCTTGTAGCACCCACCTCACGCAGCTGTTGTGAGGATTAAACGAATCAATTCGCACAAGGCATTTAGTGTAGCAGCAGTCAGGGCGAGCCATAGGCATTTGTCTCGTGATGCAGGGTGCCCTGGCTGAGGGCACAGGCCCAGGCCGTCTGCCTCTGCCCTTTCCTTGCTGTGCTGCAGGGACAGCGACGCCCTGAGCCTCAGTGTCCATATCTCTGCAGCGAGTGGTGTTTCTGCGAGATGATGGGGAAGGATCCCAGCACACGGGCTCTGACGTGGCCGTTCCTTCCTTCATTCACTTATTCACTCATTCATTCTGCTCCGGATCCCCCCAAGACCCCACCTTCTTCCTCCAAAAGAGGAGCCTGGCGCTTGGGTGGTGGGGACATTGTGTCCTGTGAGGGGCATGGCAGTGGTGGGGGGGGCTCCTGCTGACGAGCCATCCCCACAGAGGCTCTGAAGTCACTGCAGGAGCGGCGGCGGGAGCAGGAGCTGCTGGAGCAGTACGTGAGCACCGTGAACGACCGCAGTGACATCGTGGACTCGCTGGACGAGGACCGGCTCCGGTGAGGGGCAGGTGCCGGGGGCCCCTCCCAGCCAGGCCAGGTCGCCTGGTCCATGCTCCCGGCCCTCAGGGTCAGCCAGCCCCGTAGAACTTTCTGACCAGGCGGTTATTGTCTATGCTGACTGGTACAGTAGCCAGGGGCCACATGTGGCCATCGGGGACTTTTTGAAGTCTTTTTTTTTTTTTTTTTTGAGACAGAGTCTTGCTCTGTCACCAGGCTGGAGTGCAGTGGTGCGATCTTGGCTCACTGCAACCTGTCCCTTCCAGGTTCAAATGATTCTCTTGCCTCAGCTTCTCGAGTAGCTGGGATTACAGGCGCACACTACCACACCCGGCTAATTTTTTGTTTTTGTTTTTTTTGAGACGAAGTTTCCCTCCTGTTGCCCAGGCTGGAGTGTAGTGGTGCGATCTTGGCTCACTGCAACCTCCGTCTGCCGAGTTCAAGCGATTCTCCTGCCTCAGCCTCCTGAGTAGCAAGCTCGCACCACCATGCCCGGCTAATTTTTTGTATTTTTGGTAGAGACGGGGTTTCACCATGTTGGCTAGGCTGGTCTTGAACTCCTGACCTCAGGTGATCTGCCCTCCTTGGCCTCCCAAAGTGCTGGAATTACAGGCATGAGCCACCGTAACTGGCCGTAAAGTCTTAGTTTTTTTTGTTTGTTTTGTTTTGTTGTTTGTATTTTTTTTTTTGAGACAGAGTCTTGCTCTGTCGCCCAGGCTGGAGTGCAGTGGCCGCAATCTCGGCTCACTGCAAGCTCTGCCTCCAGGGTTCATGCCATTCTCCTGCCTCAGCTTCCCAAGTAGCTGGGACTACAGGCGCCCGCCACCACACCCGGCTAATTTTTTTAGATTTTTAGTAGAGACGGGGTTTCCCCATGTTAGCCAGGATGGTCTCGATCTGACCTCGTGATCCGCCCGCCTCAGCCTCCCAAAGTGCTGGGATTACAGGTGTGAGCCACCGTGCCCGGCCAAAGTCTTAGTTTTTAACTTGAACTTCCAAGGCCACGTGCGTCTCCTGGCTCCTGCACGGACTGTGTGACTGTCCCCGACAGCTTTCCTGTCTCGTCTCATGAGGGGTCCAGCACATGGCATTCTGGGTCGGCACCTGAAGTCCACCTCTATGAGACCCTCTGGGAGCGTGACGGGGCCTTGGCATGGGTCGGCCGAGGCCCTTCTGTCCCAGGTCACTGGTGTGGTCGGCCCAGGCCCTCCTGTCCCACATCACCTGTGTGGTCGGCCCAGGCCCTCCTGTCCCAGGTCACCGGTGTGGTCGGCCCAGGCCCTCCTGTCCAGGTCCTCCTGTCCAGGTCACTGGTGTGGTCGGCCCAGGCCCTTCTGTCCCAGGTCACCTGTGTGGTCGGCCCAGGGCCCTCCTGTACCATGTCACTGTTGAGGGGCTGGCTCTGGAAGAGGGCAGGGACTTGGCATTGGTGGGGGCAGGGTTCCAAGGTGTGGCCTGTCAGCAGGAAGGGGCAGGTGGCATGGGTCCAGGCGGGACTCAGGGCTGGGGTGCCACTGCTGGAGACTGTCCGGAGGCCCCTCCAGGGCACCTTGCCATTGCCATTGTCGCTCATGGCCATCTGGTCCCGTTTCAGGGAACAAGAGGAGGATCAGATGCTGCGGGACATGATTGAGAAGCTGGGTGACTGGGCCGGGGATGCTGAGGGCTGGGCTGGCTGGCTGGGTGGGCCGGGGATGCTGAGTGCTGGGCTGGCTGGCTGGGTGGACCGGGCCTCCAGCTGGGGGTGGGGGGGGGGCGGGTATCGGGTCCCCCCCTCAGCCTTGGTGACAGGACAGGCAGGTTCACCCTGAGGGTGAGAGCTCCCTCCCGCCCCTAAGAGAGCCAGGGGCAGCTGGTGACCGTGTGGTCATGGTGGGGACCAGCCCTCCGGGGCACCCAGTCGGGGCAGGTTCTCACGTGGGAGGGCACAGGGCTTCCTGCAGGCTCGGAGGCCCAGGGCGGATTGTGGCCAGTGGAAGGGAAGGATGTTTCTGGCAGGGGGACTTGTGTGGGCCACGGCTGTGCGGCTGCGGCGTTGAGCACGGCCTCACTGTCCACCTGTCCCCTAGGCCTCCAGAGGAAGAAGTCCAAGTTCCGCTTGTCCAAGATCTGGTCACCAAAAAGCAAAAGCAGCCCCTCCCAGTAGTAGCCAGTAGGGCCGTGGGCTCGGCCCGGACCTGGCATCCGGACTTGGACTCGGGGCCATGGGCTTGGCCCGGACCCGGAACCCGGACTTGTACTCGGGGCCGTGGGCTCGGCCCGGACCCGGCATTCGGACTTGGACTCGGGAAGGGCCTCCTGTCCCTACAAGGGGCATGTGGACAGCAGGGACCTGCGCTACCGTCTGTGGTCTCAATAAAGAAACCGACCACATGGCCCCGGACTCCTACGTGCCTCCGTGTTTGCCTCGGTGCCCCTGGGCGGCCCCGCACCTGCCTGGGGTCTCGCCTGCCTCCCAGCTCTTGCCTGCAGGACGGACGTGCTCTGTGGCCTCGGGCAGGAGCCGACCCTCTCAGGGCCTGGCCCTCGAAGGTGGGCCCTTTCATAGCTTCCTGGCACAGATGGGCTGGTGGGAGCCTCAGAGGAGACGTCGGTACAGGCTGGAGACTTTGGGTGCTGGGTCGCCATGTATCCGTGGCCTGAGAGCTGTGACCTCGTTCTCCCAGGACTGGGGCTGGGATGGGGGATTGTAAGCAGTGGCCCCTGGTCAGGGAGACTTCCTGGTGGCCAGGGCGGGATGTGGGGTGCCCCATCCTTTCTGACCCCCACTGAGAGTGGATGTCGTGGGAGGAGCGCTGAGTCAGGAGTGCAGCGTCCCTGTAAGCCTCAGTTTGCCCATCTGTGCGGGGAGGGGCGGGCCTCAGCTGCTTGTTGCTGCGCTGTTTCAGCTGCTGTAGGAGCCTCTGCGGCGGTCCTGGGGAACCCTCAGCCATGGCAAAGCACCAGTGTTCTCCACCTGCTGGCTGGGGGGGTCGGGACCCCACGGGTCCCAGCAGGGCCAGAGCAGGTTCAGAGCCTGGAGCCCCTGCCGTGTGCGCGTGGGCCCTGGGGAGCTTGTGCTGGGCAGGCCTGTGGCATTCCATGGCCTTCACTGTGCCTTTGAGGGTCTCAAGACTCCTGGAACGTGAGCTGGGTGTGGGGCATGGAAGAGAGGGTGGGCTGGGGTGCACGGATGGAGCACAGCCTCTGCAGTCACAGCTCTGCTCCTGGCAGCTCTTTGGCCTCGGGCTAGGGCACTGCCCTTTCTGAGCCTTTGGTGACATAGGCTGCCTGGGGGCCGTGTGAGGATGAGAGGGGCCCACCGGTGTGCCTCGGGCAGTGATGAGGGTGGAGGAGCACGGAGGTGCTCTCTTGCCCTCTGCTGACAGCGAGACCCCCGCTGCCTCCCTCTGTACCCCCTGCTTCTGCCAGCCACTCGGGGCCCCCGTGGAGGGAAAGGGGCTCCCCCAGATGAGGCCATGGGTCACCTGCACACAGCAATGAGTGGGGAACGGGGTCGTGCTTTGCCTGGCCCTGAGGCCTCTCTTGGAGTCAGGCCACTGGGACCGAGTGTGTTGGTGGAAACTCCCTGTGCCCTCCGAGGACTGGGAGGCAGTGGCTGGCAGCAGTGGGACCCTGGAGCCCCCAGGAGACTTCTGCAGGGGGGGGTCTCACCTGGGTGTCGAGGAGTAGGGGTCTCTCGGTGGATGGGCAGGGTGTGCCCTATTGCAGGAACAGCATAGGCAGTGATCTTGGGAGCTTGAAGATGTGTGGTGGGGCAGGTTGGGGCGGGGCCGGGGTCAGGGTCAGGTGAGGCGGAGCGGGTGATGGAGAGAGAGGGGCTCTGTCAGGACCTGGGCCGGCAGGGACCTTCCAGGTGCAGCGAGGTGGCCTCGTTCCTCAGGCACTGGGTGCCTGGGGTGGTTCTGAGCAGAAGCCCCAGGGCCTCTGCTGTGTTAGGAGCATGACGCCGTGGAGGGCGGTCTGGACCGGGTCCCGGAGCTGAGCCTGTGGGTCCCCCTGGGATCTCAGCCCCGTGGGTCCCCCTGGGATCTCAGCCCCGTGCTCACGTCGTAAGGCCTGACCCGCGGCAGTGTGGCCTCTTCACCACCAGGGGGAGGCAGAGAGCCACTTAGTGGAGAGGGGCAGCCGGGAGCCTGGAATAGCTCCGTTTTTCAGACAGGGAAACTGAGGCTGGGAGAGGGCTACGGCTCTCCCACGTCACACAGCAAGCGAGGCGGGGCCAGGGCAGGGGGCTGCGTAGCATTTTTGAGACCAGAACGGGAAGGGAGTGTTGTCCAGCAAGTTAGGGGCGTGGGCACCTGGGGCTCGGTCCTGCTGTGGACTCACACCTGGGGGTGTCCCACCGCAGGGCCAGGAAGCTTCCGCCCCCACCATCAGCCCCCTGCATCTGGGGACCTCAGAAGCAGCCCTGGGGTGCCAGGTGCGCTCCAGGCTGGGCACACAGTTGGTGCTCAGTGATCAGAGCCCCTGCAACAAGTGGTCAGGTCTGCCAGGCACTAAGCCAGCCCTGCGGGATGTCCTTGCTGTCCACCAGGGGCCCAGCACCTGCAGACCCCGGTGACACCATCATGGAGAGACAGGCAGGAACGCAGCCCTGGGGCCATGGGCGTTGGCCAGGCCCTGTGATGCCTGTGCTGCCTGTGCTGCAGGAGGCTGTGAGGATGGGCGTGGGAACCCCTGAGCAGCCACTCGGGCACAGGTGGGGCTGGCTGCGCCGCCGCCCGGCTCCTGCAGAGGCTGCCCCAACCCCAATGTGGAAGAGTTTCAGCCCGGGCCCCACCCACCCTAGATGACCCCTCACAACTTTCAGGGAGGGCAGAGGCACGCAGTTCCCCAGTGGCCTGGCTGGACGTCACCCACACCTGCCAGAGACTCCGGGCCAGCGTCTCGTGCCTGTGCACGTGGCAGGCAGTCCATGCACATCAGAGGCTTTCTCTCTACAGACATGGCTAGGAACAGCCAGTCTTCCTGAATGGATATGGGGGTGGGTGGGGCCGCAGAGAAGGGGAAGAGCTGTTCCCTGACCCACATCCCCGTCGGCCCCTGTATCTGCACTGGCCTCAATACTACAGCCTCAGGTCTGGGGAGCAAGGGCTGGATTGAGGAGTGTTCTGGGCTCAGGGACCGGTGTGGTCCTTCTGGTGAGCTCTGGGGTGGGGAGCTGACACTGGCCCCGTGTGGCTGCGTCAGGAGGGACAAGGAGGGAGGCAAGGCTGGACCAAGCAGAGTCTCCACTGGGATGCTTGGAATTTGGACTTGGACTTGAGTGGCCCCTCCAGGCCGGGCACAGGGGGCCAGCCCAGCCATTACAGGGCACTGGTCTGTGGGAGGGTGGGGGCAGCTGGTGGGGACTTGTGTTCACCCCTTGCGAAGCCAGGGCAGGCTTGGGCTGATTCCCAGGAGTTCTTCCAGCCTCACCTCTGTCACCCTTGCCCCCTCCGCTCCGGCTGCCGGGCCTTGGCCACGGGCGTTTGCATTTGCTGGTCCTGCTCCTGGGGCCCCTGCACTCCACATAGCTGGCATCCTGCTATCTCTGCTTAACTGCCCTTTTCGGAGAAGCTCCTGCCCCTCACCCTGATTTCTTTCTTTCTTTTTAGAGACAGGGTCTCACTCTGTTGCCCAGACTGGGGTGCAGTGGCGTGATCACGGCTCCCTGCAGCCTTGACCTCCTGGGCTCAAGTGATCCTCCCACTTCAGCCTCCCGAGTAGCTGGGACACCCGGCGCACGCCACCACGCCCGGCTAATTTTTAAAGTTTTTTTTTGTGGAGACACGGTTTTGCCATGTTGCCCAGGCTGGTGTTGAACTCCTGGCCTCAAGCAATCCTCCTGCCTTGGCCTCCCAAACTGCTGGGATGACAGGCGTGAGCACACGGCCACCCTGGTTTATTGCCAACACTCGGAACGCACCTATGTTTAGATGCTTGTTTGGGCTTCCTCTCTGTGACGGATCCTCCGGAGGTCCCGGCTCCTCCGTCTTTCTGCCACGCCATCCTCAGCGCCTAGAACAGTGCCTGACACACGGCAGGAGCCTGATGAGGATTTGTTGAATGAATGAATGACACCAGGGCTCAACGCCACTCCAGGACTCAGTCTTCTCACCTGTCAAGGGGGCTAGCACCTGGCCCAGGGTTGCTACCTGGTCCACTGGTCCAGGGAGACAGACCTGCTTGAGCCTGACTGGTTTCGTACTTGTGGGACCCCCGGGGCTGCCCCTGCCCTGCCCGGGGTGGGAGGATTGAATCAGGTCTCGTGGGGTGGGCAGTGGAGCCACTGCCAGCGGGCACACACCAGGCACCTCCTGCCCTACCCAGACTTGGGCTGAGCAGGGGAGGGACAGGGAGGGACTCGGGAAGAGAGCACAACGTCTCTTGGGGGATTTTCCGGGCATCCCACAACGGGGGGCTGCCCTGTTCCCTGGGGCCCAGAGAGGGAGCCTGGCCCTGGCCCCGAGTGATGAGCACAGCCCGGCCGGGCCCAAAGACCGCCCCCCACCCTGATCTGTGTAAGCTGCGGGTCCCGGCCGGGGCCTGGGAATGTCATAGCTGGTCTGCCCCGCAGGGAGCGGGGAATTGACATGCAGAGCAGACCTCAGCCGCTTCCATGGTGGGGCCCCCTCACCCCTGCCGCCCCATCTGCCCTGCCCAGGCCTCCTGCTCCAGCCCCGCCCCGATGCACAGGAACTGGCTTGGCCCTTCCCACAGCACCTCAGCTACCCCCAGACCCGTTTTCAGAGGAGGGTGTTGAGGCCAGAGAGGGGAGGGACCTTCCCAGTCCCTGAGCCTGCCAAGGTGGGCCCAGCTTGGGGTGGGGACAGAGGGGCTGCTCCTGGCTGGGGCAAGAGTTGGAGGGGTCTCCGATGGGGGCATGGCCACGCCCTGTGCCATGAAGCCCCTCACAGAAACTAGGGAGTCGTGGGCAACACCCTGTCCCTGTGACAGGAGGGGAAACTGAGTCACGGAGTGCCCAGGGCCCCATGGCAGGAGTGGGCAGGGCCTGGTTCTTGTGCCTTGGCCTCCATCTGGGAGGAGGCAGGGAGCAGAGCTCAGACTCCTCCCAGTGAGGGCCCCCCATGTGGCTCTGCTGCACGGCCCCAGTTGGGGGGCTCCCTGGGTGGGGGGGCTCTGGGAAGCCCACAGTTACCCCCAGGTAGAAATGTCTGTGGCCTGCACCTCTGCAGCCTGGCCTCCTTCCAACCTCGAGCGGCCGCTGTGAGGGTGTCTGGGAAGGAGGAGCTTTTCCTGTGTCTTCTGGCTTCTTCCTGCCCCTCCACGTCCTTCCAAGGCCTCACGGGGACCCCAGGGACAGCCATGCCTTGCTTCTCTCGGGTGAATCATGGAGAAGGGGCCTCCTCTGGAGCCCAAGACGCAGGGGGGCTGAAGGGGTCTCCTCTGGAGCCTGAGACGCAGGAGGCTGACGGCTGCCATGCAGGCTTGCTCCCCAGCGGCCATTCCCTGCCAGGCCCACCCTCACCTTTGTGGGGCCCGGGAGAGAGTTGAGCCCGAAGCTCCCCCCACTTCTCCTCCCCGGAAGCCCTGTTTAGCTTTGGGAGGGAGGAGCCTCCCACCTCGGGCCTGGGAGCCTCCACGCCAGGGCTGGGAAGGCCTCAGGAGGACTCGAAGGGGGTTTCAGGGTGTGCGCTCAGGGAATTCTGGGGTCCCGGGTGCTGGGGCATCAGGTGGGAGGTGGACATGAGCTCTGGGTGGCCCCCTCGGCCCTGCAGACCCCGCCAGGAGGGGCACAGCCAGATCATACGTCCGGGCCCTGCTCCTGTCTGCGGGCCTCCTGCTGGGTGAACCTCCCTCACCCTGAAGCTGCCCTGGCTCCTACTGGTCTGGAGCTTGGACTCCCAGGGCCCTGCTCCCCGGGGACCCTCCCGGCAGAGGCCTTTGTCTGGCTGGCTGTGATGGGTCCTGACACCCCATCTGTCTGTCTGTCGGTCCACCTAGGTGTTTCCCCCCGGGCCGGCCTGCCGTGACGATCACAGCCCTGCCGTCTCAGGTCACGGTTTTGGATTCTGCGCTAACGAGGTCTCCCAGGTGGGCTGGAAACACTGATGAAGACGGATAGAAAAAACACCAGCCCACCGGATTATTAATAAAGATAATCACACACACCCCTTCGTCGGCAGCCGGCCTGACACTTTATAAAGCACGTTAGGATATAATCCAATTGAAACTGCAATATCGAGAACATCTCATCTTATCACAAATTGAAATTATATCACATTCCTCTTTTCTTAAATTAAAAAGCTAAAACCTTTTCGTTTGCTCTCACACAGTTGTGTAAAACTTAATCAGTGGTTTTAACAACATTATATTTCCATATGGGCCATTTCTAGTCTCGACTTACGGGGGAGAACTTTCCAGAAAAGGGGCGATTGGTTTTGTGAGCAGGAGCAGCAGGCCCGGGGTCAGTGCCTGGCAAGATGGACTTGGCCTCATCTGCACACAGGCGGTGGCTGGGATCAAGGTCCGAGGATATACCAGGGACGGCGGAGGGATTTCAGCAGATGCATGTTCCCATTTTAAGAATTGCCACCTTAAATATTATATATATATATATATAGAGAGAGAGAGAGAGAGAGACAGTCTCGCTCTGTCGCCCAGGCTGGAGTACAGTGGCACAATCGGCTCACTGCAACCTCCGCCTCCCAGGTTCAAGTGATTCTCCTGCCTCAGCCTCCCGAGTAGCTGGGATTAGAGGTATGCGCCACCACACCTGGCTAATTTTTGTATTTTTAGTAGAGACAAGACTTTCACCATGTTGGCCAGGCTGGTCTTGAACTCCTGACCTCAGGTGATCCGCCCGCCTTGGCCTCCCAAAATGTTGGGATGACAGGTGTGAGCCACTGCGCCCGGCCACCTTAAATATTTAAGAGGGAGAAGGATGCAGTCACACAAGTCACAGCAAATTGAAAGCCGAGGAGAGCAGAAGAGGCAGGCCCGGGGACACAGTCCCAGAAAGCCACCCTTGGGGCCAGCGGGACGGAGGCTGGGTCTAACACTAAGTGGCCTGGAGGCCCAGAGGACAGGGACTCGGCCTGCAGGGGCGGGCGTGGAAGCAAAGACTTTCTGCTTCAGTTTTGCACTTCAACAAGGCCCTTTCCCTGGTAGCCGAGAGCAGCTGTTGGGGGTTTCGCGGTCTCTAAGATGAAAAGAAGCCATCAGGCTAGCAATTATAAAAATGTATTTATTTATTTATTTTTGGGACAGGGTCTTGCTCTGTTGCCCAGGCTGGAGTCCAGTGGTGTGATCATAGCTCACTGCAGCCTTGACCTGCTGGACACAAGCGATCCTCCCACCTCAGCCTCCGAAGTGGCTGGGACTCTAGGCGTGCATCACCACGCCTGGCTAATTTTTTAACTTCTTGTAGAGATGGGGTCTCACTCTGTTGCCCGGGCTGGTCTTGACCTGCTGGACACAAGCGATCTTCCTGCTTCAGCCTCCCAAATTCTGGGATTACAGGCATTTTTTTGTAGAACTGGGGTCTTGCTATGTTGCCCAGGCTGATCTCAAACTCCTGGGCTCAAGTGATCCTCCTGCCTCAGCCTCCCAGGTAGCTGAGGCTGCAAGCATGAGTCACCGTGCCTGGCTCTCGCTTCGTTCTTTTTACTTTTTTTAAACGCAGCTACTAGAAAATTGAAAATGGCAGGTGTGGCCCATTCATTGTGGCTCGGGTTCCATTTCTGTGGACGGGGGTGTTCTGGCACATTGCAGGGTCTCCTGAGATCCTGCTCACCATTTTTGGGGTGTCCACCATCATGGTAGCCCCTCCCTCGTCCACATCCTGTCCGTTTTCTCCCACACGATTTCCTGGGTCTGAGCGTTCCCCTCCACCAGCCCCTGACTCCAGGACTCTCCGTGTCTCCCCACCCTCCCCAAGTGAGCTCAGTGTTTTGGTGGCCCCTGCAGAAGCCCTCTGGGGTTTCCTGTTACACTCTAGGCTAAGTCCAGCTTCACAGCAGGACCCTGTCCCCCCAGGACCCCATCAACCCAGGCCCACACACACCCCCATGGGATGAAACTAGTGGGTGCTAGTCACGGGGAGATTCTGTCCCGTGGACGCCGCCCACGGCCACATCATTGAAGGTCCAGGTGGGCAGCCTCGGCCGCTGTCAGCGCTCTCCCGGAAATGTTTGTTCATCCTTTCGTCCTTCATTCCATCCTTTTTGTTCCTGAGATGGAGTCTCGCTCTGTCACCCAGGCTGGAGTGCAATGGCACGATCTTGGTTCACTGCAGCCTTCGCCTCCCGAGTTCAAGCGATTCTCCTGCCTCAGCCTCCGGAGTAGCTGGGATTACAGGCGTGCACCACCATGCCCAACTAATTTTTGTATTTTTAGTAGAGATGGGGTTTTGCCATGTTGGTCAGGCTGGTCTCGAACTCCTGACCTCAGGTGATCCACTGGCCTCAGCTTCCCTAAGTGCTGGCATTACAGGTGTGAGCCACCACATCCGGACCCTTTGTTCCGTTCTTTTAATTGAGCATCTCCTCCATGCCAGGCCACCCGCTGGTACCACAGCCCCACACCAGCAAGAGACCCACCAGCTCCTGTCCTCGAGGACCTGGTGGAGGCATAAAGAGAATGGCAGTCCTGGGGGCCGGGGCTCTGCAGGGACGTGGGGCCCTGGGGAGGGTGCTGAGGGGAGGGAGAGGCAGCCTGGTGGGAGGGCTGCGGCTGAGCCAGGCAGGGGCCCTGAGGCCAGGGAGAGTTGCAAGTTCTGGCCAGGCATGGACTCCGTCCGAGTGGAAAGGCTGGGAGAGGTCAGAGGGGCAGGATGGTGGGGTGGGGCCCGGAGGGCGTTAGGTGGAGAGACATGGGACCAGGGTGGTCTTCGACGCCAGCTCTGGCTGTGGGTGTGAGGTCCAGGGGGCAGAAACCAAGGACATATAACCCCCTCGCTGACATCCAGGGCCCACCAGGTGTGGCCTGCTCTATCCTCATTGGCCAGAATATAGTCACATGGCCAGGGCAGGCTGCAAGGGATGCTGGGGAATGTAGTTCCCTCTGGGGCTTGCTGTGGCCGCTAAAAGGGGAGGTGGGGAATGGATATTGGGGATGCATGAGTGATGTCTGGCTGCAGTGACAAAGTACCGAAAATGGGGGGCTTCAAGGAACAGTTAGACTTCTAGAGGCCAGAGTCTGAGATCAAGATGTGGGCAGGAGGCCAGGTGCGGAAGCTCATGCCTGCCATTCCAGCACTCTGGGAGGCCAAGGTAGGAGGATCGCTTGAGCCCAGGAGTTTGAGATGAGTCTGGGCAACATAGTGAGACCCCATTTCTACAAAAATTTTTAAAAATTAGGCCAAGTGTGGTGGCTCACGCCTGTAATCTCAGCACTTTGGGAGGCCGAGGCAGGTGGATCACCTGAGGTCGAGAGTTTGCGACCAACATGGAGAAACCCTGTCTCAACTACCAATACAAAAATTAGCGAAGCATGCTGGCACACACCTGTAATCCCAGCTATTTGGAGACCGAGCTGGGAAAATCGCTTGAACCCGGGAGGCGGAAATGGCAGTGAGCCGAGATCAGGCCACTGCACTCCAGCCTGGGTGACAGAACAAGACTCTGTGTCAAAAAAAAAAAAAAATAAAATAAATAAAATAAAATAAAATTAGCCAGGCATGGTGGCATGCACTTGTAGTCTCAGCTACTCAGGAAGCTGAGGGGGGAGGATTGCTAGAGCCTGGGAGTTTGAGGCTGCAGTCAGTCACGATCGTGCCACTGCACTCCAGCCTGGGCGACACAGTGAGACTCCATCTCAAAAAAAAAGAGAGAGGGTTGAGTTTAGGTTGAAGGTAGCCAATCTGAAAGCTCAAGGCAGGAATTAGGGATTTGCTAAGGGAACCCTTCTTTCTGAAGTCAGAATCTACTGATTAAGGGTTCCATGAGGCAGTGCTTTGCTGTGGTGAGAAAGGCAGTTGTTGTGGTCCAAGCTACAGCTGGTACCAGCAGAGGAAAGAAAATCAAGGGTTCAGCAGAAGAAAGTCTTGGGATTCTAAGTCCGCTGGAAACCTCCCATTAAGAACATAGTATGATTATGTGGCAGACACAGCCCCCAACTTTGCTGGATGCCATCTGGTATTTGGGGTGCTGTGGTGGTACACAGGACTCACGGTGCCACAGCAGCCAGTTTGGGACCATGAGGGATGGTAAGGCCGCCAAGCAGAGACGAGCTGGGCAGAAACAGGGAAGGCTGCTGGGTCTTTGCTGACCTCCTGTTGGTGTCACTGAGCCCTGAATTAGCCAGTCTAGAACCTTCTTATGTGTAGATTTCTTGTTGGGAAGGATAATGAATCCAGGGTCGTGTAAGCCTCTTTGACTTGAATTTCCTGAGAGCCAAGTCAACACCCTATTGGTTTCCATTGATGTCACGCCGACGGGATGTCCTTCAATTCCCCACACCGTCTGCGCTGGGGCCTGGGGGTTGTCCAGCCCCGTCCACTCTCTTGAAGTCAGTGGGGATGCTGAGGCCCAGGAAGCAGAGTTGCCATCCCATCCCCGACCAGGGCAGAGCCACTGGGCCAGCCTCCTGCGCCATGGCCCTCCCCAGGCCTGCACTGGGTCTGGGGCCACCTCCCTGTTGTGGGACCTTTGCAAGACCCCGTTTTCCATGGAAGTGAGGACAACAGTGACAATGACACGCCTCCCCAGGCGTAGCCCCTTCTTCTGACCTTGAGTCAACCAGTCCCCAGGAGGGTGGGCGGGATGGGGCTGGGGAAGGTGAGCTTGACAGCTTCTCCACGTGCTGCTCCTGCCGCCTCTTCCCCCTCACTCCCAGCTCAGTCTGTCTCTCCCTCCCTCTCTGTCTCTGTCTCTCCCTCCCTCTGTCTGTCTCCCTCTCTCCCTCCCTCTCTGTCTCTCCCTCCATCTGTCTCCCTCTCTCCCTCCCTCTCTCTGTCTCCCTCTCTCCCTCCCTCTCTGTCTTTCCCTCCCTTTCTGTCTCTGCCTCTGTCTCTGTCTCTCCCTCCCTCTCTGTCTCTGTCTCTCCCTCCCCTTCTGTCTCTGACTCTGTCTCTGTCTCTCCGTCCCTCTCTCTGTCTCTCCCTCTGTGTCTCTGTCTCTGTCTCTCCCTCTCTGTCTCTCTCTCCCTCCATCTCTCCGTCCCTCTGTCGCTCCCTCCCTGTCTCTCCCTCCATCTCTCTGTCTCTGTCTCTCCCTGTCTGTCTCTCCCTCTCCCCCTCTCTCTGTCTCTCTCTCCCTCTCCCTCTCTCCCTCTCTGTCTCTCTCTCCCTCTCTCTCAGTCTGTTTCTCTCTCTCCCCCCTCTCTCTTCCTCTCCCCACTCCCCCTTTTCTCTCCCTCTCTGTTACTCCCACAGTTTCCCTGTCATTCTCTGCAATGTGGGCTCATCCATTCTGCTTCCAGCAGGCTCAGAAAGTTCTGCTTCTTATCTGACCACTGCAGAAGGCTGAGATGCCGCCAGGTGCCACTTCGTGTCTTAGGGTTGGATGCAGGGGCTGGGGGTGCCCCCTTCTCCTTGGCTTAGGCTGACCTGGGTGTGCCTCCGGCCAGAGCTCTCAGCCGGGCTCAGAAGGCCCCAGGGACCGTGGGAAGCTGTCGTTGCTTGGAGCGGGTGAGGCCAGACCAGAGCAGCCAGCAGCGCTTGGCGAGGCTCCAGGCAGCAGCCAGGTAGCCAGCTGCGCTCCTCCCTCCCCTGGAAGTGGGGGGCCCCTGGGGGACCCCTGTGTCACATGACCCATCAGCTGACAAAACAGGATGACTCAGCCAGCAGCTGTCGGCCCCCTGAAATAATGACAAAAACAATTAGCAATCCAAGCAGTAGCCTTTCCTTAATTATCTCCTCCGAGTTTAATTAACTAGCTAAATTATCAGCAGTAATGTAGGCATTAATTATGTCAAATTACAGTGTAAAACTCACAAAGTGTGGAAAATGTCAATTCAGCTTGGCTCACCTGCCAAGCGGGGGTGGCGAGGGCGTGCATGTACCTGTGCGAGTACCTGTTTGTGCCTCGGGGCCGGCGGGGCCATCAGGGCTGGGGCAGGGGGCAGGGGGCAGGGGGCAGCGTCTGCAGGGCTGGACGGAGGGAAGACACCGGGGACAGGGCGGGTGGGGCCCTGGGGACACCGGCGGGGGTGATGGGGAAGCTTTGGCTCAGACTGAGGGAGGGAAGGGAGCCTGTTCCCGGACCAGATGGCCAAGATGCTGAATTATTAAATTATGAATATTAATACAAATCAGACACAAAAGAGGTAATAATTTTGCTGCCCTACAGAAATAATTAACATAATTTTGATAAATTACATGATAAGAGAATCTCAAAATTGAGGTAGATTTATCTTAATTAATATCTTGGACCAGCTCCGAAAGGTAAATTGTTCCTTGGGGGGTTGGGGCAGAGTGAGGCTGGGGTGGGATTCGGCCCCTGGCCAGGGCCCTGGTCTCTTTCTGTCACAGAGGCTGGGGTGGGGGGACAGGGTGGGAAGATTGAGGACCCAGTCTGACTCAGTTGCACTGGAGCACCTTAGGCGAGGGGCGGCCCTCTCTGAGCCTCAGTTTCCCTTTCTGGGAGCCTGGGTGGCCGGCCCAGCTGGCCTCACGGGGCCTTCAGCGGGGACTGGCTGGGAGCTGTGGCTTTGGCCAAGCTTTTGCCACCCAAATGCTCTGGCCGAGCCCGGGGACACCTGCCCTCCAACTGAGCCACACACCTGCCTATTTACCTGTGCACACCTGGCCAGGGAGACTGAGGACCCAAGAGCTCGTCCCAGCAGCTTGTCCCATTTCTGAAGGGTCTGGGCCAGGCCTCATCCTCTTCAAGCCTCAGTCTCCCTTTGGTACAATGGGAGTTGGGCTGCACAGATGCTGAAGACTGTTGGCCACCCCCTCAGGTCTCACTCCGTGCCACTGCCATCCCTCTGCGGGGCCAGCCAGTCTTGTGGTATGGGGGGCAGTTAGCAAACCTCCAAAGATGGGGAACCAGCCTTGTGCAGGGGCACCAGGGCACCCAGGACCCCGCCGGTCCTCAGACTCTAGCAGCCTGGCCTCCCATGTCCTGGGACCACAGACAGCCCCTCAGGTGCTTGTCACCCAGAGGCCAGGGCTGTGTCAGGGCATGGGGCACCTGTGTGGCTTTAAGGCCTGCCATCTGCCCCCTGGCCCTCGGGACACCCTGCCGTTTGCTTACTCTGGCAGCACTGGCCTCTGCAGGTTTCGGACAACCCGGGCACACTGCCTGATGGCCCTGCTGTCCACAACATTCTGTCCTGGAGTGGTCGCCCCGACCTCCCCAAGTCTTCAGTGGGTCTCCCTGACCACCCCCGACGAGGGCAGGGACTTGATCTGTCCACTCGCCGCTGTATACCCGGGGCCTGGCACATAGCAGGTGCTCAGCAAAGTGTCACTGAATTGATTTGTTGATGAACACAACGTCTTTCGTGCGAGGTATACATCACATCTGATGTGTCAGACACCGTGCACGGCACCCACTAAACATCCGGCCACATCCGCGTTCCAGGTCCCGTCCCAGGAGCCGGCCGCATCCCCGTGGTGAGCGCTGCACGCCTCTGCACCCTGCCTTCCGAGGCACAGAGCCGCCTTCTGCACAGTCCGCACTCTGTGTCACATGCGGGAAATGACACGCTCCACCATCCGTGAGCCACGGAGCCCGGAGACTGTCCCCCGCGTTGAGTAGGGTGTGGCCCCCTCAATTCCTGGCACGGGACGCCCATGGGATGCGTGTTACGTATCAGTCACATCACACACATGTGCATACTAAGCCAAGGAGGCTAGGCTCAGGGCCTGGGTTACCCCCAACCCTGGAGTGTGTGCACACTCATGATTATACGTGGGTGTTCATGCAAGCACGTGTGTTCATGAACGGGTTTTTGGTTTTTTTTTTTTTTTTTTATGGAGTCCGGCTCTGTCGCCCAGGCCTGGAGTGCAGTGATGCGATCTCAGCTCACTGCAACCTCTACCCGCTGGGTTCAACCAATTCTCCTGCCTCAGCCTCCTGAGTAGCTGGGAATACAGGCACACGCCACCACGCCCAGCTAAGTTTTGTATTTTTGGTAGAGATGGGGTTTCACCATGTTGGTCAGGCTGGTCTCAAACTCCTGACCTCAAGTGACCACTCACCTCAGCCTCCCAAAGTGCTGGGATTACAGGCGTGAGCCACCGCACCCGGCTCATGGAGGTTTTTCCTGAGTGCAAATGTATGTGCCTGTTCTTACAAGAGAAATAGATGGGGCCGGGCGTGGCCTGTAATCCCAGCACTTTGGGAGGCCAAGGCAGGCAGATCACGAGGTCAGGAGATCAAGACCATCCTGGCTAACACGGTGAAACCTCACATCTACTAAAAATACAAAAAATTAGCTAGGCGTGGTGGCGGGCGCCTGTAGTCCCAGCTACTCGGGAGGCTGAGGCAGAATGGCGTGAACCCGGGAGGCAGAGCTTGCAGTGAGCCGAGATCGCACCACTGCACTCCAGCCTGGGCGACAGAGCGAGACTCTGTCTCCAAAAAAAAAAGAGAGAGAGAAATAGATGGGGAGAGGCACTGAGTCACCGAGTCATCCTTTCTGCCCCCTGGCCCTCTGTTTCCTCGCCTGTGTTGGAGCGAGTTCTGACTACAGGTGCCGCCGGGAGGAGCCTGGATCATGCTCTGTAAAGCAAGGTGGTAGCAATGTCCCCAGACCATGAACTCCCAGAACAGCAGCCAGGCCCAGCTAAGGGAACTTCCTCCAGACCAGGACTGGGACACAGGAGCCTCCACTGTTTGGAGGAGGAAACCGGGGCTCCGAGGAGTTCAGGGACCCTCCAGGGTTGCACGGAGCAGGCAGGTGGAGGGAGCTGGTGGCAGCCAGGTTGGGCTGGGCAGGAAGCAGCCACCAGGGGAGCCACCTGGCCATACTGGTGGGTTTCCTGCAGCCTGGCCAGCTCTGGACTCTGCCGCTCCAACAGGCCTGGAGGAGCTGAGGCGGCGACCTGGCCCTGCCAGCAGAGGAGGTGGGTGCATTCAGGGATGAGGGGCACATGGTGGGCATGCTGGTCAGCCTTGCCAGACCCTTACCCCTGCCCTAGCCGGAATCAGAGGCCTCCCCCAACACCTGCCCCCCCCACCTGGACATGGCTTCTTCCAAGAACAGGGTGCTTACTACCTGCCAGGGCTGCTCCGAGCAGGTATAGCAATGGAGACCATGGCCTGCTTACCTCCCAGCAGAGGGGAACAGGCAATGCACAGACGCACACATGTACAGAGCGTGTGGCCTCAGGTCCCGTGAAAGGCCCATGGCAGGTGGAGAAGAGCAGAGGCCGGGCAGTGCTGTGCTGTCAGGGCAAGGCAGGGCACACCCCGTAGGGTACGAACCTGCAGGTGCAAAGGCCCGGGCAGGTGGAAGTGGTGCAGAGACAGCGAGGAGGAGGAGGGCGAGGAGGAGGAGGAGACGGGGTTATGGGAGCTGGAGGGGTAACAGGGCCCGGAACACTGAGTGCCTTGAGACTGTGTTTCAGCCAGGCTGGGCGTACAGGCAGGATTCTTGGTCCGAGACAGTTTACAGGCGAGAAGCCAGGGCTGGGAGCAGTGTGGAAGAACGCTAGCACTTCAATGGACTGGGCAGATGCGTTTGCCCTCTGCCTCAGTTTCCCCATCTGTGAAATGGGAGAACGAAGCTCACCTCACAGGCAGCCCTGAGCCCTGACCTGGGTGGGTGGGGCGGGCTTTGTGAACCACTAGGCTCACGTTCAGTGAGGCACACAGTGGTGACCCCTCTGGGGGTGCTGGCTGCGACCCACAGGGCTCCCAGCACTAGACTCACAGAAGCTGCAAAAGGGGAAGGCCCCGGGCTCTGGATGACATCAGAGGCAGGTGGAACGCAGGGTGCCAGAACTTAGGAATTGGCCAGGCTGTGTGTGACGTCAGTAGGGTGGAGCACAGAGTGCTGGGGCTTAGGCATTGGCAGGTTTTTGTGTGACATCAGATGGGGGTGGAGCAGAGTGCAGGGGCCCTAGGAATTAGCCAGGTTTTGTGTGCCGTCACTGGGGGGTGGGGGGGGGGGGTGGAGCACAGGGTGCCAGTCCTTAGGGATTGGCCAGATTTTTGTGTGACGTCAGATCGGGGTGGAGCACAGGGTGCCAGGCCCTAGGGATTGGCCAGGTTTTTGTGTGACGTCAGTTGTGGGTGGAGCGTAGAATGCGGGGCCCTAGGGGTCGATCAGGTTTTATAGTGAAGTCAGATGAGGGTGGAGCGCAGTGTGGGGGCCCTAGGGATTGGCCAGGTTTTTGTGTGACGTCAGATGGTGGTGGAGGGCAGACTGTGGGAGCCCTAGGGATAGGCCAGGCTCTGTGTGACATCAGAGCGGGAATGGAGGGCCAGGTGGTTCTTGTTCTGTCTGCAGGGTGAGAATATTGGACGTGATTCTAAAGACTAAGCCTTTGGAGAGTATCAGGCAGGGGTGACGTTCCATCTGGGTTTGTTCTTTCTTACATGTTTAATTAGGTAGCATTTCAAATGCAGAAAAGCACAGGAAACAGTTATTCTGTTGGGTAAACAGCCATTTACCCATCACCAGGACTAAGCAGATGCGAACACTGTGCCCTGTTTGGACCAGATCTCTTACCCGAGCTCCCTTTTTTCTTTTTTCTTTTTGTTGAGACGGAGTCTTGCTCTGTCACCCAGGCTGGAGTGCAGTGGCGCGATCTCAGCTCACTGCAACCTCCGCCTACTGGGTTCAACCAATTCTCCTGCCTCAGCCTCCCAAGTAGCTGGCACTACAGGTGCCCACCACCACGGCTGGCTAATTTTTGTATTTTTAGTAGAGACGAGGTTTCGCCGCGTTGACCAGGCTGGTCTCGAACTCCTGACCTCAGATGATCTGTCTCGGCCTCCCAAAGTGCTGGGATTACAGGCGTGAGCCACCGTGCCTGGTCCAAACTCCCTTTTTAAAAGAACCTTTTTATTTTAAAATATTTAGATGTACAGAAAAGTTGCAAAGACAGCGCAGAGAATTCCTGTACACCAGTACGGTCTCCCCTAATGCTAACATCTTACATTACTTTGGTGCGTTTGTCACAGCTAAGAAACCCACATCAGCACATGACTCATCGTGAAACCCCACACTCTCCCCCGATTTCCTGTGCCTCCTATTACCCGTTTTCTGCTCCAGCTCCACCTCCAGGAGCCCACGCGACACAGCATGCTCAAATCTCCTGGGGCTCCTCTGTTCTGTGACTTTGACAGTTTTGAGGAGTGTTGCTCAGGTATTTTGCAGAATGTCCCTGGACTTGGATTTGTTGAGGCTTTTCTCGTGGTCTGATTGAGGTTCTGGGCTTGGGGAGGGAGACCACAGAAGTGACGTGCCCTTCCTAGTGCATCATCGGATCTGGGTTCTGGGGAGGCGGGAGAAGGGGCAACAGGAAGGGGCAGAAAGGGGATGGGAGAGTGGGCGCCTTAGGGTGGTGGGGTGGACAAGACTTGGGTGTGGGAGAGGCTTGAGGGAGGAGTTGGGGTGGTGGCCAGGTGGGTGCTGGTCAAGGACGTCGGGTCTGGAACTTACGGCTTTGAGACTGGAGCGGTTGGGGAGGATGTCTTGTTTCTGGTCTAGGTACTTGGGTGGGGGTGGGCTGCTGGCAGAGCCAGGGGCCAGGAGAAGGGCCTGTGGTGGAAGCTGGCTCTGCTCCCCTGACATCCTGCCCCCCACTCGTTTGTCCGACATGAAGGCTCAGGGCCACCCCTCCATACTCAGTGAGGAGGAAAACCTGAGGGTCTGGCATCCTCGTAATTAATTCATCAGGCGCCATGCTGGGATGTCTGAAGATGTGCGAGTGTTTAATTACAAACTTCTACATAACCATGCGCTTTAATTACCTGGGGCTGGGGAACCCTCCCACCTCGTGTCCAGCTCCAGTTGTCAGAGGGGTCTGGAGAGCCAGGTGGGGCAGCTGGTTCCCCAAGGCCACTGAGGCTGGAAATGAGGGCTGGGGAGGAGGGACAGATCCGGAGGTGGGAGCCCTGGATGGGACTGCAAGAAGTGCAGGTGAGGGTGCCCCTGACACCCCTTCTGTGTATGGCACTTAAGCCTGGGCTGTCTGAGGCCAGGGTCTCAGCTGGGGTCTCTGAGGGTCTGTGTGGCACTGGTGTGCCTTGTGCCACCTAGGGTCAGGCAGGGACCTCCATGAGGACAGGGTCCTGGGCTCCACCGAGAGCTCACTGTGTGGCCCTGCACCAGTTACCTCCTGCCTCCTGCACAGTTTCCTCATCGATGAATGGGGCTCATTGCAGCCGGCAAGCAACCCCTCTCCACTACTAAACAATGGGGGGTTACTCATAGTGCCCTCAGCCTCTCTTGGTTTCTGTTTTCTACTCATCCATCAATCCATTACTCACCCATCCATCCATCCTCCATCCATCCATCCATGCCTTCTCCCGCACATTTATCCACCCACCCATCCATCCATGTAACCATCTATCCATCCATCCACCTATCCCTATCTATTCATCCAGCCACTCGCTCACCTACCCATCCACCCATCCATCCATCCATCCATCCACCCACCCACCCATTCACCCATCCACCCACCCATCCATCCACTCACCCACCCATCCATCCACCCACCCATCCATCCACCCACCCATCCACCTATCCATCCACCCATCCATCCATTCCCATCTATTCATCCAGCCACCCACCCACCTACCCATCCATCCACCCATCCATCCATTCCCATCTATTCATCCATCCACCCACCCATCCACCCATCCATCCATTCCCATCTATTCATCCAGCCACCCACCCACCTACCCATCTACCCCACCCATCCATCCATCCACCCACTCATCCACCCCTCCACCCACCCATCTATCCCCATTCATCCACTCATCCATCCATCCACCCACTCGTCCATCCACCCATCCACCCACCCACTCACCCATCTATTCCTCCCTATCCATCCATCCAACCATCCACTCATCCACTCATCCACCCACCCATCCATCCATCCCCATCCATCTATCCATCCATCCATTCATCCACCCACCCACCTATCCACCCACCCATCAACCCACCCATTTATCCATGCATCCATTCATCCATCCACTCATCCACCCACTCATCCATCCCCATCCATACATCCATACATCCATCCATCCACCCATCCATCCATCCACCCATCCATCCATCCATCCACCCAGTCATCCATCCATCCATCCATCCATCTATTCACCCACCCATCCACCCACTCATCCATCCATCCATCTGTCCACCCACCCATCCACCCACTCATCCATCCATCTATCCATCCACCCACCCATCCACCCACTCATCCATCCATCCACCCGCCCACCTATCCACCCACCCACCTACCCACCCACCCATCCATCCATCCATTCATCCATCCACTCATCCATCCATCTCCATCCATTCATCCATCCACCTATCCACCTAACCATCCATCCATCCATCCATCCCTCCATCCATCCCTCCCTCCCTCCATTCACCCACCCACTCATCCATCCACCTATCCTCCTAACCATCCATCCATCCATCCATCCATCCCTCCCTCCCTCACTCCCTCCCTCCCTCCCTCCATTCACCCACCCACTCATCCATCCATTCATCCATCCATCCCCATCCAGCAATTGCAGTGGATGTTCACAGGGTTATCCTGGCTGCCCAGCATTTGAACACACACAAGCAGGTACCTGACTTAGCTCAGCCTAGCAGCACACCTGACCAAGACCAAGTGGGTGGACAGATGTCAGCCTGGATACCCCTGTGTGTGTTTGGTGTGTGTGTGAGGGGCGGGGTCAGGCATATGGTGATAGCCCAAAGGGACATCATGGTCAGTGCTGAGCCTTGTGGTCTCAGGCCTTCTCACCCTGGGGAGAGTTGAGGATTGAGCTGTGGTAAGGGTCTGACACCCCCAGCACCCACACCCAAGGATGGAGAACAGAAGTTTCTAACTCTGCTTCTGTTGTTATCTGTGGCCCCGAGGGGCGTGTGCATGCGTCAGTGTGGGGGTGTGACTGTTTGTGCTTTGTGCCCTGTGGTAGTGAGTGAGGGTGGCCGCTCCTGCCCACGGCATGTCCAGCCTGCTGTGGTCTTCAGGGACAGGCCCACTTCAGGCTCCCCTCTCAGAGCCTCAGTTTCCCCAGCTTTGCAACGGGACCATGGAAGGCAACCTGACCTGGGCCTCAGGCTGGTTGTGGGGATGGAATGAAGTAGTAACGTGGCATCCCCCGTATCACCAGCACATGAGGGCCCCTGAGACTCTGCTGTGTGCAGGCCGGGCTGCAGATCTGCCTTCCTATGCTCCACACCTGGGCCCATTTTCCAGATGAGGCTAACAAGGCTCAGAGAGGGGAAGCGACTTTCCCAAGGCCACACAGCCAGCTGGGGGCACAGCCAGGTGTGCGTAGAGCTGTGTGTGACTGTGTCCTGGGGGAGGGACAGGAGACTCAGGACAGCAGGCCTGGTTGGGGGGCAGGCGGGGAGGAGGCTGGGCAGAGGTAGGGACGCACTTGCCCAAGGTCATGCTTGTTAGGGACGTGGCCAAGCCAGGCTGCTTTTCTCCACCCCGCCCCAGGGCCCCCGGCAAGGCCTCCCCACCCAGCAGGTGCAGCCTGAGTTCAGGGCCTGCCACTGTGCTTGGCAGAGGCTCTGGACAGCAGTGGATTCTGCCCGGCTGGTCCGGGGGCTCCTGCTGTGTTGACACCCGGGCCAACGCCATCTGTCCCTGGCAGCCCGGTACTCTCCACCCAAGATGCCTCCCCTTTAGAGTGAGATGCTGGGGGAGGTGGCGGGGGGGGGGGGGGGCGTGGGGCGTGGCTGGAGATGCGGCTGCCGTAGACAGAGGCACTGGATTCCCACCAAAGACAGCCACAGGCACCAGGAAGGACCCCACGCGGGGCTGGACCACCCTGAGCCCCCAGTCCCTGCACTGGCTCAGACCTTCAGGGATTCCTGGAATCCTGCACTGTCTGGGGTTTGGGGAAGAACTGAGAAAAGTGATGTTTTATCTCCCACCCCGCCCCAACCCATTGTACAGATGGGGAAACTGAGGCCCACGGGGAGTCAAGCACCTGCTGAAGGCTGCTCAGTGAGTTTTCACTGCAGCCCAGGGCCCCGGCCTCCCAGCCTGCCCTGGAGGTGGCTGCCCACTCCAGTCCGGTCTCCTAACTCATTTTGCCCCCAAATCCTGAGAATCCTCTCCCTGAACTCCACCTTTCTGGCCATGTAAGATACTGGTGACAGCTCAGAATGCCTGTCTCCATCACTTCCCAGATACCTATTGCAAGGGGTGGGAGGTTGGATGGGTTTATTCTCGTAAATAACTATTAATTAACAAATAAAGATGAATTTACTAGGAGTTGGGGGCAGTCGTTGATTGCAGAGACTCAGCAACTAGGATGCTGGGCTCAAAGCCGGCCTACGACTTTCTCCTGCGTGACTCTGGGCAGGTGACTTGACTTCTCTGTCTTGGTTTCCTCATCGGTAAATGGGAAGAGTTAGTGACGCAGCAGATGCTCTTATTACACTCCTGGTGTGCGTTTAAGGCTCATAGTTGTCCTCGCTTTGCAGCCAGGAGACCCAAAGCGGAGATCCCCCACTGCCCGCCCCTCCAAGACCCTGCGAAGTCCAGGTCCGGGTACCAGCGTCCTCGGTCACGCCTACAAGGGGCGTGGCCTGGAATCGGGCGGAGTCTGAAGAGGCGGGGCACCAAGATAGTCTTTAGGGGCGGGGCCTCCGGCTGTGGGCGGGGCCTCGTGGCCCGGCGCCCTCCCCGCCCGCGTCCAGCTGAGACCGCGTAGCCGGCAGGTGGCGCTGCGGCGTTTCCTAAGAAAGCGGCGGGCGAGGCCCCGCTGGGCGCTGGGCCAGGTGCTCCCACTTGCACGCCAGACGCGGGGTGCGCACCGGTTACAGGTGCGCCCGACTGCACGCACACCAGCTGCATGCGTGTGCATCCATTACGCACGTGCACCCGCGCGCGCAGGCCTGTGCGGCCCACGGTCACCCTGGCTCCCTGACCCAGACCCATTCCATCCTGAATCCCTGGTTCAGGCTGTCTCCAGGCCTTTGCTGCGCCCTTCTCCAACCCTGCAGCCCCGGGTCTGGAGCCTTCCCGCACCTGGCCCATAGCCCACTTGGCCGCTGGCTTGCTTTCTTCAGAGCACTCCAAGTCTGAGGGACTCCCGGGCGGGAGTTGCAGGTCCCCCCAGCCTGGAGGGAGCACTTCTACCTGGCAGCATTGCAGCGCTGGCCCAGATGCCCGCTGTCAGCCAGGCAGGCCCGAGGCAGGGACAGCATCTGTAGTCAGGCAAGGCCTTGAGCTGGGAGGGCACCAGGCAATGCCGTGCACAGCTCAGACCCATCCCAGGGCAGCGGCCCTGACCCCAGAGCTGTGACATCGACCTCAGCACCTGCACCTACCGAGTGCCTGCGTGGTGTTCGCTACTTCCCAGGGGTTGCCACTGAGGTTGGAGAGGGGTGGGCATGGGCCAGGGTTACCCATGGGTGGGGCTAAGACCCCAGGTCCAGGGGCTTCCGAAGCCACCCTGGACAGCCAGGTTACCTTAGATGGAGGGACAGTCGGCCTTGGCCTCTGGGTCCCACCTGGGCTTAAGTGATTCCCTCCAAAGGGACCCCAGGGTGTGGCTTGGAGGGTCAGGAAGGGCCCAGCTCTGCCTCCAGTCCACAGCGTATGGTGGGCAATCTCCTGCCCTCTCTGGGCCTCAGTTTTTCTGTCTGTCCGGTGGGATTGCAGTGCTTAGCCTACCCCTGAGGACGGACTGCATGCTCTGTTCCCGTGTCATAATCTGTCCGGGGTGAGCCCAATAGGTGGGTTTATCTGGTACCCTTTGGAGCGTCTGCCTTTCCACACGTGACTTCCCCAGCACCAGCAGCCTCAACCTCCCATCTGTGCAATGGGCCAGTGATGCTGCCTCACAGGGCTGTTGTGAGGGAGGTGAACACATACGCTGGGAAAGGGCTGTTGAGACAGGAGTCACTTGCCCAGGGAGGCCTCGCGCATGTACATGTGCTCGTGGGTGTGATGCATGTCAACGCAGAAGTACACACAAAGAACCCTTGCCACGACAAGCACCCTGCGGCAAAGACGCCCACACCGCCCGCACACAGGGCGAACCACAGGCAGGGCCCGCCGGGCGCCCCAGCAGAAAAGAACAGCCATGTACACTCCCCCCACCCCGTCCGCCGCCCCCGATTCCTCCGCACGCACGGTTTATCTGTGCAGGTCAACAGCTTGCATCGTCGGCGCCGCACAATTGTTCGAACACCCCGGATACGCAGAGAACACTTCTTAATTAGATTCTGCAGAACCCTGACACACAAACAAAAGATATTAATATCAAGCGGCACAGCATCAATTGCAGTTTACACAGATCAGAGAACAATTTGGGTGCAAAGAGGTTGTGCGTGCGACGGGTTGTTACTTTACAAGTTGGGGATGTGGGCACGTGACAGGCCTGACTGCCGCGGCTCTGAGCGGAATCTGAGCCCCCCAGGGGGCTGTGGGGAGGGGCGCTGGGGGTTAGAGCTGAGGGCCAGGCCAGGGCTGGCTTAGAGGAAGGCCTGGGTGATTCAGGGAGGGAGGGGACATAGACAGGGCCAGGATATTATTATCACTGTTGTTCCCCGGAACATTAGTCCAGAGATCAGCCCAGGAGCCACGGCCACAAAGCCTTCCCTGAGCCGAGCTCCATCTGCTCTAGGAGGTCACTCAGGGTGGACTGGGACGCTCTGTGCTCCCCACAATGGGGTCTGTTTTGTTTTTTTTTTTCTCTCTCTCTCTCTCTTTTAATAGTTTATTAGTTAAAACTTTTCATTTTTATTTATTTTTATTTTTAGTATTATTATTTTTTGAGACAGAGTCTCGCTCTGTCGCCCAGGCTGGAATGTAGTGGTGCGATGTTGGCTCACTGCAACCTCCGCCTCCCAGGTTCAAGTGATTCTCCTGCCTCAGTCTCCCGAGTAGCTGGGATTACAGGCACAGACCACCACACCTGGCTAATTTTTCTATTTTTAGTAGAGACAGGGTTGCGCCATGTTGGCCAGGCTGGTCTCAAACTCCTGATCTCAGGTGATCTGCCCGCCTTGGCCTCCCAAAGTGCTGGGATTACAGGCATGGGCCACTGCACCCAGCCTATTTTTTATTTATATTTATTTAGAGACTGGACCTTGCTGTTAACCCAGGCTGGGGTGCGGTGGTGCAATCTCGGCTTACTGCAGCCTCAACCTGCCAGGCTCAAGGGACCTTCTCACCTCAGCCTCCCAAATAGCTGGGACCACAGGTGTGCACCATTACACCTGGCTAATTTTAAAATTTTTGTAGAGATGGGGTCTCACTATGTTGCCCAGGCTGGTCTTGAATTCCTGGGCTCAAGCAATCCTCCTGCCCCAGCCTCCCAAAGTGCTGGGATAAGCGTGAGCCATCTCATCAGCAAAACTTCTTTTTTAAAGAGTAGCTTTCTGGCCGGGAGCGGTAGCTCACGCCTGTAATTCCAGCACTTTGGGAGGCCGAGGCTGGCAGATCACGAGGTCAGGAGATCGAGACCATCCTTGCTAACATGGTGAAACCCCGTACCTACTAAAAATATAAAAAAATTAGCCGGGAGTGGTGGCAGGCGCCTGTGGTCCCAGCTACTCGGGAGGCTGAGGCAGGAGAATGGCATGAACCCAGGTGGCGGAGCTTGCAGTGAGCCGAGATCACGCCACTGCACTCCATCCTAGGCAACAGACCGAGACTCTGTCTCAAAAAAAAAAAAAAAAAAAAAGTAGCTTTCTTGCGCTATAATTCACATGTTATGTGTTGAATTGTCCCCCAAAAAATATGTTGAAGTCCTAACTCCTGATACCTGTGAATGTGGCCTTATTGGAAACAGAGCAATTGTAGCTGTCTTCAAGTTAATGTGAGCTCATTAGGGTGGGCCCTAATCCAACATGACTGGTGTCCTTATAAGAGGAAAAACCACGTGTCGGCAGACACCTGGGGAGGAGAGGGCCACGTGAGGGCGGAAGCAGAGGCTGGAGTGATAACGGCTGCCAGCCCTGGAACTCCAAGCATCATCACCACCACCAAAAGCTGGGAGGGGCCTGGGACAGTTGCTCCCCTAGAGGGCTTGGAGGGACGGGGCCCTGCCAACACCTTGATTTTGGACTTCTGGCCTCCAGACTGTGGAACTATAAATTTCTGTTCGTGTTTTTGTTTGTTTGTTGAGACAGGGTCTTGCTCTGTCGCCCGGGTTGGTGTGCGGTGGCACAATCATGGCTCACTGCAGCCTCAGCTTATGGGTCTAAAGCAATCCTCCCACCTCGGCCTCCCGAGTGGCTGGGACCACAGGTGCATGTCAGCACGCCTGGCTAATTTTGTATTGGGTGCCTTGCTACGTTGCCCAGGCTGGTCTCAAACTACTGGGCTCAAGCAATCCTTCCCCCTCCCAAAGTGCTGGGATGACAGGTGCGAGTCACTGTGCCTGGCCATTTTCCATGTTTCTGATGCTCTGACACCTGGGGCATTGGGGACTCAGGGGCCTCCTGTTCCTAGAGACAGCAAACAGCTCCCCGAAAGCTTACCTTTGATATGTGCAAGAACCCGGTCCACAGCCCACCTCTGCCACCTCCTCGGTGGGCTCTCACCCTCGGGCCACCACCCAGCTGCCCCAATCACTCACGGCCAGGCATCAGGCAGCTAGAGGCGGCCTCTACAGGCAAAACCTGCCAACATTATCCCAGCCCCCCAGCCTTAAGCCTGCTTCCCCAGCCTGGCCTCTTTTTTTCCGAGGAAACCCCAGGAAATGCTCTTCCCCCTCGCCCCATCTACAGAGGCTGCCTTCTGACGCAGCCTAGTGCTTCCCGGGTGGCCCCGAGAACTCTGTCTCCTGTTTCCAGGGGACCGTGAGCATCATAACTTCCTCCTCGTGACAGCATTTCCACATCTGCATGTCTCACCACATCAGACTAAAACAAGTCCCAGGTACCCTTAAAACACCCATGGCCTGGGTGTCAACACTGTGTGCCAAGTGGACACTCCACATGGGTGCCACTCTGAGGGATCCCCAGGCATAGTCTCAGGACATCATCCTCTTTAGGCAGAGGCTGTTACTAATGAGGAAACAGGCTCAGAGAGGTTAGGCAACTTGTCCAAGATCACACAGCGAGCTCGTGGTGCAGCCGGCGTTGGAGCTCTTGGTGGTCTGATTTCAAAGCCTCTTGTCCCCTCTTTGGGCCACTGCCTATGGGTGACATGGCCTGGGTGATCCAGAGGCCTCTCTCCTCCTCGACGGACCGGGATGCCCTCATATTGTAACCCTGAGCCGAGTTCTTAGGGAAGGACAGCCCCGTTCTCAGGGAAGGGAAAACGTGATTGTTTAAAGGAAACAGCCTCTGATGTATTCAATTATACGTAATTTATATAACGGCTGCTGGAGTTTCCAGCCAAAAAATAATAATAATAATAATTGCATGACTTTCGTTCCAGGGCCCCAGAGATAAATTAAAATAATGTAAAGTGAGTTTCTAATTGGCATGGGCCAGGAGCCTGGGCAGCGCCAGGTGTGTGCCTGACACGCGGCGGCCCAGCTCCCCCAGGCCCGGCCTGCCCTCCCCTCCCGCCTGCCCGGGGCCCGGCCACGCGGCTGTGAGCACTCGGTGAGCACCTGCGCTGCAGGCCACGTGTGATGCCTTAGGGCTCTCCCTGTCCACAGAAGCCCGGTGTCGGGAGCTGCAGGCTGCGGGTGGCCGGGGTGGAGGATGTGTCTGGAGGCCCCGGGGACGGCTAGCTCCACACGCCGCCTCGGCCCCAGTGCCTGCCACCCCTGCTGTCCCCGCCCCTGCTGCCCCCTGGGGCTCACCCCGCTCAGGGAGTGAAAAGCTCCTAGGAGCTCTTGCTGAAGCAAAACAATCCCTTTTCTCCTGCTGGGAGATGAAATCCTATAGCAACATCTGAAGGTGACGGCCCTGGCATTGGAGAGAAGCCCACAGGCAGGCCAGCGCGGACCTGAGTTGTCCCGGACGGTCACCGGCCCCTGGCCGCGCCTCACTCTCCCATCTGTAAAACAAAGCAAGGTCTGAGACTGAGAGCTTGGACCTGCAGGGGTCACACGCTGTGACCCAGAGGTGGGCACGCCCCACCCCCTTGCCGTGAGCGCCGTGTGAGGCTCCATCTGCGTGGCCTGTGGCTTGGGTGGCCTGGGTGGCAGCAGGTCTCCCCTGGCCCGGAAACCCTGAGGATTTCTTTCCTTAAATACACAGATTTAGCCAGGCGCAGAGGCTCACACCTGGATCCCAGGGCTTTAGGAGGCCGAGGTGGGAGGATCGATTGTGACCAGGAGTTTGAGACCAGCCTGGGCAACATAGCAAGACCCTGTCTTTAGAAAAAATTAGCTGGGTGTGGTAGCTCATGCCTGCAGTCCCAGCCACTCCGGAGTCTGAGGTGGGAGAATCTCTTGAACCCGGGAGCACGGAGGCTGCAGTGACCTGTGATTGCACCACTGCACTCCAGCCTGGGAGACAGAGCAAGACCCTGTGAATAAAACATAAATATAAATAAATAAATAGAATGAAAGCACAGCTTGCGATCTCCGCACTGTGCAGGTTTAAAAATGGAGATCCAGGCCGGGCGCGGTGGCTCACGCCTGTAATCCCAGCACTTTGGAAGGCCGAGGTGGGCGGATTATTTGAGGTCAAGGACTTCGAGACCAGCCTGGCCAGCATGGTGAAACCCCATCTCTACTAAAAATACAAAAATTAGCTGGGCGTGGTGGTGCATATCTGTAATCCCAGCTACTCGGGAGGCTGAGGCAGGAAAATCTCCTGAACCTGGGAGGTGGAGGTTGCAGTGAACTGAGATCGCGCCACTGCACTCCAGCCTGGAGGACAAGAGTGAGACTCCGTCTCAAAAAGAAAAAAAAAAAAAAAGGAGGCCCACAGGAATTGAGGACAGGCACGGCCTTGTGGGGCTGGGGTTGGGGATGGGCCTCTGTGCTCAGCTCACCATCTGCAGGGCTCTGTGGCCCTGTGAGCTCACAGGGACATGGAGAGCCTGGACCAGGGGTGCAGTGGTGTGGTGGGCGCAGGGTCCTACCAGCCCTTCTCGCCAGCCCCTCAGGCAGCCCCTTGCTTTCCTATTGCTGGATGACTGACCGTGCACTCACCTGGTCATTCTGCCACCTTCCAAGCCACCTCCTGAGACGCTCCTCTGACACCCCCAGGTTGCTAAGGTTTCCTGTCCCCTGCTCATGCCCCCTACTAGGGTCCCCATGCTTACACCAGAGTACATGCATCTCCAGGCTGCTGCAGCACACGGGAAGGCTCCGCAAAGCCAGGGACAGAGGCCAGGGGTCTTGGGGTCCCTGAGGTGAGGTGCCCACCACGAGGGGTGCAGCTTGCAGCTGACAGGTTGGTGAGCAACAGTGCTTTGCTTTCTCTTTGGAACAAGGATGGGAACAGATCTTTTTATTTTTTATTTTTCTGTTGCCCAGGCTGGAGTGCAGTGGCATGATCTCGGCTCACTGCAACCTCTGCCTCCCAGGTTCAAGAGATTCTCCTGCCTTAACCTCCCGAGTAGCTGGGATTACAGGCACCTGCCACCACGTCCGGCTAATTTTTATATTTTTAGTAGAGAAGGGGTTTCCACCATGTTGGCCAGGCTGGTCTCGAACACCTGACCTGAGGTGATCCACCCGCCTTGGCCTCCCAAAGTGCTGGGATTACAGGCGTGAGCCACCAAGCCCAACCTAATTTTTTAATTTTAATTTTTCTTTTCTTTTGTAGAGGTGGGGGTGGGGGTGGGTTCTCACTATGCTGCTCAGACTGGTCTCGAACTCCTGACCTCAGGTGATCCACCCGCCTCGGCCTCCCAAAGTGCTGGGATTACAGGCATGAGCCACTGCACCCGGCCGGAACAGATCTATTTTAAATGAACCGCAAATTAGAAAACAAACCAATGGAAGAATAAATGTGTCGGTGAGGGAAGAAAGCTGCAGAGAAATGAGAAAGGCAGGTGAGAGGGTGGGCTTGTGGCAGAGGGAGGGCGGGCCTGCATCCCCTGCCCCGCTCTGGGGACACGAGTTCTCCACTGGGGCTGGGGTGCCCTCGATAGCAAAGTCGATCAGCGGCTTCCTTTTCTCTGGAATCAATAACCCCGATCTGAAATTCACAAAAAGTGTCCTCCGCTTATGAGACTCAGCTCATCCCAGGGGTCTGGGTGGGTGTCCCGTCCAGGGGTCACCCTGGGCCACGGGGGGCAGGTGCTTGAGCCCCTGTACTTTGGCACTGACTGTGTATTGCACTGGTCCAGCTCTTCACACCCTGGCTCCTGGCCTTTGAGGGCCGGCCCAGCGAGGTAGACTACGCCCCCATTCCACAGATGTGCAGAGACGGGATGACTCCCAGAGACAGCGAGGCCTAGATGGTGGCGGTGGCGGTCACCCGGGGCCCTGGGTGGGTGGTCCTCAGAGCGGCTGTGGATCCTCGGCCGGCCTGGCCACCTCGGCTTTGACCCTCATCTTCTCTAGTCCCTGCCCCCGGCCCGCCACCCACCTGGCCTCCCTTTGACTTGGCACCCAGGCCTCTGTTCCCAGTCTCCCTCGGCCCCCTCCTCCCCTCTAAGTCCCCCTTCTGTCCTCACCCTTCTTCTGTCTGTAGCTGCAATTACAGCTAATCAGATACCTGAGCCGCTTGCGAAGCTATTAGCAGCTCTCCCTGCCCGGTGGGAAATCAGCGGGCTGGACAATTAGCTTTTTAGTTGCAACTCAGATTCTGATGCAAGTAATAAACAACTCGCACTGCTCCCTCCCTCCTCCCCCTCCCTCTTCCCTCTCCTCCCTCTCCTCCTCCCACTCCTCCTTCCCCCTCCTCCCTCCCCTCCTCCCACTCCTCCTTCCCCCTCCTCCCTCCCCTCCTCCCACTCCTCCTTCCCCCTCCTCCCTCCCCTCCTCCCACTCCTCCTTCCCCCTCCTCCCTCCCCTCCTCCCACTCCTCCCAGTCTTCCTTCTCCCTTCCTCCCTTCCTTCCTTCCTTTTTCCTTTTTCCTCCCACTCCTCTTCCACTCCCCCTCCTCACCACACCCAGGGGGCTGGGGGACCCCAGGGTCCCTCATTTCTGCCTGACTCGGTCCAGCTCCATCCTGCACTTGGACCACCTGAGCTCCCAGCAAGCCGGGTTTCTTGCCCTTGCTCTCATCTGCGGGGTTTAGGACAGGTGGGGGTGATGGTGACCACCACTGTCTTCAGAGGGTCCATAGCTCCCACTCCCCCAAAGCCCACCCAGGCCCTGTCCTTCCGCCTGCTGACTTTCTTGCCCTGTGTGTGCATGTGTGTGTGTGTGTGTGTGTGTGTGTGCCCGCGCGCGCACGCTCCTGTTTGTAATTAAGCAGTTAATTGCGCCGGGTTCTTGATTAGCTTTGGGGGATGGTGATGTTCTAGCGAGATGAGGTGTTGTGTACAGTTCAGAATCATTTAGAGAAATTGGAGCTAATTTTGCTGTCTGCGCTTATTACTGCATTAATTTAATTTGGGTTGCTTTTAGCTCATTAACACATCTAATTAATTCGTTGACATCACTATTAAGATGTCTCTTTGAAATTGGCGTCTCCAGATAATCTGGATGGAGAGGCTGACACGCCAGGCGCGGAGCTGCCTGGGAACACGGAGAGGGGAGGGAAAGAGACCAGCCGACTAATGAATTTTCCATCAGAATCGCACGGTTTGTCAGAGGAAGTGCGAGGCGGGGTGCAGGGAGCGGCAGAGACAAAGGAAGGGGGAGCTGGAGAGCTTGCGGCCGCGGCTGGCCGGGTCTTAAATATTGAATTGGTTATGAAAACAAACAGAGCTCACCAGGAGTGTGGATGCCGGGCCAGGCGCCACCCGGCTCTGCCCTGCTCTGCCATTGGCTGGGCCACGTCAGCACGGACGCGGGGCCGGAGGGGTCACACCTATGACCCCCCTCAACTCCAGCTTAAGCCTCCCCGTGTCAGGTTTACCCCCTCCACAACCGCCTGTGGCTTCCTCCTTCAGGCCGATGAGGACGTGGCCCGGCTGACACCCAGAACAAATGGGGAAACTGAGGCCCAGAGGTGGACGTTGGGGTAGCCCAAGGTCACCGGGAAGTTTGCGGATGTACAGCTGAGATCAGCCCAGCCTCAGGTGCACACCAGGGAGCAGCCGCAGCTGGGGTGGGGGTTGGGGGTCCAGGAAGCCTCACCGCCGGCACCACCCACTTCTGACTCCCGGGGGCTCCCGACAGGTGCACATGAAGGTGGTGACGGATCGACCCTCCGGGTAGTGAAGCTGGGGGCCAGTGGGAGATCAGGGGCTACTACAGCAGATTCTGGATTTGGCATATACCAGTGTGGTGTCTCCTGGAGGCCCTGGGCAGCCCCCACTTCTCTGCCTTCCAGTGTTGTCCCTGCAGCCTCATTCCCTCTAGAAAAGCCTCCCTTTCCTCATCTTGGGTGGGGTAAACCTACCCATGCTTCAAAAGGAGTATACAGATGTCCCCTCCTCCAGGAAGAACTCCTGGATTTCCTGTCTGACCCTGGTGGAAAGCAGGTGCCTCTGGCAGGACACTCACTGGCCATGTTCTCCTTGCATTTGAGAAGTGAGGGTTTATTTTTCTCCTTAAGAGCAGACAGAGATTACGTCCAACAGAGCTTAAAGGAAAACAGTAAAAATTAACAAAATTAAAAATGTAAAAAAGAGCAGACTGAGAGACTCAGTTCAGTTTCACTGGACTGAACATTGATTCATTGATTCCACCACAAACACTGGTTGAGCACTTACTGTGTGTGAAAGACCTGGGACCAGGTACCAGAGCACAGAGCAGCACGGCTCTCAGGCAGGGAAACCTTCATAGAGGAGGTGACTCCCTAGCTGGGCTTCAAAGGATGAATAGAAGTTTGTCTATGGTCGTGTTTGAAGGCTCCTCACACAATTTCCAGCACACAGCAGGGACTCAATCTATGTCTGTCTGTCCCTGGAAACTGCTAGTGCTTGTGTGAGCTGCCTGCTGGCACATGAGGATGCTTCCTGGACCTGCCTGGAGCTGCACTGCCAGTCTGAGGTGTTGAGATGGGGTCTGGAAGCGCAGAGGGCTCCCCACCAATCTGCCTCCACTGCAACCAAGCCTGGGGTGCTGGGCGCAGGAGCCTGAGTGGATCTGACCGGGCAGCTTTCTCCCCGAGCCCCCCAGGTGACAGGTAGGATCTTGAGTCCTGTGTGAGTTTGCAAGTATGCAACTGCCAGGTAACAACCACCCCCAAGTAGAGTGGCTTCAAATAGCAGCAGACATGGACTTTGAGCATGTGATGTGGGCTTGGCTCTGCAGGGTGGCTCTGCACACCTGGAAGGCCCATAAGTGAGTTAGCTGACCCACACGGCTGTTGGTTGGGAGCTCAACTGGGCTGTGGCCTGTGGCCTGGGGGTCATGGTTCCTCCCCAGGTGGACCTCTCCAGTGCGGCTTGGGCTTCCTACCAGCATGGCCGCTGGGTCCCAGCAGCAAGCATCCCAAGAGAATGAGGCAGACATGGCTCACCAGCGTTTTGATGACCTAGCCTTGGAAGTCACTCCAGCTGTTGGTCGAGGCAGTCACCGAGGTCTGTCCGGGTTCAAGGGAAGAGGACCTGGACTGCACGTCATAATGAGAAAGGTTCTGGAAGAGCTTGTGAGATGGTAGCTATAGCTGCAGCCATCCTGGGAAAGTGCAGTCTTCGACCTGGGTTCTTTCCCGCTCTCTGTCTGCTCTTCCCTGCTTACAGGCTGAACTGTGTTTCCTCAAAATTCATATGCTGAATAACCCCCAAGACCTCAGAATGGGACTGTATTTAGAGATAGGGTTTTAAAAGGTAATGAAGGCAAGGTACAGTGGCTCACACTTGTAATCCCAGCACTTTTGGAGGCTGAGGCAGGAGGATCGCTTGAGCTCAGGGATTTGAGACCAGCCTGGGCAACATAGTGAAACCCTATCTCTGCAAAAAATACAAATAAAAAAAATTAGCTGGTGGGGTGTTGCACACCTGTGGTCCCAGCTACTCAGGAGGCAGAGGTGGGAGGATCACTTAAGCCTGGGAGGTTGAGGCTACAGTGAGCTGTGATTGCACCACTGCACTCCAGCCTGGGCGACAGAGGGAGACCCTGTCTCAAAAAACAAAATGGTAATTAAGGTAAAATTTAATCACCTGACGAGTTCTTCTTGTCCACTGTGCAGACAGAGGCACTTCACTGAGACAGTGGGATTGCAGTAGAGTTTAATAAACGCACGGCCAGCTGAGCGGGAGACGGGAGTTTATAATTCAAATCTGCCTCCCTGAAAGCTCAGAGGCTGGGGTTTTCTTTTTTCTTTTTTTAATTTTTGGACAGAGTCTCGCTCTGTCACCAGGCTGGAGTGCAGTAGCGCGATCTTGGCTCACTGCAACCTCCGCCGACCGGGTTGAAACGATTCTCCTGCTTCAGCCTCCCGAGTAGCTGGGAGGCTGGGGTTTTTCAAGGATAGTTTGACAGGCAGGGGCGAGGGGACGGGGAATGCTGATTGGCTGGGTGGAGGAGGAAATCGTAGGGCATCAAAGCTGTCTTCTGGCGCTGAGTCGATTCCTGGGTGGAAGTCACAGGGCGGGTTGAATTCATTCCTTGGTCTGAGTCATGGGTCCAGGTGAACTCAGCGGTCCACAGAAGTCGAGAAAACCCCTCTGACGCCAATCTTAGGCATTGGCAATAGCGATGTCACTTACGGGAGCAACTGGGGAAGTCACAAATATCATGATCTCTGGAACAATGGCTGGTTACCATTTAACTATGCCTACATTTTAGCAGAGTTCAGACCCCTCTCATAATTCTTATCTTGTGGCCTTCCATTAGTTTTTACAAAGGTGGTTTTGGTCCTCACCGAAGGAGGGGATAGTTTCAGGAAAGGCACTTATCATGCTCATGCCAGTCACAAGAGGACACAGACTGCAGGGTCCCACTTATATTGATGCAGAGCAGGTGAGCCCCCAAATCAGGGCTTAGCCGGAGAAGCTTCTTGGCTTTGCCCAGGAAGGAATTCAACGGTGAGCGGGTGGTGTTAAAGCAGCCATGCACAGCAGCAGCCCGGGGGTAGTTCAACACTCACATTTACACCCACCTTTAATTATGCAAATTTAGGGACAGATTATGCAGAAATTTATGGGAAAAGCGTGGTAACTTTCGGGTCATTGGGTTGTTGCCATGGAAAGGGGTGGTAACTTCTGGGTGTTGCCACGGCAATGGTAAACTGACATGGCACACTGGTGGGCGTGTCTTATGGAAAGCTGCTTCCACCCGGTCCGTTTAGCTAGTCCTCAATTTGGTCTGGAGTCTGAGCCCAGCCAGCCTCTGAGTCGAGTCCCACCTCCTACCTCAATAGAAGGTTTCTAGAGTCCTCAGATCCATAGAGACAGAAGTAGGAAGGTGGTTCCTAGGAGCTGGGGGGTGAGGGTTGAGTGGGGACAGAGCTTCAGTTTGGGAAGATAAAAAGCTCTATGGATGGATAGCGGTGATGCTTCCACGACGATGTGCTTAATGCCACTCAACGGTCCACTTAAAAATGATTATGATGGGCCGGGTGCAGTGGCTCACGCCTGTAATCCCAGCACTTTGGGAGGCCGAGGCGGGCGGATCACCTGAAGTTAGGAGTTCGAGACCAGCCTGGCCAATATGGTGAAACCCTGTCTCTACTAAAAGTACAAAAATTAGCTGGGCATGATGGCGCGCACCTGTAATCCCAGTTACTCAGGAGGCTGAGGCAGGAGAATCGCTTGAACCCAGGAGGCGGAGGTTGCGATGAGCCAAGATTGCACCACTGCACTCCAGCCTGGACGACCGAGCAAGACTGTCTCAAAAAAAAAAATGGTTAAGATGGTAAGTTTTAGGCCATATATATTTACCACAATAAAAACATTTTGGGACCTCTGTGCTGCAGTGATAGTTTCTAACAAGTTTAGAGAGACCGGGGGAGAAAGCAGATAAGCTTTACATTTTAGTACCTCGATGGCACTTTTCCCTGCTTTTTGAACAAGGGTCCCGGCATTTTCATTTTGTGCTGGGCCCTGCAGATCGTGTCTCCGGCCCAGATCCTGGAAGGCATTTCCGGAGATGGCTTGTCACGTGTGACCCAAGTGGAGCTTTCAGGGTTTTCTGGAGACCACCGAAGAATGGGACAACCAGCCCCCAATGACCTCTTGCTGGCTGCCAGTTTGCCCTCACAACGTGTGACATTCATTGTTCCTGGACCCTGTGGGGGTTCTCTCGCTCCCCTCCTGCCATTCTTATAAATCCTGTCTGTGCTCTGTTTCGTGACTCAGTTTACTCACTGACTCCCTCACACATGAGAACACAGTTTTCCTGCAGAGTGACAGTGAGCAAAGTGGCTACACTTGGCACAATGGCCCTGAGCTATTCTCTGACCCCACTTTCTCCAGGCTGGGCAGGAGGTTGGCTGTCTGGGGACCGGGTAGACATAGCCCCCTGGAGACCTGGGGAAGCAGAGGCTGTTCTGATCTGGTCTTGGTTCATGGGGCATCAGGCCTGTGGGAGGAGAGTGTTTTCAGACCCCACTGCTGACCTATAACTTGGGGGCCACCCGTATGAGGACACACCTCACCCCTGGGCTGCTGGAGAAATCTGGGAGCTGTTGTCTATCTGGGTGGTGACCAACACTGGCTACGGAAGCAGGTCCTTCGCCCCAGCCTGGCTCTGGTGGCCCTGTGACCCGGTCCTCTTTGTCTTCTAACAGTTTATTAAGACATAATTCACCTACCATACCACCCACTTGCTTATTTTATGTTATTTATTTATTTTTGAGATGGAGTCTTGCTCTGTTGCCCAGGCTAGAATGTAGTGGCACGATCTTGGTTCACTGCAACCTCCACCTCCTGAGTTTAAGGGATTCTCGTGCCTCAGCCTTCCAAGTACCTGGGACTACAGGCACGCACCACCATGCCCGGCTAATGTTTGTAGTTTTTGTAGAGACGGGGTTTCGGCATATTGCTCAAGCTGGTCTTGAACTCCTGACCTCAAGTGATCTGCCCACCTTAGCCTCCCAAAGTGCTGAGATTACAGGTGTGAGCTACTGTGCCCGGCCCCACTCACTCTTTTAGAATGTATAATTTGGTGATTTTTTTTTTTTGAGTCAAGGTCTCTCTGTAGCCCAGGCTGGAGTGCAGTGGTGCAATCATACCTCACTGCAGCCTTAACCTCCAGGGCTCAGGCGATCCTTCCACTTTAGCCTTCCGAGCAGCTGGGACTACAGATGCATGCTACCACCATGCCCAGCTAATTTTTGTATTTTTTGTACAGACAGGGTTTTGCCATGTTGCTGAGGCTGATCTTGAACTCCCAGGCTCAAGCAATCTGCCTTCCTCAGCCTCTCAAAGTGCTGGTAATACAGGCACGCACCACCGCACCCGGCTAATCTTTGTATTTTTTTTTTTAGAGATGTCATCTCGCTATGTTACCCAGGCTGGTCTTGAACACTTGGGTTCAAGCAATTCGCCTGCCTTGGCCTCCCAAAGTGCTGGGATTATAGGCATGAATCACCACACCCAGCCCCAGTATTTTTTTTTTTTTTTAGTATATCCACAGAGTTGTGCAACCATCATCACTGTCTAATTTCAAAACATTTTTATCTCCTCTAAAATAAACCTCATGCCCATTGAGCAGTTACTGTCCATTTCTACCTCTCCCCTCCCCTTGGCAACATCATTCTACCTTCTGTCTCTGTAGATTTGCCTATTTGGAAATTTCACATAAATGGGAGCATTCAATATGTGGTCTTTTGTGTCCGTGTTCTTTCACTTTGTGTAATGTTTCCAAGGTTCACCCAGGCTGTGGCATGTATCAGAGCTCCATTCCTTTTCATGGCTCAGTAATATTCCACTCTGTGGATCTACCACCTTGTGTTTATCCATATTCATCCCCAGATGGACACCTGGGTCGCTCCCACCTTTTAGCTCTTGTGAATAGTGCTGCCGTGAACATTCAGGTACACGTTTTTCTGTGGCCGTATGGTCCCAATTCCATTCAAACCTAGTACTGGAAGTGCTGAGTCATATGGTGACACAATCCTGAACATTTCCAGGAATGGCCAGGCTGTTTTCTGCAGCAGCTGCAGTGGTTCACGTTCCCGCTGGCACGGCATGAGAATTCTGATTCCTCCACATGCTCACCAGCACTTGTTGCTGTCTTTTTCACTGTAGCCATCTTAGGGAGGGAAGTGACACCGCACCGTGGCTTTGATTTGCATTTCCCAGGTGCTTTAACTGATGGCTGCTGTCTGCACTTGGGGCCATTAGCATACCAAACTCCCACTGGCTGAACCTGACACAATGAAAATGTCTGCTCAACATTTTACTTTAGTTCAAAAAGCGAACTGGGCTGAGCACAATGGCTCACGTCTGTAATCCCAGCCCTTTGGGAGGCCAAGGTGGGCAGATCACCCGAGGTCAGGAGTTTGAGACCAGGAGTTCGAGGCCAACATGGCGAAACTCCCTCTCTACTAAAAATACAAAAAATTAGCCAGGCGTGGTGGTGCGCACCTGTAATCCCAGCTACTCGGGAGGCTGCAGCAGGAGAATCACTTGAACCTGGGAAGTGGAAGTTGCAGTGAGCCAAGAGGGTGCCACTGCACTCCAGCTGGGGCAACAGTGAGACTTTGTCTCAAAAAAAAAAAAGAAAGAAAGAAAGAAAGAAAAGCTAACTGTGTGCATATGCGTTTGTGTATATTTTGGGAAAACTCCACTGATGGGCAAAGGCCCTGAGTGACGCTAGGCCCTGGCTAAATGGTGTGCAGCTGTGGGGGCCTTGGCTGCTCTCGGGCTGATCTGGGGTGCAACGTTGCCCATGCTGCTCACCCGATCGTCATGGTCACCGGGGTGCTCGTTATATCTGCAGGTGTGTGTGCGTTCATAGGTATGGGGAATCTCTGGAAGGGCCCATAGCAAACCATGACATGGACATTGGCCATTGGAGGGGAGCTGGGTGGGGAATCTCTGGAAGGGCCCATAGCACAACGTGACATGGACATTGATTATTGGAGGGGAGCTGGGTGGCTGGGGACAGAGTGGGATGAGCATTTTTCTCTGTAAACCTCCTCTCCCTAAGAAAGCCAAGTGAATACATTATTGGCATATAGTGCGCATTCCAGAAAGTGCCTGCAGCCTCAGCAGCACAATGAACTTCACAAAGTGAACAGGGCCAGGTGACCACCCCCTGGACAACAGCGGGAACGAGGCCAGCCCCCTGCAGGCTCCCTCATGCCCCTCCCAGCCCACAATACCCCATCCCCCGACACACTGAGATGCCCATTTTCCTGGAAACTTTATCCGTCAGAATGCTGCCTGTTCCTGAACTTCCTGACTGGGATTGCACAGTTGCTGCCTCCTATGCTGTGAGACTCACCTATGTGGTTTGTGCACCCCTCCGGTGCCCTTTTTCACTGCTGCATAGTATTCCATCGTGTGACTAGAGCACAATTTATTTACCCATTCTCCTGTTCATGGAGGTTTGGACATTTCCGGTTTCTGGTTATTTTGAGAAGCATTTTCTTCTTTTAGGGGCACACAGAGACCTTTCCCTACTTTGAAAATCTCAAGGCTTGTGACCACATTAGCTATTTAACAAATAAATAAGTTGAAAAATGTGAATGTGAGGTCCGGAGGTCTAGATTCCTCAGGGCTGGAGATGGGTCCAGGGATCTGCTTCCTCAGTGGTCATGCAGGTCTGGCAGCCAGGGCTGGAGGCCTGGCCACTGGGGGTGCAGGCCCAGAGTGCAGTGTGAGGCTGAGGGGTTGTGCCAGCTCTGCTGTCCCCAGACTCAGCCGAGGACTGAAGAACACTTCCCCCGACACTGGGCGGGATCCTGGGCAGCCAACCCTCCCGAGCAGAGCCCCGTCTGGGACCCAGACCCAGGGGTAGCCTGAGAGAGGAGGCTGGGAGCCTGCCCCCGGGCCCCCCTGGCCACGTGACGCCTGGCAAGCCTGCAGGCTGGTGCTTCTCTGCATGGGTAACAGCAGAGCTCTGGGCTCCCGTGTCTTCTTCCAGGGATTTGGGGGTGTCCCACAGCCCAGAGAGGGACACTGTTCTTCTTTTAATCTGGCTGTTGGAGTGCGTATTGGAAATGGTCTTCTTTAGCACTTCGTTAAACACTTTAGTTAATAGCAGCCTCCAGGGGATCCCACCGGAAGTCCTGTGGGCGGGAAGCACGCAGCTGCATCAATTAACCCTGGCGGTCTCCGGGGTGCAGTCAGACAGCGCGAGCCCCTCGGAAGGTGCCCGGCGCTGCAGTTAGACTCCAGACGCGGCAGGCCAATCACTCTGCTATCGGGGCCCCCATCGATCCGGACTGGTCAGCGTTTGCTGCCATCAGCAGCCTCCCGTCCTCATTAATAAATTAGGCTGTGCTTGGAACTGCTTTCTGTGAGGAGGTGTGGACAACGCTGGGTGCTGGGGGCTGAGACTGGGGCATTGCCCCCCTGACTCCCCACCCCAGCGGCCCCTGACGTCCTGGTCCTCCAGACTGTGGCGCAGGGCAGGCACAGCAGCCCAGGCTCGTTGGGGCCTGCACCACCCCTCCCTGGCCTCTTCCTTCGAGTGTCTGGGTTCTTGCACCCCAAGTGCCTTCTCCAATCCCCCCATAACCAGACACCCACCTGGGAAGAAAAGAGGAGGCCTCAGGTGGATGGAGCAGGTGGGGGCAGATTCTGCAGGGCTGGAGGTGGACCCACGTATCACTTCCACTGTGGTCAGGTGGGTCTGGGAAGCCAGTGCAGGAGGTGTGGCCCTGGGCAAGCCCCCTGTGGCAGACAGACCCCAAGAGGCCCCATGATCTCCACTTCCTGGGGTTCACACCACTGTGGGGTCCCCTCCCCTTCAGTGTGGGCAGGACCCAAGACTTGCACCTAAACAATAGAATAGGGTGCAGGTGACAGCATCCCACTCCCATGGGCTGGGTTACATGTCCGAGATGCTGCCTTGCTAGCAGACTCACTCTGAGATGTCTCCCTTGCTGTCTGTGGAGTACCAGGCTGCCACACAGCAAGAGAGGGCCATGTGGCAGGGTCCTGGGAGCAGCCTCCAGCAGAGAAGCTGGCATCCCCAACCCCATACCTGCGGGGAAATGCAGGCTGCCACAACCTGAGAGAGCCTGGAGGCAGACTCTTCCCCTGTTGAGCCTGCAGATGAGAATGCAGCCCACCACTGCAGCTGCAGCCAGGGAAAGTGGATTCCTCCCCAGCCGAGCCTGCAGACAAGAACACATCCCATCATGCAGCTGCAGCCAGGTGGGATCCTGCATGGAGGATCCAGCCGAACCGTGGCCAGAATCCAGACCCACAGAGACTGTGAGTTGTTAGATGTGTGTCATTTCTTGTCATCAAGTTGTGGTCCTGTGTTTTGCAGCAAGGGAAACCAATGCCCCCCATCTCTCTGAGCCAGTGGTTTATTTCCTTTCCTCTGTAAAATGGGCTGCTTGGAGGGAATGCATGATGCCTGTACCTGTTCTTAGTCCTCGCCTCTCGGACTCAGCTCAAAGGTTACCTCCTGTAGGAATTCTTCCCGGATTACCCCTGCGCTTGTGAGGGAGAGTAATCAGAGTTCCTTGAGGGCAGGGCAGGCCTGAACCACCCTATACCTCTAAGGCCCAGCACAGGACTGAGCACATAGCTGAGGCTTGGGTAATGAATGCTGACAGTCCAGCCATGAGGGGCTTGCTGGCTTTGGGCCTGAAGAGCCTTCCCCAAAGCCCCCAAACTTGGCCAGGAAACTGGCAGAGTTGGGGGGAGAATCTTTTCCACGTGGAGCCCAGGCTGCTCCCTGCAGGAACCACCCTGCACCCCTGCCCTCTGCCTTTGGGGGCATCCTCCCCTCTTCTGGGGGCCCCTCCTATCTGCTCAGGAGGTCCACGCTGGAACATGTTCTGTGCCAGGTGTGGGAGGATCCAGGAGAAGGTTTAGATGGGCCCATGTCCATCCTGGCTGCCACTCTCTGCCTCCTGCCCATGTTGGGGGCCCCTCACCGGTTCCTCCACTGTCTCTGGCTTCCTCTGTCTGGGTTCCCACTGGATCACTTTGGCCAAGCATGGCTGTCGCCCTCCTGTATGACCCCAACCCAGGCCTGGCTGTGGTGCTCAGGCACAGGAGGGAGTTATGTTGAAAAGAACTGACTCCTCTTGGGGCATCTGCTCCCAGTACACAGTAGGGCTGGCTCGCTCGCCGCCATGGTGCCCCCTCAGGCTCCTGATCCTAAGCCCCTCCACTGCCACCACGTTGAGGAACTGCCAACCTCCCGCTGTGGCCATGCTGTGTCCCCTTACCCTGAATCCAGGCCCCCAGTTCTCTTCAGACTCAGCGAGAGGGCAATGATTTCCTCCCTCCGCCTGGCCCTGGCCCTGGTCCCTGGCTCAGAGGACTGTGGTCACATCTCTCTTCACTGCCAGGCCCACGGGTATCCCTCTGGCTGTACCCAGGACCTGTTGAGAGGGCTGAGTTCTCCTTTCACTTACTGAGCAATGTTTGGCTGCAGAGGGGAAAATCTGAAATCTGGAGGTGAGGAAGACTGGCCGGCGGCCCTAAAACAGCTGCAAGGACAGACAGCAGGGCCCAGTCTCCACCATGGAGCCCGGGCACCCCACGGGCCCCAGCCCTGCCCTTGTGAGCTCCTGAGAATGGGTCAGTTTCATCTGCCCCAGGGTGATCGAAATGGGGCACACCCACCTCACCCCAGCCCATCTCACCCATAGGACCCACTTCCGGCTCTCAGTGGATGCCCCCGAAACCCCGTCACGGAGAACCCCAAGAAGTGCAGGCCTCTGAGAGGCGGGCGGTGCTATGTGTGACGCTCATGCTGTTTCTATCATTCCTATGTCCCCCCTTTAGCTCCTCATGATTTTGGGGAATCTTAGAGTCTCCAGAAATGACTGGACATCCAGACCCATCAGGCAGCCCCAGCCCTGCCCTGCAGTGGCCAGAGTGGGCTCACAGCTGGGGGGCAGGTGCATCAGTGGAGGCCCAGACCTCTGCCAGCCCTGCCTCCTGCCCACTGGCAACAGCCTGCTCTGCCCCTCCAGGCCCTGGCTCCCAGGGGGCAACCCGGCTCCATCCCCACCTGGAAGGTACTATTGGCCTTTCCTGGATGCCAGCACCATGAGTGTCTATGCATTAGTCTACTGCATTGCTATAAAGAAATACCTAAGACTGCATAATTTATAAAGAAGAGAGGTTGATTTGGCTCACAGTTCTGCAGGCTGTACAGGAAGCATGGTGCCAGCATCTGCTTCTGATGGGGCCTCAGGGGGCTTCCAATCATGGTGGAAGGTGATGTGGAGCCAGTGGGTCACATGGGAAAAGAGGCAGCAAGAGTGAGAGGGAGGAGGGGGAGGTGCCAGGCTCCTTTAAACAACCAGGTCTCACATGAACTCATAAAGTGTGAATTCCCTCATTACTGTGGGGAGGACACCTGCCATTCACGAGGGATCTGCCCCCCCGACCCATACATCTCCCACCAGGCCCCACTCCAACACTGGAGCTCACATTTCACCATGAGATTTGGAGGGGACAGTCATCCAAACTACATCAACCGGAAAGGAAATACAGGCACCGGCTTTTCCCACAGATGCCCCCGTGGGTCTCACTCATCCTGGGCTCTGCAGACAGGGCGGGTGGAGTTGAGAAGGTGCCCCAGGTTTACCACTTCCAAGCATCTTCACACCTTTGTGCAGCCTCTTGCACGTGTGAATCAGGGCTGACCCATGAGACCACAGGAGGCCAGGACAGACGATGGTACATCACTTCATGTGCAGGGCACAGAGGCACTGCGGCTTCTGCTTTGGTCTTTGGGTCACTTGTTCTAGGGAAGCCACCATGTCATGTGAAACCCCAAGCAGCCTTATGAAGAGGCCCATGCAGAAGTGCTGAGGCCCCCAGACAACAGCCAGCAGGACCTGAGAGTCACCTAGATGGGGATCCTTCTGCCCCAGTTGAGCCTTCAGATGACACAGCCCCAGCTGACCCCTGACTGCAGCCTCATGAGAGCCTGGAGCCAGGGCCACCTGACGCAGCCTCTCCCACATTCCCAACCCTCAGACACCTCCAGTGCTAATCAACGTTTACTGTTGTCTAAACACGAAGTTTGGGTGCTATTTGTTACACAGCATAGGTCACTACTACACCAACGCTTCATGCTCATCTCATCCTCCAGCAAGATGCCAAGCATTAGGATTGCTGTGGTTTCTGCTTTCATTTTTGTTTAGTTTGAAAATGATTTTCACCATTGATTTATATGAAATCAAGACAACCCATATAGTATCCTTGCAAATACTCTATCTCACGTGATATTCAAGACTAAATATCTTCCAAACCACATTCAAGAGGCTGAGGAGATGCACTTTGACAGTTTTCAAGAAATATCAATCAAACTGTAATGAAATTTCAATGTATCAGTTAATACCAAGCACCTCCTCTTACAGTTAGCATTGGACTAGGTGATTAAGGACAAGTAGTTTGGCTCAATAAATTAAGTAATACACATTTAATTCATTTTCCTATCATGTGATTGAAAAAATGAAAAAAATACATACTTAAGACTTATGCTGGGTGGGCTAGCTCATGCCTGAAATCTCAGCACTTTGGGAGGCTGAGGAGGGAGGATCATTTGAGGTCAGGAGTTCAAGGCCAGCCTGGGCAACATAGTGAGACCCCCATCTATAAAAAAAAAATAAAAATTAGGTGGTGAGTGTGGTGGCGAGCTCCTGTGGTCCCAGCTACTTGGGAGGCTGAGGCGGGAGGATCACTTAAACCCAGGAGATTGAGACTGGTTTAGCTGTATTTAAGTTTCTACTGCTGAGAAATTTAGGTTTGTGCTGTCTCTTTCAGTCCCTAAAGCTCCCCTTCGAGTTCTCCAGACTTTGGTGGGTTTTCAGGCATCGTCAGGTCTGGCCGGTAGAACTTGTGTATCACATCAGCCCCTGTGCACATGGCCAGGAGGCTGGCTGTGAAAATTTTCACATACGTGGACAGGGACATGCCCATGGGCATGGACAGAGGGTACAAAGTGCACGGATGCTGGATGGCGCTAGTCAGAGAGCAGGCAGAGCAAATGGCAAGTGGGAAGCACCCTGAGATTTTCCTTCTTTCTTTCTTTCTTTCCTTCCTTCCTTCTTTCCTTTCCTTCTTTTCTTTCTTTCTTTCTTTCCTTCTTTCTTCTTTCTCTCTCTCTCTCCTTCCTTCCTTTCTTTCTTCCTTCCTTTCTTCCTTTCAGACAGAGTTTTGCTCTTGTCACACAGGCTGGAGTGCAATGGCACAATCTTGGCTCACTGCAGCCTCCACCTCCTGAGTTCAAGGAATTCTCCTGCCTCAGCCTCCTGAGTAGCTGGGATTACAGGAACACGCCACCAAATCTGCCTAATTTTTTTGTATTTTTAGTAGAGACAGGGTTTTGCCATGTTGACCAGGCTGGTCTCGAACTCCTGACCTCAGGTGATCTGCCTGCCTAGGCCTCCCAAAGTGCTGGGATTACAGGCATAAGCCACGGTGCCTGGCCAACCCTGAGATTCTCTCTCCCTTCCTTCCTTCCTTCCTTCCTTCCTTCCTTCCTTCCTTCCTTCCTTCCTTCCTTCCTTCCCTCCCTCCCTTTCTGTCCTTTCTTCCTTCCTTTCAACAGGGTCTTGCTCTGTCACCCAGGCTGAAATGCAGTGGTGCAGTCTTGGCTCACTACAGCCTCGACCTCGTGGACTCAAACAATCCTCCCACCTCAGCCTCCTGAGTACCTGGGACTACAGGCATGTGCCACCACGCTCAGCTATTTTTTTTCTATTTTTTTGTAGAGACGAGGTCTCCCTATGTTGCTCAGGCTGTTCTCCAACTCCTGGGCTCAAGTGATCTGCCCGCCTCAACCTCCCAAAGTGCTGGGATTATAGCCGTGAGCCACTATGCCCGGCCTGGATTTTTTTTTTTTAAATAGGCTCAGAAAAGTTAAGTGGCTTTTCTGAAGACACACAGCAGGGCCAAGATTTGAACTCTGATCGGCCTGACCCCAAAACCCAGGTCTGTCTTCCTTTCCCTCCCCCACTGTCCTTGGTGTGGCCCCAGGGAGCTTGGGACCACTAATTCTCCTCTAATAGGCTCAACTGGAGGGAAATTTCAACCCAATAATGCAAAGCTGCTATAACTGTTATAATTAATTTATACGAAAGACATTATAAAATTACACTCTGTGTATTCCAGTCTCATCCATGACATGCATCCGCTTCCCAGTTAAGCTACGGGGCCTCATGAAGACAGACGGGAAAGAGGTATTTCAATATTTCTTATAATTGTATATTATCTCTAATATCCCTCATGCTAATTTCATTGTGCAACGCAGTCGGCACGGTGATGTAATTATTGAAAAGTAATTTTGCAATAAATGGATTTAAATGTGTTAGAGTGAGTTGTAAATTCAATCTCTCGGTGAGGGTGGTGGGTGCAGACGGGAGGCGGTGCGGGGGCCAGGACCAGGGTGGAACCGGAGAAGTCCTGTGTGGCCGCAGCTGGGAGTCTCCTTACCCGCTAACGACATCCGGGGGTGCTGAGAACGCCGGCGCTGCCCCTGCCCCTCTCCGTCCGCCCACGGCCATGCCTGGGTGCACGTGACCCTCAGCTCCCCACCGTGACGCTGAGACCCCTCCATGGCCCCTCTGTGTCCCTTCCCAGCCAGCCTCACACGGCAGCCCGCGGACCCCAGGGTATATCCTGCATCCCTTGCCTAATACCCCAGAAGAAACCCACACCCCTTCTTGGTTGACTCTCTCCCGCCCCCTCTCCTCTGTCTCTACCCGGATCCACCCTCTTGCGTGCCCTGAGGCCCCAGTGCCTCTGCTCAGGGGCTTGGCACAGACTGTTCCCCTGCCAGGAGCGCTCTCCCTCCAGGTGCCCATCCCGTCATGGAACCGTACACCGTGACAGCAGCTGCCCTTCCCTAAGTCAGCCTCACAGGGTCTCCAGCTGGACTCTGCCCTGGCCAGCAGCAGGACTTCCTCTGGTATGGAGTGCCTCACGCTGCACTTACTGAGTACCTACTGCACACTGGGGCAGGTGAGAGGAACCACCTCCTAGACGGGTGTCAACATGGTGAGCAGCCAGCGGGACAGGGGGTGGAGTGGGGAAGACATCCAGGAAACCTGCGCTGAGCTGGGGAGGGTATGCTAGGTAGGGGGACAGCAGTGGCAAAGGCCTGGTCTGTGGGGAGCAGAGGTAAAAGTAGTCCTCTGACCTGACCTCCTCCTCCGAGAAGCCTTCCTTGACTGACAGACAGCAGCTGCTGGGTGCTAGGAAAGGGGTCAAACACAGAGATGGGATGGGGACACAGTGAGGGGTGCTGTGGTGCATGGTGGGATGCTGGCATGTGGGCCCAGATGTCTGAGGTCAAGCCCAGCTCCCCTCACTGGACCCCGCATCCTTGGCTGTGAAGTGGGGAGCCCCTGTGTGAAGGGTGAAGGGTGGTGTGCATACAGCAGGTGCTCAGTAAAGGCCTCACCTACCCCGTGAGAATCAAAGGAGAAACAGTGGGCCCCACTTCCTCAGCCACGCACACAGAGCAGGTGTTCCGTGCGCACATGTGGATGGTGTGTCTACCCGCCCGCCGCCGCGCCTGCTCTCCGGAGCCTCCGAGGGGATCCGTATGTAACTCAATGTGTGACCACCCCGAGCTGGGGCCCCTCGGAGGGACACTGTTGAGGGAGGTGGTTTTTTTAGTTTTTTGTTTTTGCTTGTTTTTTGTTTTTTGGACAGAGTCTTGCTCTTGTCGCCCAGGCTGGAGTGCAGTGGCGTCACCTCGGCTCACTGCAACCTCCTCCTCCAGGTTCAAGTGATTTCCTGCCTCGGCCTCCCGAGTAGCTGGGATTACAGGCACCCGCCACCACGCCCGGCTAATTTTTATATTTTTATTTTTATTTTATTTTATTTTGGAGACAGAGTCTTGCTCTGTCACCCAGGCTGGAGTGCAGTGGCGCAATCTCAGCTCACTGCAAGCTCTGCCTCCCGGGTTCACACCATTCTCCTGCCTCAGCCTCCCGAGTAGCTGGGACTACGGGCGCCCGCCACCACGCCCGGCTAATTTTTTGTATTTTTAGTAGAGACGGGGTTTCACTGTGTTAGCCAGGATGGTCTCGATCTCCTGACCTCATGATCCGCCCACCTCAGCCTCCAAAAGTGCTGGGATTCCAGGCGTGAGCCACTGCCCGGCCGGGAGGTGGTTTCGGGTTCTGCCTCAGCCAAGGGCAGTCGCAAGCTTCCTTTTCCATCCTGCGCGAGGGGCGCACGAGATGGGGCCTCTGCAGACACCTGGCCCCCACAGGTGGGAGGCATCAGTTCATTCACAGGCGCGTTGTGGCGTCCCCACCTGCCCTCCTACCACCACCACTGTGGGAGCCCAGCACCCCTCCCCCACGCTGGGACCCTCCTCGCCACTCCCCGGCTGGCACCAGTGCCCTCCCTGTCCTGGCCAAACTGAATCCACAATTTGTTCTTGGGCGATGTGTAAATTGGCACCTCATTGATTATTAATGAAGTGCTAATTGCTCTTTGAAACCAATTTTGATGGGGATACAGCTGTGGCTGTTTGTACAATTTCTCAGACATGGCTTTCACAGCTGCTGAGACCTGGGGCACGGGCCGGGGGGCAGTTTCACAGTTTACAAGGCCTCCACGCTGAAGGACGGCAGAGCAGGCTGAGCACCCCTGTCCCTTGGAGGTGACCACGACACCCGCCTTGTCCTCGGGAGAGGGAAGAGGAGGCCCACAGGGCAAACCGAGACGGACTTGAGCACCATGCCTGGCTCCCTGACCAGGCCACCATTGCCCCGGTGACCCAGGCCCGTCTGCAGCCTGGGGAGGGGAGCCCACATCAGTCTCCCTGGACTCCAGCTCTGGCAGCTGACACGAGGCGGGGAGGACTGAGGGCCCCGCTGCCTGGGTGCTGTGGCCAGGAGGGCTGGCTGGGCCCTGAGCTGGGTGCCGCTCCGGGCACTGGGGCTGACGTGGTGGAAACACGAAGCCCAGGCCAGACGCGGGATGGCGGTTGCCTGGGTGCACCCGGTGGTTGCCTGGCAACGGGGCTCAGGGACCATCCCCAGCAGAGGGTGGCTCTGGGGACCGGCTCCCCGGGCACAGGGGAAGGAAGCAGTGTCAGGCGTGACTGAAGGCTGGAGAGCAGCTTCTGTAGAGTCGTAGAGACCGGGGTGGCTGCAGGACCCCCGAGGTCCCCCGCCCCCTGTCTGGAGCCCAAAGTCCCCGTGTCAGAGCCACACACGTCGGCCCCGGAGGAGAGGCTGCCACTCTGTCCCCTGACCCGTCGGTGCCCAGGGAGGTGGGGTCAGGGCTTCCTGTGGGGAGCAGACAGTCGGGGTGCAGGCCTGGAGCAGGACCCTGGGGGTGGGGCCACAATGTTGGAGTTTTCGGGCCCAGAGTGAGTCAAGGGAGAAACAGTGGGTCCCACTTCCTCGGCCGCAGGCACAGAGCAGGTGTTCCATGCACACGTGTGGGCGGTGTGTCCACCTGCCGGCCGCTGCACCTGCTCTCGGGAGCCTTCGAGGGGATCTGTGCGTGGCTCAGGAGCGACGCGTGACTTCCCCGAGCCGGGGCCGTCAGACGGGCACTGATGAGGGAGGCGGTTCTTATCCTTTCTCTGCCAAGGGCAGCTGTAAGCTTCCTTTTCCATCACACCTGAGGGGTGGAGGAGGCGGGGCCTCTGCAGCCACTTGGCCTTCTGGTGTCTAGGGGGGTCCCCTCTGTCCCCCCAGCTCCCTCTCCTGGCTCCCTGCGGCATAGGAGGCTCTGAGGGTGACCCGCTCAATCCCAGAGGCTGCAGGGCAGGGTGGGAAGGTCTGTAGCAGGGGTCCCTTCCTGGCTTCACACTCCCAGGCGTGCGAGGTCTACGCGGGGCCCTGTGTGTAGACCCCTCCAGCGTCAGGCAGGGAAGAGTCACCCACCCCGGCCACATAAACCGACAACCAGCCACACAGTTGAACGTCAACAAAACGTTGAGGTCTGCAAGGTGAGGACCCTCAGGGCCCAATCACGCAGCGGGACACAGTGGCCCAGCCATGCTGCTGAGTTGGGGGTTCTGAGAGGCTGGCAGGAGGTTCTCCCCACTGAGGCCTGAGGCAGGAGGGGGCCGGGGGCCTGAGTGGGCTCACAGCGGGCAGGCGGAATGGGCACAGGTGATACCCGGGGCTGGGGCCCCCCTTCACTGGCTTCCAGCCTCGGAGCTTGCTCCCCTTCTGTCCGAGAGGACCCCGTGGCCTCCTCCCTGTCAGAGAAGGGTCGCCCGAGTGTGATTTGTTTCTCACAGGTGGGGTATGTGACAGGCAGTGGCCGGGTCTGAGCTGGGGCAGGACCCCTCTCCCTCCTCCCTCCTTCAGTGTTGGGCTGTGACCTCACCCCACCCAACCTCCCATCTGCAAGCACCCTCCCAGGGGGTGTTAACAGCCAGGTGACCACATCCTCCGGCCTGCCCCGCCCCGGCCTGCCCTGCCCCGGCCTGCCCCACCTGCTGTAGCCACACCTGTGTCCAGGAGTGGGCTCACGGGTCAGGGGATGGGACCCAGGGAGCTGGTGGCCAAGAGATGGGTCTAGGGGAGTCACCCGCCTTCCACCCACCCTGCCGGTGCAGGATATCACATCTCCACTACAGCCTCCATTTCCCTGTCTGCAGAAGGGATGTGATGGCTCCCAGGTGGCAGAGCTGCTGTAAGAAGGGGTGAGATGGCGCGTGAGGCACCCGGGGTCAGGCGGGGGCAGAAGGTGGTCAGTGAGGTCAGCAGGTCCCGTCCCTGAGCTGGGGCTCGCAGGAGTCCAGTCACAAACATCAGAGAGGAGATGAGGAGAGAGAGACAGGGAGAGAGACAAAGACAGAGAGAGACAGGGAGAGAGACAAAGACAGAGACAGACAGGGAGAGAGACAGAGAGAGAGGAAGAGACAGAGGGAGAGGAAGAGACAGAGGGAGACATAGAGACAGAGACAGGGAAACAGACACACACACAGAGGGAGAGAGAGACAGAGACAAAGAGAGAAGACACAGAGAGATGAGAGACAGAGAGAGACAGGGAGAGAGACAGAGACAGAGAGGGAGAGACGGAGAGAGACACAGAGACAGAGATGAGAGACAGAGAGGGAGAGACGGAGAGAGACACAGAGACAGAGACAGAAACACAGAGACAAAGATGAGAGACAGACAGAGAGACAGGGAGAGACAGAGAGAGAGAAACAGAGCTACAGAGAGAGAGAGACAGAGACAAGGAGAGAGAGGCAGAGACAGAGACAAGGAGAGAGAGGAGAGACTGAGAGGGAAAGGAGAGCACAAGGCTGGAGCAGGCGCCGCGGCCCATGTCCCACTGAGCGGTGCTGCTGTGTGGGCTCAGCCGTCCTCAGAATCTGCACCCCTGCCCCAGCCGGACCCGCCCGGGCTCCTCGGCCTCTGGGGAAGCCGCAGCCCTGACCCCTGGCTCCCTGCGCCCCTGCCCCAGCCGGACCCGCCCGGGCTCCTCGGCCTCTGGGGAAGGCGCAGCCCTGACCCCTGGCTCCCTGCGCCCGACGTGGCCACGGACTTGGCTGGGCTTGGGTCCAGTCTTTAAAGTTTTCAAAATTAATTGTAAAAGTCCACGATGAGCAGAACATCGAAATGCTCCATGAAGATGGAACCCGTGTCGCTGATGATCCTCTTGGCCTCGGGCTCCAACGCAGTCCAGTGCGGCCTCCCACCCACGGAAGCTGGGGGTCCGGCCGTGGAGGCAGCAGGGACTGGGCGGGGGGAAGGCAGCAAGACCCCCTGCCCCTCCTCGGCAGGCTGGATGTCTGGTCTGTTGCAGGCCAACCCTGCTGAGAAAGGGATGGAGCGGGGGCCTTTTGGGGCTGTCCATGCTGAGGCAGACGAGGGGTAGAGACTGTTCCTGCTGGGGCAGGGGGCGGAACAGCGGCAGAGAAGGATGGAGTGGGGCTAAGGATCCTTCTCTGCGGGGCTCCCCGAGGTAGGGGCCCCTGCCCTCCAGGGTGATGCCCACAGGGAGGCAGTTGTGTCTGGCGCAACTGGGGGTAGGAGCAGGGCTGCCTCAAAGACACCTCTCAGAAGGGAGGCTTTGGGCTGAGCCCTTGTCACACGTCGGAAAAGGCTGGAAGATGGCCGGCTCTCACCACCATCTGCAAACTGGCCGGTCCCAGAGCGCCGTGCATGGGGTCCCATGACGGGGCCAGCGCCTTGGCTCAGTGTTGGGTTTGCAGAGTTCATCCTTGAGGGCTGTGCTTTTTCATGGCTGCGTAGCACTCCACCACGTGGTGGCTCGTCCACTCTCCTGTGGGCGGGTGTTTGGGTCCGTTCCACTTTCTGGCTGCTCTGGGTGGCCGTCTTTGTTGCACACATATGGAGAACACACGTGGCACCATGACACACGATCCTGCCTGGAGTGAGAGCTGCATTCCGCCTCCTCCGGTGGTGGGGGCCGAGGGCGGGGTCGTTGGTGTCCCTGTGGCCGGATGTTTCACAGCTGGGTGGTGCCACATTCAAACCAGTGGACCCTCCCCACGGTCTGTGCCCAGCCCTCCTCCTGCAGCCGGAAGCTTCCTGCTCTGGGGTGAACACTGCAGCACTCTCAGATGCAGGCATTTTACCCCAAGCATCTTCCCCTTCTCTGCTTTCTTACCCTTAACTTAAAAAAAATCGTTTGTAGTCGGAAAAAAATGTTTTTATAGCAGCTGCAGGGCCTGGGGGTGCACGGGAAGAAGGAAGGAGAAAAGAGGCTTCCTCTTGGGAGGGACACAGCCTCTGGGAGCGTCTCGGCCTTTCTGTGTTTCTGCATCTCGTGGAACACACAGAGTGCTTCCCAGTCCCCATGGCCCCTACTGAATCCATGGGATGGATCCCTGCTGGTCACTGGGGTGGTGGGAGTTGGAGCAGCCTTGGGGTCTCTCCCACCCCAATTACACCTGCCCCTCGTCCGGGAGGTGAGCCCCTGGGCCCCGCCGTCCTGGGGTCCCAGGCCCACACTCAGCTTGGGATTGGCTTGGCAGGAGTTTGGTGGCGATTCACGCTCCAACAATTAGAAGCTGGAAACGTGGGCTGGGTGCCGCGGCTCACGCCTGTGATCTCAGCACTTTAGGAGGCCGAGGCAGGAGGATTGCTTGAGCTCAGGAGTTCGAGACCAGCATGGGTAACACAGTGAGACCCCCCATCTCTACAAAAAATACAAAACTTAGTCGGGCATGGTGGTGTGTGCCTGTAGTCCCAGCTACTCAGGAGGCTGAGGTGGGAGAATCGCGTGAGCCTGGGAAGTCGAGGCTGCAGTGAACCATGATCGCACCACTGCACTCCAGCCAGGGTGACAGAGCAAGACCCTGTCTCAAATAAATAAATAAATAAATACATACATACATACATAAAAAGCTGGAAATGTGTAATCCCAGGACTTTGGGACTTCAACGTGGGAAGGCTGCTTGAGCCCAGGAGTTTGAGATCAGCCTGGGCAACATAGCAAGACCCTGTTTCTGCAAAAAATTTAAAAATTCGCCAGACCTGATGGTTCACCTGTAGTTCCAGCTACTCAGGAGGCTGAGGCGGGAAGATCTCTTGAGCCCAGGAGGTTGAGGCTGCAGAGAGCTCTGATAGTGCCACTGCACTCCAGCCTGGGTGACAGAGGGAGACCCTGCCACAAAAAAAAAAAAAAAAAAAAAAAGAAGAAGGAGAAGAAGCAGCAGAAGCTGGAAATGAAGAAGCAGAAGCTGGAAGTGGGGGGCAGAGACCTGAGCTGCTGTGAGCAGGAAGGACAGGAAAGCAGAGAAACGAAGACTGGGGTCTCAAATGCAGAGGCGTCTCTGCAGCCTCCGGCCACGTGCCTTTCAACCACCCCACAGGCCGCCTCTCTCCCCTCTTGTCCCCCTTGGCCGGCTCTTGCCTGTCTTCCTCCCTGGGTGCCTCTGGGGGTCTCTCCCTCTCTCCCTCCCACCACACACATCCCATTATCAACCTCATCTCGCCAAGTCATGGCTTCCGAGAGGTGAGAAGGGGGCACCCCTGGGTTTACACCCTTGGGGGGCTGGGAGGGGGTGGCGCGTGGGGGATGAATATGTTTTAAATACAATGTATACCAAAAATGTAATAAATATTTAATTTTATTTTATTAAATACCAACTTGGTGATGGCTGGTACTTTATTAAAGTGTCAAAGTGAGTCTTCGTACACTCTAATTACTTATTCTAACAAGGAGGGGAGGCTGGGCGCAGCGGGCCATCTGTGCGTGCGGGAGGTGCGTGTGCTCCTGTTAAGTAACACCTATTAAACCATTATTTGCACCTAGAGGCATCTCATTAATACCTCAACTAGTGCCATCACACCGCCTCTGCGGGCTGACCCCAGGCTGGGAGGGAAGAGGCGGCCCCCGGATCTCACCCCCAGCACAGCCTCCTCCGACCAGGAAAGCCTATAAAATTAATAACGACTCTCTCACCTAATTGAATTCCTGACAAATGGTGACTCCTGCTGCCGCGGGCTCCCTGCATCCTGGGATTCGGGGGGCAGAGCCTGGGACCCCACACTCAGGGCTGGTCCCAGACCCCATGAGCTGCCCCAGGCTCTGGGACCCCAAATGCACCTCTGGCTCCTCTGGCACCTGCTATTTGAAGACATTTATTTTAAAAAATGTATGATTGAAAAAATGTGTTTAGAGACAGGGTCTCGCTCTATTGCCCAGGCTGAAATGAGTGGTGTGATCAAGGCTCACTGTAGCCTCAAACTCCCAGGTTCAAGCAATCCTCCCACCTCAGCCTCTCGAGTAGCTGGGGCTATAGTTGCGCACCACTGCACCTGACTAATTTTATTTTATTTTTTAATATATTTTTTGTAGAGATTGTGGGGGATCTCACTATGTTGCCCAGGCTGGTCTCAAACTCCTGGGCTCAAGTGATCCTCCTGCCTCAGCCTCCCAAAGTGTTGGGATTACAGGCGTGAGCCACCATACCCAGCCACAGTTGAAGCCATTTCTACCCCCATCCTGGCCACTTCTCAAGAGGCATCTGTCCCCTCCACATCCCTAAAGCCCCCCTGTCTCTGGGAGAGCCCAGGACCGCACTGGCTGGTGTCCTGGCTCAGCCCTGTCCCTCTGCGTGAGCCAAGTGAGGCTCTTCTCTGAGTCTCTTCTGTGAATGGGGACGGTGGCTCTGAGAATGACCAGCGAAGAGGCAGTGAGGACCCACTGGGCACCCATACTGCCTCCTGCTGCTTTCTGGGGCTCAGCTGCCCCCAACTCCCCAGAACCCTGGACTTGGATGAGGAAGCCTCTCCACCAGCCCGCTCAGCCCCGCCTCACACAGCCCTTTTCTCCCTCGGTCCCCTCCTGCCTGCTTGCTCTTCGTGCCGCGGCCACCCTTGCTGGTGTCTGGGCACACTGGCCTCACCCCATTCTCTCTCCTCCTGCATTGTGTCCCCCGAGAGGCACTCCCTGACCCCCCCTTACTCTCTGTCTCTACCTGGGCAGGGACCACCCGAACTCCATGGAGACGATGCTGCGGCCAGCATTCAGCATACCCAAAAGAATCTACCTACTGTCTGTCTACTATCTTCTATCTATTGCCTTTCTATTATCTATCTATCATCTGTGTATCAATCAATCTATCATCTATCTATCTATTGTCTATCTACCAATCATTTATCTTCTTTCTTTCTTTCATCTATCTATCCATCCATCCTTCTATCATCTATCAATCTATTTACCATCTTTCTATCATCCATCCAACCACTCATCCATCATCTATCATCAGTCTGTCTACCATCCATCCATCCATCCACCCATCCATCACCTATACCTATCAATCATCTATCTACCATCTTTCCATCACCCATCCAACCACTCATCGATCATCTATATCAATCATCTATCTATTTACCATCTTTCCATCATCCATCCTCCATTCATTCATCTATCATCAATCATCTACCTACCAACTTTCTATCATCCATCCATCCATCCATTAATTCATCATCTATCATCAATCATCTACCTACCAACTTTCTATCATCCATCCATCCATCCATTAATTCATCATCTATCATCAATCATCTACCTACCAACTTTCTATCATCCATCCATCCATCCATTAATTCATCATCTATCATCAATCATCTATCAATCTACCATCTTTCCATCATCCATCCATCCATCCATTAATTCATCATCTATCATCAATCATCTATCATTCTACCCCATCTTTCCACCATCCATCCAACCACTCATCCCTAATCTATCATCAATCATCTATCTACCATCTTTCTATCATCCATCCATCCATTCATTCATCCATCCATCCATTCCCTATATCAATCATCTATCATCTTTCCATCATCCATCCAACCACTCATCCATCATCTATCATCAATCATCTATATATCTACCATCTTCCTATCATCCATTCATCCATCTATCCACCCATCACCTATATCTATCAATCATCTACCTTCTTTCTATCATCTGTCCGTCAATCTTTTTATCTATCATCTATCTATCCATCCATCCACCTATCATCGAATCTACCAGTCATCTATCTTTCTATTATCTACCTATCAGTCATTTATAATCTATCTATCATCTTTTTATCTATCTTGCTATCTATCATCTATTGATTACTTTTCTATCATCTATCGGTCATCTATTATCTATCTGTCAATCTATCATCTTTCTAACTTTCTATCATCCATCCATCCATTCATTCATCATCTATCAATCATCTATTTACCATCCTTCTATCATTTATCCCTTCATCCACCTATCTATCTATCATCTGATCTATCAATCATCTATCTATCCTTCTATCACCTACCTGTCAATCAGCTATAATCTATCATCTTTCTATGTATCTGTGTATCTGTCCATTTATCCTTCTATCCATCTGTCACCTATCAATCTATCATCTTTCTATCATCCATCCATCTATTCATCCATTATCTATATGTCAATCATCTATCATCTTTCTACCATCTATCCATCCATCCACCTATCTCTCTATCATCTAATCAATCATCTATCCTTCTATCAGCTACCTATCAATCATCTATAATCTATCATCTTTCTATGTATATATATATCTGTGTATCTATCTATTCATCCTTCTATTCATCTATCACCTGTCAATCTATCATCTATCATCCATCCATCTATTCATCCATTATCTATATATCAATCATCTATCTATCATCTTTCTACTATCTACCTATCCATCCATCCACCTATCTATCATCTAATCTATCAATCATCTATAACCTATCATCTTTCTATCTTGCTATCTACCATGTATTGATAATTTATTATCTATCTATCATCTATCATTTTTCTATTATCTATCTTCTATCTGCCAATCTATCTAACAATATTTACATTTTTTTTTTTGAGATGAAGTCTCGCTCTGTCGCCCAGGCTGGAGTGCAATGGTGTGATCTCGGCTCACTGCAACCTCTGCCTCCTGGATTCAAGTGATTCTCCTGCCTCAGCCTCCCAAGTAGCTGAGATTACAGGCCCCTGCCATCATGCCTGGATAATTTTTTTTGTATTTTTGTAGAGATGGGGTTTCACCATGTTGGCCAGGCTGGTCACAAACTCCTAATCTCAGGTGATCTGCCTTCCTCAGCCACCCAAAGTGCTGGGATTACAGGCGTGAGCCACTGCGCCCAGCCAATATTTACATTTATACAATATCTACATCTATCCGTCATCTATGATTATTCTCTATCTTTCATCCATATATATCTACTTATCTGTCATCTATATCTACATCCATCCATCCATCCATCCATCCAGCATCTATCTGATTATAAGAGAAACAAAAGAATTTATTCATTGAAAAACTTAGATGATTTCAGAAAGTGAACAGGAAAACAGACTGTCCCCTGCACGCGGGCTCTCCGCATAGCACGGGCCACATGATATTGGATATCAGAACACACGTGCTGTGACCAGGTGGGGGCTGATCCAGGGGTGGGCTGCTGAATAATGGCTCGAAGACGTCCACGTCCTGGTCCCCAGAACCTGTGCCTCTATCACCTGACCTGGCAAAGGGGCCGCAGATGTGAGCTGCAGGTCTGGAGGTGGGGAGGGTCCTGGGCTGCCCAGGTGGGCCTGACGTCACCCCGCAAGGGTCTTTGTCAGAGCGGGAGGGAGGTCAGAGGCTCTCAGACCCGGCACTGCTGGCTTGAAGAGGAGGAAGGGGCCTCCAGGGCTGGCAAGGGTCAGCAAACAGGTCCTCCCTGCAGCCTCCAGAAGGAGCCAGCCCTGCCCATTCACTTTAGGCTTCTGGCCTGCAGAGCTGAGAGAAAATAAATGTGTGTTGTTTCAGGTTGCTAAGTTTGGGGTACTTTGTCACAGCAGCAGTAGGGAACTAGTACATGAGGCTTGGCCAGAAAAGGTGCCGTGGTCGATCAGAGACACCTGCCATGGCCACGGAAGGGGACAGCATTTGCATGTCATGGCCACAGAAGGGGGCAGCGTGTGCATGCCACGGCCACGGAAGGGGGCAGTGTTTGCATATTTTACCTTCGTCATTTATCCTCAGTGGCATTAAGCACACTCACAGTATTATGCAGCAGTCACCACCATCATCTCCAGAATGCTCCATCTTCCCAACTGAAACTTCGTTCCCATGAAAACTCACTCCCCACCCACCTCTGCAGCCCCTGGCACCCCCATCCTACATTTCCTCTCTATGAATTTGACTGCTCTAGACACCTTTTTTTTTTTTTTTTTTTTTAGACAGGCTCTAGCGCTGTCACCCAGGGATCTCAGCTCCCTGCAACCTCTGCCTCCCAGGTTCAAGTGATTCTCCTGTCTCAGCCTTGGGAGTAGTTGGGACTACAGGCACCCACCACCATGCCGGGCTAATTTTTATATTTTCAGTAGAGACAGGGTTTCGCCATGTTGGCCAGGCTTGTCTCGAACTCCTGACCTCAGGTGATCCACCCACCTTGGGCTCCCAAAGTTCTGGGATCACAGGCATGAGCCACCGCACCCACCCCTAAGTTGAATTTTTTGAGAAGCCACCGGGCTGTTTTCTTCAGTGGCTGCACCATTTTACACTCCCACCAGCAATCCATTTGGAGTTTTCTTCTGTGCACACACATGTCCATTTTTTTCTTTCCACAAAATCAGAATCTTCTATCTGCCAGTTCATGACCTGCCCTTTTCCCGCAACGGTATACGATGAGACCTTTCCTGTGCCACGAGGAATTCTCCTGTAGCATTGAGTTTAGTGCCTGCACGATGCCCTGCTGGTGGATGGCCGCCATTTACTTACCCAAGTCCTCTGATGGGCTGCCAGCTGATTTCCAGCCTTTGGCTGTTACAAACAACACTGCGGTGAACGTCCCGAACCCACCACTTTGCTTTCCACCTTTATCCTCTCAGGGTGGATACCTGCACTCATGCTCACCGGCCCAGGGTGAGAGCCCCTCCGAGCCTGCCGAAGCACGTCACCCAGGAGCCCCCAGAAAGGCCATGCCAGCTTACGGCCCATCAGCTGTGCTGGCAGCGTAGCCATTTCCCCAACAGAGGATCTATCCTTTCAAAACATTGCAAATCGACAGGCAACATTGGTCTGTAAGGAGGTGGGGATGCCGGACCTCTGGAGAGACTCCATCAGGGAGTGTCCTGTGAACTGCAGGCTGGCTAGGTGTGGGGGCTCACGCCCGTCATCCCAGCACTTTGGGAGGGCTGAGGCAGGAGGATCGCTTGAGCCCAGGAGTTTGAGAAAAGCCTGGACAGCATAGTGAGACACCATCTTTGCAAATAATTTCAAAAAATAAAAAAATTAACAGGGCATGGTGGTGTACACCTGTGGTCCCATCTATTCAGGAGGCAGAGGTGGAAGGATCACTTGAGCCCAAGAGTTTGGGGCCGGAGTGAGCCATGATCACTCCACCACACTCCAGCCTGGGCAACACAGCAAGACACCTTCTCAAAAAATAAAACAAGACAAAAAGAAAAATCAGGCTGAGAAGGGGCCCTGGGGAGGTGGGGAGGCAGGGCTTGGCTGCCCACTGTCTCTGATACAGTGTGTTGGAGACACCACCTCCCCTTGGGGCCCAGGGCCTCCCACCACCCTGCAATCTCCGCCTGGGCTGCCCCTGGGGGGACCTCTGGGTGAATGCAGACATCAGTCCGTGTCTAATTTATCCACTTTCTGTCTTTCATGCCATTTTCCTCTTTCATTCATTTAATAAACATTTCCTGAGTTCCTGCCATGTGCCCTGTACCAGGCACGGTTCCTGCCCTCATGGGCGGAGTTTACGTCCACTCAGAGAGCAGAGGAAAGCCAAGGAAACAAACCAATGAGGGTCTCGTTAGAAAGCGTCGGGCCAGGACCGGGCGCGGTGGCTCACACCTGTAATCCCAGCACTTTGGGAGGCCGAGGCGGGCAGATCACGAGGTCAGGAGATCGAGACCATCCTGGCTAACACGGTGAAACCCCATCTCTATTAAAAATACAAAAAAGTAGCCAGGCGTGATGGCGGGCACCTGTAATCCCAGCTACTCGGGAGGCTGAGGCAGGAGAATGGCGTGAACCCAGGAGGCGGAGCTTGCAGTGAGTGGAGATCGCGCCACTGCACTCCAGCCTGGGCGACAGGCAAGACTCTGTCTCAAAAAAAAAAAAAAAAAAAAGAAAGAAAGAAAGTGTCAGGCTGGGCGTGGTGGCTCATGCCTGTAATCCCAGCATTTTGGGAGGCCAACGTGGGTGGACTGCCTGAGCTCAGGAGTTCAGGTCCAGCCTGGCCAACATGGCGAAACCCTGTCTCTACTAAACATACAAAAATTAGCCGGGCGTGGTGGCGCATATCTGTAATCCCAGCTATCTAGGAGACTGAGACAGGAGAATTGCTTGAACCTGGTAGGTGGCAGCTGCAGTGAATCAAGATCGTGCCATTGCACTCCAGCCTGGGGGACAGAGTAAGACTCTGTCTCAAAAAAAAAAAAAAAAAGAAAGAAAGAGAGAGAGAGAAAGAGAGAGGAAGAAAGTGTCTGAGCCGAGAAGGAGACCCGCAAGACAGGCTCGCTCCCGCTGCAACAGACAGGCCAGTCAATGTGATTTGGGTTTGCGTCCTTGCCCAGACCAGAGGCAGAACTCTAATCCCCAGTGCTGGAGGCGGGGCCTGGTGGGAAGTGATTGGATCACGGGGGTGGATTTCCCCTTTGCTGTCCTCGTGGTAGTGAGTGAGCTGTCGCGATATCTGGTGGTTTTTTTTGTTTGTTTTTTCATTAATTTATTTTTACTAGGAGACAGGGCCGGGCGTGGCGGCTCACACCTGTAATCCCAGCACTTTGGGAGGCCGAGGCGGGTGGATCACCTGAGGTCAGGAGTTCGAGACCAGCCTGGCCAACATGGTGAAACCCCGTCTCTACTAAAAATACAAAAATTAGCCAGGCATGGTGGTGGGCACCTGTAATCCCAGCTACTCGGGAGGCTGAGGCAGGAGAATCGCTTGAACTCAGGAGGCAGAGGTGGCAGTGAGCCGAGATCATGCCAATGAACTCCAGCCTGGGCAACAAAGCAAAAAAAAAAAAAAAAAAAAAAAAAAAAAACAGACAGAGAGAGAGACAGGGTCTTGCTTTGTTGCCCAGGCTGGTCTTGAACTCCTGGCTTCAAGTGACCCTCCTGTCTCAGCCTCCCAAAGTGCTGGGATTAAAGGTGTGAGCCATCACACCCAAGATCTGGCTGTTTAAAAGTGTGTGGCCCCTCCCCCTTCACCCTCTTCCTCCTGTTCCAGCCACGAAAGACATGCTCCAATCCACTGTGACTGTGAGTTTCTTGAGGCCTCCCAGCCATGCTTCCCGTACAGCCTGTGGAACCGTGCATCAGTTAAACCTCTTTTCTTTATTAACCCCATCTCAGGTATTTCTTTATAGCTTTGTAAGAACAGACTCATACAAGCTCCCACTAGGAAAAGGAGGTCCTCTGATCTGGCTTATGTCCTAAAGAGAAAAAAAAATCAGCATCTTATAATTACAACAACCTTAAAACCACCACCTTTGCCCCAGATTAAAATTCTAACTGTGGTGGGCACAGTGTCTCATGCCTGGAATCCCAGCACTTTGGGAGGCCAAGGTGGGCGGATCACTTGAGGTCAAGAGTTTGAGACCAGCCTGTCCAACATGGTGAAGACCCAGTCTCTGCTAAAAATACAAAAATTAGCTGCGTGTGGTGGCGGGAGCCTGTAATCCCAGCTACTTGGGAGGCTGAGGCAGGAGAATCGCTTGAACCCGGGAGGTGGAGGCTGCAGAGAGCCAAGATTGCCCCAGTACACTCCAGCCTGGGTGACAGATCAAGACTCCGTCTCAAAAAAAAAAAAAAGTCCTAACCGGTTGGGTCAACAAAGTCACTTAAAGGTAACAGGGCACCAGTCAGAAAATCGGAGGTGATCATGCAATAACGATCAACAAGTACCTCGTGATATGATTGACATGATTCTCATGTTTCTCCGTCCCAGAGTTAGAAGGACCAACCTCCCCAGGCCACTGCCCTGCCCGGAGAGAGTCCACTCGAGAGATTCCGAGGGTGCAGGGAAAGCTATGCGGAAGTGTCGTGCCTGGCTTTTAGTCCTGTCCCATCTGTGCGACCTTGGACGTCTCCTGTTGACCTCTCAAAGCAAAACTAGACCTTTTTCTTTGCTTCCTGGGGGCCCAGGTAGATGACGTTTCCGAGCCTCCTGGGCAGATAGATGCAGAAATGTGAGCGAGCTGTGGTGGATGAAATGTGGGCAGAAGTGTCAGAAGCCACTTCGGACCTGTCTCCTAAGTCTTCTCAGAGTTCCCAAGAGTCCTCCTCCGCTCTCCTTCCTCACTGGCCAACCAGGCAGGTCCAGTGGGTTCCGGGTCCCCGAGGAAGGGTGGATCCCCATGTGGGAAGTAGCTCAGGACTCCGAACCCCCTACATGTTCAGCTCAGGACCCCGAACCCCTGCAGACTGTGAAACGCCTACTTGCTCTGGACAAGAGCAAGGAATAAACTTCTGTTTTGTTAAATCGTCGGCCTTTGATGGGCTGTTTTACATAGCAGCTAGCACTATTTATCCTCAGATATGGGATCCTGGCAGAATCTATGTCATAGGGTTGCTGTAAAGATCCAGTGAGCCGGCCAGGCACAGTGGCTCACGCCTGTAATCCCAGCACTGTGGGAGACCGAGGTGGGCAGATCACTCGAAGTCAGGAGTTCAAAACCAGCCTGGCCAACATGTCAAAATCCCATCTCTACTAAAAATACAAAAAAAAATGTTAGCTGGGTGTGGTGGCCTGTGCCTGTAATCCCAGCTACTTGCGGGGCTGAGGCATGAGAATCGCTTGAACCCGGGAGGCAGAGGCTGCAGTGAGCCAAGATCATGCCACCGCACTCCAGCCTGGGTGACAGAGAGAGACTATTTCAAAAAAAAAGAAAAAAGATCCTGTGAGCTAATTCATGTGCACCCCTTTACTTTGTGTGGGATAAGTGTTAGCAGATGTTATAATAGCACGTAGCCCCCGCCTTCCTCCCTGCCCTCCCACCACCACTCAGCACTCACACACTGATGCTTACAAGTGTCCATTTATTTATGGACAATAAACTCTTCTTGTGGACAGTAAACTCTTTGAACTTAGGGTACTTGAGGTTGCTGGTGACAGAAAACACAATTCAAACTGGCTTAAGCCAAAGAAGGAATCTGTTCTCTCACTTGTGTGAAAATCCAAGGGGCACCAGCTTCAGGAGCGGCGGGTTCCCCGAGTTCATATGATGTCATTGTAACCCAGCGTCTTTCTGTCTCTTGGTTCTGATGTTTTCTGTGTTGGTGTCTTTCTTTTTTTAAAACTATTTTTATTTATTTATTTTTTTTTGAGACGGAGTCTTGCTCTGTCGCCCAGGCTGGAGTGCAGTGGCGCAATCTTGGCTCCCTGCAAGCTCTGCCTCCCGGGTTCACGCCATTCTCCTCCCTCAGCCTCCCGAGTAGCTGGAACTACAGACGCATGCCGCCATGCCTGGCTAATTTTTTGTTTTTGTTTTTTTTTTTTTTTTGTAATTTTAATAGAGACAGGGTTTCACCGTGATAGCCAGGATGGTCTCGATCTCCTGACCTCGTGATCTGCCTTCCTCGGCTTCCCAAAGTGCTGGGATTACAGGCGTGAGCCACCGCACCCGGCCATTGGCATCTTTCTTAGTGCCATCATGATGGCAAGACAGCTGCCGTGGCTCCAGACCAGAACTGAATCCAGAGGAAAAGGGGGCCAGCTTTGCTTTCACTGATGACTCGCTGGCCTGAACTGGGTCATGTGATCACCCCTAAACCCATCATGTAGCCAAGACAAGGCATGGCTCATTGCAGCCTGCATGGTGCCCGACCCAGGGCCGTGACCCCCTGAGCCTCAGTTTTCTCATCTGGAAATTGAAGATAATCATGACACCCCCCACCACGTTGTTGGGATGATGGCTGAGGTCTGACACGCAGGAGATGCAGAGGTGAGGCGTGTTCTCTGCCTCCTCTGGTTTTGGCGGTGCAGGCCTGGAGGGTCCCTTCTCCCTCCATGCCTCAGTTTCTAAGGAGACAGCCGCAAGAGGTCTGGCCTCATCTCCGTGTTCATGCCTATGGTCCAGCACACAGTAGGCACTCAATAAATGTTTGTCAAATAAATGTGTGCGGTGTGTGTGGTTCCAGGGGTCATTGGTGGAAACCATGGGGAAGGGTTTGGACGTGGGAGGTGGTGGTGATAGGGAGACAGAATCCGCTAAAAATGAGAATGTGCTTGCTAACTCATAGAGATGCCCAGAGACAACGTAGGCTGTCTCTGGAGGTAGTGAGCTCCCCGTCAGCAGAAGCATTCAAGCGGAGGTCAATGTCACTTCCAAAATCCTTTCTACGATTCCTTGCCTCTGCACTTCCACAGCTCTGCAGGCTGCATGATCGAAGCTCTGGCCCAGGCCAGGTGTAGCTGGCTGGCTTGGCTGTGCTGGACTCCCAAGGCTGGGCTGGAGCCTTGAGCCTCCCAAGCGCCCCAGCCCTGCATGAGACAGAACTATCGGTATCCATGCTCATATCCACACTGGGGCTGACAGGGAGGGTTGAGCCCAGCGACTCTGCGTGGGTCACATGGTGGTCACTGCTGGCTGAAGTGGGCAGAGCCACAGGCAGGTTCCAGCAAAGATTAAAAACCTTCTGTGCAAATACCCCAAGGAAAAACTTGAAAATCTTCCCCTGAAACCTCTTCCCGCTGACTCTCTCCGTCCCGTCCCTCTGTCTGCCTCTGTCCAGCTGCATTTCCCTTTGGGATCTGGCCCCCTTGTCTCTCTTGGTTTCTCTGCCTCTCCATCTTCCTCTCTCCCTGGGAGGAGGTGGGCCAGGGAAGGGGATGTGGGGCGCTTTGCCAACCTCTCCTCTGTCGTCTCACACCTTTGAAGCCCCCTCTCTGCAGGGAGGGGCTTGGCTGTGGGAGCCTCAGGGTTTTCCGTCTCTACTCCCAGACCACCCCCAGGGCCTCTCTGCCCACACAGGGAGCAGTTTGCAGACGAAGCAGGTGCAATGGGGAGGGGTCCAGGAAACCTGGCAGTGTCTGTGCCTGGCCTGAGTGTCCCCAGGGCTCCTGGGGTCTCCGTCCCGGCCTCCACCTCCCCACTGCCCTGTCCAAAGGAAGGAAGGGCAACCCTCACCACACTGCACCATCCACACTGCCCCTCCACATGAGCTGGTCCGGTCCTGCTAATCCAGCCTCACCAGCCACACCACAGCACGTGCCTGCAATCCCTTGCCCGCCTTGCCCGCCATCTCATATCCCACACAGCAGGGCCCCTTTTGGGGGAGCAATCCCATTACAGGCTGCCTGGGGTCGCAGTGGTCTCAGCTAGCCCCACCTAGTAGGGCACGTGATCTAACGCTCCGGGCCTCAGTTTCCTCGTTTGTAAAATGGAATTAAATGCACACAAATGTTTAGGTTAATGGGCGCCCTGGAGGTGGGGGGACCCTCAGCGAATTAGTGCTGGAGTCGTCCCAGGGCCATCGGCTGAGACAGCCTGGGTGGGGTCGGAGGTGGGCGATGGATCAGTGTGGGGGTGGGGGGGCCGATGTTGGGGGGTGGTCTGCGGTGAGCGGGGCCTGCGGTGGGTGGGGTCCGCGGTGGCTGGAGACCATGAAGTGGGCGGCAATTGGGATGGGCTGGGGTCCGAGATAGGCGGAGCTTACAGTGGGCTGGGTCCGGGATGGGCAGGGTCCGTGGTGGGCCAAGGTCCTAGGTGGGCTGGGTCGGGCAGAATCTGCGGTAGGTGGGGTTCAGGATGGGCTGGAGTCGCTGCCGGTCAGGTCAAGAATGGGCTAGGTCCGTGGTGGGCGGGGTGCAGGATGGGCGGGGTCCGCGGTGGGCAGGGCCTGGGATAGGCGTGGTCTGGAGGGGTGGGGTCGGTGGTGGGCGGGGCTAGGGACGGGCGGGGTCAGGGATGGGCCGGTGTCTGGGATGGGCGGGGCCTAGGATGGGTGAGGTCCGCGGTGGGCGGGGTCCGGGATGGGCCGGGGTCCGCGCTCCCGCCCGCAGCCCGCAGGGGGCGTTCCTGGTCGCTCGGAGCCGCGCGGTCTCCGAAGATGAGCTTCCTACCCTGGGGCGATGCAGCCGCGCCCATCTCCGATCCGGATGGCGCCACTCACCGCGGAGTGACAGCTGCGGCGCCCCTGGGGGGCTGCGGGCCTGCGCCCCGCGGCTGGGGGCACACGAGAGGCCGCGCCCGGGGCCCTCGCTGTCCTCCCCTCTCCTGGAGTTCCCCGGGGAAGGCCTCCCCATCTGCCACCCCGCCCGGATTTCTCACCTTGCTGGGTTCGATCCCATCTGGCGCCCGACTCCTCTGCAGGCGGGTGTCGGAAAATAGGCGGGAATCTGCACTCGCCAGGCAGGGGCGGGGAGAGCGCAGCCCGGGGTTCAGCTGGTTGGCTGAGAGCCCGGCTGGGTGTCCTGGGGAGAGCCTTGGTCCTCTCAGCCTCAGTTTCCTCATCTGTGAAACGGCTGCTGGGCGCCCCTGCCTGGGGAAGGACGGGGCCGGAGGTGGGGCCTTGGCAGGTGCTGCCACCGGAGGCCGCTCAGGAACGGGGGGGCTGCTGTATGGGGTTAGATCCTGTTACAGGATCTCAGACACCAGAGAACCCGCAGATTAGAGGTGCTTTGCCGCAGAGGTGCTGTGTGTCCTTGGGCAGGTGGCACCCCCTCTCTGGCCCCCAGAAAGGAGCAGGTTGGGAGAGATGCAGGCTGGGGGCCTTGGGCCCTGAGATTTCTGCTTTCCTGCCTGGGTTCTGCAAAGCTGCCTTTCTCCCTTGGGGGCAGGGCTGAGGCCCTGGGGAGGGGGAATGAAAACAAACACACTTCAATCCCTGCAGAGGTGGGAGGCCCCTCCCCAGCGCTCTCTGAATTCCTCCAGAGCAGGCGCAGGCAGTGAGGTGGACAGGGCACTGCTAGACGCGTCTTCCCTCTGGGGCTGGGGACGGCCTCCACCAAGGCCTGGAGAGCCATCTTCCCAGGGTCGGCCGCACACTCAAACCCGTGGCCACTTGACAGATGGGGAAACTGAGGCTGGAAAGGCAGAAGAACGTGCTCAGTCACCCCCACGGGCAAGGTGGTGTTGGTGGCCTTGGAGACTGGCTCCTGTGTGCTCCCACCACCCCCTGCTTGAGTGACCTCTGCATTAGAACACACCCCCCTCTGCCCAACAACCATGATTTACGAGGATTTCAACAGTGTTTGTGTCTTCTTGGAAAGCAATTTGGGGACGGGTGCTTTGATTGTGGAGTCCAGCGTCTGGGAACCCCTCCTCCGAGAATGATCCGAAAACCATACAGCGCCTCCTGCTCAAAGATGTTCAGGGCAGTCAGTGTTTATAGCCGCGAAAAATTGAGCCTAACAGCAGCGTCCAAGGAGGTCTCTGGGATGGATATTTCTCGAGCTGGGAGCAGCACTGGGGAATTGCTGATGTGGAACTCAAGAGAAGAAAAGGTGCAAAATGAAATCTGTATGGTAGAGAACGCATGCACAAACACGGCCCAGGCACGGAGCCGGCCGAGGGCAGAGCGGGACGCCACCCGGCCTGGGTGAAGCCTTCCTGCCTCGGCTGGCCTGTAAGCATGGACTCTGTTGCTCACGGGAGAAAAAACATCATTTAAACAGCAAATTATTTAAAGCCCCATTTGTATACTGAAGTATTTATGAGCGAAATGATATGGTGTCTGGGATTTGTTTTAAAACTCACTCCAGATGTATTGGTGCATTACTTGTGCAATTAACAAGGAAGTTTAATAAAAGCCCGCTGTGTGTGTTTGGGAGGGTCTGCGCCGGGCCTTGGCAGGGCTAGGGGTGGCATCTGCGGCGAGTGTGGCTGAGGCCCGAGCTGGCATCCTGGGTTAGTGTCCCAGCTCTGCACCAGTCAAACGGTTCAACTTCCTGGGTTTCAGTTTCTCTCCCACAGGGTGGGGTCTAGGATGCAGGGACGGGATGAAGGGGGTCCTTCAGCAGGGGATTCCTGGGAAGGAGGGCTGGGATGTGGGGGCCCCGGGGGCAGGATCCAGGCCTGAAGGGGTGGCATTGGGGCTTCCTGGCATTCCATCAGGTCACAGTAGGGGAAGCAGCCTGAGCTGCTGGATAGGCTCTGCAACCTCTCTGTGCCCAGTCCTGATGCTAGATAGGATATGCATCTGGGCTGCAGACCCAGGCCCCGAGGGCACCCGCAGGCAGCTGAGGAGGGCAGGGCTGGGTGCCCTGGGACCGCTGGCCTCCCCTGGGACTGCCTGGCTTTGTGTGTGCCTCTTGGTTCCCCGGGGATGCCTGGCTGACGGCAGCCCTGCGTTTACAGAGCACGAGGGTCTTGTCAGCAGAGACTGTGCATGTGGGGTCTGCTCACTGGCTGGGGGCGTCCGGACCCAGGTGTTTTTCTGACCCCACACCCCTCCCCAAGGCAGATCAAGGCACAAGAATTGTGGAGCCGGGTGTCGGGTGCAAGTTCAGGCCTGTAGCTAGCTGTGGTCATGGGCGACCATCTCACCTCCCTGCACCTCCGTTCTTCCTCTGTAGAATGGGGTGGGAGGGGTTAATGAATACACGTCCAGCTTGGCAAGAACCCCCTGGCATCGAGCATCCCTCCCCAGCGTCCGCCTGCTTGGCTATGGCCCCCCAGCCCCTGAGTTGCTCAGCCAAGTGAGCTGAGCTGGGTGTTCCGTCCTTTGCAGCCCAGAGCACCCCAAGAGAAATAGCCTGAACTGCGCCTTTTTGCTTCTCTGACTCCTCTGGACATGAGGTCTGAGGTTGGGACTGGGTCTTCCTTGCCTCAGTACCCCGGGACCTAGAATAGAGCCCAGCACAAGGTGGGGCATCCAGGGGACACCCCACTGCAATAAGAACAGAACCCAACCCCCTACCTGTCCTCAGTCGGACCCTCCTGGGCCTCAGTCGGCTTCTCCTGGCCACTGCTGTCACCTCTGCAGAGGGGCCTGCCCTGCCACCCTGCCACCCTGCCTTGCAGCAGCATTTCCCCTCCCCCGTGCTCTTCCGACCATGTGACCTTGGTCCCAGCCCATCAAGACATGGAGGTGATCTTCCCTCGTCTGGAATCTGGGGCCATGACTGCAGCAGAATGACACTAAGTGACTTCCAAGGCTAGGTCATAAAAGGCTGTTGTCTGTCCTCTTGGGACACCTGCCCACAGAACCCTGCCACCATGTTGTGAGGAAGCTCAAGCAGTGACGTGCAGGTGCCACGAGCAGGCATCCTCTGCACCCAGGCTGAACTGGACCTGCAGAGTTCATGAGCGCAGTAAGATGATCGCTGCTTTAGTCTGGGGTGGTTTGATGGACAGCAGTAGATACCTAGAATGTACCTTCCTAATGGACGTTTTTCTCAGTATCTTTTCTACTTAAAATTGCCTAATTTATTTGTGGTTTACATATCCCTTGTTGGCCAGCCCCAGTAGAACGCACACTCAGGACAAGTGTCTGCCTTGTTCTCTGCCATCCCCCCAGTGCCTAGAACAGTGCCTGGCACACAGGGGCCTCAGGAGGTTCTTTTCAGGTGAACAGACATGCAGCCTGGCTGCAGAGCATGTGACGTGCCTTCCTCTCACTCCCTGTGCTGTGTCTTTTGGGGTCTTTGGTTCAAAGTCACAAAAACCAGCTTTGACTAATTGGAGCCAAAAATATTCAGGAAGGGATGGTGGTTAATGAGCCCCAGGAAGCTGAAGACCCTGGTGAGCAGGGGTGGGACAGGGCCCCTGGCGAGGTGTGCAGCAGGAAGCTGGCAGGAGTTTGCGGTTGGGACAGGTGGACCAGGGTTGTGTCACCGCGCTGCTCGGCGCATGAGGCCCCATCCTCCTCTACCCCTTTGCTGTGGCTCAAGGTAAAGGCTGGTGATCCTGTGTCCGGTCAGCCACCTCAGGCCTGGTGCCTGCCCCTTGTCTGGGAGAGGGCTGGCCCCAGCTACCATGGGCACCCGCGACAGACCATGTCAGTCCTCGCAGAGAAGATGAGGAGCCCCTGGGAAGGGAGCAGAGGCTTGGCAGGCTGGGAGGCACTTGAGTATCCTGTCCATTCTGCAGCTGAACAGAGCCCAGGCAAGGGCCAGCCTTCAGGAGCCCAAGGTGTTGGTGGAGCAGCTAAGGAGGTGAGGGCAGCTCCCAGAGGGGATGCAGTGGGGAGGGCCCTGCAGGATGCTTTCAGGAGGGTGGGTACCTCCTGGGGAAGCCCCCAGGCCCTCTTCCTTGGGGTCCTAGGCCTCGGCATACAATGCTGGCTCCTGCCTGCCCCACTGGCCTTGGCCTGGCCCATGCAGCCCAGCCTGGGAAGGGTTAAGTTTCGGCCTCCCCCAGCGACAGGCTGGCCTGATCTTCCGAATCCTCTTTTAATTATTTTGTTCTGGCGAAGGCAGATGCCTCTCGCCTGCTCTGCCGACTGGTGTGTGTGGCCGGGCCCCTGTGGACACCTGCCCGGGAAGACAATCAAGGCAGCCCTGTGTCCCACCCAGATGTGGGTGACCACGCCAGCCGGCGGTGCTGGACTCTGCCAGGTCTCCCTCATAAATGCCATGGAAGTAGTCGGAGCTGGTGGGGAGCATAGACGACAAACTGAGTGGGAGGAGGCCTGGGGAGCAGCCCCGTTTGATGGACCCAGAAACTGAGGCCCAGGGGGAGTGAGGCTCACCCATCACCCCTCTCGGCCAGTGAGTGCCGGGGTCCAGTGTAAACCAGGGAGCTCAGCCCGGGTCTCACCACAGGAGTAACACCTGTCACTCCTGAGTCACTCCTGAGTCAGCCCCCGCTCCTCTCCAGCCATCCCTGCAGGGTAGAGAGTGGACTCCTGGCAGCCCCAGCCGCCCCCACGCCTCCCTCCTGAGCTCACCTGCCTTGGTTCCCGCCGTCTCCCCCAACTCACTCCCGGATTCTCCCAGGTCAAAGACGGCCTCCTCTGCACTCCTACTGTGCCGGGAACAGTCGTCACCCCCAGGCGGTGGGCCCCTGCCCAGGGGGTCTTACTTGCACACGAATGTGGGGGGCATTTGGTCCCATGGAGCAGCCGGGTCCCAGCACGCCCAGGAAGGCAGCGTTTGGCTCTGTGGGTTGAACGCCCGCCCCCTGTCTGGAGAGCACCTGGTGGAGAGGGGTGTCCGGACACACACGTCTCCCATAGCCCCCACACAGACGGCGTGGCTCGGCTCTGGATGTGTCCATGGAACATAGTCAGGGCCGTGGAACAGGTAAGAAGCCTGACACAGGGGAGATGGAGATGGGGAGTGAGGAGTGGGCGTTCACCAGGGGCAGGGTTTCAGTTTGGGAAGGTGAGAACGAGAATGTTATGTGGATGGATGGTGGTGATGGCCGCACGAGGACGTGAATGTGCTTAACGCTACTGAATTGTGCGCCTAGCAATGCTGACGGTGGGGATTCGTTATATTTAATTTTTTAACATATTTACTTATTTATTTTCGAGATGGAGTCAGGCTGTGTAGCCCAGGCTGGAGTGCAGTGGTGTGATCTCGGCTCACTGCAACCTCCGACTCCTGGGTTCAAGTGATTCTCACGCCTTAGCCTCCCAAGTAGCTGCGATTATAGGCGCCCATCACCACGCCTGGCTAATTTTTGAGATAGGGGTTTTGCCATATTGGCCAGGCTGGTCTTGAACTCCTGACCTCAGGCGATCTGCCCGCCTCAGCCTCCCAAAGTGCTGGGATTACAGGTATGAGGGTATGAGCCACTGTATCTGGCCTAAGTTTTTTTTTTGTTTGTTTGTTTTTTTTTAGAGAGATTGTCTGGCTCTGTCACCCAGGCTGGAGTGCAGTGGTGCAGTCATAGTTCACTGCAACCTTGACCTCCAGGGCTCCAGTGATCTTCCCACCTCAGCCTCCCCAGTAGCTGGGACTACAGGTGCATGCCACCATGCCCTGCTAATTTTTTACATTTTTTGTAGAGATGGGGTCTTTCTATGTTGCCCAGGCTGGTTTGGAACTCCTGCCTTTGAGTGGCCTCTCAAAGTGCTGCGATTATAGGCACGTGCCACCGTGACCAGCCAGTGTTCTATTTGTTTGTTTTCTTATTTTTATTTTTTAGAGACAGGCTGTCGCTCTGTCACCCGGGCTGGAGTGCAGTAGCCCCATCATAGCTCACTGTAGCCTCGACTTCCCAGCCTCAAGCGATCCTCCCACCTTGGTCTCCCAAAGTGCTGGGATTGCAGGCATAAGCCACCGCACACAACCGAGATGGAGAACCTCAGGTACATTTTTCTTTTGAGTTGGAGCTTTGCTCTTGTTGCCTAGGCTGGAGTGCAATGGCACGATCACGGCTCACTGCAACCTCCACCTCCCGGGTTCGGGCAATTCTCCCACCTCAGCCTCCCGAGTAGCTGGGACTACAGGCATGCATCACCATGCCAGGCTAATTTTGTAGTTTTAGTGGAGACGGGGTTTTGCCATGTTGGCCAGGCTGGTCTCGATCTCCTGACCTCAGGCGATCCGCCCACCTTGGCCTCCCAAAGTGCTGGGATTATAGGTATGAGCCATCGCGCCAGGCCAGGTACATTTTTCATCACACAAAATGAGTGTATAAAAATCACAGCTTCTCACTGCTTTCGGCGTGCCGGCCAGCCTGCAGGGATCTGCTGAGCGCCCGGTGTGTCTGGCCCCATGGGAGGGAGCTGGACTGTGTTCCCAACTCCCTGAGGGTGGAGGCTCATATCTGACCACACAATCGGATGCTGGCCTGGGTCAGGGCACACACCCCTCAGCGTCCCTTGGGCGGGTCTTCACGCAGAAGCAGCCCCGGTTGGAGGGATGTGAGGCCTGAGAGGGGACTGGCACCCTGGGGCAGGACCAGCCTGGGCCCAGTGTGGGGGCTGGAGTCGCTGTGCCTGGGGCACTGGCAGAGGGGTCCCTGGCTAGAAAGTCTGTGAAGTCCCTTGGAGGGGAGACGGGGCTGAGGAAGGAAAGTGGGGGAAGGGGGAGGTGGGTTTTTTTGCTGGAAACCCCCACTCAGGGCAACCCCAGCTTGGAGGGTAGAGGATCGAATTAAATCCTGTTCATGAAATCCCACCCAGCTCTCCCACGGACCCCAATTCACTAATAATGGGGGATGGAAGGACACGGGCCTGCCCTATTTCCCATTTGATTCAAATGGGATTGAATTTTTTTAATCCTATAATAAAGTGACAATTTCCATTTTCCCAGGCAATTCATTTTCACAAAATGACCAGGGTCACGACCTGCTCTGCAAAAATCAGCACTCCGTGATTAAATCAAATCTGTAAGACGAGTTTTCCCAGAGATGCTTCCCGGCGTGGGGCCCGGTGGCCGGCTCCGGCTGTTAGACGTCAGCCAGGGGCCCTGGGGGCTGCAGGCTGCTCTCCCAAAACCCGGGCAGGTCTCAGCACCAGCCAAGCGACCTAGCTTCTCTGGCCTCAGCCTCCTCATCTCTGAAACCAGGATACTCTAGTCCCTCCCTCCTGGGGAGGGGGTGAGAATCGAATGAGACACGGCACCAAGGCCTCCCTCCATGTTGATTGTTCCACTGGTTATTCTTTTTAGAAGTGTTTATTTGTGTTTCAGAGTTGGGGTCTTGCTCTGTCACCCAGGCTGCAATGCAATGACGTGATCATGGTCCTCTGCAGCCTCCAATTCCTGGGCTCAAGCAATTCTGCCGATCCTGCCGCCTCAGCCTCCCGAGCCGCTGGGACGACAGGCAGGCGCCACCACGCCTGGCAAATTTTATTTTATTATATAGAAATGGGATCTTGCTGTGTTGTCCAGCCTGGTCTTGAACTCTGGGGCTCGAATGGTGCTCTCTCCTCAGCCTCCCAAAGTGCTGGGACTACAGGCGTGAGCTGCCATACCCAGCCTGATGATTATTTTTAATAATCTTATTATTATTATCTGAGGGACTCAGCCTTTGAGGCTGGATCTTGGGAAGCTCCTGCCCCCCTCAGGCTCCCTCCTGGGGCCCCAGGTCACCGTGACCCCCAGACTGGGGGCAGTGGATCCTCTTTGTCTCCATGGACACTACACCTAGGGACAAGCTGGGCCCCTCTCCCTGGAAATGGCCTCATGGGGACCTGCAGTCCAGCTCTGTCCCAGGGGGCCGGGGCCCTCTGCAGGCACCCAGCACTTCCAGGGCACCTGTGCAGGCCTTCCCGTAGCCAGAAATCAACATGAACCAGTGCCAGGGTGAGACTGTGGCCCTGTTGTATCAATAATTCCGATTTCCAGCACTTTGCAATCATTATTATCCCATTTGACAGATGGGGACAGTGATAGGCTCAGAGGGGCCAGGCAGCTGCCCAAGGCCAGTAAGTGGTGAAGCTGGGGTGGGGTCCAGGAAGCCTGGCCCCAGCCTCCCAGGTGGCCTGCCCAGGTTCCCTGCGAGCCTTCTCTCGTGGGGCCCCAGTGCAACCCTCAGAGGCAGGGCCCCAGAATCCCCGCTGCTCCCAGAGGGGTTGGGCCCATGCCCACTTCACAGCGGTGCCGCTGAGCCCTTGGGCGGCCCGGTGAGGGTGGCTCTGGCCTGGCCCCAGCTCTCTGCCCTTTGATGGGGGGTGCCCCAGGGGAACCTGCATTCTCCCCAACTTCCTGGTTCAGGGCCTTCCTGCTGCAGCCTCCCCACTCACCCAGCAGGTGCAGGGCTGAGGCCATGTTCACCGTGGTGTCCTGTGCCACCTTCCGGGAGGTCTCCGTCCTCTCCCCTCAGCTGGACTGAGGCTGTAGACGATTCAGAGCGATGGTGGGGAGGATCCTGGGTCCTGGATGACTTCGTGGAGCAGAGTCAGGTTGGCTGGGCTGCACTGAGTGCCCACCGCCCCCAGCACTGACCCCAGCCTCCAACACAGATGCAGACCCTTCATGCACACCTTTGGGAGTGAGCAACAGGCCATTAGAGTGTCTGGACCCGGGATGTGGGGCGTCTGGACCCAGGGTGTGGGGCGTCTGGACCTATGACGTGGGGCGTCTGGACCCGGGGCGTGGGGCATCTGTACCTAGGATGTGGGGCATCTGTACCTGGGACATGGGGCATCTGGACCCCGGGCGTGAGGTGTCTGTACCCGGGACATGGGGCATCTGGACCTGGGGTGTGGGGCGTCTGTACATCCTTAAACAGTGCTCCGTAGCCATCTGATGGACCAGCAGAGGAGAGGGGGTTCGTGGGGAGCCCCTGGGGCTCAGCAGAGGCAGAGAGGCTTGGAATGGGCTGAGGGTCTTCTCAGAAGTAGCCAGTCATGTCCTGGGGCCAGGTGGGGAGGCTACAATCCCTAGGAGAGGAGGCCCCCAAGGGGCTGGTCCTCACCCACCCTGTGCTGCCTCAGTCTCCCCACCTCCCTCCTGGTGGGCCCCACACCCACAGATCAGCTCTTCTCGGGGTGTTTTTCTAGCAGGGTGGGAGACAGGATCTGAGGAGACCTGTACCCCAGCCCTGCCCTGGCGTCATGGGCGTTGTCTCAGCTGCCCAGCCCCACCCCGGGCCACACCATGAAATCGAAATGGTGCCTCTAATGTGGGCACAGTCCAGGATCCCTGGGGGTGGCCCCTCACTCATTCCATTCAGCAAAAACTTCCTGACACCTGGCCAGGCATGGTAGCTCACGCCTGTAATCCCAGCACTTTGGGAGGCCAGGGCAGACGGATCACCTGAGGTCAGGAGTTTGAGACCAGCCTGGCCAACATGGTGAAACCCCATCTCTACTAAAAATACAAAAAAATTACCCGGGTATGGTGACACACGTTTGTAGTCTGAGCTACTTGGGAGGCTGAGATGGGAGCATCGCTTGAACCCTGGAGGTAGAGGTTGCAGAGAGCTGAGATTGCACCACTGCATCCCAGCCAGGGTGACAGAGTGAGACTTTGTCTCTCCCAAATAAAAGCAAAAACAAAAAACAAACAAAAAAAAACTTCCCGTCACCTGCCCCGAACCATGCCTTGGACTGCGCCCTAGGAGCCAGAGACAAGGTGGGGTGTGACCCAGGCCTGCCCGAGGGGCTCACGGCGGACTTCACAGTGGATGTCACAGCGGACTTCTCCCCTCAGCTCTGCAGCTCCCGGGAGAGCACATGCGGTGGGGATTTCCAGGAGAGGTGGGTTTGAGCTTTGGTGGGGCAGGGATGTGCCTGCAGGCTCAGGGAGGGGCCCTGGGGACCTTCAGGGTCCGTGTCGTCGGCCTGGGCTCAGGGTTTGATCAGTGAGGTCAGAACCACATAAAGGGGGCCCAAGAGGGCTGCCCACCCAGGCACTGCAGCCAGGGACCCCCACCCCTCTGGGAACCCCTCCTGCCCCTCTGGGAACCCCTACTGCCTCCTCCTGCCCCAGGAATCCACCATTTTCCTGCAAGGTGGGGACACAGAGTGGTCAGAGGGCTCAGCAATGTTCGCTACTGTGGTGTTTGTCTAAGCAATGGATGAATCCTGAGAGTGCCCAGGTGTTCTCCACAGGACGGGGGAGGAAACTGAGGCACAGGGGGGTGGAGTCACTGTCTCAAGGCTGCAGGGCAGAGAAGCAGAGGGTGGGGTTGAGCCTCGGCTCCCAGCACCCCCCCTCCACCCATCACCTACCTGGCTGCAGGCTCCAGGCCTGGTCTCTGCCTGTTTAACTCGGGAATGATCTGGCCTGTGGGTCACTGGCGCTGTGAGGTCTCCCGGGCCTGGGGGGACGGCGCCATCCTGTAAAGCCCCCACTTTAATTAGTGCGAAGCCGCCTGGCGTGCCGGCTGCCCTAGATGCTGGTAATTAAAGCAGGAGGGGCCGTGGCCGGAGGAGGCAGTCAGGGCGCCGCTGTCGCAGGAGGCCGACGGCTTTGGGGTGGGTGGGAGGGGCTGGGGCCACACGCATTGAGTTTTCATAAAAGAGAGCACCTGTTCATGTGACCACCTGGGAAGGTCAGCGCCCAAGTCGTGGGTTGGGGGTCTGTGTCTGGGATTCCTGGCCTCGGGCAAAACCAGCCTCTGGGGAGATGCTCCGTATGGGGTCACAGCAGGGACTGCCCGGCTCTGCCTCAGTTTCCTCCCAGGCTCAGGAAGAGGCTGCAGGAGGCTCTGGGGTACTTCTGCCTCTGCCTGTGAGGGAGTGTGGGGCCGGGTTGTAAGGACTTTGGGGTTGCACACACCTGGGCATGAGCCCTGGCTCCATGTGCCGCCTGGGGCCTCAGCGTCCTCATCTGGAAAATGGGGAGAACCCAGTCTCCCACCCGGGTTCCTATGAGGCCTCCGAGAGAAGGTGTTGCAGACGTGTGAGGCGGCAAATGGAGAGGCCCGTAGGGGAGGAAGGGCTGAGACACATCGGGCTCCACAGAGGCGGCTGTGGATCGCTGCTCCCCGTGGGCGGGCTCACGGCCCCTCCCAGTTTATAGCCTTGGGTCTCGGCCCACAGCCCATCTCTCCACTCGCCCCGTGACAGTCCCACCCAGGCCCTCCCTGGGCTCCAACCTCTTCTAAGCAGCTCCCCACCCTCCCTGGGTGTCCCGTGGCCCCTCGTGGGGCCCCCCAGTCTGCTCCTTCAGGTTCCTCCACTCCCAGCTGCAGTGCTGCCCCGTCCAGTAGACCTCCAGGGCTCCATTCCTGCAGGCACTGCATACCTACTGTGTGCTGAGGAAATGCCTACTGTGTGCTGCACGCCTGTTATGTGTTGATGACACAATTGTCGTGTGCTGAGGATTTACCTACTGTGCGCTAAAGATTTATCTACTGTGTGCTGAGGATTTACCTACTGTGCGCTAAAGATTTATCTAGTGTGTGCTGAGGATTTACCTACTGTGTGCTGAGGATTTACCTACTGTGCACTAAAGATTTATCTACTGTGTGCTGAGGAAATGCCTACTGTGCGCTAAAGATTTGTCTACTGTGTGCTGAGGATTTACCTACTGTGTGCTGAGGATTTACCTATTATGTGCTGAGGATTTACCTACTGTGTGCTGAGGATTTACCCACTATGTGCTGAGGATTTACCTACTGTGCGCTAAAGATTTATCTAGTGTGTGCTGAGGATTTACCTACTGTGTGCTGAGGATTTACCTACTATGTGCTGAGGATTTACCTACTGTGCGCTAAAGATTTATCTAGTGTGTGCTGAGGATTTACCTACTGTGTGCTGAGGATTTACCTACTATGTGCTGAGGATTCACCTACTGTGCGCTGAAGATTTATCTACTGTGTGCTGAGGATTTACCTACTGTGTGCTGAGGATTTACCTACTATGTGCTGAGGATTGACCTACTGTGTGCTAAAGATTTATCTAGTGTGTGCTGAGGATTTACCTACTGTGTGCTGCACACCTACTATGTGTTGCTGACACGATTGTCCTGAACTGAAGCTGAAGCTATGCTTACTGTGCGCTGAAGATTTACCTACTGTGTGCTGAGGACACTGCAGGGACCACGACAGACACATTCCTGTCCTCACATTGCTCACGGACAGGCAGTGACCAGATACACACATGTCCATGATAATAACGCAGGTGACAGGCACCGCAAAGGAAAATGAAGGCCAGGTGCGGTGGCTCACGCCTGTCATCCCAGCACTTGGGGAGGCTGAGGCAGGCGGATCACTTGAGGTCAGGAGTTTGAGACCAGCCTGGGCAACATAGTGAGACTAAAAAAAGTTAGCTCGGCACGGTGGCATGTGCCTGTAATCCCAGCTACTTGGGAGGCTGAGATGGGAGAAACCATTGAGCCCAGGAGGTCGAGGTTGCAGTGAGCCGAGGCCACACCACTGCACTCCAGCGTGGATGACACAGTAAGACCCTGTCAAAAAAAAAAAAAAAAAAAGGAAGGAAGGAAGGAAGAAGGAAGGAAGGAAGGAAGAAAACAAAAGAAGCAGGTAAAATTAATTTTAATAATGTGTTTTATGTAATTCAACCTATCCCAAATACTATCATTTGCCGTGGAATCACAATGTTGAGAAGTTTTACACTTTCTTTGGCACTGTGTCTTTGGGACTTTGGGATCTGGATGGGTTTCATGTTTTTGGGGCATCTTGACGTGGGCTGACGGAGAATGGCAGAGGCAGGCGGCACCTGCAGATCCCGGAGGAGCCTGGGCTCTATTCCAGGGGCACTCAGGAGCCATGGAGGGTTTGGAGCAGGAGGGACATGGTTGTGTTAACCTTTGAGAACCACCTGAGAAGCTGAGTGGAGGACGGACTTCAGGGCTGTTGAGGACAAGGCGGGAGGCAGCAAGGAGATGGCGTGAACGGTGACCCAGGTGACCACAGAGAGGAGGCGTCAGGCCTGGGTGCCTTGGTGGGGTAAGGGGTGTGGAAAGAGCAGAGTTGGGGGCTCTTGGGCGCTGGCCAGGAGTCCCTGGGAGGGTGGAGGTGACTGTCCAGCTGGGCAGGGGGCAGCAGAGGGGCAGCTCCCGATGTCGAGGGGCCCTTCTGGGGCAGCCCCTGCCCTGCCTGTCGGGCCAAACTCACAGAACCCCATAGGGGCTGGCTGACATGCAGAGGACACCGCCCAGACTGGTGTGGCTGCCGCCCCTTCCTGCTGGAATGGTGGGCGGGGCGGGCGAGGCTTCAGGGAGCGTTGTGCCAGCAGGAGGAACAGCCATGCAGGGTCACAGAGGAGCCAGTGGCTGCCACGGGCTGCAGTGGGGAGCGAGGCTGGCCAGGCCCCAGGAGCCTCGCAGGGTCCAGGGTGTCCTATCTAAGTGCAATGGTCAGTCACTGCCATGGGGCTGACTCGGGCTGACGGAATGAGATTGGTGCATAGAAAACTTCCCTCCGGCCTCGGCAGACGGATTCCAGGCTTCCCTCATGCCAGAGGGGCCGCAGGGGTGTAAGGGAAGCGGCTGGAGGTGGGTGCATGGAGCTCAGGAGGGAGCCAGGGGCCATCTGGCTGCAGGGTCAGGTGGCCAGGCTGTTAGTGGGGCCGTGGAGGGAGAAGAGGGTTTGGAGGGCATCCCTGCCAAGCCCTCCTAGGCCTGGTGTCCAGGGTGAGGGTCAGTGTGACACCGCCCATCCGCAGGCCTTCCCTCCCGCCTGCACCGCGCCCACCTCACCCACCTCACCATGCCGCAGCTAACACTGTCAGCTGGTAATTGTCCTGGTCCCTTTATCCTGCGCTTTAATAAATAATTTACCTGAATTATTCACATGGAAATTTCAACATTATTAAAAATTAACCAACTTAAATGAGTCCATGGTAAATAGCTGGGTGGCTCTTCCCAGGCTGGATGCCGAAGACCGGGACGGGGGCAGCCCCGAGGGGAGGGGCGGCAGGTGCAGGGCAGGTGAGCAGGGGGTGGGGATAGGCGGGCCTGCGGGGCCGACAGGGCCAGACCCACCCTTGGGAGCAGCCCCAAGGCAGCTTGGAGACAGAAGCCCTGTGCCCCTGACCCCTCACAGTCTGGGCAGCCTCAGGAAAGTATGCACCGCTCTGGGCCATTCGTGCAATGGGATGGCCCCCACTTGCTCAGAGGACTGTGGAGAGGGCCGGGCGAGGAGGGTAACCAGGGGCAACGTGGGATGGTGAGCAAGGAGCCTGCTTCCGTCTAGAAAGCAAATGCACTCTCCCGCCTGGCTGGGCCATGCACGGAAGTGCTTCCCGGCTCAGTGGGCATCAGCAGAGGAGCTCCCTGGGCATGGTGGGCCGTCCTGGGTATGGGGCGTCCTCAGCACCTGCAAGGCCTGGACACAGAGTGCTGAGCAAGGGGTGAGGGAGCTGATGCTTTGCTATAACCGTTTCCCAAGCATTTTCCTTAACATCTCTGCACAGAATGGCACCCCAGCGCCTGCGTCACTGAAGTCAACGTCCTGTGCAGCTTTATTCATTGTGATTAAAGGGTGGAATTGAAGGGTGCTAGGCTTTGGGGAAACATTCTAGATATCTAAACTAGTTGCTGTTTGCAAAATCGTCTTCACCAAACAGAGGTGCTGGGTGCAAATGATTTGGGGTCGGCGTGGCGCCTATGGACAGGGCAGCGGAGAAACCGTACTTGCCCGGTGAGCTGCAGAGGCCTGGGCTCAGAGAGCCTCGCCGGGAACCTGCCCCTGCCTGCACTGTCACCAACACCATGGCCATACAGGATCCCCGACAGGCCTGTGCCTCAGGCACCTCCATGTCGCAGGTGACAAAGCTTAGACACAGGAGGAAACAGATTGCCCTGCAAGGAAACGAGCCAGGGTTTGGACACAGGTGGCTCACGCCTGTAATCCCAGCACTTTGGGAGGCTGAGGCGGGCAGATCATTGGAGGTGAGTGAGAAGTTCAAAACCGGCCTGGCCAACATGGTGAAACCCCGTCTTTACTAAAAATACAAAAATTAACTGGGTGTGGTGGCGGGCACCTGTAATCTCAGCTACTCAGGAGGCTGAGGCAGGTGAATCGCTTGAACCCAGGAGGCAGGGGTTGCAATGAGGTGAGATTACACCACTGCACTCCAGCTTGGGTGACAGAGTGAGACTCTGTCTCAAAAAAAAAAAAAAAAAAAAAAGCAAAATTAAAAATGTGTAGTTGGCCAGGGACAGGGCCCGAGGTTCTGCATTTGTGACCAACTAGAGCAGAATAAGACAAGGTCTTGTTGATGGTGGCCGCTCCATGGCCCACATTTAAATCATGCCCTTTATCCCACCATATCCCGAGTCCCGAATCCAGCCCACGGCCACAGGGTGCTGTCTCTGCACACCACTCCCATCTCCTTCAGCCTGGGACCCTCAGCCTTTCTTCATCTTTTCTGCAATTAACATTTTCAAAAAGTCCAGGCAGGATATTTGTAGAATGTCCATCAATTCGGGTTTGTCTAACGTTCCTCTCGATTTCAATTTATTTTTATTATTATTTTGTTTTGAGACGGGGTCTTGCTCTGTTGCCCAGGCTGGAGTGCAGTGGCACAATCTCAGCTCACTGCCACCTCCACCTCCTGGATTCAAGCGCGTCTTCTGCCTCAGCTTCCCGAGTAGCTGGGATTACAGGCGCACACTACCATGCCCGGCTTATTTTTCTACTTTTTTTTTTTCTTTTTTTTTTTGTAGAGACGGGATTTCACCATGTTGGCCAGGCTGGTCTTGAACTCCTGACCTCAGGTGATCTGTCCACCTCGGCCTCCCAAAGTGCTGGGATGACAGGCGTGAGCCACCGCGCGCGGCTGACAGTTGATTTTTTTGGAAACCCCAGGTCTGCTGTTCAGAGCCCAGTGGGTGGGGAAGGCGGTGGGCAGGGGACATGCCGCGCGGAAGCTGCTGCGGGGTCTCCTGCCCGCCGCCGCCACCCAGGCCGAGGTGCAGACGGAGGATTTAATTGAACAGGGCAGTCACACCTCACCTGGAGCGCCTCACAACCCTTTGGGGTGGAGGAGAGGCTCCTTCACCTGCCTCGAGCCTGACTTGAAGTTAATAAAATCCCGGCCAAAGGATGACCTCGAAGCCGGTTCCCTGTCCTCCTGAAGGCCGCGGCAAGGCCCCTCATAAAAGGTTATTAAGGAAAGTAAATAACTCAGCCTGTGGGGGAGGCTTCCTGGCAGAGGCATTGGGGGCCCTGGGAGAAGGCGAGGGCCTGGACCTGTGTGCCGGTGGCCGAGAGTGATGGGGGCCTGGGCCCTGCCTGTAGCTATCCATGTAGGGAGGGGTGGGGTAGGGTGGGCGGTGGCTGCCCAGATTCCTCTTGGAAGCTCTGGTTATAAACCTGAGCATAGAATGTACAGGTTGGGGCAAACGTGGGCTCCTTTGGGGCCCTCTGGGGTTTACATCCCTCTGGGACGCAGCGGGAGCTTAGCCTGGGGAGGTCCTGGCCCTGTACTGGGGGCATGGTGTGGAGCTGGGGGCGGGGGCCTGCACCTGTGGGGCCGCTGCACTGGCTCAGCACGTCGGGCGTGCGTGTTAGGGCAGGAGGCCCGGCCGCAGCGGCTCCCCTGCTCAGGGAATGGCCTCTTCTCTCTTTGGAGTTTGAGGCCCCAAAGGCCTCAGGGGCAGCATTAGGGTCTTGTCCTAAAGGACTCTCCAGGAGCTGTGGGTTGGGATCCCGTGGGAGGCCCGTATGCTGCCCAGGGGACTGGGGACTCCCCTGTGTGACTTGCAGGGCAGAGACAAACCCTCAGTACCTTCCAAGCCTCTGTGTGCTCACCTACAGGTGGGGATGGTCAGCAGAGACGCGGGAGGGAGCAAACTGGAAAGCGCGGCACCCATCGGGGTCGGCAGCCATAGCTCATGGGACGCAGGATGGACGCCCTGAGCCTGGGCGCTGAGCCGCCATCTGCTCTGGGCCAGCTCGGTCAGCCCCGAGTCCCCCTGCAGATCTTGGCTCACCACAGCCGAGGGCCTCCAGGCCTGTCCCGAGACCACCAGGAATGGGCCCCTCCCAGCCTCCAGTGGCCGGGCAGCTTGGGTGGCCCCAACTGAGGGCCAGGGGACTCCAGCGGCTGTGGCCTTTCCCTCAGCTGCCCCTCGCCCCCACCCCCTACTAAGATTTCAAAACTTACTACAAAGCTGCAGTAATGAACACAGTGTGGTCCTGGGGTAAAGACACGCATGCAGATTAAGGGAATAAAAGAAAATTCAGAGACCAGAAATAAACACACTCGTTCACTGATTTTTTCCAACAAGGGCATTCAATGGGCGTTTTCCACAGACGGTGCTGGGACAACTGGACGTCCACAGGCAAGAGTGTGAAGGTGGACTCGGCCTCACACCACATGCAAAAATTAACTCAAAATAGGTCACAGGGGCCAGACGCAGAGGCTCACACCTGTAATCCCAGCACTTTGGGAGGCTGAGGTGGGAGGATCGCTGGAGCCCAGGAGTTTGAGGCTGCAGTGAGCTATGATCATGCCACTGCACTCCAGTCTGCATGATATGGCAAGACTCTATCTTTATAAAAAACTTAAAAATTAGCTGAACGTGGTGGCACACGCCTGTAGTTCCAGCCACTCAGGAAGCTGAAGTGGGAGGATCACCTGCGCCCGGGAAGCCTTGACTTCATGGGCTTGACTTGAGGCCCAGAGACTGAGTATCCCCAGCCCTGAGGTCAGCAAGTGGGCGGGTATGGATGAGCTATTATCACGCCACTGCACTCCAGCCTGGGTGATACAGTGAGACCCTGTGTAAAAAAAAAAAAAAAAAGAAAAGAAAAAGATCACAGACCTAAACGTAAGAGCTGAAGCTATAAAGCTCTGAAAACAAAACACAGGAGTAAATCTTTGTGATCTTGGGTTAGACCAAGCCTTCCTAGATATGATATGAAAGTCACGAGAGAAAAAAGAAAAACAGAGATACACTGGACTTCATCAAAATTAGAAGGCTTTGTGCTTCAAAGGACATCGTCAAGAAAGTGAAAAAAACCACCTGCAAAACGGGAGAACATTTTTGCAAAACGTATTTCTGATAAGACACTTATGTCTAAAATATATAAAGAACTATTGTAACTCAATAACAAAGAAACACATAGCCCGATTTTTGAAATAAGCAAAGGATTTGAGGAGACACTTCTCCAAAGATGATATAAAAATGGCCAATAAGCACAGGAAGATACTCACCATCAGCCATCACGAAAACACAAATTAAAATGAGATGGCCCCTCATACCCACTAGGACGGTTAAAATAAAGCAGACAGATATTGACAAGTATTGGTGAGGAGGAGAAATTGGAAAGTCAGAACTCCAGCACACTGCTGGTAGGCAGGGAAAAAGGTTGCATCCACTTTGACAAACAGTTTGGGAGTTTTTTCTTTTTCTTTTCTTCTTTCTTTTTGTTTATTTTGAGATTGGGTCTTGCTGTTGCCCAGGCTGGAATGCAGTGGTACAATCACAGATCACTGCAGCCTTGAACTCCTGGACTCAAGCGATCCTCCCATGTTAGCCTCTTGAGGACCTGAGACCACAGATGTGCACCACCATGCCCGGCTAATTTTATTTTTTTATTCTTTTATTTTTTTGAGACAGAGTCTCAGTCTGTCACCCAGGCTGGAGTGCAGTAGCACGATCTCGGCTCACTGCAACCTCTGCCTCCCAGGTTCAAGCAATTCTCCTGTCTCAGCCTCCCGAGTAGCTGGGATTACAGGTGTGCACCACCATGCCCAGCTAATTTTTGTGTTTTTAGTAGAGACAGGGTTTTACCATGTTGGCCAGGCTGGTCTCGAACTCCTGACCTTAGGTGATCCAACTGCCTCAGCCTCCCAAAGTGCTGGGATGATTTTTTAAATTTTCAGTAGAGACACAGTCTTGCTATGTTGCCCAGGCTGGTCTTGAACTCCTGGGCTCAAGCGATCTTCCCACCTCAGCCTCCCAAAGTACTGGGATGACAGTCGTGAGCCACCACCCCCAGCTGGTTTGGGAGATTTTAAAAATGTTCAATGTGGAATTACCATAAGACCCAACGATCTCACTCCCACGTATCTACCCAGGAAAAACGAAGACATTACTCCAGCTCTGTTTTGATTAAAAATAATACTTCTTATTATAAAAAGAAAAAAATAAAGACACACATCCACATAAAAGCCTGTGCACACATGTTCGTAGAAGTATTATTGTCTCCAAACGAGGTGAAGGTGAAAGGAAAAAAAACATCTGTTGTGCTGTAGGGCCGGATGCCTCGTGATAACCCCAAGGGCTTGGAGCACCTCACTGACCCCCGCCCGGGGCTGGGCAGAATGGGGCAGGAATCACAGCCAGGGCAGTGGCCCCCGAGTCCCCTGATGCCACGCACAGACCACCAGGTGCTGTATCCGCGTCTCCCAACAGACCTGCAAGCTCAGGATCAGGATTCCATTGTTCAGATGGAGAAACTGAGGCTCAAAGAGGGGAGGGGGCTCGTCCAAGGCAGTCAGGAGAGGAGCCAGGGCTGGGACCAGCCTGGTCGGCCCCCAGGTCCCCACTCATTCCGTGGACAGCCAGCATGCAGGATGAGGGGCAGGTGTTTATCACGGAGACAGGCCTCCCCAGCTGGCCTCGGCCGGCGTACCACCTCTCCATGGGCCCAGTGACAGCCGTGGCTGGTGGGTCTCAGTCTCCCCACCTGTAACATGGGAGAGTGGGACTGGAGGACCCTGGAGCCCCTTTGGGGTCCAAGAATGGCAGGAAGGACCAGAGGCCACGGAAAGCCCTACCCAGCCTCTTCTGGGGGCCCAGCAGGCTCAGCCACAGCTGCCCCAGCTCCACCCACCCACTTGCTGATCTCGGGGCTGGAGATAGTCTTGGGCCTCAACTTTCCCACCTATAAAATGAGAACAGCAGCAATTGTGTTTACCTGGCTTCGTGGCGTGGCTCGCGAAGCCAGCACCAGCTCAGCGCTCCTGAGACGCTCTTATTCTCTTCCAGGTCTCCCAGAGCTAGAGGTTTTCCCGGCAGCTCCAAGCGAGGCTTCCTGAGAGTTCGAGGCGGTGCAGAGAGACCACCCTGGGGAACCGGCCATCTCCAGAAACCGGGGAACCATCCGTGGTGTGGGCCCAGCAAGGCCCCCTTCCCAGCGTGGCTGACTTCGCCTCTGAATTAATCTGGATTTTTAAGTGCAATTAAAGAGGTAATCGGGGTCAGAGCGCTTTTAAAACACAGTTTAGCACAAAATCCTAATGCAGGAATTACACCAGTGGAGATTGTCAATACAATGGATTCCCACCAAGGGCACTAAACGAGGGTGCACCCGGGCTGCGCGCCGGGAGGGGCTGGGCTAATTCAGCAGGGCCTCGCCGAGGCAGGCCGGGAGACAGAGCTGCACGGAGGCCTCTGCATCCTGCTCATTACCGGGGAGCCTGGAACACGCTTCAGAGAATTCATTAGGGAAAGAAAACGGTAAAATTTGAAGTTATTTGTAAATCTGACGGGGAAGCCATGCATCACTTCTCAGAAGGAAGTGTGTCGATTCCAGACGGAGCTGATGGTGGGTGGGGGCGGGGTGAGGGGCTCTGGGAGGCAGAGTCTGCAGGCCAGCAGGACCCCCGCTTAGGGCCATGGCGGAGCCTCCCCGAGTCCCAGCCTCTATCTGCATTGCAGTGGGTTGGTGGGTGGTAGCCCTGTTCCCATGGAGCTCACAGAACCAGACGGGGCAGGAGCACAGAGAGGGCAGGCCCTTGCCCACCGTCACACAGCAAGGGCACAGCCAGCCGGGAGCCCAGCTCCCCGCAAGGTCTGCAGGGAGGGCAGGGGCTCAGCAGCAGGTTCACCTTGTGCTGGAGACTCCAGCTGGGGCAGCCCTGCCTGCACGCGGAGGCAGGAGGTTGGGGGAAGAATCGGGAGGCCCGGCTCCCTCTTCTCCTTCCCTCCTGGGGAAGCTGAGAAATCTCCCCTGCTGGAAGCCCCCACCCCACCTTCCTGTGTCCCCCGCCCCAATTCCCATGCACAGACTTCTGTCCTGCCTCCAGTCCTGGTCCAGCTGTCCCTGCCTCCTTCTCTACCCCTGCACGGGTTCCTGCCCCGGCTCTGAGCCTCGGCCACCTTCCTGGGCTCACTTCAGATTTCCCCGAGATACCAGCCGTTGGGTTCCCATTGCACCTGTTCCCTTGGGCTCTTCCCGCGCCGGCGATGACCCTGCACAGGGGCTCGCAGCCTCCAGGCCTGAGGGTGGGCCCCGATTATCCAGTCCTCACTGTGCCTGGTGCCCACGAATCATGGACCCCGTCATACACAGGGGCTGAGTGCCTGGATAACTAGGGAGAGGCTGCCTTCATGGGTGCCCAGGTTACACAGCAGGGTGCAGGGCACAGGCTGGAACCTCCTGCCCGGGTGAGAGTTGGTCTGGGGTCCCGGTGGGCAGTGTGTGCCCAGGGCCAGGCGGGGCCAGCCTCACCCTCTTCCCTGCTGTCCCGAGTGTAAGGGAGCCCCATGCCTCTGACAGGGTGTGACCCAGTGCTTGTGATCAGTGGAAGAACCTCCCAAGGGCCGGGTGTGGTGGCTCACGCCTGTAATCCCAGCACTTTGGGAGACCAGGGCAGGTGGATGGCCTGAGGTCGGGAGTTCGAGACCAGCCTGGCCAACATGGCGAAACCCTGTCTCTACTAAAAACACAAAAAACAGCCAGGCGTGGTGGCAGGTGCCTGTAATTCCAACTACTCAGGAGGCTGAGGCAGGAGAATTGCTTGAACCTGGAAGGTGGAGGGTGCGGTCAGCCGAGACTGTGCCACTGTATTCCAGCCTGGGAGACAGAGTGAGACTCCGTATCAAAAAAAAAAAAAACAACAAAACAAAACCTTGGAGGAAGGGAAGGTGCAGAAGGCACGGCCCAGGGCCTCACCGTGGGGTCCCAGGAGCCGGCAGGAGGGGGATGGAGACATGAACCAGGGAGAAGAGGGTGGGGCTGAGAGGCAGGCTGAGGTCGGAGGAGCTCTCTCGCAATTCCGGGTGGTGAGTCCCCCGTCCAAGGAGGCATCACAGCTGTAGAAGAGATGCTGCCCCCGGCCAGCATGGGATAGGAGCTACGCTGGGGCATGCGTTCAGAGCCTGGAAGGTGCAGTAGGGGCACAAGTAGGGCAGCCTTGGGTGGAAAAGTGGCTCTGCCTCAGTCTCTCCCACGACACCCACAGAGGGGATCCCATGGAACAGAGAATTGTCCCTCCTGGGGATGGCAGCCCCCCTGACTCCGGTGAAAAGGAGGGGCTGGGGCTCTGGGCCCCTCTGAGGCAGAACTGCCGGCCTGGGTCTTTGGAGACCCAAGGCCCCTGGACTCCTGTTCAGGATGGCCACTGGGGGTGGGACGGTCAGGTGGTGCCCGGGACTCAGGGCTGTCTCCTGCCCTCCCCACAGGGGACTTTCTCCCAGGCTGGCCCCCGGGTTCTCCCACAGGGCCCCGCACATGGGCTGAGGGTGGCATCCCTGCCGTGGGAATGGCTGGAACGGAAGCCGCCCCTTCCGGCCCTGAGTGCAGAGGTTAATGGAGGCAGCAGGGTGGGGAAGCTGGGGACCGAGAGGGCCTGCCCGGCCCCGGGCCAGTGGCTGGGCCTGGGAGTAGCCCCTGTCTCTTCCGGCTGGGACAGAATGATCGAAGATCAAAGCTCAGGGGTTTATGAGCCAAGTGGGCAGAGGCCGGAACGGGCTGGAGGTGGGTGGGGGCCTGGCCCTGGGATCTCAGGATGCCCCTGCTCTAAGGGGACCGACTGGGGTGCAGGGGACAGGAGGACCTCAGAGCCCAGGGCCAGAGCTTGGGGTGAAGGCTTCCCTCATGTGCCAGGCATGGCCGGGTGTCCTTATCGTCATAGCGTGGGGGAAACTGAGGCTCAGGGCGGCTGACACACTCAGGGCCACACATCCAGACAGCAACCAAGTCAGGATTAGGCCCAGTGACAACCTCGCAGCTTCCTCCAACCCCAGTGGGGCTGCCCGCCGGCCGCAGGTCCACAGGGAGGGCGTTCTCCTCGGCAGTGGGCGGTGGGGACGCCGTGGGTCTCAGCGCTGGAGTCAGGGGACTCCAGGATGGAAGGTTGGGGGCGTGAGGAGTCCTGCCTTCCTGGGCTGGGGACCCCAGTGACACCCTCTGGGCTGTGAGGTGCAGGTGTGGGTCACAGAGCTGGAGGCATCCTGGTTGGGTCTCTGCGTGGGACACCTTTGATCTCTCACCCTGGGGGAATCTCTGCGTCTCTCCCTGTCTCTGTCTCTGTCTCTGTTTCCATCTCTGTCTTGGTCCAGCCCAACCTTTCCTCCCCTTCCTTAACACCAAAAGCCACACAGCACCACCCCACCCCACTCCCTGGCCGTGTTCTTGGGCTCTGGACCAACCCTCCCATCCAGGTCCCACCAGGGCCGAAGCCACAAGGGCAGGGCTCCCTCCTCCACCCAGGGGGGCCCATGGGCTCCTGCGACTACCACCCGAGCTATGCCAGCCACGTGCCCCCAGCCTTCCTGCCCTTCCCTCTGCCTGCTCCAGGATGCCCCAGTCATGAAGAGAGGCGGAGACAGACCACAGGCCCGTGGGGCAACCGGAAAACCCCTCCTCACTAAGAATGAACTCCAAGGGGCTTCCCCGTCCCCCGCTGAGGTGGACTTCCGGCCTGGCATCAGGAGCAGCCCACCTGCCTTCCCGGCCCTGGCCCGCCAGGCTGTGTCCCCCTGAGCCGACTGGGCCATTCGCACCTCCAGGCGCTGGTTCCTGCCATGCCTCTGCAAGACGTACCATCTCCAAAACCGCTGTTCACAGCGGATCAGCCCGGCGCAGCCTGCCCATCCACCGTGCCCCTATCCAGAAGCAAGACACAGCCTGGGCTGGGCCGTGAGGGTCCGTGACCTCCCACACCACACCGTGGCCCTCACTGCACTCTCAGTGCTGGGCTCCTACAGGTGAGCCTCCCCCAGGATGAGTGTGGTGTCCCAGAGCCATCTGAGCCCCCTCTTGTGGGTCAGGCCTGCCTTCTCAGGGTTCAGCTCAGTCCTGCTGATGACAGCTGTGACTCAGGCCCGACAGCCCTTCAGGAACTCTCATTATCTTCCCCAGTTTACAGCTGGGGAAACTGAGGCTCGGAGTGAGCCAGCCCCTCCCCGTCCTGTCTCCCTTCCCTGCTGGGTCCACCCACTCAGGGCTTTCTAAGAGGGTGGATTTTAATTAAGCCAGTTTGTAATTACCCACCTGCATTTTACTTAATAAACTCGGGGGAGTTTTCATTTTTTGGCCTTATTTAAAAATTTCATTGCTGCCTGCCTACATGGGGGAGAGAGGTCCTCGAAAGCTAGCCCGGGGTGACTGGCTCGGAGCTCCTGGGGAGTCTTGGGGGCCGGCGGGCAGAGCCGGGAGCAGCAGGCAGCCCCAGCGCACGCTAGGTGTCCCCTGGCAGCTGCCTGATATGGTTTGGATCTGTGTCTCCGCCCAAATCTCATGCAAAATTGTAATCCCCAATGTTGGTGGCGGGGCATGGTGGGAGGTGACTGGATTGTGGGGGTGGGTTTCTCAGGAACCATCCATCTCTGTCCTGGCCTTGCGACAGTTCACCCTCTCCTTTCTCCTGCTCCCGCCATATGAGACGCCTGCTCCCCCTTTGCCTTCCGTCATGATTGGAAGCTTCCTGAGGCCCTCCCAGAAGCAGAAGCTGCGGTGCTTCCTGTACAGCTTGCAGAACCATGAGCCAACTGAACCTCTTTTCTTTACATTTTATTTTATTTTTTGTTTGAGACGGAGTTTCACTCTTGTCGCCTAGGCTGGGGTGCAGTGGCACGATCTCAGCTCACTGCAACCTCCACCTCCCAGGTTCAAGCGATGTTCCTGCCTCAGCCTCGAGTAGCAGGGATTACAGCTGCCTTTCACCACGCCCGGCTAATTTTTTGTATTTTTAGTAGAGACAGGGTATTGCCATGTTGGGCTAGGCTGGTCTCGAACTCCTGACCTCATGTGATCCACCTGCCTCGGCTTCCCAATGTGCTGGGATTAGAGGCGTGAGCCACCGCACCCGGCCTACACCTCTTTTCTTTATAATTATGCAGTGTCAGGTATTTATTTATAGAAGTGTGAGAATGGCCTAATACACTGTCCCTCCAGGGATGGACATGCGTCTCCACCGTGCCCTCAACAAGGGCATGTCTGCACGGGGGACCTCCTGCTGGGCTCTCAGGGGTCCTCCTCCACCCTGCAAGCCCTGCCTGCCTGCTGGGAGCACCCTGATGATCAGACCAAAGAGCTCCCCCACGTCCACGTGCCTTTTCAGGGGAGGGGCAGTCGGGAGCTGGCAGAGGGCTGCAGACTTGGCACTCGGTGAGGGTGGGCATGGCGGGGACCAGGCAGGGGCCCAGCCTCAGGGCAGCCGGCGGCTGGGGACTCCCCTCCTGAGTCAGCCTGTATTAGTCCCTTCTCATGCTGCTATGAAGAAATACCTAAGACTAGGTAATTTATAAACGAAAGAGTTTGTTTGTTTGGTTTTTGTTTTTGTTTTTTCTGAGACAGAGTCTTGCTCTGTCACCCAGGCTGGAGTGCAGTGGCACAATCTCAGCTCACTGCAACCCCCATCTCCCGGGTTCAAGCAATTCTCCTGCCTCAGCCTCCCGAGTAGGCGCGTGCCACCACACCAGGCTATTTTTTTTTTGTTTTGTATTTTTAGTAGAGACAGGGTTTCACCATGTTGGCCAGGCTGGTCTCAAACTCCTGACTGAAATGATCCGCCTGCCTCAGCTCCCAAAGTGCTGGGATTACAGGCGTGAGCCACTGTGCCTGGCCAAAGAAAAGAGGTTTAATTGACTCACAGTTCAGCATGGCTAGGGAGGTCTCAGGAAACTTACAGTCACGGTGGAAGGGGAAGCAAACATGTCCCTCTTCACAAGGTGGCAGGAGAGAGAAGAATGAGTGTCCAGCGAAGGGGGAAGCCCTTTACAAAACTATCAGATATCATGAGAATTGATTCACTATCACAATGGTATCAGGATGGGGGAACTGGCCCCATGATTCAATTATCTCCACCTGCTCCCTCCCATGACAAGTGGGGATTATGGGGGCTACAATTCAAGATCAGATTTGGATGGGGACACAGATGAGATTTGGGTGGACACACAGATGAGATTTGGGTGGGGGCACGGGGGGGATTTGGGTGGGGACACAGGCAAACCACATCACAGCCAAAGCCAACTCCACTGTCACCCACCCACGCCAGTGGGGTGACAATAAACTCCCATCCTGGGGGAGTTTATTGAGGGCCTACTACGTGCTGGGGCTGTGGTGGATGCTGACACAGACCCCCATGCCACACACAGCTGCTGGGCTCACCCTGCTTTTCAGAGCATGGAATTTGTTGTAGGATTGAAAAATCAGGTAAGTTCACAGAAAATCTGCATTTGCAGCTTCCTGTAGAACATGGGCAGGTCCCCAGAAGGCAAAGTTGAGCTGGTGCTGGCAGGCAGCTTACCCCCAGGGAGCCTGGGCTCCAGCAGGGCGGCCGGGTGTGGTGGTGTAGGTCACACACTCAGCCTTCACCTCGAGGCGCTGGGTAGGCTGGCAGCACCTCCTGGGGCACCCAGCCCCACCCGATTCACACCACTCCCAGGGCCTCGGCACAGAGCCGCCCCCTACATCCCGGGGCTCCCCATGCCCCTCCCCACACATCAGCACCAGGTATGGAGCCCAGAGCAGCAGCAAGGCTCAGCACGGCCCTCAGAGGACTCCCCCAGCCCAGGGAAGGCATCCTCCAGGCCTCCATCTCCAGCCCACCCCAGCTCAGGCTGCAAAGGCCTTGGCCATAGCTGGGGATGGGGAGCACAGCAGTTCTGCCCCCGGGAGGACCTGAGGCCGGGGGACTGAGCATGGGCAGTCTCGGGGGAGCAGAGCATGGGGGGACCACTCCATCCAGGAGGCCCTGGAGGCTGGGTGCACCGGATCTTTATTCTGTCCTTCCCTGGGACACTGGACGCCAGGACCAGCACTGACAGATTGACGTAGCAGGTTAATAAGTGCTCTCCCTCCTCCTAAAGGCTAATGAAATATTAATCAGCCTGGTGAGGTCAGCAGAAATGGCTTGGTGGTGCCAGAGTGAGATGCGTTTAATTAATTCTCCTGTGGAGGGTCCAGCCTGTGGCCCCACCCCCCACCTCCACTGCCCTCCACACCCGCCCAGGCCTCAGTGGGGCCTGCCCAGATCCTTGGCACCGCCGACAGCCCCTCACCCTCACAACCCTACCCAGGAGGTGAGCGCTGGGGTCACACCCCTGCCCACCCCCGCCTGGATCCCCCCAGGAGCCCTCTCCCTGCTTGCCCCTGCCTGGATCCCCCCAGAAACCTTTCCATGCCCTTCCCAGTGCCCTGGGTCTTCTGTTTCCAGGACACCTTCCCTGGCCCGCGCTGGGCTGACCTGTGGCTGTGGGAGGTCAGAGGGCAGCTCCCACCCCAGCCGCCTCCCTCGTGTCCAGCAGGCCGGGCCCAGGAGTGGCTTCCACCTGCCCGTCAGTGCAGGCCGGGCCTCATGGAGCTGAGGGACAGAGGCTGGAGCTGTGGACACGCCAGGTGGGGTTCAGTGGCTATGTGTAGCATACCCAGGTTTGGACGGAGCCGGAGGGGAAATGGGGTCGGGGCCCTGCCTCCCCATCTGTCTGGTTACAATCAGGGAAGGCCCCTGCCTGCCCCCACTGCAGCTGGGGCTGATCCAGGGCTGGGGGCACAGGGCTTCTCAGGAGGCCCCCAAAGAAGTCCCCAGCCATGGGGTGATCAGAGGTGCCATGGGGTGGAGTTAAGACACAGAGACAGGCGGTGTGGTCCCCAGGCCACTGCAGAGGGCAAGTCTGGGCTCCCCCGTGGGACGGGGCTCAATTCCAGAGCAGCAGGGTATTGGGGTCACCTTGTCCGAACCCTAGGCTTAATTACGGAGGTCACGGTGAGGCCCCCAAGGGGAAGGCCGAGCTGTGCTGGGCCAGACAGGCAGCCAGGCCATGGGGGCCGATGGACATGGCCAGCACATCTTCCCAGTGCTGGGCTGGGGACCCTGGGCCCGAGACCGCTGTGCTCAGGGACCACAGGACGGCCCAGGAAGCGGCCTGCTGAGGGTGGGGGTCGTTGCACAGAAGCCCTGTGATGGGACAGGTGGGTCCTGGGTCCAGGGTGGAACCGCTGATGGGGTGGCTCTGGAGCACAAGGCCGCCCTGGGGGGGTCCATCCCGACACGTCTCAGGCAAACCTCCTGGGAGGCGGGTCGGGAGTCCTGCACGCGGGCGTCTGCTCCGGATCCACGTTAATTTTTTATTTATTTGAAAGTGGGACTGGAAGCGGTTTCAAGTGAGTCTGAAGTAATTAGGAGTTCCTGCTGATGGATCGCACTGGAGGGACGTGGGGATTATTTATTACCGAGTCACTTGCCGGAAAGGTTAGAGGCTAAGAAGTAATTATTTTTCCTTTCTCTCTGCCCCCACCCAGCTTCTCTGTCTAAAGGGGATATTTTACAGGGGGCAGGGAGCAGTCATGGGGTCCAGGGCCATGCAGTCCCCTGCCCCAAAGAAGTGGGCTGACGGTGAAGCTGGTGCCAGGAAGATCTGGGGTCACGGGACCTTCTGAGGAATCTGCCCCAGCCCTCCTTTCTTCTTCTTTTTTTAACCCCTCTCTTTTGTTTCTTCCCTAGTGTTAAGTTTCTCCAGGAAGGCAAAGGCACTAACTTGCTGTATGCTCAGCCCCTTGTGGGATTCTGGGGCACCCTGAAATGTGCCGTTGGAGCCTCAAGGATACCCTAGGGCAGAATAGCCCAGGCAGCTGGGACAGCAGGTGCAGAGGCCCTGGGTGGGGACCTGCTGGCACCCGCAGGGCTGGACAGGAGAGAGGATGGACAGAGAGAGGCATGGCCAGGTTAGATGTTCTGAGAAGCCTTAGAGGGTCAGGAATAGGGAACACCTGATCCACTCACTGTCCTCACCTGGTAAGTGTGGGCATTCAAAGATGCAAAACTCACCCCTTTTCCCCCTCTCTCCAACCTGTCCCAGCCTGGATTTGCCTTGTACTCACTCCCACTCTCTCCTGCAGTAGCATTTCATACTTCCAGGGAGCCACCGGGTGCAATAGGAAGCTGCGAGTCCTGAGGGACAAGAAGCCCAGCCTGATTGGCTTCAACAGAAGAGGAACTTTGTTGCCCCCTGGAGCTGATCTGTCTGGGGTAGATCTCTGGCTTCAGGCATGGCTTGATCCAGGGCTCAATTGTCATCACCAGGGTCCATGTCTGAGATCTGATTCTTCTGAGATGGTGGCTTGACCCTGAGTCTCCAAAAATTTTCCAAGGATCTAGACTTCCACCCAAGATACAGCAACAGGAACTAGATTTACCCTTTCAACCAAAACATCAAGAAAACCAGACAAAGTATAATAAACAATGGCTTTTATGATGCTAGACATCAGGTAGCAAAAGACAGTGCTCCCTGTCTTTTGAGAGAAGGGGGAGAAATATGGACAGTCTTGTCATCACGAGAGATTTCAGGCCATGGTGCAGGGAGGGGGACCCAAGTGTAGCCCAACAAATCCCCTGAGTTGAGGAGACAGAGCTAAGGGTCTGGAGAGAAAAAGGTGGCTTGAGTTTGCAGGACAATGCACATAAAAGGAGAGTCCTGAACAGAGAGTGAGGACTTGGGAGGTCTGCAGAGGCTTCCTCTCAAGTGTTCAACTCATCAGTGCATGAATGTGGGGGAATTGTCCAAGGCCTGGGGAAGAAGCATCCAAATGGATTAGAGACCAATGCCCAGTGCTGACTCAGGGCTGGGAGATGTGTTCTCCCCAGCCAGACTCATGATGGAAAAACTCATTGTTTGCAGGTCCCTAGGAAGAATGTTCAGGAAGGTGTTGCCTCAGTCGTGAGGAATAATTAGCACCAGACTGCTCCAGATGCACTAAACTGACAACAACAGCAAGACTGGAAAAGATCACACTGTTTCTTTCTTTCTTTCTTTTTTAGACTGAGTCTCGCTCTGTCACCAGGCTGGAATGCAATGGCACCATCTTGACTCACTGCAACCTCCAACTCCCTGGTTCAAGTGATTCTCCTGCCTCAGCCTCCCGAGTAGCTGCGATTACAGGCATGCACCACCACGCCCAGCTGATTTTTGTATTTTTAGTAGAGACAGGGTTTCACCATGTTGGCCAGTAAGATCTCGATCTCCTGACCTCGTGATCCGCCCACCTCAGCCTCCCAAACTGTGGGGATTGCAGGCGTGAGCCACCACACCCAGCCTTTTTTTTTTTTTTTTTTTTTGAGATGGAGTCTCTGTCACCCAGGCTGGAGTGCAATGGCACCATCTTGACTCACTGTAACCTCCGCCTCCCAAGTTCAAGCAATTCTCCTGCCTCAACCTCCTGAGTAGCTGGGATCACAGGTACCCGCCATCATGCCCAGCTAATTTTTATATTTTTATAGAGATGGGGTTTCACCATGTTGGCCAGGCTGGTCTAGAACTCCTGACCTCAGGTGATCCACCCACCTCTGCCTCCTAAAGTGCTGGGATTACAGACATGAGCCACCATGCCCGGCCAGATCACACTGTTTCTAAGTAACCTGACTACATCCCAAAATACAGCCTCAGGTATATTTATAGGAATACAAAAATATCAAGCAACCAGTGAGGCAAAGTTCACAATGTCTAGCATCCAATCAAAGATTATCAGGCATTAACAGAAACTGAAAAACATGACCCACAATAAGGAGAATAATTGATCAATGGAAACTGACCCAAGAACTGACACAGATGTTAGAATGAGCAGACAGGCTTCACTATATGTTCAAAAAGTGAAGTAGAAACATGGAAGATGTAGGCTGGATGAGGTGGTTCACACCCATTACCCCAGCACTTTGGGAGGCTGAGGTGGGAGGATTGCTTGGGGCTAAGAGTTCAAGACCAGCCTGGCCAACATAGCAAGACCCTGTCTCTACAAAATCTTTAAAAATTAGCTGGAAATGGGGGTGCATTCCTGTAGTCCCAGGTACTTGGGAGGCTGATGCAGGAGGATCACTTGAGTTCAGGAGTTTGAGGCTACAGTGAGTTATTGTCATGCTATTGCACTCCAGCCTGGGTAACAGAGAGAGACGAAAGAAAGGAAAGAAAGAGAGAAAGAGAGAGAGGAGAGAAAGAAAAGAAAGGAGAAAGAGAGAGAAGAGAGAAAGAAAAAGAAGAAAGAAAGAAAGAAAGGAAAGAGAGAGGAAAGAAAGAAAGAAGGAGAGAGAGGAGGGAGGGAGGGAAGGGAGGGAGGGAGGAAAGAAGGAAAGGAGGGAGGGAGGGAAAAGAAAGAGAAGTGAAGGAGAAAGAAAGGAAGAAAAGAAACATAGAAGATATAAAAGAGAGAGGAAAGAAAGAAAGAAAGAAAGAAAGAAGGAGGGAGAGGAGGGAGGGAGGGGAGGGAGGAAAGGAGGGAGGGAGGGAAAAGAAGAGAGAGAGAAAGAAGTGAAGGAGAAAGAAAGGAAGAAAAGAAACATAGAAGATATAAAAATGACCAAATTGAACTTATAGTTGTGCCAACTACAATGTCTTAGATTTAAAAATACACTAGATGGCAATGATAGAAGATCAGACATGTCAGAAGAAGCTATTCAGAATGAAGAATAAATCATTTTATTTTAATTACAAACATCAGCAAGTTGTGGGACAGCTTCAAGCAGCCTAATGTGTAGGTAATTGGAGTTCCTGAAGGAGAGGGGAGAGAAAAAAATATTTTGAAGAGCTAATGGCTGAAAATTTACCAAATGTGATCAAAGTTATAAACTCATGGATAAAAAGTCTGACATACCCCAAGTTTAAGAAATATGATGAAAAGTACATGCAGGTATATCATTATGAAATTACTTAAAGGAAGCTTTTTTTTTTTTTTGAGATGGGGTCTTGCTCTGTCACCCAGGCTGGAGTGCACTCGTGCAATCACAGCTCACTGCAGATTCTGCCTGCTGAGCTCAAGGGATCCTCCCACCTCAGCCTCCTGAGTAGCTGAGACTACAGGTGTGCACCACCAAACCCAGCTAATTTTTTAGATTTTTTGTAAAGATGAGGTTTCACCATGTTGGTCAGGCTGGTCTCGAACTCCTGACCTCAGGTGATCCACCCACCTTGGCCTCCCAAAGTGTTGGGATTACAGGTATGAGCTACTGTGCCCAGCCAAGAAAAATCTTAAAAGCAAAGAAAAGACACATAGAGATAAAACACACAGAAAGTTAAAAATAAGAATGACAGCAGGTTTTTTTTCAGTGGAAATATTAAAGCCAGACACCGGAGCAACATCTTGAAAGTACTGAAAACCCTTCCAACCTAGAATTCTATACCCAGCAAAACTATTTTTCAGAACTGACAATGAAATAAAGATATTTTCATGAGTTTCAAGTCAAGGCTAAGTGGAAAAATTTTTAAAAATAAAAAACATTTTCAGACAAACAACAGCTGAAATAACTCATCAGCAGCACACGTGTACTACGAGAAACATTAAAGGAAGTCCTTCAAGCTGATAGAAATGTGAATTTACACAAGGAATGAGAGGCACTGGGAATGGTGAGTACATAGGAAAATACATGATTTTTCTGTTATTTTTTAAATGTCTTACAATGATAATTGACTGTTTAAACAAAAATAACAATGTCAGGTTTATAACACATGCATAAGTAAAGTGAATACCGACAATAGCACAAACCCCATGACGGGAGATATTGAAGTATTTGTACAACAGCAATTCCACAAAAACTGTCCAAGGGATTCATTCTATCAGTGTCAATATCATGGTTGTGATATTGCATTATGGTTTGCTTTTTTTTTTTTGAGATAGAGTCTTGCTCTGTCACTCAGGCTGGAGTGCAGTAATATGATATCAGCTCACTGCAACCTCTGCCTCCTGTGTTCAAGCGATTCTCCTGCTTCAGCCTCCTGAGTAGCTGGGACTACAGGCACGGGCCACCATGCCTAGCTAATTTTTGTATTTTTAGTAGAGACAGGGTTTCACTATGTTGGCCAGGTTGGTCTTGGACTCCTGACCTCAGGTGATCTGCCGCCTCAGCCTCCCAAAGTGCTGGGATTACAGGCGTGAGCCACTGCGCCTAGCCTGCATTATAGTTTTTTTATAGATGTTACCATTGGGGAAAATCGGGCAAAGGGTACACTGTATTATTTCTTGTGATTGCATGTGAACCTACAATTATCTCAAAACAAAAATTTATTTGTGTGTGTGGTTTTTGTTTGTTTGTTTGTTTTTTGCTTTGAGACAGAGTCTCACTCTGTCACCCAGGCTGGAGTGCAGTGATGTGATCTCGGCTCACTGCAACCTCCACCTCCCGGGTTCAAGTGATTCTCTTGCCTCAGCCTCCCGAGTAGCTGAGATCACAGGCACCCAACACCACACCTGGCTCATTTTTTGTATTTTTTAGTAGAGACGGGTTTCGCCATGTTGTCCAGGCTGGTCTCAAACTCCTGACCTCAAGTGATCCACCTGCTTTGGCCTCCCAAAGTGTTGGGATTACAGGCGTGAGCCACTGCACCTGACCTAAATTTTTTAAACTTAAAAAGTTAATACAAACTAACAGAAAAAAAAAAAACATGATGTACAAAATACCTAAGTTTTAAACGTAGAATCTGGAGGGAGAAAATTCCAGAAAGTTGGGGGGAAACAAGTTCCAGGCCCTTCCTCTTTCCCCACCACACCATTTCCAAATCTCACATCTTGACGCCATGAGCTCAGAAGATAAATCTTTCTAACACTCAGTTTCTACACCTGGAAAACAAGGATTAAAAACTGCTGCTCCAGCAGATGGATGTTATCCATACGTGACTCAGCCATAAAAAGGAAGGAAGGACTGGCACAGGCTGCAGAAGGGAGGAAGCTTGAAAATGGAGGAAGCTTGAAAACATTCTGCCGAGTGGGGCTGGGCACGGTGGCTCACGCCTGGAATCCCAGCACTTTAGGAGGCTGAGGCGGGCGGATCACCTGAGGTCAGGAGTTTGAGACCAGCCTGGCCAGCAGTGAAACCCTGTCTACTAAAAAATACAAAAATTAGCCAGGCGTGGTGGTGGGCGCCTGTAATCCCAGCTACTCTGGAGGCTGAGGCAGGAGAATCGCTTGAACCCAGGAGACGGAGGTTGCGGTGAGCCGAGATTGTGCCATTGCACTCCAGCCTGGGCAACAAGAGCAAACCTCCGTCTCAAAACAAAACAAAAACAAAAAGACAAAAATTAGCCAGGCGTGGTGGCACACGTCTATAATCCCAGCTGCTCTGGAGGCGGAGACAGGAGAATCACTTGAGCCCGAGAGGTGGAGGCTGCAGTGAGCCCAGATCACGCCACTGCACTCCAGCCTGGGCAACAGAGCAAGACTCTATCTCAAAACAAAACAAAACAAAAAAACCCATGATGCCGAGTAAAGGAAGCCAGACAATATGATCATGCTGATATGGAATACCTAGAACAGGCAAATCCGTAGAGGCAGAAAGCAGACTGGCTGGTGGTTGCCAAGGGCGGGGGTGACTGCTACTGGGTATGGGGTCTCTTTTGGGGTGATAAAGCTTTTGGACTAGTCAGCAGTGGTGCTTGCACACTGTGAGTGCACTAGGTGCCTCTGTATTGTACACTCTGAAATGGCTAGTGGTTAATGTTATGTCATGTGAAGTTTCCCTCCATTTAAAACAAAAGGATCGGCTGGGCGTGGTGGCTCATGCCTGTAATCCCAACACTTTGGGAGGCTGAGGCGGGTGGATCATGAGGTCAAGAGATCGAGACCATCCTGACCAATATGGTGAAACCCCGTCTCTACTAAAAATACAAAAATTAGCTGGGCGTGGTGGCGTGCACCTGTAGTCCCAGCTACTCAGGAGGCTGAGGCAGGAGAATTGCTTGAATCTGGGAGGTGAAGGTTGCAGTGAGCCGAGATCGCACCACTGCACTCCAGCCTGCCAATAGAGTGAGACTCCGTCTCAAAAAAAAAAGGATCAGATGTGGTGGCTCATGCCCGTCATCCCAGCACTTTGGGAGACTGAGATGGGAGGATCACTTGAAGCCAGGAGTTTGAGACCAACCTGGACAACACAGCAAGACTTTGTCTCTACAAAAATGTTTAAAAAATTAGCGGGGCGTGGTGGTGCACACCTGTAGCCCCAGTTACTTGGGAGGCTGAGGTGGGAGGATCACAGACAGAGTGAGACTCCATCTCAAAAAAAATTCAAAAAAAAGAAATAAAAAATAAAAATTCTCTTAGAGACAGGTCTCACTCTGTCGCCCAGGCTGGAATGCAGTGGTGTGATCATAGCTCACTGCATCCTCGACTTCCCAGGCTCAAGTGATCCTCCCACCTCAGCCTCCCCAGTAGCTGGGACTACAGCGTCATCCCACCTATATTTTTAGTAGAGATGGGGTCTCACCACGTGGGCCAGGCCAATCTTGAACTCCTGACCTCAGGTGGTCTGCCCATCTCGGCCTCCCAAGGTGCTGAGATTACAGACATGAGTCACTGTGCCTGGCCTGTAAGAGAATTTTTTAAAAAAAGGAGAAGAAGGAGGGGGAGGAGGAGGGAGGAGGGAGAGGAGGGGTGGGGGGAGGAGAAGGGGGAGGAGGGGGGAGGAGAAGGGGGAGGAGGAGGGGAGGAGAGGGGGAGGAGGAGAGAGGAGGGGGAGGAGGGGGGAGGAGGGAGGAGGTGAGGAGGGAAGAGGGGAAGGAGGAGGAAGAGGATGATGGGAGGATTATATCGAGTGGGGTGACATTTGTAAAGACCTGTACCAGGCCAGACAGCTGCTGAAAGCACCATCAACAGTAGCTATTTATTTTACAACCTGCTCCCCAAATTAATTTCTTCCAGTTATTTAGTGCTTTTGCTTATGTTTCCCACAACCCCATCTGTGGGTATTTTTTTTTTTTTTTGAGACGGAGTCTCGCTCTGTCGCCCAAGCTGGAGTGCAGTGGCGCGATCTCGGCTCACCGCAAGCTCCGCCTCCTGGGTTCACGCCATTCTCCTGCCTCAGCCTTGCTGTGGGTATTCTTTTTACACCCATTCAATAGCTGAGGAGATGAGGCTCAGCGAGGGTAAGCGGCCTGCCCAAAGTCACACAGCAGGGCCGGGTCCAAGCCCAGGCTCCTGGTTCCAAGTCCAGGTCTTCCTGTGCAATCGCCGCGAAGTCACGTGCCTGCTGTTGCAGGGAAAGGGGCCCTCAGCGCGTGAACCTCAAAAAGCCGTGTTCTCGGTGGGAGTCAGGTGAACATGGAACTTGGCCAAGGGCTGGCTCCAAGCAGAAAAGGAGCTCTAATGAGGGGGCCGTTCACAGAGGTGTGGGCAGGGCTGTAGCCGGAGGATCACTTGGGCAAGCGTCCTGGGACTAGCAGTGCAGGCCACCGATGCCCCAGGCCACAGCAGCAGGAAGGGTGGGCATAGTTGAGGGCGAGGCAGGAGGGGGGCTGCGGGGGGAGCTGTGGCTCTGGAGGAGGAAGGAGCCCTCACCGCACGGCAGCCCTAGGAGAGGGAGCCAGGGAAACGCATGCTTTCCCCTCTCTCTGTCTCCCAGCCCCAAGCCAGAGACCAGGGAGCTAGGGGTGGGGGTGGGGGGTGAAGCCTGCTCCCCTCCCAGGCCCAGAACAGGTGCAGTGCAGCCTGGGCGTGGAGGGGCCTCTCCAGTCCACAACACCACCCCATTCCTGGACCGCTGCACCTTCCCGGCTTCCCTAGGGGCCCCACCCATCCTCCTTGTAGAGCTCCTTTAAAAAATATCACACAAACTGCACGATTCCCCTCCTTCAGTCCCCTCAAAGGCTCCCCCTGATCCTTAGAATGAAGCCCACTGCTTCAGCGGGTGAGACCTTGCATGGCTGCCCCCACCCCCGCTCCTCCCAGCCCCTCCCCTCCCCAGCGGTGCAGCCTCAGGGACTTCTGCACACGCTGTTCCACCCACCAATGCTTTTCCCTCCCTCCCCACCCAGCCGGCTCTGACTCTTCCTTCAGGTCCCGGAGCCCCTCCTGCAGACCCTGTGGGCCCTTCACTGAACACCCTCCTCCTTCAGAATGTCCTGGGGACCTGGCTGGGGGCAGGGCCGGATCTGGTTTGTTCCCTGGCGTGCCCAGCCTGCCACAGTGCCTGGCTCTTCTTCTTCGAGGAAGAACTCGAAGAATAGCTGTGAGATGAAGAGTGAGCGAATGAGTGAACAGATGCATGAACGTGTTCAGGGCACCGGGTGGCTTCTTAGCCACAGCTGCAGATGGGTGTGGGTTTGCCTGCGGGGCTGTCTTGCTCCACGGGAGGCCCAGGGCTCCAGCTGCCACTGCCCTGCCCTGGCAGACACTTCCTCCGCTCTTTACAGGGAGGTGGGCTCTGGGGAGAGGAAGCAGATGGGCTAGCCCCGACTCCAGAAGAGACCCTGGGGCTGCTGATGAAGGGCAGAGACCTGGCTCCATCCCAGGCTGCACTGCCTCTCTGGGCCTCAGTTTCCCTATCTGTAAAGTGGGCACATTTCTGGCCCTCACTTTGCAGGACTACACAGAGCAAAAGAGCCCTGTGGATGTGCACCTGCTTTGTAACCCATACAGGGAAGTGCGTGGGGAGGCGCTGCTGATGGTCACAGCCCTCTTCGGCAGGGGCAGAGCCCCGTCCTTCCAGCCTTGTTCATCCAGCTGCCTTGGGTTTCTGCCTCTGCTCTGCTCCCAGAATCCCAGCCACCGGGCTCCCTGGGGGCAAAGGAGGCTGGCGGGGTGGGGGTGGCCCAACTGACCGAGGGAGCCTCTGCAGCTCCAGGGAGACCGGGGGGCCCAGGGGAAAGGGCAGCCGGACAGGGCACAGACGGAACGTGCGGGTGCCGCTGGCCGCCCGCGTCTGTGCCCCGCTGGCCGCTCACATCTCTGCCCCGGTGCTGGCCGGCTGTCCGTCCGTCTGCGTGGAGCTGTTTGTCTGCCAGGGCTGGCGGGGGCTGTTGGGCGCGCAGCTGTTTGCTGGGCCTTGTCATGAACCAAACACGGTAACTGTTTAACGATCAAGCCACACTAATGAATATTGGGCCAGATATTTTCGAGGCTGTTCCGACTGATTACTTGGAGAGCTGAGTTCGTCTCCAATTACCCAGGCAATTAGGCGACTAATTAAACACTTACCCTTCGCTTCATAAACAGGAGTGAGCGGGTGGGAGCGGGAGCCGGCTCTGGAGGCGCCTGTGAATTATCGGCTGTCAGAAAGCCCCACGCGCACACAAACACACGTGCACATGCGCACGCACACGCCAGCATCTCAGCCGCCCCGTGGGCAGGCGGGCCAGTGGTCAGACAAGCAGGGGGACTGGCATCCGGAAGGGCGGAAGGGCCTGTCCAGACCTCATGTCAGAGTCTGGCCTGCTCAGCTGTCCACTGTGCCCGCTCTGGGAAGCCCTCCGGCTTGCCCTGGCCCGAAGGAGCTTGGCCTGCTGACTGCCGGGCCTGACCTCCACCTCCAGGGAAACTCTCCTCTCCTGGACTCAAGATTCCTGCAGGGCAGAGGCCATTCTGTTCGCGTAGAGGGGCAAAGCCAGCAGGCCCCAGCCTCGGGTCTCCATCCGCGCTCCCTGCCAGAGTGATCTGCGTGGAAGACGCACCTGAGCCATCACGCATGGAGGATTTGAGACATGGCTCCTAACTGCAGTGATATTCCACCCACGGAGGGGCTCAACGCCCTCTGTCCCGCCTCTGGGTTGTCTGTGACAGCGCCAAGGCACGAAGGAGTCAGAGGCGACCGCACAGGCTTCCGGGGCTGGCAGAAGAGGACCAGGGTGCTGGTGCACGAAGGCCTGGGCCACCACGCTGCACATGTGTGGATGTGTACACGCATGCACACACTCATATACACATGGCACACACGTGCACATTTACAGTGTGCACAGATCTGCAAACAATCGTAGGGGCTCACGATCCCCTAGAGACCACACACGTTGCTCCTCCCCCAGGGCAGGGGCCTGGGATGGGGAACCTGGATCCCGTCTCACTCTCTGTCTCTCTCCTGCATACACCCTTCACATGTACGAAGGCAGAGGCCAGGAGGGCAGGGATGTCCCTGGGCCCGCAGGCAGCTCTCAGGCACAGAAGCCACATCTCTCTCTCCCGATCCACCCTGGGGGGCAGGACTTCGTGAGCCCCACCCAGCCTGTAGGAAGGTGAGGGGAAGACGCTGTGTGTTGTACTCCAGGGACCCCACCTCACCTGTTCTACCATTTCCCCTGGCCACAAGGTCAGACCCCCATCACTCCTGCCCTATTCGTCTCCAGGCCCCCGGACACCCCTTCCACTGCCCCCGCAAGAAACAGAGCCTGACAAACAGTAAGCAAATCATAAATGCCTGCAGAATGGACGTCTTAGACAGACCTCCGACCTCCGAGACCCTCCAAGGTCAAGCACCACCTCACCTCCCCCACTTGCTGAGAGGAAACCACCTGGCCGACCCCCAGCCTCCCAGGCCCCCAGCCTCCTCAGGGAGCCCTCTGGGGGGCAGGTGCCCAGCTCCCCTGTCAGGACAGTGCCCCCAGGAGGGTTCACCGCGGCATCCAACGCCAGCATCCGAGGAACAGGGCAACAAACTGACTGCAGCAAACGCTGGCCCTGGCATTGTGCAAGGTGCCCTGTAGATACGGCGGACACCTACGGTCCGGCGACTTTAGGTCCAGGAAATGACCCTGGTTAGCCGGGTGGGCCTGGTCTAGTCAGCTGCAGGCAGTAAGGGCAGCACCAAAGCTCCCAGAGGAAGGAGAGAGTCCACCTGTGGACAGCAGCTCTGCTCCTGGACCCACGTCCAGTCTGCCCTTCCTGGAGGGTGGTTGTGCAGATCTGGGACTTGCCTGCCAGCCCCACGATCACAGCAGCTGATGACTACAATAAGTCTCTCTTATATACATATATACGCACATACATATACACATATACATATACACATATACATACATACACATATACATATACACACACATACACACATATATAGACATATACACATATACATAAACATATATACATATACACATATGCATAAACACATATACATATATACGTATGCATATATACATGTACCTATATATAGACATATACATATATAGACTATACTATACATATACATACTTATACACATATATACATATACACATATACATATACACATACATATACACATACACATATATACACATATGCATATATACATACACATACATATACACATATATACAGACATACACATGCATGTATACACATATATACATATACATATAAACATATACATATATAGACATATATACACATACACAAATACATATATAGACATATACATATGTACATATACACATATACATACACATATATCCATATCCATATATAGACATATATACATATACACATACACATACATATCTCCATATACATATATACATATGTGCATGTACATAAACACATATACATATGCACATATACATATATGCATAGATATGTACATATATAGACACATGTATACACATATACATATATACATATGCATATATACATATGTAGCAGGACGAGCCTCAAACAAAACTCCTCAGACCCCAGATTAAAGAAGGAAGGAGGCCAGGTGCGGTGGCTCACGCCCGGAATCCCAGCACTTTGGGAGGCCGAGGTGGGCGGATCATGAGGTCAGGAGATCGAGACCATCCTGGCTAACATGGTGAAACCTCGTCTCTACTAAAAATACAAAAAATTAGCCGGGCATGATGGCGGGCGCCTGTAGTCCCAGCTACTGAGGAGGCTGAGGCAGGAGAATGGCGTGAACCCGGGAGGCGGAGCTTGCAGTGAGCTGAGATGGTGCCTCTACACTCCAGCCTGGGAGACAGAGCGAGACTCCATCTCAAAAAAAAAAAAGAAAGAAAGAAGGAGGCTTTATTCAGCCGGGAGCTTCGGCAGACTTGTGTCTTAAGAGCCGAGCTCCCTAAGAAAGAAATTCTTGGCCCTTTTAAGGGCTTACAACGGGTCCATGTGAAAGGGTCGTGATAAACAAGCAAGCGGGGGAACGTGCATCAGCTGACAGAACAGAAAGTTTTACAGCGTTTCTTCATGCAGTGTCTGGAATTTACAGATAACACAAGTAGTTTAGGACAGGGGTTGATATTATTATTATTTTAACTCCTAGGGCCAGGTGGTGGTGCCAAGGTTGTCTGGCTATTTATCTTACTTCTGTTTCTTTCCAATTTTTAGCTTTTTTCCTTTTCTCCTGTCTTATAAACTAGGCATAAGGTGGGGAAAGGAAGGCAGCAGGAAAGGTGGTGGTCTTCTTTCTTACTAGACCTCTATATAGACATACATATAGGCATATCCATATATACACATATATGTATACATATATATACACATATACATATATTGTTTTTGTTTTTTGAGATGGGATCTTGCTCTGTTGCCCAAGCTGGAGTGCAGTGGCGTGATCATAGCTCATTGCAGCTTTGAAATCCTGAGCTCAAGCGATCCTCCTGCCTCAGCCTCCCGAGTAGCTGGAATGACAGGTGCACAACAGCACACCTTGCCAATTTTTTTTTTTTTTTTTTTGAGACGGAGTCTCGCTCTGTCATCCAGGCTGGAGTGCAGTGGCGTGATCTCCGCTCACTGCAAGCTCCGCCTCCCGGGTTCACGGCATTCTCCTGCCTCAGCCTCCCGAGTAGCTGGGACTACAGGCGCCCGCCACCGCTCCCGGCTAATTTTTTGTATTTTTAGTAGAGACGGGGTTTCACCGTGCTAGCCAGGATGGTCTCGATCTCCTGACCTCGTGATCCACCCGCCTCGGCCTCCCAAAGTGCTGGGATTACAGGCGTGAGCCACTGCGCCCGGCCACACCTTGCCAATTTTTTTAAAGAGTTTTTGTAGAGATGGGGGTCTTACTATGTTGCCCAGGCTGGTCTTGAACCCTTGGGCTCAAGCAATCCTCCTGTCTCAACTTCCCAAAGTGCTGGGATTACAGGCGTGAGCCTCTGTGCCCAGCTTATATTTACATTTTATGTATAACAGAATAATATATGTAGATATATTACAGACACATATATAATAAAATATAATGATGTGTAGAATATGCACAGGTAATGATGTGTCCACACGTACTGAATGCCGGCCCCATGCTAAGGGCTAGAGCCTACAGTCTGGGTGGAGGCTGGCTAGGAGTGTGGGGACAGACATCGAATAATAATAATACTTCAATATAATGCAGGCCTGCAGCCTGCCCTGTGCTCTGAAGAAGCTCAGGAGCCTCGAGTGGGGCTGTGAAAGGAGGATCTGGGGAGGTCAGGGAGGGCTTCCCTGAGGAGGTGACTGGGGAGAGTGGGAGTGAACTAGGGGAGCATAGGAGGGACGGCAGAGGCAGCAGCAGGCTCCAGGGCCCTGTGGTTGGAAGGAGGGGCAGGGCCTGGAGGAGGGCGGGCTGGGGGGCAGTGGGGGGCCGCTGGGGCATCATCAGGGGCAGTGGTTGGGGTCGCGCCTGGACCCCGAGCACTATACGTGGCCACAGCACCTCATGCGTCCGAGAGTATTCTCCAAAGTCGGCCATGGCTGCATCTCCCTCCCACACACCCGTCTGGAACTGGCCTCTGCCATCGAGAGAGAGACCTCTGCTTTCCCTGCCTGGAAGATGGGCAGGCTCGGTGCCTCCTTTCTAATGGCCAGTGTGTGGGGGAGGGAAAGCTCTGAGGTGCCCGAGCGGAGTGGGAGAAGGCCCTGCCACTCCCATCTGCCCTGGGACCCGGCCTCTATGCTGTGAGGAGGCCCAGGCCACACAGCCCTGGACCTCGTGACCCGACGTGGAAGCGAAGAGCCTTTGCCTGGATCCAGCCTCCGCCCCAACTCCCAGCTGCCGCAGAGACAAGCTGGCCCTGCCAAGTCCCCGGTTTGTGAGCAAAATCGATATCTGAAGCCACTGAGACGTGGAGTGCTTCAGGGGCAGCACATCTCAATGTCACATTCCGGGCCCTCCCCAGAGGCCCCGTCCAAAGAGCAGGGACCTGGAGTTGAAGAGTTGGAGACCCACCCTGACCACACTGCCAGCAAGCCGCGTCTGGACTTGAACCCAGGAAGCACCCAGCCAGCCCTCAGGGACAGCAGAGGAGCAGGGCGGTGAGACCCCAGCCCAGGGGAGCGGAGAGCAGCAGCCACGTACACACCCCCAGGAAGCGAGGGCCCTTAAATGCCGGCCGTACCCTTGGGGCACCTGGATGGGGCGGAGGGCAGTGCATCGCGCATCGCAGCTGGCCTCACACTGACCTGCATGGGGGGCCCTGGTACCCACGCCCTGGGCCACACCATGGACCTTGCAGCCCCAAGAAAGGACTCTGAACACTGCCCCTACCTGGTGACATCTGGGAGAGTCAGGCCGGGGGGCTAGGCCTGGGGTGCAAAGGCTTTCCTCCCTGGGGGCCGCACTCCCCCATCCCCTCCCTGGGGGCCGCACTCTCCCATCCCCTCAGCCTCCTCCATGTGCTTTGCAATCCAGAGGCCAAAACCCTCTCAAACTCTGGGCGGAGCCCCAGGCCCGGCCTGCTGGAGACCTTCTGGGTTCTCCCGCCGGCCTCGGAGCTATAGGATGTCACGGAAGGACCTGCACCCGGCGGCGCCCAGGCTGAGCCATGGCACTGGTTTGTGGGAAGCTGGAACAAAATGCCGCAAACTCGGGAGCCTCAGGCCACAGGAATTGGCCGTCACCGTTCTGGAGGCCAAGTCCGAGACCAGGCGTTGGCAGGGCTGGTTCCCTCCTCCCTCTGGGGGGCCCAGCTCCAGGCCCCCTGCAACCCCCGGGGCTGCCGGCACTCCTGGGTGGGCCTCACCATGCAGACCTGGTGCTCCGGGGTCTCTGCCTGTCTTTACGAAGCATTCTTCCCTGTGTCTCCGAGTCCGACTTCCCCATCCTCTCCTGAGGACAGCCGTCACCTTAGACGGAACCTCCCATAGCCACATCCTCTCCTGAGGACAGCCGTCACCTTAGACGGAACCCCCCATAGCCACAGTCACCTGGTCATTTGCAGAGACCTCATTTCCTAGTAGGGCCATACTCACAGGTACCAGGGGCTGCACACTCGGCCACCTGTGTGTTAGGCAGCCCTGGCCTGGGCCTCAGTTTCCCCACCACATGAGGCCAAAGAAGGCAGGCCTGGGTCGCTTCCTTTAGCCTCAGCCCAGTGCCCAGAGCGCTGATTCCAGCCGTGTGTTTACAGCCTGGGGTCCTCGCCGGCCCAAGGGGGACCCGTCCACAGCTTGGAAAAGCTCAGCCAGTTCCGCACCTCCTGGAGGCTGTGAGGCTGGGGCTGCGGAGACGCCTTCCTGGGGAGCCGAGACAGTAGAGGACAGGGCAAGCGGGACTCCCTGCAGCCACCTCCTCCAGGGAGAACTCCTGGCATCCTCCATGCCAGCCTGGCCCCACCCCAGCCCCTTCCCATCTCCATTCTGCCCGCTTCTTGCTCCTAACCCTACCAGAGACAGGCAGGCAGCCTCGTCCTGGCATTCGGGGCCTCCAGAACCAAGGCCAGTGTCCCCTCCACCCCCTGCCCCTCCCAGCCCCTGCCTGTGCCCTGTAGCCCCAGAAGCTTTCCCGCCTCTAGGCCTGTGCTCGGCTGGGTACCCCATTCAGGAGGAGCCTCTGCACCAGCCAGAGAGCGGGGTGGGGCCCCAGGGAGGCGCTTCCCGGGGGCGGCAGAGTCAGATGCCTGAAAAAACAAAGACAGGTGGGAGCGAGGGAGAGAGAAGAAACTCCTGGTAAATGAACAAATGAAGGAAGGAAGGAAGGAACAAACGAGTGAGGCTGTGGACAAGCTGGCTGCCCGGCAGGCCACACCGGGGTCTCTAAGAGCTTGGGCTGCAGACGAATCCAGGTCTGCCCCTCTCAATCAGTGTGACTCGGGCAAGCCGCGTCCCCCCTCTGAGCCTCAGTCTCCTCATCTCTCAAATGGGGGTGACGCCATCCCCACTGCCAGGGGTTCCTCTGAGCGGGTCACAGGAAGGTGCTTAGCCCAGGACCTGGCCCCAGGGCACTGGACGGGCCCTGACGACTCGGCTTCGCGCTACCGGACGGGGTACCTGCCGCCCCAGGATGCCGCCGTTGGGGTCCAGGGCACAAGAACCACTGGGCAGCACTGGCCCGTCGGCCGCTCCACGCTGGAGGCTGGCTCTCCCTTTATTTCTGGAGTTCCCCAGCTCTTCCCAACGCCTCTGGTACTGGGGAGCATTTGGGGGACCCCAGCCGGGGCTCACCGCAGCCAGGACACCCAGGGACTCACCCCCAGCACTCACAAGCCCAGAGACCCCGCCGGGCCCCTGCCGCCCCCACCGCCTGGCGCTGGGGGCCCTCCCTGCCAGGCCCAGCCGAGAGGCCAGCGGAGGGCGGCCACGCAGACAAAAAGCCTCTGTTTCAGCTCAGCTGCGCGAGGCCGATATTTATGGCGGGCTGGGAGTTTAAGAAAACAGGGGCCTTCCGTCCACGGGCGAGCGCGGCCGGCAGGGGAAGCCGGGGCCTAATTAAATCTGCACGGGCCGGGGCCACAGAGGCCGATTGTGCGGCCCGAGGATGTTAATGTGCATTTTAAATATTTATTGTAACTGAGGTAGGTTATGAAAACAGACATCCTTCCTTTCAACACTCTGTGCGTCAGATTTAGGGGCTTGCCTGGCTGCTGAGTGATTTCACAGCAGTCGGCGAGGCCGGGAACCCATCCATCACGCCCCACGAGAGGCCGGCGGAGGGGAAGGATTAGCGGCTGATTTATGGGCCGGCAGGGCCCGCGGGCCCGCGAGTGGGCAGGGCGGCCGCGCACCTGTCTGGGGCAGTGGGCGAGACGGGTGCCCCTGGCCAGCCCCGGGTGGGAGGCGCGTGGAGGGGCCCAGGGGTCTCCCTGCTGTCTGGCAGGGGCAGGAACAGCTTCAACTCAGCCACCTTGCCCTCTGCGATGGCTGCAGGCTCCGGGCACCCCTGCGCCTCTCTGGGCCTCAGTTTCCCCATCCAGAACATGGGAGTAGATGAGCCACTAGGCAAGTTTGCCGGAAGCAAAATAAGGCTTTGGCGTGTTGCTTGCTGCTGGTAAACGCTCTCAGGAAATAAAGCCCTGGGATGCTGCGTTTGCCAGGTTCCGTGGTGCAAGCACTCCCTCCCAGCCGATGTCCAGCTGCCGAACTGGGGTGGCCGAGCACGGAGCCGGGCAGAGCTGCGGATAGTCAGCTCCCACGGATGGGTCCCAGCTGGCAGGAGGTGGCCCCAGCGCCCCTGCCCACGGCCAGCAGCCAGCGTGGGGCCTCTCCAGCCATAGTCTGACCTCAGCGAATGCTTCCCTTCCTTCTGCAGCGAGAGTCCTGGGGTCTGGGCCGCATGGTAGGAGGGCTGAGGGGGACCTGAGTGGGCTGGGCTCCCAGGACCCAGGCGGGCTGCCGGCATCGGGGGTGAGGGAGGGCGGGGGACCTGGGGGCAGGAGCAGGGGGGAGCTGGAGGGAGGGACACCTGGACACCAGGCTGCCACGTCCGGGGGCCAAGGAGGGTCCTGCCGCCCTCCGGGGTTCATGCTCCGTCTGAGGCTCAGGTTGTGGGGTGTCTGTTGTCACTGGTGGCCACACTAGGCAGTGGCTGGCCTGACTGGGGGCAGCTGGATTCTGGGGGGACTGGGTTGAGGGGCCAGCAACCAGGCAGGCAGTGAGCCTGGCAGGGAGTAGGGAGCCCCGTCGGGCCTCAGCTTGCAAGCATCTCTTCAGGAGGGCTCTCCGGGGAGAAGGGCCTGGCTTTCTGGCCCCGCCGTCATAATTGCTCAGCAGAGTGGCCCTTGGGGACGCTTCTGAGGTCTGCCTCATCCACTCGAACTCCTGCGCACTCAGGGCAGGGTCCCCTCTCAGGGCCTCCCCTTGCACGCCCCCCAGAGACGGACAGCTCAGCATCTTCCAGGCAGCTCCAGGCCACCCTCTATCTCTTGCCCAAGCCCTCAGGGCTCCCCTCGGGACACAAGTGGGGCCTCACCCCCACAGGGAAGTGACTGCCGTCCTGGGCCTACAGCGATGGTCCCAACCCTGGCCCTGCTCTGGGGCCGCCCCACCTCCCTTCCTCCCGACACGCAATCCACTCCTCTGTTTCTCCCGAGCCCCTCACCACAGGCCTGGTCTCCTGATCTCCCGGTCTGTCCCCCGCCCCCGTGGGAGGCTCCTGCTGCCCTGGGCTCAGTTTGGGTGGGGGACTGACCCCTCCCTTGTGTTGTCCCCGTCACTGGGTCCCCTGAGCCGCTGACCACCCTCCTTTGGGAGTTTTTCCTTCCAAATCCAGGAGGCCTTGACCAGCTGCCCAAGGGGCAGGACACCAGTGTCCGGTCCTGGCTCCCAACACTGCCCCTCAAGCGGTGGGGGGAGTGGCCAGCGTTCTGGGCTCCCAGACAGACTCACGCAGCCGGCCCTGCCAATTAGGAACTGAGCACAGACCGCGCAGTCGATGGGGACGTGGCTCCCAGCACCACTGCCCCCCGCCTGGAGGATCGATGGTCCTTCCCATCCTGCGGGCCACGGAGAGCGCGGCGCCTACGGCTGGGGCCCAGCAGGCCTCCTCGGAGCGGAAACAGCCTCTCCGTGCCCCAGGCCGGCTCCCCCCAGGGCGGAGTGGGTGGCACCCTCAGGCCCTCCCCACCAGCCCTAGGCAAAGCTGTTTGTCCCCATGGAAGTCAGGAACATGGAAGCTTCTAGAGCCCAGGGAGGCCCCCTCCCCAGGCCCCTGGTCCCACAGACCCCTCAGCGCAAGCCCCCAGGCCCTGCAGTCCCAGCTCTGCCTGACCCCCAGGCCCAGCTCTAGTCCCTCCTTCTCAATCCTGGGTGGGAGATGTTGCTGCCTCAGCTGGGAGCAGCCTTAGAACAGCCTGGAGGGGGCCTCAGCCCCAGGGGGAACCAGGTCCCCCCACTCGGCCCCAGCTGTCGGGTCTGCTGCATCCCCTCCCCCAATGGCAGCAAAGTCCAGCTGGGGCCAGGCCCAACCCCAGCCCAGGCTGTTGCGGGGCAGAGTCTGACTGCCACAGTCAGGGGGCAATGGTCAGCGTCTTCAGGGGGTGGGGAGCTCCTCAGGGTCTGCAGCGCCCCCTCCCATGCCCTCTGGGCACCACTGCCCATGCACACACATGTCCACATGCAGGCAAGCACGTGTGCACTCAGACACAATGAGCACCTCCCACGTGACAGTTACCTGAGGTTGCACATGCACACGCTTACACACATGCACATGCTTGTACACACATGCATGCACTCACACACGGACACACACACATGATTGTACACACATGCATGCCTCTCTCACACAGACACGCTTGCACGCACTTGACATGCTTACCCACGCTTGCACATGTGTGCACACACGCAGGCGGGCACGCCACACCCAGGACTTCAGTGAACACACGCTCAGGCGTGAGCACACCCAAGCACGTGTGCAAGGACGTTCACCCTCTCAGGCACCTCCCCCACCCCCCCAGAGCCTCAGGCTCCCACCACGACATGAACGTGGTCACAGGAATGTGCACAGACACACACATCAGATGCACACACACAGACCCGCACACATCAGATGCACCCACACAGACACACACATCAGATGCACACACACAGACACGCACACATCAGATGCACCCACACAGACACGCACACATCAGATGCACCCACACAGACACGCACACATGCACCCACACAGACACGCACACATCAGATGCACCCACACAGACACGCACACATCAGATGCACACACACAGACACCCACATCAGATGCACACACACAGACACACACACATCAGATGCACCCATACAGACACGCACACATCAGATGCACACACACAGACACACACATCAGATGCACACACACAGACACACACACATCAGATGCACCCACACAGACACGCACACATCAGATGCACCCACACAGACACACACATCAGATGCACACACACACACACGCACACATCAGATGCACCCACACAGACACGCACACATCAGATGCACCCACACAGACACGCACACATGCACCCACACAGACACGCACACATCAGATGCACCCACACAGACACGCACACATCAGATGCACACACACAGACACCCACATCAGATGCACACACACAGACACACACACATCAGATGCACCCATACAGACACGCACACATCAGATGCACACACACAGACACACACATCAGATGCACACACACAGACACACACACATCAGATGCACCCACACAGACACGCACACATCAGATGCACCCACACAGACACACACATCAGATGCACACACACACACACGCACACATCAGATGCACCCACACAGACACGCACACATCAGATGCACCCACACAGACACGCACACATGCACCCACACAGACACGCACACATCAGATGCACCCACACAGACACGCACACATCAGATGCACACACACAGACACCCACATCAGATGCACACACACAGACACGCACACATGCACCCACACAGACACGCACACATCAGATGCACCCACACAGACACGCACACATCAGATGCACACACACAGACACCCACATCAGATGCACACACACAGACACACACACATCAGATGCACCCATACAGACATGCACACATCAGATGCACACACACAGACACACACATCAGATGCACACACACAGACACACACACATCAGATGCACCCACACAGACACGCACACATCAGATGCACACACACAGACACACACATCAGATGCACACACACAGACACACACATCAGATGCACCCACACAGACACGCACACATCAGATGCACCCACACAGACACGCACACATCAGATGCACACACACAGACACACATAAGATGCACACACACAGACACGCACACATCAGATGCACCCACACAGACACGCACACATCAGATGCACCCACACAGACACGCACACATCAGATGCACCCACACAGACACGCACATGGATCCCTCTGCAAGTTCACTTGCTCCCTCGCCCGGGTGCACATGTTAACACACACGCCCATTTTCACATGCTAAGCACACACACCCATTTGCACACACATCCTTGCTCCCAGTCCCTGGACCTGCGTGTCTGGGACAGGTGCCAGGTAGGCCTCCTGGGACCGAGTGGGCAGCACCATGGCCTGTCTGGGGGCTGCCTTCTGAGTCCCACAGGTCACATTCTGGGACGGTGGGCGTGGCCCAGGCCCGTTGTAAGGACCATGTGCCTCCAGCCGGCATCGGTGGGTGTGATTGTGTCGGGGTGAAACGGAGCCGCACCCCCTACCTGCACTCCCCACCAGAAGTCGTCCTGTGACTTTGACACCTCGGGAGCTGTGGGCCCTCCCAGAACCCCGCGTGTGAGCTGTGAGGGGGACGCCTCAGGACGCAGGTATCAGAACGGGACGGGGACGCCGTGAAGGACACACGAACCTCCTGGAGGGCTCCCTCCAGCCAAAACTAGGACCATTTGTGCATCCAAGTTGAAAATGATTCACACAGATTCTAAGTCAGTGAGTGAAACAGGTGTCCATACCGAAACGGAGAATAAATAAGTGGGGAGATGGACAATTTGGTGACAAACGGGATATCCAGTCTCAACGGGGAGTCACTTTACAGTAGGGACACCTGGCGGACACCCCTGAATCAAAGAATCAAAATGAACAGCGTCCGTCAAGGCGCAGCCAAAACCAGGCGTACCTGGGAGGATGCCCCAGAGAGGAACCAGGGTCCTTCTGGGCTGCTCCCTCCAAATTACAAAACCAACGCAGAGGAGACGGCAGACACATCCCAGGACAGGCGCGCTCTGCAATGGCCTGTTACCTCCCAGAGCGCAGGGGTCCTGGGGGTCAGGGGGAGGCCCGGGCAGGGCAGGGGGCATGGGAGAGGCGTGACATTGGTGTGTCTCGTGTGGCTCTGTGCGGGTCCCTCTGCTCTGAAGTGCGTTTCTGGGGCAATGGGGTCTGAGGAGTAGAAGGGAGTCGTGAGCCTGTGTTCTGATCACCTACTGCTTCCTAACAAACCCCCCCAAAACGGAGTGACTTAGAACAACACCAGCTGCAGGGTCTCTATCTATTTTGTGGGTCGGTGATCCGGGCAGGGTTCAGCCAGCGACTCTTGCACGGTCTCCACAGTCCCTCACTGCCCAGGATAGGGCTGGGGCTGAGCTGAGGAGGGGCCTGGGTGATTTACACAGGACGATGAGCTGCGCGCCCACTGGTGACCTCAACAGCACGGCGGTCCCAGATAATCAGGTTTCTTCCAGGGCAACTAGGGAGGCCCAGCAACGGGGTCCTAAGAGACTAAAGAGAGAAGCTGCGGGCCTCTTCTTTTTTTTGAGATGGAGTTTTGCTCTTGTTGCCCAGGCTGGAGTGTAATGGCATGATCTCGGCCCACTGAAATCTCCGCCTCCCGGGTTCAAGCGATTCTCCTGTGTCAGCCTCCCGAGTAGCTGGGTTTACAGGCGCCCACCACCGCGCCCGGCTAATTTTGTATTTTTAGTGCAGATGGTGGTTCTTCATGCTGGTGAGGCTGGTCTCGAACTCCCAACCTCAGGTGATCTGCCTGCCTCAGCCTCCCAAAGTGCTGGGATTACAGGCATGAGCCACCATGCCCGGACTCTTTTTTTTTGGGGGGGGGGGGACAGGGTCACCTTCTATTGCCCAGGCTGGAGTGCAGTGGCATGATCTTGGCTCAATGCAACCTCCACCTCCCAGATTCAAGCGATTCTCCTGCCTCAGCCTCCTGAATAGCTGGGATTACAGGTGCACACCACCACACCCAGCTAAGTTTTTGTATTTTTAGTAGAGACGGGTTTTTGCCATGTTGGCCAGGCAGGTCTCGAACTCCTGACCTCAAGTGATCCACCTGCCTCGGCCTCCCAAAGTGCTGGGATTACAGGCATGAGCCACCGCGCCCGGTCAAGCCTCTTCAAGACCTAACCTAGCAAGTCCCGGGAGATCCCTCCACATCCACGAGAAAGTCACCAGAAGGCCGGGTGTGGTGGCTCCTGCCTCTAGTCCCAGCACTTTGGGAGGCTGAGGCTAGAGGATCACTTGAGCCCGGGAGGTCGAGGCTGCAGTGAGCTATGATCACACAACTACACTCCAGCCCAGGCAACAGAGGAAGACCCTGTCAAAAAAAAAAAGAAAAAAAAGAAAAAAAAATGATTGCAATAGGACTGGAAAAAGGAAAGAAAGTCCCTTCAATCCAGCACCCAGCCTGTGTTTCCTGATTTTGTAGAATGAGTATCATGTATTCGGGGAAAATGCAGCTTGTGTCAACAAGACATTCTAAAATGGTTCAGGAAAGACAAAGTTCTTTGTACTGTTCTTACTATACATAGGAAGAATATATACTTTTTTTTTCTTTTGAGACAAGCTCCCATTCTGTTCCCCAGGGTGGAGTACAGTGGCACAATCTCAGCTCACTGTAGCCTCCACTTCCAGGCTCAAGCAATCCTCCCACCTCAGCCTCTTGAGTAGCCGGGACTACAGGCACCCATCACCATACCCAGCTAATTTTTTTTTTTTTTTTTTTTTTTAGAGATGGGTCTTGCTATGTTACCTAGGCTGGTCTCAAACTCCTGGGCTCAAGCAATTCTCCCACCTCAGCCTCCCAAAGTGCTGGAATTACAGGCATAAGGCACCTGGCCTATTCTTACAATATTGTTTGTGTTTGAGATGGTTTCAGAGTAAAAACTAAACAACCTCTTCCACGGCCCCAGGGCCCACAGGGAGAGGACTAAGCTCCAGCCTGGGCTTCTCCGGCCGCTGCCAGCCCCACCGCGTGCCCCCCCTCACCTTGGCCACCCACTCTGCCTGCCCACAGTGCACCCGGCTTTCCACCCTCCATCCTCATTCTTCAATTCCTAGACGTCCTTCACAGCCAGCTTCAGGTACCCCCAGACCCCCAACCTGCCCCTTACCCTCCAAGAGTCTGAGACGCTGAACACTGAGCCTCCGGCAAGTTGAGTCGGTTCAAGATCTCTGACCAACTCCAGGCTGGAACCTGACAAGCTTAGAGCACGAGGGTCCTGTATTTTGCCTGCTGCAGCCTTGCAGTTTTACAAATAAACAGAGGCAAAGAAAGGGGGCGTGAAAACATCGCTGCAGCAGTCCTGCCCAAGGAAACAGGTGTGAGCCACGCAAGCATGCGATTTTAGATTTCCTAGAAGCCATAGCCAAAAACAGCCAGGAGAAACAGATGAAGCTACTTTTTCTGTGATTTTTGCTTGTGGGTTTGTTTTGAGACAGGGTCTCTGTCTGTCACCCAGGCTGGAGTGCAATGGCACCATCTCGGGTCACTGCAGCCTCGACCTCCTAGGCTCAAGTGATCCTCCCGCCTGAGCTTCCCAAGTAGCTGGGACCACAGGCGCACACCACCACATCCAGCTAATTTTTTATTTTTTGTAGACATGAGGGTCATGTTATGTTGCTCAGGCTGGTCTTGAACTCCTGGGCTCAAGCAATCTGCCCACCTCAGGCTCCCAAAGTGCTGGGATTACAGGCGTGAGCCACCACGCCTGGCCTGAAGTTACTTTTAAGAATATATTTTATTTAGTCCTAAATAGTCCAAAGAGTCATCATTTCAACATATTCTAAATATAAACACAATTGTTACTGAACTATTGTGTGTTCTTTTTCTCGTACTATGCGTCTGTGACTCAGTGTGCATTTTACGTGGACAGCACGGCCCCGGTCAGCGTGGCGTGCCCAGGCCTGGGGCTCAGACTCCCATCTGGGTGGTGCGCGTCTCTGGGGGTGACCACTGCATGTCCCGAGTTACATTAACCCCCTTACAGCCCTGCATGGGCTACGGCCCATTTCAGAGATGAGGAGACCGAGGCTGGGAGGGAGGCTGGCTGGGCGCGCCTCCAGAACACAGGGCTGAGCCAGGAGTGGCGCTGGGATGGTGTCAGCACCGCGGTGTATTTCAGCAGCTGGAAACCTGAGGCCCAGTGAGGCGCTGGGCCCTCGGGGTCATGAGGCCTGGGACCCGGCCTCCCCTCTGCCTCTGCCCCCAATTCCGCCCACAGCCCCGCCCCTCCCATCAGGCCCGGGGCCATCCCTCTGTGCCCCCCTTGCCATCCCCAGGTGGGCCTGGGTGTTGGGTGCTCAGTGAGGACGCCTGTCTCGGCCTGGGTAGCGCTGTGTGAAGAGCCGCAGCTTCTCCTAATCCTTAGAAAAATAGCAACCAGGCTCGGAGTTCAAACACGCAAACCCCACTTAGCCGGCCGAGCCAGGAGCCAGGCCTCCCCTGAGACTCCACCACAGCTGGAGGCAGGGGCTTCTCTGCCATCCCCCGACACTCGCTGGGGTCTCCCCTACAGCATCCAGGTGGCCGGGGCTGGCACTGGGCAGATGAGACACCAGGCCATGGGAAGGGCCAGCAGGGCCCACCTGACATCCCTCCAGGCAGCGCAAGGCCAGGGCTCACCCAGTGCAGACAGGGAGAGCAGTGGGGAAGAGGGAATCCACCACGCTCTCCGCGCTCCAGGATTCCTGCCCCCGCAGGCTGGGGTCTCCTCCCCACTTCACAGAGGAAGAAACTGAGGATCAGAAAGGGGAGCCGACCTGTCCAGCGTCACCCAGCTGGTGAGCAGAGACAGTGGGATTAGAAGCCAGGTGTGGACGCAACATCCCCCAGGCCCAAGAGCAGGTCGGAGGCCACGGGGAGGGGAGACTGGGGGTGTGATGGACACGGCTCAGGTAGCCCCCAGGCACCGGCCCTGCTAGGCCCCACACTGGCCCAGCTGGGAGACAGCAGGTGTGGGAGGGTTGGGGCTGCAGGGAACCTGAGTGGCCTCCCAAGGGAAGTGCCAGCCACAACCCCCAATGAGGCTCCGAGACAGACCCTAACCTGGATCCCTGGCAGGCCCCTGTGCACCCAGTATCCCCTAAAATCCACGCTGGGGATTTCAGCAGCAGGATGGGGCCACCTGGACCCTCCCCTGACCCTGGATCCCTCGGGGGACAGACGGACAGACACACATGAGAACGAGCAGCCAGGCAACCCGCCACCCCGTCGTTCCCACAACCTTCCCAAGGCCCTGGCTTTTGGTCTTTGCTCCAAAACCAATCAATTTCTCGCCACCGCTGCCTAACAGACTTTCCTGATGTGGCTGTCAGCGTTAAAAACGACCAGGCGACGTCAGCCAGCCACCCCTCCTCTGACCCATCCCAGCCCCGAAGTGCTGGCCCAGGGTGAGACTCCAGCCCAGGGTCAGGCCCCTCCCACCCACACCTGCCCAGAGATGTTTTCGGTGACACGGCTTTGCTGATGCCTAAAGCACACGCCTGGCCTGCTTGACAGGCTCCTGGCCAAGGCACGGTGGCTCACACCTGTAATCCCAGCGCTTTTGGAGGCTGAGGCCGAAGAATCACTTGAGGCCAGGAATTTCGGACCAGCGTAGGCTACAAAGAGAGACCCTGTCTCTACAAAAAATAAAAGTAAAATAATTAGCAACAGAGGCTAGGCGCAGTGGCTCACACCTGTAATCCCAGCACTTTGGGAGGCCAAGGTGGGTGGATCATGAGGTCAGGAGATCAAGACTATCCTGGCCAACATGATGAAACCCCGTCTCTACTAAAAATACAAAAATTAGCCAGGTGTGGCAGCGCATGCCTGTAATCCCAGCTACTCTGGAGGCTGAGGCAGAAGAATCGCTTGAACCCGGGAGGCGGAGGTTGCAGTGAGCTGAGATCGCGCCACTGCACTCCAGCCTGGACGACAGAGCTAGACTCTGTCTCAGTAAATAAATAAATAAATAAATAAATAAATAAATAAATAAAATAATTAGCCAGGCATCGTGGCTTATGCCTATCATCTCAGCACTTTGGGAGGCCGAGGCAGGAGAATTGCTTGAGAAGTTCTTGAGAATTGGTCTCAGAACTTTGAGAGCAGCCTGGCCAACATAGTGAGACCTCATCTCTACAAAAAACTTAAAAATTAGCCAGGTGTAGTGGTGCAAGCCTGTAGTCCCAGTTACATGAGGGGTCTGCGGCGGGAGGATCACTTGAGACCAGGAGGTCGAGGCTGCTGTGAGCTACGATTGTGCCACTGCACTCCAGCCTGGATGACAGAAGGGGAGGGCTCCCAGGAAACTACATTTCTCAGCCTTCCTGGCACCTACGTGGGACCACAGCATCAGTGCTGAAATCCGTAGAACCAAGCAAAAGGCACTGGAGTCGGCTCGGACCTTCCCGCACGCAACTCCTTCTCCATCTTTCCCCTGCTCCACCTCCCCATTTGAGTGACACTGGTACTCACAAACCACAGGCTGGCAGGTCCAGGCTGCTCACAGGAATGCGCCTGGAGGCCTGAATGACTGCATGGAGCAAAGCCACTTGGGTCAACCCCAACTGCCATGTGATCAAGAAATTCCATCTTGAATCTGGGCAGCCACTGAGACTTGGGGATGCTTGTTATGGCAGCGAATGTCTCTTACCCTCATCTGTTGGTGCACATGGGGCGCTGGGTCGTGTGGCCTGTGTGCAACCACACATGTGTGCAAACATGTGCTCAGGATCACACACACCCATGTGCACACCAGCTCCCAGTGGAAGCCCAAGCCCGGCTGTGGATCTGCAGGGGGAGGAGCCGTCCCACCCCACCCTGCACCCCACTCTGTCTGCCAGGTGGGCTCGGGGTGGTGGCAAGGTGCCAACCCAGTGGAGCACAGAGGGCCAGTGGGGTACCCGGGGAGCTCCCAGCCTGGTGCCCACCCCTGTCCCTGCCCAGCCCAGGCCTTGCCCTGTGGCCTGGCTCCCAGAACCCACAGGGAGGTCAGGTGTGGCACGAGGGGCTGCCCAGCCGGCATGTGGCCCCCCGGGAGCGGCTTAGCCGTGATTCCGCGGGTCAGCGTATCATCCCAGCGCCGAGTCTATCAGCCAGATGGTCGCTTCAGCAGGGAGAGAAAAACCTGACACGCCATTTCAAACCGATTTCACGGCGGGCCTCCGGAGAGCCCCCACAAGCTCCTGACAGCCCGATCTGTTGTGAATAAATATGACAAAATTGCCAATTATGACAGGGAGGCTTCAATGTCGGGTGGACCAGGCTGGCTGTGGCCATGCGCTCTGGGGCCGGCACCACCAGGGAGACAGCCCCGCGGACAGAGAGAGCTGAGCCCAGATGACGGCGGTGCTGGGCCGCGGCCAGACGCCACAACAGCAGGCCCTGGAGGAGACAGCCGCGGCCGGCGCCTGCCAGCCCCCTGCCCACACCGCCCAGCTACGGCTGCTGCCCCAGCCCATGGCTCCAATGCCCCATATTTGGACTGCCAGCCCTCTGTTACCTTCAGGCGCTGCCAAGCAGGTCCTGGGCAGGGCGATGGCTCAACCAAGAAGGGGAGCATGCAGGTGGGCGCCCAAGGCCCGACTTGGCCCCAAGGCTCTGCCACCCTCACCAGCCCTGCTGGCCTCCAGCATCCAAAGCCCAGGTCTCAGAACATCACTCCCTCTTTGGCTCACACAGCAGGCCCCAGGCCCAAAGTCAGGCAGGGCCCCCGGTCGCCAGCAGGCAGGAGAGGCACAGAATTCAGAGCCCAGTACAGACGAAGCATGCGTGTGTCTCCACCTGAGCCCCCTGCCCTCTCCCCAGAAGCCTGCGTGGGTCCTGCCCTCTCCCCAGAAGCCCGCGTGTGTCCTCCTCTTGTCCCTGCCTGCCTCTGCTTAGCCCACTTCAGCCCCACCCGTGGGAAGCCAGGAAGCTGATCTGTGTCTGAGCCCTGTCTCGCATGGACACGTACCCCGGGCCACCCCTGCCACCTGGGAACCTGTACCTGGGTTTGTTTGAATCTCGGATGATAGAGTGACAGACACGGAAACAACCACCCTGAAAGGAGAGGTTACACTCACAGTTCCCCGAGGAGGGGCACATGGCGCGCCATGAAGGGCCGCGAGGGGAAGAGGCTTGGTCAGGAGGCCGCAGGGGCGAGGGGAAGACGCGGATCGGGGCCGGTGAGCAGCGGGCAGGCCTGGGGTTGGAGGTGTGGGTCACTGTGGAGGGTGCTGGGCTGCGGGGGTGGCCTCCGGTCGGCCATAGCCACCGTCACTTCCATCATAATCATCATGTCACCACCTTCCTGGCCTGGGTGATTTAGGGCAGGGAAATATCCACCCGGGAGCGTGACAGCCCAAAGAGGAGGTGGGTGCAGCCTGGGCCTTGGCGCATTTGCACACGAGAGGCAAAGTCGCAGGGGCCTTGGCTGTCCCCCAGCAATCAGCTAGCTCCAGGAGAGGCAGTCCCTCCCTGGCCAGCAAGGCCCCTATGATGTCAACACATCATCAATATAGATGAGAGGCCGGGCGTGGTGGCTCACGCCTGTAATCCCAGCACTTTGGGAGGCTGAGGAGGGCGGATCACGAGGTCAGAAGATGCAGACCCTCCAGGCCAACACGATGAAACCCTGTCTCTACTAAAATGCAAAAAATTAGCCAGGCGTGGTGGCGCATGCCTGTAGTCCCAGATACTTGGGAGGCTGAGGCAGGGGAATCACTTGAACCCGGAAAGCGGAGGTTGCAGTGAGCCAAGATCATGCCACCACACTCTAGCCTGGTGACAGAGCAAGATCCTGTCTCAAAAAAAAAATATATATATATTTATTATAATTTATAATATATAAATATTTATTACATATTATTTATATATAGATAGATGAGAAGAAACATGCTTAAGATACCATCCATCTCCAGGCCTCATCTTCCCTTCTGCAAAATGGGAACCTGGAGTAGGTGAACCCCCACCCAGGTCCGGTCATCTGCACCCCAGACCTCTCAGCCCCTAACTCCCTGTGTCACCTCTGCTGCTGGCCTGACCTTATTCCCTCCAGGGAGGGGCCATAGCTGGTTTCCCCAGCCGGCCACAGCTAGGGCAGCCCCCACGTGGACAGCTCAGTGCCCAGCCAGCTTTCCGCTCCTCCCGCACAACTCACTGGCTGGCAAGTGGGGTCCATCTGCCAAGACCTCAGCCCTAGCCCCTCCCCCAGCCTCCCTCAAGCCTTGGTCCGATCCAGGCTCTGGAATCTCACGGACTCAGGCTGACATATTAGCCCTACCCTTTACTGGCTGAGTGACATTGGGCAAGTCAGTCTCATCTGTAAAATAGGCAGATTCGCACCCACCACACAAATAGCTTCTCTGAAAAGACAGCACAGTGCCTGGTGCATAGAGGACGTTGAATAAATTATAGTCACTGTCACCATGATTGTCACCATCATCACTGTCATCACATCATGATCACCACCATCGCCATCATCACCTCCATCGCCATCACTATTATCACCTTCATCATCACCATCGCCATCATCACCTCCATCAGCATCACTATTATCACCTTCATCAACACCATCACCATCAACACCATCATCACCAGCAGCACCAACACCATCACCATATAACCTTCATCATCATCACCATCACCAGTACCTTCATCACCATCACCATTATCGTCTTCACCATCACCTTCATCACCATCACCATTATCATTATCTTTACCATCACCATCATTATCACCATCTCCATCACCACCATCACTGTTATCATCTTTATCATCACCATCACCACCATCACCGTTATCATCACCGTTATCATCACCGTCACCATCATCACCATTAATATCATCACCAGCATCACCAACACATCATCATATCATCTTCATCACCATCACCATTATCATCAACATCACTTTCATCACCACCATCACCATCATCACCATCATCATCATCACCTCCACCACATCATTATCATCATTATCACTGTCACCACCAACACCATCACCTCCATCACCATCATAATTATCACCATTACCACTATCACCATTATCATCACCCTCACCTTCATCATCACCACCATTACCACCATCATCTTCAGCTGCAGCTCTCCTCATCCACTCTATCATTACCTCTGTCATCACCTTCTTTGTCTCCAGCATCATCATCTTCATCATCTTCATGCTTGTCATTCCTGTCCCTTCCTCCCTTTCCTTGGTTTCTCAGCTCCCTAGTGACTAGGAAAGCATCTCATTCTGTGGGCCCCAAGGTTCTGGTGCAGGGCCTGAGGCTGCAATGGAAACCCCAGGCTCTGAACTCAAGTAGACCTGGATTTGAATCCCGACGCAGGCCCTGGACAGTGATCTAAGTTGTGGACTGCACAATCCTAGGAGACCTACTCCCATGGTGCCCACTCAGTGACCAGCTGCATGACTCTGAGCAAGTTGCTTGAGGTCTCCATTTCCTCCTAAAAAAACAAGGTTGATTTTCACAGGACCACTCTGAGGCTTAAGTGAGGCGACGCAGGTAAAACCTGGGCACTGGGCAGGGATAGAACAAATAGCCTGCAATTGATCACGTTGTTCTCCAAGAGTGCACCTGACAGCTGTCTAACCACCCATTATCCTTTGGAAAAGACCCCTCTGTGACAGCCCGAGACTCTTCCCAAGGGCGGGGAGCCCCTCCCTCCTAAGGTACCTCCCCTTCCCTGGGGAGCTCAGGATTTCTGCTGACGGACTGGCCCCACCCTCCTGCCCTGTGGGTACATCTGTTCCTCCTCCCTACGGTGAGAATGATGTCCCCCAGCAACATCCTCCTCCCGAGGTGGTGACCCCCAGGAGGCCCCCCTACTCTAAACCCCATCTTATCTCCTCTGAGATAGCAGGTCCAAGGTGACCCTCTTTATAGGAAAACATTTAGAAAATCCAAGAAAGTACAAAGGAAAAACAAGACTCACCCATGATCCTACCACCCATGATCCTACTGGGCGATTCATATTTCAGATTACCAAAGTGATGTAATACTTCACAGAAAACAGAAAAAGATAATGAGCTCCACGTCGCTGCCTCAGTGCCACACTCTCTCATGCCATCCTCTTCATCCACGCGTTCTCGGGCTGCATATGTTTTTTACATCATTACACCCTTAATGTGCCCCTAATTCCATACACGGCTTCCCTCGGCATCATGCTGTAGGCGTGTTTGTACATAACCACCCAGTCTTCGCAATTAGCACTTTTAATGACTGCCTAGTATTCCACCGAGTGTGTATGTCGTAATCTACTAAACAACTCCCCGATTGTTGGACATTTCAGCTGCTTCCAATTTTTTTTTGGTCATCAAAGATAATGTTGCCATGAATATCTTTGGCTTAAATCTCTCCCCATATTGTGGATAATTTCCCCCGGAAGAGCATCCCAGAGGCGGCGTCACTGGGTCAGAGGTGCTGAGCATTTCCATGGCGCAGAGTGCATGTTGCCGAGTCACTCTCCATAAGGGCTGGCCTGGCTTCGGCACCCCCAGCAACGTGGTTGCCTCTTGTCTCACTGCATCGCCCCACATGGGAGAGTCCTGGTTTTAAGGGCTGGTTCGCTAAGCAGTAGGCATGGCGCCTCCGATATCAGGGTCCAACCCACACATCGGGCCCCCATCGAACACCATCGACTGGTTTTGACCCTTGCCACGTCCCTGGATAAGATGGTGGACACACTGTTGCAGGCTCGGAGTTCATGGTGGAGCCAGGGCGGGGGCAGGAGACGTTCATGGCTCCTGGGGGGTGAGCCAGGAGAGGGGACATCAAGGGCCGGGATGGGGCCACAGCAGGTGAGCTGCAGAGTGCAATTCCCAGGTTTCTGTCCTGCACATAAGCTCATCCCCCTTGCAGCAGGATGTAGGTTTGGTGTCCCAGCCTCTCCATGAACTGGTCATCAACCTGGCTGCTCAGGCTGGGGACCTGGGAGTGGGTTTTGTACCCCCCTCTCTCTCCCTCTCTCGGTACATCCATTCATTGGCAAGGCCTGGTGGCTCTATCTGTCTTCCTCCATCAGCCAGCCTGTGCTGCCCACCTCTCCGGGGCACCTGGACATACCCCACACCCTCCTCACTGGTCTCCCTGTCTCTGCTCTGTCCCTTGGGCCCCTTCTCTTCAAAGTAGTCATGGTGGGCATATTGAATCCATGTCCTCCCATGACTGAATCCCACCAGCATCTTCCTGTTAAACGTAGAAGATGAGTCACACATCTCAACAGGCCTCCCAGGCCCTAGAGATCTGGCTCTGCTCACCCCCACCTCATCCACCCCCCGCCCCTCTGCCATACTGGCCTTCCTCTGTGCCATGGCCTCTGCCTGTGATGCCCTTCCCCAAACCCCACATAACTATCCCCACCTCATCCTTCGGGTCTCAGCTTAAATGACACCTCTCCGAAGAGCCTTCCCTGGCCACCTGAGTAAATGCCCTCCTCCCATATGTATTCCCTTCCTTCATATATAATTCATAGATCTCTTCTCTTGTTTGCTTGTTTTTCTCCCCCACTGGTACATGAGCTTCATGAGGTCAGGGGGTTTTGCCTGTTTGGTTCATTACTGAACAATGAACCAGCACGATGCCCTGCATTTAAATTGCTCAATGAATGTGTGGTGAGTAAATAGATGGATGGGTGGGTGGATGGATGGATAAATAGGTGAGTGGGTGGATGGATGAGTGAGTGGATGGATGAATGTGTGGGTGGGTGGGTGGGTGGATGGATAAATAGGTGAGTGGGTGGATGGATGAGTGAGTGGATGGATGAATGTGTGGGTGGGTGGGTGGATGGATGGATAAATAGGTGAGTGGGTGGATGGATGAGTGAGTGGATGGATGAATGTGTGAGTGGATGGATGAATGTGTGGGTGGGTGGGTGGGTGGATGGATGGATGGATGGATGGATGGATAAATAGGTGAGTGGATGGATGGATGAGTGAGTGGATGAATGGATGAGTGGATGGGTGGGTGGATGGGTGGATGAATGGGCGGGCAGGTGGATGGGTGAGTGGATGGATGAATGTGTGTGTGGGTGGGTGGATGGATGGATGGATGGATGAATTGATGGATGAGCGGATGGGTGGGTAGATGGGCAGATGGGTGGATACAGATGGATGGGTGGCTGGGTGGATGGATGGATGAATGGATGGATGGATGAGTGGATGGGTGGATGGATGGGTGGATACAGATGGACGGGTGGCTGGCTGGATGGATGAGACTGGATGGATGGATGGATGGATGGATGAATTGATGGACGAGCAGATGGGTGGGTAGATGGGTAGATACAGATGGATGGGTGGCTGGGTGGATGGATGGATGAATGGATGGATGAGTGGATGGGTGGGTAGATGGGTGGATACAGACGGGTGGATGGATGGGTGGATATAGATGGACGGGTGGCTGGATGGATGGATGAGATTGGGTAGATGGATGGATGGTGGGTGGATGGAATGAAATTGAAACCTGTACAAAAAGACTGAAAGGTACTGAGGAAGAGAAGAAAAATCAGGAGAGGGTGGTATCCCAGGGGCTGGGGAAAGAGTGTCTTTAAAGAAGGAGGCAGAGACACCAGGCCTGTCTTCGTCTGCCTTGGCTGGTGCCTGATGCCTTCAAAGGGGATGAAGACAGGGAGCTGGTTTGGCAGGGATCCTACCCAGGAGGCTGATGAGCTCAGTCTTTTATTTTATAATTTAAAGATAAATTTTACTTTTTAGTTTGAAATAATTTCCAATTTGCAAACTAATACCGAGTACTCCAGTACACCGGCACCCAACTTCTCCTAGAGTCAACGTGTACATAGCCAGTGGTGCACCTGCCCCCAACCTCTCCTAGATTTTACATCTACGTAGCCGATTGTATGCAAGCCAGGTCTGCTCGATAGCATTTGCCGATTTCCATGGTGTAAATACTCCCACCAAGGCCAATTTTAAGCTACCAACGGTTTAACAACTGGCTTGCAAAATTCCTGAACATTTAACAATCAACTCTCAGAAGACATTATGAGCTGCTCTAGCAAACCATGGTACAAACCATGCACATGGGTCTCAGGTCTTATTTTAATCTCATCAGTTGTCTTGCCAACATCTGAGTCCCAGGACCCCACGCCGCAGGCAGCTGCCTCCTTGGCCTCCTTCATTCTGGGTACCAATGAAGGATGGTTCACATGTTGACATTTGCTAAGGGACACTGGCCAGTTACTTTGGAAAACACCCCTTGGTTTGGACGTGTGGTGTTTCCCCATGATCAGTGCATTTCTGCCAGGGAACGTAACAGAAGGATGCTGTGTCTCCTCGGGGCTTTGGAGCAGGGGTGCTGGGCTGTCTGGCCTGTCAGTTGCAGGTGAGGTTAATTGACAGCTTTGTTACCCTGATGTCTGTTGCATTTCTCCAAGTTTTTTTCTCTTTGTCATTAATAATTATCTTCAGCCTTTAAAAGGAAATAAATTCAGACCAGGCTCGGTGGCTCATGCCTATAATTCCAGCACTTTGAGAGGTAGAGGCAGGTGGATCGCTTGAGCCCAGGAGTTTGAGACCAGCCTGGAAAACATAGCAAGACCCCATCTCTACAAAAAATACAAGAATTAGCTGGGTGTGGTGATGTGTGCCTATAGTCCCAGTTACTTGGGAAGCTGTGGTGGGAGGATCGCTCGAGCCTGGAAGACGGAGGCTGCAGTGAGCCGGGATCATGCCACTGCACTCCAGCCTGGGTGACAGAGCGAGACCCTGTCTCTAAAAAAAAGGAAAGAAATTCTGACACAGGCTACAGTGTGGGTGAACCTTAAGGACATTTGGTCAGTGAAATAAGCCAGACCCAACAGGACACAGACTGTGCCATCCACTCATACGAGGTCCCTAGATCCTCAAATCCACAGAGACAGGAAGTAGGATGGCCGGTGCTCGGGGTTGGGGCAGGGGGATGGTGGGGAGCAAGTGTTTAACGAGGACAGATCTTCAATTTGGGAAGAGGAGAACGTTCTGGAGATGATGGTGGTGATGGACGCACACAAATGTGAATGTACTTAATGCCACTGAACTGTGCACCTACAACAGTGAAGAGGCCGGGCGCGGCGGCTCACGCCTGTCATCCCAGCACTCTGGGAGGCCGAGGTGGGCGGATCACCTGAGGTCAGGAGTTCGAGACCAACCTGGCCAACATGGCGAAAACCCCTCTCTACTAAAAGTACAAAAATTAGCTGGGCGTGCACCTGTAATACCAGCTACTCAGGAGGCTGAGGCAGGAGAATTGCTTGAACCCAGGAGGCAGAGGTTGCAGTGAGCCAAGATCGCACCATTGCACTCCAGCTTGGGCAACAGAGCGAGACTCCATCTAAAAAAAAAAAAATTAATAAGCACCTAGGGGAGGAACTTTGAATCACTTCCGCAATTCTCTTCATATTTTGACCTGCAAAATTTTTCACGCTGATCTGTGATTTACACCAGCTCTCCCTCCCTCCCTCCCTCTCTCTCTCTCTTTCCTTTCGTTCCCTCTCCTCTCCTCTTTCCTTTCCTTCCTTCCTTCCCTCCCTCCCTCTCTTTCTCTTTCCTTTCGTTCCCTCTCCTCTCCTCTTTCCTTTCCTTCCTTCCTTCCTTCCTTCCTTCCTTCCTTCCTTCCTTCCTTCCTTCCTTCCTTCCTTCTTTCTTTCTTTCTTTCTTTCTTTCTTTCTTTCTTTCTTTCTTTCTTTCTTTCTTTCTTTCTTTCTTTCTTTCTTTCTTTCTTGTGTGAGACAGGGTCTCTCTCTGTGGCCCACACGAGAATGCAGTGGTGCAATCATAGCTCCCTGCAGCCTCAACCTCCACGGTTGAAATCATCCTCCCACCTCAGCCTCCCAAGTACCTGGAACTACAGGCACGTGCCACCGTGCCCGGCTAATTTTTGTATTTTTTGGTACAGATGGAGTGTTGCTATGTTGCCCAGACTGGTCTTGAACTCCTGGACTCAAGAGATCTGCTCACCTTGGCCTCCCAAAGTGCTGGGATTACAGATGTGAGCCATTGCACCCAGCCACGTTTTCAACAACATCTTGGTGCCAGCCTCTCCCTTCTGGCATGCAGGAAGCCACGCTGCTCTACCCATGGAAACGCGGTCAGTGATGATGGGGCTCCAGGACCAAGAGCAGCCAACTCGGGAGCTGGCAGCCCTGCACTGTGGGAGGCGCCGTGCTGGGCGCTCTACACCCCCGATTTGAGTGACCCCCAACGGATGGAAACCCAGGCTCTGAGAGTGCCAATCCACCCAGCATCACACAGCTCCTGCCAGGACATGCCAGAACAAGTTCCTAAGAGGCCAGGCTCCTGTCCCCTTGGGTAGCTAGGCCACTCCGGCCTTGGTCTGGGGCCCAGCCACAGTCCAGTTTTTCCAAACAACCATAAACACCATCTTTATGGAGGATGGGGAGGGCAGAAGAGGAGACCTCCTTCTTCACCTCAGTGGGCTCTGCTCCTCCCAGGACACAGCCTATCTTCAGGGGCTGTTGGAAGCCTCAGGGCACCCCTGGGCCCAGCATCCCACAATGGGCTAAGACTTTGGTGGCTATCTGCTGGACATGACCATGGAGTAAGCCGGGCCCAGCAGGGATTCCCTCCCACCAGCCCAAGCCTTTTAGAAAACGTTTTTAGAGCCGGCCACAGCAGTTCACACCTGTAATCCCAGCACTTTGGGAGGCCAAGGCAGGAGGATTGCTTGAGCCCAGGGATTGGAGATGAGCCTAGGTAACATAGTAAGACCTCATCTCTACAAAAAATTTAAAAATTGGCCGGGCATGGTGGTGCGTGCTTGTTTTCCTAGCTACTTGGGAGGCTGAGGAGGGAGGATCACTTGAGCCCAGTGTTTGAGGCTGCAGTGCGTTATGACGGTGTCACTGCACTCCAGCCTGGGCAACAGAGTAAGACCCTGTCTCAAAAAAAAAAAGAAAAGAAAAAGAAAAAAAGAAGGAAATATCCTTAGCGCCCCTGCGGCGATTCCCCAGCCCCTCCTGCCACATTCTCTTTTTAGGGACAGAGGATAACGGCCTGGACAGAGGGATGGGCAGACGGGCCGGGGCCCTTCCAGGGTGCGGCTCTCTCCTCTCGATCCCACGTCTCTGGGCCTCCACGTGGTTTCTCCCAGGCTTCAGACCCAGGCTGACAGTCATTCATCATCCCCAGACGAGCACTGCTTGGAGCCGGCCCAGGCGATGAAAGGCTCCCGGGTCCCCAGGCCCCTCCCCTAGGGCCACCGGCATTCCCTGGGGCTGGGACAGACTCCATCTGTAACAAGCGTTAACAATGACAACAGACCCTGTATTCTCATCTTCTGCCCGCCTGGGACCTGGCCTGTCCTCCGTCTCCTCCCAGCAGCCCTCCGTGTGTGGGGGTGGATGGGTGGGATCATCAGCCCATCATCCAGAAGGAGAAACCGAGGCCCACGGGGTCAAAGGTGCTTACCCAGTGAGCCGGTGGCAGAGCCCACAGCCTCAGCTTACAGGTCCCTACCTGGGGTCTTCCCTCCTCACAAGGCTGCTCCAGACACTGCACGGTCCTGCTGAGCACTCGATCCCCAGGGGAGAGAATCAATCCCCAACTAGAGACTCTGGGGCTTCCCAGAGACAGAGCCTCCTCCCACCAGCAGACGGGAGCTGGAGGCAGGGCTGTCCTGAGGACCAGGGCCCCTGTGCCCTCCCCGGGTGGGGACTGAGCTTTTGCCTCTGGGCCACACGTGCACAGACTGCCCAGCTCACCCTAAATAGCGGTTGTCAGTGGCCGTGGGTGCACAGCCAGGGCAGGCCAGGTCACCCCGTGCGTGAGAACTTCCCGCAGCCTGCCTTCTCACCTGCCCCCATGTGCTCCCCTACCTCCACGCCCCTGCACCCGAGCCCACCGTACCCATCCCCCAGTTGTCCAGAAACCTTATCCACCTGGCCCAGTGATCTGTGCCTGACCACGCAGGAAGGGCTTGGGGGAGACAGACTCAGGGGCCCCCAGCGGAGAGGCCCAGGTTCGGGGCAGGGGGCCGGGCTATGCCTTGGCCCTGCTGCCACCAGCTTCCTGTGTGACCTCGGGCAGATCTCTGCCCCTCTCTGGGCCAAAGCTCACCCATGCGAAATAGGAGAAAATGGCCAGATGGTCTGCAGCTCCGACCAGGCATGAGTGGGACACCTGGGCTTTGAACACCAGAGGGGCACCCTCTGTTACCCAAGGCCCCGGGCAAGTCTTCACCTCCCTGGGCCTCAGTTTGCTCATCTGTAAATTGAGTCAATGAGGCCTTTCCTGGGCCTCTAGGGAGCCGCAGGGCAGAGGAGGCAGTGGAAGAGCTCAGCAAATGCCACGTGGGGTCCATGGCGGACGCCCCGGCCCATCCTAGCTGGTCTCTGCCCTCCAGCGCTCCCCTGGGCGCTGAGCTCCTGCCCAGCATGGTGGCCTCTGACCCGGATTTCCGACCGGGCTCCGTCTCTGTGCACCGCCCCAGCTGACCTGGATGGCGCCCCCACCCCCACCATCACTGCCTCTGTGCCTCTGAGGCCCCCGCCCAGCTGCCGGGCTCAGATGAAACAGGCCCTGTGTTTTTTTTCAGGAGGGGGCGTTAATCTGCTGGAACAGGGGCCTCTCAACCAGCCCGGGGGGCTGCCAGTTCTCAGAGCAGCCAGAGGTCAGGGGTCAGGAAGGTGAGGACAGGGAGGATGCTGGGAGGACACTGGGCCCCTGCAGAGGCTGGGAGCAGGCGTGTAGGGGCCGCTGACCCCTGCAAATTGGCCTGGTGTGCCCTGTGCTGTGCGCAGGGCAGCCAGGAGGGAGCCTCGGTGTCTCCACACTCAGGGCCAAGCTCTGTCTACCTCCTCCCCATCGGCAAGGCTTGCACTCTTCCTGGGACAGGCAGCTCAGCCCCTCACCCAGGGGCAGGTTCTGAGATGGCACAGAGGCAGGTGCCGCAACACTGCAGGTGGAGGGTGGAAGGACTGGGGCTGCCGCCTGCCAGGAAGCTCTGCCCTGAGCTCAGAAAAGTAGGTCCATGGGCAGGCCTCCCCCAGGACCCTGACAGGGCCCCACAGAGAGGGGCGATCTGGGAGGGGCCCATTCTCTTGGTCTCTTTTTTGTTGTTGTTGAGATGGAGTCTCACTCTGTCACCCAGGCTGGAGTGCAATGGTGCGATCTTGGCTCACTGCAACCTCCGCCTCCTGGGTTCAAGTGATTCTCCCGCCTCAGCCTCCCGAGTAGCTGGGATTACAGGCACACACCACCATGCCCGGCTAATTTTTGTATTTTTAGTAGAGACGGGGTTTCACCATGTTGACCAGGCTGGTCTCGAACTCCTGACCTCAAGTGATCCGTCCGCCTCGGCCTCCCAAAGCGCTAGGATTACAGGCTTGAGCCACCACGCCTGGCCCTCTCTCTAGGTTTCTGAGCCACCAGGGGAGGAGGCTTAAGGGCTCTTGGGAGGCCTGGCCCAGCCTGATTTCACCGGGTTCAAGTCAACATCCTTCCCACACACTGGTCTTTGAAAATTTTAAAGATCACCCAGCCTCTATCCATCCCCAGCGGGCATGACCTGCTGAGGCCCCAGATGCCCCACCCTGACCTGGGCACCAAAGGTGTCTGAGCAGAAACAGCTTCTGGGGGCTGCAGAGGAGGCACTGGTACATGTGACACAGCCTCAGCATGCACACCCCTCCCCAAGCACCTGTACGTCAGGCCCACGCAGCCCACCTGATGGGAGGAAGGGCAGGGGGCCCACCCTTGGGGTTCCAGGCCTTGGACACTGTGCACCCCCGCATCACAGCACACAGGCAGGCCCATGCCAACATGCACGGACTCTGGGAAGACACTGGCATGCACACCCTCGGGCCTAGATACCCAGACGTGGCCAGGATTCTTGGCTACCGGTCCCAGCCCTCCTCTCCGGACCTCTGTAGACTCCCTGGGCCCTGACCCTGGATCTGCTGGGGGAGAACTGACTCCCCAGCTCGACGGAGCCCTGTGCAGCTGGGGCAGGGTTCCGACGACCAGGGCACCCCCAGCTCAGCTGGAGGCCAGGCCACGGAGGGGGACGCAGGCCTGGGCAGGAGGGGGCAGCTGAGACGTCCCAGCCGCTGCCCGACCTTGGCAGCTCCCAGCCTTTCCTGCTGCCTCGCCTGTGGAAGGAGCTAACGATTTTTCCAGGTTGGTGGGAGGGACAGGAGAGGTCACGCCGTGGAGAGGCTTTGGCAAGCTGGAGGGCGCTGTCGGAACGTTTGTGGAAAGGGTTCTTCATGGAGAAGCCTCCTTCACAGCCCCCTGGCCCCCTGGGACCCCACGTGCTCGACAGCTGCTGGGAGGGCGGAGCCCCTGCTGTCCCGGCCCCCACAGCCCCCCTCTCCCCCTGGGGTGCAGCTCTCATTCCCCTTCCCAGGGTTGGGGCAAGGAAGGGCCGGGTCTCCTTGGGGACCTGCAGGCTTGGTTCCCCAGGGCGCTGCACCCCTGTGACGGTGTCATTTACTCCCAAGGCGGCCAGGGCACCAGCGTGCCACGCCCGTCGCCTGTCATTTCCCAAGTCATTCATTCTCCGAGCACTTCCGTATGGCGCTCACCTTTGAGAAATCCACATGGCCCAGGGTCTCAGTTCAGGACAGCGGCCCCTAACCCGGGCTGGGAGAACCAGGAGGCTGGACTTGTGCTTCCGATGCACTGCAGATCTTGGGGCAGCTTTGTAACCTCCTGAGCCTCAGTTTCCCCCTTTGTAAGCCGGGGACAGGAATAGTATCTGCCTTCCAGCACTGCAGGAGCCTGTGCCCAAGACTCAGGGACCGCCCCCAGCCTGAGGCTGCAATGCCAAAAATCCTGTGTACCCACGAGTCTGGAGATGTGCAGGCAGGCCCCCCACATCATCCTCAGCACAGTCCCCTGTGACTGCCCCTGCCCTCCAAGCCAAGGCCACCTTCAGTCTGACTTACTGGGCTGCCCAAGGAGCAGAGAACAAGGTCCCAACCCTGCCAGGCCAGGCTCCCTCTTGCCTGTCCCCACAGCCCCTGGTTTAGAGCTGTCCCCACGGAGGCAGGCAGTGCCAGCCGGGCCGAGGAGGTGGGGGGGAACCTTTCCGCAGCAACCTGGGTCCCGGATGCTATTTCAGGCCACCCCACCTAATAGGTGTGATCCCATCTCTGGCCGCCGCTGGGAGGTTTTGCATCAGCTTCCAGCGAGCAGGACAATCTCACTATATGGAGAATGGGTTGGTGACGGCTAATTGATTTTACAGCGGTACCGAAGGACAGACAATGAAAGTGCCATCAATTTAATCCACTATTTAATGGTTCCAATTTAGCCTCTGTAAATGCTCACTAAACTAATTTCTCTGGGTTCAGCAATCTGAAAAGCTATCATATCTCTAATCTCCTTCAATATATTCATCTGGAAAAGGGAATTTAGCCAATTCTGATGTGCGGAGATGATCTGTTAGCACAGTGTAAATGTTTATAACACAGCAATCGAGTTCGTTTATAAGGATATGAAAAGTTTTATTGGGGAGGGCACTGGAGTGGAACCGGCGGATAATAGGCAGTTACCCAGCAGGCTCTGGGCGCCCGGGAGCGGGCAGGCAAGCAGAAAAATACTCGGATTTGCTCTAATCCCAAATTGTGAGCTCAAGTTCGGACCAGTACACAATGCGCCTGGAACTTGGCTGCACGAAAGGAGTGACGCCGTTCCCCGTGGACCCCTGCTTCCCTCAGTGCCGCACGCCCCCACCCCCTGCACAAAGGCAGCGGAAGTGGGGTGACGGGGGCTTAAGCCCCGCTTGGATCTTCCTTTCTGATAACCGGGAGTCGGGGTGCGATAGGGATCTGCGTATCTTCCCGGGCCTCGGAGGCAGGGGCTGGGCCTGTCCCGCTCTGTCCAGCCAGACAGGGGAGCTGGCGGGACCCCCACCCTTTCCCATCGCCCCTCGGCCCCTCCCCCAGCATGCAGTCTGATGGGATTTATTAGAGAAAGGGTGGCGACCAGCTGTTCCCCATCTTTCCTGAGGACAGGGCAGGAGGAAGCAAGCTTAAGTTACCGAGCAGGTTTTAGGTTCACCACAAAGGGTTTCCTCCTGGGGAGGGCAGATTGGCCTGCCCCTGCCACCACCCCCTCCCACACACACACCAGCACCACCTCCCAGCGACCTTTTCCCAAGGTGGGTGCCCAGCACGGCGGCTGCAGGGGTGCTCACGTCCCACGCTGCTGGGAGTCCTCAAGCGGCGTCCCCTGCACCCCGCGCACCTGGGTGCCGAGCGCACCCCCCAGCGTGGAAGCCCCCCCATCCTGATTCTCCCAGTGCCCTTGTTTATTTTTGTTCCCCAGCGGTGTGGTTGAAGCCCGATTATTCAGCGCTAACGAGCCAGTGCGACCCACCCATTAAGTGTGGTTTGGGGGCGTTATTGTTTTTCTCACATCCATCCTGTTTTTAGAGAAAATACTCCCTGCCACAGCAGCACATAAATTAGGAAGGCCGGGAGTCTGGAGAAATGCCACCGGCCTCCTGCAAATTTAAGAGCCAGGGAGTGACCAGGTGACTTTTGGCCAAGCAGAGAGGCCATGGGAGAGACAGCGGGAGGCAGGGCCTTGGGCCAAAACACCGCCTGCTGGGCCAGACACAGTCGACCCTGACGCGGGCTGTCCCAGGGACCCCCGAGGCCCGGGACCCAGGTGGCCCATCTCGGGGGCCAGCTCCTTCCCAGGCCCCGCAGATGAGGACAGAAATCGATTGGCCACACGGCTGTGACTGCCTCTTCTGTCCCAGCCCCAGGATGGGAGCCCCCGGGTAGGGGCGTGGGGCACATCTGGTCCTCTGGGTCCCCGGCTCCCAGCTCAGGCCTGGCCCACAGCACAGGTTTGGCAAGGGACGGACGGGCGCCTACCCGCTCGAGCTTTGAGGTGGCCTTGCAGCGCAGGGGGCCCGGATCTGGGCCTGGCAGACCGGGCTTCCAGCTCTGGCTGTGGCATCTCCTCTTCCACGGTGTCATCCCAGGGAGCCCCTCCTGTTGGGTGGGGATGAGAGTGCCACCTCACACTCCTTCAGGAGGGTAAAGGAGACACTGCTGTCGGCACCCTTGTGCACAGGTGGCACCTGGTGACCCGGGCTGGTCCCCGTGAGCCTACCTAACGCACCCCGATGGGCCGGCACCGGGGAGGACTGCCCAGCCTTGGGCTCGTGCTGTGACTGGGTCCCTTCTCAGGCCCCATGCCCCTGCTCACTCAGCCTCAGCCCGGGGCAGCAGAGAGCCAAGGAAGGACCTGGGGGCTGAGGCCAGCTCAGTCATGCCTCGGAACCACAGGGGCGGGAGGCTCCCTCACCCTGAACTGACCACAGAGAAGATGGAAATGCTGCCAGCAGCTGCTCCCCCTCTGTGGTCCTGAAGAATGTGCACAGGCCCCTGCCCAGGCCTGGGGCCCCAGAGGCTGGGGCTGGGTGGGTGGCCCAGGGGGAGAGGTCAAATTCCATCTTCTGTAGCCCTAGTTGGTGCCACAGCCCAGGTCCAGGGCGGCAGAGGAAGGGGCCCCCCTTTCCAGACTGTGCACTGCACCCCTGGGTGCTGCCTGGGCAGGGACCGTCTCACAGGGATGCAGAGTCTTCAGCTGCCCGGGACACCCCAACCCCTGGCACCCCCGAGGGACACAGGTATACTCACGTTCACACACACACACAAAGAAACACAGGTTCCTGGTCTATGTGTCAGACATACCCCACCTCCTACACAACCCTATGCACACGGGCCCCATAGACCCACCCCTGCACCCACACCACACACACACACACACACACACACACACACACAGGCCCCATAGACCCACCCACACACCCACACCACACACACACACCCATAGACCCACCCATGCACCCACACACACCCTCCACAGACCCACCCACACACCCACATCCACACACACACACACACACACACCCATAGACCCACCCATGCACCCACACACACCCTCCACAGACCCACCCACGCACCCACATCCACACACACACACACACACACACACACCCATAGACCCACCCATGCACTCACGCACACACCCCCTCCATAGACCCACCCCTGCACCCACACCACACACACACACACACACACACACACTCACACAGGCCCCATAGACCCACCCACACACCCACACCACACACACACACACACACACACACACTCACACAGGCCCCATAGACCCACCCACACACCCACACCACACACACACACCCATAGACCCACCCACGCACCCACACACACCCTCCATAGACCCACCCACACACCCACATCCACACACACACACACACACACCCTCCACAGACCCACCCACGCACCCACATCCACACACACACACACACACACACACACACCCATAGACCCACCCATGCACCCACACCACAGGCACACACACACAGGCCCCATAGACCCACCCACGCACCCACACACACATACCCTCCATAGACCCACCCACGCACCCACACACACATACCCTCCATAGACCCACCCATGCACCCACATAAGCACACACACACACACACACACCCTCCACAGACCCACCCATGCACCCACATCCACTCACACACACACACCCATAGACTCACCCACGCACCCACACCCACCCCTGAAATGCAGCTGTGACTCTGCTCTCTGGAGCTACTACCCTGGGCAGATTTTCCCCACCAAGAACTCTGATATCACCGGTTCTCCCCAGAGCCCTGGAAGGCAGAGACTCAACTCTAATCAGAGTCACCATGTGGCTCTGGGCAGCCCCTCCCCGTCCCCAACCCTTCCCATCCGGTGGGTTTCCAGGGAGCTCCACATTCCACAGCCAGAGCCAAGAGGGGTGTCCTCGGGAGGGGCACGGGAAGGGTGCTCACTCTCACTATAGTGTCAATGACTGTGAGGCTCCCCTCCTGGGCAGGGGTGTGACCAGGAGGAGGGGCCACAAGGGGACAGTGGGTGCCGGGGCCCATCTCCTGGTCCGGGTTGGGGTTCCCCAGTGGGGAGCTGTCCAGGCCTGCATGGCACCTGGCTGTGCAGGTGGGAGGGGCTCCGGCGGGGCCGGGAGGGACCAAGGACCCACAGCACCTGAGTGGCACTTGCTGCCCGCTCTTCTGTTTGGAGATGAGTCCTCCCTCGAGTTCTGCCTGAATGCAGGGCATGCCTGGCAGACGCAGCCAGCCCTGGGCCCACGGCATCACCTTCCACTCAGGAGGGGAGGGATGACCGCAGACAAGGGCCGTCCCTCAGCGAGCACCCGGTCCCGGGGTCCCACAGCCCCTCGGGGGCCAAGGGTGCCCGTGAGCCCGTGCCAGGCCGGCGGAACTCGGCGCCCGGGGAGTGACGCGGTGCACGCGGGTTTATGACGGCGAGGAGCATCCTTCCCACTGTAAATTATATTTAACATCCCACAGAACTTTATTGTGTTTTGTGTTTGGGTTTATGAAAAAATCTGTATTTAACTTCAAGCTCTGGTAAACATCTTTGCTTATGTTGTTATGTGATTCCTTATTTGAGTATTTCGATTTAATTTCACAGTTCATATACCTTAAAGTTTTGGCTTTCCCCTCCCTTCCCCACTCACTCAGAGATGCTGGGCCAGCCTTGCTCATCCTGGGGCAGCTGGATGGTGGGACGGGGAAGCCCAGCCCGGGACCCGCCGGAGGTCCCCGCAGCCCCCAGGGTCCGGGCCAGGGAGGCAGTCCCTGGGCAGAGTGTCCCGGCTTCTCAGAGCCTCGCTGGGCACCGGATGGCAGGAGAAGCAACGTGAAGAGGGAGCGGGCAGTCAGGAAGCCTGGATACATCTCCTGCCTGACTCCACCTCCCTGTGACTCCGTTTCCACAGCCTCAGAAGGAGGGCAGGGGCTGTAGGTGTTGGGGGCAGAGATTCTGCTGAGGGGCGGGGCAGGAAGAGGAAAGAAATGAGAGAAGAGGAGCCCAGGGGAAGCTGTGACTGTCTCAGGCCCAGCACATCCCAGCGGGGCCAGCTCCCCGGACTACCTCAGCCCCAGCACCCTGCACCCCTTTGCCGGCCCTGGGGGCTTCCAGATCATACTCACTGTGCAGCCTTGGGCGGGCCCTGCCCCTCTCTGGGCCTCGTCTTCTACCAGGGCAGCAAGAGTAGGGGCTGTGCTTCACCCCAGGACGTTCTGAGGCTCAAGGGATGGGCAGAAACTCTTCACAAGGAATCAAGACCCAGAGGGGCTAAGGGGCCAGTCCCAGGTTGCCCAGCACAGCATGGCTGAGAGGGGCTCTCAGTCCAGGGACCCCCAGCCTCCACCCCCGCCCCCCAGTGCCTTCCAAGCCACGCAGCGCCGGGAAAGGCTTACACAGTACATGTTCAGTGCAAAGTGTGTCATCTCCATTCACTGCCTGGATGTGAAAATCCCGCAGGGCTTCGGTGGTCTGTAAAACCCCAGGGGAAGTAAGGAAGGAGGTGTCCCGCAGGCCCCGAGCAGCCCCTGACGTGAGACATCCTGGCAGAGCCCCATCCCTACTCCCAGGACAAAGCCAGGAGCCCCTGAGACACCTCCTCCCTCCCTGGATCCTGCAGCTGCCCCTAGGAGTGGAGGAGACAGGTTGGGGCCCCACGTGTCCGTGGATGCTCACGTGAGGCTGAGAGACACCCCCTCACTTGTCCAGGGCCACCTTTCCCCACCAGTCCAGCCCTCCCGGGACCCATCTGCCCTGTGGTGGCCCCCAACGTGGTTCCTTCTCAAGGACTCCTCCCCAGGCCTCCCAGGCCTCCAGAGCCCAGCTGTGTCCCTCACGCCTGCCCCGGGTGGACTCATGAGACAGGCTGTCCCTGCCTCTGCAGTCCCCATTCCGAGCCTACAGGGAGAAGCCCACCTGGGCATCCGTGCCCCAAATCCAGCCACCCCAGGCCCCTGCTTGCTTTGGTAAGGATGGCCTCCCTGCCCATCCATGGTGTCGGGACAGGCCTGTCTGTGTGGCTGGGGTGGGCACAGCCAGTGAGCCCAGCTTCAACAAAGCCTGACCTCAGCCCCAACTGGGAAACCATGGCAGCCCCAGCCACCGCCCTTGTCGACTGCAGACATCACTAATCAATCACTGGATGCCTTTGAGACAGGACCACAGACTCCTTAACATAGCGCTCCAGAAAGCTGTTCTCAAGCGAAAAGGGCAAGAGAGGTGACACCTGTTTGCTGGCCCTCAACTAAATAACCACCCTGTAGTTTCTGCGAACGCTTCCCCGGGAGTTGCCCTGAACTCACCACCAGTGTGTGTCGCCCCTCCCCAGATCCTGCCCTCCCACAACTCATGCCAATGTCCCCCCTGTCATAGTGCCCGCTGTGGCGCTAGCCCCCCTGGATGGACCTCGCGCACAACTGCTGGGGAGGACAACTGGCAAGAGGGAAGTGTGAAGAGGATGGAGGGGCTGATGTGCACCCCAGAGAGGCCCCAACGCCAGACCCTCGGGATGTTCCAAGCTTCACTGAGCTTCACTTCACGCCCTCAAAGGATCTGAAACACTTAGAAAAAGGCACAACACTCAATTGAGTGACTCTGGACAGATCAGCATTCAGAGGTGCATTCCCTGGGTGCCCATAGAGTCATTAAGAGAGACTGACTTGACTCTGAGCTTCCTGGGGGCCAAGGCGAAAAAGGAAACACATTCTATTGCAGCGTATCCATCGCAGCACCCGTGAGAGAAAAACAAGCCAGGCACTCAGAAGGAGCTCGGCGTTCCCGCTCTGGAGGCCTGAGAAGCTTCCAGCCGCCACTCACAGATGGATTTCCCGAGAGGCTTCAGGTGGCCTCAGAGGCTACGTGGTGTGGTGAAGGGGGCGCTGGCCTAGGCACCTGGGATGTGGGCCAGGCCAGGGAGCTGCTTTGCTTGGTAGGTCTCAGTTTCCCCATCTGGACGGCAGGGTGGCTTCCTGCCTGTCTGTGGGGTGCTGGGGAGGCCCTGGCAAGGCGCCCAGCGTTGCCAGTTGCAGGAGGATGGCTGCATAACGGCGAACCGGGGAGGTTGCCTCCTGCCTGCCACAAGGCACCATTGCCGTGCGTGCAATTAAGCACCACTGTTTCATCAGTCACAAAATCCAAATGGAAAAACAGAGACATAAATACGCCCGCCCAGGGAGCTGCCGGACCGCATGTGGGGCCCAGAGGAGGCAAGCATGGGCGCCGCGCCATGGAGAGGATTGCACGTCCCGGGGGGCAGCGCGGGCTGACTCGGGGCAGAGGGTGAGCCTGGCCTGCAGGTCCTGGGCCCGGGGGGATGCAGAAGGGGATGGGTGAGCTCTGAGGAACCAGCCCTGGAGGGAGAAAGGCTCGGGGTGGGGGTGGGGGGGACACTGTAGGGCGGCCCCTCGGGATCTTTGATTTGTTCAGTTACAGACTCTCGCACGCCCCAGAAAGCTCGGGAAAAATCCATGGCCTGAAAAACCAATTCAAGTTTCACGACCTGCCAGGGTGCCGGCCGAGCCTGCCCGACAGAGGGAGCAGGCAGCCCTGGAAATGGGGGTGCAGGAGCAGGCAGAGAGGCGGGTCACATGCCGGCACCGTGGGGCCAAGCTGCTGCAGAGGGGTTCCCGGGGACGTCCGGAAGCGAAACCCTGAGAAAGGAGGCTCACACTGTGCCCCAGATTGGCTTCCCGAGCAACCTCCCTTCTCCGGGCCTCAGTTTCCCCTTCTGCAACACAGCGATCACCCCCGAGCAACTCTGGCTTGGTGTGGTAGGAACTGGGCACCACCAGCTGTGCACACTGTGAAGTAGGGGGAGGGGGGTCTGCGGGCGTCGCCCGCCGTAACCGTGACGACGACGGCTGTGAAAGGCGCCGGCTGTTCCTGGACCGGCGCAGTGTGTTTGCGGCTGTTGTGTGACACCCACACCCCACCAGACTTGTTTTCAAACGGCGTTTTGCTAGCCAGGCCGAACGCGGCTGCGTTCCTGCGAGCGTGCCAGCCTCTCCCTTCTCCCTGCCAACCTCGGGGGTGGCGCTGTGGCTTCCAAAATCTCATTACCGCCACCATTTCCCGTCCTCCGCCGCTCCCTCCTCTCCTGCCCTCTCTCCCCCACTCTCTCTCCTTTCGGAGGATAAATTTCTGTAGCAGCCAATTACAGCCGTTTGATGTGCGTAATGATGGAACCGTGGAAATTGGAACTGGCACCTCGGAGGACAGCGGAGGGGGAAGAAACGCAACGTACATGAATCAAGCGTTTTCTTGGAGTTTTCTCCCATTGCCAACGATTTGCTGGGGCCCGGACTCAAAGCTCGGGCCGCGGGCGGCGGGGGGCGCGGTGGGGCTGGGAGCTCTGGGCCAGCCGCGCCTGCTCCTAAGCACCGATCAATTACGGCGCAGACAAGCCGGTGTCACATGTGATTCACAATGTCAATTTCATGCTCGTGGTAACCATTTAAGAAAGAGCCGGGCCGGTTTTACATTTGATAAGAAATCAGCAGCGTTTGTGTTTGTAAAAAGACCGATCACAGAGTGTGACAGGTCCCAGACATTGCCAGGCGGCGTCGACGGCCCGTCTGGAGTCTGTCAGAGACTCACAAGTATTTATTTCAAATGGGTTCCCCCCGTCCCCGCCGCCCCCCTCGAGCCGGGACGTGAAAATAAACTGTCAGTCTCTATTTACAGCTGTACAAGCTGGAAATACAGAGAATTTTAGGTTAAATTGTCAGTTAACAGAATTCAAAATAGAAAAAAGAAATGGGCCCGGCCGGCTTTATTGCCCGTTTTGATAGGAAAAGTCATCTGTGGGTTTGGAGGGTGGAAGGAGCCCCCGGGGGGGAGAGGTGGGCTGCGCCCTGGGCCCAGGAAGGCCTGAGAAGGCCCAGCTAGAGGACTTCCCGGTGCTGGCGAGAATCAGGGCAGTCTTAGGGCTAATTAGGCCGGAGACGGGGCTAATAGAGCTGGTGTCCCTGCCCGGGCCCTGCTCCCTGACAATTTGCCCATTTAGCGTCTTCAGGAGCGTAGGCACGGCTAATCCGGCCAGGAGGACCTCCTTGGACGCACAGCTTCTGCTAGGAAGACAGAGCTGCCTCCCGCCTGCTCTCCCGACTCAGGGTCTGGCCCGAGGCTCTGCTGCCCATGCGCCGGTGACCAGGGCCCCCGGGTGGGTGTCATGCCACCTGCCAGATCTTCCGGGGCTGCGGGGACGGGAGGGTGCCCACCCTGGCTCCGGGTGGGACACGGAGGCTCAGCGAGGCCCCCCGACGAGACCCCTCCTCTCGGTGGGGTAGACACCCGGTCTCGGGGCTGTGTTCACGGAACCCCAACCTCGAACCCTGACTTCTTACCTTTCGCCTCCACAGTGGGGTCTGCGGAGCCAGCACCACCACACTTTGCCATATTGAATGACGGGAGCTGTGTCTGGCCGGGTGGACATCGATGGGGCCCCCAGCGGCCCTGGCAGCAGGACAAGCAGGCCGATGTCGGCTGCATCTCCAGGACAACGCGGACGAGTTGTCTGCTTTCTCCGGGTTTCCAGGAGCCAGCACTCCCTGGCACCAGCCTGGTGGGCAGGGGGGCTGCGGCCCCCGGGGGGCTGAGCCGGGATGTGGGGGAGACGAGGTGCACCTCCCACGGCAGAGGCCTGGAAAGGGGCCTGAGAAAGGGCCTGGGCTGGGGAGTCAGGGCTGTGTCTTGGTTTTCTCATCTGTGAAATGGGGAGAAGTGTCTACCTCCAGTGCCCGTGAGGCTCCAACGCACTCCCGGTAGCACGTGGCAGGCAGTAGGGCCCCCTCTCACCCCCGTGTGCTGTGTGGCCCCGAGCCCTTCCCTCCCCTCTCTGGGCACCGGAGGACCGTGGAGGAGAGGAGCTTGACTTCACCTTTCTGCCCATGGGAGGCGGCTCTCCAGTCCCGGCTGGGAATCTAGACAGCTTCACCCACACAAAGAAAGCCAGTGGCACCCAGCCAGGACAGAGAGCCAGGCCCCACAAAACAGGGGGCACAGCCCGAGAGCCCAGCACGGCCACCATCACAGTGGCTCATGGCCCAGCTAGTGCCCAGGGGTGGAGGCCCTTGGCCTGTGAGACCCCCAAGGGAGCCCCTGAAGGGATCTGCCTGGACTTTTCTGACCCCGATTCCCCAACACTCTGAGTTCAGCCTGTTCAGTGCCTCAAACTCACCAGTCAGACACCGGGCCTGGCACGGTGAGAAGGAAGCTTCCCTGGACGTCCTGGGGACTCTGCCCGCTGGGGTAGGGGTGCTGCCCACACAGACCCCACCTGTCTGCCCTGGGCCCCTGAGGGTGGCAGGCGTGGCCCCAGATGTCCAAAGAGGGCCCTGATTCCATCCCCCGGCCTGAGGGCTGGGCAGTGAGTAGGCTGGTCCTGTGGCCCCGCAGGCTTCACCGAGTCCTGTCTGCTGGGAAGATCTGCCGAGGACACCAGTTGCCCAGGCGTGGTGGGGGCCAGTCCTGGCGTCGAGGGTGGGAGCCGCAGGAAGGTGGGGGGCGTCGACAGAGAGACAAAGTCACACCAGATGGAAAGCAGGGCCGGGGCCACACGTCCCAGCCACGTGGCATCCCCTGAGGCCAGCTGGGCAGACAGCCATGGCACTCGCTGCCCAAGAGGCAGGGGCGGGCAGGCCTGGGCCTCCTCACTCTGCTCAAGCCCACTGCTGCCTCACACTCGTGTGCACTGCTCTCTACAGTTTGCAAACAGGCAGACATCCTTCATTCCAACCTTTAATATGCCTGGATGCCCACGAGACTGAGGCGGAAACTGAGGCCCAGGGAGGTCGGGGGCCCCCAGGGTCACAGCCTGGCCAGTGCCCGATGCCTGACATCCAGGCCTCTTGCTCTCTGGCCCCTGCACTCCCCACACCTCCCTGGCCTGGAGAAGCCGGAAGGAGGCAAGGTCAGCAGGACTCAGGGACGCCGCCTCCCAGGGAGGACCCCAGAGCATCAGAGCAGGGAGGGCCTAGAAACGCCAGCCTCAGGCCCCCAAGGCCCCCGCCGCACTTTTCAGCCGTTCTTTGCTGCTAACGCCTCAAGACCTGTGTCTCCACTGTCCCACACCCCAGCCCACAGCCTGCTCCCCACCGATGACCGCCACGCTGTAACCATAGCCACTTCTCAAGGCCTACTGGCTGGCCCCAGCCTCTCCCAGGACCCCACCTGCGAGGCTTCTGCCCACTTTTTCTCCAAGAGTGTCTGAGGTCAGAGCAACCACCTTCCTCTCTGGGTTAAGGATCCATCCCCGCAAACGCGATGCCTGCCCCCGACCTGAGCTCCTCCCGTCCCCCGGCCGTCTGTGACCCCCTGGGCACCTAAAACACAGCCCACGCAACTAAGGAAATGAACTTTCCGTTGTATTTAACTTTATTATTTTATATACAAATTTTAAAACTGAAGCAGGCTGGGCACCATGGCTCACGCCTGTAATCCCAGCACTTTGGGGAGGCTGAGGCAGGAGGATCGCTTGAGGCCAGGAGTTGAAGACCAACCTGGGCAACATAGTGAGACCCTGTCTCTATAAAAAATAAAAAATTAGCTAGGCATGGTGACACGAGCCTGAAGTCCTAGCTATTGAGGAGTTTGAAGTGGGAGGATCGCTTGAGCCCGGGAGCTGGACTCTGCAGTGAGCCATGATTGCACCACTGCAATCCAGCCTCAGCACCTGAGTAAGACCCTGTCTCTAAAAAAAAAAAACTGTAAAATGTCTCGTGGATATTTTTTATATTGACGATACGTTTAAGTGACCATGTTTTTGATGTATTAATATCTGGTTAAATAACATACATTATTAAAATTCATTTCCTATTGTTCCACCTACTTGGAGGCTGAGGTGGGAGGTCGCTTGAGCCCAGGAGGTGGAGACCAGCCTGGGCCCCATAGCAAGACGCTGTATCCCGGCCAAAAATGAATGTCACCTGTTTCTTCTTTACCTTTTGAATGTGGTTCCCAGAAAATTAACAGCCCCAAGTGTGGCTCGTGGTTGTCTCTCCTGGCCAGCGCTCCCTCCCCTCGCCCACTCCACTCCGGCCACGTTGGCCCCTCAGCCCCTCGCTGAGCCTGAGGCCGCCCGGCCCCTCCCACCTCAGGGCCCTGGCACGGCTGCTCCCTCCGCCTGGATCGTGCCTCCCAGTGCGCCCGGGTTCCACACCGTCACTCGGTCTCGGCCGAATGTCACCTCCCGAGAGCCCCTCCCTGACCGCTGGGCACCCCCGCCTCACCTGCCCCCACCCCACCTACCCCTCTGCCCGTCATACCCTGAGTCCCCGCGTGGGTCCCGTTCACTGCTGCATCCAACGCCCAGGCCGTGCCACGCCGCGGGGGCCTCAGAAGTGAGTGTTGAGCAGCTGAAAAGCCACACGCACCACGTGTGTCCCCAGGCGACACTGTGCCATGGCCTGGGGGTCCCTGGAAAGGAGTGAGAGGTGCCCAGCGCTGGAGGGGCAGGGCCAGGCTCAGCGGGGATCTGGGGAGGGAGGTGCAGGCAAGCAGGGAGCGGCTGTGCTGGGGACCCCAGAGAGGTTGCTACCGTGGCCAGGAAGGCAGGGCTGGGGGGGCAGAGGTGGCTGCACCTGGGCTCCCCAGCTGGAAGGCAAGATGTGAGCCCCAAACCTCCATCTGGCACCACCGACAATGCTGCCCCTGCGTCCGCCGCTGGGGAAGCCGCTGTCCTTCCCACACCCCAGGGCAGGAGGATGCCCTGAGGCCAGGAGCTATGGGTGGGGACATAAGACCCAGGCTCCCCAGCTTCCTTGGCGTCCACCCGCCCGGCCGTACCCCCACCCTCGGCGAAGCCTGAGGGGCCCCAGGGACAACTGGGGGAGGAGGGCTCCTGCCTCCCTGGAAAGCACTGTGGTTTATTGACTAAATGCAGCCCATCGATTTGTTAAGAGCTTTTGCACGTCCCCTCGATGGGAAATATTGTTCTCTCACCCGGCTGGCTGGAACCTGGGTGAGAAGTTCTTCCCTGCACACCATAAATTTCCATCTGGGCATCCCGGCACTGTGTAAACTGGTGTCCACCCGTGCAGGGAGGAGGTGCTTGATGGTCTAACAGCCCCTCTGGGTTCGGCTTCCCAGAGCTGCCGCCGCCAGGAAAATTGCTCCCCCAGACACCCCAGTGCCCGGCTCTCAACCACAATGGCCCAGCCCACCAGGCCTCCTGCCCCCAAGCCAGCCTCTCCCTCAGCTTCTTTCCCAAGGCTCCAAAGACCCCAGCGGGACCTTCCCGCACAGTCCACACACAGCAGAGCAGACCAGGCCACCCCGGACCCCACAGCTGCAGCCAGGACTGAACCAGGCCAGAAGCTCCGGAGAGCAGCCCTGCCTGCCCTGCCTCTTAGCCGTCCTGGAACGCCCTGGGCCCCAGCTCAGGCAACCTCAGGCCACCCCAGAAGGGTGATCCGGGGTGAGGCGGGCCCAGCCTTGGAGCCCCCGCCCTCACCCTGGGTCACCCTTCTCCCTGCTTGTCCCCTGGACCTGCCATGTCTAAGGCCCGGCCCTGGTGGCCCTCCCTGACCCCAGGCCGAGCAGGCCATCCCTAGGCTCTGCCCCCATGTCCTGAGCCCCTCCGTGTTTCCCAGCCTTGGTCTGTTTCCAGGTTTCATGCCTTAGAGTGGGAAGGGCCCCCTGAGGAGCAGCGATGGAGTGTGGAGACGCTGGACCCCCCTCCCCAGCTTTCTAGCTCATCTGAAGTGAACCCTGTGGCTTCTGCCTGCAGGGAGCCCTGGCGGCCCCAGGACCATTCCAGCCACCGTCCTGTGTGTCTGTGAGAAGCCCATGCACTGCCGGATGTGCTCATTTGACAACCAGAGAATCTGAGGTCTGGAGGAGGGAGGGGCCTCAGCCCTGGACCCCACTTCCCAGAGGAGGCTCCCTGGCCAGGTCAAGACCACTCTGGGTCACGACACTGGCCAGGTGGGTGCCCAGTGGCTGCAGGCTGCAGCTGCCAGGGGCAGCCCTGAGCAGGGCAGGGGCTCAGGAGGGGCGCAGGGCTACTCGGGATCTGCACCAAGCCTCACAGACGGCAGGGGTCCCCGCGGAACTCCAGGCTCAGTGCCGTTACACCGCTCACTCCCGCCCTGCGGGCTGGTTCAGGTTGAAGAGGTGCCCTCTCCCCACAAAGGTCCCCACAACCTTCAGGTGCAGAGACTAGGTCAGAAGGGCAGCCAACCCAGCACCCGCTCCTCAGCCCCACGGCCTCTAGGCCACCCACAGATACCAGCAACGGCTCTGAGCTCCACAGCCAGTCCCCGGGACTTCTGCAGACCCTGCCCATCTGGCCAGCCAAGGGTGACACCAGCTGCAGCCAGATCCCGCCTAGGCCCCTGAAAGCAGATGTTGGGGTGACTCCCCAAGAGGCCATTAGCCCTGGGGACTTTCCAGAATTCCCAAGCCCTGGGGCCCCATAGCCTCCCCAGAGAGGGCCCAGGTCCTTCTTTTTTTATTCTGTGAGATGGAGTTTCACTCTGTCACCCAGGCTGGAGTGTAGTGGTGCGATCCCGGCTCACTGCAACCTCCATCTCCTGGACTCAAGAGATTCTCCTGCTTCAACCTCCCAAGTAGCTGGGATTACAGGCGTGAGCCACCACACCAGGCTAATTTTTGTATTTTTAGTACAGATGGGGTTTTGCCATGTTGTCCAGGCTGGTCTCGAACTCCTGACCTCAGCTGATCTGCCCGCCTCGGCCTCCCAAAGTCCTGGGATCACAGGCGTGAGCCACTGCGCCCGGCTCTGGATCTGGACCCAGATCCTTCACAGAAGCACCCACACCCCTCTTCACTCCCAGCTCTAAACGGTGCCTGGACCTTCACTGCACATAGAAGGCCCCAGCCCACATCTCCTGCCCCCTCCACTCTCCCTGCTGGGCCCCGGGCAGCCCCCAGGCAGGGCCGGCATACAGAGGTTTTCATCCAGTGAGGACAGGGAAGGCTATCAGGGAAGATGCGGAAACAAGGTCTCAAGTGTATAAAAGACACCACAGAGAGACGAAGGGAGAATCCTGGTCTTGTTTCCATCATTATAATGTTACATTTAAAACTTTAATCCAGGCCAGGCGTGTTGGCTCACGCCTGTAATCCTAGCACTTTCAGAGGCCAAAGCAGGTAGATCACCTGAGGTCAGGAGTTCAAGGCCAGCCTGGCCAACATGGTGAAACCCTATCTCTACTAAATACAAAAATTAGCCGGGCGTGGTGGCGCATGCCTGGCATCCCAGCTACTCGGGAGGCTGAGGCAGGAGACTTGATTGAACTGGGACCCGGGAGGCAGAGGTTACAGTGAGCCGAGATCATGCCATTGCACCTCAGCCTGGGCTACAAAGCGAGACTTCCATCTCAAAAAAAACAAAAAACTTTAATCCAATGATTGAAAACAGGTGATCAAACACAAACCTGGACCCAAATGTTCATGGCAGCAACTCCCACAATGGCCAAAAGCTGGAAACAGCCCAGGTGTCCTCAGCTGATGCGGGAGAAACAAAATGTGGCTCATCTACACAGTGGAATATTATTCAGCCATGAAAAAGAAAGGAAGGCCTGACACAGGCTACAGCGTGGATGAGCCTTGAGGGCAGGAAGCCAGTCACAGAGGCCTCACAGTGCATGGTTCCATCCACGTCCAGAAAACAGAAATCCTTGGAGACAGAAAGCAGACTTGTGGTTGCCAGGGGCTGGGGTAGGGGGGATGGGGAATGACCGTTAATGGGCCTGGGGTCTTCCTTTGGGGTGTTGAGAATGTTCTGGAACTAGATAGAGGGGGTTACTGCACATCCTTGTCAATGTCTTTAATGCCATTGAATTGTACACTTCAAAATGGTAAAAACGATGGCTGGGCACGGTGGCTCACGCCTGTAACCCTAGCACTTTGGGAGGCCGAGGCAGGCAGATCACTTGAGGTCAGGAGTTGGAGACCATCCTGGCCAACACGGTGAAACCCTGTCTCTACTAAAAATACAAAAATTAGCTGCGCATGGTGTAATCCCACCTATTCGGGAGGCTGAGGCAGGAGAATCACTTGAACCCAGGAGGCAGAGTTTGCCAGTGAGCCGAGATTACGCCACTGCACTCCAGCCTGGGTGACAGAGCAAGACTCTGTCTCAAACAAACGGGCTGGGCGCGGTGGATCACGCCTGTAATCCCAGCATTCTGGGAGGCTGAGGTGGGTGGATCACCTAAGGTGAGGAGTTCAAGACTAGCCTGGCCAACCTGGCGAAACCCCATCTCTACTAAAAAATACAAAAATTAGCTGGGCATGGTGGTGCACACCTGTAATCCCAGCTACTTGGAGGCTGAGGCAGGAGAATTGACCCAACCCAGCAGGCAGAGGTTGCAGTGAGCCGAGATCACAGTGCTGCACTCCAGCCTGGGCAACAGAGTGAGACTCCATCTCAAAAACAAAAACAAACAAACAAACAAACAAAAAAACAAAAATGGTTAAAATGATGATGTTATGGCCGGGCGCGGTGGCTCACACCTGTAATCCCAGCACTTTGGGAGGCCAAGGCGGGCGGATCACGAGGTAAAGAGATCGAGACCATCCTGGCTAACATGGTGAAACCCCATCTCTATTAAAAATATAAAAATTAGCTGGGCGTGGTGGCACGTGCCTGTAGTCCCAGCTACTGGGGAGGCTGAGGCAGGAGAATCGCTTGAACCCGGGAGGCAGAGGTTGCAGTGAGCCGAGATCACGCCACTGCACTCCAGCCTGGGCAACAGAGCGAGACTCTGTCTCAAAAAAAAAAAAAAAAAGGATGTTATGTGAACCTCACCTCAGTTAACAAACAAGTTTAATCCAACTGGAGACTGTTTTGAGGCTGGGCTGAAAGCATCTACCTTGAGTTTCTGAGTCTCTTTCTGCGTTTTCCAGAGCAGCCCACTCAAAAGACATGTCACACAAGCCACGTACATGACATAATTTTCTAGTGGCCACCAGAAAAAGTAAAAAGAAACAGGTGAAATTAATTTAAATAATACACTTTGTTTAACTTAATACACTAAAAAATGTAATCATTTCAACAAGTAATTATTATGAAAAATATCAGCAAAGCCGTTCCCACGCTTTTTCCTCTGAGCTGCCGATCCACGAGTATTTCACACCTAACGCACACGCGGCGTGTGGGGCCTCCTTCCAGGGGCTCTATGGCCCGGGCGGGGGCCGGTGGCTGAAGGACTGGGCGACTCCAGGCTGTCCCCTGACCTCCAGTCAGTCCTGACATCACAGCGAGTCCTCCTGGCTGCTGCTGCTGCTGCTGCTGCTGCTGCTTCTCTTCTTCTTCTTTCTTCCTTCTTCTTCCTTCTTCCTCCTTCCTCCTTCTTCCTTCTTCTTCCTTCTTCCTCCTTCCTCCTTCTTCCTTCTCCCTTCTTCTTCCTTCTTCCTCCTTCCTCCTTCTTCCTCCTTCCTCCTTCTTCTTCCTTCTTCCTCCTTCCTCCTTCTTCCTTCTTCTTCCTTCTTCCTCCTTCCTCCTTCTACCTTCTTCTTCCTTCTTCCTCCTTCCTCCTTCTTCCTTCTCCCTTCTTCTTCCTTCTTCCTCCTTCCTCCTTCTTCCTCCTTCCTCCTTCTTCTTCCTTCTTCCTCCTTCCTCCTTCTTCCTTCTTCTTCCTTCTTCCTCCTTCCTCCTTCTTCCTTCTTCTTCCTTCTTCCTTCTTCCTCCCTCCTTCTTCCTTCTTCTTCCTTCTTCCTCCTTCCTCCTTCTTCCTTCTTCTTCCTTCTTCCTCCCTCCTTCTTCCTTCTTCCTCCTTCCTCCTTCTACCTTCTTCTTCCTTCTTCCTCCTTCCTCCTTCTTCCTTCTCCCTTCTTCTTCCTTCTTCCTCCTTCCTCCTTCTTCCTCCTTCCTCCTTCTTCTTCCTTCCTCCTTCTTCTTCCTCCTTCCTCCTTCCTCCTTCTTCCTTCTTCTTCCTCCTTCCTCCTTCTTCCTTCTTCTTTCTTCCTTCTTCCTTCTTCCTTCCTCCTTCTTCCTTCTTCTTCTTCCTTCATTATACTGTAAGTTCTGGAATACATGTACAGAATGTGCAGGTTTGTTACAAAGGTATACACATGTCATGGTGGTTTGCTGCACCCATCAACCCGTCATCTACATTAAGTATTTCTCCTAATGCTATCCCTCCCCTAGCCCCCCACCCCCAACAGGCCCCAGTGTGTGATCTTCCTCTCCCTGTGTCCATGTGTTCTCAATGCTCAACTCCCACTTATGAGTGAGAAAATGCGGTGTTTGGTTTTCTGTTCTTGTGTTAGTTTGCTGAGAATGACGGTTTCCAGCTTCATCCATGTCCCTGCAAAGGACATGAACTCATCCTTTTTTATGGCTGCATAGTATTCCATGGTGTATATGTGCCACATTTTCTTAATTCAGTCCATCATTGATGGATATTTGGGTTGGTTCCAAGTCTTTGCTATTGTGAACAGTGCCGCAATAAACATACGTGTGCATGTGTCTTTATAGTAGAGTGATTTATAATCCTTTGGGTATATACCCAGTAATGGGATTGCTGGGTCCAATGGTATTTCTGGTTCTAGATCCTTGAGGAAACGCCACACTGTCTTCCACAATAGATGAACTAATTTACCCTCCCACCAACGTGTAAAAGGATTCCTATTTCTCCACAGCCTCTCCAGCATCTGTTGTTTCCTGACTTTTTAATGGACTTTTTTTTTTTTTTGAGACAGGGCCTCGTCTGTTTCCCAGGCTAGAGGGCAGTAGCACAATCATAGCTCACTGCTTTGAATTGTACACTTCAAAATGGTTAAAATGATGGCCAGGTGCAGTGGCTCACACCTGTAACCCCAGCACTTTGGGAGGCCAAGTTGGGCAGATCACTTGAGGTCAGGAGTTCAAGACCAGCCCGGCCAACATGGTCTCTACTACAAATACAAAAATTAGCTGAGTGTGGTGTAATGCCAGCTACTGGGGAGACTGAGGCAGGAGAATCGCTTGAACCCGGGAGGTGGAGGCTCACTGCAACCTCTGCTTCCCGGACTCAAGCGATTCTCCTGCCTCAGCCTCCCGAGTAACTGGGACTACAGGTGCATGCACCACCACACCGGATAATCTTTGTATTTTTCGTAGAGATAGAGTTGCCCAGGCTGGTCTCAAATGCTTAACCTCAATGGATCTGCCTGTCTCGGCCGCCCGGAGCGCTAGGATCACAGGCATGAGTCACCTCGCCCCTCCCCTGAACGGTTTAACTCAGGGTCAGGTCTGTATTCTCCCCGTCCTGTCGCTTTTGATTGTGATTGTGGTGACATCCACATCACATACAATTCACCATTTTAAATTCAGCAATTCAGTAGCGGTTCGTCCCTTAGAAACGGCATGCAACCACCACCACTGTCTGGTTCCAAAACATCCTCATCCCCAGGAGGAGACCCCTTACCCATCAGCCCTGCCAACCACCACTCTGCCATTGGTCTCCGCCATCTGTCTCCGCCATCGGTCTCTGCCATTGGTCTGTCTCCGCCATTGTCCTCTGGGGACTTGCCAGTTCGGCAGGTTTTCTGTGCATAGAATACTTACCCTGTGTGGCCTTTGGTGTCTGGCTTCTTTCGTGGAGCATAATATCTTCTATAACTTTTTGTTTTTATTTATCGATTTGTAGAGACAGGGTCTCTTGCTCAGGGGAGATGAGTCGGTTCTATTCAGCCCTTCAACTATTTGGACGAGGCCCACCCACATGACAGAGAGCCGTCTGCTTCACTCAGAGTCCACTGATTTGCTGTTGTTGTTGTTGCTGAGATGGAGTCTCACTGTGTTGCTCAGCCTGGAGTGCCGTGGCACAATCTCAGTTCACTGCAACCTCTGCCTTTCGGGCTCAAGTGATCCTCCTGCTTCAGCCTCCCGGGTAGCTGGGATTACAGGCACCCGCCACCACACCCAGCTAATTTTTGTATTTTTAGTAGAGATGGGGTTTTGCCATGTTTGCCAGGCTGGTCTCGAACTCCTGACCTCAGGTGGTCCGCCCACCTCAGCCTCCCAAAGTGCTGGGATTACAGGCGTGAGCTACCGTGCCCAGTCTTACTTGTTTGTTCTGTTTTATTTTGTTGTATTTTTTGAGACAGGGTCTCACTCTGTTGCCCAGGCTGGAGTGCAATGGTGCAATCATAGCTCGCTGCAGCCTTGACTTCCCCGGCTCGAGTGATTGTCCTGCCCCGGCCTCCCAAGTAGCTGGGACTATAGGCACATGCCATCACACCTGGCTAATTTGTTTTGTTTTGTTTTGTTTTTGAGAGATGGGGTCTCCCTATATTGCCCAGGCTGCTCTCGAACTCCTGAGATCAAGCAATCCTCCCATCTGGGCCTCCCAAAGTGCTGGGATGACAGGCGTGAGCCACCGCGCCTGGCCCACCCATCGGTTTTAATATCCACTATTGACTCCTGCCACAATCAGCTATCCCTCTGATGGCTGACAAATGCTGTTCAAAGCCCACCTTTCCCTCCTATCCCCATGTTTAGGGATCTTTTGTGTGTGTCACTGTGGACTTGTGGCCACTGTTTTATTCTATGGGCCAGGATCTCGTATTTATCTGGATGTGCAAATTGTCCCGAATGTGGCCATGGGGCCCTGGGGCTGGCTCTTGTGACCTGGGACCAGTGCCCTCCGTTCACTTCGCTCTTCTACTTTCTGGACCAGACGTTCCAGGCTCAGCTTTCCCCACTGGAAATCAGCTGAGCCGCTGCTCCTCTTGGCAGAGAATGGCAGTTAGAAGCCAAGGTCTGGGCACGAGGTGTGCTCACCACCCCTGAGGTGCTGCATTTCCAGGGTTCCAGGTAGGATGATACAGCGTGTGCACGGTGCACACACTCCTGCATCTATGCCGATTTCCTCATCCCTGTGTAGGACAGCAGCAGTGTCAATTCAACAACACCGCAGAGCTCATTCCAGCTTCCCCATCTGTATCCTATCAGCTTTTTCAACAGTGAGAAATCTGGGCCCATTCTCGGCAGTCCACTCAGTCTCCATAATGCAGTTGATCTCCTGGCCTCAGTTGGACGCCCTCTTCATGTGGGCCCGGGGTTACTGCCCGGCCACCTTCCTACTGGGGGGGGGGAGGGAGGGAGTGAGGAGGGAAGAGGAGGAAAGGAGGGGGAAGGAGGGAGAAGAGAGGGAAGGAGGGAGAGGGAGGAGGGAGAAGGAAGGAAGGAGGGAGGGAGGGAGGGAGGGAAGAGGAAGAAAGGAGGGAGGGAGGAGGGAGAAGGGGGGAGAAGGAAGGAAAGATGGAGGGAGGGAGGAGGGAGAAGGGAGGTAGGGAGGAGGGAGAAGGGAGGTAGGGAGGAGGGAGAAGGGAGGTAGGGAGGAGGGAGAAGGGAGGGAGAGAGGGAGGGAGGGAGAAGGAAGGGAAGAGGGAGGGAGGGAGGGAGGACTCACCCTGACATTTGTAAAACTCACTCAATGGCACTTTAAACAATGGATGGGGACAGGGTGAGGGTGGCCAAGAGAAGAATCAAGAAATGAGCGCTCATGGCTGGACCACACTCATGAGAGGCATGCACAGTGGACTCGCTCATGAGAGCCCCACCTGGAAGCAAAAGGAGGACAGGCGAGTCCATGGCGATGAAGGCACAGGGTGGAATACTACGCAGCACTGAAAAGGTGCTCGCCACAGATCCAGGCAACAGCACGGGTGAATCTCACAGGCATCCATGCAGCAAAAGGCTCCAGATGCCAAGGAGAACAAGACGTGTGACTCCACTAAGGGGCCCGCTCACGCCTGGTGATGAAATCAGAAGAGCCATCACCCTGCTGGGGGCACAGAACTGGGGAGCAAAGGGGGCCTTCTAGGGGGCTGGAATGTTCCGTTTCTCCATCTGGGGTTTCTCCGGTTTCTCCCTCAGCGTGTTTGAGCCTGCACACTAATCTCAGTGAGCCCTTGACATGTATGGACTTTCTGTATGTACCTCCTTTAAAAAACAAAAACGTCCAGTTGGAAACCAAGACCTGCCCTCAGTTTCCCCATCTGTCGAATGGGCGCACATTCCTCTCTGGAGCCCGGCTGATACCACATGAGCCGGCCCCTCCTGCAGCCCAGGGGCCCCTCGCTGTGCTCCTCCACCTGGAGTCCCGGCCCCCCAGGCCCAGGCCCAGGCCCCGGCGAGCCAGTGGGGCTGCTGACCCCGCAGGCCGGTGCGATGATCATGCCAGGGGCTGTTTTGCCAGCGAGGTGAGGCGCGGGAGCGGGCAGAGGAAGGGTTTATAATGATGATTAGGACCGAAATTGGCGGAGATTTACAGCGCCGGCCAGGAATGGAGGGAGAGGGGGCCGGGGCCGGGAGCGGCCTAATGGATCCGTCAGCGCGTTCGGCTGCTCAGCGGGCCGAGGCGGGTCACCCGGCTTTCCACTGGCAGCACAAAGCACTTCAATTTCGTTAGGAAATGTATCAATTTAACTGACTTGAGCGGCACACTGAAAAACCTAATGAATCTGGACTCAATTTTCCGCCACACTGCTCCTGAGAACTGTCGGAAACAATGTCTGTGGTCGGAGGTGACGGGGTGGCCGCCGATAGGCCGCGAGGCACCCCTTCCCTTCCCACCCCGGGCTCCCGGCCCTTCCCGTCAGGGTTAGTGGAGAGAGACGGACCTGTCTCCACAACCTGGTGACAGCCCAGCCCGCTGCCACTTCCCTAACAATGATGTCATTATAGGTAAATTGGCCTCTATTTCAGCGGGGCGGTGGTGCTAATTGAGTGAGAAAATATAATACAGGGAGCTGTTGTCTGCAGCTCCGGGGAGGGGGCCGCAGCCTAAATGGCCTACCATTGTTGATGTCAGGGTAGGCAGATGTTGCCTTCTGCCGATAACCGCACTGACATATCTCGAGCTTGTCACCACGCTCCTGCCCGGGGACTCGCGGCGCTGGCGGCAGATGGCTTTGCTGAATGGCCGCAGAGGGTCCCCGCAGCCGGGCGGGGTAGGAGGTGGCCGCCGGGAAAACAGGACAGGCTCCGGGGCCATCCCCAGCTCGTGGGGAACGGTTCCCCTGACGGATGAAGCCCTCAAAGTGCCAGGAGGAGAATGTCCAGGGGCAGGAGCAGGGGTGTCCGGGGGAGGGGGGGTTCTGGTAAACAGTGTCTGTGGTTGGGGTGCGGGTCCCCCTGCCGGGAGGAGCCCCTACTAAGGAAGGGATCCTGCAGCCAAACCCCATAGGCTCCAAGCCGCCCCACGGTGGGGGAGGCGGGCGGGGACTCGGGGCCAACGGGCAGGCATCTGCCGGGGCTAGAGGGGCAGGTTTCCCTGAAGCCCTCCCCAGCTGTCAGAGCCCAGAGGCCATGCCCCAAGCCCTGGCACAATATGGGGAGACACCCACCCCAGCACCCCGACCTGCCCGGCACACCTGGGTGACAACTCCCTGGTTGCCCCCAGCCAGAGCTCCTCGTTCCCCCGGCTCCAGGACCCATGCAGGTCAGCCCTGGGGCCTCTCCCCAGCCGGGTCCCAACACCTTCAGCTGCTTCCAACACACACATGCAGCCCCGGACAGAAAAAGCCCTCCCTGTGTCCAGGGGTCCAAGCACGCGGTGCTTCAGCCCCTTCCCTCAGGACACTGAGCCTGGACTCAGTCCCACCCGCCAGGCCGTCCAGAGTGGCCCGGTCAACTGCAGCTGCCTCCATGGCCGGGTGGGCTGAAACCAGGACCCCTCCCCACAGGCCAGTCAGGAGCAGGCCCCCCCACACACACCACAGAGCGGCGTCTAAGGCCCAGGCTGGGCTGCCGCGCTTCCGGGTGCATCTGACGGGGACTCACCCGGCCCAGGGTGCCTGGCTGTGGGCGGGGCCATGCTGGGGACGCTGCCCGCAGTGCAGGGGACAGAACCTGTCCCCAACGTTTCCAGAGGTGGGCACGGAGTGGACCCTGAAGGATGGGGGTGCCCCCCAAGCAGGGTAGTGGCCTGGGCCATGGCCTCGAGCAGATGCCCTGCTGGGGCAACGGATGCCCGGTCCACACCTCAGGACTGCAGGGATGGCCCAGAAGGGATGGCCAGCACCATTCAGTGAGCGTCTGCTGTGTACCACCCAAAGCACCTCCTAGCTGTCCTCCAGCGGGGCTCACATACCCCCACCACTTCAGGCCTGCGGGCACCCCAGGGGCTTCTCCTCCCGTACGAAAGAGGAAACTGAGGTGGGTGGGGGGCGTGGTTCCAGGGTGCCAGGCTGGAGGACTTTGGGGCGGCAGAGTCCAGGGCAGCTCCTGAAGCCCAGCCCTATACCCGCACCCCATCCCACAGTCGCACCCCATCCTGCACCTGCACCCCGTCCCCACCCCATTCCACACCCTCGCCCTGTCCCCACACTTGCACCTGATCCCCACACCTGCACCCCGTCCCCACCCCATTCCACACCCTCGCCCTGTCCCCACACCTGCACCTGATCCCCACACCTGCACCCCGTCCCCACCCCATTCCACACCCTCGCCCTGTCCCCACACCTGCACCTCATCCCCACACCTGCACCTCATCCCCACCCCATTCCACACCCTCGCCCTGTCCCCACACTTGCACCTGATCCCCACACCTGCACCTCATCCCCACCCCATTCCACACCCTCACCCTGTCCCCACACCTGCACCTGATCCCCACACCTGCACCCCGTCCCCACCCCATTCGACACCCTCGCCCTGTCCCCACACCTGCACCTGATCCCCACACCTGCACCCCGTCCCCACCCCATTCCACACCCTCGCCCTGTCCCCACACCTGCACCTGATCCCCACACCTGCACCCCGTCCCCACCCCATTCCACACCCTCGCCCTGTCCCCACACCTGCACCTGATCCCCACACCTGCACCCCGTCCCCACCCCATTCCACACCCTTGCCCTGTCCCCACACCTGCACCTGATCCCCACACCTGCACCCCGTCCCCACCCCATTCCACACCCTCGCCCTGTCCCCACACCTGCACCTGATCCCCACACCTGCACCCCGTCCCCACCCCATTCCACACCCTCGCCCTGTCCCCACACCTGCACCTGATCCCCACACCTGCACCCCGTCCCCACCCCATTCCACACCCTCGCCCTGTCCCCACACCTGCACCTGATCCCCACACCTGCACCCCGTCCCCACCCCATTCCACACCCTCGCCCTGTCCCCACACCTGCACCTGATCCCCACACCTGCACCCCGTCCCCACCCCATTCCACACCCTCGCCCTGTCCCCACACCTGCACCTGATCCCCACACCTGCACCCCGTCCCCACCCCATTCCACACCCTCGCCCTGTCCCCACACCTGCACCTGATCCCCACACCGCCCATCCGGCCGGCAGTGTCTGTGGGAGGTGGACAGTGTCTGTGGGAGGTAGACAGTGTCTGTGGGAGGTGGACAGTGTCTGTGGGAGGTAGGCAGTGTCTGTGGGAGGTGGACAGTGTCTGTGGGAGGTGGGCAGTGTCTGTGGGAGGTGGGCAGTGTCTGTGGGAGGTGGACAGTGTCTGTGGGAGGTGGGCAGTGTCTGTGGGAGGTGGACAGTGTCTGTGGGAGGTGGGCAGTGTCTGTGGGAGGTGGACAGTGTCTGTGGGAGGTGGGCAGTGTCTGTGGGAGGTGGACAGTGTCTGTGGGAGGTGGGCAGTGTCTGTGGGAGGTGGGCAGTGTCTGTGGGAGGTGGACAGTGTCTGTGGGAGGTGGGCAGTGTCTGTGGGAGGTGGACAGTGTCTGTGGGAGGTGGGCAGTGTCTGTGGGAGGTGGGCAGTGTCTGTGGGAGGTGGGCAGTGTCTGTGGGAGGTGGACAGTGTCTGTGGGAGGTGGGCAGTGTCTGTGGGAGGTGGGCAGTGTCTGTGGGAGGTGGACAGTGTCTGTGGGAGGTGGGCAGTGTCTGTGGGAGGTGGGCAGTGTCTGTGGGAGGTGGGCAGTGTCTGTGGGAGGTGGACAGTGTCTGTGGGAGGTGGGCAGTGTCTGTGGGAGGTGGGCAGTGTCTGTGGGAGGTGGACAGTGTCTGTGGGAGGTGGACAGTGTCTGTGGGAGGTGGACAGTGTCTGTGGGAGGTGGGCAGTGTCTGTGGGAGGTGGACAGTGTCTGTGGGAGGTGGGCAGTGTCTGTGGGAGGTGGGCAGTGTCTGTGGGAGGTGGATAGTGTCTGTGGGAGGTGGGCAGTGTCTGTGGGAGGTGGACAGTGTCTGTGGGAGGTGGGCAGTGTCTGTGGGAGGTGGGCAGTGTCTGTGGGAGGTGGACAGTGTCTGTGGGAGGTGGACAGTGTCTGTGGGAGGTGGGCAGTGTCTGTGGGAGGTGGGCAGTGTCTGTGGGAGGTGGGCAGTGTCTGTGGGAGGTGGGCAGTGTCTGTGGGAGGTGGACAGTGTCTGTGGGAGGTGGGCAGTGTCTGTGGGAGGTGGGCAGTGTCTGTGGGAGGTGGACAGCCAAGGCCAGGTCCCCTTTGTGGCCACTCCTGACCCCCCAGCCCCTCCTGAGCCCAAGGCGCAAGGCAAACGCCCACCGTCCAGCGTGCAAAGGGAAGAGCCAACATTGTGCATGCGGCTTCCCCTGCCTAGGTTGTGCCTGTGGCTCCCGGGCCAGAGCCACCTGGGGAGCCGTGGGCTCTGAGGGAGGCCCGGCAGGAAACCCCAGCAGGCCGGACGCTGAGTGGGGGAGGGGCCGTGGCTCCCAGACCGGGCCTCACACAGGACTTCAGCATCTTCCTCGGGTCCTCCAGCCACATCCCCATGTCCAGGCCACTTTCCCAGGGCCTCAGACAAGGCTGGCTTCAATCCTTCCAGAACATTCTAGGCTTGCTCCTAACTGCAGGTGGTTCCGAGTGGATCAAGGTTTGCTTCTTTATCCTTTTCTGTCTTTTCCAGATCCTTCTCAATGGGCATTTTATACTCAGAAAGAAATATAGATGTTTTCATTTTTTACTGTTTTTGGAGACAGGGTCTCACTCTGTCACCCAGGCTGGAGTGCAGTGGTGCGATCTCAGCTCACTGCAGCCTCCGCCTCCCCAGCTCAAGTGATCCTCCCACCTCAACCTCCCGAGTAGCTGGGACCACAGGCGTGTGCCACCACACCCAGCTAATTTCTTTATTTTTTGTAGAAATGGCATCTCACTATGTTGCCCAGGCTGGTCTCGAACTCTTTGGCTCAAGCGGGCCTCCCACCCCGGCCTCCCCAGTTCCTGGGGTTCCAGGCATGAGCGCCGCGTCTGGCCAGTGTTTGTTTTCTACCCGACGAGTTTGGGTTTTGCTGGTGCTCTGATGAAGCTCGCAGCTCCGGGACAGCTCTGGGGGCACCCCCACCATGGCAGCCTGCCCTCAGCGTGGCCGTTCCTGGGCAAGCACTTGCCCTGCCCTCAGCCTTGGGCAAGTGGCTGAACCTCAGTTTCCTCATGTGTGAACTTGGGGGCAGCTCATGTGCTTGGTTCTCTAAGGACAGCTGAGAAGATGAATTGTGGGCCCCGAGAGGGTTGTCAGGAAGGGGGTCCACCTGCTTCCAGGGGCCTCCGTGTCCATCTCCTGCCCTGAGTGCACAGCCCACCAGCTCCTGCTATGCCCATGCTGAGGTGGGGAAAAGGGATCCTGGGTTCCTGGACAGGATGGCTTTAAGAATGCATCCATTGGGGAATACTGGCAGGAGCCAGGGCTGCAGGATGCCTGGGAGGGCTGGGGCTGGCAGCACCTGGGGAAGGGGTACCTGGCCACCGAGTGAGGCTGGAAGCCAGGAGCCAGCACGCTCTCACCCGGGACTTTCTGCTGTGGCCCTGGACGCCCCAGCAAGGAGGGGACGGGCTCCTCTCCGGTCTCAAGCTCTGGACCGGGGTAGTCACCTGTTACCCAGCCTCCACCTCACCTGGGAAAAGGTGACAGGGCCTGCACTGACGGCCTTCCCAGGGGTGCTGAGGGCAAACTGTAGCATGCTGAGCACCTGAGCAGGCACTGTGACCTGGGTGGTACCCGTCAGAGGAGGCCAGGCAGCCCGGATGCCACTGGAGTGGGCGGCGGGGACTTCAGCAAAAGAAGGGACCAGAACTAGCCCCGCAGGATGAGGCTGTTCAGAGGGCAGTGAGGCAGGGCCCTGGTTGTCCTGGAGTGGGGACACCATGGCGGCAGTAGTGGGGCTTGGGGCTGAGTCCCGCAGTTTGGCACTGCCCTGGCGGGTTGGGGGAGAGGGAAGAAGATCTTAACCCAGGGACGCGGCCCAGTGACAGGAAGGTCAACTCTGGCCCCCTGAGGACAGGCTGAGGGATGAGGGGCCGCTGGGGCAGGACCAGGGGAGCCCTGGGGAAGGGGCCAGCACGTGCAGCCCCCAGGACCGTGCCCAGGTCGCCCCAGACTGGGAGCCGCCCAGCCTGCCTGGCACTTAGAGCCATCAGGAATGATTCAGGTGGCAGGTTTGTGTGCTGTTTGCTAATTTACTCACATTCATTCATGGGAACAGCTGGCTGGGTCCCAGCAGGGTAGCCTCACCCGCCCACCTGCCGCAAACAGCCGGCTCTGCTCCACAGTGCTCACAGCTCAGCTGGGGCAGCCTCGGCCGGCCGGGAACACCCATGCTCTTCCGAGGGGGCCGGCCTGGGGAGCGTGGGGGCCGGCAGAGGCCGGGGAAGGGGGCGCCTGACCACATGAGGGGTGTTCAGGATGGACCCTGCCTCTGAGAGAGCTGGAGACTGGGGGCGTGAGGACACCTCCAGTGTCTGCCATGCAGACCCCTGCCCTCAGCAGAAAGCGCTGTGAGCCGGTCCAGGGGCTGGACTGGGGCAGGCCTGACCTTCTCTGGGGCTCCACCCTGCTGTCCCTTCTGGTCCCACCATCCTGGAACGTGGTGACCCCAGGACGCCATGGTCTGGAGAAAATTCGCCAAGACAGCAAGAGGTCAGGAGTGGGCAGGGGTCACTGGGGAGCCAGGTACCTGGCAGCCCTCCCTCGGTCGGGCAGGAGCCCGGACGGAAGGAATCGTCCTGGTCTGAGCTGAACTTGCGGCAGGAGGGGACCGGCTCCGGGGTGGCCGTCGCCGAGAAGGCTATTAGCTCCGCGAAGCTTCGCCATCGCACGGGGTTTGGGCTAGGTGTCGGGGCGTGCACGCGCTGAGCACCCTCTAATAGAACAGACAGTCTTTCCTCTCTTCATCTCCCGTCCCCATAGCTTTGTTATTTAAAGTCAGGTTAAGGGAAGAAAAAAAAAAAACCCACACACAGGTTTGGCTGGGAAGCCTGAGGACAGAAAAAGTTAGAGATATTTATTTGACAGGGTCAAGGTTGGAGCCTTTCTCTTCCCTCTCCCCAGGTCCCATAGGTGTTAGGCTGAGAGACATTTAATCGCGGGAGTAGCGGTTTCATATCTATAACAAAAATCAAATAATGCAAGATGATTTACTCCCCCTAGCAACCGCGGAGCTCACCCTTAGCAACCAGGCTAGCCTCGGGCTGCGGTGTAATCAGCTTGAAAATATTTCAATTATTGTGTTGATTTTAGTGGATTTGAGAAGCGTTGTGTGGAGAGCTGGGCACATTCTCCCCGCGACCTGGAGAGGAAGATATTGATTTAAACAGGTGTCAGGGAGGGAAGTGGGGAAAATTTAAATGGGATGGGAGAACAGCGCGTTGCACGCGGAACAGGCCGGGATGACATTTTGTGCGTCGCCTTGAACGAAAGTGACTCTAGTGAACTAGAAATTTCACCTTGAAAATCATCTCCCATCGACACAATCAAGGCAGGCCTGCCGCACCACGCCCGCGTCCCCAGCCGGCAGCCGGAAGGGCCAGGGTGGCCAGGGTGGGTCCAGCCCAAAGAGGGCCACTGGGTGTCCTGGGGCTTCGGGGACAGGGGCGAGCGAGGGAGCAGCAGGGACCAGCCACATTCCCGCTCCCAGCCTCAGCGTCCCCTCTGTAGACCAGGAGGGTGTTCTGAGGGCCTGTGGCGAGCCGTCTTCTCTGAGACCTCCTGCCAGGGTCGCGGGCCTTCACCCAGGCTCCCAGGACACTGCTTGGCTCCCAGGACACAGCCAGGCACTCCAGCGTCAGCACAGACACCTGGCACCTGGCACCTGGCCCCGTCAGCGCCTTTACGTAGGTGGCCAGAGGGCAGTGCTGCTCTGTCCAGGAGAAGGGAGGAGAGGGGCCTGTCTGCCCAGCCCCTCACCCAGGAGGACGAGAGCCCAGTGCCCACCCTGGCACAGCTCTCTCCTCAGCTGCAGCCCCTCACTGTCACTCCCAGACCCAGCTGCTACAGGGCTCCCCGGGACCCCCAACACCCACCCTCTCTTCACTGTGTAGAAAACAGAGCCCAGGAGGGCAGCAAGTAAGCCAGGCGCGTTGGCTCACACCTGGGACCCCAGCTACTCGGGAAGCTGAGGCGGGAGGATCGCTTAAGTCAGGAGTTTGAGACCAGCCTAGGCAACATAGTGAGACTCTGTCTCTACCAACAATTAAAAAAAAATTAGCTGGGCGTGATGGTGTGTGCCTGTGGTCCCAGCTACTCAGGAGGCCGAGGCGAGAGGATCACTTGAGCCAGGAGTTTGAGACCAGCCTGGGCAAAATAGCAAGACACCATCTCAAAAAAAATTTTTTTTTTTTAAAGGAAAGCAGCAAAGGTGGCCTGAGGAAGACTCTGTCCTGAGATGCAGGACGAGCTGGGGAGAGAGGCCTGGGCTGCCGAGCTGTCGTGAAGAGGGTGCGTCTGTGGCAGGTGGGACGCCCGTCCTTTCCTAGAGCCCCCTTTCGTGCAGCACACTCTGGTGCTCCCGGGGGACGTCTCAGGCCCACTCCAGGATGTCAGGGGCCACCTCAGACAGAAAAGGTCCCTGTCATCCCCCAGCTCGGTCTCCTGCAGGTCTGGGAAAGCCCAGGCCGCCTCACAGGGACCCTGCACCCCCACCAAAGCTCCCCCAGCCCAGGGCTGCTCTGGGGGCGAAGGGATGCCTCTGCCTCCAACCTCAGTGGTTCCTCTTCCTCCCCCGGACTGCCAGGGTTGGGGGGCCCCCTTGACTGGTGCTCCCCAGGCTGACCGGGATCGATGCATGGTCCATGCAGCAGCTTCTGGACACCCCGTGGGGACACCCGCTGTCTAGAGCCATGCTGAGCAGACTTCTCCTCGTATGGACACCGGCGCCCCCGCCCTCCACTCGTCCCCGGCATCTGCAGGTGACTTCTTGAGCAGGGGCCCTTGTAAGTGACGGGTGGGGCCAGGAGGGGCCCTGCTGACCTCAGGGTACGTAGTGACCTCAGAGCACAGCGGTGAGGTCCATGCCAGCCCCCACTGACCACCTGCACCTCCAGCCAGGACCCCAGTGCCTTATGGGGCCCTACCCCATTCGCTCCTCCGCACGCAGGTCTGTGCTGGCCCCGTGTGGGGTGCTGGGACCCAGGGATGAAGGCCTGGACCCTGCCCACCTGGAGCCACATGAAGGCCCCACATCAAGGAGCGGGACAGGGGCTTGAAGGTCACCTCCAGGGAGGAGGCATGTGGCCTCTGACCCCCTTCTGCAGGAAGAGTTAACCAGTGGAAGAGAGGGGGCAGGAGAGGGGACAGAACGGCTTCCAGGAAGAGGCAGGACCTGGAAAATGGGCCAAGAGGAGGTGTGAGGCTTCCAGGTCCAGAATGGCTGCGGCAGGGGCACCCTCCATCCCCAACCCTTTGCAGTCTGTCCCCAACCCAATATAGTTTGTCTCCCACAACACTGCACAATCTCTCCCGCAACCCTACACAGTCTGTCCCCAACCCTATACAGTCTATCTCCCATAACACTACACAACCTCTCCCCCATACCCAACCCAATCTATCCCCCAGTGCTACACGATCTATCCCCCACAACACTTCACAATTTGTCACCCAATACTACACAATCTGTCCCCCAGCCCTACACAGTCTGTCCCCCTCAAGCCTGCACCATCTATCCTTCCAAATCTACACAATCTGTCCCCCTCAACCCTGCACCATCTATCCCTCCAAATCTACAGAATCTGTCCCCCTCAACCCTGCACCATCTATCCCTCCAAATCTACAAAATCTGTCCCCCACAACCCTACAAAATCCATCCCACCAACCCTACACAACTCTCTCCCAATCCTACACATCTCTTCCTATAATGCTACACAATCTGTTCCCCAACTCTATACCATCTATGGCCCCAACCCTACACAATCCCTGCCAACAACACTACACAATCTGTCCCCAACCATAAACAATCTCTCTCCCAACTATACACAATCTGTCCCCCCAACCCTACACAATCTCCCCCAACCCTACACAATCTCCCCCAACCCTACACAATCTCCCCCAACACTACACAATCTCCCCCAACCCTACACAATCTCTCCCAACACTACGCAATCTCCCCCAACCCTACGCAATCTCCCCCAACCCTACACAATCTCTCCCAACCCTACACAATCTCTCCCAACCCTACACAATCTCCCCCAACCCTACACAATCTCCCCCAACACTACACAATCTCTCCGAACACTACACAATCTCTCCCAACCCTACACAATCTGTCCCCAACCATAAACAATCTCTCCCCCAACACTACACAATCTCCCTCCCAACACTACACAATCCCTCCCAACACTACACAATCTGTTTCCAACCATAAACAATCTCTCCTGCAACCCCACACAATCTTCCCCAATCCTACACAATCTCTCCCCTAAACCCTACACAATCTGTCCCCACAACCCTACGCAATCCCTCCCAACAACAATACACAATCTGTCCCCAACCATAAACAATCTCTCCCTAATCTTACACAATCTCCCTCCAACCCTATACATTCTCTCCCCCAACCATACACAATCTGTCCCCCCAACCATACACAATCTGTCTCTCCAACCCTACACAATCCCTCCTAAAAACCCTACACAATCTGCCCCCAACCCTACACAATCTGTCCCCAACCATAAACAATCTGTTCCTTCAACCCTACACAATCTCCCTCTATCCCTATACATTCTCTCCCCCAAATCCAACACAGTCTGTCCCCCAACCCTACACAATCTCCCCCTAACCCATCACAGTCTGTCCCCTCAATCCTACACAATCTGTTCCCCAATTCTACACAATCTCCCCCCAACCCTGCACAGTCTGTCCCTGCCGCCCTCCCTGACCACATCCCCGCCCCCCTCCCTCTGCTCCCAGCCCTGGGCACCTCCATACTGGGGCTTTTCCAGGCTGGGCAGAGTCCGGGCCCTCTGCACCTACAGTTCTCTGAGGGGAGGGCTTCTCACCAGATCCCTCATGGTGCCTCCTCCGTATGTGGGTGCCGCCTCCTCCAAGGGGCCGTATCTGACACACCCTGGCCGAAGCAGCTCCCTGTGACTGACCCCCTCCACTGTTAACGCAGCGCCCATTACCAGGCGCCTGAAGCTGCTCGTATGCACCAAGTATGTTTATTTGTGTACCCAGGAGCTCGGGGGCTGTGTCTACTCTGCCCACTCCTGGACCCAGCCCGGCTGGGCTGCTGCACGATCAGCTCTGAGGTCTGGGGACAGGTGGGGTGGATCCCATGGTCCCTGCCCAGAGGAGTTCCTTCTCCAGATCTTACATGGGTCACCCTCGTACCCAGCCCAGCCTCGACTGTGCAAATGGACTGAGTTACGTCCTAACCCTTCCTAGCCTCAGTTTCTCCATCTGCAAATGGCAGCCCCATCTCTCTTGGGGCTGCTGGGAGAGTTCCAGGGGGCAGGGGCGCAAGGCTGCAGGCAGGCAGGGTGAGCTGGTTGTGTTGGCCGGGGCATGGGGGCCCGGCTTCACTCTCCTGACACCTCCCATGGAAGAGCAGGACCTGCAGGCAGCTGGGAGGCTTGTCCAAATCCAAATCCTCAGGTGCTCCTCAAAGTCACCCCCGGAAGGACACTAGGATGGCAGGCTCCTCCGGGGTCCTCCAGGGTGCACACAGGGTGGGTGGCCAGGGAGGTTACAGGCGGGTAAGCCTCAGCGGGGACACCTTCCTGTCGGGAGAAGCGCAGGTCTGGGGTTCTGGAGTCTGGGGGCTGGGGACTGGAATCCCAGCCGGGCCCCGGCTGTTTGCGGGACTTTAGGTGTGTTGCTGTCTCAGGAAGCTCCATCCGTTCATCCACAGAACGGGGTACCTGGCCAGGTAAGGGGCTTGGAGACGAGCAGAGCTTTGGCGCCTGCAAAAGTGCCCACGTTCATGACGGGGTCCGATCGAGGTCCTATGGAGGGCCTAAGAACTCCCTGAGTTTGGTTGTCACCAAATGCCATGTTGGCATTTTGAGGGGTAAGCGTTCTCAGCCCTCCCCAGCTCCTCTAAGGGGTCTCTGGCCTCTAAAGGGCCACTTCCCAGGAGTAACCCCTGAAGAACTGGAGCAGGCAGACCCCCTTCGCAGATGAGGAAACCATCTCCCCAAAGCCACCTACAAACAGAACCCCACCCTGCCCGCCAGGTGTGGCTCAGGCACAGCCGCAGCAGCCCACGTGCCTGGGATGGCCCCTCCCACGCTCAACCTGGACTCTGAATTTATGGCAAAACCTGGTTTCCTCCCCAGGTTTCCCCAGCCCCTTTAGAACAGCAATATTCTACTTAAATGCGTATTTTTATTGCTTTCTCGATTATAAGTAAAAATATTGTAATGCCATCTGACGCTTTGCCAGCTGTCTGTACAGGCACGGGCAGCGCCATTCTGGAGTGAAAGCCGGGCGGGCAGCGGGTGTGCGGGGGACGCGCTGCCTGCGGAGGTGCACGTGGATTTCTGCTGAGGTTGGCCCCACATATGCCAGGCCACATGTTCCCAGGCGGGGAGCGGGGTAATCGCACCCATTTATCTTGCTATAGTTGAAAGTGCAAACATTATAAAATCACGCCAGTGCTGGTGGCAGCTATGGAGGAGTGAGGTGCAAATAAACTCCGGGGGCACGAGGGCCGGCTGCAGTCCTGGCAAGCTCCGGGGAGTGCAGGGAGGAGCTGGGACTGAGACCAGGATCGCGGCCCACAGGTCACGGCCCCTCCCCACGCTTGCCCGGAGCTCTGGGCACTTCTCTTGGTGGAAGTCAGCACCTGAGGGTTTAGCAGGCTGGCCAGCCTCGATGACCAACGGCAGTGGGTACATTTTTATCAAACACACCTGTGGTTAATGATGTCCAGGATGGGCACTGTGGCTCACGCCTGTAATCCCAATGCTTTGGGAGGCCGAGGTGGGAGGATCGCTTGAGCCCAGGAGTTCGAAACCAGCCTGGACACCATAGTGACAGACCCTGTCTGTATGACAAATACAAAAATTAGCCGGGTGTGGTGGTGTGTGCCTGTGGTCTCAGCTACTTGGGAGGCTGAGGAGGGAGGATCACTTGAGCCCAGGAGGCCGGGACTGCAGTGAGCTATGATTGTGCCACTGTACTCCAGCCTGGGTGACAGAGCGAGACCCTGTCTCAAAAAAAAAAAAAGAAAAAAATTTTTTAAAATGTCCAGAAGATGGCATACTAATGGTGAAGTGGGAAAAAAAAAAAACACAGACGAGACCCAAGCTTGAAAACTGAGCCTCCAGGTGACTCTGGCCAGCAGGTATTTGCTACGTAGTATTTTTTTTATTGTGGTGAAATATATATAACATAAATCTCACCATCTTAACCATTTATACATGCGTAGCTCCCTGGCATTCGGACCTCGCAATGTTGTGCCAACAGCCACATGGCGTATTCAACATCTATGAAATAGTCGCCAGCATTTGCAAATCAGGAGATTCCAAAGGTTGATGTAGACTTCCAGCTTCTCTTGCAAATCCCACACAGAACAAAAGCTCCAGCAACTCCGGGCTGGGGCCTCTGCCTGCCTGACGCGGCCCCTGCTGCTGGCCTCCCCTGCGCCCTGTCCTGCCCAGCGCAAGAATTGGTGAGCAGGGTTGGGCTGGCCCACACTCGTGCCAGCCCTGGGAGTCCAGAGGGACCAGCTCAGCTCCTCCACTAACTCTCAGGGCCTTTGGCCCAGCTCATGGTGGGCAGGACGGGCTTCCCCACAGGAGACGAGGGGCCTCCGAGGGTGGCCATGCCCGTTAGAACCACTTTCCAGCTTTCCAGGTCCCCAGGCCCCGTCATTAAGAACCTGTCACCAGGAGAAGTGTCTTCCGTGTGCAGTGGCCTGCCCGGATGGAGAGCTTTGCCTGTTTCTTTTTTTTTTTTTTTTTTTTTTGAGACAGAGTCTCACTCTCTTGCCCAGGCTGGAGTGCAGTGGCAGGATCTCGGCTCACTGCAAGCTCCACCTCCCAGGTTCACACCATTCTCCTGCCTCAGCCTCCCAAGTAGCTGGGACTACAGGCACCCACCACCACGCCCGGCTAATTTTTTTTTGTATTTTTAGTAGAGATGGCGTTTCACCATGTTAGCCAGGATAGTCTCAATCTCCTGACCTTGTGATCCACCCGACCCGGCCTCCCAAAGTGCTGGGATTACAGGCGTGAGCCACCGCGCCCGGCCGGAGCTTTGCCTGTTTGTTCCCTGCCGCGTCCCTACCCCCTAGAACACGGCCGGGCCCACAGCGCTGCTGGATGGATGGATGGATGGATGGATGGATGGATGGATGGATGGATGGATGGACGGACGGATGGATGGATGGGTGGGTGGATGGATAGATAGATGGATGATGGATGGAGCGCTCTTCTGCTGACAAACCCAGCTGGCACCGCCCATCGAGGAGACTTGCCTGATGACTGGGACTGTGTGAGTTTATGGCCCTGCTCTGAGCCAAGACACCCACTTTACAGATGAGAAAATGGCCCTTGCAGGCTGGAGACAGGGCGGGACCCACAGCAGGTCCAAGGTTCCATGCCGAGAGCCCCTCTGATGCTCTGCAAGCCCCCCCTGCCCCTGCCATCCTCCCAGTCCGTCCCTGCCATCCTCCCAGTCCATCCCCTGCCATCCTCCCAGTCCGTCCCCTGCCATCCTCCCAATCCATCCCCTGCCATCCTCCCAGTCCGTCCCCTGCCATCCTCCCAGTCCGTCCCCTGCCATCCTCCCAGTCCGTCCCCTGCCATCCTCCCCTGCCCGTGCCATCCTCCCAGTCCATCCCCTGCCATCCTCCCAGTCCGTCCCCTGCCATCCTCCCAAACCATCCCCTGCCATCCTCCCAACCCGTCCCCTGCCATCCTCCCAGTCCGTCCCCTGCCATCCTCCCAGTCCGTCCTCTGCCATCCTCCCCTGCCCCTGCCATCCTCCCAGTCCATCCCCTGCCATCCTCCCAGTCCGTCCCCTGCCATCCTCCCAGTCCGTCCCTGCCATCCTCCCCTGCCCCTGCCATCCTCCCTGTCCGTCCCCTGCCATCCTCCCAGTCCGTCCCCTGCCATCCTCCCAGTCCGTCCCCTGCCATCCTCCCAGTCCATCAGGAACTCCAGACTAAAAGGCATCACCCCCTCCCCCCGAGGCCAAAACCACCGCAGGGCCTGACCTTCCCCAAGGCCTGGAGGTTCAGCAAGGCTGGGGTGAGGGGCTGAAGAGTGTCTTGCTAATAATTTAGCAAAACGGAGGTGGAGAACGCCAGGGAGGGAGGAGAAGGAGACGGAGAGCAGCAGAAAACATTCCCAGCCAATCACTTTGATGTTCGGTCCATGAAACTTCTCAAATTATAAAAGAGAATCACTTTTGAGCCTTTAAGTGGCTCCGAATAAACCGACTGTCCAAAGATACAATGAAAAACCGACACCAGCTCTCCGTAACAAGGCAGGAAAAATTGTCAGCACTGAGATGAATATTCAAAGCCCTATCCGTGAAAAACACCCTGGAAATATGTTTTAAAGGAGCAGCGTGAGGGAAGGTGATTACGAGGGCGATTATCTGAGGCAGCTGGAGAGGCCAGGCCGGGCACCCGCAGGAGCCGCTGCTCCCAGCGAGGACAGAAGGCGAGAAGTGGGAGAGTCCACGGCCGCGGGGAGAGGGGAGGTGGGCGCCGAGGCCGGTCTGGGTCTGCAGGGGACCGTGCACCTGACCAGGGGTCACGGGTCTCCTCACGCTCCTGGGCACAGCCGTGTCCTCGCCACCTGCCGCACTGCAGACCTCCTGTTTCTCCTGCCCCATCCAGCCTCAGAACACGTGGTCAGGGCAGGGCTGGATGCACCGGCTCCCCTGTGCCAGCCCTAGCTTGGCCGCTGGCTCCCCGGTGACCGTGGCCGCCTCACCTCTCTCTGGCCTTGGTTTCCTGGGCCGGATGGGTGAGCCTGGGGTGCCTGATGGGCATCTGGGCTCTTTCTCCAGGGACAAGTGGAGGGGACGGGGCGGTAGGTGCCTCAAGTCCTGGACTGCAGGGGTGTGGGCTCCTTTGGGGACTGGGGGCAGGGGGAGAGAGAGGCCCATCGGGAGGACGGTGAGAAGCCCTCAGTGGGTGCCCCCCTCCTCCTGTGCTGGCACCCACAGCCCAGCCCTGCTGACCGGGACCTTACTCCACACCCCACGCCCATCCTTACCCCCCGGGGCTAAGACTCACTGCCCATGCCATCTCCCCCTCCAGCCCTCCACTCACCCCCACCCCCGCACACCCCAAGCATGTTGGCGCCTGGGGCCCAGGGGCAGCAGGCGGGGTGGCGGTGCACACGTTGCACCCAGGACCACCACGAGGGAGGAGGCCACAGGCCCTGCTTTCAGGGGACAAAGAGGCTGTGACCATCGGACTCTGCTGGCTGCATACACAGGACCCGCGCTGCAGGGAGCTCCTGACCCAGGCCCGGGACAGCCACGAGCCAGAAGCCCCTGGAGGCCTGTCCTGTGCAGAGGCCTGGCCACCCTCCCTCTGCTCACACTCGGGGTCTCCCTCGGGGGAGTCGGATGGCAGGAGGACCCTCTAGGCCCCCTTAAAGGTCACCACCTTCTCCCAGTGGCCCTGTTGAGGGAACCTCCAAGCTCCTCCTATAGCCCGGCTCCCCGTGGGCTCCCGTGGGCTCCTGGATTGCAGCAGGGTCAGCCCCTCTCCCGCCCCTCCCTAACAGCCCCCGTCAAGCAGGCACTTGACAAACCAGTTTTGGGTGAATGTCACCCTTCAGCCCTGCACCGTCTATACCCATCCAGACAACCCTGCAAACAGCCCCTCCACTGTTAACATCCAGGGTTTTTAATTAATTTATTTTATTATTATTTGTTGAGACAGGGTCTCACTCTGTTGCCCAGGCTGGAGTGCAGTGGTGCAATCACAGCTCGCTACAGCCTCCCACTCCTGGGCTCAAGTGATCCTCCTACTTCAGCCTCCCAAGTACCTGGGACTACAGTGTGTGCCACTATGCTCAGTTAATTTTTTTTTTAATTAAAAAAATAAAACACATTTTTAGGCCGGGCGCGGTGGCTCACGCCTGTAATCCCAGCACTTCGGGAAGCTGAGGAGGGCAGATCATCTGAGGTCAGGAGTTTGAGACCAGCCTGCCCAACATGGCAAAACACCGTCTCTACTAAAAATACAAAAATTAGCCAGGTGTGGTGGCGGGCACCTGTAATCCCAACTACACGGGAGGCTGAGGTAGGAGAATAGCTTGAACCCGGAAGGCAGAGGCTGCAGTGAACCAAGATCATGCCATTGCACTCCAGCCTGGGTGACAGACCAAGACTCTGTCTCAAAAAAAAAAAAAAAAATGCCAGGTGTAGTTGTGAATGCCCATAGTCCCAACTACTTGGGAGGCTGAGGCAGGAGAATCGCTTCAGCCCAGGAGGCAGAGGTTGCAGTGAGCCAAGATCGTGCCACTGCACTCCAGCCTGGGTGACAGAGTGAGACTCCACCTCAAAAAAAAATAATGTTTTTTTGTAGAGATGGGAGTCTCACAAAGTTGTCCAGACTGGTCTTGAACTCTCAGCCTCAAGGGATCCTCCCACCTTGGCCTCCCAAAGTGCTGGGATTACAGGCATGAGCCACCATACCTGTCTAGTTTTTTTTAATTTTTGTAGAGACAGGGTCTTGCTATGTTGCCCAGGTTGGTCTCAAACTCTGGGCTCAAGGGATCCTCCCATGTGGGCCTCCCAAAGTGCTGGGATTACAGGTATGAGCCATCCTGCCCAGCTGTATACAGGTTTTAGAGAAGAGGTCTAGGAAGCTTCAAGAGGGGCTGGGCTGTCATCTCAGCACTTTGGGAGGCTGAGGTGGGAGGATCACCTGAGCCCAGGAGGTCAAGGCTGCAGTAAGCTATGGTCGTGCCATTGCACGCCAGCCTGGGCCACAGAGCAAGATCCTGTCTCTAATAAATAAATGAATAAGGAAACTTCAACCGGTTAAGTAATTTGCAGTTGAATTCCAGCTCAAGGCTGCAGGTTCAGAGTCTGGTGGTCCTTCCCGGCCTTGGGATCAGAGAACCACATCCTAGAAGCCCAGACCTTGCCTCAGTGCACAGACCCCGCCTCAGTGCACAGACCCCATCTCCCGACTCCCAGGCCCGGGCTCCCTCTGCAGGGTTCTTCCCTGAGAACCCCAGATTAGGCACAACAGGCAGACGGGGTGGGTTTCTGGGAGTCCCTGGGGCCTGAACGGCGTCCCGGGGTTGCGGGGCAGGGGGTGGAGTGGGGGGCAGCCGTCGTGTTTTGCCCTCTGCGCTGTTCCTTGTAATTAAGAGTAAACTTTGTAGCAATGTCTCTCTTTCCGATGTTGTCTCACTCTGCCTCCCAAATGATAAATTGTTAATGAACACCTGTTACAATGCTAATGAAAGTGGGATCCATATGTAAATAAAGAAAATTTAATAAGTTAACAAGGTGGATTAAAATGCCTCAACCTCCTCCTCGGCAGCTAATCTGGACCAAACGCGAAACAGGGGCCGTCTAAGCAGAACCGCGGCGTGCGCCATCACCTCCGCACACTTTCCAAAATATAATTAATATTTTAAAAATTCATAAAACTGAAATCAGAGGTCTTGATTGTAACAAACAAAATATCCATCTTTAGTCTGCTACCCAGGGGCCAACCAGGCCCTCCTCCCACCACCTTTTCCTCGCTTGGAAAATGCAAAAGAGGTTCCAACTTGGGAGCCGCTGGCCGGGAAGGCGGCGGTGCCCTGCACGAGAGCTCTGGGTGCGAATCCCGAGCCGGCTCCTGGGCACCTCCCTCAGCCCCTATCCTGCAGTAGGGTGGGCTGCCGGCCTGGGCACTGACAGCCTGCCCTTCCAAACAGGGTTTTCCTCCTTGTCTCCTGCCCCATGGCGGCCTCAGGGGGTAACCACAGCACCCTGGACTCAAAGCCCACAGAAGAGAGTTTTAGGTACCTCTGAGGCCAGGCTGAGATTCTGGCCTGGGGAGCAATGGGCTTGGAGCAGACGGGAGCTTGGTGATCTCTGTTCCCAGGCTGCAGCCTCTCCACTTTACAGAAGGGGTCCCTGAAGGCTGGGGGGCCTTGCACTGCCCAGATCCTCATTGCCACACAGGAGGGGCTGGGCCTGACCCTAATCAGCTCCCAGCTACTGACCAGCGGGCCAACCTCTCTGAGCCCCGGCTTTCCCTTCTAGAAAACAGGAATGAGACAGGGCTCACTGCACAGGGCCCAGTGAGTGGCTCATGCCCCTTGGCGGGGAGGCAGGGCAGGGTCCCAGGTGGGGCCTGGTGCAGGCAGGGGGAGGGGACACACAGCAGCACCTCCTGGGGATCTGCCACCTCATGTGGGCTGGGAGCGGGCAAGGTTTGGGGATCCAGGCCCCTTCCCTGCAGCACCCTCCGTCCACCCTGGCCCACCCGGTGCCCTGGGGCACAGCCACCAACCCATTGGCCCTTCTGTTATTCTCGACCCGTAGGGTGCATGGGCTGCTGTTCTGGGGCAGGAGCCGCACCAGCCTCTCACTGCTGCAGCCCTCAAGCTGTCCTCGGTGACAGTCCCTGGATGGGGCGACAGTGCCCTGGCACAGGTGGAACTTTCAGGATGAGCTCTGCCCAATCCCACCTTCCCACGGACCAGGAGAGACGGAGGGATCAGGCAGCAGGACCCAACAGCTCAGCCTCTGCTCTGCGCCCCTGCCCGCACAGGGACTCTGTGCTCAGGGAGACTCCATTATGCTCCAACTGTGTACCGGGCACCATCCTTTGTGCCAGACGCACAGGGGGACCAAGCCAAGACCCTCCCCTTATATTGGAGTTGGGGAGCCAGAGAATGAGCAAGTAAGTAAACGAATATAAACTAGAATGAACCCCAAGTAGGCAGAAGTGCTGGCAAGGTACGGGGAGGAAATGAGTTGGGAGTTCACGGGCCAGGGACGCAGAAGGTGGCTGGTGGCATTTTAGCTGGGGCAGGCAGGCAAGGTGACATCCGGCAGAGACCTCGCTGGAGCACGGGAGCACGTTACACGGACACCTGGGGGACGCGTGTTCCAGAAGGAACCACGCAGACTTAGGCAGGATGAGCTGGTGTGCGTGGGGAAGGCGGGAGGCTGGGAGGCTGGGGAGGAGCCCCTCGGGCGCGGTGGAGGTGAAGTGGGGGCAGGGCCGGCCGGGGGCTCTCTGGGGTCCGTCCAGCAGCTTCTCGCTCACCTGGGGACTCTCCCTCAGGGTGGACCCAGCTGCTGGCCCCTGGAGCCGAAGCCCTGGAGGTTTGGTGTGTAAACCAGAGCCCCTGGCCCGCCTGCCTCTGATCTGCCAGCAATGTAATGCATCACGTGCCACCATGCGTCCAGCCATTTTTCATCGCTTGACCTCACTTTTAATTAGAGACTAAATTATTCATGCCGTTTGATGGGAGACAGAGCGCTTGGGAGGTGCCTGGGCCCTGGGCCGGCTCAGCCGGGCTGGAACCAACCCTTCGAGTCAAACATGAGCGGCAGGAGGAAAACAGTCTTCCTGCAGACTGCCGCACCCTGCACCGACACCTGCCCGCCGGCGGGGCTGGGACCCTCACCCCCTCTGAGGATGCAGCATGAGATGAAGGGGAGCCTGCTGTGCCCTGGAGGGGCTGGGCTGCTCCTCTCCCAGCACCCCAACCTCAGGAGAGAGATACCCGGGCCTGGCCATGGGGCAGGGCTGACTGGCTGGGCACCCCAGCCCCGGTCACTCAGCCTCTTCCTCCTGACTCTTAGCCAGGCTTTGGGGGCCTCACGGGACCGGGGAGAGGGCAGGAGGCCTCCCAGGAAACCCAGGGCTTTGGCTGAGGACAATGAGGAGAAGCTCACCTGGTGCCTCCCCCTCCCCTCCTGTCCCCATGGCTCTGCACCCCTGAACTGAGGACCGACTTCCACTGTTCTCCAACACGGGGTTAAGGAGTGTCCGGGAGACACCAGGATGTCGCCTGGAGGAGGAGAGGCTGCGGAAACTCCGCCCAGCACCTGCCACACAGCCTTGCCCTCAGAGCAGGCCCCAGGCCGGAGGGCGACTGGAGCTGTGGTCACCAGAATGTGCCCCAGGCCAGGCCAGCCCCGCCCCAGGGCAGGGGAGGAGGGGCTTCCCCAGGATAGGGAGATCCTAGGATTGTGCATTCACAGACCCAGAGGTGAAGTCTGGGGTGGCCCCCCTGAGGCCAGTGTCAGCACCCCCGTATTAGAGACAAGGAAGCCAAAACCTGAGCTTCTGGAACTGCCCTGAGACCCCACGAGGAGGGACCAGGGTGGAGAAGCAGGAACTTAGGCAGGCGCCTCCCGCTGCGGCCCCTTCCAGCCCCCACCCGCCCTCCCACATCCTCCCAGGCACCTTGGGGCCAGCCCCTCCGCCCTGAGGAGGATGCACACTGCAGAAGCCTCTGGCTGCAGGGCTACACACGCCCGCCTTCGAATCCCTCGTCAGCCCCTGCCCAGCTGTGTGTCCTCGGGCAAGTGTCCACACGTCTCTGAGTTTCTGCTTCCTCTGATGTAAAAACAGGCCCCCTCTATCAGCCTCTCAGAGATGGCAACAGGCCAGGGGACATGAGGCCAGGAAAGGACTTTTGAACTCTCGGGCGTCTCCAAGGGTGGAGCTCGCGGTTGCTCCTGGGTGGGGGGGACACCAGGCAGGGGGCTTACTCTGCAGTTTCCTCGGGCTGCAGGAGGGACGTGCGGGTCCCAGAGGACCAGGCTCTGGGTGCTGGGAGGAGGGGATGACAGAGTGGGGAGAGGAAGGCTTCCCATGGGCATTCACCGCCCACCCCTGCCCCACCACGCTGAGATTTCAGTGCACGTGGCCCCCATCTCTGCCCCAGCAGACTGACGCCTTTTTCCCGGGGCATTGAGAAGGTGGTCCGCCGCGTTCCCACGGTGGCCCCCCGGCAGCCTGCAGGGGAATAAATCAATCTGCTGGCGGTGGGTGGGGAGGGCCGCTGGGGACGGAGGCCACGTCCTGCCTCTGGGTGGGGGTTTCCTCCCCCCACAGGAGCGGAATTTGTCCACACTGAGCACCTAGGAAGTTGTCCTTTTCTCTGCAGTATCCGGAAGAAAATAAATTAAATGCAACAAGATTGTTCTAAAGCGCCATCCCCGTAGCGTCATCGAGCTAAATGACAGATGTTTCACTCTGAAAAGTGGCTCTAATGCCTGTGCTGTAACTTTGTCTCAAATGATTTCAGCAGACACCAATAGAGGGGCCCCGCGGCGCAGCCTCGCCTGCCACAGATGCAACATGGGAGGTGTGCGGGTGGGGCGGGGCCGTACCTCTGGGGCCCCCTGTTTCCGGGATGGTGGGTGCTAGGCAGGGAGACGGGCAGTCATGTCTGGGATGGCGTGAGTGGCATCAGACGCCAGACTGCATGGGGCAGGCAGGGCTGGGGGCGGTCACCTGGGACGGTCACCTGAGGTCACAGAAGGGGCCCAAGCTGGAGAGGGGGAGGTCCAGGCTCCAGATCAGCACAGCAAACCAGGGGTGACCCACAAGAGTCCAGGCTCTCCCCAGACTTCAGCATCCTCGTCCCAGAGATGGGTGTGTTGGGCCTCACCGTGGCACCCTCACGATCCAAACTAACCCGGAGACCCTGCACCTCATCAGCCAACTCAAGGGCTCCCCCGAAACTCAGCGGAAACCCCAAACCCAATGATATTTATAGGAGTCATTTCAAAACAGCCGTTCAAATATGACACCTTGTTACCCAGGCAAGGGGGCTGGCACGGGAGAAGACGCGGCAGCTTGGGTTTTTGTTTTCCTTTTCTTTAAATCATGGTCTTATTTTTTTAAATAAAATGATAGCTCGAGTCCTTGACTGGGAAGCTCAGTCCAGTCTTTCAATCCAGCACCTAATCCCCTAATGCCCTTTATCAAACGCCTGGTCGTTTAAAGTGTTATTAAATGCCTTTTTTTGGATTATAATTTTTATTCTTCACTATATGCTGGCTATATAATCAAATATTCATTGGATAATGATGATTAAAATATTTAATCCCCCAAAAGATGTTTAGAACAATTTAGGCTACCATTGACTTAATTAAGGGAGTTACGGGATTAGTGATGAAATGAAGGGGTAATTTTTTTAGAACTACTTTTGTGGTTTTTGTGGCTCTGAAACCAGGGAGGAGGGGTTCGAAGGCAGGGAGAGACAGGAGCCAAGGGCCAGGGGCCACCCCACCTTGGGGACCCCCAGGCCCCTGTGAAGATGAGGAGTGGGGGGCCAGGAAGCTCCTACTTCTGCAGAATGGGGCCTGGGTCCTGCCTAGGCCAAGCGAGCTCACAGAGTCCTGAGATCAGAGCTGATGGCATCCCTGGCCAGGCCGCCCCGCCCTCCTCTACGTGGCTCATTGAACTAAAGCCCCTCTGAATGATCGGTGGCCCCCGTTAGCTCTGCGGGGCCCTGAGGAAGCCCGCCTAGGCCCAGACCTGCGGGAAGTGCTCTCTAAGATGTCGGAGCCGGTCTTCCCGGCGTGCAAGGCCGGCCACCTGCTTCTTGTCCCTGCCCCACCTGCTCCTTTCCCTGCCCTGGGGGAGGGGGTGGGAGGCTTGGCTCCACTTGGGTGACCAGAATCTTGCCTGAGTTTAGCTTCGCACATGCCTGTCACCTGCATCTTTCTGAACTAAAGGTGGGCTTGGGACAGAATTCTGCCCACAGGTGACAGGGGGGTGAGCTCTGGGTGACAGCCTAGCCTCCTGGTGAAGGTGCGGATTCACGCTTGAGCCACCAGCCTCATCCCCACGGCCACCCACACTCAGACAGGAGAACCGAGCCCTAGAAAGACAAAGGGGTCTGCCTGGAGTCACACCGCGCAGGAGAGGCCAGCCCGGCTGCAACAGCTGTGTGGACACGGAGCCCAGAGGCCACAAGTGTGGGTCACGTGCCCACAGCCCCACCCTCGCTTCTCTGTGGCCACGGCCCCACCCCCGCCTGCGCAGCCGCCCCCTTCCCTCCCACCGCCTCCCAGCCTGAGCCAGGCAGTCCCTTTCAGAGGCCTAAGCCCACTGCACAGTGAGATAAGTAGACATTTGCCGAGAATTAAGCACCACTCGTTGACAGGCTGCAGAAATCCACCAACCAAAGGGCTCTAATACCCACGATGTTCCGGGGCAGGGGAGGGGAAAGGGAAGGGAAAACTGGAACCAAATTCCATAATCCATATTGACATAAATCTGCAGCTAGACGCGGGAACATCCTGCCACCCCACGTGCCAGCCCCCTCCTCAGGAACCGAGGCCAGGGCCGTGCCACACCTTTGCCCCTGCCTGCCAGGGGGGCTCTATGTCACCAAGCAGCCCTGGCCCTCAGTCCCAGCTCAGAGCCTGGGGTTTGAGAGAAGTCCAGGGCCCCCTCCTCGTGCCTAGGGGAGCTGGGGGCGGACAGCCATCACTGCCGGACAGGGCTGCAAGGGACCCCTCCCACTGTCCTGGGCTGCTTGACCTGGGAGAGAGGCTAAAGGTCACCCTGACCTTCGTATTTCAGGGAAACAGTGGCCTCCAAACCTTGGAGAAGCCAAGGGACCAGCTTCCCCAGTGAGGACACCAGAGCCTGGGATGCAAGAACCCCCATCCCAAAGTGGGGGCCCTAGGTCCCAGCACCCAGGTGCCCATTCAAAAAGGGGCCAGTAGCTGGGCACCTCACCTGTGGCAGGCCTGTCCCTTCCTGCAATCCGTGTCTTCTTACTTTTCCAGGGCCACCGTAACACACACACACAGACGGGACAGCTTAAACAGCAGAGATTGACTTTGCATGGTCCTGGGGGCTGGAAGGCCGAGATCCAGGTGTGGGCAGGGCTGGCCTCTCCTGGGGCCTCTCTCCTGGGCTGGCGGACAGCGTCTTCTCCCTGAGCCCTCACTGGTTCTTTCCTTCACCCGTCTGCATCCTCGTCTCCTTTCTTTATATGGGCCCCAGCCCTATTAGATCAGAGCCCACCCCAATGAGCTCGTTTTATCCGAATCATCTCTTTAAAGGCCCCATCCCAAAATACAGGCACATTCCGAGGTCCTGGGGGTGAGGACCCCAACATGGGAATTTAGGGGGACACAGTTCAGCCCCTAACGTATGTATCTCCCTCCACCCCCGTCACCGCCCCACATGGGCCTGCAAGGTTAAGCCGAAGGAACTCAGGCCCCAGCAGCTTCTCCTGCTGGCGGCCCCCTCGGCCACGCTTCTGACATCCTGGTGACCCCATGACCAGCTGCACCCCCTCAGCATTCAGAGTGGGGCACCTAGCAGCCAGTATGACTCATAATGCAGGTCCCCAAAACTACCTACAAGAAGTCTGGCCAGAGTGAAGTGAAGTCAGGGGGGCAAGAAGTCCAACCCTGAATTTCTCCTGCTTCCTCCTGGCTGCTGATGAGATCAAGGAAGCCTGGGTGATCTGTAGGAACCCGCAGTTGCTCCCTGCAGAAATGAAGGGTCCTGCCCAGCAAGCCCCCACTTCCCAACCACTGCTCCACTCCCCGCCCTTCCAGACAGCTCCCCAGGGATAGATGAGGGGAGCATTCTGTCAGCGAAAAGACTGTGCCCCGGCCAGGTACAGTGGCTCGTGCCTGTAATCTCAGCACTTTGGGAGGCTGAGGTGGGTGGATCACTTGAGTCCAGGAGTTCGAGACTAGCCTGGCCAACATGGCGAAACCCCATCTCTACTAAAAACACAAAAATTAGCCAGGCGTGGTGGTGGGCACCTGTAATCCCAGCTACTCGGGAGGCTGAGGCAGGAGAATCGCTTGAACCTGGGAGATGGAGGTTGCAGATCTCCGAGATCCATACACCATCGCACTCCAGCCTGGGCAACAAGAGCAAGATTCTGTCTCCAAAAAAGACTGTGCCCTGAGCTCCTCTCACCTCTAATCTGCCACCTGCCCTGCTGGGCACTGGGCACAGTGACCCCCACGCCAGCCCAATGAACCACCCTGAAGACCAAATAAGACTTGGCTAAGATATTCTTATGGAACAGCTTTGATAGCTGGAATTTACTGGAATTCACTTTCAGACTCACCACAGATATAGAGGAAAGGGTTTGGTGATGATGACCCAGACGTGCAGAAAAGAAAAAAAGCAAAGCAAAGCAAAACACCTGAGCCGCCCAGCCCTGCCCCCTCACCCCTGCCACGGAGTTGATGTCACATCTGTCCCCTCACCCCTGCCACGGAGTTGATGTCACATCAGCAAGGGGCTGCTCTTTGGGGCTCCTAGGGACTCCCCATGTGGCCATGGCCTACCAGAGACGAAGGCAGGAAGAGGGCGAGGCCCCTCTCAGCCCGGTCCAGACCCTAAGGCTGCCGCGCTGCCTCCCTCCGTCCCTCCCCCCAGGCTCTGGTTCCAGCCTCACTCCCTGGGAGGCCGGGCTCCACTGCTCCAGCAGATAAACGTGCCAGGGTTCATGGCCGCTGCTAGGCTGTCCAACACGCCTCCGTGGCTCTCTTTGGCCTGTCTGCCCTAAATAGAGCTGTGGGAGGAAGCGGAGGGGGGCTGCCCCAGGAAGGGTGGCCTGTCTCGAACCCCTCCCTCCAGCCCTGGGCCTGTCCCGGACCCTGCCAGGGTCTGCAGTGTCTCCGTGCCTGGGTGCAGGGGTCCCGGTGGGTGCTTTCCAGTGCCAGCAGCAGCCCTCCCACCCCCGTGATCACAGGCCCTCATACCCCGAGAGGGAAGGGACAGGTCCAGGCCAATGGCTGGTGGGGGGGGTGGGGGGGTGGGGAGGTGGGGCGGGTTGGGGAGGGGGGAGTCACCAGCCCCCCCTTTCCTTCCCCTCTAAGGAAAAAACCCCAGCACTCCCCGGTGACGAAGCTACTGTTGACTTTTCAGAGGTTAAAAGGAGCCTAAGGGGGCTTGGCCCAGGGTCAGGGCCGTGGAGAGCGTGGGAAGGAAGATATAGGGGAAAGTACAATCTGGGACTGGGAGGAACCCGGGGGCGGGGGGATGAAGGAAGAGGGGAGGCCAAGGAAGGAGAAGGGGACCACCGGGACTGTGCTGAGAGCAATGCCAGGTCACCCCACCCCCCTCCCAGCCCAAATCCTCCACCACATCCCCACCCCCCTCCCGCCCCGCCCACCCGAACAAGTCCAGAAACCCGCATCCCCCGTGGCTTTACCCTCCCACCTCATCAGCAGGTGCCCCCAGCAGTCCCGACTCCACCGCACCATCTCCACCATCCGGGGGTCTCTGGCGGGGCGCTGCCTGCCCTGCCTCCGCGTGGCTTTCCCGGTGAATAGCCTGAGCCGAGGTGTGTGTGCGAGAGGCTTAGGGGAGGGAAGCAGGATTGGACCCAGGGAGAATTTAAACCGCAGCATTGGTCGCAACTGCAACAGAGGCCCAGCCATCCCACGGAAAGCTCCCTCAGAGCTGGCCCAGCCAGAGGCCCAGGCCGGCCTCGCACCTGCAGGGAGGCGGGCGTTGGATGTGGGTGGCCCAGAGCGGGAGCACAGTGCTAGGAGAGGCAGCTCCCCTCAGCCCCACAAGCACCTGCCCCACAGGGAGATGGAGTGACACCACGGTATCGCCACGCCCCCCAGCCCCAGCATCCTCCAGCTTCTCATCCCACTCAAAACCCGGCCACCAGTGGAGCCTTTGGAACACACCCTTGTGCTGGACCTCCCTGCTCCGCAAGGCTGCCTGCGTGAGGAATGCCCACCCGCTGTGCTCACAGCTGGCGCCGAGGCCCAAACACTATCCTCTCCTTTCCTGTTTTCCAGGGGACAACTGCCCGCCCGCCTTCTGCACAGAACACCAGTTCCACAAAGGCGGGGACCCAAACTGCCCTGCCTACACGCACCTCAGCACCGAAATCAGGTCCTGGAAATGGGGAAACTGAGGCAGAGGCGGAGGGCAGAGTGCCCAGGCCCCTCCGGGAAGGTCCCTGGACACCAGTGGGTGGAGCTGTCCCGGCTGTTGGGGAAGAATATGTTTTCAATAGTCCCTCCTAAGGGTGGGGGACATGGCTGGGGACGAGGAAGGTTGCTCCAGCCCCAAGCGGCCCAGGGGCAGGCGGAGGAAGGGGAGGGAGAGGCGGCTTTGAAACCCTGCTGGTGCAACCGCAGCTTGATGAGGGCAGTGTTGTAGTTACACTTTTTTAATTAAGTGAATAATTAAAAAGAAGTTGATTATCAATTAGCTAATTAAATAATCCATTTTACTTTCATATTCCCGCTTTTCCCCTATTTTTTTCTTCCTTGTATTTTTCTCTCTTTTTTTTTTCCTTTTTTTTTTTTTTTTCTTTTTTGGTTAATCACTGTGGCCGCGGTAATGAGCCGCCTCGGGTTGCCAAGCAACCGGCTCCCAGTTAAACAGGCGCAGCTGCCTCCGTCAGCGCCCTGACGGCTGCGGGGGAGGGGCGGGTCCTCGGAAGCCCCTTCTGCGCGGCGCCCAATGACACCCTTGGCAGACACGCCCGGTGGTGGGGGATCCGGGGTGGTCCACGCCCTCCACGCGCTCCAGGTCCTGAGGGTCCGGGGGGTGCGGCCCGCCTTCCGCCTTCCCGCCCCTCTGACCCCATCCGAGCTGCCTTACGCGCATCGGTGCTGCGGGCCTCAGTTTCCCGCTGCTGGGGCTGGGATCCCGCGGCCGCAAGGACCGGCTGAGAGCTGGGGGGCGCTGTGCTGGGGGCGGGAGGGAGGCGGCCCTGAGGACTGCGCGCCCCCCACACCGGGGCCCGGGCGGGACACACGCCCAACGGGACCCCTGAGCCCCCAGGCTGGGGACCGGCAGGGGCTCCGGGGAGGCTGGTGAGGCCAGGACGGAGCCGCCCCCACGCGTAGCCGTGAAGCGGGAGGTACGCGGCCCCCTGGAGCTGCCCCGACTGCAGCCGAGGGCGCGACCTGTGGTGCCAACCGCCTGACCCTGCTTGGCCGCCGCCGCCTGCGGGTCTCCAGCAGGTCCCACCCCACGCGCCCGCGGGGCCCGCTCCAGAGGCTCCTCCAAGGCCGCTGCAGAGGCGCGGCCAGGCTCCCATTTCTGCGCATCCCTGGCGCTCAGACACGGCCTGAGCCGGGTACCCGGCGACTCCCTTCGGCCTCCACCGCCTCCTGGGGAGGGACCGCGCGCTGCTCCCACGCGGGCCCGGGGGTCTCCGCAGCCCTGGCCTGGGTGCGTCCGTCGGGCTGCTCGGCTCGGAGCACCCCCCGCCCCGCCGCCCCACCAGCGCCTCTCCGGAGCGCTCACCCCGCCCCCGACTCGTGTTGTTGTTGCGTGGGTTTTTTCTCTAATTCTCCGGAGTTACTCTTTTGTTGCCAATTGTTTCTATGCCCGGAGGCCACGCTGTAAATGAGATGTTACATCTGCACCGAGCTAAGTAAACACTTTATAAATGAATAAATAAGTGAATAAATAACGAAATCGTCATCTCGGGGCGGCCCGGCTGCCAGGGCTCCGGCCGCCGGCCTGCGGGGGTCTGTGTGGTCCCGGGCCCTGCCCTGGGGTCGGGGAGGCGCCGGGAGGGGCCGTTTCCCAGCCGTGTCCCTACCCTGACCCCATCTTCCTTCCTCTCCCAAATCATCCTCCAGACTCTGGGCGTTTGGTCCCCAGATGTCGTGTGGGATTCGTGGCTTCCACCCACCGCTTCTCAAACAAAAACGGGTTGTCACCGCGGCTCTTAACCCTGGGCGAGCCACGGAGCGTTTCTTCCCGGGATCGGGATCGGGCCGCGGCTCGAACCGGCATCTGCAGAAGGAAGACCCGGCCCTGTAGGCCGCCGCCGCCCCAGGACCGGACTGGTGGCCTCTCCACGTCGTGTCCGGACCCGACACATCGCCTCCAACGGGAAAAAAGGGGAGCAGCGGAGCCTCCGCCTCCCAGCCCGGCCTCTGCCCGCCCTGCCCGGCGCTGGAGGCACCAGGCCGGCCCAATTCCGAGAGGCTGAACTTCGCAATTATCACGGATAACAAGAACAAATGAAAAAGCACTCATTGAGTAACTGATATCAATTATGAAGCCCAGCTTTAGAGTCTGGAATAAATGATAGGGGAATTGGCCTGAGAGAGAAGGAAGCAGGCGTGTTATTATTTACGCCAGATTAAGAAAAGTATCCAATTTGCTGGCCATCTCCCTCCCCGTGGGAATTGGCATCAATTTTATTATTGTTCTTCCGATTTTAATATTCTCTAAATGAATTACTATTGAGCGAGGTAGTTAGTCAATAGTTTAATGCAATTAATTATCTTTAAATCACTTTGTTATATTTCCTTTTTTTGAGAGACAGAGAGTCCTAACTCTAAACTCTAGTAAGCAGTAGTTTACGGGAAAGTGGAGAGAGTGGGTATTTGCAGGGCCGGGGCCTGGGGAACCTGGGTAGGGTCAGTGGTGAGGGTTCTCCCTGTCCTGGTCTCAGATCTCCTGATCAGAGCAGGCGTGAACTATGGACACTGTAGGGAGACCTTCCACCGTGGGTTTAGCCAGCTGCAGCCAGGAGGCTGAGAAGGTACTGAAGGCAGCTGGGAACGCTGCCGCACGGGCACCGCCAGCCGCAGTCTGGGCCTGTTTTGTCTTTAGTTTAAGTGGAAAAATTAAATTCACAGATCATGCCCCTTGGCTGTTTCTTTTCTGGTCCCTCTGGGGCTCCTCCCTGGCCATGCCTGGGTGAGACAGAGGCTTGCTCCTGGGTGTGGCCCTCTAAACTGCCCAGCGGCCCTTCCTGGCTGCACCCGGTTTCTCCACCTTCAAGGATGGAGGAAGCATGGACGCAGGGAAGGACTTGGAAGAAAGACTGTGTTAGGAGGGGCACTGGGGAGTCTGATAGTATTTCCAAGTTACTGTATGCTAGCTTCTTTCTTGTCTGTGGGGATAAGCAGAAGCCTCATCTCTCCCACATGTACCCCGGTAGCCCCCACTCCAGACTAAGGGGGATTCCACAGGCCTCCCAGCACCTGAGCTGGGGAGCCCAGGCCCGGGGCTGCAGGACCAGGATGGAACCACCAGCTAAGTTTCCAAGAAGCCTGACTGATCTCTCCAGGACTTGGGGACTGGAGGCCCTGGCGTTTCAGGGAGGTGCTGAAAGGTGCTTCCATTGGTCCCAGCTGCCTGTTCTCAATAGTCTACTGCTCTGGTTAGAAGCAAGAGGGGACAGTGATCTCAGCTCCAACCAAGGGCCTCCAATTTTCCACAACAATAGTAACAACAACGACAACAAAAAGTCTTCTGTTTTTTCCCATTCTGTTTTTTCCCAGGCCCGACTGCAGCACTGGAAACAAAGTTGTCCCCCATGAGGTCTGAGGATGGAACATTTGCTAAGAGGGACAAGATGGGAGGGAAGGGAGGACGGGAAGACAAACTTTTTTTTTTCCTATCAGCTCAGAGTAACTGTTCTCCCAAACATTAGGACGCCAAGGGGGGCCGTGGGGGATGGGCAGGGGATGGGCAGGTCCTGCTGGTAGACGGATGATAGATAACAGATAACCTTGTAGACAGTCACTCGCCTAGGCCAGACTTTGAGCCCAGGGTAATAGAGTGCTAATGGCACAAGGGCCAGCGGTTGCAAAGTGCCGTGCGTGGTGTCTGGTCCCATCTAAGACCCATTCACAGAGTGTGCAGGTGTCTGTGTGAGTGCGGGTGGGTGCAGGGGTGCCAGTGTGTGGCCCAGACACCCCCAGGCCTCTCTGGAATGCCAAGACAATCCCTGAAAATTTTCTTCTTCCTCCCACTGAGCCACCCATCAGCCCCCAAAAGAAATGCTGGAGCTTCTCACCATTCAGCGAAAATTGAATTCCCCCGAAATAGCTCCGAGGACAGGACCTGGTATTTCATAGTGTTTTAAAAGTAATATTCCTTTTGTTGGTGCCGTGAAATAGGGCACCAGGAACACTGCAAGAAATAAAAAGAGTAATTTCTCAGTGGAGAAGTTGCCTGTTTCCAATTCAGGCCCCCGATCGCTGGAACCTGGGTGCTGGATGCTTCGCTCTGAAGGCAGCGGCTGGGTGCTCACGGGCCGGGAGGCCCGCCCCTCCCAACTCACACATCTGGAATTGGCATCAGGGGCGCTGCGGGCTCCGGAAGTTCTCACACTTCACGACTCATTAAACCGGAGTTTGGATTCCTCGGGAAAGGGGATGAGGGTGCGAGTTACGCTGGGGGGCTGGGTTTGGGATGGCAGCAGTGGGCCCGGAAGGAGGGGTCGGGGACACGATCTCTGGGGAGTCCCCCTCCCCCAGGGCTTGGGAACACTCTCAGAGCCCACTTCTATGGTGCAGGCCTGGTAGCGTGTCGGCTGGGGTCGGAGGTGGCCTGACGTGACTTAGAAAGGGAAGAAACACCTTTCGATCCCGGAAAGCCCCTGTGTCCCTCTGGGGGGGTGCCCTGGGGGATTGAGTCCCTCCTGGACCAGGTGAACAGAGCCGGAGACGTGGGGGCATCTTATGCAATCACTCTGGCTTCATAGACAGACTTTGCTGGGGCCAAGGGAAGGGAGGGGGCCAGTGCCCGCCCCCGCCGCCAGGAGAGGTCCCAGGGGCTGCCAGCCCCACCCTCCCTGGTGGGTCTTTCTGGCGAGGTCTCCCGGGGCGGGGGCCGCCCAACCTCTCCTCCACACACTCTCATTTGATGGTTACTGATACTGCCTTAATGTCTGAAGGGGATAATACTTGGGAGCTTAAAATTACAATTGCTTCTACTTAAATTTATTTGATGGCCGGAGCGTTTCCGTTATATATCCGTATATGGGTTTTCAATATCTTAAATGTTTAAAAAGGTTTTATTCTGTACTTACACTGAGTGAAATTAAAAAGAAACAGTAAAATGTTTGAAAATGAAGTGCATTATGTTTAATAAATTTAAAATGAACAAAGACTGCTATATCGCCAGCAATATCATTCCCTGCCCAGGGGCATTAATAAAGACTGGAGGTTTGGAAAAACAATATTTTCTATTAAAATTCTGCGCTGTGTTTCAATATTAAAAGGATATGTGATGAATTTCCAGTGTTACCCAGACGGGGTCAGAGATTAATTTCATTTCTTTCTGGTCAGCATTCTGTCGATAATTAATCAAAAGCAGAGTTTCTTAATGAAACACTTTTCATAAAGTGATAATTAGCAGGAAAGAGGCGGCTCGCAGACAGTCCTCGCGAGCTGTCTAATAACCGGTGAGGCGCGGGGCTGGTTCCTGGGGGCCGTGGCCGGGGGCCGCGGGGACAGGAGCTCCCCAGGGAAGGGGCTGAGCTTGGGGAGTTGGAGCCCTCGCCCGGCCGAGCCCTGAGCTGGGCGGCTCTGCAGACCGGCCCCGGGACTCTTATTATCAGGCCGCAGAAAGAATCAGCAGAAGCCGGCGCGCGAGGGCCCGGCCGGGCCACCCCCTCCCCTGCCCAGTAAGGCCTCTGGGACGCTGTGTGATCTTAGGCAAGTCCCTTCCCCTCTCTGGGCCTCTGCGCGCCCTCCTACTGCAGGAACGCCTGCAAGCAGAAACCCTCTGGCCTCCGGCGCGGAGACACTGGTCCTGGTCCTAGCCAGCTGCCCTCCCCGCGGAATCCCGGGGGGACCCACCGGCACCCGTGGCCCCAGGCCGAGCTCTCGCTCACCCCGCGGCTTCTCTGTGTGCCCGGAGGCCAGCGCCACGCGGAGCCCGCGGCCAGTGGCTGGGAAGCCTGGGAGGTCGCGCTCAGGGAGGGGAAGCGAGGAGGGAGCGGGGAGGAGGAGGCGGGAGGCGTCCGCAGGCTGGGGGGGGGGTGGTTATTAGTGCATTATAAAATTACTAAAAATAAGTGGAAAACAATTAAGGGGTTCAAGAGTAAATAAAGTTAATGGAACAAAATTAGCAGCAATTAGCGGCAACGCCCGCGCTCGCTCCCCGCAGCCCGAGTGTGGTTTGGAGCCTGGGGCCTCCGGGCTGCGAACAAAGGCCTCCCGCCGGTCCCGTCAGGCGCAGCCTGTGGGGGCCGGGCCCAGCGTCTCGGCCGGGGCGGGCGAGCTGGACCACCGGCCGCCCGCACCCCCCACAAGCCGGGAGCTCCCTAATCCCGGGCGGAGCGGCAGGTGCCGGCTCCACCGCAGGTCCGGCCTTGCCCGCGCTGCTCGGGAAACGCTGCAAACTTTCCGATAACGCGGAGAGGCGGGGGGTTCTGTGCAGATGAGATTATCGATAGTTATTGAAAGTCCCCAAATAGGATTTACAAAGCAGGCTCCTGCGCCTTTAATAGAATTCTAGATAATCTTTTATCACAACAAGACACCCATATAGAATTATTTAAACAGATTGGACGGCGGCAGCAGCAAATTTCAATTATTCTAATGCTTTAATAAATGTGGTGCGTGTGTATTAAATTCAAGCTTCTTAATCCAAATTTTACGATGTAACTGCACTGATTTTTCATTTCTGCAACACCCACACGCGGCAATGGCCCGCTCCTCTCTCGGGGAGGGTGATCCCAGCTCGGAAAAGCCGAGAGGGGCGCGCGGAGTCGGGCGGCCGAGAGGAAAGGGAGTCACGGCTGGGCGAGGGGCGCCGGGCGCGGGGAGACCCCGGAAAGGCAAGGAGAGAGCGGCCGGGAGGAAGGGAGGACGCCCAGCGGGGCCCAGAGAGCCGCAGACTGGCCAGCCCCGCGCCCCGCTCCTCCCAGCTCGGGGTTTCTGTCCCCACGCGCCCCCTCCATACTCACGCCAGCTCTGCCCGGCCCGGTGGTTCCCCGCGCGGGGGGTTCCGTCCGGGCCCCCTCTGGGCGGCGCCCCGGGCAGAGGGGCCCACGAGGAAGGGTCTCGGGGTGCGGGCAGCCCTCGGCCACAGCCCCGGCTCCTCGTGGCCACCGTGTCCGGGGTGCGCCAGGGAGCCGCTGGGCCCCACCAAGGCCTCCCTTCGGGCCGCCCCTTCCCTCCAGTCCCTCCACCGCTAAGTGAGATAAACAGAACCAAGCGCCCAATATGCGGCCCCGCGTCCACCTCCACGCCCACCCCGGCCGCCCCCGAGGCTGACCCACCCCCGCCCCGGAGTCGCAGCGGCGGGCAGGGTTCCGGGCCGGGACATCGGCGCCGGGAGCCACGCGCGCCTCCTCCACGCAGCGACGCCTGAGACCTGGGAAGGGCGGAGAGGGCCCGGGATCGGGGCCCAAGTCCGCTTCCGGGAAACTGAGGCCCGGTGCTGGAGCCCGGATTTCTCTGGGCCCTGGCGGGGAGGAAGGAACGGGCAATGCTGGGCGGGGAGCTCCCTGGCTTTAGAAGAAAGGGAAGGAGTAGCGAGGGCGAGGCTCCCCTCCTGGCCCTGGCTCTCATCCCAAACTCGCCGTTTTCACTCCTTGCGCGCCCCCTCCCCATCCTCGGCCCGCGGGGCAGGGGCTGACCCGGCTGAGCAGTGAATTGGGCTCGGTCCAGAGGCGTCGATCTCTCATAATCTTTGTTTAATGTTGCATTTCTAAGCTCCGTATTAAGCAGCGGTATGGGCGGCTGGATATTTAGTTGTATATAATTTACACCCTGATCCTGAATCGATCCGACACCTCCGGATGGAGTCTCTCTCATTTTTCACGCTCCTTCCGAGGTGCCGAAATAATACCCTCTCATTAGGAGACTGCGAGGCCTGGCTAATTTATCCAAACTGTCAGGGGCTTGTACAACCTCGGGTTAAAAATAAATCAGCAAAGAAACAACACCCTTCTCTCCTCACTCCCCACTCCCCACAGCCCCCGCCCCGTCCCCACCCCCAACGAACCGATTTATCAACAAAATTAAACCAGTCTGCATCTAACCGATTGACTAGCAAACAGCAGTGTTCAGAAGCTTGGTGTTGTGGCCAAGGCGCCCGCCAGGGCCTGGCCATTTATTAGACAACCTGGGCCCGTGAAGCAATCAAACCCGACAGCCCAGGGGGACCTCCTGCCCCGCACTCCTAGACCCTGGCCAGCCCAGGGGGACCTCCTGCCCCGCACTCCTAGACCCTGGCCGCGTTGTGGAGGAGGCCCCTGCTCCCCGCCCAGAGGCACCACCTAGCAGAGAAGAGCAGCCGCCTAGAACAGCCAGGAACCCCTACCTAGCGAAGCAGGGGGCCGCGTCCTCCACTCCCACCCTCTCCTGGCATCGGACGCGGAGGGAGCCGCAGTGGAAGGCCGCCCTCACCGCGGCCTCGGTTCCTAACCCGTTCTGGGACCAAATGACCCAAGAACAACCACAGTGGTTCCCATTGCCCAGGAGGCCTCGCTATATCCCTCTGCTGCCCCCCTACCGACCCCTATTTATTCCCCTCTGCCACCCCAAAACGACAGCACCCCACACCCAAGCATGGGGGGGAAATCCTTTTTTTTTTTCTTTTGCAAAATTAAAAAATCATTAGGTGACTCGGGGTGGTTGATTCAGAAGAGCTCGCCTTGCAAATGAAGCTCTTGAAATTACGTCGATAATTAATTGTGCAAATTTGTTTCTATTAAATAAAAATAACACGTACTGAAGAACTCAATTAGCATTAATTAAGCTTGATATCCTAATTTGGAAGTTGTGTAATAGAAAACAAGCGTTTTGGAGGGTGTTTTTTCCTCTCTCCCCCTCCTCCTCTCCCTCTCCCGGCCTCTCTCCTGCTCCCCCTCTCTCTGCCTCTCCTCCTCGGCTGGAGAGAGGAGCGGCTGTAGCCTTTGGGCTGCTTCTCTCTCCTTGGAGAATTGGAGATGAGAAATGGAGATGGGGAATCAGGAGGCGCTAAATTAACTGCCTGATCTGCACTTATTGGTGCATACACATCCCCCCATTACGGGGCCTTTCTGCAGCTCGGCTCTTAATATTCTAGGCATGGCGAGCCGTCTAGATAGCAGATTTATCAAATGGGAAAATGAATGTATGATGATCAGTTAAATTGAAAATCAGCGCCTGCATGACAGCTCGACCTGACACCTCCGTAATTAGAAAGAAAAATGATGGCGTCGGATGCATAATAGAGCAAAAACAATTTACACTCTCCCATAATGATCCGGCGTTCAAATTGAAAATTTCTCCTGGTAGAAATTGAATTCATAAAGTATGATTCATGAAGGATACATCTCCTGGAGGCTGGCTCGACCAGATCGATTGATAGTTTGTCTAGAATCACACAGCCTGCTGCTTTTGGGCTTTCAGAAAAAAAAGCTAAACTGTTTAAGTAAATCAGTAATTTCACCTTAAGGACACGGGTGTGCAGCCAGCGATACTCCAGCATTCAAACTGCAAATCCATTAAACATGAGGCCTCCCCCCAACTCGGTGCAGCCGCCACCGAAATGAACAGCTGCAAATTGAAGGAAGGAGGCGATTTATCGCTGCCAGACAAATTGTTCACCTTAGATAAAATAACCGGCATTTTACGCACAATTTTCTGCCACAATTTCATAATTTAAATGACACTTTAAATACAGTTTAATGGGGGTGGGAGTGGGGGCGGGAGAAGGAAGAGTTGACCGCAGAGGCCAGACGGGACCGGCCGGAGACAAAGGGTTGGAGGCCGCGCTGCTGGGACGCGGCCCTGGCCGGCCTGTGGGGAGGCCCAGGCTGCAGGACCCCAGGAAGCAGGGGTAGGGGCAGAGGGCCAGGCTCTGCGGCCGAGCTCCTGCGACCTCCATGGGAACCCCGCGTCCCCTCCCCGACAACTCCTGGCTTCCACTGGGGGCGGCCTGTCCCAGAGTTGGGCAACCAGCGCAGAGGTCTCCTTCCCGTGGATCCCGCCCCCTCCCCTGCTCTTCCTTCCCCCTCTCACTTTTCTTTTGATCTAATTATTTTTCCTATAAGCTCGGTCTCCTAGAGAGCAAATATCAGAGTCACTGAGCGAAAATTATGTAAATATTATTAAAGGGACTCGGGCTCCGAAATTCATTTGCGCCCGCGCGAGGAGGAAAGCTGTCCTTCAGATTATTTTCAATTTATTTGCAAATAAAGGCCTGATGACCAGGAGGGATCAGGGATATTTAACGAGGCTGTAAACATAATTCCACTGTGCTCAGCCTCGTTGGAATTAATGGTTTTAATAATTGGGATCCCAATTTCTCGGGGAATTGGTGGCTTTTGCGGCAACGAGGACCCAGGGCCCAGGAAAATTGAGGCCAGTGGGTTGGGGTTTTTGGGGGGGTGGGGGGAGATGGAGGACGGGTGGCGGTTCACTTTGGGATGGGGCGGCTGCGGGCAGGGGCGGGGGCGCGGGGCTGGCTGCAGGCTCCAGCCAAGTTTGCTAATATTTCTTCGCTGCAGATGTCCTGAAGTCCCCGAAGGGTCCCCTGGGGACCCGGACCCTATTAGAACAAATGTGCACGGCTTTTGTAAAGAGTCGCGTTGGCGGCGCCTGTCCTATTACAGGCGACACATGATCAATAGGCTGATAACGCAGCAACATCAATATAAGCGACAGAACAATGAGGGATATCATTGGGCATCTATCTTAATATAGCCGGCTACAAGAGCGCTGACAAAGAGTGCAGCTCATGAAAATTCCGCCCCACGATTCCCCATCTCCGCTCCAATATGCGCACGCACTCCCCCAGCTGCCGGCGCTATTATTCTCCAATTTCAATTTGACACCCCAGCCTTTCATGCTAATTCTATTATTGTAGGAAGTTTATGTGATTCCATATCACTAGAAATCGGTAATGTATAATAACCCTTTGGGCAAGAAACCCAGTCCCCGCAGCAGCCACCGGAAAATAATTACTTTCATATCAAAACTCTGCAGGAGCCCAGCGGCCCGGCCCTCGCAGCCCCCGGCTCCGTCACCCCGCGCCGCGCGCCCCGGCGTGTGCCAGTGCGCGCGGGGGCGCGCGGCGGATGTGAGCGTGCGTGTGCGGCGCGGGGTAGGAGGGGGAGCGCCGGGGCGGGCGGGGACCGGGAGCCGCAGATGCATAAATGTGTTGAATCAGAAAACACAGACACACACGCACACAAAAGGACGCATTAAGCGCAGACCCCCGGGAAGTGCGGGGCCCCCTCCGGGCCCCACCCGCGGAGAGAGGCGTGGAAAGGTGGGAAGGGCGGCGGGGCTGGGCGCTTGGCAAATTTAAAAAGATGGACCTGAAAACTTGCGTTTGACCAGCTTTATTTATCAAAAATGGTACATATATAAATATTCTTAGACATTTTTGCATTTTACAAGGCTGAGGATTCTCGTTGTGGGGTTTTTTGGGGGCCATGGGTCCTTTTTGCTCTCTTGGGAGGAGGAGGGTCTCACCCCCAGTCCTGTGGTTGCTGCCTGGGTCCGAATTCATACAGCACTTTCGTTTACTCTTAAAAAAAATAATAAAAGAAAGAAAACAAAAGAAAAGAAGGGAAAGCAGTGTTTCTAGAGCCGATCACCTGATTCGTTGCGTGAGTCGGAGCCTGAGCGAGCGGCCGCGGGCCGGCTACGCGCCTCTCCCGGCCGCCGCGGCCTCAGTCCATGTCCAGCTCCTCGCCCTCCGGCGGGCTGGGTCCGGCCGCCGCGCCAGGCTCGGGAACCCCGCAGGTGGCCGGCTCCTCGGCGGGGCTGGGAGGCCGAGGGCCGGGCCTGGGCGACGGCGCGGGCGGCGGGGGCGCGGGGCCGGCGGTCCCCGCGTCCGCGCAGTCCCCGCCGCCGCCCTCGGTAGCCGCTGCCGAGGCGAGGTCCCGGAAAGGCGCCGGGGCCGGGGCTGGGGCCCCCGGGGAGGCGACGGCGTCGGGGCTGCGACGCGCGAAGGCCGAGTCCGGGGCGCCGCCGGGCCCCGAGAAGGCCCCGAAACTGGCCTGGGCAGGCGGCGCGGGCGGCACGGCGGGCGCGGGCGGCGCGTCCTTGGGCGCCGGCTCCAGGCCCGCGCCGCCCTTGAGCGCGGCCTGCGGCACCAGGAAGCCGAGCGGCTGCGTGATGGGGTAGAGGAGGAAGTGGCCCTTGCCGATCAGGGTCCGCGGCGCGCACGGCAGCCCGGGCGCGAAGTCCAGCCCCGCGGCGGCGGCGGCGGCGGCGTTGGAAGCGGCTTTCCGGCGCGGCGGCGAGTCGGACAGGAGGCTCTCCACGCTGAATGGGCTGGCCTTGGGCAGCCCCGCGGCGCCGCGCTCCACCGCCGCCACAGCGGCCCCTGGCCCGCACGAGGCCGCGTCCTTGTCCGCAGGGCGACCTGGGCGCGGCTGTGGGCCGGCGCCGCTTCTTTGGCTCGGGTAGAAGGCGGGGTCGCAGGTGCCGGGTGCAGGCGGCTCGCCGGGAGGGGCGGGCGCGGTCCCCGCGGCGCCCGAGGCGTGCGCTCCGGGGCCCTTGGCGGCGGGCGGCGGCGGCTCGGGCGGCTCCGGAGACAGGCCGCCGCCGCCGCTGTCGCTGTCGGAGCTGGGCGCGCTGTGCAGGGACAGGCCGCCGGGCGAGTGCAAGTGGCGGCCCTGGCTCTTCAGCAGCTTCTTCTCGTGCTTGCGCTTCTTCTTCTCCATCTTCTCCAGCTCCTTGCGCGCGATCTCCTCCGGGTCCATGGGCTCGCCGCTGCACGTGGTCGGGTGCGAGTTGTGCGCCGGCCGCCCCGGGCCCTTTTTCGTGTTCTCCTTCTTCCTCCACTTGGCCCGGCGGTTTTGGAACCAGACCTAGAGCAGCCGGATAGGGGAGAGGAAGCCACAATCAGGCGGCGGGCTGGCCGCCGGGGCCGAGGACCTCCCCGCTCCCCCCAGAGGGGCCTGCACAACCTCCGCTCGGCCGGGGCAGGAGTGAAGCCGCGCGGCCGAGCGGGCCCTGAGCTGGGCTTTGCCACTGGAGCTGCAGGTTCCAGCGAGCGCCTTTTCCACCCGGAAGGCGCGTAGACGGGGCCTCTCGGCCAGCTTCCCGCTCTGGCTTCTCACCTCGGGGACCTGGGAGCCGCCCCTTACTTGGGGGGCCGGTCTGGCCCCGGACGGAGAGCGTCGGGTTCCTGGTCCGGAGGCTAGAGAGCAAGGCCCCTGTTCACCCTTCCTGGCCGCTCACGGCTCGTGTTCTAAGCAGCCCGCCCGGCCTGGCGCTGACCATCCTGCCGTTGGACCGCTGAGCCACAGCCGCCCTCCACACCTGTCTTCGGCCCCTTGGAGACTGTGTCAAAGCCCACATTTCGGGGGTGGGGGCGGAATCCCTTGAAGGGAAATATGGGTGCTTCTCGTCCGGAAGGGCCTGGGGAGCCGTACTTGGGTGGGCCTCTGCAGCCTCCCTCCCAGGGCACAGCTAACACAGCCTTCTTTCCGCAAACCCTGGGCCAGGGCGCCAACGGAGCCTTCCCAAACCTGCGGTCCTTGGCCTGGGCCACCGGCCAAGGCAGGTGGGGAGGCAAGAGGCGACCACCAGGCCGGAAGGAGAGGCTGGGCCCATCGCGTCTCTTCCATCCTCTCTGCAGTCCTTGTCCTGGGGAGCCACACAGGACATCCGGGGACGGCAGCGCTACACCCTCACTCAACCGCCAGCCACCAAACACACACAGTCAAATCCGTCTGAGCCCCGCGGAAGCTCGGGCAGTCCTGCCCTCCCCAGGAGGGCGCGTTAATACGGATTCTTTGTCGCGGCCACACAGAGACTTGCACAATAGCAGGCCCAGCCTTGTCGCAGGGAGCCTTGTCCATGGGGAGGTCTCCAGCATGAAGCCGAGCCCTCCCCCAACGCTGTAACCGCCTTTTCCTTCTTTAAACTTTTTTTTTTTTTTTTTTTGGTGCGAATTCCGGACTGCCTTGCCTGTAAGAATTAGTCATTATCGTATTAGGGGAGACATGGAGGGGTCTTGACTTCACTTAAGACACTTAGAACAAATTGGATGAAAGGATTTCCAAGCAGAAGAGGTCATGAGAGGAGGTCCAAGCGCAGGACAAACACACCTTTTTAGACAAAGCTATTGGTGATAAACAGGCGTTTTGCCAGCGTCTGCCTCAACGCCTAGCACCCACAACCGCACACCGCACCACAGACCTGGACCCCACACCGCACCCACCGCAGAAAAAGAGGATTTCTTTGCTCCAGGGAAACATTTAATTATGCACAAATCATCTTGGAATTTTTAATCCACCAAGCTGACACTGTATTTTTAAAACAATACCATCAGCCATCTCCAAATGATAGCAAATTTACGGGAAAACAGTCGTAAGAAAAAGATGAGACCGGGGTTATTATTAAAAATTCAGACACCTTTTTTTCTCCCACTTTCTCAATGTGTTAACTGTTTAAGCTTCTGCCTCCCCTTCCTCAGCTGTTCCCTTCTGCAAAGCGATGAATAAATACATGTTTCCATCTGAATATTTTGCAGGCGCAAGGTAAACAGACTCGTTCGCTCCAGGCTGGGTGACAGAGCCTCGCGCGGAAGGTTGAGGCGGTGCGGGGGCGGGGGGGGGTCCCCTTCCCTCTCTCCTCCGGGTCGGAGCCAAGCCGGCCCCTCCTCCCCTCCTCGCCCCTGCCTGGAGACCTCACTTGGCCCGGCCTCCGCCAACCCACCACGCCGCTTCCCGGTTCGGACGCAGCCGCTGTTCTGGTGACTCGGGTGCTGCCGCCGGCCCTTCTCAAGCCGCCCAGGCTTTTGGGGGGCAGTTACCCACCCCGCTGTCCGTGAGGGGCCGAGCCCCAGAACCCCCACCCCTCCACTCTTCCCCAGCAGGCGAGCGCGAAGCGGGCCCGCGGCAAGGGGACGATATCTCGCCACCTGGAACAAAGGCGTCCCGGCGCGCCCAGAGCCTGGGGTCCGGATGGCAGATCCGGGAGCGACGCCGGGTCTTTACCTGAACTCGGGACTCGACCAGGTCTAGGCGCAGCGCCAGCGCCTCGCGCATGAACACGTCGGGATAGTGGCTCTCGTTGAACGCCTTCTCCAGCTCCTCCAGCTGCCAGCCGGTGAAGTTGGTGCGGGTGCGCCGCCGCTTGCAGCCCGGGCTCTCCTTGTCCGGGTCCCCCGAGTCTGCGGGCAGTCACAGGACGCAGCGCGGCTCAGCCACCGGCCCAGGCCCGACCCCCACCCCTCCCTCCCGCTACCCGCTGGCCGCCTGGATCCGGGGGGGGGGGCGCAGAGACGGCCGCCTAGGAGCCGGCTCTCCTTCGCCAGCCCCGGGCCCCCCAGCGCCTCGGCCGGACCAGGGCCCCCGCCCCCAGCCGCACTCCTCCCCGCCCTCCCGCCCGCCGCGCCTACCTGACAGCTTGAAGGGCTGGCCGTCCCCGCCGACCCCGCAGGCGGCTGGCAGCAGCGGCGTGGGGTTGACCACCGAGGCGGCGGCGGCGCACGAGCCCCCGAGCAGGCCGTCGATGGAGAAGGGCACCGAGGCGGCGGCGGCGGCCGACTGCAGCTGGTGCCCGGCCAGCTCGTACACGTGGTGGTGGCCCAGCGGGTAGGGGAAGCCCACCACGCCGCCCAGCGAGCCCCCGAACTGGGCATGCGGGTGTTCCAGGAGGCGGCCGTCCATCATCTCGCGCGGGGGGCCGGCGGGGCCGGTGGCGGGGCGCGGGGGCGCGGGCCGGGGCCGGGGCGGGCCAGCGGCGGGAGGCGCGGGCGGCGGCGGCGGAGACAGGGACCCGGAGCCCCACACATGCTTCGCCCGCACTCCGGCGCTTTACTTATCAACATCAAGCTCCCGATAATTAGCCGCGGCCCGGGGAATTTGGGACCAATAAGAAGCGCTAATCGGCTCTGACGTCAGAGGCGTGCTGGGTGCAGGGAAACGTTTTCCATATCGATTGCTAATTATACCTGACATGCACCTCAATAAACAGTATCAGGAACTGTCACAACAAGACGGGCTGGGGGCGGGGGGAGCCGGAGGGAGGGAGGGAGGGAGGGAGGGGCCGCCCAGGGCCGGGCAGGCGCGGGCTGGTGCCTGGGCCCGGGGCAGGGGCCCCCAGCTAGCCCCCCACTTCACTCGGGGCCGGCCCCGAGCCCGCGCCTCCCGCCAGCCGCCGCCTCCCCGCCCCTCCGCAAATCACTAATAGATTTCCCTTTAAAACATTCAGCGCCGTGTTGTGGGGATTTTTCACCAGAAATGCTGTACTCTCTGAACCTTTAAAGTGATGTTGCTCCAATTACAGAGAGACATTGAGCGGCAAATAGACTGATCCAATAATAGGAGATTCATCATCCGCTTTTCCGAAACTGTCACATTGAATTTAAAACTACAAGGCTTCTCATCTCCTCCTCTCCGGCTGCAGGCGGCGGGAGAGGAGGAAGGAGGAGGAGGAGGAGGAGGAGGGCGATCCCGAAAGAGAAGAACTACAGAATGTAGCACCCTGTCAATAAAGAGGCGTAACTAATGCCCTCTCTGATTGACTGGCAGTCGCCCTATCTACAAAGACAGAGGTGGGGGGGGCTGCGGAGGCTCCCCGACCCCCATCCCCATAAAGCCCGGGCGCAGAGGAGGAGAGAGGGATGGGGACAGGAGGGGAAAAGTAACTTTGGGGTGGGGCCGATCCGCCCCCACCCCCTTACACGCTCGAATAAAGATAAATACATCCGCTCTGACTCGGCCTCTGAAGGATGGGGCTGAAGCACCCAACCCATTTATTATAATTAAATTATGTTCTCAGAGAAGTGTCACTCCCTTCTCTGCTATAAAATATTGATAGACTCAAAGCTAAATCACTAAAGGATATATTCTTAAATAAGCAGCAAATCAGGATTGTGGGCAGCAAGGAAAGAAATGAGGGGATGTCGGTCCATCTCTCTCCTTTGTAAAAAAGTTTGTCAGTGGGGTGGTCGCATTTGGCTGCGGGACCCCAGTGCTGGACTAGTTGGGTTAGGGCCACCTCTCCAGCAGTGAGTGCCCCGAGCCTCGGCCAGCCCAGGGCGGGGAAGAGAGGAGGAGAGCTCCGGCCTGGGCTGGGCCAGTCTGCGGAGCCACCACCACCCCAGGGCAAAGTGACAGACCAGTTGGCTTTGGGTGTAAGTAAGTGACTTGGGCCAGGCCTCCAAGCCCTAGCCCGCGTGAGAGGGAAGGGCAGGCCGGGACCGTGCGCATCTCTGCGTCCCTCCGGGTCAGGTGCCCGTGCCTGGGCCGGGGAGGGTGGGGGGTGCCGGAAACGCTCAGGAGGGGAATGCTTGGGTTGGCGGGCGCAAGGCCACCCCGTCCTGCCACACGACTGCCTGTCCCTGCGACTGGACCCACAGTCTGGCCCTGTTCCTAACTGAAGGTCGTGGACGGGCCGATCCACGCTGACTCCGACTTCAATGACCCTCTTGTCTCTCCTTGCGGGAGAGGAGGGGACGGCGCAGGGTTGAGGACCAGGCCCAGCCAATCCAGGAGACCGAGAGGCGGCCTGGAATTTGGGGAGCCCCCTCCCTGTTTCCAGTCTCACTAGGAAAACGCTGCGAGTATTCATTCCGAGGTCAGAGGCCAAGAGCACTACTTTTCGCCATAATTTAATTTCTGTCTCTATAAATACTAAATGTAAACTCCGTCCATCCGACTCGATTTCGCCAGCAGCCACAAGCGCCTGGTCTTCTGTTGGGTTCGCGAGGAGGAATGCGCGCGGCGCGTGTTTCTGAATACAGAGCTGTAATCTATTCGGCCCGGGGGGAGGGCAGAGGAGGGGCGCGCGCCGGCCGAGCTCCCTCGCCCATCTCTCTTTATTATAATGAATTAATTCGACTTTATTTATCCCATTTTCTGGAGCTGACAGAATGTTAATTTGAGTTGAAATTTCGCTCGCCTCTCACTCTCTGACCCCTGGCCTTCAGATTGGCGTGTTGTAATAACCCGAATCTTTCAACAGAGGCCCTGATAATTGTTACCTTATTAGCATGCAAATTGTTTAATTAATATTATTATGAAGAAGCATACAATCCGTCCGTCACTTGACCTCAAGAGCGAGTCCGCGCCGCGGCGGCTCCGTGCGTCCCAATGCTCGCATTTCAATCGCCCTGTGTTTTTCATGCTGTCGGGCCGGCTCGCGCTCCGAAAACCTCCTCGAGTGTTTGAGAGGGGCCTTTAATGACGGTGGGGGCGGCCGGGACGACCCCCGCCCGGCTCGAGAGCTCTTCAGAGGCCCTCGGCTGCGGCGGCGCCGCGGGGAGTCGCTCGGCTTCTGCTCTCGGCCCCCACCCCCCCACCCCGCCCCCCATTTTCAACATCAAAATTTCATAATCGCCTCCTTGTCAGTTGCTGCCGCTGGAGCGGTCGCTTTAAAGGGTCCCCCCGCCCCCTCCCCCTCCCCCGCGCCCTTCCCCGCGCCCCTCCCCCACGCCCTCCCCCGCGCCCTCCCCCGCCCCTCCCCCGCCCCCGCCCCCTCCCTCGCGGGCCCTGTTCCTCCAAACAACTGCATGGGAAGCAGCCCTCGACACGCGGTCCTGGGAGACGCTGCATTTAAATCCCTTTTTCTACAGCCGAGTGACATTGTCAGATGCTAGCTTTAATTAACTTGATAATAAGACGCACACGACTCGCATTCAGGACGCCGCTCGCCTCGCCGTGTTCCTCGGCTCCCCCCCACCCACCCGCCGCCCCCGCAGCCGCCGCTACTTTGATTCGGGGTGGGGGGTCTCAGCGCTGCCGGACGCGCCCCGGCCCGGTCCAGCCCGCGGTCCAGGGGGACGGGGGTCGCGGGGCCGCATCCTAAACCCCCCCTCATCCTCCGCGCCCGCCTCGGCTCGGGGCTGCGGCCGGCCGGGAACCTCCTCGCCCCGAGCGCACAGGGCTGGGGCCCCGGGCCCGACGGCCGCGCGAGACAAAGGGCCCAGGCGCGCGCGCCCGGCCCAGCCGGAGACCTCCGGGGCCCGCCTTCCGCCTGCCCCTTCCCCCGCCCGGGCCGCGGCCTCTGGCAGCTCCAGGCCGCTCGGCCCTTCCCTTCCCGGGCGCACCGTGAGGACCGGCCTCCTGCGCTTGGGCCCAGCTGGGGGCCCGGAGTCCGGGTCCGGGTCGGGGGCGGCCGGAGCGCCTCCCCCTCTGGCCCGCCAGCCCCGGGGCCGTCTAAGCAGGTGTCTGCAGCCATCTCCCCATCCAGATAAAACTAATAAAATCGCCCATCCAACACTGATGTCAATATTACTTTAAATTACACAAAATCAAATTTATTTTTAATTAGCAAATTAATAGGCGGCAGTTGAGGGTTTTAATTACTCAATTAACTTCACGCAAGTTAATTTTTAACTATCTAAATTAACTTGCGCATTACTCGATTTGCTGATAATTACAGAATTAAATCTAAATTAATTGTTGGAGGTGATTTGATCCGCTGCTGAACTGGATGAGATTCCAATTAACCAGCAAAGAGATTTTGTTGATGTTTTCAACAACTGGAACCTTTGATTTGATTTTATGAGGAAACTACTTTTCAAAACGTCCCTCTGATCCTCGGAAAATTGTATCCTTCTTAATCCGGACAATTAAAACTTCCCTCCATAATTATCTATAATTGTAATTCTGTCAAAGCAAAAGGGGGAGTAGAGAAGGAGGTGGGGGGGGCAGGGACGTGAAGGCGATTGATTTTGAGTTTTAATTCACTTCATTTCTGATAGAAAGAAAAAAGTAATTCGCTTCAAATTACCTCGTTCAATCCTGACACCCTAATGCCCTTCAAAAATCTTTTTCTCTTGCATTAAAAAACCCTGAATCTGAAATGAGTGTGCCTTTTTAATAATAATAACCAAACTTCCATCAGAATAATAATTTCATTTCAATTAAAACTGACTTATCACCTTTGCTAAAACGTGCTTAATATGCCGAAAATTATCAATGCTTGAAGGAGCCCAAATCAGGAGTCTAATTGTAATCAGGAAATCGGAGGTGCTTGTCGACTCGGTGCCAGAGCAGAGAGGCAGTTCGGAAATGGAACTAATTTACTCTACTCCCCCGGGAAATCCGCTCAACAGATTAACATTTTCAAAATATAGTAATGATATAATTTGAGAAATGGTGACGCCAATTTGTGAGAAGCTCTTTGTGCGGAGCCATTTGCATTTTCGCTGCCTGCATTTTCTGTTAATCACAGCTCCATTTGATGGGGGTTTGCAATTTGACTTATTCCTTATTATAAAACTTCAATTTAGTAATTTAACACAATGAGAGAGAAAATGTAACCAAATCTTCAGATAACCCCCATTTCATTTCTGCAACACCTTCAGAGTGCTGAGAGGGAGAGGGAGACGGGAGATTTGAATTGGAAATCAGCTTCATTTCTCTGCTGGTAAAAACAGTTTTAGAATTCTTCATTGAGGGGCAGGAGGCAACCCATAGGCCTGAAGATTTTAATCCAAATTTTATAACTTTTTTCAGGCACAAAAAAACCTCCAACATGTCACCCAATACAAAGAGACAAGAGAAAGCTTTTTTATTACGCCCCCCACACACCCCCGTTTCTGAAGACGTCTTGCTCCCGACTGATTCCTTGTTTCACGCCCCTGCACTCCCCAGAGCTCCCTCCTGCAGAGTTCTCTCTCTCCTGCACTTCCCACCGCTCGCCTTTCCACTCCTCCGGGAGTTGCTGCAGCCTTCTCTCCCGGGGCAGGCCAGGAAGGGCCCCTCTCCCATTTCCACCCCAGGCTGCCTCCCCACGCCTGCCACTTCCCTCCCCTCCCTCGCCCCAGTCTCCATCTTCCTCTTTCTCAACTTTCCCCTTCTCCTAACTCATCCCCTGATTTAATCACCCATGGATTTGTTTCAGAGGCTGCTTCTAATTTGCTGTGCTTTATTTGAAAGTGCGATGAAAGTAATAAGGAGGTTAATATTTTATCAACAATAAAATTTTAGCTCCAGTGTTTGCCTTGTATTTTATAAACTCAATCTGCGCCGCGTTACCCTCCTGTGAGCCATTTGTAACCGCCTCGCCTCCCCACTAGACGGCCAGAGCCCAAGTCCCCTTGGGCCAAGTTCCCCGGCCGGGATCCAGGTGGCTTCTTTCACCCACGCCACCAAGATGGTAGCCCCAGGCCTCCAGGTGGGGTGCAGGCCAAAGCGGGTCCCACGGACCCAGGCTGAGGTGGGGGTACAGGTCTCCCAGGGCGGGGAGGCAGGCAGGGGCCTGAGGGATGTGGCCGGCTTTGTGTTTGCGGTGGGGCCTTGCCAGCTCAGAGGGACCGGAGCCTCCCAGCTACTCAGCTGGGGTCCAGTGGCAGAATGTGGCCAGGAGGAGAAGGGGCTGCCCGGCGGGGGGCCTTCCTCTGTTGTTTTAAGCGGAGCTGGCCTTCGCGCTAGCTCCTCTGAAGTCTGTGGCCATGGACACCGGCCTGGGTCTCAGTGGGAGCCCGTGAAGGTGGTTCAGGGGGATGTTCTGAGCCTCCGCTAGCCCTTCCCAGGCCCTGCCTGACTTTGTTGGGGAGGTTGGCCTAAAAGCTCCTAGGCCCTAGGCCTCCAGTCCTCTTGCACTAGGGAAGAAACCTAGACCAGCAGACAGCTGAGGACCCCACTGACGGTCCCCACAGCTGCAGGGTCTCCTCCCCACACCTCTCGGAGGGTACCAGAATCCAGGGAGCAGCTATATGGTGGTGCCAGCCCACAGTGTGAGAAGGTGTGAAGGTCCGTTGGGCCCAGGCCAGCCATTCGCCCCCAGGCTGGGCCCCAGCACCAGGGCTAGGGCTGGAGGCCGGAGGGCACAGGAAAAGTCGCTCAGGCTGTGACAAGCAGAGGGCTGGCGGGACAGGCAGTGGCCAGGCACTGAGAGCCCCATCTGTGGAAGTCTGGGGCGGCCACCTCATTGTGCCAGCCCACCAGGCAGCAGTCAGCGTCCCTCCTCCCAACATCCCCCTTCGCCGGAGGACAGCCCGTGGACACTTTCCCCGACACCCCAGGCCCCTCTCCCTCTGCCTCAGAGGTCCAGGGGATCTGCAGTCCTGGTCACCGGTGCCCTATTGGTGCCCCCAGGCCAGGGGCAGCTCCGCCCTTGGAGTCTGGGGAGCTGGAAGACTGCGAAGGGTTAACACTCTTTGTTATGGCTCCTTTTAATCCTCAGATGGGCCGGCGGCTCACGTTGTTCAGATCTGGTAGAGAGAAAGCGTTAACTATTATCTGCTTCTAGCTGACCATCTGCTGTTGCAGAAAATTCAAAACCCTGGAGATCTACTTATATCCACATCGTAAACGAGAAAAGATGTTTTAATTAAGGGAAATCAGGTTAACTTAGCTCTAATTTACAAGCCGCCTGCCTAATGAATTGTCTGGGCTGCTCTCTCTTTGTAGAGAGTAAATCTAGGATCCTTTCCCTCCGCAGTTCAGACACTAATTAACTAACCAAGAGTTTTAGTAGCACATCCGCCTGTCGTCTAATAGTTTTACCTAAAGCCAGCCCGGTCATTGCTCGTACAAATTGCCAATTAAATGTGATTGATATAATGAAATTGGATTGTATTTTTCACTCACCTTCTCCCTTCCCCTTCCTCCTGTATGTTCTGACCCTCTCTGCCCAGGGCCCAGGCGCCAGACCGCGCGCACCAAGAACAACAAAGCCAAACAGAACCGGCCCGGCCCGGGCCACGCGGGCTGCAGCGGCGCCGGCGCCGGAGCCGTGCAAGTTCCTGTTAAACCCACATTTCTATTAGTTGAAGTTAACAGGCGTAATCTTGTTTCCAGATATTTATCCACGTTCGGAGGGCCGTAGTTACATGTTTGAAGTTAGGGGGGAAAAGTGAAGGATCTGAGCTGCCATTCTAAAAATACATTAACAGTTTCCAAAATCTATATCGCTGCTTAATTAAATCTGTTATCCTGTTTGTAGGATCTGTGGCTAATTATTTAGAGTCATTTAATCTACTCAATTTGCACGTTAATTAAACAGCATCGGTTTGCAGAGCGCGGCCGGGCGGGCTCGGAGGGGCGCAGCGCCGCCTGGTGGGGATCCAGCCTGGACAGCGCGCTCGGGGCCGGAGCCGCGCGCACCGGGCCTGGATCCCGGGGTCCCGGGGCCAGAGTCCCCAGAGGGTGAGCGGCCCCGATGGTGGAGGCCGGGAGAGGGGCTGCGCGGCTTCCAGGAAACGCTCTCAGGTCATCCCGCAGGGAGACACGGGGTGGCTACGGTCAGCCGCCAGGACGCAGCTCTTGTTATTTACGGGCAGGGGGATTCATTCATTCATTCACCCATTCATTCACTCATTCACTCACTCACTCATCCATCCCTCCCTCCCTCCCTCCCTCTCCCCTGCCCCTCCTTCTGCCGCCACTCCAGGCACCGGGACGCAGCTCTTCTGTAATTTACTGTCAAGGGGATTCATTCATTCATCCATCCATTCATTCATTCATTCACTCATTCACTCATCCATCCCTCCCTCTCCCCTGCCCCTCCTTCTGCCCCCACCCCGGGCACCGGGACGCAGCTCTTCTGTTATTTACGGGCAGGGGGATTCATTCATTCATCCATTCATTCACTCACTCACTCACTCACTCATCCATCCATCCACCCCTCCCTCTCCCCTGCCCCTCCTTCCGCTCCAACCCCGGGCACCGGGACGCAGCTCTTCTGTTATTTATGGGCAGGGGGATTCATCCATTCATTCATTCATTCATTCACTCATTCACTCACTCACTCACTCACTCACTCACTCATCCATCCATCCCTCCCTCCCTCTCCCCTGCCCCTCCTTCCGCTCCAACCCCCGGCACCGGGACGCAGCTCTTCTGTTATTTACGGGCAGGGGGATTCATTCATTCATTCATTCATTCATTCACTCACTCATCCATCCATCCATCCATCCCTCCCTCCCTCTCCCCTGCCCCCTTCTGCCCCCACCCCCTGCACGGAGTGGAGGGGTCAGGGCGGGGTGCAGGCCGGGGTGCAGGACTCGCGCACGCAGCAGAAGCCGGTCTGCTCTGCGCTTCGGCACCGCTCCAGCCTGGGGCGTGGGGCCCGCGCCGGCCAGGCCTGGTTAACTGGAAAACGATGGAGCCGCGCCCCGCCCCCGCACTTGCGGCCTAATTGTTTTCCCTCGCCCGTCCCCATCTGTCCCTCTCCGCCCGTGTGTGTTTTGGCCTTTGTCTCGCTGCCCCGCGCTGACACCCTCTTTCAAAGGCCGCTTCTGTCGCCCTTCACCGATCTCTTCTGCCCCATTAACCCATCGGCACGAGGCTCCGGCAACAAAGGCCTGAAATCGGATGGACGCGCGCGCGCTCTCCCCACCGTCCGCCGCGGTCTCCGCGCCCCGCTCAGCTCGGCCCGGCCCGGCCCGATGGGGCGGGAACGGAGCTGGCCAGGAAAGTGCTCGCGGTGGTGGCCCGAGCCCGAGTCCCGCCTGCAGAAGCCGGAGCCTTGGCAGGGGCCCCGAAGCAGCTGCACCCCGGGAACGCACCGCGCGCTGCGAAAGCTAATCCGGCCGCGTCCCCCTTTGTCCCTCCCTGGATGTGAAACTGTCGAGTGGGGGGCCCAGGGCTGCGGGAGGAGAGAGGCAGGTCCTCCTCGGAGCCTGGTAAACAAAGACCAGGAAGCCGGGAACCGAACCTGGGGTGGGACCTCTTCGGATTCCCCCCACCTCCCGGAGAAGGCCACGCAGCGGCCGAACCTCAGGGCGCGCAGATGCCAGCGCTCATGCCCACGCCGCGAAACCCTTGGGGCAGGAAACCCACAATCCCGGGAGGGAGCAGGGTCCTGAGGCCCCAGGCGCCCTCTCCAACCCACCGCCCTCACGGAGGCCGGGACCTCCGTGCAGCCTCTTCGACTACTGCTCATGGGAGAGGAAGGGGTCGAGGCTTTCCCTGGGACCTGTGCAGTAGCTTGACGCCTGGCAGCTCCTTGGAGAGGGCTGGGGGCAGAGGGGAGCCTCCAAGCCGCCTGTCTCTGCAGTGCGGCCTGCATCTTCCCTCTCCTGGGCGGAGGGGTCCTCCCAGGGCTGCCTTCTTCTGACCGCTGTGGCAGGAGGAAGGTGGAGGTCACCTGAGTGTCATCCTACAGGCCACCCGAAGGTCACCTTTCTCTGAAGCGGGGCTTGTTCTCTGAAGCGGGGCTTGGGACCTCAGCAGGAGGCCTCACATTAGTCCAGCTGGTGCTGAGATGCCCATGGGTGCTTAGCCAGTGTAGTCTAGGAGTCCAGCTCAGAGAAAACTTTTTTCACCCAGCACTGACCTGTTTTTATTTTCTGTCCTATGACTCTGCAATGCTCTCTGCAGAGCCATCCTAGGAGACGCCGAGCTGGTCCCCGGGAGGATGGGGACACCTTGTGTCCAGGCTGGGTGAAGGGGTTCCAGTGTCAAACTCAGCCTGGGTTATCTTCTTGTTTTTCAAATTCATTAAACGTTTGAAATTAGGAAGTTGCAAGAACAAGAAAGGGCATAGCAAGGCCGATGCAGACCTCCCAGTCCCCTCTGCCAGGACCTCCCATGCCTGATGGGCCTCTCCATGCTCCACCCTTGCGCTCCTTGGACCAGAGGCCCAATTCTGGGAGTTCTGCCATTTCCTGCGGCTGATCTGGTGAAAGGAGGGTCTTTGTATTATTCCTTTTAGAGGGTCTGGTGGGCTCTAAGGATTCAGAAAGAGCAGGGTCTTCACTGTCTCCCTATCTCCCTTTGACTGGGGCTCAAGTCACATTTCAGTTTTTCTGCTACTGGAGTTTTTTTTTTTTTTTTTTTTTTTTTTTTTTTTTTTTTTTTGAGACGGAGTCTCACCCCGTCTCCCAGGCTGGAATGCAGTGGTGCGATCTCCATCTCGGCTCACTGTAAGCTCCACCTCCTGGGTTCACACCATTCTCCTGCCTCAGCCTCCTGAGTAGCTGGGACTACAGGCGCCCACCACACCCGGCTAATTTTTTGTATTTTTAGTAGAGACGGGGTTTCACCGTGTTAGCCAGGATGGTCTCAATCTCCTGACCTTGTGATCTGCCTGCCTCGGCCTCCCAAAGTGCTGGGATTACAGGTGTGAGCCACCGCGCCTGGCCCTGCTACAGGATTTTTATAAACCCATTTGACAACTTAGAAATCCAAGCCCTGGCCAGGCACAGTAGCTCACGCCTGTAATCCCAGCACTTTGGGAGGCCAAGGTGGGCAGATCACCTGAGGTCAGGAGTTCAAGACCAGTCTGGCCAACGTGGTGAAACCCTGTCTCTATTAAAACTACAAAAATTAGCCAGGCATGGTAGTGGGTACCTGTAATCCCAGCTATTCGGGAGGCTGAGGCAGGAGAATCGCTGGAACCCAGAAGTTGGAGGTTGCAGTAAGCTCAGATCACACCACTGCACTCCAGCCTGGGCAACAGAGTGAGACTGTCTAAAAAAAAGAAAAGAAATCCAAGGCCTGTGTCTGCCCCAGATGCAGCTTTTAGCACGTGGACTCTGGATGGGACACCAGGGGGTCTTCCATACTGGCCAACTTGTACGAGTGTTCAGGCAAAAGCTAGGGGTGAATTAAAGCTTTGAGGGCAACTCACAGAACCACTGGAGTAACTTCACGTGAGTTCCCACCCAGAGGCTGAAGACACGCAGTCTCAGCAATTGTAATAGGACTGTAACAACAGGCAAGGCTGATTTTGTGTGTGTGTGTGTGTGAGACGGAGTCTCTCTCTGTCATTAGACTGGAGTGCAGTGGCGGGATCTCAGCTCACTGCAAACTCCGCCTCCCAGGTTCAAGCGATTCTCCTGCCTCAGCCTCCTGAGTAGCTGGGATTACAGGCATGCGTCACCATACCTGGCTAATTTTTTGTATTTTTAGTAGAGATGGGGTTTCACCATGTTGGTCAGGCTGGTCTTGATCTCCTGACCTCGTGATCCACCCACCTTGGCCTCTCAAAGCGCTGGGATTACAGGTGTGAGCCACTGCGCCCGGCCAAGGCCTATTTTTAAAATAACAGCTTTATTGAGATATCACTGGCACCATCACATCCATCCTTTTAAAGCATACAATTCGGCATCTGTATATACATCCCCAGAGCTGCGTCACCACCACCCCTATCCAGTTCTGGAACATTTTCATCACCCCGAAAAGAGACCTGGCACCCATTAGCAGTCACTCTCCGTCCCCAGCTCCCTCCCCCAGCCCCCGGCAACCACTAATCCACTTTCTGTCTCCATGGATTAGGCGAGGATAATTTTGCAAGAAGAGATCCTACCGTCTGGAAAGGAGTATAAAATGAGGAAACGGGGGGTGAGGACTGAAAATACTTTCTCCTGTGATCAACACGAGAGAAAGAAACAAGGGAAGAAATGCTACCTGGGAACTGGAGGCGGGGAAGGACCAGGAGCTGAGCTCTGCGTCCCTGTGTCCTCAGCCCCCGCCATATGGTTTAAACATCAGCACTCTTGTTTTTTTCAGAGTCTACAGACATGTTCTCATATCTCCCCAGCCCCTTCTGCTGGCAGTGTCTGCATTCTGTGGGCGCAGGGTGGCTGCCAGCATGCTGAAGGTCACAACTGTCCTCTCAGTCCGGCCCCTCCTGTGTGGCCAGCTCGGCCCCCGAGGGGTCCCTGGGGAGGATCCTCTTGGCCTACTCGTCCCCGCCACTCCCTGGTCTTGAGGACTCAATTCCGTATCTGCTGGGTTGGTGTCCTCCTACTACCTTACCAGGTTCGATTTGGAGTTTAACACACTTAAGAGAAAGGTGCGGTAGCTCACGCCTGTAATCCCAGCAGTTTGGGAGGCTGAGGCGGGCAGATCATGAGGTCAAGAGATTGATACCAGCGTGGCCAACACGGTGAAACTCCGTCTCTACTAAAAATACAAAAATTAGCTGGACATGGTGGTGCGTGCCCATAATCCCAGCTACTCGGGAGGCTGAGGTGGGAGAATCACTTGAACCCGGGAGGCGGAGGTTGCAGTGAGCCGAGATCACGCCACTGCACTGCAGCCTGGGTGACAAGAGCAAAACTCCGTCTGAAAAAAAAAAAAAAAAAAAAAAAAAAAACTTAAGAGGTTGCTCAGTTCAGAAAATGCCATTTCGTTTTCCCTGAATAAAAATACTTTTGAACTTAGCCTATTTTCACACTAGATTTTGCCCTCCCCCCAGTTCTTTACAAGCCCCGGCTCCTGACAATCTCAACGTTGGGCTTCTAATGAGTATTTTCTTGATTTACAGCAGAAATGAGCAGTTATCTGCTAATAACCCCTGAGTCTGAAATTAAAAGGGATAGAGAAAATAAACCAAATTGCAAAGATCAGCTCTCGTTAAATAAAGTCGTTGTGAAAAGACACGTAACAACGCTTTCACCCCCCAGATCAGAGACACGATGGCTCGTCATTTGAGGGTTGCAATTATTTAACACTGCTCAGTAGCCAAGGGACACTTACCCCAGAAACATTAAATGGACATTTGTTAATTAATTCTCAGCAGAGCCCTTCCAGCTACTTACACACAGACAAACTGAGGCAGGGGTGAGGGGCAGGGCGGAAGGGAGCTCTTCCCACGTCCCCCCTGCTCCATTATGACTTAGGCCCCTCCCATCTTATCAACTCGTTCCTGCCCAGGGATGTGTGACAGTCAGAGGGTGGCTAAATTGCTCTGAAGATTTCATAAACAAAGGCATAGCTAAAGGAATAATGTTCCTGTTGCCTTTGACCTTCCTACAGAGTCAGAGGTCAGTCAAATTCCACCCACCAGGAGAAAAACAAGAAACTTGAGATGGTTCACAGTAACCTCAAGTTAAGGAGTCCATGGGTAGTGAGTTCCGGGGGTGATGGGGATAGGACATCTGTCTACAGAGATATGCAGCAAGTCTGCAAGAAGAAATTACATCCCAGTTAGGGTCATGTGTGAGAACTGGTCATGAGTGCGAACTGGAGCTCACCGGTGTCGTCGTGAGTGAGGGCCAAGGTGGCAGAGAAGTTTAAACCTTCAGTCTCCCAGGTTCCCGGTTCTCCCGCCTGCCCCAGCCACCAGGGGTGTCTCCAGGCCCCACACAGGAACCTGAGAGCTGTTTGCTCTCTCTGGCTTGCTGCAAACAGCTTTCATTCCTAGACACAATTTTTTTTTTTTTGAGATGGAGTCTCACTCTGTTGCCAGGCTGGAGTGCAGTGGTGCAATCTCAGCTCGCTGCAATCTCTACTTCCCCGGTTCAAGCAATTCTCCTGCCTCAGCCTTCCGAGTAGCTGGGACTACAGGCATGTGCCACCACACCCAGCTAATTTTTGTATTTTTAGGAGAGACGGGGTTTCACCATGTCGGCCAGGCTCCTCTCCAACTCCTGACCTCAGGCGATCTGCCCACCTCAGCCTCCCAAAGTGCTGGAATTAAAGGCATGGGCCACCATGCCCGGCCCCTGGACACAACTATTAATAGCAGTGGGTCAGGGGAGTGAGCCCAGGAGACCGGGGGAATGCAGCTTCTTGGTGCTCTGTCTGAGAGACTTGCTGCCCAGCTCGCAGGGGAACGTCTGCATGGCAGGTGCAGGGGTTGCCACTCCAGGTCCCCTCCTGACCCCTACTCCCCCACACCCAGCTCATTTTCAGAACCCCTTCGTGACCTCCCGCTGGGCCATTGCAGCTCTGGGCCGGTCAGTCTGACACTGCAACGCACCCGGGGTGCAACCCACGTTCAGAATAGGCAGGAGGAGCGCTGGGGGCCTGTGTCACAATGGCCTGAGTAGAGGCTGGGTGGCCCATCGGATTCTCGGGACCACTGCAAAGCAGAGGGAGCATAGCCTGTGGGAAGCGTGAGCGGGGGCCGCCTGCTTCTCCTCCTCTGCCCGGTTACACGGGCTAGGGCAGGCTGCTGGAAGAGGCCCACCGAGTTCCCCCATGGTAGCGTCTCTGGAGTCTTGGGGCCCAGGCCACTCCCACGGAGCGGCGAAACCATGCCCTGCTCACGGGGCTGCCAGCATTGCTGAAAAGGCCTCTTTTGCTTTCATCAGCATTGTTAAAGTGCGCTGGAGACAATGGGCACCTGGCTTGTTCACCTTCAGGTTTGGCTCAGGGTCACTGGCAAAGGCGGGCCAACCTCTCTCTGCCTTCTCTAGGAAACTTCTGCATCATTTGGTTATGGCTTCGTTTCCCCCTAAATAAGATACCCTCAAACTTACTAAGACGAGAGTGACTCATTTTTTTTCATTAAAAAAATTTGTTATTATTATCAGGCCGGGCTACTAAATACTAAATATTTAATATTTTTGTATTTTGTATTTTGTATTTAGTAGAGGTTTTCACTATGTTGGCCAGGCTGGTCTCAAACTCCTGACCTCAAGCAATCCACCCACCTCAGCCTCCCAAAAAATGACTTTCAAACAGAGTTCTGTATAATGGTGAAGAACCACAGACTTCAAGATGGAGGAAACGGTCATGAGTCAATGCCTCAGCCCTCAGACAAAACACAGGAGAACAGAGACAGGGAAGAGGACCTGTGTCACCAGGAGGCTCCTGCGGCCACCTTCCTGAGAAACTGGGGGCGATGCTTTCCTGAGCTCAGGTGTGTGAACGAGAAGGTGACTGGTGTGGTGTGCGGGGGTGGCTGGGAGCTGTCCTAGAAAGAAGACTTTCGTTGTCTCCCCCGAAGGACAGGCTGTTCCAAAGTCCAGGAGAAGCTCCCACCTCCCTGAGTGCCCAGGGGTCAGAGGGGTGCAGCAACCTCGTTGCCCTGTACATGGCACACATAAAGGCCCCAGCTTGAGGCAGCATCCGGGGTCTTCCACCAAGACTACCAGGCCCCACCTGCACAGGTCGGGTTATTGCTATGGCCATGAGGGAGGCCATCTATCTGGGGGTTTTGGGGGCATCTCAATAAAGAAGAGCGAAAATGGCCAGGAGCGATGGCTCACGCCTGTAATCCCAGCACTCTGGGAGGCAGAGGTGGGCCGATCACTTGAGGTCAGGAGTTCGAGACCAGCCTGGCCAACATGATGAAACCCTGTCTCTACTAAAAATACAAAAATTAGCCAGGCGTGGTGGCACCCACCTCTCATCCCAGCTACTCGAGAGGCTGAGGCACGAGAATCACTTGAACCCAGGAGGCAGAGGTTGCAGTGAACCGAGATTGTACCACTGCACTCCAACCTGCGTAACAGAGTGAGACTCTAAAAATAATTTTTTTAAATGTCAATTAAAATAAAATAAAAAATATTAAAATTTAAAAATGCACCTTTAGTCCCAGTTACTTGGGAGGCTGAGGTTAGAGGATCACTTGAACCTGGGAGGTCGAGGCTGTAGTGAGCCTTGGTTATGTCACTGTACTCCAGCCTGGGCAACAAAACGAAACAAAAAAACAAAAACAAAAACAAATGGGTAACATGGAAAATTTTATGTTATGTCTCTTCAACGCAGTGAAGAGACAACTTGCAGAAGGGGAAAAAATATTTGCAAACTATCCACCTGACAAGTGACTAATACCCAGAACATACAAAGAACTCAACAGCATAAACCCAAAGATTCCAGTTTAAGAATGGGCAAAGGATCTGAAGAGACTATCTAAAAAGAAGACATATAACTGACCAACAAACATATGAAAAAATGATTGGCATCACTAATCATCATGGAAATGCAAATCCAAACCACAATGCGATATCATCTTACCCCAGTTAGAATGGCTGTTATCAAAAAGACAAAAAATAACCAGTGCTGGTGAGGATGTGGAGAAAGGGGAGCTCTCATATGCCCTTGGCGGGAATGTAAACCAGTACAGCCGTGACGAAAAACAGCATGGAGATTCCTCAAAAAACTAAGAGAGGGGCAGGTGCGGTAGCTCACGCCTGTAATCCCAGCACTTTGGGAGGCCGAGGCGGGTGGATCACCTGAGGTCAGGAGTTTGAGACCAGCCTAGCCAACGTGGTGAAACCCCATCTCTATTAAAAATACAAAAAATTAGCTGGGCATGGTGGTGCATGCCTGTAATCCCAGCTACTTAGGAGGCTGAGGCAGGAGAATCGCTTGAACCCAGGAGGTGGAGGTTGCAGTGAGCCGAGATCGTGCCATTACACTCCAGCCGAGGCAACAGAGCGAGACTCCGTTTAAAAAAAAAAGAAAGAAAGAAAAAGAAAACAGACAAATGAATAAAGAAAATGTGGTATACTGTGCAGGATCTTGATTTAAAAGAAAAGGAAATGTGGTATATATACACCATGGAGTACTACTCACCCATGAAAAAGGATTCGATCCCGTCACTTGCAGCAAAATGGGTGAGGCTAGAGCTCATTATGTTAAGTGAAATTAGCCAGGCACAGAGAGACAGGTACTCCTTGTCCTGACTCATGTGTAGGAGCTTAAAAAGCTGAGCTCAGGCCGGGCGCGGTGGCTCACGCCTGTCATCCCAGCACTTTGGGAGGCCGAGGCGGGTGGATCACCTGAGGTCGGGAGTTTGAGACCAGCCTGACCAACATGATGAAACCCCATCTCTACTAAAAATACAAAATTAGCCGGGCGTGGTGGCGCATGCCTGTCGTCCCAGCTACTAGGAGGCTGAGGCAGGAGAATCACTTGAACCCGGGAGGCAGAGGTTGCAGTGAGTCAAGATTGCACCATTGCACTCCAGCCTGGGCAACAAGTGTGAGACTTCATCTCAAAAAAAAAAAATGCTGAGCTTGTAGAAGTAGAGAGGAGAATTGTGTTAAGAGAACCCGGGAGGGGGAGGGGAGGGAGGGCAAAGAGAGGTTGGTTAATGGAGCAGAATCACAGCGGGTCAGGAGGAGTAAGTTCAACTGCTCCATGGCACTGTCGGGTGACTCAAGTTAACTGTAATTTATTGTACATTTTCAAAACGCTACAAAAGCAGATTTGGGTTTCTTTGGGGGGGGTTATTTGTTTTGGTTTTTGTTTTTGTTTTTTTTGAGACGGAGTTTCACTCTTTTTGTCCAGGCTGGAGTGCAATGGCACAATCTCAGCTCACTGCAACCTCCACCTCCTAGGTTCAAGCGATTCTCCTGCCTCAGCCTCCCGAGTAGCTGGGATTACAGGTGTGTGCCACCACGCCCAGCTAATTTTTTGTATTTTTAGTAGAGATGGGGTTTTCGCCATGTTGGCCAGGATGGTCTTGATCACTTGACCTTGTGATCCACACGCCTCAGCCTCCCAAAGTGCTGGGATTACAGGCATGAGGCACTCCACCTGGCCTTGTTTTTGCTTTTTGAGACAGAGTCTCGCTCTGTCACCCAGGCTGGAGTGCAACTTCCACCTCCAGGGCTCATGATCCTCCCACCTCAGCCTCCCTAGGAGCTGGGATTATAGGTGTGCACTACCATGCCCCGATAATTTTTTTATTTGTAGAGACAGGGCCTCACTATGTCGCCCAGGCTCATCTCAAACTCCTGGGTTCAAGCAGTCCTCCTGCCTTGGCCTCCCAAAGTGCTAGGATTACTGGCATGAGCCATCACAGCCACCAAGAGTGGAACTGGAATGTTCCCTACACAGATGATGATAGATGTTAGAGTGGTGGGTCTGAGAATTACCCTGATTTGATCATTATGCACTGTATACATATATCCGAATATGGGGTACAGGGTGATATTTGGGTACATGTATACAATGCATAATGATCAAAATAAATATGCCTAATGATCAAAATAAAGTAAAAACGATATAAATTATTACGTAGCAACTAAAAAAAAGAAGAAAATATTTCTCAAACCGGCCCCCAGCAGAAGTGGGGCTTCCCCCAGGAAAAGGGTCTTGGGTGCAGGTTGAGCTCGGCTGGGCAGGTCTGAACGCCACAGCTGAACACAATTCGGGTTTCAGCAAAGCCGTGAAGTCCATGGAGGCGGGGAAGTAGAACAGGTCCCAACAGAAATCTGAGGGCTCGATCTCATTCCTTCCATCCTGATGGGCTTCATCCCAAGCCAGCCTTTCTTGCTCTGGGTGGCTCTTGCCCCTCTTTCTAAGGAGTCCTCAGCAAGACCCAGGACACCCACCGAACGCAGGCAGGCTCTCCCCGCGCCTCTCTCTGCGGCAACTCAAGACGCAGGGCTTCCTTGGTGCCCCCTGGCTCCCGGGGATGCGCCCCAAGGGGGAGGCGTCGGGAGGCTTCGGGCCGCTGCTGGCTCCCTGAGGGTCCCTATGCAGACCTCAGTCCCACTGCATTCCCCGGCTTAGAAGCCTTGCGGTTCACACCTTATGCTCTGTCTCCCCCAGACACGCAGGTGTCTGCCCACGGGGCAGGGCACCGATTTCTGGCCAAGTTTAAATTATTTCCAATTCTAGTTCTGGCATTGAGGGAAGAAAGCTGGTTGCATGAGGACCACACTAACCAAGGTTTTCTCTTCCCTACTGCTTTCATTTGTAGACTCTCCTCACCTTTAAAAGAAACTCTGCCAGGCCGGGCACGGTGGCTCACGCCTGTAATCCCAGCACTTTAGGAGGCCAAGGCAGGCAGATCACGAGGTCAGGAGTTCGAGACCAGCCTGGCCAATATGGCGAAACCCCGTCTCTACTAAAAATACAAAAATTAGTTCGGCGTGGTGGCAGGTGCCTGTAATCCCAGCTACTCGGGAGGCAGAGGCAGGAGAATCGCTTGAACTGGGAGGCACAGGTTGTAGTGAACCGAGATCAAGCCACTGCTCTCCAGCCTGGGTGACAGAGTGAGACTCCATTTCAAAAAGAAAAAAAAAAACTCTATCTTACCAAAAACACTCCCATTTGATCGGGGAGAGAATCTCTCAACAGAGTAGACTCCGACTAGAAGCCCTGGGCTCCGACACGGGTGCTTTTCCAAACCATAGCAGTCATGCTTCCCGCAGACGCCGCGTCTGGTGGAAAACCCCCTTTTTCTGTGATCACACATCACACCTGGAATTTGTTTCCTTTCTTCCTTCCTTTCTTGCTTTTCCTCTTTCTTTTTCTTTTTTTTCCCCCTCCTTTCTTTCTCTTTCTGTTTTTCCTTTCTTTTTTTTCTTTTGAGACAGAATCTCGCTCTGTCGCCCAGGCTGGAGTGCAGCGGCGCTATCTCAGCTCACTGCAGCCTCTTCTTCCTGGGTTCAAGCGATTCTCCTGTCTCAGCCTCCCAAGTAGCTGGGATTACAGGCATGTGCCACCACGCCCAGCTAATTTTTTTGTAATTTTAATAGAGATTGGGTTTCTCCATGTTGCCTAGGCTGGACCCGAACTCCTGACCTCAAATGATCCGCCCACCTCGGCCTCCCAAAGTGCTGGGATTACAGGTGTGAGCCACTGCACCTGACATTCCCAGCACTTTGGGAGGCCGAGGCGGCTGGATAACCTGAGGCCAGGAGTTCGAGACCAGCCTGGCCAACATGGTGAAACCCCGTCTCTACTAAAAATACAAAAATTAGCCAGGCGTGGTGGTGCATGCCTATAATCCCAGCTACTTAGGAGGCTGAGGCAGGAGAATCGCTTGAACCCAGGAAGAAGAGGCTGCAGTGAGCCAAGATTGCACCACCGCACTCCAGCCTGGGTGACAGAGAGAGACTCCATCTCAAAAAAAATTAAAAATAAATAAATAAATAAAAATAAGCCACCAAAAGAAGAGGGTTAGTTAAAGGCCCAGGGAGATGTTCAACGCACAGAGTGAGGGAAAGGCACTTGGAGGGCATCTGTCGGGCCCCTGCGCCACCGGGCAGTCGAAACTCACACTGTGTCCCCGTATTTGAGCCTCACGGTCCCTAGCCTCAGCTGTTTTATTAATTTTTTTAATCTACAATTTTTAAACTACTGTTGCATTTATGAGAAGAATGGGGGAGCTTATTGAGGTTGTGTTTTTATTAAAATTTATGTTAACTTTTGCTATCAGTGCAGTTGTAGATTAATTAATTTCTACTACTCTTCTAAAGCAAAAAAGTATCAGAGCCAATCCCAAATTACCTCAAATGTGAAACAAGCCAGAGAAAGAGCAAGCGTGATCTCCAAACGCACATTTACACTTGGAAGAAGTTTGTGACTGAGGCACTGAGGTTAGCCAGGCGGCGTCTTGGGAGAAGAAAGCTTCCCTTTGTCTAGGAGAGATTCAGGTGAAGTTCCGCTCAAAGAAAGATGCTCTTAATTCTGATCAATAAACACATACCGATTTACTCTTTTAGTTTAGTTTCAGGGAATGTCGTTCTAAGAGTTTAAATTGAGGTTAGATTCACATGATATAAAATTCACTATTTTAAAGTGAGCAGCAGCCGGGCGTGGTGGCTCATGCCTGTAATCCCAGCACTTTGGGAGGCCAAGGTGGGTGGATCATTTGAGACCAGGAGTTCGAGACCAGCCTGGCCAACACAGTGAAACCCTGTCTCTACTAAAAATACAAAAATTAGCCGGGTGTAGTGGTGCATGCTTGTAGTCCCAGCTATTTGGGAGGCTGAGGCAGGAGAATTGCTTGAACCCGGGAGGCAGAGGTTGCAGTGAGCTGAGATTGCGCCACTACACTCCAGCCTGAGAGACACGGTGAGACTCCATCTCAAAAAATAAAAAATAAAAATAAAATAACAAACAGGCCAGGCATGGGGGCTTCCACTCTCATCCCAGCAAGAGGAATGGGAGGCTGAGGCGGGTGGATCACTTGAGGCTAGGAGTTTGAGACAAGGCTGGGCAATAGAGCAAGACCCCATCTCTAGAAAAAAATAAAACAGTTAGCCACGTACTGTGGTGTGTGCCTGTAATCTCACCTACTTGGGAGGCTGAGGCAGGAGATCCCTTGAGCCTGGGAAGTCAAGGTTGAAGCATGTTGTGCTTACCTCACTGCATTCTAGCTTGGGTGACAGAGTGACACCCTGTCTCAAAAAAAGAATAACAAACGGACCTGAGGCAACCCTGGCTGCCTTCATCCCCCTGGTCTGGACAGTCCTGGCTGAGAGGGCATCACTGCCATTCCAGAGCCTCCTGCATGGGGCTGCCGGGCTGGGCCGTGTTGGCTGCCCGTGTGGCTAGCTTGGCTTTCGTGCCTGGCCCCCACCGGTCCTCATCTGTGCCCAGCAGCCGGCTCTTCCTCTAATGACGACACTGGTGGGTTTGCCAGTTGAAAGTCCTGCTGTGGGCCCCGGGGGAGCTCTCCAGTGTCTGTGTCCAGGGACCCTGTGGACCAACCATGACATGGACGGCCGGTGACATGGCCCAACCCCACCTGCTCATGAGAACGGAGTTCTCTTCCTGTGGCTTCTCCCAGATGAATTCCAGCAGAGATACCGAGGCATGAGGAACCCACACGGGCACCAGGATCTGCTGCTGCAATCACCAAGCGGAGGTCGGGCAGCCGCTCCTTTGCACTGCCAGGCAGGAAGGGGTGCCACGCACGGGTCTGGGCGGTGCAGAGAGGAGAAAGGCGGGCAGCGGAAAGGAAGCCGGCCCGGCCTGTCTCAGCTCGGCCTCCAGCCCTGGTCCCTCTGAGCAAAGCAGCGACGGTGTGGGTGTGGAACGTGCGCCTGTCGGGTCAACAGCGGTCCCCGAGCAGAGGGCACATGTGGTGCCCAGGTGCTCCAGCTCCGCCTGGCAGCCGGCCAGCAGGCGGGACTCCGCTCCCCTTCCTCTGACCTCGCCGTGCTCCGTGTTATCCGAGGAACAACTGGGAGTCGTTGCCTGAGTTGGATGAGGCCAAACGGCAAAGCAGCTTCTGTCTGAGAGCCCGGGCTTGGCTTTTCACCCCATAACCTGGCTCGATCCTGCCTTCTATGCTCAGGCTGGAGAAGGAGGGGCAGGAGGTGCTGGGCTGACGTCTCCTGTCTAATTAGAGCAGCTGGGATGAGAGGCACCCACGGATGGGGGAAGAGTTTCCTGGGAATGTTGTGAAGAGAGGCTTCTTCTGGGCTTTGGGAATACCCTCCCAGACTAGGAAACTCCCCTCTGGGGACCTGCAGCCAGGACGTGCCTGGAGGGGGCCTGCGCCAGCAATGCAGCCCAAGAGAGTCCCCCCACCGTGGCTAACATGCCTCTTTAACCCCCACAGACAGTGAGCACCGCTTCCTACCATTTACACAGAAGATGAGAGTTTAGAAAGGGCTTTACATCCTGCGTTTGTCTTTTTTCTCTTTTCAGGGACAACTGTCCAGGAGGGGCTCAACTGCAAGATAACTAATTGCAGAGAACAGACCTGGGTCTGCTGGAGGGTCCGCGGCTCCTCAGAGCGGGAGGTGAGCCGGAGCTCGTGGCCGCCAGGAAGCCCAGGGCAATGATTTGTCTGTCAAAGCTTGAAAGCATAAACGCGGTTATCAAAATAAGCACTGGCTCCTATGCATGGGACCAAAAATAAATTAGGGCGGGCTTAAAAGAAACAGGCCGGCTGCCAACTGAAACACGGGCGTCTCAGAGAGGAGTCTATAAAGCTGATCCTGTTTATTTGGATGGCGTTCTCAAGGAAAACCTTTTTTGAGTGGAATTCTGGGTGTTTCTTCCTGAAATTTCTTTTTTTGTTGTTTGATTTTTTTTTTTTTTTTTTTGTAGAGACAGAGTCTGTTGCCCCAGCTGGAGTGCAGTGGCACAATCTCGGCTCACTGCAACCTCTGTCTCCCAGGCTCAAGTGATCCTCCCACCTCAGTCTCCCAAGTAGCTGGGATTACAGGTGTCCACCACCACACCAGGTTAATTTGTTTGATATTTTTTTTATTTTACTTTTATTTATTCATTTATTTAATTAATTTATTTTTTTGAGATGGAATCTCCCTCTATCACCCAGGCTGGAGTGCAGTGGTGCAATCTCAGCTTACTGCAACCTCCGCCTCCCAGGTCCAAGCGATTCTCCTGCCTCAGCCTCCCAAGTAGCTGGGATTACAGGCGTGCACAAGCACACCAGGCTAATTTTTTGTATTTTGAGTAGAGACGGGGTTTCACCATGCTGGTCAGGCTGGTCTCGAACTCCTGACCTCAAGCGATCTGCCTGCCTCGGCCTCCCAAAATGCTGGGATGACAGGCGTGAGCCACCGCACTCAGCCTGAAATTTCCTAAAATGAAATTAAATCAACAAATGGTTATTGTGGTTGTATGATGAGTAAGGTATTGTTTTGGGTGCTGTAATTTGGGAGCAGGAAAGGAAGAGAGAGAACAAGGATGAAAAGGAGGGTCAGAGGATTCCTGTGTCTAAACCCAGGTGGGGACAGGCAGAAGAGAGAGGAGGGCGAGGTGAACTCAGGGCCAGCAACAGGGCAGCCCAGGAAAGCTAAGAGCCTGCAGGCCAGTGAGGCCACCTGCGTCCCTCTCACAGGTGCTCGGGGAGGACATGGAAATGGGGTAGAGGCCAGAGGCAGAGGGAAGGGCTGAGAATTTTATGGAACTGATGAAAGATAGATATTCCTGGACTCAGAAAACATAAGTCCCAAGCAGGATGCATGAGAAAAAATCCAAACCGAAACAGGCCTCAGTGGAAAAAACACAGGCCATCAAAGACAGGGAGACGGCTCACAGACCTCCAGGGAGAAGACACCGGTCACCCACGGGCGGGTGACGAGAGGGGCGGCAGACTCCCTAGCGGCAGCAACAAGCAGAAACGCGACAGAACGAGGCCTCTGAACGCTGAGAGAAAGCAGGGGCCAGTGTAGGAGTCTGCACACCCAGCTGAGCCATTTCAAAAACATTTTGTGGTAGAGTCTTGGCCTCTCTTTGTCGCCCAGGCTGGAGTGTGCTGGCGCCATCATGCCTCACTGCAGCCTCCAACTCCAGCCTGCCTCAGCCTCCTGAGGAGCTGGGACTACAGGCACGGACCACCGCACCAGGCTCCAGCTAAGCTGTCTTAAGGTGAAATAAGGACTTTTTTTTTTTTTTTTTTGAGACGGAGTTGCACTCTTATCACCCAGGCTGGAGTACAGTGGTGCGATCTCAGCTCACTGCAACCTCCACCTCCTGAGTTCAAGCAATTCTCCCGCCTCAGCCTCCCCAATAGCTGGGATTACATGCACGCACCACCACGCCCGGCTAATTTTGTATTTTTAATAGAGTTGGGGTTTTGCCATATTGGCCAGGCTGGTCTTGAACTCCTGACGTGGTGATCTGCCCGCCTTGGCCTCCCAAAGTGCTGGGATTACAGGCTTCAGGCTTCAGCCATCCCACCCAGCCCAGGACATACATTTTCAAACAAGAACATTTACCTCAACAGGCCTTTGCTGAAAGAACTATCGGGCCAGGTGCAGCGGCTCATGCCTGTAATCCCAGCACTCTGGGAGGCTGAGTTGGGTGCATGGCTTGAGTCCAGGAGTTCAAGACCAGCCTGGGCAACATGACGAAACCCCATCTCTACAAAAAATACAAAAAAAAAAAATAGCTGGGTATGGTCCACCTGTGGTCCCAGCTACTCAGAAGGCTGAGGTGGGAGGATCCCTTGAGCCCAGGAGGTAGAGGTTGCAGTGAGCCAATATTGTACTTCTGCACTCAAGCCTCGGTGACAGAGTGACATTGTATCTCAAATAAAATAATTAAAAACACAAAGAACTACTAAGGAAATAAGGAAATTCCAGAAGAGGGAACTGAGATGCATGAAGCATTGGTGACATAAAAAAAAAAAAAAAAAGTGGCCAGGTGCAGTGGCTGACACCTGTAATCCCAGAACTTTAGAGGGCCAAGATGGGAGGATCACTTGAGCTCAGGAGTTTGAGACCAGCCTGGGCAACATGGCAAGCCCCATCGTGAAAAAAGAAAAATTGGCCAAGCACGGTGGCTCACACCTATAATCCCAGCACTTTGGGATGTCTAGGCAGGCAGATCACGAGGTCACGAGATCGAGACCATCCTGGTCAACATGGTGAAACCCTGTCTCTACTAAAAATACAAAAATTAGCCGGGCATGGTGGTGGATGCCTGTAGTCCCAGCTACTCAGGAGGCTGAGGCAGGAGAATCACTTGAACCCGGGAGGCAGAGATTGCAGTGAGCTGAGATCGTGCCACTGCACTCCAGCCTGGCCACCGAGCGAGACTCCGTCTCAAAAATAAAATAATAAAATAAAATAAAATAAAACGAAAAGAGAAAAAATTACCTGGGCATGGTGGTGCACGCCTGTGGTCCCAGCTACTCAGGAGGCTGAGATGGGAGGATCACTTGAGCCCAGTGCAGTGAGCTGCTTGCACCACTGTATTCCAGCCTGGGCAACAGAGCAAGTCCTGTCTAAAAAAAAAAAAATTGAAAACAAGATGGAAACAAAATGCCGGTGAACAATAACATGTAACACAGAGGATGGTTGTTACAACTGAAGAAACCTAAGGTCCTTGTGTCTGGTTCAGGAGGAGGGTAAGATTCTAGTTCATCATAGATTTTGTTAATTCAACTATGCCCATTAAAAATTAAGAGTAGATGAAACCCCGTCTCTACTAAAAATACAAAAAAAATAGCTGGACGTGGTGGCATGTGCCTGTGATCCCAGCCACTTGGGAGGCTAAGGCAGGAGAATCACTCGAACGCAGGAGGCAGAGGTTGCATTGAGCCAAGATCGCGCCATTGCACTCCAGGCTGGGCGATAAGACTGAAACTCCATCTCGGAAAAAAAAAAATATTAAGAGTAGGCTGGGCGCAGTGGCTTGCACCTGTAATCCCAGCACTTTAGGAGGCCGAGGTGGGTGGATCATTTGAGGTCAGGAGTTTGCAACCAGCCTGCCCAACATGGTGAAACCCCATCTCTACTAAAAAATATAAAAATTAGCCAGGCGTGGTGGCAGGCACCTGTAATCCCAGCTACTCGGGAGGCTGAGGCAGGAGAATCACTTGAACCCAGGAGGCAAAGGTTGCAATGAGCCGAGATCGCACCACTGCACTCTAGCCTGGGCAACACAGCGAGACTCCATCTCAAAAAAAAAAAAAATCAGGAGTACAGGAGTCCCCCCTTATCCAGAGGGGATACGTTCTAAGACCCCAGTGGAGGCCTGAAACCACAGACAGTCCCAAACCTACTTATACTAGATATTTTCCTACGCACACATACACACCTATGATAAAGTTTAATTTATAAATTAGGCACAGGAAGAGATTAACAACTATTAATAAAATAGAGCAATTATAGCAATAGGGTGTAATACAAGTTATGTGAATGTAGTCTTTTTTTTTTTTTTTTTTTTGCATTGCCATGAAAGTTTATTTTGGCTTCTTACAAAGTTATCTTTTTGGGATTTTATCAAACGGATTCTTTAAACCTGACTAGTATCAATCTTCAGAAACCAATTATATGGTTTCTTTTTTTTTCTTGTTTATCAACATTCTTTTGGTTTTTTTGTTTGTTTGTTTTAATTTTATTAATATTATACTTTAAGTTTTAGGGTGCATGTACACAACGTGCAGGTTTGTTTCGTATGTATACATGTGCCATGTTGGTGTGCTGCACCCATTAACTCGTCATTTAGCATTAGGTATATCTCCTAATGCTATCCCTCCTCCCTCCCCGCGAATGTAGTCTTTCTCTCCCAAGATACTGTAACATTTTCAGACTGAAACAATAGAAAGCAAAACCTCAAATCAGGGGGCACTGCCGTCCTCCCAACAGTGTAATTCTACAGCAGTGAGGTAGAGCTTCATCTCAAGTGAATTTATTTAAGCTAAAAGAGCAAATTGGTTTAAAAAACACATATCATAGTTGATCATACAGGTGGTCTGGGGATGTGGCTATGGCTGAGCGCGGGGCGTGTGAATGACTGAAGCTTGGAAACATGGTTGCAACAGATGTCACAGAACTTGGTTTCAGTTGAAGGATATCAAATTTGTTTGAGTGTTTGGGATTTTTTTTTTTTCCTGTGCAATCCTCGAAAGCTATCTTGAGGCTGGGCGTGGTGGCTTATGCCTGTCATCCCAGCACTGTGGGAGGCCAATGTGGGCGGATCTCCTGAGGTCAGGAATTTGAGGCCAGCCTGGCCAACAGAGTGTAACCCCATAAGTACTAAAAATACAAAAATTAGCCAGGCCTAGGCCGGGCGTGGTGGCTCACGCCTGTAATGCCAGCATTTTGGGAGGCCGAGGTGGGTGGATCACCTGAGGTCAGGTGTTTGAGATCAGCCTGGCCAACATGGCAAAACCCCACCTCTGCTAAAAATGCAAAAATTAGCTGGGCGTGGTGGTGGGTGCCTGTAATCCCAGCTACTCCGGAGGCTGAGGCAGGAGAATTACTTGAACCTAGGAGACAGAGGTTGCAGTAAGCCGAGATGGCACCACTGCACTCCAGCCTGGGCAACAGAGCGAGATTCTGTCTCAAAAAAAAAATTAGCCAGGCCTGGTGGCAGGCACCTGTCATCCCAGCTACTCGGGAGGCTGAGGCAGGAGAAATCACTTGAGCCTGGGAGGTGGAACTTGCAGTGAGCAGAGATTGCGCCACTGCACTCCAGCTTGGGTGACATAGTAAGACTCTCTCTAAAAAAGAAAATACAAAAAAACACACAAAAATTAGCCAGGTGTGATGGTGGGCACCTGTAATCCCAGCTACTTGGGAGGCTGAGACAGGAAAATTGCTTGAACCCAGGAGGCAGAGGTTGCAGTGAGCTGAGACTATGCCATTGCACTCCAGCCTGGGCGACAAGAGCAAAACTGTCTCAAAAAAGAAAGAAAGAAAAAGAAAAAGAAAGAAAGAAAGCTATCTTCAGTATTTTCAGACCCTTGTCAACTAATGCTATGAACACTCATAATTACATCTTTTAGATTTTCAGGTAACACCAGAATCTGTGGGTGGTTCTATTTAAAATGAAGTCGCTGCTTGGTGTCCCTGGAGGTCATCTATTTTCTTAAACCAAAATGCGCAGCTGAGGACTTGTGCTCTGGTGCTGTTCTCTTCCTGGTGTCACCAATCATGGTTTTAAATGAACTCCGGCAAGAAGGCCTGGAACCCAAGAAGGCCCCACCCAGCACAGCTGAGCCCAGACGCTACCAGAAATTCGCGGCAACACCACTTGTGAGGCTTGCCAGAATAAATACGGAGCCCCTCACACAGCCCAGGAGGGGCAGAAAGAAACCCCGCTCCCTGACTGCAAGCAGCATATTTTTTATAGAATCAGAGTTACAGGGGAACTGTCTTGCTCTCCGAAATCCTTAGCCATGCACACACACACACATACACACACACACGCACGCACACGCACACACACACGCACGCACACGCACACACGCACAGCTCCAGCAAAGCCCGGTTGGCTGCCAATGGAGGAGTGCACACGTGCTGTTTTGGGGGCATTTGTCCAGCCAGCCCTGGCCTCAAAGGCTCAGATCTAAAACAAAAACAGAGTGAGGTGCCTGGGCGGAGTGGCTGGCATGCATCCCTCCCCTGGGTCTCTGGCCAGCCTTACTTAATTTTTTTTTTTTTTTTTTGAGACAGAGCCTCACTCTGTCACCCAGGCTGGAGTACAATGGCATGATCTGGGCTCACTGCAACCTCCACCTCCCTGGTTCCAGCAATTCTCCTGCCTCAGCCTCCTGAGTAGGTAAGATCACAGGCGCCCACCACCACGCCTGGCTAATTTTTTGTATTTTTAGTAGAGACAGGTTTTCACCATGTTGGCCAGGCTGGTCTCGAACTCCTGACCTTAAGTGATCTGTGTGCCTCAGCCTCCCAAAGTTCTGAGATTACAGGTGTGAACCACCTCGCCCAACCTGGCCAGTCTTATTTATTTCACATTTTGTTTATTATTTGGGAGTTCAGAGTAAATTACTTGACAAATTTGAATACTAAAGAGAAAATTTTCACATTCGGCCAGCCTAAATCACTATCGAAATTTACCCGCGGCTCTTTTCCCTCCGTCACCTGTTGTTGGAGTTTATAAGTATTGCTAAAATCTGAATGTGTCATGTCTTCCCATGTATCTGTGCCTTGTGACGGTAACTTACATACATTTCCAGATCTCCCTCAGCGCCCGTGGTTCTGAGGAACACTCCTTCCAACCTTAGAGAGAATAAATTGCTGCCCCCTTTAGGTTAAATGTGATTTGGCTTCTTTCTGTTGCACAATCTCTTTTTTTTCTTTTTTTTTTTTTTTTTTTTGAGACGGAGTCTTGCTCTTGTACCCCAGGCTGGAGTGCAATGGCACAATCTCGGCTCACTGCAACCTCCGCCTCCCAGGTTCAAGCGATTCTCCTGCCTCAGCCTCCCGAGTAGCTGGGTTACAGGCATGCACCACCACACCCGGCTAATTTTTGTATTTTCAGCAGAGACGGGGGTTTCACCATGTTGGCCAGGCTGGTCTTGAACTCCTGACCTCAGGTGATCCTCCCACCTCGGCCTCCTAAAGTGCTGGGATTACAGGCGTGAGCCACCGCGCCCGGCCTCTGCTGCACAACCTCTTTTGCACAAATATGTCAAATTTGAATTTTCACATATTAATTAGCCCCATTCAATGGCTTCTCAAGTCAGCTTTCAGTCAGTGCAGGCCATTGTACTTTGGTAATTGCATAGTGTAAACCTTCTTCTTCTACTGCTCCACAGATTCTCACTAGTGAAGTGCTATTCTCTTTTCATCGGGACTAAAAATAAGAAACTAGGGACCCTCTGTTTTAAGTATATTCTGCATGACACTACTGTGGCAGTTTGGGGAAGAAAGAAGGGAAAGAATTTGCAGGCTGGGCACAGTGGCTCAGGCCTGTAACCCCAGCACTTAGGGAGGCGGAGGCAGGAGGATCGCTTAAGCCCAGGAGTTTGAGACCAGCCTGGACAACATAGCAAGACCCCATCTCTACAAAGGAAAAATTTTAAAATTATCTGGGCAAGGTGACACACACCTGTGGTCACAGATAATTGGGAGGCTGAGGTGGGAGGATTGCTTGAGCCTGGGAGTTCAAGACCAGCCGGGGCAACACAGTGAGACTCCACCTCTAAAAAATTAAAAATAGGCTGGGCGTGCCAGGTGCAATGGCTCACGCCTGTAATCCCAGCACTTTGGGAGACCAAGGCGGGCAGATCACGAGGTCAGGAGATTGAGACCATCCTGGCTAACATGGTAAAACCTCATCTCTACTAAAAATACAAAAAATAGCCAGGCATGGTGGCGGGCGCCTGTAGTCCCAGCTACCCGGGAGGCTGAGGCAGGAGAATGGTGTGAACGCAGGAGGCGGAGCTTGCAGTGAGCCAAGATCACGCCACTGCACTCCAGCCTGGGTGACAGAGCAAGACTCCATCTCAAAAAAAAAAAAAAAAAAAAAAAGAAAGAAAAATATAGGCTGGGTGCAATGGCTCACACCTGTAATCCCAGCACTTTGAGAGGCTGAGGCAGGCGGATCACTTGAGCTCAGGACTTTGAGACCAGCCTGGCCAACATGGCAAAACCCCGTCTCTTGTAAAAATACAAAAATTACCCTGGCATGGTGGCGGGCACCTGTAGTCCCAGCTACTCGGGAGGCTGAGGTGGGAGAATCGCTCAAACCCAGGAGGAGGAGGTTGCAGTGAGGTCACTGCACTGCACTCCAGCCTAGGCAACAGAGCAAGACTGCATCTCAGAAAAAAGTAAAAAATAAAAAATAAAAAAAGTAGTGCCTGAGCGTGCTTCCGTGCTGTGGACGGCAGGTGCCTTTGGATGATGACAACGGAGGTGGCCATGGCGGCAGCACAGCACAGTTGCTGAAAAAGCCTCTGCATAGAGGCCCCTGTCCATGCCACATGGCCACCTCCAGGGGACCAAACTGCCAGGAATACCAAGACAGGAATACCGAGAAGCCAGCACAGAGGCCTCACGACCTCTGCTCCCCGGGACCTCCGGCTCTCACTTTCACAGCCACAGAGATGCACCCGGGCGATGTGGCAGGGCCGTCTCTGAAACTGGAAAGGTTCCCTTGTCCCCCTCGCAGGATGTGTGATGAGATGTGTCTCGCTTCCTCAGTACCCCGCTCTCAACCTCCAGGGGAGCATACAGACGGGCAGGCTGTGGGGCTCCCACCCCACGGCAGTGTCTAAGGCTGGATGTTTCCAGCTCCTGAGGCCCCAGTGGGCGTGTGTTCCAGGGTGCCCTATAGGCAGCTTGTGTTAACCAGCTCAATTCGACCCTCTACCTTGCCCCAAGGACAGAGGGCTTTCTGCATCCCAGGTTCTTGCCTTGGTGTACCAGAAGGATCACACTTGGGCTGGGAGAATGAGTGCAAAGTTTTATTGAGTGGAGGTGGTTTTATTAAGCCAGAAGGGAGATGGTCTTTCCCTGGAGATGGGCCTCTCGGGGGGCCCAGCTCTCCTCTGACTGCCCCGGTTGATGGATCGATGGTCGGCCAGCGTGCCAGAGTCTGTCGGTGAGCCCTCCTGGCTGGCGTGCTCCTCTCGACGACCAGCCACATGCATCTTCTTCCTCCGATGTGCTCCTCTCCACCTCTGGCCACCTGTGTGTCTGCCCGCTAGGGTCTCAGGTTTTCAGAGGCCCAGGATGGGGGCATGGCGGGCCAGGGTGGTCTTGGGAAATGCAACATTGGGGCAGGAAATCCCTGTCCTCACCTAGGTCCATGGGGGTGGAGCCCTAGCCAGGGACCTGCCTTTCTCTACCCAGCACTTCCCTCCTGTATCATTGAAAGGGTTCACACTCTTCCCTTCCCAGTACTCCGGTATCATTTCCACTGCAGAAGTGGCAAATGTGGCCGTGGCCTGCATGGCCAAGCTGCAGCATTCACAGCTGCACATCTTCTGCACAACTTTGCAAGGAAGAGGAAGCACTCCTGGTTTTGGGTTTTTTTTTGTGTTGTTGCTTCTTTTTTTTTTTTTTTTTTGAGACGGAGTCTCGCTCTGTCACCCAGGCTGGAGCGCAGTGGTGCCATCTCGGCTCACTGCAAGCTCCACCTCCTGGGTTCACGCCATTCTCCTGCCTCAGTCTCCCAAGTAGCTGGGACTACAGGCGCCTGCCACCACACCTGGCTAATTTTTTTTTGTATTTTTAGTAGAGATGGGGCTTCACTGTGTTAGCCAGGATGGTCTCGATCTCCTGACCTCGTGATCCGCCCGCCTCAGCCTCCCAAAGTGCTGGGATTACAGGCATGAGCCACTGTGCCTGGCCTGTTGTTGCTTTTTTGAGACGGAGTCTCGCTCTGTCACCCAGGCTGGAGTACAGTGGCATGATCTTAGCTCACTGCAACTTCTACCTCCTGGGTTCAAGCAATTCTCCTGCCTCAGCCTCCCAAGTAACTGGGATTACAGGCACCCACGACCATGCCTGGCTCATTTTTGTATTTTTAATAGAGATGGAGTTTCACCATGCTGCCCAAGCTGGTCTCAAACTCCTGACCTCAGGTGATCGTGTGCCTTGGCCTCCCAAAGTGCTGGGATTACAGACATGAGCCACCACACCCCACCCACTCCTGGTTTTTTGTTGGCTGAGGTTAAAAATCAATCTTAAGAAGCAACAACACCAAACCACTCTGAAGAGCGCTGTTCTCACGCACGCACGTTCTCGGGGCTCATGGGTTTGAGCGGAGCCTCCCTGGGATGGGAGATTGGCAGCCTGGAGCCCTGGGGGACGGACCCATTCAGCATCTTTACCTTAATTGCTTCCATGCGCCATATGTATCCCAGGACCGCGTAAACAACAGCCCAAAACAACAGGAGGCAGAACTGTACTTCTCACCGGGGCTTCTGTGGAACTTGGGAAAACTGCCAGCAAGATTCAAGAGCCAAGCGCGGCGCCTTCCCCAGGCTCGAGGCCAAGTGGAGGCCGGGGAGCGCGTAGGCAAGAGCCTCCGAAGAACTGCACGCCCCTTGGGGGGCCCCGAGTCGGGGAGCCACCACCCAGCACTGTTGGGACAGGCACAGACTCATCTCTAGCAGGGAGACAATGTGCGTTCATTAGAATTCCGTGGGGCCCGGGGCGGCTTCTGAGAATTTAGAGGCCAGCAGTTTTGCTAGGTGAGGAGGTTAGAAGAAAATAAGCCCCTTGACCCAAACTTCACTTAAAAAAAATTATGTATTTTATTTCTATGGATTGATTGATTGATTGATTGAGGCAGAGTTTCACTCTGTCGCCCAGGCTGGAGTGCAGTGGCATGATCTCAGCTCACTGCAACCTCCACCTCTGGGTGCAAGCAATAGTCCTGCCTCAGCCTCTCAAATAACTAGGATCACAGGCGCCCGCCACCACGCCCGGCTAATTTTTGTATTTTTAGTAAAGGCGGGGTTTCATCATGTTGGCCAGGCTGGTCTGGAACTCCTGACCTCAGGTGATCCGCCCCCCTCGGCCTCTCTAAGTGTTGGGATTACAGGTGTCAGCCATCCTTCTGGCCCAATTTTTGTGTATTTTAAAAGTAAAGTTACAGACAGGATTTCACCGTGTTGCCCCAGCCGGTCTTGAACTCCTGACCTCAAGCAGTCCTCTGGCTTCTGCCTCCCAAAGTGCTAGAATTACAGACATGAGCCACCACGCCCAGCCCCTAACTTCACTTTAAAAATATGACTTTTCGCTGGGCGCGGTGGCTCACGCCTGAAATCCCAGCACTTTGGGAGGCTGAGGAGGGCAGATCACGAGGTCGAGAGATCGAGACCATCCTGGCTAACACGGTGAAACACCGTCTCTACTGAAAATACAAAAAAATTAGCTGGGCGTGGTGGCGGGCGCCTGTAGTCCCAGCTATTCAGGAGGCTGAGGCAGGAGAATGGCATGAACCCGGGAGGCGGAGCTTGCAGTGAGCTGAGATTGCGCCACTGCACTCCAGCCTGGGCGACAGAGCGAGACTCCAACTCAAAAAAAAATATGACTTTTCTGGCCAGACACAGTGGCTCATGCCTGTAATCCCAGCACTTTGTGAGGCTGAAGCAGGTGAATCATGAGGTCAGGAGTTCCAGACCAGCCTGGCCAACACAGTGAAACCCTGTCTCTACTAAAGATACAATAATTAGCCAGGCGTGCTGATGCATGCCTGTAATCCCAGCTACTGGGGAGGCTGAGGTAGGAGAATCACTTGAACCCAGGAAGCGGAGGTTGCAGTGAGCCGAGATCGTGCCATGGTACTCCAGTCTGGGCGACACAGTGAGACTCTGTCTCCAAAAAATAGATAGATAGATAGATAGATAGATAGATAGATAGATAGATAGATAGACAGACAGACAGACAGACAGACAGACAGATAGATAAAAATACAAAAATTTAGCTGGGCATAGTGGCAGGCACCTGTAATCCCAGCTACTTGGAAAGCTGAGGCAGGAGAATCGCTTGAACCCAGGAGCCGGAGGTTGCAGTGAGCCAAGATCGCACTATTGCACTCCAGCCTGGGTGACAGAGTGAGACTCTGTCTCAAAAAAAAAAATACGGCTTTTCTTCATAAACAATAAACATGTTACGTGAGTCTGTGTTGAACTATCTAGTCTGGGCTTCAGCCTCGGTGGCAGATGTCTTGTGTATGACACATCTGAGAAGCTGCTGTTACCCCATAAATATTTATGGGCAACCGTAATCCTCTCACATTACAAGGATTTCTGTACTCATTTTACAACCCTGGTCGATGTTCTGTGCTGGGTTAGAAGTCATTTCACCAAAGTGTGTTTCTAACACTCCAGAAAACCCTCTCCTCACTCTCGTCTCTGAATGAAGAACAGAGTTACAACCAATGCGGGTCAGTAACAATGTTTAAACCCCTCCAACACCGGGCAGCCGGGCCAGATGGTGCCAGCGACGCTGCTGACATGGCCACGTTGGTCTGGTGCCCAGTTCAAAGGTATCTGGTAGGCCTTCCTTTGTTGGTGAGATTTTCACAAGAATGCGTGCAATTTCTAGCTCCAGCCAACTTGGCCCCAAATGTAAGACTGTAGGAAAAAATCCGCTGTTAATACGGTCTCACTCTATCTTAAAAGAGTTTATGTATGCACTTAAAATTTAGCCATTTATTATTTTATTATTATTATTTATTATTATTATTTTTGAGATAGAGTCTTGCTCTGTTTCCTAGGCTGGACTGCAGTGACACGATCTTGGCTCACTGCAACCTCCGCCTCCTGGGTTCAAGCGATTCTCCTGCCTCAGTCTCCCAAGTAGCTGGGATTACAGGCATGTGCCACCACGCCTGGCTATTTTTTGTATTTTTAGTAGAGATGCGATTTCACCATGTTGGCCAGGCTGGTCTCTAACTCCTGACCCCAAGTGATCCGCCCACCTCAGCCTCCCAAAGTGCTGGGATGACAGGCGTGAGCCACCGCGCCCGCCTTAGCCATTTCTTTAAAACAATCACTATGCATTTTCTTCTCTCAAGCTGTGAGGTCTCTCCTTTATTTTTCATCTATTGATGTGAGAATCGCTAATTTGGTGGTTCATTTAATGACTATCGATTGGCTAGGGGAACAGGACAAAGTTTCTGATCTCATGGAACTTATATTTTAGGGGAGAGAGACAGAAAATAAAAATAGTCATTTAAATAGAAAGGAAAATACCAAACAGCAAAAAGTACAAAGAAAATTAAAATAGGGTGTCCTGGTTCAAAAAAGAGAGTGGCTCTGAGATGTCGGGTGGCAAGTACAGCCCTCGCTGGGGAGGTGACCTTTAACCTGACATCCGCCCCACCAGGGGACAGGCAGGCCCAAAGAAGAGCTCAGGTCCCGAATCACTGATGTGAGGCAGGTGTGGTGGCTCACGCCTGTGATCCCAGCACTTTGGGAGGCTGAGGCGGGAGGATCGCTTGAGCCCAGGAGTCCCAGGCCAGCCTGGGCAACACAGCAAGACCCACTCTCTACCCCCCCAAAAAAAAAGAATTAGCCAGGCATGGTGGCGAGTGCCTGTAGTCCCAGTTACTGGGGAGGCCAAGGCAGGAGGATCTTCTGGGCCCAAGAAGTTGAGGCTGCAGTGAGCTGTGATTGCACCTTTTCACTGTACTCCAGCCTGGGCAACAAAGTGAGACCCTGTCTCAAAAAAAAAAAAAAGCAAAAGACCAAAGTCACTGATGTGAACGCAGTTTGTGAACTGTAAAGGATTCCACAGCCTCCTGCATTCCCCCCACCCGCCCCTCTTCATCACAGGCTCCTGTGTTTCCCCCACCTGCCCCTCTTCATCACAGGCTCCTGCGTTCCCCCAACCACCCCCCTTCATCACAGCCTCCTGTGTTCCCCCACCCCCCCTTCATCACAGCCTCCTGTGTCCCCCCACCCCCCCTTCATCACAGCCTCCTGCGTTCCCCCCACCCCCCCCTTCATCACAGCCTCCTGTGTCCCCCCACCTGCCCCTCTTCATCACAGCCTCCTGTGTTCCCCCACCCCCCCCTCTTCATCACAGGCTCCTGTGTCCCCCCACCCCCCCCTTCATCACAGCCTCCTGTGTCCCCCCACCCGCCCCCCCTTCATCACAGCCTCCTGTGTCCCCCCACCCCCCCTTCATCACAGCCTCCTGTGTCCCCCCACCTGCCCCTCTTCATCACAGCCGCCTGTGTTCCCCCCACCCCCCCTTCATCACAGCCTCCTGTGTCCCCCCACCCGCCCCTCTTCATCACAGCCGCCTGTGTTCCCCCCACCCCCCCTTCATCACAGCCTCCTGTGTCCCCCCACCCGCCCCTTCATCACAGCCTCCTGTGTCCCCCCACCCGCCCCTCTTCATCACAGCCTCCTGTGTCCCCCCACCCGCCCCTCTTCATCACAGCCTCCTGTGTTCCCCCACCCGCCCCTCTTCATCACAGCCTCCTGTGTTCCCCCACCCCCCCTTCATCACAGCCTCCTGTGTCCCCCCACCCGCCCCTCTTCATCACAGGCTCCTGTGTTCCCCCCACCCGCCCCTCTTCATCACAGGCTCCTGCGTTCCCCCCACCCCCCCTTCATCACAGCCTCCTGTGTCCCCCCACCCGCCCCTCTTCATCACAGCCTCCTGTGTTCCCCCCACCCGCCCCTCTTCATCCATTCTCCAGCCCTGGGAGGTGAATCCTGGAAATGCTGACCACAGTCCTATCCCCCCAACGTGTGTGTGTGTGGTGTGTGTGTGTGTGTGTGTGTGTGTGTGTGTGTGTGTGGAGAGAGAGAGAGGGACAGGGTCTTGCTCTGTTGCAAGGCTGGAGTGTAATGGCACAATCACAGATCACTACAGCCTCAACCTCCTGGGCTCAAGTGATCCTCTCGCCTCAGCCTCCTGAGGAGCTGGGACCACAGGGGTTCACCACCATGCCCAGCTAATTTTTTAATTTTTTTGTGGGGATGAGGTCTCACTACGTTGCCCAGGCTGGCCTCGAACTCCTGGGCTCAAGCAATCCTCCTGACTCAGCCTCCCAAAGTGCTAGGATTACAGACGTGAGCCACTGTGCCTGGCCCCAAATCACTTTACAGCAGGTGGAAAATAGTAACCAGACACCAGGCTGGACCATGGATCTGGTAATAAAATCAAGGAAGGTGCCGTGGGCTGCAGGGAAGGTGACGTTCCTCCAGTTGAGAGGATGATTTGGAGAGTCTGTGCGCTGGAAACTGCGGTCTTTGGGGTCAGACGGCCCAAGGTGGAATTCTGGCTCCGCTCCTCCTGGGCTGGACACCTTGGGCAAGGTCCCTCGCGGCTTTGAGCTTCATGTCTGTGACCATCACCCACACTGACCTGCAGGGTCACTGAGAAGACGGGACAAAGTACGGCGTGAAGGGCACAGGGGCAGGCTGCGAGCGGCGTTTCATAAACGGTAGGAACTGGTTTTTTGTTTGTTTGTTTTTGTTTTGAGACCGAGTCTTAGTCTGTCACCCAGGCTGGAGTGCAACGGCACCATCTCGGCTCACTGCAACCTCCACCTCCTGGGTTCAAGCGATTCTCGTGCCGCAGTAGCTGGGATTACAGGCTTCTGCAACCATGCCCAGCTAATTTTTGTACTTTTCGTAGAGACAGGGTTTCGCCATGTTGGTCAGGCTGGTCTCAAACTCCTGACCTCAGGTGATCTGCCCACTTTGGCCTCCCAAAGTGCTGGGATTACAAGTGTGAGCCACTGCACCTGGCTGGCAGGAACTACTGGGTTTTTTTGTTTTGTTTTATTTTGTTTTTGAGACAGAGTCTCGCTCTATCGCCCAGGCTGGAGTGCAGTGGCACGATCTCAGCTCACTGCAAGCTCTGCCTCCTGGGTTCATGCCATTCTCCTGCCTCAGCCTCCCAAGTAGCTGGAACTACCAGCGCCCACCACCACGCCCAGCTAATTTTTTTGTATTTTTAGTAGAGACGGGGTTTCACCGTGTCAGCCAGGATGATCTCGATCTCCTGACCTCGTGATCCGCCTGCCTCGGCCTCCCAAAGTGCTGGGATTACAGGCGTGGGCCACCGGGCCTGGCTGGAACTACTGTTTTTATCAGCTAAGAGCCAATACTGAAATCAACAGCTCCCCAAGCAGAAAGATTTCTTCCCCAACATTTATGCAACATCAAGACCGCTGATCTTGGCTGAATACCTGCCTCCAGGAATGAGTAAACTCCACAACCCCCTGTACCCTAGCACGGCACCTTGGGGCACATGGGAGAACTTGGGAGCCCAGGCTGTCCGGGGCATCGCTGTCCTCTGCAGAAAGCTGCACCTGTTTGTCCCGGGGACACCTGCCGTGTTCAAGGACATGCTCCCAAGATTCCGCTAGGTTCAATCACCTTCTCTGCATTTCCAAAATACAGATGAAGGAAACTGACTAGATAAAAGATTTCTAAATGGCCCCTCCACAGCCAATCCAGTTCCTGAAAGAAATGTCTAAGTTGCGTGGTCCAAACCAGAACAACGTGATTTTTAAACGCAAAGCTCTGAGCAGCACAGGTTTCCTGAGCCTTGTGGGAGCAGGAGCACTTCGAGCCAGAGGGATGCCTGTGAGGCCGAAAGCGCCTGGGAGGCCGAGGGCTTTCACGCCGCGCCGGGCACCACGCTGCCAGCAGAGGCCAACGGTGAGCAAACAGTGCCACCCCCTGGCACCCGGCTCAGAGACACTCACGCACGGGCTCTGCAAAGCCAGGGTGTCCTGAGAGAGGTAGGGTGAATGAACATCCCGGAGCAGCTGAGATTCCCATGCAATGTCCCAGAGCGGGGCTCGTCTGGGGAGACAGCTGCCCTGGGGTGAAGCTCACTCTCTCTCCAGCTCGATGGCTCCAGCACAGCCCTGTCCCGAGGCTGCACGCGGGAACCGCCTGGACCCTTCACAATCACCCTCCGAGGCTGCCACCTGTATCTCAATCTCTCTTCTTCAGAGCAGGAAACTGGGGCAGACCGGCCCACACAGCTGGGGAGCGGCAGAGTTAGGAGACAACACCAGCGCGTCTGAGAGCTGCGCCCGCTCCCTGACATCAGGGCGACAGACCCCTAGGACGGAGACCCAGGTGGGAAGAGCCACTGCCTGAGAAAAGCCAGGTGTGGCTGCGTGGGGCCCCTCGGGTGTACGGGGACGGCTGGACTGAGGCACCCAATGTGGAGTGAACTCACTGTTCATTCATTCACCCACCCTCCGACATCCACCACGGCCTCAACGCAGGCCCTGCTCCAGGCACTGGAGCTACGGTGGCCTCGGTTTTTTTGTTTTTTGTTTTTTGTTTTCTGCTTCATCGCCCAGGCTGGAGTGCAGTGGCGCAATCTCAGGTCACTGCAACCTCCGCCTCCCAGGTTCAAATGATTCTCCTGCCTCAGCCTCCTGAGTAGCTGGGATTACAGGCACCTGCCACTACGCCTGGCTACTTTTTCAATTTTTTTTTTTTAAATTATACAGTGGTGCGATCTTGGCTCACTGCAACCTCCGCCTCCCGGGTTCAAGCAATTCTCCTACCTCAGCCTCCCATGTAGCTGGGATTACAGGCGCCCACCATCATGCCCAGCTAATTTTGTATTTTTTTTAGTTGAGATGGGGTTTCACCATGTTGGCCAGGCTGGTCTCAAGCTCCTGAGCTCAAGTGATCCTCATGCCTTGGCCTCCCAAAGTGCTGGAATTACAGGCTTAAGCCACCACACTCAGCTCATTTTTGTTTTTTGCTTTTTGATTTTTTGTTGGTGGGGGGTGGGTGACAGGGTCTTGCTCTGTGTTGCCCAGGCTGGAGGGCAGTTGTGCAATTGTATTAATAGCTCACTGCAGCCTCAACCTCTGGAGTTCAGGTAATCCTTCCACCTCAGCCTCCTGGGTAGCTGGGACTACAGGCATGAGCCAACACGCCCAGCTAATTTTTAAATATTTTATAGACATGGGGTCTCTCTCTGTTGGCCAGGCTGGTCTCGAACTCCTGGCCTCAAACGATCCTCTCACCTTGGCCTCCCACAGTGTTGGGGTTTCGGGTGCGGGCCTGCACACCTGTGGCCTCGGTTCCATTTGTTCTGGTGCCTCCCCACTCTGCAGGTGACTGAGGGTCCCTGCTGGTGCTCCCCATGTCCCCAGGTTGCGTGTAGATTGCCCCAAGCTAGTAAACGACTCCCCACCTTCAACTCCCTTTTGGTTACACAACCTGAAGGCGGCTCTGTTTTCCTGTTTAGACTCTGACTAACGTGAAGCCACAGGAAGTTTTAAACGGCCAAATGACATCATCGTATTGCTGTTTTTGAAGGAAATCATTCTGGCCGTTGTGTTAAAGAAGGATGTTATAGGGTAAAGGCAGAAGCAGGAAGTCCAGCTGGGAAGCATCACAGCTGTCCTAGGGAGGAGGACGCGGCCTGGACCAGGATGGCTGCAGTGAGACGGATGGGGTACAGCAGCAGGCAGGTTGGCTGGGGAGAGAGGACGCGGCCTGGACCAGGGCGGCTGCGGTGAGAGGGACAGGGAGCTGCAGGCAGGCTGGGGAGATGCCTGGGGGTCATCAATAGCAGGGAGCCCCAACCTTTCTGAGACTAGGGACCAGTTTTGTGGAAGACAATTTTTCCACGGACAGTGGGGGCAGGGGATGGTTTCGGGAGGATTCAAGCACATTCGATTTATGTTGCACTTTACTTCTACTGTTATTACACTGTGATATAGAATGAAATAATTCTACGACTCGCCATCGTGTAGAATCAGTGGGAGCCCTGAGCTTCTTTTCCTGCAACTAGACGGTCCCATCTGTGGGTGATGGGAGACAATGACAGATCATCAGGCATTAGATTCTCATAAGGAGTGTGAAACCTAACCCCTCGCATGCACAGTTCACAATGGGGTTCACGATCCTGTGAGAATCGAACTCCGCTACTGATCTGACAAGGTGGAGCTCAGGCGGTAACGTCGGCAATGGGAGCAGCTGTTAATACAGATGAAGGGGCTGGCTGTGGCGGCTCACGCCTGTAATCCTAGTACTTTGGGAGGCTGAGGTGGGTGGATCACCTGAGGTCGGGAGTTTGAGACCAGCCTGGACATCATGGAGAAACCCCATCTCTACTAAAACTACAAAAATTAGCCGGACATGGTGGTGCTCACCTTTAATCCCAGCTACCCAGGAGGCCGAGGCAGGAGAATTGCTTGAACCCTGGAGGTGGAGGTTGCAGTGAGCCAAGATTGTTCCACTGCACTCCAGCCTGGGCAACAAGAGTGAGACTCTGTCTCAAAAAAAAAAAAAATACAGATGAAGCTTTGCCCACTGCTCACCCGCTGCTCACCTGGTGTGCTGCCCCGTTCCTAACAGGCCATGGATGGGTGCCAGTCTATGGCGCGGGGGTTGGGGACCCCTGGTCAACAGGACGCAGTGATGGATGGAATTGGGGGTTAGGAAGGAAACAAGACATCTGAGTCTCCTGGGTGTTGGCCGGGGCGGCTGCAGGAGGCGGCTCTGGAGCTCTGTTCCAAACGCGCTTTGTCCAAGTTCCAGGGAGCAGCTGGGTGCTCACAGCAGCTGCTGCCCAAGGGGGAAGGAAGGCAGGAGGCTGTGTCCCAATTTTGTCTGGGACTAAAGTTGACCCTTCCTTGAAATACACTTCTGATTTTTTTTTTTTTTTTTTGGGATGGAGTCTCGCTCTGTCGCCCAGGCTGGAGTGCCGTGGCGTGATCTCGGCTCACTGCAAGCTCTGCCTCCCGGGTTCACGCCATTCTCCTGCCTCAGCCTCCCGTGTAGCTGGGACTACAGGCGCCCACCACCACGCCTGGCTAATTGTTTTGTATTTTTAGTAGAGAAGGGGTTTCACCATGTTAGCCAGGATGGTCTTGATCTCCTGACCTCGTGATCCGCCTGCCTCGGCCTCCCAAAGTGCCGGGGTTATAGGCATGAGCCACCCCACCTAGCCTCACTTCTGAATTTTACCCCTAAGTTGGCATGGGAACATTCCAGAAGGCAGAGATGGTTACTCCCTGTATGCCAGTGAATCTCAAGTTATCTCAGGTAGCAGAGCCTCCAGAGGTCATGGGAGTTTTCTTAAACATTTAGAACTATGCCTACATTTGACTCCCACCTACATTTGACTCCTGCCTACATTTGACTCCCGCCTACATTTGACTGACTCTGCCTACATTTGACTCCCGCCTACATTTGACTCCCACCTACATTTGACTGACTCCTGCCTACATTTGACCCCCACCTACATTTGAGTCCCACCTACATTTGACTGACTCCCGCCTACATTTGACTGACTCCCGCCTACATTTGACTCCCACCTACATTTGACTGACTCCTGCCTACATTTGACCCCCACCTACATTTCACTCCCACCTACATTTGACTGACTCCCACCTACATTTGACTGACTCCCGCCTACATTTGACTCCCGCCTACATTTGACTCTTGCCTACATTTGACTCCCGCCTACATTTGACTCTTGCCTACATTTGACTGACTCCCACCTACATTTGACTCCCACCAACATTTGACTCCCGCCTACCTTTGACTGACTCCCACCTACATTTGACTGACTCCTGCCTACATTTAGCTCCCACCTCCATTTGGCTCTTACCTCCATTTGACTCCCACCTGCATTTGACTACCGCCTCCACTGGACTCTGTCCTGCATTGGACTGACTCCCACCTACATTTGACTCCCACCTACATTTGACTGACTCCCACCTACATTTGACTCCCGCCTACATTTGACTCCCGCCTACACTTGATTCCTGCCTACATTTGACTGCCGCCTACATTTGACTCCCTCATCAATAAACTTCCCCAGGGGCAATTTGCATATAGTTCTCTGCACCTAAAAATTCACTCTAAAAAATATAATATTTCAAGAAACCCCATTTTCGCTAGACAGAAATACATTTCATAAGTCTATTTAGTAAATCCAACGTGCAGGGTCATGGCAAAGCTCAGCTGGTGCTGGACAGCTAAGCAACCGGGCGCCCTCCCTGGCAGCAGGTAGCAGTCCTGGGTACCCAGGGTCTGACAAAGCTGTAGAGAGAAAATCCTTACATCAAGCACATCCCATCGTTAATTTAGTCTCCTTCCCCTGAGACTACTTTCTTCTTATTTTTATTCTGTTTCTGGAGACAGCGTCTCACTTGTCACCCAGGCTGCAGTGCAGTGGTGTCAGCTCAGCTCACTGCAGCCTCAACCTCCCCATGCTCAAGCAATCCTCCAGCCTCAGCCTCCTGGAGAACTGGGACCACAGGGATATGCCATCATGCCCAACTAATATTTTTGTATTTTTTGTGTATTTGGCAGTCTCTCCATGTTGCCCAGGCTGATCTTGAACTCCTGGCCTCAAGCGATCCTCTCACCTTGGCCTCCCAAAGTGCTGAGATTACAGACATGAGCCACTGCACCTGGCTGAGACCATTTTCTTACTTTGTTACAGGATCCCCTGGGTCCCCAAACCTCAGCGTTAAAGAGCTGCCCATAGTGGACAGCCCGTCTAGCCAGGTGCGCCACGGACAGTGGAGGAGGTGGGGTCACAGACTAAGGAGGCCTTGCCCGCCTTCTTCTTCTTCTTCCTCTTCCTCCTCCTCCTCCTCTTCTTCCTCCTTCTCTTCCTCCTCCTCTTCCTCCTCCTCCTCTTCCTCTTCTTCCTTTTCCTCTTCTTCCTCTTCCTCCTCTTCCTCTTCCTTCTCTTCCTCTTCCTCCTCTTCCTCTTCCTCCTCCTCCTCTTCCTCTTCTTCCTCTTCCTCTTTCTCTTCCTCCTCTTCCTCTTCTTCCTCCTCCTCTTCTTCCTCTTCCTCTTCTTCCTCTTTCTCTTCCTCTTCCTCCTCTTCCTCTTCTTCGTCTTCCTCTTCCTCCTCTTCCTCTTCTTCCTCTTCCTCTTCTTCTTCCTCTTCCTCTTCCCCTTCTCCTTCTTCCCCTTCTCCTTCTTCTTCTTCTTCTTCCTATTATTTGTAGAGATGGAGTCTTCCTATGTTGCCCAGGCCAGTCTTAAACTCCTGGGCTCAGGCAACTCTCCTGCCTTGGCAGGAGGAGGGTTAGGTTTAGGGTTAGGGTTAGGGTTAGGTTTATGGGAAGCAATGCCATCATTTTAGACTAAAAAGTCATGGTAGATTAATCATCTTAATGTACAGAATGTGGTGAGATGCCTGCTTCTTTCTTTTTGGTCAAAGAGAAGTAAGCTAGAGTTTTTGCCAGAGAAAAAAGGTGCCTCTGGCACTCCCAGAAGCCTGGGCAGGCCAGGAGCAGTGCTCATGCCTGTAACCCCCGCACTTTGTGAGGCCAATACAGAAGGATCCCTTGAGCCAGGAGTTCAAGACCAGCCTGGGAAACATAGAGACCCCCCCCCACCGCCCCCACTCTACAAAAAATTTAAAAATTCGCTGGGCATGGTGGCTCACGCCTGTGGTTCCAGCTACTCAGGAGGCTGAGGTGGGAGGATTGCCTGAACTCTGGAGGTCGAGGCTGCAGTGAGCTATTAATACGATTGCACTGCACTCTAGCCTGGGCAACAGAGCAAGACCCTGTCTAGAAAAACAAAAACAAAAACAGACTCAAAGACTCAATAATTCAAATTCAAAACTTCTCAAAAGAGAAGATAGAGGCCGGGCGCGGTGGCTCACACCTGTAATCCCAGCACTTTGGGAGGCTGAGGCAGGTGGATCATGAGATCAGGAGTTCAAGACCAGCCTGGCCAAGATGGTGAAACCTCATCTCTACTAAAAATACAAAAATTAGCCACGTGTGGTGGCACACGCCTGTAATCCGAGCTACTCAGGAGGCTGAAGCAGAGAATTGCTTGAACCGAGGGGGCGGAGTTTGCTGTAAGCCAAGATTGTGCCACTGCACTCCAGCCTGGGTGACAGAGTGAAACTCTGTCTCAAAACAAAAAACAAAAAACAAACAAAAAAACAAAAAGAGAAGATAGAGACAGACTTCTTTTTTTGGTGCAGGGGGATGGAATCTCACTCTGTCACCCAGGCTGGAGTCCAGTAGCGACGAGATCTTGGCTCACTGTGACCTCCGCCTCTCAGATTCAAGTGATTCTCCTGCTTCAGCTTCCCAAGTAGCTGGGATTACAGGTGCCCACCACCACGCCTGGCTAATTTCTTTGTGTTTTTAGTAGAGACAGGATTTTACCATGTTGGCCAGGCTGGTCTCGAACTCCTGACCTCGTGATCCACCCGCCTCGGCCTCCCAAAGTGCTGGGATTACACACGTAAGCCCCCGCGCTGCCCGTAACCTATATTTCTACACAGCTGTCATTTCAGGAATATCGTAGGCATGAAACCATGTGGGTCACAGCCTCTGGGACTGACTTCTTCTCATCCAGCACAATTCTCTGTAGATTAACCCACGTTGTGTGTGTCAACATCCCTTCCTCCTTCTTGCTAAACAGATTCCACCTGAAGAGATTTCAAAAGACAAGAACAGTTTTAAAGACCACGTGCACTTTTCAGATGAAGGGGGATTCGCCCTGCTGGGGTCTGCGGCACTCAAACAAAAACACATTCTCGCATATCTCCAGAGTCTCAAATGTGCCTAAAAATTCTACTTGCTTGTCTCTTTTTTAAGGAACTAACTTAATCTCCCCCCCGACTTTTTTTTTTTTTCTTTTTTGAGACAGAGTCTCGCTCTGTCGCCCAGGCTGGAGGGCAGTGGCACGATCTCGGATCACTGCAAGCTCCGCCTCCCGGGTTCCTGCCATTCTCCTGCCTCAGCCTCCTGAGTAGCTGGAACTACAGGCGCCCGCCACCACACTCGGCTAATTTTTGTATTTTTAGTAGAGACGGAGTTTCACCATGTTGGCCAGGCTGGTTTCAAACTCCCGACCTCAGGTGATCCTCCCGCCTCAGCCTCCCAAAGTGCTGGGATGACAGGCGTGAGCCACTGTGCCTGGCCAGGAACTAACTTAATCCCGATCATGTAAAATTTCAGCTCAATTTATCACTTCTTACTTCACTGCAATTAAATAATCTCCAACACATATATTAAAAGTTATAGAAGTCATTTATTGTTCCTCTTTAAAGTTATTTATGCACAGAATATAACCTACCTCTTATTTCTATTTTATTTTCCCTGTGGTTAACACGCTGTCTGTCAGTCTCTTCCGTCGGCTTTTGCTTTTTAATTGTGCCACTGCTGTAATATATGGTCTTTATTGCATTAGTTTATGCCTTATATTAAATTATGTTCATCTAAGATTTGCAAGAAAAATAGCTTTTCGGCTTACTCAGGAATTTGGGAGACTTAATTTCGGTCGGCTGATTCTCAAGAAAGAAATTACAGTGTGAAAGGCAAAATGCCAGGGGAGGGATGGAGGCTTCGGAGGACGGGAAGGCGCCCTCAGCCTCGTGCCCTCTCTCAAGGTGAAAGGCACCTGAAGACGTTTTCACTCAACACTTTCTTTTCTGTTTTGTTTTGTTTTTTTCCAGACAGGTCTCGCTCTGTCACCCAGACTGGAGCTCAGGGTTTAATCATAGCTCACTGCAGCTTTGACCTCCTGAGTTCATGGGATCCTCCCACCTCAGTCTCCCAAGTAGCTGGGACTACAGGCGCACACCACCATGCCCAGCTAATTTTTCCGTTTTTAGTAGAGATGGGGTTTTGCCATGTTGCCCAGGCTCGTCTCGAACCCCTGACCTCAGGTGATCCGCCCACCTCGGCCTCCCAAGCAGCTGGGATTACAGGCATGAGCCACTATGCCTGGCCTCGTTCATTAAACACTTTCCATGGCAAGGCGGGGGGCTCGGGTAGGGCGATTGGCTGCAGGGCCCCCGTGGGGAGCAGGTGCTGGGTCGAGACCGGCACTCCTGGGGGCCTCTGAACTCCCCAGCAGCTCTTCACTCGGTTTCCCCGTTGCAATGATAACATCAGCTTGTGCCTGCCCCCGTCTGCCTGAAGCTTCTCCTCAGATCCTGCTGCCTGGCTCGGACCACTATGGACCCCGGGACTGACAATCTAACTGCCTCTGCTGCACCTGGCGGGGGCCCTGTAGACCCTGTCCACATACAGCCTGTGGACACCCAGTGCTCAGCCAGTCTTCCCTGCTGGGGGCTGAGGGTGGACAGAAAAGGCGGCAAGGAAAGTCCTCCACGGAGGGGGAGGGTGGACGGAAAAGGCGGCAGGGAAAGTCCACGGAGGGGCCGTGGGTGTCGGGGCCACAGCATGACCATGGAGACAGCTCGGTCCGCGTCGCCACGCTGAGAGGCGCCATCCTTTCAGGGCATGGCAGGTCGGGAGACCGAGGCAGGGGAGAGGTGCACAGCGAGGCGTTGACTCCTGAGGCCACAGTCCTCACCAGCCATTTCAATGGCAGCTGGAAAAGAAGTTCCCAGCTCTGTCCCTGGGACAGGGCTGGCCGCGTGTGTGGCACATTCTCAGTGCATGTTGCTGAACCAGGAACACGTGAATGTCAGACTCCAGTTCCACGCCTGGGCAGGTGCCCAACAGAAGGGGGTGCCTGTGGCCACCCAGAAACAGCGCTGGTCAGAGCATGATATTCATAACAGTCAAAAAATGGAAGCATCCGCCAGACTGGGCAATATAGTGAGACTCCATTGCTGCAAAAAAATAATTTTTTTTTTTTTTTGAGACGGAGTCTCGCTCTGTCACCCAGGCTGGAGAGCAAAGTGGCATGATCTTGGCTCACTACAACCTCTGCCTCCTGGGTTCAGGCAGTTCTCCTGCCTCAGCCTCCTGAGAGTAGCTGCAGGTGCCCGCCACCCCACCTGGCTAATTTTTGTATTTTTAGTAGAGATGGGGTTTGCCATGTTGGCCAGGCTGGTCTCAAACTCCTGACCTCAGGTGATCCACCTGCCTTGGCCTCCCGAAGTTGTTAGCCAGGCATGGTGGTGGGCACCTGTGGTCCCAGCTACTCAGCAGGCTGAGGTGGGAGGATCGCTTGAGCCCAGGAGGTCGAGACTGCAGTGAGCTATGATTGCACCACTGCACTCCAGCCTGGGTGACAGAGTGAGACCTTGTCTCTAGGGGAAAAAATAAAAGACAAACCAAAAAACCAAGGAAGCAGCCCAGATGCCCATCACAGAACGGGTGGGTGTGAAATGCACTCATCATGGAATACTACACGATAAGGAAGCAAGGAAAACTGCTGCACATGGCCACACAGATGAACCTCACAGAACCCGAGGCCGGGTGCGGCGGCTCACGCCTGTCATCCCAGCACTTTGGGAGGGCAAGGCAGGTGGGTCACCTGAGGTCAGGAGTTCGAGACCAGCCTGGCCAACATGGCAAAAGCCCGTGTCTACTAAAAATAGAAAAAATTAGTCTGGGCACGGTGGCTTACGCCTGTAATCCCAGCACTTTGGGAGGCCGAGGCGGGTGGATCACCAGGTCAGGAGATCGAGACCATCCTGGCTAACACGGTGAAACCCCGTCTCTACTAAAAATACAAAAAAAAAAAAAAAATTAGCTGGGCGTGGTTGTGGGTGCCTGTAGTCCCAGCTACTTGGGAGGCTGAGGCAGGAGAATGGTGTGAACCTGGGAGGCAGAGCTTGCAGTGAGCCGAGGTCGTGCCACTGCACTCCAGCCTGGGTGACAGAGCGAGACTCCGTCTGAAAAAAAAGGAATGATGCCAGGTGTGGTGGCTCACACCTGCAATTCCAACACTTAGGGAGGCCGAGGCAGGAGGATCAATTGAGCCCAGGAGTTCGAGACCAGCCTGGCCAACATGGCAAAACCCTGTCTCTACTAAAAATACTAAATTAGCCGGGCGTGGTGGCGGGCACCTGTAATCCCAGCTACTCGGGAGGCTGAGGCAGGAGAGTCATTTGAACCTGGGAGGCGGAGGTTGCAGTGAGCCGAGATCGTGCTACTGCACTCCAGCCTGGGCGACAGAGTGAGACTCTGTCTCAAAAAAAAAAAAAAAAAAAGCCTGACTCTGGGCTTTGCAATATCGCCAGGAAAGGCAGGCACTCCACACCCTGAACGGAGGTAAAGTCCTTGTGCCTCCCATGGGCCCAGCTGAGCTGGACTCAGGTTCTCATCCCTCCAGGGCGGCGTCCACTGCTGGAACAGGTGTCTTGCCTGCCTCTTGCCACTTGGTGGCAGCGTGTTGACCAAAGGAGAATTGGATCTTTTTCCCCAGTTTCCCAGGAGCAAATCACAATGGAAAACCTTCAGTGGGGAGCAGTGGCTCAAGCCTCTAATCCCAGCACTTTGGGAGGCTGAGGTGGGAGGATCGCTTGAGCCCAGGAGTTTGAGATCACCCTGAGCAACATAGAGAGACCCTGTCTCTACAAAAAAATACAAAAGAAAAACTTTGCCAGGTGTGGTGGTGTGTGTCTGTGGTCCCAGCTATGGGGGAGGCTGAGTCAGGAGGATCAGTTGAGCCCAGGAGGTGGAGGCTGCAGTGAGCTGACAGTGTATCACTGCACTCCAGCCTGGGTGACAGAGTGAGACCCTGTCTCAAAACAGAAAAGAAAAGAAAGTAAAGCTTTGTAAAGGAGGTTCTCATCCCTCCAGGACCGGGTCGGCTGCTAGAACAGGTGTCTTTCCTGCCTCTTACCACTTGGTGGCAGCGTGTTGACCGAAGGAGAATTGGATCTCGTTCCCCAGTTTCCCAGGAGCAAATCATGGCTCCTGGAGAGCAAGTCATCCAGTGCATAGGATTTATCCAGAAGGCTGCGCATCGGCAGTAGCCACGGGTCTGTGTCTGCAAGAGCAGCGCATCCGGGTGCTGAGTGCTGTGGTTCCAGGGCTCCCTGAGTCTGGGGGAGTTCGCAGCAGAGGTGATGTCTACGCTGAGCGGGGTAAGGGACGGTGTGCAGAGCTAAATGGACGCCACCCTCCCTCCAAGCCCGGTCTTACCATTGTGTTCCCCATGCAAGTAGGAAAGGGGTTCATTTCCTGCCCTAAGCAAACTTGCCCAGGCTCAATAGGAGACAGGTCTCAAACTCTGAACCCTCCAAATATTCCGAGCATGGCTTCTGTTTTTAGCCAAATGCATTCACTCATTCAGAAAATACTTATTCATTTATTTAATTTATTTTTTAGAGAGTGTTTGTTTGTTTGTTTGTTTGTTTGTTTTTGAGATAGAGTTTTGCTCTTGTCTCCCAGGCTGAAGTGCAATGGCATGATCTTGGCTCACTGCAACCTCCGCCTCCTGGGTTCAAGCAATTCTCCTGCCTCAGCCTCCCAAGTAGCTGGGATTACAGGCGCCCGCCACCATGCCTGGCTAATTTTTGTATTTTTAGTAGAGATGGGGCGTCACCATGTTGCCCAGGCTGGTCTCGAACTCCTGGCCTCAGGTGATCCACCCGCCTCAGCCTCCCAAAGTGCTGGGATTACAGGCATGAGCCACCACACCTGGCCTTGTGGTTTCAATTTGAGTTTCTCTGATGATTAGTGATGCTGAGCATCATTCATATACCTTTTGGCCATTTGTTTGCCTTCTTTTGAAAAATGTCTCTTCATATCCCTTGCCCACTTTGCCCCTCCCGGTTTCAAGTGATTCTCCTGCCTCAGCCTCCCGAGTAGCTGAGACTGCAGGTACGCACTACCACACCTGGCTAATTTTTGTATTTTTAGTAGAGACGGGGTTTCACCATGTTGCCCAGCCCAGTCTTGAATTCCTGACCTCAGGTGATCCACCTGCCTCGGCTTCCCAAAGTGCTGGGATTACAGGCATGAGCCACCGCACCCGGCCTGTCTTTAATTTCAAATGCTGTGTGTCACCGATGTATAGGAAAGCAACTGACTTTTGTTTCATAACCTTGTACCCTACATTTGCTCATGAGTTCCAAAAATTGTGTTTTTCTTTTCTTTTCCTTTTTGGATTCTGTAGGATTTTCTGCAATCACGTCATTTGTGAACAAAGAAGTTTTATTTCTTCCTTCCCAATCTGTATACTGGTGATTTCCTTTTCCGGTCTTTTTGCTCTAGCGGGGACTCCCAGTTTGAGGCCTGATGGGGTGGTGGGAGGGGACGTTCCTGCCTCTTCCTGATCGTGGCTCCCTTCAGTTCCGCCTGCTGGGCCCTGAGTTGCTCCGGGAACCGCTGAGCACTGGCTCTGTAAGCCTCGGGCCCCCATACCGCTTTCCTTCGGGCCCTGCCCTACCTGCCTGCCTGCCTCCAGGCCCCACAGCCCCGTGGAGCCGCCCAGTTGAGCAGTCCTGCCCCCTCCCTGCCACGCCCCCTCGGGGGTCCTCACTGCTCCCAGATGAAAGCCCCTGTTGTCCCCAGAGGCTCTGTCTCCTTGGGGGACGTTCACCAGCTGCCTCTCAAAGGACCGCCTGAGACCAGACACTTCCGTGGCCTACGGCTTCCTCAAGGACTCTACAAGACACAGAAATCCCTGCTGTCTCCACTGAAAAGAAAGGGTGAGGAGGGTCATTTCGACATCATGTCGGAGCCGTTCCTCACTGCCCCGGCTTCCTGTGTGACCAGGTGTTGGTGAAACGAGATTAATCCACCACTCACACGCATAGGAATCCGTGACCAGGCCCCCCGCCGTGCTGGGCTGAGTGGACGGCACGGGAGACGACCCACGGACCGTTCTCGCTTTGCCTCCAGTGTCGTTCAAAGGGCACCTGCCTGAAGGAGACGTGGGGCTTTGGAGGTGCGGGATTTCTTCTTACCTCTGTTCCCACTACTTACCTTCAGAATAAATCTCTAAGTCCGGTATTAGCAAATTCTTCACAGATGTAGGCCACACAAAGCACCCTCATTGTCTGTCATAAATATAATATCTTTTAAAATCTCCAACGCGACGCACGGGCCTGTTTCTTCTCATAAATCTAGGCTGCCTGTCTCTGATCAAATTCTGCTTTTCCAGCAGTTTTACAGCTAAGTCCTCCCACATAATTTGTAATCGTTTCTTTACAAAGGACATTAAGCTAACCGTGATCCGGTGCTGAATTATGTAGCATTTACCACGCTCCTGTTTTTAGATTCCTTATCCCTTTCTAGTGGATTCTAAAAATATCAGTTAAGCCACCAACTAATTTCTAATCCTTGCTTCTATTAATATTGACCGTTCGTCTCTTAGCCTTTGTCCTTGCTTGATTAAGGAATTCAAATCTTTTCCTGAAAATGTGATTGTTGACAATATGACCGCCTCTGGCTAGAGCACCAGGCAGGAAGGGATTCTGGCTCGCGGGGGTCCGGAGACCAGCTTAGCCACAGAAAGCCCTTCAGGTAACTCGGAGTGTTCTCTCCCCGTCTCACTCTCTCGTTAGGCAAGAAACCAACAGTATCTTAACATATAGATTAAATTTTAAATTCTCCATTATCAGCACCCTGCACGGTGAGACAGGCCTCCAGATTTTGAGGTTGGCTTAAAAGGCCTCCCAACCGTGAGGCGGCCCGGGTGGACCACTTAACCTCGAGCCGCATCTGTCAACGCAGACAGCTTCTCTGATGAGTGAGATTCGGCTGAGATCTGAAGCGGGTAGTGGGTGCTGGAGTCCACCATCCAGAGCCCTGCAAAACGGAGGTGCTTATTCCCCTAGCTGCCTGTCTCTGCAAGGGAACTTCCCTCCGCCAAAGGGGCCTCCGCACCCAGGGTCTCACGGAATCATTACGAGATGCAGGGACGATGCCCAGCCCCTTGGCCTCAATTTGGGACTATGGTGAAGGGACATCCCAGCTCCAGAGCCCCTGGGTGCCCTCAGGATGCCACTGGATTGTGTTCCTTTTTTGAGACAGAGTCTCACTCTGTCGCCCAGGCTGGAGTTCAGTGGCGCGATCTCAACTCACAGCAACCTCTGCCTCCTGGGTTCAAGTGATTCTCCTGCCTCAGCCTCCCAAGTAGCTGGGATTATAGGTGCACACCACCAAGACCAGCTAATTTTTTTTTTGTATTTTTAGTACAGACGGGGTTTTGCCATGTTGGCTAGGCTGATCTCGAACTGCTGACCTCAGGTGATCTGTCCACCTTGGCCTCCCAAAGTGCTGGGATTACAGGTGTGAGCTACCATGCCCGGCCCACTGGATTGCATTTCAGCTTCACCCTCTGCCCCCCAGCTTCCTGCAGGGCCTTCCAGGTGCTGTCCTCGAATGCACCCCTCAGTAGGCCCCTGCACGCGATGATCCGTCTGAGTCTGTTTCCAGGGAACCCAACCTACAGCAGTCAGTGCCAGGAGCGGTCCCAGCAAGTACACTCTGCAGGGGAGGCTTAGAGCCGGGCCCCTGCCAGCCAGTATCAAGGCTGGCCACCAGCACCCATCACCAGTGGTTGTGGATTACATTCTGATAACCCCTAGCAGGTGCAGGGAAACCATTTTTAAGGCTTTTAATAACATCTGACTTCAAGACTTAACATGAAGCTACAATAATCAAGACAGTGATATCGGTGAAAGAACACAAATAGATCAATGGAACAGAAGGGAGAGCACAGAAATTGGCCACACGAATACCGTCCGCCGAGCCTTGACAAAGGAGCAAAGGAAACGTAATGAAGGAAGAATCGTCTTTTCAACACATGGTGCTGGGACAAGTGAACATGCATATACAAAAAGAAAAAAAAAAGAATCTAGGCCAGCCTCGGTGGCTCACGCCTGTGATCCCAGCACTGTGGGAGGCTGAGGCAGGAGGATCACTTGAGGTCAGGAGTTCAAGACCAGCCTGGGCAACACAGTGATACCCAATCTCTACAAAAAAAGTTTTTTTTAATTAGCCGGGCATGGTGGCGTGTACCTGTAGTCCCAGCTACTTGGGAGGCTGAGGCAGGAGAATCGCTTGAACCCAGGAGGTGGATGTTGCAGTGAGCCAAGATCGTGCCACTGCACTCCAGCCTGGGTGACGGTGTGAGACTTCATCTCAAAATTAAATTAAATTAAATTAAGTATATATGTGTGTATATATATACATATACATATATATAGACACAGGCTTTACACCTTTCACAAAAATTAACTCAAAAATGGATCATTACTTAAAATCACTTGATTATAAAATGCAAAGCTATAAAACTTCCGGAAGATTACATAGGAGAAAATCAAGGTAACCCTGGGTTTGGCAATGAGTTTTTATCATCTTTATTATTATTATTTGAGATGGAGTCTTGCTACATTACCCAGGCTGTTCTCCAACTCCTGGACTCAAGCAATCCTCCCTCCTCAGCCTCCCCAGTGGCTGGGACTGCAGGCACACGCCACCACGCCTGGCTTGGCAATGAATTTTTAGATACCACACCAAAAACATAATCTATAAAAGATTGATAAGTTGGACCTTATAAAGGGTATCAGATGCCAAAGAAGATATACAGAGGGCAAATAAGTATATGGAAAGATGCTCAACATCTTATGTCTTTAGGGAACTGCCAATGAAAACGACAATGTAGAAACCACCACACCGCTGTTAGAATGACCAAAATCCAGACACCGACATCACCAAATGCTGGTGAGGACGTGGAGCAACAGGAATTCTCATCATGGCTGTGAGAATGACACTTGGGTGTTTTCTTACGGATCTAAACATATTCTTGCCATCAGATCCGGCAATTGTGCCTCTTAGAATCTACCCAAATGAGTTGAAAACATATATTCACACAAAAACCTGCATGTGAATGTTTGTAGCAGTTTTATTCACCATTGTTCAAATTTGGAAGCAACCAAGGTGACCTTCAAGAGGGAAATGTTGAATGGATAAGCAAAGTGTGGCCCATCCGTCTGGGGAAATATTATCTGACAATAAAAAGAAATGAGGCCGGGTGCAGTGGCTCACACCTGTAACCCCAGCACTTTGTTAGACCAAGGCAGGTGGATCACATGAGGTTGGGAGTTCGAGACCAGTCTGGCCAATATGGTGAAACCCCATCTCTACTAAAAATACAAAAAATTAGCGGCGTGGTAGTGGGCACCTGTAATCTCAGCTACTTGGGAGACTGAGGCAGGAGAGTTGTTTGAACCTGGGAGGCAGAGGTTGCAGTGAGCCCAGATTGCACCCTGGTCACACCACTGCACCACTCCAGCCTGGCCTCGAAACAGTGAGACTCCGTCTCAAAAAAAAAAAAAAAAAGAAAAGAAAAGAAAAAGAAAAGAAATGATCTGGCTGGGTGCAGTGGCTCACACCTGTAATCCCAGCACTTTGGGAGGCTGAGGCAGGAGGATCATTTGAGCCCAGGAGTTCAAGACCAGCCTGGGCAACATAGCAAGACCCCATCTCTACAAAAACTAAAAAACAAAATTGGCTGGGCACGGTGGGGTGCACCTGTAATCCCAGCTACTCAGGAAGCAGAAGCAGGAGGGTCGTTTAAGGCCAGGAGTTCGAGGCTGCAGTGAGCTGTGATGATACCACTGCATTCCAGCCTGGGCAACAGAGCAAGATCCTGTCTCTAAAATTTAAAATTTTAAAAAAGAAGGCTCCAGGAAGTGGGCATCTAACAGGGAGATACCACATAAAGCTGGAAAGGGATGCTGGACACTTCAGGGACGGCTGGACGGGCGTCTAGGCTGCGGTTGATGCTCAGGGAGGAAAGCTTCCTCGTGCCCGGTAGGTCTTCTGGTCCCGACCAGCCGTCATTCCCGCAAACACCGCTGGAGGGCGCGCGTGGTAACTGGAAAACGCCCACATGGGTTCCTCGGTGTGACGAGCTGTAATGATGCCACTGCACTCCAGCCTGGGCAACAGAGCAAGATCCTGTCTCTACCATAAGAAAAAATTTAAAAAAAGAAGGCTCCGAGAAGTGGGCAGTTAACAGGGAGATACCACATACAGCGGGAAAACACAATAAAACCAAAACGCCAGCCAACCACGTTGCACAGGAGGGCCCAGGGGAATGCAACCTGGTATCAACAAGGAATGGGCTGGCCGGGGGCACCGGTGCTGTCAAGGGGCTCAGGAGTGTCTGTCCTCTGTAAGCCAGAGCAGACGATACAAGACGTGGTTCTAGAAAGGTTTCCCTAGTAGCAATGAAAATCATGGGACCCCAGAATAATTGGGGTCAGGTGGTAGTGCTGACTCATCAGAAGCCAGGTGGGTGGAATCCTTGCGAGGGCAGCAGGCTGAGTGGTGACGGGGAAGCGGGAGCTGCAGACGGCTATGAAGATGGTTCATAAAACGTGGTATTCCTAGGGGACAGACAGACAGCCAACAAGAATATTACTTAAAGATCGAACCAAGAGAAGTCAACAATGGATACCAGAGGGCGGCGGGAAGCCACTGCAAGGCAACGTCTCGGTGCTTTGCTTGGCTTCCTGACCTGAGCCAGCCTTTGACCTGTGACTCAGTGCCTGCAGGAAGACCTCCCCGAACCACAGCGCGTGCAAGCTGTCACGATGCGCCTGGGCCTTGCACGAGAGGACCCTACAGCCTCCCTCGAAGGAGATGCCGGACACTTCAGGGACGGCTGGACGGGGGTCTACGCTGCCGTTAATGCTTAGGGAGGAAACGCTCATGGTGCCCAGTGGGTCTTCTGGTCCCGACCAGCCGTCATTCCCGCAACCACCACTGGAGGGCGCGCGTGGTACCTGGAAAACGCCCACATGGGTTTCTCGGTGTCCCGGAAGCTGTCCTGGCGGACACGGCCACGCAGAAGCCTCTGAAACTGCAGCCCCTGCTGCCCCGGCTCCCCTTGCAAGATAAGAAATCAAAGCAATGATGTGTTCCTGGGAGACGGGCAGGGCTTTGAGCCAGCTGTAAAGATCCAGAGGTCCCCATCCCATGCCCGTTTAAATAATTATTCTGGCCCCTGCAAAAAAGCAAGACCAGTCATGAAATACGACCGAGGATGGTGCAGACCTCACCAAGTCAAAGCCCGAAACGGCTACAGGCACGGCGTCTTCCCCGGAGCAGGCACACGGCCTCAGGGATGCGACGTTGGCCGCTGAGCTGGAAAGGGCCTTTTCCCATCCCTGTCAGTACGGAGATCAGAAGCAGTTCCTGTTCACACGGAAGGACAAAAGCATGCGTTTAAAATTTTGTCCCGGCCGGGCGTGGTGGCTCACACCTGGAATCCCAGTGCTTTGGGAGGCCAAGGCGGGTGGATCGCTTGAACACAGGAGTTCAAGACCAGCCTGACCAACATGGCGAAACCCCATCTCTACAAAAACAATGACAGAAATTAGCTGGGCATGGTGGCTCACACCTGCTGACCCTCATGGCACTAGGGGTAGCTGGGGTGGGAAAAGACGTGTGTGGAATTCATGACAGCCCGACCAGAGAACACACTGTATTCCCAAGGCTCCACAGCAAGGCCAGGTGTCCCCTGCCCCATGTCCCCTGCAGCAGGGAACCGTCTGGCCCTGGCGGAGACGGAACAGGGCACTATCTGGCCAGGGGGCATGAAGCAACTATGTGGCAAGAGCTTCCCTTCTGAGCTGGACCCCGTCAGATCCAACAAGTCACAGGCCAGGCAGCCCAGCCGCAGGGCTCCGAGTGGAAGGGTCCATGGGACAGGCCCAAGCAGGTCCGAGTGCGGGGGGGACACCACCCTCCACTGCCACGCCAGTACCTTCTGCCCGTTCCCACCTGCGGTCATGGGAGGGGAACTTGGTGACCAGCAGACGGAGGAAGAACAGAGCCGCCCTTGGTTCGCAAGTGGGTTGGCTCAGTACTGAGCACCCACTGAAAGTGGATTGTTGCCACGTTACAGGCCCACTCAGAGGTGGCCCTGAAAGACACTGTGGACAGAAATCTCCGGGCCAGAGCCTCAGGCCACGCATCTGGCCGTCCACTCCTCTGTGTAGGAAGAACAGTGGCCCACGGTAAGAACACACACAGCCCACGGGCGGTGGCGGGTGGCGTGGCTCTTTTGTCAGGGGCCTGGAAGTGAGGTGGGAGCGGGGACTTGACTCCAGAGGCGGGGCTTGGACATTAGACCTAATTGAGGACTAGCTGAAACAGGGACAAGGCCCAGACGCGGCCGCTCACGCCTGTAATCTCAGCACTTTGGGAGGCCAAGGCAGGTGGGTCACCTGAGGTCAGGAGTTCGAGACCAGCCTGGCCAACGTGGTGAGACTCCGTCTCTACTAAAAATACAAAAATTAGCCAGGTGTGGTGACATGTGCCTGTAATCCCAGCTACTCAGGAGGCTGAGGCAGGAGAATCACTTGAACCCAGGAGGCGGAGGTTACAGTGAGCCGAGATTGTGCCACTGCCCTTCAGCCTGGGTGACAGAGCAAGACTGTTTCAAAAAAAAAAATTAATTTAAATTAAAAAAAATAAATTGGTGTGTGGAGTGGGGGTGCTCTCACCTCACTCTATTCACTGCATCTCCTGGCTGACACGCGTCCAGTCCAGCTAAAATCAGTACTTCCTAATGATAGCAGCCTGGTCTCCCCGTGCGCCCCTTACTTACGACACCCCAGAGAGCTGAGTAACTGCCAATTATTATTGCGGGGAAGGAGGTAAGAAACCTTAACTGTGTTCTATACCTTTACCCTGAAAGAGACTGTCAGGGAAAATGGGAAGGGATGGGGTCCTGTGCCTGTGGGACTCAATTTTAATGCTTGTGTGGATGTGGCACATCGGGCCCATCTCCCCCCCGGGTTCCTGGCCCTGGATGGATGGGGCTGGGGAAGCTTAGCGCTGCTTATCGAGCTCTGCTGCGGAAGCTGCAGCCACATAATTACTCATTTGCCTTGTTTGTGCCTGTCTTCACGGCACACTCTTCCCCTGGTTCTAGGGTCTGGTCACGTTTGCGAGTCTGTGTCGCTGGGTTCTTTATGTGCCCACTTAGCCACCCTGGCACCTGCCATCCTCTTTCCTGCTTAAACCTAACAGGAATGGATTTCCATCACGGGCGTTTCTAATGTGCTCTGAGCAAGCTTCTGGGAGGCGCCGAGACGTGCAGAGTGGATGGCTACTGATGTGGCAGGAGGAGGGGAAGCAGGAGGCACACTGGGGCCTATGTGTCCTTAGAGAAGAGACGGGGTTTACCGGGTGAGGTGGCTCACGCCTGCAATCCCAGCACTTTGGGAGGCCAAGGTGGGTGGATCACCCGAGGTCAGGAGTTCAAGACCAGCCTGGCCAACATGGCAAAACCCCGTCTCTACTAAAAATACAAAAATTAGCTGGGTGTGGTGGCAGATGCCTGTAATCCCAGCTACTCGGGAAGCTGAGGCAGGATAATCACTTGAACCCGGGAGGCGGAGGTTGCAGTGAGCTGAGATGACACCACTGCACTCCAGCCTGGGCGACAAGAGTGAGACTCCGTCTCAAAAAAACAAAAAAAAGAGAAGAGACAGGATTGAGCCCCATGTGTGAGAGCCAAGGATAGAGGAGATGGCGGCCTCAAGGCTGCCATGCAGTGGGCAACAGTGTGCTGTGACTGTGTGGATCCAGGGGACGGAATCTTCCACCCCCAGCTACCTGGACCATGCCATCCGAAGCCAGGGAGAATTCGGCCCCGGCAACCTGGCAGAGGGCAGCTGTCTCCTGCTGATGACGGACAGCCACAGAGTACACCCCACCCACCCTTGGGCGCCGCATGGCCAGCGGCAGCAGCTCTGTCAGATTTCATATCCGCAGTCCTCCATTGCGTTGCACTCGTGACTCAATGTTCAAAAGCTTTCGGCCAGCTCCATTCTGCCCTCTCTGGGATAATATAACAATCAGAGAAAAGGAGTTTGGCCTGCACGGGAGGCCCCAAGAGGAGCCGGGTTCAGGCCACGTGGCTTCCAGCGCCTGCGTCCGCTTGCCCATCAAAGAAAGGGTACAAAAGTGGGAGAGTCTGTGGTTTCCTCATCAGCTTAGACCAAAGCCGTGACAGGGGAGAACCCCAAACTGCTAATTAAATCCATTCAGTTTTGGGGGTGGGGGAAGAGTAAACTCCTTCTCTGTGAGCACCAGGCAGTGGGTTCTGATTCCCACGCAGGCCAGCCTGGTGCTGTGGGTGAGGGCAGCTACTGCTGGCTCCTGCCCCAGTCTCCTGCCAGCTGCTCAGACCCGGAATGTCAGGGACCTGGCACCCGCCACCCCGGGCTAGCACTGTCCTACACCCTAACACAGAATCCAGCCACCTAGCTGCCTGAACTCCAGCCAAGAGGGACCAGAGAGGACGGAAAGGCCGTCGGTACCTGGGCTTTGTCTACCTCGCCCCTAGATGACCACCTGAGTGAGTGGGAGGGGCTGGATGAGGAGCAGGGCCCCTCCCCGGGGGCAACAACCACCTGAGAGAGCGGGGATGGCCTGGACAGAGGGGGGGAACCCTCCGGGGGGTGATGAGCACCTGAGTGAGTGGGGAGGGGCTGGACAGGAGCGCAAAGCCTCCTGGAGGTGATGGACACCTGAGAGAGTGGGTAGAGGCTGGACAGGAGCAGTGGGGCCTCCTGGGGGTGATGAGCACCTGAGTGAGTAGGGGGAAGCTGGGCAGGGAGGGGGGCCCTCCTGGGGGTGATGAGCACCTGAGTGAGTGGGCAGGGGCTGGACAGGAGCGCAAAGCCTCCTGGAAGTGATGGACACCTGAGAGAGTGGGTAGAGGCTGGACAGGAGCAGTGGAGCCTCCTGGGGGTGATGAGCACCTGAGTGAGTGGGCAGGGGCTGGACAGGAGCGGCGGGGCCTCCTGGTAAGGTCCGTTGTGCTTTGCTTTCTGCCTGGCCTCAGCAGAAGAGTTTGGTAATTGATTGCTATAATGGTGGCTGTTTTTAGAGTTTCTGTTGCTGGCAAAAAAGGACACAGGGACCCTTTTCAAAGAATATTCCAGGGAGTAGCGGGAGCTTCGGGGATGCAGGGACATAGTGTGTCCGGAGGTGGTTCCTGCTGGTGGGTTCGTTGTCTCCCTGACTTCGATAATGGAGCTAGGGACCTTCGCGGTGAGTGTTAACAGCTCTTAAAGATGGCACGGACCCAAAAAGTGAACAGTAGCAAGGTTTATTGTGAAGAGAGAAAGGATAAAGCTTTCACAGCATAGACGAGGACCCGAACACGTTGCCACTGCTGGCTAGAGGTGGGGGGGGGGGGCGGGGGTGGTTGGTGGCAGCCAGCTTTTATTCCCTTATTGGCCCCGCCCATGTTCCATTTCTGTCCTATCAGAGTGCCCTTTTTTCAATCCTCTCTGCGATTGACTACTTTTAGAATCCTGCTGATTGGTGCATTTTACAGAGCACTGATTGGTGCATTTTACAGAGCACTGATTGGTGCATTTTACAGAGCACTGATTGGTGCATTTTACAGAGTGCTGATTGGTGCATTTTACAGAGCGCTGATTGGTGCATTTTTACAGAGTGCTGATTGGTGCATTTTACAGAGCACTGATTGGTGCATTTTACAGAGTGCTGATTGGTGCATTTTACAGAGTGCTGATTGGTGCATTTTACAGAGCGCTGATTGGTGCATTTTACAATCCTCTTGCTAGATAGAAAAGTTGTCCCAGTCCCCACTTGACCCAGGAAGTCCAGGTGGCTTCACTTTTCAATAGGGCTGCCTGGGAGGCCGAAGCCTGCCACCTGCTGTCTCCCTCCCGAGGACGCAGCCCACCCTTCCCTCCAGGTGGAATTCCCTAGGACACAGCCCACCCTTCCCTCCAGGTGGAATTCCCTAGACCTAATCACAGCATCCTGGAAGGGCCAACCCCCGACGGCTCAGATTGGCGTGGGGCGTGACTGGTCCAGAAGGAACAAAGCGTGAATACATCAAATCCCAGGAGACTAACGGAGTTCCCCTGGGGAAACTCGAGGGTCTGACGCTTCGCTCGGATTTCAGATTCACAAAGACCATCAAGCACTTTCAGGTTCCTCAAAGATCCCAGGGGTCAGCTGCTCGTCGTGCTGACTTCGGGCCTGGGCTGAGCTCTCCCTCTGCTGGTAAAACCCTTCCTCACCCTGCACAGAGGTCAGAGCCCTGTGTTTCCCAGGGACCCCCTGGTCCCCTTTCCAGCCACGGGCAGGGTCCCCGCAGGTCCAGCCGGCCGCATACTTGCCCCCACAGCCTCTGTGTGCCTCCAGCACTGTCTTCGTCACTCGGCCTGTCCATGCTGGTGCTACTTTGGGTTGAGCTGTCTTGAAAAAATATATACATTGGCCGGGCACAGTGGCTCACGCTTGTAATCCCAGCACTTTGGGAGGCTGAGGCGGATGGATCACATCGTCAGGAGTTCGAGACCAGCCTGGCCAATGTGGTGAAAGTCTGTCTCTACTAAAAATACAAAAATTAGCCGGGCATGGTGGCGTGCACCTCTAGTCCCAGCTACTTGGGAGGCTGAGGCAGGAGAATCGCTTGAACCTGGGAGGAGGAGGTTGCAGTGAGCCGAGATCGTGCCACTGCACTCCAGCCTGGCAACAGAGGGACACTCTGTCTCCAAAAAAAAAAAAAGAAAAAAAAAGAAAAGAAAAAAAAGTATATATATATATATATATATATATATATATATATATATACACATATATATATACACACACACATACATTTGCATTCTCCATGCAGCTTACAAGCTGAAATCATGCTTTCCCCAGCTGCACCCCGCAAAGGATCTCGTGTGAACCAGGTCTTCAACAGCTCCCTACAGCTTGGGTGGGAAGGCTTCGATGTCTCCCAGGGTTAAATCGAGCAAGGAACAGCCTAAGGGCCGCAGTCCACGCCACCAGCAGGTGTGGCAGCCAGACGGGAAATTAACTTCCTGTCTGTTTCAAACTAAAATTTGTGGAAGAAAGAAACAATGTTGCAGTCCTAGCCAACGCGCATCCATTAAAATAAGGGACAAACCCAGCGGCCAAGCAGCGGAGGGGCTGACTCCACGAAGACCCGCTGCTGCCGCCAGGGGGAGCTGCCAGGGTGCAGGGCGGAGATTGGAGGGGTTGCAAGGGGGCGTGGCCGGGAGGGAACATGGCGGCACAGAGGAGGAAGGGGGTGGCCCTTATTCAGAACCCCTCAGGAAACAGAACAAAGTCGAAACAACCCGCTGACTCCGCATTGTTGGTACTGCGTGCAGGACTAGGCTTTCTGCCCCGCGTTCTCGGGAACAGACGCCTGGGGATCCCGAGGCCACAGGGGCTCAGATCAGAGTAGCGTTGTAAAATCAGGAATGACTTAAAAACTGTTTCTTTTTGTAGAGACAGGGTCTTGCTATGTTGCCCAGGCCGTTTTTGAACTCCTGGCCTCAAGGGATCCACCCGGCTCGGCCTCTCAAAGCGCTGGGATTACAGGCATGAGGCATGGCGCCCGGCCCAAGGATGGCATTTCTGATGCAAAAATACCATGAGTGACATAGCCTGAGTGTGGTCATTGCTAATGTGGGAGGAAAATACGGAGAGGAGGTGTCTCTGCAGCCGAGGAAGAGCGTGTTGTCAAGAGGTAGGAGGGCAACCCGCCATGGCTGGTGAGAGCCAGGCTGAAGTGTCTGTTGGACTTAGCAGGTGGGAGGCCGGTTCGCCTTCAGGACGTCCCGGAGGTGGTGGCAGAAGTCGGGGGAAATGGGCTGAAGGAAGGATGGATAGAGGTAGGAGAAGCTCGCATGCCTAAAGATGATGAATGTGTTCACCCGTCCAGCCTGGCAGACAGGTGACTCCCCACTGCCCGCTCCCCATGACACCCTCTCTTCTGCTTGGACACAGTGGATTCTACTTTTGCAATTATAATTCACAGCCTCAGCAAATATTTGTAAGAAGTGCACAGCAAAGATAAGAAAGATGAAGGTGGGTCCTGTTTTTTCCCCAGAGCTTACTGTCTTCTTGTTCTCAGACAGAAAAAAGGGCTGGGCGCGGTGGCTCACACCTGTAATCCCAGCACTTTGGGAGGCCAAGGCGGGCGGATCACCTGAGGCCAGGAGTTCCAAACCAGGCTGGCCAACATGGTGAAACCCCATCTTTACTAAAAATACAAAAATTAGCTAGGTGTGGTGGCAGCGCCTGTAGTTCCAGCTACTCAGGAGGCTGAGGCAGGAGAATCGCTTGAACCTGGGAGGTGGAGGTTGTGGTGAGCCAAGATCGCGCCACTGCACTCGAGCCTGGGGGACAAAAGTGAAACTCTTGTCTCAAAAAAAAAAAAAAAAAAAGCAAAACAAAGAAAATCCACGTCCTGAAACAACTGGACAATAAATGTAAACGTTGCGTTTATGAGGGTGAGGCAGAGGCTGCCATCATTTTTGGAATTCAGGGAGTGAAAATTTCCCAGCGCACACCTGAAGCAGCTGGGCTGGCGTGTCTGGGAGTTTCACAGTGGAGGATGGCCCCAAGCGCCTTTGAACACAGGGAACGGGATGGGGTGGGGACACCCAGGGAGACTGCTGAAGCCAAAGTTGTGTGTCGGCCAGGACTTCTGATTGCATGTGGCAAGAACCCAACTCAAAATAGGTTCTGTGAAAACGGGAGTTTATGGGCTCCTAAATTTTAGATGTGCCCGGATCCAGGAACTCAAGTGTGGTTCTTGATGCCTTTCCCTGAGAGCCGGCCCCTCTCCCCTGACTGCAGAGCAGCCCCTCGGGGTAGCCAGGAAGCAGCTACCGTCAACGCAGCTACTCATGGGCAGCACCTGAGGGTCTCCCTGCAAGCCTGCATCAGAATCCACGCATGAACTAAGAGGAGTTTTTTTGTTTGTTTTTGAGACAGTCTCACTCTTGCCCAGGCTGGAGTGCTGTGGCACGATCTGGTCTCACTGCAACCTCCGCTTCCCGGGTTCAAGTGATTCTCGTGCCTCAGCCTCCCGAGTAGCTGGGATTACAGGTGCCACCACCACGCCTGACTGATTTTTGTATTTTTAGTAGAGACGGGGTTTCACCATGTTGGGCAGGCTGGCCTCGAACTCCTGACCTCAAGTGATCCACCTGCCTCAGCCTCCCACAGTGCTGGGATTACAGGCATGAGCCACCACGCCCAGCCTGGATGATTTTCTTGACCTCGTTTAGGGTGACTTCACATGACACTAATGGAGACATTTCTGAGACTGAAAATGGGGTGCTCTGAATAATTTTGCTAGAACAGTTAACATAACCTGGGACTCTTCTGGGAAAAGCAGGACATAACGTCACTGTCACTGTTAAGTGGACACTGAGGGATGACCCACCAGAGCCACATAAAATTGGGGAGAGGTATCACTCCAAAGGGGTGGTCCTGGCCGGGCACGGTGGCTCATGCCTGTAATCTCAGCACCTTGGGAGGCCAAGGTGGGAAAATCGCTTGAGGCCAGGAGTTCTAGACCAGCCTGGTCAACATAGCAAGACCCAATCTGTATTAAAAAAAAAAAAAAAAAGGCTGGGCGCAGTGGGTCACACCTGTAACCCCAGCACTTTGGGAGGCCGAGGTGGTCGGATCTCTTGAGGCCAGGAGTTCGAGCCCAGCCTGGCCAAAATGGCAAAACCCTGTCTCTACCAAAAACACAAAAATTAGCTGAACGTGGTGGTGGGTGCTTGTAATTCCAGCTACTCGGGAGGCTGAGGCAGGAGAATTGCTTGAACCTGGGAGATGGAAGTTGCAGTGAGCCAAGATCGCACCATTGCACTCCTGGGCGATAGAGGAAGACCCTGTCTCCAAAAAAAAAAAAAAAAAAAAAAAAAAAACTCACCACAAAGGACTAGTGCTATTGACAAATGCAGGAGAGACAGGAATGCTGGAGTTACAAAACTAACAGGCATGGCCGGGCACAGTGGCTTACCCCTGTAATCCCAAAAAACTAACACGTGTGGCCGGGCACAGTGGCTTACCCCTGTAATCCCAAAAAACTAACAGGCGTCGTCCAGGTTTGAATTCTGACTTCTCTGTTTCTTACCCCCTCCACGCCTCAGTTTCCCCTTATTTAAAATAGGGATCGTAGCAGGGACCCGTTGGCGAGGAACACTTGTGGCCCCTTGTTGCGGAGTTGATGTGTTACTGGAGACGCTGCGACCTCCTCTTTTTTTTTTTTTTTTTTTTTTGAGACGAAGTCTCGCTCTGTCGCCCAGGCTGGAGTGCAGTGGCGCAATTCTCGGCTCACTGCAAGCTCTGCCTCCCGGGTTCACGCCATTCTCCTGCCTCAGCCTCCCGAGTGGCTGGGACTCAGGCGCCCGCCACCACGCCCGGCTAAGTTTTTGTATTTTTAGTAGAGACGGGGTTTCACCACATTAGCCAGGATGGTCTCGATCTCCTGATCCCGTGATCCGCCTGCCTCGGCCTCCCAAAATCCTGGGATTACAGGCGTGAGCCACCGCAGCCAGCCACGATCTCCTCCTTTCTAGTGGACATCTCGAGGTCTGCAAACTAAGGCCATGAGAGCTGCCCGCCTCCCTGCAGAGTCGTGCTATTACAAGGCCCTTCTTCCCTGCTGACCACAAGGCAGCTATCAGAGGCTGTCTTAGGAGGACTTCACGTAAAAAGAAGCCCCTAAGCTTGATAGGCTGAGAAACCTAGGTACGCCATGGCCACCTTACTTATGCGTGGTGGTACTTCTCTGTTTCTTTGAATGCAGGTGTTCAATTAATTACAAAAAAGATGAAACTTAAAATTCTGACTTGGCCGAGTGTGGTGGCTCACGCCTGTAATCCCAGCATTTTGGGAGGCCAAGGCACCCAGATCACGAGGTCAGGAGTTCGAGACCAGCCTGACCAACATGGTGAAACTCCGTTTCTACTAAAAATACAAAAATTAGCCAGGCATGGTGGCACATGCCTGTAATCCCAGCTACTCGGGATGCTGACGCAGGAGTATCGCTTGAACCCAGGAGGCAGAGGTTGCGGTAAGCCGAGATTATGCCACTGCACTCCAGCTTGGGTGACAGAACAAGACTCTGTCTCAAAAACAAAAACAAAACAAAAAACAAAAAAATTGAGCAAATAAGAAAATCCACTGAGGACAAAGGAGCCAGGTTTCTCACTGCTGGAGAAGGTATTCACAATCATGAAAGGTAGAAAGCTAGAAAGAGCCCGGAGGTGTTGGGCTGAAACTGAAGGCATGGTTATGGATTTGGTTTTTGGAAAAACACATGTATGCAACATAGACATAGCTACAGACGTGTGTATATACACAGGCACATACATCTTACATTCCTAGCCTATGTCCACCGAGAGAGCCCAGAAGCAATGAGCGCACTGCTCACCCAAATCCTGCTGTTTTTTAAATTATTATCCTTTTTGAGACGGTGTCTCGCGCTGTCACCCAAGCTGTAGTGCAGTGGTGCAATCTTGGCTCACTGCAACCTCGGCCTCCTGGGTTCAAGAGATTCTGGTGCTTCAGCCTCCTGAGTAACTGGGATTACAGGCACGTGCCAACACACCCAGCTAATTTTTTATTTGTAGTAGAGACGGGGAAGGGTTTCACCATGTTAGCCAGGCTGGTCTCAGACTCTTGGCCTCCAGCGATCCGCCCACTTCGGCCTCCCCAAGTGCTGGGATTACAAGCATGAGCCACAGTGCTCAGCCCAAATCCTGGCTTCTAAATGCCACCTTCCATAAAGGAACCAACGTCCCTAGGGAGATGGCTGACTGCAGGGTTGGAGCAGGGAGAGAACAAATGACCCTGGAATATCTGAGGCCAGGAGGTAAGGAAAAGTGCAGAGAAGGACGGGGACACGTCAGCACTCGGGAGCCAGCGTGAAGGGGCGCTCACTCACCAACTCTGGGATGTGAACATCAAAATAAATCATGACTGCAATAGAATACTTCCCAGTGAATGAGACAGAACTCTGCATCCATATGGTGGTGACTATAAACTAACAAATAAATGAGTAAGAAAATAAAATCTCTCCTTTACAGTAGAATGCCAACTAAAGGTGTAGAAGAAACTATGGAAATTATTTTAAAAAGCACCACTGGGCAACAATCAGAGGGCTTCAGGTAGAAGTCACCGATGGAGGTTAAGGTGGGTCTGCAGAAGTTTCATGAATAAGACAATGGTTGTGATGGTGAACTGAAGGGTGGCTAGATGGCTGGTATTGTTTCTGGTGTGATGGTGCTCCCAGAGAGACTGAAATTTGAGTCAGTGGACTAGGAGAGGAAGATCCACCCTCAGTGGGGGTGGGCACCCTCCAACCGGCTGCCAGCGCGGCTAGAACAAGGCAGGCAGAAGAAAGTAGGTAAGCTAGCTTGCTGAGTCTTCTGGCTTTCGTCTTTACCCCATGCTGGATGCTTCTGTCCATTCCTCCTGCCCTTGGACATCACACTCCAGGTTCTTTGGCCTTCCGGCTCTGGGACTAACACCAGTAGCTTTCCGGGGTCTCTGGGCATTTGGCCACAGACTGAAGCCTGAACTGTTGGATTCCGTTTGAGGCTGTTGGACTCCGGCTGAGCCACTGCTGGCTTCCTCGCTCCTCAGCTTGCAGATGGCCTGTCATGGGACTTTGCCTTGTGATGGTGTGAGCCAGTTCTTCATAAACTTTCTTTCATATGTACATATATCCTATTAGTTCTGTCCTTCTGCAGCACCTTGACTAAGACAATGCTGTAATCTCAGAATGTCTTCCTGGAAAATACGAATCAACTGACAAATGAAAACACGGTGTCTTCATTCTGGCAAAACCCAGCAGACACCAATACCACCAGGGAATTGAGATAAACATAACCCAGGTAGAACTGGCTGGAAGCCTGTGCCCTGACATGAGGACTCAGGACACGGCACCTTCTCTGCAGTCCCGCCAAGAATATAAGATCCATCCTAGGTGTATGAGAAGTCTTTGCCCTTTAATAAGGATGGGCGTCTGCAAAGACACATTCCAGTTTGGGGAAAGCTGAAACTGTGATAGTGGATGAGATCCTGGAGCGGAAAGGAAAAGAGACATTGTTGATACTGTCTGTAAAATCTGCAGGAGGCTGAGGCAGGAGCATCGCTTGAACCCAGGAGGCAGAAGTTGCAGTGAGCCAAGATCGCACCACTGTACTCCAGCCTGGGCGACTGAGCGAGACTCCGTCTCAACAACAAAAAAAAACTGAATGGGGTCTGAGAATCAGAACTTAGTATTGTTTCTTTTCTTTTTTTGAGACAGAGCTTCACTCTGTCAACCAGGCTGGAGTGTAGTGGCACAATCTAGGCTCACTGCAACTTCCACCTCCCAGGTTCAAGCGATTCTTCTGCCTTAACATCCTGAGCAGCTGGAATTACAGGTGCGCCGCGCCCCCCACCACACCTGGCCAATTTTTTTGTTTTGTTTTGTTTTGAGATGGAGTCTCACTGTTGCCCAAGCTGGAGTGCAGTGGGGCGATCTCAGCTCACTGCAACCTCCACCCCCGAGATTCTCCTGCCGCAGCCTCCCGAGTAGCTGGGATTACAGGTGTGCACCACCATGCCCGGCTAATGTCTGTATTTTTACTAGAGAAGGAGTTTCACCATACTGGTCAGGCTGGTCTCAAACTCCTGACCTCAGGTGATCCACCCGCCTTGGCCTCCCCAAGTGCTGGAATTACATGCGTGAGCCACCGTACCTGGCCACACGTAGTTTCTTGATTGCAAGAAGGCTGTCATGTGCCTAAGGGAGAAAAAGACGTGCTGATCAACTTCAGTCAGGCATGAGTGACAGAGGTACTGGCCATGAATTCCATGTTAATGAATCAACTAGACATTATTAAATAAGGAACCTTGAGAGAGAGACATGTACAACAAGGTTAACGATGAACTGCTTAACAAAAATGCTGTGGCCAGCGGCTCGGAGGAACCTGACTCTGTATTTCCCCGGGAGCCAGTGCCTATGGGTGTTACTCACCAACACTCACGATAATTAGATGATTCCAGGTTTCCTGCGACTTTGCAGAACTATCACTGAGCAACGCAAGGTGAAACATAAGCAGGGCCACTCACGTTTGCTTTTTTCACAAGGTCAGACTTTTATTGATACTTAATCAGAAAAGCCGCAACTACACAGGTTTCCCAAGGTGGCAATTCCCCTTAGCACAGCCCGTTCACTCGGTGGCCACAGCCCCGGGCATTCAGGCTCAGACCACTCCACAGGTGAGTCAACACTGCAAACCAAAGATAGTAGTAAACTTAATACATAAATGTTACAGATTATGGATTAAAATGTCCACTTACATCAAGAGAAAAGGGGGGCAGGCCGGGCACAGTGCCTCACGCCTGTAATCCCAGCACTTGGGGAGGCCAAGGCGGATGGATCACCTGACCAGCCTGGCTAACATGATGAAACCCCATCTCTTCCTAAAATACAAAACAATTAGCTGTGCGTGGTGGTGTGTACCTGTAATCCTACTTGGGAGGCTGAGGTGGGAGAATCACTTGAACCTGCAAGGCGGAGGTTGCAATGAGCCGAGACCGAGTCATTGCACTCCAGCCTGGGCAACAAGAATGAAACTCTGTCTCAGAAAAAAAAAAAAAAAGAAAAAGAAAAAAAAAGAAAATGTGGGTAAAACAGGGTTAACGAACCAGTCCAAGGAGAGCGATGTGGCCAAGGAGGAGGTCCTGCACTGATCCAGACATCTTGAAAGGTGGGAGTCCGGGCCTGGGCAGAGCCTTCAAGGGGAGATGTTGTGTGATTGGGAGGGACAGCAAGATGGAGCCAGTCACCACCGCCGTGCAGCTGGTGAGGTCCTGCTCTTTTCACAGCCCTTGAGTTCTCTGGTGAAAACCGAGAGTAAAGACTGTACAATAAGCCGGGCACAGTGGCTCATGTTCTGTAATCCCAGCGCTTTGGGAAGCTGAGGCAGAGGGATCACCTGAGGTCAGGAGTTCAAGACCAGCCTGGGCTACATAGCAAAACCCCGTATCTACAAAAAATACAAAAATTAGCCAGGCATGATGGCGCATGCCTGTAGCTCCCGCTACTCAGGAGCCTGAGGAAGAAGGATGGCTTGAGCCTGGGAGGTGGAGGCTGCAGTGAGCTGTGATCATCCCAGTGCCCTTCAGCCTGAGCCACAGAGGAAGACACTGTCTAAAGAAAAACAACAAGCTGGGCGCAGTGGCTCACGCCTGTAATGCCAGTACTTTGGGAGGCCGAGGCAGGCAGATCACCTGAGGTTGGGAGTTTGAGACCAGCCTGACCAATATGGAGAAACCCCCGTCTCTACTAAAAATACAAAATTAGCCGGGCCTGGTGGTGCATGCCTGTAATCCCAGCTACTTGGGAGACTGAGGCAGGAGAATCGCTTGAACCCAGGAGGTGGTGGTTCCGGTGAGCCGAGATCACACCACTGCACTCCAGCCTGGGCAACAAGAGTGAAACTCCATCTCAAAACAACAAACAAAAAACAAAACAAGAAAAAGCATGCCTGGTTGTGTCTGTCCTTACCTGATTGGGCATGGTCTCTATTGATTAGGCGACCATCTGGTCTGGTTGGCACGACGCTTTTTGGGTTTGAGGAAGGGTCTGCTCTGCTGCCCAGGCTCTAGTGCAGGGCGCATTCACAGCTGACTTATGCCTCCACCTCCCAAGAGGCTGGGACTGCAGGTGCATGCCACCATGCTGCGTTCATTTCTTATTTTTGTAGAGACAGGGTTTCGTCATGTTCACCAGGCTGGTCTTGAACTCCTGTCAGGCCTCTGAGCCCAAGCTAAGCCATCATATCCCCAGTGACCTGCATGTATACATCCAGATGGCCTGAAGCAACTGAAGATCCACAAAAGAAGTGAAAACAGCCTTAACTGATGACATTCCACCCTTGTAATTTGTTTCTGCCCCATCCTAACTGATCAATGTACTTTGTAATCTCCTCTACCCTTAAGAAGGTTCTTTGTAATTCTCCCCACCCTTGAGAATGTACCTTATGAGATCCACCACCTGCCTGCAAAACATTGCTCCTAACTCCACCGTCTATCCCAAAACCTGTAAGAACTAATGATAATCCCATCGCCCTTTGCTGACTCTCTTTTCCGACTCAGCCGGGCTGCACCCGGGTGAAATAAACAGCCTTGTTGCTCACACAAAGCCTGTTTGGTGGTCTCTTCACACAGACATGTGAGACACTAACCTCAGGCCATCCTCCCACCTCGGCCTCCCAAAGTGCCGGGATTACAGGCCTGAGCCACCGTGCACCGTCCGGCTAATATTTTATTTCTGCAGAGATGGGGTCTCGCTATGTTGCCCAGGCTGGTCTCCATGTCCTGGGCCCACGCCCTCCTCCTGCCCAGCTGGGCGGGGTCTTACCCAGGCGGAGCCCCTTACGTGCAGGGCGTTCTGTGCAGTGACCGCGGCCCTGGGCAGAGCCAACCCCACGCGGCCACATAACCGTCCAGGGGGCGGGGGGCAGCGCGGTGAAATGGAAAAGGATTTAACTGGGGGATCTAGGTGCTGGGGACACTGACATTTTCGGTATTATTCTTGAAGCTTTTCCCTAAGTTTGAAATTACCTAAAAACACGTTGTTTTGAGATGGAGGCCTCCTGGGGCCCGCAGGATGCGCGGCCGCGGGCGGGTGCCCGGGGCGGGAGGCGCCGGATGGGTCGCTAGGCCTCCTCCCTCAGGCCGGCCTCGCGCTCCTACCCCGCAGGACCCCGGCCGCAGCCCTGAGTCAGCTTCCCCGCTCCTCGCCCGCCCGGCTGCGCCTGCGCGGAGCCGCCTCACTGTGACCCAGCAAGCGCGCCGCCTGCGAGAAGCGACCGGACACTTCGAGAAGGGAAGTGGAGAAGCGAGGAGTGGGCGGGCCTGCGGGGCGCGGCGGGGCGGGATTGGCCGGATGGCTGGTGTCGTCTTCGGTGTGCGCCGGCGCCACTGGGCCGCGGCCTGGCGGGATTGGCCGGTCTGCGGGTGACGTTGTCGGGGCGCGCCCGGAAACCCCAAGGCCCAGACGGCTCTCAGATCCGGGGGCTGCGGATAAATCCCCGTAGGCCGCGGGCAGCGAGATGTTGCGTTCCGGTGTGGGTGTGGGTGTGCCTCCGACGGCGTCTCGGTGCCAGTGTCGAGGTTCTTTCTGCTTAGCTACCCGGAGCCGACTACGGAGGAGGACACCTGAGTTTACGTCTCTTCCATCTGCTGCTCACCTCAGCTGCCTGGGTCCCCGACGAGAGCCAGGTACGGGGCCGGGATTGCGCAGACAGGGTCTGCCGGGGGTCGGGCCTGCCTTGAGGTCAGGTTGCTCGGGGGTTCGGCCTGTCTGCTAGGAGTGCGGCTGCTGAAAGTCCGGCTGCTTGCTGGAGGTCAGGCTGCTGGGGGTCCGGCCTGTCTGCTGGGGACCGGGCCTGCCGGGGTCTGGCTGCTGGGGGTCCGGCCTGTCTGCTGGGGACCGGGCCTGCCGGGGTCTGGCTGTTGGGGGTCCGGCTGTCTGCTGGGGACCGGGCCTGCCGGGGTCTGGCTGCTGGGGGTCCGGCCTGTCTGCTGGGGACCGGGCCTGCCGGGGTCTGGCTGCTGGGGGTCCGGCCTGTCTGCTGGGGACCGGGCCTGCCGGGGTCTGGCTGTTGGGGGTCCGGCCTGTCTGCTGGGGACCGGGCCTGCCGGGGTCTGGCTGTTGGGGGTCCGGCTGTCTGCTGGGGACCGGGCCTGCCGGGGTCTGGCTGCTGGGGGTCCGGCCTGTCTGCTGGGAGTCCGGCTGTCTGCTGGGGGCCGGGCCTGCCATCGGGGCCGTAGTACCGGGTCGCACGGGGTCGTTAACCCGCCAGCCGAGTGACAGCCACGTAGATGTGTGTTTTCTTGCTGCGGGCCCGGCCCGCCAGGGTAGGGTGTTGGTTTCCTAGGACGGGTGCTGTGCGTCCAGAACAAAATCATTTGGGGATTCACATCAAACTCTTGTGAATTCCTTGAACAAAACAATTTCGGAACGCCTGCTGTGTGTCGGGCACCGGGAGCTAATAGTAAAGCAGCGGATCTGTAGTTGGAAGCTGTGGGCGAAGGAGGGCTGGGAAAGGACTAATGGGCACCTTAAGTAGCGGGCGTGTAACATAGAGGGAACTGGGGAGGGTGGGAATGGCTTTAAACTGAGGCGGGAGGGGATAACTAGACGTTTGCCATGGGCGAGAGTGTTCCAGTCTTAGGCGACAGTCTAGGAGGCCTCCAGGAGTGGGGAGAGAGCTGATGGGAAGGTCAGGAAAAGGCCCCGGGAGGGGCTGGTGAGTACTAGATGACGGGACCTCGTGAGCCCCAGGAAAAGGCCCCGGGAGGGCTGGTGGGTACTAGATCATGGAGGGGACCTCGTGAGCCCCTTGATTCTCTCTCGAGTGCGGTAGTTTCACCAGCTGTCTGCCTGTTTTCCATAGTGACTTAACAGCTTGCGCTTCTCCCTGATCAACTCCAGGTTGATGTCATCGAGGAATAAGTTCACAGTAAGATTCAATGCCTAAGGGAGTTGAAGAGAGAGGCGAGGGACAGAGTTAAATCTTCTCTGGATAATGGAGTCAACTGATGTGATTTAGCACCTAGTAACAGAGTTTTGTTTATGTGAACAAGTATATTCCATGGATAAAATTGTGACTTAAAATTCACCAAAGTCGTAATCATCACTGGCAGCTGTGTGAATTAGCTCTCGCCCCCTCAGTGTGAGTTTAAATAGAAACCCGAGTTCAAGGAGTGCTTCATAGACTAGGAATTAAAAGGCCTGTGAAGGAGTCCGTGTCTCTTAATGGGGTTGACTACGAATGGCGGACACCTGGTATTTGTACTAAAACTCCATGGAATGCTCCCCACACAGTGCGTTTGTTGACTTTCATTAGCTGTAATTACATTGTAAATCCTGGTGACTGAAGGGCAGTCCAGCTTTCCTCCTAACTATTCTGATTCTCTTGTAGGTGACACTTAACTCCGCCATCTGCGTTTTGAGCACTGTTCTCATAATGGAGTTTCCTGATTTGGGGAAGCATTGTTCAGAAAAGACTTGCAAGCAGCTAGGTGAGTACTTTTAAGAGACTTAATAGAAAATGGTATTTTGTTGGGGGAAAGCTGGCTGTTCTGTTAATTAGCTGATAATTGTGTCTTGGCCTTCCTGGCTCCTCAGTATTGGGAACTGTGCTGGTGCAGGTTCTGTTTGACACTTAGCATCCACCAGAGGCTGGGTGCAGGAGTGCAGGCTGGCTAGCAGGGCCAGGTGGATCCAGGGGGCTGCTGGAATACTTGCGATGCCATAGGGGGTCTCTAGAAGACAGCCTGACCCTGGGATTGTTTTCACATGTGTGGCCCTCGAGGACCTGTCCATCTCATAGGCCTAAAACACTTAGTGTAGGTAAACACTTTGATAGTACTATCTGGAAGTATTTTGTTCCAGTCGTTAAAACACTTCCCTGTTTTTTGTTTTTTAGATTTTCTTCCAGTAAAATGTGATGCATGTAAACAAGATTTCTGTAAAGATCATTTTCCATACGCTGCACATAAGTGTCCGTTTGCATTCCAGAAGGTAATTGATCCTTTGTTCAAAAGATTCTCATCTTCACCGTCTGAAGCTGCACTGTCTTGCTGGTATGGTAGGGACTAGCGACGTATGGCTAACTCATTGAAAATTAAATTTTAAAATCCAGTTTTTCAGTCCCACTAGCCTCGTTTCAGGTGCCTGCTGTTAGGCAGTACAGAGGAGCGTGTCTGCCCTCACAGGACATTCTGTTGGATGACTCTCAGACAACTGAGATCTTATTTTCAGGGACTCATGGAGTCACTTAGTTGTAACCTTATGTTCCAAGCTTACTTTAGATGTTCAAATACTTGGTTCCTTTGATCTGTTACACCATAGCTGTTACACCATAGCTGTGTCTTCACCAGATGCAAGAAAGATTTTAATATTTGACTTGGAAGCCAATCAGGAAGGCAGTAAATACGCTTATTGATTTGAATAACTGCAGCCTTGACATAGTATTTAGGTGACTCCCAGAGTACACAGCAGAAACTGAAAGAGGACCTAAGGAAATGAGCTTGCCCCGAGTCCAGAGGTTTGAGACTTGTTGTTGACTTTTCAGATGGTTCCCAGCCCGTGTTTACTTTGTCTCTGGATGGGTCACAGGTCATTTTAGTGAACTCTGCCACTTGACCGTGGTGGCAGTGGTAATGTGGGTGGCCCAGCATTCTGTGCTTTGACCAGTGTTGGCCAGGGTCTGACCCTCCAGCCATTTTTAGGCCATCACGGTGGGTGGGGAGGGTGACTCACATTCCCTGCGTTTACTAGGCACGGATGACTAAGCCAGACTGCCCAGCTTGTCTTCCCACTGCCCCTTCCTGCCCCAGCATGGGGTGGGGTCTGGCTGGAGACCGTTTACTAATACTTTATTTCATTTGACCAAATGAGGAAGCACCACCACCTGTGACTCTCCCAGCTCGGGCTGTAGACGGGTGTGCTCATAATTCCGTGAGCACCTGCCACCCGTTCCATGTCGGTTGCCACCTCGGTTTTCTCATTGACCTTTCCATCAATTCCTGCCCTGGCTCAGGTTTTTAGCCATGCTGGGCGTTAGCTGCTGGGCGGTCCACCCCTTCGGAGCCCCCAGCTCAGGTTTTTAGCCTTGCTGGGCCTTCAGCTGCTGGGCGGTCCACCCCTTCGGAGCCCCCAGCTCAGGTTTTTAGCCTTGCTGGGCCTTCAGCTGCTGGGCGGTCCACCCCTTCGGAGCCCCCAGCTCAGGTTTTTAGCCTTGCTGGGCCTTCAGCTGCTGGGCGGTCCACCCCTTCGGAGCCCCCAGCTCAGGTTTTTAGCCTTGCTGGGCCTTCAGCTGCTGGGCGGTCCACCCCTTCGGAGCCCCCAGCTCAGGTTTTTAGCCTTGCTGGGCCTTCAGCTGCTGGGCGGTCCACCCCTTCGGAGCCCCCAGCTCAGGTTTTTAGCCTTGCTGGGCCTTCAGCTGCTGGGCGGTCCACCCCTTCGGAGCCCCCAGCTCAGGTTTTTAGCCTTGCTGGGCCTTCAGCTGCTGGGCAGTCCACCCCTTCGGAGCCCCCAGCTCAGGTTTTTAGCCTTGCTGGGCGGTCCACCCCTTTGGAGCCCTCACAACCTTGGCCTGCAGCCAGTGACGGTCGTTAGTACCTGGGAGCTCACCCTAGGTACACGTGGCCTCATCTGGGCGCAAGCAACTCTCTGTGTACGTAGAAGCCACTGGGGAAACCGCAAAGGGATCAGGCCGTTGGCGACTGAGGGGAGCTGGAGGGTCTTTGTGGTCCATGTTTCCCTCCATCTCCTCCCTGTGGAGGTGTCTGGGCAGGCTCTGTTCTCACCTGGGCGGTGCCAGCCTGAGATGGCCCCAGCTGGTTTCTGCAGTCGGCTGAAGTCCATTCGTTGAAACTTCACTAGACTCCTCAGGGCAGCTGATGCCCACATTCTAGAGATGGCTGCCGCTAATCCATGACCCAGTGATGCTTTGTTCTCGGAGGGCTCGGGAGACCGGTTTTTGTCCTCTCTTTGTGTTTAAGTGTGCCGCACAGGAGTACTCGTTTAAAACTTCTGTGAGTTTAAGTTGCATGAGTCTCAGATGCCATCTTACCTTTGTTATTTTTAGGATGTTCACGTCCCAGTATGCCCACTCTGTAATACCCCCATCCCAGTAAAAAAGGGCCAGATACCAGACGTGGTGGTTGGTGATCACATTGACAGAGACTGTGACTCTCACCCTGGGAAGAAGAAAGAGAAGGTAAGGACAGAGCCCGCCTCAGTTCCTTCATCTGGGAAGCCTGGTTTTTCCTTGGGAAGAGTCAGTTTGCTACCTGAAAATTACTCCCAATAGTTTATGTACAAAGTAGAAAAGAAGAGTCCTAACGCTGCGTTATCCCTGTCCTAAACTGCGAGGGGCCTGAGTTTTCAGTTTTATAAATGTTCTTTAATATGAGGGATCCCAGGTCAGGTTCGTCTTTCTTGACTGGAATTTACTAGTTTCCCTCCTGAGATGGAGAATTCACATGGCTTTCTAGATCCATTCTGTTCATGTGCGTTTCATTTGTTTGTTTGTTTGTTTGTTTGTTTTGAGACAGTCTTGCTCTGTCACCCAGGCTGGAGTGCCATGGTGAATGGTGCCGTCTCGGCTCATTGCAACCTCTGCCTCCCGGGTTAAAGCGATTCTCCTGTCTCAGCCTCCCGAGTAGCTGGGACTACAGGCGCATGCCACCACATCCAGCTAACTTTTGTATTTTTAGTAGAGACAGGGTTTCACTATGTTGGCCGGGCTGGTCTTGAACTCCTCACCTTATGATCTGCCCGCCTCAGCCTCCCAAAGTGCTGAGATTATAGGTGTGAGCCACCACGCCCAGCTCAAGGAGCTTCTCTAGTGAACTGGCTGCTGTCAGGCTTAATCCGTTCCTAGTCATGGGTCCTGGTTGGTGGTTACCAACTATCTTAGTATATGATGTTCAATACTTTACAGTTATATTACCATAAACCAAATAACTTTTGGTCTCAAACATAGAGAATAAAATCAGTGTTCCTTAGTCTGCCACACAAAATTCTCTGTGCGGAAGCTTGCTCTGGTCCCCACTTTCTGGCCCTGTCTAGCTCTCCCTGCTGTGGCTGTGCCCTGGGACCCTCAGCCTCTGGAGGTCTCTTAAGCCTCTGAGACATCACAGCTCTCTGGCACACCCGCTTCTTCCACATGACACAGCTTCCCTTGCTGGGGGCTCACCCAGCACTGCCCCAAGGCCCCCACACAGGAATGCCCTCCCGGCTGCTCCTGGCCCGCTGTGCTCCTGTCCTTTTGGTGGGCACGCCCTGTGTTCTGCCTGCATCCCTGCACGGGTCCCTCCTGCATGGTCGCTCAGCATGGCCATGCCTGCCTGCCTTGGCCGGAGGGCCACCCCCGGCTGCTGGAACCCTCCCCACTCTCCTCACTGCCTTCCCCTCTTGGAGTTCTGACTCCTAGGACTTTATATCGCTGCCTACATCCTGGCACCAAAAAAAAAAAAAAAAAAAATGACCGGTGGGTACTGGGACATGATAGATATTCCCTTGATGGGGACAACCTCCACTGTCCCAGGGCTCCTGGAGCCAGTGCCTCTGTGGGGCTTGCCTGTCATCTGTGCTTGGCCTCCTTCCCTCCCGCTCCCTGCTTCCTGGCTGCCTCTCTCTGTTGTCCTCCCAGCAGCACCTCCGGGCCATCTTCACGGGAATCCCCAGCTTCAATGCTGACCGGCTTTTTTTTTTCTTTCTTTTTAAAGGGACGAACTCTTGCTCTGTCGCCCAGGCTGGAGTGCAGTGGCACAATCTCAGCTCACTGCCGCCTCTGCCTCCTCTAGCAATTCTCCTGCCTCAGCCTCCCAAGTAGCTGGGATTACAGGCACCACGCCACCATGCCTGGCTAATCTTTTATATTTTAGTGGAGATGGGGTTTCACCATGTTGCCCAAGCTTGTCTCGAACTCCTGAGCTCAGGCAATCCACCCATCTTGGCTTCCCAAAGTGCTGGGATGACAGGCGTGAGCCACTGGGTCCAGCCCCATGTTCTTCTTACCTGCACTGAGATGGTCAAATGAAACTTTGCATCTGTACTCTGTGCAGACAGGAACTGTGTCCAGTTTAAATGGGAATGTTCTTACCGGAGGCTGTTAAAGAATTTAAGGCCAGCACAGTGGCTCACACAGGTAATCTTAGCACTTTGGGAGGCCAAGGCGGGAGGATCACCTGAGGCTGAGTTTGAGACCAGCCTGGGCAGCATGGCAAGACCCCATCTCTGTGAAAATAGACAAAATTAGCTGGACGTGGCGGTGTGTGCCTGTAGTACCAGGTACTAGGCTGAAGCAGGAGAATCACTTGAGTCCAGGAGGCAGAGGTTGCAGTGAGCCAAGATCAAGCCACTGCACTCCAGCCTGGGCAACAGAGCGAGACCCTGTCTCCAAAAAAAGAATTGCTTGTTGAAGTCACTTTGCTCTCTTAGATTTTTACATACCGTTGCTCAAAAGAGGGCTGCAAGAAGAAAGAGATGCTGCAGATGGTATGTGCCCAATGTCACGGCAACTTCTGTATCCAGCACAGACACCCTTTGGACCACAGCTGCAGACACGGGAGTCGCCCCACCATCAAAGCTGGGTGAGAAGAGACTCCGCTGCGATGGCTCGGAGCACGCAGTAGCATGCGTGGAAGCAGCTTACACTCTAGTGGGAAGTGGAGCCCCATTGAGCACCATCCCACACTGGCTGCTGATCTTGTTTGTTGAGGGAGATGGGACTATAATAAAATTGAATGCTGAAGTTGATTCTAGTTGTTCTCATTGCCCACTGCTGCCGTCACCAAGTACTAAAAACTGGGTGGCTCAAACCATAGAAATCGGTTCTTTCACAGTTCTGGGGGCTGGAGGTCCAGGCGCAGGATGTCGGCAGGGCCAGCCCCTTCTGAGGGCTGCGGGGAGCATCGGCTGCGTCTCCCCAGCATCTCGGGGCTCGTCAATGCACAACCCCCGTCTCCACCTTCATCTTCACATGGCATTCTGTGTGTGTCCCGACTTCCCCTTTTTGTAAGGATGCTGGTCATGTGATCCCACAGTCGTGACCTCTGAAAAGACCCTGTGTCCACAGAAGGTCACACTCTGAGGTCCCGAGTCTAGGGCTCCAGCATGTCTTGTGGGGACATGATTCAACTCGTAATGCTAATGTTTGTCAAATCGAGAAGCATCTGTATTTGCCTCAACTGTTGCACCTGGTGGTGTCTGGCGTCCATCCCTGGGCCAGGCCAGTGGTAGTTGCTTACCTGCAGGAAGCTGTGTGGGTTCTTGCGGTCAGCACATGGAGGCTGAGCTGATCCATCCACCCTCTCTGTAGGTGCTCACCCATGACAGTCTCTGAATCCAGGCCGTTGGGAGATTTCCTCACCCTGGCTCCTGGCGGGCTGGCCCAGCGACTCGGGTACTGGTTCACCCGGCTCATGTGAACGCAATTTCGTCTGTGTGGGGTGCTGCAGCTCTTGGTTGGTGAACACGGAAAGGTTGCTGTGTGTAACTGCACAGTGTGACGCGATGCTCCAGTGGTGCGACTTCGTCAGGATGGATGAAGGACACAGGACTGGGACCCCAAGTTACAGAAGCAGCTCGCTCCAGCACAACCTTTCGGCAGCAGCAGCATCATACAGCTGGTTTCTGAAACACCTTTTCTGCCCTCCAAGATCCTCTGACATGATCAACATTCCTGCATCATCAAGACAAACCTGAAAAGAGCTGTTCTTTGTTCTTTTTGGTGGAAAGTGATGAGGTCCTTCCCGTTTGCACTGCCGTGTGGGTTATTTCCACTCTAGGTAACTTCCGCCTTCAGGTACTCCCCATACTTCTAATGGCCCAGCAGCACCTCCGGGCCATCTTCACGGGAATCCCCAGCTTCAATGCTGGCTGGCTTTGCTTTTTTTTTTTTAAAAGGGATGAAGTCTTGCTCTATTGCCCAGGCTGGAGTGCAGTGGCACAATCTCAGCTCACTGCCACCTCTGCCTTCCAGGTTCTAGCAATTCTCCTGCCTCAGCCTCCCGAGTAGCTGGGATTACAGGCACCAAACTGCCATGCCCGGCTAATCTTTTATATTTTAGTGAAGATGGTTAGCCTGAAACCTTGAAACTTCCCCACTGAAATACACAAACTAGGCCGGGCGTAGTGGCTCACACCTGTAATCTCAGCACTTTGGGAGGGCAAGGTGGGTGGATCACCTAAGGTCAGGAGTTCAAAACCAGCAAACACCAGACAGCTCACTTGCGCTCTTCACCATGTCACCTCTGTAACGATGTGACTATCTGGCCAAGAAGGGGGAAGGACATCCACCTGCCTGGCCGAGGGTTCTTGTCCAGCGGCGGCCACAGGTGCTACTCGCATTGTTTGAGGGCACAGCTGCGTGCCCGTTCCTGACCTCCAAGGGGCTGGGACACTGTGTGAGAGAAGGTGTGTCTTCCTGGACCACTTGTCCCTGCCACGGTCAACTTCTTAAAACAGGCACAGTTCAGCCAGGCGCAGTGGCTCACGCTTGTAATCTCAGCACTTTGGGAGGCGGAGGCAGGCGGATCACCTGAGGTCAGGAGTTTGAGACCAGCCTGGTCAACATGGTGAAACCCCATGTCTACTAAAACAAAAATTAGCCAGGTGTGGTGGTGGTACACGCTTGTAATCCTAGCTACTCAGGAGGCTGAGGCAGGAGAATCACTTGAACCTGGGAGGCGGAGGTTGCAGTGAGCCCAGATTGTGCCACTGCACTCCAGCCTGGGCAACAGAGCAAGACTGAATCTCAAAAAAAAAAAAAAAAAAGGCACAGTTGTCAGCAGCCAGCAAGCCCGAGAGCTGCTTTGCACCTGGATCTATTTCAGCACCAACAAGAAAGTTGCAAAATGCCACCTGTTGAAGATGGCTCTGTCCAGTGATGAAGCAGTGGAAACTTCCAGAAGTGACTTAAAACTACAATGGCAGGAACTAGGGCTTCCACAAGTGCCAGAGATTACAGGAGACTGGGTTTTATAGGTTTGAAGAGCAGAAAGCCAAAACGGGAGGGAAGGGGGGTAGTGAGGTGCACAGTCCTTTGTGGCTCAGATGACAGATGCGGCCTTCGTGGCCTGACACTTTCCACCACCGTCTGATTTTGTGAAGTGATGAACACGGGTAACGTAAATACTGGTGTTAGATTTATACTGACAGCCGCTCTGCTCATCAAGAGTGCAGTGATTTCCTGGGAACTTAGGGGGTGTCAGGGAATAAGGTGAAACAAAATTCCCCCAAGTTCTGTCCTGTTCTGAACTGCCCTGGCCATCCAGCTGTGCCCACCAGATGTCCCGCTGAGACAGTTCACAAAAACACAAGCCACTGCCTTTTTTTTTTCTGCTTTCACCATCTAAAAATGTAACGGGAAGGGTTTGTATTCTGTTGGCGTTCTGCAAAAAGGTGGTCAGACCTGCAGTCAGGGGAACGATGTTTCTGTCGATGACGGACCGTGTATATGTTGGTGATCGCAGAACATACTGTATTTTCACTATATCTTTTTTTTTTAATCTGACAAACTTTTTTGCTTTTATTTTAATTGACATAATTGTACATATTGATGGGGTACATTGTGGTATTTGGAGGAGTTTGAGACCAGCCTGGCCAACATGATGAAACCCTGTCCCTACTAAAAATACAAAAATTAGCCGGGCGTGGTGGTGCATGCCTGTAATCCCAGCTACTTGGGAGGCTGAGGCAAGAGGATCGCTTGAACCCGGGAGGCAGAGGTTGCAGTGAGCAGAGATCGTGCCATTGCACTCCAGCCTGGGTGATAGAGCAAGACTCCATCTCAAAAAAAAAAAAAAAAACTTAAGAACAAGCTAGTCACCCTGCAGTCCCACAGAACACTGGGATGGAATCCTCCCAGCAAGCTGGACCGCACCACGCCTAGGTTTGGAAGCACAAACACGCAGCGCCGTGCCGCAGTGGCCTACAGCATTCAGCGCAGTAGCACTCTGCACGCATTTGTAGCCTGGGAGCCACAGGCTATGCCCTACAGCCTGGGTGTGGAGGAGGCCGCACCATCGAGCTCTGTGTAAGTCCCTGTAGGATGCTTGCACGACAATGCAATCACCTGGCCGTGCACATCCCTGACGGTGGGTGACATGTGACCGTTGCTATGCTTATTTCATGGTGTCTGTCCTAGGCCGGCGGTTCCCAAGCCCTAGCCTGTGTCAAAACACAGGGCTCCTTACGGGAGGGTGCTGGACCCCACCCCGAGGCCCTGGTTCTGTGGTCTGAGGTGGACTCAGGTTTACACCTGGAGCTGCCCGGGTGACACGTCTGGTCTGGGACTGCACTTGGACAAGCCACTTCCCTGCGTCTGCAGCACCTCTGGCCTCGTGTGCTGTGGAGCAAGGAAAACGCAGCCAGCACAGTGTTCGGTGTGGTTAAGTTTAAAAACCACTAACTTGGTTCAGTCAGTGGAAAACAGGTACGTTAGGAACCTGGGTGTGTGAACTGTGAATCTGCAGATCAGGTGTTCTAATGAAAAAATGTTTTTAATTTTTAAAGTCTTGAGAAACAAAGTTCTGATAATTTAATGTCCAAACTGAGATGTATCCAGCCGGGCCCAGTGGCTTATGCCCGTAATCGCAGTACCTTGGGAGGCTGATGTGGGCGGATTGCTTGAGCCCAGATGTTTGAGATAGGACTGGGCAATGTAGTAAGACGTTGTCTCTCAAAAAAAATAAATAGCCAGACAGATGGTGCATGCATGTGGTCCCAGTTACTCAGGAGACGTCAAGGCTGCAGTGAGCTGTGATCACACCACTGCACTCCAGCCTGGGTCACAGAGAGCAAGACTGTCTCATTAAAAAAAAAAAAAAAAAAAAAAAACAAAACAAGGCCAGGCGCAATGGTTCACGCCTGTAATCCCAGCACTTTGGGAGGCTGAGGCGGGTGGATCACAAGGTCAGGGTTCGAGACCAGCGTGGCCAACATGGTGAACCCTGTCTGTACTAAAAATACAAAAATTAGCCAGGCATGGTGGCAGGTGCCTGTAATCCCAGCTACTCAGGAATCAGGAGAATCACTTGAACCCAGGAGGGAGAGGTTGCAGTGAGCCCAGATTGTGCTGTTGCACTCCAGCCTGGCCCACGGAGTGAGACTCTGTCTCAAAAAAAAAAAAGTATCCAAAACACACTGGGCTTTGAACATAATACCAAATTATCTATCTATCTATATCTCACTGTTAAAGGTATTGTTTACATGTTGCCTTTATTGTAGAGTGGGGTCCAGGCACCCACTGGGAGGCTTGGAACAGATCCCCAGAGGATAAACGGGGACTGCTGTATAATTTTTGTAGCACAGAGTTAGAAGTGTGTGTATATTTCTAGAAATGCAAATAAAACCAAGGCCTGAAGAGTAAAAAAATATTTACATGTTGAAATAATATTTTGAATATGCTAGGTTAATAAAACATTAAAATGAATTTCACTTGGGTTTTACTGTGACTGCTCAAAATTTTGAAACTGGGTGGTCAGCTCGGTGCTGTCCCTGTTAGATGGCGTTGTCTAGCTCTCCCACCAAAGGCCAAACAGCCCTGGCACATTTTCTCAGCGGGGAGAGGCGGCGCCTGGTTCATGCATTGCGTTTTCTGTCTTCGATTTGACGGAGTATTGAAGTATAAAACTTAAGAGTGCTCTCCCTCTCCCTCTCCCTCTCCCTCTCCCTCCCCCTCCCTCTCCCTCTCCCTCTCCCTCTCCCTCCACGGTCTCCCTCTGATGCCGAGCCAAGGCTGGACGGTACTGCTGCCATCTCGGCTCACTGCAACCTCCCTGCCTGATTCTCCTGCCTCAGCCTGCCGAGTGCCTGCGATTGCAGGCGCGCACCGCCACGCCTGACTGGTTTTCGTTTTTTTTTGGTGGAGACGGGGTTTCGCTGTGTTGGCCGGGCTGGTCTCCAGCTCCTAGCCGCGAGTGATCCGCCAGCCTCGGCCTCCCGAGGTGCCGGGATTGCAGATGGAGTCTCGTTCACTCAGTGCTCAATGGTGCCCAGGCTGGAGTGCAGTGGCGTGATCTCGGCTCGCTGCAACCACCTCCCAGCCGCCTGCCTTGGCCTCCCGGAGAGCCGAGATTGCAGCCTCTGCCCGGCCGCCACCCCGTCTGGGAAGTGAGGAGCGTCTCTGCTTGGCCACCCATCGTCTGGGATGTGAGGAGCCCCTCTGCCTGGCTGCCCAGTCTGGAAAGTGAGGAGCGTCTCTGCCTGGCCGCCATCCCATCTGGGAAGCGAGGAGCGCCTCTTCCCCGCCGCCATCCCATCTAGGAAGTGAGGAGCGTCTCTGCCCGGCCGCCCATCGTCTGAGATGTGGGGAGCACCTCTGCCCCGCCGCCCTGTCTGGGATGTGAGGAGCGCCTCTGCTGGGCCGCAGCCCTGTCTGGGAGGTGGGGAGCGTCTCTGCCCGGCCGCTCCGTCTGAGAAGTGAGGAAACCCTCTGCCTGGCAACCGCCCCGTCTGAGAAGTGAGGAGCCCCTCCGTCCGGCAACCACCCCGTCTGGGAAGTGAGGAGCGTCTCCGCCCAGCAGCCACCCCGTCCGGGAGGGAGGTGGGGGGGGTCAGCCCCCCGCCCGGCCAGCCGCCCCGTCCGGGAGGTGAGGGGCTCCTCTGCCCGGCCGCCCCTACTGGGAAGTGAGGAGCCCCTCTGCCTGGCCAGCCGCCCCATCCGGGAGGGAGGCGGGGGGGGGGGTCGGCCAGCCGCCCCGTCCGGGAGGGAGGTGGGGGGGTCAGCCCCCCGCCCGGCCAGCCGCCCCGTCCGGGAGGTGAGGGGCTCCTCTGCCCGGCCGCCCCTACTGGGAAGTGAGGAGCCCCTCTGCCCGGCCAGACGCCCCGTCCAGGAGGGAGGTGGGGGGGTCAGCCCCCCGCCCGGCCAGCCGCCCAGTCCGGGAGGGAGGTGGGGGGTCAGCCCCCCGCCCGGCCAGCCGCCCCGTCTGGGAGGGAGTTGGGGGGATCAGCCCCCCGCCTGGCCAGCCGCCCCATCCGGGAGGTGAGGGGCGCCTCTGCCCGGCCGCCCCTACTGGGAAGTGAGGAGCCCCTCTGCCCGGCCAGCCGCCCCGCCCGGGAGGGAGGTGGGGGGATCAGCCCCCCGCCTGGCCAGTCGCCCCGTCCGGGAGGTGAGGGGCCCTCTGCCCGGCCGCCCCTACTGGAAAGTGAGGAGCCCCTCTGCCCGGCCAGCCGCCCCGTCCGGGAGGGAGGCGGGGGGGGGGGGGTCGGCCAGCCGCCCTGTCCGGGAGGGAGGTGGGGGGGGTCAGCCCCCCGCCTGGCCAGCCGCCCCGTCCGGGAGGGAGGTGGGGGGATCAGCCCCCCGCCTGGCCAGTCGCCCCGTCCGGGAGGTGAGGGGCGCCTCTGCCCGGCCGCCCCTACTGGGAAGTGAGGACCCCTCTGCCCGGCCAGCCGCCCCGTCCGGGAGGGAGGTGGGGGGGACAGCCCCCCCGCCCAGCCAGCCGCCCTATCCAGGAGGTGAGGGGCGCCTCTGCCCGGCCGTCCCTACTGGGAAGTGAGGAGCCCCTCTGCCTGGCCAGCCGCCCCGTCCGGGAGGGTGGTGGGGGGGTCAGCCCCCCGCCCGGCCAGCCGCCCCATCCGGGAGGTGAGGGGCGCTTCTGCCCGGCCGCCCCTACTGGGAAGTGAGGAGCCCCTCTGCCCGGCCACGACCCCGTCTGGGAGGTGTGCCCAGCGGCTCATTGGGGATGGGCCATGATGACAATGGCGGTTTTGTGGAATAGAAAGGCGGGAAGGGTGGGGAAAAAATTGAGAAATCGGATGGTTGCCGGGTCTCTGTGGATAGAAGTAGACATGGGAGACTTTTCATTTTGTTCTGTACTAAGAAAAATTCTTCTGCCTTGGGATCCTGTTGATCTGTGACCTTATCCCCAACCCTGTGCTCTCTGAAACATGTGCTGTGTCCACTCAGGGTTAAATGGATTAAGGGCGGTGCAAGATGTGCTTTGTTAAACAGATGCTTGAAGGCAGCATGCTCGTTAAGAGTCATCACCACTCCCTAATCTTAAGTACCCAGGGACACAAACACTGCGGAAGGCCAAGGCCGCAGGGTCCTCTGCCTAGGAAAACCAGAGACCTTTGTTCACTTGTTTATCTGCTGACCTTCCCTCCACTATTGTCCTATGACCCTGCCAAATCCCCCTCTGCGAGAAACACCCAAGAATGATCAATAAAAAAAAAATAAATTAATTAAAAAAAAAAAAAAAAAAAAAAAAAAAAAAAAAAACTTAAGAGTGAGGCCAGGTGTGGTGGCTCAGGCCTGTAAGACCAAAACTTTGGGGGGGCCAAGGCGGGTGGATCACTTGAACCCAGAAGTTCAAGACCAGCCTGGGCCACGTGGCAAAACCCTGTCTCTACAAAAAATACAAAAATTAGCCAGGTGTGGTGGTGCGTGCCTGGAGTCCCACCAACTCGGGAGACAGAGGTGGGAGGATCGCTTGAGCCCAGGCCCTCAAGGCTGCAGTGAACCATGACTGTGCCACTGCACTCCAGTCTGGATGACAGAGCGAGACCCTTCTCAAAAAAAAAAAGTTGATGGAACCCAAAGCCTACCTGATGGAAATGAAGGTGTCCCCAGAGTGCCACTGAGAGCGGGCGAGTCGGCCGTGGCCCTGCCGGCTGGAGTGTCAGAGTCAACCGTGGAGGTCACTGGCCCTGCCTTTTTTTTTTCTGAGATGGAGTCTCACTCTGTTGCCCAGGCTGGAGTGCAGTGGCACGATCTCAGCTCACTGCAACCTCCGCCTCCTGAGTTCAAGCTATTCTCATGTCTCAGCCTCCCCCTCCCAAGTAGCTGGGATCACAGGCGCCCGCGATCGCGCCCGGCTAATTTTTGTATTTTTTAGTAGAGACGGGGTTTTGCCATGTTGGTCAGGTTGGTCTCGAACTGCTGACCTCAGGTGGTCCACCCGCCTCAGCCTCCCAAAGTGCTGGGATACAGGTGTGAGCGACTGCGCCCGGCCGAGGCTCTGCCTTTTCAAAAGCAGATTTGGACCTGGGCTGGTGCGGCCGCGGGAGCAGATGTTTGCAGATGCTGAACGTTTTCTCTGGCTGGGTTGGACAGGCTCACAGTCCCGCGCCTGGCATCTCGCGTCACCCCACCTGCCTACAGCAGGGGAAGCGCGTCTCGGGAAGTGTCCTCGCCCCCTGCCTCGGGGGCTCTCCTTTGCCTGAGTTGGGCTTTGGCTGGCATCACTGTTTTATCTGTGCAGGGCCCAGGGCCGTGCCGTCACCCCTGGTGCCTGGCATCTTGGACAGGAGCCTGGGAGCCTGGCTGCTACTTCCCTTTCTGGTGTACGGGCTGCAGTATCAAAACATTTTCACAAGATGTCCCCAAAAGGCCTTTTAAGTCAGAGTGAGGGTTGACAGCGTCCGGTATTCCTGGTGAGAAATTAGGTCCAGCGTCACAGGAAGGACGGATATAACCAGCCCATCAATCCTAACTCAGTTTCTCCAGGTTAACAAAGTTAAAAGGGATCGGGGATATTTTTTAATGTACTCTTCATTAACCTTCCAGATGTATTCTTTGCAGTAAGCCTAAGACTGCACTTGAATGATCAGCTCAGAGATGAGTTCCTAAAATAGGTCAGCGGCTGAAATTGCTGTAGTTTTCCAAATGCTGAGCTTAAGAATGAGGATCTTTGACATCCGCTCAGTATTGTAAATGTCTGTATTTCTTTGGAGACAGGGTCTTGCTCTGTCACCTAGGCTGGAGTGCAGTGGTGCATTCATGGTTCACTGTAGCCTTGAACTCCCAGGCGTGAGTGAAGCTCCTACCTCAGCCTCCCGAGTAGCTAGGACTACAGGTGTGCACCACCATGCCCAGCTAATTTAAAAATATATATTTTTTTATAGAGATAGGGTCTCACTACGTTGCCCAGGCTGGTCTCGAACTCCTGGCCTCAAGTGACCTTTCTACCTTGGCCTCCCGAAGTACTGGGCTTATAGGCGTGAGCCATGGTGCCTGGCCTTCAATATTGCAGATGTGTTGAGAGGATCATTGTGTTCTGGGGAACCCGGTGACAGAGAAACTAGTCTGACTTTTCTGCGTGGATGCATATGAAGTTTTTGCAGATAAATGTTGATTTACTTCATTTTGCTGAAATGATATTAAAAACTTATAATCACAGTTTATTATACAAGGTGAATAAAGGAAAGAGGAGAGTATTTAGGCCGAGATATTAGTTGAATGCTGTTAGAGAGATTTTTTGCTGTTTTTCAATTTGTTTGTCTTATTTAGAGACAGTCTTGCTCTGTTGCCCAGGCTGGAGGGCAGTGGCGTCATCACAGCTCACTGCAGCCCTGACTTCCTGGGCTCAAGGGATCCTCTCACCTCAGCCTCCCAAGTAGCTGGGACCACAGGTGCATGCCACGATGCCCTGGTAATTTTTAATTTTTTTTGTAGAGGTGGGATCTTGCTATGTTGCCCAGGCTGGTCTCTAACTCCTGGGTTCAAGTGATCCTCCCACCTCAGCCTCCCAAAGTGCTGGGATTACAGGTGTGAGTGCCCGGCCCTGTTTTTCATTTCTTTTGTTTGAGGATGTTGTTCTTTGATTTCTACCTCACATTGTTCCGACATCGGGATGGGGAGGCTCTGCTGACATGCAGTGTTGAGGCTGCACCCACTCCTGAGCTACATTATGACATCATCTTAGAACACATTAAAAGCTAAGATTTTCTTGCAATCGATGCTGCAAGAAATGCCTTTTAAAATGGCCTTTTTTGGCCGGGCGCAGTGGCTCACTCCTGTAATCCCAGCACTTTGGGAGGCCGAGGTGGGCGGATCGCGAGGTCAGGAGTTCGAGACCAGCCTGGCCAACATGTTGAAACCCCCGTCTCGACTAAAGATACAAAAAAATTTAGCCAGGCGTGTTGGCACGTGCCTGTAATCCCAGCTACTCGGGAGGCTGAGGCAGGAGAATCGCTTGAACCTGGGAGGTGGAGGTTGCAGTGAGCTGAGATCGTGCCATTGCAGTCCAGTCTGAGCGACAGGGCGAGACTCTGTCTCCAAAAAAAAAAAAAAGCTTTTTAGAGCAGCTCTGTAATTTTTCATTCTGGATGTTTCGTTCCACACTGAAGCTATTTTTGCAGATAGTTGTGCTGTGGTGAATCTTAAGAAAAAAATGAAACAGCAGTCCACTCAGAGGACCAGCGTTTCCCTCTTCTGGTTTCACTTAAACAGTCCCTGGAGAATGAGGGCAATTAGAAAGGTTACTGTTTCTATGGCAATTGGGTAAAAAGTTGATGAGATTCTAGATAAAATCGGCTGTTCAACAAGCCGGGGTCAGCGCACACAGTGCTGAGCAGTGTGATCGTTTGCAGGGGTGATTTGGGCCAGTCGTTTGGCTGGGTGTTCGCCCATTTCCCCAGGACTTCTGTGGCACCCACGCTTTGTCCATCACTCGCAGCCTCTGATTCCCTGTTCTGCGGGAGCCAAGCCTATCTTCCATCGTGCTACACAGCTGGGTCTCTTGGCGGTAAATCTTGGAAGTTCTGTCTGAAGCAGTGATTCCTAAACTTGTTCAGGTGTCAGAAACCCAACCAGTCTTGGCCTTCCACGGCCTACCAAGAATACAGCTGAACTGAGTGCTGCACATGCAGTGTTCTGCAACACCAGATGCATCAGATACTGAATCTAGCATAAACAGACAACAAGCATCCAAGGTGTGAGATGAAGTTTGTAGGAAGAAAGATACCGTGGAGAAAATGGTATCACTTTAAGCTTTGCTGTAAACGAGAAAAGCCAACTTAATCCAATTTGAGGGCCAGAGATCCTTGGGAGATGGTTAAGAGTATTTTGCAACAGTTGGGTTGATCAGCTGTGGTTCATGGTCTTATTAAAACAGCTAGTAACGGCCAGGCACGATGGCTCACAGCTGTAATCCCAGCACTTTGGAAGGCGGAGGTGGAGAGATCACTGAAGTCAGGAGTTTGAGACCAGCCTGACTGACATGGTGAAATCCTGTCTCTACTAAAAATACAAAAATTAGCCAGGCATGGTGGTGGGCGCCTGTAGTTCCAGCTTCTCAGGAGGCCGAGGCAGGAGAATTGCTTGAGCCCATGATGTGGAGGCTGCAGTGACTCGAGATCGTACCACTGCACTCCAGCCTGGGCAACACAGCAAGACTGTCTCAAAAAAAAAAGTTTCATATCTCAGGTGTCAATGATTTAGTGTTCAATAAAGTAGGAAATGAGTGATATAACTCCTTAATATTATAAAACTTGCATACCTCCTCAAACAATAAAAGAACCTAGTTAAGATAATAGGATATAAAACCAACACACAGGATCAAAAACCTTCATTCACACAAACAATAATCAGAAGATGTAATGGAAGAGGAAAACTCCATTTACAATGGTAATAAAGATAAAACACATAGGAATAAACTTAGGACATACGTAAGACCTATATTGGATAAAACTTTAAAACATGATTCATGAAGTATTATTTTGGGAAGAAAAGAGAAAAATGTGTGTTTCATGAAAGGTACAATAGTAGATGCAAATCAATGGAAAGACAGTCCTTGTTCTTGGAAGACTCAACAACCAAGAAAGACGGGTGCCAGACATGACGTGAGAGTATGTGAGGATGACCCTAGATAGCCTGACAAGGGTATCGCCTGAGAATGTGTGAAGATGACCCCAGAGAGCCTTACAAGGCTATCTTGTAAAGGATGTTCAGATTTACCTATTCAAGGCCCATCTTGAGCTCTCCCTGCCACAGCCCTGGGATCAGCCATTTCTCCCAGGAGCCCTGGTCCGTATTCATGGGGGATGGTATTTAGGAGCAGTGTTCTGGGTGCCAGGAGTGCTCAGTGCCACTGGGATGTCATTGCATCCAAGTCCTTTCAGCATTTCTGTATTAGTCAGTATTCACACTGCTATTCAGACATACCTGAGACTGGTAATTTATAAATAAAAAGAAGTTGAATGGACTCACAGTTCCACATGGCTGGGGAGGCCTCTCAGTCTTGGCGGAAGGCAAAAGGCACATCTTACATGGCAACAGATGAGAGAAAATGAGAACCAAGCAAAAGGGGTTTCCCCTTATCAAACCATCAGATCTCATGAGACTTACTCACTACCAAGAGAACAGTATGGGGGAAACTGCCCCCATGATTCAATTATGTCCCACCAGGTCCCTCCCACAATGCATGGGAATTATGGGAGATACAATTCAAGATGAGATTTGGGTGGGGACACAGCCAAACCATATCAATTTCCAAAAATAAAAATGAAAAAAAATTATTTTCCTTTTTTCCTTTTTTTTTTTCACCCAGGCTGGAGTGCAGTGGTGTGATCATAGTTCACTGCAGCCTCCATCTTCCAGGCTCAAGCAATCCTTCCACCTCAGCCTCCTAAGTAGCTGGGACTATATGCGTGCACCACCACACCCAGCTAATTTTCTATTTTTATTTTTGTAGACATGAGGTCTTACTGTTTGCCCAGGCTGGTCTTGAACTCCTGGTGTCCATCCATCCTCCTGACTCAGCCTCCCAAAGAGCTGGGATTACAGGCCTGAGTCACTGCACCTGGCCATGATTCACTTTTTTTTTTTTTTTTTTTTTGAGCTGGAGTCTTGCTCTGTCGCCCAGGCTGGAGTGCAGTGGCGCGGTCTCAGCTCATTGCAACCTCTGCCTCCCGGGTTCAATAGGTTCTGATGCCTCAGCCTCCTGAGTAGCTGGGATTATAGGTACATGCCACCATGCCTGGCTAATTTTTGTATTTTTAGTAGAGATGGAGTTTTGCCACGTTGGCCAGGCTGGTGTTGAACTCCTGACTTCAAGTGATCCATCCACCTCAGCCTCCCAAAGTGCTGGGATTACAGGTGTGAGCCACCGCACCCGGCCGACTTCTAATGAACAGAATATGGCAAAAGCCTAGGGAAGTCACTTCTGAGATTAGGGTGCAAGGAGACTGTGATGTGCGTCTTGTGTGTGCCTCCTCTTGTGTGTGCTTGCACCGTCTAAGGCAAGCCAGCTGCAGTGTTGTGAGCTTCCTTGTGGTAAGGCCCATGTACCAAGGAACTGAGGGTGGCCTTTGGGCAGCAGCCAGCAAGGCTGAGGCCCTTCTCTAATGACCTTGGAGGACTGAGTCCTTACAATATCCGTGTGTGTGAGCTTGGGAGTGGATCATTCCAGATAAGCTTTCCGATGAAACCACAACCCTGGGGGGACACCTTGACCACAACTTGGTGAACCCTTGAGGCAAAGGCACAGAGCTTAGCCACGCCCACTTTCCTGACCGCGGATACCATGAAAAAATAAATGTTCTTTTAGGCTGCTAAATGTTGGGTTAATTTGTTATGCAGAAAAAGGAACCAAATACAATCTTCTACCAGTAAGGAAGAGTGCACCTTCTTTGCTTGTCACCTTTGGATTCCTGAGGCAACGTACATCATACTTGATACGGCTGCCAAGCACTTAACTTACTGGGTGACTTGAAAGCATGCTTTTTTTTCTTTTTTTTTTTTAGACGGGGTCTGGCTCTGTTGCCCAGGCTGGAGTGCAGTGCCTTGATCATAGCTCACTGCAGCCTCCATCTCCCAGGCTCCAGCGATCCTCCCACCTCAGCGTCCAGAGTATCAGGAACTACAGGCACGTGCCACCATACCCGGCTAATTTTTATTTTTTTAATTTATTTTTTATTTTTTAAAACAGAGTCTCATTCTGTCGCCCAGGCTGGAGTGCAGTGGCACGATCTCGGCTCACTGCAACCTCCACCTCCCGGGCTTAAACGATTTTCCTGCCTCAGCCTCCCGAGTAGCTGGGATTACAGGCACCTGCCACCACGCCTGGCTAATTTTTGTATTTTTAGCAGAGACGGGGTTACGGGGTTTCGTCATGTTGGCCAGGCGGGTCTCGAACTCCTGAGCTCAAGCGATCCGCCCGCCTGGGCCTCCCAAAATGCTGGGATCACAGGCGTGAGTCACCGCTCCCGGACACAAGCATTATTATAACACTACCCACCCTGTGTATTTTTTAGCACCTATCCTGATTTTTTAAATTCAGCACGAAGTTTAAGTCCTAGCCCTGTTGATCCCAATAGCCGTAGCTCATCCATTTCGACTCCGAGCCGAGCTCCATACCCTGGACCCTCGGCGGAGGCCCCACCCCGGGACGCCAGCCCGGCCGGGGCAGCTTGCACCCCAGACCCCCAAGCCCTGCGGGGCCCAAACCTAGTCATCTGCACTTGTTCTGGGCAGGGCGGGTTGCCTTGGCAACCAGCTCCTCTCCAAGCAACTCTAGGCCTCTAGAGATGGCGTCAGTAGCCCGCGCCCGGTCCTGGAACCGCCCCCCGTGCTGCCGCCGCTTGCCATTAGCCGGCGGAGAGACGGACGCAGACCTCGTCCAATGGGAGGCTCCGCACTCCTGAAGGCGGGACTAACGCTTACCTGGGGCGCGGGTCCCTGCCGGAAGGCGGCGTCCGCGACGCAGCTGTTCACGCTTAGGTGGGCGACGTGGGCGCAGGTGGGCGCAGGTAGGCGCGTGGGGCGGCGGCGGGGTGGCCGGCGGGTCAGGGCGCCAGGAGACCCAGAGCCCCGGGGCGGGCTCCCGCGGGGCTCCGCCCCCTCCACGTGGGTGCGCGGAGGCCCGGCGCGGCGCGACCGGGCGGCGGCCCTGGGGTCCGCGGTGCTGGGGAGGCTGGTGCGGCCGGTGCGGCCGGTGCGTCCCGGCGCGGGCTCCGACACCCGCACCCGCCTCTGGGTTAACTCAGCGCGGGCGAGTGGAAGGGACTCAGCTGGCTCCTAGGTTTCAGGCCGTCAGGGCTTGCAGTGGCTCTGGTTTCATTGTCTTTCTCTGAAGACGCCCTGATTGCCCTCCGAGGCTTTCAGCTCCCACTTTCTCTTTTTCAATTTTTGAGGCAGTGTCTCGCTGTGCCACCCAGGCTGGAGTGCAATGGCGTGATCATAGCTCACTGCAGCCTCCACCTCCTGGGCTCAAGCCGTCCTCCCGCCTCATCCTCCCAAGTAGCTGGGACCACATGCGCGCGCCACCACACCCGGATAATTTTTAAAAATGTTTTTTGTAGAAATGGGGTCTCACCATGTTACCCAGGCTGGTCTCGAATTCTTGGGCTCAAGCGATGGATCCTCCTGCCTCGGCCTCCCAAAGTGCTGGGATTACAGGAGTGAGCCAACGCGCTTGGCCTCACTTTCCATCATAAGCATGCTTTCCGTTTCCTTCCTTCCGTCATTCATTCATTCATTTTTAAAAAACGTTCATTGGGTTCCTCCTGCACTGTTCGGGGCATTGGGCTACAGCTGTCAACAAGTGGAGACAAGTCTGTGATCTAGTGAACTTCCATTCTGGAGGGGAGAGACAGATGAACAAGGTGCACAGAGCAGGTGATGGTAAGTGCCATGGAGAAGATGAGAACAGGGGTTTTGAGAATGGAAAGGAAGCAGGAGGAGGAGTGAGGCACCAGAACATTCCAGGTCGAGGAAACAGCAGGTGCAGGGGAAACAGCAGGGAGCCCAGTGTGGCTGCAGCCAATTTGGGAACAGAGAGAGAAAGAGGAGGTGAGTTCCCAGAGATGCGAGGAGGGGCCAGGGCAGTCGTGTGGACCTTACCAAGTGGCAAGGACCTTGACTTTCCCTCCAAGTGGAAGGGGACAGCTTGGGAAGTTTTTTGAGTGGAGGTGACACACCATCTGATTTAGGAGTTTAAAAGCCATCGTGAGAGGTGGTGGCTTGGACTGGGTACCTATGGGATCTTAAGGGAGTCACATTCTGGGTGTATTTCAGTGGTAAACCAACAGGAGTTTGTGGTGGGTTGGACGAGTATGTGAGAAAGAGAGGATTTATGGATGGACCAAGGTTTTAAGCTTGAGCTACTATGTGAACCTCATCAGATGGATGTTTATGGAGAGGATGAACACTAGGAAGCTCAGGTTTGTGGAGGGTGATCAGGGGTATTGATTACGAATTCTTAAGCTTGAGATGATATATGTGTAGATGATATATATAAGTACATATATATGGTTATATATATAGTTATATATATACACAGTTTATACACACATCCGCATATATATATTTATTTTTATATATTTATATATATTTATATATGTTTATATATGTTTATATATGTTTATGTTTATATGTTTATATATGTTTATATATGTTCATATATATGTTTATATATATTTATATATGTTTATATATATTTATATGTTTATATATGTTTATATATTTATATATGTTTATATATGTTTATATATATTTATATATATGTTTATATATATTTATATATATGTTTATATATATTTATATATATGTTTATATATTTATATATATTTATATATATGTTTATATATATTTATATGTTTATATATTTATATATTTATGTTTATATATATTTATATATGTTTATATATATTTATATATATTTTATATATTTATATATGTTTATATATATTTATATATATTTTATATATTTATATATGTTTATATATATTTATATATTTGTGTATATATTTATAATTATGTATATTTATACATATTTATGTATATATATTTATATATTTATGTATATATTTATATATATTTATGTATATATATTTATATACACATTTATATAAATTTATATATACTTATATTTATATATATTTATATATACTTATATATTTATACATATATTTATATATACATATATATTTTATATATATATTTATATATGCTTATATATTTATATATACTTATATATATTTATATATATTTATATATACTTATATATTTATATATACTTATATATATTTTTATATATACTTATATATTTATATATTCATATATATTTTTATATATTTATATAAATACATATTTATGTAAATATATTTATATATTTATTTTATATAAATAAATAAATAAATTGTGTATATATATATATATATATATTTCTTTTTGAGGTGGAGTCTCACTCTGTTGTCCAGGCTGGAGTGCAGTGGCGCGATCTCGGCTCACTGCAACCTCCACCTCGTATTCAAACGATTCTCCTGCCTCAGCCTCCCGAGTAGCTGGGTTTACAGGCAGGTGCCAGCACACCCAGCTAATTTTTGTGTTTTCAGTAAAGATGGGGTTTCACCATGTTAGCCAGGCTGGTCTCAAACTCCTGACCTCAAGTGATCTCCCCGCCTCGGCCTCCCAAAGTGCTGGGATTACAGGCGTGAGCCACCGTGCCCGGCCATACACATACATATATATACACACATGTAGATATATGTGTATAAACAGTGTAAACAGAGGTCAGGAGTTCAAGTATATATATGTGTATATATGTCTAGGTACACATATATGACCATGTATATATATATAACTATATGTATATACATACAACTATAGCTATATATATACACAGTTGAGTTGGCGTGTAGTTGAAGGAGAGGGTTAATAAGAGACTGTAAAGAGAGGAAACAAAGTCATCAGCGTCTAGTTGGTATTTGAAGCCACATGACTGAATGGGATCACGAGGGAGTGAGGAGGCTGAGCACTAAGCCTGGGTCCTTCAGTGTTCAAGGACACGGCGATTAAGAGGTGGGAGCAAAAGCAGAAGTTCTGCTGTCTGTGCTGGATGCCAAGTGAAAAATGCCTGTCAAGAGAGAAGGAAGGATCAACAGTCCAACGCTGTTAGGTCAAATAAGTTGCATACTGAGAGTTGGCAATGGGATTTAGCCACGTGGGTGTCATTGTGGTAGGGTGTTTGGGGCAAAAGCCTGATGGGATGGGGGAAGGAAAGGAGTCAGAGACAGGGCAGGTAGATGACTCTTTATGTATTTATTTATTTATTTATTTTTGAGAAGGAGTCTCACTCTGTAGCCCAGGCTGGAGTGCAGTGGTGCGATCTCGGCTCACTGCAAGCTCCGCCTCCCAGGTTCACATCATTCTCCTGCCTCAGCCTCCCGAGTAGCTGAGTAGCTGGGACTACAGGCACCCGCCACTATGCCCAGCTAATTTTTTGTATTTTTTAGTAGAGACGGGGTTTCACCATGTTAGCCAGGATGGTCTCGATCTCCTGACCTTGTGATCTGCCTGTCTCGGCCTCCCAAAGTGCTGGGATTATAGGCGTGAGCCACCGCACCCGGCCTATTTATTTATTTATTTAGAGACACAGTGTCACTCTGTTACCCATGCTGGAGTGCAGTGGCGCGATCTCGGCTCACTGTAATCTCCATAGTTTCAAGTGATTCTCCTGCCTCAGCCTCCCGAGTAGCTGGGACTACAGGCACACGCCACCACACCTGGCTAATTTTTGTATTTTTAGTAGAGATGGGGTTTCACCATATTGGCCAGCCTAGTCTCGAACTCCTGACTTCAGGTGATCTGCCCACCTCGGCCTCCCAAAGTGCTGGTATTACAGGTGTGAGCCACTGCGCTCAGCCTTGCCCCCCACCCTTTTAAGAGACAGTCTCTCACTCTGTCGCCGAGGCTGGAGTATCATGGCGTGATCGTGATTCACTGCACCCTTGAACTCCTAGGCTCAAGTGATTCTCCTGCCTCAACCTCCCAAGTAGCTGGGACTACAGGCACGCACCACCATGCCCAGCGAATTAAAAAAATATATATATATATTTTGGGGCCAGGTGTGGTGGCTCACGCCTGCAATCCCAGCAGTCCAAGGTGGGAGGATCACTTGAGCTCAGGAGTTTGAGACCAGTCTGGGAAACATGGCGAAACCCCATTCCCACAAAAAATACAAGAGTTAGCTACGTGGTGGTGTACACCTGTAGTGCCAGCTACTCCGGAGGCTGAGTTGGGAGGATTGCTTGAGCCTGGGTGGTCGAGGCTGCAGTGAGCTGTGATTATGCCACTGTGTTCCAGCCTAAATTTTGTCTCACAACAAACATTATAGCAAATGATCTTTCTCCCATTTATTTATTTATTTATCGTAAAGTAGCACCTGGGTGTTTTTTTTTTTTTTTGAGATGGAGTCTCATTCTCGCCCAGGCTGGAGTGCAGTGGCTTGATCTCGGCTCACTGCAATCTCCGCCTCCCGTGTTCGCGCCATTCTCCTGCCTCAGCCTCCCGAGTAGTTGGGACTACAGGCGCCTGCCACCACGCCCGGCTAATTTTTTTTTTGTATTTTTAGTAGAGACAGGGTTTCACTGTGTTAGCCAGGGTGGTCTTGATCTCCTGACCTCGTGATCCATCTGCCTCAGCCTCCCAAAGTGCTGGGATTACAGGCGTGAGCCACCGTGCCTGGCCGCACTTGGGTGTTACATTTTTAAATTTATGGTAAATAATTTGAGAGGGATTATAGTTTTTTTTTTTTTTTTTTTTTGCAGTATATCGAGGGATTGTGAAACCATCACCACAATCTAATTTTAAGACTTTTTCCTTCTGCCACAAGAAACCCTGTGCCCCTTAGTGGTCACCCACTCTTCCCTCCACTTGCCCTATCCCTAAATAATCTCTCATCTCCTTTCTGTCAGTATAATTTGCGTATCCTGAGCTTTTCACAGAAGTGGAATTTTGCAGTGTGGAGTCTTGGGCGTCTGGCTTCTCCTGCCCGGCACAGTGTCTTCTGGGTTTATTGTCTTGTGGCACATGTCAGTATCCCATTTCCTCTGGTGGCTGAATAGTATCCCCTGTGTGAATACGCCACGTCTTGTTTCCCCCTTCGTCCATGGATGCACAGACACGGAGGTTGTTTCCACCGCTTGAATATTAGGCACATACTGCCGTGAACATCATTGGACACATTTTTATGGAGATGTGTTCGTTTCTCTTTGATTGGCATTTCCTAAATGACCCGATGCTGAGCTGTGTTTCATGTGCCTGTTGGTCATTCGTGTATCTTCTTTGGAGAGACGTCTCTTCAGATCCCTTCCCCATTTAAAAACCGGGTTATTTGTCTCCTGTTGTTGAGTTGTTAGAGGTCTTTATATATTCTAGTTACTAGTGTCTTCTCAGATAAGTGATTTGCAGGTATTTTCTCCAATACTATGGGTGGTGTCTTTTTTTTTTTTTTTTTTTTTTAAAGACAGGTTCTCACTCTGTTGTCCAGGCTGGGTTGCAGTGGCATAATCATGGCTTATTACAACCTCGACTTCCAGAGCTCAGGTCATCCTCCCACTTCAGCCTCCCAAGTAGCTGGGACTACAGGTGTGCATCACCATGCCCAGCTAATTTTTTGTATTTTTTGTAGAGATGGAGCCTCACCATGTTGCCCAGGCTGGTCTTGAACTCCTGGGCTCAAGCAGTCCTCCCATCTCATCCTCCCAAAGTGCTGGGATTAGAGGCGTGAGCCACAGTGCCTAGCCTGGGTTTTCTTTTTGCTTTGTTTTTTGTAGAGATGTGGTCTTGCTGTGTGGCCGGGACTGGTCTGGAACTCCTGGCCTCAAGTGATCCTCCTGCCTTGGCCTCCCAAAGTGCTGGGATTACAGGCATTAGCCACTGCACTCAGCCTCTTTACTTTCTTGCTGGCATCCTTTGCAGCACAAAAATTTTAAATTTTGTTGTAGTCCAATTTATTATCTCTTTTTCTTTTGCCACGTGTTTTTGGTGCCATATGTAAGAGGCCATTGCCTAATCCAAGGTCATGAAGATTTAATCCTGTGTTTTCTTCTAATAATTTTACACTTTTAGCTCTTCCATTTAGGACTTTGATCTATTTTGAGTTAGTTTTGTGTATGGTGTGAGGTAGGGCTCCAAATCCATTCTTTTATATGTTGGTAGCCAGTTGTCCTGGCACCATTTGTCTTTCCCACTGAATTGTCATGGCACTCTTGTTGAAAATCAGTTGACAGTAAATGAAAGTAAACGTCATTTTCCATAACAAACATTCATTATCTCAAAGCTTGAGTCACTTTCCCTTAGAACTATTAAAAGGAACCTTTCCATAATATGGAAAAGTCTTTTATCCCTTATTAGCAAATAGACATAGTGATTAAGTTTTTAAATGATAACTTACAGAATGAATATAGATTTTACTTAACTTTTATAGTAATGGGTGTGTAAATATTTGCTGAACTTTTCTTATTTCTCTCACAAGGTAATTGGCTGGCATGGTCTCTTGTCTTTCCAGAGCCCCTGTGTCAACAGTATCTCATTCTTCCAAGATTTCTTATTACATAGCTAATTGAAATCTGTAGCCTCTGGCTTCTGATGCTTTTTAAAGATAAGGCTCAATTAAAGAATAAGGGGCTTGGGGTTTTCTGATTCCACAATAGGAATATTCTTCCAATGTGCTGTTACCAGTGATAGCCCCGAGTGGGATGGGGGGAACCCTTGTGCAGGCTCTGCCTTTTGGACAGGGCCTTTGCTCTTTGACTGTCTCCTTGGTTTCTGGCCTCACCTGGCATCCCAGGCCTGTCTTGACCTCCCCTGACTCTTTTTCACAGCGAGGGGTATTTAGACCACACCTGGGCCCTAGGTGGGCTCAATGCTGCCAGGCCCTTTCCATGATGATCATGCTTTTTAAACTGCTGCTCTTCTGTAACCTATCCTGCTTTACTCTTTTTTTTTTTTTTTTTTTTTTTTAAACACAAGGTCTCATTCTTTTGCCCAGGCTGGAGTGCAGTGGTACAGTCATGGCTCACTGCAGCCTCGACCTCCCAGGCTCAAGCAATCCTCCCACCTCTACCTCCTGAGTAGCTGGGACCACAGGTGTGCACCACCAAGCGTAGCCAATTTTTAAAAAATGTTTTGTAGACGTGGAGCCTCGCTATGTTGCCCAGGCTGGTCTCAAACTCCTGGGCTCAAGCAGTCTGCCCACCTCAGCCTCCCAGAATGCTGGGATGACAGGCGTGAGCCACTATGCCTGGACTGTTTTACTTTTGGGGTGGGATCTGGCTTTCTGGGTGTTCCCTGGCTTACTGACGTGGTCCTTTGTGGGTGTGTGTCTGAGCCGTCCGGGCTGGAGGCCGTGGTGAAGCAGCGTGCATGCCGCGTGTGCTGGTTGTTGAGCTCCTGTCTCTTGGCTCCCCAGCACCTCTGTGGCACCCCCCCGCCCCCACCCGCCCGGGGCCCACATAGCCTGGGGCTCTGCAGGACACTTTTCTGTTCTCAGCTCCTTTTCGGCTGCACCCAGTGGGGGCGGCAGAGGAGACTGGGAGCTGGAGGGTGGGGAGGAGTGTAGGGAGGAGTGTGGGTGAGGGGGTGGCCCTGGGGAGGGTGGGGATAGGAAGGGAGGGGTGGGGACAGGGGCATGGGGTCAGGTGAGGGCTTCTTCTGCTCCTGCTGTCCTGCATGAGTGAGCCCATGCAGGAGGCTTCGCTGCAGCAGCAGGCGTGGGCCGGGCCCCTGCTTCTCCCTCCTAGAAGCAGCCTTGTCCCTGCCCGCTGCCACCCCAGGTTGTTCCTTAGGTCCTGGCCACAGCCACCAGCACCCCTCCATCAGGGGCCCAGGGCCTGCTATCCCAGCCCCTCCAGCAGGCTCCCAAGTCTGGTGGCCTCAGCTGCCTCTTTCGGCTCCCTCATCACACAGTCCACAAAGGACACGGGTTCTGCCGTCCCTGGACTTCTCCGTCCTGGCGTGGTGTTCTGGAGACAGCTGTGCTGGAGAAAGGAGGCCTAACCACATGCCCCTTGAATGCCGCATCCACCCTCATACGTGGCCTGCTCCATGCTCCTTGCCCACTCAGAGGAGACCCCAGACTCACGGTGGTCCTTGAGCCCCTCCACCCGAGGGTGCCAGGTGTCCTGTGATGGGCAGGACCGGTGCCCGCAGCCCGTGTGGTGCCACAGCTTTGCTAGTTGATGGGGAGCATGAGTGAGCCTGATAGGAGAAAGTGAAAACAATTCAAAATATTCAGTAATTAGAGAGCAGGCAGATTTTCACCTTTGGGAAATTATGATAATGTCACTAAAAATGGTATTTCTCTTAATCTTAAACGCTTTGTGTTCATGTCCAGTTAGAAATATAGAATATGTAATCCATGTATGATTGCAGCTATGTTAAATAAAAACACTCAGAAAAAAGACCGAACGGGGCTGGGCATGGTGGCTCATGGCAGTGGCCCCAGCACTTGCGGAGGCCGAGGCGGAGGATGGCTGGAACCAAGGGGTTTAAGACCATCCTGGGCAGCATAGCAAGACCCTGCCTCTACAGAAGATTTAAGTGAGCCAGGCATGGTGGCATGCGCCTGTGGTTACAGCTGCTCAGGAGGCTGAGGTGGGAGGATGGCTTGAGCCTGGAATTTTGAGGACGCAGTGAGCCGAGATTGTGCCACTGCACTGCAGCCCGAGTGACAGGGTGGGATGAGCCGAGATGGCGCCACTGCACTCCAGCCCGGGTGACGGTGGGATGAGCCGAGATGGCGCCACTGCACTCCAGCCCGGGTGACGGTGGGATGAGCCGAGATGGCGCCACTGCACTCCAGCCCGGGTGACGGTGGGATGAGCCGAGATGGCGCCACTGCACTCCAGCCCGGGTGACGGTGGGATGAGCCGAGATCGCGCCACTGCACTCCAGCCCGGGTGACGGTGAGATGAGCCGAGATGGCGCCACTGCACTCCAGCCCGGGTGACGGTGGGATGAGCCGAGATCGCGCCACTGCACTCCAGCCCGGGTGACGGTGAGATGAGCTGAGATCGCGCCACTGCACTCCAGCCCAGGTGACGGTGGGATGAGCCGAGATGGCGCCACTGCACTCCAGCCCGGGTGATGGTGGGATGAGCCGAGATGGCGCCACTGCACTCCAGCCCGGGTGACGGTGGGATGAGCCGAGATCGTGCCACTGCACTCCAGCCCGGGTGACAGGGTGGGATGAGCCGAGATGGCGCCACTGCACTCCAGCCCGGGTGACAGGGTGGGATGAGCCGAGATGGCGCCACTGCACTCCAGCCCGGGTGATGGTGGGATGAGCCGAGATCGTGCCACTGCACTCCAGCCCGGGTGACAGGGTGGGATGAGCCGAGATGGCGCCACTGCACTCCAGCCCGGGTGACAGGGTGCGATGAGCCGAGATGGCGCCACTGCACTCCAGCCCGGGTGACAGGGTGGGATGAGCCGAGATCGTGCCACTGCACTCCAGCCCGGGTGACGGTGGGATGAGCCGAGATTGTGCCACTGCACTCCAGCCCGGGTGACGGTGAGATGAGCCGAGATGGCGCCACTGCACTCCAGCCCGGGTGACGGTGGGATGAGCCGAGATCGCGCCACTGCACTCCAGCCCGGGTGACGGTGGGATGAGCCGAGATGGCGCCACTGCACTCCAGCCCGGGTGACGGTGAGATGAGCCGAGATTGTGCCACTGCACTCCAGCCCGGGTGACGGTGGGATGAGCCGAGATGGCGCCACTGCACTCCAGCCCGGGTGACGGTGGGATGAGCCGAGATGGCGCCACTGCACTCCAGCCCGGGTGACGGTGGGATGAGCCGAGATGGCGCCACTGCACTCCAGCCCGGGTGACGGTGGGATGAGCCGAGATTGTGCCACTGCACTCCAGCCCGGGTGACGGTGGGATGAGCCGAGATGGCGCCACTGCACTCCAGCCCGGGTGACGGTGAGATGAGCCGAGATGGCGCCACTGCACTCCAGCCCGGGTGACGGTGGGATGAGCCGAGATGGCGCCACTGCACTCCAGCCCGGGTGACGGTGGGATGAGCCGAGATCGCGCCACTGCACTCCAGCCCGGGTGACGGTGAGATGAGCCGAGATCGCGCCACTGCACTCCAGCCCGGGTGACGGTGGGATGAGCCGAGATCGTGCCACTGCACTCCAGCCCGGGTGACGGTGGGATGAGCCGAGATCGTGCCACTGCACTCCAGCCCGGGTGACAGGGTGGGATGAGCCGAGATGGCGCCACTGCACTCCAGCCCGGGTGACGGTGGGATGAGCCGAGATCGTGCCACTGCACTCCAGCCCGGGTGACGGTGGGATGAGCCGAGATTGTGCCACTGCACTCCAGCCCGGGTGACGGTGGGATCAGCCGAGATCGTGCCACTGCACTCCAGCCTGGGTGACGGTGAGATGAGCTGAGATCGCGCCACTGCACTCCAGCCCGGGTGACGGTGGGATCAGCCGAGATTGTGCCACTGCACTCCAGCCCGGGTGACGGTGGGATGAGCCGAGATTGTGCCACTGCACTCCAGCCTGGGTGACAGAGTGAGGCCCTGACTCAAAAAAAAAAAAGACAGAAAGGAAATATACCAAAATGTGTCAAGTTGGTTGTCCATAGGTTATGAAATGTGGGAGTTTGAGTTTATTTTAACTTTTATATGTTTTCCATAATACTCTTTTTTTTTTTTAATGGGAGAGTGCCCTACCTCTTTTTATTTAAAAATCTTACATGAGTTAAGCCTTTCATTTCCTTGTCTTCAGCAATTTACTTTCTCTGTTGCAGGATGGCAAAACAGAAGAGAAAAGTTCCTGAAGTGACAGAGAAAAAGAACAAAAAGCTGAAGAAGGCGTCAGCAGAGGGGCCACTGCTGGGCCCTGAGGCTGCACCAAGTGGCGAAGGAGCCGGCTCCAAGGTAAGGCCGCCTGTGCTTCACTGGCCCTGCCCTCTGGGATCCACCTGTTATCTGATCTGGAGGGAGAGGGGGTGGCTCAGCCTGCTGGTCTCTGTGGAGCAGAGCCTGGAACAGGTGCGGAGGCGTGGTGGGGCTTGGTGCCTTCCAGAAGCGATTGTAGGACAAAGAAGGATTTTAGTAAATTTTGAGTTGGAACCCTATGACTGCCTTTCTTAGCTGCCAGGAAACTGCTGTTTTGGGTGCTGTGTTGTGTAGGGGACTTGGTGGCGGCATGCAGGATGGTGAGGGGCCTGCAGCAGGCCTTCGGTTGGGCCCTGGGAAGGTGCGAGGGGCGGCTCCTCACCTGGGCATGTGCAGAGGCGTGTCCTGAAAGCCTGTGTTTAAAAATGCACATCTAGAAATGTTCGTGTCGAATAACACGATTATTGTCCGTTTGAAAATCACCTATTGGTATCACTTTCTAAACGGTGTGCAGCGGGTTATGAATAACGTTGAGATTTGAGTATCCACCACCATTCACTTGAAAAGACACGTGAGCCATCTTCTCCTAAAGTGATGCATTTTTATTCTTCGTTTTCTTGAGACACAGTCTCTGTCGCCCAGGCTGGAGTGCAGTGGTGGGATCTCAGCTCAGTGCAACCTCCATCTCCTGGGTTCCAGCGATTTTCCTGCCTCGGCCCCACAGGTAGCCAAGACTGCAGGTGCACACCACCACGCCCGACTAGTTTTTTGTATATTTGATAGAGACCGGGTTTCACCATGTTGGCCAGGCTGGTCTTGAAACTTCCGACCTCAAGTGATCCACCCACCTCGGCCTCCCAATATGCTGGAATTACAGGTGTGAGCCACCGCACCTGGCCTGCATTTTTATTCTTTTTTTTTTTTTTTTTTTTTTTTGAGACAGAGTCTCGCTCTGTCACCCAGGCTGGAGTGCAGTGGCGCCATCTTGGCTCACTGCCAGCTCCGCCTCCCAGGTTCATGCACTCTCCTGTCTCAGCCTCCTGAGTAGCTGGGACTACAGGCGCCTACCACCACGCCCAGCTAATTTTTTGTATTTTTTAGTAGAGACGGGGTTTCACCATGTTAGCTGGGATGGTCTCGACCTCCTGACCTCGTGATCCACCTGCCTCGGCCTCCCAAGTGCTGGGATTACAGGTGTGAGCCACTGCTCCAGGCCCTGCATTTTTATTCTTGAAAGTATTTTATTATGTACTGTATCATGTTTATCTTCCACAAAAAGATGCATATACATTTAAATTTGAAAATATAAAAAATTTTTTGACCCACCAAGTTCTGAGTGTTAAAATTTCTCTTCTGCATTGAGCTGTGTTTACCATTAGGAGCATGCAGTTGATCGAAACAGCATAATAGATTAGGAATTTTCACAAATGATTCTACATAAAGTGAAATCTGACGACGCGCGCGTCACATCGTGGTAAGAGCATTGTCACCCCGTGTTACCACCCCGTGGAAGGGCAGGGCTTTCCGTGTCTGCGGATGGCACACTCACCTGTGGATCCGCGCTGTCATTGCTCGAGAGAAAGCGGGTTTCCACAGGCTTTGTTCCTGTTCTCATGTCAGATTTCAGTGCTGAGCGCCCTTGCTGACATAGATGAGTAAATGGGAACAAGAGTAGTGTTGTAGCTTTGTTGCTTAAGTCCTTAAACTTTGAGACCATTCTGTGGTTTGGGCACATATTTTCAGGATTTATTTTAAAGCTCTATCAGTAAGTGACAGGTGGACTGGGTCCCTGAGTTGTGCAGGGGCCCGGTGCTGGCTTGTTACATTTGTTCACTTCCCCAGGGTGACACCAGGGTTCAAGCTTTGCCATTGATTAGTGCTGGAGGTCTCGTGCCTGGGGCAGTGTGCCATTGTGAGATGTGGGGTGGCAGGTGGCCCTGTTTTTCATGAAATGAGAAAATGGCCGCTGTGCAAAGGGAGGTGGAAAGGGGGAGCCCACGTGGGCCCTTCAAAGCGGCTTCCAGCAGGAGGTGGGCACAGCCAGTGCTTGGAGGGGTCCCTGGGCTACCCAGCCACGGATGCCCGGGACGGTGGAGTGTGCCTGGTTGCTGGGTGTGGCCCAGCTCACTCTGGGATCCTGTCCAATGAGGCAGTGCTGAGCTCTCGGAAGGTGGTGTGAAATCACGTCCACCACGTCTGTGGCTGCAGGCGGCTCAGCAGGCGTGGGTGGAGGGGAGAAGCTGGGGTGTGTGCCTAGAGGAGCTCCTGGCTGTCTCAGAGGGTCGTCTCTCACTGCCACCCCCCGGGCGAGGGAAGCCAGACAGCACCCCAAGCACAGCCAGACAGCTTGTCCTGGGCTCTCTAGCAGAACACCCCAAGGTCACCCGGAGGCTGAGGCCTGGCAGGTGCAGAGGTCCTGCGGCTCCCGCGCAGCGGGTCAGCAGGCAGCCCCGCGTTCCACCTGAGCCTCACCTTGAATTTCGGCTCCTCCTCCGCAGGCTGTTGAATTCCTGTGTCTCCCAGGCTGACTGCCTCTTTTTTTTTTTTTTTGTGCTTTTTTAAAATTTTTTTTATTTTTTATTATTATACTTTAAGTTTTAGGGTACATGTGCACATTGTGCAGGTTAGTTACATATGTATACATGTGCCATGCTGGTGCGCTGCACCCACTAACTCGTCATCTAGCATTAGGTATATCTCCCAATGCTATCCCTCCCCCCTCCCCCCCCACCCCCCGACTGCCTCTTACTCACTCCTTCTTCACAGCCTGAGGTCCAGTTGTGCTTTTTAGTTTGGGTTCCAGATGGACGCTGGTTTCCCGAGAGCTGCTGGAGCTCTTGTTCTGTGGTTCAGCCCAGTCTCAATTCCGCAGAGCCTCAGGCACACACGACTTTGGTGGGCGCGGCGTCACCCTGGACTTTTTGAGTTGAGTCAAGAGGCTTCTGGCTCTCCCTTCTTGGTGAACCCTCCTCCAGCCAGATCCCCACACAGGCCGCTGGTCACTGGCAGCACCCCCAAGACAGCTCGGCTTACGGTGACTGTGGGCAGAGGTTAAAACTCCTGCCCAAGTGAGGGAGTGGTGTCTGTCCTTTTGTTTAGGTTCAAGTAATTATTTTAAAGTATGTGATTATTTTTCATTATTAAAATACGTGTTGATTAAAAGAAAGCTGGAAAGCAAGAGGGGAAAGAAGAAAGCCTTTGTTTCCTCCAGCTACGCTTTGAGGGCTGGACTCTGCTGGTCTGTAACACGCAGCTGCCGGCAGAGTCACCAGCTTTCACTTGGCTTTCCGGCCACTGGCGTGGAGTTGGTCTCAGGCCCGCCCAGCTGAGCGTTGGGAAGCGACCTGGAGCTGGTTCCTTAGCCTTTGGAGGAGCTGGCAGCGGGAAGAGGGCCTGGGAAGCCAGGGAATGCGGTCTCGGTGGAGCCCGGTTCACCAGCAGGGGTCGGCAGCACGTTCCTTCCGAGGGAGCTGGCGGAGGGAGCTGCCTTCAGCTGGATTCTCTGCAAACTGCATGCCCCTGTGGCCAGTTTCCGGGCTACTGGGAGGGTTTTCAGATGGAGTGTGGGGGCTCAGGGGCTCATGTTCTTGTATGTCTGGGAGCCAGTCTCCCAGTGAAATGGGGTGTCTCTGCTAATATGGATATTTCCTTGCTGACTCTCCCTGGTTCTCATGGGAAATTGTTTTAAAAAAAAAAAAGTTTCAAGCGTTTTGTGAAGCTGAACCCAAGTGCTTAGGAGGGTGGGCGGCTGGGCCTGGGGAGCAGCATTCCTGGGCTCCGGGGGAGCGTGTGGAAAAGTACTGCGCTGCTTCCCTCCCCTCCCCCAGTGGATCCTGGATGAACCTCCGGAATCCACCATCGAGGATGGAGAAGCCTGTGTCCCCCCGTGGGCCATTGTGTTGTCCTCCCAGCAACGTCCGTCTGGGGAGCCTGCGGGTCAGCGGCCACTCCCGGGGCCCCGTGCAGCCTCTTCCCACAGCATGAGCACTCTGAGCTTGCGCCAGGATCGCCGCCACGTCCCCAAGTGATGGGAACTTCATCGCCCCTTGGGGAGTGTTCCTTCAGCGTTCCGGTTCCCACTCAGGCCTGTGGGCTTGGCCCGGGAAGCCTCCTGGGCCGGGTGCACTCACTCTCCCAGGCTTCAGTCCCTGGTGCCTCTGTCTGGCGTTGGTGAGGTTTGGCCGTTCCTCGGTCCTGGGCACCAGGGCCTCAGGGTCTCGGCTCTGGGTGTTGTTTGCTGAGCTCCCCATCCCGGAGGGCCCTGCTGGCCTGGAGTGCTGGGGAGGTGGGCGGCTTGTGGTGGCCCGGCAGGAGGAACAGTTGCTCCCATGGGCCTGTCTCGTGTCTTGGTGACTGGGCTGTATGATTGCCCACTGGTCTTAGGAGGGACTGGCACCTGCCGCTTCTGTCCTCCTCAGCTCTGCGGGCAGGAGGTTCTGCCGCTGGGGTTGGCGCCTTGGGCCTTTCCTCTTGTGGACCAGAGGGGTCCCAGGGTTTGCCCTGTCTGCTTCCTGTTTCATAGCTAAGCCCTCCCCGGGGAGCTGGGGTTTAGGAGTTCTGTTTTCACGTTCCTTTAACCCTTCCAGGCCTGGTTTCCCACTTGAGCGGGTTGTGAGGATGAGGTTTCAAATGACACATGTCCTTCGGGAGGACTGTGGGGCCCCGGCTGAGCCAGGCCTGCTGCCCAGCATCCCTTGGGGTCGGCGGACATGGTGGGAGGTCATGTGACTCGGCAGGTCTTTCTGTCTTTCACCCTCCCCCTGCCTCTCCAGTCTCACTAAAGGGGACCCTTAGCTTCTCTGTTTCTGTCTGAAGCCACGGAGCCGTATGCGGGGGAAGGCGGCATACGCGTGACCACCCCATGCAGAGCCAGCCGAGTGGCTGCTGGTGTGGAGGCCCCTGTGATGACCTGGCCGCCTCCCTGCTGCTGTCAGTGCTGTTTGGCTGCCTGGAAATGGAAGGTGGGCTCCCTCAGTCCACTGCTGTCAGCATGTCAGCAGAACCCCCCTGGCTTCCTCTGCCTCGTAAGAATCCCTTATGTGTGCAACACTTTCCGTCCCCACGAGCATCTTGACAGCTGATTCTTAGCAGCCTGGAGGTGCCAGGGGCAGAGGCGTGGGTGCTGTGCTGGTTTCAGTCACCTGGCCAGCTGGTCCTGGGGAAGAGACTCACCCCTGGTTTCTGACTCTGGTTACCTCATGGAGCCCACTAGCAGAGACCAGGATCCCTTCCTGTGGCTGGCTGCGAGCCGGCGGAGCCTCAGTCGAGGGCAGGGTCCATGTGTCAAGGTGCCGTGTAAGGACCATGAGGGCTCAGACAAGGCCTCGGGTGTGTGCAGCACGCTGCCCTGTGTGAGTGCAGTGGGTGGGTGCAGCACGCTGCCCTGTGTGAGTGCAGTGGGTGGGTGCAGCACGCTGCCCTGTGTGAGTGCAGTGGGTGGGTGCAGCACGCTGCCCTGTGTGAGTGCAGTGGGTGGGTGCAGCATGCTGCCCTGTGTGAGTGCAGTGGCCACAGAAGGCTTCGTGGGCCACAGTAAGCCCAGGGTACCATGTTCCCAGGTGCAGTCTTTCTGGCCCTGGGTGTTTCATGGTCTTGGCTGTAAACCCGTCTGGCGTGACCGCCTGGCTGTGGGGCTTGCGCCTCGCACAGCCAGAACGCGGGGCACAGGTGGTGGTCAGCGGAAGGGAGCAGGGCTACTTGGCTTGAACCGGCGTGTAGAGGCTCTGGATTTGCTGCTTTTGTAATCTTGAAAATCAGTGTGTATTACTAGAGCATGAAGACCGCAGCTTTATAAAACCATCAAATGAGGCCGTGAACTTCATGGCCTTGAGAATTTGCTCTGATCCAAAATACTTAAGACCAATGGTATTTTGCCCCAAGAAGCATTACTGCCCTGGCAGTGGGATTGTGTGTCATTGAACTCTTGGGGCTGAGTGGTGGCTGGTGTCTGTGGAGGCTCCCTGGGAGCCCGAATTGTTTTTCTTAGTAGAATTCCACCCACCCCCACCACATTGTTTTTATTTTCTCCTGTCTGACTGCTGCATGCCGGGTTGTCTGCCGACTGAATTTTGAACTCATACATGTACAGGGCTGAAAGGCAGGTGGAACCTGAGGAACAGTCTTACGTGTGGGGGAACTGAGACCCCGAGAACTTGTGTGGTCTCCCTGAAGCCCGCGTAGGCAGCGGGAGGCCGGCTCCCTCCTTCATCCCTGCCGGCCACGCTGCCCCGTGTCCATCCGTTTTTGATCCGTTTTTGTGGCTGAGTAAAATAGTCCATCTGCCCCATGTCCATTCGTTTTTGGGGCTGAGTAATAGTTTATGGGCTGTCTGCCAGCCGCGCTGCCCCATGTCCATCTGTTTTTGATCCGTTTTCATGGCTAATAGTTCATGGGCCGCCTGTCGGCCCTGCTGCCCTGTGTCCATCCGTTTTTGGGACTGAGTAATAGTCCATGGGCCGCCTGCCGGCCACACTACGCCCCGTGTCCATCCATTTTTGGGGCTGAGTAAAATAGTCCATGGTGCGGAATGATCACAGATTCTCTCACCCGTTTACTAGGGTTTGGAGACTGAGTTGTTTCCAGCTTGGGGCTGTTATGAATGTGCTGTGAACATTTGCATCTGTGACTTTCTATGCTTTCGTTCCGAGGACCGGAATTGCTGGATCCTATAGTAAGTGCGTGGTTAATTTTTTGAGAAGCTGCTGGCCAGGTACGGTGGCTCGTGCCTGTAATCTCAGCACTTTTGGGAGGCCGAGGCAGAAGGATCACTTGAGTTCAGGAGTTTGAGACCAGCCGGGGCAACATGGTGAAACCCTGTCTGTATAAAAAATACAAAAATTGGCCAGGCATGGTGGCGTGCACCTGTAATCTCAGCTGCTAGGGAGGCGAAGATGGGAGAATCACCGGAGGCTGCAGTGAGCCAAGATTGCACCACTGTACTCCAGCCTGGGTGACAGAGCGAGACCCTGTCTAAAAATAAAAAAAACCCCAAAATGTTGAACAAAAAAGAAGCATGAGGGTCCTGGCTCCTCCACACACTGGTCGACACGTGGTGCTGCTAGCTTCTTAATCTTGGCGGCTCTGGTAAGTGCTGTCTTGTCATACTGAGTATGTGGTTTTAAAAAACAGCTTTTTATTGAGGTATAATTTTTGGCTGCTCTTATAGGTGTAGTCTCATCATTCTGAGTATGTGGTTTTAAAAAACAGCTTTTTATTGAGATATAATTGATGTAAGGTCAGTTTTTTTCTTTATGACTTCTGTTTTTTTCTTCCGAAAGAAGTGCTTCTCTTTTATATTTTTTAGAACCAATTTAAATTTGTTTTATGTGTGATAGGGATCTAACTTCTTTTGTTCTAAAAGAAAGATACACTTGCCTTAGAATCTTTTGTTGAGCATTCTATCCCCCTTTTTTTTTTTTTTGACGGAGTTTCGCTCTTGTTGCCCAGGCTGGAGTGCAGTGACACAATCTCGGCTCACCGCAACCTCTGCCTCCCGGGTTCAAGCGATTCTCCTCTCTCAGCCTCCCGAGTAGCTGGAATTACAGGCATGTGCCACCACGCCCAGCTAATTTTGTATTTTTTTGTAGAGACAGGGTTTCGCCTTGTTGGCTGGGCTGGTCTTGAACTCCTGACCTCAGGTGAGCAGCCTGCCTCGGCCTCCCAAAAGTGCTGAAATCACAGGCGTGAGCCACTGCGCCCAGCCAAGAGTTGCACTTTCTCCATGTCCTCGCCAGCACTGTGATATGTGACCTTCTGATTCTAGATATCCTAGTGTGTCTGGGAAGTACACTTGCAGGTATTTTCTCCCATTCTGTGGCTTCTCTTTCACTTTCTTGATGTCCTTTGAGGCGCTTAAGATTTCGATTTTGATGAAGACCAGCTGATCTATTTTTCTTTTGTTGCCGGTGCTTTTGATACCACATCTAAGAAGCAAGCCTCCTGCCTTGGCCTCTCAAAGTGCTGGGAATACAGGTGTGAGCCCCTGTGTCTGGCTTTACATTTACGTTTTTGATTTGTTTTTTGTGAATTGTTGAGTGTAGTGCAAGGTGGAGATACAGTTTCATTCTTCTGCATGTGAATATCTACTTGCCCCAGCTCTGCTTGTTGAAAAGACAGTTCTTTTGTCATTTGAATTGTCTTAGAATCCTGGTTAGAATATCCTATTAACAGGTGTGTGCCACCACGCCTGGCTAATTTTGTATTTTTAGTAGAGACGGGGTTTCACCATGTTGGCCGGGATGGTCTCGATCTCTAGACCTCATGATCCTCCTGCCTCGGCCTCCCAAAGTGCTGGGATTACAGGCGTGAGCCACTGCGCCCAGCCCACAATAGCCTATTTTTTTTTAAGAGTCTCATAGTATTCCATTGTCTTGTTATACCGTAATTTATTTAGTGAGGTCTTTACCACACTGTTTAATACTTTAGTTTTTTTAAAAAAAAATATGCTTTAATATCTAGCAAAGTAAGTACCTCTTTTTTTTTTTTTTTTTTTTTTTTGGTAGAGATGGGGTCTCACTATCTTGCCCAGGGTGGTCTCAAACTCCTGGGCTCAAGTGATTCTCCCTCCTCAGGCCTCCCAAAGTCCTGATATTACAGGCGTGAGCCACCTTTCCCGGCCATAAGAAACTCTTTCTTCATTGTTTTTTTGGACAGTGTTCTTGGCCTCTTATTTGTGTGAATTTTGGAATCAGCTTTTCTACTCCACGAACATTTTTTTGCGACTTATTGAGGTTGTCTTTTCTGTCATTCAGGAAAGTTTTATGGTTTTCTCTGGAAAGGTCTTGCTTGTTTCTTGTTAGGATTCTTGATACTTTTGAGTCTGTTTCCTCCTTTGGTGTGTCATAATGGTTATTGATGGTGTATTGGGAAGTTATAGATAATTTGGATGTTGATCTTAGAGCTAACAATGATGCTGAGCTTTCTAATTCTATTGTCAATTGATTCTCTTGTATCGGGTTTTTTAAGTAAGCGAAAAGGTCTGCAGAGAATGGCAGGTGTGTCTCCACTTCGTGTTCATGCCGTCTTTGTTTTTCTTCTAGCAACGGCTAGGACTTTTGAGCCAGTGTTGTATGATAGAGGTGATCATCTTTAATATGACCATATAATTCACATTTTCCAAAGCAGAACTACTTTTTTGTTTCTGGCTTAACCCAGAAGCCTGGTGTTTTCATATTTTTGCTGGGTAAGCGTTGTGCTGTGGTTTTCTTGTTTTGGTCTCAGTTGAATTCTGAAGGAAACATAGTGTGGCTCTCTGGATGAGAAGATGGGCAGCATGTGACACTGGCAGCATTCCCGTAGCAGGAACGATGGGCTTCCTTTTTGTCTGTTTTTGAATAAGCACAGGCCTGTGGTCCCAGCTTCTAGGGGGGCCGAGGTGGGAGGATCCCTTGAGCTCAGGAGTTCAGGGCCAGCCTGGGCAATGTAGCAAGACCTGGTCTCTAGAAAACAAAACAAAATGAAAAAGGCGTGTGGGTGATGGAAGCTGGTCGGTAGAGCCGTAGCGATGTCATGCTGCGTGGGCGTCGGTGATGGAAGCCGGTCCTAGAGCTATAGTGATGTCATCATCCTGCGTGGGCGTTGGTGATGGAAGCCGGTCCGTAGAGCTGTAGTGATGTCATCCTGCATGGGCGTCGGTGATGGAAGCCGGTCCGTAGAGCTGTAGTGATGTCATCATCCTGCGTGAGCGTCGGTGATGGAAGCCGGTCCATAGAGCTGTAGTGATGTCATCATCCTGCGTGGACATTGGTGATGGAAGCCGGTCCTAGAGCTGTAGTGATGTCATCATCCTGCGTGGATGTCGGTGATGGAAGCCGGTCCGTAGAACTGCAGTGATGTCATCATCCTGCGTGGGCGTCTGTGATGGAAGCCGGTCCGTAGAACTGCAGTGATGTCATCCTGCGTGGGCGTTGGTGATGGAAGCCGGTCCGTAGAGCTGCAGTGATGTCATCATCCTGCGTGGGCGTCGGTGATGGAAGCCGGTCTGTAGAGCTGTAGTGATGTCATCATCCTGCGTGGGCGTCGGTGATGGAAGCCGGTCCGTAGAGCTGTAGTGATGTCATCATCCTGCGTGGACGTCGGTGATGGAAGCCGGTCCGTAGAGTTGTAGTGATGTCATCATCCTGCGTGGACGTCGGTGATGGAAGCCGGTCCGTAGAGCTGTAGTGATGTCATCATCCTGCGTGGGCGTCGGTGATGGAAGCCGGTCCGTAGAGCTGTAGTGATGTCATCATCCTGCGTGGGCGTCGGTGATGGAAGCCGGTCCGTAGAACTGTAGTGCTGTCATCATCCTGCGTGGGCGTCGGTGATGGAAGCCGGTCCTAGAACTGCAGTGATGTCATCATCCTGCGTGGGCGTCGGTGATGGAAGCCGGTCCTAGAACTGCAGTGATGTCATCATCCTGCGTGGACGTCGGTGATGGAAGCCGGTCCGTAGAGCTGCAGTCATGTCATCATCCTGCGTGGGCGTCGGTGATGGAAGCCGGTCCCTAGATCTGTAGTGATGTCATCATCCTGCATGGGCGTTGGTGATGGAAGCCTGTCCGTAGAGCTGTAGTGATGTCATCATCCTGCGTGGACGTCGGTGATGGAAGCCGGTCCGTAGAGCTGTAGTGATGTCATCATCCTGCGTGGACGTCGGTGATGGAAGCCGGTCCGTAGAACTGTAGTGATGTCATCATCCTGCGTGGGCGTCGGTGATGGAAGCCGGTCCGTAGAACTGTAGTGATGTCATCATCCTGCGTGGGCGTCGGTGATGGAAGCCGGTCCTAGAACTGCAGTGATGTCATCATCCTGCGTGGGCGTCGGTGATGGAAGCTGGTCCTAGAACTGCAGTGATGTCATCATCCTGCGTGGACGTCGGTGATGGAAGCCGGTCCGTAGAGCTGCAGTCATGTCATCATCCTGCGTGGGCGTCGGTGATGGAAGCTGTCCCTAGAGCTGTAGTGATGTCATCATCCTGCATGGGCGTTGGTGATGGAAGCCTGTCCGTAGAGCTGTAGTGATGTCATCCTGCGTGGGCCTTGGTGATGGAAGCCGGTCCGTAGAGCTGTAGTGAAGTCATCCTGCGTGGGCGTTGGTGATGGAAGCCAGTCCCTAGAGCTGTAGTGATGTCATCCTGCGTGGGCGTTGGTGATGGAAGCCGGTCCGTAGAGCTGTAGTTATGTCATCCTGCATGGGCATTGGTGATGGAAGCCGGTCCCTAGAGCTGTAGTGATGTCATCATCCTGCGTGGGCGTCGGTGATGGAAGCGGGTCCGTAGAGCTGTAGTGATGTCATCATCCTGCGTGGGCGTCGGTGCTGGAAGCCGGTCCGTAGAGCTGCAGTGATGTCATCATCCTGCGTGGGCTTTGGTGATGGAAGCCGTCCCTAGAGCTTTAGTGATGTCATCCTGCGTGGGCGTTGGTGATGGAAGCCGGTCCTAGAGCTGTAGTGATGTCATCATCCTGCGTGGGCGTCGGTGATGGAAGCCATCCCTAGAGCTGTAGTGATGTCATCCTGCGTGGGCGTTGGTGATGGAAGCCGGTCCGTAGTGCTGTAGTGATGTCATCATCCTGCGTGGGCGTCGGTGATGGAAGCCGGTCCGTAGAGCTGTAGTGAAGTCATCCTGCGTGGGCGTTGGTGATGGAAGCCGGTCCTAGAGCTGTAGTGATGTCATCATCCTGCGTGGGCGTTGGTGATGGAAGCCATCCCTAGAGCTGTAGTGATGCCATCCTGCCTGGGCGTTGGTGATGGAAGCCTGTCCGTAGAGCTGTAGTGATGTCATCCTGCATGGGCGTTGGTGATGGAAGCCGGTCCGTAGAGCTGTAGTGAAGTCATCCTGCGTGGGCGTTGGTGATGAGGAGGGTGGATGGCGTCTGACCTGGGAGGTGATGGGGAGCGCCTCCTGATTTCCTGTTCTCTGTGTTAAATAGCAAACATCCCCTGGCGCCCGGTGAGGGCGAGCCTGGGGGCTGGGTCTGTGGTGGGGCGTTTCCCGAAGGGTGGGCAGTGGCAGGGCCGGGGCCGTTTCTCATCTCAGTGAATGCCCAAGAAGTGTTTGGAGAAATTTAACACCCAGACATGATGAAAATCAAACAGTTTCTTCCCTCTCCCCAAGAAACACTCCTAAAAAACAGCAAAGATTTATTATAAAATGAGGCATATCTTTTTGGATCTTATTTATCTCAAAAGATGAGAATTTTTAAGCAAGTAGAGACTTTGAATTGTCTCCGCCAAAGCATGAGCTTTCACTTTTGTGGACTGCAGTCTGGTAACAGACATGCCCACGGTATCCACAAAGGCGAAACAGGACCCCCACAGGCATCTCAAACAGGAAGGGGTTTAACACAGGGAGTTTGGTGCTTATGGGGTTGCTGGGAAGGCTGCAGAGTGACCATGGCTCCCACCCACGTCCAACCCTGCAACCCTGTGAGAGCAGCTGCTTTGTGCGGGGCAGGGGCAGCTCTCCTGCGAGCCCCTCCACCTCCCCTCCTGCCCCGTGGGGCCTCAGACACCTGCCCATCGCCCGGGCAGAATGGCTCCCGGGCCACCCTCGTTTCTGAGCCCTGGCTCACCCCGCGGTTTGGGCCTGGCGATTCCTTGCTCTTGTCAGCCCTGGTTTGCTGGTGTTCCTGATCACCATCTCTTTCCCTCACCCATGGGAGAGCTGGCCTCAGTCCTTCCGTAAAGGCCAGCTGGGGAAGGGGGTAGCCCTTGGGCCCCGCGCCCATCACGGCCTGTGGAGCAGGAACAGCGTTAGGCCATGAGCGGCCGAGCGGGGGCAGCCGTGTCCAACCAAAGCTGATTTACCCACAGAGGCTGCCGGGGACTTGACCAGGGGGCTGAAGTTTCATTCTCCGAGTCTAAACATCGAGTCCAACCAAGGCAGAAACAGCACTTCTCCAGGCTCACCACAATTCACGCTGGTGACAGGGGCGCATTTGCCTCTTTAACCTGCAGCTTAGGACCTGCGTCTGAGGTCACTCCCCAGCTGCGGGCGGCCTCTGCCCTGACAGATCGTGGCACTTAGGCAGCAGGTCTTTCTGCCTCCAGTTCTGCGTCTCCTACCACGTGGAAGAGGCCCAGTGGTTGCACTTTGAGTAAGGAACAGCCCGGCCCTTGTATGGGCCAGTGGCCGCACAGTCTGGCCTGCACCCCTTGGGAAGTTGGCAGGACTCTGGGTTTATTGTGGGAAATGATCAGGGCCGTGTCCTTGCTACAGTGGGAAAGCTTGCCATGGGCACCGCTGCACTGCGGGTTAATTAGGAGAAGAATAGGGCATCAGTGAGCAACAAGAGGACATTTAACTTGAAATATAAAATTAGTATCTATGTCGACGGGAAGTTGAGCCACTGAGAGGTTTGTACTTCTTTCTGAGCTCGGGCCTCTCCATTCGCTCCCTGGAGACAAGTTTGAGAAGAGCCCCGGAGCAGAGCGTGGCCTCCTGCCGTCCAGGCCGGGTCCTGGAGCCCCTTTGCCCCTCGAAGCCTGCCATGGCTCAGAGTTTCTGCACCGCTCCTTGCCTGGCAGTCAGAGCTGGCACCCGCGGGTAGGAATTACAGGCACAGGTGGTGGCTTGGGATGAGGCACGCTGTCGGAAAATCAGTGCTGTCTAAGAGGAGGTAATGAGTCTGTCCTGGGAAATGCTCGGGCTGGGACGAGGTGGGTGTCGTAAGGGCCGCCCGGGAAGGAGTCCTGTGGAGCGTGAGATGTGAAGTAGATGAGCTCCGAGTCCCTGCCCAGCGCTGCCATCCGATTCCAGCTGTTCTGCATCCTGTGGGGCGTGGTGACCCATCAGCACCTCGTGATGCTTACAGAATCTTCTCAGTGTGGACGGTCGAAGCAAGTCCGTGCCCCTGCCATGTGGGTCGCACACCTGCTCCGAACAGGAACAGCACCAGCCTGCAGAGAACAGGAGCAGCTGCTGCTGCCCGGGCGGCGCCTTCTGGGAGCGGGCACTCCTGGCTTTCAGGGCATTGGTTGCTGGGGGACAGTGTGAAAACACAGTACTCAGCAAGCCAGTGCCATCAGGGCGCTCACTCGCACTTTCTCTTAAAGCAAGTTTATGTTTAAAATAACGGTAGATTCTTAGTAAATTAAAAAAAAAAAAAGCATGAGGGGCCTGTGTGGCCTGGCTTCCCCAGGACATCGACGTGGATGCCTCGCACAGAGCTCGTCCAGAGTCCACGGTTGTACGTGCGGGTGTGTGCGTGTGTGTGCGCCCTGCAGTTTTTCCAGGTGCATAGCTTCCTGTAACCACCACTGTGGCGGTCAAGATACAGGAGGATCCTGCACTGCACGGCTCCTGGTGCTGCTGCTTTATAGACCCTTATTCATCCACGGTGCAAAGAACATTTGGATCTCTGGGCTTTGGCTTTTGTGAGTAAAGCTCTGTAAATATGCCTGAGCATACGTTTCCATCGCTCTGGGGTAAGTGCCCAGGACGTGGCTGCCGGGTTGCATGGTGCATGCATGTTTAGATGTTTACGAAGCCGCTGCGCTTCTCCAGAGTGGCCGTGCCGTTTTGCGTTCGCACTGCAAGCACAGCTGAGGCCGGACCCCGCACCCTCACTGGCACATGGTGTGATCGCTTTTTCTTTTTTTTTTTTTTTTTTAGCCATTTGGATCACAGCACTCCCGTTTCGAAGAGGACAGCCGATTAATGTCCTAGGAATTAGGAGAAGCAGAATTAAAGCTCGTTTGCTTTTCCAAGGCTCGTGATATGTGCTATTGGCCCAATCGTTGCTGGAAGCTGCCAGGTTCCGTGGGACTTTCCTGGCTTCATGTGGGGCCATCCACGGTGTTCCTGTCCGAGGAGGCTCGTTCACCCTGTCTGTGTGGGGCACTCCTGTGGTCTCTTTCTCCAGGAGCCTTTTGGGGGTAGCCGTCCCAGCCACCTTGCCAGGCGTCTCTCAGAGTGAGCAGGTGGAGGCCGGGCCGCAGGGCAGGTGAGCTGTTAGCTGGCACTGGGCTCCCGGCCGGCCTCTCTCATCTCTAAGCTGGGCTTTCTCAGCCTGCTGGTCAGATCCAAAGAACTGCTGAGAAACTGGAGGCTCGCCGGCCTTCCTCACTGCCATGGAGATCTGACCATCCTCATTCTGGGCCAAAGAAAACAGGATCCACTTCCCCATATTCCAGAAAGCCCACTGTTTCCATGTCAGTGGAATTTCCATCTAATGCTGTCATTGCTGCTGTGATCAGCCCAGATGTTTGCCAGCGCTGCTTCTTTGTGGTCAACAGAAACGAACTCAGCAAAATGTAATTTTAAAAAAGTAATGTGTATTATTTTTCCTGAGTTATACATGATTAATGTAAAAGAAATTAGAAAATACAGAGAAATTTATGGAAGAAACCAGAAAGACTGATTCTGCCACCGTGAAATGACGCCGTGGTTAACGTCTGTAGCAGCCGCGTGTGCTGAGGATTTCTGCAGTGGGCATGTTTGCTTTTCCATCCACAGCGAGTCCTCACTCAGTGTCACCCGCCCCGAGGCCCTTGGAAACTGCAACTTTTTTTTTTTTGAGAGGGTCTCCCTCTGTCACCCAGGCTGAAGTGCAATGGCGTGATCCTGGCTCACTGTAGCCTCAACCTCCCTGGCTCAAGTGATCCTCCCACCTCAGCCTCCCAAGTAGCTGGGACCACAGGTTTATGTATCACCATGCCCAGCTAAATTTTGTATTTTTTGTAGGGACAGAGTCTCCCTACGTTGCCTAGGCTGGTCTTGAAATCCCAGGCTCAAGCGATCCTCTCGCCTTGGCCTCCCAGAGTGCTGGGATTTCAGGGATGAGCCACCTCACCTGGCCAGAAACTGTGACTTTAAGCAAAACGACAAACAGCAGGCCCTTGAATAAAGACTGTTTTGTTCAACACCTTTGTGTTATGCCATGGATGAGAATAGTAGTTGGTTTCATTTTATGTCTTTCCCTTAAAGTTGCACTTTGAGAAAACCTTTGCCATCAAGATGGTTATATGAGGCCTGGGCCGCAGCAGAACACCTGCTACCCTGTGTCCTCCCTGGGTGTTGTGATCCAGTGTGACAGGAAGCAGTGATAGCTGGTGATTGCTTTATTTTATTTATTTATTTTAAATAGCAAAACATTTTAATCAGTTAATTCTAAAAATAACAGAGACATGTTATATCTGGTGCCGCCTCCTCAAAAGTTTACCACAGATTAGACAGGCAGACTGCAAAGCACCAAGCCAGACATTAAATGTTTTTTGTTGTTTTTTTTGCTTTTTTCTTTTGAGACGGAGTCTCGCTCTGTCGCCCAGGCTGGAGTGCCCTGGTGCGATCCCGGCTCACTGCAACCGCCACCTCCTGGGTTCAAGCAGTTCTCTGCCTCGGCCTCTGGAGTAGCTGGGACTACAGGCGTGTGCCACCACACCTGGCGTGATTGCTTTAATTTCAGCTTCTAAGATTACGGTTGATGGTCATTTTCCATGTACATATTGGTCATTTGGTTTTTTTTTGTGAATTGCCTGTGTGTGGTTTTTGCTTTTTTTTTTTTAACCACTTCTATTGTAATTTATCTTTTCTGTACTGATTTGCAAACACACTTCTTAAACTAAGAGCCTTTATCTATCCTTCATGTTTCAAATATTTTTCCAGTTGGGCTGTTTGTGTTTATGGCTTTTGCCCTACACAGACAGCGGCCTCCCACGCCCCACAGCGCTGTGGCCGCACAGGCCCCGCGAGGCCCGTGTCCCGGTCTGCTCCCTCGGGATGCGGCCCCATGGTGGATCTCCCCAAACCCCCGACACCCGCTCCCGCTCTGCCCCACGGGAGCCATGGGAAGACGTGGCGGGAGGCGCGGGAAGAGCGCTCAGGCTGCCCAGGCGGCCGTGCCTTCGCACTGAGGGGCCCTTCCCAGCCTCCGTTAGATTTGGAGACCTTGGCCCGGGAGGTGCCGGCGCGGGGAGAGGGGTGAGGGGTCTTTGGTGGCTGGCTTTTCCTCTCGGAGCCGCACCATGAAGATGGAAGCCCTGCTCGGCATCCTTGTCGTCGGAGGACGTGCCTCCCTGATTTTCACAGCGGATTGTTTAGCTTAGCTTTTGTGGTGGTGTGTGCGCTTTCCTTCCTGGCATCTCGAGGTATTCTGGCGGGAAGCTAGGAGCGGCTGCGTGGGGATTTTGCTACCACATGCGCTGGTGCCGCCAGAGCTCTTCCACGGACTGAGCCCTGCCTCGGCCGGCGCGAGGTCCTCTGTCTCCTGTGGGCACCCGCTCGCCTCTGCGCTTGGGGCAGATTTGCGTAGCCTCCGTGTCTGGGCGTGGAGGGCCCGGGAGAAGGTGCCGGCATTGGTGTCCTCCCCACGCTGCCCTCCGGCTCATTACTGTAGCCCTGGACGCAGCCCACGGCCCGGCGAGGCTGCGCTCGCACTGGCATTTGTGGAGAGAGCGGAGGTAGTTAGAGTCTGCCCGTGAGGAGGTGAGGATGGAGGTGGTTGCCTGGTAGACAGAGAGATGTCTTTGCTGGCATCTGGACCGAAAGTCACCCGTGGCGCCGAGACGCAGAGGCACGTGGGAATCGGGAAGCTGTGCTGCCCCAGGGCCCGGCGGGCGGGAAGGGCTCCGCCGCCCACGGAGGGGTGAGTGGGGAGGGCCCGGCGGGGGAGGGGAAGGGCCCTGCTGGCCATGGAGGGGTGAGTGGGGAGGGCCCGGCGGGCGGGAAAGGCTCCGTCGCCCACGCAGAGGTGAGTGGGGAGGGCATGTCCACCTGTTCCGTGTTCGCACCTGCAGACTAAACTCACCGCACCCCAGGGTGTGGAGCGACTGCGTGCTGAGCTGCAAGTGAAATGGAGTGTTACACTGTAGCCTTTACGAAAATGAGCAGTGAAAGAGTTTTTTATATGCTTTTAGGAACCACGCAGGAATGGGGGGCCTCAGGGGCCACGCGTGTCGGCTGGATTCCCAAGGTGATCTTCAGGCCGGTGGTTTTCAGCCTGTTGGGATTAGGACCACTTGAAGGGTCTTAATTCTTTTATTGGATTAAGGTATTTTAAAATTGTTTAAAACAAATACATGCTTGTCATGAAAGTTTAGGTAATGCAGATATATGGAACTTCTGTCAATATGGTGGATTGGTCAACATGGGAAATCGTCCCTTCTGCCTCACACACATAAAAATACTGGAAGAGGCTGGGCGTGGTGGCTCCGAGCACTTTGGGAGGCTGTGGCGGGTGGATCACCTGAGGTCAGGAATTTGAGACCAGTCTGGCCAACATGTTGAAACCCTGTCTCTACAAAAAATAGAAAAATGAGCTGGGTGTGATGGTGGGGCGCCTGTGATCCCAGCTACTTGGGAGGCTGAGGCAGGAGAATCGCTTGAACCTGGGAAGCAGAGTTGCAGTGAGCCGAGTTTGCAGCACTGCACTCCAGCCTGGGCGACAGAGCGAGACTCCGTCTCAAAAAAAAAAAAAAAAAAATGCCTGGGAGAAATATCACAGCCGAATTTTCTAGCATAGTTAATTCAAAAGCAGGTGGTAAAGAAGAGACCCAGCAGCCGCTCCAGTGAGGGGGGTGCACACTGGATGGCCCCCATCGGCATCAAAGCGGGTGCACACGGTAGGGGCGTGTGTGTCAGCAGTGACACGGCAACCCGGGTGATCTCAGACACTCAGGCGGCAGAGAGTGGAACTCAACTGCCCTCCTAGCCGAGAGCCACTTGTCCTTAAAATGGGAGGTACAAAATCCTTTTAGCTGGCGGAGACACATGGCAGGGAAGCTGGGGTGGATAGAAAGCCATCCGCACAGAATCAGAACCCCAGGCAGATTTGCACTGCCCCCGCCTCATGGGAACCCCCAGTTGACAAGTCAGCACACCCGTGCGTTTGGGCCGTGAGATTCGTGGAGTCCGCAGCAGATAGGTGCAAAGCTGCCCACAGGGCCCGCCAAGGAGAGCAGCCCCCCTCTGCTTCCCCGCAGAGCGCGGGACACAGCCCCCCTCTGCTTCCCCCCGGGGTGCGGGACACAGCCCCCCTCTGCTTCCTCCCGGGGCGCGGGACTCCAGTGTGGGACACAGCCCTCCCCTGCTTCCCCCCGGGGTGCGGGACTCCAGTGCGGGACACAGCCCTCCTCTGCTTCCCCCCCGGGGTGCGGGACTCCAGTGCGGGACACAGCCCCCCTCTGCTTCCCCCCGGGGTGCGGGACTCCAGTGCGGGACACAGCCCCCCTCTGCTTCCCCCCGGGGTGCGGGACTCCAGTGCGGGACACAGCCCCCCTCTGCTTCCCCCCGGGGTGCGGGACTCCAGTGCGGGACACAGCCCCCCTCTGCTTCCCCCCGGGGTGCGGGACTCCAGTGCGGGACACAGCCCCCCTCTGCTTCCTCCCGGGGTGCGGGTCTCCAGTGCGGGACACAGCCCCCCTCTGCTTCCTCCCGGGGTGCGGGTCTCCAGTGTGGGACACAGCCCTCCTCTGCTTCCTCCCGGGGTGCGGGTCTCCAGTGTGGGACACAGCCCTCCTCTGCTTCCTCCCGGGGTGCGGGTCTCCAGTGTGGGACACAGCCCTCCTCTGCTTCCTCCAGGGGTGCAGGACTCCAGTGTGGGACACAGCCCTCCTCTGCTTCCTCCCGGGGCGTGGGGCTCCAGTGCAGGAAGGTCTTCCCTGCAGGCCACTGGTGGGATTCAGGGAAGAACTTGCAGACTGTACGTCACGGTGGTACAGTTGTGGGGAGAGAACCCCTAGTGTTCATAAGATTGTCAAAAAGAGTTCAGAGCCCTGTCCAGTAGTTCTGTCTTGTTGACTGAGCTTTTGGCATGTGCTTTGCAGCTTGTGGGCAGCATGGTGTTGGAAGCCACGGCGAATTCTGTGATTGGGAGACAGAACCTTCATCTCATGGTCTTATTCTCTGTAGAGTGGGAAGAAGCTACCAGCTTCCCTGGGTTAAGAAGCAGGAGGCAGAGTCATGTCTGTTGGTGGTTCCACAGTCACTGGCTTCTGTGTAGTGGGTTCTTGGTAAATGGCAGTTTTCTCTCTTTTTTGCAGATGGGACCGTATTTGTTGACCCGTGCATAGCTGGGTGTCTGTGAGCGCATCATGGGCTCTCTCCCATTCCTAGGCGGGCTGTGGAGTGCCCACTGAGCTTGGGGATAGTGGGTTGCAGACAGGGCTAAGCGGCAGTTTTTCCGGGTGGGTGTTGGCCTTGCTCACAGTGCACATGGACACATGGCTTCCTCTGTGGCTCTTTCCCTTCCCCGCTTCTCTTCATGGTCCTGCAGTACAGAGCATTTGAGCTTCCTTCCTTCCCGGAGTCGAGTCTGCGTTCCTTCCAGGCAGAGCTGATGCTGGGCGGGCAGGCAAGGAGGCTGGTGCTGGCAGGGCTGCGCTTCCCCGTGGCCTGGTGCAGTCCCAGCAGGACCTGCTGTTGGGGGCTCCTGGCCGTGGTCACGGTGGGCAGGGAGCCACATCCCTCTGTCCGGCCTGGCTCTGCACCACGGTTTGGCTTCCTCTTTGTGTGTTCACCTGGCCCAGCTGCCCTTCGCCACTGCAGAAACAGCACGGAGGGAAGGGGGCGGCAGATTCAGACTTGAGGTCAGTTGGTCTTTTGGGAGCTGGGAGCACAGCCAGGGATTCCCTCCGGCAGCACCGGCATCTTCTCTGGTTTCTTTTCTGGCCGCACCCCACAGCCAGTAAGCCCTGTCTTGTCTACCTTTGAAATACACCCTGAGTGGGGCCCTTCTGCCTGCCCCAGGCCCGTCACCCTCACCAGGCTGCACCTGTTCTCCCGCCTGCCTGCCTTTTTGCTCATGTGGGCCGGGCTCCTCCTGACGTGTCAATCCGTCTATGCTGCCAGCAGACTCTGTGGAAGCTCTCGGCCCCTCCAGCCTGAGTCTGGCCCCTGCCTGCCCCTCTCCACGTTGATCCCCTCCTGCATCCTCTCCCTGCCACGCTGTCCTGGCCTCTCTTGGCTCTGTCCTCTCCCCCACACGGCACCCAGAACACAGGGGCCCTCAGAAGCGCTGGAAGGACGTGTCTCTGGGGTTTCGCTCTGGCTGGGTCTGGATGGCCCTCTGATGCCCAGACACACACACCCTTGAGTCTGTGCAGGGACCAGGTGGCTGTCTCTGTTGGGCAAGTTGGTGGTGGCATCCGCATGTGGAGAGTCCGCGTGGCTGGCAGAGCCCGACAGCTGAGTGCTCGGCCGGGCAGTGTGCGGGACTCGAGGATGGGAGCGGTGAGCAGCGGGTAGAAGCTACTTCTGCAGCATCTGCATGATGCATGCCTTGGAAACACTCTGCATTTCCCGTTCGTTTCCTAAATAAACAGCATCGAAATCATACAAGGAAAAGTTGAGCAAGGAAAGCAACTCCCTCTGCCCCTTCACCTCTCTCCTCTCCCCTCCGTGTGCTCCTCTCTGTTCCTGTGATATGGACGCGTCTTTCTGACACGGCCGAACTCTCAGCATAGATTTGATTTATACATGGTCTTTTAATATCATTCTTAATTTAATTTTAAAAACAAAGCCTTTTCCTCCTCTTTTTAAAAGTAAAACACACCCATTATGAAAAATACAGAAAACATGAAAACATTTAGAAAGAGAAATGTTAGCCAAGCGTGGCGTGTGCCTGTAATCTCAGCTACTCAGGAGGCTGAGGCAGGAGAATTGCCTGAACCCGTGAGGCGGAGGTTGCAGTGAGCCGAGATCACACCGCTGCCTTCCAGCCTGGGCGACAGAGTGAGACTTCGTCTTAAAATATGAATAAAATAAAGAGAAATATTTGGTACATTTTCACATGCTTGTAATTTTTTTTTCTAAGTATTTTTAAAAGCATGGCTGGCCTCCTGGTTTTGCACATAGTGTCACCACAGTAATCTGTGGAGTGAGTAACGATCAGCGTCTCACAGTTCATTGATTCCTTTGCTGCTTTTGAGACTGAACCACAGGCCACCCCATGAGGCAGCCCCTGTTGTTCTCAAGCACCTGCTCTTAGAGGCTGGGGCGTCACCCTCGGGCTCCAGAAGCCTGTTCCACAGCCGGCCGGCGGCAGAACCGGGCCAGCACCCTGGGTCTCCTGACTGAAGCTGTTTCTGGGGCTGTTGTCTTCTTGGCGTTCGAAGGGCATGTCAGTTGGTCACCATATTGAAATTGCTGGTCACAGTATACGTTTGGTATTTTAAGCTGAAGTGAGATTTTATTCCAGAGGTGCCCAGAGCCTGTGGCTTGTCCATGCTCCTGCCCTGGCCCTTTTACCCAGGATTGTAACACCTCTTCCTTCATGACAACTATTTTTCTTTTATAAAATTGCGATACATAGTAAGAAAATAGAGAGTGCAGAAGAGTAGTCTTCCTGTCTGTCCCTCTCTTCTACTGCGATTATCTCCACTTCCTGACTGTTCAAAGGAAGCCTCTGAACTTACTGTTCTCAGTTAAGTGAACTAACATCACATTTATTCAAGGAAGCTTATTTCATTATAACATTCACTCATGTTTGTAAAGAATATTAGTCACTGGCTAAGCGGATAGTGTGCTCCAGAAAGTTCTTCAGTTTTGGGTCTAAAGTACCAGAATGGACAGATGAGGCTGCATATTTGTACGGTCTTTTCAAAATTATTTTTGTAGTGGTATGAGCAGATTTCCCAGGATGGAGCATTCACAGCTGGGAAAACAGTTGTTGCTTTGAAGATGGTTTTCCCAGGCACCCGGCTCACGTCTCCTGCTGTCAGGCGCATAAACAGTGTCTAGTTTAAACTTGCTGCGCTCCTGGTAATTCTGAGTGGCACGGGGTGGCCTTTCCACGTAAGCTGCATGGGCCCCTCGGGAACACAGTTGCGCTGACCTGGAGGAAAGCTCTGCTGTGATTTGCCCGGAGCTGCAGTACTGACATGCGGGCGTCAGGGTGTGCAGCACCTTGGAGCCACCGGCCTCTCAGGTGTCTGAGCTTTCATTTGCTGCTCATAGATGACGTGAATGCATTAGAGATGGGTCTCGCTGTTTCCCAGGCTGGAGTGCAGTCACTATTCACAGGCATGATCATAGCTCACTGCAGCCTCGAAGTCCTGGGCCCAGCAACCCTCCCGCCTCAGCCTCCCGGGCCACTGCATGCATGGCGGATGATGCTTTTAAAGGCTGGTAAATAAATCCAGTGTTGAGGCCCTTGCCTCGGTGCTGACAGTGGAGGTTGGCCTTCTCCAGAGCCTTTGTGGCCTGACAGAGCCCTGCCCACGGTTCAGGACTCAGCATAGCTGCCACCTCAACCCAGGTACTTTGGTCCCGCCTGGCAGTGTGAGATGGTAACCAGATGGGGCGAAACCTGTGGGTGCCATGGCAGAGCCTGGTGGGTGCTAGCACGGGGCTGGTGCTTAGGTGGCACCGAGATCCCAAAGCACAGAGCTTGGAGTTTGGTGGGAACTTACTCCCTGGGCAGGGGCCAGCGCTGCTGTGGGCCGTTCAGGCCAGGGTTCCTTCCATCCTTCCAGCTCTCCCCTGCCCCACCGGGTGCTCTCCACGCTGCCTGGTCCTTGGGAGCCCACCCCCAAGCTAGTTCCGGGTTGGGCACCCTCTGCACACTTGTGTCTCACCGTGAAGTGGGGACAACCGCAGACCCGTCTCAGGGGCTGGGGAGATGCCATGAGAGTACACGGGAGACGGAGCACAGCCCTCTCCTGTGCAGGGTGGGGACGTCGCTGTTGGTTTTGTTTAAACTCGATCATAATGAAAGCGTGGTCTGAATTTCTGAAGTTGGGTTTAAATTTGATCATAATGAAAGCGTGGTCTGAATTTCTGAAGTCAGGCTTTGTAGCAGGAAGTCTGGCTTTGTCAACAGTTTCATCAGCCAATGTCTCCTGATACAGTTGAACTTGGGAAATGGAAATACAAATAAGGGCTAATTCGTGTGGTGACAGCCTCCTCAGCTGCAGATACACCTCCAAGAGGACTGTGTGTTTTGTGGGGTGTAAGGTCATTCTAACGACTGTTGTGTGCATAGCGCCTGATAGCTGGGGTTTTCCTTAAAGAAGCCGAATGACTGTGCCTCCCTGCGCGAGGGTTTTTCTCCAGTAGCCACTTCCACTTTGACGCTTTCACCCGACAATCTCAGCCCAGGGGATGAAGCTTTCGTCCTTGCCCAGCATGCACACTTGTCTTTTACCACAGGGTCGGGCGTGGGAGGAGGTTTAGTTTGGATAGCCACGTAAACGCCTTTCCCTGTGGCCTGCGATGTTCCACACCGTTTATGTGTGAACTGGCTGCACCCGCGCCTCCCGGACGGGGCTGCCAGGGAGGAGGGCCCGGGAGACCCCATCCAGACCCCGGCCCGCACGCTGCAGAGGTCTGCTCTCAGACATGTGGTGGGCTCCGTGTCACGGGTAAGGGGTCGGGGTCTAGACGGCAACAGAGTGTCTCTCTCTTCCCGCTCCCTGGTGTGCCCACCTCCCTGTACAGTGTTTCTGTTCAAGCTGCTGCAGGGGACGGGGCATTTTTCCTCCAGACTCTATTTTCCTGCAAGGAAGAGCTGCTGTCCTTTTTCTTACTGAAGCCCCTGATTCTGTGTCTGATGTTGCTGACGCCGTGCTTGCTTTCTTGCCCGTGTGCAACTTCCCAATCCCAGCACACGTGCTCACTTCCCAAGGGTGAGGCGGGCACCGTGCCTGCGGGCGGCCCACCCTCACGGAAAGGGGCGCAGGATCACAGTTCAGTGGGTCACCTGTTCTCCAGGTCGCCCGCTGGGTTCTCTTCCGAGTGCACCTTCCTTTCTCTCTTAAAGCTTTTTAATAAACGTCCGCTCCTGCTCTGAAAAAAAAAAAAATTTTAAAAACAGGTGAATGGAAGGTGGGCATGGTTTGAAACACTCCTTTGGTTTTACCAAAGAAGCAAGACCGTCCCCTGTGGAAGTGACAGTGACCTGGTGTTGAACGCCAGCGTGGCCGGAGCTGTGAGCTTCACAGTCGTGGATGAGCGGAAGAACTTGAGTGTGGCTGCAGACGCCGACTTTTCCCTTCTTCTCCCCCTCCTCTTCTTCTTGTAAGATACACAAATCAAGAGCTGCCCGCAGCTTTAGTGGGACTGCGCGGTGGAGAAGGGAACTGCCACTGCCGCTGGGCCCAGCTCCTCGCTTCTCTCTAGAGCCGTGTGCTGGGCACGCAGCTCTGAATAATGCGGTTGGCTTTGCTCGTGGGTGGACTTTGGACGGAGTTTGTGTTTTGCCGTTTTTTTGTGTGTTTTTCTTTTCTGGCTGGCTGCACTTGGCACTGGGCTGTTGCCTGTAGCTCTGGATGGTTAACGTGGGTGGTGCACGTGCCCCAAAGCCAGGTCTGTGGTCAGCGGACATGCTGCCCAGCCCCTGTGGGGAGAGCGCTCTGCTGTGATGACTTCTATGGGCAAGACCTTCTGCATTTCACACGCTGCCAAGGCACTGCAGCTTGTTCCTGGCTCGGCTGGCCTGGCCGCTGCCTCTTGAACCAGAGAGCAGGGTGACGGTGGCCCAGCGAGCCAAGACTCAGGAGCGAGCCTCGTTTTCTGGAGGCCGAGCAGGGCTTCGTGCTGTGTCCGCGACGCGCACCTCCTTGCTTGTGATTGCCTGGGGCAGCTGACATCTCCCTGGGCCTGCGGCCGGCCCCTCATTGCAGAGAGCTGCGGGCTGCGTGGATACCAAGGCTGGGAGTTCAGGCTGCCGTGGCCGTGCTGAGTGGGCCCTCTCAGGAGGCACGCCGTGGGCAGGGCCCGGTGCTGGGACACGGGACGGTCCACCCTGCAAGGAACCTGGGCGGCTGCGCGGAGGCTGATCCCGGCGAGAATCAGACAGGAGGCTGAAGGTGCAGAGCTCTAGAAGTTGTTCAGGAATAGCCGGGGAAGGGGCGGGAGCAGGAAGGAAGGGGCTCTGTGTAAGGAGCCGCTCACTGTGTCATGTTCAGAGGCTCAGTTGGCAGATGCTCACATTCTACAGAGCCAGCCCCTGGTCCGACGCCGCACGCGCCTGCTCTGAGAGTAGCTGGGCCCCTCTGGGGACTCCCAGCAGCTGACTTCTGGCAGTAGGTTTCAGGTGGAGTCCACCCCAGTACCTGGGCTCAGCAGCACACCAGCGTCCAGGGCGTTTGTTCTGCGTGCCTTTGGCTTTTTAACCCTTGTTCCCAGGCTCCATCCTCCACCCACCAGACAATGGCAGAAATCAGACAGACCAACCGCAGCAGCTGACGTTTCCCAGCAACGCAGCCTGGGTGTGTGCGAGAGCAGAGTCTGCGGGAGTGTGCGCACGTACACGCCTGCCCTCGTGGCGCACGTGTCACCTCAGGGGCCACCATGACACTGGGAGCCTGTGGCAGGGCCGCCTGGGCCTGTGTTCCCTGAAACGGGCTGTGTCCTTCTGAGTGGAGCGTGAGCCTCCCTGACGGGCTGTGCCTGCGGTGGAAGGGCCTTTGCAGACCCCGCCTAGGCCAGGAGCAGGGGTGCACGGGGCTCTGTGCCTGCGTCTGTGGCCTCTCCCATCTCTGCCCCTCAGCCGTTCCCGGGAGACTTGCTGATGGATGTAGACGCAGCTGTCCTTTCGGGGTGTCGTCTCTGCCTGTGGGCGAGATGGGTAAAGTGCTCAGAAAGGGTTTTGTTTTGTTTTTTTTTTTAACCACAAGAAGCCCCTGTGGAGGCCGGGAGGCAGGGAGGCAGAGGGGACAGTGAGGGGCTCCGGCTGGGGACATTTCACAGACGGCCCCTCCCCCAGCCCCCACTTTGTTTCCGCTAGAGCTGGGTCAGCTGACTCACCACCTGCCAGAGAGCCAGGAAGGCAGGGGCTGGTCATGTCTGGAGCAAAGGCCTCCAGCCATGGCTTCTTGAGGGCGCACGGCCCAGGCTCCCCAGCTGACGCCGCTTGGTGAGGTGGAGGCTTTTCCTCCCCAGGCTCAGACAGAAGCTCCTGCCGCGGAGATGGGCCGCACGCCTCAGAGCTCAGACCTGTCCCGGGTCTGTGCAGCCTGCGTGTGGCCTGCACCCACAGGTGTGGCTTTGCCTGCCTCTGGTGTCCACTCTCTCCCAGAGAATTGCTCACCAGCCGGACCTGAAGAGCGAGAGTGGCCTGAACACGGCACCCAGCCTCTGTCGGCTCCTGTGGGCTGGCAGCAGCTTCAGGAGGCCTGAGAAGAGGCCTAGTGCCAGCAAACGAGACATGGGGCTCCACTGAGGGCTCATACGGGGCAGGGTGCAGTGGTGGCCGGCTGGACAGGAGAACGCACCTGCTTGAAAAAGGCAAGTGGCATGTATAGCATTTCCACTCAGCACCCTCCACCTGGCAACCTTCATGTAACCCAGAACACAGGCTCTCCCTCCCATTTGGCTTGCGGTGCACAGAACGGGGACGGGGGCTCAGATGTTCCTCTTAAATGAGAAGTGGATTATCCAGTTGTCCATACCCAGGTTCCATAGCTCAGATTGGAACTCCGAACCCACCCTCAGGTGCATCTGCCGCACGGTATTACTCAGGGTTTGCCGTGGTTGAGTCCCCGCCGTCAGGTGCGTCTGCTGCACCGTGGCCTGAATGACGTACCCTTGTCCTCTGGAGTTCTGAGCAAACCGCCTAGTGAGACGTGTCTGCGAACAGCACACAGCAAACGAGACAACAGCTTGTGTCCTCACCTGGCCACATCTGTGCACAGGTCAGACGGCAACGCCCAGGCAGCCTGACCCAGCCCTGGCAACCAAGCTCTGCAGGAGGCGGAGCTGGCATCTCCACTTTCTGAGGGAGTCCAGAGAGACTCAGTCAGTTCAGCTCTAATTTTGACTAACGCTCTTTTCCTCCATTTTTAATTTAAAAGTACATCCAAAGACACTCCAGGTAATGAGTTTCCCACCGTGGAGAAGAAAAGTAAAGCTCGACTTACCAGGCGGTGAGCGAGAAGAGAAAGCTTTAATTAGAAGCTTTACAATAAATGCTGGATGGCGTCTAGGATTCCAGATGGCGGAAACCCTTCCGCTCTTAGGAAATGTTTTGTGGCTGCTAACGAAGTGTGTGTGGAGTGTTGGGCTGGCGTCCCCGTGGCCCACCAGCACAGGGCGGCTGTTAGCCAGCACTGTCCGATGGTGGCCTGTGCTTCAGAGGGACAGAATTGGTCTGCAGAGACCAGCGAGGCTCCGGAAGGGGAGGCCGCTGCAGGAACGCGACAGCGAGGCTCCGGAAGGGGAGGCCGGCTGCAGGAACGCGACAGCGAGGCTCCGGAAGGGGAGGCCGGCTGCAGGAACGCGACAGCGAGGCTCCGGAAGGGGAGGCCGGCTGCAGGAACGCGACAGCGAGGCTCCGGAAGGGGAGGCCGCTGCAAGAACGTGACAGTGAGGCTCTGAAAAGGAAGGCCAGCTGCAGGAACACAGCCCGGCGCTTGAATGGGTACTGTGGTCTCAATGGCAGCTTTACTGAGATGTAATTTACATAGCAGAAATCCACTCTTCTGAAGTGTGTACCTCGGTGATTTTTAGTCACAGACTTGTGCAGCCATCGCCACAATCTAATTTTAGAACGTTTTCTTCACCCCCAGGGAAACTCCATTGCCTGTCAGCAGTGGCTCCCCGTCCCCCGCTCACCCCAGCCCCGGCAGCCGCTTCCCAGCCTTCTGTCCTGTGGACCTGTCTGCCCTGCACGTTTCACATTGGCGGACGCACGCAGTGGACATTGTGCTCGTGTCTGCTTTATCTCACCAAGCGTGGCAGCTCCACTCGTGTCTGCTTTATCTCACCGAGCGTGGCAGCTCCACTCGTGTCTGCTTTATCTCACTGAGCGTGGCAGCTCCACTCGTGTCTGCTTTATCTCACTGAGCGTGGCAGCTCCACTCGTGTCTGCTTTATCTCACCGAGCGTGGCGTCTCCACTCGTGTCTGCTTTATCTCCCTGACTGTGACTTTATCTTCCTGACTGTGGCATTTCCAGGTCCACCATGCTGTGGTGTGGTCCACGCTTTGTTCCTTTTCATGGCAGAGTAATATTCCACTGTTGGATAGATTGATTTCGTTTCTCCGTCTATTGGCTTATGGACATCTGGGTTGTTTCCACGTGTTGATTCTTGTGGACAGTGCTGCTGTGGACATTCACGAACAAATGCTTGCTTGGATGCATGTTTCCGGTTCTTTGAGGTTGATCCATGGGCGTGGAGTGGATAACGTTTGTCCTGTGCATTTGCTGTGCACCCACCCCACTTGCTGTGTGCATCCTGCCGCCACGGAGCCTCTTGGGGGTGACTCGCACAGTCCCGTCTTTTCCCTCTGCACACTCCAGTGTGGGCTTCCTAAGAGGCATTGTTGCCCATCTCGGGAAATGGACTTTGAGGCAGCACTTTTATCTCCCGGGGTATTCCATTCTTGTCGACTGACCCCATAAAATCCTTCACGACGCTCTTTTCCTTCTGGTAGAGCACCCATCTAGGATCCCTGTTGTGTCGAATTGTTACATCTCTTTCCTCCTTCTGAGTTTGGGATGATTGCTCTGCCTTTGTCTTTTGTCACATGGACATTTTTGATGCATCCTGGTTCCCCGTCCTCCCTTCCTGTTTATCTCACATTCCCTCCTGATGAGACTCAGGCTGTGCGTTCCTAGATGACAGCACGAGACGCACCCTTCTCAGGGTGTAGCATCTGGACCGGCCTCCTTGTTGGTGCTGCCCATGTGATCACCCAGCGAGGGGCTGTCCCGTCTCCACTGTGTGGTGACCTTTCCCCGAGCACTAATGAGCCATCCGTGGGGGACAGGTAGGCTCTGCAGTCCCCTGCACCTCACTGCCCCCTGAGATTCGCCCTCCATTTGTGACTCTTACCTGCCCCCGTCTCCCTCTGAAAGGTGCAGAGTGATGCTTTTCCAACTACTTTACCAGCCAGCACTTTATTAGAAACGAGACTCTTCCCATTCATGCATTCTTTCATTTTATTTAAATTATATTAGGTCTGTTTGTTGTTGGAGTAGACTTGCAGACTCCTGCTTTTCATGGTCTATCACGATTGTCTCTTCTTACTCATCTTACTGCTCACGTTGTCCCAGCTTTGGCGAGGACACCGTGTCCTTTGGGTGTCACCCGACGTGCTCTTGGAGCCTTTCTTGTCTCAACCAGAATCACCTGTCCCAGGCTCATCTTGTCTCTCCCTGCCCCGGCCCAAATCAGCCATTTCTCCCGGAGTCCTGGGCCCTTCTGGAGGGTGGCAGTGTTCGGGGCCAGGCCCTGTGCAGGTGGGCTGCAGAGATAGAGCTTGGAACATGTGAGCGTGTGTCTGTGAGTGTTCAAACGTACTCGCGTAGTCTGTGTGCTGCTTCTTACTTTCAATGTCTGGGTTAAGCCTTGTCCTCAGCCCTGACCCGTTCCCATGGGCTCCCCTCGCCTGCCCTGTCTCCCGCCTCTGCTGGGAGAGCCCCGGCTTCAGGAGCCTCCTCACATTGCCTCATGTGCCCAGTTCACGGGGTGTCTAGGACGGCTTTGGAATGGCTTCCCACCCCGCCACAGAAACACCCTCCTAAGAAGGTTTCTTTGTAGTTCTCTCCCCCACCCTGCCCCCCAAGACTGCAGGTGAGTGGGCGCGTGAGCATTAGTGAGCCCACCGCTGCCGCTTCTCACTGAGTGGGAGGTGCGGGGCCTGGGAAGGGCGGGTAAGCCGTGTCACTCTCGTGAGGTCAAGAGTTAATTGTTAAGCACAAAGAACGAGGAGGTCACGTTCAGTGCTAACACGGGGGTTTTTCCCATGCTTGCAGCTATGTACTTTTGAGCTCTTTCTGGGTTTAAAAAGCACTCATGTAGGAGAGTTGGGTTACCAGGAGACAGCAGAGCAGTTAAGACGCCTTGATTTTATCTCACCGTGGGCCTGCCAAAAACAATTACATTTGCCCTGGCTCCCAGGCAAGCGCTTGAGAAGGGCGTGTGTGGCTGCGCCGGCGGCACCCACGGAGTCCCTGCCCGGCCTGCTGGTCTCTGTCCTACAGCTCCCAGCTCTGGGATCTCAGGGTCAGGGACTCCAGGGCCCAGGGTCCAAGGCTGGCTCTACTGCGTGGGGACCTCAGTGTTGCACCTGCCCTTACCGCAGCCCGGTGGCTTGGCTGCTGGGTGCCTGTCGCTCGTGTGACTGGCCTCAGAGCAGTGCCGCCGCCAGCTTCACAGGTCAAGAGTCTGCTTCCGGCGGCTAGATGGCGGCGTGTCAGCTCTGTCTGCCCAGAGCCTTGGGCAAGTCCCCAGAAGAGACCTGGCGGAGAGGAGCGGCGTAGTGGGGCGGCGTGACGCTTCCACGCACTCAACAGCGGTGTCTGGTGCGGGCAGGATGGAAGCCGCGTCTGTGGCAGGGAGGGAAGGACGCCACAGTCAGCACTGTTCCCTGTGGTGGGTTGACGTGGAGGAATGAGTTGAGTCCCGTCCCTGATTGATGCCTGGGGCTCTGTTCAGACGCAGTTCCCACCCAGATCACCTTAAGGGAGCCCTCCCCGCTGCCGCTGCTGCCGTCCCTGCACTTCCCGCACAGCAGGCTTTAGAGGAGGTTGGGCTGGTGACCTTGGGTGACCCCTCGATGCCCATGGCCCCCAGCCCTGTATGATTTCTGCATGGCGTGCTTTTGCCAGTTAGACGCCAGGGGTTGCCGAGTGCTACAGAGCTTGTGGGCTTTGAGCCAGGAGAGCGTGGCTGAATTCCTGGCTGTGTCACCCACCATTTAAGGCTTCGAGCAGTGACTGACCCTTCTAGTGCCTCCTTGGTGTGGTGGGGACAGCGCTTACCCCACGGGGCTGCTGTGAGGGGTGGGGACCAGACCACGTTCCGTGTGGGTCTCCCCACGTCAGCTCGTCAGAACTGGAAGTCAGAAATGCTGGGTCTCTCGTCTGCGTATTTTAAAGCGTCTGCCCTTGCCCCTGTTGAAGCTATGTGAACGGGACTGTGTGTGGGGAATGCCTGACAGGTAGTTGGGTGCCTGGTGGTAGAGCACCCACCCCGCCTGCTTTCTGGGACTTGGATGGTTTTTCCCCATCAGCAACACTGAGGTCAAAAGGGGAGCTTCATTGAAGCATGCATCTTGTAAAGAGAGTGCCCGGGTGTCGGGGAGGGGGGTTTGGGGGCTGCTGCGTGACTGTCCTGGGTATTGTTGTAAAGACAGCGCCCAGGTGTGGGGGGTGGGGGTTTGGGGGGCTGCTGCCTGGCTGTCCTGGGCATTGAGCGAGTACATCCCTGGGGAGGAGGGCAAGTCTCGTCCCTGGGGCCTGGAAGGAGCTCCAGAGCACGGATGTCAGTGTGATGGCCATGTCCTTTTAGCTGGGGTGACTTGCAGGGCAGGCTCTGGAAGGGCAGAGGGAGGGGTGCGCCGGGCCTGAGTCGTGGCTCAAGCCACGCACGGTGTTCTGCAGGACTGTGCCACACGTGAGCCTGGCTTCTGGCTTGGCCACCCCACAGCAATCTCCACTTCCACGAGACCTGTTAGTGTGTGGGAGCCGCCCTGTTCCCAGGCTTCCCGGTGAGCCATTTATGAGGAAAGCAATCCTGATAGAAGTGGGCACAGAGGCCGCTCCTGCAGGCCACGGTCTGGGCAGCGCTCTGTTCCTGAGGAGCCCAGCACCACGGTGCTGGGGTCATGGAGAATACAGGCCCCACCTGCCTGAGAGACCCAGGCTTCCCACACCCACCGACACACAGCTTCATGTCCCACAGACGGGAGGAGAGAGGTTTTACTGGGCTCACTGTGGTTGTGTTATGTCCCACAGACAGGAGGAGAGAGAGTTTCCTGGGCTCATGTGTGGTTATGTTATGTCCCATGGACGGGAGGAGAGAGTTTCCTGGACTCACTGTGGTTGTGTTATGTCCCACAGACAGGAGGAGAGAGTTTCCTGGACTCAACATGGCTGCGTTCAGTCTTCATTGTGCCGCACCCGTTCACCCCCTGCTCTTTTGCAGATGTTTTCTTTAATTGGCCTTTTCCTTTCAATATGTTTGCATATCAAACTTTATGTTATCACAAATAAAAAACAGTATCATAGCTTTTAAACAGACCAGAACCGCAAACACAGGAAAAGTGAGGGGGTAGTACAGGTGGCTAGTTCCCTTCACCCACACATCCCGACGCCCTGCGCAGGTTTCTGTGAAGACGGAGAAGCAGGCACTGGTTCAGGTGCACCTTGTTAACATCAGGGACAGCTGCTGCCAGGTGGGTGAGGCGGGAAAGGAGGGGAGCAGCGCCAGGATCCAGCCCCGGTGATGGGAGAAGGAGCAGGAACCTTCCCGGCCGGCTGCTCCAGGAGCGCTTGGGTGCCGCAGAGCTCTTGGGCCTCGCACGCGGCCGAGAGCCTTCTAGAAAGGCAGCTTAGGTCGCACAGGCTGCTGGACAAGGCTGAGCCCTGCCTCCTACATTCATGGGAAGCTTGTCATGGCACCCAAGCATGACACAGAAGTGCCCCCACGGCATTTTGGACAGCCTGGAAATGCCAGGTTAGGTCCGGCTGGCCGGACTCAGAGGCTGGCCTTGTGAGAGTTTTCAGGGTGGCAGGGGAGGGCTGTGTTTTCTGTGAGGGGGGAGGGATTCTCCCGAGTGCCCCATGCCCACCCCACGTCCCACCCCACTTGGCAGACCCCCAAGACAGAGCCTCCGGAAGGATCCGCACATGACAGGTTTATTGACAAAGGCTGAACGTCACCAGCCTCATCAGCTTTTCTTACATTTTATGGGAAGGTTTTTACATCATCACCGCAGTTGTCCCCAGCTGTTATTTCTGTAGAAACAAATTCGTCAGCCACAGGTGCTGGAGTATTTCATTGTCCTGGCACCCGACTAACCCACACGGCAGCTCGCACGGTCCCAGTCCACATGAGTGCAATTGCCATGTTGATGTCAACAAGCAGTGACTGAACCACCCCGGAGCAGACGGCGGGCGCTCCACAGAGGGGCCTTCCTGCTGCTCCGGGCCGAGCGCTGCTGCTCCTCGTGGGCCTGGTGAGGCCGCACAGCGCCATTGCTGCCATCCTGGAAGATGGAGGACGCTCAGGCGTGCACCAGAGCAGCATGTTTTCCTTCTCCTCTTTAACTCGGCGGTGCGCTAGCTAGCTCAGACCGTGGGCACAGAGGACACACCGCGACGTCCAGCTCAGACCCACCAGCACCTTGCATCTCCAGCGTCAGTTCCCCCACGGTGGCAGATTTGCTTTAGGGTTCCTGTGTAACTGAGGCGCTTCACCCACAGTGGCCTCTCCGTGTGGCTTTCCTGGTCGACGGTGTCAGAAATGTTTCCTGCAGCGGCAGGCAGGTGCAGCGGCAGGCAGGGTTGGCGGGGAGGAGCTGGGTGACAGGCTGGTCACCGCTGGCCTTTGGACCCTGCGGGGCGAGCGCTTTGGGATTGTAGCAATTCTGTGTGAGGAGTGCAAGGTGACCAGTCGTGAGGTTTCCTAAGCAGCCCCAGGGTGACCAGGCAAGCGTGACCCTCGCGAGGCCCCGAGGAGCCAGAAGCCACATCTGACCGCAGTTTAGAGACATGACGTGGCCGTGCCTTGTGTCCACCCAGGTGTGTGCAGCTCCCGAGTCACACCCTGGCTGGGCCTATGCGGCCAAGGCTGTCTACACGGCACTGCTGAACCTCACATCCGACTGCTCGGTGCTGTCTGGAATGACGGCCTTCAGGGCAGCGTGACAGAAGCGGTTCAGGGCCGGCAAATTTGTTTTCTGCTCAATGTACAGCCTCAGCTTGTCCCTGAAGGTCTCCCCGAGAAAGCTGTAGATGAGGGGGTTTAGGCAGCTGTTGGAGAAGGCGGCGAGGTTGACAATGTGGCCCGTGAGGGGGTGGGCATGGCGGAAAGACTGCTTGCAGGGAGCGGCCCCAGGCTGCGTCCGCTGCAGGAGGTGCACGCTGATGAAGACGTTCTCCGGCAGCCAGCAGACGAAGAAGACCAGCACCACCGCGAGGATCATGCGGAGCGCCTTCTGCCGCCGGGGCCGCAGCCCACGGTGCCGGTGCGCCCTGACCAGCACCCGGACAATGAGGGAGTAGCACAGGCCGATGATGGCGAAGGGCACGATGAAGCCCAGCGTGACCTCGAGCCACTGCACCTCCCGGACATCCGCGAAACAGAAGCAGGCCTCGTCGGTGTGCTGCAGGTGCACGGCGGTGAAGGGCACCAGCGTGGCTGACACGGATGCCATCCAGATGAGGCCACAGCTCAGCCGGGCGTGGTGCTTGGTGCGGAACAGGCTGCAGCGCATGGCCCTGGCCAGGGCGATGTAGCGGTCGAAGCTCATCCAGGTGAGGAAGAAGACGCTGCTGTACATGTTGACCTGCAGGAAGAGCGACATGAAGGTGCACAGGACGGCGATGTCGTAGTACCGCTCGTGCAGGTTGAACACCTCAATGAGGGAGTCGGCCACCAGGATGAGGTCCGCCACCGCCAGGTTGATGAAGTACAGGTCGGGGATGGTCATCTTCTCGCGGAAGCTGATGTTCACCACCAGGATCAGGATGTTGCCCACAAAGCCGATGGGGAAGAGGAAGATGGTGTAGAGGCACGAGAGGAACAGGCCGATCACGTACTGCTGGTGCTCCGAGAGCTCACCTGTCCCATTGGCCAGGGCGGTGCCCAGGAGCGGGTGGGACAGGTTGAGCTCGGGGGAGGTGGTGTTGGGGGCCGCAGGCTGCGCGGTGCCTGGGTACATCTCCAGGCCCACGCCCCGGGCTTGGGAAGTCACATCCATGTCTCTGCACCGTGCAGCTTTCAAGATTTGCCGAAAGGCTCCCAGAGCTCTGTTTTAAATGGTGAATCCATCTTTAGAAAGAAGCGTGATTCTCCTTGAAGTGAGCCTGGCATTTGTCAGACAGGAAACTCCCCAGGAGGAGCACCTGTGGTGGTTTGGGTTGGGTTTGTTAACTGCAGAGAGTGGGAAGAACAGATGCTCCTCACACCGGCATGGTGCATCCGTGGAGGCGAGGGCCCTCCGCGTGCTCGTCCGGCGGGCGTCCCTGCGGGTGTCGGCCACCGTGCACAGTCCCGCGTGGAGCTGCTCACTCTCTGGGTACCTGGAGAAGCAACAGGAGAGGATGAAGTCTCATCGAGTGGCCCCAGCTTTGGGACAAGGCCTGGCTCCCCTGGCCGGGTGTCTGTAGAGTCTGGGTGTGTCAGGAGCACTGGGGAGGGCCAGAACCTCAGCTTTATGAGCTCGGGAGGTGGCTGTGGTTGAGCTGAGGTGGAAGAGTCGCCTGTGGGAAGTACATGGCCTTCTTTCCTGCAGGTCCCACGGCTGCTCAGCTGCAGCTGGAGGCTGGACGTGAGTCACTCCCACAGGCAGGGGTGTTTTTCCCTTTATAGCCACAGAGCAGGCCCAGGAAGCAATGAAGGTATGGGCACGGCCGCCCCAGGACAACGGCATTTGTGAGGAGAGGGGAAAATGCATTTCAGCAGCTGATGGAGAAGTAAGATAGGAAGGGAAAGCCAGTGTTTCTGAGAGAGAGAGAGTGGGTCCAGAAAGCTGGACATCAGAGCAGAATCTTCTCTTACGATAAAACAGAAGTTCAGCGGTTTCCTCATGCTAGTTCTGTGTTCTAGGTACCAAAAATAAACTTATTTTCGTAATATAGAGTGAAAGGGGTCATTGTTTTGGGAAATAATATGTACGTTTTTATTTCATGTTTTAACAAATTATTGTAAAACCTAATATGTTTTTGCAATGCTGTTTGTAACCTAGGAAGAAACTCCAGGGAGAGAGTCCCTCCCGAGCTTATCCTCTGCAGAGAGGGAGAAGTGGGCTGTCCGCCCACGGCGGTGCCCGGGCTCTGCCGCCAGTGGGGAGGGTCCCGTCACCCACCCCGTGTCACCCTGGCTCTGCCGCCAGTGGAGAGGTCCCGTCACCCGCCCCGTGTCACCCCGGCTCTGCCGCCAGTGGGTAGGGTCCCATCACCTGCCCTGTGTCACCCCGGCTCTGCCGCCAGTGGGGAGGGTCCCATCACCCACCCCGTGTCACCCTGGCCCTGCTGCGAGTGGGGAGGTCCTGTCACCTGCCCCGTGTCACCCCGGCTCTGCCGCCAGTGGGGAGGGTCCCGTCACCTGCCCCGTGTCACTGTGCTCCTGGAAGTTCTCTATGCAGCGGGCCACGGGGGTCTCAGCCTGCAGACACTGGCAGTCTCTGGGGATGCGGGGGCAGTCACAGGGGGGTGCTGGTGGGGCCAGGGCTGCCGCTCAGCTCCCTACAGTGCCTAGGACAGGTGCCCAAGCCCAGCAGAGAATTACCTGGCCCAGATGGTGCTGGTGCCCTGGAGTAAACTAACACTTCAAAATGGGTTTGAGTTGTTTTTCCTTTGGGAATTTTCATTTTACCTTTTGAAATCATTAGGAGTTATTGTTTTGAATGTTTTTTTTTTTTGGTCACCCAGGTTGGAGTGCAGTGGCACAATCTCGGCTCACTGCAACTGCCGCCTCCCGGGTTAGAGTGGTTCTCCTGCCTCAGCCTCCTGAGTATCTGGGATTATAGGTGTGCACCACCACGCCTGGCTAATGTTTTATATTTTTAGTAGAGATGGGGTTTTACCATGTTGCCCAGGCTTGTATCGAACTTCTGACCTGTAGTGATCTGCCCGCCTTGGCCTCCCACGGTGCTGGGATTACAGGTGTGATCCACCGCGCCGGGCCAGGGGTTATTGTTTTGAAGTGCTGCAAAACCAGACTAGAGATTTGTTGACCTATTGCTTGAAAATACTTACTTAAAAAAAAAAAAAAAAAAAAGGCTGGCCTATAATCCCAGCACTTCAGGAAGATGAGGTGGGAGGATTGCTCAAGTTCAGGAGTTCGAGACCAGCCTGGGTAACATGGCGAAACCCTGTCTCTACTAAAAAAAGACAAAAAAAGTAGCTGGGCATAGTGGTGTGCGCCTGTAGTCCCAGCTACTCGGGAGGCTGAGGCAGGAGGATCGCCTGAGCCTGGCAGGTAGAGGTTGCAGTGAGCCAAGATCACACCACTGCACTCGAGCCTCAGCCGAGATCACACCACTGCACTCGAGCCTCAGCCGAGATCACACCACTGCACTCGAGCCTGAGCTACTGCAGTGAGGCCCCATCTCAAAAACAGGCGGGTGGGGAAGACAAGATGAATCACTGCCTCTGTGTCAGTTATTCTAAAAGTACTGAATAACCTTCACTTAGCTGGGGCTGGTGAATTTGATTTTGGTTATTTTGCACTCTTGATTCATCTTTAGTAGATAATACCATTGAACAGCATAAATGCCTCTGCTCTCAGGCTCTGTCGGGAAGGTTGAAAGACTCCGCATTTCGCCTCTGTATTTAATTTCTTAAAAACGGCACAGAGGACTTGTTTTGCTCTTTAAATGTAGAAATTTTGGAACGTATTAGACCGTGGCGTGGCAGGAAGTTTAAAGGTGGGCAGAACCCTCAACTTAACGTTTATTTTCTTTCCTAATTTTGTTAAATGAACTCCAAGGGAAAAATAGTTTAAAAACGAGTCATTCATTTCTTTCCCATGTAAATTGAGTCTTTTGATCGTTGCCAGACACCGAGAAGATACGGGACCTGGTGTCTGATGTGTCCTAGTGTCTGATGTGGTCCTGGGTGAGAGGAACCTAGTGTGCCATTCACCACTGGCCCCACGTCCTCACTGGAGGTGGCCATGGAGTTATAAACAGTGCAATACCTCATTTCAGATTTCCTCTGCTTGTCATAGAGAAATAAAGCCACACTTTAGTCAGCTGTATTAAGTCTGCATCTGTCAAAAGGCGTGTGGCCCTCCCAGGGCTTCAGGGTTGGTGAGAGTGACTGGGGCACCGCAGGGCAGGGCAGAGTGGGCACCCTCATTTTCTTGAAGTGAGACACGTTCTTGCTGGGACAGAACGTGACGGAATACTGGGTCCTGCTTTCAGCACGAGTTAGAAAGGCCGTCCAGGCAAAGCCCCTGCTGCGGTCACGCTGAGACCACCGGAGCTCCGGGGGAGAGGGGTCTGTGCCTTGAGTTTGGGAAGCTGGGTGCTGCTCTCACCAGGGGGTGAGGTGTCTGGTCTGTGTTCAGCTGTTCCCATAACAGGACAGCGGCCTGGGTGGCACCACCCACCCGCTCCCCTAGTCAGTGGTATGGCACCGCCAGGCCGAGGCTGAGTCCTACCTGGGTTGCAGCCCCTTCTGTGCTCCTGGAAGCCTCCTTGGTCAGGCCCATCAGGCTGGAGGTGCACTTGGAACCCGCTGCAGGAGGTGTACCTCTGCTGGACCTGCCGAATGCCTGAGCAGGGCTAGAGAGAGGAAGAGACCCGCCCTGGGAGCCCGCGAGGGAAGGTTCCCGGCTGGCTGGCGGGTGCGTCCTCCCTCTGAGCCAGTGAGTCTGCCCCTTGGCACAGGGCTTTATAGGCCCCCTCCGCCCCGCTCCTCTCTGGCTCCTCTCTGGCCAGGCTCTGGGCGGCCTCCTCAGAAGGCTAGTGTTAACCATTTTTTTGCTGGCCCTTTTTCTCCCACACTTTGGCAATCAGCTCAGTTCTACTAGACTTGTTTTTGTGGAAGTTTCTGGTTTAACTGCTTTTCTTCACCCACAGATACAAACCTTTCTTTAAGTTTGAAGGCATCATACTAGGTGTTGTGTATCTTTTAGGCAATAACCTGTCCTCCTGGGTTGAAGCAAGCAATATTCTTGTTTTTGCAACTGACCTGCGTTAAACACTAAATTTCATAATTAACTTAGTAGCATGTGCATGATCCATAAAGAATTTAACAGGAATTTCACAGACATTTGCAGAGAGAAGTGTAATCCCAAGAAATAGGCATTTCTGACAAGTAACTTAGGAATCTGAGTACTGGTTAAGCATCTGGAAATCTGAAATCCAGAGTGCCCCACAGTCCGACACTGTTGGAGCGTCGTGACACAAGTGGAAAATTCCACACCTGACCTCGTGTGGCGGGCTGCAGTCCAGGCAGTTCAAAGTTTGTTTTATGCATGAAATTGTTAAAAGTGTTTTTATAAAGTTGCCTTCAGGCAGTGTGTATAAGGTGTGTATGAAACACAAATGAATTTCGTATTTAGCTTTCTCATTCTGTACCTGCAGATATTCCAAAATCTGCAAAAATCTGAACTCCGAAACTCTTCCGGTCCCAAGCATTCAGACCAGGGACCCTCAGCCGGTAGTTTTCTCTGAGTGTTAGCGGTGCCTCAGGTCCCTCCTCCCGCGCTCGCTGCAGAAGCGTCGGAACTTACCTGCCGTCCAGATGTTGGTGGCCTCTTCCCCACCAGGGCCGCCTCTCCTGCTCATGGTTGCGGATTTCACAGTCTCGTGCAGGCGGAGAATAAACCTCCCTCCCCGGACTCTCGGGGCCGCTGAACTGCCTCATGCGGGGCGGCCACTTCCGAGTGCGCCCCCTACTGGCCATTTGAATTTTCACTCGCCGCTTCGGGAACCGATGGCCGCCCCATGAGGGCAGAGCGAGGCCCCCCAAGCCCGCGTGGGCTGTCCAGGCCGAAGGGGTCCTCAGGCACCGCCAGCCCCGGCTCTCCAGGCGGAGGGGTGGGTCTTCCTCAGAAGGGAACTTCAGCGAATCTCACTCCTACTTCTAGGTGTCGTTTTCCCTCTGTAATGTTTTGAAGTGGTGAGATTGAATGCTGAGTGATCCTTTGTCCGCTGAGTATGAGTAATGCGGCTGCTGCAGCCTGAGGCGTGGTTCAGAGACCTGCGTGGGCTCCCCCCTTCCCCCTCCCCCCCAGGAGAGCTGGTGCAGGCAGAGGACTGGGGTGCTGGGCCTCCAGGTGCACTCGGCCCCTCGGGACCTGCTCCCCGCCAGGAGAGCTGGTGCAGGTGCAAGAGTGGGGTGCTGGGCCTCCAGGGGCACTCGGCCCCTCGGGACCTGCTGGGGCTCAAGGCATCTGTGCAATAGCAATTTAAAGTCTTTCAGATGTGTATTTTAGGAAATATACACACATTTCCTAAACAGAATGCTGTGTTAATTTTTTAATGGAAAAATACTAACGTGGAGTTTTCTTCCAGCAGTAGAAAGTTGACAACTCTAATATGTACCTTTTTGTATTTGGATGATAAAGAGCTGATTTGCTCTTAGACATTTTTTGACCAGCTGTGAAGTTGAGATGATTTCAGCATTAAAAATGCCTGAGACACAATTTTGAAAGATGTGAGTCATGAGAAAGTACAGAAAAAAATAAGTAAAATAAAAATTCAAACCTTGAAATAGCTGAGACATGTCACTTAAAAATAGCTGCACCCTGCTAGTGCAAACCCATGGCTTCTGGTCTCTCTGCCCATCCCAGCGGCTGAGGAAGAGCTCAGCTCCCAAGCTCTCCACTCACGTGCCCTGGGTTTCCTGGGGAGCCTGCCCTGGGCGGGCGAGTGGCCGATACTCCTAGATTTCCTGCTTGCAGCATAGAGTCAGCGGATCGGGGCATCTGGGTCTTGGAGCGCAGCCTTCTCCTGTGGGCACTGGGCGGGTAAGTAACTTGTACTGTACAGCTACTGATGTAAGAGACAGGGCCCGGACTGCAGGAACTTCCGTCTCCAAGACCTACTTAATACTTGATGTGTGACGGCATGGCAGGAATCTCGTGGACTATTTGTAAGGCATAGAGACCTTTTGCCGATTTTTAAATCTTTTTTTTTTTTTGAGACAGGATTTTGCTCTGTTGCCCAGGCCAGTGTGCAGTGGCCTGATCTCAGCTCACTGCAGCCTCCACCTCCCAGGCTCAAGCCATCCTCCCACCCCGGCCCCTGAGTAGCTGGGACTACAGATGCGAGCCGCTAATTTTTTTTTTTTTTTTAATTTTTTTGTAGAGATAAGGTCTCACTGTATTGCCAAGGCTGGTCTTGAACTCCTGGGCTCAAGAGATCCTCCTGTCTCAGCCTCCTTCAGTGTAGAATGTGACATTGTACACATGCATGCTGGGCGCTGTGCGGTGCTCTGCGTGCTTGATCTTAGGTCACCCTCCTTCAGAGCCTGTGAGGCAGGGCTGTCCTTCTCCCCGTCTCATGGTTGCAGAAACTGACTGCAGGGAGGTGGTGTCACCGCGGCCTCACAGCTGGCCAGGAGCAGATCTGGGAGGGGCCGGCTGACTCTGAGCACATGGTCTCGGCCTGTACACCAGAGGCGTCCTGGGTCAATAGTCATCTTTTCAGGCACTGATTTCCTTGTTGGATCTGATGTCGTTATGAATTTTTAAGAAGTGAAAATATTTTTCTGTTCATCCCCAGGATAGAATAAAAGGAAAGAACTTCAAGGGGAATTTCATCTGATCATTGCTTATTGAGCTAAATGCACACATAGCCAAATACTGGATAATGCATAGAGAAAAACACGCACAAAGTAAGGCAGTGTGTCTCCAGCTTCAGGAGCCCTCCCGAGTGAATGCCACGTAGGAAACCTTGGCCCTCGCCTTTGACCCTTCAGTCCTCGCGTGCAAAGCCCAGTCCTTGTGCTGAGAGGCCCCAGACACAGGGCCTGCAGTGCCTTCCCAGCGCCCCTCCCTCTGCCAGCACTGACTGACTGAGCAACCCCTTCCTGCTCCCTGTCCCATCCCCAGTCCTCTCCCATGCCCTCCATGGTAGGCAGCAGCATGGGTCCCCCTGATTCTGCAGGAGCAGAGCCCTCAGGGAGTTGCATGTCGCCGTCCAAACAACCCTGGTTTTCAGCGTTGCCGGCTCCAGCCCGGGTTCCACTTCCTCACCCCACGTGCTGTGTGATACCGGGCAACGTCTCTAACCTTCCTGAGCCTCAGTGCCCATCTGTACAGTGGGGGTGCGTGGGTCTACACGGTTCTGTGAGATCCCACACACCCCTTGTCTCTGCTGGGCGGAGTGAGGCTTCCCTTCCCACCAACTGCTGCTCCTTTTCAAGGGGAGCGGTCCACCAGGGGCAAGGGTGGGGCGGCACTGCCTGAGATTAGCCCAGTCCTGGCTCATTCGCTTCTCCCCCATAGGCACAAGGGAGGGAGCAGTTGGTTGGAGGTGCTCACAGTACCACGCGCCGGATCCACCTTACAGGGGAGACATCAAGCTGTGTGCAGAAGGAATTCTAGAGCTAACACATGCTGGAAGACAGCCCGAGGTTCGGAGAAGTGCGCCGTGTCTCACATGCCAGGCGGACACATTCTCTGATGATGGAGAGTCAAGGGAGGCCGAGAGCCCCTTCCCACGCCCCCGGGAGGGCATCGCTGGCGTCCCCCGCCTCCGCGTGACATGCAGGAGCACCCTCGGGCATCCGATCCTCACAGGCCTGGAGCATTAAGGAGACATGCACCAGCAGCCCCTTTATAGAAAGAGCCCAGGTCCCAAGGAAGCTGTGTGTGGGGTGTGCGGGTTTTGCCGCACCAGTGGCAGGCGGGGTTGGAACTCTGCTCCAATTTCTGCATTCCGTGCCATATCCTGACTTTAGGGACATCCTGTGACCTCCCCTCAGACAGACTTGCCATGTCTTCCATCTGTTCCATTCCGGCCTGGGGAGGTTAGCTGCTGTCAGGACGTGGTGCGGCCCACAGTGACTTCGTCTCTCTTGTTCCTTCAGAAGCACGCAGGCCGTGGCTCCGCGCCAGGTTGGAGCCTTTCATTCAGGGTGTGTGCCTGCCGAGCCCGGAAACAGTGCGGTGAGGGGCAGGGCATCCTGGTTTTCTGCTGTGTCGCCTGGCACTGGTGGACGTGGGCGCGTCGGTGCCGCCGTCCTGTCCCTGTTTGGTGTCTGCAGCTGGAGGGCCCAGTTAACGGTGGGTGTGTGCAGACCACAGTTGACCACAGCATGCTGAGCACGGAAGCTCAGGTGCTCCCGTCGTCTGCGCCTCCACACTCTCGTGTTTTTTTTTGTTTTTTTTGTTTTTTTTTTGAGATGGAGTCTTGCTCTGTCGCCCAGGCTGGAGTGCAGTGGTGCGAACTCCACTCACTGCAAGCTCCACCTCCCGGGTTCACACCGTTCTCCTGCCTCAGCCTCCCGAGTAGCTGGGACTACAGGCGTCTGCCACCAGGCCCGGCTAATTTTTTGTATTTTTTTTTAGTAGAGATGGGGTTTTACTGTGTTAGCCAGGATGGTCTCGATCTCCTGACCTCGTGATCCACCCGCCTCACCCTCCCAAAGTGCTGGGATTACAGGCTTGAGCCACCGCGCCCGGCCCACACTCTCATCTTCTATCACTTTCCCTCACAAGACGGAATTTGCTGCACTCAGAGACCATCTGGCCCGTCAGCCCCTGGGCGTGACTCCAGCACTGAAGGCGCGTGCGGCTGCTGGCCTACAAGGCATTGGCAGTTTTGCGGGTCTCCCAGCAGGGCCCCCTCAGTGGTTGCTGGGAGCATTCTGGGCGCATCCTTGGGTTCTCTGGGAGCGTCGTGCCAGGGGCACTTTACAGAAGAGTGGGCAGGGTGGTGCTGGCTGAGCTCTGCCCTTGGGGGACCCTCCGCCCCCAGGAGCACATGGCGGAATATCCGAGGAGAGGCCAGCACCTGGGCATTGTCCCAGCCCCACCTCGGTCACTGCCAGGCAGTTCCTCAAGGAGCCTCGGGGAGGCTCCTCCCACCCCACCTCAGTCTGATTTTATCTGTTTGAACGTAAGACATCGTGAACCCTTTCTTTGGATAAATGCAAATGACGCATCCTCTCTTCAGTAGCACCACACTCCCCGGTGCTTCCTTAGTTCTCTGCGGGCGCTGGATCTTCCCCTTGGTGGGAACATGGAACACTGCCTGTTCTCTGCGTTCTCTGTGTCCAGAGGGTTACGAGATGGGGCAGTGGCAGGAGCTGGACACAGGACCAGGATCATGCAGCACCTGCCCTGCCCCCCAGGGGCTGTGATATGCTTTGGGATGCCCACCCCATGAAGCCCACTATTCTGGAAGCTGCAGTCATCTCTGCCCATCGGTGGCCTGGCCGGCTTTGGGTCTTGGGTGAGAGTGTGGTGCGTGGCCCATGCTGGCCCCTCCTCCTGTGAGCCCGTCCCAGCCACTCACAGCACCTGTTTAACCCCATTCACTTTGTCTTTAAGTGGGGATGGATCATCCCCTGCTCTGAGTAACTCAGACCAACGGCCCATGAAGACTGTGCTGTAGAGTCCTGTGCACGCAGCGCCCTCGGGCCCCATTGTGATGTGCCTCACAAGCACCTCGCCCCCGCCACCCTCTCTCACCCCCCAGGCACACAGGGCGCCGCGGAGCCACGCGCTGGGCGGGAGCACTCTGACCTTACCGTGAGGGGACGTCCACCTGCACCCGACAGTGATGAGTGGTTCCCAGGACTCCGAGTACCATGGAATGAAGAACAATGGTCAGACTGAGAGGAAGTGGTTTGGAATGTTTGTTTAATTAAGGCAAATTGGAAACAAGATCCTTTTAACATGGACTGCAGGTCTGAAAGCTGCGTGAGGCTGTCCAGATGTCCCCTCCCGGCGGCTGTCAGCTGCAGGCGCTTTGTGTGGGAGTGCGTGCTCCTGCGGGGCGGCGTTTGTGGATGTCGCCGTCAGGTGCTGTCCCCGTTCGCGGGGTCCGCCCTGCTCTCCCGTGCGGTCATAGCCAGGCCTGGCCACCTGGTGGGTGGGGGGACAGGCACACACCTGAACTTGGCCCCGAGAACGGAGTCTGGAGCTGAGGTGAAGGCTGCTGACTGCTTTCTCCTTATTACTGGGCTTTTATCGTGGACAGGAGGGGCCCCTGTGCAGGCAGAAGAAAGCCATGGGTTCGAGAGGCCTCCCTGTCCCTCCCCCAGGCTGCAGTGGGCAGAAGAAAGCCATGGGTTCGAGAGGCCTCCCTGTCCCTCCCCCAGGCTGCGCCTTGTCTGGGTCGGGGCTTCCAGGTTCCTCGACTGGCTCCAGCTCCACAGCCTGTGTGCTGTGTATGGCATGAGGTCCTGGTACCTGGCTACCAAACGACGTAAGCGTGACCTGAGCCCTGGGTCTCAGCTTCCCCGTCCGCGTGGCGGATGCCAGCACAGGCTTTCTGGCTCCAGTCCAGGCTGCCCCCTTGCCGCCACCCCTGCGCCGTGCCAAGCCCCGCTCGAGCCCGCCGTGTTTGTACTTAGGTTTTGTTCTGGTTCTTCTGCCCGGGCTCGGGCTCTACAAGGAAAGGGAAGAATTCTGAGTGGTCCCAGACAGGTTCCCCTTCCCCCACCTTTCATGGCCCCCTGACTTGGGGGTCTTAGGAGAGGGGGTCCTCACAGTTATCCCCGAAGCCCTCTCAAATCCCAGCCTGGCAAGGTCAGTCTGGTGGAGCGGGGCTGGGTGTGCTTAGCTCACCCCCACCCGGCCTAGGCACCAAGCCCGTCTCCCAGCGGCACTGCCCGGCACCGTCCCCGGCCCTGGTGGCCCTGGATGACGGCACGCGGGGAGGGACCAAGCCCTTTGGGAGCTGCAGGTTGCAGCCTTGCTGGGCTGCCGGGTGGGGGGCGTGCTCCCCCTCCTCCACTGCTACCACTGCATAGTCTAAGAGGCAGAGTAACAAATGCAGGGCCGTGCAGGCTCCAGCTCGGCCGGCCTTCCTGTTCTTCCCACCTGGCCCCCTGCACCCTGGGCCTTGACAGCCTGGCACCTTCTCCCCGACCTTACCCGCAAAGGCAGTTCATGCAGAGTGGGACGAGGTGCAGGGCCCAGGCCAAGCGGCTCTCAGCCCACCCTCTCTCACTGAGAGCTTCCCATGTGCGTGGCACTGTGTATATAATTCGCCGTGACCCTCTGCAGCCGAGGTCACGGAGTCAGAGGGATGAGGTCATTGCTGCTGGTACCCAGCTGCTTAACGATGTGTCGGCAGTCTGAGCCTGGGTGCCTTAGCCGAGAACCTGTAGTTTTCAGATGATCATTTCTGAGAATTTGTGTGCAGTAAAATACTCCTTTTGGCTTTCACCACAGAGGCATCTAGTCGTGGAAGCACGGTGCTCGCAGGCAGCGCACAAACCGTCCTGTTCCAGACTCCTCTGCCCGTCCCTGGGTGGTCAGCCCCTCCCTCCACCCAACCTGGCGGCCGTGCGGCTGCACTCTGCTCCCGTGATCAGACTCCCCGGACCGTCACGCGGGTGGCACCTGTGCGTGTGCAGCCTCCGAGCCTGGCTGTCCCCGTGCCTCCTGCGCTTGAGATGGTGTGTCACGTCGTGCACACCAGGTGGCCGTGGCTGCTCGCCACTGAGCACGGGGGGCTGTGCCGCGGTCTGTGTCCCGCCATCGTGGGAGCGACATTTGAGTTCTTTCCAGATTGTGTCTATTATAAAGCTGCTTTAAATGTTCACATACAGGGTTTCATGTGAGCGTAATTTTATTTTGGGTGGATCGCTAGGATTGGGCATCGCTGGTTCTTACAGTGTGTGCACATTTAGCTTCATACAAAGCTGCCAAAGTGGCCACTCTGTTTTGCGTTTCTGCCAGCACCTGTCCTTCTAACCCCAGGGAAAGCAAAGGGTCCTACTGAGCCCTGGAATTCCCTGGGAGGAGGGGTTGGCCCTTCACAGTCTGTTTTGGTGGCCGGTTTCCGGCCAAGAGCCAGGGGCTTGTGGGACTCGTTCCTGAGCCACGCAGAGGGGCTGCCAAGGTCAGGTTCGGGGCCTGGGGGAACTCCCCAAAGCCGGGACCTTGAGAATTGTGTGTTCTTGACGGCAGCATGGGCCCTCGCTGCTTAAACAACCCTTCAGAGAGGTTCTAGAAAGCATGGGCGCCACTTCTCCAGGGCTGCTTCCCCAGAGCTGGGAGGCCGGGGACTCCAGTGGTGAGGGCTGGTGGCTCCTGCAGGGCCCTGGACCCTCTGGAGGGCATCTGGGAGTCACCCCTGCCCCTGAGCCCTCCCAGCCCCCGCCAGGGCCTGCCTGCCACGGGGCCCCTCAGAGGAGCTGCTGCCCCTGCCACTTCCCGTCACACGTCTACATTGGGCAGGGAGGGGGGTTGTGCAGATTCCCTCAGCACGCTGGTTTATTGAATGTTTTCCCGGCCTCTTCCTGGGTTTTATTATCATTTTTAATGGATAAGTAGTTATAGGCTGTGGTGGTAGCTCACGAAACCGTCTCCCCAGCGTAGACAGTTGAGTGGCTTCTGAACTGCTTTTCCAGACCTGCGCTTGTCTTTCATACCATCCCAGGATGGTTCACACGTCACTGTTTCTGTGCAAAAGCAGCATAAGCTTTTGAGGTCACAATTCTCGTGTGATTTGAGGTGTCCCCATAGGGAGGTGGACAGCAGACGAGCAGCCGGGCGTTGCCTGCCTGGGGACCCAGGATGGCTGTGAAGGTCTGTGGCCGCCCCTCCGCAGCCTCAGGTGTGTCCCTGTGGCCTGCGGATGTCAGCTTCGAGTGGCTTGGGAGGTTTGTTTGCGGCTGTTGACTTCCTGCTCCTCCCGTAGCCACCTTTGTGCCCTGCTGGTCTTGTGACCCTGGCCCTCCCTCTCCAAAGGCCTCGCTGCCTCCTCAGCCGGCCATTCACCAGCAGTCTTGACAGAGCCCTGACCCGCTGCCTCGCTGCCTCCTCAGCCGGCCATTCACCAGCAGTCTTGACAGAGCCCTGACCCGCTGCCTCGCTGCCTCCTCAGCCGGCCATTCACCAGCAGTCTTGATGGAGCCCTGACCCGCTGGGGTGGGGGATGGAGCTGAGTGTTTGGGGGAAGGCTGAGCTGGGGCTTGAGGGGGCACCTGGCCAGCCAGAGCCAAACAGGTGAGCCGCAGGCTCTGCTTCACTCCATGTGCCCCTCACAGAGCTCCCAGCCTCTGTCTGGAGCAGGCACTGTCCCGGGGTCCCAGTGGGCAGGTGGGCACATGGCCTGGCTATGAGTTCTGCATGGTTGTAAGGCAGCGAAGCCCAGGTTTTCACTGGGCCAGCCTGTGATCCTGCAGACTAGCCAACCCCCCGGGAGTGCATTTGGGCCCTGTCGTGAGCATCTTGGTGGGAGTTTGAGGAGACGAGATGAACCGGCGTGGGGGGCGTTAGGCCTCGCCTGTGGTCACGGGAGTGTGGGGTGCAGGAGCATCTCACAGGACTCCCACCTGAGCGCAGCGCCTGCCTTGTGCAGAGCCTGGCTGGGGTCCCTGCTTGCTGTGGAAGATTTAACCCCAGGTCTCACGGGGCCCCCTTCCCAGGCCTCATGGGGCCCCCTTCGCAGGCCTTCGTCTTCTGGGTGGGAAAACTGATGTGCCTGAGCCCCCCCCCACCCCGCAGCTGGTGGAAAGAATCCTCCATTCAGGTTTCGGGCCCTGTGAAAATATACGCTCTCCAGGCGTGCCCACTATAGGGCACCCGCTGTGCTCTGCCACGCGAACTGTCTCCACTTCCTTGCCCTGCCGCAGAAATCCCACCATAGCTGCATATCTGGCAGCTGAGCCAAAACCCTGACGTGTTTTCTGACTGTCCGCAGACCTCGTCCAGCTCCGTCTTCAGGAGACAGGACTAGAGCCACCGTGAATCTCAGTCATTTCCAATCCCAAACGCTGTAAAAATACACCGTATTTTCTTTTATTTAATGGGGCCAATCTGTAGTATAGAGAAGCTTTCGTTTTAGGAGAGAAACTTCCCACCACTGTGAAGTTGCTCCCATGTCCCCGCACACACGCCCAGCGGTCACGGAGCAGTTGGCGGCAGAGGACGCCGAGGCCGCGCTGGGGCTGCTGCTTCCCAGAGAAAGTACACAAAGCATTTCCCTCTGCCCAAGGCCAGCCGTGGCACCGAGGCCCGCCCTTGTGTCTGTCCCGCGCTTCCTTCAGTTGTTCTGTGCTCACCGAAAACAGGCACAGAAAACCTAGAGTTGTGTAAAGAAGACAGGAATCTGGTCTGAAGCCGCTCACACCACACTCAATGCACGTAAGCAGCGTCTGGCTTGCCCGTGTGACCTAGGAAAATTCAAACTAGCCCTGGTAGGAGGCAGCCAGCTTAGTACTGCAGAGGGAAAAGGTGGTGTGTGCCTGTGCACGGGGCACCTGAGGGCTTGCACGTTCAGAAAGCAGCCCTGCCAGAGCAACTTCAAATAGGACCTGGGGCCGGGCGCGGTGGCTCACGCCTGTAATCCCAGCACTCTGGGAGGACCAGAGCAACTTCAAATAGGACCTGAGGCCAGGTGCAGTGGCTCACGCCTGTAATCCCAGCACTCTGGGAGGCCGAGGCGGGCGGATCACAAGGTCAGGAGATAGAGACCATCCTGGCTAACACGGTGAAACCCCATCTCTGCTAAAAATACAAAAAATTAGCCAGGCTTGGTGGTGGAAGCCTGTAGTCCCAGCTACTTGGGAGGCTGAGGCAGGAGAATGGTGTGAACCCGGGAGGCGGAGCTTGCGGTGAGCCTAGATGGCACCACTGCACTCCAGCCTGGGCGACAGAGAGAGACTCCATCTCAAAAAAATAAAAATAAATAAAAATAGGACCTGAAAGCCCCCAAGAATACCAGGGAAAAGTGCTCAGGCCTTTGTAAGCCCAAGAGCGCCTTCCTCGGACCCTGTCGTACAGTCTCGAGCTAAGAGCCAGCATTGGCATCTGGCCCAGGCCGGGGGTCTCGGCCCTCTGCCCGCAACAGCAGGGTACCCAGAACAGCAGGAGCTCCGGACTGGACACTGGGTAACCTGAGTCTTGGCTGCAGAGCAGGGGCCAGCCCCTCGCTGACCACCCCGTAAGCCTGTGCCAGGAGCGTCACCCAGGGGTTGGGCGTGGGCTGTGCAGGAAGTGTGGCTAGAAGGCAGGTCCTCTCCCCAGCCAGGCAAGGCGTGCAAGTCCCCATGCTCTCCTCCCCCGGCTTTCCCGAGAAGGCTGTGGCGCTGGGCTGGGAAGAGTCCTGGCCAAGGCCACCGGTCCCTGAAGGGAGAGAGCCCTGCCAAGTGGAGGAAAAGATCTTGGACATTAATTCAGAGCCAGCTTCCCTCTGCGGCTTTTCCCAGGGCCAGCCCTGTTGGAAACTGAAAGCATAGACCTTTCTTACATCCCTCCCCGGTGCTTGTGCCCTGTGCATGACGCTTGCCTGTGTTAGGGGAACCCTCTCGGGCCTCTTTACACGGTGCCCAGTCCGCCTGCAGGCTCCGAAAACCAGCGTGGCACATCCATGGGAAACCACCGGTGCCACAGGGGAACTCCTCCCCAGAGCCCATGCCTGGGAGGGAGGTGCTCCCCAGCCTCCTGCGGAGCAGCATGCAGGCTCAGGAAAGGGTGCTCCTTGCAGCCTATCTGGTGGTGCTCCTCCCTGGCCTGCTCCTCCTTGGCGGTGCTCCTCCCTGGCCTGCCTCTCCCTGGTGGTGCTCCTCCCTCATGGTGCTCCTCCCTGGCGATGCTCCTCCCTGGCATGTACCACACTGCACTGCTCTTCTTACCCTTCTAGCAGGTCTGATGCTTATTCCAGCCGATTTTGCAGCCCTGGCTCTGCCATGTTGGCCTCCCTCAATTGCTTGTCACCAAGACCCCTGTGGTTTTTGACAAGGCGCTGGGCATGGATGGGTCTTTCCGAGCTCCACTGTGAATCACCTCGCCCTCTGGTCCTTGGGCCTGTCCTGGCTTGGTGGACTCAGCCGCTGGAGCTGGGAGTGGGGCGCCCTGGAGAGTGGCAGCCCCGGGCTTTGGTGACTCAGACTCTGCTGTTCCTACCTGAGGTCAGGAGGGTTTTTTTTTTTAATAAATGTGACCCGGGCTGGGCGCGCTGGCTCATGCCTGTAATCCCAGAACTTTGGGAGGCTGAGGTGGGCGGATCACGAGGTCAGGAGATCGAGACCACGGTGAAACCCCATCTCTACTAAAAATACAAAAAATTAGCTGGGAGTGGTGGCGGGCACCTGTAGTCCCAGCTACTCGGGAGGCTGAGGCCGGACAATGGCGTGAACCCAGGAGGCGGAGCTTGCAGTGAGCTGAGATTGCGCCACTGCACTCCAGCCTGGGTGACAGAGCAAGACTCCTACTCTGTCTCAAAAAAAAAAAAAAAAGTGACCCGATTTGTTGTGCGGCCTTGGTCAGCTTCAAGAGCCCTAAAACGGTTGTTTCTTTTCCTTTTTTTTTAATTTTTTTTTTGAGACAGAATCTAGCTGTGTCACCCAGGTTGGAGTGCAGTGGTGCGATCTCGGCTCACTGCAACCTCTGCCTCCCCAGTTCAAGCGATTCTCCTGCCTCAGCCTCCCCAGTAGCTGGGATTACAGGCGCCTGCCTGTAATTTTTGTATTTTTCCCCGGCTAATTTTTGTATGTTTAGTAGAGACAGGATTTTACCATGTTGAAGAGGCTGGTCTCAATCTCCTACCTTGTGATCCGCCCACCTTGGCCTTCCTAAGTGCTGAGATTACAGGCGTGAGCCACCGCCCCTGGCCTAAAATGGCTGTTTCTAACCACCCGTCTAGCTTGTCATTGCTCAGATGGCCTAGGAACCACACCCCTCCCGTGTTTGGTCCTCAGGAGAATTCAGTGAGGCCAGAGGACGGGTTGTGTTGGATGGAGGTGGCGGCAAGGCTGCTCCTGGGATGCTGCAGGGCCCCTGCACAGACCTTTCGGTTCTTGGTCCATTCTGCGCCCTCCCATGGCCCACACATCTGCAGTCACAAGGAGGAGCCCCCCAGCTCACACGTCCTCCCGCTCACCACACGGGGCAGCCACCAGGCTGGAGGGACGTCTGTCCTGCGCTCAGCCCTGCACCCACCCTGGGCTCTGCCCACCTTGCCCTCTGCTCTCTGATCTGTGAGAGGAGGAAGGCCAGAGCTGATGACACATGGGCGGGTCCCTCGAGCGGCTGCTCGGCAGGCTGCATGACATCCCAGGCGCGGGCCTCACCTCCCCAGCTGCTGTGCTGTTTCTTCTTCGTCTCCTCGGTGCCCCTCCTGGCCTTGGACACCTGCGCGACCTCAGAGCATGGGGCCGGGGCCATCGGACACAGACGCCTTAGGGATTTGCAGGTTCTTGCACAGCAGTGTTTCTGAGGAAGGCGTTTTTTGGGGTGTCTCCAAGTCTCCCAGCGCTGCTTCCTTGCCCCCCGCCCCGCCCTGCTGTCATGGTGGCTGTGGTCACTGAGCACCTCTGATTTGCCGAGGGCCGTGTGCTGCCGTCTACGCCGTCTGGTTGTAGTTGATGCAGTCCTGTCCCCTGGGTTCCGTTGTTGTGATTGTCCTTTTGTAGATGAGGAAATTGCAGTTTAGAAAGCACCTGTTGGAGGGGCCTGGCGGGTCTCTGCAGGGGAGGGAGGAAGGCGCCAGACGCTCGCTGACAGGTCCTGTGCTGTGGGACACAGACAAGGGTGCGGGGGCCGGGAGGCGTGATGGCAGCGGGATGGGGGCCGGGGGGTGTCACGGCAGCGGGGTGCGGGGTCGGGGGAGTGACGGCGGCGGGGTGCGGGGTCGGGGGGCGTCACAGTAGCGGGGTGAGAGGTCGGGCGTGACGGCGGCGGGGTGCGGGGTCGGGGGCGTGACGGCAGCGGGGTGCGGGGTCGGGGCGGGCGTCACGGCAGCGGGGTGCAGGGTTGGGGGAACATCACGGCAGCAGGGTGTCGGGGTCGGGGGTCACGGAGCGTGACGGCAGCGGGGTGGGGGGTTGGGAGTGACGGCAGCGGGGTCGGGGTGTGTGACGGCAGCGGGGTGAGGGGTCGGGGGGCGTCACAGTAGCGGGGTGAGGGGTCGGGCGTGACGGCGGCGGGGTGCGGGGTCGGGGGCGTGACAGCAGCGGGGTGCGGGGTCGGGGCGGGCGTCACGGCAGCGGGGTGCAGGGTTGGGGGAACATCACGGCAGCAGGGTGTCGGGGTCGGGGGTCACGGAGCGTGACGGCAGCGGGGTGGGGGGTCGTGGGGAGTGACGGCAGCGGGGTCGGGGTGTGTGACGGCAGCGGGGTGAGGGGTCGGGGGCGTCACTGCAGCAGGGTGCGGGGTCGTGGGGGGCGTCACGGCGGCGGGGTGCGGAGTCAGGGGGCATCACGGCAGTGGCGGCTTTGAACAGGCGACTTTCAAGGACTTTCTTCGCTTTCTCCACGGAGCTTCTGTTTTCATGAGAACCAAATATGGGCTGGGGAAGGAAACCACAGTAAAAAAAGTGTCTCAAGGAGTTGTGAGAAAGTAAGAAAGCTCTACGATGTTGAGGAGCAGCAGGTCGATGCTGTGGCAGATTCCAGCGGGATTAGGGGGTGGGAAGCAGAGCCTGAGGGGCGGCGGGAGCTCAGCTGGGGCGCCGGAGGAGCTGCCTGCGCGGGGAGTAGCTGCCGGCCACTTGTCTCCGAAACGGGAGTGGAATGCGGTGAGGAGGTGAGGAGGGAGGGCAGTGTTGCTTGAAAGCTCTCTGCCCTTCCCTTCCGCTGCCCTCTGGTCATTGTATGTATTTTGAAATTCACACCGAAGGAGGGTGTAAGGTGTTCCTGTGTGTGAAGCTGCAGAGTGGGTGAGAAAGAGGCCAGAGGAGCGCCTTCCTCTCCTGCTGCCAGTCCTGGTTTTCAGGACCTGGTTTTGGTCGGTGGGCCTAGGACATTTTCAGATCCTTCTAGAGACAACAGAATGACAGTAAGGGAACGTTGTAACAACTTTATGCCAATACTGGGCACATTGTTTTAAGATACAGATTACCATACTGACCCAAGAAGAACTTTTGAAGGCTCTGTCAGTCCTGTAACGATTAAAGAAATTGACTCCAGGCCAGGCGCGGTGGCTCACTTGAGGCCAGGAGTTCAAGACCAGCCTGGCCAACATGGTGAAATCCCATCTCTACTAAAAATACAAAAATTAGCCAGGCGTGGTGGCGCACGCCTGTAATCCTAGCTACTTGGGAGGCTGAGGCAGGAGAATCACCTGCACCCAGGGGGCGGAGGTTGCAGTGAGCTGAGATTGCGCCACTGCACTCTAGCCTGGGCACGATGGAGCGAGACTCCATCTCAAAAAAAAAAAAAAAAAAAAAAAGGAAAGAAAAGAAATTGACTCCATAATTAAAGCCTTTCTACAAGGAGGGCTGCAGGCCTAGCTGGCGGCACTGGTGTTGCCCCTCAGACGTTTAGGGAAGCAGTAACTTCAGCCCACAGACCGTTTTGGAAAGCTCTGTGTCTCAGATGCAATGATCATATCTAATTATGAAATGTGTTTAATCATATGCCTAAGCGCAGAAGCAGAACGCACAGCCCTTCCTTGACTGGACCCCATTTGACCCTGGAAATCCGAGGAGCAGTCGTGGTCCCGTGAGTGTGCAGGGCCTGGCAGGGCCAACCGGTGTCTGCCCCACTGCGTGTGTGCAGGGGCATTCATGAGCTTCGCTGCAGTCGTGCGTGCTTTGGACGTTTTCCGTGCCCTCCTCAGCACACGGGCTGCAGATGGGGAGTGGCGAGAGAAGAAGGGCAGCAGAGGCACCGTGGGCGGGTCAGTGTGTGCTGACCGTGGGCAGCCAGGATGCTTACGGCTCCAGGACCATGGGGAGGTGGGGGCACTCTGTGTGCATGGGAGGGTCTGGGTATCGGAAGGCCATCTTGGATCCCCGCTTAGGCCAGAGTCTAAGGTGTCTATGGATGCCTTGCCCAGGGCTCTTCCATCCTGAGCGCTGGGCCCCTCCCCGCTCTTCCCCTGTGTGGCTGGGTGACTGTTGGGTGCCACTTGCCCGGAGCTGCTTGGCTCTGTCCTGCAGCCTCCCCACGTGTGCCGACCAGGTGCAGAGCCTGTGCTGCGGCCGTGCGGCCTGGGCCTGGGGGTGCAGTCTTGGGTGCCGAAGCCCTCCTTCTAAGGTGTCCTAGGCTGGCTCCGCTCAGGTGGGTGAGTCCCACAGGGGCAAGGCTGCCTGTTGTATGTGGTGTCGCCCGCAGGCATGCCATTCCACCTTGTCCCATGCTGGTGACACCGAATGTGGTCACTTGACTGAGGTGGGCGTGCATCATAGGACTTCCCTGGCAATGCGTCCTGTGGCGACGGTGCCCTCCTGACCCCTCCCACCCGGTGCCTTTGCGTCTCCTGAACCTGTTCCTGCCCAGGGTCTGTGGAAACAGTGGCTTCTATGAAGACTCACAGTGGTACTTCTCCTCCCTCTCCCCTTTCCTCCCTCTCCTGCCTGCTTTTTGGAGTGTCGCTGTGGACTCATCAGTTTTTGTGGTTTTTAATGTATTGTGTGGCCAGTGGGAGCCCCCCAGCTGCCCCCACCAGTGCCCAGGCCCACCTCACATCAGCTTTTCTCCAAGGAGCTCTGGTCCTCTCAGCGCACCTGAGACTACCAGTGCTAGTGCCACAGAGCCCGGGGCCACAGCACCTTCCGGTTTCACCACTCACCAATGCATCGTTTATTAAAGTTTCTTTCAAAAAGAATTTTTAAGCCTATGTTGTTGTACAGCTGTTTCTCGCTTGCTTTTCTTGCCATTGCACCTGATCTGCTGCTGACGTGCGGGAGGGTCATTAAAAGATTGACTTAAATTTGATACCAGAAATGTCAGTGTGGCTTTGCTTGAACAGCCGCGTGCGGGGCCTCTATGAGTGGAATCCAGTCTCATGGCCCCCCCATGGCTCCTGTTACCCTGGAGGAGGCTACTCCATGAGGCTGGCTCCGGTGGCACTGCCTCGGGGCTGCATGTACATGTGTGTGCATGTGTGTGCATGTGCGTGTGCACGTGTGTGTGTGCCCGTGTGCATGTGCCCGTGTGCGTGTCTGTGCTGTGTGTGTGTGCATGTGTGCGTGTCTGTGCGTGCTGTGTGTGTGCGTGCATGTGTGTGCACGTGTGTGCATGTGCACGTGTGCGCACCCGTGTGCATGTCCGTGTGCACGCGTTGTGTGTATATGTGTGCACGTGTGGATGTGTGTGCATGTGTGCACGTGCGTGTCCGTGTGCGTGCGTGTGCATGTGTATGTCTGCGTGCGTTGTGTGCATATGTGCGTGCATGTGTGCGCGTGTGCGTGTTCATGTGCTCGCGTGTGCATGTGTATCGTGCACGTGTGCGTATGTGCGTGCATGTGTGTGCATGTGTGTCCGTGTGCGTGTTGTGTGCGTGTGTGCATGCATGTGTGCATGTGTGTGCGTGTCCGTGTGTGCGTGTTTGCGTGTGTGCACGTGTGTGCGTGTGTCCCTGTGCACGTGGTGTATGTGTATGCATGTGTGCATGTGTGCGCGTGCATTCGTGTGCCCGTGTGCGTATGTGCGTGCATGTGTGCTGGCCGGGCAGAGGGGCTCCTCACTTCCCAGTAGGGGCGGCCGGGCAGAGGCGCCCCTCACCTCCCGGACGGGGCGGCTGGCCGGGCGGGGGGCTGACCCCCCCACCTCCCTCCCGGACGGCACGGCTGGCCAGGCGGGGGGCTGACCCCCCACCTCCCTCCCGGATGGGGCGGCTGGCCGGGCGGGGGGCTGACCCCCCCCACCTCCCTCCCGGACGGGGTGGCTGCCGGGCGGAGACGCTCCTCACTTCCCAGATGGGGTGGCTGCCGGGCGGAGAGGCTCCTCACTTCTCAGACGGGGCAGCTGCCGGGCGGAGGGGCTCCTCACTTCTCAGACGGGGTGGTTGCCAGGCAGAGGGTCTCCTCACTTCTCAGACGGGGCGGCCGGGCAGAGACGCTCCTCACCTCCCAGACGGGGTCTCGCCGGGCAGAGGCGCTCCTCACATCCCAGATGGGGCGGCGGGGCAGAGGCGCTCCCCACATCTCAGACGATGGGCAGCCGGGCAGAGACGCTCCTCACTTCCTAGATGTGATGGCGGCTGGGAAGAGGCGCTCCTCACTTCCTAGATGGGATGGCGGCCGGGTGGAGACGCTCCTCACTTTCCAGACTGGGCAGCCAGGCAGAGGGGCTCCTCACATCCCAGACGATGGGCGGCCAGGCAGAGACACTCCTCACTTCCCAGACGGGGTGGCGGCCGGGCAGAGGCTGCAATCTCGGCACTTTGGGAGGCCAAGGCAGGCGGCTGGGAGGTGTAGGTTGTAGTGAGCCGAGATCACGCCACTGCACTCCAGCCTGGGCACCATTGAGCACTGAGTGAACGAGACTCCGTCTGCAATCCCGGCACCTCGGGAGGCCAAGGTTGGCGGATCACTCGCGGTTAGGGGCTGGAGACCGGCCCGGCCAACACAGCGAAACCCGGTCTCCACCAAAACCAGTCAGGCGTGGCGGCGCGTGCCTGCAATCGCAGGCACTCGGCAGGCTGAGGCAGGAGAATCAGGCAGGGAGGTTGCAGTGAGCCGAGATGGCAGCAGTACAGTCCAGCTTCGGCTCCGCATGAGAGGGAGACCGTGGGGAGAGGGGAGAGGGGAGAGGGGAGAGGGGAGAGGGAGAGCTATTTATTGTTTTTTGAGACGGAGTTTCGCTCTGTCGCCCAGGCTGGAGTGCAGTGGCGCAATCTTGGCTCACCGCAACCTCTGCCTCCCAGGTTCAAGCGATTCTCCTGCCTCAGCCTTCTTCGTAGCTGGGATTACAGGCATGTGCCACCACGCCCAGCTAATTTTGTATTTTTAGTACAGACGGGGTTTCTCCATGTGGTAAAGCTGGTCTCGAACTCCAGACCTCAGGTGATCCGCCCGCCTCGGCCTCCCAAAGTGCTGGGATTACAGGCATGAGCCACCGCGCCCGGCCTAAACGTGAGACTTTTAATGACGGTCTTGCAAGATCGGGTGTCTGGTGGGCAGGCACACCCAGCACGGTCACAACAAGCCATTTATCCCCCAGTACGCAGGCCCCTCCCCCGGTTCCTCACAGGCTGAGTACTCTGGGGTCACAGTCTTCCCGGACATCACCTATTGGTTGTCGGGCAGGGGCTGTAGGTGTTTTTTTAGGGTTGTCCTGCTGCATTTTGTTGCAGCCCACAATGCGTTGCAATCCTAGTCAGCTCAGGGGCTTTTCAGGTATTTGACTTATGACCTAAGTAGCTGGGCAGACTGATAAGAACAGACAAAACAAGCTATGTTGCAGACGAGTAAAACTTTCGTCATAGACTAAAAGTTTTTGGGTCAGGTGAAGGCAACTAAGCGTTGGGGGGAAGACTGGGGATGGGGAGGCCGACAAGCAGGCATCGGCAACCCAGGCAGGGGCCTGGTCTTCTGTAGCTTGCTGACCTAAGCAAGCAAGACACTGTGTCTTGGAAGTGGACCACTGTGTACATTATTTCCTTCACTGAGAACTGATTTTGCAAAGCCGAGTTTGTGTGACTGTGGAGGGCGAGTGTCCACACCAGGCAGCGTCCAACTCAGCGCTGTTTCTCAGACTGATGTCCCGGGGACAGTCACAGACCCCCGGGGCTGTCCTGCTCCCTGCCGGGTGGCAGTGACCATGGGGATGTGCATGAGGGCTCTAGGTCTGAGGGGTGGTTTGTCCAAGGTCATGGTCAGAGCCAGGACTGACACCTGGGTTCCAGCCTCCGTGCCAGGGGTGTGGCGTGAGCACCACGAGGGGAAACTGGGGACATGTGACACACTGCAGCGCTGAGGGGCCCTGTTCTGAGGAGCCAGTGGAGACCTGAGGACAAAGCATCCGTGTCTCAAGGCTTTGCCCTCTGCTAAGGTGGGCACTGCAGGGACCCCTGAGCTCCACAGAGAAGCGGACCTTACTGGGAGAGGAGCCTGGTGCGCAGGACCGTTGCTGGGGCCGCAGCGTGTGCTGCAGCGTCCAAACGCAGCTCTGGGTTTGTGACTGAGCATGGCGGTGATTCTGCCAGAGGCGGGAAGCCTCCCTGGTGTGCACTCCAGCCTGTGTGAAAACTGTGCCCCAAACCCTCACCTCTGGGGTGCACTCCAGCCTGTGTGAAGACTGTGCCCCAAACCCTCACCTCTGGGGTGCACTCCAGCCTGTGTGAAGACTGTGCCCCAAACCCTCACCTCTGGGGTGCACTCCAGCCTGTGTGAAGACTGTGCCCCAAACCCTCACCTCTGGGATGCACTCCAGCCTGTGTGAAGACTGTGCCCCAAACCCTCACCTCTGGGTGTATTCCAGCCTCCAACAGACTGTGCCCCAAACCCGCACCTCTGGATGTACTCCAGCCTCCACCAACAGACTGTGCCCCAAACCCTCACCTCTGGGGTGCACTCCAGCCTGTGTGAAGACTGTGCCCCAAACCCTCACCTCTGGGGTGCACTGCAGCCTGTGTGAAGACTGTGCCCCAAACCCTCACCTCTGGGTGTATTCCAGCCTCCAACAGACTGTGCCCCAAACCCGCACCTCTGGATGTACTCCAGCCTCCACCAACAGACTGTGCCCCAAACCCTCACCTCTGGGGTGCACTCCAGCCTGTGTGAAGACTGTGCCCCAAACCCTCACCTCTGGGGTGCACTGCAGCCTGTGTGAAAACTGTGCCCCAAACCCTCACCTCTGGGTGTATTCCAGCCTCCAACAGACTGTGCCCCAAACCCGCACCTCTGGGTGTACTCCAGCCTCCACCAACAGACTGTGCCCCAAACCCTCACTTCTGGGGTGCACTCCAGCCTGTGTGAAGATTGTGCCCCAAACCCTCACCTCTGGGTGCACTCCAGCCTCCACCAACAGACTGTGCCCCAAACCCACACCTCTGGGGTGTACTCCTGCCTCCGCCAACAGACTGTGCCCCAAACCCTCACCTCTGGGATGTACTCCAGCTTCTGCCAATAGACTGCCCCAAATCCTCACCTCTGGGGTGTACTCCAGCCTCCGCCAACAGACTGTGCCCCAAACCCTCACCTCTGGGTGCACTCCAGCCTCCGCCAACAGACTGTGCCCCAAACCCTCACCTCTGGGTGCACTCCAGCCTCCGCCAACAGACTGTGCCCCAAACCCTCACCTCTGGGGTGTACTCCTGCCTCCGCCAACAGACTGTGCCCCAAACCCTCACCTCTGGGGTGCACTCCAGCCTTTGTGAAGATTGTGCCCCGAACCCTCTCCTTTGGGGCATGTGGGGCCTTCCCTCGTGCCGGGCTGGAGGCTCAGGCTTAGGGATGGGCATCGGCCTCCCCAGCAGGCCCCTGGCAGACAGCTGGGGACGCAGTACCAAGGGTCTGGGGCTGGTGGTCTGGGAGCCTCTGGGCATCCCGTGGACAGACAGGTAGGAGGGCAGGTAGGTAGAGGGCAGGTAGAACCCCTCGTCCCCCCTTCTCTCCTCCAGCTTTTTCCACGTTGAGGTCTGGTCCTGGACTTCCCAACTTACTGGAAGGAATGGCCCGGGATCCTGGGACAGTTTGTAGGGAAGGGAAAGGCTGTTGAGCAGGGCCCCCCGCCGGGAAACAGGCAGTATCCTCCGCTCCCCTGTCCCTCAGCATGGCCCGGAGCTGGCATCTGTGGGCCACGATGGGCCCCAATTAGCCTGGCCCCAAATCTGCTAGGCGGCGTCCAGGCGGCGTGGGGGTCCCGTAGGAGCCCCGCCGGATGCGCAGACACCTACGGCCGCACCGTTGCTGCGTTTGTCGGTATTTTTCCCATTCCGGTCCCCTTCTGTGGGCCTGGGGAAATTCTGGGGGAGGGTGGGCTTTCTGGGCCGGGACCCCGCAGCGCCATGGAGCTTGTCCAGGAACAGAACCGGCGCATTCTCCTTGTCCTCCAGCCGCCGGCTGCCGGCGAAAGCCGTGGCGGGAACTCACCGAGTCGTGTCGGCCCCATGCCGCCTATTGAGAGGCATCCGTGCCGGCCGCGCAGGGCTCCCTCTGGTCCAGGCGCTCTGGTCCTCGGCGGGGCCCCTGCTCTCCTGGTGGGGCCCTGAAAGTGACGGCACCCCGACGGCCACTGGAGGGAGCTCCAGAACCGAGCCTGCCCTTGAGGCCGGAAACCGCGGCTGGCCCTGGAGCTGCCTTTGGATCGCGGAGTATTAAAAGTGCCCGCACTTGAAATCTTACTGCGTGTCCTGAAGAGAGCCCTGTCCCTTTCCCATGAGATGCTGAGCCGTGATCTGTACTCGGGAAGCACACAGATCTCCTGTCTCCACCCTGGCGTGTTCTGACAGGTGCAGCCGCTGTGTCACCAGCACCCCGGCAAGGGAGACCGCCTCCGTCGCCCCTCCCTGGCCCACGCCCTCCCAGACCCGGCCCTCGTCGCCGCTGTGTCGCTGGTGAGGTGGGTTCCCTGCTCTGGAGCTGCTGAAGAGGCTCCAGTACTTTGCACGTGCTCACATCTAGCTGTGTCCCCGCAGCTGCATGTTTTGTGAGGTTCACCCTGTTGCCGCGCCTGTCCCCGGTGGGTCCATTTCGCTGACGAGTAGCATTCCTTCGATGCGCAGGCCACATCTGTTTATCTGTCCACCTGTTGATGTGCAGTTGGGTTGTTTCCAGTGTTGGGCTCTTATGAGCAAAGCTGCCGTGAACATTTGTATACAGGTGCTTGTGTGGACTTCCGTTCCCATTTTTCTTGGGTAAATGTCTGGAATTGGGACAGCGGGGACAGATGTTAACCATGTTTAATTTTGGAAGTGGCTGCCAAGTGGGGTACGTTTTACCTTCCTCCCACCACCTCAGCTGCACACTTAGTGTATGCCAGTTGGCTGGAGCTGGGCAGGAAGCCAGCCTGTCCAGCCTTGGGTCTGGAGAGGGGCCCCAAGGGGTGCCGTGGCCCCTAGAACAGGATGGGGCCATGTTTCCTCCTGCCCAGGGCCTCATCGTTTCTCAGACTGGTGCTGGGAAGAATCTTCGTGCCCCAAGGGGCTCTGCAGAAAGCGTCCTGTGATGATTAGGGTTGGACAGCGGGGAACGCTGTCTTTTCTCTTTAGAAGCCTTAGTGTGTGTGGCACAGCTCAGATGTCCTGCAGAAAAGAATCGGATGCTGCTCGCTTGACCCGGCGTTTCCCACCCTCCCTCCTGGGGCCTTCTGTGCGCCCTGAGTGTGGGGTGGGCTGGGGCTTCTGGAGCCCTGGAGCCTGGCAGCAGGGGCTGCTCACTGCTGTGGGACCCTCTGGGCTTCAGTCTCCCTCGTGTCCATGGGGCGTCCCCCAGGGTCCCTGCTGGCCCCACATCCGACAGTCTGGGGCCAGGTGACTCGGCCGAGGGAGGAGTCCCTGCACCACGCTAGTTTGGGTGGATGCAGGGCTGGCTCTGGAGACTCAGCCTTTGTCTGCCGGTGCCTTTCAGGGTGACACTTGAGCTTTGAGCTTCGGTTCTCCTGTGTGAGGTCAGCTCGGGATTCCCTCCCTTCCTCTCAGGAGTCAGGGTGTTGCGTTTAGGCGCTGTGGGAAGCTCAGGGTCAGGGTCTGGAACCTGTCAGTGCCCCTGCTCCCCACCGCTGTTCCTTCTGCCCTCACCTTCCATGTCTCCTGCTGGGGGCAGCCTCCCTGCACAGCGTCTCCTCAGAGTCCCTGGAGCAAGGTAAGCCTTGTCTCCCTACAGAGCCACCATCTGCTTCCAAGAGTGGAGCCATCGTGCGTCTTTCCGGGGCCTGTTCTGTGGCTGCTAAGGGCCTGGTCTCCCCATCTTCACGTCACAGCCCATCAGGACCCGGCGCTGTGTCGGGTCTCCTACCCTGCAGCCGACGCGTGTGAAGCCTCTTCCGGTCACGGTGTTCCCGGGGAGGAGACAGACGTGTGTGTTTGTGTGTGTGCATGCGTGCTTGCATATGTGTGCATGCTTGCACGCATGTATGTGTGTGTGTATGCTGCCTGAGGCACACACATCTGTCTAAAGTTCGAGATGTTGAAGTGACTCCCTCCCCTCAGAGGCTGCCAGTTTTGAGTGTGGCTAGTCCCCCTGCCCCCCACCTCTGCAGAGGGAAGAACAGGCTGTTTCTGAGGGGTCTTCCATCTTCCAGGTGGGGACTTGCGGAGCTCTGACTTCTCTGTGGTGTGGTAGAGCTCGCCCTTCTGTGGAAAGAGAACAGCACAGGTACAGGGGTACAGTTAGATTAAGGAGCCGTGGCAAGGGCCCACATTCAGATCAAACCAGGAAGGACCTTACATCACTTAGAAACGTGGGCAGAATCCCTAAAGAGGCGCTTCTTTGGAGAGGCCAAGACGTCATTAAGATGGGAAATGCCTTAATCCTCCCCTGGCTTGGCACAAAATACCAGAGACACATGGCACCAAGGGCAGGTGAGGACGTGAGACCACACTTGGTGAGCGTGCGCGGCTGAGGCTGTGTCTGCCCGAGGAGTGCCCCACGCAGGGGCCCATGGTGGGCGCTGGGAGACACGGCAGAACAGCGCCGCTTCGTGCACGAACGCCTGAAGTTGGAAACAGTCCCCATGTTTGTCAGCAGCAGAGTGGACCAGTGAATTGTAGTGCCTGGAACCCGTAGGACACGGGACACGGGAAAATGACGCACACCCCAGGAGCAGCACAGGGAGCCCGTTTCTCAGGAGCACCCGATCAGTCACAGAGTGAGGAAGAGAGCCAAGGCAGTGAGCAGAGGGAAAGCCAGGGGCTTGCTTATGTTGCCAGACCGGCTGCCAGCCCCTGCCCAGTCCTTGTCCCAGCCTCAGGACACCTCCCATCTGTACCCAAAGATTTGCTGTTTGGGGACAGCGTCGCGTGGAAGCCCCAGATGTGGCCGGGGTCAGCTGGCAGTGTCAGAGCTGTGTTCATCTTGTGGTCCCCCAGCGAGTCAAGGTGGCTGAGCAGGATGGGGCGTGGGTCTGTGAGCGATGCCAGAAGACACAGGATGGAGGAGCCCAGAGAGAACGGAGGGGGCAGGTCAGATGCACTCACACGCTCAGGCTTGGCAAAGCCAGGCAGGCCCAGAGCGATTCTGTAAGGGTTAGGGTTCAGATGAGGGTGTTGAGGGTTAGGGTTAGGGTGGTTAGGGGGTTAGGAATAGGGTGTTTAGGTGAGGTTTAAGTTGGTTAGAGTTAGGGGTTAGGGGTAGGAGTAGGGGTACATGTGAAATGGGCATGTTCACGTTATGCTTCCTGCCTAGATTCTCTGCTCTTCCTTCACTTCCCAACCTGACGGAGTGCGGACCGTGCGCACCGCCATACAGCTCTTGCCAGGCTGCCCTGTGCAGCAGGGCGGAGGCAGGAACGTGTGCTCTCACTTCTGCCGGAATCCTTGGGAGGGCTGCAGGATACCCCAACACCTCAGTTCCATCCTCAGGGCCACAGAAGCCCTCAGGGGTGTAGTCAATGGTGACTTTATTCTTATTTTTCTGGGAGGAGTAACGCCTGTGTGGGGCAGGCCTGCTCCTTCAGCCCGCGTGGCTTACTCCTTCGCCAGCAGCCAAGGTACTCCCTCTGCTACCGTTTGAGACGTGTGGAGACATGGTTTGCGTGCCGGGCGTGTGTGAAGTGGAACCACTCCTGGGTGATTGGGTGGACAGAATTTCTGCAAAGAGGAACTACAGAGGGGTAACCGAAAGTATTAAGACGTACAATTCGAGGGGAAATAACCAATTTTATGATACTTTCTGTTACGGTTACTATTCCTGCTTTCCCTCTGTCGTGTGCTGTGTATGAAAGAAGACGTGTGTAGATTTCCTGATCTCTTCGCCACAATTCACACTAGATCCAGCTTCCTACAATAACTCTTAGAACTTTAATGAAGTGAATCTACAACTAAACTCCCTTTCTGGAATCTTACTTAAGGAAGCAGGGCAAGGTTTTTTTGTGGATAAACAAAAATAAGATGAATGATTTTTGAACTATAGTAGTCAAGAAGTGTTGGTAGCAATATCATTGACCCTGGGACGTCACGCGCTGAAAAACTCGCATCCTGGTGTCTCACAAACTGGGGAAGAATTGGGGAGTTGGGCAGACGGCTGCCTGGAAGAATTAAGCAGTTGGAGAGATGGCTGCCTGGAAGAACTAGGGAGTCGGGGAGACGGCTGCTTGGAAGAATTGGGGAGTTGGGGAGATGGCTGCCTGGAAGAATTGGGGAGTCGGGGAGATGGCTGCTTGGAAGAATTGGGGAGTTGGGGAGATGGCTGCCTGGAAGAATTGGGGAGTCGGGGAGATGGCTGCCTGGAAGAATTGGGGAGTTGGGGAGACGGCTGCCTGGAAGAACTGGGGAGTTGGGCAGATGACTACCTTGACTTTTTACAAGTAGCTCCTTTTTCTGCCCCGAGTGGCTCAAGTTCTTGTGTTCTGTGTGTGATGAGGTGAAGGCTTTGGGAATCTCTCAGGGGCGGCAGGAGGCTCAGGAGGTGCCGAATCTTCCCAGGTGAAGGCAACATAGAATATAGATGAGCAGGTGTCTCAGGAACAGTCAGCGACGCAGCTCCTGGGAAGCAGCCACAGAGACTGGCGGGAGCCTGGGGATGAGGACGGAGGCCTTGGCGCTCAGTGGAGGGTCTCAGGCAGCAGAGGCTGGCGGGAACCTGGGGATGAGGAGGGGACTCGCTGGGTAGGGGGTTGGGGCAGGCCATGGTGCACAGTGAAGTGTCTCAGGTAGCAGGCGAGGGTCTGCGCTGGAGGCATGTGCCTGCCCTGTGTGGGGCCCACCAGGAACAAACAGCTGACCAGGCAGCAGGGTGTCCCTGGGGCCCTCCACAGGGCCACCCAGCAGGGTGGGATGAGGGGTATTGAATGCAGGCCAGTCCCTGCAACAGACCCACAGAAATGAGCCAGTTTGCACCCAAAGCCACTGAGAAATTGAAATAGTGATTTTAGGCCCCTCCTGCCTTTGGGGAGGATAGTTGGATGGTGTAATTCCCGGGCAGAGGCAGCCCAGTGCCACCCTCACCTGTGTGTGGGGTCCGCCCCTTTCCTGGGAGCTCAGCGTGGAGCCAAGGGGGGCTGGAAAGTATCGGCCAGGAAGAGGGTCTCCTGGTTCAAGCACGGACACCCCACCCTGCAGAGCTGGGCTGCAGGGGTAGGAGGGTTGGGCTGACGGCGCCAGCCGCTGGGCAGGGTTCTGTGGGCTTGTGTGATCACTTCCTCATCGGATGCCAGGGTTTCCGCGCAGGCATGGAGATGGGAAGCCCAGGACCATCAGAGACGCGGCCCTTACACCAGCTCCGGCTCCAGAGGGACTGGGAGGGAGGTCAGGCCTGCGGCTTTAAAGGTTCACACCTGAAAACCAAACACTGACAGAAACAGCTCAGAAAACTGTTCTCTAATCCCACGGCTTAGGAGCCTGTCCCGCGGGTCTGAGCTCCCCGCAGGAGCCACCCAGAGCCGCGTCCTCACGAGGCCGACTCTGACCTGCTTGCAGCACGTGATGAATAATGCCAGTGACCTCGTGGCTGAATTCCCAGGAGACTGGGACCAGAGCGTGACGTCCCCACGTCGATGGCTGCAAGGTGCCACTCCCCCCACCCTACCCCCACTGTCCCTGGGGCCGGGCATACTCAGAATTCCAGCGCGTTCAGGCTGTGGGGAGGAAGTGTGCCACAGAACCCCGGGGCGCTCAGGGCAGCTCCCACAGCCACATCGCCCGTCTTCAGAAGGGGTGGGGTCCTCATGGACATGAAGCTCTCACACCCCTTCAGGTCAGGGATCGCTGCCCAGTGAATTTGCCGCAAACTTGGGGGGAACATCTTCCTGTTTTCAGAGCTTTGTGGGCTTTAGAATTGGAGGTAGGGGATTGCAGGCCTATACTTTAATCCTAGAAAATCGGGGAGAGGCGAACAGATGGTGGGGAGGAATGGGGGCTTTTCTCACGGCCACATTTTAAAGTAGATGTTTTACAAAATCCCAATGGGTGGAAGGTCTCCAGCCAGGCTGACGAGGAACAATTGCCCCTGACTATAGACCCGCCTCACTAAGACCCGCCTCACTACGGACCCGCTTCACTACGGACCCGCCCCACTACAGACCCGCCCCACTAAGACCCGCCCCACTACGGGCCCGCCTAAGACCCGCCTCATTACGGACCCGCCCCACTAAGACCTGCCTCACTAAGACCCGCCTCACTAAGACCCGCCTCACTACGGACCCGCCCCACTACAGACCCGCCCCACTACGGACCCGCCTCACTACAGACCCGCCCCACTACAGACCCGCCCCACTACGGGCCTGCCTAAGACCCGCCTCATTACGGACCCGCCCCACTAAGACCTGCCTCACTACGGACCCGCCCCCCTAAGACCCGCCCCGCTAAGACCCACCTCACTACAGACCCGCCCCACTACGGACCCGCCTCACTATGGACCCGCCCCCCTAAGACCTGCCTCACTAAGACCCGCCCCACTAAGAACCACCTACTGACCCGCCCCACTCGGGACCCGCCTCACTAGGAACCGCCTCACTACCGACCCGCCCCACTAAGACCCACCTCACTAAGACCCGCCTCACTACAGACCCGCCCCACTACGGACCCGCCCCACTATGGACCCTCCTCACTGCAGACCTGTTCGCTCAAGTGGAACAGGCCGGTCCGGGCCCCATCTGAGGCTGCGAGGGCCGCGGAGATACGGATGCTGGTCCCAGGTGCCTTCGGAGCTGGCCTAAGGTTCCACCCTGGCCCTCCCACCAGACCCCGTGTGACACAGCCTCCAGCCCTCTGTCCCCTGGGGGCCCTTCAGCTCTGGTATTCAGTCAGAAATCCTAACACACCTTTCTTTTGTTTATTTATATTCTTTAGTTTTGTGCACACTTTGAGGAATTGATTTAGGACAGGTTCATACTGAAAAAAACCTCAGCTGATGTTATCTGTGGGGGCTGGGGAGGGTGTCAGGGACATTTGGTGGCTGAGGAGAGCGCGTCACTGCTATTGAATAGCTCCATTTAACACCAGCCATGTCTCCGCGTCTCAGGCACTTCTGTGAAATGTTCTCAGAACCCTGTGGTGACTGCGGCACACCCGGCAGGCCTTGCTAGCACACGCCGCCCACTGGCAGGGCCCGGCCACCCTGGCTGTTGCCATTCTTTCGTAGGGTTTTGTTCATTTTACTATTTGTCATTTTTCTAGGAAACATCTGTTTTTGTAAAACAAACAAGGGGGAATCAAGTATTTTAACCACAAAGTATAAATACTGGCTCTAAGCTTTCATCACTTCATTGACAAACTGAATGCTGAGGAGGCTGAAGGCGAGGAGGCTTTTGCGGATGTGGACCTTGAGCTGCGTGTTTGGGAGACGCACAGGCCTCGGGGAGACTCAAGCCAGATGCCAGCCACGGGGACCACAGCCTTGGCCCAAGAGTGGCATTTGTGGGAAAAAGGAAACTTCAAGAAAAACACCCCTCCTGCTTCTCTTCCAGCAGCTCGTCTCCTTCTGGAAGGATGTGGGGAGCGTCCAGGGTAACTAAGTGCTCTGCGTCCACCAGAGTCACGTCTCCCCAGGAGGGCTGGGCCGCCTACGCCAGCACCTGCTGCACCCCCATGTGGTCCGGGGAGCAGTGCCGGTCCCCGCAGGGCAGCTTTTTCATCAGCCGTTGGAGCTTGCTGGGGAAGCTCTGGTTCATGTAGCGGTAGAGAAGTGGTGTCACAAAGCTGCTGGAGAAGGCCAGGAGTTTGGAGAAATCCTTCACAAAGTGCAGTAGCCCCAGGTAGTGTGCGTCCACGGGCTTCCCTCGCGAGATGATGACCGTGTGCCCCAGCAGGATCAGATAGTGTGGCGTCCAGAGCCCAAACTGCGTGCACACGGTGGCCACCAGCAGCCTGTGTGCCGAGGGCTCCAGCCGGCCCGTGTCCCGGTCCAGGGGCGTGTCCTCCCTGCGGACGCGGGAGAGTAGCACCAGCGCGTAGAGGGTGGCCAGTGCTGGCACCACGTAGCCGATGAACACCAGCGTGGCGTCGGCAGCTTCTGCGTTCTGCATCTTGGCGCACTCTAGCGCGCGGGTGGACACATGGCTGCAGATGTAGAAGAGCAGCGAGGAGAAGCTGGTCAGCAGCGCGCCACCCCACACGAAGCCGCACACGTGCCGCGTGTTGTACACGCTGGCCATGTAGGTCCGCGGCAGTGCACGCTCGATGTAGTGGTCGAGGCTCAGCAGGGCGGTGGAGTACATGGCCACCAGTGAGGACACATTGAAGGGGATCTGCAGTGCCACGTGGACTTCGCCGCCCACACTCCACAGCGCCCACCGGGAGCTCGGGGGGCCGAGCAGGTGCACAGGGGCCAGGGCGCTGAGCACCAGGCCTGCCACTGCCATGTTGACAAAGTACACGTCCGGCATGGTCATGCTGGCCTTGCTGTGTAGGTTGGCCAGCACCAGCAGGGCGTTGTAGCACAGGCCCACTGGCACGCCCACCACCAGGCCCAGCAGCGACAACAGTGACAGCCCCAGCTGCAGGTCCTGGCAGGCAGGCAGCTCCTCCACCAGCCCTGTGCCGTTGAACCAGCTGCAGCTCCACATGGCGGCCGGCGAGGCTCCGCGACCCTGCGGAAAGAAGGAACAGGTGGTCAGCTCGCGTCCCGTCCCAAAGCCCTGGCCCAGAAGTGCTGCAGGTACAGGGGTGCCTTCTCCTGGTGCAGTAATCGCTGCAGACCACAGAGCGAGGCTGCCTTTGGTGCATTTCTGTGAAAGTGAAGTTGAGCGTTGAAAAATGGCCGTCTCGGGTCGTGACCGGGGGCTGCTGTGGCTGCACTTATTTCAGCGGCTGGGGTTGGGGACCAGAGAGGGAGCCTGGTGTGCCCCACATTCTCAGAGCCCACTCTTCACGGGCTGCTGCGAGGCCTGGGTGGTCGTCCTGAGTTGGTTGGACGGGCCCCGCACAGTGATTCCCGAAGTTTACTAGATGTCTGTGGTGTTCGCATCTTGCCAGCGCCGGGAGGGACAGGCAATGTGGACGGTCAGCCCTGAGCCTCCCTCCCTCCCTCCCGGCAGCTCAGGACCCGGTGCCTTGGAGTCCTTGCAGAGCCTGGGCTCCAGGGAGGGTGACCTGTGGGTCGCAGCCCACAGGAGGCTCTGGGGACATGGGGACATAGCCAGTCTTGACGTCACTGAATGAGAACCTGGCGGCTGGAGCCATCCTAGAGTAAGAATTTCGCCACCCCCACCCCCCCACCCCGCCAAAGCACAGGCATTCCTCAGGGACCTACAGCTATCTCGGGAAGCCTGATGTCCACCATGTCATTTGGCCCCGGCTGACCTCCTACTCTCGGAGTGGAGTAGAAAGCGTCTCAGGCAGACGAGCAGACGGCATCGTTCCCATGCCCGGAGGCAAGAGCAGTGAGGAGGCCGGCTGCGGGAGTGGGTCCTCACCCGCCACTGGAGTCCTGCCACTGCAAGACCCACACCACACACAGGGCCACAGCAGGGCGGGAAGAGGAGGCTCGGGAGGTGGAGAGCACGGAGGGGCCAGGGCCCGAGGTCCCCAGTGCCAATAGCAGTGTGCGCCCCACAGCAGGAGACACGGCCCTGTGGCTAGGCATGCAGGCAGCTGGCAGATGGGCGGGTGGGTAGATGTGGGAATTCCCATCCAGAGGCTGGTGGGCAGGACGGGAGGTGTGGGTCATTGTGCAATCCTGGTGAATGCCGCCCAGCAGCCGCAGTGAGGGTCAGGTGGTGACAGGCATGCAGAGCTAGGCCGCTGCTGGGTGTGCCCAGCCACAGTGCCGCCACAGCGCTGCCACAGCACCCCCAGGTCCTGGGTCCAGGCTCCCTGGCCCCTGCTTCTCACGTGCTCATCTTGTCTAGCTCCTCACTAACACATCTTGACCAGCACCTCCTCGGCCAGGCAGGCAGCAATCTGGGGGATGTTGGTAGTGGGGGATGGGCTCTGGGCTCCACTCGCCGGGCCAGCACAAGCTCCAGACAGGATGCACCTGCTCCAAGCACAGTGGCGGGGGCCGGTGAGGGGGGCGTCCGGGCCTCTGCGGGCTTCTCCCCTCCTGCTGCGCCAGGGTCCAGAGGACGGGGTTCTTCAGGATCGTGGTCCTCCACACCCCAGCTTCTGCCTGCGAGGCTGCGTGGCTTTGGCTGTCACAGAGTGGCAGCCCAGTTTGGGGACGTCACCCCCCAGACTCCACTTGAGTCCCCAGGAAACACAGGCCACTGTGACTGGGTGTCAGTCAGCAGCCTGGCCTGGCCTCACGGGGCGCCCAGGGCCCCCGGATCTGTCCAGGGTCTGTGATTAGAAGATCGGAGCGGGAGGGCTGTCTCACTGTGTGCCTTGTGTGCTGCCTCCAGTCACTGACAGGAGGGCACACCCGGCCGGCCACCTTCACCCCACAGAGCTTGCCAAGGGCCGGGACCCCTCAGTGTGCTCTGTCTCGGCACCCCTTCATTCCCTACTTAGAGATGTCCACCGGTGGCACTGTACAGAACCCCCTGCGTCCTCTCTCCCACCTGTGCTGCACAGAGTCCCCCACGTCCCCTCTCCTGCCTGTACTGCACAGAGCCCCCCACGTCCCCTCTCCCACCTGCGGGCACCACAGGCTCTCACCTTTACTTTGTGGCCCAAGCCTCTTGGTGCTGTGGGCCCTGGCCACTGTCGGTGAGCAGCATGGCGGGACAGAGGTGGCCACCAGAGCTCTGGTGAGGACCTGCGCGCTGCTGCGCTTCTCTGCAAACCCGCAGGCTCTTATCAGCAGCGCGCCTGGCCGCCTGCGCGTGCGTGTGAGGGCCCCAGGATGCAAGCACTTGTTTTCCTCTGGTAAGTTCCCCGCAGGGCCTCTGCCTCCCTTGGCAGGCGCCACCGCCCCTCCCTCCTGCTGTTTACAGCCGGGTTCCAGAAACGAGGGGCCGTGCTTGGACGGGACCGCACTGCAAACTGAGCACAGCTGGCCTCTTGTCCCACCTTTCTGATAGCCTGGCTCATGGAGGCCGTGGCCTCTGCCCGCAGGCCCCTGTCTGCATCGCTGCGGGGCATCCCACCGAGAGCCTGGGGGCAGGTCAGGCAGACACGTGTCCAGGTCCATGCAGCCGCCCCTGGTGTTCAGTGTGCTTGAGATGTTGGTTACGAACCCTTTTTTCCGTGAGGAAATCAACAGAAGGGTCTACTGTCGAGCGAAGGCCTGGCCATGCTCACTCAGCCCACAGGACACAGGAGTCCTCAGAGGCACAGCGGAGGCCGAGGGCAGGTTCAGGTCGGAAGCAGAGAGGGGAGCACGTGCATCTGGTGTCTCCGTGCACAGAAGGGACATGGGCATGGCCAGAGAAAAGCTGAGCCGGCCCCACACACGGAGCCTCCTGCGAGGGCTCTCCTGCAGGTGGAACCGCGTGGGGCCAGCCTCTTGCCCGCCGCACCCCTCCTTGCAGGGAGTCAGAGAGAAGCTGCCTGGACTGCTAATGCCTGCCCCGCCGTGAGGCCAAGTCAGAGGGAGGCAGCCAGCGTCTGCAGGGCTAAGAATGGCTCGATTCTTGGGAGGCGGTCACGTGGAGTGGGATCTGCTGGCATTTCCTCCCTGCGCTCACGTGCGTCCCACTCGCCCTGAACCGGCTCTCGAGTGCGTGCTGTCACCCCAGCCGGGACCTGGGAACGCCGGCCTCCAGGTGGGGTTCAGGTGGAAAGTTCTCCTGTGTGCATTTTTGTTTACTGGCAGCTGACAAATACTGAAGGATTTATAAACTTCCAAAGCTGCAGGTTGCTCTCTGTGCAGTTCACCAGGTATCAATGATGAGGATGGTTTCTGTTTCCAGTGAAGGTTACAAGCCGAGCCGTACCTGTTTTCCTTCACTCTCCGCCGGTTGGAAGGTGACGCGCTTTGCGTGTTGGCCCCAACATTCTCCCTGGAGCCCTCCTTTTACCAGGCATTACCTGGAGATCTTGGGAGGGAAGGCAGCTGGGGCGGGCTGCTCCGTGGGCTCTGGGGGACGTTCCTAAAGCCGAGGAGCTCAGGTTCCCGCCTTTGTCAGGAGCTGGGCTGAGAGGCATGGAAGGAAGGCAGGTCAGCAGAGCGTGAGGAAACCCCTTCCTCGGCCACGCCTGGGTGGACAAGTCTCCTTGACCCGCCTCCTCTCTGGCTCGTGGTAGGAACAGGGTCCCTGGGAGTGCCCTCCAGGAGCTGGTTTGAGAGTCTCCTGCCTGCAGGCTGTTAGCCATGGCTCCCAGAGAAGTGAGCATGAAGTGTATGGTTTTTTGGTTTTGTTTTTGTTTTTTTGAGATGGAGTCTCGCTCTGTTGCCCAGGCTGGAGTGCAGTGGCACGATCTCAGCTCACTGCAACCTCCGCCTCCCGGGTTCAAGCGATTCTCCTGCCTCAGCCTCCCGAATAGCTGGGATTACAGGCGACTGCCACCACACCCAGCTAATTTTGTATTTTCAGTAGAGACAAGGTTTCTCCATGTTGGCCAGGCTGATCTCGAACTCCCGACCTCAGGTGATCCGCCCACCTCGGCCTCCCAAAGTGCTGGGATTACAGACGTGAGCCACCATGCCCAGCGAGGTGTACATTTTGAAGGCTGGGAGCTGCAGGGGGCACCCACAGAACCACAGCGTGCCAGGGCCTGGCGAGTCATGTGAGCCAGTGTTCCCACCTCTCCTGGTCACAGGAGACTCGTGACGCGTGCCCGACCCTCACAGCCAACCCAGCTCCCTGTCACTGAGCTGTTCCGGGCACATTAGCCGGGGTCCTGTCCTGCGCAAGGTTCTGGGCTCTACTGTGGACGCCCCTCCCCCGCCGTCGCCACACCTGCGTCCGAGTGAGGGGGATGGCCTGGGCCCCATGTGCCTGCCTGGACGCAGAGGGGTTCTGTGGGAGCCTGGCCTGGCCCAGGCGGGTGGAGCCTTCGACTCCTTGCCTGTCCGTGGTCTCCCGCTTGCCTCTGTGCCCAGAGACTTCCTTTTCCTGGCTGCCGGGCTGTCTGGGGAAGCAGGGCATCCTGGAACTGGAGAACAATGGCCTGGCTTCTCCCCCCACTGGGCAGGCCCGCTGTGCCTTCTTTCCCGTCAGCCATGCACTCTGCTGACTTCCTTCAAGGGAAAGAGGAACGGGGAGCCAGGTGATGGGAGACTTAGAGGCTGGGAGAGAAAGCCCAGATGAGCCTCTTCAGAAGTGGGCTCTTTTCCTACACGAAAGCCTGAGTTTGTTGTGGCGGCGATGAAAGATTCTGGAGGCTCCCTCAGAAGGCAGGAGAGACCACAGAGAAGGGCCGCCTGCCCCCCAACCCCATGCTGCAGGTCCCTCTTGGGCCAGGCTTGAGGAACAGAGCTGGCACATGCCCTCCAGTCACCCGTTTCACTCTGAGCACTGCCTGCCCGGTGGCGGGGGTGATATTCAGCTTCCGGGGCCCGCCACTGCACCCTCAGCCAGCAGGGACCCTGTGGGCCTCTCCTCCAGGCCAGCCCCACCCTTGCACTGAGAGACCACCAGCTTGACCACCAGCTTCTCCCCCAGTTCCTGGCCACCCTCCCAGGCCAGGCCGTCCCTGGCAGCTGCTCCTTCCTGGCTCCCCCACTTCTTCCGCCAGGCCCTGCTCCTCCAGCACCTCCAAAGTCACACTGCTGGTTTCACTGCCTACCTCCCACTGTTACCACCAGCATCTCCCCCCGAAACCCTCCCCCACGACTCCTCAAGACCTGCCACCCACACACAGGTCCCTCCCCAGGCCCACGTCGGTGCCAGCACAAGCAGCCCCAAGGCCCTCCCCTAGGGAGGCACCCAGGACTGGGCTCTTCTCAGGCGAGTGTCCCCAGCCGAGCTGGACGCTGCAGGTCAGCCTTGCCTCTCAGGAGGGCACGCCTCGACGCAGGCGCCTGCTCAGAGGCTCCTCACCCACTCAGCCTGGAGCAGGCCTCAGGGTCTCTTAGGGACAATGACAGCATCTCGGGCCAGGAGGGGAGGGGCTGCAGGCAGCATCTTGGCTGGGAAGGTGGAAGGAGCTGGCCCTGCCTGGGCCTCAGCTGTCCAAGATGGCCCAGTTTCAATCGTTTTATTTTCCCTATAAGAGAATTCATTAATGTCACAAATGGGATTCATCTGTTCCTCCTTCTGTTTTTATTTTTCTGTTTGGAGCCAGGATCTCTCTCAGTCACCCAGGCTGGAGGGCAGTGGTACCATCATAGCTAACTGCACCCTCTGCCTCCTGGGCTCAAGCGATCCTCCCATCTCAGCCTCCCAAGAAGCTGGGACTACAGGCATGTGCCACTACAGCTGGCTAATGTTTTCATTTAACGTTTTTTGAGACAGGGTCTCACTATGTTGCCCAGGCTAGTCTCAAACTCCTGGGTTCAAGTGACCCTCCTGCCTCAGTCTCCCAAAGTGCTGGGATTACAGGTGTGAGCCACTGTGCCTGACCTGTTTTTGTTTTTTAAATAACTCTCATAAAAAGGGCCAGCCTTGCACCTACTGCCCGTCCTTCCCAATCCAGTGGCGGCTGACATGCGGGAGATATCTGACCAGTCTCATTTGGATGGGGTGAGAGGTCTTTACAGCTTCAAGGCTGGGCCTGGGCCATGGGCCAGCAGTGGACAGGAGAGGAGGGCTTAGAAAGCCCAGCGGAATCGGGAGAGTGTCAGAGCCCAGGGCTGGCCTCAGAGTGTACAGCCAGCCTGGGAGACGTGAGCAAATGTGCTCCCCACGCTGTGCGGGAAACTGCTGCACCCCTTACGAGCTCAGAACCTCGGCGGCCTGGCTCAGGGTCTCCCAGCAGCTGCTTAAGCAGAAAGGGGGCAGAGCTGGACACCAGGTGCACCCTAGAGAGCTGAGACAGAAGTGACATTTCCACACAGGAATCCTGAGAGGACCGGGGTTGGGACACAGTGTTCATGGGAGGCTGGCGCCCCGTTTTCTGGGAGCAGCAGCTTCTCTGAGTGACAGGAAGGGGCCTGGGCCTCTGCCCACACGCTGCTTGTAGGGCCTGGGAGCTGTATGAAGCCTCCGAGAAGTCCGGGTGTGCTGGTGCCCTCTGCGACGCAGGGGTGGCCTCTGGGCCCCATAAGCAGCCATCTGCGGGGCTGCGCACTCCCACCCAGGCCTCTGCTGGCCTGTGGGGTGACCTCAGCCAATCTGTCCATCCCCCTCTCTGACGGCATGGCCGCCATCTCCAGCAGGCTAGGGTGAGGCCCAGCTAAGCAGGAGGCTGGGAAGGACAGGGGTAGAGTTTCTCCGAGACCCCCTGCGCGTCAAGCCTTCTGGGTTCCTGGTCCCTGCCGAGCGCCTGTGGATGTCGCTGTTTCCGGTGTGCCCGTCTCTGGGTCCTCAGCTGTGCCTCTGTGTCATCTACTGAGCGGTGCTCACTCCTAATGCGTACTCGTGAGGATAGAAGGTGGGGTCTTTTCTTCCAAGACCCCGTGCTGGGCTCCGACTGCGATTTCCTGGGAAGATGCTTCCTAGGCTGCGGCGTTCCAAGCCCGGGAAGGCTGCTGGGCCTTACTTCCTTGCAGGCTCTCCCGCGTCCGTCCGCCTGCACCAGGGTGCAGGGACGCCACTTGCAGAGCATCCGCTCGGAGCTGGGAGCCCCAGGCTCAGGACTTGGAGAAGCTGGGGCAGCTTGAGAAACGAAAGCCAAAAAGTGCCAGACTCCCAAGCCACAGGGACCGATGGGACAGGATCCTTGGTTGGCTTGGGCAGCCCGTCTGGGCAGCTGTCCCTGTTGGCTTGGAAGTCCATGGATGTGCCCGCCGCAGGTGGACGGCTCCCTGCTCTGCTCTGAGCCTGAGCAAATGCCCTGGGGATCTGTTCTGTTCCTGATCTAAACCTGAGTGTGTGCAGCTCCCTGGAGAGCCCCTGACAGACCACCTGTGACTTTGGGCCACTGTGCCTGAGGAGTCACTGCCCACAGGGTGCACAGGCAGGCTGGGAAAGGACAGGGTGCCCAGTGGTGCTGGCCCCTGTGTCCCTGCACAGCCCTGAGCCCGTAGGCCTGTGCTGACAGCAGGTCTCACACTGCAGAAGACCCTGTGCTTGCGGTTCAGAGTGGGGCCCGCTGAGGGGGCCCTGCCAAGGCCTAGCCCGCCAGAGAGACCTGGGAGGGCCCGTGTGTCCTGAGCTTTGGGGGCCGACAGTGTGGGGCAGCTCTCCTTGTTGGGGTGGGGTGGGGTGGCTGCTGGCTGCTGCCAGGCCTGGCTGGTGGGAGGCAATCAGGAGGGCCCAGGTGCACAGCTTCAGCTGTCCCTGCCCAGGGCTCCTCGCACGGGACCTTGGTGGCTTCTCTGTCATAGAACCCAGTACAGTGGTGCCCAAAATTTGACCGAAAACAGTCCTAAAACTGTTTTCCTACTTTGAGAAAGCACCACTGATTCCAGCCGCTGCCTTGACCTCTGGTCTAATTCCTTCTACCTGACATGAGGGAATGTTAGACAGGGCTTCGTAGTAAGCCTGCTAATAGGAAGGACCGTGCCCTGCTGTCTGCAGGGGCCTGGATTAGTGGTGGGCAGCAGCAGGAGTTGACATAAAGCGCTGTAAGAAACTCCCTCGCCCTCCGTCTTCCTAGGAAGGAAGTGGTTAAGGGCCTGGGCTCTGGAGCGGGCAGCAAGCATGTGCACTGCAGGCTGAGCTTTTCCAGTCCTGGCTTGCACACAGGTGCCTTTGCAGGCAGGTGACATCCTTGCTGTGTGCCTCGGTTTCCCCAGGCTTAGTAAAAATCTTCATGAGACAGGAGGGTTAAGTAAACCAACCCATGTGAAGCACAAGAGGGTGCCGGCACTTGCTCCCTGTTACCAGCCCTGGCCTGGAATGATGACGCCTGCAGATCTTTGGCCTCCTCCCCACATATAAAGGGCAGAGGAAGCTGTTCTGTGACCTTTTGCTCAGAATCTTTGTGAACGGACACGTGTGCAGGGGAAACGTGGGGCAGGGTGGGGGTGACAACAACATGGGCCCCGTCACACCCCACACTGCTGGCCAACGTGGAGGAGGAGGCAGCCCCCAGGACGCACCTGTGGGTGGCGCTTGCATGGGTAGCACAGGGTCAGACCGCGGAGGCCTGGGGAGCGCACGCTCAGACAGCGGAGGCCTGGGGAGCGCACGCTCAGACTGCAGAGGCTTTGCAGTTTTATGGTTTTTATGTTCTGAGTTGGGGCTTTGATACCAACACAATGAATTTCCCGATGTTTCACTAGTACTAAACTGGAGTATAAACACTTGCTTCCCTGGCCTCTATTCATTGCTTTCAAAGGAACATGGGACTGAGAAGGAGAACCTGCTCCAGGGGTCTTGGTTCTCTTTGGTTCATAACTCGTGAAAATGTCTGGAGCCCATGTGCGGCTGTGGAGACCATGGCCATAGCAGGGTGTGGACAGGGGCGACAGGACCCCGTCAGGCTAGCTGTCAGGAGCATTTCAAGTGAGACGTTGGCATCTTTCTTCCTATGTCTTATTTAAAAAGAGCCCAAAGTGCTATCAAACAGTCTGTTAATAATGAATGTCTGTGAGCAGTGAGGTGAACTTGGCTGAAACCCGGGGCTAACTTTGATAGGGTTTCCCAATAGAAATGGACTGCCCCAGGCCTGTTCAGAAGCAGCAGGCCTGGAGACAGAGGGGGCCTGAGTGTGGGGATGGTGACCACCCCTCTCAACCTGAGAGGCACCCGGGTCCCTGTATGTGTGTGTGAGAGAGAGAGAGCATCATAGCGCCTGCACTGCACAGAGCTGGCAGAAACAGAAACCAGCAGAGGAATCCTCTGCTCCAAGGTGGCTGAATTAGTTTCACAAAAGCCATCGCTTTTGATGTTGCTGTCCCTGTTAGTCGGGAAGTTCTTTCCTCTGTTGCTTAGGGCCCTGTCAGAGCTGGGGCCGGCAAGTCCCACGCCCGGTGATCCCCACGAAGTTTCCGGGTGCTCTCTTTCACACTGTCTTTTGCGGATGTTGATCCCTTGCCTAGAACACCCTTTCTCGCTTCCCCTCGTTCTCTCAGCAAACACTGGCTCGTCCTTGACATTTTATTTTGGGCATCAGTACCCCCGGGAACCCACCCCTGACCACTGTCTCCACACCCCTCCGCCAGTCTTTGCTGGGTTAAGCCTGTCCGCACATCCATCTCTTTCCCACCTACTTGGAGCTCTTTGCAGGCAGGGGAAGTTTTTATGTGTGCTGCAGCAGCCTGGCTGACTGTTGGATGAAAACCGTAGAAGGGGATGTATTCAGTGACGTAAAAGGCTTTTCCCCAAGGCGAGTGATCCACCAAGGCGAGTGATCCAATTTCCCCACTGAGTAGAAAGGAGAGCAGGCAGGATGGGGACTCAGCGCTTCTTATTGTCCCCGGACAGTTGTTGAAGCTTTAGAGCCTTAGATTTGAGTGGAAAGAGAACTGCGAGGCCCCAGGCACTGCATCCTCAGGATGGCAGGAAAGGAGTGGAAAGGCCACGGCCAGCTCCTGGCCGAACCTGCCATGCACCATGAGACGCTCAACCTTGGGTGAATATTCTAGAACAATCAAAATGCTTTCAAAATGACTCTGGAATGTTTATTTTCTTTTGTAGTAATGAACCCAGGCTTTAGCAACAATTAACATCCAGCTCCTAGGAGCCAGATGCTTAGGAAAGGCTGCTGTTTTCACAGGGTTTCCACGTGGAGAGCTTACGCACACTGATTCCTATCTGTGCCTTCCTGGGCTGTGATAAGAAATGGTTCATTACATAGGTGGATGGTTTTGATTTTTGTAGCCTTTTGCTTTTTACAATTCCAAACTGCAGAGTAGTGAGAGTGAATCAGGTGACTTGGCTTAGACTATAAACAAAGAGAATGCCTCTCTTTTTCCATGGATAATAGCGAGCATGTTTGCGGCTCCAGGACGGGCTCTGGGGGCCTGAGACCAAGCACCTTGCTGGGCCAGTGAGCGGGCTGGGCACCTGTGCCTGCAGCTATGGGCGCCAGTTCCCTGGAGGAAGGTGGAACAGCATTCTTTTGTTTACTTGGCTTTTTGTTCCCTAACTGGGTGTGAGGCTAATTCCCTCTCCAGGTACATCAGACCAGGGAAAAACAAAAACAAACAAAAAAGACTTCCTCAGAAATTCAAAGACATGGCCAAGAACAGAGAGTCTCTACTGCAGACTCTGGGCAGGCTTGGCACCTGCCGGGGCTCCTCAGTCGAGCCCCGGTTTACTAGGCGTGGCCTTAACCTGCAGGGAAGTGCTCTGAGCCGCAGATCTTATCACCACCTTGGTTGTTTCCCAGGGAGGAGCCAGCAGGTTATTTCTCCTCATCACACTAGCTGTGGTAGCGACAGTGGTCTGCAAGGCTTGCTTTGGTTCCAATTAAAATGGGGAAAGTCCTTGGCCTTTGCAGGAAGGGACCTGGGTGTGGCTCTGTGGGGATGAACAGACACCTGCCCCACCTCCACCTTGTCCCTCTGCTGCTCAAGGGGGTATTTTGTTTGCACACGGAGGCTCCTGGGTAGACAGCACGCTCCTAAGAAACTGACTTCTGGTCCCGGGCAGCATCTCATTTTGGGATCTCAAATTGGAGCGAAACGTTATTCTACTCTCCAGACTGGGTTCCCTGTCCTCTTGGCTACCTGGATGGTGTCTTGGGGTCCTGAGCCTTTGAGACCCCTGGACAGATGTGGGCTAACTGGACAGCCTAATGCTGGTCAGTTGGGCAGGTGGGTTAGTGAAAGCCCTGGAGAGCAGAGGAGCTGGCAGGCAGGAGGGAATGGCTGGGAAACACTGTTGACAGAAAACAGCACCGTGGGATCGTCGTGTGCATGACACGGTCGGCCGGGTTCTCTGGGTGATAATTTCCTTCTGCAAAGGCAAGACCTCGCTGTGGTTGGGTCATTAAAGGCCAGGCGGCAGTTATTTTTTCAGGATTCCAGGTGACATCCTAGGGGCTGTGAGAGCTGCAGCTCCCTGAGGAGCCCCTTCTTCTCCCTGCCCCAGTGAGCAGCATGTCCCTCTTCCGACTGTAAATTACACGAGCATATTTCCCCATGCAGCGATCTGTGCAGTATGCCATTGATTCATTGTATGATAGACATAATCAGCCTTTACATCCTAACCTAAGACCCACATGAGGTGCGCGCCCTTTGCCCTTCTCTCTTCATCAGCCTACTGGGGCTTATGAGTTGCAGGGACTCCAAGTCAACTTTCACATTTACATTCTGCCCTAAATCTGTGTTCCTCTGTCCTCCATCCTCAGGATATGTCCATGCTGGCTAGAGAGGCAGGATGACACGTGGACGCCAGCACGGATGTGTGTGGCGTCGGGCAGTGAGCTGCTCTGGCCCCGACCTCTTCTCTGTGAAAAGGCACAACAGTATTCAATACATATAAACTATGTTCTTAAGTCACTTGTCTTCAGAGGCCTTCTTCATTGAGGAAGACAACAGGGGTTCTGGTTGGGGAGCCAGGCCTTACAGTAGTTCTTGAAGGAGCTGCACAGCAGGTCATGGGTACTGTGAGTGTGCACTTCGTCTAATTATTAACAGTGCCTCCGTTCACTCTCAACGGTGCCCCAGTTAGGACGGTAGACTATCTCATCACCACTATGCGTGAGGAGCCTGGGAACATGGTCAGAACCATTTTACTCATACAAGTTTGCAGAGGCCTTTAAAGCAAGCCTCTTGGCCCTCTGTTATTGAATGCTGGCCTCTGCTAGGTGCTGCAGGTAGCAAAAGATAAAAGATGTCGTGCTGTTCCGTGTGGACAGGAGCTGGCTATTTAAAGTGGAATGGAGGACTCAAGTACATCTTCATGGGCAGGGAAGAGATCAAAGGCTGTGGACGACGAATACAGAATTATCCTCTGGTCCACCACGTAGCATGCATGCAGAGATAAGCCACTGTGACCAGTCACATCAAGATTCATAGACTTATGCCTAATTTAGAGAACTGACTTGCCAGGTTTGTAATACTAACTTAATAGTGGGTTTTCTGCTGCTGGTAGTGGTGGTTTGGCGGCTGGAGAGCACTGCCTTCCAGTGAAGCTTTGAAAGAGCCGTCCCATGCCCTGCCAACTGTCCAAGACAACTGACAGCAGATCCGACACCTCCATGTAGACACAGATCCAAAACTCACTTTAAAATACTAATCACAGAAGGGGCCGAAAGCAGTCACCATAGTGGCCCAGGAGAGCAGGATCAGTGGTGCCCTGTCGGACATGGGAGAGCCGGTGGCGGCGCTGTGCCGCCTACGCCAGCAGCAGATTCAGCTGCCATCACCAGGTTAATGACCGAAAGCCCGCCCCCGGGGCTCAGCTCGGAGCGCGGCCGGAGGACAGCGGTCCCCTCCTGGCAAGGGCACGGAGCCCCGCAGTGGGCAGCGGCCAGAGGACCCGGGTCCCAGTAAGCGCAGCGCCCGCCGTGGGAGCCACAGCAGCTTGGGGCTGGCTCCCTCCCCAGGCGGAGACTGGGGTGTGCCCCACCGACCCGACCCAGGCTCCCGGGCCCCACTCACCGGCTTGCTGGGCGGCGGCCGGCGCAGTCGCCGCCGGGCGGGCAGCTCGGGCTGGCGGAGGCGGCGGGGCTCACGGCGCGCACGCCGCCCGGGCCCTGTGTACACACGTGACCGTCGGCCCCGCCCCCGGCCGGCGAGCGGCAGCCATGCCTGGCCCCGCCCCCAGCCTTGGTCCCGCCCTGGCCTCCGCCCCCCGGCCCCGCCCTCGCGGCTAGACCGCGGGGAACCGCTCGGACCAGTGAGGTTGGGGGGCGGTGGCGGTGGAGGCAGTGCTGGTTGTGTAACCTGAGACCAGCCATTTGACGAACTCGTGCGAGATTCCCTGTGGGAGGACACACACCCAGGGCTCTGGGAGTTTTTGAGAATTCTCTTAGTGCCCAGCGCGGTTTCTTTTTACAGGCGCTGGTGCCTATTTTGCTGAGTCAGAATATACCCTAATCTGCAGGGTGCAGGCCCCACCGCCCTCCAAAGGAAATGAGTGGCTGCAAGTTAGTCCTTCCAGGTACACCTGCCCCTCTTTCTTCACCGAAGTTTGCTTGCTGTTTCCAAAGTCACCAATTACTTCCTGGTTTTAGGATTTTCTTTGTAAACGGAACACTCACAGGAAAGCCGTTTAAAGAAACACATTGCTGCCTGATTACTTTTGTAGCTATTGTTACAAGTTAAACATTGGAAAAGTTGAAACAAGGACATTTACTTTGCTGTAATTTTTGAGGTGAAACAGTCCCCCCTGCAGCACATTCTGGTTCAGGATCTAAGAACATTTCTGAAAATCAAAGCATGTGGGTTGCACAGTTCCGCATAGACTTGCTGTGAGCTGCGGGCCGAGTGGAACACCAGCAGGAAGAATAGCGGCCACTGGCCCTCCGCTGCATGATGCTGTGGCCTACTGTGTTCAGGGATGTACCTCAGCCACCTTCCTGGACAGGACGGCTTCCTGACCGTGGGTCGGAGTGGGACGTCGGGATCAGCTTTCTATTCCAGCGGGAGGGCAGGGAGAGGCTCACCACGGCCCACGCCTGCTGATGTGATACTGACTTGCTGCCCAGCCCGGCACCAGGTCCCTGGCACAGTGGATGCAGCCCGGGCCCTGTGTGCCCAGAGGTGCCGGGTACTGATCTTACTTGCCAAAGTCAGTCACAAGCAGCCAACACCGATACCTGAGGGCGTATTCTGTGTCAGGTTCTGTTCTGAGCCTCAACCATTGTTTTGAGGTAGATACGTCCGTATTTCATCAAACCTAAGACACGATTGATTAGTGTTAGCTATGCCATTACTTTATGGATTACTAAAAAGAAGGCCCTCTGCCCACTGCATTCCGACATACTGCTGATTTTAAGGCGCAGCCTCACATTAGAGATGATAAAGTGAGAGTACGCCTTAGCGTCAATGAGATAGGTCACCATGTGCATTTTAATATTTTTTTTTTTTAAAGACAGAGTTTCTGTCATGTTGCCCAGGCTGGAGTGCAATGACACGATCTTGGCTTACTGCAGCCTCAGCCTCCTGAGTAGCTGGGATTACAGGTGCGTGCCACCATGCCCAGCTAATTTTTTTTTTTTTTTTTGTAGTAGAGATGGGGTTTCACCATGTTGGTCCGGCTGGTCTCGAACTCCTGACCTCAAGTGATCCGCCTGCCTGGGCTTCCCAAAGTGCTGGGATTACAGGTGTGAGCCACTGTGCCCGGCCATGCATTTTAAATTTAATTGTGAAAACTTAAGCAACTTAGCCCAGGTCACACTGCAGGCCGTGGAGCCAGGATTTGAACCCAGGGGTATTCTGGCTTTTTAGATCAGGGTTTGGGACTTTGGGCCCTCCTAGCAGCCCGCCTAAGAGTAAGCTTCGTTATCTCCATGGTATAAATGGCCCAAGACCTCAGAATCCCTGGTCAGAGTATGCACCGTGCTGTCTGGTCCCTGTAATGCCAGGCTCTGTGGGTCCTACCCACAGGGGTGCTCTGTGGCTGGGGAATGCTAGAGGTTAGCTTCCTCTGAGCCACTGAGCTTTCAGGTCACTGCAGACCGCCTTATCTGCAGAGACTTCCTGTGCCAAGCAGGCCAGTCCTGCCAGGGAGAATGGCAGAAAGCTCGTGTGTGTCCTGGGGAGATCGTCAGAGGGAACCACCCTCCACCTGAACCACAATAAGTACTCGTAGCTGGAGGTGTAAACACTCTCCAGAGGCTGCAGCTGCGTATCCAAGGGTCCTGGCCAGCCCCTGTACAAGACTCAGTTGGTGGGGGGAAGGGTGGGCACAGATTGGGGCGTAGGGGGGCGTGTGGCCCTGACTCAGCTTCGCGGTTGCACCCTAGTCTAGTGTTGATGGTTGAAGTCACGTGGACGTGGCCTCCCCTGTGTGGCTGCTGAGGGTGTTTGAGGGCAGTTGTGTGCTCCTGGCCTGGGGTCATGTGTTTGTGGCTGTGTGCCGTGGCTGCTGAGGGCATTTGAGGGCAGTTGTGCGCTCCTGGCCTGGGGCCGTGCCTCTGTGGTTGTGTGCCGTGTGTGTTGCGGGTGGGGGGTGCCCTAGTTGTGCACCTGATTCTGCAGCCCCGCACACTGCCGAGGCTCCTGTGTGCCGTGTGTGTTGCGGGTGGGGGATGCCCTAGTTGTGCACCTGATTCTGCAGCCCCGCGCACTGCCGAGGCTGCTGTGATGCAGCCGCGTGTCTCACGGAGATGTTGGGGCCGCCCTTCCCCTTCCCCTGCCGCATTCAGGCGGGTCGGCAGGCTTTCTTGCTTATTCTGAGTGGCGGTCCGGAAGGTCAGCTGCACGCCACCCAGGGATCCGGGGCTGCTGGTCAGGAGCTGGAGAGGGGCCCAGCTGGCCTGGGTCTGTCTGCACGTGGGCTTTCTCGGGGGGGCGGGGAGTGGTGGGAAAAGCTGGCTGGCGTTCCCCTCGGAGATGAACCTTCTCTAGTGATTGTGTTGGCAGAGTGAGTCTGATAGTGTGTGCCGTGCTGATCACGGACAAGGAATATTTTGCAACGAACTTCCTAGTTCTTGTGAGTATGGCTTGTGACTTTCTTTGTGGCCTGTTGATTATAAGGCGCACCCTGACGTTACAGATGATAAAATGAGAGTGAGCCTTAGCATAAGTGAGACAGCATGTCATCATCTGACACTCTGTGCATGTGTTAGTAAAACGTGGTGTTGTTCAGAGCCCCCATAAACGGCAGTAACATTAGTAAGGAATTGTGGAGTCCCTGGGCAGAGCCCAGGTCCCCTTCCCCGCAGCGCGGACCCCAGGTCCCGTTCCCCGCAGCGCGGACCCCAGGTCCCGTTCCCCTGCAGCGCGGACCCCAGGCCCCCTTCCCCGCAGCGCGGACCCCAGGCCCCCTTCCCCGCAGCGCGGACCCCAGGTCCCCTTCCCCGCAGCGCGGAGCCCAGGTCCCCTTCCCCGCAGCGCGGAGCCCAGGTCCCCTTCCCCGCAGCGCGGAGCCCAGGTCCCGTTCCCTGCAGTGCGGAGCCCAAGTCCTATTCTGGAGCATGTGGCCACCACCTTGCCGTGCAGGGGCCTCCCTCCCTCCTGCAGTCTCTCCATTCCCTCTTCCTAAATTCCGTCTGCACAGCTTCCAGCCTGGACCTTTTCCATGTTCTGCAGAAGCAGCTGTTCCCACAGGGAACGTGGGAGGTGCCCAGGATGGGTCTCCAGCATACTGCCGAGCCTCTGGCTTCGGGTTGACCCCGGGAGGCACTGTCAGCTGGAGGCCCGGCATGCAGCAGCCACTCACTCACGGAGCGCGGCTGCAGCCGGCACGTCTGCCTTTGCTCATCCTCCCAGCCCTGCTCCGAGCTGCGCCTTCTCGTTGTTTATGTGTTCTAGACGCTAGGCTTTTGTGTATGTGTGGTTTGTACATATTTTGTCCCAGTCCATAGCTTATCTCTTACATCCTCTTAATGAGGGTTTTGCAGAGAAAAGGCTGTTTTCTTTTTAATTTTGGTGAAGTCTAATTTATCCTTTTTTTTTTTTTTGTTCTTTTTAATTTTAAGGATCTGCTTTTGGTGTCATGGTTAAGAATTCCTCAATGACTCCCAGGTCCCAAACATTTTCTCCTACATTTTCTTATCAAAGTTTTATAGTTTTACATTTGACATTTAAATAGATGATCTATTTGAGTTCATTTTTTGTGAGGTTTAGGTTGTTGTTTTGGTTTTGTTTTTTGTTTTTGAGACAGGGTCTCACTCTGTCATGCAGGCTGGAATGCAGTGGTGCAATCATAGCTCACTGTAGCCTTGAACTCCCAGGCTCAAGCAATCCTCACTCCTCAGCCTCCTGAGTACCTGGGAGTACAGGTGCGTGCCACCATGCTTGTCTAATTTTTAAAGTTTTTTTGCAGAGATGGGGGGTCTCACTGTGTTGCCCAGGCTGGTCTCAAACTCCTGGCCTCAAGCAATCCTCCCACCTCAGCCTCCCAAGCAGCTGGGAATACAGGTATGTGCCAGCATGCCCAGCCTGGATTTTTTTTTTTTTTTTTTTTTAAATTTATTTTTTTATTGATAATTCTTGGGTGTTTCTCACAGAGGGGGATTTGGCTGGGTCATGGGACAATAGTGGAGGGAAGGTCAGCAGATAAACAAGTGAACAAAGGTCTCTGGTTTTCCTAGGCAGAGGACCCTGCAGCCTTCCGCAGTGTTTGTGTCCCTGATTACTTGAGATTAGGGATTGGTGATGACTCTTAACGAGCATGCTGCCTTCAAGCATCTGTTTAACAAAGCACATCTTGCACCGCCCTTAATCCATTTAACCCTGAGTGGACACAGCACATGTTTCAGAGAGCACAGGGTTGGGGGTAAGGTCACAGATCAACAGGATCCCAAGGCAGAGGAATTTTTCTTAGTGCAGAACAAAATGAAAAGTCTCCCATGTCTACTTCTTTCTACACAGACACGGCAACCATCCGATTTCTCAATCTTTTCCCCACCTTTCCTGCCTTTCTATTCCACAAAGCCGCCATTGTCATCCTGGCCCGTTCTCAATGAGCTGTTGGGCACACCTCCCAGACGGGGTAGTGGCCGGGCAGAGGGGCTCCTCACTTCCCAGTAGGGGCGGCCGGGCAGAGGCGCCCCTCACCTCCCGGACGGGGCGGCTGGCCGGGCGGGGGGGCTGACACCCCCCCACCTCCCTCCCGGACGGGGCGGCTGGCCGGGCAGAGGGGCTCCTCACTTCCCAGTAGGGGCGGCCGGGCAGAGGCGCCCCTCACCTCCCGGACGGGGCGGCTGGCCGGGCGGGGGGGCTGACCCCCCCCCCCACCTCCCTCCCGGACGGGGCGGCTGGCCGGGCGGGGGGCTGACACCCCCACCTCCCTCCCGGACGGGGCGGCTGGCCGGGCAGAGGGGCTCCTCACTTCCCAGTAGGGGCGGCCGGGCAGAGGCGCCCCTCACCTCCTGGACGGGGCGGCTGGCCGGGCGGGGGGGCTGACCCCCCCCACCTCCCTCCCGGACGGGGCAGCTGGCCGGGCGGGGGGCTGACACCCCCACCTCCCTCCCGGACGGGGCGGCTGGCCGGGCAGAGGGGCTCCTCACTTCCCAGTAGGGGCGGCCGGGCAGAGGCGCCCCTCACCTCCCGGACGGGGCAGCTGGCCGGGCAGGGGGGCTGACCCCCCCCACCTCCCTCCCGGACGGGGCGGCTGGCCGGGCGGGGGGCCGACACCCCCACCTCCCTCCCGGACGGGGCGGCTGGCCGGGCAGAGGGGCTCCTCACTTCGCAGTAGGGGCGGCCGGGCAGAGGCGCCCCTCACCTCCCAGACGGGGCGGCTGGCCGGGCGGAGGGCTGACCCCCCGACCTCCCTCCCGGACAGGGCGGCTGGCCAGGCGGGGGGCTGACCCCCCCACCTCCCTCCCGGACGGGGCGGCTGGCCGGGCAGAGGGGCTCCTCACTTCCCAGTAGGGGCGGCCGGGCAGAGGCGCCCCTCACCTCCCAGACGGGGCGGCTGGCCGGGCGGAGGGCTGACCCCCCCACCTCCCTCCCGGACAGGGCGGCTGGCCAGGCGGGGGGCTGACCCCCCCACCTCCCTCCCGGACGGGGCGGCTGGCCGGGCAGAGGGGCTCCTCACTTCCCAGTAGGGGCGGCCGGGCAGAGGCGCCCCTCACCTCCCGGACGGGGCGGCTGGCCGGGCGGAGGGCTGACCCCCCCACCTCCCTCCCGGACGGGGCGGCTGGCCAGGCGGGGGGCTTACCCCCCCACCTCCCTCCCGGACGGGGCGGCTGGCCGGGTTGGGGGGCTGACCCCCCCATCTCCCTCCCGGACGGGGTGGCTGGCCGGGCTGAGGGGCCCCTCACTTCCCAGTAGGGGCGGCCGGGCAGAGGCACCCCTCACCTCCCGGACGGGGTGGCTGGCCGGGCGGGGGGCTGACCCCCCCACCTCCCTCCCGGACGGCATGGCTGGCCAGGTGGGGGGCTGACCCCCCCACCTCCCTCCCGGATGGCACGGCTGGCCGGTCGGGGGGGCTGACCCCCCACCTCCCTCCCAGATGGGGCGGCTGGCCGGGCGGGGGGTTGACCCCCCCCCACCTCCCTCCCGGACGGGGTGGCTGCCGGGCGGAGATGCTCCTCACTTCCCAGATGGGGTGGCTGCCGGGCGGAGAGGCTCCTCACTTCTCAGACAGGGCAGCTGCCGGGCGGAGGGGCTCCTCACTTCTCAGACGGGGTGGTTGCCAGGCAGAGGGTCTCCTCACTTCTCAGACGGGGCGGCCGGGCAGAGACGCTCCTCACCTCCCAGACGGGGTCTCGGCCGGGCAGAGGCACTCCTCACATCCCAGATGGGGCGGCGGGGCAGAGGCGCTCCCCACATCTCAGACGATGGGCGGCCGGGCAGAGACGCTCCTCACTTCCTAGATGTGATGGCGGCTGGGAAGAGGCGCTCCTCACTTCCTAGATGGGATGGCGGCCGGGCGGAGACGCTCCTCACTTTCCAGACTGGGCAGCCAGGCAGAGGGGCTCCTCACATCCCAGACGATGGGCGGCCAGGCAGAGACGCTCCTCACTTCCCAGACGGGGTGGCGGCCGGGCAGAGGCTGCAATCTCGGCACTTTGGGAGGCCAAGGCAGGCGGCTGGGAGGTGTAGGTTGTAGTGAGCCGAGATTCACGCCACTGCACTCCAGCCTGGGCACCATTGAGCACTGAGTGAACGAGACTCCGTCTGCAATCCCGGCACCTCGGGAGGCTGAGGTTGGCGGGATCACTCGCGGTTAGGGGCTGGAGACCGGCCCGGCCAACACAGCGAAACCCCGTCTCCACCAAAACCAGTCAGGCGTGGCGGCGCGCACCTGCAATGGCAGGCACTCGGCAGGCTGAGGCAGGAGAATCAGGCAGGGAGGTTGCAGTGAGCCGAGATGGCAGCAGTACAGTCCAGCTTCGGCTCCGCATCTTCCTTTCTGTTCTAAAAGCCTTTTCATTTCTTTTTCTTGCCTTATTGTACTGTTCCAAACTTTAGGGAGGAGGCATTTCTCCTTTACTATTAAGTATGACATAACTACAGATTTTTTGTAGATGCCCTTTATCAGACTGAAGTAAATCCTTTCTATTACTGGTTTGCTAAAAAAAATTTTTTTTTGAGACAGGGTCTCACTCTGTCACCCAGGCTGGAGTGCAGTGGTGTGATCTCGGCTCACTGCAGCCTCCGCCTCCCAGGCTCAAGCAATCCTTTCACCTCAGCCTCCAGAATAGCTTGGACTACAGGCGCATGCCACCACGCCTGGCTAATTTTTTTTATTTTTAGTAGAGACAGGGTTTCGACATGCTGCCCCGGCCGGTCTCCATCTCCTAGGCTCAAGAGATACTCCTGCCTCAGCCTCCCAAAGTGATGGGACTACAGGCATGAGCCACCACGCTTGGCCGTCTGGCTTTGAGCAGAGCTCCTAAATGGCCAGCGAAGCGTTCGCCTTCAGAGCCAGAAATGTCTCTCTTGTTTGGTCTCCCCACCCCGATCCTCTCAATCCCGCTCCTCCAAAGGAGCAGCCGCCATCTTCCCCTATCGGATTTTTTTTAATAGACTTTTTTTTAAGAGTAATATTAGGTTCACAGCAAAATTGAGCAGATGATGGAGTTTGCATGTACACCCTCCTGACACACATGCACGGCCTCCCCCATTATCAACACCCTGCACCCTGAATAGTGCATTTACAACAGTGATGACCCTACACGGCCACACCACGAGCACCCGAACCCCACACGGCCACACCACGAGCACCCGAACCCTACACGGCCACACCACGAGCACCCGAACCCTACACGGCCACACCACGAGCACCCGAGCCCTGCACGGCCACAGCACGAGCACCCGAGCCCTGCACGGCCACACCACGAGCACCCGAGCCCTGCACGGCCACAGCACGAGCACCCGAACCCTGCACGGCCACAGCACGAGCACCCGAACCCTACATGGCCACAGCACAACCGCCCGAAGTCCGCAGCTTATGGGGGGCCCCTCTTGGTATGGCATGCTCTGTGGGTTTTGATAAATGAATATCCACTGTGCATCCACTGTTACAGCACCACACGCAGCAGCTTCACTGCCCCAAAAGGGCCCTGTGCACCACCCATTCATCCCTCCCTCCCCACCACCACTGACCACCACGGAACCCTTTCCTGGCTCCATGGTGCTACCTGTTCCAGAATGTCATGCGGTGGGACCCCACAGCGTGCAGCCTTTTCAGCCGGCACCTGTCACTTCGCAGAATGCTGTTAAACTTGCTCACGTCTTTTCACGGCATGACAGAGCCTTTCTTGTGCTGTCTGGATGGACTACAGTTATCCAGTCCCCTACTGAAGGGCATCTTGGTTGCTTCCAATCTGTGGCAGTTATGAATAAAACTGCTCGAAATATCTGTGTGCAGGTTTCATGTGAACCTAAATTTTGAGTTCATGTGGGTGAATACCAAGGGGCACATTTGCTGAATCCTGTGGCAGGATTTTGCCAACTTTGGTAAGAAACCACCAGCTGACTTCCAAGTGACTGTGCCATTTTGCAGTCACTTCCCACAGCGATGAGTGCATTCCTGTTGCTCCACATCCTCACCCGCATTTGGTGATGTCGGTCTCTGGATTTGGGCTATCGTGACAGGTGTGCGGTGCCTCACTGCTATTTTCATGGGCGCTCCCTCACGTCAAAGGATGTCGCGCGTCTGGCCCCATGCTTATTTGCCATCTGTAAATCTTCTTTGGTTCGAGGTTTATTGTTTTCCTGTGGACATCCCGTTGTTCCAGCAGCATTTGTTGAAAAGATTTCTGTCCCCATGGAATTGCCTTTACAAACTTTGTCAGAAATCAGATTGCTCCATTACTGGGTTTACGCTCAGAGGAATATAAATCTTTCCACCATAAAGATGCATGCATGCAAATGTGCACTGCAGCCCTGTTCACAGTCACAAAGACATGACACCAGCCCAGCACTGTTCACAATAGCAAAGACATGACACCAGCCCAGCACTGTTCACAGTCACAAAGACGTGACACCAGCCCAGCACTGTTCACAATAGCAAAGACATGACACCAGCCTAGCACTGTTCACAGTCACAAAGACATGACACCAGCCCATCACTGTTCACAATAGCAAAGACATGACACCAGCCCAGCACTGTTCACAGTCGCAAAGACATGACACCAGCTGAAATGCCACCAATGGCAGATTGGATGAAGAAAATGTGGTACATATACACCATGGAATACTATGCAGCCATTAAAAAGAGTGAGATCATGTCTTCTGGGAACATGGATGGAGCTGGAGGCCATTATCCTTAGCAAAGTAAGGCAGGAACAGAAAACCAAATACCACATGTTCTCACTATAAGTGGGAGCTGAATGATGAGAACTCATGAGCACAAAGAAGGGAACAACAGACACAGGAGTGAATTTGAGGGTGGAGGTGGGAGGAGGGAGGAGGAAAAGGAGGGTGGAGGGTGGGAGGAGGGAGAGAAGGTGAAAAATAACTACTGGGTACTAGGCTCAGTACCTGGGTGATTAAATAATCTATACAACAAACCCCCATGACACAAGTTTACCTGTATAACAAACCTGCACAGGCACCCCTAAACCTAAAATAAAATTTTGAAAAAATCACATTGCTAACATGGGGCACCTCCTGGGTTCACTGTTCTCTGTTCCTCTGTGTGTCTCCCACTGCCCGTGCTGCACCACAGCTGTCCGATGTCCCGAAATCAGGCATGCAGTTCCTTCTAGTCATCGTATTTCAGCGCTGTTTTAGCTATCCTTGTTACTTTGCTTTTCCATATACGTTTTAGAATAATCTTGTCTTTACCTACAAAAAAAAAAACCCTGAAATTTACGGTAGGAGTTGCATGAAACATGTACCTCAATTTTGGGAGAATTTATGTCTTGACTCTGCTGTCTGTTCTGTCCATTAACACAATGTGTCTCTCCATTTATTTGGATTCTTCAAAGTTTGTTTCTTCAGTGTTTTGTGGTTTTTAGCATTTAAGTCCCATACAGGTTTTGTTAAATTTACAGCTAAGCATTTCCTTGTTGCTGAGCAGTCGTAGGTGGTGGTAGCACGGGAATGCCAGTTTCCGCGAGCCCATTGCCAGCTCCCTGACTGTCTGCGGTCCCATGCCTTCTGAACCCACTCACAGTCCCAGGATTTATTTCGTAGATTCTCTGAGATTTCCTGCATCAACGGTCATGCCGCTTGCAAATACAGAGAGTTATATTTCTTCCTTTCTGGTCCTTTTCCTGCCTGTGGCCCCCGGCCAGCCTGATGCTGGATAGCAGTGGGGACAGTGGGAGGGTGGACACCCTTGCCCTGCTCCTGGCCTTGGAGGAGCACCTGCAGATGTGCCTCACCTCACTCAGGAGGCACCTCCATTACTGATTTCCTGGGTGTCTCCTCCCCTCACTCAGGAGGCACCCCCATTACCGATTTCCTGGGTGTCTCCTCACCTCACTCAGGAGGCACCCCCGTTACCGATTTCCTGGGTGTCTCCTCACCTCACTCAGGAGGCACCTCCGTTACCGATTTCCTGGGTGTTTACCACGCGTGGGTCTTGAACTTCGTCACATGCCCCCTGCATCAGTTGGTTTGACCACGTCGTATTTCTTCTGTAGCCTGTTGATAGGGTGCATTATATCGATGGTATTTTTTTTTTTTTTGAGACGGAGTTTCGCACTTATTGCCCAGGCTGGAGTGCAAATGGCGTGATCTCGGCTCACTGCAACCTCCACTTCCCAAGTTCAAATGATTCTCCTACCTCAGCTTCCTGAGCAGCTGGGATTACAGGCATAACCCACCACACCCGGCTAATTTTTGTGTTTTTAGTTGAGACGGGGTTTCTCCGTGTTGGTCAGGCTGGTCTTGAACTCCCGACCTCAGGTGATCCGCCCGCCTCAGCCTCCGAAAGTGCTGGGATCACAGGCGTGAGCCACTGCGCCCGGCCCAATGGATTTTTAAATAGTGAGCGAGCCTTCCACCTCTGGAGTGAACTCCACTTGTCATGCATGGTGTGTGACTCTTTTTCCATGTTGCTGAGTAGGATGTTTGCGTCTGTATTTATGAGGGATATTAGTCCGTAGTTTTGTTTTCATCTGGTTTGGGTATCAGGGTTCTACTAGCTTCACAGACCGAGCTGGGCTGTGTTCCCTCGTATCGAGGTAGTGGTAGGTCTTCTTTCAGTGTGTAACGGACTTGCCGAGACTGTCCGTGGCCTGGGTCCGCACCGCGAGTGCACAGAGGAGAGGCCCTCCAGCAACCTGGGGCTCACAGGTTTCCCAGAGAGGGGGTATCCGGGCAGGGTAGTGAGGAGCGTGCAGGATTGGTCAGGCAGACAGTGTGACTGGGCTGGAGGAAGGATGCTTGGGGCAGAGGCGCTGCCCACATACGTGCAGTACCCTAGCATCGTGCTTTCTGGCGACTCCGACCAGTGTTTTCTCTTGGGGACCTGCTGATTGGGTGGTTTTCCTGCCCCTGCCTGTCATGGACAGACTGGAGCAGCCCAAGGGCACCACTGTCACCTGAGGGTGCCTGGCGGTGTGGGCGGGTGGCTGCAGCCTCTGAGGGCCACTGTCACCTGGGGGTGCCTGGAGGTGTGGGCGGGTGGCTGCGGCCTCTGAGGGCCACTGTCACCTGGGGGTGCCTGGCGGTGTGGGCGGGTGGCTGCGGCCTCTGAGGGCCACTGTCACCTGGGGGTGCCTGGCGGTGTGGGCGGGTGGCTGCGGCCTCTGAGGGCCACTGTCACCTGGGGGTGCCTGGCGGTGTGGGTGGGTGGCTGTGGCCTCTTAGGGCCAGGGCCTCCACTTCTCAGGGCCTCCTGGCCCTCACACCTCCACAGTGGATTCTCGTGATGCCACGAAAGTGATTTGGCAGACAGGAGCCTCGCCGAGGCCTCCACGGCACCTTCTCTGCTCTGGCCAACAGCAGATCCACCTGCGGGGGGCTTCATCCTCAGCCCCAGGTTCCATTTCAGAGACTTTATTTTCAGGCGGGCCGAGTGCGAGGGACGTGTTGGGGCAGCCCCGTGGGCCGGGAGCAGTTCTCTGGATCTGGGGCCCATCTACCCTGCATTCTCTGGGGCGTGGTGTGTCTGGGAAGTGGGGCCCACTGACCACCTGAGCAGGGCAGTTAATTAAAAGAATGCGTCAGACATAGTTATGTCTTTTTTGAATGACTCAGAATGTTCCACATGGTCTTGGGGTGCCTGGGCCCAGGTTTCGAAGGCGAATTCTCATTACCTGGGGAAGGTTTGGTGACCAGGTTGCTCTCACCCCCTCGGCACGTCCTCGCAGCCACCCCGCACTCTCGGCCCGTTCCCCGGGTGGTGTTTGCTGGCCGCCCCCCGCACCTGGACCACTCTGCCCTCCCTGCAGGTCTCTGCCGCCCCGGACCACTCTGCCCTCCCTGCAGGTCTCTGCCGCCCCGGACCACTCTGCCCTCCCTGCAGGTCTCTGCCGCCCCGGACCACTCTGCCCTCCCTGCAGGTCTCTGCCGCCCCGGACCACTCTGCCCTCCCTGCAGGTCTCTGCCCCCCCGGACCACTCTGCCCTCCCTGCAGGTCTCTGCCGCCCCGGACCACTCTGCCCTCCCTGCAGGTCTCTGCCGCCCCGGACCACTCTGCCCTCCCTGCAGGTCTCTGCCGCCCCGGACCACTCTGCCCTCCCTGCAGGTCTCTGCCGCCCCGGACCACTCTGCCCTCCCTGCAGGTCTCTGCCCCCCCGGACCACTCTGCCCTCCCTGCAGGTCTCTGGTCCCCCGGACCACTCTGCCCTCCCTGCAGGTCTCTGCCCCCCCGGACCACTCTGCCCTCCCTGCAGGTCTCTGCCCCCCCGGACCACTCTGCCCTCCCTGCAGGTCTCTGGTCTCTGCCCAGGAGCCGCCTGTGGTGCTGTTTCGCTGATTTCCTTCCTCCCCCAACCATTTTAAATCTCAGAAAAACAGCCTACCCTTAACTTTTCTCCTCAGTATTATTACAGCCTCAGCATAGCCTCTCAATGGGCACGCATCTTTGTCTTGTTCTGTCCAGATATGTAGCGTGTGGAACGGCATCCCGTGTACGGAAGCAGTTCACCAGCTATCTGGGGGCCCTTCCTTTCCTCTTGGCCCCTCCTCCTGACCAGGACCTGCCGACCTGCTGGGGGAGGGGGCTCTAGGGTCTCAGTGTGGACCACTGGCCACTGATGCTTCAAGCCAAGGCAGTGGGAGGGCTCCCTCCTGGCCACTCCACCCTTGAGACTGTACTAGGTACAAGGGGCCCTTAGCTCAGCCTGGGTGGATGCATGGACTGGTGCGTTTGTGGAGGTGGTTGGATGTGCCGGTGCAGTAAGCAGCCTTGCACCTGCTGCTCTGTGTTGGGGCCCGGGGTGTGGGCTGTGGGAAAGCAGGCATGGTGGCACCTGCCCAGAGAGAGCCCCACCTGCCCAGAGAGTCCCACCTGCCCGGGGAGAGAGAGAGAGTCCCCGCGTGCCCCGGGAGAGAGAGAGAGTCCCCCCCTGCCCCGGGAGAGAGAGAGTCCCCGCCTGCCTGGGGAGAGAGTCCCACCTGCCCAAAGCCACAAGCCTATGTGTGCCTTCATGGGTCTGGGGACAGCACAGCCCTACAGGTGGGTCACTGGGCAGGACCTAGGAAGGCATAGCAGCTGGTATGTGTCCACCTTTGCTGGGCTTGGTTCCCCCTCTGTGAAGTGCAAAGAGCAGGGTAGCTGGAAGCGTGAGATGGAGTGGAGTGAAGCCCCTGGGTCCTCAGCCGGCACCACGTCCCCATCCCTGTGGGGCTAGTGGCCCAGCCCGGGGGACTGCACCCCACTGCCAGGCCAGCTTCTCCCGCTCCTGCTCTTGTCCTTGTCTCCCAAAGCAGCCCAGAGCCACCAGCACAGAACTACGGGGAGAAGAAACCTGGTCCCCGGGCTCAGGTGTGGAGGCGGGTGGCTGTGCGAGTTGGTGCGTTGGTGAAGACGGCATATGAGCAGGATTGGCGCGTTTATGGAGGTGGGTGGATGCGTGGGTCGTTGCGTTCGGGAAGACAGGTGGATGCGCGGAGTTGGCGCGTTCATGGAGGCAGGTGACTGTGTGGGCTGGCGCATTCATGCTGGGGACACACTGGGGAGTCAGCACACAAGGCCACTGGGGCTCAGAAGGCCCAGAATTGAGTCCCTCCCATGAAACCGGTGACTGAGCACACACTTCCTTCTCTGAAAGCGGGGTGCGGACACCAGTGGCAGAGACACTAAATCGGAAGCACTGCTGCATAGCCGCTGCAGGCAGTGGGCAGGACATCCCTTCCTGGCCTCCTCGTGTCCACCAGCTCCAGGAGGCCTCCAGTCCACCCTTGCCTGCCCCGCTGCCACCACAGAGCAGGCCTCTGCATGGGAACAGGCCTGGAGATGGTGAAACAGCTAGGAGGAAAACAGCCAGCCCCAGGCCTGACTCCGGCCTTGCAGATCCTTATTCAGCGGGGGACTGGGGTGCCCACACCATCTCCCCAGGCAGGGGTGGCCTCCAGAGCAGGGCCCCGCGACCAGAGCTCAGTGTGTCCTGGACCCTGACGCCTTGAGAGGGAGTCTAAGCCTCTCCTCGCCCTGGAACCGGCCCAGCCTCCGGGCTCACTGTGCTCTGGGTGGCCAGTGCGGCTCCCTCGCACCATAAAATTGATCTGCAAGGCAGGCACCGTGGTGCATGCTTGTAATCCCAGTCAGTGCTTTAGGAGGCCAAGGCAGGAGAATCACATGAGTCCAGGAGTTCCAGCCTCCTATGCCAGGCAACATAGTGAGACCCCATCTCTCCAAAAATTAAAAATTAGGCTGGGCATGGTGGCGCACCTGTAATCCCCGTACTTTGGGAGGCCGAGGCAGGAAGATCACTTGGGCCCAGGAGTTCGTGAACAGCCTGGGCAACGTAGTGAGACCCTGTCTCTACAAAAAATTTAAAAATTAGCTGGACACAGTGGTGCACTCCTGTGGTCCCAGCTACTCGGAAGGCCAAGGTGGGAAAATCACTTGAGCCCAGGAAGTTAAGGCTGCAGTGAGCTACAATGGTGCCACTGCACTCTGGCCTGGGCGACAGAGCAAGACCCTATCTCCAAAAACAAACAAGCAAAAAAACTGATCTGCAGTCTTAGTCCCAGGGCAGGGAACTCACAAGCCAGAAGAGATCTAGACGCCCTCTGTGTGGTGAGGAAAAGGCTGCGTGACTCATCCACGTATTCAGCCAGCCGGTATTGAGCACCTCCCCTTTGCTGGACACGTGGATGCCATGGGAGGGCTAGGCCTCTGCCTGCAGGGCCTGGGCAGGGGAGATGGGGGCAGACTGGGGGAGATGGGGGGACATGGAGTCAGACTGGGGAGAGATGGGGCAGATTGGGGAGATGGCAGACTGGGAAGATGGGGGTAGACTGGAGGAGATGGGGGCCATGGAGTCAGATTGGGGGAGCGATAGGGACAGATGGCGGCAGACTAGGGGAGATGGGGACAGACTGGGGGAGATGGGTCTATGGGGGCAGATTGGGGGAGATGAGAGGATAATGGAGGCAGATGGGGGAGATGAGGGAAGTAGGGGGACGATAGGGGCTGGGTGGGGGCGGTCAGAGGCAAGTACGTGCAGCTGGCAGGGGCCCTGCGCGGGCGGGGGTGCGCCCTCCCCGCAGTTCGCGCAGGTGGACCGGAGACCCGGGCGGCCAGAGAGCCTCGTCGGAGGAGCAGTGGGGGCTGCAGCAGGGTCCACCCCCGCCTTCTCAGCGCCGAGGCCCCGCCCCGGCTCTCCCACCCCCGCGCCGAGGTCCAGTCCCCGCAGGCGCGCTGGCGTCACGGTCCAGCCGGCTGGATCTGGTTCCAGCCGCGCCGGGCCGGCCGGGCATGCGCAGTGTGGAGGCGCTGAGGCTGCTGGAGGCGCGGGCCGGGCGGTGCGCACTGCGGGCGCATCCCTGCCCCGGCGCCGTCCGTGCCCGCGGGACCTGACAGCCGGGTCAGAGGTCAGTGCGCGGGGCCAGGGCCCGCATTCGGGCTGCAGGGAGGGGATGGGAGGGGCCCTGCCCCAGCCCCGCCCCGCGGCGACAGGTGGGCGCTCCCGTGGGAGGCCGTGGCGTCCAGACGCTGCTGCGGGCCCCGCTCCGCCCTGCAGACCCCGGGCCGGCCGAGCCGCGCTTCTCGGGGCTCCGCTGCGCGCCGGTCCCCGAGCAGGCCCTGGACGGTCCCGCGCCCTCCTCCCACTTACTCTCCTGGGGGCGCAGGGCCGGGCCGCGGGTGGCAGGGTGGGGGTCCAGGCCCTGCAGGCACTGCGAGCCCTCGAGCGGCCCCGCAACCGGCCAGGCTCCCCTGCGCTGTGGGGGCGGACCGGGCCCCCAGCCGCGATGCAGCAGCCCCCGGGGGAGACACGAGCTCTGAGGACCCTGGGTGGGCTGGAGTCGTCGGCCGCCGCGTGACCCTTGAGAGGGCCTGTGTCGCCCGCAGCGCCGCCTCGCCCCTCCCTGTGCCGGGGTAGAGGACCCCGTCGGGCGCTCGGAAGCCAGGGGCTTTCTTGCCTGAGGCAAGGCGGCCCCCACTGGCGCGGTGGGTGCTAGTGCGAAGCTGTGTCAACTAAAGCAAAGACTCATGATGAAAACAATTGGGATAGCTTCACTCGGGAGCCTTCCTGAGGACGGCGGAGCAGGCCGGCAGCTCCTTCAAGAGGCTCTGCCGCTGCTGCGTCGGGGCTCAGCCGGGTTTGGGTTGGAGAGCGCAGAGGTGCTTGGAGTAGGTCTTTTATCTTCTGAGGAGGCGGTGGCCCGGGCAGGTGGCGGCCCCGTGCTGGTCCTGCGCTGTGTCCTCGGAGCGTCCTCAGCTGCTGCGCGCACAGCCGGGGGCCGTGGACCAGGCGTCCGCACGGACACGCGAACCGGGCTGCCTAGCCTGCTGCTGGGCCTCACGGCTGCAGAGACGGCGGGAATGGTGACCGTTGCTTCAGAGTCCTTTGCTTATGAGTAACTCACCGAATTGACAGTGATTTTTATGAATTCGTTGTGTTCACTGAGGAGTTGTGGCAAAGTGAGAAAACCTAACCCGTACTTAGTTCCCAGATGTGAGTGTTTTAAACTATGTGTAACAACTAACAAAATTGACATGATGATACACTTCACGGACATTTAATTTTGATCCTGCCATTTCCTCATTTTAGAGGCGGTAACATGTTCTGGTTTTTTTCTCGTTGCTCAAACATCTTCCAGGCTCCTGCACGGCGGGTGCTGTGTCTCCGGGCCCAGGTGACCTCGGGGTGAGAAGGAAGGGGCCTCTGAGATGAGAACATAGTTTTGCTGTTTTCAGTTTATACTCAAAGCCCTGCAGTTTCCTGACAGCACAGAGCACACCTGTCACGCGAGCAGGATGAAGCCCAGAGGCTGCCTGGTGAAGTGGGCGGCGCGCTGGAAAATCCACGTAGCTTTGTTCCCTCCACGGGGAGCGTGCAAGGCCCTCTCGAGCACTACGGGAGCCTCGCCTTCTGCACAGACTTCGGAGCCAGGTGCTGGAGCGGCAGCAACTGAGGGGCGTGGATGTCTTTGCATGGTTCCCATACGTTTTTTAAACGTTAATAATGTGATTTTCAGTAAAGTGGCAGGATCAGCATTGAAGAATGGGGAGCAACTGTGAGCCGATTTCCTGCGAGTGGTTGAGAAGCAGGCTTTGTGTGGTTGGCCGTCCTTGTGCTTAGCGGCTGCTCCTGCCGGAGCTGCCTGCCTGTCTTAGAAACAACGCCGCCTCCGACTGCTAGTTAGCGGTGGCTTCCACAGGTGAAGCCCAGGCAGGTTAGTGTTCTCACAGCTAGGAAGGACACGGGCCTGGCAGGGAGCTGCAGCACAGCCTCTGTCGACACAGAAGCACTGCCGTGCGAACCCTTGCCTCCCGGGACAGCTGTTGCGCGCCCAGCAGCTGGAGCGCTGGCTCTGCGAGGGCTCTTCAGCAATGCCAGGTGCAGCTGGGCTCCACCCTCAACTGGTCCAATAGTAGCGAAAGAAACGAGGAGTGTCGTGAATCGTTAGACAGCGTCCATATGCCTAAGTTCAAATTGGAGCCGCCCAGCCCTACCTGTGGATACAAAGCTGCCGTTCAGTGGGGAGCTGGAGCCGAGGGGCCTATGTGACACCCCTGCATGTGGATGAAAATCACCCAGAGGCCCTGCCAACATTCTGGGAGGTGGCAAGGGGGCAGGGCCTCTGGGATCTGGGGTCACGAGTTCCAGGAGGCCTGCTTCTGCTTCTGCCCAGCAGTTCACTCTTCCCTCCACTGCAGCTGAAGCTTGAGCTGCTGCGGGGCCCACCTGGCCGGAGGCAGAAGGGAGCCCTCCGTCCCAGGCAGCGTCCTGGTGGGTGTCTGTCCTGTGCCAGACACTGGCCACAGAGGCTGAGAAAGGAGAGGACCCCAGCCTGCCTCTGGAGGCCCAGGGGAGGCAGTGAAGGGCCCAAGGCTGGTGATGCAGGAGTTTCCAGAGCGCAGGGAAATACAGAGCAAGAAACGCCAGCCCTCAGCTCCACTGGGGAGCCACGCAACCTCTACCGGTGCTGAGGGGTTACAAAGCTCTGTTACCAGCCCCATTCCTCCTGGATGGGCGAGGTCGGTCCGTATCACACCCCCAACCTCTTGTGCTCTGCGACCTCAGAATACACGGAGCTGTGTCCACAGGCCTCAGCGGCTGTGAGCCCCTCGCCTACACTGGGGGGTCCTCAGCTGACACCTGAGCCAGTGTCCTGTGCCCCAGTGGTGCCAGGGCAGAGTCCCCCTCCCTGACCTGACTTGTGCACCTCGTCACCCACCGCCAGCAGTGTCCCCCCACAACAGGCTTGCTCAGTACAGCACCCAACCCAAGTCCCCAGCACCCACACCCCAGTGAGTTTCCTGTGCCCTATAGGCTCAGCTGCTTCTCGTCCTCCCCCCACTTGGGATCCTTGGAACAGGGAGTGGTTCTTATTTAGGTCCCTGAGGTACCAAGCACAGGCTTTGCTCTTAGCAGCCGCCACTCCAGTGATGAAGCCGTTAGCAGACTGGCCTCTGCAGAGCTCTGCGGGGAGGTGCCTGGCTTCTCCGGCCTCCACCCTGGCCCAGAGCTGCCTCCTGAGCAGCGGATCCCAACCTGCCTGCCCCTGGGGCTGGGTCTCCAGCAGTCAGGACTGAGTTGTTGCTAGCTGCTGACAGGTGTGGGGCGAAGGGGGCGCATTTGCCGCATGTCCCCATTGGCAGCATCTCCACGCCTTCCCTTGTGACACCTCCAACCAGAATAGAGCAGGTATGTGGGAGCCCGCACCTGCTCCCCCAGCGCCCCGGGGTCGTCTTCTGCCTGCTCCTTCTGTCCTCCACACTGAAGAGTGTGCTCCAGCTGGGGATGGGCATGTGTGACGCTGGGGAATGGATACCTGTGAAATGGTGGAGTGTGCATCAAGTCTAAATAGCCGCTCGCAGGATCTGGGGGCTTTTTGTTTTCAGAAACCTGATCTGATCTTTATAAAAAGTGCTCCCCCACTCAGTCAGCCTGGGTGTCCCTCCCGTCCAGGCCAGCAGCGCTGTCTGGCTCGGCAAGGAGGGGCTGAAACTGGAGAGCCCCTGGGAAGGCTCTTGTGGGCCAGGTGGCAGCGGGGAGGGTGGCTCTTGTTCCCCGCCCTCATCCTAGCGTTCAGCAGACTGCCCCACACCACAGGTTTCCATTTTCACCCTTGGGTTAAGAGAAAAGCAGAAATAAAAAGTTTCTAATGTTGCTTGCGAAATTCAGCACTGGCCACCAAAGGCACCTGGGGCTTCTGCGTCTCTCTTGTCCCCTGGGGCTCCTGCGTCTCTCCTGTCCCATGGGTCCGTTTCTTGCTGTTTATTGCAACCCGCCTACATCGTTGGTGTGTGCAGCTGAACTCAGGCTGTTTAGGAAGCCCACGGGCAGGGCTCTGTGGGGCCCATTCCTGGTCCCACGTCTCTGGCAAGGGCTCCTCTTGAGCTGAGGCTTCTGAGCTCCTGCAGGCGGGAGTAGGGAGGCAGGTCCCACTGTCAGCCAAGCTGCAGGGTTTTTAGGAAGAAAGTGGGGGCTGTGCACCGTGGGCTCACACCTATAATCCCAGCACTTTGAGGCTGGCCGGAAGGATCGCTGTGGCCCAGGAGTTTGAAAACTCATGCCTATAATCCCAGCACTTTGGGAGGCCGGCAAGGAGGATCACTTTAGCTCAGGAGTGTGAGAGCAGCCTTGGTCCTATCTCTATAAAAAATTTAAAAACTGGCCAGGCATGGTGGCACATGCCTATAGTCCTGGTTGCTTGGGAGGCTGAGGTGGGAGGATTGCTTGAGCCCAGGAGGTCGAGGCTGCAGTAAACTGTGATGGTGCCGCTGCAGTCCAGCCTGGGCCACAGAGCAAGACCGTGTATCAAAAGGAAAGGGCTGCTGTGGAAGGGCCTCCAGTCCCCTGGCCTGGGCTGCAGGGGCCGCTGCTCCAGCCCTGCCTTCTACATGTGCCGAGATGTGAGCAGTCACCCCTGGAGATCCTCACCCCTTCTCTGTAGAACGAGGAGTTGGGCTGCCAGGGATTGGGGTCTGGGCGCGTTGCTGGTGTGTGTGTGTGTGTGTGTGTGTGTGTGTGTGTGTGTGTGTGTGTGTGTGTGTTTCCTGGGAGGAGGCCCCCACAGTCTTCGTCATGTTCTCCAGGGCCCAGTGGGAAGGAGTTGGAAGTTGGATGGAGAGAAATGTGGAGTAGGGCAGGAACCTCCTTCCTAGGAAGGAGCCTGCGGGGGACCCTGCAAGGGGTCCCAGGTTCCCAGGAGGCCTCGGGTGTGCTGTCAGAGGGGCGCTGGGGCTGGGAGTCTGTCCATGTCTTCAGCCTGGGTCTCGTGAGTTCAGGGAGTTTGAACCTGGGTGGAGAATGAGCCCCTGTGCGTCTTCCCTAACCTCCAGCTGACACGAGCTTCCGCAGACCCCGCGGTGGCGGGTGTGGGCGCTCCCCGTGCCATCTGTTGGGGACACCTCACACATCACTTGCGCTCAGCCCGTGTCGCGGCTGCAGGAGCCACCAGACCTTGTAAATACTCGGATGCCCACATCTGCTCGTCTGTGTCTCCCTGTGGCTGTGCATCAGACCTCACGCGTTTAAAACGTCCTTCTGAGAAGGGGCCACAGGCAGGTGCCACCCATTGCCACGGCACCATGGCAGGAAGCGTCCCATGCTCTGCAGGGGTGGCAGGAAGCGTCCTGTGCTCCGCAGGGGCGGGGCGGCCGCTCTCCCTGTCCTCCAGGAGCTCACGTGTGCCTGCCTGTGAGCGCCTCGACGACAGAGCCGGCGCCTGCCCCAGTGTCTGCGCCGGGACCATGGAGTGGCCAGCTCGCCGCGGAGACGTCGCCGCGCTTTGTAGCAGCCCCTGGACTCGTATGCGTGGGTCTTCTGATGCAGTGTGTTTTATTCGGTATCAACATGGAAGGGGGAGAGCATGGGATGTTCCACTGGTGTCCTAGGGAGGAAGTAACTGGGGAGGGAGGACGGTTGGGGGGGATTCACCTTTAAAGAATTTGAGAGCTTGTTTATTTTGCAGAATAAGAGTAAATTAATCCCCTGTGTGTTTCTGATCATTAAGAAGACCACATCGATGCTGTTGGTTGTGGGACTGTCATTTCAGAGTCCGGATCCGAATGTGGTCCTGGCTACTCTGCGAGGGTTGCCGTGGGAGGAGGTGGTGGAGGGCACGTGGGCGTCCCGTGTTCCCTCACGACGGCCGTCACCTGCGATTGCGTTAAAATAAAAGGCTTAATTTAAAAAACTCTTGTTTCTCAGAAAAAGCAGTTTACTACTGTGAGTTAACGCCGTGGGATTCTAATAATTGAGGTGACAAATCTGATTAAGGTTTTCTTTAAATTGGAACAGAATCCGTACGGGTGCCCCATGAGAGGGCTGTGGGACGTGGGACCAGGCTCCTGACCTTGGAACCCCTGGGTGGGGTCTGAGGCGATGCAGGAGAAAGAGGAGCTCGTGGTCCAGGAGGCGCCCGTGGGTGGGGACATGCCTCCCCGCAGGCCTGCGTCTGTCCTCGTGGGACGGGGCCAGGCTTCTGGTCCTTCCCTCCTGAGCTGCCGTCACCACCGTGGCTCACGAACAGTGCAGCGGGGCTCCTGGTGGTCTGCGAGCAGACTCCGGTGGACTCAGGGTTGGTTGCCCTGTCCAGGGGGCCTCGAGTGCTCCAGGACATGGCCTGTCCGATGTGGCCCAGGCGCCACGCCTGTGGGCCGTCATCGCTGTCACCTGGGTGTGCCGAGGGACTTGGGCTTTCCTGCCACCCCCGCGGAGGATCGAACCTTGTGACCCAGGCCGAGGGAGCTGCCCTGGGTGCCCCTCAGGCTCCTGCTCCCCAGGACTCAGTTTATACCCCAAAACCCAGCCTCGCCCCGCGGAAGGGCGCGCATCCCAGTGTGTTTCCCTGTGCCAGGCACAGTTCTCGCTGGGCGGGTATTTTTGCCGCATGCTTTCTTTTAGTGCGCTGTTTGTGTATGGTTGTTGGTGAGCTGTGGTTTCTGTCTGGTGACAAGTAGGGAGGGGTTAGGGGGGTGGTGTCCTGCCTCCAGCCGACCTGCCGGGGTTCCCAGAGGGCACTGCGGTGGCAGCAAAGCCAGTCACACTGGGGCTGGCAGATTGTCCCTCTCCCATCCAACAGCATGGGGAAATGATTGATGACTGACAGCTGCTGAAGCCCTACTCCTGTGCGGTGGATGGACAGTGCTCCCTGGGGTCCCAGCTCCAACTACTGGCATCTTGTCAAAGCAGCAGCCCAGGTGGCCACCACTGCCGATCAGACTTAATGGATGAAGACAGGAAGGCTGGGCAGAGCCCTTCAGCTTCCGACTCTGGTTCAGTCACTGAAATCCGCAATATCATCTCTGTCAAGGTCAGGTCCTACTGCCACGATGAAAAGGCTTCTGGGGAAGAAGAAAGAAACCTGCCCCATGGGTGCCAGCCTGGAGGTCCACACTAGAGGTCCCTGCTGGGAGATCCTCAGCCTGGAGGTTCCCAACCTGGGGGTCCGTGCTGGGAGGTCCCCAGTCTGGAGGTCCCCAACCTGGAGGTTCTTAACCTGGTGATCCCCAACCAGAAGGTCCCTACTGGAATGTCTCCAGCCTGGAGGTTCCCAACCTGGAGTTCCCTGCTGCGAGGTCCCCAGCCTGGAGGTGCCTGCCTGAAGGTCCCCAGCCTGGAGGCCCTGCTGGGAGGTCCCCAACCTGGAGGTACCTGCCCGAAGGTCCCCAGCCTGGAGGTACCTGCCTGAAGGTCCCCAGCCTGGAGGCCCTGCTGGGAGGTCCCATCTGAAGGCTCCACCTGGTGGTGTCTTTCGTAACCCCAGTCCCCAGCTCTGCTGTATCAGGACGTTACAAACGGCCTGATTGCCCCCAAGAAAGTCGAGGGGTCCTGACCCCTGCACTCCTCCGTTTCACACAGCCTGGGGAGCCCAGAGGAGCAGGACATCCAAGGCCCAGGCCGTCTGCAGGGGTGGTCAGCAGACGGCAGTGATGGGCTGGTGTCTGCCCCTGAGATCAGAGGTGAACAGGAATGGGAGCCTCTGTTTCCTGCAGGTCCTCCCTGCTCGGGAGGTGGGTTCGGTAAGGGCTGGGTTTACTGTCATTCATTTCCTTACATCATCTTGGTCTTAGCTGTGTGAGACTAGCTGTCCCTGCAGTCTGGGAGGGGTTGGCCTGTTCCCCAACCCGCTACAGCCCCCTTGTGTGTGGTATCCGCCAGACATATCTCGATAGTGGGGGCTCCAGGTGGGGGCGCCGAGGGGCCCTTGGGTGGAGACGCAAGATGGGGCAGCGGCTGGCGAGAAGCGAACCTAGGGGGCTCCTCTCTGGGGCCCAGGAAGAGTTCTTGGAGAGGCTGTCCTGGCTCTGACAGGAGAGCGGGCCTCCCCTTTGGTGGGCGTGCTGGGCGGGGCCCCAGGCTGCAGGAGGACTGTGATGGGAGCAAGGGGTGCCCCCTCTCTCAGGGAGCCCCAGGAGGGCAGAGGCTGCAGCGCGTGTTCACAGGACGGGAGCATGAGGGAATGCACTCCGCGGCGTGGGAAGAAACAGTCGTGGGGACCAGGGCATCGCACGCGGGGCCTGCCGCATCCATGCACTGCTGGGCCTGGTGCCCGTGTTCCCGCAGAGCAGCAGACACCACCACTCCGCCGGCCCTTGGATCTCTCCTCAGTGGGAAGAGAGGCTGGGGACGGGCCGGCCACCTGCCGCCTCGCTGGACTTCTGCCCTGGGATTCCTGAGACGAGAGCCGAGCGTCCTAAGCTGCCCTCGTCCAGGTGCCCCGTGGCCTCCCTCGGGAAACGCACTGTAGCTTGGCCTCCGGGCCGCGGTCAGTGCCTGCGGGCCTCTGGGTCCAGGCTGTGGGAACTGTCCACTTCCTGGGAGGGCAGGAGTGAGAGACCTGAGTGGGTGACCCCAGGCAGCCCCAGCCCCCCACACTCCATCAGGAGAAGAGGGGTCAGGGCCACAGCCAACCAGTCTCCGCTTCCTGCTTGCTTCCCACCGCCTCTGCCCATCTGGAAGCCCTGGCTGCAGTGGGGGCCCTCCTCGTGGTGATGGGCCTGGAGGTTCTTGGCGGCCACTGGAGCTTCCTGCAGCCACTAGGCCTGCGCAGCCTCCCCTCTGCCCACAGGGCAGCCCCACGGCCACCTCCGCTCTGTGGTTTGCCTTCTTGGACTCAGGGCTTCACTGTTTTGAAAAGCCCGGGTGCTGCAGTGAGGACCCCGCTCCGCATTTCTGCCGGGAGCTGTGAGCAGCCAGGCCAGCCTCCTCACGGTGCCAGGAAGCCTCTCCTTCTGGCCCAGAGCAGCAGCTGCCCCTTCCAGCATTGACCGTGGGTGATCAACAACCTGGCATGGGGGCAGGATTTTCCCTATAGAACCATTGAACAACACGGACCTGTCAGCTCAAGGTACCTTCTGGCTTTGCAGGTGGCTAGAGATCCATGCAACCACAGGTGGGCCTGGTTGGGCCCCTCCAAACCCTCACCCTCTTCCTCCCTCCCTTTCACTCCCCCCCCCCCGTTTTTTTTTTTTTTTTTTGAGACAGAGTCTCACTCTATTGCCCAGGCTGGAGTGCAATGGCGCGATCTTGGCTTACTGCAACCTCTGCCCCCCGCGGGTTCAAGCAGTTCTGCCGCAGCCTCTCGGGTAGCTGGGATTACAGACGTGCACCACCATGCCCGGCTAATTTTTGTATTTTTAGTAGAGACGGGGTTTCACCATGTTGGCCAGGCTGGTCTCGGACTCCTGACTCAGATGATCCACCCACCTCGGCCACCACGCCCGGACCACTCCCCAGTTCTTGACAAGTCTGCAGTTCCTGCACTGTCCTAGACTATGGAACACCTGGGAGGGACAGAGAGCTTGTCCTGGGACCACCAGCTGGACGAGCCTATCACCCACCCCCGAGGTAGAAGACCTGGGGCGCAGCCCTGATCTATTGATTTTTTTTTTTGAGGGTCTCACTCTCATCCAGGCTGGGGTACAGTGGTGTGATCACAGCTCACTGCAGTCTCGAATTCCTGGGCTCAAGCCAGCCTCCCACCTTGGCCTCCCAAAGCACTCAGATTAACATGTGTGAGCCAGTGCACCTGAGCTCCACCCTGATTTACATAAAGACCACACTCTGGGCTGGACCCCACCCGCCCGCGTGCACACCTCAGCTGGAGCCCACGCCAGGTGCCTGCTCCCACTGGGCAGGAAGTGCGGACCTCCGAGAGGCACAGGCTGGGCCTGCTGGCCATGGGTGTGCCCATCACGACTCCCTCGTCATGTCTCCTCATCACATCTCCTCTCTGCTCGGGGCCAGGCTCTGAGACGCCACAGGCTGATGGCCGGAGCCAGGCGGACTTTGAGTCTGGGTCTGAGATGGCTCCACGTGTACAATGCACACTGGTTTCAAAGCTGTGGAGTGAGAAGAAAGACGTGCTTTCGTTAGTCACTTTTTATATGGGTTACCTGTTGAAGGGGCAACCCCCTGTTCCTGTAGGGCCTCGGCTCTCACTTCCTGACTTGGACCCCACCCGCCAAGCCCTAGTGTGCGTGTCCTGGGCCTGTGCTTCCTGCCTGGTGGGAGCTGGTGCTTAGCCAGGGCTCAATGGAGAGAGCAGAGATGATGGCAGGGGTATGTGTGCACGCGTGTGTATGCGTGCTCGTGTGAGTGGGGATTTCTGCCTAGGGTGTGGGAACGTCTGAGCCCCGTGGGGACTTTGGGTCATTATTTAAATTTGGGCTAAGTTCTACTAGGTCTTCTGTCACCTGCTGGAGTTATTTTCTTTCTGCCACATTTTAGAAAATAAAATGCACCGAACAAACATGGGGTGTTCCTACCGCAGCATGGGAAAGGCGAGGCGCCATCCCACCAAGGCGGGTGTGGTTTTGAGCCCTGGATGCTGGGCCCCAGAGCGCCTGGCCTTGTGTGCAGTGGGGGGCGGGGGCAGAGAAGCCCCTTACCCTGCCGTCCGCAGCTGCCCCTTCCCCGCCGTCCGCGGCTGCCCCTTATCCCGCCGTCCGCGGCTGCCCGCGGCAGTCAGTTCACGTGTTGGGGTGATCCCACTGGAGAAGTCTCCCCTCCAGGAAAGTTCGTAAGCATTGAGTCCGTGTCTTGTTTCCCCAGAAGAAGGTGCAGGAGGGTGTGTAGCTGTCTCGCTGTCCTCCACCCCGCTGTGTGGAGCCCTCCCCACCTCCCCTGCCATCCAGGGATGCTCCCCAAGGGCCCGATGGCAGCGACACTGGAGCCCTGGCCCCGTCACCCGGCTGACATCGTAGGACAGCAGCGCCTGCCTCATGCACACCATCCCCTGCATGGCTACTGGACGGGGTCCAGGCCAGGTGACCCCTTCACCCACACAGCAGGGCACGGCAGGCCAGGCTGGTGGTGTCCTTCCCTGCAGCCCCTTCACCCGCACAGCAGGGCACGGCAGGCTGGGCTGGTGGCGTCCCTCCCCGCAGCTCCAATTTGAGCAGGGAGCTCCTTATCTTCCCTCTGAGAGACAGTGGGTCCTTTCTCTGCCATTCTTTGATGCAGCACGGCCACCACTTCCCCAGGGAGCCTGAGCCTGGGGCCAGAGGCAGAGGCCCAATGCCCACAGCCTGAGGTGCTCTGGGCCCGCGTGGCCCTCAGACCAAGGCTTCCGAGTGGTCCGGGCTCTCCGCAGACCCCACACCCTCAATGACATGCACAGCAGAGGACCAGGGTGCGTGGGTGGGCGCTGCTGTGTGCTGCTGTGTGCTCCTGTGCGCTGCTGTGCGCTGGTGTGTGCTGGCGTGTGCTGCTGTGCGCTGGCGTGTGCTGGCGTGTGCTGCTGTGTGCTGCTGTGCGCTGGCGTGTGCTGCTGTGCGCTGGTGTGTGCTGCTGTGCGCTGCTGTGTGCTGTGTGCTGCTGTGTGCTGGCGTGCGCTGCTGTGCGCTGCTGTGCGCTGGTGTGTGCTGCTGTGTGCTGCTGTGTGCTGTGCGCTGCTGTGCGCTGTGCGCTGGCGTGTGCTGCTGTGCGCTGGCGTGTGCTGCTGTGTGCTGCTGTGCGCTGGCGTGTGCTGGCATGCGCTGCTGTGCCCTGGCGTGTGCTGCTGTGCGCTGCTGTGTGCTGCTGTGCGCTGGCGTGCGCTACTGTGCTCTGGCGTGCGCTGCTGTACGCTGCTGTGTGGTGCTGTGTGCTGCTGTGTACTGGTGTGCGCTGCTGTGCGCTGGCGTGCGCTGCTTTGTGCTGGTGTGTGCTGCTGTGCGCTGCTGTGCTGCTGTGCGCTGCTGTGTGCTGCTGTGCTGCTATGTGCTGGCGTGCGCTGCTGTGTGCTGGCGTGCGCTGCTGTGTGCTGGCGTGCGCTGCTGTGTGCTGCTGTGTGCTGGCGTGTGCTGCTGTGTGCTGGCGTGTGCTGCTGTGCGCTGGCGTGCGCTGCTGTGTGCTGCTGTGCTGCTGTGTGCTGCTGTGCTGCTATGTGCTGGCGTGCACTGCTGTGTGCTGGCGTGCGCTGCTGTGTGCTGGCGTGCGCTGCTGTGTGCTGCTGTGTGCTGGCGTGTGCTGCTGTGTGCTGGCGTGCGCTGCTGTGTGCTGGCGTGTGCTGCTGTGTGCTGCTGTGTGCTGGCGTGTGCTGCTGTGTGCTGGCGTGTGCTGCTGTGTGCTGCTGTGCGCTGCTGTGTGCTGCTGTGCGCTGCTGTGTGCTGCTGTGCGCTGGCGTGTGCTGCTGTGTGCTGGCGTGACACCGGAGGGGGAGCGTGTTTTGTCTGGGATCCTCATGTGACACCTCAGACACTAGATGGTCCTGCCCAGACAGACGCCGGTCCAGGGTCACTGAGGGGCGTCAGGAGTATTTCCGTCTGGTCAGGTGACATCAGTGTCACATGGGCATTGCTCACAGAGGGGCCCCTGGAGGAAGGAGAGTGGCGGTCAGCACTCGATGACCTTTGGCCTCGCTTCACCGTGGGTGAGGAGCTGCCCACCGAGGAAGCCCGGGCTGGGTGTTGGGATGCGCTCCTGCCTTGGTGCCTCCACGAGGGCTGGGCATTAGGGGCCCACAGGCCGCAGCTTCAGTCCCTCTGGCCCTCTGGGTTAGTCCTGGCCCCGCCCACCAACCCTCTGGGTTAGTCCTGGGTCCTCCCTGCTCTCCTGGGTCAGTCCTGGGTCCTCCCTGCCCTCTGGGTCAGCCCTGGGTCTCCCCACTCTGCCCTCCTTTCTTAGGTGAAGGCTCTGCTCCCTTAGACTTGGGGGGAAACAGGAAGGTCTGGCTGGAACAGATGACTTTTTCTAAACCCTGAGTCCAGAGCGGCGTGGATGCCTGTGGGCACTGGCAGCTGACAGCTTGCATGAACCCAGCCTCTGCAGGGGCTCCGATGGCCCAAACCCTGTTCATGAGACAGGGACTTGCACATTCCTCCCTGAGCCTCAGGTTGACAAAGACCTGCTGGTGCCTGGGGGATGGGGAGCCCACACCTGCTCTCATGCCCGGGGGACGGGGAGCCCACACCTGCTCTCATGCCTCAGGGACAGGGAGGCCACGCCTCTTCCCGACCCCACCTCTCTTTCCTCACCCCTCAGCCCCCCCAAACAATTTAGCAGGGACCCAGGAGCCACCCAGGTCACTTCCCATCACACCTCCCTGGTGTGAGGCCACGGCTGGGGAAGGTCATTCCCAGGCTGGAGAGACTGGGCAGGGGTCACTGTCCTTTTGGGCTGTTCTCAGAGCCCACAGCAGCCGTGTCAGGCCCTGCCCGGCAACGCGGCCCCCACACAGGACCTGCTGGACCAAGGCTGCCTGCTCCTCCCAGCCCTGGGGCTCTCACCGCACAGCCTGCACACCTGTGCTCACTGCACCGTCCCTGCAGGGCAGGGAGGGCCCGCAGGCAGGAAGGGGCTGTAGACAGAATTGGTGCTCGGATCTGAGAGCTGGGCTCAGGCCGGGACAGGGTGACACCAACCGGAACGCTGCCGTGGCCGGATCGCTGCCGTGGCCGGCGGCCAATGTGGCCCCCTTCTCAGGGCTCGTTTCTGTGCATGTGGTGTTCACAGTCATCACTTAGGAAAATTCGGAACCGTGGAGATTGGTGTCCAGTCCAGGGACCTGGTGCCAGAGCCAGTGCCAGGCTGGCTTTATGGAGCCCCGCGTGTTTGTCCCACGTTTCCTGTTGGCTTAAATTCACAAACCTGGGAAATGATGATGGTTTTTATTTTTGCCAGTTCTTTTTGTTGGGGTATGACTAGCACGTTACCCACCTTGGACATCTCCAGGAAGAGCCAGTGTGTTGTGGCGAAGCCTCACGCTGGGGAGCACGGCTCACACAGGGCCCGTGTCACACAGATGGACGGGTGGGGTGGGCGGAAAGGAGCTGTTGGGTCTCTGCTGCCTCAGTCGAGTCTACGGGAACCTTTTAAAATCAAATTAGTGTCATTTCTTCTCTGTGTCTCTTGCCAGGAGTTAAAGGCATAAAGGAAAAACATAGTTTTCATGCAGTTGTATTTTCTCAAACAGTGTCAGCTTCTCTGTAAGAATCTCACGGCTCTCTTCTCTGGAAGGTGCTGTGGCAGCTGATCCACTTTGCTCCTCCCAGCCTGTAGGGTTTGGCTTTGTGGTTTGTTTTCAGTGTATTTGTTGAGTACAGTGAACATTTTCATTGCCTGATGGTAAGGATTTCATGTTTGACTGCACGAGTGCCGCGTTGCTTGAGGTAGCCTGTGGAAGTGTCCATGTTGTGAAATACACAGCGTAGGTGCAGTGACAGGCCCGCTGGCCGCCTCCCCATCCCAGTCCTCGGGGTCGCAGTTTATCTGTGTGGGTGCAGGTCCTGCGTAAAGCTTTTCATGCACATTGAATTGTTTTATGCATTTTCAAATGTAATCCTCAAGACATCTAACCGCAGGAGACAGAATGTGTGGCTGGAATTTTTATTTTTCTGTACTTCATATGAGTGTCTGTATTTCATCAAGTCTGAAATGCTGAAGACTGTCCTAGCATTGAGATAGGGTGACTGTACTTTTGTACGACTTTCTGCTTGCCCTGGGATGGTCCAGAGACGCCGGCTTTAGACATCACACGTCTGTGACAGGCCGGTGCTTCCTTCCATGAGGCCCGTCCCATCTGTGTTGGAAAGCCTTCATGTTAGGAGAGAGACTCTTGCCCTGACAGCGTCGGCTCAAAGCCGCCCACAACACCTCTCCCAGAAGAGTGGCCCCAGACTGCAGGGTCTGTGGGGTGGACACTGGGCCTAGAGGGGCTCCAGGGGGCCCAAAGTCTGCCCCTTCCCAGAATCCTGGAGCCGGCAGGAGCCTGGAGTCACCCCTGGCTGCTGCGCCAGGCTTTGCATCCTAGGCCTGAAACTCAAGTCCCTAGAAGGGGCCCTCACAGGCTTTTATTTGACACTGGGATTCTTTTAAAAATTTTTTGGTGTGTACTTAGGTAATTTACAAGCCCTTGGGGCAACTTTGGGAGCTCTATGTGATAGTGTCAAGTTTGTTAAAAGTATTTGCTAATTAAACCCACGTTCTTATTTGCTAGTGAAACCCGCGTTCTTTGGAGGGTCGGCACGTGGGTGGCAGTTAGAGAAAGTTCTCCGCTGCTCGTCTGTGGGTGACAGCCGTCCTACCTTGCTCACCTGTGCTCTCCGGGCCAGACACTGTGCAGGCCAAGCAGAGCAAGCAGCAGGTCCCGGCATTACCACGCCCGATCCTGGCGGCCCCACCACCCTCCCGCGCTGCTCCCATTCCCCACGACCTGCCGCGGCCTGTGCCCTCCAGCCTGCCTGGACCTGCTGCCTCCCGCCCCCTCCAGCTGCACACCCTCCCGGGGCCCGCCTGTGTCATCCCAAGATAGCTGAGGTCGCTCACGTCGTGGTCACAGCCTTGGGGAATTGCCTGGTCCAGGACAGTGAGCGCGAGCATAGGGCGGCCGATGGCACGGAGTGGAGCCGGCACCCCCAAGGCAGCGAGCGCGAGCACGGGGCAGCCGATGGCGCAGAGTGGAGCCGGGCACCCCCAAGGCCCCTGGCTCTCCGGGCGCAGCACCCTCACTCCAGCTGCCCCTGCGTCTTCTGTTGAGGCCCAGCACAGAAAGCAGGAGTTTGGAAAAGTTAAAGGTGCACCGGCCAGTGTCAGGCACAGCCCAGGGCAGTGGGTGGCACTCCTGAGCTTCCCACCTCGTGGCCACAGTGGCTCCCTCGGGGACACGGGAATTGGGCTGTGACTCCTGCCAGGTCGGGAGCGCTGGTGGCCAGAAGCAAGAGTGGGTGTGAAGGAAGCTGTTTCCGCAGCATCCAGGCTGGTGCCTGACACAAGAAGCAGCCCTGCACCGGGCGCTCAGGAAGCCTGCGGGAAACAGCTGGGCCTGCGGGTCCCCGGCTTGGCCCCGATATGGGACGGCCTGGGTTCCCCTCGCCATCCACCCCAGGCCAGCGCCCACGTTGCTGTTGCCCACAGCCTTGGCCCCGTCCTCACCACTCTGGCCACCAACCTGGGACCCTACCACAGGGCCCTGCCCACCTGCTCAGGGCCTGTCCGGGTGCCCCACGCATGTGGGCTGACAGACCCTCGGCCACCGCGGCGGCCCCTGTGCAGCCCTAACAGTGTTATGGACTTTGGCCCGTGTGATCAGCCGTGGACTGCGTGGCCCATGGAGTGGGGGCCGAGGCTGGGCCTGTGCCAGGAGGGTTTTTACCTTTCAGGGCCAGTTGTTGTGCCTGCCCCGTTGGCGGCTGTGGGCGGCTGTGGGCCTAGGAGGTGAGCATGGAGCTGGTTGGAGCCGGTCAGTCACCAGGCTCCCCTGGGGGTGTCCACATCCCCACCATGAAAATCTTGCTCCCCAGAGCCCTGCGTGCCTGGCCTGGTGGGTCTCAGAGCTTCCTGCCTGTGTGTGTGGGCGGCCCAGGCCTTCCCACCGGGACTCTTCAGCCTCTCTGTGCCAGGCATCTGCCAGGGACGGTGCTCCTCGTCCCCCAGGCCCTGTCTCTTGCTGCGGACCCCTGGCAGGCTCTAGGGGTGTGGCTGTGGGTGTGTTGGCGTGTGTGTATGGTGTTTGTGGGTGTCTGTGGGCGTGTGTGGGTATCTGTGGGTGTCTGGGTGTGTGGGCATCTGTGGGTGTCTCTGGGTGTGTTTGGGTATCTGGGTGTTTGTGGGTGTCTGGGTGTGTATCTGGGTGTGGGCGTGTGTGGCTGTGGGTATGTTGGGATGGTGTGTGGATGTGTTTGGGTGTGTTTGGGTATCTGGGTGTTTGTGGGTGTCTGCAGGTGTCTGGGTGTGGGTGTGTCAGGGTGTCTGGGCGTGTGAAGGTGTGTCTGGGTGTGGGTGTGTCTGGGTGTCTGTGGGCGTGTTTGGGTGTGTGGGTGTTTCTGGGTGTCTGTGGGTGTTTGGGTATCTGTGGGTGTCTGGGTGTCTGTGGATTTGTTGGATGTGTGTGGGTGTCGGTGTGTGTGGTTGTATGTGGGTGTGTGGCATGTGGGGGTGTCTGGGCGTGTGGGTGTTGGTCTATGTGTGGGTATCTGGGTGTGGGTGTGTTGGGTATGGGTGGGTGGGTATGTGGGTGTCTGTGGGTGTGGGTATGTGTCCGTGTCTGTGGGTGTGGGTGGGTGAGTGTGGGTGTATGGTGGGTGTGGGTGGGTGTGGGTCGGTGTGGGTACATGGGTGAGGGTTGGGGGCTGTGTTTGGCTGTAGGGGTGAAGTCTGTGAATGTGTGTGTCTGTGTCGGGGGGGTGGGTTGCATATATATCTGTATGTAGGGGGGCTTGCCTCACTCTTCTTTGCTCTCCCTGGGGTGGGATGCGTAGGCGTGGGCTGTGCCCGGCCTCCCTTCCTGGAAGCTCCCGGTGGGCGCTGCCTGGTTGATTCCCACGCCCCTAGCTGTTTCCCTGGGCTCCTGGCCTTGCTCGGAGTCTACACTGATGTTCTGACTTTTCCAAAAAAGACGAAGCATGTGGACAGCGGCTGGGGTCACCTCATGGTCACCCCGTGGCCCGGCTGCCCCGGCTTTGACGCTTTGCACCGTCCTCTTCTTTTGTTAATGAGGGGAGGGTGGGCAAGACGGAGGGCCTGTGCTTTCCTGGCAAGATGTGGCTGGGGACACATTGTCACAGCGGGCCCTCTCCCTCCCTTGGGGGTCTTGGCCCCCTCCCTGTCCCCAGCCTGCAGCCCAGGGGGAGCCAGGCAGCCAGTGACCTGCCAGAAAGCAGCAGGCCCCAGGCACCGTCCTCGGGATTTGGGTCGGGTCTGGGGCCAGCACCTGGCCTGTGTGATAACAGACACCAGCACACCTTCAGCCCTCCCTGGGGGCCGGCCCGGATCTTCCCACACTGTGTGGGGTGGGGCAGGACCTCACAGAGCCTCGGGAGCCGGGAGTCTGTGGGAGGTGGACCACGGGGGTGGGGAAGGGGCCTCTGGGCAGTTAATCCTGGCACCTGGCGCCTGCCCGCAGGACTGGCCATCCTCATGTGACCTGTCTGTCTCTTCGTCGTAGCACAGGCTTAGCAGGATGGTGTCGGCTGGGGCCAGACCCAGTGCTTGGGGACAGAGCTTTTGGCCACTACTGAGGTGAGGGTGGGCTCGGGAAGCCCCAGGCAGCGCACCCGTCTCTGGATACCCTCCATCCCCGAAGCCTAATGTGTTCCTTGACTTTCAGGGCGAAGCTGTGCTCAGGCCCGGGCTGGACGCAGAGCCAGAGCTGTCCCCAGAGGAGCAGAGGGTCCTGGAAAGGAAGCTGAAAAAGGAACGGAAGAAAGAGGAGAGGCAGCGTCTGCGGGAGGCAGGCCTTGTGGCCCAGCACCCGCCTGCCAGGCGCTCGGGGGCCGAACTGGCCCTGGACTACCTCTGCAGGTGAGCGGCCCTGCCCCACGCGGTTCTGTCCCGGACGTGCGTCTCAACCCCTGCCTGAGGGGGTCGAAGCCTTCACTCGCACACACTGTGTGGAAGGTTCTAGAGCAGTGAGGTATGAGCGTTCATGCCAGGCCTGTGCTGCCGCCGCTGCCCTTTCTGTCTGAATGGCCCAGAGCCTTCAGGAACTTTCAGGGGCGGCAGCAGAGCCGCTGCCCGTGCAGGGGTTGCCTGGAACTGTGCTTTTAGAAATGGGTCTGATGGTGAACCTTGCCCCAGGTGTACGTCACCACAGGAAGAATCCACGGGCCTGGGTGCTGCTTGGACGTGGGGGTGAGGAGGAGGGAACTCGTGGTGGCCTTCAGCCCTCACTCACAGTGACAGGAGGCGCCACTGCCACCCAAGAGCGGGAAGACGGGGATTGTGGGGTGCTGGGCACAGGGTGCCATCTCCCTGGCTGCCTGCGGCGTGGCTGGGTGGATGGTGCCTGCGGCGTGGCTGGGTGGACGGTGCAGGATTGCAGGGGTCAGAGGCTTTGGCGTGGGCTCCACAGCCTTGCGGGCTGTGGCCACCTCCCCGGCGCTTACCAGCACAGGCTGCTGCCCGTTCCTGTCCGTCTCCCTGAGTGCTGACTGCACCTAGAATAAGGGGTGTCACGGCGTCCACGTGGCTGGCTTCCTCAGAGACAAGAACTGGGTCCCTGTGATGAAGTCACCCTGAGGGGCAGGGTGTCCTGTGGGGGCACTGGCCCTGCCTGGGAGGACAGGCTCCAGCCGCACCTCTGTGGGAGGCCCTCGGAGAGATGACCTCCTCGGAGAGATGACCCCCAGTGTGGCTGTGCAGCTAGCGGAATGAGCAGCGGGGCCTGCGTGGATGTGCACGCTGCGTGCACGTGCACGTGTACGTGTGTGCATGTGTGTACGTGTGTGCATGTGTATGTGTGTGTGTGTGCGTGTATGTGTGTTCGCATGGGTGTGTGTGCACGCATGTGTGTTCGCATGAGGGGGTGTGCGTGTGCATGTATGCGCATGTGTATACGTGTGTTGTGTACGTGTGTGCATGTGTATACGAGTGTTGCGTACACGTGTGTGCGTGTGTTTACGTGTGTGCGTGTGTATACACGTTGTGTATATGTGCGTGTGTACATGTATACACGTGTGTACATGTGCGTGTGTGCGTGTGTGTTTATGCACGTGTGTGTTTATGTGTGGACATGTGTGTTGTGTGTGCATCCCCAGGACGGTCCTCCACCTACAGGAGAGGGGCTCTTGGCTGCCCTGCACCAGGCTCAGCGCCGGGCTCAGGAAATGGGGATGGGGGCAAGCCTCCTGTTTCTCGGAGCTGAGGCTGCCTTGGGGGTCATAGAATGAGCTCAGCCATAGCGTTGGGTGGATCCGGCTGGAACCAGTTGAGTCATCATGGGTCTCTGCACTGGTCAGTTCTCTGGGAGGCTTAGCTTCCCTCTCCCTGAGGAACGTGGGGCTGAGGCCAGGTGCCCAGGGCTACCCCAAGAGCTCTTTCTTGCTCCAAGAACGCGCTTGGCCCAGGGGACCCAAGGTGCTGGCTGTGGTGTGAGGCTGCTGCCTCCTGCGCTTGCTCCTGCTTCTCTGCAGGCAGGGCCACAAGCCACCGCAGGGTCAGTCGCTGTAGACAGAGAGGGCTTCAGAGGCCGTTAGTGCAGCGTCTCGAGCCCAGGTGTGGGCAAGGTGTGGGCTGGGCAGAGCAGGTGGACACAGGCCTGGAAGGTGCCAGCCGCAGGAATGGACTGTAGGCTCCCTGTGGGAGGCAGAGGGCGACTGGGGCCTGCAGCTGTGCCACCTGCACCTTGCCTGTCTCCACTGGCAGGTGCCTCGGGGCGTGGCTGTTCTGGACCTGCCCTGATGCCTGGGGTGGGCGGGGTTTGTCCGCCTTCCTCCCCAGGCCTGCCAGCACCTTCCGCTGCTCTCAGTGTGGACTGTTAGACAAGGGGGACGTTGGGGACGTGGGCAGGAGAGGGGGGACCATCCGCTCCACCACGTGGCTGCCACTCCCTGGTCTTCACCCTGGAGGCGCCCTGACTCCCCTCCCATGATCACACACCCTCCGAGCACCCCACGGGAAGGTCCTGAGTGCCTGGGAGCATGCCCTGCTCCTGTCCTCAGCCTCACCCTCCTCTCCCCCTCTGGGACCTTCCCGTGGCCCCCTCATGCTACTCGCAACCCCCCAGCGGCAAGTCCTGTGCGGAGGCACTGTGTCCTGCGTGTGGGAGGAGGGGGGACTCTTACTTCTCAGAAACAAAGCAGCCCCTTCCCACAGGAGCTTCTTCCAAGGCCTGGGATCCACACACCAGGAGGCCAGCCACAGACACGGGCACCCCGGCAGGAGCTTCTCCTCTTTCCTGGGGGTCTCCAAGGGTGCCCGCAAGCCCAGCCGCATCTGGCTGCCAGATCAGAGCCCACGTGGATGTGTGGAGCCCACGGTATCCCTGGCAACTCAGGGTTTTCCAAAGAGAGGGAGCCCGGGGATTCCCACAGGGGAGTGTCCTCAGCCTGGGGGCTGCTGGGGACCACTGGCCACGCCACGGCTGGCCCACCACAGAGCCCCCAGCCCAGGGGCAGCGGTGAAGGTAGGTGCCCGAGTTGTCCTCCCCCTGCAGAGGCCCTGGACTGGGACTCAGGAAGGACATGCTGGCCGCCGTGGCCCATGGCCATCTTATGGGCTTTCCACGAGGGGTTCCTCCTGGAGGCAAAGCCATCTGCAGCCAGGTGGGCTGTGTGTGGAGGAGACCCCGGATTGTTCTGGTGAGCCCTCATGGTGGAGAGTTTCCTCTCATCTCTCTGGGAGGCACCCCACCCATTCCAGGATGCCCTGGGGGTCTCCCCTCCAGATCCCCCGAAGGCTCTGCCCCCAAGACACGTCGACCCAGCGCCCGTGGGGTCTTCATGCCCCGTCCCTAGAACCCGGGTCGCAGGCTGGGCAGCATCCCCACACGGTGACCTTGGCCTGTGACCTGTGACCATACCCTGGGCTGTTCTTGCATCTCAAGGGTTCATCTTCTCTGCAGCCTTCCTGGGGTGCTCCTGGCTTTGTGTGAAGCTGGGGCTGGTGGGAGCTGTGCAGCAGGGCTGGGGAGAGGAGGGTCCAGAGGGTGGGATGGGGGATTGTGGCCGTCATGCGCTCTTTCCCTGCGCTGTGGCCGTCGTGTGCTCTTTCCCTGCAATGTGGCCATCGTGCGCTCTTTGTCTGCGCTGTGACCGTCATGCGCTCTTTCCCTGCAGTATGACCGTCGTGCGCTCTTTCCCCGCGCTGTGGCCGTCGTGCGCTCTTTCCCCGCGCTGTGGCCGTCGTGCGCTCTTTCCCCGCGCTGTGGCCGTCGTGCGCTCTTTCCCTGCGCTGTGGCCGTCGTGCGCTCTTTCCCTGCGCTGTGGCCGTCGTGTGCTCTTTCCCTGCAGTATGGCCGTCGTGCGCTCTTTCCCTGCGCTGTGGCCGTCGTGTGCTCTTTCCCTGCGCTGTGGCCGTCGTGTGCTCTTTCCCTGCGCTGTGGCCGTCGTGCGCTCTTTCCCTGCAGTATGGCCGTCGTGCGCTCTTTCCCTGCGCTGTGGCTGTCGTGCGCTCTTTCCCTGTGCTGTGACCGTCGTGTGCTCTTTCCCTGCACTGTGGCCGTCGTGTGCTCTTTCCCTGTGCTGTGACTGTCCCCTCGTTTTCCCAGCAGGGGCCCCAGGCTTGGTCACCCAGCTCTGTTTTTCCAGCTCAGAGCCGTGTTGCTCTGGCCTTGCATAGGCGGAAGTTTGGGAGTGCTGGAAGCAGTCCCTCCACTTTCTGTGGGTCTCTGGGTTGCTGGGTCCACTGTGGTAGTTACACGAGCGAGGCACACGGCTGTCAGCGGGCAAGCCTGTTCCTCATTAAAGAGAAAAAAGAGTTTATTTATATGCTTAACGCAGGAAATTGAAGATTTACTTTCCATATAACTGAAAAAAGAAAAGAACACGCCTGCTGGGTGTTCACGTTGGGGGCAGGTGGCGAGGTGACCGCTGCCTCCCTGGTCCCTGCAGGCTTTAGCTCACCATTTTCGGGGGCCGGCCCCCTGCCTGGGTCTGCTCGAGGCGGGAGGTGGTGCCCCCACAGGAGAGAGAGGAACTGGGACCCGGGCCACACGGATCCAGCCGGGACGGGGTCCCCCACTCACCTGCGGGAGGACGAGAGCAAGTCACTCCTGCCGTGGGGCAGCCCAAGCCCACCCTCCTCAGGTCCCCATGTTGCCCAGCACAGCATGGTGTCTTAGCTTCCTTGCACCCCGTGGCCTCCGGGCCTGGAACCCTGGAATGACAGGCCAGAGCAGAGGCCAAACTGTCCCATCAGCGGAGCTTAGGGGACACTTCTTGGGTGTCCTTCCCTACCCAGGCCCACTGCCCCGCTGCCGAGGGACAGCCCAGCTCCAAGTATGGGAGGAGCGGCCAACCCATGAGACCCGGCCCCTGTCCGCGCCAGCCCCGCTCGGGCCTTCATGGGCATTGGGTCGTCAGCTCACCGCGGCTGGCAGTTCCTGGTGCAGTTACGAGCACGTGGACGCTGTGGCTGCGGGCCGGCTTCAGATGCTGTCTCAATAGAGACCCTCGCTCAGTTTTCTTTTGGAAGGGGGTTCAGCAAGAAGTCCCCGCTTTTTGTGGGTTGATTTGTTTGTTTTGAGATGGAGTCTCACTCTGTCGCCAGGCTGGAGTGCAGTGGTGCAATCTCGGCTCACTGCAACCTCTGCTTCCCAGGTTCAAGCGATTCTCCTGCCTCAGCCTCCTGAGTAGCTGAGATTACAGGCATCCGACACCACGCCCGGCTAATTTTTTGTATTTTTAGTAGAGACAGGGTTTCACCGTATTAACCAAGATGGTCTTAGTCTCCTGACCTTGTGATCCGCCCTCGGCCTCCCAAAGTGCTCAGCTTACAGGCATGAGCCACTGTTCCCAGCCGCCCCTGCTTTTTTTTAAAGCCCAGTAGGCTAGCAGGGACTCTGGTTCTCCACCCAGCTGGTGAGTACCACAGGGGAGGAGGTTCTTCTCTCTGGGACGCTCTAGGCAGCTCTGGACAGATGACCCTGCAGTGGCCGTGGCCCCCGCTATGCTGGGGACAAGGGACTTCCCTCTGACTGCTCTCTTTCCTTTTCCAAGATGGGATCTCCTGTCTGCTGCCCCACCTAGGCAGAGAGAAAGAGGATTGTGTCAGGCATCCTGTGAACTGTCTGCAGTTGCGCAGGGACCAGTCCCCAGGGTGGGTGGCAGAGGCGGCCATCACTCAGGAGGCCTCGCCCAGTGCCGTGGGAGCCACAGGCGACACTGAGCACCCCACCCGCCCCTCGCTGTGTCTGCTCCCCCAGTGACGAGGCCAAGAGCGGGACGGCTCATCTTCGGTGGTGAGGGAGATGGGCTTGGCTTGAAGTCTGCCTGGTGGGGGCTCGGTGAGAGAGAGGCGCCCTTGGTTCAGGGCCGTAGGCAGCAGTGCCGTGGGCCAGCAGTGCTGTGGCCTCGGGCCCCATGGGAGGGCAGTGTGCAGAGCAGCTGTGACTGACTCACCGTGCGTGGGCTCTGGGAACACCCGTGAAGTGGGGTCACCACTCCACGTTCCCAAGGAGGAAACAGGCTGGTGGAAAGCAGCAGCTCAAGGTGGGAGAGTTAGAAAGTGGCAGAGCTGAGATGCCAACTTCTGCCCTGCAGCAGTAAAACAGCCCCCAGCAGGCAGATGCCATGGCCTGGCTGGCCCGGGTGCACCTCACAGGGGCCCACGCTGGCCGGGTCGGCCATCCGGGGAGCAGACGACGAGGGGCTGTCTAAAAAGAAAGGAACTAAAATTAAACCTCCCTGGAGGCCCCTCTCATCACGCAGGAGCCCTGCGTCACTGCACATGGGGCTGGCGTGTCACCTAGCAGCTGCACAGCTGGGCTCCACACCCGCAGGACTCCCCACCCGCAGGACTCCACTCACCCACAGGACTCCCCACCCACAGGACTCCACTCACCCACAGGACTCCACTCACCCACAGGACTCCCCACCCACAGGACTCCACTCACCCACAGGACTCCACTCACCCACAGGACTCCCCACCCACAGGACTCCAAACCCACAGGACTCCACTCACCCACAGGACTCCACTCACCCACAGGACTCCCCACCCACAGGACTCCAAACCCACAGGACTCCACTCACCCAAGGACTCCCCACCCACAGGACTCCACTCACCCACAGGACTCCACTCACCCACAGGACTCCCCACCCGCAGGACTCCACTCACCCACAGGACTCCCCACCCACAGGACTCTACTCACCCACAGGACTCCCCACCCGCAGGACTCCACTCACCCACAGGACTCCCCACCCGCAGGACTCCACTCACCCACAGGACTCCCCACCCACAGGACTCCCCACCCACAGGACTCCACTCACCCACAGGACTCCACTCACCCAAGGACTCCCCACCCACAGGACTCCCCACCCACAGGACTCCACTCACCCACAGGACTCCACTCACCCGCAGGACTCCCCACCCGCAGGACTCCACTCACCCACAGGACTCCCCACCCACAGGACTCCACTCACCCACAGGACTCCACTCACCCACAGGACTCCCCACCCACAGGACTCCCCACCCACAGGACTCCACTCACCCACAGGACTCCACTCACCCACAGGACTCCACTCACCCGCAGGACTCCACTCACCCGCAGGACTCCACTCACCCACAGGACTCCCCACCCACAGGACTCCACTCACCCACAGGACTCCACTCACCCACAGGACTCCCCACCCGCAGGACTCCACTCACCCACAGGACTCCCCACCCACAGGACTCCACTCACCCACAGGACTCCCCACCCACAGGACTCCACTCACCCACAGGACTCCACTCACCCACAGGACTCCCCACCCGCAGGACTCCACTCACCCACAGGACTCCCCACCCGCAGGACTCCACTCACCCACAGGACTCCCCACCCACAGGACTCCACTCACCCACAGGACTCCACTCACCCACAGGACTCCACTCACCCACAGGACTCCCTACCCACAGGACTCCAAACCCACAGGACTCCACTCACCCAAGGACTCCCCACCCACAGGACTCCACTCACCCACAGGACTCCCCACCCGCAGGACTCCACTCACCCACAGGACTCCCCACCCACAGGACTCCACTCACCCACAGGACTCCACTCACCCAAGGACTCCCCACCCACAGGACTCCCCACCCACAGGATTCCACTCACCCACAGGGCTCCACTCACCCACAGGGCTCCACTCACCCGCAGGACTCCACTCACCCGCAGGACTCCACTCACCCGCAGGACTCCCCACCCACAGGACTCCCCACCCGCAGGACTCCACTCACCCACAGGGCTCCACTCACCCGCAGGGCTCCACTCACCCGCAGGACTCCACTCACCCACAGGGCTCCACTCACCCACAGGACTCCCCACCCACAGGACTCCACTCACCCACAGGACTCCCCACCCACAGGACTCCACTCACCCACAGGACTCCACTCACCCACAGGACTCCCCACCCACAGGACTCCCCACCGGCAGGACTCCACTCACCCACAGGACTCCCCACCCACAGGACTCCATTCACCCACAGGACTCCCCACCCACAGGGCTCCACACCCACAGGATTCCCTACCCACAGGACTCCCCACCCACAGGATTCCACTCACCCACAGGGCTCCACTCACCCACAGGACTCCACTCACCCGCAGGACTCCACTCACCCGCAGGACTCCACTCACCCACAGGACTCCCCACCCACAGGACTCCCCACCTGCAGGACTCCACTCACCCACAGGACTCCACTCACCCACAGGGCTCCACTCACCCACAGGACTTCCCACCCACAGGACTCCACTCACCCAGAGGACTCCCCACCCACAGGACTCCCCACCCGCAGGACTCCACTAACCCACAGGACTCCCCACCCACAGGACTCCACTCACCCACAGGACTCCCCACCCACAGGACTCCACTCACCCACAGGACTCCACTCACCCACAGGACTCCCCACCCGCAGGACTCCCCACCCGCAGGACTCCCCACCCACAGGACTCCACTCACCCACAGGACTCCCCACCCACAGGACTCCACTCACCCACAGGACTCCCCACCCACAGGGCTCCACACCCACAGGACTCCCTACCCACAGGACTCCCCACCCACAGGACTCCACTCACCCGCAGGACTCCACTCACCCACAGGACTCCCCACCCACAGGACTCCACTAACCCACAGGACTCCCCACCCGCAGGACTCCCCACCCGCAGGACTCCACTCACCCACAGGACTCCACTCACCCACAGGACTCCCCACCCGCAGGACTCCCCACCGGCAGGACCCCCCACCCGCAGGACTCCACTCACCCACAGGACTCCCCACCCACAGGGCTCCACTCACCCACAGGACTCCCCACCCACAGGATTCCACTCACCCACAGGACTCCACTCACCCGCAGGACTCCACTCACCCACAGGACTCCCCACCCACAGGACTCCACTCACCCACAGGAATCCCCACCCACAGGACTCCACTCACCCACAGGACTCCCCACCCACAGGACTCCACTCACCCACAGGACTCCCCACCCACAGGGCTCCACACCCACAGGACTCCACTCACCCACATGGCAGTGGGGTCAGGCAAGCTGGGCAGCGCTCACAACAGGCACAGGGCCCTCCCCCGTGCTGAGCCTACAGTCTTCAGACCTGGGCTTGCACACTGATGGAGGCTTCTGGGCTCGGCTGCCCTGCCTGGCCCTGGAAACACGTATCTGGGAGGAGGTCTCTGGAGTAAACCCTGCCTGGCCCTGCCCTACCCACAGCGCCAGCTTCGCTCCATCCGCAGCTGCCTGATGTCCACAGGCCCTAGTGCAGGAGCGGGACGGGGGCGGGGTGGTTGTGGCCCTGGGGAGCGGCCCCTCTAGCAGCCGGGAGCTGCTCGTCCCCAGGCCCACTGGCCCCTTGTTGTGAGGGCCTGGGACTCAGGGTATTGTTCCTTACAGTCTTCCCATTTTCATGTAGAAAATACATCATCAATTACATCGCTCCCTTTCCTCCCAGAGAAACTCACTTCATCCTTCCCCCCCTGTAAAATCCGTGTGACCCATGGGGTGGGGGAGCCCACGGGGACTTGGGGTCAGTGGTGAGCCCCGGGGTGGCCAAGGTAAGAGTGGCGTCCACATGCTTCCTGGTCAGGCGGCAGCAGGGCGTGGGGTTGCGGCTCCTCGCCTCGGGCAGGGGAGGGGCTCCAAAAACCCTCTTCACATGAGGCCTTGGTGTGTAGTACCTGGTGGGGCTCCCTCTCCTAAGATGAGGCGTCCCCGATCTCTCAGGGCAGACAGCTGCCCGGGAGTCTTTTGCCCAGCACCCTGAGATGTTTGTCTTTCTTTCCCTAGATGGGCCCAAAAGCACAAGAACTGGAGGTTTCAGAAGACGAGGCAGACGTGGCTCCTGCTGCACATGTATGACAGTGACAAGGTGTGTGCACGGCGGGGCAGGCACGTCTCCTGGGGGCTGAGGTCTGTGCACGGCGGGGCAGGCACGTCCCCCCGGGGGCTGAGGTGTGTGCACGGCGGGGCAGGCACGTCTCCCGGGGGCTGAGGTGTGTGCACGGCGGGGCAGGCACGTCTCCCGGGGGCTGAGGTCTGTGCACGGCGGGGCAGGCACGTCTCCTGGGGGCTGAGGTCTGTGCACGGCGGGGCAGGCACGTCTCCTGTGCACACTGGGGCCCTGACAGCAGAAGCCACAGTCTGAAGGGGCCGCCCTCAGGGCCCCACTGCAGGGCAGGTCTCCCGGTGCCTTTGTTCTAAGAGATGAGCAGCGTTGCCTCCTCCAGGAGCCCTGCCGCCGGCCTTCAGGGCAGAAACCAACACGGGGTAACCTTAGGGAGGCCACCTGCACGTGTGCGTGTGACGTGTGTCTACACGTGCGTGTGTGCATGACGTGTGTCTACACGTGTGTGCGCGTGATGTGTGTCTACACATGTACGTGTGGGCAGCTGCCCTTTTCAGGGGCAGGATGTGAGATAGAGTTTCACAGGATGAAACGAGACAGAATTCTGAACTAAACCCGGCTGCTGGGCGGCGGGCTGGAGCTGCCCATGTCCTGTGAGGCTGGAGGAGCCCACGGTTCTGCTGAGCTGCATCCGGTGGGCAGTGCCTCCTGCCTCGCTGGCTCTCCTGCGCCCACGTTACTAGAGGCCAGGCTTTGCGTGCGCGCTGGGGGCAGGGGGCGGTTTTCTCCTGCCGTGCCTGTGTTTGCAGACTCTCAGAGCGGGGCAGGCCCACCAGCCCCACTCACAGCCCTGGGACATTCCAGGCATAGCCTGCAGCCACTTGCTTTCATTATTTTGTTGTTTTTGTTTTTTTGTGGGCGTTTTTTGAGACAGGGCCCCGCCCAGGCTGGAGTGCAGTGACACGACCACAGTTCACTGCAGCCTCGACCTCCTGGGCTCAAGCCACTCTCCCTCCTCAGAGTTAGAGGACATACACATTGCAAGCCCTATTGCAAGCCGATTGTAAGCCCTATTGCAAGCTCCGGTAATCGCGACACTGGGGCAGGCACAAGGGTGGAAGTAGAATTGACTGGAACAGCCTGGGAAGCCTGGAAACCCTCACGCCCGGCGCAGCTGATTCCAGCATGCGGGCCAAGCCTGTTCCATGTGGAGGAAACCTCTTCTTAACAGAGCCAGGGACAACTGGGTTTCCACGTTTTGTTTTGTTTTAACCAAAGTTTACGTGGTTTTATTTATATGTTACTATTACCAAAAGTAAACTTTATACAAAACTTTTTATACAGAAAAATAATCCTTGGTTAGGCAAATCCTTGGTTAGCCATTTATATGTGTGTATACACACACACACACACGCAAAGTTATCTTACACTATTGTAATTAAACATATTTACAAACACACAAATGTGCATTTTACTTATACATTTTTATTTCATATGTAACCGTACATATTTACGAACATGCCGATACTTAATGCACGCAGCCCCCAGCTTCAAACCATATGCAAAAATTAACTCAAAATGGATCAGAGACTTAAATTTAAAAGCTAAAACCAAAACTCTTAGATGAAAGCCTAAGAGTCCATTTCGTGCCCTTGGGTGAGGCAACAGTTTCTTAAATGTGACTCTAGAAGCACAAGCGACAAAGGAAAAAGTCGAGAAAGTGCCTTCATCAGGATCTAAGACTGTGTAGCCGGGCGTGGTGGCTCACGCCTGTAATCCCAGCACTTTGGGAGTCTGAGGCGGGTGGATCACTTGAGGTCAAGAGTTCGAGACCAGCCTGGCCAACATGGCAAAAACCCCGTCTCTACTAAAAATACAAAAATTAGCTAGGTGTGGTAATGCTTGCCTATAATCCCAGCTACTTGGGAGGCTGAGGCAGGAGAATTACTTGAACCTGGGAGGTGGAGATCGTGCCACTGCACTGCAGCCTGGACAACAGAGCAAGACCGGCTCAAAAAAAAAAAAAAAAAAAAAAAGAATCTAAGACTTTGCACTGCATACAGAACTAGCTGGAAAGTGAAATGGTTGCTACAGAATGGGAGACGTTTGCAAGTCCCACATGGAATTAGAACTCTGCTAACTCAATAATAAAAAGAGCCCAGTGTTGAAAGCCGCTGCCACAGGGACCTGAGGAAACGTGCCTGCAGAGCAGATTGTCAGGTGACTGGTGAGCCTGTGCAGAGGTGCCCCCACCACCAGCAGACAAGGGTCAGGCCACCAAGAGATGCCACCTGGCCACTGCCGCCCTGAGCAGAAAGGCGAGCGTGCCAAGTGCCGGCGCGTACTTGGCTTTTTGTTCTGAATGCACCTTTCATCACCGCCTACCCCTGTTTAATTTGTGTCGTATTTTCTCGTTTTTCTGAGGATTTTTACGATGTTTGTGAAATGTTCTCCCCACATGGCTTCTGTTTTACCCAGGTTAATTGAGTGTTTTGTCTGCCTCTAAACAGGCATTTCTTCTTCCAGTGTCTGGGGCAGGGTCTGTGGCCAGGCCGCCCACACCCTCGGGCCGCAGTGGGAGGACGGAAGCCTGAGGCCCGGGTGTCCTTGGCTGCAGCGTCTTGTCTCCTGCTGTTCAGCGGCCCCTCCCTGCCCCGCCCCTGACCAACTCGATCTCTTTCCCGTCCAGGTTCCCGATGAGCACTTCTCCACCCTGCTGGCCTACCTGGAGGGGCTGCAGGGCCGGGCCCGAGAGCTGACGGTGCAGAAGGCGGAAGCCCTGATGCGGGAGCTGGATGAGGAGGGCTCTGATCCCCCCCTGCCGGGGAGGGCCCAGCGCATCCGACAGGTGCTGCAGCTGCTCTCCTAGTGGGTTCAGCGCGGGGCGGGGCCGCTGCCCAGTGCAGGGCTGCCTCAGACCACACAGGGTGCAGCTCCTCCGGCGGTGGGGGCCGGGTTCACCAGCAGGGCAGCGGCTGAGCAAGGGCTTTCAGCTCCTCCGGTGGTGGGGGCCGGGATCACCAGCACCAGAGCCTCGCAAGGGCCCCTTCCCTCCTCCAGACCCTCCTTGGCCGGTGACGGCTGTGACAGTGATGGCAGGTTCAGTGCCTTCAGCGCAGAGCGTGGATGCTCTGGAATCACCCGGACCCCTGGCCTTGGAGGGACCCTCCAGCCCCAGGAATCTGCTTTGGAGGGAAATGTCTATTTTTCTACCGGGAATATTTTAGAGATTGGGGCATGCTGGCTCCTCCCGCCAGCTGCAAACCTGCACCTTCCGCCTGATTCCCGATCCCCCTGCGTGGGCCGCATTCCTGGTCCCCTGCCTGCGTCCATCGAGGGGCCTGGCTGTGGCCTGTTTTCCTTTGACCCCACACAGCGTCATTGCGGGTCATGGGGAGCCCCTGGTGGGAGCTTGTGGAGTCGGATCACGTACCTGTGCAGAAACCGCCTCTGTGGCTGCATTTGAAATAAAACCCGACCCAGCAGCAGCCGTGGGTCCTGCTCTGTGCGGTGCGTCCCCTGCCTGTGGACTGCGGAATTCGTGTCCCCCATGCCAGCGCACGCCAGGCTGAGACCCCGCCCTTGGTGGCCACCCCAGGATGGCATTGGGGGCGCTCTGTGTGTGGCGTTCCTGGCAGTGGGTGCTGGCTGATCGCTTGCGTTCAGGCCGGCCGTTTCCCAGCGCTGGCAGTGACTGACCCTGCCAGGAAACACACTTAGGCCGCACAGAATCAAGCCACACACTTCCTGTTCCCAGCAGCACGTGGTCCCTGCCCCCAAGTGATGTGAGGTGCCGCGGGGCACCGGGAAGGCCGTGGTGACCGCAGAGCTCTGGGCAGCTGCCGGGGAGGGCCGGGTGGCCATGGCGAGGAGGTCCGTGCCCCACTGTGAGGCCAAGTCTGTTCCAGGATGGGCCCCGGGGAGGGCTGAGGCCAGTGGCTCCGGTCTGGGCCTCCACAGAGCAGACACCCAGGTGCTGCTGCCCCGGGGCCGCCTCCTGCCCAGCCCAGGTTGGGGGTTTGTGCTGCCGTCTCAGTGCTCCCCCAACTGACGGTGGAGCAGAAAAGTAGCTGCAGCCGCCACCTGGCAGCCTTGGGACGCTGGCTCAGGCCCTGAGTGCCCCCTTGGGTGCCCCGCCCCCCAACAGAGCTCCTGAGGCTGAGGTCAGGCTGCCTGCCTTGGCTGCCACCAACGCACAGAGCTGCATGCAAGCCGGGAGGCGGGAGCACGGCCGGCCTCACCCTGTGAGAGCAGAGTCACAGGCTCCGGGCTGTTGTTGTGGGGAGGGCCTGGGGCTTCCCGTGGCCACTGCTGGCCTGGCTGGGCCTCCTCAGCCGTGGCCCTCGGGGCCTGCACCTCAGAGCGGTGACTGGCCTCACTGTGACCCACGGACGTCTACTGTGACTTCCTCCTTAGCTCCCTGAAGACACCCAGGGCTGGGCTAAGATGTGGTCTGGGCAGGTCTGGCTGACCACTCAGGCCATCTCTATGTGGACATCGAGACTCGGGGCCGGAGGAGACCCTAAGGACCGTGTCCCCAGGTCCTCTCTGCACCCACCAAGCTGTGGGAAGGAGATGAGGCTGTTTGCTCTTCCTTGGCCAGCATCCAGCCCCGTCCCCCAACTGTTGTGGCCAAAATTCTGACCACCCACGACACAGGGCCTGCTGTGTGCACCCCACTGGCCCAGGGCGGGCCTTGCCGGCGGCAGGCGAGGAGTCCAGCCCCTCCTGGTGTCGGTCAGGTGAACTCACAAACAGGAAGGCACGTTGCACAGCACGAACCTTCAGATCTGCCAGGCGGTGCCTGCGATCCGGCTGCTGGCAGCACAGCTTTGCAGAGAAGCTGCTGGGAAGGGTCCGTGTTCAGCCCAGCAGTCAGGGTGCTCAGTGGCCCCTATGCTGTGAGGCACCTTAAACAAACAGCAGAGGGAGACCCGCAAAGTGCAAAGAAGGGGCAGCAGCCTCCAGAAGGCAGGGCTGATGGATCCGGAACCAGAGCTCTGAGCTTCCCAGCAGCCGAGTCAGAAAGGGAAATGGGGTGGGTACTGCTGAGTCCTCACCGACCATTAGTGGGAAAAGGTCTTGAAGACCTGGGCCTCCCTTCGACAGCACAGATGCTCCCCTGACACCGGCTGGGGAGTGCTCTCCTGTCAGGGGTTCCCACCTCTGTGGATCGTAAGGTGCCAAGCTCCTCAGGGCTCCCTGGCGAAAGATGCCGAAGGGTGGCGCAGAGAAGTCACCTGGAATGTGGCTCAGAGAACCACGCAATGCCCTGGGGTCTCCCTACCCCGTGCAGGTCAGTGAGGGCACCCGCCCATGCAACCCCAGGGGCCAGCCACGTCGGGCCACATGTGCTGGGGCTGTGTGTGCCAGAGAACGGGCTGTGAGTCCCTGTCTCAGCTGGCGCTTGTGCGGGACTCCTGAGCCAGGAAGCCTCCGGCTAAGGAAGCCCCGCCTTAGCCTGGAGACGACCCTCACGTCCGTCCCTCACGTCTGTCCCTCGGCAAGTGCTCCTCACTGTGGAGAGGGCAGCTGCTGACCTGCAGCAAGCCAGGTGGCGGATCAAGATTTGTGCCAAGTGAGGGGCCAAACTTAGCGTGGGCATGCGTGCTTTTCTCTTTACATGTGTCCAAGGCCATAAGCGATGGGCTGTGACAAAGCACATCTGGGCTGAGCTCAGGGAGAAATGTCCCCTGCAGTAGATATGCAAGTGTGTGCAGGTGTCAGAAACACCAAGCCACACACTGATAACTCATGCCGGGTGCGGCGGCTCACACCTGTAACTCAGCACTTTGGGAGGCAGAGGCGGGAGGATCGCTTGAGCTCAGGAGTTTGAGACCAGCCTGGGCAACATGGCTAAACTGCCCCCCAACAAAAAATAAAAAATCCGGGGATGGTGGCATGTGTCTGAAGTCACAGCTACTCGGGAGGCTGAGGTGGGAGGATGGCTTGAGCTCGGGAGGTCAAGGCTGCAGTGAGCAGTGATTACACCACAGCAAGAGCCGGCATCTAAAAAAAATTTAGTGCGGTGAGCACTAAATTTAGTGGCTCACGCCTGTAATCCCAACACTTTGGGGGGGGCCAAGGTGGGCGGATCATGAGGTCAGGAGTTCGAGACCAGCCTGACCAACCTGGTGAAAGCCCATCTCTACTAAAAATACAAAAATTAGCTGGGTGTGGTGGTGGGCGCCTGTAGTGATCCCAGCTACTCAGGAGGCTGAGTCAGGAGAATCGCTTGAACACGGGAGGCAGAGGTTGCAGTGAGCCGAGATCGTGCCATTGCACTCCAGCCTGGGTGACAGAGCGAGACTCTGTCTGAAAAAATAAATACATAAAAATAAAAGTAATGTTTTTAAATAATCAAAGGGAGCATTGTTTGGAAGTCAGAATCACATTGCCTGTGGGGGTGAGCAGACCTGTGGAGACTGGGCTTTCCAGGCCAAAGGGCCCTCCCTGACATTGGGGGTGCGAACACGCAGAGCAGGCTGGAGACCTCTCACAGCACTGTGCGGCTTCCGGAAACCGTCCCCTGCCCCAGCCCACCCAGCCCTCTGAGGAAGCGGCCTCTGAGCAGTTTCTTGCAGGATTGATGTCTGAGAAACAGCTCACACCAAGTGCCGTCTGCTCACTCCACCAAGAGTGACACAGGTTCGGCCGCTGAATCACCCTCAGAGCACTGTCCTCCCTCCAAGCCCCCAAGAGAGTGGCATCTTTTTAGAGACAGGGTCCCGCTCTGTCGTCCAGGCTGGAGTGCGGTGGCATGAGCTCTGCTCGCTGCCACCTCCACCCCCCTGGGCTCAGGCGATTCTCCTCCCTCAGCCTCCTGAGTAGCTGGGAACACAGTTGCTACCACTACACCCGGCTAATTGTTGTATTTTTTGTAGAAGCGGGGGGCCTCACTGTGTTGCCCAGGCTGGTCCCAAACTCCTGGGCTCAAGCGATCCTCCCACCCCGGCCTCCCACCGTGCCTGGGATTTATTTCTGGATGACTCGGTGCCCAGTGTTCACATCCCAGAGCCTCAAGCTGACCTTCCAGCCCGGGCCGGCGCTGTCCGCTCCCCACTCCTCTCCCTGGAGCGCTGGCAGCCTCCAGCTGGGCTCTTTCTCTGCCTGCCTGTCCCTGCCTGTCCCTGCACAGATCAGGTGGCGCCACCTGCCGTCCGTCCAGTCCCTCGGCTCTTGCTCCAGTCACAGTCAGGCCCTGGCCGGGCGCCGTGTGCCATGCGCCCTCCAGTGGCTCCCAGGGAACGGGCGCTCTCTCCACGCGCTCCAGCTGCCGTCCCCCTGCCCTGTCTGGGTCAGGCCACCCCCCGCCCACTGGGACCTCAGAAGCACTCGTACCCCTGCTGGCTGCGTGGGTTTCACAGGCGATAAAGCTGAGTGCAGCCTCAAACCCTGAATAGTCATCAAAGTTAGGATCCTACAGACTCCTCCAAGCCTCACCTCATCACCCCTGTGGCCCAGCAGTCCAGAGCCATGGGCCACCCCCTCCCCCGCTTGTTATGCAGCAGGAGCTACCCGATGCACTCTGACCTCAGACACCCTAGGACTTTGCTTAGATTTCACAAGGGACTGAGTCCAGGCAGGAGGGGTGGGGAATTTGGCCAGCGATGGGCCTGCCTCGGGGCATTTGTGAGACCTGCCCGGAGAGACAGCTGGGCGCTAGGCTGAGCTGTCCAAGTCCCACTGCCCTCTGAAGCCTGGTGAGCCCACCCAGCCCTCCAGTGTCTTACCTCCTTCCCCCTCAGCATCCAAGGTGGGAAGAAGACCCCCGCTCTGAGGGAGCCCCAGCAATCACGGGGAGGGCCCAGGTCCCAGAGTGAGGCCGGCTTCCAGCCTCTGGGTTCCAGAAGTTTCCTAATGGGGGCTGCCCACTCCGAGGGAGGAGCTTCAGGACATCTGAACCAGGACCCCCGCACTGGACAAGGCCCCAGGCCCCTACATGTGTGTTCCCTGTGGGTGTGGTTGAGCGGTGGCGTGGCAGCTCCCTTGGGTCACTTGGGTTCCATTAAACGGCGTCTCCGTGGGTAAAGCTTGGTCTCCTCCTAAGCCCGGCCAGCCCGGCACTCAGATGGCCTCACCCTCCGAGCTTACTGTGGGGGGGCCTCACCCTCCGAGCTTGCTGCGGGAGGTTTGCAGATGGCTCGGGGACTGTGTGGTTTTGTTTTGCCTTGACTTAGGATGGTAATGGGAGGCACGTGCAGCACGGCTGAGGGCCAGCCTCAGACCCAGAAGCAGATCTGGGGCCAAGAGCAGCCTGCCCACCCCAGGAGGGTCCTTCCCTGGAGACCTAGAGGCGGGGGGGTACAGGGGCCGGGGTCGGCGTCCCTCCTGCTGCTGAGGACAGACGTCCGGGGAGCAGTTCAGCCACGTCGTGAGCCATGGGGTTCGGGGTGTCTGCCTCTCCCATGACATCTGGGCACCATGGGGTGGATGTCCACAGAGGCATCTCCCGAAATCCATGCGTGAGGAAGCTGGGCTCGCGGGCTGCCTGCTGCCTGAGTTCTCTGGGACCCTTGAAAAGGACCCATTGGCAGGTGCGTGGATAAAGCAGGACAAATCCACCACTCCCCACTCACTCGAGGTCCCCAGAGCCCTCACACCCACAGACCAGGAAGGAGAAGGACTGGGGAGGGACTCGGAGTGGGTGTTTAACGCAAGCAGGGCTTCAGCCCGGGAAGATGAGGAGGCTCTGGAGGTGACAGTGGTGGCCGTGAATGTGCCTGTGCCCCTGAACTGTGCACTTCAACATGGCTGATGGTGAATTTTCTCTACGTGTATTTTATCACCATTTTTAAAAATAGCAACAAAGAAACACTTGGAAATGAGGCGTAGACAGTGGCCTGTCCCATCCGTGCCAAGCCCCGGCATTTCCCAGCAAGCCCCCGGGACGTGCCTGTGCACCTGGCCGGCAGCCTGAGTGCAGCTGTGAGAAACGGGCACCCAGGTCTGCCCGGTCGAGAAGGTGGCACCTCCGGGGTTCGGGTCTCACTCGGCCCCCCCCTTCCCTCCTGCCCGCCCCACACCCCTGCCCACGCCCATGGGCATGAGTTAAAGGAGATTTGATACCTGCTTACTCTGTTTTCACTAAGCTAGGCTTGTTTACACTTGAGGATGAGGCATTTGGACCGCCTAACTTGGGGGGCCCTGGCTGTACCCCGTGGAGGAGCCCTGTCATCTCGCTGGGTGAGATGGGGTGAGAGGTCGCGTGAGTCGGGCGAGCGGGGTCAGGGTTGGGGTTGGGGTTATGTTTATTGTCTTAGTGCTTTGAGGGGAAGCTCAGCCGTCACTCATCACCCTGTACTTGGTGTCCCTCATGTCGGCTGGGCCTCCATGAAGCGGGGCGGGACAGGGTCAGCGTTTCCTCCCCACGTGGGCCTCGGGCTCCCCTGGGCCCAAGGAGATGAATACCCCAGGCCAATGTAAGGCGGGGGCCCGAGGGTCCCCTGCAGGGCCGGGAGGGCGGGGCCTGAGTCCTTCACCCCACCCAGGAGGCCGACTAAGTTGGGGGCACAAGGGTCCCCTGTAGGGTTGGGAGGGCTGGGCCTGAGTCCTCCACCCCACCCGGGAGCCCTGACAACAGCTGGGAGGGATTTTCCACAGCCCCTGCCCTGGAATGTTCCGCACCCTCCAGAGCTCCAGAGGGGCTCACCAGTCACACTGGGCGGGGCGTCGCGTGGCCCCACCTGGCGCCAGGACCCCGTTCTTTCTGCCCTTCAAGTTTTCAGTGTCATATTTCAAATGTCTGAGGGGAGAATAGTGAAGCCAGCACTCGCTCCCTGCTCTTCCCCAGAAATAGGTGAGCGGACGCAGCCGAGCCTCCATCCCTCCGTCCCCTTCTCGTCCTTGCAGCAGCCTCCGTAGCAGCAGCCCCACCCATGACTTAGGGACCCTGCGGCCCCACCTGGGAGTGTGAGGCCTGCCGTGCACCCGTGTGTCCCGGCCACCACGTCCTGGCCTTGGGGCGCCGCTTCACGTGGCGCAGGTGGGAATGTGCCACGGCTTATCCTCTCTTCTCGGTGAGGGGCCGCCTGCCGCTCACGTGCATGGTCAGCGCTGGGACGGGGGCCAGGGCCGTCTCAGACAGCAGGTGTCCCATCACACCGCCCCCAGCACACGCGCCACTGTCACACTGCCGACCACACCGCCCCCAGCACACGCGCCACTGTCACACTGCCGACCACACCACCCCCAGCACACGCGCCACTGTCACACTGCCGACCACACCGCCCCCAGCACACGCGCCACTGTCACACTGCCGACCACACCACCCCCAGCACACGCGCCACTGTCACACTGCCGACCACACCGCCCCCAGCACACGCGCCACTCACACTGCCGACCACACCGCCCCCAGCACACGCGCCACTCACACTGCCGACCACACCGCCCCCAGCACACGCGCCACTCACACTGCCGACCACACCGCCCCCAGCACACGCGCCACTCACACTGCCGACCACACCGCCCCCAGCACACGCGCCACTCACACTGCCGACCACACCGCCCCCAGCACACGCGCCACTCACACTGCCGACCACGCCACCACCAGCACAGGTGCCACTCACACTGCCGACCACACCGCCACCAGCACACGCGCCACTCACACTGCCGACCACACCGCCCCCAGCACACGTGCCACTGTCACACTGCCGACCACACCGCCCCCAGCACATGTGCCACTGTGTGGCTCGACATTTCCTTCTGTTTGTTTGAGATGGAATCTCGCTCTGTCACCCAGGCTGGAGTGCAGTGGTGCGAACTCGGCTCACTGCAACCTCTGCCTCCCAGTTCAAGCGATTCTCCTGTCTCAGCCTCCTGAGTAGCTGGGATTACAGGCACGTGCCACCATGCTCGGTTAATTTTTTTGTATTTTTAGTAGAGACAGGGTTTCACCATGTTGGGCAGGCTGGTCTCGAACTCCTGACCTCGTGATTCGCCTGCCTCGGCCTCCCAAAGTGCTGGGATTACAGGCATGAGCCACCGCACCGGGTCAGTGTTTCCATTTTTGCCACTGCAGTGCTGCTTGTCTTCAGGGGCTGAGGTGCCCTCCCCCCGCCCCAAGGAAGCCTCTGGCGCCAGTGCCTGTCTCTGAAGGAGAATGTGGGCCTTGCCTCCCTGCACCAGTCATACGCATGGCCCCAGTGGCTTGGCTCAGAGTCTGGCACTGCAGGCCGACTGCCTCCAGGCACAGCTGCAGGAAGTGTTCCAGGAGCGGGAATGGAGTGGGGTCTGCAGGAGTCCCAGGACCTGGGGGGTGCAGGGCTCGCACGCTGAGGACACCCACCTGCGCCTGTCTCTGGCTGGATGCAGCCACCCGTTGTCTCCCTGCAGCCCCAGCTGTAGGTGCTGGGGGGCCCTGGGGGGAGCTAGGTGGGTGGGAGTGCAGCTTCAGGGGTGGGAGAGTGGGCGGGGCCCTGGAGGCGCTCCTGGGGGCTGGCAGGGACTGAGCTGCAGACAGCATCAGAGGGGTGGGGGTCCCACAGGGTCGGGCAGGGGTAGTCCTGGGTGTAACCGGAAGCAGTTGCTGACCCTGTGGGGGTGGGGGTGAGGGTGGGAGTCCTCAGGGCCCTCCCAGAGCAGTCCGAGCTGTGGGGTGGGAGGAGAGAGGGTGGGAGGACCCAGGGCTGGGAGGGGAGTGGTCAGGAGGACCTGGGGGCTGGGGGAGCTCCTAGGGCCTGGGCACCGCACACAGGGCCTGGGCCCTCGGCCTCATGGTAAAAGCCCGGGCGGGCGTGGTGTCCAGGGAGGCCGGACTGACGCCAGGCGGGGGCAGCAGGCGGTACCTCTGCAGGAGGCCGGCAAACAGCAGGAAGAGCTCGGTCCTGGCCAGGCGCTCCCCAACACAGACGCGGCGGCCTGCGGGGGATGTCCAGGCACAGAGTGGGCTGCACCAGGCCTGCTCCTGGAGGGGAGGGGTGGGGACCTCCCCAGGGGAGCACAGGAGCAGCCACCACAGCCGCCTTCAGAACCTGAGATCAGGAGGTGGGTGCAGAGGCGGCAGGCGGAGCTGGGGCCGTCCCACCCCTGGAGCCCTGGAGGTGCCGCCCCACCCCGGCCCCGAGGGCTGCTGACCTGCAGAGAAAGGCAGGAAGGCCTCCCGCTTCACAAAGTGCCCATTCGCGTCCAGGAAATGGCCGGGGTTGAACTGGCCTGGGGTCTGCCACTGTGTCTCATCCAGGAGCACCGAGGTCAGCAGGGGAATCACGGGCGTGCCCTGTGGGGGCAGCCGGGGCACAGAGAGAGGGGCCCCGGGGAAGATGGGATGGGGCCTGGGTTGGGAAGTTTCATTCCAGGATGTAGCTCCTGCCACACCCACCACACCTGGTGTTAGCCCACCTTGCAGGTGAGGCACCCAAACCCAGGGAGGCCACATGACCCCAGGGCACACAGCCAGGGGCCCCAAGGATAGAGAGGACACCCAGGATGCATGGAGAGGGACGCCCCAGGACACACAGAGGGGACCCCCAGGACACACAGAGGGGACCCCCCAGGACACACAGAGGGGACCCCCCCAGGACACACAGAGGGGACCCCCAGGACACACAGGGGACCCCCCCAGGACACACAGGGGATCCCCAGGACACACAGAGGGGACCCCTCAGGACACACAGGGGATCCCCAGGACACACAGAGGGGACCCCCCCAGGATACAGAGGGGACCCCCAGGACACACCGAGGGGATCGCCTAGGACACATGGACAGGGATGCCCACAGGACACACGGAGGGGACCCCAGGACATGCAGGGAGGCGCCAGGTCTGCTGGCCAGGCCAAGTGCTGGGCTGTGGGGTGAGAGGGCTGCCTCCCTCCTGCTCCTGGCTGGACGCCCTTTATTGCCTCCGGTCGGGGAGCGCTGGGCCATCAGGCACCCACCAGACGCTCAGCCGTCCCAGTGCCCCTGGACCCCCGCCGAGGCCTACCCCAGAGGAGATGGAAGGGGCAAGGGAGGCCCAGCCCCACCTTGGGGAGCAGGAAGCCGCCCAGCTGTGTGTCGGCCGCGGTGCAGCGGGGCACGTGCGGCAGGAGCGTGATGAACCGCTGCACCTCGTGGAGCACGGCGCTTGTGTAGGGCAGAGCCTGCTGGTCCTCCAGCCGGGGAGTCCGCCCAGGGCCCAGCACGCGGTCTAGCTCCTCCTGCACCCGGCCTGGGGCAAAGGGTGGGCCGCTTGGGTGGCAGCGCCATCCCTCGTCCCTGGGGGTCCCCCGGGGGCAGAAGGAGCCGTCTCGCCAGGCGCCGGGGTCTCACCCTGCACGTCCGGGTGCCGGCCCATCAGAAGTGCGGCCCACTGCAGCGTGGCCGAGGTCGTCTCCGTCCCGGCCATGACCATGTCCAGGGTGCAGGCCACCGCGTTGGCCTCAGCAAACAGGCCCTCGGGGTCATCCCCCTGCAGAGGCGTGGGGCAGGGCTCGTGGGATGATCTGGGGTCTGTCCCCCACCCCACAGACCCAGCCCAGCCCTGGGCTCCACTATGGATGCCCCGGTGATCTGGGCTCAGCCATCCCTCAGCGTCCCCGAGGCAGGCACTATGGATGCCCCGTTTCACAGACAAGGAGACTGAGGCTCTGAGAGGCCCCCAGCCAGGAGGTAGGGAGCTTGGTGCAGGACCGGTATGGACCCCTCCCCAGCCGTGCTCCCCTGGGGTGTCCCTCAGGACCCCTACAGGCCTTCAAGGAGGTCTTGGGTCCCGACACACCTGTCCCTGCTGGATCAGGGCGTCCACATAGCTGCACACGGGGTCCCCCGGGCACACGTGGGGCCTCCGCGCCTCCAGGAGGGTCCTCAGAATGGCACGGACCTCCTCGATCTTGCGCAGGACGGGCCGGTGCAGCTGGAGCAGGGCCCCGAGCCATGGGTAGACGTTGAACAGCTGGGCAGGAGGCAGGAGGAGCGGAGATAAGGACGCAGCCCCAGGGCTGCACGCTGGGCAGGCGGTGATCGTCCCCAGCGGCTGTGTTCACGCCCAGGGACTCTGGGTGGATGTGCTGGAGGCGGCCACAGAACGGGGGGACCCTTAGCCCTCAAGGGAGGACCAGGAACTGCCAGGAAACCCCCTGTCCGTGTCCCGGAAGGGGACAGCCAGGCAGGTTTGCACAGCAGGACCTCCTTCCATCCTGGAGAGGGAGGAGGGAGGCAGCTGCCACAGTGGAAGTAACCTTGAACCTCCTGTGAGTCATGGAATGGAAGACAGAGCAGACCTCAGACCTTGGAGAGTCAGGGCCGCCACTGAGCCAGCCCACGAGGCTGTATCTGAGGGGTGAGCCTGGCACCAGCGGGTGCTCCGTGACTGCCTGTGGCAGCCCCGCCACACCTCGTGCCACTCGCCTTCCTGGGGCGTCCGCGATCGCCAGTAGTGAGTTCCACGCGGCGTCTCTGTGGTAAGGAGCTGGCACCAGCAGGGAAGGCCAGGGAATGCTCTGCTGCCCTGGGGCTGCCCCGGACCACGCAGTGCCGTGCAGCCTCCATCTTCCAGGTGGGCTCTGGGCCTGCCTGGCTCCACCAGCAGGCAGGGTGGTCTCACCCTGGCTAGGACGGGTGGAAGCTGTGCCCCCTGCTCTCGCTTGTGAACCCACCGCTGCTCACTCACTCCCATCACGGCCCTGCCTCTGGGAAGCCAGGAGGACTAGGACCCGTGGTCTCTGGGTCCAGCCGTGATGCAGGTATCACACCTGAGATGCAGGCTTCGGTAAACGCACATCAAATACCATGAGGACCAAAAAGAGGGGATCTTTACATTTTGAAGCTAAATGAAATACACGAGTTCCAAACATCAGAGGGGTGAACTTTTGTGGTTTTGGGGCACTGTAAAGGGCGTCAGCAGGAAGGTGCCTGGACTGTCAGGGCTTGGGGGGCAGACATGGAGCCCCCCGCAATTCTGGGGAAGCCATGCCTGCCTCCCACCTCCACTCTTGAGCAGATGCATCTGTTACTGATGAGGGCGTGGGGGAGATGGGGATCCCCCATTTCCTGGAGAGCACAGGGGCTGGTTTGAGGCCACATGACCAGCTAACGTCGGATGGGTCCTGATTCAGGCCCTTGCATCTGATTCCTTTTGCAAGGTGGGAGGGCCGAGAAGCTGAGAGGGGACAGCACTGGGGCCCCCGTCCTCCTGCTGCACGCCCATCACTCCAGGCTCCACCCCACCCCAAGGATGGGAGGCAGCTCCTCACCTGCAGGCCAGGGGACCCCAAGAGGACCATGACCTCATCGATGAGACCCAGCAGGGACACAAACACGGGGTCCCGGTAGTCAAATCGGCGGCCGAAGAGGAGCGCGAAGGTGATATTGGAGGGAGCCCAGCCCAGTAGGGCCAGCGGGAAGGGCCGGCCTGCGAGGGAGACGGGCCTCAGGCACGTCCAGGCCCGGGGAGGGGCGTCCCCGGCCCCCTGCTCACCTCTGTAGCCATCCAGCTGCCCAGAGAGGCATTTCAGCTCCTGCAGAATCTTGTCAGCCACCGGCTCCCGGCCCACGCCCAGGCTGTGCAGGGCACGCACCGTGAACTGGCGGGCAGCCCTCCAGCGCGCCCCAGATGAGAAGAAGATGCCTGTAGGCAGATACAGTGCGTGGTGAGCCCAGGTTCCCACCCCAGCCAGCCCCGCCAGGCAAGTGGGCAGGAAGTGAGCAGGCTGACAGGGCAGCGAGACTGGCTGGGCCCTCACCCCCATCCCCACTCCCGTCCCCCTGGGCTGGCCCTGGCCCCTCTTGACTTGGGATGAAAAGAACCCCGCTTGCTGGTTCTGAGCACCTGACCTGCTGTGTGGACACCTGGCCCTTCTCAGCACCAGCCCGGAGGCCCAGCTCCTGCCTGCTCTTCCCCAGGCCACCCTGGGAGCCTCTCCCGCTGCTGGAGCCCCCACCCCTCCTGGGGTCCAGGTGCCCCCACACCCAGTAGGCCCCGTAGCGCCGGCCACACACCGACCTCCACCTCGCTGGATGAGCTGGAAGATGGCGATGGGAGGCCGGTCGGCCAGCTCCTGCCCGGGGCCCGCCAGCGCCTCTTTGACCGCCTCGAACCCCGTCAGCACCACCGTCTTCTGGCGCCCCAGGTGCACGGTGAACACCGGCCCGTAGCGTTCTGAGAGCTGGCAGGGATGGCGGGGGTCACCCGGGCAGCCCTCACCCACAAGACCCCCCTTAGGTCCCCTCAGGCCGGGCCTGTGCTGGGTAGGGGTGGGGACAGAGGGAAAATGGGGGCAGGTGGAGGGGGCACGCCTAGATGCCATAAAGCCAGTGGTGCAGGGTGGAGGGGGCAGCGCCCAGCCTGGAGCCCACAGAGCCCTCTCGCCATCTGGTGCTTGGCATGGCTGTTGTGGGATTTTCTTTTTAGCCAAAATTCCTGGGGGGCTCAAGCCCTGAGTCCAGGCGGCAAGGTCGGGGGCTGGCTGTCTGCTGGGGTGGCACATTCTGAAAGGCCAGAGTCTGCACAGAGTGAGGGCCTGACAGGCTCGGCCCCCAGAGACCCTGATCCGTCTTCGGCTACAGCCCGGCCAGCAGCACCCCAGCCCGCAGTTGGGGGCAGCCGGAGGCAGGGCCCGGGCCTGACTGGTCAGCCCTGTCCCACTGACCCTGCCTGCCTGAGCGAGGACAGAGCGACAGTGCTAGTCAGGCTGCCCCGTGCCGTGTCCCCGTACCCTCTGTCCTCAGCATCCCTGCCCAGGAGGCACAGGTCCTCTTCCCATTTCACAGATGAGGAAACAGAGGCTCAAAAGTGGGAAGTGTTTGCTGTTGAACACCTGAGGGCCGAGGGGGGCTGAGCAGGCAGCCGACAGGCCCAGGCCCTCCTCCCCTCTGCTGTCCCTAAGCCTGGCCTCCTGCGGGCTCTCAGCAGACGCCACCGCCTCCAGGGAGCCCTCCAGACTCCTGCTCCCGCGCCGGGCCCTGGGTGGCACCTCCAGGGCTTCTTCGTACTCAGTGTGTCTGCTTCCCTGTGGGACGGGGTGGCTTTCCCCTCCCAAAAGCAGGGTGGGCCCTCCGGCCTCCTGCGTGCCCCGCTGGGCCCGGCACCATGTGGGAACAGGCAGTGGAAACCGGGCTGGGCTTCCCCAGGAGGGGGGCCAGGACACGGCAGCTGTCCAAGCGGCAAGAGCTGCCCGGGCTCCCTGACTTACCTCCATCAGGGACCGGTCCTGTTGCGACAGACGCAGCAAGTGCAGGTTCCCGACGAGCGGCAGCGGGCGAGGCCCCGGGGGCCACCGGGCAGCTGGGGAGGGGTCTTGGGCGCAGGCGCAGAGCAGCCCCCAGAGCCCCAGGAGGCCCAGGAACAGCAAGAGCAGCAGGGCCATGAGGACGTGGCTGGTGAGGCTCCACTCCCCTCCTGGGCCCCGTCCCCCCCGCACCCTTATAGGCCTCCGCGGGAGGGCGTGCCCGCACCCCACCCACCCCACCACCCCGAGAATGTGGAACGAGCAGTTTGCAGGGCAGCCCCCAGCGGATGGCTTAAAGCTGCAGGCCTGCGTGGAATGTGGGGCTGAGGCCCTGGTGGGGCCGGGGAGGGGAGGGCAGGACGGGGGCCCTCTGGGGTCAGGCATCCATGTCTCCTGGCCAGAGAGAAGGATGTGGCACGTGGACTGTTCTGCCCCTGGTTCTGCTGAACCTGCCAGTCCAGGCCCCTTGGCCTTGGCCACCCCTCAGAACTGGGATTCACAGGGCTTTGGGGCCGAGGCCCTGGCTTGGAGGGGAGCCCCCTGCCTTTCACAGGCTCTGAGTGGGACCCTGTGGAGCTCAGGGTTTGCAGGCCTCTCCCAAACCCCATCCGTGTGCACCCAGCTCTTCTCTGATCAGCTCCCCACGGGGCAAGGGACAGGAGTGAGACCTCAGGGAGGCCCATGAGGGGACTCAAATCCCACAGTCCTCACAGGCCACCACCTGCATCTCCCTGAGGGTGTTCTCGCCCCAGGTAGCAGCCTGCTCCTTTTCGAGGGCTGCCGCCCGGGCAGGGGATGCAACCCTCTGAGCTAGGACAGGAACATGGAAGGGCTGCCGGGTGGCAGGTGGCGGGGTTTACGAGCCCTGTCCATCTGTCTCCTAAACCGCTGTGAGGGGTGGGAGGGCTGCTGGCAGCAGAAGCGGCCGGGCCTGCTTTGCACAGCCTGCCCTGACATGAGGCAGCTGGAGCTGGTGCCAGCAGGCGGGACCCTCCCCACAGCCTGTCTCTGGGGCGTTGCCCATGCCCTGTACGAACCGCAGAGCCGAGGCAGCCTGAGGCCCTCACCCCTCCCGGGTTGGTCCCCCTTGATTAGCTGGGAGGGAAAGCCCCAGGCACAGTTGCACGCCTCCTGTGGTGGGGAGCTCACTACCTCTATCCTGCTGTACAGCCTCAGGGCCAGGGCTGGGCGGCTGCGGCGGGGAGGGAGTGCCTCATACCAGGGCCACTACTGGGTAGGCTGGGGGTCCTACCTGCCTAGCAAAGCTTACTTAATTAATTCAGGGAATACTTTTGATTTTTGTGTGTTTTGTTTTTGAGACAGGGTCTTGCTCTGTTGCCCAGGCTGGATTACCGTGCTGTGAGTACAGGCTCACTGCAGCCTCCACCTCCGGGGCTCAAGCCATCCTCCCACCTCAGCCTCCCAAATAGCTGGGACTACAGGCATGCACCACCCAGCCTAGCTAACTTTATTTATTTATTTATGTAGAAATGGAGGTCCTGCTACGTTGCTCAGGCTGGTCTCACACTCCTGGGTTCAAGCAATCCTCCTGCCTCGACCTCCCAAAGTGTTGGGATTGCAGGTGTAAGCCACTGCACCTGGCCTAATTTTTTAAGTTTTGGGTTTTTGTTGTTTTTGAGACGGAATCTCACTCTGTTGCCAGGCTGGACTACAATGGCGTGATCTCGGCTCACTGCAACCTCCGCCTCCCGGGTTGGAGCGATTCTCCTGCCTCAGCCTCCCGAGTAGCTGGGATTACAGGCACATGCCACCACACCTGGCTACTTTTTGTATCTTTAGTAGAGACGGGGTTTCACCATGTTGGCCAGGACAGTCTCGATCTCTTGACCTCATCATGATCCGCCCGCCTCGGCCTCCCAAAGTGCTGGGAATTTTGTAAGTTTCTTTTAGAGACGGAGTCTAGAGGCTGGTCTTCAACTCCTCCTGGGCTCAAGCGATCCTACTGTGGCCGCCTCCAAAAGCGCTGGGATTACTAGCATGAGCCAATGCCGGGCCGGCCTCTTTTTCTTTTCTTTTCTTTTTTTTTTTTTTTGAGATGGAGTCTCACTCTCGTCATCCAGGCTAGAGTGCAGTGGCATGATCTTGGCTCACTGCAACCTCCATCGCCCGTGTTCAAGTGATCCTCCTGCCTCAGCCTCCCGGGTAGCTGGGATTACAGGCATATGCAACCACACTCAGCTAATTTTTGTATTTTTAGTAGAGATGGGGTTTTGCCATGTTGGCCAGGCTGATCTCGAGCTCCTGACCTCAAGTGATCCACCTGCCTTGGCCTCCCAAAGCACTGGGATTACAGGCGTGAGCCACAGTGCCCAGCCCTCTTTTAAAAGTAACTCGTTGGCCAGGCGCAGTGGCTTATGCCTGTAATCCCAGCACTTTGGGAGGCTGAGGTGGGCGGATCACGAGGTCAGGAGATGGAGATCGAGACCATCCTGGCTAACACGGCAAAACCCCATCTCTACTAAAAATACAAAAAATTAGCCGGGCGTGATAGCGGGCGCCTGTAGTCCCAGCTACTCAGGAGGCTGAGGCAGGAGAATGGCGTGAACCCGGGAGGCGGAGCTTGCAGTGAGCTGAGATGGCACCACTGCACTCCAGCCTGGGCAACAGAGTGAGACTCCATCTCAAAAAAAAAAAAAAAAAAAAAGTAACTGTTACTGGGGAATTAACAGTACTCCTCTAACGGCTGCCTGTACGTGTTGCTTGCTCTGGGGGGCATGGCCGGGTGTGCATATTTGCATATTTACATTGTTTCCAATCTTAGGCTGTCACAGAACATCCTGATAAAAATATCTGTGTGCATACTTGCAAGGATGGGCACAGTTGCAAGGATATCTTAAAATAAATTCCTAGAAACCAGGTGGCTGAGCCAAGGCATTGTTGCTTTCTGATGTCCGGTGGACCTCCAGCGCCCTGCAGAGACGTGTGCCAACTGCAGCCTGGCTGCTCAAGTGGAACTTGGGACTGTTCTGATCAGACCTGATTGGTCCAGGCCTGCCAGACAGATACTCAGGCCTGAGCCATCTCTGTGACCAGGAGGAATGCAGTGCTGTGATTGGCTGGCTCAGGTCCTGCCTGCCCCTGACATCAGAGGCAGGGTGGGTGAGGTGGGTGGGTAGGTGGGCTCCCCCGGAGGGGCTGGAGTCAGACAGACCTGGTTCCAAACTCAGGCCCGCACCTGTCGGCTGTGGCAGATGGCGGCTTCCAGAGATGGCCGCACAGATTCTCCCAACCACACTGTCTTTGCGTAACGTAACACTGCGCTTCTCCCTCCACAGGAGGGCTTGTGGTCTTCCCCCTTTGTGACACAAAGTAGCAGAGGCCAGAAGCCGTGTTTGCTCATTCCACCAGTGGAGTTTCACGGGACGCTTTTGCAGTGTACTAGAGATCCACCAGACATCAAAAAGGAACTGTCCCTTGGCTCAGTGACCCGGTTTCCAGAAATTTAGTTTAAGGCATCCTTGCAACTGTGCGGAAAAAAGTGTGCGCCCTGCCTCAGTGACTGGGCGCGCCCCCTGGAAGAATGTCCCAGAGACTGAGCAGGCATGGCGCAGGTGCCCACGGCTCTTGCTTGAATCCCTGCATTTTTTTTTTTTTGAGACGGAGTTTCCCTCTCTGTTGCCCAGGCTGGAGTTCACTGCAACCTCCGCCTCCCAGGTTCAAGCGATTCTCCTGCCTCAGCCTCCCGAGTAGCTGGGACTACAGGCACTCACCACCACGCCCGGCTAATTTTTGTATTTTTAGTAGAGACGGGGTTTCACCATGTTGGCCAGGCTGGTCTTGAACTCCTAACCTCAGATGATCCGCCCACCGTGGCCACCCAAAGTGCTGGGATTATAGGTGTGAGCCACCACACCCGGCCAAATCACTGCGTTTTTTAAAAAGATAAGGTCAACGATCCTAGCCCTTGTCTCCTCCTGCACATAAGATAACGTCTGACAGGATCAGTGGCTGTAATCTATGACGAGATGGACTCTTGCACCGAAACTTTGACGATCGCATTTGGCTCTAAGGTACCCCCTGAGCAGGTGCAGAGCCTCCGCCACCCGTTGATAAGCTGAGGCCCGAAACATTGCTTTGGAGCAGTCGAACTGAAACTCTGAAACACCCTCCCGGATTGCAATGCTCAATAGGAATCTGAATAAAACTAACTTTACTTCTTCGAAAGCAAAATTTTCCTTTAGTTGACTCCTTGAATCTGGGTGGGCACTTGTGGTCACAGTGGAGGCTGGATCCCAAACAGTGATGCAGCTTCCTCTTGGTTCCCCAGGACACCTGTGCCGTGGACCCAGCCGCCATGCTGTGGGGAAGCCCAGCAGCTCGTAGAGGGGCCCATGTGGAGGGGAACCCAGGCCCACGGAACCGTGGCCAGGCTTCCACATGACACTGAGCCCACCTGCCTGCCAGCCACGTGTGCCATCGTGAGTGGATCCTCCAGTCCGAAGTGGAGCTAACCCGGCCCAGGCCTCGTGGAATGTCTCCACCAAGCCCTGCCCAAGTGCAAGTGCAAGTTCACGGGTAATGACTGCTGCTAAGCTTGGGGTGCTTTGTTATGCAGCGGCAGATAACGCGAACACGGCCACGTAAGCTTCAGCAAGGGCTGTGACCCCTTGAGTCTGTTTCTCTGTGTCAGATGAGGATAATAAGACCTACTTAGCTGGATTCATTCATCTTCGAGCTATAAACGGAGCATGTCCAGCGTGCCAGGCACTGCTCCAGGCTCTGGGGATCCGGGTGGAAATACCTGCAATACCTTGATTGCTGGGGCTCAAACAAGGTTCGTTCCCTCCTCTGAGCTTTTCCTTTTTTCTTGTAGACAAGGTCTCACTTTTTTGCCCAGGCTGCAGTGCAGTGGTGCGATCTTGGTTCACTGCAGCCTCGACCTCCCAGGGCTCAGACGATCCTCCCACCTCAGCCTCTGGGGTAGCTGGGACCACAGGTGTGCGCCCCTACACCTGGCTAATTTTTGTATTTTTTATAGACGTAGGGTTTCAGCATGTTGCCAAGGCTGGTCTCAAACTCCTGGGCTCAAGTGGTCCGCCCACCTCGGCTTCCCAGAGTGTTGGGATTACAGGTGTGAGCCACCGCCCCCAGCCCCTTCCCCACTTTTTACACCGGTGAACTGCTCATAAAAATTCTTTCCTCTTCTCTCCCAGCTAAAGATCTCATATAAAGCAATAATCATTTGCCAGGTGACAGTCAATTAAAAGCCGGTTGTCACCTCCAGGCCACAGGTCCCTCGGGGCTCCCAGACAGAGAGGCTTAGGGCAGCCCCAACGGAGGGGCTGTCCTTCCACTGCTAAGCGGCTGCTGCAGTCAAGTGAGTGAGCGCTTCTTTGCTGGGTAATAAAAGCTCCCATTGTTCACAGCCCTGGAAACGTATTAATGAGTAACCCAGTGTGTGGGCCCCTGGTTCTAACCGGGTAAAAAGAGTTGTTTATATGACAGGAACAAGCTGCAATTTTCCTTTTGTAGTTTTCAGTGGGCCCAGAGCCACAGGCCAATCAAGGCCCTGACAACTAGATTTCTGCAGCCCTGGGCCCTCCTTGGGGCCTTGGCCTGAGGTCCCCACTGCCCTGCGGTTCAGAAACATTCAGTGCCAGACTCGCGGCTCAGCTCTGGGCACACAGAGCAGAGTCCGACCTTGGGCGCAGGAATCTAATGGTGTGCGTTGCAGAGGGGCGGGCTCACCAGGGCCCAGCAAGGGGGAGAGCTGGAAGCCTCATGGGGAGGGGACGCCTGGGCCAGGCTTGAAGAAGGGCAGGCCCCGGGGTGGGGGCTGTTGGGCCGCCTTGACCAAGCCCTTGTCTGCAAACAACCCCTGGGAAGTTGCAGGAACTGGCTCCTAAGCAACAGTGGGTTCAGGTGTCACCAGGGTCCAGAGCGGGGGGCCAGGCAGCGAACTCGGTGTTGCTGGGGACCCACTGTGCTTACCACGAAGGCCTGGCCAGTGATTGTGAAATGGGTGGGATGGATGAGTGAGTGGAGGCTGGAGCTTGGGCCGCCCATGGTGCTCTAAACGGGCCAGTGTTCGACTTCCTCATGGCCAGGGCATGTGGGTACAGGTTCAGGGCTGGGAGAGACTCCGCGGGTGGACGCTGGGGTCTTCACTGAGCCCTTTCCCACGACTGCTGTTGCCATGACAACATCGACACGCAAAGGCCGGGCCTTACCGCTTACAGTACACTTTCATTCTGCCCTAGGTTGAGCTGTAACTACCCTCCACCCCCATTCGTATGGTGAAGCCACTAGGACCTTAGGATGTGACCTTTGCTTTGGAAATAGGTGCCAGGTGCGGCGGCTCACGCCTGTCATCCCAGCCCTTTGGGAGGCTGAAGTGGGCGGATCACTTAAGGTCAGGAGTTCGAGACCAGCCTGGGCAACATGGTGAAACCCCGTCTCTACGAAAAGTACAAAAAATTAGCCGGGTGTGGTGGCGCATGCCTGTAATCCCAGCTACTCTGGAGGCTGAGGCAGGAGAATCTCTTGAACTCGGGAAGTGGAGGTTGCGGTGAGCCGAGATCGTACCACTGCACGCCCGTCTAGGTTACAAAGTGAGACTCTGTGTTGAAAAAAAATATATTAGCTTAGCTGGGTGTGTTGGTGGCGCCTGTAATCCCAGCTACTCGGGAGGCTGAGGCAGGAGAATTGCTTTAACCTGGGAGGTGGAGGTTGCAATGAGCCAGGATCGAGCCACTGTACTCCAGCCTGGGCAACAAGAGAGAGACTCCGTTTTAAAAAACAAAACAAAGAAATAGGGTTGCTGCTGATATAATTAGTTAAGATGAAGTTATTGGGACGGCCCCTAACCCAACATGACTGCTATCCTTATAAAAAGAGGAAATTTAGGTTGGGCATGGTGGCTCATGCCTATAATCCCGGCATTTAGGGAGGCTGAGGCAGGAGGATTGCCTGAGCCCAGGAGTTAAGGACCAGCCTGGGCAACATAGGGAGACTCCATCTCTACGAAAAATAGAAAAATTAGCCTGGTGTGGTGGTGTGTGCCTGTGGTCGCAGCTACTCAGGAGGCTGGGGTGAGAGGATCGCTGAGCCCAGGAGGTCGAGGCTGCAGTGAGTCGTGATCATGCCACTGCACTCTAGTCTGGGCAACAGAGCAATACCCTGTCTCAAATAAATAAATAAAAATAGTAAATTTGGACATGCGCAGGACACCATGGGAACGTAGGGGCCGAGACCAGGTGGTGCTTCTGCAAGCCAAGGAACCTCACAGGCTGGCGGCCCCCAGAAGCTGGGAGGCTGGGACTGTCCCCAGGGCCCCCACTCTGCCCACTGCTTGGACTCCAGACCCCAGGACTGAGAGCACATTCCTGTTGTTGAAGCTGCTCGGTGGTGTCACCTGGCTCCAGCAGCCGCAGGCAGCGAGTCCACAGGCTCTCCTGTCCCTCCTGTGCCGCCTTCCTCCCCGGATGGGCCCCGTGATGAGGTCTCTGTGCGATGGGGAAACCGAGGCCCCAGCAGACACCTGGGATGCAGAGACGCCGGCACCGCTATGTGTCCTCGGGCAATTCGCTGAACCTTTCTGGGCCTCGGTTTCTCACCAATTCCAAAAGCTGATTCTGCTACCGACTGCTGTGAGGGTCCCAGGGGACGGGAAAGCCCGGGCAGCGCCCACCGGGGCTCAGGAGCTTGCTGACTCCGAGGGGGTGGGGCCGGGCCTGGGCAAGGGGTGGGGCCGGGCCTGGGCAAGGGGCGGGGACGGGGCCTGCTCGACGTGCTCGGCGCTCCCGGGGTGCCTGCTCGGCGCTCCGCCGGCCGCCCTGCGTACGCTCGCAAGGCGCTCGCAGACTCCGGAGTCGCCAACATGTCGACCGCCATGAATTTCGGGACCAAGAGCTTCCAGCCGCGGCCCCCGGACAAGGGCAGCTTCCCGCTGGATCACTTAGGTGAGCGGCGGAAGGTCGGCGGGCAGGGGTCTGCGATGGGGGGTCTGGGTCGCGGCCCAGCGCGGAGCCCTATGGGGTGCCGGCATCTAGCGCGGTGCAGGCGGGGAAACTGAGGCACGGCGGCCCGCCCCTCCGCCCCACCCAGCCCTGGGTCACTGCTGCGGCATGGACCCTGCAGGTGGGAGCTGGCAGGACCGTGGCCCCCGTGACGAGGGCAGCGACACCGACTCCTTGCGTCAGGCTTCCGGGTCTCCGGCTCCGCCCTGACTCACCCGGCGGGCTGTCTGTGCCCCGGGTTTGCAGAGCGGGGCATTCGGCGGCCACGAAGCCCGCAGCTGCAGCCGAGGCTTAGACGGTGCCTAGCGATGTCTGCTGCAAAGCTCAAAAGTGCTGCTGATCTCCCAGTGCTTCTGGCCGTATTCCGGTGGGGTTGCCTCCGTGGACATGAAGGCTTCGAAAAAGGATCTGTGGGCCGGGCGCGGTGGCTCATGCCTGTGATCCCAGCCCTTTGGGAGGCCGAGGTGGGCGGATCATTTAAGATCAGGAGTTCGAGACCAGCCTGCCCAACATGGGGAAACCCCGTCTCTACTAAAAATACAAAAATTAGTTGGGTGTGATGTGGCTCGCCTGTAGTCCCAGCTACTCGGGAGGCTGAGGCAGGAGAATCGCTTGAACCGGGAGACGGAGGTTGCAGTGAGCCGAGATCGGGCCACTGCACTGCAGCTTGGGCGACAGAGTGAGACAACGTCTCAAAAAAAAAAAGAAAGAAAAGAAAAGAAAAACGATCTGTGAATTACTGTTTCTTTCCCAACATTTTATTGTGACATTTTCAAATAGCAAAAATGAAAGAATTTTTACCCTGAACTCTCCTGTGACCATCACCTACATTGCACCTTAACCTCGTACTGGGCTGACTTTACCTCGTTGTGGGTTTTTTCCATTGTTGTTTTCAGCATGTTTATGAAGGAAACAAGTTTGGGTTTGATTGTTTTTGTTTTGAGACACGGTCTCACTCTGTTGCTTAGGCTGGAGTGCAGTGGTGCAATCATAGCTCACTGAAGCCTCGGCCTCCTTCCTTTCTGGACTCAGGGGAGTCTCCCGTCTCATCCTCTAGAGTAGCTGGGACTATAGGTGTGCAGCGCCACACCCAGCTAATTTTTTTTTTTTTTTTTTTTTTAGAGATGGGGTTTCCCCATGTTGCCCAGGCTGGATTATTTATTTATTTATTTTTGAAATGGACTCTCACTGTGTCGCCCAGGCTGGAGTGCAGTGGTGTGATCTCGACTCACTGCAACCTCCTCCTCCCGGGTTCAAGCGATTCTCCTGTCTCAGCCTCTAGAGTAGCTGGGACTATAGGTGTGCAACACCACACCCAGCTAATTATTATTGTTTTTTTATTTTTTATTTTAAAGATGGAGTTTCCCCATGTTGACCAGGCTGGATCATTTATTTATTTATTTTTGAAATGGAGTCTCACTCTGTCACCCAGGCTGGAGTGCAGTGGTGTGATCTCGACTCGCTGCAACCTCCGCTTCCTGGGTTCAAGCAATTCTCCTGCCTCAGCCTCCCGAGTAGCTGGGACTACAGACACCCGCCACCATGCCCGGCTAATTTTTGTATTTTTAATAGAGATGGGGTTTCACCAAGTTGGCCGAGCTGGTCTTGAACTCCTGACCTCAGGTGATCCGCCCACCTCTGCCTCCCAAAGTGCTAGGATTACAGGCGTGAGCCACCGTGCCCAGCCTGGATTATTTTTAGGAGACAAGGTCTTGATCTGTTGCCCAGGCTGGAGTGCAGTGGTGTGATCAAGCTCACTGCAGCCTCGAAATCCTTTGCTCAAGCGATCTTCCTGCCTCAGCCTCCTGAGTAGCTGGAACCACAGACGTGCGCCACACCTAGCTAACTTTTAAGGTTTTTTTTGGTAGAGATGGGGGTCTCACTGTGTTGCCCAGGCTGGTCTCAAACTCCTGGGGTCAGGTGATCCTCTCAGAGTGCTGGGATTACAGGTGTGAACCACTGCGCCCGGCCTGAGGAAACAAGTTTTGAAAGGAAAAGCAGCGCAGCTCTTAAGGCTGTTGTGTGGTTGCATCACTTTTCACTCTGAAAAGAACATGCTGTTTTCTTTCTCGTTCTAGGTGAATGTAAAAGCTTTAAAGAGAAATTCATGAAGTGTCTTCATAACAATAATTTTGAAAATGCTTTGTGCAGAAAGGAATCAAAAGAATATTTAGAATGCAGGATGGAGAGGTGAGTACAGCTAAGCGTTATGATTTCCACCTCCCACTACTCCAATTAAAACTTTTTTTTTCCTGAAAGGCCATTACAGTGTGTCTTTTTCAGGCCTGGGATTCAGCTTGTGTTTTTCAGGACTGTGGAATTGTTTGCCCTTGAAATGGAGGCTTATCAGATGAAATTGTACCAAAAGCTGTTTCACAATCTTGGGAACCTCTTCTTGAGCGATAGCGTTATACATGATTGCATTCCTGAGAGCATTTTCTTTCCACATTTGGTTGCTACCGACCTGTCATTAAGGTTTCCAAATCGTGCATCATAATGCTGACTGAGTCAAAAGACCGAAGGTCGTGGGTACACAGTTTCTTTCTTTTGCATTCTCAGATGTTAAAAATATGCACTGGGTTGTTTTGCTCCACTTTGAGTTGTTGGGAATGTGACAGGGAGGACAATAGACTATTTAAGAAATGATGAAAGATGAATGATTCTTCCTGTCGTAACCAGAACTCACCAACGCTCACTTTTAAACAAAACAAACGCGTTCGTAGCTATGATCCCCACAGCTTTTACTTAAAATAAGAGCTATTCTAATCCCTTATGCAAAAAAAAGCATGTAGCATATAATTATATGATGGTAGTGGGAGCTTTTATTTTTGCTTTTCGAGGCCATGATTAGCTCACTAAGCATTTCGGTCTTCAGACAGCTGTGTCTGTGCTGAAGACAGGTTGACAATTCGCCCATCCACTTTGAGCTCTTTTCATGTTCCCATAACATACTCAGACATTTCCCTCAAGGCAAAAATCCGTTGTGCCTTTCCGGCCACACAGGTGTGTTCGGGGTTATTCGTGTGGACATTTGGGGCCGTAAGGATGATGGGCCTTCTCAGCGGTGTGGACTTCAGTGAGGCCACGTTCTGCCTTTGGGGCTGTCGCTTAGGCTCTTCCAGGGCTCACATTTGTCCAAGGGCCACACTGAATCTGTCTCTTACCATCTCTGATTGTTTAAGTAGCACGCTGGCTGGAGCCACGTGTTTAAATTAGTCTTAAATTAATGCATCTTTAGAAAACTGGAACTGAGAATTTCTCCATGGCGCTGCCAAGCTTTAGAGACGGTGTGAATTGAGCTGTGTTCATGTGAGGGTGTGAGCAGGCCTCCTGCCTCATGCTCAGCTTCCCCTTGAGACTCCCGAGGACAGCTGGGAGGAAGGGAGCCAGGGCCAGTGCCTCAGGTGGTCTCGCAGATTGGCCAGGCAATGTTTAGGCAAATGTTCAGGGCATGTGTTCTGATTTCATTGTTTTTTTATTTTTATTTTTATTATTTTTTTGAGACGGAGTCTCACTCTGTCGCCTGGGCTGGAGCGCAGTGGCATGATCTCAGCTCACTGCAAGCTCCGCCTCCCGGGTTCACCCCATTCTCCCACCTCAGCCTCCCGAGTAGCTGGGACTACAGGCGCCTGCCACCTTGCCCGGCTAATTTTTTGTATTTTTAGTAGAGACGGGGTTTCACCGTGTTAGCCAGGATGGTCTGGATCTCCTGACCTCATGGTCCGCCCACCTCGGCCTCCCAAAGTGCTGGGATTACAGGCGTGAGCCACTACGCCCAGGCTTTTGTTGTTTTTTGTTTTTGTTGTTTTTTTTTTCTTTTTAAAAATTCTGCTCTTTCTATAAGGTCAGTTATTTTGACCGTAGAATTTCGATTGGTTATTTGTTCATGAAAATCATCAAACATACAGAAGTTGAGGAGTCTACCTCCCATAACCGGCACCCACCCTGTTTTTAGCCATTTCTTTTCTTCCTTTTTCCTTCTGTGCTAAAATCCTAGACATTACTTTACTCCAACCTCCGTGTGTGTCTGTTTTAGAAAATGGACCACAATGGAGTTTTTAAAGTTGTCTCTTGAGGACTTGGACCATGTTTGCCTGATGTGAAAATATAGGTGTGTTTCAGATGACCACCGTGGTCTGAGATCTCAAGCCTCTGCAGTGATTTAGAAGTTCGCGTCCTGTCCTGGGGATTAGTTTTAGGCACCGGGTGTCACACAGACACGCTGGTGGAGCAGCCTCACCCGCTGCCAGCAGCACAGAGTGTGTGGGGGCCTCATGGGATGATGGCTGGGCCTCCTGGCTGGGTTGTGGGGAGGGTAAAGGAGGCCATCCCTGTAAAGCACGCAGCAGGATCGGGGGGCATGTCACCATGTGTGAGTTCACATGATAGTAACTATTGTCCTGAAGAGTGTGGGGCCCATAAAGAGTCATGCTGAGTCGTGAATTTCACGCCTCTAAGATGGCTGCACTGCGATAAACAGCTGGGAATTATTTTGGCAAGAAGTGGTGGCTCACATCTGTAGCCCCAGCACTTTGGGAGGCCAAGCAGGAGAATCACTTGAGCTCAGGAGTTCAAGACCAGCCTGGGCAACATAGTGAAACCCTATATCTACAAAAAATTTCTTTAAAAATTAGCTGGCTGGGTGCAGTGGCTCACGCCCGTAATTCCAACACTTTGGGAGGCTGAGGTGGGCAGATCACTTGAGGTCAGGAGTTCAAGACGAGCATGGTGAGACCCCATCTCTACTAAAAATATAAAAATTAGCCAGGCATGGTGGCAGGCGCCTGTAATCCCAGCTACTTGGGAGGCTGAGGCAGGGAGAATTGCCTGAACCCGGGAGGTGGAGGTTGTAGTGAGCCGAGATCATGCCGCTGCACTCCAGCCTGGGCAACAGAGTAGGACTCCGTCTCAAAAAAAAAAAAAAAAAAAAATTAGCTGGCCGGGCAGTGTGGCTCATGCATGTAATCCCAGCACTTTTGGAGACCAAGGTGGGTAATCACATGAGGTCAGGAGTTCGAGACCAGCCTGACCCATATGGTTAGACACCGTCTCTACTAAAACTACAAGAATTAGCCGGGCGTGGTGATGTGCACCTGTACTCCCAGCTACTCAGGAGGCTGAGGCACAAGAATCACCTGGACCTGGGAGGCGGAGGCTGCAGTGAGCCGAGATTGCACCACTGCACTCCAGCCTGGGCAATAGAGCGAGACTGTTTCTGGGAGAAAAAAAGAAATTAGCCACGCATGGTGGCATACACCTGCAGTCTCAGCTACCCAGGAGGCTGAGGCGGGAGGATCACTTGAGCCCAGGAGTTCAAGGCTGCAGTGAACTTGAACCGCTGATCACACCACTGCATCCCAGCATGGGAGACAAAATGAGACCCTGTCTCTTAAAAAAAAAAAAAAAAAAAAAAATATCAGATAACTGTCGACCTGAGTCTCAGTTCCATCTGGGTGGATGGCAGCCTGAGGTCTCCTCTGCCAGGGTGCCGTGGACAGTGGCAGGCACAGGTTCCAGGGATTAGGGCGTGAACACCTTTAGGGGTCATTATCCTGCCAATCAAAGCAAGTCTGAGAGGTCAGCGTGAAGCTGTTGTCCAGATACATCTTTTAGCAGGACGTGGGGAAGTGTTGTGTGCTGGGGGCAGCGGGTGCAGCTGCCCCTCTTGGACATCCCAAGAGGCCCCAGGCCTTAGGCCCTGGGACGTCTCTAGGTGGTCATGTCCTCATTGTCCTGTTGACTCTGCCCAGTGGGGAAGGCACCAGCCACGGGGGCCGAGGCCGAGGGGCCACTCTCCCAGGACATAGATGGAGGTGGCAGGACCCCCGGTGTGCGCTGGGAAGCCGGGGCCTGCAAGGGCCCCTCTTGTCCTCTCTGCACCTCCCGCCCTGACAGCTTTCTCTTTTTCTTTTAGAAAATTGATGCTACAAGAACCATTGGAGAAACTGGGATTTGGAGACTTGACTAGTGGAAAATCAGAGGCAAAAAAATGAATTTTGATGAGAAGACCCCTGGGCCGTGTTCAGTGGTCTCTCAGGACGGAGGGCATCATCCTGCCTCTTAGGTTGGCTGAGGCCTGCGTGTGGTGTCCTTAGAAATGGGCTTCGAATAGAAGCTCCAGCCCTGTGGGGGCGTCTCCTGGGTAGGGAGTGGCGTCCCGTTTTCCCTTAGGAGGGTGTTTCTGCATTGAACCCCTGAGTGGGACGGCGTTCCCGGCAAAGCTGGGAGGGAGGCGAGCGTGGGGCAAGACCCTTGTCTTCGAGGCCGGGGCCCTCTTGTATGGGGCGGTTTTATGTTGCAGTCCTCTGATACTTTCTGAGTTCAAAGAGGTAAATGTATAAATTTCAGTCCCTTCTGAACACAGATATCATCAGAAAATTACCATTCCCTAGCAGGATGTTTTCGTGTTTGTATTCGTATATGCCAGTTCATTTCCTTTGAAAAAAAAAAAAAGTGGAACACAAAGTAGGAAGTGAGAACCTTCTGGCTTTGGATGGATTGACTTCTTGATTCTTTCTGGTTTTGCCTGAACACCAAGTAGCTTCATAATCAAAGGGTCATTTTCTGGTTTGTATCAGACCGTATTTATAAAGTTGGGTATTTAATTTCAGTAACTCCTGTATTTTAACAGAAAAAGAACCTGAGTCCATTTGCAGTTAGGCTCGCACCAGCTGTCTTCTGTGCCAGCCAGCTCCGCCCGAGACCCCGGCACGTGTTCGCAGCACAGCCTGGCAGGGGCCCTGAGCGGAGTTCTCAGCCCGTCTGTGCCAAAGTTGCCTGTGGGTCACGGAAACCCGGCCCATGTCCACCCAGTGCGTCAGGCCAGCCGGGGCCCAAACCTGTGGATGGAACGCAGGTGCCTGCACATCTGGGGCCTCAGCCAGACCTGTCTCCTTCCCAGGCACTGTCGGAAAGGGGCTGGCTCCTGTCTGGTCAGTGGAGGATGGTGGCAGGAGACGGGGTGGGGAGGTCCAGGTCACGTCCTCTCTGGCGACCCTGGCAGTGGCTGTCTCCAAGCCCTGGCAGGTGGGGCCACCAATCTGGCCGACCTCAGGCTCTGGGAAACAGGCTGCCCTCGTCCCTCTGCCTGTGGGTGGCTGAGGCTTCTCAGCCCATCTCCAGTTCTCTGCAGCAAAGGCCCTCTGTTTCTGTCCTGCAGTGGTGGCCCTTTCGTGGTTAAACATGTCCCTCCCCTCCTCACAGAACTGAGTACCTATTGCGGCTGGGCCCGCCCAACCCTGTGTCCCTGCACCCATGGGTTCTACCACCTGATTCGGCTGCAGCTGTCACTGTCCCGTGTCTGCTCTCTGTCAGGCCTCTGAGTGCTGCAGACGTATTAACATATCACCGCTAGTTGATGGAAAGTCTTGTTTCTTATTAGAATATTTTGTGTAGGCACAGGGTTGCCCCAGCACTGTCTATAGCAACCCCAGTGTCCTCACAGTGCACGTGAGCCGTGACGCAGCCACCGTGGAGTCGGCGCTGACGCGGTGTGGCCACGTGCCATGAGCTCGCCAACGCAGTGCGGCTATATGGCGTGAGCTTACTGTGAAGTGGAGACAGGCAGGGACACAGGAAACTACAAACGAGAAATCCAGAAGGAGGAGCTGGAACTGATGGGCATAGCCGGCCGCGAGCCCCTCCGAGCACCCCTGGGGGTGGAGTTCTGGCTGTCATGGCAGAGGGTTTCACATGCTCAAAAAGTAAATGAACCAGGATGTGAGGGGAACACAACAGACCATGCCGACGGAGCTCCCGGGCCCAGGCCGGGGCCTCTTCCCATCGCACTCTGACCCGCCGTCGGGAGTGCCCAGGCCCGGGTCGGGCCTGCCTCTCCGCTCGCACCGCACTCTGACCCATCAGGAGTGTGGGGAAGACCGTCGACCAAAGGTGGGAAAGACAGGAAAGATACTGTACTCTAAGTAGTAAATTTGTTTTTTGCGTGGACGATTCTGAAGCTGTATTCTGAGATGGAAAAAACTAGAAATACATCGTGGATGATGAGAGCCAGGTGTATTGAGCTCCTGCTTTTCTAACGTACAAAGGTAACTGGATAGAGAAACGGAGTGATCGCCCTCACCTGGCCAGGGTGTGCTCCGAGACCCCAGCAGGTGCCGAAGCCGCGGATAGTCCCGAATCCTGTCCAGGCGCTGTTTTTTCCTGTACGTACCTGTGATCAAGTCTGAGATGTGACAGCAAAACTGACAGAACTTCGTGCTTCCCTCTTCAAAATGTCACAGATGGGCACTGTGTTCTTACCGGAGATCTTAGCAACCTCGGCATCTGGCTGTTTTTCTTATAGGTCAGGAGTTTCCACCTTTTCCCTTAAAGGAAGCGCTTGGCAGCTTCTCTGGTGTGTCTGAGTCGCCAGCATCACCACTGTCCTGTTCTGGGGCCATTCTTAAGTAAAATAAAAGCTTCTTGGACCCAAGCACCACATCACCGCGATGGCTGGTCTGATCACCGAGATGGCTGCTGAGTGCCTGGCAGGCAGGGTGGCGTGGATGGCCCGAAACGCTGGACGGAGGGAGGGTTGATGTCCCAGCAGGACGGCTGCTCAGAACAGCACAGAATCAAAAACTCATGAATGGTTTATTTCTGGAATTTTCCACTTAGTATTTTTGGACTGTGGCTGACCATGGGTAACTGAAACCGTGTGTAAGGGGGACTGTTGTGAGGGGCTGTGCACAAATGCTTCCCAGCTCTTGAGGGCCTGGACGCAGTGACCCGTGCACTCAGGGTCTTGGCCCTGATACCATTCTGTAACCAAAAGGAACCAGGGCCAGGCCAGAGAAGGTATCAGATGAGCTAGAGAGTGAAGAATTGCTGGGATGAGGAGACTTGTTGAAATAACACGGGGGGATGGGAAGGAGCATACGGTGGCCAGCCTGGGGCAGTGTGAGCGTGAAAATAAACAGGCTGGGCGCAGCGGCTCACGCCTGCAATCCCAGCACTTTAGGAGGCCAAGGTGGGAGGATCACTTGAGGCTAGGAGTTCAAGACCAGCCTGGGCAACATGGGTGAAACCCTGTCTCTACAAAACAAGAAAAGTCAGCCGTGCGTGGTGTCACCCGCCTGTAGTCCCAGATACTCAGGAAGCTGAGGCAGGAGGATCACTTGAGCCAGAGGTTAAGTCTGCAGTGAGCTGTGATTGTACCACTGCTCTCCAGCCTGAGCAACAGAGCCGGACCCTGTCTCACCAAAGGAAAAAAAAAAAAAAAAAAGAAAGAAAATTAATTATTGTAATGGGCTGTAGCCCTCAGAATAAATTGATATCCAGTAGTCTATACAACATAAGTAATTGCGTAAACATGTCAGTGGGGGGAGGGCCAGGTCTGTCTTATTAATTCTAATATAGAAGAAATTTTGGGAACAGGAAACTGCTGTTGCAGAAACCACACTGGTGACAGGTGCAGATTACAACCCTCAGCGGGCCGGGCGCCAGTGGCTCACGCCTATAATCCCAACACTTTGGGAGGCCGAGGCAGGCAGATCACTTGAGGCCAGGAGTTCAAGGCCAGCCTGGCCAACATGGAGAAACCCTGTCTCTACTAAAAATACAAAAATTAGCTGGGGCTGGTGGCGTGTGTCTGTAATCCAGCTATTCGGGAGGCCGAGGTGGGAGAATTGCCTAAACCAGGAGGCAGAGGTTGCAGTGAGCAGGGATTGTGCCACCACACTCCAGCCTGGGCGACAGAACCGTCTCAAAAAAAAACCCTCAGTTGCCATGAAGTGAGTGGTGACGTGTGGTGTGAAGCAGGTGTCTGCTGTCTTGAGAAACCTCCCCTTGAGATGCATAGTGACCTCCGAGGAGACAGTCATGTCACAGCAGAACGGCAGAGGCCCCCTTAACCCAGCAGCCACCGCCGGGAGCGAGCCGCACAGGCCGCACCGACCTGGGGGCGTCCCTGAGGGCACGGTATCACCTCTGGTTCTCTTGCCCAACTGCATGGCCTGAATGTAATCCCAAGGAGACAACAGACACAGACCCAAACCGAGGAGCCTTCTGCGAAGTGACTGGCAGCGCTGGCCCAGTGTTATGTAAGATGTTATTTGGGGAACTGGGTATACACACTGTCCTATTTTTGGAACTTTTTGGAAGTCTGAAATTATTTTGAAATGAGGAAAAAAAAATATGCTTTGTATGAAACTATAGTGGAATAGATTGAGTCGATTCTCGTTTCAAAATAACTTCAAAGAGTTTCCAATAGGCATGATGCCGGCATGAATGGTTTCAGCAGGTCACAGGCAGAGAAGCCGGAATCCCAAAATAGCGCCATTGTGTGGACAACCTGACTCCTTACAAACGTGCAGTGGCTTCCCAACGCTGCCTTTGAGTTTCTGGGTCTGGCTGCTGAATGTGTTGTGCTTAAGAATCCAGACACCCTGCTGTTCCTGCCAGAGCTTCTCACGAGATATTTCGGGTAGTTCATCATCTGTCATGTGCAGAATGCATTTTATTTCTCATAGACGCTTGTCATGATAAGCTGGCCACATTATTAAAAGGCTCCCAAAGACAATTTCCAGAGCGTTTTCCAAGCGTTCCCCTTGGGCATGAGGTAAACCGGAGGTAGCGTGGTCGCAGGCCTGGCCCGGTGTGGCTTCCCAGGAGGGGAGGTCTGACCTGGAGGCCCAGAGCCCCCCAGGGTCGGGTCTGCAGCCCCAGGGCTGATGCGTGGGGCCTCGTTTGCACAGGCCGTGTAGCCGGAGCTCAGCACTGGACCTGTTCCACCCAGGCCTCAGGAGCAAGGCAAACTGACTTCCTGAAGCTTCCTGTATCGGTTCCTCTGGCCACAGTAACAGATTACTGCAAGCCCAGCGGCTTAGAGCACCGCAAGCATTACTATTCCAGAGCAGAGTCCAAAAGGGGCCCAGGCCAGACACGATGGCCCACACCTGTCATCCCGGCAGTTTGGGAGGCCAAGGTGGGAGGATCGCCTGAGGCCAGGAGTTTGAGACCAGCCCTGGCAACGTAGTGAAACCCTGTCTCTACAAAAAAAAAAAAAAAATTGTTTTTAACTTACCCTGGTGTGGTGGCATGCACCTGTAGTCCCAGCTACTCAGGAGGCTGAGGCAGGAGGATCGCCTGAGCCTGGGAAATAGAGGCTGCAGTGCACAATGATGGCACCACTGCACTTAAGCCTGGGAGACAGAGCAAGACCCTGTCTCAAATTACAAACAGCCCAACAGGGCTGTGTCCTCTCGGCAGGCTCTGGGGGGAACCGTTTCCCGCCTCGGCAGGCTCTGGGGGGGAACCGTTTCCCGCCTCGGCAGGCTCTTGGGGGGAACCGTTTCCCGCCTCGGCAGGCTCTGGGGGGGAACCGTTTCCCGCCTCGGCAGGCTCTGGGGGGAACCGTTTCCCGCCTCAGCGGGCTCTGGGGGGAACCGTTTCCTGCCTTCTCTGGAGTCGAGGCACCTCAGTCAGGGCTGGGACTTGGTCCAACCTCCAGCCAGCAGTGCAGCCCCTTCCGATCCCTCCGACCCCTGCCCCTGTGCTCCTGTCTCTCCGGCTCTGACCTCCTGCCTCCCTCTCAGGACCCTTGGAACTGCACCGGGTCCTGCTAATCCTGGACCATCCCCATCTTGGTCCCAAACAACCCGATCTGCCATGTAAGCACCATGTTCACAGGTCCCAGGGGCCAGGATGCAGACATCTTCAGGGACATTTTTCTGTCCCCACACCTGGTTGTGAGGCGTGTGGGTGGCTCAGTCTTGGCCCGGGGCGGCAGCAGGTCCGTCTGGTCCCCTCGTGGCTCTGGACGGCTGTGCACCTCGACAGGTGTCCCCACTCAGAGGGGAGGCTGGGGGCTTACTCATCCACTCTGAAGAGCCAGGGGGTGGGGGTCATCCCTGAGGGCAGTGGGGTTGGTCTGCGGGGCCGCCTGCCAGACAGGGCCGGGCAGAGCGTGGTGCTTTGGGGCGGGGGATGGGAGCCCACCCCTCTTAGCCTGCAGGGGCTGCGTGACTTTGGAGGAAGCAGAAGCGCTGTGGTGGGGGTGGCCCCTGCTGGACGGCGGCAGCACCACAGCACCCTTGAGGGCCACCTGCAGAGGCAGAGCCAGGTGCGTAGCTGTCGGCTGCGGCGGGGACGGTGGCTTGTGCAGTTAGGCCCGTGCTCCAGGAGCCACAGGCTAGGGCCAGGGTCGTGTGTCCTGAAGCCCCAGGCCTTCCTGACTGGGCAGCCCCCTCCTACCACCTGCCCCCGCTGACACCTGCCTGCCACCACCCTCAGCCCCCCACTCACCCCCCACCACTCCTGCCAGCTCAGTTTTCAGGGGATTTGGAGACCCAGATGTGGCCCAGATCAGGGCAGCACAGGGCAGGTGCCTATGAAGTGTGGGGTTCAGTGAGGGGCTGCAGGGGCTGAGCCAGAGCCTGGGCGGGGCAGGGGTCTCCCCACTGGTGGGGGCTGCAATAGGGGCTGGGGGAGGATGGTCCAGGTAGGGGCCCTTTGGGCAGCAGAGCCACAGACCCTCCCTGGGGTCCCAGCTCTTCTCAAGGCAGACATGGGAAGGCACCAGCCCTCATGGGCGTCCACTGGGGTAGGGATCCTGCTTCACCGAGGCCTCTCTTTGAGAGGAGTGGTCTGGACGTGGGGCTGGCGGGGCTGGGATTCTCTGAGGCCACCAGTGCAGATACCAATCCCTGTGTCACAGACCACCCCAAACTCAGGGCCTCACACAGCATCTTCCGGCTCCCACGCCTGTGGCTCTGGGGCTAGCTGGGCTCAGCCGGGTGGTTCACACGCAGGTGTGACGAGGCTGGAGTCACTGAGCTCTGCCCTCCAGGGGAGGGTTCCAGCCCCTGGGCGGGCAGGGCTGGGCCCAGCACCTCTGTTCCTGGGCTCTGTCCGCGTGGCCTCTGCAGCGTGGAGGCTGCAGGGGAGCCCAGCTGTGTATGTGGAGGCGGGGCAGGGGCGAGGGGCAAGGCAGAAGCCGCATTCTCCTGTGACCCCATGTCAGAGGTTATAGGCCACTGTCCTGAACGGGCCGGGACGGTCACGGCCCCTTGCCCACATTGATCCTGCATGGGCCGGGACGGTCACGGCCCCTCGCCCACATTGATCCTGCACGGGCCGTGACGGTCACGGCCCCTCGCCCACATTGATCCTTCACGGGCCGGGACGGTCACAGCCCCTCGCCCACAGTGGTCCTGCACGGGCCGGGACGGTCGCGGCCCACATCGCAGGTGGGAGTGAGAGGAGTGTTACGTGTTAAACACACTGTGGGGAGGAGGGGTCAGGGAGGGGAGGGAACCGCTGGGAGAGGATAGGTGTGTAGATGGTGGATAGAGATGATGGCGGTGACGGATGATTCTCAGATGGCAGATAAACAGATGACAGAGGTAGAGGACAGGGAGACTGCTTGATGATGGATAAACAGAGATGACAGGTCATATAGACACAGATGACAGATCGCACAGATAGATGATGGACGGATGGACAGAGGGGGATGGTGAGGGTGGGGGGCACAGTCAGGGCCCCTTGGGAAAGGCAAGCCCCGTCTGAGATGGCCTCCGCCTTTCCTGACGCGCGTCCATGCCTCCCTCTCTGTGAGGCTCTGGGGCTTCTCCAGCCTGATTCTGCAGGGTGCTATCTCGTGCCTGCCTCTGGCACAGACAGGCCTGTGGCTCATTCCCGCAAAAGCCCCCATGAGATGGGTGACTCAGCCTCAGTCTCCCTGTCTGCTAAAGGCATATGGTATCAGCCCACCTGGGCACTGAGGGCTGGAGTGGACTCTGGTGTGGGCGGAGGATTGTGCCAAGGCAAGAGACTGAAGGCACAAACTGTTTCAGTATAATAAAGAAGATAGTTAGAATAAGAATAGTCATAATACAAATTAGACATACAGATGATCATGGACAATTATCAATCATGATTATAAACATTATTAATCATTAGCTTTTAATGTTACTCTTTGTCGTATTACTAACATAACCTAGGAATAACCGGCGGACATAGCGTCAGGTGCTGAAGGGACATTGTGAGAAGTGACCTAGAAGGCAAGAGGTGAGCCCTCTGTCACGCCCGCATAAGGGCCGCTTGAGGGCTCCTTGGTGAAGCGGTAACGCCAGTGTCTGGGAAGGCACCCTTTACTTAGCAGACTGCGGAAGGGAGTCTCCTTTCCTTGGAGGAGTCAGGGAACACTCTGCTCCACCAGCTTCTTGTGGAAGGCTGGATATTCTCCAGGCCTGCCCGCAGTCATCCGGAGGCCTAAACCCCTCCCTATGGTGCTTCAGTGGTCACACTCCTTGTCCGCTTTCACGTTCCTCCCGTACTCCTGGTTCCTCTTTGAAGTTCGTAGTAGATAGCGGTAGAAGAAATAGTGAAAGTCTTAAAGTCTTTGATCTTTCTTGTAAGTGCAGAGAAGAAAATACTGACATGTGCTGCCTTCTCTCTCTGCTTCAGCTACCTAAGAGGGAAGGGACCCCTGTCCTGTGATCACGTAACTTGCTTCACCTTGTCAATCACTTAGAATATTCGCTCTCCTTACCCTGCCCCCTTGTCTTGTATGCAGTAAATATCAGCGCGCCCAGCCGTTCGGGGCCACTACCGGTCTCCGCGTCTTGATGGTAGTGGTCCCCCGGGCCCAGCTGTTTTCTCTTCATCTCTTTGTTTTGTGTCTTTATTTATTACAATCTCTTCTTGTCTCTGCACACGGGGAAAACACCCGCTAAGCCCCGGAGGGCTGGACCCTACACTCTGGGGCAGAGTCGGCCTCATGGGCTCAGCCCATGCAGCCAAGCAGGAAGAGCTGCTGGATTCTTATTTAAACACGAGAGAAACGGCCTTCAGAACGAGAACTTGCATGCACAGGGCTCACGTGAACGGCACGTCCTGCGTGTGACCGCACCCGCCATCCGACCCTCTGTGCCTGGCTCCTGTCAGTTCCCACAGCACCCGCCATCCGACCCTCTGTGCCTGGCTCCTGTCAGTTCCCACAGCACCCGCCATCTGCTCCTCTGTGCCTGGCTCCTGTCACTTCGCACAGTGTGTTCAAGCTTCGCCTGTGTCGTGGTGTGTTCACGGCTGAGTCGCACTCTGTGGTGGGCACAGACCACTCTTGGCTTATCCACCCATCAGCTGGTGGACGTGTGGGCTGTCTGCATTTGGGACTGTTCTGAGTAACGCTGGCTGGGCATGACGGCTCACGCCTGTAATCCCAGCACTTTGAGAGGCTGAGGCAGGTGGATCACCTGAAGCCAGGAGCTCAAGATCTGCCTGGGCAACGTAGCAAGATACAAAAAACCCCACAAAACTTAGCTGGGCATGGTGGCGCACACCTGTATTCCCAGCTACTCGGGAGGCTCAGGAGGGAGAATTGGCTTGAGCCTAAGAAGTTGAGGCTTCACTGAGCTATGATTGCACCACTGTACTCCAGCCTGGGTGACAGAGCAAGACCCTATCTTGAAAAAATAAATAATAAGGCTGGGCGCTCATGCCTGTAATCCCAGCATTTGGGGAGGCCGAGGCAGGCGGATCACGAAGTCAGGAGTTTGAGACCAGCCTGATCAACATGGTGAAACCCTCGTCTCTGTTAAAAATACACAAATCAGCCAGGCGTGGTGGCTCACACCTGTGATCCCAGCTACTCAGGAGGCTGAGGCAGGAGAATTGCTGGAACCCGGGAGCGGAGGTTGCAGTGAGCCGAGATCATGCCACTGCACTCCAGCCTGGGTGACAGAGCGAGACTCTATCTCAAAAGAAAAAAAAAAAAAAGAGAAAAGGAAAGATGCTGCTGAGAACACTCGTGTCCAGGTGCGTGTGGACGTGTTTTCTGCCGTCCTCGGGCGCATACCGGGGAGTGGGTTTCCAGGGTCCCACGGTAGCTCCATGCCAGCCCGTTTTCCAGGGCGGCTGCACCGTCTTACACCCACCAGCGCTGTGGGAGGGGCCAGCTTCCCCCATCCTCACCGGCACTGTCTGTCTGTAAATCCTAGCCTCCCTCCACCGGCCCCCCGCCAGGTCTTCACTGCATCCTGGTGTGATTGGCATTTCCCTGACGACTAATGGTGCTGAATATTTCCGGTGCCTGTCGGCGGCTGTGTGTCTTCCTTGGGGACGCATGTGTTCAGATTCTTTGCCCTTTTTTTAATTGGTTCACTTGCCTTTTTATTACTGAGTTGTATGGGTTCTTTATAAGTAACTGTTTCTTGAGGCTGCACCAATTTGGGTGTGAACTTTGTAAACACTACTGCCCGATGGTCGCTGCGGAAAGGGGCCAGGGCTGGTGGGGGGAGAGCACCTCCCGGGGTCCCGCGTCGGGTCTGGGCCTCCTCCCCATGCCAAGTGCGTGATTCCGGCCCCCGAGGACCCTGCTGGTCCCAGGCCTCAAGAGATGGCACCTGGGGAGACCTGGGCCGTGACTGGAGTGGTCAGGCCAACGCCAGCTGCCCAGCGGGGGAGGAAAGGATGGGGGATGGCAGGACCCCTGCCCGGGCGCAGTGCCCAGCTCCATACCTGCCACCAGCCCGTCGGTTATGGGGATGGCTCTCCACGACCCCCTTCTCCACTCCAGACCCCATCTCTGTTTGGAAAACCAAGCAAAAGATATGTTCAAATGCCCCAAAACCCAGTAAGCCAACCTGTGCACCCACCTCCATGGCATGACATCTTGGGGAGGCCCCTGAGGACTCCCTGCTTCCAAAGGGGTTTCCGGGTCTAGCCCCACTCCCAGAAAATTGTGCTGAGACCACCTCTGGTCCTGGGTGGTTCCCCCTCCCCTGCATTTCGGGGCGCAGTGGCTATTTCTGGGGAATCCCCGTGTCTCCTTTAAGCCCCTCCTGAGCAGAGCTCTTTAGGATCCGTATGCTGCTGAACTCCTACTCCAGGTGCCCGAGGGGTGGCAGGGCCCTCACAGCAGTCAGAAGGCCCAGGAGGGTCTGCGCAGGGCCAAAGGCACGTCGCAGAGGACAGGGTGGAGGCCACAGCCAGTGGGCTTCCCTGGAGGGGGCCGGCCACATGGGGGCCCAACATCACGACCCCCATCCCCACAGCTGAGGCAGGTAGAGCCAGGAGCTGCCCACCCCTGCGCTGAGCCTGGATGTTGAAGACCCCTGCTTGGCCTGCAGGGCGGCCTACTGAGCTCACGGCCATCGTGCCAGACGCTGTCCAAGCGCAGATAATTTGACTGAATTAGCCCCGGCCCCTGTGCGGGGTGGAGAGGGAAGTGAACCTCCACAACCTCCCCTCCCCTGAGGCAGCTCCTGGTTGAGCAAGCTCGGCTGACTGTTGGGCAAGATGGTCGCAGAGCAGGGCCCAGCCCGGCCTCAGTCCATTTGCCCCTTCCCTGGGGAGAGCCCCCTTCTGCCTGTGCTGAGAGGCTCACCCCGCAGCTGCAGGCCTGGGAGGAGCCAGCTTCCAATCAAAGTCGCCTGCTGGCCTACCACGCGCAGGCCCCGTGCTCAGGCGACGCTGGAGGAGCTCGCCCTGCTCTCGGGAGCCCCCTGCCCAGGGTCTGCTGTGTGGCCGAGTGGTCACAGGAGGCGGCTGCCTCTGGCTCTGGACTAGGGAGATGCTTGAGGAATGAGTGTCAGGGTCCCTGGTGCAGCCGTGCGGGTCAGTGACAAGGGGCAGGAGGCTCAGCAGAGCTTGTAGGCCACTGGGCATGAGCAGGAGCAGGCACGCCGCCTGTCCAGGCCCCTCGCCAGCCGCTGCTGGCCGGAACAGCCTTTGACCAGCACTGGTCTGGGTCTGGCCCACCCTGAGCTATGCTGTTACCTTCCGGATTCTTCCTGAGTCCTGGGCTCCCCTACTGCCCCGCCCAGCCCTGACCACAGCCAGTCAGGGCAGCAGGATTTCAGGACGGCTGTGCTCTCGGGTCCAGGCAGGTACTTGCGGATCTCGGCCGAGCAGCCTCCTCTTTGGAAGAATCCCCCTCAGCCCCGACATCTCTTAGATCTGAGGGGTTCACCCACCTCTGTCTCATCCTCACGCCCTCCTGCCCCCCGAGCAATGCCACAGTTCCCTTAGCGGGATGGAAGGACAGAGAAGGCAAGACACTCGCCTGCTGGAGCTGCCCCACGGAGGAGGCCCCGGAACAGCAGGCAGTAGATGGCCTTGGCTTGTGCCAGAAGCTCTGGCCTGTTGGGCACCGGCTCCCCTGAGGCCTCCCTGCTGCCTTTTCTATGCCTTGTATGATGGCCTCCCCGTCTTTGGGGACCTTGGGTAACGGCTATGTTAGGGTGTGTTGCTTTGTTATATTGTTTTATGTATATTCCAGTCCTGAGGTGTGTGGCCTCCAGCAAGGGATCGAACCTCCCCGTGCCTCAGTCTTCCCAGCTGAAAATGGGGCTTTAATAAGAAAATACATGTCGGCCGGTCGCGGTGGCTCACGCCCATAATACCAGCACTTTGGGAGGCCTAGGCAGGCGGATCACGAGGTCAGGAGATCGAGAGCATCCTGGCTAACACGGTGAAACCCCGTCTCTACTAAAAATACAAAAAAATTAGCCGGGCGTGGTGGCATGCACCTGTGTCCCAGCTGCTGGGGAGGCTGAGGCAGGAGAATGGTGTGAACCCGGGAGGCGGAGCTTGCAGTGAGCCGAGATCGCACCACTGCACTCCAGCCTGGGTGACAGAGCAAGACTCTGTCTCAAAAAAAAAAAAAAGAAAAAAGAAAATACACGTCAAGCCAGGCGTGGTGGCTCAGGCCTGTAATCCCAGCACTTTCAGAGGCTAAGGCAGGCAGATCACGTGAAGTCAGGTGTTCGAGACCAGCCTGGGCAACATGGTGAAACCCTGTCTCTACCAAAAAATAAAAATATACCTGGGCATGGTGGCACCCATTTGTGGTCCCAGCTACTCAGGAGGCTGAGGCAGGAGAATCACCTGACCCCAGGAAGCAGAGGTTGCAGTGAGCTAAGATCGTGCCACTGCACTCCAGCCTGGGCGATAGACCAAAACCCTGTCTCAAAAAAAAAAAAAAAAAAAGGAAAAAAAGAAAAGAAAAGAAAAGAAAATAGAAAATACAAGTCAGGCTATTTCTCCTAATACCTAGTGCTGAGCTGCTGCTATTAATGTTCGTCTGTCTTTATTAGGCGACATTCTCCAAGCTCATGCTGTGTGGTGGATTCCGAGCCTGGCACAGGGACCCAGAGATGAAAATGCCACCTGTCCCCACCCCAAAGCCTCCCGTCTGAGGGAGGAGAAAGACCCATGTGAACGGTTACAGGGAAAGAGCACGTGATGCCACAGGGCACAGATCCCAGAGACACAGACCAAAACGGGCTGCCGCGTTCTGCTTCAGGTAGACAGAGCTTAAGCAGCTCCATGATTCCACGTCAGCTGGAGCAGGGGGACAGGTGCCTTTGGTGGCACTCTGGTCAGTGCAGCCTCAGTGGAGGCCATTCCACATCCCATACCATTGCCCCAGCGATGCCACTTTGAGAGCAAATCCACACAAAACTCTTGCAAAGATGAGGTTGTGTAGACCATGATTCTGATGCATTCAAAACGCTCTAAATGCCCCTATGCCAGTGACTGGGTGAACAAGTCATGGTTCAGTTGAACTTTTTTTGAGTTTGTTTGTTTGGTTTTTTTTTTTTTTTTTTTTTTTTGAAACGGAGTTTCACTCTTGTTGCCCAGGCTGGAGTGCAATGGCGCAATCTCGGCTCGCTGCAACCTCTGCCTGCCAGGTTCATGCGATTCTCCTGCCTCAGCCTCCCAAGTAGCTGGGATTGCAGGCATGCGCCACCACGCCTGGCTAATTTCTTTGTATTTAGTAGAGACGGGGTTTCACCATGTTGCCCAGGCTGGTCTCAAACTCCTGAGCTCAAGTGATCCACCCGCCAGGGTCTCCCAAAGTGCTGGGATTACAGCCGTTAGCCAAAACCCTGTCTCGATAAATGAATAAATAAATGAAAGGCTACAGGCCTCAGACGTTCGTTCTGGAAGGTGCTGAGGAATTTGTTAACAGTGGTTGCCTGGAAGGCAGTGGGGAGAGGCTTTCCTTTTTCAGTCTGGTATGTTCCAGTTTGTTTTCAGCCGGGTGTACTGCATTAACCCTGCAAGAAGAAAATGGAAAGAATTTGAAAAGATGCTGGGGTGTGCAGAGGAAGGGCACGCGAGTCTGGGAAGAGGTGACATCAAAACCAGGTTTTTTGTTACCTGTCAGCCCCCATGTGAAGTCCCGGCGGGGCCCCTCAGCCTGCCTGAGTGGGAGGGGTGCCCAGAGGGTCCCATCTGTGGGTGGTGGGCGGCTGGGTGGGTCTCAGGGGGAGGCTCCGTCTGGGCCCTGTGTGGCCTCAGTGCCCTGGGACGCTGGCGTTTGTCACCTGCTGGCCGTCCCTCCCAGGCAGGGATGGTGTGAGCGCCCTGGTCCTGGTCCGTAGCACAGGACACGCACACCTGCCTTCCACGAGCACCCCCATGCCCATGGTCTTGGGGGGCTCGGCAGGTGCCCTCTGCGCCCCCCACAGTAGGTGTGCAGGCTCCGTCCCACCGCGCGCGGCGGCACGAGGGTCCCACCCAGGCCGGCCAGGTTTTGGGGCGGCCTCGCGCCCAGGCAGGTGGGACGCTGCGCGCGGATGGGGGGCGGGCGGCGGGCGATTTCCCAGCGGGTCCCCGGGGCGCGCGGGCTGGGGGCGCCGGAGCGGCCGAGGGAGGAGGCCACACGCTCGCCTGCACCGCTGGGGGCCGCCCGCGGGCCTTGCCGGCCAGAGCGCAGCGTGCGCCCCGGGCCCCGCGCCGGCACTCGCTCAGCGACCGCGGCGGAGACACGAGCGGCGGCGGCGGAGCCCAGAGGGCGGCGGGAATGCGGAACCGGCGCGCGGGCTGAGGCCGCCCGGGATGGCGCAGGGGCGGCGGCGGCGGGCGGCCTGCGCGGGGCCCTAGCGAGCCGGGCTGACGCTCCCGGCCCCGGCCCCGGCATCGGCATCGCGGGCGCATCGCGGCCATGGCCAAGGAGCGGCGCAGGGCGGTCCTGGAGCTGCTGCAGCGGCCGGGGAACGCGCGCTGCGCGGACTGCGGCGCCCCGGGTAGGTGTGGGCCGGGTGGGCGCGGGGCCGGGTGGGTCCGGGGTGGGCGCGGGGTGCCGGGCGGGTCCTGGGTGGGCCCCGGGGACCGGGCGGGGGAGCGCGGACGCCGCGGGGGTGGCGGCGCTGAACACCGGGCCGGATCGGCGCTCGGATGGGGCCCGGGCCCGGCTGCACCTGCGGGGACCCGGACGTCTTCCCGGGCCGGGCGCAGCGGGGGGGCCCCCCCCAGGACCCCCGGAAACCCCCCTGCCGCCGCCTCCCCTCCCCCGCCGGGCTGCGTGTCTGACGGTCACCGCGGACCGCCCGCCGCGTTGCGAAAGCTCGGGCTCCGCACAGAAAGAGGAAATCGGGGCTGGCTGCAGGGAGGGAACGGGCCGCCAGCCGGAGGTCTCTGCTGGGCTGTGGGGTCCGCCGGCTCCGGGGCCACCTCGCGGTGACGTCATGCCTCACGCCCTTCCCGCACCGGGGGTCCCTGGGTGTGAGCGGCGCCCCTGCCCCCGGCTCCCTGCACCTGGCTGCTCCGGGGCGGGCGCCAGGACAGGTGAGGCCTGGGAGAGGTGGGGCCGGACGCAGGTCCTGGTCCACCCGCCGCCCGCCCGTTCGTTCTCCCGGCCGGGCATCCCTGACTCGGTTCCCAGGTCTGTGGGATTTCAAGGCACTGGAGTCCAAAGGCGCGGAGTCCCTCCCTTCCAGGCCACTGGTCCTGTCATTGGCTGTGAACGGGGCCCAGTGCCCAGACCAGCCCTGCCCTGCTCGGGAGCTGTCAGCCCCAGGCCGGCTGCGCTGTGGAGAGAGGGCCCCGCCGGAGCAGTCCCGCCACCCCAGGCACACCAGGAATCTGGGGGCCAATAGTCTAAGCCCCTCGGAACAAACCTAAACTCACCGGCGGTGACTGAGGCCCCCAGGGAGGGAGCGGGGGAAGACCTTGCATTTGCCTCCAAGGCCCTGGTTCAATATGCAGCCTCTGGACACCCCGGAAAAAGGGGTGTCCCTGATTCCCTCTGGGATGGAGGGGTCTCTGCCAGCCCCAGGTCGTGGTGGCTGCTGTCCAGCTGCAGCTTGGCTGGAAAGGCCACATCAGGAGCTGGGGTGTCCCAGAGGGGAGATAGCGACAGGCTTTTCTGGAAAGACAGGCAGGACCCACGGCCTTTCCATGGTCTCCTGAGACAGGACGGCCACAGGGCCCGTGCAATGGTGCGGTGGGGGTGGCCCCCTGGGCTGGCTCACCCCAGACTCTCTCCCCACAGACCTTTATTTCCTCCTGTTCAGGAACGCTCCCCAGGAAAGCCAGTGGGAAAGGGCCTGGCCTGGGGTTGCTGTGGCCCACGGGGAGGGGAGCTGGGCTTGCCTCTGAACCTCTGCTCCCTGGCCACACAGCCTGGGAGCAGCTTCTCTGGACTCAGGGCCCCTCTCCAGCCACCCTCTGGGCCTCCCAGCCTGGCAGGAGGAAGAGGGGACTTCCTTGGCCTGCTGGGTCCTTCAGTGGTCCTCCCCTCCCAGTGGGTGCAGGTGTGCCCGGCCCACCTGCTAAGCTTCCAGCCTGGCCCACCCCAGAGCTGTTCTCTGCCGTCCCTATGCCCCACGCTGCCGGGTAGAGGGCCGCACCTCTGCCTTTTCAGAATCTGTCCATGACCTCAGTGACTTGTCTCCTCTGTCGGGTAGCGCCATGGAGGGGGGATGCTGTGAGGGGTCACTCTCATTTCACAGCCAGGGAGACTGATGCCTTGCAAAGGGAGCTGTCTTAGGGGACATGAGCCACACCCGGCCGCTCTGCTTGTCCCCGCTCCCCAGGGCTGTGGCCACAGGGTGGAACAGGCGGTGTCAGGAGGCAGGGGGCTGCCTAGCCCCCCATGACCCCATGGCACATCCTCGAGGGCTCTATGCTTCTTTGCTGATGCCAGCTGCTCTGGGGCCTCCTGTACCTGCTGTGGCCCAGCTGGGTGACAAGGAGCCACTCCAGTGTTGATGGGGGCTGGGGTGGCCGGCACGTTCTGCTGTCCTCAGAACACTGTCCTGTGCACTGGCTCACGGCTGGTGCAGACCTGGACAGCAGGACATCAGACAGTCCCAGACCACCTCTGAACGCCAGGCCTGGGGCTGCTGGGGTGGACTTGAGCAGGCCCCACCCACTGGCCGTGTGAGGGAAGCAGTCTTGGGGTCTCTGCGGCCCCCACAGAAGCTCCTTCCAAACTCTCCCCATGACCTGTCCCAATAGTGGGTTCCCCTGACCTTGAACAGGGGGCCTCGCCCGGCGGCCACCCAGAGAGCCTCTCATCACAGGCCTGGCAGGTGGGCGAGTTGGGGCGTGCCTGGACCCACTGTCCTGCAAGACCTGGGTGGGGGTCTCCATCCTGGGAGGGGGTTTGGGGGAGGGAGGGGTGCCTCCGTACATCCTTGGAGCTGCCTGCCAAATCGCAACAGAGGACAGGGACCGGGCGCGGTGGCTCACGCCTGTCATCCCAGTGCTTTGGGAGGCCGAGGCCGGAGGATCGCTTGAGGCCAGGAGTTGGAAGCTGCAGTGAGTCGTGATCACACTCCAGCCTAGGCCAGAGTGAGACCCTGTCTCAAAAAAAAGAAAAACACACATATTGTCCTCTTTGAGTCTCAGGCCATCTGATGCCCCGGAAGGACTGGGGTGTCTGAGCTCTTTTGTTCTTTTTTATTTTAAGGTCTCGCTCTGTCACCCAGGCTGGAGTGCAGTGGCACAATCTCAACTCACTGCAGCCTCTGCCTCCAGGGCTCAAGCAATCCTCCCACCTCAGCCTCCTGAGTAGCTGGGACTACAGGTCCATGCCACCATGCCCAGCTAATTTTTTTTTTTAAGACAGTCTCTCGATGTCACCCAGGCTACAGTGCAGTGGCACGATCTTTGCTCACTGCAACCTCCAACTCCCAGTTTCAGGAATTTGGCCGGCATGGGTGAGGGTGGGAAGAAGGCTGCTGAGTGTGGGCGGGGGCTGGGCAGACTCCCTTCACTCCCCAGGGCAGCGGCCCAACTAGGTTGGATATTTTTTTTTTTTTTTGAGACGGAGTCTCGCTCTGTCGCCCAGGCTGGACTGCAGTGGTGCGATCTCGGCTCACTGCAAGCTCCCCCTCCCAGGTTCACACCATTCTCCTGCCTCAGCCTCCCGAGTAGCTGGGACTACAGGCACCCGCCACCACGCCCGGCTAATTTTTGTATTTTTAGTAGAGATGGGGTTTCACCATGTTAGCCAGGATGGTCTCCGTCTCCTGACCTCGTGATCCACCCGCCTCGGCCTCCCAAAGTGCTGGGATTCCAGGCATGAGCCACCGCGCCTGGCCGGATTTTTTAAAAATAATAATTTACCTTCTCATCGTTTCGAGTGCACAGTTCCAGGGCCTTGAGCACGTTCACTCACCGTGCCACCGCCACCACCATCATCTCCAGAACCTCCTCATCTTCCCAAACTGAAGCTCTGTCCCCATTCAACAAGGGCTCCAGATTTCCTCTCCCCAGTCCGGGGCACCCACCCTTCTACTTTCTGTTCTTTTCTTGTTTTTTTTTTTTTTTTTTTTTTGAGACGGAGTCTTGCTCTGTTCCCAAGGCTGGAATGCAGTGGCGCCATTTCAGCTCACTGCAACCTCTGCCTCCTGGGTTCAAACGATTCTCCTGCCTCAGTCCCCTGAGTAGCTGGGATTACAGGCGCCTGCCACCACGCCCGGCTAATTTTTGTATTTTTGGTAGAGACAGGGTTTCGCCATGTTGGCCAGGCTGGTCTTGAACTCCTGACCTCAGGTCATCCTCCCAACTTGGCCTCCCAAATGGCTGGGATTACAGGCATGAGCCACCGTGCCTGGCCTCAACTTTCTGTCTCTATGAATCTTATGACTCCAGGGACCTTGTAGAAGTGAAACCATGCGGTATTCATTTTTTTTTTTTTTTTTTTTTGAGGCAGAGTCTCATTCTGTCGCCCAGGCTGGAGTGCAGTGGCACCTTCTCAGCTCACTGCAAGCTCCGCCTCCCAGGCTCATGCCATTCTCCTGCCTCAGCCTCCCGAGTAGCTGGGACTACAGGTGCACGCTGCCATGCCCGGCTAAGTTTTCTGTATTTTTAGTAGAGATGGGGTTTCACCACGTTAGCCAGGACGGTCTCGATCTCCTGACCTTGTGATCCGCCTGCCTCGGCCTCCCGAAGTGCTGGGATTACAGGTGTGAGCCACCATGCCCGGCTGGTATTCATTCTTTTGTGACTGGCCAGTTTCACTCAGTCTAACGTCTCCAGGTTCACAGATGCTGTGGCGAGTGCTGGGATTTCCCTGCATGTGAAGACAGGATCATACCCTGTGTGGATGAACCACATTGCGTGTGCCCGTTTGTCTGCAGGCGGACACTGGGCTGCTCCCACCTCTGGGCCATTGTGAATCGTGCTGTGTGAGCACGAGGGTGCAGATGTCTCTCTGAGACCCTGCTTCAGGTTGTTTGGGTCTGTACCCAGGACTGGAGTTGCTGGGTCCCATGGCGATTCTGTGCTTACCTGGTTGAAGAACTGCTAGACAGGTTTCCCCTACCTGGTTTTGCACTCAAGCCACAGGCCAGCAGGTCACACGTGCCCGCTTCCTGCCTGCCTGCCCTGTGGCCGGGTGTGGAGGGCTGGTGTGGGCGATGAGCTGGCACTCAGGGCTGGGAGGAGCTGGAGGCCTTTCCCTCTGTCCTGCGCCTGGTGCCCAGGCCCTGGCCAGGCTCCCCCCAACTTCAGCCTAGACTGGGCCCCCTCTCCAAATGCACCGGAGCTGTGGTGTGGGCCAAGGTTACTGCTTTGTGGACTCCTTGGGCCGCTGCACCGGCCGTGACCGCAGCCAGCTTCCCCGACGCACAGATGCTGTGAGCTAGACCTCAGCTCTGGACATATCTCAGGTTAGGTGTGGCACTGCCCCTGCCCCCAGGCCCTGTGCTCCTAGGCCACTGCCGTTTTAGACTCAGAGGCATTTGCCAAGCCTTGCTCTGTGGCAGTACCTGGCAGCCAGCCGCATCCCCCAACTGCTTCTCCCGTCACCCGTCAGGTGGCTGCATGGCCCCATTTTGCAAATGAAAGAATGAGGAAACAGGAAGGGACTTGGTGGGGTCCAAGGTGGCTGAGGCGGCACGTGGCCGTGTGGCCAGGAGGTATGTGCTCATGTGCCCGGGGGAGGCAGAGGCCCACAAGGGCTGAACTCCAGTGGTGCCCTACCCTGGACTCCGGCGGGCAAGGCGCCTTCCCCCGCTCCGTACACATGTACTGAGTGCCTTGCCCTGTGCAGTCACTGGGGCTCAGGGAGACCGGACCAGACCAGCCCTTCACTCTCAGCATCTGCTGTTCCTTGGTGGGGAGACAAAGACAGACAGATGGTGATGGCACTTGGGGACAAGGAGGGCCGAGGGTAGAGTAAGAATTGTGAGTGAGGGCCGGGCATGGTGGCTCACGCCTGTAATCCCAGCACTTTGGGAGGCTGAGGCGGGAGGATCACGAGGTCAGGAGATCAGGACCATCCTGGCCAACATGGTGAAACCCCATCTCTACTAAAAATACAAAAATTAGTTGGGTGTGGTGGCGCACGCCTGAAATCCCAGCTACTCGGGAGGTTGAGGTGGGAGAATCGCTCGAACCTGGTAGGCAGAGGTTGCAGAGAGCCGAGATCATGCCACTGCACTCCAGCCTGGGCGACAGAGTGATATTCTGTCTCAAGGGAAAAAAAAGGACATAGAATCTTGGATGCCCCGTAAACGCGTTTTCAGGAAGGAGTACTGGGCACCTATGGGCTGGGAGGTGGGTCAGGGAGGAGCAAACTGACCCCAAGTCACTGTCCAGGTGGTGGTGGTGACAGCTTAGCAGGTGAATGAGAGGCCAGAGGGGGTCGTGGCACCTGGAGATGCATTTGGAGAAGTTCTGCTAAGACCGGGGCAGAGACCTGCAGTGGGAGCTCGGCCTGGCATGCAGGGGAAGGCTTTGGAAGTGACTGTTTTCCTCATGGAGGACGAGGCCAGGCCATGGGCCGGCGGGGAGGGAAGCCGAAACTCGGGCCACCATGGAGCGCTTCTGCAGGGCGTGTTCCATTCAGAAGCTCAGGCCTCGGTGGGTACAGAGGTGGGCTCCGTACTGAATGATGGAGGGAGGGGTGAGGGGCAGAGGGCATTGCACTGATGGACCTGGGATCCCACCCGGGCAAGGGGGCAGGGCAGACATGGGGTGAGGAGGGAGGGACAGACATGGCTGGGTCAGGTCCTGCAGATTCAGGATGGGGGCTGGGGCTCGGGGGTTGTGAGCGGGAAAGGCCCAGCTGGAATAGAGTGGGTTCAGGGCAGGCCGTGGGGTGGCCAAGGTGTGGGGTGAGGAGCAGGTCCCTGGCAGTGCTGGGTCCTCAGTGGAGGAGGGAGACGGCCCCTCCGGAAGAGGGAGTGGGGTAAAGGGGCTGGTGGTGTCGGGGGTGGGGGCAGCCGTGCACCTCGCAGGTCAAAGGAGAAGTGAGGAGGCCAGTGTGCCCAGAGCCAGGGCGGGGAGACGGGGTCAGAGGTGGCTGTGGGGCCACGCAGGGCTGGGGGACGCTGTGAGGGCTGCGCTGTGACTCTGGGTGGGATGGGAACCATGGGAATTCTGTGAGCCGAGGAGTGTCCCAGCCCACGACGCGTCACAGGGTCCAGGGCAGGTAGGGCCAGCGCGGGAGCGGGAGGTGGGTGGGACGCTGCTGCAGTGACCGAGGCCGGGTGGCGGTGGCTAGGCCTAGGGCGGGGCGTGAGTGTGGGGAGGGTCAAAGCCTGGATCGTCTTGAAATATTTGCTGGTCAACGGGATGTCGGGGTGTGGTGGGCAGAGTAGAAATGAGGACACCCAGGCCTTTAGCCAGCACCTCACTCGCTGAGATGGGGACGTGGGAGCAGTGTCCAGGGAGACGGGAGGGACCTGCGATGTGAGGCTCTGTGAGAAGCCACGGTGGCCGCCAAGGGGACAGCAGCCACACGGGCAGCTCTGGAGGAAAGAGGCCCGAGCTAGAGACAGGGGTTGCCAGTGTGTGAATGTCTCTCTCTCTCCTTTTTTAAAAAATCAAGGTCAGGCGCGGTGGCTCACACCTGTGATCCCAGCACTTTGGGAGGCTGAGGTGGGAGGATCGCTTGAGCCCAGGAGTTCAAGGTCAGCCTGGCCAACATGGTGAGACCCCCATCTCTAAAAAAAAAAAAAAAAAAAAAAAACCAAAAAATCAGCCAGATGTGGTGGTGCACACCTGTGGTCCCAGCTACTCAGGAAGCTGAGGTGGGAGGATTACCTGAGCCCAGGAGGCCGAGGCTGCAGTGAACCATGATCGCACCACTGCACTCCAGCCTGAGTGACAGAGACCCTCTCTCAAAAAAACAAAAAATGAAAAAAAACAAAACCCCAAATCGAGGTGCAATTCATATGAAAAATTAACCTTTTATAGAAAATTTTTTCATAAGGATGGAGTCGCGGTGTCTCACTATGTTGCCCAGGCTGGTCTCGAACTCCTGGGCTCCACCCGTTCACCTTGGCCTCTCCAGGTGCTGAGATTGCAGGCGTGAGCCGCCCCGCCCGGCCTCAGGTTAATCATTTCAAAGTGAAAATTCAGTGGCATTTAGAACGTTCTCCATGCTGTTCAACCACCACCTCTATCGAGTTCCAAAAATAGGGTTTGACAGCCGAGAGACCAGATGGGCCGCAGAGGAGTCGGCCCTGTGCGAGGGCCCTGAAGAGCCTGGAGGGGCGCGGGGTGGGGGCCCCAGAGAGTGGGCTCCGGGACAGGGTGGGTCCAGGGAGGACTGGGGATGGCCTTCACCGTGGGGTTCCCGCCATGGGGCTGGAGCACCAGGAGGGAGAGAGGGTGGGAGGGCAGGGGCAGGGCAGAGCCTGGGGGGGTCCTTGGGGGATTCTGAAAATGGACTGTGTCCGGGTGCTGCTGGGAGGGATCCAGGAGAGGGGCACGTGTCCCTGAACCGGGTAGGGGCCAGCGGATCTGGGTCCTGGGAGGGCCTGTTCCTAGGGCCAAAGGGCCCCATCCTCACAATGGAATGGGACCAGGGCCGCCCGTGAGCGTGAGGGGGTGGGGGCCTGGGGCCTGGGCAGAGAGGAGGTGTGGGCTGCCAGCCCACCCAGGAGCTCCAGAGGTCACTGCCTCGCTGGCGGGGATCCACCGGCCGGCGGGAGCCTGGATCCCTGCAGGGGCCACGGGTAACTGGGAGACAATATGCGGAAAACACGGAGGTGGAGTTGGAGAGGGGCCTGGGTCCCGGCGTGGAGTGGGGCGCTGTGTGCCTGGGGGACAGCCATGCATGCCCCGCCTCACGTAGCTGTGAAGGGTGGTGGGCACCGGAGCCCCTCCCACAAGGGCACCCTCCCACCTCGGCTGCCCCTTGCGTGCCTGGCCAGAGCCAGCGTCCGACCCGGCCTCGATTGCACCGGGATCTCTGCTGTGCGTCAGCCTTGGGAGGGCAAAGGTCTCTGGAACCAGGGCCCCATGGACAGGCTTGGCTACTGCCCTTCCCCCTGCCCGTGCCCCAGCCTGGGCCTTGGCTTGGGGGACACGCCTGCCCCACCTGGCTCCGCCCAAGAATGTGGCTCACCTGCCCAGGTGCCCCAGACCAGCTCCGGAAATGGTGAGCGGCTGAGTCACCTCGGGCGTCCTGGGAGCAGGTAGGGCAGAGCGGGGCTGGGAGGAGGGAGGGAAAGAGGCTGGCGGCTGTGGGCAGTCTCCGAGGAGGAGGCAGCTCCTGGAGACGGTGCTGGCAGCCTGGATGTTTGTGGGGGCTGGAGTCTTGGGCCTGCCCCTCCCTACCTGGCACTCAGGGCCTCCATCTCCACCACCACATCAGCCATGCCGCAGCCACCCTTGGGCCCAGTGTGTACCTGCTGGCCTTGTGGCCTGTTCTGGGGGCACCACAGGCCGTGGGTGCTGACTCCAGGCATTTTGGAACAAAATTCCACAGTCCTGGGAACCCAGAAGTGGTCCTGGGCAGAAGCAGGGCCGGCCCCACGGTTCAGTGCCCCGAGTGGAGGGGGCAGCTGGAGTGCAGCCCAGGCTTAGGGAGAGGCTCTCCTGCGTGGGCCTGTGGGGGCCCTGCTGCTGGGGCGTCAGACCAGCTCCCCTTCCACCCTGGAGGGTCTCTGAGAGTGCGTGCCCCGCCCCTTTTCGCTCCGATGGGCTGCGGGCATTTGCGGATGCAGGCAGGCCTGGCCATGCCCAGCAGCCTGAGAAGGAGGCCTGCCCAGCCCAGCCTCAGTCACTTGGAAAACAGAAGGGTCAGCCCGTCCCTTCTGCCTTGGGGACCAGCCAGGCTTTTTCCTTACTGGAAGCTGGGGGACTCTAGCTCCCCATCTCCTTGCACACACACACACCTGCACACACACACGTGAGCCCACCCTGCAGAGCTTCAGCATACTCAAATCAGAAGGCCACCTTCTATTTCAGTGCCTTCAAGGGCTTCCGAGGTCACTCTCCCAGAGACCAGAGGCCTTAAGACATCGCCCAGAGTCACCCAGAGTCACCCCCCCGGGCTCTTCCCTCCCAGGGTCTGAATCTTTCTTTAAAACAGAGTCTCAGGGTGGGTAGAGTGGGGATGGTTAATGGGTACAAAGAATAGAATAAGATCTAGTATTTGATATCACAACAGGGTGACGATTGTCAACAATAATTTATTGTACTTTTAAAAATGACTAAAAGAGTGTAATTGGATTGTTTGTAACACAAAGAAATGATACACGCTTGAGGTGATGGGTGCCGTGTTTGCCGTGATGTGATTATTTCACATTGCATGCCTGTAGCAAAATGTCTTGTGGACCCCATAAATATATACACCTCTTATGTACCCACAAAAATTAAAGATTAAAAATTGTTAAAAATAGGCCGGGCTCGGTGGCTCAGGCCTATAATCCCAGAACTCTGGGAGGCCGAGGTGGGCGGATCACCTGAGGTCAGGAGTTTGAGACCAGCCTGGCCAACATGGTGAACCCCGTCTCTATTAAAAATACAAAAATTAGCCAGGCATGGTGGCGGGCGCCTGTAATCCCAGCTACTTGGGAGGCTGAGACAGGAGAATTGCTTGAACCCGAGAGGCAAAGGTTGCAGTGAGCCAAGATTGCACCACTGCACTCCAGCCTGGGTGATAGAGTGAGACTCTGTCTCAAAAAAAAAAAAAAAAAGGTTAAAAATATAAAGAAAAATAAATAAAACAGGGACTTGGTTAGGCGAAGTGGCTCATGCCTGTAATCCCAGCACTTTGGGAGGCTGAGGTGGAAGGACTGCTTGAGCCCAGAAGTTAGAGACCAGCCTGGGCAATATAGCAATACCTTGTTTCTACAAAAAGTTTTTTAAAGTAGCTGGGTATGGTGGTGCGCACCTGTAGTCCCAGCTACTCAGGAGGCTGAGGCGGGAGGATCACTTGAATCCAGGAGGTCGAGGCTGCAGTGAGCCATGATTGCCTCACTGCACTCAAGCCTGGGCAACAGAGCAAGACCCTGTCTCAATAATAATAATAATAGTAATAATTCTGATGAGGTCAATTTCTCTCTTTCTCCTCTTCTCTCTCTTCCTCCTCCTCTCTCCCTTCCTCCTCCTCCCTTCCTCCTCCTCTCTCCCTTCGTCCTCCTCTCTCCCTTCCTCCTCCTCCCTTCCTCCTCCTCTCTCCCTTCGTCCTCCTCTCTCCCTTCCTCCTCTCTCCCTTCCTCCTCTCTCCCTTCCTCCTCTCTCCCTTCCTCCTCGCTCCCTTCCTCCTCCTCTCTTCCTCCTCCTCATTCCCTTCCTCCTCACTCCCTTCCTCCTCCTCTCTCCCTTCCTCCTCCTCTCTCCCTTCCTCCTCCTCTCTCCCTTCCTCATCCTCTCTCCCTTCCTCCTCTCTCCCTTCCTCCTCCTCCCTTCCTCCTCCTCTCTCCCTTCGTCCTCCTCTCTCCCTTCCTCCTCTCTCCCTTCCTCCTCTCTCCCTTCCTCCTCTCTCCCTTCCTCCTCGCTCCCTTCCTCCTCCTCTCTTCCTCCTCCTCATTCCCTTCCTCCTCACTCCCTTCCTCCTCCTCTCTCCCTTCCTCATCCTCTCTCCCTTCCTCCTCTTCCTCCTCCTCCCTTCCTCCTCCTCTCTCCCTTCCTCCTCCTCTCTCCCTTCGTCCTCCTCTCTCCCTTCCTCCTCCTCTCTCCCTTCCTCCTCCTCTCCCTTCCTCCTCCTCTCTCCCTTCCTCCTCCTCTCTCTTCCTCCTCCTCACTCCCTTCCTCCTCCTCTCTCCCTTCCTCATCCTCTCTCCCTTCCTCCTCCTCTCTTCCTCCTACTCTCTCTTCCTCCTCCTCACTCCCTTCCTCCTCCTCTCTCCCTTCCTCATCCTCTCTCCCTTCCTCCTCTTCCTCCTCCTCCCTTCCTCCTCGTCTCTCCCTTCCTCCTCCTCCCTTCCTCCTCCTCTCTCCCTTCCTCCTCCTCTCTTCCTCCTACTCTCTCTTCCTCCTCCTCACTCCCTTCCTCCTCCTCTCTCTTCCTCCTCCTCACTCCCTTCCTCCTCCTCTCTCCCTTCCTCATCCTCTCTCCCTTCCTCCTCTTCCTCCTCCTCCCTTCCTCCTCCTCTCTCCCTTCGTCCTCCTCTCTCCCTTCCTCCTCCTCCCTTCCTCCTCCTCTCTCCCTTCCTCATCCTCTCTCCCTTCCTCCTCTTCCTCCTCCTCCCTTCCTCCTCCTCTCTCCCTTCCTCCTCCTCTCTCCCTTCGTCCTCCTCTCTCCCTTCCTCCTCCTCCCTTCCTCCTCCTCTCTCCCTTCCTCATCCTCTCTCCCTTCCTCCTCTTCCTCCTCCTCCCTTCCTCCTCCTCTCTCCCTTCCTCCTCCTCTCTCCCTTCCTCCTCCTCTCTCCCTTCCTCCTCCTCTCTTCCTCCTACTCTCTCTTCCTCCTCCTCACTCCCTTCCTCCTCCTCTCTCCCTTCCTCATCCTCTCTCCCTTCCTCCTCTTCCTCCTCCTCCCTTCCTCCTCCTCTCTCCCTTCCTCCTCCTCTCTCCCTTCCTCCTCCTCTCTCCCTTCCTCCTCCTCTCTCCCTTCCTCCTCCTCTCTCCCTTCCTCCTCCTCCTCTCTCTTCCTCTTCCTCTCTCCCTTCCTCCTCCTCTCTCCCTTCCTCCTCCTCTCTTCCTCCTCCTCCTCTCTCTTCCTCCTCCTCTCTCTCTCAGTGGATTCTGCCTTTGGTGTTGTATCTGAAAAAAATCTTTGCCTAACCCAAAGTTACGGAGACTTTTCTCCTGTTTTCTTTTAAAATTGTATGGCTTTAGGTTTTACCTTTAGCACCATGATGCATTTGGGGATAATTTTTGGATATGGTGAGAGGGATGGTTGTTTACTGTGTTGTGGATGATACCGGATTGTTCCAGCACCGTTGGTAGGAAAGATTGTTCGCTCTCTCCAGAACTGGCTTTATATCTTTGCCGATAATTAGTTGTCCACATATGTGTGGGTTTATTTCTAGATTCCCGATTCTGTTCCATTGATCCGTTTATCCGTTTTTGTGCCAACACCACCACACTGTCTTGATAACTGTAATTTTTTAATGAGTTCTGAAAACAAGTAGTGTTAGTTCCCCGTCCTTGTCTTTTTTTTCTAAGTTGTTTTAGCTATTCTAGGTCCTTTGCATTTACATATGAATTTTAGAATCAGCTTGTTCATTTCTATTTTTAAAATCCTGTTGAAATTCTGATTGGGATGGCATTGAATCTATAATTTGGAGAGAATATATGTGTTATTAATGTTGAGTCTCCCATCCCACGAAAACGTTATCTCTTTCCAAAATCTGTAGGTCTTCTTTAATTTCTCTGAGCAATATTTTGTAGTTTTCAGTGTCCTATGTTTCATTTCTCATCACATTTATCCCTCTTTCATACATTTTATGCTATTATAAATGGTATTTTTAAATGTTCAATTTCTGAATGCTTGTTGCTAGTGTATAGAAATACAATAGATTTTTGTATATTTATCTTGTATCCTTCAACCTTGCTAAACTTGTTAGTTCTCATAGTTGTTTTTAATAGAATCTTTTCTATTTTCTACATAGACAATCATGTTGTCTGTTAATGAAGATAGTTTTAGCTCTTCCTTTCCAATCTAGATGCTTTTTATTTCTTTATATTGCCTTATTGCACTGACTAGAATCTCTAGCTCAACGTTGACTAGGAGTGGTTAGAACAGACATTCTTGTCCTGTTCTTGATCTTGGGGGAAAGCAGTCAGTCATTCTCCCTTGAATATGACATTTGCTGTACATGTTTCATAGATCCTCTATATCAAATTGGGGAAATTACCCTCTATTCTTAGTTTTCTGAGAGTTTTATCAGGATGTTGCATTTTGCCAACATTTTTTGCATCTGTTGAATCATCTATGTCAAATTGGGGAAATTCCCCTCTATTCTTAGTTTTCTGAGAGTTTTATCAGGATGTTGCGTTTTGCCAACATTTTTTGCATCTGTTGAATCCTCTATATCAAATTGGGGAAATTCCCCTCTATTCTTAGTTTTCTGAGAATTTTATCAGGATGTTGCATTTTGCCAGCATTTTTTGCATCTATTGAAACAATTGTATGTTTTTTCTTTTTTAACCTGTAAATATGGTGAATGACATTGATTGATGGTCAAATGTTAAACCAACCTTGCATTACTGGTAAAAACCCCTGTTGATCATGGTGTATTACTCTTTTTATATATTGTTGGATGTACATCTTTTTATGGACCTACATTTTGATTTCCCTTGGGTAAATTCCTAGGAGTAGGGTGGCTGTGTCATATGGGAGATATATCTTTATGTAAGAAACTGCCAAGCTGTTTTCAGAGTGGGTTGGACTAATTTGTATTTCTACCAGCAGTGGATGAGAGTTCCACTTGCTCTGTATCCTCATCAACACTTGGTAGTATCCATCTTTTAAATTTTAGTCATCCTAGTAAAACTCCACAAAAGCTTTTTAAAAATGATACAAACTTCCTGCCCTACCAGTGACAACCTTGTGTTGCTCCTGTCTCCAACACACTTGATTTAACTGGCTCTCGTCTTTTGATTCTTATGTAAAAGGTCATGTCTCCATATTGTGTGTGTGTGTGTGTGTGTGTGTGTGTGTGTGTGTGTGTGTGACAGGGTCTGTGACACCCAGGCTGGAGTGTAGTCGTGCCATCTCGGCTCACTGCAACCTCCACCCCTGGGCTCAAGTGATCCTCCTACCTCAATCTCCCAAAATGCTGGGATGACAGGTGTGAGCACCCACACCTGGCTGGTGTCTCTATTTCTTCACATTTAACTCCCTGAGCCCTCCCCAGTAGGCTGTTCATGTTGTGTCTGTGGGTATGCACGCACGTATGTATATGCTCACACACAAATACCAAGGAGGATGTGACAGGTTTGCATCAGACAACCTCTAACTTTACACCGGGGGACCTTGTGCCAGTTGCAAGAGGTCGGGACAGGTTGTAACCACTCCTTAGCCTCACTTGTAGCTGGTTTGTCAAAGATAGGCTATATTAGTAATGGCTGTAAGCTATCAGTCCTACTTACAAGCCCTTCTTGGGCTCACTCATCTGTGCCACCCCCATTTTTCCCTCTAAGCAGACATTGGCAAACTTTTTTTTTTTTTTTTGAGACAAAGTCTCACTCTGTTGCCCAGGCTGGAGTGCAGTGGCACGATCTCGGCTCACTGCAATCTCCATCTCCCGGGTTCCAGTGATTCTCTTGCCTCAGCCTCCCAAGTAGCTGGGATTACAGGCACCCGCCACCACGCCCGGCTAATTTTTGTATTTTTAGTAGAGACGGGGTTTCACTATGTTGGCCAGACTGTTCTCACACTCCTGACCTCAGGTGATCCACCCGCCTTGGCCTCCCGAAGTGCTGGGATTACAGGTGTGAGCCACCACACGCAGCCAGCAAACTTTTTCTTAAAAAGACAGATAGTAGGCTGGGCGTGGTGGCTCACGCCTGTAATCCCAGCACTTTGTGAGGCCGAGGCAGGCGGATCACCTAAGTCGGGAGTTTGAGACCAGCCTGGCCAACATGGTGAAACCACATCTCTACTAAAAATAGAAAATTAGCCGGGCATGGTGGTGCACGCCTGTAATCCCAGCTACTCGGGAGGCTGAAGCAGGAGAATCACTTGAACCTGGGAGGCAGAAGTTGCAGTGAGCTGAGATCACACCATTGCACTCCAGCCTGGACAACAAGAGCGAAACTCTGTCTCAAAAAACAACAAAAATGACAGTAAATATTTTAGGGCCGTAGAGTCTCCATCACAGCTAGTCAACGACCGCTCACAAAAGCAGCTATAGACAGTTCATAAATGGGCATGGCTGAGTTCCAGTAACACCTTATTTACAACAACAGGCAGCTGGTCCACGCCGTAGAGTCCAGCTCCTGCTACGGGTTCCATGAACAGGCCTCCTTCCAGGCCCAGCTCCCTGGGTTCTGTGAACAGGCCTCCTTCCAGGCCAGGAGAGGGACAGCCTGTCCCGGAGCACCCGAGTGAGGTTGGAGGTGGGCACAGGCATTCTGGACCCTGGGCTGGGCGGGAGCTGTTGGTGGCCGTTGCTCAGCCTCCCTCAGAATTTCTAGATGGGCAGATAAAGGCCATGAGACAGGAAGCCTGGGTCCGTGGTCCACACTGTCGGAGCAGAACCAACAGCATTGCCATGCGGTGAGAAGGAGGGCCCCCCACTGCACCCCGAGCGGTGATGTTCCCAGCTGGGCTCATGTTGCCTGCTACCCCTGTAAGTGGCTCGTGCTGTCCCATCCGACAGATGAGGAGACCGAGGCCCGGAGACTGGCGTGCCTTCTGGGCGCCCCTCGCACAGCCACGTACCGAGCATTTGCGGCATCTTTCACCAAGGCTTCGGGAGAAGACGGAGCCCGGGGGGAGTCAGGTCTCTCTCTTCTGGGACTTCAGTGTGGTTCTTCCCCACCTGTTCTCCAGGGGTGTGTGTAACTAAATACTTTGCAGGCCAGACACGGCGTCACACATCTGTAATCCCAACACTTTAGGAGGCCAAGACAGGAGGATCGCTTGAGCCCAGGAGTTCAAGCCCAAGCTGGGCAACATAGAGAGACTTCATCTCTACCAAAAATTTTAAAAATTAGCTGGGTATGCTGGTGCATGCCTGCGGTCCCAGCTACTTGGAAGGCTGAGGCAGGAGGATCGCTTGAGCCCAGGCGTTGGAGGCTGCAGTGAGCTGTGAGCTGTGATTGCACCACTGCACTCCACCTTGGGCAACAGGGCAAGACCCTGTCTCAAAACAAAACAATACAATACAAGACAAAAAAAACCCCGCAAAACCAAACAACGGCTGATCCTGTAACCGCATTCTTTCTCCCAAAAGCCGCCCTACTCAGCACAGGCAAAACTCCTGGTACCCGAGACAGGGTCACTTGGGCAAATGTTTGACTGACTGAGGGGTGAGGAGAAAGCCTGTGGTCTCTCTCGAAGACAGGGGCTCTGCTGAAGTAGGGCTGTTAGTGGCCCCTTCATTCATGACTCCCGTGGAGACCTGCTCCGGACTGAGCTCTGTGCCAGATCCGGGGGTGCTGGGTCTGGGGTCCTCAAGAAGCCCACGTTAATGGGGAGACAGGCTTCATTAATCAGGGAGCCTAACAGCTGTGACAGAAAACCCCCAAATCCCAGAGGCCGGGCATGACCCCCAAATCCCAGATGTGCAGCGTGACCCCCAAATCCCAGAGGCCGGGCATGACCCCCAAATCCCAGAGGTCGGGCATGACCCCCAAATCCCAGAGGCCGGGCATGACCCCCAAATCCCAGAGGCCGGGCATGACCCCCAAATCCCAGAGGTCGGGCGTGACCCCCAAATCCCAGAGGCCGGGCGTGACCCCCAAATCCCAGAGGTCGGGCGTGACCCCCAAATCCCAGAGGCCGGGCGTGACCCCCAAATCCCAGAGGTCGGGCATGACCTCCAAATCCCAGAGGCCGGGCATGACCTCCAAATCCCAGAGGCCGGGCATGACCCCCAAATCCCAAAGGTCGGGCGTGACCCCCAAATCCCAGAGGCCGGGCGTGACCCCCAAATCCCAGAGGTCGGGCGTGACCCCCAAATCCCAGAGGCCCGGCGTGACCCCCAAATCCCAGATGTGCAGCGTGACCCCCAAATCCCAGAGGCCAGGCATGACCCCCAAATCCCAGAGGCCAGGCATGACCCCCAAATCCCAGAGGTCGGGCGTGACCCCCAAATCCCAGAGGCCGGGCGTGACCCCCAAATCCCAGAGGTCGGGCGTGACCCCCAAATCCCAGAGGTCGGGCGTGACCCCCAAATCCCAGAGGCCGGGCGTGACCCCCAAATCCCAGAGGTCGGGCGTGACCCCCAAATCCGAGGCCCGGCGTGACCCCCAAATCCCAGAGGCCGGGCATGACCCCCAAATCCGAGGTTCAGCCTGCTGGTTCTCACGCACCATCCCCGGCCGGGGGCTCACTTGGGTGCCTCTCCTCCTGGCAGTGACTCAGAGCCCAGGCCCAGCCCCAGCCCCACTGGGCCTCCGCCGCCTGGCATGGGAGTCCCCCACCAGCCAGGGGTGGGCCCCGATCAGCGTTGGGAGGGGGGCTATCCTCCGCCAGGCCTGAAGGGTGGGGTCCTCTCCACTCATGATTCCCCAAACAGGCTTGGGTCCACAGCCGCACCTGCTTGTGGGGAAGCGCCTCGATTTCCACCAGCCTCACCCAGGAGAGCCTCCACTTAAAAATAAAAGCAGTTCAGAGATGACTCATCTCCCCCAGAGAGACTGTTCTCTCTAGGGTGCCTTTCAGCCATTCCACTCCCTTGACTTATTGTGAAGGGTCGTTGGGAGCCAGAAGAAAACAGGAGAGTCACACAGCAGCCCTCTTAGCCATCGCCCCAGGGCGGGGCTGGACGCTCCCCACATTTTGCCGTTTCAGAATGAGACATTTCACACGTGCAGCAGCAGAAAGACTGCGCTGTGGCACCCACACCCTGGGCAGTGGCTCACGCCTGTCATCCCAGCACTTTGGGAGGCCGAGCAGGTGGATTACTTGAGGTCAAGAGTTCGAGGCCAGCCTGGCCAACATGATGAAACCCCATCTCCACTAAAAATACAAAAGTTAGCCGGGCATGGTGGTGCGTGCCTCGCTACTCGGGAGGCTAAGGCAGGAGAATCGCTTGAACCCGGGAGGCAGAGGTTGCAGCGAGCCGAGATCGTGCCATCATACTCCAGCCTGGGCAACAGACTATGTCTCAAAAAAAATTCTGCTCCCTCAGCCTCCCAAAGCGCTGGGATTACGGGCCTGAGCCACTGTGTCCAGCTTTGTTGGACCTTTTAAGGCAAACCAGACATCGAGACGTGGAATCCCTAGACAGGCCACATGCAGGGTGAAGCCACAGCGCCGCTGTCACACCTGCAAAGTTAGTGGCCGCCGGGCGCTGTCACCCCACGCAGGGTGCGTCGTCATCCGCGGCTACCATCCGTCCTTCGGGGGTGTGCAGCGCGTTGGGTGTGAGGCACCCCCTGCACTCAGATCCTATCTGAATTTCCCAATCTTGGCCCCATCACCCAGGAGGATTCGGGCCCACAGACTTCTCCCAGGGCAGCGGACACGAGGAAAGCAGGTGGACCCATCCTCACGAGTGCCGGGTGCCCTCCAGCCCGGGGCATGGGCTCCTGTGGGGCCGGCCTCTGCTGGAGGTTCCCGGCACCCGCGGGGCAGAGCAGGTGCATGCAGATCGGCTTCCTCAGATGCCGTGGGGTGTCTGGGGAGAGCCCCGTCTGCACCGGGCAGAGGGCGGGGGGGGAGCTGGGGTTAGGTGCCTGTGGGGCGCACGGAGCCTGGTGTACCCGGGGGTCTCCGCTGAAGCCCCCCCCACTGCATGGCCGGGGGCTCCTGACTCGAGGCTCCGTCCACCCTCCCTCCGGGGTCCCTGGGCTGAGCCTCCGTGAACGTCCGGCTTTCCCTTGCAGATCCCGACTGGGCCTCCTACACTCTGGGCGTCTTCATCTGCCTGAGCTGCTCGGGAATCCACCGGAATATCCCCCAGGTCAGCAAGGTGAAGTCCGTCCGCCTGGACGCCTGGGAGGAGGCCCAAGTGGAGGTACGGAGGGGGAGGGGCGGGGGGACCCGCGCAGTCCCCGGGTGGCCTCAGCCCGGGCCTCTGGAGCCAGAGATGCCGGGCGGCCTGGCTGTGGCCCCTGGAGCCTTGGGCTACTCTGGGGGCCTGGCTGGCTGGACCCGAGGACCCCGCCCCCTCTCCAGCGGCTCCGCCTGTGTGGCTGCTCCACCCACCCCGTGCCGGGTCCAACCTCTCTGTGAGCAGCTCCAGGTGTGTGTGGTGGGCCAGGGAGCGAAGGCGGGTCGCCGATTCCCGTGCCCTGGGAGCTCCGGAGTGCTCCCCTCAAATCCCCACACCTGGAGCACTGGGCTCAGGGTAAAAGAGACCCTGTCTCTAAGGAAACAGAATGCAGCGTCCCAGGCCGCGCGGCACGACCCAGAGTCAGGGTCGCATTTACACGGCAGTCCACGTGCACCCCGGCCCGCTGCCGTGTAGGGCACCATTACCTGTCCCCTGGGCGGCCTCTGAGGTGACACAGCCACTGCCCACCTCTCACCCATGCATCTGATGAGGCTTCACGGAGCACTTGGCATGGCCAGGCAGGGACACCAGCCACAGATGCTTCGTGGGGCCCTAGAGACGCCCCTATGGGGAGGGAGACGGGTGTGAGCCAACCAGGAAGCCCTGGCGTGCAGGGAGGGGCCACGCATGCTGGAGGCGGCAGGAAGGGCCCCGTAGGGAGACCCCGAGGGAGGTGGAGAAGGAACAAGACCCCGGCTGGGGGCTGCAGGTCGGATGGAGCGTGGGGCCTGAAGACCCGGTGGGAGGGTCACCCCAGCCCCACTCGTGGGACTTGGGGTCTGGAAGCCATTGATCTTCCTGACTGCTGTGAGTGGGACCGAAGGGCCGCATGGAGGTGAGAGTGGTGGTCTGGGGGCTGCTGTGGGGATGGGGAGGGTCGTAGAGGCTGGTGGCCTCCTGTACATGTCTCTCCCCTCTCCAGCACCATTGACCCTGGGCCCCCCCTCTCCAACACCACTGACTCTGGCACCCCCTCTCCAGGACCACTGATCCCAGCCCCTGGTTCTCCAGCACCACTGACCCCGGCTCCCGGCTCTCCAGCACCACTGACCCCAGTCCCCGGCTCTCCAGCACCACTGACCCCGGTCCCCGGCTCTGCACCACCACTGACCCCGGCCCCCGGCTCTCCAGCACCACTGACCCCGGCCCCCGGCTCTCCAGCACCACTGACCCCGGTCCCCGGCTCTGCACCACCACTGACCCCGGCCCCCGGCTCTCCAGCACCACTGACCCCGGCTCCCGGCTCTCCAGCACCACTGACCCCAGTCCCCGGCTCTCCAGCACCACTGACCCCGGTCCCCGGCTCTGCACCACCACTGACCCCGGCCCCCGGCTCTCCAGCACCACTGACCCCGGCCCCCGGCTCTCCAGCACCACTGACCCCGGTCCCCGGCTCTGCACCACCACTGACCCCGGCCCCCGGCTCTCCAGCACCACTGACCCCGGTCCCCGGCTCTCCAGCACCACTGACCCCGGTCCCCGGCTCTGCACCACCACTGACCCCGGTCCCCGGCTCTGCACCACCACTGACCCCGGCCCCCGGCTCTCCAGCACCACTGACCCCGGTCCCCGGCTCTCCAGCACCACTGACCCCGGTCCCCGGCTCTGCACCACCACTGACCCCGGCCCCCGGCTCTCCAGCACCACTGACCCCGGCCCCCGGCTCTCCAGCACCACTGACCCCGGCCCCCGGCTCTCCAGCACCACTGACCCCGGTCCCCGGCTCTCCAGCACCACTGACCCCGGTCCCCGGCTCTGCACCACCACTGACCCCGGCCCCCGGCTCTCCAGCACCACTGACCCCGGCCCCCGGCCCCCGGCTCTCCAGCACCACTGACCCCGGCCCCCGGCTCTCCAGCACCACTGACCCCTGCCCCTGGTTGGGAGTAGCTCATTTGCTTCTAACAGGCAGCCTTGGTGCATGGGTCACACCTGGAGGCTTGTTAGAAATCACAGCTGGGATCCCAGTGCCTCGACCAGGTGTGGGGGTGGTGCCTGTAATCCCAGCCACTCAGGAGGCTGAGGCAGGAGGATTGTTTGAGCCCAGGAATTCTTTTTTTTTTTTGAGACGGAGTCTGGCTTCGTCGCCCAGGCTGGAGTGCAGTAGCATGATCTCGGCTCACTGCAAGCTCCACCTCCCGGGCTCAAGCAATTCTCCTGCCTCAGCCTCCCGAGTGGCTGGGATTGCAGGTGCACGCCACCACGCCCGGCTAATTTTCGTATTTTTAGTAGAGAAGGGTTTCACCATGTTGGCAAGGCTGGTCTTGAACTCCTGACCGCAGGTGATCCACCCACCTCAGCCTCCCGAAGTGCTGGGATGACAGGCGTGAGCCACCATGCCTGGCTGAGCCAAGGAATTCGAGGCTGCAGTGAGTTGTGATTGCACCTTTGTGCTCCAGCCTGGGAGACAGAAAAAGACCCAAGGACAGCAGAGTCCCTGACCCACCCAGGGCGACCCCAAATCAGCTTCTGCACTTAATGCCGTGATCCCCCACACCCTGAGTTGAGGGCGTCCCTGCGAATCCCCTCAGGACCCCGGCCCACCTTGGGCTCACCGCCTTCGACCCACCTTCACTGACCTGGGTGGGGGACACTGGGATGTGATATCCGTCCCTTCGCCCTTCGACCCACCTTCACTGACCCAGGGGGGGACACTGGGATGTGACATCCATCCCTTCGCCAGGCTGTGGGCTTGTCTGAGCCTCCGTTTCCTTCCCTAAAAAATGGGCAGGGTGGCCCCTGGACCATCCCCCTCCCCGGACAACAGGGGACCAATGTCAGAAAGATGATGGGACGGGTGTCCCGTCTCCAAGTTGCTCTGCCATCACTCCTGGAGGAAACAGCCCTGAGTCCCTGGAGGGCCTCCAGGGGCACAGACTCCTTGGCTCGGGGAGAAGACGTGGCTATTGTCCCCATAATTCCAGGGCAAACGGGGCAAGGGCCCAGGGGTGGGGCGTTCACTGTTGTTGGAAAAACCCTAAATGTAATCAGCGGGAGAGGACAGGGGCCAACTTGGTGCTGTCCTGATCTGCCTGGGGTGATGGCCGGAGAGGAAGGCTGGAGAGGAAGGCTGGGGAGGGCCCACCGTGGGTATTACCAAGAAACCCCTGATTCCTGCCGCAGAGGTCTGGTGCGATGGGGCCTTTGGGAGAGCACTGAGCTGGGGGCCACAAGGAGATTCCATCCCCATTCTGTTGTCTGCACGTTCACTGGTGCGATAAAAACCAAAGATGAATCTCAGGCAGGCCTGGGGGCTTGTCTCCTGAGAGCACCTGCACCCCGGCCCCCAGGCAGGGCTGGGTCTCAGCCCGGCTTCTTGCTGGGGACTCTGTGGGGCGGGAGCTGCACTGGGCCCCCCCTGGCTCCCTGCACTCAGGCCCCTTGGCCATTCCTGGGCTGGTGGTCAGCGGGGACATCCGGGGGCTAAGCCTGCTCCCACCCCTAAGGGAGAAACGGGCCTGAGGTGGCCGTTGCTGAGGACCGGACCGAGGTTGAAGGGCCAGGAACCAAAGATTCTTCTCTTCTTTCCTTTTCTTCACATTTTATGTTTTTTTTTTTTTTTCTCCCTACTTTCTATTCCTTGATAATACCTTTTAAAACAACTGCTTCCTAGAGATGCCGTTCACAGCCATACATTTCACCGTGTAAAGGGCACAGTTGAAGGTTTTTTAGTAAATTCAGAGTTGTGCAACCTTCGCTGAAGCCAATATTAGGACATTTTCATCACCCCAGAAAGGAAGTCCGTGCCTTTTGGCTCTTACCCCCGCCCAGCCCAAAGCAGCTGCAAATCCACTTTCTCTCTGTGTAGATTTGTGGGTTCTGGACTTTTAAAAACGGGATCGCACGGCGTGTGAGCTTCGGCGTCCGACTCCTTTCCCGCGGTGCCAGGTCCCCGAGGCCCATCACGCTGCAGCCTGTGTGACAGCTTCGTTCCTTTCAAGGCCGGAGAACATGCCTTGTGTGGATGGAACACGTTTGCTTTATTCATTCACCCTCTGATGGACACGTGGGTCGTCTCTACCTTATTTAATGTATTTCGACAATTTAGTGACACATTCAGCAGTTTCCAAGGACAGTCACAGAAGGGAGCTGTCTCCTTCCCTGTCTCCCACCTTTGAGCACCGTCCCCACCCTGGCCAGGCAGCCAGGGGTCTGTGTGGGCCTCGCTCCCTCCCTCCCTCCTTCCTTCCCTCCTGTCTTCCTTTCTTCCGTCCCTCCCTCTGTCTCTCCGTCCCTCCGTCCTTCCTTCCGTCCTTCCTTCCCTCCTGCCTTCCTTTCTTCCCTCCCTCCCTCCCTCAGTCCCTCCGTCCCTCCCTACCCTCCTTCCTTCCTTCCTTTCTCTTTTTTTTTTTTTTTGAGACACAGTCTGACTCTGTCGCCCAGGCTGGAATGCAGTGGCACTATCATAGCTCACTAAAGCCTTGAACTTTCAGGCTCAAGTGATCCTCTTGCCTCAGCCTCCCAAGGAGTAGCTAGGACCACAGGCATACACCACCGTGCCTGGCTACTTTTTTTTTTTTAGAGACAGTCTCACTGTCTCCCAGGCTGGAGTACAGTGGTGTGATCTCACCTCACTGCAACCTCCACCTCCCACATTCAAGCGATTCTCCTGCTTCAGCCTCCCGAGTAGCTGGGATCACAGGTGTGTGCCACCATGCCCAGCTAATTTTTGTATTTTTAATAGAGACGGGGTTTTGCCATGTTGGCCAGGCTGGCCTTGAACTCTTGGCCTCAGGTGATCCATCCCCCTCGGCCTCCCAAAGTTCTGGGATTACAGACGTGAGCCACCGCGCCAGCCCTGGCTAATTAAAAAAAAAAATTTTGTAGTGATGGGGTCTTGCTATGTTGGCCAGGCTGGTCTCAAACTCCTGACCTCGTGATCCGCCCGCCTTGGCCTCCCAAAGTGCTGGGATTACAGGTGTGAGCCACCGCGCCCGGCCCTGTGTTTTCTTGCCTGTGAACTCTCTTCACACCTTTGCCTGCCTTTCTGCTGCAATGTTAGCTGTTTTCATCTTCTAGGGGTTGCTGGTATGTTAGAGAAATTAATCTGAGATACCAAAAACATTTTTTTCTAGGTTGTCTTTCGAATTTGCTCATGGTGGTTTTTGCCGTGGAAATTTTTACTTCGACATAGTCAAAGTGGTCAGCGTTTTATTTTGTGGTTTTAGGGTCTATAGCATACATAAATAGGCCTTCTCTGCCTGAGGGTTTTTTTTTTTTTTTTTTTTTTTTTTGAGACAGTCTTGCTCTGTCACCCAGGCTGGAGGGCAGTGGCTCAATCACAGCTCAGTGCAGCCTCAAGCTCCTGGGCTCAAACGATCCTCTCACCTCAGCCTCCTGAGTAGATGGAACTACAGACGTGCACCACCACGCCTGGCTAATTTTTGTATTTTTTGTAGAGACGGGGGTCTCACTATGTTGCCCAGGCTGGTCTTGAACTCCTGGCCTCAAGTGATCCTCCCGCCTCAGTCTCCCAAGCGCTGGGATTACAGGCTTCAGCCACCACACCCAACCCTGAAGGTTATTTTTTAATAACAGCTTTGTTGAGGTATAATCCACATACAATTCACTCCCGTAAAGCGTACAGTTCAGTAGTTTTAGTGAAGCCACAGGGCTGCACGACCATCACCACTGTCTAACTTCAGGACATTTTAACGTCCCAACACAGCCGGTACTCACCACCCCTCCCATCACCACCGCCCCAGCCGTTACTGAATGTAGACAGAGCTGCTTTGTGTCTCTGTGGATTTGCTTGTTCTGAACATTTCAAACAGATGGAATCATGCAATACGTGGTCTTGTTTTTTTTTTTTTTTTTTTTTGAGACAGGGTGTCACTATGTTGCTCAAGCTGGTCCCGAACTCCCAGGCTCAAGCGATCCTCCCACCTCAGCCTCCCAAAGTGCTGGGATCACAGGTGTGAGCCACCACGTGCGGCCGATTCGTGGTGTTTTGTGTCTGGTTTCCTCCATGGGCACCGTGTGTCCAAGGATCGCCTGGGTTGTAGCGTGTGTCAGAATTGTGTTGCTCTTTTTTTTTTTTTTTTGAGATGGAGTCTCGCTCTGTCAGCCACGCTGGAGTGCTGTGGCACGATCTCTGCTCACTGCAACCTCTGCCTCCCGGGTTCAAGCGATTCTCCTGCCTCAGCCTCCCGAGTAGCTGGGATTACGGGCGTGCACCACCACGCCCGGCTAATTTTTGTATTTTCAGTAGAGACGGGGTCTCACCGTGTTGCCCAGGCTGGTCTTGAACTCCTGACCTCGTGATCTGCCCACCTCTGCCTCCTGAAGTGCTGGGATGACAGGCGTGAGCCCCCGCGCCCGGCCGGCATTCCTCTTTATGGCCGAGGAACCCTCCATGGTGTGGCTCGATCACATTTAGTTTATCTGTGGTTCCGTTCACGGAGCTGGGGCTTGTTCCCGTTCTCAGCTGTCACGAAGAATGTGCTGTGAACACTCATGTGCATGTCTCTGCGTCTTCGCGTCTCTTACGGTGCAGAGGAATCGCTGGACTCTATGGTAACTCTGTGTTTACCGTTTTGAGGAACTGCCAGACTGTTAGTCACCAGAGCCGGAGGTTCCCACCAGCAGCGTGCGGGGGCTCTGATCACTCCACATTCTCTCCAGCTCACTCCCCTGTGCCACTTTGACCTTGCCATCCTAGTGGGGAGAGGTGGTAGCTCATTGAGGTTTTCATCTGCGTTCCCCTGACAGCTAACAGTGTTGAGTGCCTTTGCGTGGCCGAGTGGCCATTTGTGCATCTTCTTTGGAGAAATGTCCGATCAAATCCTTCCCCATTTTTAGGCCGAGGTGGGACGATGGCTTGAGCCCAGGAGTTTGAGACCAGCCCGGGCAACAGAGTGGAACCCCACCTCCATTAAAACAAATTAAAAGTATACATATGCATGTAAAAGTAATTTTAAAAACCCTTACCCATTTTTATTTATTTTTTATTTTTACCTTCCTTTTTTTGCAGAGATAGGGTCTTGCTCTTTTTCCCAAGCTGGAGTGCAGTGGTGTAACCATAGCTCATAGCCTTGACCTCTTGGGCTCAAGGGATCCTCCCGCCTCGGCCTCCCAAAGTGCTGGGATTACAGGTGTGAGCCGCTGTGTCCAGTGGAGACATGGTCTTGTTCTGCCGCCCAGGCTGGAGTTCAGTGGTGCGACCATAGCCCACTGCGACCTCAAACTCCCAGGTTGAGGCCATCTTCCCACCTCGGCCTCCCTAGTAGCTGGGACTACAGGTGTGCGCCATCACACCTGGCTAATTTTTTTTTTTTTTTTTTTGAGAGACAGGGTCTCACTATGTTGCCCAGGCTGGTCTTGAACTCCTGGGCTCAAGGGGTCCTCCCACCTCAGCTTCCCAAAGTGCTGGGACTACAGATGTGAGCCCCTGTCCCCGGCTGGCCCTTGTTAATTTTTTCAACTTTAGAACCATTTCTAGGTAAAAAAATATAATAAATTCTGTTGCTGTTTTTTGGCAATTATTATAAAAAACATGTAGACTCCCATAAGGAGACATTTTTCTACCTCCCTGTGTCTCGGGTCGAGGCTCTCGTCCTCGGGAGCACACGCCAGTTTTCCCTTGGAGACCTGGGACATTTCTCATCCAGCCACTCAGGTGATTTGTCCTGTTGCTGTTGGTGACAGGATCTCTCCTTGTATTTGAGTTTTCTATGGAAAAGCCATTGGTTTTCGAATTTTAAATTGGTGCCAGCCTCTTGTTGCTTGTGATTTCTCCAGCTGCTCTTCTGGGCCCTCCCTGTTTACTGCCATGTGATCCTCGGAGCAGGGTGATGTCAGGGGACTTCAGTCTGGCTGGGCCTGGCTGCGGCCTCAGGCGAGTGGTGTTCAGGAGCTTGAAGGTGCAAACAGCAGCTGCCTTGGGGGCTTACAGCATAGCAAGCAGAACCTCTCCCATGCCCTCGGGGCTGGCGTGGGGTGTGGCGGCCCCTCCTGCTGCTCAAGGCTCACCATACCTGGCTGGCGGCAGGGTCATTGCCAGCGTCCACCCTCAGGGCCTTTGCGCCTGCCAGGAGCACAGTGTGCGTGACAGCCTCCTGGAGCACGAGCCTCCTGGAACGACAGCCTCCTGCAGCACCTCCCCTCCTTCACGGCGCCGTTTCCTTCTCCCTCAGCCTGTTTCGTAAACATGTTCTGGGTCCCTGCAGTGTGTCCCTGCAGAGTCCCCTCAGAGACTCTGTCCTAGCCACATCTGGGTCTCTCGCTCACCAGCCCATCTCCAGGCCCCCGTGTCTGGCGCCTGTTGGCTCTTTGCTAAATGTGAGCTGGGGAGCTGGGTGAACGAGGAAGCCCTCGCTCTCTGGGGCAGAGATGGGGGTCACAGGATGCAGCCAGCTCTCTCCCACGGGACACCCGGTGTGGGTGGACTTGGGGGTTGAAACGGTGGGGCAAACCTCAGACCCATCCTCAAAAGGGGCCTGGCCCCTGGGCCCCCTTTGCCGGGACCCCGTCGTTAGGGACGCTGGCTCCTTCCCTGTCCCAGGGGAGGGTCGATCACTCAGAAATGGTGTCCCTGGGGCAGGAGGAGGTGGCGTTCCCGTCCTGGTGCTGGTGGAGCCCTCAGAGCCTTGGGTCTGCGGGTCACTGTGGTGACGGCCCCAAGGGCAGCTGGCACCTCCTAGGCTGCCCCTGGGACCCCAGGCCTCTGACCCGGCCCCTCCTCTCTTGCAGTTCATGGCCTCCCACGGGAACGACGCCGCGAGAGCCAGGTTTGAGTCCAAAGTACCCTCCTTCTACTACCGGCCCACGCCCTCCGACTGCCAGTGAGTACAAAGGGGCCTTGTCAGGGCCATGGTCAAGTGCTGGGTGGCTCCGAGATGGCCCCGGGAGGACCCGGCAGGGTGGGGAGTTGGGTGCCGCCCACAGGGTCGGGGAGAAGCCAGCCGCAGCTGCGTCCCCCAGACCCCGAGGTGCCGCCTGTGTCTGCTGGCCACCACCGGGCTTTGGTTCTGGGGCGGGGGGCGCTGGGGTGGGGCTGGGAAGGTCATTGTGCATCAGTAGCTACAGCCCACCCAGGTTCGCTGAGGCCTTGGGGGTCTCGGGTGGATCTGAGGGGCCCTCCCAGGTGCTCCTGGCGGTCTGGGAGGGGAACGGGAGGGGCGGCTGTTGTTTCGGGGCCTGCCCTGGCTCCTCAGGGCGGGAGCGGACGTGGGTACCGGTGGCCGGTTGGGGAAGCCTGAGACCCAGTCCTCTGAGCATCCTGGGATCGGGAGGTTGTGGAGAGAGGGAATGAGGCCTGCTCGGTATCACATCAGCCGCCTTCACCAACACCCGCCCCTCCAAGCCTCAGTCTCCCCATCTGCCCGGACGGTGGGAATGAGAGGTGACAACCACACAGGGCCCAGCCTGACTGTTCGCACCGACCCCCTCGTACCTGTCACAGGGGAAAGACGTGTTGGCCCACTGGGTGCCCTCCCGGCCCCCCATGCTTCCTGCCCTGGTTCAATCCCAGCCTCACTGGGCACCGCCCTCCGTTGACTCACTCCGTGAACCCACTCAGCAGAGGGCCCACCCCGCAGAGATACCCCGAGCACGAGCTGGGTGCAGGGTTTGGGTGTGAGCCAACAGTGCCGCAGGAAAGCGGCGGGCGCCTGGCCTCCCAGCCCATGAGGGGCCCACGTGCCGTTGCTGGCTCTGCCCTGACTCGGGGGCTGAGACAGCCTGGGCTCTGCCTGCCCAGGAGCTGCTGGTGGGGACTGCAGTGACCAGGGGGTCTTCCCCAGCATCCGGGGCCCTGTTTGGGGTCTGTGCCCCCTGCAGTGAGCTCCATGAAGGGGCAGTGGGATCAGGGGTCCTCACTGGATCCGAAGGCCCCTGGAAGGCGGGTGGGGGTTGGGGGATAGGGTGGAGGGGAGGCCGGAGGGAAGAGGGAGGAGGGAGAGGGGAGGAAGGACGGACTTCCCGGCTGCAACCCTACACACCATCCTGGGCCTTTTTTTTTTTTTTTTTTTTTTAAATATAGAGACGGGGTCTCCCTACATTGCCCAGGCTGGTTGCAAATTCCTGGGCTCAAGCGATCCTCCTGCCTCAGCCTCCCAAAGTGCTGGGATTGCAGCATGAACCGGCCCTCCCGGGGTCTTCGGGGAGCAGGGGCTGGAGGTGTGTTCAGGCCACGAGCGACTCAGTTTCTTTGGCTGCATGTTGATTTGTTATTGGGGTCACGAGGCCCCCGTCCAGGTGCTTGGCAGGCGTTTTCTTGATGAGCCTCCCGTGAGCCTGGAGACAGGTCCAGCTGCAATCCCCACATCGCCACTGAGAAGGCCGAGGCTGGCGACTCAGCCCCGTGCATGCACCTCTCCCTTCCCACCCGGGCAGGCCTGGCGCCCTGGCCCCCCGTACTCTCATTCTGAGGCCCCAGGTGCCAGCTGCTGTCTCCCCCTGAGCCCTCACAGGGGAACCCTGCCCTGGCCGTGCCCCGGGCTCTCGGTATGAATCATGGAGCCCCAGCACAGCTATTTTTAAGACATTATTTTATCACCCCGCCCCCAGCTGCTCTGTGGCCTGGGTCACTGTCTCCAAGTTCCTCCCACTCCCTGGCTGTTCTGAGTCGGGACCGGGGGCTGACATGGGTGCGGGGGGCTGGGGGTGCTCGTGGACTCAGGGGCTGCTGCTGTTGGGTCCTGGGTGAGGAGACTCCCAGGGCTGACACCCACTATCTGGGGTGGGGTGTGAATCCCTGTATGAGCCGTGGATGCTGGGGCATGGCAGGGGTGCAGTGTGGACCTGCAGTATAACTTGGAGGGCGGGGGGTGCAGCGTGGACCTGGAGGGCAGGGGGTGCAGTGTGGACCTGCTGTGTAATCTGGAGGGCGGGGGGTGCAGCGTGGACCTGCTGTGTAACCTGGAGGGTGGGGGGTGCAGCGTGGACCTGCAGTGTAACCCGGAGGGCGGGGGGTGCAGCGTGGACCTGCAGTGTAACCCGGAGGGCGGGGGGTGCAGCGTGGACCTGCAGTGTAACCCGGAGGGTGGGGGGTGCAGCGTGGACCTCGAGGGTGGGGGAGGGGTGCAGCGTGGACCCGCTGTGTAACCTGGAGGGCAGGGGGTGCAGTGTGGACCTGGAGGGCGGGGAGGGGGTGCAGCATGGACCTGCTGTGTAACCTGGAGGGCGGGGGGTGCAGCGTGAACTGCTGTGTAACCTGGAGGGCGGGGGGTGCAGCGTGGACCTGCAGTGTAACCCGGAGGGCGGGGGGTGCAGCGTGGACCTGCAGTGTAACCCGGAGGGCGGGGGGTGCAGCGTGGACCTGCAGTGTAACCCGGAGGGCGGGGGGTGCAGCGTGGACCTGCAGTGTAACCTGGAGGGCGGGGGGTGCCTACATCCTGCCATTTTGTGGTCCGGCTCTGTGGCTCGTGGGGCCCAAACGTCCAGCCTGGCGAGGTGGGCAGGGGACTCGTCCACCTTCCTCCCACGTCTGCCCCCACCAAGATTCTCCCAGCCCCAGCAGCGCTGGTGCCCACGGCCTCCGTGCAGCCTGGACAAGCCCGGGTCTGAGTTGAAGGTCTTCAGGGGAAAGCTCTGCTGCACAGATGTCCGGGTGGCGTCTTCGCAGGAGCTAAGAGTGGCGGGCAGCGTCCGGAGCAGGGTCCTGGAAGGCCCCCCACGCCATGCCCTGCGGCCTCCCGGCACACACTGGGGTCCCTCCAGGCAGGTCGAGCACCGTGCCCACCTCCAGCTAAGCAGAGGCCCAGGGCCTCAGTTTGCCCAGCTATAAGAGGGGAGGCTGCACCCGCAGGGGAGGGCAGAGGGTCTCGTGTGCCCTCTTTATCTTCAGCACCAGCCTGTGACTCAGAGGCCGGGACCCGTCTCTTCCTGTGTCACCCTCAGAGCTCTCCAGTTTCTATCTTGACGTCGGGGAAAGAAAGTCGTGCGGCCGCTCTGCTTGGTTTTACTTCTGGGTGGAAACCGGCCCCTCCCTGCTTCCTGTGTGGTGAGGGGTGATCAGGGCGAGTGAGGGAAGCTGTGGGAGGAGCCCTTGGCTGCTGGCAGCACCGGCTGGAGGGCTCCTCTCTGCCCATCCCAGCGAAGCCCTGGAGCCCTCAGCCCCAGCAAGCCCCCCGTGGAGCAGGTGTCCGGGCTGGACAGGGCTCTGCATGCATGTCTGGGGCTCCTGGAACACAGCACCACATGCCCGGCGGCCCAGAGCAACAGAAATCTACTTTCTTCCAGCTCTGGAGGCTGGAGGCTCAAGGCTGCTTCTCCCGAGGCCTCTCCGGGGTGCTTCCTCACATCGTGGGCCCTGCGTACCTGTCTGTGTCCTAATTCCCCTTCCTAAGGACACCGGGCACGTTGGATTGGGGGCCACCCTGCTCCTGTGGCCTCATCTTAACTAATCTGCAACCACGGTATTTCCAAATACAGGCACACTCAGGCCCGGGGGTCAGGGCTCCCAGTAGGATGGGGTCGCGGTTCAGGTGGTAGCAGCCTCGGAAACACCCAGGATAGACAATGGGGGCGGGGGTGGCGGGGGTGGGGGTGTTGCTGAGAGGCAGGTGCGTGGGCGGGGGTGTGGGCGGGGGCGTGAACACCACCCGGGCTATTTTCCTGTAATAAAAAGGGAAAAAACCCATCTGGGTGAGCCACTGGTCCACCACGTAGAAGCAAAGCCGGGGGCCCTGGGGGGTCACTTTCGCAAGAGGCAAAGCCTCCAGGAAGGGTGTTGATGGTGTCCTGAACTCCATGCGGTGGAAACTGGCAGAACTCGGGCAGAAGGCACACTCAGGAGTGGACCCTCAGGGATGGACGTGCCAGCTGTGTGAACAGCACCCGCTATGGGGGTCACAGTGGCCACTGGACCCGTCCTGGGGAAAGCGGGGAGGGGTCTCCCATGGCATCTTGGGCTGGGGGAGCCCTGTGGGGAAGTGGCTTCTGGGGCTCAGAGCGTCTTCCCCTGTGAGTCCACACCTAGGGGAGGCAGTCGCCCTGAGCACCTGCCCGGCCCCCTGCCCCCAGCTCACATTTTGCTCTGCGTTGAGGGGACCCACCTGACCCTGAGGCCCTGGCCTTGAAGGGGTGGCCTAGGGGTCCTTGAAGCCTGGCTCCCCTGAGCCCTGGAACTTGGGGCACTTCCTGGGGCGTGGGCTGAGGTGTGGCTGGAGCTTTCCTGGTGGCTCTCCGTCCCGGCTGCCAGGTGGCCCGAAGCCCACCTCCTCGTGACCACGTGGGGTGTCAGTGCGGCCCCTCCAGGGCTGTGGGAGTCGGGAGGGCTCCGGGCAGTACTGGTTTTCAGGAGATGAGGGGCTTCCGGAGGGCTCCGCTGGGCAGGATGGGGTCCAGCCCCCGACTTCCTGGTGCTCACTCCCAGGCTTCCTCCTGCTGCTGCTGCTTCTGGAAGCTTCTGTGCCAGGCCCTGGGATGCCCTTGTGTGCGGGTGTGAGCCTTGGGGGCCCATTCTGCACCAGGGCAGGGCTGCCGACCCTGTGGGTGCCCCGCCCTGAGGGCCGTTGGCAGGCGTGGTTGTCAAAGCCGTCCCTGGCACCTGCCTCTCATCCACAGGCCCCCGGCTTCCACACATGCGGCCTTCGGTCCTCCCGTGACTCTGAGAGGCCGCTGTGTGACCCTGGGGTCATGGGACGCTGGGTGCTAGGGGGCAACTCCTCCGTGGTCACACAGCCGGAGCGGCTCAGGCAGCTGCACGGTGTCCCCCGAAAAGACGTGTTAAAGTCCTAACCCGCCGCCCCTGTGAAGGTGAACTCATCTGGAAATAGGGGCCGGACGCGAGGCTCACACCTGTAATCGCAGCCCTGTAGGAGGCCCAGGTGGGAGGATTGGCCTCAGGAGTTCCAGACCAGCCTGGGCAACAGAGTGAGCTCCCACCTCTACAAAAAATAAAAAATTACCAAGTCGTGGTGGTGCACACCTCTAGCCCAGCTACTCGGGAAGCCGAGGCAGGAGGATCCTTGAGTGCAGGTGTTGGAGGCTGCGTTGAGCTGTGATCGCACCACTGTGCCCCAGCCTGGGAGACACAGTGAGACCCTGTCTCTAAAAGAAAGAAAAGTAGGATCTTTGCAGATGTCTTCAGGTTAAGATAAGGTTGTGAGGTTGTCCTGGAGTAGGGTGGGCCCAAACCCCACAGGGAAGGCCAGGTGAGGACGGCGCCGAGGTGGGGGCACTGGCGGCTTCCAGGGGTGGGAGGGACCCTGGAGGAGATTCTCCCCAGAACACCTGGAGGGACCAGCTCGGCCGACGCCTTGATCTCAGACGTTTGGCCTCCGTGACCGAGATGATACATTTCTGTTGCTTTCGGGGACCGAATTTTGGGGTGATCGTTGTAGCAGGTGGGGGACACACACACACCTGGGGCCAGGGGCCAGAGACCCAGCTGGGACCCATCACCCATCAGATCCTGTGGGCGAGGATTCCCGCCCAGTCTCCAAGGCTGTTCACGTGGGCCCAGCAGGAAGCCACAGGGTTCCTATTTGTTCTTTGCCGCGTAATTCCCTGGGAGTGGAAAAGGCTGGGGCGGCTGCCTGTGCACCTGGGCCGTGCCGGGCCTGTGTGTGGGTCGTGGTTTCTGCAATGGTATTGGCTTCACTCGAGTGAGTCACGGTGGATGGGGAGGCCGTGGTGGGTGGCTCTGGGCAGGGATGTCTGGGCTCAGTGGGTGCCGTGGGGGGCCCTCGTCCCGGGCTTTACTCTCGGGGGCTTCTCCTCATCCCGGGTCTTCCTGGATTCTTGGGTATTTGCCGGTAGTTTCTCCTGATGCCCCGGACGCCTCCTGACCTCGACGGGTGCCCTGATAGCTCCGTCCTGTGTCTCAGAACCACGTGGAGGGCGGCACGGCGGGTGGAGGGCGGCACGGGGGGTGCAAGGTGGCAGCACGGTGGGTGGAGGGCGGCGCCGCGGCCACTTCCCAGATCCGGTCCAACGAGGTGGGGAGGGTCGGGGAGGGCCCAGGGGCGTGTGACTCGGGGTGGGGGGGCCTGGCTCAACCCCTGTACCCCAGCCCTGTGGGGCATCAGCTGAGGCCAAGGTGGGAAGGAGAGGGGAGGCACCAGCCCGTCCACCGGGAACGCTTGTGCAGAACGTGAGGCCTGATGCTCCGGGGGCCGAACGCACAAGAAACCAATAAACTAATATCAGAGTGAGAAGCGTCCCGGGCAGGAGGCTGACCCTGCATTTCTTCCGGGATCTTGTGCCCAGAGGGGCGGCTCGAGTCTGCCGGGGGTCCCTATGAGCCTCTTGAGATGTCCAGGGTCCGGGCCAGAGAGCGGCGTGTGCTGGGTCGGAGGCCGCCTTGGCCCAGTGGCTCAGTCTCTCCTCTCCCCACAGGCTCCTTCGAGAGCAGTGGATCCGGGCCAAGTACGAGCGACAGGAGTTCATCTACCCGGAGAAGCAGGAGCCCTACTCGGCAGGTGAGGCCACCCGGGTGGGGTGGGGCCTCCCGGCTACCTCTCCCTGGCTCTCTCCCTCCCTCCCCCATCTCTTTCCCTCCCTCCCCCATCTCTTTCCCTCCCTCCCCCATCTCTTTCCCTCCCTCCCCCCATCTCCCTCCCTCCCCCATCTCCCTCCCTCCCCCCATCTCCCTCCCTCCCCCATCTCCCTCCCTCTCCCCCCTTCCCCCCCATCTCCCTCCCTCTCCCCGTCTCTCCCACCCACCCCCACCTGTCTCTTTCTCCCCTGTCTTTATCTCTCTCTCTCTCCCTCCTTCTGTCTCTCTTTATCTCTCTGTGTCTCTGTTTCTCTTACTCTCTCTTCATGTCTGTCTCTCATTCTCTGTCTCTCTTCCTCTCTCTTCACGTCTATCTCATCCTCTCTCTATCTCTGTCTCTCCCTCTCTCTCTCCTTCCCTCCCTCCCTCTCGTGTGGACAGAGTCATTATTAACCTGGGTAACACACTCGTGAGTTTGAACCCGCGTCCCCGGACCTGTTTTGCCCTCTGAGTGACGTGACTGAGGGCTTGGGGTCGCCACAGCTGTCTACAGTCCAGCCCTGAAGGAGTGGGGTGCATGGGGACCTCGTGGGGCCGTGGCTGGCCCCTCCTCTGCTGGTGGTGGCCACGCACTTCCATTCGGGGGTGGCCTGCAGGGACCCCTGTCTCCAGCAGTGTGGGCAGGACCTGAAGGCCCGGGTGAGGGGCGTGAGGGCGTCCTCTGTGTGGCAACACTGTGCTGCAGGTGGGGAGGGTGCGGCCCCGGCCTGCGGCCTCCACCTCCCCTAGGCCTGCCTGGGTGCCCTTGGGGGCCCTCGGGTGGCAGAAACATCCAGGCAGCGTCTTGGAGCTTCGTGGGCTGGCGGGGCTGTGGAGGTGGGCGCTGGGAGGCAGTGCCATGGGGGCCTGGGAGGCCAGCCCACCCCAGCCTCGGTCTCCCCACCCCAGCCTCGGTCTCCCCAGTGCTGCTTAGCTGGCCAAGCCTCTGGCTGTGCCCCCCAGCAGTCCCCAACTCTGCCCCCCAGCAGTCCCCAACTCCTGCTTCTCCTGGCATCTCATTTAAACCCTGGGGCTTTGAGTTGGAGCCCCCAGCCGGGTGGGCTGGCTTCCTCCTCCTGTCTGCTCTGTAGGAGGTGGGCTCGGGTACTGTGGGCCTTGAGTGGTTTTTTCCCCAGGGCAGCTGGGCGTCTGCACACTGGAGCTTCCTGAGTGCCCCTTTCTCCACCGTGTCGACAGGGAAACGGAGGCAAGCCTAGCCCTAGGGCCTGGTTCTGAACGTCAGCACGGGCAGGGCGGGGTCCAAAGGCTGGATGGGGATGTTTGGTGCTGCTGGGCATGGCCACGTGAGGAAGGAAGCAGCCCCCAGGGCCCGGACCTGCAACCCCAGCACTGCCCCCACTGCCCTTGTGTAAGAGAGAGGCTGCCCTGGAATGGCGGAACACGAGGTCGGGAGCCGTGTCTCAGGCCTGTAATCCTAGCACTTTGGGAGGCCAAGGCAGGAGGATCACTGGTGGTCAAACAAGCCTGGGCAACATCTAAGATGCCCTCCCTTTAAAAAAAAGAAAAAATTAGCTGGATATGGTGGCACCACCTGTAGTCCCAGCTGCTCGGGAGGCTGAGGCAGGAGCAGCCCTTACGTGCAGGAGTTTGAGGCTACGGTGAGCTGTGTTTGCACCACTGCACTCCAGGCCGGGTGACAGAGCAAGACTCTGTCTTAGAAACAAAAAAGGGTCGGGCACGGTGGCTCACGCCGGTGGTTCCAGCAGTTTGGGAGGCAGGTGGATCCGTTGCAGTCAGCAGTTTGAGGCCAGCCTGGCCAACATGGTGAAACCCCGTCTCTACTAAAAATACAAAAATTAGCTGTGCACGGTTGGCGCACACCTGTAATCCCAGCACTTTATATGGAGGTCAAGGCGGGCAGATCTCCTGATCTCAGGAGTTCAAGACCAGCCTGAGCAACGTGGCGAAACCCCATGTTGCTCATTTTTTGGACTCTACCAAAAAATGCAAAATTAGCTGGGCGTGGTTGGCGCACATCTGTGGTTCCAGCTACTTGGGAGACTGAGGCGGGAGGATCTCTTGAGCCTGGGAGGCGGAGGCTGCAGTGAGCCAAGGTTGCACCACTACACTCCAGCCTGGACGTCAGAGCGAGAGTGTGTCTGTAACAAGAAAAAAGATGAATCGTATTTGTGAATCTCACCCCAAGAATAAAAGAAGCACCTTGGGAGGCCTAGGCGGGCGGATGGATCACTTGAGACCACGAGTTCGAGACCAATCTGGTCAACGTGGCAAAACTGTTTCTAGTAAAAAATACAAAAATTAGCCAGGTGTGGTGGCAGGTGCCTGTAATCCCAGCTCCTCGGCAGGCTGATGCAGGAGAATCGCTTGAACCTGGAAGGCGGAGGTTGCAATGAGCCGAGATTGCGCCTCTGCACTCCAGCCTGGGCGGCAGAGCAAAAGTCTGTCTCAAAATATGTGAAAGAGAGGCGGCCCTGAAATGGCTGAACACAGTCCTGGTGTTGTAGGTGGGTTCAGTGGAGAAGCCCCTGACCCCCAGTGCTCCAACCCCTCCCAGCCCTCCCTGGTAGAGCTGGCACTGCGCCCCCCTCCCGTGCACCTCCCCGGTAGAGCTGGCACTGCGCCCCCCCTCCCGTGCACCTCCCCGGTAGAGCTGGCACTGCGCCCCCCTCCCGTGCAACTCCCCGGTAGAGCTGGCACTGCGCCCCCCTCCCGTGCACCTCCCCGGTAGAGCTGGCACTGCGCCCCCCCTCCCGTGCACCTCCCCGGTAGAGCTGGCACTGCGCCCCCCTCCCGTGCAACTCCCCGGTAGAGCTGGCACTGCGCCCCCCTCCCGTGCACCTCCCCGGTAGAGCTGGCACTGCGCCCCCCTCCCGTGCACCTCCCCGGTAGAGCTGGCACTGCGCCCCCCTCCCGTGCACCTCCCCGGTAGAGCTGGCACTGCGCACCCCTCCTGTGCACCTCCCCGGTAGAGCTGGCACTGCGCCCCCCTCCCGTGCACCTCCCTGGGCTCTGTCAGGACCGTGGATTTTCTCCCAGGAGCGGCGTGGGGTGAGCAGGGGTGACCGGTGGGAGGCTGCCCCAGGCCTGAGCAAGGCACCTCCCCAGGTCAGGCTGGGGTCTCATGCAGCGGTCCTGTCGGCTCTGCCCTCCTCCAGGGCAGCTCCTGCCCCCCCAACCCCCACTTGGCACACAGCCAGCCTGTGCAGGCGCTGATTCAATTACTGTCTACCCAGACAGCAATTTCTTCCTCTCAAGAATCCCTGTGTGTGTGAGGGAGAGAGCAAGAAACGGTCAGGGGATGAACACGCGGGCACCTGGACCTGCTCAGCACCCAGCACACCCCTCGCTCCACTCCTGCCTTAAACCCCCAAAGAATCACCCCAGAGCCCCTCCGTTTCCCTCGGCAGAAACATCTTAGCAATTTGTAGCAAGGTGGCACGTGGCCTCACTTCAGAGGCAGGCATGGGCTGGGCTGGCGTGACCACAGGACTGAGTTTTGTGTCTGTTCTTGTATCAGAACCCTCTGGTTGTAAAGGATGGAAAATCCAACTTCACTGGGTGTCAGCAAAACTGGAAATGGATTGACTGGAATAACAGGGCACAGCTTGATCTAGGGGTTTAGCTGGTGTCGTTGGGACCTGGTTTCAGCACCTCTATCTCCTAGTTCTGCGTCTCTAGGTTGGCACCAATCCTCCTGGTGGCCACCTCCTTTGGCAAGTTTGGGTTTTACATCCCTGCTCTCCCGGGCTGCCAGGAAAGGTCAGGTGTGGCTCACAGAAGTGCTGGAAAAAGTCCCTGTCTCGTCACCTCTGACTGGTCGGGCCGGGATGTGACTTGGGAAACGTGGCGCCCTAGGTGGCGTGCCCGCCTCTGGCCCCTGGAGTGGCCCTTCTGGGGAAGATCAGGTCTGGGCTCCAGAAGTGGGGGTGCGTGCAGGTGGCAGACAGTGTCTCGTGGGCAGTGGGCGTGGGTTCTGCAGGCAGGTGGCAGACGGCATCTCGTGGAAAGTGGGCGCGGGTTCTGGGTTCTGCAGGCGGGTGGCAGACAGCGTCTCGTGGAAAGTGGGCGCGGGTTCTGGGTTCTGCAGGCGGGTGGCAGACAGCGTCTCGTCGGCAGTGGGCGTAGGTTCTGCAGGGGTATATGGGTGTCATTGGGCTCAGGGCCAGGAGGTGGTGACAGGCCTGGTGACCCAAGACGCCTCCTGCCCCAGGCCCGAGGCTGCCCAACTGGAATCCTGTTCCTGCCCCACTGGAATCCCATTCCTGCCTTTGCTGTTGTCTGAGATATTCCCTTGAGAGCATTTGAGATGAGCTAAAGCCTCCCGTGTGACCCTCGGGCAGGGGTTGGAGGGAGGGAGAGGCCTCCCAGCAGGGTAGAGTCGGGGCAGAGGTTTTCAGGCACACGCTTGCTCGCAGGGTCGGAGCCCAAGGCCTTGGCCTTGCCTGCCGGCCTCTGAAGCCCACGCTGAGTGAATGGCCGCTTCTCATACCAGGCCCGGCGGGGCGGCCACGTCCGCAGCACCAGGCTCATGATCTGCCTGTGGAGACCAGGCCGCATGGGCTGTGCCCTCTGTTCTCTCCCCTGGATGGGTGTGAGGATGGTGGGGAGGTGCACAGTGTGCATGAGGCACGGGTGAGGTACACAGACGAGATGTACGGGTGTGTGCGGCACAGGTGAGATGCACAGGCGAGGTGTGCAGGTGTGAGTGCAGGGCTGGCCCTTTGTGAAGGTGCCGTGAGTGCCGTGGCCAGGTGTTACCTGGCAGCAGGGTGGCAGCCTCTTGCAGAGGGCATGGGGTCGTAGACTGCGGCTGCTCCAGAGTGTGTGGCTGCTGTCTCCCTTGGGCCACGGCACCTTCCAGGTCGCGCAGGAGGCACCAGGCACGCCAGCCAGAGGGCCTCGGGCCCCAGAGCCCCGGCTGCAGGGAGGCTGCTGGGATCCCAGGGACCCAGAGGTGCTGAGTCGTATGGCCCTGTGCTCAGGGCCCACTGACACCCACCTGCTCAGGGCAGGGCTCACCCCTCCTTGAAGCCTCCCCTCTACCCTGCCCCTGCAGCCTGGTCAGTAGGCACGAAGGCCTGGCTGCTTCAGACGGCCAAGTGCCTGGGGACCAGCAGGCGGTGACTGTCTGTGCTCCAGGCTGCTGTCTCTGGGTGCTGTGCAGGGCGGGGTTCCAGGGCCCTGTGAGATGCCCTGCCTGTCTCCTTGTGTGTTCAGGGGCTCCAGGGCACCTCTCCCACAGACCTAGCTGCCCGCTGCTATTTGGAACCCTAGGTTCTGCCCTTTGCTGGATGGATGAGGGAGCAGGTGTCCATCTGGTGCTCAGGGTTAGACCTCAGGGACCCCCCGAGCCTCCCCATGGCCCCCACCCTGAGCCCATGTCTGGGTGGGTGCAGCAGCAGGAGAGGACGTGTCCTCCTGTCTGGGGCGGCCCCGTGGGCAGAGCCTCCTCCACAGGGCTCCAGCGCCAGTTGGCAGTTCCCGGGCCTCCCAACCCCTCCCAGAGTGCACTGGGGATTCCCGGCGGCGTTCCTGCCCTGCTCCCTGGCTTTGCCACCAGAGCCCTTTATCACGGCAGTGGCGACACCTCACGACCACAGGGAAATATAGAAGTCCCTGCGGCAGGGCCCGGGAGGAAGGGGAAGCTCGGGGCTTGGGAAGGGCCTGCCACACCCACAACCCCACGTTGGCCAGGTGAGGCCTGGGCCAGGTGGCTCCCGCTCTGCACAGAGGAGTGGCTGCAGGTCTGCCCTGGAATGAGCCGGAACCAAGAACTCCTAGAGGCTGTGCCACGCCCAGTGCCCACAGCCTGCACCTTGGCTGTGGGTGGAAATGGCCGGGTTGTTCTCACAGGGCGGGGGCCCCAGATGTCCTGTGTGTGGGCCACGCCACCCAGGACCATGGCTGAGGAAGGCGGAGCCCCACTCCATCCCTCTGTTAGGCCACCCAAAAGGAAGGATCACCACCGGGCTTTTCTGAAGGAGTTTTTTGTTTGTTTGTTTTTTCCTGCTCTGTTGCCCAGGCTGCGGTGCAATGGTGCGGTCTCAGCTCACCGCAATGTCCACCTCCCGGGTTCCCGCCATTCTCCTGCCTCAGCATCCTGAGTAGCTGGGACTACAGGCGCCCCCCACCACGCCCGGCTAATTTTTATATTTTTAGTAGAGACAGGATTTCATCATGTTGGCCAGGCTGGTCTGGAACTCCTGACCTCAGGTGACCCGCCCGCCTCGGCCTCCCAAAGTGCTGAGATTATAGGCGTGAGCCACCACACCTGGCCTCTGAAGGAGCTTTTAATGGCTAAAGCTGGGGGAGTAATTTGAGCAACAAAAGGAAGATGGTATAAGGGGATTATAACAGGGGAGCAAGGTACACACCCCCAAGTCCATAGACATATACATAAAGAATGGAACAAGTAAAGAGAAAGGGGAGGACCGGGCGCGGTGCCTCACGCCTGTAATCCCAGCACTTTGGGAGGCTGAGGCAGGCGGATCACGAGGTCAGGAGATCAAGACCATCCTGGCTAACACGGTGAAACCCCGTCTCTACTAAAAATACAAAAAAATTAGCTGGGTGTGGTGGCGGGCGCCTGTAGTCCCAGCTACTTGGGAGGCTGAGGCAGGAGAATGGTGTGAACCCAGGAGGTGGAGCTTGCAGTGAGTGGAGATCACGCCACTAAACTCCAGCCTGGGCGACAGAGCGAGACTCCGTCTCAAAAAAAAAAAAAAAAAAAAGGAAGGGGAGGAGGCCAGCAGCCTTTGCACACGAATTCCAGTTAATACAAAAGAAGGCCGGGCACCGGGGCTCATGCCTGTCATTGCAGCACTCTGGGAGGCCGAGGTGGGAGGGTTGCTTGAGCCAGGAGTTCAACACCAGCCTGGGCAACGTGGGGAGACTCCGTCTCAAGACAAAGTTTAATAATTAGCTGGGCATGGAGGCGCCTATGGTCCCAGCTACTCAGGACACTGAGGTGGGAGGATGGTCTGAGCCCAGGAGGTCAAGACTGCAGTGAGCTGTGATTGCACCACTGCACTCCAGTGTGGGCCACAGAGAGACCTTGTCTTAAAACATAAATAAATAGGCCTGGCGTGATAGCTCCAGCTACTCAGGAGGCTGAGACAGGAGAATAGCTTGAACCTGGGAAGCGGAGGTTGCAGGGAGCCGAGATCGCGCCATTGCACTCCAGCCTGGGCAACAGCGAGATTCCGTATCAAAATAAAATAAATGCAAGAGGAGTGAGGGAAGCGGAAACACCTCTCGAGGTGCACGTTGCAGTAACCTGTGGCAGGGAAGCCCCTCTGTGGCCGCTGTGTCTCCCCAAGATGCTCTTTGACGACAAAGGACCGGGGGAGAAGCCCTTGGTGTCGGTGCGTAGCGGAAGGTGCGTCGCTGTGGCCCCAGGTGAACCTCAGCCCGCTGAGCCAGCAGGGCTCCCCCACCCTCTGCGCCGCCTCCCTGGGCCAAGGTCACTGCGTGGGGACGCGCCGCACCCCTCCCCCAGATGTGGGGGTTTATCCTTGTGTCTGAGCCAGACTTGCCCCCCGCCTGCCCCTGGGGGTGACCCTGGTGACAGCTGCTCCCACCGCGGGCTGGCCCCGCCTCGGGCCGCAGCCTCAATGGCGGCTTTCACAGGGGCCTGGACAATGCCTCATGTTGTCCTGAGGGCCAGGCCCTGGTCTCGCTGAGACGCGGGGCTTCCTGCTCTAGGCTCCGGACCCCGTGCTCCTGTCGGAGCTTCTGTGGTTCCCCTGTGGTTCAGGACGGCCCCTCCTGGTGGTACCAGGCAGGGATGGGCCGACCGTTGCCGTAAATGTCACAGGGCAGACGGAGCCCAGGAGGGGGCTGGGGCTGTGCACGAGGTCTGGGGCCTCGGTTTCCCCGTCCATATAGTGGGGACGATGGTGTGCGGCACGAGGGCGCTACTGGGAACATCACCAGCCGTTCCTCGCAGGCAGCGCGAGGCTTTACGTGGCCCATGAGGGGACGGGTGTTTGGGGCCAGGCCAGAGCTGTGGGGCTGCCCCTCGGGGGGACGGGTGTTTGGGGCCTGGCCAGAGGTGGTAGGGCTGCCCCATTGCCCCTCTCTGGGTGGGTGTCGGCTCCTGGCCCTCCGTGGGTCCCCCGCCCCCTTCCTGGCCCTCCGTGGGACCCCCGCCCCCTTCCTGGCCCTCCGTGGGACCCCCGCCCCCTTCCTGGCCCTCCGTGGGACCCCCGCCCCCTTCCTGGCCCTCCGTGGGACCCCCGCCCCCTTCCTGGCCCTCCGTGGGACCCCCGCCCCCTTCCTGGCCCTCCGTGGGACCCCCGCCCCCTTCCTGGCCCTCCGTGGGACCCCCGCCCCCTTCCTGGCCCTCCGTGGGACCCCCGCCCCCTTCCTGGCCCTCCGTGTGATCCCCGCCCCTTTCCTGGCATGTTTGTCTTACAGGAGTCAGGGTTCGCTGTTCTTGGGCGCTGGGGCCCCTGTGTGGGGGCCTCAGGGTTTGGGGCTTGGGGAGGGGGGTACCCTGGGGCTGACTTGGCCCTGAGGGTGGCCCCTCCTGCAGCCTGGGCAGCCTGGCGGGGATGGGGGCATCCACACGTCACTCTGGGCAGGAAGGCGCTGTGGAAACTGTGAACCCGTGTGTGAGTGGGGGGGTCTCTCCAGGCCTGTCGGGGGCCGGGCCCCATGCTGGGGGCTATATGAGAATAGGAACAGGGTGAGAGCTGACCCCAGGAGCCCTCGTCCACCCTCTGGCCTCACCCCTGGGAACAGGGAAGCCTCCCTGTCCTGGCTGTTTGGAGAGAGAGCTCCACGCAGGGCGAAGCTGGGACCTGGAGCCCTCCGCAGGATACGGCCCGCTGGTTCTCAGCCTCTGCCGGCCCCAGACGCACCAACCTGGAGAAGGTGCATTAATGGGTCGGAGAGCGTGGGTGGACGGGCCAGGCAGGGAGAGACGGAGCCCTGTGCGGGCTCACAGAGGAGGCCTTCAACTCTAAGGCCTTACCCAGCAAGGAGACACTGCTCTGCCGTGGGCTCCGGTGTTTGCCTCCTGAGGGAGGGCAGGAGCCACTAGGACCCAAAGGCCGGAAGCCAGGTCCAGGCCCTTCACAGGGACGGCCGGGGTGCAGTGATCAGGGCCTCGGCCCCGTTCTCAGAGGCCACCCATCCATGGTGCACCCCTCCCTGTGGAAGGCCAGAGGCCCCATGAGATATGGGGATGCAGTTCCCACCCCAGAGGGTCCACCACCCTGTGAGCTGTCACTCAGAGCAGGGCCACGTGCTTCCCTGCCCCAGTTTACAAGACAATTAGCATATAAATCACATACGTGAGGTGTGATTTACATCTACTTTGCATATCCTATTTAGAGTGCAGTCCCAGCTCTGACAAATCCAAGACCCAGCAGTCTCGGGCCAGGCGTGGGGCTCACGCTGCAACCCCAGTATGGTGGGAGGAGAGGCAGGAGGGTCACCTGAGCTCAGAAGTTCGAGACCAGCCTGGGCAACGCAGTGAGCTCCCATCTCTACAAAAAAATACAGAACTTAGCCGGGTGTGGTGGCGTGCATCTGTGGTCCCAGCTACTCGGGAGGCCAAGGCTGGAGGATCACTTGAGCCCGGAAGGTCAAGGCTGCAGTGAGCTGTGATAGTGCCCCTGCACTCCAGCCTGGGTGGGGAAAAAAAAAAAAAAGCCTCGTAAACGGGTGTGGGCTTTATGTGAAGGCTGTTCCTGTTTCCTCGGATTTCACTTCTCTCTGAGGCACGTGATGTGCGCGCTTCACTGTGGTGGAAGAAACGGCCTGGCTGCTTTCCAGGGACTGGGGCACCTTACATCCCCACGGGCAGCGTGGAAGGGCCGGCGTCCCCGCCCACAGTCGGGCGCCTGTGTGTGCACACTGGTTTGGTTTTGCCGTTCTCGTGGGTCATGGCGATGCTGAACGTCTTTCCTGCTCTTAGCCGTGCGGTGGGCAGAAGGGCTCCTCAGAGGCGTCTGAGCAGGGCATGGGGTGTGGACTGGACCCAGCTCCCCACAGGTGGGACAAGACCTGGCACACAGTGGGACCGGCACACAGTAGGGCCTGGTGTGCAGTAGAACCCCCCCCACCCCACACCATAGGACCCGACACACAGCGGGACCAGCTCACAGCAGGGCGCGGCACGCGGTAGCTGTTTGATAAATACTGGTCGAGTCCTGCCCCAGGACTCACGAGTCCTTTAAGAGAAAATGGCCATTTCTGGCCACAGCCCACCCGGCTGTCCAGGACGCTGCCGTGTGAGGGGCTGCTCTGTGGGGAGAAGCCCCGTCTCACTGGCTGTTGCTGGTGCCGACTGGGGGCTGCAGGCCCCTGAGGTCCTGGCCCTCCCCAGCGAGGCCAAGGGGCTGGCCAGGCATGGGGAGAGCAGAGGCTCAGCCTGAGGTCTGGACTGGGCGTGGGGCGCGTCCGGGACCGTGGCCAGCGCCGTCCTGAAATACACTCCTGCGTCGTCATTGCCCCTGGAATGCGGCGTCCTGGCGCCTGCTGTCGGGAGGACCGGGGTTCCCGCTGGCGCCTGCTGTCGGGAGGACCGGGGTTCCCGCTGGCGCCTGCTGTCGGGAGGACCGGGGTTCCCGCTGGCGCCTGCTGTCGGGAGGACCGGGGTTCCCGCTGGCGCCTGCTGTCGGGAGGACCGGGGTTCCCGCTGGCGCCTGCTGTCGGGAGGTCCGGGGTTCCCGCTGGCGCCTGCTGTCGGGAGGACCGGGGTTCCCGCTGGCGCCTGCTGTCGGGAGGTCCGGGGTTCCCGCTGGCGCCTGCTGTCGGGAGGACCGGGGTTCCCGCTGGCGCCTGCTGTCGGGAGGACCGGGGTTCCCGCTGGCGTCTGGACCCCGAGAACACCGGAGCAGCTGCGCGCGTGCAGAGGGGCAGTGGCCTCCCAGACCCCGCGGCCTGCGCGCTTCCGGAGCACTGCTGTCACCTGCTGGGCGCGGCGGGCATGGCAGGGGCGCGTCCCCACCCTGTGGCCTAGGGAGCCCGGTCGCTGGAAGGGGCCCCCGCTGTGTCCTGGGCAGGGGTCTGTGGAACCGACACACTGGACCCAGCCAGCTCCACCCCCGTGGGCGAGGTGGCCCAAACTTGTCGTCTGCATTGGTGACACGGACACGCACGCCTTGGAGGCTCCCCGGGGTGCACACAAGGCCGTGAGCGGCAGAGGCCGGGAAGCGCCGCTGGGCCCGCTGCTGCGATGCCTCCCCGGGCACTTCTCGGCGTCCACCCTCAGCCACGAAGCGCCGCGTCCAAAGAGGTCCTGATGTCGGAGGCAGAGCCGTGGGGACACCCAGCTGTGCCTGGGCAGGGGCTCACTGAGTCAACAGGCGTTCTGAGCAGGCCTTACTTGGGTCTGAGGGACACTGGTGGCCTCGCTCTCACAGTGAGAAGCAGGAGAAGGGGGTTCTTCCATGGGAAGGGGGCTCCTGGCTGCTGCTGTGCGCACGGGGCTGGGGCAGCAGCCTTGTAGAGGCTTGGGGAGCGGGGAGCTCCGGGCAGTGAGGGGAGCAGGCCCCGTCTGGCACCATCCAAGACAGCCCAGGGCCCCCTCCCCGAGGGCACCAGCTGTCCCCTCCCCAACGCCAGGCGTTTTATGGCTTGCATCTCAGCAGAGAAAATAGCCCCTGGTCTCTGGTGTCGGGATGGGGCTGTCTGAGCTGGGGAGGGGATGCTGGGGAGCAGGGGGCTTTGGTGGTCAGGGCTGATGGGCGGTGTCTGCAATCTGAGCCTCTGTCTGGCCTGTTGGCTGCTGCAGGGGGCTGTTTAGCCCCGCCTGGAGCCCACAGCCCCCTCGCGTCCCTGTGGCGTAGGTCAGCAGCCCCTGCCCTCAGATGACCGGGGCTCCCAGGCCACATGGCCAGCAGGATGGGATGCTGTCCCCAAGCAAGTGCTCTCTGAAGTCACTGAGGGGTCACGGACAGGCCCACGGATGCTCAGCAGACGGCCCCACGACCCCGGGAAGGGCCCACGGACACTGGGCAGACGGCCCCGCGACCCCTGGAGGGGCCACGGATGCTCGGCAGACGGCTCCTCGGCAGACGGCCCCGCGACCTCCGGAGAGGCGGCGCCCACTGGGGATGCTTGGCAGACGGCCCCGTGATCCCAGGAGAGTCTGCACCCACTGAGGACCTGCTCGACCCTGGCCACGCAGCTGCTGCCAACGGCGGGACCTGCACGCGACCCAAGGCCTGGCAGACGGAGCCCAGGACACGGATGCTGCAAGCCACATGCTGTTGGGGCGGGACAGCCAGGGCCATAGAAGAAGCTGCATCTGAGTCCGCAGGACACAGAGTTCCAGAGCAGGAGAAAGGACGGGCAACGATAGGAACCACGGACAGGGAGCAGAAGTGGGAGCGGGGCCTGGGGGGGATGGGAACGCCCCTCTGAGTGGCCACACGTGGGTCACTGACCGCAGCTCAGTGACGTGAAGCCACACGTGTTTGTTCTCCCACAGCTCTGGCAGAGCTCCAGGACGATCCCACGGGCCCGAGACTCGGAGTGGGCAGAGCTGGTTCTGGGCTCAGGACGGGTCCTCTGGCCTCTCCCTGGTGCTCCTGGGCTCTGGGGCCCCCTCTGGCCTCAGTTTCCACGGCCACGTCCCCTTCCCTCCTGTCCTCATATCTCTGCCTCCCTCCCCTGTGATCGTCTGCCACAGCAGCGTCCTAACCACCCGTGCACGGTGTGTTTTGCCATAGAAGGTGGCGTGTCCAGGTGCTTAGGCTCCCAGGGGGATGCCCGGGCTACTTTTCTGTGGCTGTGTGTGGTGTGCGTGAGGCCACAGGCGGAGATGAGGGCTTGAGCTGGACTCCCCTCAGATGAGCTTTCCTGAAAAAAGAGGGGATGGCACCACCTGGACCCAGCAGCTGCGGACGGCTGAGGGAGGAGGGAGGAGGCCAGCCTGGTCCTCCCGGGCAGCACGAGGTTGGACCCAGCCCTGCCTCTGCCCATGGTGGCTCTGGCCATGTCCACTCAGGATGGGGAGGGTCCCTGGGGGCCAGTAAAGGACAGCTGGAGTCCCGCTCATCCAGGCCGTCCTCAGGCTGGCTTGGGCCAGGGTTGCAGCCAACAGCGCTGGTCCACTGTCATATCCCCTCACCAACCATCCACCATCACCATCTGACCCATGTCCCCCCATGTCCCCTGTCCCGTCCCCCGTGTCCCCTGTCCCCCATGTCCCCTGTCCATGTCCCCTATGTACTCTGTCCCCCATGTCCCGTCCCCGATGTCCCGTCCCCCATGTCCATGTCCCCCGTGTCCCCTGTCCATGTCCCCTTTCCCGCCCCCTTTCTCCTTTCCCTTTCTCCTTTCTCCTTTCTCCTTTCCCTTTCTCCCTTTCTCCCTTCTCCTTTCTCCTTTCTCCTTTCCCTTTCTCCTTTCCCTTTCTCCCTTTCTCCCTTCTCCTTTCTCCTTTCCCTTTCTCCTTTCTCCTTTCTCCCTTTCTCCTTTCCCTTTCTCCTTTCTCCTTTCTCCTTTCTCCTTTCCCTTTCTCCTTTCTCCTTTCTCCTTTCTCCTTTCCCTTTCTCCCTTTCTCCTTTCCCTTTCTCCTTTCTCCTTTCTCCTTTCTCCTTTCTCTTTCTCCCTTTCTCCTTTCCCTTTCTCCTTTCTCCTTTCCCTTTCTCCTTTCTCCTTTCTCCTTTCTCCTTTCCCTTTCTCCTTTCTCCCTTTCTCCTTTCTCCCTTTCTCCTTTCTCCCTTTCTCCTTTCTCCCTTTCTCCTTTCCCTTTCTCCTTTCTCCTTTCTCCTTTCTCCTTTCTCCTTTCCCTTTCTCCTTTCTCCTTTCTCCTTTCCCTTTCTCCTTTCTCCCTTTCTCCTTTCTCCCTTTCTCCTTTCTCCCTTTCTCCTTTCTCCCTTTCTCCTTTCCCTTTCTCCTTTCTCCCTTTCTCCTTTCTCCTTTCTCCTTTCCCTTTCTCCTTTCTCCTTTCCCTTTCTCCTTTCTCCTTTCTCCTTTCTCCTTTCCCTTTCTCCTTTCTCCCTTTCTCCTTTCTCCCTTTCTCCTTTCTCCCTTTCTCCTTTCTCCCTTTCTCCTTTCCCTTTCTCCTTTCTCCTTTCTCCTTTCTCCTTTCTCCCTTCTCCCTTCTCCCTTCTCCCTTCTCCCTTCTCCCTTCTCCCTTCTCCCTTCTCCCTTCTCCTTTCTCCTTTCTCCTTTCTCCTTTCTCCTTTCTCCTTTCTCCTTTCTCCCTTCTCCCTTCTCCCTTCTCCTTTCCCTTTCTCCTTTCCCTTTCTCCTTTCTCCTTTCTCCTTTCTCCTTTCTCCTTTCTCCTTTCCCTTTCTCCTTTCTCCTTTCTCCTTTCCCTTTCTCCTTTCCCTTTCTCCTTTCCCTTTCTCCTTTCTCCTTTCTCCTTTCTCCTTTCTCCTTTCTCCTTTCTCCTTTCTCCTTTCTCCTTTCTCCCTTCTCCCTTCTCCCTTCTCCCTTCTCCCTTCTCCCTTCTCCCTTCTCCCTTCTCCCTTCTCCTTTCTCCTTTCCCTTTCTCCTTTCTCCTTTCCCTTTCTCCCTTTCTCCCTTTCTCCTTTCTCCTTTCTCTTTCTCCCTTTCTCCTTTCTCCTTTCTCCTTTCTCCTTTCTCCTTTCCCTTTCCCTTTCCCTGCCCATCTTCCTATCTCCCTGTCTCCTCCATGTCCCCTCTCCCCGTCCGTCTCCCCCTGTCCGTGTCCCCCGTCCGTGTCCCCCGTGTCTTCTCCCCATGTCCCCTCTGTCCTGTCCATCGTCACTCCTTTTGTTTCCTCCCCCCCATCCACTGTCACCGACTCGTGTCCCCTTTCCCCCACAGGGTACCGTGAGGGTTTTCTCTGGAAGCGTGGCCGGGACAACGGGCAGTTTTTGAGCCGGAAGTTTGTGCTGACAGAACGAGAGGGTGCTCTGAAGTATTTCAACAGAAATGATGTGAGTCACAGACGGGGGTGGGGTGGGGGCCTGTCCCAGGGCGGCATCCCGGCCTCCCACACTGGGGCCTGTGGTGGCCGCGTCCATCCGCAGCTGCCCTCCCTGCTGCCCCCCCCGATGGGGACGCTCCAGGAGAACCGGCCTGTGTTGGGCTGAGCCTCTGTGTGCCGGACCCAGCGTCCCCCAGGGTGGGGCAGCTGAGGCTTTCCAGGAGCCTGGGCGGCCGGGCGGGGCCCCCTGAACTCAGGCCCAGCCGTGGGAGAGGGAGAACCTAGTCACTGGGCCCCTCTGGAGCCAGCCAGGACCCCAGAAAGCCCCTAGTTTTCCTGGAGGTACCCTGGGGAGACTGGACTGGGACAGGACAAACACATTGGCAAGAACAGTGGGGTCTTCACAAGGTGGCCCCAGACCCATGGGCTGATGGTCAGAAGCACCCGCCCTGAGCCGTGGCGGGCACTGGCTGGAGGTGGGCTGGTGGCTGGGGCCTGCCCCTGTGGGAGCTGCCGTGCCGTGTGGGGCCCGGGGCTGCCCCCGGGGAGGGAGGTGCAGTGTCTGATGTCAAGTGCCACCTGCACAGTGTCGTTGAGGTCCCCATCACTCCTGGGAGGGAGGTGCTGTTACCTTCTGCTTACAGACCGGGAGGCCAAGGCTCAGAGCGCTTAAGTAACTTGCCCAAAGCCACACAGCACAGCAGGTGCGCCGCCAGCACCCACAGGGTCTGCCCTTCCTGCTCCCTTGAGCTTGGACGACGGCCCCTGTGAGGTGCTTAGACCCCACCCCTTCTCAGGCCAAGGAGCCCAAGGCCGTGATGAAGATCGAGCACCTGAACGCCACCTTCCAGCCGGCCAAGATCGGCCACCCCCACGGCCTGCAGGTCACCTACCTGAAGGACAACAGCACCCGTAACATCTTCATCTACCATGAGGACGGGAAGGTGGGTGCTGGCGAGCACTCGGGCCCGGGTGGCACAGGAGGGTGGGCCCTCAGGCCCGGGTGGCGCAGGAAGGTGGGTGCTTGGACGGTACGGGAGGGTAGGCACTTGAGCTAGGCGGCATGAGAAGGCGGGAAGTCGGGCTGGGCAGCGTGGGAAGGCGGGTGCTTGGACGTGTGGGAGTGTGGGCACTGGCGCCGGGCAGCATGGGAAGACAGGTGCAGGAAGGCAGCTTCCCAGGGCCGGGCTGCCCAGGAGCCGGATCACCACGCTGTCTCTGGGGCCACCCAGCTTGGCCCTGTCAGTGGGGGCTGCCAGCTCGGGCTAGAGGATCCACCGCCCCCACAATGCCCAGAGGGGACCTCGGGGGGAACTGGGGTCCTACGGGGAGGAGATGTGGACGGTAGCCGGCTCTGGGGTGGTTTGGGTAGGGTTCCTTTGGCTGCCCTTGGTGTGGCGGCGGGGAGGGTGGGTGTACCCCGCATCTCTGGAGGGCTTGGGGGGAACCCAGGTAAAACCCCCACAAAAGCTATCCTTTTGTCTTTGGGCCAGGCTGCAGGGGGCGCAGCGGTGGGCCCAGCCTCTTTGTTACTTAGGTTCTTGTTTCTATGTTTATCACACGTCTGTGTGCACACGGTCTAAAGCGCTATATCGTTCCTAAATCTTGAGAAACAGAAGTTTGAGGTCCCTCCTAACCCCCGTTGGGAATTGGTCCCCATATCCAAAAATAAGCTGCCGGTGTCGCTGCAGATTTACCCACTTTAGGCACCATCTGACAACTTCCCACGTGGAAGTAGAGGTTCCAGCTCTTTCCATCCCCTCCCACGTGCCCGTCCCCTGCCTGCCGTGCTCCGCTGGCATCTGACCCTGGGTTTGTTAGGGGGCCGAGTCGGGTGCAGCCCCTGGCCTCAGAGCACGCTGTGATCGCTCTTCCCACAGTAAGCGGCTGTGTTCCTTGCCGCAGTTGACCATGTGTTGCCGCAGACTCTCCGCAGACTGTTGTCTCTGGAGGCAGTCGGGCACCAGGAGCCTGCGACTCCCACGGCCTGGAGATCTCGCTCCTGCAGCCTCATCTGGTTCCTGGGTGGAGCCCTGCTGCCCGGGTCCTACGTCTTTCTCGTTTACTTATTCCTCTTGGTAGAAGTGATGTGCCTGGAGGGAAAGGGGTCACCTGGCACCTTGGACTGTTCTACCTCCTGCCTGGCTTAGACTGTGGCTAGATATAGAATTCTAGGTTGGAATTAATTTTCCTGCTAATTCTGAAGGCTTTGCACCACGGATTCCTCCATCCTAGTACGTTTGTCCCGCGGTTTTGAAATTCTCCAATGCTGTGCGTGTGTTGGCAAGGGTCCCTCGTCTTTTCATGTGCTGGGTACAGGCCCAGGGTGGCCCTTCCAGTCCAGTTACTGGTTTCCATGAGGTCAGGGATTGCTTTCTTATCTAATGATTTCCTCCCTCCACTTTCCCTGTTCTCATTTTCTGAAACTCCTGTTATTGGTGCTCTTAAACTGGTTCATTTTTCTTCTACTTTCTGGGAAATTTCTTCAACTTTGTCTCCAACACTGTGTTGAGGGTTTTGTTTCTGCTGTCATGCATTTAGTTTTTCAGAGAGCCTTTGGTTCTTGGAGTATTTATTTTTCTTTCTTTCTTTTCTTTCTTTTTTTTTTTTTGAGGCAGAGTTTCGCCCTTGTCACCCAGGCTGGAGTGCAGTGGTGCAATCTCGGCTCACTGCAACCTTTGCCTCCCTGGTTCAAGTCATTCTCCTGCCTCAGCCTCCCGAGTAGCTGGGATTACAGGCATGCGCCACCACACCCAGCTAATTTTGTATTTTTAGTAGAGACGGGGTTTCTTCATGTTGGTCAGGCTGGTCTCGAGCTCCCGACCTCAGGTGATCCACCTGCCTCAGCCTCCCAAAGTGCTGGGATTACAGGTGTGAGCCACTGCGCCCAGCCGCAATTTTTGTATTTTTAGTAGAGACCGGGTTTCACCATGTTGGTCAGGCTGGTGTCCAACTCCTGATCCTCCAAAGATAATTCCCCCCGCCCAGGGCAGACGCTTGGCCCCCAGCTGTGGGAGCTGAGGGAGTTTCCGCTGCAGCCTGCAGGGTCACAGAGCTCCAGCGTGGAGTGCACCAGGCATGCCCCGTCTGCCCGGAGCCCCAGAGTCGGCTCCATCTCCTGCTGGGGGAAAAGGGGCGATTTTCCAACCAGTTCTGCTTAGAGCCCCCTGCATTTCCGGGGGACCTGGAGCTGTGAATTCCCAAGGCCTTTGGGGCAGTGTGGTGTGGACGGGTTCAGCTTCCTCTAGGAGGAGGGAGGGCGGGGCCAAATGGGACGGGGCGGGCCGGAGGAAAGGGTGGGCGGGGGAAGGAGGGGAGGCGGGGCCTCGGGCTGGTTGGGTGGCGTGGGTGTGGCTTGTGGGCGTGGCCTAGGAGGAAGGGCCACAGGAGAAAGCAGGGCTGGAGGCCGATGAGGGGCAGTCGGGGTGGGTGGGGCTTTGCTGGGTGGGGCCACTGGAAGAGGACAGGGCAATCCCACTGCTATGGGAGGAGCCTGGGGCTACACCATCCTCCAGCTGGTGCTGGGCCGGGTGCCAGCTGGAGAAGCCGTGACTGGATTGGTCCAGTGCTGGGGGCTTTGCCTGTGGGACAAAAGTCAAGGCCAAAGGGGCTGGGGAGAAGCCTGAGGAGGGATGGGGCTCCCTGGCTCTTCCTGGGCAGGAGAGGGTGCAGCCAAGAGTAAAGATGGGCACCTTTCCAGAGGTCACCAGCTCCAGGCTGTAGGCTGAACAGGAGGCCCAGGGCGCAGGTTATAATGTCATGGGGCCAAGGGTCTGGGCAGACCCCAGGAGGGGCGCTGGGTCTAGGGGCAGGGGACAGCCAGGCTGAAGTCTAGACCCAGAGGGCACCCGACGTGGGGCTGGGTGCCAGGCCTGGGCTATGGGCCCTCTGTTCCAGGGTGCTGGCCCACCCCACGCTCTCCAGAGGACCAGGGCGGCTCCCTGGAGAGCAGTTTTGCTCTCTGCCCACTCTCGGTAGGGGCCACAGCTCCAAGGGCGTTTATAAACAGATGAGCCTCCCTTCTCCCACCACCCCAAGACTTGCTTGAGCTACAAAATAAGGATCTTCATAAAAATAGCACCATCTGAAAGGAAGGCAAGTTGGCCCAGGCCCCAGCAGCACCAGGGCCACAGAGTGAGCTTGGATGGCAGCCCCCGACCCTGTCCAGCCCGGCCCGGCCCGGCCCTTCGGCCCTTCGGCCCTTCTCAGGACTTCGCCGGGGGAGGCTGCACCTGCCCTCCCGCAGAGGGGCAGCCCCTGTGTAGCAGCCCCGGCCTCAGCGTGGGCACAGGGGCCAGGCCTGCGGCAGGACTGCTGGGAGCTGAGGTGCCGGGGAGGAGGAAGGGGCTGGGCTCTGGGGGAAGCGGCCCCTCTGTGGGGACCCCAGCCCCTCTGTGGGGACCCCAGCGCTGCAGCCTCCTCAGCCCAAGCCTGTGCCCACCTTTGCCCCTAGGAGATTGTGGACTGGTTCAATGCACTCCGAGCTGCTCGCTTCCACTACCTGCAGGTGGCATTCCCAGGGGCCGGCGACGCAGATGTGAGTGGCGGCCCTGCGGTCAGCTCCAGGGCAGACAGGGGTGGTGGGGTGGGGGGTGGACGGAGCCCTCGTGCCCTGAGTCTGGGATGATGTTGAGCCCTAGGGTGGGCCTGGGACTGGCCAAGGGCTCACCCTGACGTGCCTGCAGCCCTCCTGCCTCACTCTAGAACTTCAGCTCAGCCAAAGGGGAAAGCGGGGAGGGAAGGGGTGGCAAGCAGAGGCAGAAATGTGGATCCTGCGGAGGCTAAGCCAGGCCTGGGCCCTGACCTGGTGGCCCGGGGTGAGGGGAGCACAGAGGGGCACAGCCAGGGAGGGGCTCGGCCTGAGCTGCACTTCTGAGGTCCCCTGCCTGGTGTGTCCTGCCCTAGCTGGTGCCAAAGCTCTCCAGGAACTACCTGAAGGAAGGCTACATGGAGAAGACGGGGCCCAAGGTGGGTGTGCCGCACGTGCGGCCTGGGGTGGCCTGGGGTACGCCATGGTGGGTCTCGGACTGAAGTGCAGCAGCCTTGCCAGCTGCCGCCTGTGTTTTAAACTGGTGTCTGGTGGGTCCTCACAGCCCCTTGTCTGTGCCTGGCCGGGGTCCCCGAGGACTCGGGCCACTGTCCTAGGCTTTGGTTAGACCCTCCCTGCCCGCTCACGTCTGACCAGCTTCCTCACCCACGGGACCGTGCACCTGCGCGGCCAGGGGCCCACATCTTGCCATTCCCTGAGGCATAATGTGGGAGGGAGACACAAATCCTGGGAGTCTTGGTGGTCCCGGAGGAGAAGTGCAGGTGTGAGGGCTCGTAAGTGAGGCCTGGGCCCCCATCTGGGGCCCAGGGAGGGCTGGGGGACCTGGAGGAGCAGGAGGGAGGTGCCGTGTGGAGGCTGGAGGACAGGCGTGTGCGGAGGCCTCGTGGGGCGTGGCCAGCGGCAGGCGTGAGTGAATGGAGGTGACTGACCCGGGCCAGTCTGGGCCCTGCCCTCCGGGGTGTGCTGTGGTCAGCTGGATGTAGGGCCTGCCTCGGCGACCTGCCGGTCACGGGCCCTCTCTGACCCACAGCAAACGGAAGGCTTCCGGAAGCGCTGGTTCACCATGGATGACCGCAGGCTCATGTACTTCAAAGACCCCCTGGTAAGGAGGAGCTGTGGCCCCAGCACGGGAGGGCAGCTCACTGGCTGGGGTTGCCAGATGCGTGACCAGGAGGGCGGGTGGCCTCCCGAGTCCTGGCCTGAGTGAAGCGGGGCTGGAAGGGACATGGCCCCGCCTCCAGTGCGGTCCCCACCCACAGGACGCCTTCGCCCGAGGGGAAGTCTTCATTGGCAGCAAGGAGAGTGGCTACACGGTGCTGCATGGGTTCCCGCCGTCCACCCAGGGCCACCACTGGCCACATGGCATCACCATCGTCACGCCCGACCGCAAGTTTCTGTTTGCCTGCGAGACGGAGTCCGACCAGAGGGAGTGGGTGGCGGCCTTCCAGAAGGCGGTGGACAGGCCCATGCTGCCCCAGGAGTACGCAGGTGAGGGGGGCGGGCGGCCGGCGGCCTGGAAGGGCTCCCAGCTCCCCGCCGCTGTGACAACGCTGGACCCTGTTCCGTTGCAGTGGAGGCGCACTTCAAGCATAAACCTTAGCGAGTGCGGCTGGAGGACCACGGACATTGGACTCACTGTGGCTGGACGGAGGGGACCCGTGGATGGGGGGGCTCTGGCGTCCTGAGGCCACCTGGCCCCACCTGCTCCTCAGGGCAGCCCGGCGCGGCCAGGTAGGGCCCGAGCTTCAGCTTCCAGGATGCTTCTCTGGAACCTCAAGGCAGGCAGCCCAGGCCCTGGGCCTGATCTCTAACCCCGTCATGCTGCTGCTGACCACACCCAGCCAACCTGCCCCTCCCTGACCCGGGGCCCCCTTTCCTCCAGGGCCCAGTCTGGCTCCCGAGCTCAGACACAGCCCCCAGGAGCCGCCCACCACGGCTGTGGGAACTTCCAGGCCTCAGCGCAGAGCCCTGCTTGGGGCCAGCACGGTGGGCAGCTGCCGGCCGCTGGGGACTGGGCCCTGCTCGCATGCCGCCCCGCCCTCCCCCCACCTCCACGACTATTTATTGAGCGCCTGTTGTGTGTCACGGGGCTATGAGGGCCGTGGGGTGTTTGGGTGGATTATCCACACAGGTCCCGGCCCCTGCCCGGGCTGGAGTTGCCACAGCCTGTGCTCCTGGTCCTCACCTGGAGGGGCCAGCAGGCTGCCGTCCCACCACACGTGGCCTCTGCGCCCAGCACGGTGCTCGCCGACAGTGGTGTCTGAACCCTTGGGGACGAGGGCCTGGGCCGCGGTGAGGCCACCAGAGGCAGGAGTGGCCCTGGGGGTCCCGGGCACTGTCGCGCTTGCTGCAGGCGGCCCAGCCGTGTATTTATTTTTCACCTATCTCCTTCCTGTCAAGGCAGGCCGGGCTCCAGGGCTCCCCTTGCGTGGGGCATGTAGGTGGGGGAGGCGTCTGCAGGTCACCTGGGGGGCCCAGCCCTCTCCCAGCCTTGCCTGGCTGAGCTGTGTTCCAGGGGAGCCCTGGACAAGCCCTCATAGGCAGGGAGGGGGTTTCCGAGGCCAGGCATCCGCCGCCCCGTGTCGCATCCTGGAATAAAATGTGGCTCTGGCATGGTTCCAGCTGTGTGTCCGAGGATGGAGTGGGGAGGAAGTTGGGCTGGGAACACGTGGCCCTGCCTCCCTGGCTTCAGGAGAATCTTCGTCTGCTCCCAGGGACCTGACAGGGCCCTCGCTCCCTGAGGTTTGGAGGGAGGACACGGTGTCTGAGCTAGTCACAGCGCCATGCTCCTTGTACACGGGAGACGGTCCCTACCCGAGGTGCCCCCCAGCACCCCTTCCCCAGGTGCCCCCCTTCCCCAGGTGCCCCCTCCATCTGAGGCCCGCCAGGCAGTTCCTGGGCAGAGTCCACAGCCTGAAAGCCAAGCCAAGCTCAGCATGAAGGACAGTGTGGGGGATGCATCCCGGGTCGGGGGTCCCCTGTGCCTGCCAGCCCACCCCCCCAATGCTGGGCCCCTCAGCCCTCACACAGAACATGCTGAATCCCACTTCTCCAATGAGGAGCTGGGACTCTAGGGCGGAGTAGAGGTCTCCCAATCCCAGCCTAGGGGTCCCCAAGGCAGCTGTGCTGGTGACGAGGATGTGGGCGAGGTACCCCCACTTGGAGCTGAAACCCCAGGCAAGTGCCCCGCAACCTCACCAGGTGCCACGGTCCTAACCCGAGGTGAGAGGAGTGGGCCTGGGTCAGGGAGAGCCCTGGGCTGTGCTGGACACACCCCCGGGGGAAACCAGCAGTGCCCACAGCCCTCCCCATGGCGTGGAAGTGTGGGCACGTGCTCAGTGTGTGCGTGTCCCCGAATGTGCACGTGTCCACGTGTGTGCTGAGGACACTGACGACTGTCACATTTTAAAAACCACAGAACAACTTTCTAATGGGGGGAAAGAATTTTTTGAACCAGGGGAGGTGGCGCAGGCACAGAAGGTGGTCGCTCACTCGCTGTCCACACCTCCCCGCGTGGACACAGCTGTGGGGAAGGGCATCCCCTTGCTGGCAGCAGGCACAGGGACGGACCGTGACTCCGCCGCGAAGTCCTGAGGCAGGCAGAGGCAGACGCCGCGGCGCAGGCTCAGCACGGGCCACGAGGGGCCGCCTGCGGGGCTCCGGCCGGCTGTTCCTGCCGTCTCACGGTAAGCCCGAGTGACGCCGCACACAAAATCCTTGGTCACTCCGGATCGAACTCGCTGCTCAAAGCAAGTGCCACACGGGAGGGACGGGTGTCCTGTCAGCACCTAGGACAGGGTCAGGGCTCTGCGCCACTGTCTCCCCTGCAGCCCAAGGGCCTGCTCTTTGAGGCTGTGACACCCAGACCTGGTGGATTTGATTTTTATGAATTTTGATGAAATTACACAAAACTTATTTCTAAAATCACAGCCAAGTGAACGTGACTTCCTGATAGCCCTCTGCTCCGTCCACGCACGGGCAGTCTGGCCACAGGGTACGCCTCCTCTGGGGGCTCCCAGGCACAGCCCTGAGAGCAGAGAGAGATCCCCCACACCAGCGCCCAAGAAAGGACCAGCGTTGCACAGCCCGGTAGAAAGGGTTTATTTATGCGCAACGGTTCACACAAGCCTTCCTGAAATTCCACTTTACAGTAAATAAAGCTGTGCGTTTCCCCTTCCCATGCACAACTGCGTATCAATCTACAACTGTCATTTAACTGTGAAAAAATAGAGCGTCTCCCCTTTTGTCATCGTTCTGGTAACATTTGGAGTAGCATCTGACAGAACGGAGCTGCTCACTCCTGGACCGGTTATTTGGTTAAAACCCAAAATGTTAGGTCGAAAGAATCAATCATCACCCAATACAAATAAATATTGCGTTATGAAAGAGACGGGCAGAGTCCCACGGTATCCCTTTTTAAAGCGGCATTTCCAGCACAGCAGCGTGGCGCTCACAGAGACCAGCAGGGCGCAGCTCTGGGATGCCACATGGGACACAGCTGCAAGTACCCGTAGGCACCGTCCCGCCGCACGCGTCCCTCCACCGAGCGTGAGGATGTGGCGCAGGGCACGTGCACTCCGTCTGCGACGGGGACCGGTTCGTCCTGACTGCAGAATGACCCCGTGTTCAAAAACAGCCGCTCCCATTTGCAGACCACATGGGCCCTGGCTGGGCTCTCAGGTCCGAGGGCCAGCACCTGCTTTGGTGACCGCAGCTGTGCCGGACGCCCGGCAAGGAGCGTGATGTGCGCAGCCCCCCGAGGACGGGCCTCCTGTGCTGCCCATCAGCCCTCCCGAAAGGACCCAGAACAAAGGAGTGGGAGAGGGTGACGCCGCGGTAAGGCCTGTGCTTTATTGTGGGTCAATCTCGGGGGACGCGGCGGCCAGCAGGGGCGACGCCCCACTCTTGGGTCCCAGCAGCACAGTGAGCAGCAGCCGCGCCACCCTGAGCCGCCGCACAGAAACAGACACGCGCCGGCATGCGGCCACCGCCAGCCTCAGGGCCAGGAGCCCCCAAGGCGAGGAGCCACCCAGGACTCGCCTCTGAAACGTCCCTCCAGCCGTCGTCGACCGTGGTGTCTCCACGTGGCCTGGCCAGTTCAGTCCAGCTCGATGGGGCTGCCGTCGCTGGGGCTCTCCTCCCCATCCTCCTGCTCTGAGGAGCCCATGAGGCTGGTCAGAAGGTTCCCTGGAAAGAAGAACACCGTGGCAGTCACGCCTGGGCAGCCTCCCACAGGCCCCCAAGCCCCTCCTTCCCACAAACGTCTCACAAGGTGTCCCAGTGTCCCATGGAACAAGCAAAAGCCTCACATCGCTACTGTCTACGACCCAGGAACCCCGGGACAGGACACTCTGGAGGCCAGGGAGCCGACGACCACAGAGATACTCAAACATGGAGCAGCCACGGGGGACTCCACAGAACGGCCCTCCCACGTCCACCAACGGGGCCATGGAGCAGCCACGGGGGCCTACAGAACCACCCTCCACACCCACCAACAGGAGCCACGGAGGGACCTACAGAACCAACACCACCTCACGGAAAGAGATTTTTGAGCAGAGAAGTGGGGCTGTAGAGCACACTGCGCCCTACAGTGACACATGAATCAACTGGATGTGCCAAAGCTTCAACGGCTGCTCCCACAGGGGCCAACTGCGGTCACTGTCATCTGATTTTTATCCAATCAACAACTACTCTGTACGTACAAAGCCAAAGCTCCAAAAGTCTCCTGAACCCAAACGAGACGTTACACCGTGTTCTTTGAATACAAAGACACGGCCGTGGCAGTGTCACCCTCTCTTATCCACGACGTCACCCCATCTCAGGACACGCCCTGACGGCGCTTCTGTGGAACGGGAGCTCAGGCTGCGGTTTCGACTGGAGAGTCAGAAGAGTCAGGGCGCTCCTGACGGGTGTTGGGGTGGAGGTGCCTGTGTCACGGGGCACGGTGAGGGCCAGGGTGTCTGGGGGGGGCATCCGGGGAGGACAGGGCCTGCCACAGGACGCAGCTGCACCAGGGCAGACATCTGTGGGGAGAGGTCACCACCTCACACCTCCCACTAAAATAAACCCAGACAGGTGACGCTGGGAAGGCAGGCGGCTCAGTGAGGGGCCTCTCCCGCGGTGCCACGAACCACCACCCACAGTGAGACACCCGCCCCGCCGCGACCCCAAAGCCACGGCAGCACTGCCTGCCCCAGCACGACGGCTGGCAGCGTCCCGGGCACACCAGGCTCACGGAGGCCACCTAGCATGGCGCACAGAGAGACGGGGGAGCACGCAGCCAGCCACGTGATGTGATCCCTGCCAGGAAATGGAAGACACCTCAGGGATGGGGAGCTCTGGAGTGGAGACGGGGCTGCGAGCCACCGTGCCAGAATTCTCAACTCTGAAATCTAATAATTTCCTACTAACAAAAGTAAACTGAGAAACATTTAAAAGATCAGAAAACCACTTCCACGTGAAGGACCGCACTGGACCTGCCTGGGCAGAGATGATGACCCCACACCGACCCAGGGCTGGAGTGGGTGTGACAAGGGCGCCCCGGCTTACCGAGCAGGCCCCCGTAGGAAGACGTCTGCTTGGGCGGGACGCCGAAGAACAGCTGTCCTATGCGGTCGAGGTACTGCAAGGCACAGGCAGCGGGCTCAGAGGGGGTGGACCCAGACCGTGGGGTCCCCTCCTCCCTCCCCAGCCCCAAGCTCTCACCTCGTTGTACATGGGGTCCCGCCGGAGGGATGGCTGGTACTGCTCACACAGCACAGTGAACACCGTCAGCTTCCCACTGGGACAGAGACACACAGGGATGTGCTGGGTGAGCAGAACAGGACCACACTCACCTGCACAAACCACCGCGCCTGCGCCCAACACTCACCTGCACACACCACCACGCCCGCGCCCAACACTCACCTGCACACACCGCGCCCATGCCCAACACTCACCTGCAACCACCACGCCTACGCCCAACACTCACCTGCACACACCACCACGCCTACACCCAACACTCACCTGCAACCACCATGCCCGCACCCAACACTCACCTGCACAAACCACCGCGCCCGCGCCCAACACTCACCTGCAACCATGCCTGCACCCAACACTCACCTGCACACACCACCGCGCCCACGCCCAACACTCACCTGCACACACCACGCCCACACCCAACACTCACCTGCAACCACCACCACGCCCGCGCCCAACACTCACCTGCACACACCACCGCGCCCGCGCCCAACACTCACCTGCACACACCACCGCGCCCGCGCCCAACACTCACCTGCACACACCACCACGCCCACGCCCAACACTCACCTGCACACACCACCGCGCCCGCGCCCAACACTCACCTGCAAACACCACCACGCCTACACCCAACACTCACCTGCACACACCACGCCTACACCCAACACTTGCCTGCACACATCACCACGCCCGCACCCAACACTCGCCTGCACACACCACCACGCCCACACCCAACACTCACCTGCACACACGCCTACACCCCTCACCTGCAAACACCACCACGCCCGCCCCCAACACTTACCTGCAAACACCCAACACCTGCACACACCCAGCAACCCATGCCACGTCTATACCCAGTACACACACCTGCACACCCCCACAGCTACCCACACGTCTACACACAACACACATACCTGCACGCACCCCAACTACCCACACCAGACACGCAACACCTGCACATACGCCGTCTACACCTGCACTCACACCTGTATACACGTCTACACACCCCCACACCACATGGATACCCAACACCCGCACACAACCCCCCAGACGTCTGCACCCACACCACCCCACACCTGCACACACCCACACTACCAGAGGCCCAACACCTACACTCCCCCACGCCATGTCTACACTTGCACATACACCCACACAGCTACCCGCACTACCATGTCTACACCCAACAGACCTGCACACACACCTATGCCACGTCTACACCCAGCACTCATACCCTATGCATATACCCACACGGCTACCCACACCATGGCTACACTTGCACACACACCCACACAGCTATCCACACCACGTCTACACACAACCCGCACATTCACAGCCCCCTCCCCCTGCAGGATCCCAAGACGCACCCGTCCACAGCCAGCAGCAGGAACCAGATGAAGTTAAGCAGCGGCTCCACAAACGGAGGCCCGTCCTCGATGGACGGGTGCTTCTGGGTGTACGTCGTGAAGACCACCGATGCGCTACTTTTGTTTTTTAAACAGAGAAACCTGGAAATGAGAACATGCTGGTGGTGGAAGGGCTGGAGGACACAGCTTCTGCCCGCACAGGCGCCGGCCTCCGACATGTCCTTCCCAAGCTCGTGCGCCCACGGTTCCTGCGGCCCAAGGCCATGGAGGGACCCAGTGCTTCACGCGTGTCTTCCCTCATGTGCAGGGCACACCAGGGAAGCCTGCAATTCACAGGTGAAGAGAATGAAGCTTGGGAATGTGACCAGGCTCTGGAGCCGGGCCCCAGCCTGAGCCCTGACTACGTGACGCACTGAGCAAGCTCTCCTCTCCTGAGGCCGCCCGCACCGGTCAGGCGCTGGCCCGCACCAGAACACTCCGCCATGGCCCAGCAGCTGGTGGGTGCCGCACAGACCCTGGCTTCTGTTCGAGGACCCACAGGGAGGGCTCAGTGCCCCAGGGGCAGGGCCCCTGTCAGCCCAGAGAAAACATGTACACGGCGTAGCGCAGAGCCAGGGAGCTCTGGGTTTGACCCAGCTTTTCACTTAAGTCACGGACGCCAGCTCCTGGCAAAGCTCCGCAGCGGGCAACGCTGAGGTCAGAGGATGTCTGTCCCCAAATCCTACATCAAATCCCCAACGCCCGCCTTGAAATCCATATTTGTTCTGTGGGAAGAAACTGACGGGCACAAGTAAGGCTTTCGTGAGAAAGGAAGCGAAGGCCAGCCCCTGGAGCAGGCAGCGCCCGGAGCCTGGCCTGCAGGACGCCCCAGCGAGCTGGCGGGAGGGACCACGCAGGAGCAGACAGCGCCCGAGCTGGCGGAAGGGACCACGCAGGAGCAGACAGCGCCCGGAGCCTGGCCTGCAGGACGCCCCAGCGAGCTGGCGGGAGGGGCCGCGGGGTAGATGCTCACAATTCCACGCATTTCCAGATAGTGCGGGAAAGAACTGGCCGAGGCAGGCCTGAGTACAGCAGAGACCACAGGGCCTCCCGGCAGTGGGCGAGAGGCGAGGGGCGTGTGTAGGGCACTCCAGTGCCCGTCGGGAAAGGGGGAGTTTCTAAAATACTTCTTAACATTGGTTAAACTTATGAAAAATCATGGGTCAGGCTGACAAGTGCACTGTGGGCTCTGCCCAGAGTGAACTCAGTTTATCCTGCAGCTCGGCTCGGACAGGGGACAAGGGGACCTGTTCTAAGGCTGCCCAGCCAAGGCAGCAATGGAAGCCGAGACCCGAAGAGCCACAGACACCTACTGTAGCACGGCCTGGGCCACGAACATGTCCACCTCGCTGCGGAAGCCGCGGGACGTGGAATACTCCACCAGCATGTTGGCACAGCCCTCCCCGTCCGCTGAGTGCAGAAAATGATACCTCGACTCACAATAGTTTTGTTCTGCAAAGGAAAGACAGAAAAATGTAAATACATTTCACGAATATAACACAGAAAAGGAAAGGGGGAAAGACACTCCATGTTAATTCTAGCCCACCTGCCCGCCCTGGAGGAGAGCCCAGCCAGAGCCCACAGGCAGAGGTCCTGATAGGGACTCAGAGCCAGCCCAGGCCTCACACGCAGCACCAAATCAACAGATCCACGGGGAAAAGTCACTCAGCTATGCAACATCTTGATTCTCCAAGCTCTTGGAGCTGCTTAATCCAACTGCACTAATGTTCGTTGTGATAACCAATTAGTGTTACCATGTGACCCTTCTCACCTACCAGAAGCAACTTACAGGGCGCAATATAATCAGGGCCCAGGCCAGTGCACCTCGGATGTAGATCAACAGCAGAAACCAGCCTGATGTTCTCACCACACTGACCCAACAACCAACCCTCAACATCTCATGAACACACACCACTCCCAAGCCCGTCCTAACACCCGCTCACACTCCCTCCACTCCCAGGCCCGTCCTAACACCCGCTCACACTCCCTCCACTCCCAGACCCCGTCCTGACACCCGCTCGCACTCCCTCCACTCCCAGACCCCGTCCTGACACCCGCTCGCGCTCCCTCCACTCCCAGACCCCGTCCTGACACCCGCTCACGCTCCCTCCACTCCCAGACCCCGTCCTAACACCCGCTCGCGCTCCCTCCACTCCCAGACCCCGTCCTAACACCCGCTCGCGCTCCCTCCACTCCCAGACCCGTCCTAACACCCGCTCGCGCTCCCTCCACTCCCAGACCCGTCCTAACACCCGCTCGCGCTCCCTCCACTCCCAGACCCGTCCTAACACCCGCTCGCGCTCCCTCCACTCCCAGACCCCGTCCTAACACCCGCTCGCGCTCCCTCCACTCCCAGACCCCGTCCTAACACCCGCTCGCGCTCCCTCCACTCCCAGACCCCGTCCTGACACCCGCTCGCGCTCCCTCCACTCCCAGACCCCGTCCTGACACCCGCTCTCGCTCCCTCCACTCCCAGACCCCGTCCTAACACCCGCTCGCGCTCCCTCCACTCCCAGACCCCGTCCTAACACCCGCTCGCGCTCCCTCCACTCCCAGACCCCGTCCTAACACCCGCTCTCGCTCCCTCCACTCCCAGGCCCCGTCCTAACACCCGCTCGCGCTCCCTCCACTCCCAGACCCCGTCCTAACACCCGCTCGCACTCCCTCCGCTCCCAGGCCCGTCCTAACACCCGCTCGCCCCAGACCCCGTCCTAACACCCGCTCACACTCCCTCCACTCCCAGGCCCCATGCATGCCTTGGGAGCCCAGCCCTTCTCGTGGTGCAGATCTCAGCACTCACCAGGCGCCTGCCTCTCCCACCTAGTGGGCCCTTTCCTGACTGCGCTGCCCAACAGGAGCCTCCAGGGCCCTCCCGCTGCCTTTGTGGCTGCCAGAGTCCTCGTCCCCTTGCTTTGTCTCCTGCTGTCTCCCTCCACTCCCAAACCTTTACCTATGGGTGTGATTTCATCCCCAGGAGGGAAGCACCAGGGAAGCACATAGCCCAAGTGTCATGGAGCCCAGGCCTCAGGTCCCGTATGGAGCCTGTGCTCAGGACTGCAGAGGCAGTGCGTGGCCACCTTGCCGTGGAGCAGGCCTGGGCTCCCCGGGTGAGGTCCATCAAAGTCCCACAGCACCGTCACGGTGTCGGGGACCTGGGCCCGCACCTACCCCAGTGGGAGGCAGCCAGGGCCCCTCTTCAGGGGATCTCTGCAGATGCGCCGAGCGCAGCCCTCCCATGCACTCCCTGGACGGCCTCAACCTGATCCCGTGGTGGGTGGGGAGATGAGACACGTACATCCCTCCTTATGATCGCTTGTACCCATCTTAGGAGCTGCCATGCAGGTCTCCTGAGTACTGGGCATGGGCATCACCTGTCCCACGCCACCCACTGCCTGGCTCTCCCCACAGGGCCCGTGCGCAGGAGTGGCGAGGGCGGCCACCCAGTGTTGACGCATTTGTTCCTGACTCATCCGAAAGACAGACGACAGCTCCCGGGCAGGGGGTGGGGGCAGCTCCTGCCTCCCTAACCTGGCAGTGGGGCCCACGCAGAGTGGCAGTTCGCTATGCAGGACACAGGAGGGTTGTCTGCGGCCGTGTTCTGTGTGGAGCCATGCTGGCTGGGGGACAGGTGGAGTACGGAAGGCCTGCTGTCGCCAGAGGCCAGGGAAGGCGGCAGCAGGTATGCTCCAGGGGCCACGGAGGCACCAGCCTGGGCCAGCCCCTTCTGAGGAAGGAGGCGACCACGGGGAGACTGAGGCAAGAGATAGGCACTGGCTCATCTCCCTGTGGGTGCCCCGCCACTCGGCACACAGCCAGGACCGGGTTCCGCCAGGCTCCTCTGAGGAGAGCCTCCTAATTCTACTTGGATTTGCTCACTTCCCATTCCTGTCGCTCAGGGAGAAGGTCGGGAAAGCCTGCCAGGTGCCTGAGGGCGCCGAGCCTCCTGTCACAGCCCAGGCGGAACCTGCATGACCAGGAACAAGGTCGGAGGTCGGATGGGCATGCGTTTCGCATGACCAGGGACAAGGTCGGATGGGCTGCTGATGTGTGCAGAGTACGTGGGCCCTCATGCAGCTGCTCCCGCGCCACACTGTGTCTAGGAGGAGCTGTTCCAAGCTCAGCAATCCGGAACTCTAGAGCAAAGGCCTTCAGCCTAGATCCAAGTTCCTAGAGCTTCCAATGCGGGGGCTGCCCTGGGTGCCGCCTCCCCACCTGCCAAGCCCAGGCACATGCAGACCCGAGCAGGCCTCCTGACGCCTGACGGCAGGAAGGAAACCATCTCACAGCGCTGGTGCCACTTGCCATCCCAGGGAATGCCCTGGGGAGGACGCTTCTAAACCCCCATTAGCACCTCGTTCAAGTCACTCAATGAATATCTACCCAGCACCACTCCCGCCTCAGAGCTGCAGACCTGGAACTAAAAACACCAACCACACCACGCAGACAGCCAGACCCCACCACAGGGTGATTAATCCCCGCAAAGGCTTCATCAGAAGATGAGGTCAGCGTAAAGGAGAAAAACAGGGCACAGCACCATCCCAGCGCTGGAAAGAATGTTCCAGAAAGGAGCAGCAGCACGCATAGGCCCCGTGAAGGCACGGCTGCCTCCCTGAGGGTCAGAACGTCCCACGGGAAGGCCTGGAGAGGCGGCCGCCTGCCCCCCTTCTCGCAGCTTCTCGGGTGCAGTGGCTCTGATCCCGGGCTTAGCATGGCGCATGGGTCTCCATGGACCGGCCCGCGTGACCACAGGGTGAAACCCCATCTCTGCCCTGGTGGGTGACCCTGATGTATTGGAACGCACAGTGCAAATCAACGCCGAGAGCAGAGAGGTGCCCACGCCTGCCCTGGCCCCAGGCCTACCTTTCCACAGGGTGAGGGCCAGCAGCTGGTGCAGCCGGGGGTGGCCCAGCTTCCCGGAGCCCCCACTGGACCACTTCAGGGCTCTGGACACAAAGGTCACGCGCTCAGGAGAGTTGGGGTCCATCAGGCTGAACACTTTAGCCAGATTTTCTGCAAACAGCACAGACCCTCATCAGAGGAACGCACGGCCACTCCGGCTCTCTGTCCCACATTCCCCACAGAAGTGGATTTCCATTCGCAACTACTTAACAGGGAGAGGAACCTGCTGGGCGTCCCTGAGTGAGCCGTGGACCACCACACTGAGCTGCCCACCGCAGTTCCAGCGCCATGTGCCCCAGAGCACAGCGAGGAAGGAAGGACGGACGCCCTGGCCGAGGCGGGGGCTGGGGAAGGTGCCGTGGGGAGCTGGAGTCCAGGAACAGCTGTGGCCGCTCTGGGTACCTGGCTCTGGCCCGGGGCATCTCCCAGAGCAGCAGGGACTAGGAGTGGGACTTGCAGCCAGGCAGCTCACAGAAGGGCTCTGCCAACCGCACGTCACCCGACAGGACAGGCCGACAAGCCAAAGTGGTGCCCCACCTTGCCAGCTGGCGGGGAGGCCACTGTCCATCGGAGCAGTGGAGAGGACAGGGCCCCAGTCATGCCCTGCCTACGAATCACAGCAGGTCCTGCTCAGCCTGCCGTGTGCTCGCGCCAGGGTCAGCCAGGGGGCCTGGCTCACTGAGACCGGGTGGGAACTGCCTCTGCAGCAGAGTTCACCCCACAGCACACAAGACCCCCAAACGCAGACACGAAACACAGCGCAGAGACCCGGGGAGGGGCGTACTGGGGCCGCTGTCACAGGGTCCCGGGGTGAAGGGCCGGATGCTCACCCAGCAGCTCGTCAGCCACCTCCACTTCCGCCTTCTCCAGGGACTCCAGGACCAGCATGGACAAGTCTGCTGCACTGTTTTGCTACAAGAGAAAGCAACACACAAGAATCAAGAACAAAGCCCTGACCTGTTCAGGACAGCAAAGACAAGGCTGGGTTTCCAGCAGAAGCCAGAGTGCGGCCGGTGCTGAGGAGTCTCTTCTGAGCACCACGTCCCTTGGCAATGCCGCCGAAAAAGAGAGCTCCTGGCCGAGAATCACATGAAAATGGACGGGGACGTTTATACCAACACAACGCCCTCTCAGCCCCATCGTGCACAAACGCAGCGCAGAGCCCCAGTCTTGAGAGTGGAGCAGCCAAGCCAGGGGGGACTCTGGGCCCCTCTGCCACCCACAGCCCCAGTGGCCGAGGCCCAGGGCAGCGCAAGGTTGCCCATCAGTGGAGGTGGGAGGTCATTCCCACCTCCACTTGCCTGCCCGGAGCAGAAAGGGATGCAGGAGGAAGCAAGACGGCTTACCTGGCCATGGCTGAAGAAGAGCAGGGCTCCCGAGTACATGAGCTCCCGGGCCTCCGTGTGCTTGCTCTGGGACATGTACCTGCCACAGAGAGGAGACCGTGAGCCACGCCCACGTGCCCTCGCCACCGCGCTCCCCCGCTCATCTTCAGGTCAGAAGCTAAAAACAAGGCGCCCAGGAACAGGTGGCATCCTAAAAGCAGCCGCTCCCAGGGCCCAGGTGCTGCGTGGAGGGGGTCTATCCTGGGTGTCCTGCTGACCATGAGGGCTGCATGGGGCGCCTCTGGACACTAAGGGCCTATCTGTGTCCAAATACACCAGGAGCCAGAAAGCAGCCTCACCCTGGAGCAGCTCACCGGTTTCAGTAGCTGGGACCAGAAAGGCCACTGGGCAGGGCAGGTGCGCAGGGAAGGAGCAGGGGATGTGCATGTGGCCACCTGAGAGCTGAGTGGCCACAGGCAGGAGCCAAAGGATGGGGGGCTCCAGGCTGGGGTCCCACGGGGGACAGTAACGGCTGTGACAGCACCTTCTTCCCCCACGGGGCCAGTGTCCCCGCCCTCTGCCCCTCTGCGTGCCACACCCCTCCCCCCACGGGAGGGAAGGGTCTGGGGTGCCCCGTTGCATCATGCTCGCCCTGCATCACGTCCCCACTCCCAGAGCACCGCTGGCAGGGAAAGCTGGAGCTCCTCAGGCCGCACGGGGACAGAGGCACGGGGTGGCGAGAGGTATGGTGGGGACCAGCGCGTGACAGACGATGTGGAGAGAAGCCGAGATGGCCGCACTGCTGTAAGCAGCAGAGCCCCTGCCTGCGAGAGCAGCAGGCGTGGAGGGCAGGAGGCAGCCTCTGCTTGGATGCGCTGCACCTCCCAGTCCAGTGGTGGGGCCCAGAACATGTTATTTCATTGGCTACACGTTTTTCTTAATGATCGCTGCCTTATTATCAAAAGATACATAACGAGTTAATCAGCTCTGTGCCTGCGAGCCAAATGTCCTTGGACAAAGCCTTGTTTAAAAATAAATCTAGTTAAAGAAAAATACTAAGTAAACAGCAGTGCACACCGGATTCGGGGGCTCACACCTGTAATCTCAGCCCTTTGGGAGGCTGAGGTGGGAGGATCGCTTGAGCTCATGAGTTTGAGACTGGCCTGAGCAACATAGTGAGACCCTGTCTCTACAAAAAACACAGAAATTAGCTGGGCATGGTGGTGTGCACCTGTGGTCCCAGCTACTCGGGAGGCTGAGGTGGGAGGACTGCTTGAGTCCGGGTAGTCAAGGCCGCAGTAAGCCATGATTGCACCACTGCCTAGACGGATGACAGAGCGAGGCGCCATCCCCCCAAAACAAACAAACAAAAACCAATTGCAGTGGAGGTGATAAAGAGCCACAGCAACGCCACTGAGGACCAGAATGACCTTGGTGTTGCCAGGACGGGAAGGCCAGCCGAGAACGCAAAGGGTTGGATGCTCAGTTAACCACAGAAAAGGGCTCCTCTTCAGAAGGCACCACAGCCAGGGACCCCAAACACAGACAGCCCCGCCACATCCGGGCATCTCATTAGCCTGGCACACAGGCCCTCCCCCCACAGGAGACCGCTTCGTGCTGCACAGAGGCAGGGCACCAGGAGGGAAAAGCCCGCACCCAAGAGAGAAAGTGCCCCCGCACCCCCGTCAGCCTGCAGGCCGTTGGCAGGCCTCCGGTTTTGCTGTGCTCCCCGCACAGTGAAGGTTCTGGAGGGAGACCCACCCCAACACCACAGCAGGAGCCTCGACAGGACCACTGACTCTGTGACCGGCCGTCCTAGTTCCAGTCCTGCAGGGACATGACTGACTCAGAGGAGGCCGGGAGCCGTCTGGCACAGGGCACTCTGGAAAAACAAGCTCCCAGACACGCCTGGCCTCACGATGCCGCCAGTGGGGCCACGGGCAGAACCGCATGCACCGACCCTGAGCAAGCACCACACCAGCTTCTGCTTTGCCGATACTACAGCGTTCTGGATGCTTCTATCTGAGGTAAAGCAAGAGGTGGCGACTTAGAAACCAGAAGAAAAAAAGGACTCCCTGGAAGGCAGTGACCCATATTCCTGCACGAGGAGCCTGCTCTGGGGGGCACTGCCGATGGTCACGGCCCCCGGCCTGGTTTGGACTGCGCCTTGCAGCCGGCTCCCTTCTTCCCTGGGCAGCTGGGAGCCGGGCAAGGGGAAAAAGGACGGGAGGAGAATTCTGGGCACACAGTGGTCCCCGGCCTGGCTGGGGGCACCCGTTTCCAGGTCCAGGAATGCCGGTGACAGGCAAACCGTCTAAGGCGGCTCTGAACGTGGACGGCTTCTCCTCCTGTACTGGAGAATTCTGGAAGCTGCGAAGGATTTTGGTTTCCAGGTGACTAAGCCAGGACAGGTACCCTCTCAAGCCCGAGGCCGGGGAGAGTGGGGGGCAGCTGGGCATGGCCGGGCCTTCTCCCGGCCCGGCTCTGCATGCTGCGCACTATTGGCCGTGCCATGTGGACACCCAGACGTGCCTTCCAGATAGGGAAATGGCTTCTGCCTGCTGACAGGCGCTGAGAGCCAGTGAGCGCTGGTGCTCTCTGCCGGCCAAAACATCTGTATCCACAGAGCAAAGTGTCTGGGCAAACAATCTAGCTGATTTTGCTCTTCTCTTACAAAAACATTAAAAAGCAGAACACAGAAACGCAAGCATTAGAACTAGTGGCCGAGACTGTCGGTGTCAAATGAAGAAAGACCGAGCTCATGGGGCGAATCCCGCCCTTCTCTCTTGGCAGACGGAAGCTGGCTTGCGCGTTCAGCTGTCAGGGACACGTGAAGGATGAAGAGGAAATACTCAAGACACACACAGGTGCCTCGGGACAGGGGGCCAGAGGAGATTTCACAAGGACCCCTCCGCCGACTGCCGCGAGCTAAAGCGCACTCACGCCCGGACGCAGGGCTGGCTGGACGCGCCTGTAAGGAGGGCTGAGGCCTGCTCTGCTCTGCCAGGAGTCACTCCGAGAAGGGACCTGAGCCGGCAGGTACAGCTCCTTCACAAGACGCTCCTCTTAGGCCCTGGGCTAGGGGTGCACCGCACACACTAGACCGTTTTCCTTTTAAAAATCTCTTTAGATGACTGAAGAGACAAAAGAAGGTCAGAGGCCGCAATAAAAAAAATCACGCAAACACACTGCAGGAGGAGCCAAGTGGCAGGAAGAGCCAGACCCACGACCGTGTGGGCAGACAGGGGGACAGCTGCTGCAGGTCACAGCCTCCTGGGCTGTGGTCTCAGCCACACCAAGTTTCTAAATGCCAATGTACAAATACTACAGCCAAGGCTGAGGCTCCTCAAGACCTGGATGGTGGCTCCGAAGTGCCCCAATAATCCAGTTGGCCTGGGAGATGACTCCCCGTCCCAGCAGGGAGAAGTCTGGAGAAAGCAGGTGATGACCACAACCCGCGCCATCCCCGGGGCAAGGTCGGCCGCCCACAACCCGCGCCATCCCCGGGGCAAGGTCGGCCGCCCACAACCCGCGCCATCCCCGGGGCAAGGTCGGCCGCCCACAACCCGCGCCATCCCTGGAGCAAGGTCGGCCGCCCACAACCCGCGCCATCCCCGGGGCAAGGTCGGCCGCCCATAACTCGCGCCATCCATGGGGCAAGGTCAGCTGCTCTCTAGCGTAACCAGATGAACCAGGTCAGTTTCTCTCTAGCGTAACCACACGAACCAGGAACTGCTGCCCGACTTCTGCGGGGCACATATCCAAGGACACCAACCTGCTGGGTTCCCAATTCCTTCCCTCTCCTTCACCTTCAACTGCTGTGGCTGTGAGTTAAAATGGCATCTCTTGGGAACGCTTGTACCTGCTGGTGGGAGTGTAAATTAGTTGAACCATCCTGGAAAGCAGTCTGGCAATTCTTAAAAGAACTAAAAACAGAACTACCGTTCGACCCAGCAACCCCACTACTGGGTTATGTCCAGAGGACTCTAAATGGTTCTACCATGAAGACACACGCACTCAAATGCCCACTGCAGCACCACTCACAACAGCACCGACATGGAATCAAGCTGGGGCCTGTCAGCGGCAGACGGATAAAGAGGATGTGGTCCATATACACCGCGGAATACTATGCAGCCATAAAAAGGAACAAGATCATGCCCTTTGCAGGAACTTGGATGGAGCTGGAGGCCATTATCCTTCGCAAACTAATGCGGGGACAGAATCCCGGGCACTACACTTCCCCACTTACAAGTGGAAGCTGAATGATGAGAACACAGGGACAGAAAGGGGCCAACAACACACACTGGGGCCGGCCTGAGGGAAGAGGGAGAGGCTCAGAAAACCATTTTAACAAAACTGTCAGGTACCCATGCTTGGTACCCGGTGCTGAAATGATCTGTAGGACAAACCCTAGTCACTAGTTTACCTATATACCAAGCCTGCACACAGACCTGAGGCTAAAATAAACATTAGCATATTTAAAAATAAATCAACAAAGCCTGCACACCTGCCCGAGGCTAAAATAAACATAAGAATATTTAAAAATAAGTCAACAAACAGTATCTTTTGGTAAATTTACCCGACAGCTGAAGGGATAAACAATTGTGCTGGAGACACACAGGGAAAACCACTCAGCGATAAAAGGAACTGCGGACGCTCCAGGAGGAGTCTCCCAGCCTCCGTGGTGAATGAATTCAAGCGGTTAGACAGAAAGTGCGCACTGTGATTCCACATACGTAAAACTCCAGGAAACACCACCTCACCTAAGTGCAGCCCGCAGATGCACGGGTGCCGGGGATGGGGTGGGGTGGGGTGGGAGTGGGGGCGAGGAGGCCTGGTTGCAGAGCCCCACAGTGCCGTGGTATCTTCTGTGTCTTGACTGGTCATAGTTCATTCATGTCAGACCTCACCAAATTATACATTTTACATAAATATTTAAATGTAAATGTGCAATTACATATATTTATTGACATAAAAGCATTTTAAAAAATGGCTGGGTGCTATGGCTCCCACCTATAATCCCCGCACTTTGGGAGGCTGGGGCGGGCGTATCACCTGAGGTCAGGAGTTCGAGACCAGCCTGGCCAACAAGGTGAAACTCCGTCTCTACAAAAAATACAAAAATTGGCCAGGCGTGGTGGCGGGCACCTGTAGTCCCAGCTACTCATGAGGCTGAGGCACGAGAATTGCCTGAACCCAAGAGGCAGAGGCTGCAGTGAGCTGAGATCGCGCCACTGCTCTCCAGTCTGAGCGACAGAGCAAGACTCTGTCTCAAAAAACAAAAAGCGTAACTTGGGGAATGTGACTTCTCTGGCGGCGATACACCCATGGAATACTCTGAAGCAGAGCTGGGAATCCACACGGAATTCTACCCTGGAAAGACAACGACAGTGTCTCAGTGGGTGACAGCGAGGTGACAGCTGCCGCTGCTGACTCAGTCTTCATTCCTGGCTTGAAAGGCTCCAAGCCAAGGTTTGAGAGGTTCAGTAACGTGTCCCGGGCCCCGTAAGAGGTGGCGTGTGACCCCAAAGCCCAGGCTTTCCGAGCTAAGCCACACCGTGCCCCTGCCAGGTGACCTCACGATGTCACATGCGGCCAGCAGGGCCTGCTGTCTAGAGGGCTTAAGGGAGCAGAATGCTCATCACCCCCCGTTTCACTGTGAAAATTCACCCTTGACCAGGGACTCATCACTGAAAACCAAAACTGACAAATCCCTCGTCACCGTAGAAGTGGCTCAAAACAAGGAACACTGTGTTTATTTCGGGGGAGATCCATTTTTGCTGGTTAATCACTGGGCAAATATTTATTTATTTATCGAGACAGAGTTTCTCTCATCGCCCAGGCTGGAGCGCAGTGGCGTGACCTCGGCTCACCACAACCTCCGCCTCCTGGGTTCAAGCGATTCTCCTGCCTCAGCCTCTGGAGCAGCTGGGATTATAGGCATGCGCCACCACACCCAGCTAATTCTGTATTTTTAGTAGAGACAGGGTTTCTCCATGTTGGCCAGGCTGGTCTTGAACTCCCAACCTCAGGTGATCTGCCCGCCTCGGCCTCCCAGAGTGTTGGGATTACAGGCATGAGCCACTGCGCCCGGCAAATTGGGCAAATATTTATATACAAATTCCTAGGCACGGCAGGCATCAGGGTGAATGCTGAACAACATAAAAGTTCCCCATCACACAGCTCTATGGCTGGCCCCTCTACCCACGGGAAGGCTCGCGTTGTACGGTTTAGTGCCTCCTGACACCTTTGCCTTGATCCCTGAAGAACAATCGGGTTGAAGGCGCTATCACAACCCGTGCCATTTGGGAGCTGCTAAATGTTCAGTGACAAATTCAACTGGCATTAAAAACGTATTGCTATAAACGTCATGCATCAAAGACTTGTTTCTTCCAGAGATAAAATTAGTAGTTCCATCTAAGGAGGAACGCGAATCTCTTTCTAAACCAATTAAACAGCTCAGTTTTCAAAGAAGAAAAGCATCTACAACACAACAGTAAAATGCGATGTAGCCTGGCTGGTGTGTATTTATACTATGTTGAGGTTAATAGAAAATTCTGGAAACAAGGCTGCCCTTCAGGTCATGTAAGATGTCTCCTCATAAGCCACGATCAGGGGCCCACATGCACTGTCCTGAGCCCGGGCTGCTCAGTAGGTCCGTACAAACAATGTGAACACTAAACACAGATGCCAGGACCTCATCCCAGCCCGTTCAGGTCAGCTAAGATTGACAACTACCGACACAAACACTCCTCTTTTCTCATTTCCTGGCACAAACAAGTGTTTTAAGCAACGAAATGGCATCCACTCCGTGGCTGGGGCTGCTGAGTCCACCTTCGCTTGGGCTCACCAGCACGTGGCACCGCGGCGTGCCGGCCACTCGCTTACCCAGGCTACATTCCAGCCAGCGGGGCGCAGGCACAGGTTGGGCGTGACAGACGGTGTTTAATTCAAACATGAACTAGCAAACTACAACCAAAGTGGCACCTCCAGAGTTTTCCAGGTAACAATTCCACTTGCTATGGAAAGAAAATATTTAAAATCTAGGCCCAGCAGAGGGTCTTCAGGGAGTGGAGCTGCACTGCGTGATGCTCTCATGGGGTTCCTCATCCCCCCACACACCAGGCATGCACCCCGATGTGAGTGATGGGTCCCTGAGGGACTCTACTCGGGGGGGGGTGTCTGTGGGGCAGGAGGCTGTCCAAAGGGGGAATTCAGGACACACCACACTCCATTTTGCTATAAACCAAAAACTGCTCTAAAAAGTAAAGTCTACTGGCCGGGCGCCGTGGCTCACGCCTGTAATCCCAGCACTTTGGGTGGCCGAGGTGGGCGGATCGCGAGGTCAGGAGTTCGAGACCAGCCTGGCCAACATGGTGAAACCCCGTCTCTAGTAAAAATACAAAAATTAGCCGGGGGTGGTGGTGCGCGCCAGTAATTCCAGCTACTCAGGAGGCTGAGGCAGGAGAATATAGCTTGAACTCGGGAGGTGGAGGTTGCAGTGAGCCGAGATCCCACCATTGCACTCCAGCCTGGGACAGAGGACAGAGCGAGACTCCGTCGCAAAAAAAAAAAAAAAAAGTTTATTAAAAGGAAAAAACCCCTGAAAACCAGGCCCAAACTGTATAAAGGCCAGACCAACTGCCCTTAAATACAATATCAAAACATTCACGGCCCTGTGGCAGTTTAGAAGGTACCCCATGGAAAATACTAAATCCTCTGAAATGATCTTTAAAACAGACCCAATTCCTAGTGACTGGCCAGACTGTTCCCTGACCTGAACCATAAGAGATAATCTGATATGCATAATTTACAGAATGCCACACACAGAACAACTGAACATTCTGCAGTAACTGTATGACAGCAAAAATACTGGAACAGAGCAGTCCTGAAGACAATCAACCAAGCCACGCAGCAGCCTGGAACTTCCAAGCGGTCACAGTCCCGAGGGGCGTGCAGTTAACCCAGCATAGCCAGCTCTGCTCGCGCTCGCCCTCCAGGCTACACCGGCCGTGCAGGTGTCACCGAGCCTAGGTCCAGAGGCGGCTGACTCGGTTCGGCAGGCCGGGCGGCGTCAACAGAGAAGCGGTTTCACCCTCAGCCTGGACCCTCGGTGAGAGGAACGCCAGCGACTTCCTACGGAGCCCGGTGTAGGGCCCGGCTGGAGAACCTGAAGGCCAGGAGGAGGGAGGCAGGGAGGTGGGGGAATGCGGAACAGGTGGAGGCCAGGGGGGAAGGTGGGGGAGGCAAGGGGCAGGCCCGGAGGGGTGGAGACAGAGGAAGGGGAGGGGGAGGCCGGGCAGGGAGGCCTGAGAGAGAAAGGCGGGGGGCCGGGGGGGAAGGTGAAGATCTGGGAAGGCCACGGGGAGGGGAACAGGTGGGGGCCAAGGGAGAGGTGGAGGGAGGTGGGGGAGGGGCGGTGGAGCCGGAGAACAGGGAGGGGGAGGCCGGGCAGGGAGATCTGGGACAGGGAGATATGGGGTGGGGAGCAGGTGAAGGCCCGGCGGAAGGAAGCGGAGTTGGGGAGACTACGGGAGAGGTGGGGGAGGTCCAGGGGAGGTGGAGGCTAGGAGAGGGAAGCCGAAAGGGACGAGGACAGTGGTAGGCTGGGGAGAGAGCCGGGGTTGGGGGCAGCAGGAAGAGAGAGAGACGGGGGGTGGGCAGAGGGAGGACAGGGAGAGAGGCGGGGGGCAGAGGGAGGCAGGGTAGAGAGACGGGAGTGAGGGCAGGGGGAGGCCGGGGAGAGAGAGACGGAGGGAGCAGGGGGAGGCTGGAAGAAAGAGACGAGGGGCAGGGGGAGGACGGCGAGAGAGAGACGAGGGGCAGGGGGAGGCCAGGGAGAGCGAGGCGGGGGGCAAGGAGAGGCCGAGGACAGAGAGACGAGGGGCCGGGAGAGGCCGGGGAGAGAGACGCAAAGGAAGAAGGAGAAGGCCAGAGAGAGAGAGAGAGAGAGCGAGACCAAGGTGGGGCGGGGGAGGCGGCCGGAGAGAGACAGAGACCGAAGGACGAGGCGGGAGGCGGCCGAGGAGACAGAGGAAGGCCGAGGGGCGTGTGGGGACGGAGGAGGGAACAGGTGGAGGCTGGGAGTAGGGGAAGGCCGAGGAGGAACGCAGGAGAGGGGAAGGAAGCCGAGGCGGGAGTCAGAGGCCGAGGGAACGGGGGCGCCGGGCCACACAGGGCCAGACCCCGGAGACGCGGCCCAGACCCTCCGCCGGGCGACCCGCGGCCCCTGGGTCCAGCTCGCCCCCGCGACGGGCAGCGGCGCGGCCCAATGGGGGCGCGGGGCGAGGCGGCGCGGCCAATGGGAGGCGGCGGGGGCGGGCGCTGGGCTGCGGCGAGGGCCGGGCGCGGGTACCTGAAGAACAGGGTCCGGTACATCTGGTGCGCCTCGTAGTAGTCGCCCTTCTCGACGCTGGCGCGCAGCTTGCCCTCCACACGCTGGACGCCGCCGCGGTTGCGGCCGCCGTTCCGGGCGCTCTCCTGCTCGGCCATCGCCGCCGCCGCCGCCATCGGGCCGGCGCTCCGCGCAGGGCTGACGCTGTCGCAGGCGCGGTCGGCAGCGCCTCCCGGCTTCCGTCCCGACGGCCGCCCGACGCCCTTCTACGGTGGCCCGCGAGGAGTCGCGCGCAGTCGGGGGCGGGCGCGCCGGCTAGCTGCACGTGACCTGGGGCGGGTCCGCAGGCAACACGTGACCCAGGGGCGGGTCCGCAGGCAACACGTGACCCAGGGGCGGGTCCGCAGGCAACACGTGACCCAGGGGCGGGCCCGCAGGCAACACGTGACCCAGAGGCGGGTCCGCAGGCAACACGTGACCCAGAGGCGGGTCCGCAGGCAACACGTGGCCCAGAGGCGGGTCCGCAGGCAACACGTGGCCCAGGGCGGGCCCGGGAGCGGCACGTGACCCGGGGCCGGGACTGGCTCGCGCCACAATGGCGGGTGGCACGAAACTGCCTGGCGGGGCGCTGCGCGTAAACAGGCTGCGGCGGCGGCTGACCCCGAGCAGGAAGCGTCCCGGGGTGGGACCCTCCCCACGCGCGCGGTGTAACAGCAGCCATTGAGCTATACAGTTCAATGTGTAAAATGCTTATAAATTAAAAATACTTTTATAGGGCCGGGCGCCGCGGCTCACGCTTGTAAACCCAGCACTTTGGAAGGCCGAGGTGGGCGGATCACCTGATGTCAGGGGTTCGAGACCAGCCTGGCCAACATGGCGAAACCCCGTCTCTACTAAAAATACTAAAATGAGCTGGGCGTGGTGGCAGGCGCCTCTAATTCCAGCTACTCGGGAGGCTGAGGCAGGAGAACTGCTTGAACCCAGAAGGTGGAGGTTGCAGTGAGCCGGGATCCCACCACTGCCCTCCAGCCTGGGTAACAGAGCCAGACTGTGTCTCCAAACAAACAGAAACAACCTCTTAGGATCGCTGAGGGGCGTTCCTCCTCTTTGAAAGGCCACCTGCGGTCCTTCCCTGGCCGTGGCTGGGGACCTGCGGCTGTGCCTGGGTGGACGGCTCACTCCTCCAGGATCGGGTCCTGCTGGAAGGGGGAACTGGGTCGGCCTAGAGCTTCCAGCCCTGTCAGGCTGCGGAAACGGGGTCCAAACCCCAGTCAGAGTTAGAAACGGGGCCTGAGGCCCAGCCCTAGCCGTGCAGGGTTGGGAACGGCTTGGCTGTAAGAATTGGGGTTTGAAGGCGGTTCGCCGTTCGGTCCGAAGACTCCTCCGTTGGATTTACAGGGTCAGCCCACTCTCACAGGTTAGCATTGTTTATAATAAAAAAGAAGAAACAAAGGCCTTTAAGCTGGGCCCTGCTTGAATCAACATGATCCAGCCGTGCATACAATGGACAAAAACAGCTGTTAAAAAAAAAAAGGTTCTTACGGGACACACTTGGTAACTGGGGAAAAGCCAGGTGCAAAATAGTGTGGTGTGTGTGCTATCGTCTGTGACCTGGTGCCAGCACCTGCCTTCAGCTACAGAAGCAGCGATGAAAACTGTGTCCTGAGGAAAGGCATCAGTTTTCCTAATGTTCTGCCCATCAAGCAACTTGTAATTCAGTCCGTTTTCCAAGTGGAAATGGTGCCCTACAGAAAGAGGTGCCTGGCACACTTGAGGCCTCAAGGCCTTGGAGGACAGGTTACCATTCAAAGGCTGTGCTACAGAGCTTGCCAACAAGAACCAGCAAACCCAGTCCCTCCCACATCCCAGGGGCAGAAACAGACAAACTGAGAAAAGAAATAGACTGTTTATATCCCATGCCCTTTTAAAAATTAAAACTCTTTATTTAAACCTCTTAATAGCATCTTATCAATTTGGTGGCAGCAGCAGAAGCACTACCAAAGACAGATATTTTGAAAAGCATTTACAAAAATACATTGCACAAAGTCCTATCTTGCATCTTTAAAAATAAATTAATATTCAAAATATTTCCACCCCAAATCCCAAATCAGTTTTATATAGGAAATTTTGATTTATATATGTAACCTGTAATATATGAAACATCTGTACATTTTATCTGCCTTAACTGCATAGTTCCAATTCTAAGGAGAGTGAAAAAAATGCTGCTTGATGTATGAATAGTTTCATACATCAGTGTATTTGAGGACTGTTGTGCAATATACAGAAAACCAGTCAGCACCATCGTTTTGTCTTTTTCTGAAAACACAACATTTACGGTACACTGAAAACTGTCTTAACCCAACACAACTTAAATAATTCTTAAGGTAAAACATCTGTAACACTTTAAGTGCCTTGTAGATATCTCATTTATAAAGTCTGCTCAGTAAAATAGTCTAAATATTAAATAGTAATTATAACCAAAAAGAGTCTCACAAGAATCACGTGAGAATGGTGACAGCTGTGATAAAAGGCAGATTCCAGCCACAGCCAGTAAGAAATGCTGCTGAAGGAAAAAGGATCGTCCTGAAATGTAACGGGTTCGTGACCCTGACACACCAGACGGCTCCTCTTATCACCACCAGTGAGAGGGAGGCTCAGGGCGTCTTGCGCTCCCTATTCAGCAAAACTCAAAACAAGCCCTGAAAACACCCAAGATGAGATTTTTGGGTTTCTGTTTACTGTGACTCCCAACAGGAAAAGCCTTGCTGAGACCAGAGAACCCCATCTGGGTGTTTGCTTAGATCCAAACCAGGCCCCTTCAAGTCAGACTGACTTCAGCCTACAAGGAGAGCGAAACGCTCCCATATTCCTCCATGGATATTGGTACAGCGAGTCCTGACTGGAAACCTTCCTCAGAAGTAAGAGCGAACAAAGCAGAAAAACACATTTTAGTTATTTCCCCATCTGGAGACTTAGTACCTACTGGTGCTGAAAAAAGGAAAATTCCGGCTTGAAGGAAAGGAGTTTAGAACTCTGAAAATTTGGTGACATTGTTTTTCCCTGAAAGAAATGTGTGTTGGATTTAACAGATGAAATTATCTGCCCTCCAAAAGTCCTTTAGAAGAGCCAGTGCAAGGCTGAAGACCAAAGCGTCAAGAACACGCCAGACTCTCAGCTTCCTCTGCTTTGCTCCTTTGTTGAGGAAATGCAAATGCAAAGAGCTTCCCGTTAAAAACAAGGAGTGTCTGAGAGCCACGTGTTCAACACGCTTCTCCTGCTGCTGACCCCTCTGCACCTGCAGAGGCAGTGAGCACCCAACAGGTGGCGCCAAGGCGCCCGTCACACGCTCACGTCCTCTGGCCAGCAGCCACGTTTATTGAAGGAGTGTGGCACTGTCCCATCATTGTATATGCCCTCGTCCATGAAGGATTCCAGTGTTTCACGCTGTCCCAGTATATACAAAAATGTACAAAAATAATGAGTAGTGTCTTCACTTGACAGGTTCGCCATGAACTCTGAACCGATACAGACAGGTATACTCAGGATGGCCCCAGTTAGAAAAAATCCGAAGTTCCACTATTTGGAAAGCTGTGTCGTCGGGTCTTTTCTGAAATCAAGGTGGGAAAAACACACACATGTATTTCATATTAATAACCCCAAGTCCAATCACTTCCCCAAATATGACGTCTGACAGGAAGCAGCTGAGTTGGAAATTAACCTTTTGTTGTTGTTGTTGAGACAGAGTCTTGCCCTGTCACCCAGGCTGGAGTACAATGGCACGATCTCAGCTCACTGCAAGCTCCACCTCCCGGGCTCAAGCGATTCTCCTGCCTCAGCCTCCTGAGTAGCTGGGATTACAGGCGTGCGCCACCACGCCCAGCTCATTTTTGTATTTTTAGTAGAGACCGGGTTTCGCCATGTTGGTCAGGCTGGTCTCGAACTCCTGACCTCGTGATCCGCCTGCCTCGGCCCCGCAAAGTGCTGGGATTACAGACGTGAGCCACCACGCCCAGCTGGAAGTTAACTTTTTAAATATGATCCTTCTAAGTAATGTATCACAGGGCATGAAGCACGGGTAAAACTGAGAACGCTATTAGCCATGGAAAGGCTCATTAACGCAGAGCCAGGAAGCGCAGGTTAACATTTTTCAAAGGATGGTCCTCACGCTGCTTTCCAGTCTGTTGATGCCAGCTGGGCCCTGCTGTCACGAGAAGTTGTGGGACTCAGAGACCCCAGGCAGTGCCAGTCCCAGTTCTTACCAGGGCCTGGAACATCTGGAGCGACTCCCCATCCTGATCATACGTGAACTGTCCCAGAAGCTGCCCTTCTTCCTGATACTCATTTTCTAATCCCTGAAAACAAGACCATACACAATTATGAACGAATGGAAAAATAACACTGAGCAGAGAGGACCGTTCCCTTCCACAGCCAGCACTAAGCAAACAGGACCGTTTCCCTCCACATCAGTAAGAGAAGGTCATTCCTCCATGGCAGTCACGAGGCCTTCCCTGGAAGGAAGGGGTGTGTTTTGTTGAGGGCTTCATGTAACCCACGACATGTCCTGAGGTCAGCACGATTCCCCGTTATACACATTAGGAAAACTGAGGCCAAAACAGGACACACTAATGAGTGGCAGAGAAGTGACCCCGCCGGACACACAGACCATGCTCAGCTGCTGCCCTCAGCACTCACAGTGGAAGCTCTGGAGCACCTGCTGAGCCCGGGGAGATGAGGCCTCACCAGCAGGAGGAGGGGCCACAGAAGACCGACTTTGGGAAGAGAGCAGGCAGAAGGGAGCGAGTGCCGGCCTAAGCTGGGGTGTGGGGAGTCAGGGTTCAATGGGGACAGAGATTCAGACTAGAAGATGGAGCAGCTCTGGAGATGACAGTGGTGATGGCTGCACAACAGTGTGACTGGGCTTAACGCCACTGGACTGTGCACTTATTAGAACAGTAAGCTCTATCTTATCTTTTATCCGAGTCAGAGAACTAGCAGAAGACACAAGGGACTATTTGCATATCTATTTTGAAATGGGAAAGGACTTCTAGGGATAAGAAATGCTATGGAAGAAGTTCCAGCGAGTGAGTAGATGTAACTACTGCCTCTGATAATCACCAGTGAAATAAAAATACGGGGTGGGGCACAGTGGCTCACGCCTGTAATCCCAGCACTTTGGGAGGCCGAGGTGGGTGGATCAGAAGGTCAGGAGATTGAGACCATCCTGGCCAACATGGTGAAACCCTGTCTCTACTAAAAACTACAAAAAGTTAGCCAGGTGTGGTGGCGGGCGCCTGTGGTCCCGGCTACTCGGGAGGCTGAGGCAGGAGAATCGCTTGAACCCGGGAGGCGGACATTGCAGTGAACTGAGATCGTGCCACTGCACTCCAGCCTGGTGACAGAGCGAGACTCGGTCTCAAAAAATAAAAACCTCTGAAAGACTCAGGGCATCTGAGTGTTAATACAAAATTAAGAGCAACAATGGAAAGTATGTCTGTAACAGAATGACACATGATTATTATTTACATACTAAAAAGCTCAAATATTCATAAGGAAACTAAGATCCCAAAAGGTAAATGAACAAAAAGAAGACTAGAATTTACAAAAAAGGCAGCATGCATCTGAAATACAGAGAAATGCAGATTAAATAAACTACTGTTTTTCACCTATCAAGTTAGCAGAAATTTTAAAAAGAGGGCTGAGGTCGGGAGTTCGAGACCAGCCAGAGCAACAAGGAGAAACCCCGTCTCTACTAAAAACACAAAAATTAGCCGGGCGTGGTGGCACGCGCCTGTAATCCCAGCTACTTGGGAGGCTGAGGCAGGAGAATCGCTTGAACCCGGGAGGCGGAGATTGTGGTGAGCTGAAATCGCGCCACTGCATTCCAGCCTGGGCAACGAGACCAAGACTCCGTCTCAAAAAAAAAAAAAAAAAAAAGAAAGAAAATAAAAAGAAAATGCTAGTAACACAGTGCACCGACTCGGCCGTACAACATGCTGCTGCCCTCTGAAACCGTGACGCCACCTGTGAGTGTCTCGTCCACGGGAATTAATTAGTGAAGGTGTAAAGGAGCGACGCTCACACAGGGAAGCGGAAAAGGGAAAGAAATACTCAGTGAGAGGAGAAGCGGCCAGATAAACACGGGGGATTGATGCTACTTGAGGATGGCCACAAAGAGTGTACCTGCCATGGAAAAATGCTCATAATACAATTTCCTCTTTTTTTTCCTTTCCTTTTTTGAGACAGAGTCTTGCTCTGTTGCCCAGGCTGGAGTGCAGGGGCTCAATCTTGGCTCACTGTGACCACCGCCTCCTGGGTTCAAGTGATCTTCATGCCTCAGCCTCCCGAATAGCTGGGATGACAGGCACGCATAAGCCTGGCTAACTTTTGTATTTTTAGTAGAGACAGGGTTTCACCATTTTGGCCAGGCTGGTCTCGAACTCCTAACCTCAGGTGATCCACCCACCTCAGCCTCCCAAAGTGCTAGGATTACAGGCATGAGCCACAGCGCCTGGCCAATTTTCTTTAAAGGCAAAAATACTTTTATGAAATACTTTATGAAAATTTTAAAGCTTCATAAACACTACTGTCTCAACTGTAATTTTTTTTTTTTTTTTTTAAAGACAGGGTCTCACTCTGTTGCCCAGGCTGGAGTGCAGTGGCAGGATCTCAGCTCACGGCAACCTCCACCTCCTATATCAAGTGATTCTTCTGCCTCAGCCTCCCAGGTATCTGGGATTACAGGCGTGCGCCACCAAGCCTGGCTCATTTTTTTTTTTTTTTTGTATATTTTAGTAGAGACGCGGTTTCACCACCTTGGCCAGGCTGGTCTCGAACTCCCGACCTCAGGTGATCCGCCCACCTTGGCCTCCCACAGTGCTGGGATTCCAGGCTCAACTGTATTTTTTAAAGGCATGGTGAAGAAACCAGAAAATACCACAGTATGAATGGTGGGTTTCTCTGGGGCTGGGATCATGGCAGTCCTCTTGTCAGCCAGCTGCTCCCACGTCATCCAGTTGCCAGAACACCTTTCACAGGCAACTTGGCAAGGGCGGTGAGGAGCAAAATTCTTAGGCGTGTCTACCTTGGTCAGTGTAGTACTGTATGTAAAATGGACATCAGGTAATATGCCATTTCTAAGTTACCCTCCCTAGAAAAGCACTGGAATGTTCCCCTCAACACCGAATCTGAGAGAGGGCGGAGGGGCAGCGGGAGGCAGCCGTCCCCAGTGCGCTCACGTCACTTGCTTTCATCTGTGGGAACTCCCAGGAAGGTGTGGGAGGAGGAGGGTCGGCCAAGGGCACTCACATAGACGGCGAAGTCCTTGGGGGCGCTGCTGATGTTGCCTGTTGGCGACAGCGTCTTAGGGATGTGCTCCAGAGTGAAGGCGGCTGGGTGGATCATCATGGAGAGCCTCACCACCAGGTACCCCTGGGAGCCTTTAAATGCCCAGCAGTTACCGGGGTAAATGTCAGGCTGGGGAAAGGAAAAACATGAGGACTCAGAGTGTGAGCATGCTCTTACCCACTTAGCAGCAGGAAGAGGAAAGACTGATTATACTGAGATAAAAATAAGTTTTACATGGTAGAAACTGCCATGAGCAAAATCCGAAGATAAGCTGGGAAAGGCATTTGTAATTCACTCCTCAGAGGGCCACTATCTCCAACCCATATGTTGTATAAAAGTTAAAACGACCAGAACCTTAAAGAAAAATGGGTGAGACATACAACATACTTCAAAGAAAAGGTGAAGGTCAATGGTCCTTGGTCGTGGCAAGATGCCCTCCACCCTGCACAGCAAGAAGGGACACCACCACAGGGAACCAGCACTGTCCCCCCATCCGACCAACACCACAGGGAACCAGCACTGTCCCCCCATCCGACCAACACCACAGGGAACCAGCACTGTCCCCCCATCCGACCAACACCACAGGGAACCAGCACTGCCCCCCCATCCGACCAACACCACAGGGAACCAGCACTGCCCCCCCATCCGACCAACACCACAGAGAACCAGCACTGCCCCCCGATCCGACCAACACCACAGGGAACCAGCACTGCCCCCCCATCCGACCAACACCACAGGGAACCAGCACTGCCCCCCAATCCGACCAACACCACAGGGAACCAGCACTGCCCCCCAATCCGACCAACACCACAGGGAACCAGCACTGTCCCCCCATCCGACCAACACCACAGAGAACCAGCACTGCCCCCCCATCCGACCAACACCACAGGGAACCAGCACTGCCCCCCAATCCGACCAACACCACAGGGAACCAGCACTGCCCCCCCATCCGACCAACACCACAGGGAACCAGCACTGCCCCCCCATCCGACCAACATCAAGGGTCAGCTGCTGATGCCCTGGGAAAATGCACGTTCTAACCTAACCCGGCCACGGTGCAGCCTGCAGCCCCAGAAGCACAGCCTGGCAAGGTCGGCCTGCTGCGCACACATCTGCCTCTGGCCTGCGATCGCACCCCCACCTCCAGGTGCAGGGCAGATGTGACCGGAGAGCACTGTTCGCAGCACAGCGTCCCCAGGCACACACAGGGACTGACTGACAAGTTGCAGACGCTGCGCCCAGGCAGCCACGTTGCTGTGCGCAACGGAGGAGGAGACCGTGCACGCAGCCTGCCTTCAGTGTGTGAGGACGACACACGCATTTCATTCGTGTTTAGAAGAGATGGTGAACGATGGGCACGTACCCGCCGGCTTCTCCTCTATGCCAGCTGTGGATTTACTGCCCCTCAGCCCCCAAGCCGTCTTCTACCGCGCTGTGAAGACGGAGCTGAGCCTTGAACTGCTCTCCCTTTGCCAGCCCAAAGCCTAGCCCTTGCCAGCTCAGGGTGCTGGGTGGACACTGAGGTTCCCTGGTACCCCTCTTGGGGGTGTTGCAGCCAAACGCCCGGTGAGTCACCCTGTTGTGCACAGGCTTTCCCAGCATGCTGGTACATTCCACCGTGTGGCACCACAGCAACCTCCCTGACGTTCAGTGAGCTGGGCCACACCCTCCGCCCAACGGTCTGGAGAGACGCTCTGGCGAGGCTCCACCTTGGTCCTGGGGTGGGAGCTGGTCCCTTATATCTGCTATCCCTATGTTCTGTAAACATTCTCTTTACTTCCCAGGAGCCGACAGTTTCTCAGTCCAGTCCCAGCACAGTGATTGGTGATTTATATGAAGTCTGCCCCTCCAGTGACCGTGCACTTCCTTCTGAGAGAGAACTGTGCCAGGGGAGGGCTGAGCTCCACCCTCTCCCTCAGTCTCTAAGACACTGAAGCCATGCTGTGCTCTCACCACCAGATCCCCACCAGCATCACACTGACAACACTGCAGGCCAGTGAGCTCCTCTGGGAGGGTCAGGATCACCAAGCCCTGTGAGAAGGATGTTATGGCCAGGAGCAGGACCGCCATGCAGGAACACTGTGGCAACCCTGTGCAGAAAACCTGTTGGCCCTGCCAGGTGACACAGACTGTGCCGGTGGCACTCGTGAGCTGGCACAGAAAAAGCAGCCGCATGCCAAGCGCAGGGCTGTGTGGCTTCGTGGCAGCAGAGGCTGCGTCTGCCTGCAGTGAGGAGGGGCTCCGGCTGTGCCCTCAGGAGCAAAGTGCTGGTGAGCCCGTGCGGTGCTGATGGCTGCAGAAAGCCAAACAGTCACGCTGACCGGACAGTTCCGCCGGGGCAGCCTGGGGACGAGATCATGATGACGACAGTCCCATGTGATCCTCAACGTCAGGTCACAGGCACTTCATGAATTCTTTCAGGCTGGACTTGTGTTTTCCTAGTGAAAGCCGTCTTGGCGTTGTTCCACATACAAGTAATTATTGGATTTTTCTTCAAAACATGTCATGAATATGAGGCAGGATTTGAGTATTGAGGCAAAATAAATCTATTTAAATTCTCCATCCTTTAGTGCTTTAAACTTGTACAGCCAATAGTATAAAGTATTAAATGAAGCCACAGAAAAGCAGTGCACAACGAGGACCACAGCAGAAGGTCCAGGAGACGGGGACTGAAGGCCCAGGGAGAAGGGGGCGGGGAGGGGTGGGCGAAGGCCCAGGGAGACGGTGGGGGTGAAGGCCCGGTGGGACGGGGGGCGGGGGGGGGGCGAAGGCCCACGGAGATGGTGGGGAGACAGTGGGGGCGAAGGCCCGGGGAGATGGTGGGGAGACAGTGGGGGCGAAGGCCCGGGGAGATGGTGGGGAGACAGTGGGGGCGAAGGCCCGGGGAGATGGTGGGGAGACAGTGGGGGCGAAGGTACGGGGAGATGGTGGGGAGACAGTGGGGGAGAAGGCCCGGGGAGACGGGGGGCAAAGGCCGGAGGGATGGGGGGGTGAAGGCCCATGCCGAGGCCAGACAGCTAGGGCCTCCCCACCTATTGTCTCTCAACACCTGAGAAAGCACAGCTGCCACTCTCGTGACGGAAGACCCACGGCCCGAGCAGGAACAGCTGCCACTCACAACACCATGGCTGGAACACCCAAAAGAGGGAGGGAGGAAGGCTGACAGGACCAGCATGTGCCACACGGTCCCATCTGTGTGACGCTAAACCCAAGCCAACAGATGTGTAGCGTGGAGGCTACACGGGGACACCGGGGACTCCTCGGTGTGGGAACGCTGCCACTTCTTGTGGTACCAGTTCCACAGACGTGTTCATCTTACGAAGTTCCATGGAGCTGTGGACCTACGACCCGTGAACACTAACCGAGTCCATGCTGAAGAGGAGCAGCTCCGGCCACCGGCGGCCACTCACCTGGATGACCACGCGCGGGGACTGCGAGAAGTACCACAGCGGGATCCCAAACAGACTCATCAGCGCCGTTTTGGTTTCGTAAGTTTCAGAACAGCGAGTACTCAAGATGCTGCCACCTTAAAGCAAAGTTCAGATCGGTCTCAGTGTCCAGTTCCACCATTTTGGAAGCAATAGTACTGCACCACTTCAGGATTTATTAAAATGTTTCCAAGAAAAGTGCTCGACATCACTGATATTCAGAGAAATGCAAGTAAAAACTACAATTAGATCTCTTCTCCCCCCAGTTACAATGGCTTCTATCCTAAAGACAGGCAGTAACAAATGCTGGCGAGGATGTGGAGAAAGGGAACCCTCACGCACTGTTGGTGGGATGGAAATTAGTACAACCACCATGGAGAGTGGTTTGGAGGTCCCCAAGAAAACTAAAAACAGAGCTACCATATGATCTGGCAATGCCACTCCTGGGTGCACCCCCGACAGAAAGGAAGGCAGTCTACTGAAGGCAGACCTGCACTTCTATCTTTGTGCAGCACTGCTTGTTTACAGTAGCTCACATCTGGAAGCAACCTCAATGTCCATTAACAGATGAATGCATGAGGAAAATGGCGTACATATACACAATGGAGTACTATTCAGCCATAAAAAACAGTGAGAGCAGGCCAGGTGCAGTGGCTCACGCTTGTAATCCCAGCACTTTGGGAGGCCGAGGCCGGTGGATCACTTGAGGTCAGGAGTTCCAGACCAGCCTGGCCAACCCCATAGCAAAACCCCATCTCTGCTAAAAATACACAAATTAGCCGGGCATGGTGGCGGGCACCTGTAATCCCAGCTACTTGGGAGGCTGAGGCAGGAGAATCGCTTGAACCGGTAGTGAGCCGAGATCACGTCACTGACTCCAGCCTGGGTGATACAGCGAGCCTGTCATTTGCAAAAACATGGATGGCTACCAGAGGTCACTATGTTAAGTGAAATAAGCCAGGCATAGAAAGACAAACATCCCATGTTCTCACTTATTTAAAAACCAAAACCACTGAATTCATGGACAGAGAGGGTAGAAGGGTGGTACCAGAGACTGGGAAGGGGAGTTGGGGCTCAGGGAAAGTGGGGATGGTTAATGGGTCCAGAGAAAAAAAGAATGAGGCAGAGTGCAGTGGCTCACGCCTGTAATCCCAGTACTTTGGGAGGCCGAGGTGGGTGGATCACCTGAGGTCAGGAGTTCCAGACCAGCCTGACCAACATGGTGAAACTCCATCTCTACTAAAAATATGAAAATTAGCCGGGCGTGGTGACGCGCCCCTGTAGTCCCAGCTACTCGAGAGGCTGAGGCAGGAGAATTGCTTGAAGCCGGGAGGCAGAGGTTGCGGCGAGCCGAGATTGCGCCATTGCACTCCAGCCTGGGCGACAGAGCGAGACTCTTTGTCTCTACGAAAAATGAATGCATAAGACCTACCATATGATAGCAGAACAGGGTGACTGTAGTGAACTTCATTGTGCTTTTTTTTTTTTTTTTTTTGAGATAAAGTTTTGCTCTTGTTGCCCAGGCTGGAGTGCAATGGTACGATCTCGGCTCAACACAACCTCCACCACCCAGGTTCAAGCGATTCTCCTGCCTCAGCCTCCCGAGTAGCTGGGATTACAGGCATGTGCCACCACACCCGGATAATTTTTTTTTGCATTTTTTTAGTAGAGACGGGGTTTCTCTATGTTGGTCAGGGTGGTCTCAAACTCCCAATCTCAGGTGATCTGCCCGCCTCAGCCTCCCAGAGTGCTGGGATTACAGGCATGAGCCACTACACCTGGCCTAATTGTGCATTTTTAAATAACTTAGAGTATTTTTGTTTGTAACTCAAAGGATAAATGCTGGAGGGGATGGGTACCCCATTTTTCATGATGTACTTACTTCACATTGCATGCCTGTATCAAAATATATACCCCATAAATATGTGCACCTATGTACCCACAAAAATTAAAAAATAGATAATTAGTTAAGCCATTAAAATACATAAGTTTGAAAATGATGAAGGATATTATCTAATACCAGCTAATAAAATTTTCGGATAAAAAAAGTGTTTTTAAACTTCTCAAGTTTTTACATATACAAAGAACCTCCTACTTTTAGACTAGTCCTTTTCTTAATTAATTGTACTTTCTCAAATTGAGTGTTAAGAGTTTACAACTGCTTTAGGACACACAATTTTTACTTACTGAAACTGGGAAATTCTTAAAATACTGGCCTTCCCCCACTACTGCTAGAGAGAGAGCTACTCCAAATGAACTTTTTGTTGGTTTTTCTCAATGAAGAATAAAGCATCCGATTGAGCCTGGTGTCACCCAGCAGGTGAGCTCTCAGGCCCTGAAGAGCAGACCTTCCGTCACAATAATTACCAATTACAGTGAAAAGGCTGGGGCTGTGAGGATGGCTACTTGCGGCACAGGGTTTCTAGCTGGGGTGAGAAAGATTCTGGGGTAAGGCAGTGGTGATGGCTGCACCGCGAATATGTTAATAGCCACGGAGCTGTACATTTAAAAACGCTGAATTTTTGTGTGAATTACATCTCAATAATAAGAGGAAGCATAAAAAACAAGTCCAGTTTGGCCCTTAGTAGGATACAGGACAGGCAGAATGTTGTTGTCAAAGCAGGACAAAAAACCCCCAAGAAACAAAAACCAAGTTGGCCGTGAAGGCAGCACACAACCCCGGGCAGCAAGGGCGAGCTCGGGAGGGCGGCACTCCAGGGGCCCTGGCGCTGGTGAACGCCGGGCAGCAAGGGCGAGCTCGGGAGGGCGGCACTCCAGGGGCCCTGGCGCTGGTGAATGCTGGGCAGCAAGGGCGAGCTCGGGAGGGCGGCACTCCAGGGGCCCTGGCACTGGTGAACCACAGGCAGGAGAGGCAGAAACTGATGGGGTTTTTTTGTTTTTTGTTTTTGAGATGGAGTCTCGCTCTGTCACCCAGGCTGGAGTGCAGTGGCACGATCTCAGCTTACTGCAAGCTCCACCTCCCGGGTTCACGCCATTCTCCTGCCTTAGCCTCCCAAGTAGCTGGGACTACAGGCGCCCACCACCACACCCAGCTAATTTTTTGTATTTTTAGTAGAGAAGGGGTTTCACCCTGTCAGCCAGGATCTCCTGACCTTGTGATCTGCCTGCCTTGGTCTCCTAAAGTGCTGGGATTACAGACGTGAGCCACTGCGCCCGGCCAGAAACTGATGTTTTAAACAGGAAAACCATGGGATTTTAATGTAGCTGATTGAGATGTGAATTTCTAAACCACTGAATTATCTTTTTAACTAACTCACAAAGTGTCAATCAATGTTTTCTTCAATAATGGAACCTTCGGTGCAGCCTCATCAGGATTACCAGTGTTCTGAGGTACACACAAACCTGTAAGGATTCACTAGGGTTTTAAGAATAAATGACATCTCTCGGCCCAAACTGTATGGTTCATGTCAATTGATGCCTCTTAATGGAAAATAATTTCTTCCTAAATCACTGAATTTCAAAATATATAACTAAAAGCACTTAATATTCTAAAAAGGTCATTTTAAACAAACACACACCGATCACACCAGTAGCCTTGTTGATGTCTGTCTACCATTTGGAAGAATCCAGCCATTTTTATCACGACTTCAGTCTGCAGCCACCACAGAAAGAACTCAGAGGGTGGCAAATGACTGAAATCAAACCCAGCTGCTCCCGTACTAATGGGATTAGGATCCTGCGCAACCACATGGCAGAGTCCCTACCCAGCCCTACATCATCGTGGGTTTTAGAAATCTCTCCTGCCCTGCAGGCTCTCCAGCCCCTCCACACACTAACGTGTACTGAACACAGCATCTTCTGAGTGATGTGAGTCCCCCAGCCCCTATTTGCAAATCCTACATTTAAAAAATTCAGAAAACCAAGATTTTGATTTCCATAACAGGTGTGGTGCACACCTTCCCTGAGCGGACGTGAAGCAGGTCTAGCTCTCCTCTCACGGTTCTTTCGGAAATGCTCGTGTCTGATCCAGGTGTGCTGCCCCACTCACCACGGAGTGGGCTGTGTGGACCCCAGGACTTTCCTCAGCTGCGATGCTGATTTTCAAATGCATCTGCCCCAAGAGGTCTGGCCTAGGCTTGTGCCCCTGCAGGGTTTCCCAAACCCCGACCACAGCGGCCTTTGTATTTCTCTGAGGTCCTGAAACACAGCCCCCATCATTCCATCTGCTTAGCCTGCTTCTGCTCTCGGTCTGTCTTGCTGCTGAGTGGACGCCCTCGGGGAGAGCTGTGTGGTCACTGCTGAGTCTCTCCTGAAGGCACTGAACAATCCCCGATCACAGCACAGGAGAGAGTGAACAGTCGAGCACACTTTCTGTGCTGTGAACCTCGACTTAGCCACAAGCATGCACCCCCAGCCCTTCCAGGGGAGAACTTGTGCCCCCCAAACACAACTGGCCAGGAAGAAAGAACACCAGGGTCATGCCCAGAATCATGCTCCCTTTCTCAGATGTTTAAAAGTTAGGAGTCCTTACTGCTGGAAGTGGGGTAGGCAACAGCCTCTCAAGTGCACACCCCTGCTAACAGGTGATCATCTAACTTAGTAATCAGAACGTCTATTTACTCACCACCAGATTCCAGAGCAAAGTCCACCATCCCGGTCTTATCTTGGGAATACAGCTTCAAGGCGCTGTTCACGATGGCACGTGCTTGCTGGACAGACACGAGGGACGGAAGACCAAACACCAGAACAGGAGAGGAGAGACGTGGGTTTTAGTGCCATGGATGAGGACCAGACACTTACATTAGAGCATCTTCTCAACGGAAACTATGTAGGGTTCCTAGGCATGGCAGAAGTCAACTCCACACTCCAGTCCTGCGCCCGACTGCCAAGGCCATCAGATGGAGATGGGAGGGCACGAGGCCTCTTCCCCCAGGTCTCAGCCATGGCCACCATCAATCTTTGAACCAGAAAAATCCCCCAGATGCCATAAAACACGAATAAAGCAAGGATGAGCATTCAAGCCTGGAACACAGGAAATTCTGGGAATTTAGGTATTACTGAGTGATAGGGCTTGGCTGTGTCCCAACCAGATCTCATCTTGAATTGCAGCTCCCATAATTCCCACATTGTGGCAGGGAGCGGGTGGGGGAAACTGAGTCATGGTGGGGGTTTCTCCCGTGCTGTTCTCGTGATAGTCTCGGGAGATCTGATGGTTTTATAAAGGGAGTTCCCTCGCATACACTCTCTTGTCTGCTGCCATATAAGACACGACTTTGCTCCTCGTTCACCTTCCCCCATGACTGTGAGGCTTCTGCAGCCATGTGCAACTGTGAGTCAATGATCCTTTCTAAATTGCCCAGCATGAGAACAGACTAATACACGGAGAGACTTTCATGGAACTGCAGAAGGTGTGGCCACCACACAGGCAGATGGGCTCTTTGGGACAAAAAGATTCACAAAGTATAAAGAACTCCCAAGAAGCAGCTCAGTAATGACACTGACAGCAAGAGCTGAAGCTCACCGCACAGGTGCCCCCTCCACACACGGCACTGCCCAGGCACGTCTCATCTCACTTACGTCAGCTAAGCACACCCCAGCCAGACCACTCTTAAAACAAGACATCAACATCCACACCTCACAGCTAGGTCTTCAGTCTCAGCACAGAATGGACTGTAAGCATCTCTTGCCGCCGACTCGCCGACTCACCGCCTCTGTTATTCCAGACGCCCCCGCCTCGCTCACAGCAGACACCACGGCTTCTGAGGTTGGGAGCTGCTTGGTCACGGAAACGTGGTGGGTGACGTTCCGCAGGATCTGCAGCTGCAGGTCTCGCAGCATCGTCTGCAAGTCGCCTTTGCTCACAAACTGTGATGAGAACCTCTGCAGCAGCTGTTCCAGAGAACCGCCTTGCTGATCTTCGGAAAACAGGAGTTTCACCATTTCTCTGACTTGCACGTCCACCTAGTAAAACAGCAGACGGACACAAATGTCCTATTTTAACTAAATCACTTCCACTGTTCGGGTCCATTATCTTAGATACCTCAGAAGAATTATATATCCTCTCAAAATCTAGAATGTCATTGTGACAGTGTTTTCCTTCATATTAAATTTAATAACCCCTCCAATAATGCAGGACCATGTTAAAAAGAACAGAAATAGGTGAGCTCGTGGGATGTGTGCGACCCACATCCTAGGAGCTGAAGGACATAGTGGGGCATGTCCACACCCTCTGGAGGTGCGTGTCCATCCCGCAAGCACCCACCGGGCACCCCGCAGCGAGGCGCACAGGTGCATCGGAGAGGCCCTGCCATCAACAAACTTGGTCTGATGAGAAAACAGTCATATAAATGAACCTAAATTATAGCTTTATGTAAGCTAAATACACCCCATGTTATTTCTAAGCACACAAACACATATGTGTATACCTTTCTCTTCTTGCTTCGTAACAACAGACCGTGAAGGAGAGGGCAAAGCCTCCTAGGACACGACCGTTCATCACAGCTGCCCTCCCACATTCCACGTGTGGACACACCCTTCTCTAGCCCACACCCCCTAACAATGGCACGTAGCTGCTTTCTACCCTCACTCCTCCCCACACACACTTCCCAGCGCTGACCCTCCTGCCTGTGTGGCCTCTGTACTGGTGCCTTTATTTCTGTAGGATGATTCCCAAGGGCATGGTTGCTCATTTCAAAAAGTGCATGTATTTGTCACTGGTTAATATCCTAAGATTTTCCCCCAGAGGCCGTAGTTGATGACAGTCCTCCTGGCCAGGGAAAAGCCCACTGCCTCAGCCAGCGCTGATAGCAGCCATCGTCCTCGTGGGCCTGCAGACTAAAGATGAGAGCCTGCTGTAATCTGCAAGTCCCATCAGTAGGACTCAGCTCCCTGATAGCACGGTGACATGCTTTTTCTTTTTCTTTTTTTTTTTTTTTTGAGACGGAGTCTTGCTCTGTCACCCAGGCTGGAGTGCAGTGGCGCGATCTTGGCTCGCTGCAACCTCCACCTCCTGGGTTCAAGCAATTGTCCTGCCTCAGCCTACCAAGTAGCTGAGATTACAGGCACCCACCACCACACCCGGCTAATTTTGTATTTTTAGTAGAGACGCGGTTTCACCATGTTGGCCAGGCTGGTCTTGAACTTCTGACCTCAGGTGATCCGCCCACCTCGGCCTCCAGAGTGCTGGAATCACAGGCGTGAGCCGCGGCGCCCGGCCTATCGCATGCTTTCTCTGTCACCACTGCTTCTCTTCCTACCCATTATAGGGGCTCTCTGCACATCAGAGATAATCTTACCACACGTATTGCAAATGCCTTTACCAATCTACTGTCTGACTTTGATGACTTCTGCCAATCAAATGATTGTGTTTTCATTCTTAAGCAGCTCTAAATGTCTAGATTTTCTCCTCTGCCTAAGGATGATGGACTTGAAGCAATGTCTATGATATGTTTCGACACGAAACAGAGCAAGCAGCAGGTACAGCGTGGGTCTATCTAATGAAAGGTACACAGCAACAACCCAGCCCCAAGTCAGTGCTGGCCCTGGGCTGCACGCACACCAAGGACGCATACCAAGGAGACTGGGAAGACGCATGGTGGGTGCTGACGCACAGTGGTGCTGGAACGGGGAAGTCTACGGAGCACTGAATTAGTTATTTTGGAATATTTAAAAAGTTCACATATAGTAAAAAAAAAAAAAGTTTTTAAAGGGAGTTGAAATTAAACAACTTAGGCCAGGCATGGTGGGTGGCTCAGGCCTGTAATCCCAGGACTTTGGGAAGCTGAAGCAGATGGATCACTTGGAGTCAGGAGTTTGAGACCAGCCTGACCATTGTGGTGAAACCCCACCTCTACTAAAAATACAAAAATTAGCCGGGCATAGTGGCACATGCCTGTAGTCCCAGCTACTCGGGAGGCTAAGGTGGGAGAATCGCTTGAACCCGGCAGGTGGAGGTGGCCTGCAGTGAGCTGAGATCGCGCCACTGCAGTCTAGCCTGCGTGCCACAGCAAGACTCGGTTTCAAAAATAAATAAATAAATAAAAAATTAAACAGCTAATAAACCTAAGTCATCAATTCAAGTTTTCTTTTACTTTCTATTATAAAACAAAAAGTAAACATGCAGAAAGCTCACTCTTTCTTGTACGGCATCCACTGTCTCACAGCCGGTCTTCACGTGTCGCCAGCTGGACAGCTCTGACTTTAGCTGATCCAGCTCCAGCTGGAGGTGCTCGACTGTGGGCAGGAGCTGCTCACCAACCGCACTGGAATCCAACAGTGAGAATGGGTCACACACAAGCCTCCCAGCCTATACGCTTCCCACACTACACACAGGCTGAGGGGAACCCGATCCCACTCCTGGGTGTCACAACTGTACAGATGTCATCCTGTGCCACACTAACGTGGAAACTGGATGCCAGTTTCAAATACAGTTCCCAGAGAGGTTGTCTTCTGCATCAGTTTATGTCTGTAACATACAAATGTTCACACTGCACAAGGAGGCTATCTACAAAAGTGCTGCTAGCAGTGTTTCTCAGTGGCGAGTGAGAGCTCTCTCTGAAAACGATTTAAGCATTTAGAAACTTTATTTCTGGACTGGGTGCGGTGGCTCATGCTTGTAAGCCCAGTAGTTTGGGGCTGAGGCAGGCAGATCACTTGAGGTCTTTACAGGCACACATACTTGTTGAGATACTAACAATTCATATCTCAAAAAGCCCATTCCCAGATCAACACTTTAGGATTGACATATTAACACGTTAAAGCAACTTTTTTACTGAAATAAAAGCTTTGGAAGGAGAGAAAACCGTGCTCCAGCTCTCACACCTGTCCTCACAGAAGAGGAACATGGGGCACAGGAGAGGATGGACCCTCCCGAGTGCAGACGCGGGGACCTCGGGAAACCACAACCAAGCCAAGGCTGCCGAATCTACAGGCGGGGAGGGCTGTGGGGAATACGAGCTGCGTGCATAAAATGAAGTAAGAAAGACAAAGCTGCCATGTTGGGAACACCTGTGAGAGGCAAGCACCCCACTTAAGGGGACTTGGCAAATCAGTGGTCGTGTGGAAGAAAGCCGCCCTGAGTGAGGAGCAAAATGCCAGCTTCCCCAGGAACTGCAGAGGGACCCGGCTGTGCCATGGATTCCAAGGGCGGCAGGGCCGACAGCCACGCGGAGAGGCCCACCGTGACACGCCCAGCACAAATCCGGTGGTTCTGGAAGCAGGTGTCCTGTCCACCAGGGACTGCCGTCCAGGAGCAGCAGCAGAGATGAGGCTGAGCTGTAACCCCGCCCACCTAGATGCCAACGGTGCCAGCGGAGGCCCGGTGCAGAGCCCACCCTGACACCCACCATGGCACGGGCTGCAACATGGGCCTTGACCTACTCCCTGAGGTTGGCCCTGCAAGGACCCTGGAGATGAAGCCCTCCGGGTCACAGCAGGGGCGCGGACAGCACCTTTGAGAGTGCTAACTACAGAGGTCCACGCCGCGTGGAGGGGGATGTGGCAAGCCCCGCAGGACCCCTCTGTCCTCACGCAGCCCAGCAGGAGTGTCTGTCGGCACGAACCTCAGGGCCTTCAGGTGACCCTCGGGGGAGGCCGGCCCCGGGTCCCCCATTCATCACTCTGCTGCCGCTCCACATAACCACACACACACACCGAAGACAAAAGTGAATGTTTTCCAAATCCTCCTACCTGATTGTTTTTTGCTTGGTCTGTTCTAGTTCCTTCTGGATGGCCTAAAAAGTATGAGAAATAGTCTACTGAAACACATAAGTTATATATTAACTTTTCATAAAACCACATACTTAAAACTCCATTGATTTATCTGGAATACCCCCTTTAATTCAAAGTCCAGATCTGCCTGTGGGTGGCAGGTAGGAAGTGTTCATTGAACATTTCAAAGTAACCTTCATTACGTGTGCGCAGAAAGGAGCACAAATCACATGAGAACGGCCTGGCGGGCTCAGAACATGCAGCTCCTGTAACCAGCACCCGGGTTGGGAGTCAGCTCCCTGTCACACCTCCAGAGTGTGTTCTAAACGTGAAGGACAGGGACACGGCAGAGGCACACATGAAGCTGAGCCGTGCTGGCCTGTGCCATCCGCAGCAGCACCACGCTGAGCACCAGCGTCAGCCCCAAGTCTCACTCCATGGAGGTCTCCACAGCCCGGCCCAGGGCAGGCAGACAGAGGAGGAGGCGCCCCACAGACCTTCTCGGGCGGACACAGGAGGAGGCGCCCCGCGGACCCTCTTGGGCGGACAGAGGAGGAGGCGCCCCGCAGACCCTCTCGGGTGGACAGAGGAGGAGGCGCCCCACAGACCTTCTCAGGCGGACACAGGAGGAGGCGCCCCGCAGACCCTCGCAGGCGGGTACATTCTCGCCTCTGCCTGCTCCTCTCAGCCCACCTCTCCCTCCCAGGTAAACCTGCCTGATCTCACAGGGTCCAAGGTCCAGGAGTGGGTCCCAAGATTCCCAAAAGGGTGTGCTACATACAACCCTTAGGCTCACCACACTTCTCAAGGTAGTTCAATACACACACGCACATGTGACACGCCAGGCTCTGTGTCAAGCACCAGAGACACAAAGAGCCGGAACCTGAGCCCGACCCGACTCCCCATGGCTGAGGGCAGCACAGAGGCCCAGTCCCTCCCCTGGCATTCCCAGCAACAAATGGTCCCGGCCTTCCCACCCAAAGCTAGTGCTGTCTGTCAAAAGGTTCAGGTCCTTTATCCCCCCTCTGAAGACACTGCAAGGTGGGTGTGTGGCAGTGAGGAAGCACCCTGGAGCCGGAAAGAGCTGGATGGGAACCCAGAGGCCGCCTGGAATCGGCAGAACCACCTCCTGGCGTGTGCAGCCCTGCTCTGTGCCCTCGAGAGACACGGGGATGCGTGAGTTACACACCCGATTCAATGTTAGAGCCCCAGAGCCGCTGCCACACCAGAGAACAAGTGTTTCTTTCCATTTTACACAAAACAAACAGCAAATAGCCTAAAAAGAGGAACATTAAATGACCAAAGGGCTTTAAAATATTAGCCATAGTTGATTTTCTTTTTATTTTAAAAAAGCGTAAGGTCAAAAATAAATACCTCAGATTTTTCTCTCAGTTTTCCCAGAATATCTTCCAAGTGTGACATACGCACTTCATGTTCTTGGTGAAAGGCCATAAAGTCAGTCTTAGGAAAGAGAAGGAGTGAACAAATGATGGAGAAAGTTAAGCAACAAAAACCTGGCAAATCAGGCCAAGGCGTTTCTACACGGAATACCGACAATCAGAGAATCTGTGGTCGCAATGTGGCACGGACCCTAAAGGAATAATCCGCTTCATAACAATATCCTTATTTCAGCCCTGGCTCCAGAGGTCTTTATTTATATATATATTTATTTTAAGGTTGCACTCCAGCCTGGGCCATGGGTCTCCACCTCCTGGGCTCAGGTGACCCTCCCGCCTCGGCCTCCTGAGTAGCTGGGACCACAGGCCTGAGCCCAGTGCACTGACACACCAGACCACGTGAGAGCCCAAGGCCCTCGCCGTCTCCAGCACGCCATCCAGCGCCCCTCGGGCCATCGTGGGACGTGCTGCATCTGTGCTGTCCAGCAGGGCAGCACCAGCCACTCATGGCTACTGAGCACCTGAGATGGGACCATACGAGTGAGAACCTGCATTTTAAAATTCTGTGTGGTGTTGATGAACATAAATGTACACGGCCATATGTGAGTAGCGGCATCCTCCACTAGGCAGTGCAGACGCAAACGTGAGCTAGAGGCTCGGGGGCTGAGCGTTTGACGCTGCGCGCACCGCCTCGGAGGGAAGCCCTGCTCTGCGTTCCAGTCGCCGCCATGATCACACCCACAGGCACGTGCTGGAAGACGGCTTAAGAACAGGCTCAATCCGTGCTAAAGTGAGCTCAGGCCACACACAATTCAATTCACACACAGTTCAGTTTTCACGCAACGGTTCTGAACAGCTGTCGGCTGTTTTCTTCACAAGAGAAGGCATCCTCTGAAGCAGAGGTTCCTGGGTCCCCCCACGCGATCCCTGCAGTGGGTGGGAGCATCTCAGGCTGCCTCCGAGAAGTGCGTCTGGGACCCACACGAGACGGTTTGTGTCCATCTCAGCGGCTGTCCTGTCTGCAGGGACAGAGCGCCATGACCTGCCACTAAGAGGGCAATCTGGAGAACAGGACAGGAAAGACCACGGTTCTCCACGACCGCTGGACTTCCCGCTTGGGGTTATCACAAGTCTCCCGCCCACCACTTCCATGTGCGCTATGGAACCCACAGCTCCTGGTCATCGGCAGACGACGGGAAACCCACTCCCTCTCCGGCACACTGCTCTCAACAACTAAGAACAGAAAGGGCAACCCCTTTTCACAACGGCACCTCTCCTGTCCCCTCTGTCTCCCAAAAGGAGAGAACATGGCACCCAGAAGCGCGTTGGTGTCACCATGGAGCCTGGTAGCCCGGCAGCACCCACCTCCCTCGGGGGCTGTCCCACAGCGTCTCTGACCGAAGCTGACGGCCCGGCAGCGCCGCCTTCCATCTGGTCCACCCGAGCCTGCAGCTTCTGTAGCAAAGTGGTCAGCTCTCGGAGATTCTCACCATGGTGGTGGCACTGTCCAGACAGAGAGGCCACCTGCTGCTCCACGCCACTCATCCAATGCCACGGAAAAGCCTCACTGTCACCCTGAAATGGCAAGAGAGAAATGAAACCAGGTAGTCAAACAAGCATGAGCACAGAGTCAGTTAAACCTCCAAACAGTGTCCTACAGCAAGACGCCAGCTCTGGGGCGCACGGCACACGAATGGAGGAATCCACAGAAACCCGGAGTATCAGGTTTGATCCTTACATGGCTGACTATGGGTGCTTCTCATTTTCTTCTCTATACTTTCTGTACTTTGTACAGTGATGAATACTATTATGTTTTTAAAATTAAAACTAACTGAATCATGAGAGTACTTTAAATGTGCATTTGAACTATCCTAGAACACTTAAGGAGCTCCAAAGACTTGCTTATCTGACATTTAAAAATACTTCTTACAACAGGACACCCAACTGAAGTGCCTGGCTCACAGCAGTGTGGAACGTCCCTGAAGACCTCACATGTGCAGTGCCAGCTGAGAGGCCTTTCTACCCTCTTACCTGCAGAGGCTGCTTCAGGCGAGAAGTCGTGGGTTTAAACACGTCCTGGGGGTCATCCACCCGCTGTGTTCTATGCATGCTTGCCCAGTTCAACACGGGCAAGAACGAAAAGAAATTGCCCTGGCCCCGTAAGGAGAGACCTGCTAAAAGAGAAGAGCCACCACACACACACAGGTACACCACGCTTCTCAAAACATGGACTTACACGCTCATTTTTTTCCACTAAGTTACACATATGTGTGTACCGCTTAGCCATCGGAGGCAACTCAGCCAGATTTGACTTACCTAGTAAAAGGAAGAGTGGGATGAGCAAGACTAAAAACTTGCAGATGTTTCGAAGGCACCTGGGAGTAACAATGAAAACCTTTGACTTAGAAAAAATGAAAGTCAGGGTTCACCAATCTGTTTTCCCCCTCTAGATAATTTTGTGCAAAATCCACCCCCCCAGTATTAGAAAAGCAGTTACGGTTTTATCTACAAGGCTTCTGATGCCTTCAGGAGAACCTTCATGTAAAATGGTGTCTTTGAGACCTACGTTACCAACTCTCTGGTGCTGTGGGAATGGCCTGAGCTACCCTGAGTCGCTGCCCCTTCGGATCACAGCCTTCTGAGGTGACTGATGCCACTGGGAACTGCAGCAGGGCAGAAGCCTGGACCTGGGTCCCCCATCCTGCCCAGGCCCTCCCAGCTGCCTCACCTCTGCACATTTGTTTTCCTTAATGATATCTGCTTTTCTTATCTCACAGGTTGGTTTGAAAAATAAGAATATAAAAGCACTTTTGTAAAATATACAAACACTATGTAAATATAAGCTAAATCCTTACAAAATAACAAATCAAATGAGAGCCTGCAATTGGCACAAAATTGGTTCCTTAAAGCACCACGCTGACATGATATCCATTTCCTTACCTGGTAAGAAGAAACACATTCAGCCAAGAAATCAAAGTAACAAACTGGTACCATCCAATCCCCAGCCACCAGAACACTCCAGAGGCTGCCTTCCCTACAAGAGAAAACACCAAACATTCTAAGGAAATGTTTTTAGGAAAACCAAGCTCCTAAATGGACCATTTCTGTGAAGGCCAAGCTAGAAGCACATGAAGATGAAGCTGGAGGTGAAGAAGTTCGGTGATGCTAGTCGCCACGGCAGGAAGCAAGGCAGTAACGTATCATGCTGATGAACACACAGGACAGAATGCAGGAGAGGAAGCCCCAGATCCATGCATTCTCTGCACCGGGCATTCAGGCAGCCGGACTTCCCCCAGACCCAACCCCAGAGAAACCAAGGGCGCTCATGCAGCAAGTACAGTCAGTTAACATTGCTACGTCATAAAGAACGAGACACGTTACGCCAAGGGTCAAAGCATGAGAGCCTAAATGAGATTTTTACTTGGTTAGGTAAATCGAGTGCAGGTGCTTAGCTGCCAGAAGCTCTGGAGAGAACGCAACACAGAAACCCAAAATAGCCACCTGGAGCAACCACGGCCAGCCAAAGGGCCGACCACGCCGTCCTGGACACAGCCTGGCCCACAGCTCCGATCCTGCGCAGAATCTGCAGCAAGAAGTAACCTGTGCAGGGAAGACGTGTGTGGCCTCAGACAGACGCCAGGGACCAGCCTCTGCAGTGACAGCACGGTGGGGACGCCCAAGCCACACACTTCACCAAAGCCTGCATCGGTGGGTCAAGAGTCTCCTCAAAAAATATGAAAAGCCAAATAACTCTTGTAAGTGCTGGCAATATTGCACTGACATGACCATTTGAAAAGCTCAGTTCTATTTTTTAATAGTTTTCACTCACTTCTGCCTGCAGATACTTCAGGTGTAAAATGCAGATATCTCCTAAAAACCCCAGGGGGCGGAGGTTGGAAGCCGCCCTACAAATATTGGCCATTGGTGCCAGCACAATTTATATTGGGAAGATCATACCATATTTTAAAGCAGATTGAAATTCCATAGACACCTGCAGTTCATATGTGCTAGGCGAGGAAATAATTAAGACCAAAACTAACATTATTCTAAAGGCTAATATTTTCTAGTGAAACAGTGTTTCAGAATGGTAACACAGCACTGCCGGATGACGGAATGTGCCACAATCAACTTAGTATCAAACCTCACATTACAAAAAGCAGGAAACTGCTCATGAAATCTGTTTTGTTCCAGTTTTTTTTTGTTTTTTTTTTTTTTTAATTTAAGAGACAGGGTTTTGCTACATTGGCCAGGCTGGTCTTGAACTCCCGGCCTCAAGTGATCCACCCGCCTCAGCCTCCCAAAGTAAGTTTTGTTCCAGTTCTCACTGTGGGTGGCTATCTCCTCACAGTGACTTAACACCTGCTTGTGAATTCCTGCAACTATGTAATTACAACATGGTTGACATGCAAAGAAATATGGCTTATGAGAATTTAAAAGAAAAATCAATGGCTTTATGTTTATTCATTAGCAGGTGAGACAATTATTTTTGAAACTAACTTTTTTTTTAAGATGCCAACAGCACTTTGGGAGGCCGAGGCAGGCAGATCACTAGGTCAGGAAATCGAGACCATCCTGGCTAACACAGTGAAACCCTGTCTCTACTAAAAATACAAAAAAATTATCTGGGTGTGGTGGTGTGCGCCTGTAGTCCCAGCTACTCAGGAGGCTGTGGCAGGAGAATTGCTTGAACTCTGGAGGTGGAGGCTGCAGTGAGCCAAGATTGCACCACTGCACTCCAGCCTGGGCAACAGAGTGAGACTCCGCTTCCAAAAAATATTTACAAGGGAGCTTTTCGAGAGAGATTCACCCTGTTTTAAACCAAAGTTAATACTATTCCTGTCAGTTTTTACAGCAAGACTTTAAAGCACTTGAATTCCAAGCACAAACCACACAAGACACAAATAGCATGGTGACAGGGCGAGATGAGACGGAGACGGGGCGAGAGACAACCTGCACATGCCCAGATGTGCCAGAGGGTCCCTGCCCGACCGGGCAGCCGTGGCGACTGCGAGTGGGCGGCTGTGTGCGCGTCGAGGTGCCTCTTGCCCTTACAGTCGTCGCCTGCAGGTGTGGTGACAGGCAGTGAGTGTGGCGGATTCACAAGCAAACTCTGTCCATCTCAGCCGTGCATAGCAATGGCAGTCTGTAGAAACTGGGAAACTCAATTACACACGAGACAGTCAACAATCAAAGCAAATGCGATCTGGTGGCTATGAGCTTCTGTGATGAGGGCTTAAGCAGCAGCTCCAACAGCCCGTCGTCATCAGTGAGGACCACCATGTCACACGGGCCGTTCATTCTCTACTGCTAGTACCCAACATGACAGCGTGTGGGACCAACTCCACGACCGACGCCCACAGGAAAACGAAGCCATACTTACACAGCGCTTCCCCATTTACACTGAGGTGGCCATCCTCTCTGAGAACCTCTCTCACATTCATTCTCCCATAGTAACTGGCATGAGCTGCAACACACGCAAAAGAGGCTTAGGGAACTCACCGACGCCAAGCTCAAGTGCTTCTCGCACCCTGATGAAGTCAACATGATCAGAGGATGTGCAAGGCTAGCCACTTCCACAGAGTTCCCACAGCCGATGGCTCCTACCACACAGGTGAATGCCGCTGACAGGGCCCGGGCCACGAGAAGAGACGTGAAAGGGCCCCCACCCTCTGGCTGAATCGTGTGTGTGGCCCAAACAATACAAAGATTGGCCTGCTTAAAATAGTTCTGGGTTGGGCGCAGTTGCTCAAGCCTGTAATCCCAGCACTTGGGAGGCTGAGGCGGGCGATCACGAGGTCAGGAGTTGGAGACCATCTTGGCTAACATGATGAAACCCCATGTCTACTTTAGTAAAAATGCAAAAAATTAGCCGGGCGTGGTGGCGTGCGCCTGTAGTCCCAGCTACTTGGGAGGCTGAGGCAGGAGAATCGCTTGAACCCAGGAGGCGGAGGTTGCGGTGAGCCGAGATCACACCACTGCACTCCAGCCTGGGCAACAAGAGTGAAACTCCGTCTCAAAAAGAAAAAAAGTTCTGAAAAAACAGGTTCTAAATACCACTCAGGTAAAGTTTTTGCTTTAAAAAGGTAATAAAAATCAAAAGTTGAGCACATTAACTTTTTGTTTAAGAAATAACTTTAAAGATGTTTCAACACTGATCAGCTCTGAGGGAACCAAACCACACACAGAACAAACGAAAAGTTCCACAAGCTCCCAGGGATGCAAGATCCAGAGGGGGAAGCCAGGAGAGAGCCAGCACCAAGACCACAGGAGGAGGCAGCGAGGGAGGCGCCTGGCGAGGAAAGTCACAGCACTTTCTCCACTGCGAAAGTGTGATTGGTGGAAAAAGGAGGGAAAAAATATTTAAATACCTTTTGATTCATGGCTTTTTGACTTATAGCTTTCGGATTCACAATCTTTTGATTCATGAGTTTTCAATTTGTAATTTTCTGATTCATAACTGAGCTTCATTAAAACCACTTGAAAAAGTTGAACTAAAAATGATGAAAAAGATGATGCAGTGTATCTGGCCAGCCACAAAATCCTATTCACGTAGAAAGACGCACCGCCTATTAAAAAACCATGAACATGCGTTATTTCTTCCCATAAAGCCAATATCTACTTCCTGATAAGTCAGGTAGCCAAATTATTCATTTCAGGCACTTTTAGAATGGACACCAAAGATAATCACTTGGGGAAGAGCCCAGCTGGCAGTGGACAGGGGACCCTGGAGAGGGTGCTGCGGAGCAACCCCCAGGGTACCCCGAAGACTGGACTGCAGAGTAACCCCCAGGGGATCCCGGAGAGGGTGCTGCAGAGTAACCCCCAGGGGATCCTGGAGACTGGACTGCGGAGTAACCCCCAGGGGATCCCGGAGAGGGTACTGCGGAGTAACCCCCAGGAGATCCCAGAGAGGGCGCTGCGGGGTAACCCCCAGGGGATCCCGGAGACTGGACTGCAGAGTAACCCCCAGGGGATCCCGGAGACTGGACTGCGGAGTAACCCCCAGGAGATCCCAGAGAGGGCGCTGCGGGGTAACCCCCAGGGGATCCCGGAGACTGGACTGTGGAGTAACCCCCAGGGGATCCCGGAGACGGCGCTGCGGGGTAACCCCCAGGGGAAGGCCGCCAACTCCGCTGGCGCACGGCGCTGCGGGGTAACCCCCAGGGGACCCCGGAGACTGGACTGCGGGGTAACCCCCAGGGGAAGGCCGCCAACTCCGCTGGCGCACGGCGCTGCGGGGTAACCCCCAGGGGACCCCGGAGACTGGACTGCGGGGTAACCCCCAGGGGAAGGCCGCCAACTCCGCTGGCGCACGGCGCTGCGGGGTAACCCCCAGGGGACCCCGGAGACTGGACTGCGGGGTAACCCCCAGGGGAAGGCTGCCAACTCCGCTGGCGCACGGCGCTGCGGGGTAACCCCCAGGGGACCCCGGAGACTGGACTGCGGGGTAACCCCCAGGGGAAGGCCGCCAACTCCGCTGGCGCACGGCGCTGTGGGGTAACCCCCAGGGGACCCCGGAGACTGGACTGCGGAGTAACCCCCAGGGGATCCCGGAGAGGGTGCTGCGGGGTAACCCCCAGGGGATCCCGGAGACTGGACTGCGGAGTAACCCCCAGGAGATCCCAGAGAGGGCGCTGCGGGGTAACCCCCAGGGGATCCCGGAGCCTGGACTGCGGAGTAACCCCCAGGGGATCCCGGAGACGGCGCTGCGGGGTAACCCCCAGGGGACCCCGGAGACTGGACTGCGGGGTAACCCCCAGGGGAAGGCCGCCAACTCCGCTGGCGCACTAGCAATCATCTACAGAGTACCCGAGCCGTGGCCACTTCACTCCAATGCTGTTCACACATACACTACGACATTCAGATACTGCCAAACAGCCATTTGCTTCGTACCTCTGACCCACCAGCTTAAGAATGGGACACTGGAGCACCAGAATCTCCTCCTTTGCTATTTATTATTTTTATTTTTAATTTTTTTTAGAGATAAGCTCTTGCTCTGTGGCCTAGCAGGGGCATGATCATAGCTCACTGCAGCCTTCAACTCTGGGCCTAAGTGATCCTCCTGCCTCAGCCGCCCAAGTAGCTGGGATTACAGGCGCTGGCCACCATGCCCAGCTGACGTTTTGTATTTTTTGTTGAGAAGAAGTCTCACTGTGTTGCCCAGGCTGGTCTCAAGCCTCCTGAGCTCAAGCGATCCTCCCACCTCAGCCTCCTGAGTAGCTGGAAGTACAGGCACATGCCACCATGCCCAGCTAATTTGTTTCTGCTTTTTTAGAGATGGGGTCTTGCTATGTTGCCCAGGCTGGTCTCAAACTCCAGGCCTCATGTGATCCTCCCACCTCCGCCTCCCACAAGATCTGGGATTACAGGCATGAGCCACAGTACCCAGCCTATTTTTTAATTTATTTATTTGAGACAGGTCTCACTCTCGCCCAGGCTGAAGTGCAGTGGTATGATCTCAGCTCACTGCAGCCTCAACCTCCTGGGCTCAAGCAATCCTCCTGCCTCTCAGCCTCCCAAGTAGCTGGGACTACAGGTACGTGCCACCTCTCACTTTAAAAGATACAATGTGTGTTGGGCTGGGCATGGTGACTCATCCCTGTAATCCCAGCACTTTGGGAGGCCAAGGTGGGCGGATCACAAGGTCAGGAGTTCAAGACCAGCCTGGCCAACATGGTGGAACCCCGTCTCTACGAAAAATACAAAAATTAGCCGGGCATGGTAGTGGGCGCCTGTAGTCCCAGCTACTCAGGAGGCTGAGGCAGGAGAATCGCTTGAGCCCGGGAGGTGGAGGTTGCAGTGAGCTGAGATCACATCACTGTACTCCAGCCTGGGCAACAGAGCAAGACTGCATCTCAAAAAACAAACAAACAAACAAAAAACTGTACAGGCATCAAAAAGAATAAAGTTAACCTCAATTAACATACAAAATGAAAAGAGATGCTAAACTGTGCATACACCGTGATGGCATTTCAGGAAAGACAAAGCCAGAACTGCACAGTCCTGCAGGTGCCTAGGAGAACCCCGGGACAGCCACGCAGCACCGGGGAGGCTGACGAGAACCCCGGGACAGCCACGCAGCACTGGGGAGGCCAACGACTCCCAAGCCGCACACGTTAATGGTTCATTTCATGTTATCTGAATTTTACCTCATTTTAAAAAGCGTAAGAATTCCCACTCAACTATTATCATTAGCAGTGGTTCCCCCAGGAGATGGATTGGGTGGGGGAAAAGGACTTATTTTATCTGTACTACTGAAAGACTTTACAGTGAGAATTACCATTAGTACATACATAAAAAACAAAAACAAACAAAATGTGGAGGGACAATTTATACTTAAGGAAAGCTATACTTATTTTAAGTAAATATGATTATGCAAACAATTCATGCAATCTGACTATAAGTATGCAGAGGGGAAATTTCTGGAAGTGTGTTTTTTTTTTCTGGTGTGGCAGCTTGTAGGTGATTTTTATTTTCTTCTTTGTGTCTGATTTTCCAATGTTCTTTGATAAACATGTTTTACTCTAATACAGGGCGATACACTAGTGTGGGCCGCACAAGTCCTGGCCTTTGTCTGAGAGGGCAAGGCAGGCGTGAAGCCCAGAAACCCCGCGGGAAGGATGGGGCTTGTTTTCTCCCCCAAAACACCCAAGACCGACATCCGCGGGGAGGCGCCACGACACCGACGTCCGAGGGGAGGCGCCATGAGTTTCGGGAAGCTACAATCCACACCACACCAACGCCTTTTCCATCTAAAGATACACTCAAACGCAAGGCTGAGCTTGGGCCCTGACCGCCAGCATACTGTCAGTCACAGAGAGACACACATTTACTACAACACGCGTAGGGAGACCTTCAGAAAACAGCACGTTTCGGTGGCTTCTCTCAATTATCTGTGAACCTCCTTATTCTGCCATAGTAGAGTGTATGGAATGTGCTTTTATTCTAAGAAAAATGTTATGTTCAACCTATCAATGGCATGCTTCAAAACACAGCCTCAATAAACACTGAATACACGGAATCCTTGTGCGCGTCGATTAAGCTACGCCACGGCTCACGTGCAGCACCCCCGGGGCCCTGGGGTGCCAAGTGCTCATGGAGGCAGGTGGCTAAGGGGGAGCACCTGGGTCAGACGCCTGGGTTCAGCTCCAGGCTCCCCCACCTACCTGCGAGCCTCCTGAGCTGGCTAAGCCCCAGTTTGCTTGTCTGTAATAAGGGGGCTGCCGTGATCACCCATGAACAGTGCCTGGCGCAGAGTGGCCGCTCAGCGGTGCTGGTCCACATGGAGGAACCCAAGCAGGCACCGTGCACAGTGCTGTGAGGGGAACCCACGTGCCGCCCCGCTCCCGCCACCTTTCCCGGCCCCTTTCACACTTTCTTATTGTGCTGTATTAACACTAGCAGTGTCCATAACACCACAGCAGACACAACCACAAGTGAGGGCCACGAAGACAAGATGGTAAAAACGAGATGCGAGAAATCTTAGGGCAGAAGCCTTCGTCCTGTCGCCATCCTTCATTATGTCCGGTCATTTGAATAATACTGGACAAACGCCCCACGTCCCGGGCAATGCCAGGCTCGGAGTGGATAAGACAGACCTGGCCCTGCCCTCCTGAGGCTTCCAGCACCTCCAGGCACAGCAGAACGTGAGCTCGAAGGACAAGCTGCTAAGGGCTTGAGAACCAGGCAGCACCCGGCCCGGCCGAGGGTCCCAGCCTCTTCCTGCTGCAGGTGAGAGAGATCCTGGGCCAGGCAGTCATGAAGGGCACAGAATCCCAGCCCCCCAGGGAATCCCAGTCCCGCCTGGAAGCCGCAAAGGGGCCTGTGGTTCTGTCTCTCCTGCAGGCCCAGGAGGAGGCCCCCCGCGGTGACACCCACACTCTTGCCCAGTCGCCTCTGAGGGAAGCCCATGTCCACATCAGGGGGTTTCCTGCAGTGACTGCTGCTGTCCCAGAACAAACCAGAGTCACGTGTGTCCTTCCCAGACCTACAGGTTCTCTGAAGGCCCCTCCATCACCATAAGCACAGGGCTAGCGACCACGGGAAATGTTTTCCCGACACGAACACTGGCATAACCACTCTTCACAGGACAGACCAGAGCAGCGTCCCAAAGCCACTCCTTCAGTATGTGTGAACATCTGTGCCGTTTTATAAAAATAAAGGTGTGCATCTGAAAGTGACTGTAGTTTTATTAGTTTCGCTTACGTAGAAATTTTCTTTTGCTCACGTCAAGTCCAAATTTATAGAATTTCAAATACTTTTAGGTACAAAATTACTAACCACATAAAATGTAAACTAGAAGAGGACAGGAAGGACAAAGCTGGTTTGGGGTGTACTTCTTATGCTTTCAAGGGATAATTTTAAGTCTCCAAGACAAATAGTGCAGACACTGAGACTTACAGAAAGGAAATATTAAATTTGGAAAACACACCTTTTTCTGAGTTTTAAAGGACTGAGACTTACATTTTTGATTCCTGTCCCTAGAATAAACTCTCGACACGGGCCCGGGGGCCGCGGGGTGCGCCGTGAGCACGTCCTTGCGCTCGGACAGCATGCTGCAGTTGCTGCAGGAGAAGCCGTTGTGCGCGGTGGCGGCGGCGGCTCCCACATCCCCGTTTCCCTGAATGGCAGCTTTATTTCCACCTAAAGTTTTCAAACAGTAGATGGAACCTGTTTATCACAGTCTGCAGATATTTAACTAAAACTTCTATTTTGAAAAGTATATGAAGATAAAAGGACTAAAATAATTACCTTTAAGATCACCATCATCATCAAGACCTAAAAAAAAAAACACACACACACACACATTTTTGCTGTTGAGCTCAGCTTATCAAATAAGAACAAAACCCATTAAAAAATGTAAAGGTTACAATGGTTAATAAATCAGCATTATGGCACTGGTCACAGTTTATTTCCTAAAATGCCTCCAGATATATGCAGATACCATCTTCTGACTGAAGGTGAAAGCTTATCCTTGAAGAAAATACAGACAGACGGCAGCACACACAGCACCTGGCCTAAGGAGGAAAGCAGAACATGAGGGAAGGAGAGGAAAGCCCATCTATCTTCTCACAGCCCGCTCAGCAAGGCACAAGCCTCAGCAGCAGCAGATGCCTCTCTGTTGCCTGGTAACCACTCTCACTAGCTGAGCAAAACAGAACAAACACCAATACCAAGGCTTCCCAAAATTAGCACATGTGATCTCTGGAACTAATCTGGATCTTCTAATTGTCTCAAAAGGGCCAACCAGAACATAAACCGAATGCAGATGAGCGGCTGGGCGCCCCTTACCATGCTTCCCTCTCCATGCACAGCCTTGGGACCCCATGCTCTCGCCAGCCAGGCTGGGGCTCCCACTGCCCAGACTCCACGTCAGCCAAGTCTGAGCGCCAGTGCCTCACCCTGCAGCATTCTCTAAGAACTCTCTAACCCTGGCTGCTTCACTGCTTAGAGCTTTCTTGGAAACACACTGAAGTTTTTGGATTGTCTTTGTTCAAACATCCTACAAAAGTAATGCATTTATAAAAACAGAGTTATAAGATTACTACCTGCTGCTTCATCTCCCCATTGGAACTAGTCACTACACGTTAGCATAACCCAATGACCACCCGACAAGGCGCACATGGAAGCAGCTTCCAAGGAGCGTCCTGATCAAGTCTGAGGACAAGCCTGGAACCTAACTGATGCTCCTACCAGCCAGTCACGCAGCAAACCCACAATGTGGCCACAGCCTCCCTCTCCCTAGCATAATCCATGCAAACCGACAACCTGGCCACCGCCTCCCCTCTCCCCAGCATAATCTGAGAAACACCCCAACTGTAGGCGGGACAATCTGTGTCTCGCAGGGACTCACCCCAGAAGTGGTCCACTGTGGTCTGTTCACGAATCCAAGACTCGTCCAATACAGGAGGCCGTCGAGTCACAGCATCCTGCAGGCTGACAGTGCCGCCGTGGCTGACGCCAGAGGACGTGACCTGCCTTGACACGTGGTTGATACTAAAAGCTGATTTGTTTGTGCTTCTGCGCTGTTTTGTTGTTCTAAGAAGAAAAAAAAACAGCAAGTTTATAGATCTTTTCTAGCAAATACAAAATGATTACATTTGACCAACACAAACTCTTAATCTGGGAATAAACAGCATTTTAAGGCAAACCATTTTCCTATGCCTTTTCTGCTGTAATGAATCAACTGTTAATATAAAAAAGGAATTTTTGAGCTGGGATCCAAGAACTCCCTCTAAAATTGTAAACACAAAATAGTTTCCAGGTTATTTTGGGCACCATGACCCCAAGTGGTTAAAAGCTAAAATAAACTAGAAATAAAAAAGATCTGAAAATAAAAACATCTGTGATTTATAAATTTAATCCTCCCCTTTTCTAAAAACGATTTCTAAGTTGCTGGTAAAGATGGAATTGTGTTAAGTACAACAAGAATAGGTAGTCATGGCCAGGCGCGGTGGCTCTCACCTGGAATCCCAGTACTTTGGGAGGCCGAAATGGGCAAATCACGAGGTCAGGAGATCGAGACCATCCTGGCCAACACGGTGAAACCCCATCTCTACTAAAATACAAAAAATTAGCCGGGCGTGTTGGCGGGCGCCTGTAGTTTCAGCTACTCGGGAGGCTGTGGCAGGAGAATGGAGTGAACCTGGGAGACAGAGGTTGCAGTGATCTGAGATCACGCCACTGCACTCCAGCCTGGGTGACAGAGCCAGACTCCGGCTCAAAAAAAAAAAAAAAAATAGGTGGTCATAGGCCAGGTACGGCGGCTCACACCTGTCATCCCAGCACTTTGGGAGGCTGGGGCAGGCGGATCACCTGAGGTCGGGAGTTCAAGACCAGCCTGACCAACATGGAGAAACCCCATCTCTACTAAAAATACAAAATTAGCTGGGCATGGTGGCACATGCCTGCAATCCCAGCTACTCGGGAGGCTGAGGCTGGAGAATCGCTTGAACCTGGAAGGCAGAGGTTGCGGTGAGCCAAGATCGCGCCATTGCACTCCAGCCTGGGCAACAAAAGCGAAACTCTGTCTCAAAATATAAGGGCCAGGCGCAGTGGCTCATGCCTGTAATCCCAGCACTTTGGGAGACCAAGACAGGTGGATCACGAGGTCAGGAGATCGGGACCATCCTGGCTAACACGGTGAAACCCCGCCTCTACTAAAAATACAAAAAATTAGCCAGGCATGGTGGCGGGCACCTGTAGTCCCAGCTACTCGGGAGGCTGAGGCAGGAGAATGGCGTGAACCCAGGAGGCGGAGCTTGTGGTGAGTCGAGATTGCACCACTGCACTCCAGCCTGGGAGACAGAGTGAGACTCCGTTTCAAAAAAAAAAAAAAAAAAAAGAATAGATGGTCAAAAAATAATTTCTGCATTCATATTGACCACAAATGACAACAGGAAAGCCATCAGATGAAAACACCCTGTGAATGTTACCACCGTCAGGTAGGGGGAACCCAGGACGATGAACAAGATCCTCCCCTTCGAAGGAAGCTTGGGAGGCCAAAGGCAGCAGTGACACCCGGCAGAGGGAGGACGACGGCCACAGGAGCGTGGCGCGGCAGAGCGCGGCGTGGCAGTACAGCTGCAGCACACTTGCTCTCCACGCCACTGGGAGACGGAGACTGGGCTGCTGTGCGACCCTGGTAACTGGGTGCTTGACACGGAGCTACCCAATGGGATCTGCTGGTCCTCAGCTGCATCATGAACTCACACCCTGCATCTCCAAGGGTGAGGCTGGGAATCGAACTCTTTGCGCAGTGAACTCCCTAGATGACTGTGGTGCCTGTGGAAGCCACCGGCTGGGAGTGGCTGTTCAGATCCCAGGCAGTTCTCCACCCATCAACCATTCCGCCATCGCTCTTAACAGCCACCGTCTTCCTTCTCGAGAGAAAGATGACTGGAACGGAAGCTCTTATTCTTACATGAGCAACATAAAGCTGTCACTTTTATTATCCCTAAATGGCACAAAGATCTTGTAGACTTTTGTTCCTTCTCTGCACAGAAGTGGGCACGTGGAGAGTTCAGAGATCAAATGAACTCGACGAACGCAAATATAGGTAAATAACCTAAACTTTATGTATTTGTCAGTTAACACACAGATTTTTAATAAAGACCTAAAGAATGAACTGGGCCGGGCGCAGTGGCTCACGCCTGTAATCGCAGCACTTTGGGAGGCTGCAATGGGCGGATCACCTGAGACCAGGAGTTCGAGACCAGCCTGGCCAACATGGTGAAAACCGCGTCTCTACTAAAAATACAAAAATTAGCTGGGCGTGGTGGTGGGTGCCTGTAGTCCCAGCTACTCGGGAGGCTGAGGCAGGAGAATCTCTTGAACCCGGGAGGCAGAGGCTGCAGTGAGCCAAGATCACGCCACCACTGTACTCCAGCCTGGGCAACGAAGTGAGACTCTGTCTCAAAAAAAAAGGAAAATTTGCCAGGCGTGGTGGCGGGCGCCTGTAATCCCAGCTACTCAGGAGGCTGCGTGCAGTAGAATCGCTTGAACCCGGGAGACAGAGGAGGCAGTGAGCTGAGATCGTGCCACTGCATTCCACCCTGGGCGACAGAGCGAGACTCCGTCTCCAGAAAAAAGAATGAACTGGACACGGAGATCGTCCACGACAGCATGTGTAATCTGTAAGATTCCTTCCTCTTTACACATGTGGTAGGACAGCTGTAGCTGAGCTCCCACCACAGGACCACAAAGCTTCCAGACCTGAGTGCTGGCACTGCACGTGGCGTGCACCAGCGAAGAGAACTTGAAACAAGAACAGCAGAACATCAATACTAGACAAGCCACACAGATTCCAGAGTTCCTTTCAGTCTTTATTTGCAGCAAACTACCACTTTATATGACAGGTTTGTGTGTCTGTACACGCACATACACACACATATCCTTAAGCTCGAGACAGGGTGCGGCTTTACAGACCAAAAAGTATGGAAGCTTGGTTTTAACTGGTGTTAGAGATCAGATGGAGAGGAAGTGCAGCGGTGCTCACCTGGCCGCTCGGTTCTTCAGGGAGACAGCGCTGCTGGTGCCGCTGTCGGCACCCACAGCCTCACCATCCCCCAGGGTGCATGCTGTCGTGGCCAGGCGCAAACTACGGCGGGACATCCGTGGAGAATCAAATACAGGGTCCAATTTGTGCTCCGTCTCAAAATCCAGAGCATCTGAAGAATAGCTGGAACTAGAAGGAAAAAGCTCATCAGAGGTAAGCAGTGCTTATAGCCCCCATTCTGAAACAAAATGAACAAACCATAAACTGAAAGTGCAATGTACTGTGGATTTTCAAGAGCAACTATTACTGGGTGACAACCTCACTCTAAAGCAAACGTACGGTGGCACACAGGTCAGCCAGCATGGGCTCCTGACATCTGCCCCAGCCACTCTTCCTTCACATCAGATGTAGGACAGCACATTCCCAGATGCTGGGGCCCAGCGTCTACAACTCACCCTAAGAACTGCTTGAGGGCATATGCTAGAGCCCTGAGTCCCCACCTACGTCCTTGCTATAAACACATCAGAGTGTGTTTCCTCGTCAACACTACGCGGACGTGAGATTTAATCCAATACACCAGTGCGCCGTAGAATGAATCCACGCAGGAGAGGAGGCCAAGTGATCGGGCCGTCAATGCTCCCCTTCTAAATTTAGAATTTATCTAAAGGCTTCAGACAATTCACAACTGCTTTGAGCCTGTGACCAAAAGACAGTCACTTCCAATACCTTCCATATAATTATTCAACTAATGTAATTAAATAAAAAGATGAGCCAGGCACAGTGGTTCACGCCTGCAATCCCAGCACTTAGGGAGGCCTAGGCAGGAGGATTGCGTGAGCCTGGGAGTTTGAGGCTGCAGTGAGCTATGACTGTGCCACTGCACTTCAGCCTGGGCAACAGAGCTAGACCCTGTCATACGTTCATGACCAACAGTAAGTTAATACAAACTGCTTTGAGTCACTACACACAATTTAAGAAAGAGGTTCTTCTTTAACTTAGAGGCTGAGGTGGGGACAAGAGAGAGACTGCACTAAGCTATGTTGAATGCTGATGACTGTTATGAAGCCAGACAGAATTTCAGTGTCATCTCAAGAAGGGTTTGTTTCTAGCAGAATATTTTACACAATTGTGATTCTAGTTTAAGAAAACCTGTGAACCCAGCCACCATCCATAACATGGTTCCTACAGACAGGTATGCCCAGAGCCCTGCAGGAGGACACCAGTGTCCAGTGGAGACAGGAGGACACGGATGCTGGCCCAGCACCATCCCAGGAATCAACACAGCCCAGTAGGCTATCGTATTAAAGCACTTTATTACCTTTTCTGCAATGTTTGGGGGAACATAAAATTTCAAACGGAGGTCTCCAGTCTAGGATTAGAGAGAATTAAGTAACAGAACAAGGAGACAAGACTGACAAAAACTCTGAAGATAAGAGATCTCACCTTTAAGACCACTAGGCCTTAACGTCTCTCTCTGATTAGTTATGCACTGTTCTTTTAAAAATGTGTTATTTAGATGTACTTTGTATCAAAAGATTGAAAAAAATTGACTCCAATTGAAAACCAGAGACAGATACCAAGCATCCCTGGACCCACAGCACCTGCCCGACAAAGGCACACGAGGTTAACTCAGCTCAGGGGAGCCGGACCAAAAGCGGCACAGTCCACGTGTCTGAGACTGACGTGCTTCAGACCGCTGCTCAGAGTGTGACGGCTGTGCCCTGACACCGACTCCAGCCACAGACCCCGGCTCGCCCCAGCTCTTCCAGCCACGGAACCCTGCTCACCCCAGCACTTCAGAGCCTCCGCAACCAGGGCTTCAGCTCACGAGGGTTCCCCAGCCCACTGTCCTGCTGCCCCAGGGGGCCTGGCACTCTCCCTGCCAGGACAGGGTGGGCCTAGACGCTTTCTCCCAAGCTCACCATGTTGCAGGTGTGAGTGCGTCATGATTCGCAGTCCCCAGGTCCTCAGGCCATCCATGCGTCGGGGGCCATGTGTGCCCAGCCCTCAATGGCCTTCTCAGACCCCCTCCATCCGCCCCACGTCTGACGTCACCACCTCCTTCCCTCCAGCTCTCGGTCTCTGTCAGAAATGCCCTGCATTTTTCTTCCCAGAAAAGCCAGATGCCATCAGAAAACTGCCTCCTCCTTGACCGCGCCCATCCTTTCCCTCTGCAGGGGTTACCTGCATGTGTCAACCTGACTGGGCCTTGGGCGCTCAGATATTTGCTCCAACATTATTCTGAGTGTATCTGTGAGGTTATTTCTGGATGACAGTAACATTTAAATTAAAACACTAGGAAAGCAGACTGCCCTCCAGTCAGCTGAAGGCCTGGACAGAACACGAAGGCTTCAGTAAGAAGGAGCTCCTCCTGCTGGACAGCCTGGACCTGGAACGCCAGCTACAAACTGCCTTCAGACTCAAACCAGAACATGAGCTCTTCCATGAGCCAGCTGACCTTCAAACTGGAACTATACCGTGGTTCTCCTGGGTCTTGGGCCTCTGGACTTGGCCTGGAACTTACACCATCGGCTGCCCTGAGTCTCCCCTTGCCAACTCAACCTGAAGATCTTGGGCCTTGCCAGCCTCCATGAGCCAATTCCGCATAATCAATCTATTCCTATGCACCTATTCATACGTTTACTCATGTTCTACCCTGACACACCCTTCCTGCCTGCTGCGATGGAAAAGTAATCCCGAGCCAAGCCTGCGTGCTCTGGATGGAGTTCCTCCTTCCCTCCTCTCTCTCTGCAGGAGGCCCTTCCTCGTTCTCCTACATCTTCAGCTTCTCTACTGGCTCCTGACCACCAGCATCTAGACACACGCTTGGCTCAGCCCACGGTAAAAAACAACTTCCCCTCAAAGCCACGCCTCTCCACCTCCCCCAGCAGCCGACAGGTTGCAGCGCCGGCTAGTTTCGGCTCGCTCCTTGCCCCGTGGAGGCTCTGAAGCGGCTTCTGCCAGGCCCCCCGGCCTCCATGGCTGAGTTGCCCCTTCTTCCCGCCTGTCCAGCAGCATCTGCCCCTGCTGACAAGTCCCCCATTCTGGAAACTCTCTTCTTTCGGCTTCCACAGCCAACACCCCCATGAGAGGCTGGATGGTGGGACCCTCATGTCTCCAGCCCCCCTGGATCTGAGCATGGGCAGCAGCACGTTGGTTCCGAGGGCTCCGGGAAACATCCTCCTCTGACCCTGAAGTTCAAGGCAACCATCACCAATGGCTGGATTTTACTGCGGGTGGGTCAAGCTGACAACATCCATCAGCCTCAGCGCTAACAGAGGAGACACGTCAGACAGCACAGACTCAAGCTGTGACAGGGAGCAACATCCCGTAACACCATCTGTCACAGAGTCACGCCAATGAAGAAAGAAACCAAAGAATGACTGCACTTCCAGACTTAACTACCAGTTGACAAGAATTACAGATTGAGATTTAAGAGGGAAATCACCCAATGTAACATGAGGATCCTGTTTAGGCTAATTTAAAAAAAAATTAATTGTGAAAGAGAAAATTCAAGGATCTGGGATATTGGAACACTGACTAAATACATTAAGAAGCCCTTTTAAATGACTGGGATGATAGTGGTATTTGGGTTATTTTAAATATATCATTATCTTTTAGAGACTGGCTTTAAAGAATCCAGTGAAGTTCCAGGGGAAGTTGAGAGTAAGTGTTCGGGCCCACCCTGTCCCAGTGAGGAGAGTGCCAGGCCACTGGTGCAGGACAGCGGGCTGGGGAACCCGTGAACTGAAGCACCAGTCGCAGAGGCTCCGAAGTGCTGGGTGGGGGCGGAAGACCCGCATGCATCACTGGCGAAGCCAGTGGCCGGCAAATGGGCTTGTCACTATTCTCTCAACCTGCATATTATCATTTTCCAAAAGAGAAAAAAAATTTTATTTTGTTTACTTTTTGAGACAGAGCCTCACACCGTCTCCCAGGCTGGACTGCAGTGGCGCGATCTCAGCTCACTGCAACCTCCACCTCTTGGGTTCAAGCGATTCTCCTGCCTCAGCCTACCAAGTAGCTGGGATTACAGGAGCCTACCACCACACCCAGCTAATTTTTGTATTTTTAGTAGAGACGGGGTTTCACCATGTTGGCCAGGCTACTCTCGAACTCTTTACCTCAAGTGATCCACCCGCCTCAGCCTCCCAAAGTGCTGGGATTACAGGCGTGAGCCACTGCGCCTGGCCCCCAAAAGAGAAAAAAAATTTAATTAAAGAAAGTGAGTGGCCAGAATGCTGGACTATCCTTTCAGTGTTTACTGAAATTGCTAAGAATCAAGACAAGGGTAGTGATGGAGACAGAAAGCCATCAGGAACGGCCGCTCCACCTTCCAGCTGTGCGGGGAGGGCTGCAAGACAAGGGGAACTTTCAGAAAAGAGGTCAGGGCTACGAGGAGCCAAAGGAAAGGAAGCAGAGAAGAGTGTAAGGACCCAACGCAAGGCCGGCCAGCTGAGGTGGCAAGGTCTGCGGGAGGCCAGCCCAGGACCAGGAGGACCCAGGCACTGATGTCCAGACCAGCCCTGAGGCCCCCACCTCCAGTCTCCGGCTGTGCTCCACGGGCCTCCACTCAGGTGAGGCGGCTGGTCCTTCCCTCTGGTCCTGATCCAGAGCTGGACCTCCCCGAGGCACTCCGGCCATCTCCTGGACAGCCCCTGACCTCTATCCTGCAGCAACCTCAGAGAGCCCCCCACCTTTAAATCCTTTCAGGAGTTCCCAGTGCCCGAGAGTCCAAATTCCCAGCCCAGCCTACACCATCCGGCCAGCCCCTGCCCACCAAGAGTCTAAATTCCCAGCCCAGCCTACACCATCCGGCCAGCCCCTGCCCACCAAGAGTCTAAATTCCCAGCCCAGCCTACACCATCCAGCCAGCCCCTGCCCACCAAGAGTCTAAATTCCCAGCCCAGCCTACAACCACTCCGGCCAGCCCCTGCCCACCTTCCCTCTGCATTTCCCACTCCAGCTGCCACAGAGGTCTGCCCACAGGTCTCACTGAAGGAAGGCTGTGAATTTCAGTGAAATTAAGTGTTGCTCTCCCAAGGTAAAGAAACAGAGGCATTTTAAAAACTCTATTAAAATAGGTCAGAAAAGCAAAAATAAGTGACCACAAATCACTGTTTCATGCTGCACGGTCTGAAGGAAGCAGCAGTCTCCCCTGAGCTGGCCTGCCCGTTCTGTTCTCACCACTACAGGACTCTTAGAAAACAGAGTGTGTTGCTATGGAAGTGTGATGGACCTAGAACTGTGAATTAAAAACTCGATCATCGAATGTGAGCTCTGACTAATGCTGGTAACAAGTATTTTTCTTAAAATATTTTCTAATTTTCTTACAGTTTCCATTACATTTTCACCCTTTAGAGGATAACCCACTGAGACCGGGCACGGTGGCTCACGCCTGGAATCCCAGCACTTTGGGAGGCCGAGGTGGGTGGATCACCTGAGGTCAGGAGCTCGAGATTGGCCTGGTCCACATGGTGAAACCCCATCTCTATTAAAAATACAAAAATTAGCTGGGCGTGGTGGCGCACGTCTGTAATCCCAGCTACTCCAGAGGCTGAGGCAGAAGAACTGCTTGAATCTGGGAGGCGGATGTTGCAGTGAGCCGAGATTGCACCACTGCACTCTAGCCTGGGCGACGGTGAGACTCTGTCTCCAAAAAAACGAAAAAAAAAAAAAAGGATAAGCCACTGAAAAAAATTACACAAGCATTTTCCTGGTGCCTTAAACATCTGCTGGGTGCACAAGTTTTCCAACCTGCTGATCAAATCCGGGCCCGTCTAGCTGTGTACCTTCCCTTGCTGCTGACCCGTAATGTCATCAAACGCAAACTTCGTTTCAGTCGCTCTTTCTACTTGGAAAACTGAAAGCAGAAGGGGCAGGGCAGCGCCTCTTCAGACTCCAATGTCTTGGTTCAGTGGATCGGAATATGAATAAAAGCAGAAAACTCCGCCTCAGACAAAAGTTGTGTTCTCAAAACCCTGAGCTTCAACGCTGTTCTATGATGTTTCCTTTGAAATGGGAAATAATTTTCCAGGTTATTTCTGTTAACTTAAAAATACCAAGCCACTGATACGTTCTCACAAACACCAGGCATCACCACAGAGACATCTTCTCAACATCACAACCACCTGGGTGGGGTCGAAGCCAGCAAGCCATGTGCGATGACTAACCACCCAGTCACCAGGATGAACAGATTCAGTTTACCTTAAAGCCGTAAGAAAAAACCACCTCTAAAGCCATAAGATACAGTTTATTATTTTTTTTCACCTTCAAAATACAGCATGTAGTCGGTAGTACTATGGAGTTCCTGTTAAGGTCCACGCCACCGCGACAGCGAGTGGGCATTGCAAGGCCAGGACCCCACGTGCAGGTGCACACTCACCTGAGCGCATACGTGTAGCCCGTGTTCTCCGGCACACACTGGGGAGGACTGTACATGTGAAGCCGAGAAAAATCCATGTTCACCACTTCAAACCATACTGCAGAGGGCGGGAAAGAAATGCAGAGTGTTTTAACGGGCAGGAAATCGAGCGCATTCCTGTCTCAGTCAACCTGAGCTGCCTACACGCAACTCAACTCAGGTCACCCTCAAAACTCACAGGAAACACGGCCAGCAGCAGTGTTTTCTAAACAGACGAGACAAGTGTTTCCATAGTTACAAGCCCAGGAACACTTCTATCATAATCTAGTCCCCTCATATATCCTGAGAAAAAGACCAGGGGAACCCTAAAGTGGCTGACTCGTGAAACCAGGGGCACCTTCCAAGAAACACGGAGAGAAACTCAGAGCTCTCTTCAAGATGTGTTTTTAAATCCTCACTGTGTCAAAATGTTCTCGGTCTTCTGAAATCAGTTTTTATTTTACTAACTAAAATAGAACTACCTGCTACAGCGTGGTCAAGCAGCAGCGTATGCGTTCCTAGATGGCTGAAGCTCTCACAAGCATCTCAGAATCAGAAAAGAAACTGCAGGGTGAATAACAAAAAAGCTTAAGGCACTATTTACACTTTTTTCCTCACCAAAAAACAGGATATTTTTTAGGTTAGAAAGTGTTGAGTATATTGTTTCTCAGGTTGTCATCTAGATTTATTTGGAATGACTCATACTTTCCTCTGGCTAAAAATACTCACATGCACACACCCTGACTTTCAAAAAGTCCTCGTAGAAGCAATGTGAATCACAGTCGGCTGCTGAAATATCTGAGGGAGATATAACTAAAAGAACCTCCTGGACAAAAGACACTTTTGTACAAATAACTGAGCTCCATAAACCAAGCCAAAAGTACTTTAATTCATGCTACCTTCTTTGAAATAAAGTATCACAGAAATAAAGACCATTGTTTACATATAAAAATTGTACTACACCTACAAGTATCGACAAGCATGATGAAACTCCTGCATTTTAAAACATGTTTCGGCCGGGTGCGGTGGCTCACGCCTGGAATCCCAGCACTTTGGGAGGCCGAGGTGGGCGGATCACGAGGTCAGGAGATCGAGACCATCCTCGCTAACACGGTGAAACCCCGTCTCTACTAAAAATACAAAAATTAGCCAGGCGTGGTGGCGGGCACCTGTAGTCCCAGCTACTCGGGAGGCTGAGGCAGGAGAATGGCATGAACCCGGGAGGCGGAGCTTGCAGTGAGCCGAGATCGTACCACTGTACGCCAGCCTGGGTGACAGAGCGAGATTCCATCTCAAAAAAAAAAAAAAAAGCACGTTTCAAAACTCTTGTTCTTTCCAGGGACACCCAGCCCAGCGTCCGACCCAGACACAGGCTCGGCAAGTCCAGTTCACACTTGCTCGGCATTCCAGGAACTTACGCTTCAACAGCCTTTTGCAAATAAAACTAACTGTGATCACTTAATCCACGTAATAGTTAATACCTGTTTAACTGTCTCTCTCCCACCTGTCTACCTACTTTAACCAACACCTAAATCTAGATTCAACCCACACGCAGAGGAGCCCGGCACAGGACAGGGCCTTGGCCTGGATCCAATGTAGGCTACCCTCCACCTATACACCATGCCTGGGCTCCTGAGGTGCGCAGGCCTGCTCTGGCAGCTTCTGCAGAACCCAGCCCCGCCCAGCAGCAATGCAACAATGGGCTCTGCCTGCACTGCCGAGCAACAACCCAAAGCTGGGCTCAGCGAACGCCCACTCCCGCTATACCCTGGGGGACACTGGGCTAACTCAGTGCTATGGACACCCACTCCCGCTCCCACCCTGGGGGACACTGGGCTAACTCAGTAGTTCTATGGACATCCACTCCTGCTCAGATGTTGGGCTAATTTAGCAATAAGGCCATTAGGGCAGCCAGGCCAGAGAAAAGCAAAGCAAGGAAGATGGGGATGGTAGGGAAAAGAGGTCACACTCCAGGTTCAGCAGGTGCTGAGGAAGTGAGGATGTGGAGTCTGTGATTACAGACCCTTAATCTGTCTTCATCATTCTGATTTCACTTTCATAATCACGTGAATTTTAAGTTTATGTTCCCCAGTAAAATGCATCTATGTACAAAATATGCGGAATCTATCATTTTCTCTATTTCCTAACACTTTGAAACGAGGTAACAGGGTTCCTTACCCACCCTGATGCAGTCCCCGCGTAATGACACCTGTCCAGGATCTAGGGAAATGTCCTGGCCATTATCTCTCAGCCTAGAAAATAACCCCACCCTGACAAGCGCCGAAGCCCAGGCTCATGCCAAGCAGAACCTTGCGAGGCAGCGGCAGCAGAGGCTGTGACAATGTGCCCCAGCGTCCCCAAGGCAGGTGCTCTGCGCTCTCCCACATGGGCCACAGGCCTGCTGCCAGGTGAGAGGCTCCCAGAGCTCCCCAACTCCCCTCCCCACCCTGCAGTCTCATTCACTCCCTCCTTCCTCCTTCCCCCTTAACAGACCACGACACGGATCATTTTAAATTTGGAAATGGAAGATTTTAAATTTCATCCTTAGTCCTTTACGAAATCAAATATTAAATTATAGGATAAAATAAAATGAAGTCAAAAAAGGATTAAATGAAACTGTGTACCTCAGGCAATGCCTGACAGGTGACAAGCACTCAGGCGTCAGCTGCGGTTATTTTGAAGAGTAAAGCGATATGGCCGATGTTTTAAATTTTAAAAAAGAACAGTTATGGCCGGGCTCGGTGGCTCACGCCTATAATCCCAGCACTTTGGGAGGCCGAGGAGGGCAGATCATGAGGTCGAGAGATCGAGACCATCCTGGCTAACACAGTGAAACACCGTCTTTACTAAAAATACAAAAAGTTAGCTGGGCTTGGTGGCGGGCGCCTGTAGTCCCAGGTACTCGGGAGGCTGAGGCAGGAGAATGGCATGAACCTGGGAAGCGGAGCTTGCAGTGAGCCGAGATAGCGCCACTGCACTCCAGCCTGGGCGACAGAGCGAGACTCCATCTCAAAAAAAAAAAACAAAAAAAAAAACCAGTTATTTTTCTTCTGGGTGTGCAATTCCTGAGACAAAAGATTTGTTCACCCTACCCTAAATGAAAGGCAAAGGTCCACCGATGAGCCCTACAGCTAGGACTCAGCCAGCAGGCGGGAGCCCCCAGCCCTTGCACTGCTCGCCGGCACACCTGCAGGCAAAAGCATGGTTCTGAGACCAGCTCTACTGACCGCCAAAGAGTACTCAGCATTTTCACAACACCATTCCCAGTCTCCATTACATCGCTGCTAATTAAAACTGAAATGTAACATTAGAGCCTTCCCATGTGAAGAGGAGGCTGCCTCGGTCACCTGTCTGAGAGACTCAAGGGAGATGTTTTTTGCATTTATAATCTGATCAGTAACCACACAGTAAGTGAAAAACGGATCCAGCATGTTTTCAATGGCATCAGAAAAACCTGGAAAGAATCTGAAGTTGACATTCTGCATAGATGTGCGGTCTGCAGGCGTGATGCTCCTGCTGGCATCTGTGCCTCCCTGGCTGCCCTGCCCTGAGTGTCATGCCTGGCATGGCTTTGGGAGAGTTGTGTTCCACACGAGTGTGTGTCCCTGGCCTGGTGGAAGGAAACGGACTAACTGGTACCCAGCTTTGTGCAGGATGCTGAGAATAGGAGCTGGGCCTCAGAAAGCCCTGGACATGGGTTCTCAGGCTGGCCGGCTCAGCACAGGTGTGCACAGAGGGGACTGTGGGAAGATCCCTGCTGGTCCTCCTACGAGATGGCTTCTGGAGGATGGACGGGTGGAGAGCCATCGACACTAGAGAAGCACACACCTCAGGAGACAGCGGCCAGGGATGCCTGTCACCCAGACAAAGTCTCTCCCTTTTATCTTGTGTTTGCTGGTGGCCAAGAGAGCTTACAAGCTCACAAAAACAGGAAAAGTAGAGGGCTTCTGTTAAGGTTGCAAACTTTGGTTTCAAACCTACGGCTTAGGTTTCTTTACAAATATATACATCCAGCCGGGCATGGTGGCTCACACCTGTAATCCCAGCACTTTGGGAGGCAGAGGCAGGCAGACCACCTGAAGTCAGGAGTTCGAGGCCAGCGGGGCCAACATGGTGAAACCCCGTCTCTACTAAATATATAAAAATTAGCTGGGTGTGGTGGCGGGCGCCTGTAATCCCAGCTACTCAGGAGGCTGAGGCAGGAGAACTGATTGAACCCAGGAGATGGAGGTTGCAGTGAGCCAACACAGCACCACTGCACTCCAGCCTGGGTGACAGAGTGAGACTCTGTCTCAAAAAACAAAACAAAACAAAAACAAAAAACAAAAACAAAAACAAAAACATACATATATATCCTAGCAGGGTTTTAAAATTAGATAAGGCCAGGTGGGGTGGCTCATGCCTGTAATCCCAACACTTTGGGAGGGCGAGGTGGGTGGATCACCTAAGGTCAGGAGTTCGAGACCAGCCTGGGCAACATGGTGAAACCACCCCTCTATTAAAAATACAAAAATCAGCCGGGTGTGGTGGTGCGTGCTTGTAATCCCAGCTACTCGGGAGGCTGAGGCACGAGAATCACTTGAACCAGGAGGCGCAGGTTGCGGTGAGCCCATATTTCAGCGCATTCCAGCCTGTGACAGAGTGAGACTCTGTCTCAAAAAAACAAACGAACAAACAAACAAAAACTACGTAAGTTATACTAGGTTTCTCTTTTAATACCATTTACCTTTTACAGTATATAATTTATATTATATGGTAGACACGAAAATATACAGCTCAGTTTTTTTTCTTGAATGCTTTGGTAAAAAATGGATTTTAGGCCAGGCACGGTGGCTCACGCCTGTAATCCCAGTACTTTGGGAGGCCAAGGTGGGAGGATCACAAGGTCAGGAGATCGAGACCATCCTGTGAATGGTGAAACCCCATCTCTACTAAAAATACAAGAAATTAGCCGGGCGTGGTGGCGGGCACCTGTAGTCCCAGCTACTCGGGAGGCTGAGGCGGGAGAATGGCGTGAACCCGGGAGGTGGAGCTTGCAGTGAGCCGAGATTGCGCCACTGCACCCCAGCCTGGGGGACAGAGCGTGACCCCATCTCAAAAAAAAAAAAAAAAAAAAACGGACTTTAGATTTTAGTCCTACTCTCCATATCACTTGAGTCTACTATTCAGAATATCTGTACTAATCTAGTAATAATCCAGAGAACATGGTTGAAAAATCTTCATACAAGGCTGAAAACAGAACAAAACTAAATGGGTCTGGCCAGGCACAGTGGCTGACACCTATAATCCCAGCACTCTGGGAGGCCAAGGCGGGCAGGAGGATCACTTGAGGTTAGGAGTTTGAGACCAGCCTGGCCAATATGGTGAAACCCCGTCTCTAGCAAAACTACAAAACTTAGCCGGGCGTGGTGGCACGTGCCTGTAGTCCCAACTACTTGGGAGGCTGAGGCATGAGAATTGCTTGAACCCGGGAGGCAGAGGTTGCAGTGAGCTGAGATCTGCCGCTGCACTCCAGCCTGGGTGACAGAGCGAGACTCCATCTCAAAAACAAAAACAAAAAACAAACCTTGAGTGTTCTGAAATAAAATCAACACACCATCTTTTCTCAGGAAATGCTATCAGCTCTAAAGAAAACTGGAAAAGGCAAACTTTAAAACCTGCAGGCAGCACTTCCCTTCAGCCTATAAACAGCAACCGTCAATACCGAGTTGATAATTATTTTCTACGAAACACTCATGAACAATGGGATCTCCTGCAAAGGCACCGTTTACAGACATTAGCACAATGCACAGGCTGCATTTCCTGTGCCCCAGCGTTGGTCACTGACGATGTGGACTAACACTGAGAGGGAGCCCAGTGAGACGCAGCGTTCCCATCAGAAACCGTGGGGAACCTGCCCACACGGATCCCGCAAGCCTTGGTTTAAAATGGCAGCCTACCTCCTGAAACAACAGTCACACCTACGACTCAAACCTGCAAAACTCTGTCAGTCTATCACTGATCCACGGGGGGACACACAGGCCCCTCCTCCCAGAGCGCCATCTGCCACAAGCCCCACGTCCACAGGGACACCCAGAGCTGCAGCCCCCGGCCTCGGCAGGGCCTACCAGCAGTGGACGCCTGCTCCACCCGGCTGGGCAGCGATGTTTCGCCAGATCCTTCCCTCAGGGACCTTCCCGAGAGACACCGAGCGGGGCATGATGAGCACACAGGCGCACACACACAGACACACATGCTCGCTCAATCCTCATCTTCGCTCATCCTTAAGCACCCCAGACCAGGGTTGTCAAACGGCAGCTAGCCTGACATCAGGCAGTTCGTTTCTTTGTTCTTTCTTTCTTATGTATGTATTTTAAGAGACAGGGTCTCATTCTGTCGCCCAGGCTAGAGTGCCAGGGGCGTGATCACAGCTCACTGCAGCCTCCATCTCCTGGGCTCAAGCCTCAGCTTCCCACAGTGCTGGGACCACAGGGGCGCGTCACGGCACCTGGTTAATCTTTTTATTTTCTTAGAGACAGGGTCTCCCTATGTTGCCCAGGCTGGTCTTGAACTCCTGGCCTCAAGCGATTTTCCTCAGCCTCCCAAAGTTCTGGGATTACACGTGTGAGCTACCATGCCCAGCCCGGTTTGTTTCTTAAGTCCACTGTAAATAATTATTTAAAACTAAAATTCTGGAAAAAAAAAAACCAGTACTAAATGTTAACATAATTATCGTCCTTAGATCTTCATATTATTGAAAGTAAATAATGTAGAGACTAATAAAAACATTATTTTTCCTGCAGATTAAAAAATAAAAAGAAACTGTCTTAGAAATAGATGTTTTCCAAAGATCATGCTCATGTAATTACTTCTACAACATAATAAACAAGAATTGGCATTGCATCTCCAATTTCATTTAGAGGAAGAAAAACAACTGTTGGTTTATGAAAACCGGATGATTTACCCTGACTGAGAATCCTTAAAAATGAACTGATTATTCAAAACAACAAATCAGAAATAAATGACTACAACCTAAAAATATTTGAAAGGGCTGTATGCCACATATTTTATACACGCATACACACAAGTGAACACGCTTTTAGTACTTCTCGAAAAATAACACTAGATTTGAGTAAATTCGGGCGGATGGAACTTCTACTTGTCATTTAACCCCTTTCAGGCTGTTTGAAAATTTTTTTAAAGAGCAGGTATTGGTTTTATAATTTTTAAAATTAACATAATAGGCCAAGTGCGGTGGCTCATGCCTGTAATCCCAACACTTTGGGAGGCCGAGATGGGCGGATCACAAGGTCAGGAGATCAAGACCAACCTGACTAACACAGTGAAACCCTGTCTCTACTGAAAATACAAAAACAAAATTAGCCGGGCGCAGTGGCGGGCGCCTGTAGTCCCAGCTACTCGGGAGGCTGAGGCAGGAGAATGGCGTGAACCCGGGAGGTGGAGCTTGCAGTGAGCTGAGATCGTGCCACTGCACTCCAGCCTGGGTGACCGAGCAAGACTCCGCCTAAAAAAAAAAAAAAATTATCGTAATAAATATCACTTTCAAAAAGAAACAAATTTCATCTTCATTTGTGAGGCAGGACAGGCAGACAGTCCTCTGGGGTCCAATTCAAGGTCTCCCACTGCCTTAGCTGTGAGGTGTGGACACGTTCACAGGGGCTAGAAACAGAAGCTGCTCCTCCGAGCACCCCTGGAGCACCCAGCCAGCGGACGCCCCCACCCCGCACCCGCCCTGCTCTGGACTGCCTCCCAGCACACCCCATCAGCAGCAAAGCCATATCGACAGATAGTTCCTAGCCAAGATGCAACGTTTCTTCACTTGTTTTGGAAATGATGAAACAACAGGAAAAGGTAAGCAAGCCCATCTAGCCTGAACATCAAGAAAACAGCTGAGTGTCAAAGAAAACGACGACTTCTACCAGAAGACCGATGATCACGTGCACACATCTCCTTACCATAAGGGCACTGAATCTTTTTAATACAAACCCCACTTCCTCTTACAGAACGGTGGTCATCACAGTGTTTCAGCAAAAGCCCAAGGCCAAATTATTTAGTTTATACATATTACTGCAAAGCGTCTAGGAAGACAAAACTATTAAATAGTTTAAATAGTTTCATTGTATTTGCTTCAAACCTAGAGTGCACAGAATTTCCTTATAACCAGTACGATGGGGACCGCCAACCAAATGTCTCCTGGAGAACTCATCTGCAGCCAGCGGCCCTCAAGCAGGGATGTGCTGCAGCCACACTCAGCATCCTCCTCCTGCAGAGCCCGTGCTGGGTCTGGACCCAGAGGCTCACACAGCTTTCATGTGCATTTCCTTAATTATCAGTGACGTGAAACATCTTTTTGTGTTTCTCAGCCAGGGGTATTTCTCATCCTGTGCGGAGATCTGTCTTCTTCTGTTTTACTGGACCACATACACATAAGGATATGAATCCACTACTACATGGCAGGGATACTCCCGTCCTTAACTTCACCCAGGTGACTTTGGCCACACCATGTCTGGTCTTTCCCTTCCCTCACTCATGTCCCACTTCTTAGAAAGACTTTCCCTAAGCCAAGAACACAAGCATGGTCTGCAACGGACTCTCCTACTCTTACTGTTTTGATGTTTATACTGCAAGCCATTAATAATTCATGTAACCCATCTGTAATTCCAGTTGGTACACAGGCATCGTTTTATTTCCTGTTGGGCATTTCCGCCTGGATGTCAGGCAGGCTCACAGGTCCAAATCACGCCCCAGGCCTGCTCCTCCCTCCCCAGGGCGCGTGCCCCATGCCCCCTCTCCATTCCCGCCCTGACATGCCACCTCTGGCTGGCTCCCTGCAAGTGCCTTGACCGTCTCCCTGGCTCCAGTCTTGCCTCTCAAGCCAATCCTTGAGAAAACCACCTGAATGACCCATCTACAGAGAAATCTGCCTACCTTGTTCGCACAGACTCCCCCCATGGCTGCCTGCACACACGGCACTGGTGCAAATGCTGCTACTTCTCCCTCCTCACTTCCCATCCGTGCCTTAGAATCCACCGTGGCTCCAGGGAACCCTCTCCTCCCCACCCATTTACATGCCGCTCCTCCACTCTTTCCTTGCAATGAATGTCCTCCTGCCTGAGGTGCCCTCCTATTTCCTGATCCCCTTCCGCATCTCCTTGGTCTAGTTACACCCCAAACTCTGCCTAGCTAACTTCTCCTCACACTTAATGTTCAGCAGAGATACCACCACCAGGAAGCCCCCATGGGCCTCATCCTACCCCAGTTACTGTCAATTCTAGCACTCACTGGTGATCAGCAGGAACACAAATCATAATGATTATTTCTCAATGAGTCCTTCTCTCCAAGCGGCCCTTGAACTCTGTGACGGCAGGAACTGTGCCTCATTCACCTTCGGCTCTAATCCTTGCCTGGAGAACAAGTGAACGCTGCACGTGACTGGAAGGGGGCGCTCTCCACGCCACGCACCCTGCTCGCTTTGCCACTAAGCTGACAATCCTCCAGTCTCCACCGCTCTCTACTCCTTACCTGACTACGCTCCGGAAAAATCCTGTACAGGAATTCATGCGTGGCCACAGGGCCACGTGCGTGCGGGAATTCGCGGGTGGCCACAGGGCCGTGTGTGTGTGGGAATTCACGGGTGGCCACAGGGCCGTGTGTGTGTGGGAATTCACGGGTGGCCACAGGGCCGTGTGTGTGCGGGAATTCGCGGGTGGCCACAGGGCTGTGTGTGCTGCGCTTGGGCCTCTCATTCTTCCTCCCGGCATGTTCAGGCCTTCATATGCTTCCTCGTCTAACCGGAACAGGTATGTCAGCTGCTCCATTCCCAACAGTAATTGTCAACAGCAGTCTCACGGTCTTACATGTTCTGGAATACACATCCACACCACGTCCAGATCACCCTTCTAGCGCTCTGTTCTCCCCAGCACCAAGTACCAGGCTCAAGGTGAATACTTTTCAGTTTGTAGCAATAAAATCATCTGTTTTTCATACTGCAGATACAGCTCACATCTTACAATAATATTAAAAATCAAAATAAATAGAATGGCTGAGAACAAAGCGACCAAAGGGCTGCTCTGTGTTCAAACTACACATGCCCGAGGGGTGTCTCCCCACCGTAGGGACCCAGGGAACCCGGCACCTGGATGTGATGACATCCACGCTGCTTGTCTGAGACCTACAGTTTAATTCTGCACAAATGTCAAAAGTGTCTGTCACACAGATGTTACCGCCTAAACTCACAACCTACAGCCATTCACTGTATGCCCCTAAGCGACTAAATGAAAACCAAAGTACCAACAGAACAAGCATGCTTAATTACAGACACAATTTAAACCGTAAAACTGACTAATAAATTACAAGAGATGCTTAATAAAGTAGCAACAATTAGAACATACAATTATATAAACAGTGTATTATAAGAAGCAACATCATTTTCTGTATTTTCATCTGACACTTCCTAGTTTATTTTATCCCAGTGGAAGCAAACTGCTTCAAATGTGATGTAGCAGGCCTGGTCTCCTCTATCTATAAATCAAGTGGGTGAGCAGTCCAAAATAGCAACGAGCTCCACATTTAGGAAGCAAGGGGAAGAAGAAAACGAGGGCAGGCTTTCAATCAATGAAACAACACTGCAACCCTCTGGCAGGGCAACACAAGCACAACCACCCCACCAAATACGCACAGGGAAAGGTGAGGCCGACGACACTGGGCCTACTGCCTAGATAGTCCTGTTTCCAATCTGCCTGATGAACCCCGATGTGGGAACTCCCTTTCCCGCTGTGTTCAGGACCGCTTAACTGGAATCACCAGTGGGCGTTATGACATGCAATTCAACAGCCTCCAGGAGAGGTAATTCCAGGACTCTCACCTCACCCTGAAACGCTGCGGTAAGGGCAAGGGTTGAACGCTGAAGGATGCTTTCATCCCATCACTACTTCTCCCACAAAAAAACACTCCCTGGCATTTACTGTAAGCAGATTTGAATTGGATTTATTTTCAGAATCTGGAGACACTATAAAGCAGACTAGGAGACCATTCGATCATCATAAATTCAGGACCAGGAAACAATGGTTATGACCTGACAACACACCCCATTAAATATCAGCGTTCTTTGAAAACAGGTCACCAGGCCGGGCTCACGCCTATAATCCCAGCACTTTGGGAGGCTGAGGTGGGCGGATCACGAGGTCAAGAGATCAAGATCAGCCTGACCAACATGGTGAAACCTTGTCTCTACTAAAAATACAAAACTTAGCTGGGCGTGGTGGCGTGCACCTGTAGTCCCACCTACTCAGGAGGCTAAGGCCGGAGAATCACTTGAACATGGGAGGCAGAGGTTGCAGTGAGCCGAGATCGCTCCACTGCACTCCAGCCTGGGCGACAGAGCAAGACTCTGTCTCAAAAAAAAAAAAAAAAAAAAAAAAAAAAAGATGTGCTGAATATAGATGTTAGCATCCACTCTCTTCCACATACCCCTTTGAGAAAGGGCTATTTTTTAAAGGCATATTTCATTGAGAACAAAATGAAAGGGAGAAAAGAAAATAGCAATACATTTTGGGGAGCTAGATAGATGAATAAAAACTGACTTAGGCCAGAAGAAGTTGAGTCATAAGCATGCAATGGAGAACATGGAAGAACAATCTAACTTTGATCATGGAACCCCCAGAAGGCTCCAAAAATAGTGGCACTAGTTTACAATTGGAAGTGAGGGTGTAAGATGGAACCAAAATACAGGAGAAACTGAATACTCACAATCTTTTCAAGAAGCAATTAGGCAAAGCCATGTGATCATCTCAATTGGTGCAGAAAAAGCACCTCACAAACTCCAACACCTTTTCATAGTAAAAACACTCAACAAGCCAGGAATGGAAGGGAACTTCCTCACATGATAAAGGGCATCTATGAAAAACTCAGTGAATGTCATATTCAAATTTTTCACCTAAGATGAGCAACAAGACAAGGGCGGCCACTTTCACCACTGCTCTTCAACACTATACTGGAAGTTCTCCCCAGAGCAATCAGTCAAGAGGCATACTAATTGGAAAGGAAGATGTCAAACTATCTTTATTCTCAGATGACATGATCTCATATCTAGAAAATCCTAATGAATCAACAAAAAAACTGCTGTTAGAACTAACAAGCAAACTCAGCAAAGTTTCAGGATACAAGATCAATAAAAAGTCAGTTGCATTTCTACACACTAGCAATGAACAATCTGGAAGTGAAATTGGGAAAACAATTCATTTTACAATAGCACCAGAAAGTATTAAAAACTTAGGAATAAATTTAACCAAGGAAGTGCACCACTTGTACACTGAAAATCACAAAGCATTGTTGAAAGAATTAAAGACAACCTACATAAATGGGAAGACATTCCATGTACATGGATGGAAAGACTGTTAGGTACTGTTAGGATAGCAGTACCCCCACAGTGATGTACAGATTCAATACTATCTCTATCAAAACCCCAATGGTCTTTTTTGCAAATATGGAAAAACTGATCTTTAAATTCATATGGAACTGCAATGGGTCCCAAATAGTAAAAAATCTTCCAGAAGAAAAGCAAAGTTGGAGGACCCCGACTTCCTAGCTTCAAAACTTACTACAAAATAGTATGGCACTGGGAGGCCGAGGTGGGCAGATCATGAGGTCAGGAGTTCAAGGCCAGCCAGCCAACAAGGTGAAACCCTGTCTCTACTAAAAATACAAAAATTAGCTGTGTGTGGTGGCGGGCGCCTGTAATCCCAGCTACTTGGGAGGCTGAGGCGGGAGAAGCGTTTGAACCTGGGAGGCGGAGGTTGCAGTGAGCCGAGATCACGCCACTGCACTCCAGCCTGGGCGACAGGGCAAGATTCCATCTCAAAAAAAAAAAAAAAAAGGGTGGCATTGGCATAAAAACATACAGACCTGCAGAACAGAACTGGGTCCAAAAATAAACCCACACATCTAATCAATTGATTTTGACAAGGGTGCCAAGACCACTCAATAGGGAAAAAGCAGTCTTGTCACAAATGATGCTTGAACAAAATCCACGTGCAAAAGAACGAAGTCAGAACCTACCACACATCATACACAAGAATGAACTCAAAATGGATCAAAAACCTAAATACAAGAGCTAAAATGATAAACTCTTAAAGGAAAACACAGGACAAATCCTCCTGACCTTGGATTTTGCAGAGTTCTTAGGTATGACATCAAAAGCATGAGCAACAAAAGAAAAAACAGAAAAATTAGAGTTAATCAATTTAGAGTTCATCAATTTGTGCATCAAAGGACACCAACAAGAGAGTGAAGAGACAATCCAAAGACTGGGAGAAAGTATTTATTAATCATATGTCTAATGAGGGTCTAGTATACAGAATAAAGAATTCTGACAACTCAAAAAAAAAAAAAAAGAGGCAACCCAATTTAAAAACGGAGAAAGAGGCCAGGCACGGTGGCTCACACCTGTCATCCCAGCACTTTGGGAGGGCGAGGCGGGCAGATCACCTGAGGTCGGGAGTTTGAGACCAGCCTGACCAACATGGAGAAACCCCATCTCTACTAAAAATACAAAATTAGCCGGGTGTGGTGGCAGGCACCTGTAATCCCAGCTATTCGGGAGGCTGAGGCAGGAGAATCGCTTGAGCCCGGGAGGCGGAGGTCGCGGTGAGCTGAGTTCCTGTCATTGCACTCCAGCCTGGGCGACAGAGCGAAACTCCGTCTCAAAAAAAAAAAGGGGGGGAGGGGAGCGGGGAAGGACCTGAATGAGAATTTCTCCAAAAATACACAACGGCCAACATGAACATGAAACAATTCTCAACTTCACTGGTCATCAGGGACATGCAAATCACAGCCAAATGAGACGCCACTTCAGACCCACTAGCATGGTCATCCTTTTTGGAAACTAAGTGTTGGGGGGATGTGGAGAAAGTGAACTCACTTGTTGCCAATGGACATGTAAAATGGTGCGGACACTGTGAAAAACAGTTTGGCAGTTCCTCAAAAAGCTAAACACAGAGTTACCATATGACCTGGCAACTCCATTCCTTGGTATATAACCAAAGAATTGAAAACAGATGCTCAAACAAAAACTCATCCACAAATGTTCATAGTAGCTGCATTACTCACACTAGCCAACAGGTGCAAACAGCCCAAGTGTCCATCAACAGACTAAAGGATAAACATAATGTGGTATATCTATACAATGGACAATTATTCAGTCATAAAAAGGAATGGAATACTGATACAGTCTACAACATGCGTGAACTCTGAAGACATTATCTTAAGTGAAAGAGGCCAGACACAAGCGGCTGCATATTGTATGATTCCATTTACATGAAATGTCCAGAACAGCCCAATTCAGAGAGACAGAAAGCAGATTAGCCGTTGCCGGGGCCTGGGGAGACGGAAGAATGGGCAGTGGCTGCTTAACAGGTATAGGGTTTCCATCTGGGATGATGAAAAAGTTATGTAACTAGGTGGTGATGTTGTTTTACGTTACGTGTATTTTAGCACAATCAAAAACAAAAAGCAGGTGAATGAGAGGATACTCCATTTATGAAGTAAGAACATATTACAAATTTTAAAGGAGGAAAAAAAAACAGCTCTGGGAAATTTAAAATACCATGGCCAAACTAAAATGCTAAATAGATATACTGGAAGAAAAAGAGGAAATCTAGAAAGTAGAACAAACATTAAATGGGAGAAAGACAAGAAAATTATAAAGCCAGCCCAAGCCTTCCAGCCCAAACAGTAGTATTTCCAGAACAGTCAGAAAAAAAGGGTAAACAAAGAAAAGGAAATTATTAGAGAAATAATTTGAGAAAACTAAAGGCTTCAAAAAACTATCAAGTGTCCAACAACAGATGAGATAAACCAAAACACACGGTGTTTCTCCACAGTGGAGATGTAGGGAGTAAAAACAGATTACACACAAAAGCCTTCATACAAAGCTTTAGCAATTAGAGCCGCAAGCACTTCATGGGCAATACTATGACTGAAGCTTAGAAGACACAATTATGGGCAGCTTCCCACCCGGAATCAGAGCCAGACGCAGCAACCACAAGCTGCAAAGCGAGAGCAGAGACCTCGGACCGCACCGCCCACCTGTCCTGGGGAGCCCTGGGGAGCCGGGAGAAATCCTCCCCATGACGGTGACAGTGGCAAGGTGTTCCCCGCCGCTGCTTATTTTGCACCAGACACCATTCTGGGCACTTTGAAGGCGCAACAGGGCGCGGAGACCACGCGCGCGCCTCCAGGCAGGCTGGGGCGAGGGGATCGCTTGAGCCTAGGAGTCCGACCTGGGCAGCATGGAGAGACCACAACCCTACAAAAAATACGACTATCAGCCGGGCGCGGTGGCTCACGCCTGTGATCCGAGCGCTTCGGGAGGCGGAGGCGGGAGGATAGCTCGCGCTCAGGAGGTCGAGACCAGCCTGGGAAACACAGCGAGACCCCCCCTCTTAAATAAAACCGTCTTCCCACCACCCCACCCACGGCCCCGCCGCTACTTCCAGGGGCTGGGACCCCGCAACGGGGTCCAGGCGGGCAGCCCGGGCCGAGGCCTGAGAACGCGGGGAGGACGCTCCTCCACGCCCAGCCCGGGCCGCCCGCCGCGGCCTCCCGCGCCTCTCCCCGCTCCGCCCCCGACCCCGCGCCACGAGCCGGCTGGCGACACCCCGGGGAGGAGCAGGACCCCTGCGCCACGACCGCCAGGGTCTCCGGGCGTCTTCACCTGCGCGGGCCGGGGTAGCTGCGGGGCGCGGGACGGGCGGGGGCGGCAGCCGTTGGCCCAGGAGGCCCTGGCGCAGCCCGCGCTGAGGGCGCCCAGGCCGCGACCCCGCGTCCCCCCGGCCCCCGGGCCCCCGCCTCGCGTCCCCGCAGCCCGGCGCCCGCCCCGGGGTGCCCTTGGCCCGGCCCGCCGGGAGCTCACCTGCCTCGCGCCGCCGCCTCAGGCCTCGTCTGCGCCGCCCAGGCCCGAGAAGACGCTCTGCCCACGCCAGCCAATCGCGGGCCGCGCCCCGGGCCGAGGGCGGGAGCAACGCAGGCCTTCACCAGTCCCGAGCGCGCCACCCGAAGCGTTCTGGCCAATGACGAGGCGGCTACGGGCCGCGGGCGGAGGGGCGAGGAGGACTCCAGGCGGGGGAAGGGGAGGGGGAGAGGGAGGGAGGGGGAGGGGCCTGGATGCGTCACGGGGTGGGACGGGCGAGGCCACGTCCCGGTATGGGGGCTGCACCTGGAGGAGGGGGACTGCATTCGGGGGAAAGGCCTGCATCTGAGGGAGGGCTCCGCATTTAGGGGAGGGGTCTGCACCTGCTGGGGGGGGTTTGCATCTGGGGGAGGGGCCCGCATCTGGGGGAGGGATCTGCACCTGGGGGAGGGGTCTGCACCTGGGGGAGGGGTCTGCACCTGGGGGAGGGGTCTGCATCGCGGAGGGCTCTGCCCCTCAGATACGCGGTCTACGTTGGGGAGGGGTCTGCATCTGGGGGAAGGGTCTGCATCTTCGGAAAGGTGTGTGCATCTGGGGGAGGGCGTCCGCATCTTGGGGAGAGGTTTGGATCCGGGGGAGGGGTCTGCATCTCCATGAGAGGGTCTGAATCTCCAGGAGGGCGTCCGCGTCTTGGGGGAGGGGCAGCTGCGGCTCCGGGAGGCAGCCCCCACTTCCGACGGGGCTCACCTCGGCCAGTGCCTCCTTGGCCTTCCGCACGTCTCCCATTGCTGGCCGCCGCCCCCACCCCAATTCCCCGCCGCTCCGGGCGTGCGCAGGCGCTCGCAGGCCGGGCTCCTCCCGCGGCCCCTCCTCCCCAGGCGCCCTTCTGGGGAATGTGTGGGGTCTGCACGCGAGGTCTCCTGCAGGGCCCCTGCTGATGGAAACGCCGGCTCTTCCCGCGTGGAATTCGCAGGTTCTCTTCTCCGTGCTGGGGACTGCACCGCGTCTTGCAAATACTGATTTGTTCTTTGCACTTTTAAAACGAAGTGTAATTTACATACAATCATGTTCACCTTTTTTGCTCTTTTGTTTTTTTTTTGAGACAAGGTCTCCCTCCCGTTGTCCAGGCTGGAGTGCAGTGGCGCAGTCATAGCTCACTGTAACCTCAACCTCCCCGGCCCAGGTGATCCTCCCACCTCAGACTCCCGAGTAGCTGGGACTACAGGCGCGCCTGGCTTTTTTTTTTTTTTTTTTTTGAAACGGAGTCTCTCACCATCGCCTGGGCTGGAGTGCATTTGCGCGATCTCGGCTCATTGCAACTTCTGCCTGCCGGGTTCAAGCGATTCTCCTGCCTCAGTCTCCCCAGTAGCTGGGATTACAGGTACCTGCCACCACCCCCAGCTAATTTTTTGTATTTTTAGTAGAGACAGGGTTACACCATGTTGGCCAGACTGGTCTTGAACTCCTGATCTCGTGATTCGCCTGCCTCGGGCTCCCAAAGTGCTGGGATTACAGGTGTGAGCCACCGCACCCGGCCTTTTTTTGGTATATTTTTGTAAACATGGGGGTCTCACTATGTTGTCCAGGCTGGTCTTGAACTCCTGACCTCAAGTGATCCTCCCACCTTAGCCCCCCAAAGTGCTGGGATAACAGGCATGAGCCACCGCACCCGGCCAATAAGGCCTTTATTTATTTACTTATTTTTGAGACAATTTCGCTCTTGTTATCCAGGCTGGAGTACAATGGCACGATCTCGGCTCACTGCAACCTCCACCTCCCGGGTTCAAGCAATTCTTGTGCCTCAGCCTCCTGAGTAGCTGGGATTACAGGTGCCCACCACCACATCCGGATAATTTTTGTATTTTTAGTAGAGACGGGGTTTCACCATGTTGGCCAGGCTGGTCTGGAACTCCTGTTTTTTTCCTTTTTGTTTTGCTTTTTGTTGTTGTTGTTTAGAGACAGGGTCTCGCTCTGTCATCCAGGCTGGAGTGATCACGCAGTGGTATGATCATAGCGCACTGCAGCCTCGCCGTCCCATGTTCAAGCCATTCTCCCACGTCAGCCTCCTGAGTCGCTGAGACTACAGGCAGACACCACCATGTCTGGCTAATTTTAAATCTTTTTGTACAGATGGAGTCTCACTATATTGCCCAGGCTGGTCTTTTTTTTTTTTTTTTTTTTTTTTTTTTTGAGACAGTCTCTCTGTCGCCCAGGCTGGAGTGCAGTGGCGCTATCTCGGCTCAGTGCAAGCTCTGCCCCCCGGGGGTTCACGCCATTCTCCTGCCTCAGCCTCCCAAGTAGCTGGGACTACAGGCGCCTGCCACCTCGCCTGGCTAATTTTTTGTATTTTTAGTAGAGACGGGGTTTCACCGTGTTAGCCAGGATGGTCTCGATCTCCTGACCTCGTGATCCGCCCGCCTCGGCCTCCCAAAGTGCTGGGATTACAGGCGTGAGCCACCGCGCCCGGCTTCCCAGGCTGGTCTTGAGCTCTTGGTCTGAAACGATCCTCTGCCTCAGCGTCCCCCCGCACCCTCTACCACATCTGACTACTTTTTTTTTTTTTAAACCAAGCATTAACTCTGATGGACCTTACATTGCTGCTAAAAGCCTGCATTAGATCTCCTTTTTAAACAGACACATCTGTTTGGGGGAAAGATTTTGGCAGATGGCCGTGCCAGAACCCACCGCCTGGGTCTGTCACTAGAGAAGATGGACATTCAAATACTAGGATCGTGCCCCCAAAAAGGCTGGCCTCCACCCTGCCCACCCTGGGGCCAGTACGGCCTCCCCGTAAGGCCCCGGTCCGTGGAGTGGGTTAAGGGAGGAACAAGAACAAGCAGGTAGGAGAGTCTGGGGGGCTTCTGTGTCTCCCGAAACACAGCTTGGGTCTGTTTTCTTTGGCCTGGCCAACTGTCCTCATTTCAGAAGAGGACATTGGACAACAGGCTGGGCTTCAGTTCCTAAGGCTTTTCCCATCTTCCCAGCACTGCAGAGCAGGACGGAGCAGGTAGTGCAGCCACTGACATTTCAAAGCAAGGGAAACGGAGGCAGGGGCCAGGCCGGCAGCCTGGCTGGAGTGAGACCGGACGCAGCGACCCCGTAGGCAGGCTCGCTGTCTTCAAGGCCACCATCTCTGCTGCAGAACGGAGGGCAGCAGCGGCCCGTTTTGCAAAGCTCCCGGGGGAGCACAGTGCTTTTTTCTCGGTGAGCTCACACCTCAAATTTGGCAGCAGGCGTGCCTTTCAGCGGTAAACAGAAACCGGCTCCTGGGAGACGAGTCAGAAACCCGAGCCCGGAGGCTTCGTGCCATCTGGATGAGGTGGCTACGCAATGGCCAGGGAGAGAGTCGGACGAAGGAAAATTACCCAGCCGACCTCCTGGAGGCTCAGGAAATCCGTATCTCTCTCTCTTTTTTTTTTTTTTTTTTGAGACAGAGTTTTGCTCTTGTCGCCCAGGCTGGAGTGCAGTGGTGCGATCTTGGCTCACTGCAACCTCCACCTCCCGTAAATCCCTTTCTCTTAAGGAAACAATTTGGCTTCTCCACCAGCTGCTTCCCCATCCTGCCTGCTTCTGGTTCCTTCTTTGGGCGGGAAGCATCCGCAGAGGAAATGGTTTTTGGTGGGTGGTTGTCCCCTGCGGTGAGTGAGGGCGGCCCCTGCTGTGGTTTCAGTGTGTGAGACTGTGGGGAGTGGTGAAAGGAACTTGCCGGAGAGCTGTAACAGATTTCAGGCAGATTTCCCAATACACAGAATCCAAAATCCATGCACAGACACTCCCAGTATTGACAGAGTTTGAACTCAGCCAGATTTCCCAATACACAGAATCCAAAATCCATACACAGATGCTCCCAGCATTGACAGAGGGTTTGAACTCACTGTAGACTGCAGACATGCATGCTGGGCCCTGAAGAGCGTTTCATTTACTTATGTATGTATTTATTTGCTTGCTTAGTTTTGAGAGAGAGCCTTGCTCTGTCACCCAGGCTGGAATGCAGTGGCACAGTCACGGCTCATGGTAACCTCAAACTCCTGGACTCAAGTGATTCTCTTGCCTCAGCCTCTCGAGTAGCTGGGACTACAGGTACCCACCACCATGCCCAGCTAATTTTATTAACTTTTTGTAGAGATAGGGTCTTGCCATGTTGCCCAGTCTGGTCTGAAACTCCTAGGCTGAAGCGATCCTCCCCCCTTGGCCTCCCAAAGTGCTGGGATGACAGGTGTGAGCCACCTCACCTGGCCTTCTTTTTTTTTTTTTTTTTTTTTTTTTTTTGAGACGGAGTCTCGCTCTGTCACCAGGCTGGAGTGGAGTGGTGCGATCTCGGCTCACTGCAACCTCCACCTCCCAGGTTCAAGCAGTTCCCTGCCTCAGCCTCCCAAGTAGCTGGGATTTGTGGGGAGAATGGTGGGGGATGAGAGGGTACAGGATTGGGGAGGACGTTAGGGGACAGGAGGGTGCAGCCTGGCCACAGAGCCATTGCTGGGCTTTAGTGAGGGCTTTAGTGAGTCGCGGCGACAGCGGCCTTGGTGGGAGTTATTTTGGCAGGATGGTAAGGATGGGTTCTGGAGAGAACAGAGGAGGCAGGTAGAGCGAGGCAGGACAGACAGGTCTTTCAAGAGAAACGAGGAAGCAGGGACAGGGATATTTGGGTGGCACCTTGTTCTGTTTTGTTTTAGGATGCCTGCTCTTTTACCTAGCTGATCCCTGGGGTTTAGGTCATCTCTCGGCAGGTCTGTTAAACAGCAGCAGGATGCATAGCGGCCCCCAGATGTGTCCACCTGCAGCCTCAGAATGCAATCTTATTTGGAATAAGGGTCTTTGCAGATATAATTAAGGTAAAGATCTAGAGATGCGACCATCCTGGCTTAGGGTGGGCCCTGAATCCAATATGTATCCTTATAAAAGGAGGCAGCTGGGCGCGGTGGCTCACGACTGTAATCCCAGCACTTTGGGAGGCCGAGGCAGTTGGATCACGTGGTCAGGAGATCGAGACCATCCTGGCCAACATGGTGAAACCCGTCTCTACTACAATACAAAAAATTAGCCGGGCATGGTGGTATGCGCCTGTATTCCCAACTACTCAGGAGGCTGAGGCAAGAGAATCACTTGAACCCGGGAGGCAGAGGTTGCAGTGAGCCGAGATCGCACCACTGCACTCCAGCCTGGGCAATAGTGAGAGACTCCTCTGTCTCCAAAAAAAAAAAAAATTATCCAGGTGTGGTGGCGATGCCTGTAGTCCCAGCTACTTGAGAGGCTGAGGCAAGATAATTGCTTCAACTGGGGAAGCAGAGGTTGCAGTGAGCTGAGATCATGCCACTGCACTCTGGCCTGGGCAACAGAGCAATACTCCATCTCAAAAAAAGCAAAGCAAAACAAAAGAAACAAACAAACAAAAATAAACGAGTTGCCAATATTTAAAAATTAAAGGACTTGGCCAGGCGCAGTGGCTCACGCCTGTAATCCCAGCACTTTGGGAGGCCGAGGCGGGCGGATCACAAGGTCAGGAGATCAAGACCATCTTGGCTAACATGGTGAAACCCCGTCTCTACTAAAAAATACAAAAAATTAGCCAGGCGTGGTGGCGGGCGCCTGTAGTCCCAGCTACTTGGGAGGCTGAGGCAGGAGAATGGCATGAACCTGGGAGGCGGAGCTTGCAGTGAGCCAAGATAGCGCCACTGCACTCCAGCCTGGGTAATAGAGCGAGACTCTGTCTCAAAAAAAAAAAAAAAAAAATTAAAGGACTTAAAAAATATATTTTTAAAATCTGGACTTCCAGCTTCTCTTGAAAAATCATATCTGGCAATGCTGGGCCTGCCCTGCCATGGCCACACCTGGAGGGCCCAGGAGAGAGGCGGATGTGGTTTGGATGTTTGTCCCCTACAGATCTCAGGTTGAAATGTGATCCCTGCTGCTGGAGGTGGGGCCTGCTGGGAGGTGTTGGATCATGGGGGCGGATCCCTCATGAATTGCCCAGCGTCATCCCCTTGGTGATAAGTGAACCCTCACTCAGTTCGTGCGAGAGCTGGGACCTCCTCACGGCCTCTCTTGCTCCTGCTGTCATCATGTGATGCACCTGCCCCTTCACCTCTGCCATGAGTGGAAGCAGCCTGAGGCCTTGCTAGAAGCAGATGCTGCTGCCCTGCTTCCTGTACGGCCTGCAAAACCGTGGGCCACATAAACTGTATTAGCCTGTTTTCACACTGCTGTAAAGATACTACCCAAGACTGGGTCGTTTATAGAGAAAAGAGGTTTTGTTTTGTTTTGTTTTGTTTTGTTTTTGAGATGGAGTCTCACTCTCTTGCCCAGGCTGGACTGCAGTGGCGCGATCTCGGCTCACTGCAAGCTCCGCCTCCCAGGTTCACACCATTCTCCTGCCTCAGCCTCCCAAGTAGCTGGGACTGCAGGCGCCCGCCACCATGCCTGGCTAAGTTTTTGTATTTTTAGTAGAGATGGGGTTTCACTGTGTTAGTCAGGATGGTCTCGATCTCATGGCCTCGTGATCCACCCGCCTCAGCCTCCCAAAGTGCTGGGATTACAGGTGTGAGCCACCGTGACCGGCCGAGAAAAGAGGTTTAATCGACTCACAGTTCCATATGGCTGGGGAGGCCTCGGAAAGCTTACAGTCGTGGGGGAGGGGGAAGCAGGCACGTCTTACATGGTGGCAGGTGAGAGAGAGAAGTGTGTGAAGGAGGAACTTGCCAAACACTTATGAAACCATCAGATCTCTTTGTTTTGTTTTATTTGCTTGTTTTTGAGATGGAGTTTTGCTCTTGTTGCCCAGGCTAGAGTGAAATGGCACAATCTCGGCTCACTGCAACCTCCGCCTCCCGGGTTCAAGTGATTCTCCTGCCTCTGCTTCCCGAGTAGCTGGAATTACAGGCGCCCGCCACCATGCCCAGCTAATTTTTGTATTTTTAGCAGAGACGGGGTTTCATCATGTTGGCCAGGCTAGTCTTGAATTCCTGACCTCAGGTGACCACCCGCCTTGGCCTGCCAGAGTGCTGGGATTACAGGCGTGAGCCACCACGCCTGGCTTGAAACCATCAGATCTTGGCTGGTTGCAATGGCTCATGCCTGTAATCCCAGCACTCTGGGAGGCTGAGGCTGGCGGATCACCTGAGGTCAGGAGTTTCAGACCAGCCTGGCCAACATGATGAATTCCCGTCTCTGCTAAAAATAGAAAAATTAGCCAGATGTGGTGGGCACCTATAATCCCAGCTAATTGGGAGGCTGAGGCAGGAGAATTGCTTGAACCCAGGAGGTGGAGGTTGCAGTGAGCAGAGATTGTGCCACTGCACACCAGCCTGGGCGACAGAGCCAGACTCTGTCTAAAAAAAAATCAAACAAAAAAACCCATCAGATCTTGTGAGAACTCAGTCACTATCAGAAGAACAGCATGGCAGAAACTGCCTCCATGATCTAATCGCCTCCCACCAGGTCCCGCCCTCAACAGATGGGAATTACAATTCAGATGAGATTTGGGTGGGGACACAGAGCCAAACCATATTGCAAACCTCTTTTCTTTATATGTTACCCAGCCTCAGGTCTGTCTTTTTTTTTTTTTTTTTGTGGAGACAGAGTCTCACTCTGTCACTCAGGCTGGAGTGTGGCGGCGCAATCTCGGCTCACTGCAACCTCCACCTCCCAGATTCAAGCAATTCTCCTGCCTCAGCCTCCTGAGTAGCTGGGACTACAGGTGCGCACCACCATGCCCGGCTAATTTTTGTATTTTTAGTAGAGACAGGGTTTCACCATGTCAGTCAGGCTGGTCTCAAACTCCTGACCTTGTGATTCACCCACCTCGGCCTCCCAAAGTGCTGGGATTACAGGCATGAGCCACTGCGCCTGGCCAGGTCTTTCTTTACAGCAATGTGAGAGCTGAGTAACACAGAAGGCCTTCCTCCAGGGTACACGTGTGGCTCCCACTCAGCGTGTCTCCCAGAGACGGAGGCTCACTCTTGTCCAGGATGCAGTGTGGACACCCCGATGCCCGAGACCCTCCAGGAAGGCCTCTGCAGCAGGTCAGCTGGGCTGCCCGAGCCATCTGGATGGCAGCCACCTCCAAGGTCTTCCTGTGGGCAAAATCCTCCCGCTTGGTTGTAAAATCCACCTGTTTGAGACTGTATGTACCCTGTTCAGAGGGAAAATGGCAGATTTGAAAATAGTGACTCCAGGGGCCGGAAGGGAGAGGGTGGCAAACTGCACCTGTGTCTTGATGAGAGGAGTGTCTCTGGGAGGGGAGCCCAGAAGGGCCCCTGACCCGCCTGGGAATGTGCTGCTGGGAACCTGCCCAGGACAAGGCTGGAGGGAGGAGAGAGAGTGACAGAGCCCAGGACCCAGGAAAGGGACCCAGGAGAGCTGGGTCCCAGGGCAACACTGCTGGGCATCTGGAGCAGAGCTTTGCTAAAGAGAAGAGCAGCTGTCATCCTGGCAACTGGTTTTACGTTTTATTCTTTTTCCATTTGACCAGCAATACATATGTGTTGCTGAAAAAACATCAACAACAACCGTCAGTGTCAAGAGAAAAAAATTAACACTAAATAGAATTTTTTTTCTTCTTTTGAGACAGATTGTATTAGTCTGATCTCACGCTGCTAATAAAGACATACCCAAGACTGGGTAATTTATAACGAAAAGAGGTTTAATTGACTCAGAGTTCCACATGGCTGGGGAGGCCTCACAATCATGGTGAAGGTGAAGGAGGAGCAAAGTCACATCTTACATGGCGGCAGCAAGAGAGCATGTGCAGGGAACCGCCCTTTATAAAACCATCAGATCTCGGCCGGGAGCAGTGGCTCACACCTGTAATCCCAGCACTTTGGGAGGCCGAGGCGGGCAGATCACGAGGTCAGGAGATCGAGACCATCCTGGCTAACACGGTGAAACCCCGCCTCGACTAAAAATACAAAAAATTAGCCGGGCGTGGTGGCGGGCGCCTGTAGTCCCAGCTACTCGGGAGGCTAGGCAGGAAAATGGCGTGAACCTGGGAGGTGGAGCTTGCAGTGAGCTGAGATCGTGCCACTGTACTCCAGCCTGGGGGGTGACAGAGTAAGACTCCATCTAAAAAAATAAAATAAAATAAACCCATCAGATCTCGTGAGACTTAGTCACTCCCACTAGAACATCACAGGAGTATCCCACCCCCATGATTCAATTCCCTCCCACCGGGTCCCTCCCATGACACATGGGGATTATGGGAGCTACCATTCAAGATGAGATTTGGGTGGGGACACAGCCAAAGCATATCACAGGGTCTCACTCTGTTGCCCAGGCTGGAGTGCAGTAGCATGATTTTGGCTCACTGCAACCTTTGCCTTCAGAGTTCAAGCAATTCTTGTGTCTCATCCTTCCAAGGAGCTGAGATGACAGGCGTGCACACCATACCTGGCTACTTTTTAAATGTATTTTTAGTAGAGATGGGGTTTTTCCATGTTGGCCAGGCTGGCCTTAAGTGTTCCGCCCAAAATGCTGGGATTATAATAACACTTTTTTTTCTTTGAGACGGAGTCTCGCTCTGTCACCCAGGCTGGAGGGCAGTGGCGCGATCTCGGCTCACTGCAACCTCTGCCTCCCAGGTTCATGCCATTCTCCTGCCTCAGCCTCCTGAGTAGCTGGGATCACAGGCACATGGCACTCGCCCGGCTAATTTTTTTTGTATTTTTAGTAGAGACAGGGTTTCACCATGTTAGCCGGAATGGTCTTGATCTCCTGACCTTGTGATCCGCCTGCCTTGGCCTCCCAAAGTGCTGGGATTACAGGCTTGAGCCACAGCGCCCAGCCCTGGCCTAATAACACTTTTAGACATCATTATGGTGGCCCATAAGAAATTGCCAGTGTTCATATTTTGCACTATGACCTCACATAATCCTTTTTCTTTTCTTTTTTTCTTTTTTTTTTTTTTTTTTGAGACGGAGTCTCGCTCTGTCGCCCAGGCTGGAGTGCAGTGTTGTGCAATCTCAGCTCACTCCAAGCTCCGCCTCCCGGGTTCACGCCATTCTCCCGCCTCAGCCTCCTGAGTAGCTGGGACTACAGGCACCCGCCACCACACCCGGCTATTTTTTTTTGTATTTTTAGTAGAGACGGGGTTTCACCATGTTAGCCAGGATGGTCTCGATCTCCTGACCTCATGATCCGCCTGCCTCAGCCTCCCAAAGTGCTGGGATTAGAGGCGTAAACCACCGCGCCCAGCCCTTTTTTTTTTTTTTTTTTTCTGAGGCGGAGGCTCGCTCTGTCACCCAGGCTGGAGTGCAGTGGCACCATCTCGGCTTACTGCAAGCTCCGCCTCCCGGGTTCATGCCATTTTCCTGCCTCAGCCTCCCAAGTAGCTGGGACTACAGGTGACCGCCACCACGCCCGGCTAATTTTTTTGTATTTTGTTAGTAGAGATGGGGTTTCACCGTATTAGCCAGGATGGTCTCGATCTCCTGACCTCGTGATCCACCTGCCTCGGCCTCCCAAATTGCTTGGATTACAGGTGTGAGCCACCGTGCCTGGCTTTTTTTTTTTTTTTTTTTTTGAGACAGGGTCTTGCTCTGTTGCTCAGGCTGGAGTGCAGTGGTGCCATCATAGCTCACTGCAGCCTCGACCTCCTGGGCTCAATCAATCCTCCCACTTCAGCCTCCCAAGTAGCTGGGACTACAGGCACACACCACTATGCCCAGCTAATTTTTCTATTTTTTGTAGAGACGGGGTCTTGCTCTGTTGCCCAGGCTGGTCTTGAGCTCCTGACCTCGTGATCCACACGCCTTGGCCTCCCAAAGTGCTGGGATTACAGGCATGAGCCACCGCGCCTGGCCTAATTTTTCTATTTTTTGTAGAGACGGGGTCTTGCTCTGCTGCCCAGGCTGGTCTCAAACTCCTGGCTCAAGGAATCTGCCTAGCTAGGTGTGGTGGGCACCTATAGCCTCCTTAGCCTCCCAAAGTGCTGTGATTACAGGTGTGAGCCACTTCACCCGGCCAACATACTTCTTTTCCTTAGACAAAATGGAGTCACAACAGACTGGCTTTTGTGACCAGGCTTTTTCATTTGTCTGAGTAAATTGGCCTTGCTGCCTTTTGCCGTGACTGGAGACAGCTCTCCCCAGAATGAACACGCTCAGTCCCGTCCAGCTCGCCGTTAATCACGCTCCGAGAAACATCCCTGAACTCACCTTTGCCCTCTTGTCCTGGGGTTTCCTTAGAATAAATTGCCGGAAGTGGAACTGCTGGGTCAAGGGTGGGGACGTTTTTATGACTTGCGTCCTCCAGAAAGGTCCTCAGTGGAGGCAACGCCTTCTGGAAAACAAACCCCAGGCGGGGGCAGAGCGGCTCGGGCTGCCAGGAGCTCCGCTGACTCTCCGAGTGTCCCGACTCTGTTTTTGTTTTCTTTCTTTCTTTCTTTTTTTGTTTTTGAGACGGAGTTTCACTCTTGTTGCCAGGCTGGAATGCAATAGTGCGATCTCGGCTCACTGCAACTTCTGCCTCCCAGATTCAAGCTCAGCCTCCTGCCTCAGCCTCCCGAGTAGCTGGGATTACAGGCACGCGCCACCACGCCTGGCTGATTTTTTTGTATTTTTAGTAGAAATGAGGTTTCACATCCAGGCTGGTCTCCAACTCCCGACCTCAGGTGATCCGTCCGCCTCGGCCTCCCAAAGTGCTGGGATTACAGGCGTGAGCCACCACGTCCGGCCCTTTGTTTTGTTTTTAACAGTTTCTTTTTTATTTTGTTATTATTTTGTTATTTTTATTTATTTTTCTTTGAGACAGAGTCTTGCTCTGTTGCCCAGGCTGGAGTGCAGTGGCACCATCTCGACTCACTGCAACCTCCGCCTCCCGGGTTCCAGCGATTCTCCTGCCTCAGCCCCGTGAGTAGTTGGAATTACTGGCACGCACCACCACACCCGTCTAATTTTTTGTATTTTTAATAGAGATGGAGTTTCACCATGTCAGCCAGGCTGGTCTCGAACTCTTGACCTCAAGTGATCCGTGTGCCTTGGCCTCCCAAAGTGCTGAGATTACAGGTGTGAGCCACCGCACCCAGCCTGGCCAGCCTTATTTATTTCACGTTTTGTTTATTTGGGAGTTCAGAGGAAATTACATGACAAGTCTGAATATTAAAGTCTGAATATAAAGCCTGGCGTTTGTTGGGGCAAACACTGTCTTTTTTTTTTTTTTTTTTTTTGATACAGGGTCTCGCTATCATGCAGGGTGGATTGCAGGGGTGTGATCATAGTTCACTGCAGCCTCAAACTCCTGGGCTCAGGCGATCCTCCTGCCTCAGCCTCCCAAAGTGCTGGGATTACAAGCACGAGCCACTGTGCCCGCCTGACCATTTCTTTTCTGTCTGAAGATGAAGCGTCGTCATTGCCGTGGTCTACTGGGCGCTTCCTGTTGTGGGCCAGCAGTTTTCAGGGCTCTTTGCACTGCAATCTTACTGAACAGTCGGACAGCTCTGTGACACACGAGGACACTGAGGCCCGGAGAAACGATTTGTCTACGCTCACTCTGCTCCTAAGTGGGAGGTAACACTCAAAAATCCAGATCCAGCCAGGTGTGCAGGCTCATGCCTCTAATCCCAGCAGTTTGGGAGGCTGAGGTGGGAGGATTGCTTGAGCCCAGGAGTTCGAGACCAGCCTGGGCAACATGGCGAGACCCCATCTCTACTTAATCTGATTAGGAAAATGTGGCATATATACACCATGGAATACTATGCAGCCATAAACAATGATGAGTTCATGTCCTTTGTAGGGACATGGATGAAGCTGGAAACCATCATTCTCAGCAAACTATAGCAAGGACCAAAAACCAAACACCGCATGTTCTCACTCATAGGTGGGAATTGAACAATGAGAACTCTTGGACACAGGAAGGGGAACATCACACACCGGGGCCTGTTGTGGGGTGGGGAGAGGGGGGAGGGATAGCATTAGGAGATATACCTAATGTAAATGATGAGTTAATGGGTGCAGCACACCAGCATGGCACATGTATACATATGTAACAAACCTGCACATTGTGCACATGTACCCTAAAACTTAAAGTATAATAATATATATATATATATGAAAAGAAAAAATTAGCCAGGCGTCATGGCACACACCTGTGGCCTCAGCTATTCAGGAGGCTGAGATGAGAGGGTCACTCAAGCCCACGAGTTCAAGGCTGCAGTGAACCGTGACGGCAGCACTGCACTCCAGCCTGGGGTGACACAGGGAAACCGTGTCACAAACAAACAATCCAGATCCCAGTGATTCCACAACCCGACGCCTCAGCCACGATGCAAACTGCCACATTCCTAACAACAATGTTTATGTTTTGGCTCCCGAGAGGAAACAAAAAGTTTTTTAGAAAACACACAGAAGTATTTAAAAAGTTTTAAACAAACACAGATCACTTCAACTCTATCACCGAGAGGTGACTTCTGTAAACATTTTTGTTTGTTCTGTGACTTTCCCATGAACATATATGTGTATTTTCATAAAAGTGGATGCTGGAGATGCCTTGTTGTCATCTGCCCTTTCCTTCCTTCTTTTTCTTTCTTTCTTTTTCTTTCTCTTTCCTTCTTTCTCTTTCCTTTCTTTGTCTCCTTCCTTCTTTCCTCTTTTTTTCTCTTTCTTTCTCTCTTTCCTTCTTTCTCTTTCTTTTGTCTCCTTCCTTCCTTCTTTCTTCTGTCTCTCTTTCTCTTTCTTTCTTTCTCTTTCCTTCTTTCTCTTTCTGTGTCTCCCTTCCTTCCTTCCTTCCCTTTCTTTCTTTCCTCTGTCTCTCTCTCTCTCTTTCTCTCTCTCTTTCTTTTTTTCTTTCTTTCTTTCGAGGGAGTCTTGCTCTGTCACCCAGGCTGGAGTACAGTGGCGCGATCTCGGCTCACTGCAACCTCCGCGTCCCAGGCTCAAGTGATTCTCCTGCCTCAGCCTCCCGAGTAGCTGAGACTACAGTCACACGCCACCATGCCCGGCTAATTTTTGTATTTTTAGTAGAGGCGGGGTTTCACCACGTTGGCCAGGCTGGTCTTAGACAGGGTCTCACTGTGTTGCCCAGGCTGGTTTCAAAGTCCTAGGCTCAAGCGACCCTCCCGCCTTAGCCTCCCACAGTGTTGGGATCACAGGCGTGAGCCACTTCGTCCAGCCTGTAATCTGCTTTTTCTACCTAACAGCACACGTGGAGGTCTCGCCTGTCCACAGACAGAAGTTGAGATCTCACCGGGAGAAGAACCGGGCCCAGGCAGTGTCTCTCCTCCCCACCCGGGGCCTCACGGCACTGACTGGTGGGTGGGGAGGGTGGGGGAGGGAATTCAGGGAGTGGGGAAGCAGTAGAGTGGGGGGTGTCTGAAGGGGCCAGGCGGAAGCACCAGACAAGAATAGGCACCCCGGAGCTGAGTGGAGGCGGCCTCTGAGGCTGCGCGTGGCAAGTCTGGGGGTGGGGCTGGCACCGTGGGGATTAAACAAAGCTCCCGGCTGGAACCCATGATCCTCCATACCGAGGCCACGGGGCAACTGGCGGCTGGCCAGCGTCCCCAGTCAAGGAACCAGATCCACGGAGCAACTGCTCCAGAGGGCTTTCGAGAGGGCCAGGCTCCCCAAGCCACTCCTTCCTCAGTCTGGCATCTGGCGAGGTTCCCAATGCCTCTTCCCTTTCCACGCCTCACAAGGCTGGACACCTGGAAACCCTCCCCTTGGACACGAGGCTTCCCGTCAACCTCTTTGTTTCTGAGAGAGGCCGGAGAGGAAGGTGAGCTACCTGGAGGATGAAGCAAGGTCTCCATTCGTAACTGGGAGACACCAGGAAAACCAGCAGCCCAGAAGAGAAGGACCAGAGACCAGGAGACAAAAGGACTCCTTCCAGCGAGAGCAAGGAGATTCAGAAATAGCAGAGAACGGCCGCGCACGGTGGCTCACGCCTGTAATCCCAGCACTTTGGGAGGCTGAGGCGGGCAGATCACCTGAGGTCAGGAGTTCAAGACCAGCCTGGCCAACATGGTGAAACCCCATCTCTACTAAAAACACAAAAATTAGCCAGGTGTGGTGGTGTGCACCTGTAATCCCAGCTTCTTGGGAGGCTGAGGCAGGAAAATTGCTTGAATCTGGGAGGCGGAGGCTGCAGTGACTGGAGATGGCGCCACTGCACTCCAGTGTGGGCGACAGAGTAAGACTCTGTTTCAAAAAAAAAAAATGTTTTTTCATACTGTATGATTCCACTTACATAAAAAAGACAACTAATCTACAGTGACAGAGGCAGTTCAGGGTTGCCAGAGCCGGGAGCGAGGGTGTGGTTTGACTTCGAAGGGGCTCAAGAAAACTTTTAGAGGTAACAGAAATGTTCTATATCTTGATGGTAATTGTGATGACATAACTATATATACTTGCAAAAACTCATCAAAATATATAATTACAATAGGCCAGGCGTGGTGGCTCACGCCTGTAACCCCAGCACTTTGGGAGGCCAAGGCAGGTGGAGCACCTGAGGTCAGGAGTTCAAGACCAGCCTGGCCAACATGGTGAAACCCCGTCTCTACCAAAAATACAAAATTAGCTGGGTGCGGTGGTGCATGCCTGTAATCCCAGGTATTTGGGAGGCTGAGGCAGGAGAATCGCTTGAACCCGGGAGGTGGAGGTTGCAGTGAGCCGAGATCGCACCACTGCCCTCCAGCCTGGGCGACAGAGCCAGACTCTGTCTCAAAATATATATAGCCATAATCAGAAAATACTGCGGATTTATTTTTAGTCTTTGGCATCAATCTACATGTAAACCATGAAAAAGGTGAATATTTTCCATCTGTTCTAACTATAAATAGTAACCTTGGCTCTGGAACTGCAACTGTCCAGCTGTTATGAGTTGGGAGGTGGGTGGGAGGGAGAGAAAGAGGAAAGGATGGGACCCTCATCTTCCGGGGAACAGAGGAAAGATACTGTCCAAAGTTGGTGGGACAAGAGACAGAGGTTTAAGTCCTGTAAATTATTATCATTATTTGAGGCAGAGTCTCATTCTGCTACCCACTGCAGCCTCGAAGTCTCGAACTTCTGGGCTTAAGTGATGCTCCCACCTTGGCCCCATGAATAGCTAACACTACAGGTGTGCACCACCATGCCCAGCTCATTTTTTAACTTTTTGTAGAGACAGTCTTGCTTTGTTACCCAGAGTGGTCTTGAAATTCCTGGCCTTGCCGGGCATGGTGGCTCATGCCTGTAATCCCAGCACTTTGGGCGGCCAAGGCGGGAGGATCACGAGGTCAGGAGATCGAGACCATCCTGGCCAACACACGGTGAAACCCCATCTCCATTAAAAATAAAAAAAAAAATTAGCTGGGCGTAGTGGCGGGCTCCTGTAGTCCCAGCTACTTGGGAGGCTGAGGCAGGAGAATGGTGTGAACCTTGGGAGGTGGAGCTTGCAGTGAGTGGAGATCGCACCACTGCACTCCAGCCTGGGCGACAGAGCGAGACTCCATCTCAAAAAAAAAAAAAAAAAAAAAAGAAAAGAAAAATTCTTGGCCTCAAGTGAGCGTCCTGCCTCAGTCCCCCAAAGTGCTGGTATTACAGGCACATGCCACCATGCCCAGCCAATGCCTGCTTTTCATATCTGTCCCACAGTCATGTAAAATGTTAACACCAGGAGAACCTGAGCAAAGTGTATATATGGGAACTGTACTATTTTTGCAATTTTTCTGTTAAGAAGTGTAAAGTTTCTTTCTGTCTTTCTTCCTTCCTTCCTTTTTCTGTTTTTTTTTTTTTTTGGAGACGGAGTCTTGCTATGTCACCAGGCTGGAGTGCGGTGGCGCAATCTCGGCTCACTGCAATCTCCACCTCCTGGGTTCAAGTGATTCCCCTGCCTCAGCCTGCCAAGTAGCTGGGACTGCAGGCACATGCCACCACGCCTGGCTAATTTTTTGTATTTTAGTAGACACGGGATTTCACCATGTTGGCCAGGATGGTCTCGATATCCTGACCTCATGATCCGCCCGCCTCAGCCTCCCAAAGTGCTGGGATTACAGGTGTGAGCCACCACGCCCAGCCCTAAAGTTATTTCAATAAAGAATTTAAAATATATGGCCAGCCGTGGTGGCTCATGCCTGTAACTCCAGCACTTTGGGAGGCCAAGGCGGGAGGATCACTTGAGGTTAGAAGTTCGAGATCAGCCTGGACAACATGGCAAAACCCTGTCTCTACTAAATGCTGGGATTACAGGCATGAGCCACTGTACCTGGCCAATAATAAAATAATTCTACAACTTTGAAAATGTAAAGTCAGTCGGAGCCCTGAGCTTGTTTTCCTGCAACTAGATGGTCCCATCTGTGGGTGATGGGAGACAATGACAGATCATCAGGCATTAGATTCTCATAAGGAGTGTGAAACCTAATCCCTCTCATGCACAGTTCACAATGGGGTTCATGCTTCTGTGAGAACTGAATGCTGATGCTGATCTGACAAAGTGGAGCTCAGGCGGTAACGTCAGCGATGGGAGCGGCTGTAAATACAAATGAAGCTTTACTGGCTGGCCCGCTGCTCACCTCTGGCTATGTGGCCTGGTTCCTAACAGGCCACATTCTGTGGCCCGGGGGTTGGGGACCCCTGCTGTAAACGACGGTCTTGGTGTGGTCAGGAGCAGAGGCCCCTGGGAGCTGGTGCTCCACCTCCTTCAAGGTGCCGGACCTCAGCGGGGCCTGTGCTCTATCCACAAGCCTGCTTGCTTCTGGGTCCCGATTTTGTCTGTTAGTGCTTGTCTTCTTGTTGGAAGCCATCTCTTCCCTGGTGGGATGAATGAGCTATTAACAAATTATTTATTTATTTATTTAATTTTTTTTGGAGATGGAGTCTCGCTCTGTCGCCCAGGCTGGAGTGCAGTGGCACCATCTCAGCTCTCTGCAACCTCCGCCTCCCTGGTTCAAGCGACTCTCCTGCCTCAGCCTCCCAAGTAGCTGGGATTACAGGTGCGCACCACCACGAGCAGCTCATTTTTTTATATTTTTAGTAGAGATGGGGTTTCACCATGTTGGCCAGGCTGGTTTCGAACTCCTGACCTCAAGTGATCCACCCATCTCAGCCTCCCAAAGTGCTAGGATTACAACGTGAGCCACTGCATCTGGCTATATTTACTAGAGACAGGGTTTCACCATGTTGGCCAGGCTGGTCTCAAACTCCTGACCTCAAATGATCTGCCTGCCTCAGCCTCTCAAAATGCTCGGATTACAGGCATGAGCCCCTGCACATGGCCCCTTTGTTCCATTCTTTTATTTATTTATTTTAATTTTATTTTTTTAAGACAGAGTCTCGCTCTGTCGCCGAAGCTGGAGTGCAGTGGCGTGATCTCAGCTCACTGCAACCTCCTCCTTCCGAGTGCAAGCAATTCTCCTGCCTCAGCCTCCCAAGTAGCTGTGACTACAGGTGCACGCCACCATACCTGGCTAATTTGTTGTATTTTAGTAGAGATGGAGCTGCATCGTGTTGCCCAGGCTGGTCTCAAACCCCTGAGCTCAGGCAATCTGCCCACCTCGGCCTCCCAAAGTGCTAGGATTACAGGCATGAGCCACTGTGCCTGGCCATCGCATACTGTAAATAAACATTCAGACATGCAGAGGCTGCTAGCCTGGAGCACCTGTCAGTGACGGCAAGTCTTCCAGTCTGGACGGGCACAAAGTGGCTGTTATGTGAGCACATCCCTGGAGGGGCGGGATCCATGGGTGGTGAACACGGGGCCGTGCTCCCAGCCCTGCCCCGGGAGGGAAAGAATCTGGGCTGGAAGGTTTCCTGGGCCGCAGGCAGATGGAGGAACCCCGCGGCCCTGTGCTGGCTGCATTCTCACTGGTCTTCTGACGGGACGCCCTCGCCTGTCCAGGTGGTTCACTGTCATACTGCAGCAGGATGAGCCGCAGACAAAACTTTTCAGACACTGGATTCAAGAAGGAAGAGGTTTTTATTCGGCCGGGAGCGTCGGCAGACTTGCGTTTTAAGAGCTGAGCTCCTCGAAAAAGAAATTCTTGGCCTTTTTAAAGGGTTACAACTTTAAGGGGTCCACGTGAAAGAGTCGTGATACATCAAGCAAGCGTGGGAAACGTGACTGGGGGCAGCATCATCAGCTAACAGAACAGAAAGTCTTACAATGCTTTTTTCATAGTGCCTGGAATTTACAGATAACACAAGTAGTTTAGCTCAGGGGTTGATGTTATTATTATTACTTTTTTTAACTCCTAGGGCTGGGTGGTGGTGCCAAGGTTGTCTGGCTATTTATCTTACTTTTGTTTTTTTTTCTAACTTTTTGCTTCTTCTCTCCTCCTGTCTTGTGAACTAGGCAAGGTGCAGGGAGGAGGGCAGCAGGGGTAGTAGCGGTCTCCTTCCGTATCCCCCACTTTGAGAATTTTCACTAAGTAGTGGGAGTTCTCACTTTTATTTCTACTTTTTGAGTCTTTTTGTGAGACAGAGTGATCGTGTTTTATGTAATACACTTGCTCCTTCAAAACATGACATCCAGAGTGGATCATCTGAAACTCCTTCTTCCTCTTTGAGAAGAAAATAACAACTGAGGTCCCCAGTTCACTCTGCCAGAAGGAAAACATTAAGCTGAAAGCGGGGCCAAGTGAGAAACTGCCTTTCCTTTTGCTCCTCAGCAGGGTGCTACAGATAAAAGGTTAAACATCATTTATGCAGCCAAAAAACACATGAAAACATGCTCACCATCACTGGCCATCAGAGAAATGCAAATCAAAACCACAGTGAGATACCATCTCACACCAGTTAGAATGGCGATCATTAAAAAGTCAGGAAACAACAGGTGCTGGAGAGGATGTGGAGAAATAGGACACTTTCACACTGTTGGTGAGACTGTAAACTAGTTCAACCATTGTGGAAGTCGGTGTGGCGATTCCTCAGGGATCTAGAACTAGAAATACCATTTGACCCAGCCATCCCATTACTGGGTATATACCCAAAGGATTATAAATCATGCTGCTATAAAGACACATGCACACGTATGTTTACTGCAGCACTATTCACAATAGCAAAGACTTGGAACCAACCCAAATGTCCAACAACGATAGACTGGATTAAGAAAATGTGGCACATATACACCATGGAATACTATGCAGCCATAAAAAATGATGAGTTCATGTCCTTTGTAGGAACATGGATGAAACTGGAAATCATCATTCTCAGCAAACTATCGCAAGGACAAAAAAACCAAACACCGCATGTTCTCACTCATAGGTGGGAATTGAACAATGAGAACACACGGACACAGGAAGGGGAACATCACACTCTGAGGACTGTTGTGGGGTCGGGGGAGGGGGGAGGGATAGCATTAGGAGATATACCTAATGTTAAATGACGAGTTAATGGGTGCAGCACACCAACATGGCACATGTATACATATGTAACTAACCTGCACATTGTGCACATGTACCCTAAAACTTAAAGTATAATAATAATAAAAAAATAAATAAATAAAATTAAAAAAAGTTTAAATATCCACGGGTAAGGCATTCCAGGTTCACCTTCTCTTTTGTAAAGAGTGGATTTTTGGAGCACCGGCTCTTCCCCTGCCTGTTCCTTTTCTCTTGAAACTTGAGGATTCAACAATGTGACCACACCGTCCCTGTTTCCCCTCCAGCCCACTTTCCTCCTTTAAATACTGAAGGCCTAAAAGTCTTTTTTTTTTTTTTTTTTTTTCGGAGACAGAGTCTCACTCTGTCACCCAGGCTGCAGTGCAGTGGCGCGATCTCGGCTCACTGCAACCTCCACCTCCTGGGTTCAAGCGATTCTCCTGCCTCAGCCTCCCGAGTAGCTGGGACTACAGGTGCCCGCCACCACGCCCAGCTAATTTTTTTCTATTTTTAGTAGAGATGGGGTTTCACCATGTAGGTCAGGATGGTCTCGATCTCTTGACCTCGTGATCCACCCGCCTCGGCCTCCCAAAGTGCTGGGATTACAGGCGTGAGCCACCGCGCCCGGCCATGAATTTACCTAAATATTGGAGTAGTGTGCGCTGTGAGTCCGTGTGTGATGGGATCCCACTGCCTCACTGGACATTGTCTGAATTGACTTTCACTTAGAGCATGTTTATAAAGGGTAATTAAAATGTGCTAATCGGAAGCTGTATTAAAACTCACTGGCGATTGCAGCAACTGTTCAGCTTAGAATTTAGAGCAACAAAAGGTTTTTTTTAGGCGAGTGTTTTCTCACTGATATTGTACAGAAGGGTGACGCATGGTGTTAATAAAAGGCAGCGGGACTTTTAATTGGTGATGACTGTTTCTCAGTTCCCAGCACTCCCAGGCCTCTCGGGTCCTGCCAGCATGAGGCAGAGGGCGACGAGCCCACCCCTCAGGTGCGCCCACCCCTCAGGTGCACCCACCCCTCAGGCTGGCTCTGTGGGAGACCCCACCCTTGTCCTCTGCAGATTAGACAGACTCTGTGGGTGTGGACCCTGCCCTGCCCAGGTCCAGGTTAGATTCTGCGGGTGTGGACCCTCCCAGGCTCTGGTCCAGGTTAGAGTCTGCGGGTGTGGACCCTTCCCCTGCCCGGGTCCAGGTTAGAGTCCCTGGGTTTAGGCCCTGCCCCAGTCCAGGTTAGATTCTGTGGGTGTGGATGGACCCTGCCCTGCCTGGGTCCAGGTTAGAGTCCGCGGGTGCGGACCCCGCCCTGCCCGGGTCCAGGTTACAGTCCGCGGGTGCGGACCCCGCCCTGCCCGGGTCCAGGTTACAGTCCAAGGGTGTGGACCCCGCCCTGCCCGGGTCCAGGTTACAGTCCGCGGGTGTGGACCCTGCCCTGCCCAGGTCCAGGTTACAGTCCGCGGGTGTGGACCCCACCTGGGTCCAGGTTACAGTCTGTGGGTGTGGACCCCGCCCTGCCCGGGTCCAGGTTACAGTCTGTGGGTGTGGACCCTGCCCTGGCAGCGCAGGCGGCTGGCGCTGTGCTTGTCCCGGGCCACGCCTCTGGAGGCCTTTGCGTGATGGTGCCACCCTCTGGGCTCCTCCTGCCCCCGGACCTGGATCCCTGCGGGGAACCCTTCCGCATCCCACATCTCTGTCCTGCATCCCGGGATGGAGCCCACAGGGACCCCAGGAAAAGGCCCCGTAAAGGATTGGGGGCTCAGAGACATCCCCTGGACCCGGATCCCTGCACTGCAGACTGGGCAACAGAGCAAGACTCTCGTCTCCAGAAAAAAAAAAAAAAGGAAAAGAAAAAAGAAAAGAAAACAAAATATAAGGAAACTAACGTAAGGATGACAGTGCCAGCAATGAGCTAGGAAGAGAACATGGAGACGCCTAATAATAGATTCTTCTGTCTACAGTTACCTTGTTGTCAGCCAAGAGTGAGCACTGCCTTGTCTCCTAAGTGACACTTTCCAAGACATTAAGAGAAGCGTTGAGTAAATGCCTAAACACAAATGAGCAGGTGCTTTTCCCCTTGGGGCAGGTTCTAGGCCTCAGGGTCCAGGCCAGCTCCTGGAGCCATCATTTGCTTGTAAGAAGAGTCACAGGAGAGCGGCACAGACCCTTGGGTACAACATCAAGGACATGCCGAGGTCAAAGGAAGAAGGCGGAGAGGGTGAGGCCTGCGTGGAGGCTGCAGCCTCCTCTCTGTGAAAGGCACTGCCTGAGACCTCTTAAAATGCTTTTAAAAGGCTGGGCGCGGTGGCTCACGCCTGTAATGCCAGCATTTTGGGAGGCCCAGGTGGGTGAATCATTTGAGGTCAGGAGTTTGAGACCAGCCTGGCCAATGTGGTGAAACCCCATCTCTACTAAAAATACAAAAATCATTTGGGCATGGTGGTGGGCGCCTGTAGCCCTAGCTACTTGGGAGGCTGAGGCAGGAGAATCACTTGAACCCAGGAGGGAGAGGTTGCAGTGAGCTGAGATTGCAGCACTGCCCTCCAGCCTGGGTGACAGAGCGAGACTCCGTCTCAAAACAACAACAAACCATGGTATTCATAGCCCACCAGCCTGAGTAACATCCAGGGATTGTTTCTCTCTCTGACATCAGATGGACAATGCTATTTATAGAATTCTGGGCTGGGCACGGTGGCTCATGCCTGTAATCCCAGCACGTTGGGAGGCCAAGGCGGGTGGATCACGAGGTCAGGAGTTCGAGACCAGCCTGACCAACATGGTGAAACTCCATCTCTACTAAACAAACAAACAAAAAATACAAAAATTAGCCAGGTGTGGTGGCATGCGCCTGTAATCCCAGCTACTCAGGAGGCTGAGGCAGGAGAATTGCTCGAACCCAGGAGGTGGAGGTAGCGGTGAGCCGAGATCGCACCACTGCACTCCAGCTTGGGTGACAGAGCGAGACTCTGTCTCAAAAAAAAAAAAGAAAAAAAATAGAATTCTGGAAAATGGGGAGAAGTCAGGAGAAATATTCTATCGCTGTAAGAACGTGGGGTACAGTGCAGTTTCGTTACATGCATAGATTGCATTCTGGATACTGGTCAAGTCAGGGCTGTTGGGGATCCATCGCCCGAATATCATATGTTGTACCCACTAAGTCATTTTACATCATCCACTCCCTTTTCTCCCTTCACCCTTCTGAGTCTCCACTGTCTATCATTCTCTATGTCCACGTGTTCACATTTTCTAGCACCCACTCATGAGTCAAAATATGTGGTATTTGACTTTCTGCACCTGGCTTGTTTCACTAAGATCATGGCCTCCAGTTCCATCTATGTTGCTGCAAAAGTCAGGATCTCGTTCTTTTTTTTGAGACGGAGTCTGGCTCTGTCACCCAGGCTGGAGTGCAGTGGCACGATCTCCACTCACTGCAAGCTCCGCCTCCCGGGTTCACGCCATTCTCCTGCCTCAGCCTCCCAAGTAGCTGGGACTACAGGCGCCCGCCACCACGCCCGGCTAATTTTTTTTTTGTATTTTTAGTAGAGACGGGGTTTCACCGTGTTAGCCAGGATGGTCTCTATCTCCTGACCTTGTGATCTGCCCGCCTCGGCCTCCCAAAGTGCTGGGATTACAGGCGTGAGCCACTGCGCCCGGCTGGTGTTTTATTTTTTTGTAGCTATTATAAGTGTGATTGCCTTGATTTCTTTGTCAACTAGATCATTATTAACGGACAGAAATACTACTGATCTGTGTATGTTGATTTTGTATTCTGCAGCTTAACTGCATTCATCCCATCTAAGAGCTTTTTGGAAGGTTTTCTAGATATATGATCATATCATCAGCAAATGGGGATAATTTGACTTATTTTCCAATTTAGATGCCTTTTATTTCTTTCTCTTGCCTGATTGCTCTGGCTAGGATGAAAGATTTATCTTTAAAGAAAATTTAACTAAGTTCTCAGGCTAGTGAGGAGACACCTGGTAGTGGAAAATCAAGTGCTCAGTAAAAGGGACACCGCCCGGCCTGCTCCCACCTGGAGAAGAGCCTCCAAGAGCACTCAGGCTGAGCCTGTGTCTTCCATGCTTAGCCAGGTGACTGTTTTTGAAGTGTGATTTTTTCATTATAAAAACTCATGCAGAATTCACACATACACAAGTAGAGAGAATAATATAATAAACATAAAGAGCCTCCATATAGTCATCATTGATTCGGTGATTTAAAAAGGAGTAGGCTGGGCACAGCGGCTCATGCCTGTCCTCCCAGCACTTTGGGAGGCTGAGTTAGGAGGTTCGTTTCAGCCGGAGAGTTCGAGACCAGTCTGGGCAACATAGTGAGAACTCGTCTCTACTAAAAATAAAAAATTAGCTGGGGGTGGTGGTGTGCATCTGTAGTCCCAGTTACTCCGGAGGCTGAGGCGGGAGGATCGCTTGAGCTTGGGAGGCTGGGGCTGCAGTGAGCTGTGAGGGCACCCTTGTGCTCCAGCCTGGGTGACAGAGTGAGACCCTGGCTCAGAGGAAAAAAGAAAGGACTATAGAACAGCTTTGCCTGTTCTCGAGTTCCATATAAATTATATGAGATACAGTCTTTCCTCACTGGCCTGGTGTCTGTGGGAGCTGTCTCCGTTGCAGTGTGCCCTGTCGTTCGACTACAGAATCGTATTCTGTTGTCTGGATAGACTGTAGTTTGTTTATACTGCAGATGGACTGTTGATGGACATTTGGGTTTTTTCCAATTTGAGGCTAGAATAAAGCTGCTATGAGCACTTGGCTACAAGTCTCTGCATTTTCATTTCTCAATAAGACAAGTTTTGTTTGTTTGCTTTGAGATGGGGTCTTGTTCTGTCACCCAGGCTGGAGTGCCATGATGCCATCAAGACCCACTGCAGCCTCCACTTTCAGGTTCAAGCAATCCTCCTGCCTCAGCCTCCCAAAGTGTTGCGATTACAGCCGTGGGCCACCACACCCTGCCCAAGACAACTTTCTGATAAAGCTTTTGCTTTGACATCCTGAACACCCTTCCCTGGGACAGGGGTTCGTGATACAGAAGAAACAAGTGTGCTGACTTGTGAGCCGAGAACAGCATCAGGTGTCAGTGAGGCTTCGATTACAGGTTAGTCTCAGCAGAGTTGTTTTTGACTGGGTAATAAATACGTGCACTAAAAGTAAATTCCATGGTACCGAGAGGAGTAAATTCCATGGAACCGAGAGGAGTAAATTCCATGGTACCAAGAGGTAAAGACTGGACTCTCACTCCAGTCCCTGGGGCACTCAGGTCCCTTCTCCAGAGGCCTCACTGTTCAACTGGTTTCTTTTGTCCCCTCCAGAAATTTTTTATGCCTAAGCAAAAGAAGCAGCTCCCTTTTTTTTTTTTCTTCAGACGGAGTCTCACTTTGTCGCCCAGGCTGGAGTGCAGTGGCAAGATCTCGGCTCACCACAACCTCCACCTCCCAGGTTCAAGCAATTCTCCTGCCTCAGCCTCCCGAGTAGCTGGGATTACAGGTATGCGCCACCACACCCAGCTAATTTTTGTAGTTTTAGTAGAGACGGGGTTTCACTATGTTGGCCAGGCTGGTCTCGAACTGCTGACCTCGTGATCTGCCCGCCTCGGCCTCACAAAGTGCTGGGATTTCAGGCGTGAACCACCGCACCCAGCCTGTGCTCCTTGTTTTTTAAAATTAACAATGTGTTTTGGAGATCATCCCATACTGATATAGAAGGCTGTCTTTGGCTACAAAAAGGTGAGTGTTTTTTCTTCAACCAACCAGCTCCCACCCTCCAGTAACCTCAGCTCTTCATTTAGGTCACAGAAAGGGGATTACAAAGGGAAGTAGAAATTGCCTTTGAATCACAGTGTAGGTAAGAACAAATAGATGAGTTGTTTTTATTTATTTTTTTGAGACAGAGTCTCACTCTGTCACCCAGGCTGGAGTGCAGTGGCGTGATCTCAGCTCACTGTAACGTCCGTCTCCTGGGTTCAAGCAATTCTCTCACCTCAGCTTACTGAGTAGCTTTGATACAAGCGCCCACCACCAGCCCCGGCTAATTTTTGTATTTTCAGTATAGATGAGGTTTCACTATCTTGGCCAGGCTGGTCTTGAACTCCTGACCTCAAGTGATCCACCAGCCTTTGGCTTCCCAAAGTGCTGGGATTACAGGCATAAGCAACCGTGCCTGGCCTATGACAAGAGCTTTTTGTTTGTTTGTTTGAGATGGGGTCTCGCACGATTGCCCAGGTTGGAGTGCAGTGGTGCAATCGTAGCTCACTACAGCCTCAACATCCTAGGCCCAGGAGATCCTCCCGCCTCTGCCTCCCGAGTAGCTGGAATTACAGGTATGCACCAACATGCCAGGTTAGTTTTTTTTTTTTTTTTTTCTGGAGAGACAGGGTCTCCTTATGATTCCCAAGCTGGGCTCAAGCGACCCTCCCACCTTGGCCTCCCAAAGTGCTGGGATTACAGGCGTGAGCCACTGTGCCTGGCAACAACAGCTTTTTGAGCTTCAGGAACTGAAGACTTTGTGTCCTTGGGTTAGGCAAAGATTTCCTAGATACAACACCAAAAGCACAATCCATTAAAAAAGAAATTGATAAATTAGACTTCATTCAAAATAAAAAGCTTATCTTCTTCAAACGACATTGTTAAAATAATGAAAAGACAAGCTATGGAATGAGAGAAAATATTTGCAAATCATAGATATATGATAAAGGACTTGTACCTAGAATATATGAAGAATTCTCAATATTCAGGAAGAACACAACCCAGTTTTGTCTAAATGGGCAAGATATTTGTATTAGTCCGTTCTCACATTGCCATAAAGAACTACCTGAGACTGGCTTGTTTATGAAGAAAAGAGGTTTAATTGACTCACAGTTCTCCATGGGTGGGGAGGCCTCAGGAAACTTCCAATCATGGCAGAAGGTGAAGGGGAACCAGGCACATCTTCACATGGCGACGGGAGAGAGAAGGCACACTTTTAAACAACCAGATCTCATAAGAACTCACTATCATGAGAACAGCAAGGGAGAAATCCATCCCCATGATCCAATCACCTCCCACCAGGTCCTTCCCTCAACACTGGGAATTATAGTTCAACATGAGATTTGGGTGGGGACACTCAGCCAAACCATGTCAATATTTAAAAAGACTCTTCACCAAAAAAGATACACAGATGGCAAATAAGCATATGAAAAGATGCTCAGCCTCATTAGACATTAGGGAAATGCAAACTAAAACCATAATGAGATACAACTATGTACCTATTAAAATGGCTAAAATTAAAAACTGATTAGCTAGTGTTGGCAAATATGGGAGGAACTGGAATTCTTGCACAGGGCTGGTGGAAATGGTCCCGCCACTCTGGAAAATAGAATGGTAGTTTCTTAAAAATTTAGTATACATCCACCATGACTGCCATTCTACTAGATGTTTATCCAAGAGAAATGAAAGTACCTATCCATACAAAGACATGTACACAAATGTTGGAAGAAGCTTTATTTGTAATAGCCAAAACCTGGAAAGACCTCAAACACACGTCAAAAGCTGAGTGGGTGAACACACTGTGGCTTATCTATAGAATGGAATATTACGCAGCAGCAAAAAGGAATGAACTATTGATGGACACCCCAACATAGATGGACATCAAAACTGATGAGTGAAAGAGGCAAGACAAAAAAAGTACATGTTGTATTAATGCACTCATTTATGATTTACAAAATTTTTTTTTTAAACAAGGTCTCACTTGTTTAAAAAAAGTGAGTGCAATCTTGGGTAACTGCAGCTTCGATTTCTCAGGCTCGGGTGATTCTTCCATCTCAGACTCCTGAGTAGCTCAGACTGCAGGTGTGCGCCACCATGCCCACTCATTTTTAAAATTTTTTTGTAGAGACGGGGTTTCCCAATGCTGTCCAGGCTGGTCTTGAATTCCTGGCCTCAAGAGATCTGCCCGCCTTGGCCTCCCAAAGTGCTGGGATTACAGGCATGGGCCACCAACACGCCCGGCTCATTTTAAAAATTTTTGGTAGAGATGGGGTCTCCCTCTGTTCCCCAGGCTGGTCTCGAACTCCTGGGCTCAAGTGATCCTCTCCACTCAGCATCCCAAAGTGCTGGATTTTACAGGCATGAACCACCACACCCGGCCTATCAACATTTCAAAGAATTAAGTGGAGAGGGACGTAATGCCTCTTGGGTGTCTGTGAACCCTTGTAGGCTGGGTTTCCGTCTTTCTCTGAACACACGCACCTGTGGACGTGCCAGGTCCCTGGGAGCTCCCTTTACAGATGTGTAGAGACGGAGCGGCAGCGCTGATGTCTCTTCCCATGCTGTGGCCCCAGCATGCAGGGCGAGGGACGGCCCAGGGGTTGGTGCACTTGCGTCCGAGGGGTCGAGGGGCCCCTCACACGTGTGTCCTCTCGGGCAAGCTCCCTGCCATTCATTTCTGGGTCTTGTGACAGAGACAGACGACGGAGCCTCGTGCTGGATGGGAGCTGGATGGGAACTGCTTGGTGCACAGGTGGGGGTCCTCCCAGTCCGCAGCCTCAGAATCACCTGCAGGGCTGACTGCGGCCCACCTGTCTCTGCCTCAGTAGGTCTGGCCTGAGGCCCTGCAATGTGCCTTTCTAACAAGCTTCCAGGTGAGGCTGCTGCCACTGGCTCCATCGCCACCAAGGACCACCGACCCAGGGGCTCTTGAGGGCTCTTCAAGGATGTGGCAGAAGCCACAGAGGTCAAAGGGCACACAAGGAAGAGGTGGAAGACCACCCCTGAGGGCCCCCGAAATCCCTGTGGCCACGAGTTACAGAAGCTGGCGCAGGGAACAGCCATGACGGTGCAACTCTGAAGGGGACCAGAGGGTGGCGAGGGTGTCTAGGGCAGGGGATGTGAGTCCATGGGGCAGGCTCAGCTATACATGCTGACCTCCCAATCCGGACACTCCAGCCATCCCCAAGGCTGAACTCCCCCAACCCTGACACCCCCCAGGGGTGACCTCCCCTAACCCAGACACCCCCCAAGAGTGACCTCCTCCCACCCTGACTCCCCCCAAGAGTGACCTCCCCCAACTCAGACACCCCCCAAGGCTGACCTCCCCCAACCCAGACACCCCCCAAGGCTGACCTCCCCCAACCCAGACACCCCCCAAGGCTGACCTCCCCCAACCCAGACACCACAAGGCTGACCTCCCCCAAACCAGATACCCCCCAAGGCTGACCTCACCCAACCCTGACACCCTCCGAGGTTCACCTCCCTCAACCCAGACACCCCCCAAGGCTGACCTCTCCACCCCGGCGTCCCCCCCAGGCTGACCTCCCACAACCTGGACACCCCAGCCACCCCCAAGGCTGACCTCCCCCAAGGCTGACCTCCCCCACCCAGACAATCCCAAAGGTGACCTTCCCCCACCCAGACAAAACACCCTCCATCAAGGTTGACGTCCCCCAACTCTGAAACCAACCCCCATCCAGATTGACCTCTCTGCACCTGGACACCCCACCTGCCAACCAGGCTGACCTCCCCCTACCCAGACACCCCCAAGGCTGGCCTGCCCTCACCCTGATGCCCCCCAAGGCTGACCTCACCCGACCCTGACACCCCCCAAGGCTGACCTCCCCAACCATGACACCCCTCCCAACGCTGGCCTGCCCTCACCCTGATGATGCCCCCCAAGGCTGACCTCCCCCAACCCTGACACCCCCCCAAGGCTGGCCTGCCCTCACCCTGATGCCCCAGCCCCTCTCAAGGTGAGTCCTATGGGGCCCTCCTTACCAGGGGTGTTCCCCGAACGTGTTGGGAGCTCCTGCCCCCTGGTGTCCAGAGCGGGCACTACGACACCCCACAGAGGAACTCTGGAATTCTAGAGGCTGGGATCCCTGCCTGACATGTCGGTTAGTTACCAACTCACAAAGTCAGGCATACACAATCATTAAAACAAACATTTTTAATTAAATTTTCAAACATGAAAGTATAAACGTTAATATTTGTTGAAAAATATATACGGCATTTCCCCCGTGTGAACACAATGGCTTCCGGTAACACTACCCACTTACAATGAGATCTTTTAGGCACTTGGGTGTAGAATGTGCGAGAGGGAAATGCAACTTTACTTTCCTGCTACCTATAGGGGCAACCACAATTAGATCTCATGAAATATTGTTTTCAACACTGTTAGCATTAACACCGACTTAAAACATACGGTGACCGGACATATAACCTTTAAAGTCCCAGTATATTTAAAACAGGAGAAATCTGATAAGTTGTTAGGATTCTAAATTCCTTTTAGTCTGTTCACTGAGATATTAAATTTCAGTAGACAGAACCCAAAAAGAGATTTCATTTCTTTCTAATCACTTTGGCTTCTTTCTTTTTTGTTAAGTAGGTAAAAACCTTCTTGGTGGGCACCTAAGCAGGATGCAGCCAATAGTTCATGAACCAGCTGCGCACGTGAGGCTTAAAATCTAAGATGCTGCTGAAGTGGCTGCGGGAGGAGCGGCTGCGACTTACTTTTAATTTCAAATCAGCTGCAGATGTTTGGGAGCCCTCTCGATGAACAGAACAAATCACATAACATGCAGAATCCACTCAGAGGCTGTTATTCCAGGGAAAGAGTGGGCAGGTGTCCTGAGGAGTACATTCTTGCTGTCACAGTCTCACTGCTGGCACAGAGGTGCCTTGTTTATGAGATTTAAAGGCCACAAACTCTGGCTCAGGTGGGGACAAGGGTGTGCCGTGGCTGAAACCAGCGTGGTCACTGTGTGGCTGGCACGGCCTGCACATGCTGCAGGAGCTGCTCGCAGTAGGTGGCCGAGCGGTGCTTGTGGATGACGGCCTCCGTCTCCCTCACCAGGAGATCTGGGAACAGCCCGCTGCCCTCTTTGAGGACCTCTGTAAAACAGAAAAACACCTTGAACATGCCAGAAACAAACATGAAACCAATCTTACCTCTCGTGCAAATTGGCTTTGTAGTGAAGTTCAAGCATCTGTAAAAGCATCTGCAAATAACCTGACGCTGCTGGGTGGACATACAGTAGTCACAATGCGGATACGAGTGATCCGACTCACAATGTGGGGACGAATGACCTGACGCTGCTGGATGGGGACACAGTAGTCACAATGTGGATACGAGTGACCCGACTCACAATCTGGGGACGAATGACCTGACGCTGCTGGATGGGGACCCAGTAGTCACAATGTGGATACGAATGACCTGATCCTGCTGGATGGGTGTCCAGCGATCATAATGTGGATACAAGTGACCTGATGCTGCTGGCCACGTGCACGGCAGTCCCAGTGTGGACACGAGCGACCTGATGCAGCGGATGGGTGCACAGTAGTCATAACGTGGATATAAGTAAGCTGACACTCTGGACGGGTGGACGGCAGTCAGAATGTGGATACGAATGACCTGAGTCACAACGTGGACAAGTGACCTGATGCTGCATGGTCACTATGTGAATATGAGGAACCTGATGCTGCTGGGTGGGTGCACGGCAGTCACAACGTGCATTCAAAGAACTGAAAATCGCCTCCTGGCAGTTGTGGGCAGACCATGAAATGATGTCCTGCAGAGTCTTCAGGTGGCATTTTTGGGCTTAGAAACAGGTTTCACAGGAGCAAATAGGCTCAGAAAAACAGGCGACTTTCTTATCCAATTTGCGGATGCCAATTCACCTGCCGCAGTGACTGCAAACCTCCCACGGGCCAGGCATCACCGACACAGCCGGAAATGAACCCATGCTTACGGAGGGTTCATCGGGAAGCAGTGGCCGATGATGAAAATCAGGAAGGCAAACGTGTCAGGGGCTCGTGGTGGTGTGTGTGATGGGGGCAGTGGGAGCTGCAGGGGTGGGGGCCAGAAAGGGTTGGGCGTGTCTAGCTGAGGCAGGAAGAGGATGGGGAGGTTGCTGCAGTGGCTGGGGAGTCTATCAGATTCTGCTGGGAGTTAAGAGGGGGTCCAGGAGGACCTCAAGGTCTCCGCCTTCAGTCTTGAGGACAGATGGCCACTGAGCCACTGAGGGTGGCGGAACCCGGCAGGCAGTCAGGGAGGGGGGTAGCGGCCCAGGGTTCGGCACCAGGCAGCTGCACTTGTGTGTGGAGCTGAGGCCAGGAGAAGAGCTCTGAGGGAGCGGTGCAGACACAGCAGAGGAGCAGTGAGGGGCCCACATGGGCGAGGGAAAGACCAAGAGACTGAGCACGGGCGTCCCGCAGCCAGAGGAGGGTGCGTGGCCGCCAGCTGTGCCTGGCGCTGCTCAGAGGTGCAGGCAGGTGGACGGCTGCAGATGCCTGCCATGGGCCCAGGGCCTCGAGGAGGGGTAAGGCGGGCTGCTTCCAGGGAGCCTGCTGCCAGGCGGATGTGCGGTGGGGGAGGTGGGGGAGGTGGGGGCGGCGTACAGGGCATCTGTGTTTTGTTTTTTTAAAGACAGGAGAAAGAATGGCCTGTACCGTGCAGTGGGGAAGGGAGATGCCCTGTGCAGTCCTGGGGAGGCGAGAGGGCCGGGGCTGCAGGCTGAGCTGGTGCACAGGGGCACTGGTCTCCTCGGCCTAGAGCAAGGTCCTGAGGACGAGTGAGGCTGAGGCTGAGAGTAGGAGAAGCTCAGAACTCGGGTTGATGGTGTGTAGTGCAGGACAGGAGAGCTGGGAGGGCGCAGGCAGGGCTGGGATTTGCCAGGGAGTGTGGGGAGCTGGGGGCGTTGCGTGGATCTGGCAGGATGGGCTGTCCCAGCGAGGCCTGCACGTGAGCTGCTGTCCTCCTTTTAAACAATTTCCAATTGGTCTCCAATTCGCAGCTTCTTTCCGTGACCTGGAGAGACCACGGGCCCCGCCGTGGATCAATGGGCTCTGGGGCTCCCTCACTGGCTGACAACCTGATTCCACGACTCAAGGCAGGGGCTCCCGACATGGGCTCCAAGGCCCTCGGGGTCCCCAGGACCCTTCAGAGGGTCTGTGAGTCAAAGCCAGGCATGTGGTCGCACGCAGAGCATGCCCGGCCTGCCCGTCACTGTGCTCACACCTGCGCAGATGCGGGAGCAGCTGAGGCCCACGCCCCCTGCCACACTCACCCTCGAGCACACGGCTTCACCTGCCACACTCACCCTCACGCACACGGCTTACACCCGCGAGTGGGCACCAGGTGCACCGCTTCACACGGAGGACCAGGGTCGTGCAGCAGAGCTGCTTTTCCCAGGAAGAATGGCGGACGGACGAGCAGTGCACCCACCCTGGCTGTGCGGACGCGGGATCTGGCAGAGCACGGCGTGAAAGTGAACGGCCCAAGTCCCTCACTCCCAGAACAACCGACAGGGTTTGTGGCCGAGGATACAAGTCAAGCTCTCACACAAAAAATCACAATGAGCCAAAGCTTGGCCCTGCCACCACAAGCCGGACTCTTCTGAGCCTGGTGCCCACGCAGGAGAGTTTCTGACGTTGCGTAACAAGAGCAGCCACCCCAGGACGATCCGAGTTTCTGATGCCGCCGGAGGGGAGGTGGCCACGCCAGGAAGATCGAGTTTCTGACGTTGTGTGAGGGGACGCGGCCACGCCAGGAAGGTCCGAGTTTCTGATGCCGCCGGATGGGAGGTGGCCATGGCAGGAAGACCGAGTTTCTGACGCTGCGTGACGGGAGGCGGCCACGCCAGGAAGATCGAGTTTCTGACGCTGCGTGACGGGAGGCGGCCACGCCAGGAAGATCGAGTTTCTGACGCTGCGTGACGGGAGGCGGCCACGCCAGGAAGATCGAGTTTCTGACGCTGCGTGACGGGAGGCGGCCACGCCAGGAATATCGAGTTTCTGACGCTGCGTAACGGGACGCGGCCACGCCGGGAAGATCCGAGTTTCTGACGCCGCGTGACGGGAGGCGGCCACACCAGGAAGATGCGAGTTTCTGACGCCGCGTGACGGGACGCGGCCACGCCGGGAAGATCCGAGTTTCTGACGCCGCGTGACGGGAGGCGGCCACACCAGGAAGATGCGAGTTTCTGACGCCGCGTGAGGGGAGGCGGCCACGCCGGGAAGATGCGAGTTTCTGACGCCGCGTGACGGGAGGCGGCCACGCCGCGAAGAGCCGAGTTTCTGACGCCGCGTGACGGGAGGCGGCCACGCCAGGAAGATCCGAGTTTCTGATGCCGCGTGTCGGGAGGTGGCCACGCCGCGAAGATCCGAGTTTCTGACGCCGCGCGACGGGAGGCGGCCACGCCAGGAAGATCCGAGTTTCTGACGCCGCGTGTCGGGAGGCGGCCACGCCGCGAAGATCCGAGTTTCTGACGCTGCGCGACGGGAGGCGGCCACACCAGGAAGATCCGACATCGCATAACCGGATGTAGCCACGCCGGGAAACCGGACGCAGCTGCGCGGGGAAGGTCTAAGTATTTTCCAAAGGAGGCAAAAGGCAAAGTCAGCACATCCAGGCCCAAAGCTTCCACACAGCAAAGGGAAGAATGAGCAGAGTACAGCCGCAGGGACAGCCCGCGGGTACGGGATGGGAGACTGTATCTTAGAACCGCCGCCTGACAAGGATTAATCACTGGAATATATGAGGAGCTCAGGCTCAATAGCAGACAATCTAATAATCCAATTAAAAATGGGTAAAAGACCTGAACAGACAGCTCTCAAAAGACAGCATGGAAATGACAAACAGGCGTCTGAAAAGGTGCCCACCACCACCGCTCCTCAGAGAAATGCACATAGAAACAAGTGAGACATCCTCTGACCCCAGTTAAAATGGCTGCGGAAACAAGTCCCGGCGCGGATGTGGAGACAAGGGAACCCTCACGCTGCTGGTGGGAATGTAAATGAGCACCGCTGGGAGAACAGTCTGGAGGTCCCTCCAAAACTAAAAATAGAGCCCCATACAGCCCGGCAATCCCACTTCTGGGCAAATACCCAAAAGAGAGGAATTCAGCTATGGGGGAGAGCTGCACGCGCACGCCGAATGCCCCACTGTTCCGACAGCCAAGGTGTGGAAGCAACCGGGGTGTCCACGGACAGATGAAGGGAGAAGGAAAACGTGGAGCGCACGCAGTGGAATATTATCCGGCCACAAAAGAAATGAGATCCAGTCATTGGATCAACATGGAGGGAAGTGGAGGTCGCTATGTTAAGTGAAATAAGTCAGGCACAGAAGGGCAAATTCCGCACATTCTCATTTGTGGGAACTAAAAATAAAAATAATTCAACTCATGGAGATAGAGCAGAAGGATGGCTCCCAGAGGCTCGGAAGAGGAATGGGGCCGGGGGAAGAGGTGGGGATGGTTAATGAGTACAAAAACAGAATGAGTAAGATTTAGTATTTGATAGCACAACAGGGTGACTATGGTCAACAATAATTTATCACACATTTAAACATAACGAAAAGTATCACTGAATTATTTGTAACACAAAGAAAGTGTAAGTGTTTGAAGTGACGGGGACCCCATTTCCCCAATGTGATTTACACACACTGCATGCCTGTATCACAGTATCACACATGCCTTATATACACCTATGTGTACCCACAAAAATTAAAAATACAAATTTTATTAAAAAAAAGAACAACGTCATTATATTCACCAACAACAAAACAAAACAAAAAAAAAAAAAAGAAAAAAAAAAGCAAATCGTTACATTCCAAGTGTGAGATGGACCAGCGGATTTTAATGCACTGAGCGTGGAAGGCTCTGTGGTGTGTGGCCTCAGGCCCTGTGCTGTGAGTGACCTTCAAGGGACGGCCTGTGTCGCTGTTGGCGTGGTATTGAAGAAGTCCCACGCCTATCTGAAAAGGCTACTAAAATACTCTTCTTTTGTCCAACTACACTTGAAGCCACAGGCGAGGCCAGATTATTTTCCACGTATTTCAGCCAGAGCCATACACATCATGACTGACTGTATGGAAGATGTGAAAGTCCAGTGTCTTCCATCAAGCTACACATTTAAGACATTTGCAAAAATCGTTCTTGCAGATGATTTTGTTTTGGAAAGTATTTTTCAAAAACACAAGCCATCTGTGTCAATATATACTGGGCTTACTATTGTTATTTTAAACAACTAACAAGTATTCTAGAATACTCTCAGTTTTGATTTCTGTTAGAGGAAATGTCAGCAGCTATCACCACAAAGACAGCCGCTCTCAGGGTTTGCCAAGAACTCAAGAGTGTGCCAGGCCGGAGCTGAGGCCCCTCCTGTGCCCCAGGGCCCTGTGGCCGGTCACACGGCTCAGCTACAGATGCCCGTGGCAGGCGCCGAAAGCAGGCATCGGAACGAAGGCCAAGCCGTCGGAGTCTCACCTAAAATTGCATCCTGGATGGCCCTCTCTGGATCGTCAAGGTGAACCAGCAACTCTCGGTACAGGTACTGGACACTGCTCTGATAGTAGGATTTTGCGTTGGCACCCTTGACACACTGCAGCCAGGTGACCAAGGTGGAGGCGGCTGCCATCCTCACATCGTTGGACACGTCATCTAGGCGTTTTAAGAGTTCTGGAAGGAGGGAGCGAGACAGGTGTGTGAGTCTAGAGCAGACATTTCACGTCTAAACGTCCACAAAGGCATTTAGTTCATACTCCCATGGGACACCTGCCCTGGGGTCCTAAGAAACCCACACCTCACGGGAGACTCCGTGCATCCCGAGCCACATGCAAGGTGCTCCTGGCGACCTGGGACCCCTGAACCCCAGCCAACAGAGTGGAGGCGGCCCAGGCCCTGCTGCGGCCCCTGTAATAACCTGTCCTGCAGGCGCAGAGCCTCCCTGTAGCTGTAGCTGTGTGCTCACCTGGTCCTCCACCTCCTCGCAGCTGTGTGCTCACCTGGCCCTCCACCTCCTGCTCCCAGATGCTCAGATCCCCGAGCTGGCCACCCTGCCCAGCTCTGACCCTGCCCTCCCACCAGAGCTGAGGACTCAGTGACAGACAACCCCCTACTGTGGTCAGTTTTCTGCTGCTGAAAACAGAAGGATGATCCTTCCCGATGGGTAGAAACTTATGAGGTTAATGGACATAATTTTTATCAAATTTATGCTTTTTTTACATCATCTTAAAAAAACTTTGGCACCCCCTTCTGTGCAGCATCCGGAAATTCGCAGATGACTGAGTCGCAAAACCACCCGGAGGCCCATCTTCCCGACGCTGGGAGGGGCAGCTGCCCATGCCTGGCATGAGGCCCATCTTCCCGACGCTGGGAGGGGCGGCTGCCCGCGCCTGGCACCAGGCCCATCTTCCCGCTGCAGACGCGAGGGTGGGCTGGGTCTCTGATGCTTTTGCAATGTGGAGGGCATGATCCACCCTCAGCAAGAGGATCCTATGTAACGAAAGGCATGAAAAACATCCAAAGTTCAGGCCATCCTACCAAGCCAGGCTTTGAGACAAGTGGGACCCAGTGGGTTAATTCCTGGCAGATGCCCAGGCACTTCCCTGAGGGTTCTGGGCCCTGAGGGTGCTGGGCCTTCCAGCCACCAAACACAGGCACCAAGGAGGAAGCCACGGAGCACATCCAGGCATTATGGTGCCAAACCCTGAAGCAGCCCTGCACGGCAGGTGCCCTCACTGCACAGCGGGTATGCTCACTGCACAGCGGGAGCCCTCGCTGCATGGGGGGTGCTTTTGCTGCATGGGGGGTATGCTCACTGCACGGCAGGTGCCCTCACTGCACAGGGGGTATGCTCACTGCACGGCGGGAGCCCTCGCTGCACAGTGGGTGCCCTCGCTGCACGTGTCTCAGGAGGAAGGACGGAGTCAGATGCTCAACTCACCCAAGCTTGTCCCGCTAGCAAACATCTATGGGCCCGGACAGGATCCTCCGAGGCCTCCTGCTGGCGCGGTCGACTATGGAAGTACACAGAGTGGCACTGGCTATTGTGTTTTTACGATGGTCACTCCCTGGATGGCCTGCAGGTCCACTTTTGTACCAGTTTAGGGTTCCTTTCATGCACGACTAAGCCAGGCAGAATCGGCTCACGCTGGCCTGTCTGCTGTTCATGTTTGTGTCTGTCTGTCCTGGGAGGCCTGGATGTCTGTGCTCCCAACTCAGGACATCCTTCCTTCCCCACCAAGGAGGCCATGATTCATCCAACACTTCACCCTGGGAAGCCCAGAGCTGGCACTAATAGGCAAGGGGCCTCTCAAGGAACCTTTTGTAGTGAAAATAAACAGGGGGCCGTGGCCCAGATGCCCAAATGCGCTCAGATGCCCAAACGCGTGCAGCCTTTCCGCCAGCTCCTGTTTTAAAAAGTGAGTGAATTCCCAACAATCGCATGGACTGAACTTGTTCCAGAGTCAGTGGGAACAGGATGTTTGTTACTAAAGAATAAAAACAGAAAAGCAAAGGTGAGAGAATGAGTGACAAAGGCCCCCGGACCTCAGAGTTCAGCAGGCGGCGGTTTTTCTGCCCAGCGCCGTGTGTACTGTGAATCTGAAAATTCATGTCTGTCTCCAGTTCTGGAAGATTCTGAGGCACCATCTCTCCTCCATTCTCTTCTCCTGGGATTCAGAAAAGCCCGGGAGCCTCTCGGCCCACTCGGCACCTCTCTCCATCCCGTGTCCTCTGCCCGCTCCAGGCCCCGCGTCCCTCCCCGTCCCGTGTCCTTCGCCCACTCCAGGCCTTGCACCCCTCTCTGTCTCGTGATCTTGAGGAATTCCACATTCCTGGCTTTCACGTCACTAACTTTGTTTTCAGCCACATTCAGTCTAGAGTTGACCCAGTACACAGAGTGTGAAGTTCCGATGACTCCATTCATTTCCGGGAATTAGCAAGAACCATCTTTTAAAAACTGCTAAACATTTCTGGCATAAATACACAAAATATAGATAATCACATTAAGTAGAGCTAATCAGGAACGCCTGAGTGGCCGCTTCCCGCCCACCCCATCCCCTTTCTCCCTCGCTGGGTAACTCCTTTCCTCAAAGTAGTGCCAGCACACCATTCCGTGTCACTCCGGACTTCCCAGCGATCGCTTCCGTTTCCATCTGTTCTTTATTCCTGCTTGTCTTCTTGTTTCTCAACTTGTTTTTTAGTGGATGTTGTTCTTTTAGCTTTTTGAGGATCTTAAACACGCCTCAATAAAGGTAACTTTGAGGTGGTTCTATTATCGGCACTTCCTTCCCGGGCTGGGTGCGAGGCTGCCCTTAGCGCCGGGTCTTCGGTGTTCTGAGGTAGCAGTCCCCAACCTTTTTGGCACCAGGGGCTGGTTTCATGGAAGACAATTTTCCATGGACCAGGGGGTGAGATGGTTTCAGGATGAGTCACGTGCGTTACGTTTATTGTACACGTTATTTCTATGACTACATTGTAACATATAATGAGATAATTCTACAACTCATCATCCTGTAGAATCAGTGGGGGCCTGAGCTTGTTTTCCTGCAACTAGACGGTCCCATGTGGGGACGATGGGAGACAGTGACGGATCATCAGGCATTAGTTTCATAAGGAGCGTCAGCTTGGATCCCTCGCGTGCACAGTTCACAATAGGATTTGTGCTCCTATGAGAATCTAATGCCGTTGCCGATCTGACAGGAGGCAGAGCTCAGGTGGTAATGCAAAAGATGGGGAGCAGCCGTAAACACAGATGAAGTTTCGCTTGCCCACCTCTCACCTCCTGCTGTGCAGTCTGGTTCCTAACAGGACCCGGACAGGTACTGGCCCATGGCCTGGGTGGCGGGGGCCCTGTCCTGAGGGGTTTGTGTGCAGGCTGCCCTGAGTGAGGGGCTCTCTGAATTCATGACTCTGTTCAGTGCTGCTGCTTTTCGGGGGCTTCAAGCCAACCACCCCATTCCCCTCCCCAGTGCTTGCTCTCACCTGGGGTTGGTCTGGGGTTTGGGCTCCAGGAGGCGGCGACACTGAGGCTGTGCCCCTGGTCCTGCTGCAGGGTGGCCCGGCCCCGTCTCCCCACAGGCAGCTCCAGCCGCCCCACCCTGAGGTCCCCCTTCCCGGCCGCGTGGAAGCTGAGCCTTGTCACCCCCACCCAGTGCTGGTTTGGAGACCTCTGCCTTGCTTCTTGCTGTGCCGTTTAATTTGTGGTATTTCATCTGTCATTGCTGTTTGTTCTCATAGTACCAACTTGAACAGAAGTCAAAGATGAGCATTTTCTATTTTCTTTTTTTTTTGAGATGGAGTCTGGCTCTGTCACCCAGGCTGGAGTGCAATGGTGCGATCTTGGCTCACTGCAACCTCCACCTCCTGAGTTGAAGCGATTCTCTTGCCTCAGCCTCCTGAGTAGCTGGAACTACAGGCGCGCACCACCATGTCCAGCTAATTTTTTTATTTTTAGTAGAGACAGGGTCACCATTTTGGCCAGGATGGTTTCTATCTCTTGACTTTGTGATCCACCTGCCTCAGCCTCCCAAAGTGCTGGGATTACAGGCGTGAGCCACCGTGCCCGGCCACGTTTTCTGCTTTTTTTCTATAAAACAAGCCACCATCAAACTTAAATACAGTCGTCCCTTGGTATCTGTGGGGTTTGGTTCCAGGAATCCTCCTCCTCTAGGATACCAAAATCCTCAAATGCTCAAGTCTCTGATAAAAAAAGGCATAGTATTTGCACATGACCCACACACATCTTCCGGCACACCTTAAACTGTCTCTAGATTACGTTTAACGCTAAATGTAACATCCACACGACGCTTCCTTCACGTGGGTTCAACGTTGTTTTAAGGCAGAACGCAACGTCCACACGACGCTTCCTTCACGAGGGTCCAATGTTGTTTTAAGGCCGAATGCAATGTGTACATGATGCTTTCTTCATGCGGGTTCAACGTTGTACTTGGTGCCCAACAAATTCAAGCTTTGCTTTTTGGAACTGTGGAATTCTGCCCCCCAATACATACATATTTATATATGCAAATGTAAGTACAAATTTGTATTTGTATGTATAAATGCACAAACATGTATATATGTAGCCATACACACACACACACACACACACACACACCCCTACTTTTAAAGACAAGGTTTTGGTCTGTTGCCCAGGCTGGGCTCAAGCGATCCTCCTGCCTCAGCTTCCTGAGTAGCTGGGACTACAGGTGTGTGCCACCAGCCCTGGCTAATTTTTAAATTTTTTGTTGAGATCGGGGTATGGCTATGTTGCCCAGGCTGGTCTCAAATTCCTGGGCTCAAGCAACCCTCCTGCCTAAAGTGCTGGAATTAAAGGTGTGAACCACCACACCCAGCCCGAGATAGTTTTGATCTGAGTTTGGGTGACTCCATGGATGCAAACGGAACCCAGGGACACGGAGGGCTGACTGCATATACACAGGCTGTGAACAACAGAAATGTCCTACCAGGATAAATCCTGATGAGTTTCTCTGGATCCGTCATGCCGCCCGAGGTTTTTAAGAACGTGTTGATAATACGGCATGAGATCAGTCGCGTCATCTTCGAATCCTCCTCCAGGGTGGTCAGGACCTGGGGCATCAGTGTTTCCTGCACGTCCCGTATCTGCAATCAGCAAACACATACGACGTGACTCACATCTGTCCTGGGGTGGGGTGGGGGTGCTCACCATCCGTGCACTCCTGCCTGGAAGGACTTAGGGGGCTTGAAAGCTTTACCTAAAAAGTAGGCTTGAATCTTCATTGTAAAATTTAGATTTTGAGCAATTTTTAACTTGCTTACTTGATTTTTAGAAAATACGCACACTGTTCACAACTCCTAGGTGAGGCACTAACCCTAAACCAGGGTAATGGCTCGCCTGGGCCCCAAGGACGTGGGGCTTTCGGCTGGAGCACCGACCGCACCACCCCGCGTGCACCAGGAGGTGGCGCTGATGCTGCACGGGCGCCCAGGGCAGCGCCTTCCCGCCGGGCGGCGACCAGGACGCGGGCGGGCATCAGTGTCTGTTTTCTGACACCTGGTACCAGCCGGAGGTGTTCATAGAAACGATGCGGAAAGCCCAGGCCCGTCCTCTGGCCTGGATCCTGGGATTCGACTCCTGGTCTTGCAGCCAGCATTGGGCCGGAAACCGAGAAACCGCACGCTCATGAGCGGCTGCAAAACCCGCAGCACGACCGGGCTGGCTGGGCCCGCGGCCTGGCTCCCGCTCTCCCGCCTGCTGTCTGAACCGCAGCCCGGCCGCCGGCTCCTGCCCTTCCGCCGCCAGTGTGGGGAGAGCCTCTTGGGGTACGGGCCCCAGGTGGAGGTGCAGCTGCTGCCTGCCCAAGTTCCTGCTGCGGGAGCTCTGCCGGGCGCCAGGAAGCCTGCGCAGTCCCCGGCCGGTGTCCACCGAGCACGCAGGGAGCCCCGTACCTGCTCTGCCGACAGGACCTCGCTGCTGGTGAGCGCCCAGAGGCAGGACACGGCAGCCGTGCGGATGGCCGCGGCTGTCCTCCCCGCATGCCACTGCAGATTGGGGGCCAGGATGTCCTTTGTCACCGTCTCGAGGTAGCTGGGAAACTGCCTGGAACCGGAACGGAGAGGGTGGATGAGGAGACCGGACAGGTGCTCGGAAGAAACGTTTCAGACTAGGGATGAATGGGGCTGAGGGGGGAGCCAAACAGGAAAACGAACTCGACCCCAAAACACGAGGCCCCTCCTCCTCTCAGGAGCTGCTTCTCAGTGCGAATTGGGAGGTTCCTCCAGGCCCAACCCTACCGGGGAGACAGGGGTGCCTGTGCCCCTGGCCTCTCCTGCGGCCCGCGTAGGTCCTGTTCTCCAGAGGCGAGCCAGAGGCCCTGGGCCGAGGGTGCACTTTCAGCCCCTCGCCGCTCCTAGCTTCAAAAGGAGGCCTGAGTGACGCCTGGGCTAGGGCAGGTGCGGTGGTGTCGGCAGCACCCAGTGAGCCCCTTTCCCATCTGCATCCCTCCCCCAGAAAAAGGCCAAGTCTCTCCAGCCACAGAACCCTCTGTCCAGCAAGGACAGTCGCTGCGGCTTCACAGAGGCGGGATGGGAGGGCCACAGGCGCGGTCCGGGGACCCAAGGGCCACAGCTCAGAGAGACGGGCAGTTCCCACCCTGTCGGCGACTTCGTCCTGATGGTGACCAGTCAGGTCAAAGTGCCACCAAGACAAACTCAAAGCAAAATGACACACTCATTAGTGACATCCCAACACCACGGTATGTTTCAAAGGTGGCTCTGGTCTCCAAGACCAGCTCCACAGCCCGCAGCCCTCCAGCGTCCGTGAAGCCTGCACAGCGTCCCTTCCTCTTCTGGAGGCGCCACCGGCTTGCTCCTGGCAGGGGCCATGTTGGGACCAGCCAGGTAGATGAGCAGATGTGGAAAGTGACGTTGGTGTGGTGTGATTTACACGCATTCCGCGAGGTTTCTGGCGTGGGTTCGTTTTTAAGCAGAGCTGCCATTTTCGGCACCGTGACTTGCAAGAGGGCTCTCTGGAATGAACGAACCCAGCGCCTGCTCCATGGTCACCACATGAAATGGCCTGGAAGTCCTGGCCTTCAGGGTGTGGGGTCCAAGTGTGGGCCAGGCGTGCCACACGGGCGCCACCTAGGAGTGCTTAGGTTTTTTTAAATTTTTTTTTTTTTTTTTTTAATTTTGGGGTGAAGGATACTCAGCCTGTGTCTGACAGAAGCTCCATCAGAACTTCTGGGCATTGATCAGAACCACCATCGAACCACTGAATGAGGCACGTTCCTTTTTTTTGAGACAAAGTCTCGCTCTTGCTGCCCAGGCTGGAGTGAAATGGCGCAATCTCCGCTCACTGCAACCTCTGCCTCCCAGGTTCAAGTGATTCTCCTGCCTCAGCCTCCTGAGTAGCTGGGATCACAGGCACTTGCCACCATGCACTGGGGCCGGGTACAGCCAGGCCTGCAGGACCCCAAGACACTATAGTCCACGGGCAGCAGGGCTGGGCACAGCCAGACCCACAGGACCCGAAGACGCTGCAGAGCCGGGGAACGAGGGGCCCAGCGGCTGGTGCTCCGGGTTCCCTGCCCGAGCACATTCCTATTCACAGAGGGACTCGAGGTCCACTGTGGGGCTTGACTTCCAGAAACGGTGCAGCCTCAAAGCCAGGAGCCTCTTGCCCTGAACTCGCAGCCACTTCTCTGGAGCTTCTGTCAGACGCAGGCTGAGCATCCTTCACTTCAGAATGCAAAGTGCTCCAGGGTCTGACCATATCTGAGCACTGACATGATGCTCAAATGAAATACTCACTGGAGCATTTTGGATTTCTGAAGTTCGGATTAGGGATGCTCTACAATGCAATTACTACAGAATTTTAAGAAAACCTAAACACAACTAGTCCCGAGTGTCCCAGGTAAGACACAGAAAGCCTGTGGGAGGCAGCCCTGAGAACCTCTCATGATTCATGGTGTCCAAGGTGGAGACACCATGGCAGACGCAGCCCTCAGCCCTCTTGGGCACCCGCACAGCAGGGACCTGCGTACAGCCGGCGCTCACAGCTGCGGTCAGCAGGAAGGTGCTCTGCGCAGACGATGGTCAGTGGCGACTCCCCGCCCACCATTTCTACTTCAGCAGAGCCAACTTGCTATTTCATGATTCTAAAAATAAAAACCAAACGGATAAAAAAAAAAATCTTTCCTATTAAAATAGCTAGTAAGTTCATTAAAATCACTGCCATCTGAACACTTTACTTCTCTTGACGCCAACCGCCTTCCACAAGACGTTGTTAGGCGCACTTTCTTTGGGAACTCAGCCCAGATGTGGAAACTGTGCTCTGCAGAGTTAACTGTTCCTGGGCAGAACCTGCCCAGCGGTTCCTCCCAAAATACAGCCGAGTGTGAGTTCCAGAGGGAAGGGCCTGGACCCTGCTGTGTTATCTGCATGGCATCTACACAAATATCAGCCTGCAAGCTGGACAGCTGCCACGGCTCTCGGTTCATATCTTTCTATGGTCCGTTCTAAGCCCTGAAGTCTTTGAAGACAAGCAGGAAACAAAATTTCCTGCAGTACGACAGGCGGGCTGAGGCCCGAGAGCAGAGATGAGGGTCATGAAGGAGAAAAGTCTGAGCGCCTGGACTCTTTCCACATGAGGCTCTGGTGTGTGAACTGCTTTCCGCTTTGACAGATGTGCTGCTGGGGCGGGTCCCGGTGCTGACGCAGCCCAGATCCAGCCGCACAGGCGGGGGTAGGACCCAGCTGACGGCACCTTTTGCTCTGAGCAAAGTAAGTGGCAGGGCCCTAAGAGCTGCCTCAGCAGTGGCACCCGGGCGGGGCCTCTTCCTCCACTGTCCCTCCCAGTGCTCCTAGAGGGCACCCATGCTTCTTGCCCTTACTTCAAAGCCGTACACCTGGAGGCCCTAGACCCTCGGGGTCTTAATGCCACCTAAAAGTTGTCTTAGATAACAAAGAGGTATTTTTACCACTTTGACCATCAATAGAAATTCAATCAGTTGTTTGTTAGGTTTGAAAAGTGCCCAAAGGCTTTTAAAACAGAGAACAGCTAATACATAAGCCATTAACAGTTAATGTTCCCTAAAACTTTTTCATTCACTGGAATTTTAATGACCACACGGAGATGACTTTGACTTAGTGCTTCTCTGTGCATTCCCTGCCGAGAGCTTGTGTTTACCCAGTGAGGATGGACTAGCTGCTTCCAGGCCAGTTAAGCTCAGGGGTCACTGCACACGCCCACCTCAGACTTGGTGTGGGGAACCCTCACCCAGAGTGCTGTGGGGGAGGGAGGTGGGGACCCCCGGCCCACCTTAGACTCGGCGTGGGGGAGGGAGGTGGGGACCCCCGGCCCACCTTTGACTCAGTGTGGGGGAGGGAGATGGGGAACCCCTTGCGCAGTGCAGTGTTGGGGAAGGAGGTGGGAACCCCCTTGCTCAGTGAGCTGTTGGGGAGGGAGATGGGGACCCCTGGCCCAGGCCCCAGCTGGGGGCCGTGCAGAGGCAGAGCCCGGACCTACCCCTGGGAGTTGATGGTGTCCGTGGCTCTGAGCAGCACGGTGGACAGGATGGAGAACAGCTTCAGGCGCATCTGCGGGTCTTGGGAGGGCTGCAGACAGGCCCTCAGCGTGGGCACGACGTGTGGCAGGGCTTCTCCCAGGGCAGGGCCTGTAAGACACAACAGAGGCTCCTGTGCACGGCCCTCAGGAGACGGGAGGAGGCCCCATCCAGCACAGGCCCAGGCTCAGGCGCTCCCACCTGGGAGAGGGCACTATCGGCCACCACCTCCCCGCTTCCTCTTTCTCAATCAGTAAGGTGATTATCACAGAAAAGCAGCAGAAAATTTTAACCCCCCAAAATCACGTTTTTCCATATGAAAACCTATTTGGTCAGGCATGGTGGCTCATGCCTATAATCCCAGCACTTTGGGAGGCCAAGGAGGGAGGATCACCTGAGGTCCAGAGTTTGAGACCAGCCTGGTCAACATGGTGAAACCCCATCTCCACTAAAAATACAAAAATTACCCTAGCATGGTGGCATATACCTGTAGTCCCATCTACTTGGGAGGCTGAGGCAGGAGAATCACTTGAACCTGGGAGGTGGAGGTTGCAGTGAGCCGAGATCGTGCCACTGCACTCCAGCCTGGGTGACAAAGTGAGACTATGTCTCAAAAAAACAAAAACAAAAACAAAACCTGGACGTGGTGGCTCACGCCTATAATTCCAGCACTTTGGAAAGCCAAGATGGGTGACCTGAGGTCACCTGAGGTCGGGAGTTCGAGACCAGCCTGACCAACATGGAGAAAAATCCCATCTCTACTAAAAATACAAAATTAGCTGGGCGTGGTGGTGGGCGCCTGTAATCCCAGCTGCTTGACTGCTTGAACCCGTGAGGCGGAAGTTGCGGTGAGCTGAGATCGCACTATTGCACTCCAGCCTGGGCACCAAGAGCAAAACTCCATCTCAAAAACAAAACAACCTTCCATTTTTCTTAAACTTTTCTAAATTTTTTTGAAAAATTAAAGTCAAGCAATAGTTGAAACAACGACCAAAATCAATTGTTTCAGTGAAAGAACTTCTTTAATATCTGCTTCTCAGCGTTGCAGCCCTCACCCCGCCCACACTCAGGGCCAAGCTCCTGCACCGTGGCTGCTCTCCGGTGGGCGCGAGGCTTGGGCGCCTGCACTGTGCATCCTACGCCCCAAGGGGTCCCCACTGCAGTAGGGCCGCCCCGCCTCCCTGTAAGTCTCCATGAATGACAGGGCAAGGACAGCTCTGAGAGTCCCTGCAGCGTCTCCTGCCAGGCTCAGCCTGCAGGCCCAGGAGCTGAAGGCTCAGGGTGGGGACTGGGTTGGGGCCGCAGAAGGAGGCGCTCTGGCCCCGGGCCAGTGTAGAGGGAGCGTCCACTGGCTTATCCAAGCAACTGTGAGTCACCTTGAGCCGTTGCTGGGGACCTCGCGATGTGAGCCTTCTCCCTGGCGCCGCCAGTCATCAGAGCAGGCTGCTCGGTAGTGGACTGAGACCCCCGCACCTGCCCTTGCCACACGGAGACGCAATGTACTCGCTGCTCTGGCTCGAAGTCAGGCCTCGCGGTGAGACCAGCTGGTGTCTTGGAGGGCCTCCCCACGCAGCCGGGCAGGAGGCGTTGCACCGAAGCTGCTGGGACGCCTGACTTGAGCCTCCCGCCAGAGCACGAGTCTTGGGCCAAGTGCCGCCCTGCCACGAGAACCACGCTGCTTCTGACCCAGTTTCTGACTGTTTCACCCTCTCTACATCTTAAACTGGAAACAAGACAGTGTTTCTGGCTTAAAAACAAAAAGAAAACAGCCAAATGTCCACAGGTCAAGTCCAACTCCTGGGATGGGAAAAAGAAGCACGCTGACGGGTGAGCCACTTGCTGTCAAGAATGTTCAAACCTGACGCCTGGGCCACGTGTCTGCCTTCCCAGCATGAGCGCTCCTGCTTGCAGCACGGACACTTCTGCCCGGGCCACCCATCTGCCTTCCCAGCATGAGCGCTCCTGCTCGAGGTAGGCGTGGACACTTCCGCCTGGGCCACGTGTCTGCCCTCCCAGCACTAGCGCTCCTGCTTGCAGCACGGACACTTCCACTGGACCACTTGTCTGCCCTCCCAGCGCGAGCTCCTGCTCGCTGCACGGACACTTCCGCCCGGACCACGTGTCTGCCCTCCCAGCCGGAGCGCCCACTCGCAGCACAGACACTTCCGCCCGGACCACGTGTCTTCCCTCCCAGTGTGAGCTGCGGCTCACAGCACAGACACTTCCGCCAGGATCACGTGTCTGCCCTCCCAGCGAGAGCTCCTGCTCGCAGCACGGACACTTCCGCCCAGACCACGTGTCTCCCCTCCCAGCGCTAGCTCCTCCTCGCAGCACGGACACTTCCGCCCTGATCACGTGTCTCCCCTCCCAGTGCGAGCTCCTGCTGCAGCATGGACACTTCCGCCTGGACCACGTGTCTGCGCTCCCAGCCGCGAGCGCTCGCAGCATGGACACTTCCGCCCAGATCACCTGTCTCCGCTCCCAGCGCGAGCTCCCGCTCGCTGCACGGACACTTCCGCCCGGACCACGTGTCTGCCCTCCCAGCGCCAGCTCCTGCTCGCTGCAAGGACACTTCCGCCCGGGCCACGTGTCTACCTTCCAAGCACGAGCGCTCCTGCTGGCGGACACTTCTGCCCGGAGCCACGTGTCCGCCCTCCCAGCACTAGCGCTCCTGCTTGCAGCAGGGACACTTCCACCGGACCATGTGTCTGCCCTCCCAGCGTGAGCTCCTGCTCGCAGCAGGGACACTTCCACCCGGACCACGTGTCTGCCCTCCCAGCGGGAGCTCCTGCTGGCAGCACGGACACTTCCGCCCGGATCACGTGTCTCCCCTCCCAGCGCCAGCTCCGCCTCGCAGCACGGACACTTCCGCCCTGATCACGTGTCTCCCCTCCCAGTGCGAGTTCCTGCTTGCAGCACGGACACTTCTGCACTGGCTTCACTTTCCCTCCATATCACACCACACCTGTCTTCCCATTTTGCTATAAAGGCTTAGGATAATTGTTTTTAATGGTTGCCAGAGCATTTCTTCTATGGAAATATCATTATGTATTTAACTTCGTATGAGGTATTTGGGTCACTTACAATTTCTATTAAATTATGCCCCGATGCATATTTTTGGGTGCATAGCTTTTTCCATAATTAGAATTGGAAGGATAGATTCTCATGAATGTGATTGCTGGATGAAAGGAGTGAAGACATTGGCAATTCCAGATGCGCAGCGTCCCACGGCTTTCCAAAAGCACCTTGGCACTCCCAGCTCAGCCACCCTAGGCAGCAGCTATTTCACTTAATTGGATAAATGAAGAAATGGGACCCTACAGTCTTTTTTTTTTTTTTTTTTGAGACCGAGTCTCGCTCTGTCGCCTAGGCTGGAGGGCAGTGGCACAGTCTCGGCTCACTGCAAGCCCCGTCTCCTGGGTTCACGCCATTGTCCTGCCTCAGCCTCCCGAGTAGCTGGGACCACAAGCGCCCGCCACCGCACCCAGCTAATTTTTTGTATTTTTAGTAGAGACGGGGTTTCATCATGTTAGCCAGGATGGTCTCGATCTCCTGACATCGGGATCTGCCTGCCTCGGCCTCCCAAAGTGCTGGGATTACAGGCGTGAGCCACCACGCCCAGCGGGACCCTACAGTCTTTAATTCATATTTCCTCATCACTAGAAGGGCTGGATAGTTCCCACTCTATTTGCTTATTAGTTGTATTAATTCTTTTTTATAAAATGTGGATATTTTGCCTGTTTGTTTGGGAGTTAATGCTTTTTGTTTTTTGGAATCATGGTCTCTCTCTGTTGTCCGGGCTGGAGTGCAGTGGTACAATCACAGCTCCCTGAAGCCTCAATTTCTGAGCTCACGTGAGCCTCCTTGCCTCAGCCTCTATCATCAGAGCAGGCTGCTCGGTTATGGACTCAGAGTGCTGAGATTATAGGCGTGAGCCACCGTGCCCAACTCTTAATGCTTTTGTTCTCATTTTGTGTCAGCTTTATGTAACAAAGATCTCACACTGTCATCCTTATTGCAAATATTTTCCTAAGTCTATGTTCCTTTTATTTTGGTTCAAATGTATATAGTCAAATCAATGTCTTTGTAGATCCCCCATCCTCTCAAAGTTTAGAAATTATCCCTTTCTGTATGTTTAAAATAATTAAAATTTAAAAGGTATCTTCCCATAGAACTTTTGTAAATGAGAAATTTAAAAATTTCTCCTATTAAAAAATTGTTTTAATCCTTTTGTCTTCTGTTTATTACAGTAGTGCATGCTCATTAGAGAAAGCTTAGAAAAACATAGAAAAAAATAAAGAAGAAAATAAAAATCATCTGTATTCCAAGGACACGATGTTGGAAATATTGTATTATATTTGAGGCTGTGCCCCCGACTCCCAAGAGCACCACACATGTGTGCGCTCAGATGGGGCTCAGAGAACATAATCATCATTGGGAAATGCAGTTTTAAACCAGGCATGGTGGCTTATGCCTGTTAATCCCAGCACTTTGGGAGGGTGAGGTGGGAAGACTGTTCGAGCCTAGGAGTTTGAGGTCAGCCTGGGCAACATAAAGAGACCCCATGTCTACAAAAAATACAAAAATTAGCCAGGCGTGGTAGTGGGTGCCTGTGGTCCCAGCTACTCAGGAGGCTGAGGCAGGAGGATCGCTTGAGCCCAGGAGTTCAAGACTAGCCTGGCAGCATATATGACCCCATTTCTAGAAAAACATACAGAAGTAGCCAGGTGGCGTATGCCTACAATCCCATCTACTCAGGAGGCTAAGGCAGAAAAATCACTTGATCCCGGAAGTTTGAGGCTACAGTGAGCTGTGATCGTACCACTGCACTCCAGCCTGGGTGACAGCGTGAGACCGTCTCAAAAAACAAAAAACAAAAAAACCCATACAGTTTTATACCCAGCTCTTGACACTGAACGGCATACTGCAGTCTTCCTGCCTTTCAGTGAATGACAGGAGATGTGGGCCCAAAGAGATGTGTGTTCCAAGCTGCCAATCAGTTCCGCCAACACCATAAGAAATGCTTCTGCAAAGAGGAAGAACAGATGGTGGAGAAGCCACCAGAGCTGCAGTAAATGCAAGTCCTGGCTTCACTGCAAGCCACGTCTCTCGGGGTTTGTGTGCCCAATTTTCTGGACTGTGAGGTGAAGGCTGGAGTAATTTGGTGCAAGAGGTTGTTAGGAGTAACATTCAGTAAAAATCTGAAATGCAACACCCTGGGCCCCCATCCAAGAGGCCCGTGGGAGAGGGGCTGAGGGAGGCTCTGGAGTCGCTGCCTCGGGAGTTCTCTGTGCTCTGCCTCCTTGTCTGTGAAACGGGGTCACAGTTCCCACCACACAGGCCGGCTGTGAGGGTAGATGAGCTGACGGCCCTAAGGCTTGCAGAGCAGCGTCTGGCATAAAGTGTTTAATGCCCCGAGTGCACGTCAGCAATCGCCAGCTTTGTTTTTTGTTTGGTTTTAGAGACAGGGCCTTGCTCTGTTGCCCAGGCTGGAGTGCAGCAGTGCAGTCACAGCTCACTGAAGCTTCGAACTCCTGGGCTCCAGGGATCCTCCCGCTTCAGCTTCCTGAGTAGCTGGGGCCACAGGCGCACACCACCACGCCTGGCTAACTGTATTTTATTTATTTTTAAATTTTAGATTCAGAGGTGCACGTGCGGTTTTTTTCATCTTTTTGTAGAGATGAGCTCTTGCCGTGTTGGCCAGGCTGGTCTCGAACTCCTGAGCTCAAGTGATCCTCCCACTTCAGCCTCCCAAAGTGCTGGGATTACAGGCGTGAGCCACCACGCCCAGCCAGTATTTTCTTTTCTAATTTGGAAACAGTTTTGAATGCAACTGACAAAGAACAATTTTGGGTATTTTTCCAAGTCTCAGGAAAAAAAAGGTGAGTCCCTACCAGGCACAGAGATTGTGTAAGAACGATCTTAGCATCCTCAGATGCAGAGCACGACCACCCTGGTGCACACATCCAACAGGAGGCGGGGGCACTCGGAGCTGCAGGCGGGAGCGGGAGGGCCGGGGAGGCAAACGAGGAAGAGCTACCGCGGCGAGTTCACGGCCCGTGGAGCAGCGCGGGCCGTGTGTCCCAAGGCACTATGGCTGCTGAGCGGACGTCTCCTTAGGGTTCTGCAGTGGATCTTGCCCCGCGCTGAAGCCCCACTGGGCCACACTGTCCATCCCAGGAAAAGTGGCTGATCCGCAGGCTCAAAGAGAACCACAGAAATGCTGGTCTCAGAGGGGCTGGGGCTAAGGCCCCCATGTCACACACACAGCACCCATGCGGCTAGACATCTAGATTCTGCAACAAAATCCAGACGTATTTAAGAAGCCAGGCTACAAAACAGGCCACGGAAAAGCACACTTTGAAGGTTTCACATGAAAGCGTGTGCCCGGGCCAAGTGGAAGAGCTGCGTCCCACAGTCTTCAATGCGATGCTCCTTAAAATGCTGCTTCTCCCCAGGCAAGAGTGACTATTGGGTACTTTTAACAACACGCTTCAGTGAACCACAGCTCAGCTGGTCGGCGCTGGTACCTGCTGAGCACCTGGGGGAGCAGGTGTGTAGCCTGAGTGGGGCCAGGCACGGCACGCCAGCTGTCGGGACGGCTCACCTGACTGTGCGACGATGACACTGAACTGCAGGAGCTCCGGCGAGTGTGCGGTCCAGTCAAGGTGCGACGCGGTCACCCGCTCCAGGAGGGGACCAATGTGCTTGCGGTAGAGGTCCTGGCAGCTGCTGACACCCTCCACCATGGCCAGTGAGTCCATCGTCTCCTGTGCCTGGAGGTTACAAGTCAGAGACTGAGACAATTCCAACACTCAGGGCTCAAGCCTGCCTGCCTGCTGGGACTCACTATCCCCCTCACGCGTAAGAACCACACAGGCCGGGCCTGCCAGGATAATCGGGAGGGAGGCTGCCACAGGGAGCCCCGCCCAGGGTGCAGGAGAGCGAGAGCCGCGGGTGCAGGGCGAGACCCTGATCCCGTTCACACCAACGCCGTCTCTGCAGCGAATCATGAAGCAGGCACTGTGCACACTGGGATGCACACAGCACAGGTGGTCCTGGGGCTTACACGGACGTGGTGTCCGCCTGGGCAGGCAGGGCTCCTCTGAGGTGGTGAGGAGCAGAGAGGGGCGGGCAAGTGGCTTAAAGAGTTAAGCCCAGCAGACCAGACCTCCAGGTAAAAGTAACTGGGCAGACAGAGATGATAACCTTGGCCACCTTTTACTTTTAGCTGGCTGCTCTCCTTGGGGGCTTAGGAACAGAGGAAGGGCTGAGGCTCCCCGGTGGCCATTGCCCCAAGCCTGGAGTCTGAATCTGGGGCTACCTGGCTTCGTCCCCCATGACCAGCAGGCAAAGACTTTGCTTTTGCTGGTACCTCAGGCCCTAACAGTGACAGCATCTGCTGAGACACACGCCCCTTGGGAAGCTTGTTTTTAGAGGCCCCAAGAAGGAAGGGGAGGGCAGCAGCCTCCTCCACACCAGGTTCCCCATAGTACATTCAGGCCGTAAATCTCCCAGAGAGAGAATCTGCCGAGAGGGGCTGTCCACAGAGACAGAATGGGAGGAGGAACTAAGTCTCAGCTTCCAGAGAGGCAGACAGATACTGGGGCCTCCAGGGGCCCTAGAAGCCCATTAGAAGGTTGGGGTTAAAAGATTTTTGGGCATAATGGCCAGGTGCGGTGGCTCATGCCTATGATCCCAGCCCTTTGGGAGGCTGAGGCAGGTGGATCACCTGCAGTCAGGAGCTTGAGACCAACCTGGCCAACGTGGCAAAACCTTGTCTCTACTAAAAATATAAAAATTAGCCGGGTATGGTGGTGGGCGCCTGTAATCCCGGCTACTCAGGAGGCTGAGGCAGGAGAATCACTTGAACCTGGGAGGCAGAAGTTGCAGTGAGCCGAGATCGCGCCACTGCACTCCAGCCTGGGTGACAGAGCGAGACTCCACTGAAGAAAAAAGATGATTTTTGGGCATAAACAGGGAGCCCATGGGCGAGAAGTACTTCTGAACGCTGTGCTGCAATGAGAGCGGGAAATCACGGTATCTTCTCTCGACTCAGTCACACATGCACATGCACTTTTTTTTTTTTTTGGACGGAGTCTCGCTCTGTTGCTCAGCCCAGGCTGGAGTGCAGTGGCACGATCTTGGCTCACTGCAACCTCTGCTTCCCTGGTTCAAGCAATTTTCCTGCCTCAGCCTCCTGAGTAGCTGGGACTACAGGCACATGCCAACACGCCTGGCTAATTTTTTGTATTTTTAGTAGAGACGGGGTTTCACCATGTTGGTCAGGCTGGTCTCAAACTCCTGACCTCAGGTGATCCGCCCACCTCGGCCTCCCAAAGTGCTGGGATTACAGGCGTGAGATGCCACGCCCAGCGACATGTGCACTATTAAACCCTACTCAAGTGCGCAGGTTTAAAGGTTACGTCTTATTTCTTGTTTGCTTCTTTGCTGAAGACCCTAACATTAAACAGCTGTCTCCACTCCCTGATGCCAGAATACACTGGCAGCTGGAGAGCTGCCCCGAAGGCCGTTGCCCGGGGACTCACCCGCAAGGTTCTCAATCCCTGGTCTTTGCTGGTCAAGCACAGAGGGGATGCATAGGAGACAGTTCACCTCACTTAGAGATGCCTTCCAGCTGTGAGCTCCGCTAGGTCAAGCAGCAGCCACCACTGTCAGCCTTACCTTGTCCCTCAGGCCGGTAGCACCTGCGAGGGCCACTATTGTCAGCAGCACGTCCAAGAGCTGCAGGCTGGCCACGCCACAGTCCTCATGACACACAGACACCAGAGCCTGCACACACAGCAGCAGGCGCTCCAGGTAGAGGTCCTGGAAGAGACCGGCAGCACCGTCAGAGCTTGGTACAATTTGGTCGTGTCCCCACCCGAATCCCATCTTGAACTGTAGCTCCCATAATCCCCACGTATCCTGGGAGGGACCCTGTGGGAGGGAACTGAATCATGGGGGTGGGTCTTTCCCGTGCTGTTCTCTTGATATTAAGTCTCACGAGATCTGATGTTAGTATAAAGGGCAGTTCCCCTGCACACTCTCTCGCCTGCCGCCACGTAAGACGTGACTTTGCTCCTCCTTTGCCTTCCACCATGATGGTGAGGCCTGCACAGCCATGTGGAACTTTGAGTCCATTAAGCCTCTTTTTCTTTATAAATTACCCAGTCTGTGGTAGATCTTTATTAGCGACATGAGAATGGACTAATACAGGGCTCCCGCTCCGGCCCCAGTGTCAGGGCCGACAGAGCCCGCCCGGGGCTCCTAGTCTACGGCTCACGAGGGGCAGCAGCCATGGGAGAGCCCTTGCAGGGAGAGCCCCCAGGCGCTGGAGGTAGGGTGCCGGCATGTCAACCATAAAAGGGCGTGCTTGTTGATGGGAAAACTGAACACAGACTGGGAGCTAAGGAATCTGTGCTTATTTTGTGAAATGTGAACAGGCACTTGAGCTATGTGGTGGAGAAGCTGCGTTAGTGATGCACACGGCACCTGTGAGGGAAATGACGGCGCACTGCATTATCTGCTTTACAACATGCCCAAGTTCTCCCCGCCCTCCAAAGTTAAAAAGAAAAGTGGCCCCAGGCAGGCAGAACACGCATGCCAAGGGCTGGTCAGCGCTGAAGCTGGCAGTCGCTCTGCTGCCTGCCCCTCTTCTGTGCATTTTTGAGCTTTTCTATAACACCAAGTTTTAAGACAAATAAAATTCTATGGCTTAACATGTTTACTGATTGACGGGGAGGTGGAGTCTCAGCTCTGCACCTACGGCTGCGCTGGATGAATGGCTTCCCCTCCCGGCTCCAGCCTCATCCACTGTGAATCAGCCAGGCTCTGAAGCCCGCAACACAGCAGGCGTGTGCTGGACCCAAGAATTCCTAAGGCTTTGCGTGTGCTTACTTCTTTCTAAATAAATTTTAACTTATTTTTTAGAGACAGGGTCTTGCTCTGTCGCCCAGGCTGGAGTGCAGTGGTGCAATCGTGGCTAACTGCAGTCTCAAACTCCTAGCCTTAAGTGATCCTCCTGCCGTGGCCTCTCAAAGTGCTGGGATCATAGATAAGAACCACCACGCCTGGCCTGTATTTACTTCTTATAACGTCCCTCTAATGTCTATTTTATGTATGTTTCATAAAGTACAGAGTGAGTCAGGACCGTGGCCATGTAATTTAAACACGTGATTTATCAACAGTGTACATATATTGGAGGCCTATGCTTAAAAACTGTTTTTACTAATGGGGGTGCAAGTTCAAAGAAGTTTGGTAATTATTTGGCTAGACAATGGGTTGGTTCTAAATTTCCTAATCAGCTCTAAAACTCTAAGCCTCATTCCCCACTGACGTAAATCATGGAAGACTAAACAAAACACTCCCACTGTACTACAGCAGCGTTCTGTCCTTGCACCCCGGCCCCGCCCTGACCCACAGAAGACACAGAGCTGCATGGCTCCATCTCCCTCGGAGCTGGAGGAGCCGCGCGGCCCCGTCTCCCTCAGAGCTGGAGGAGCCGCGCGGCCCCGTCTCCCTCGGAGCTGGAGGAGCCGTGTGGCCCTGTCGTGGCCCCAACTCCCACAGAAGCCACAGATTTGTTTTTATTCCATTCCTGATTTTTCCCACAGCCCAATTTCTCTAAGGCCTGTACTAACTGGCTGACTTCTGAGGACAATATCTGGCTAGTTTCTAGAATGACCTGTCATGTACATTTCAGGAGCGATCATCTTTTCGGTTAAAATCAAAAGGCAGGTGCGTTTAGAAGACACAGCCCCTCCTGGCTGACCACACCTCCAAGCACAGGAACAAACAGGGAATCAGGCATCCTTTGCAGCAAGCACCACCCTCCTGCCACGAACGCAGCACCGTCTCTGAGGAAGTGACAAGACTTCACATTTATAGATTTCTCTATATTTGACCAGACAATTTTCAGTGTCTGCCTACATACAACGCACACACACAGAACGAAAAAGAAAAAAGATACAGCAGGAAATAATTCTCAGTATTTTTTGAAATACTATTTCAAACATTGTTTTCTGAAACAATGTTATCTAAGACTGCAAAGGTTTTTAATTCAGAAAAGCACAAGAGACTCCTATTTCAACAATGGCAATGGCATCCCACAACTGCTGGCTTCCCTGTGTGAGAAGCAAATCGGTGAGTTACCCATTTCCTCACTCTAGACACCTGTCCTAAACTCCTTCCCAGGAGACTCCAGTTCCCGTCTGTCGAGCTCTAGGGGACCTACTGGGCCCGAGACACCTGGAAGTACCTACTGCTAAAGCCAGATTTCCTGTGAACCCCAGGGCAGGGAGTGAAGCCAGGCTCAGTTTAGAATACATTTACACGGACTTCTCTGTTTAAACACGAGCTTTTAAAACAATTTCGGTTTGTTCTTGAAAGACATTTTCAACCTGTTCTCATAGCTACTGGAGAATAGCTGTGGGAAACATAATCGACTTCCCAAATGACATGACACAAAGCCCGGCCGGCCGCGGGAAGAGCACAGGGGCGTGGGAAGAGCACAGAACCACGGGCCTGATTCTGACTGAGACCTGAGTACCTTCACCCTTTCTTGCCAAAAATTTAAGTCTGTTAAGGAGTAAAATGGGGCCAGGTGCGGTGGCTCACACCTGTAATCCCAGCACTTTGGGAGGCCGAGGTGGGCTGATCACTTGAAGTCAGGAGTTCAAGACCAGCCTGGCCAACATGGAGAAACCCCGTCTCTACTAAAAACACAAAAATTAGCCGGGTGTGGTGGTGCATGCCTGTAATCCCAGCTACTTGGGAGGCTGAGGCAGGAGAATCGCTTGAACCTGGGAGGCGGAGGCTGCAGTGAGCCAAGATTGCGCCACTGCATTCTAGCCTGGGTGACAGAGCAAGACTCTGTCCCAAAAAGTAAATAAATAAAAATAAATAAAAAAAAATTACCCAGGTGTGGTGGTGCACACCTGTAGTCCCAGTGACTCAGGAGGCTGAGGTGGGAGGATCAACCTAAAACAAAAAAATAAAAACAAGAAAGGAGTGAAATGTACGTCTTGGGTTTTCACTGTGACTGGCTCCTTGGCCAAAGGGCCGACACACGTTCGCAGCCTGGAAGGTTGAGGCTGGCTTCCCAGGGGTCCCGTGTGACTGGACTTTGTCAGAAAGACGTCTCTGTTTGAAAGATTGTGATTAAATTTTTCCTCGATAAAACTGGAAGATGGGGAGCCAAATGCACAACTGTGGGATGACACAATTCCGTTTTCCTGTAACCAACATGGAGATGTGAAAACTACACTTTCTTTGCTATAAAGTTTGTGAGATAAGGATTTAGGCACCTGTGCACATTTTCAAGTTATGCCCTTCTAGGAAAAAATGCTTCTGGCTTGCAAATCTGTATACAGAAATCAAAGGCATCCTCATAACCCCTCGTGGGTGAAGGAAAGTGGAGAACTGACACACATTCGATGATGTGTTAAAAACGGGTTTTGGGAAAAGCTGAAGCATGGCTGAAATGCCATGAGCACGCGGCCCGGGCCCCTCCCCCGCTCCCTTCCTTACCCCAGCTCCGTTTCCTTCCCTCTATGTATTCCAGGAACTGCTTACAGGTTTCTTAAAACAGTTTACAAAAATGACTGTCAACAGCCCCACCTCTCGTTCTGAGGACGGAGAGGGAGCCTGACACAGGACAGGCCGGGCTGAGAGCACAGTGGCAAGTCCCCGTGCCCCAGGCCAGCTTTGGGGCCATAGAAGCCGCCGGAAACGATCGAGCCGGAGCAAGTGCCTCCAGGGGTGAGCTGAGGCCCGCCCTGCATGGCACGGCCGCCTGGTGGGGGCAGCCCTGTGTCCCAGAAATATCTGGGGTGCTGAGTCCAACACACACACTGACAGGGACCACTCACCTTCAAATGAAAGCAAAGCCATCACCTCTTCTTCCATGGAATACAACTATGGATTATTCCAAACAATTGAGCCCAACTACCCAGGCTGTTCCAGCTTCTGAGCTCAAGGATTTGCTGCTCAATTTAAAATTAAACAAATGTCTCTGGCAAATCCTCAGCTGGGCTGTGAGAAGCACAGATCGGAACGCCAGGCAGGGCTGATGGGGAACAGGCTGTCAGTGCCCCCTGAGGACGTGCGATCTGTGCAGGTACCCTGGGGACTGGATGGGATGGTGGACGTGCGACCACGCTCCTCAGGGGTGGGATGACGTGGACCCCACATCTACCCCCAGCAGCATGGGCCAGAGGGTCCCGGCCATGGACGCCTCCTGAGTCATCAAACACGTGAACTGTGGTGTGTGGCCAAGAAAGGGGCAGCAACGAATGTAAACGTGAGCGGCCGCCTGCAGCTGGGGCTGGGGCTGGGGCTGGAGCTCTGCACAGCCCAGGACGAGGCCCCGGAACAAGGGCTATCAGCGAGGGCACTCCGGTTACTGCAGGTGTTTCCGATGGCCCGGCCTGGCGGCACGGGGCGGACCCACAGACACGTCGCTGGGTGCTTCCGACAGCCCAGCCTGGCGGCACAGGGCAACCCACAGACATGTCATTACGATGGCTGACGGCCGGGCAGGGGAGGCTCCTCCTCTCCACTCCCGCATCTCCCAAGTGCTCTTACGTTTTCAGATGCCTGGCAGATGTGGGCCTGTGCCAGCTCTGTGGCGATGGCTGCCAGGTGCGGCTGGAGGGCTTCTCGGGGGCAACCCCGCATGGCGGAGGCCAGCACCAGGAGGCCGGAGGCAGAGGGCGTCTTCTTCAGCGTCGATAAGATCAGCTTCAGAAACACCTCAGGGCTGACAAACGTCCCGACGAGCTCTGCGGATCTGGTACACTGCGAGAAAGAAACATGAGAAAACTCAGAGCCAAACCCGAGGGTCTCAGCCGGGCTCCTGCTCTCGGCGCCGTGGCCTCCCAGACACAGCCGTGCACCAGACAGAGCCCCGTGTTAGGCAGAGTGAGTCCTTGGCACATGCTCAGAGCCCTCAGGAAAGGTACAAGGGTCCGGGTGTGGTCTCAGAACGTCCCTGAGGCCAGCGAGCCGGACACGCCTCCCAGGCAGTGAAGTCTGGCCCAAAGGATGCTGTGTCCCAGCTGTGGGGTTCACCACACACCCCTCATCGGACACCAGTGACCCAACCTTCCCATCACTAAGCTGATCAATACACACCAGCCCCTCTGTACCGTGGAAGCCCACAGTGGATCACACACTCACCAGCCCCTCTGCACCGTGGGATTCCACAGTGGACACCACACACCAGCCCCTCTGCACCGTGGGATTCCACAGCGGATCACACACACACCAGCCCCTCTGCACTGTGGGATTCCACAGCGGATCACACACACACCAGCCCCTCTGCACCATGGGATTCCACAGTGGACACCACACACCAGCCCCTCTGCACCATGGGATTCCACAGCGGATCACACACACACCAGCCCCTCTGCACCGTGGGATTCCACAGCGGATCACACACACACCAGCCCCTCTGCACCATGGGATTCCACAGTGGATCACACACACACCAGCCCCTCTGCACCGTGGGATTCCACAGCGGATCACACATACACCAGCCCCTCTGCACCGTGGGATTTCACACCGGATCACACACACCAGCCCCTCTGCACTGTGGGATTCCACAGTGGATCACACACACACCAGCCCCTCTGCACCGTGGGATTCCACAGCGGATCCCACACACGTCTCTCGTCCTCTCAGCCTCACCCCCGTGTCTCTTGCTCTCCTGTAGGTTCCACAGAGAACTACAGACAATTTTAAATTCACGGTAGTTTTTGAAAAGCAGAAACATGACATGTAAATAACATGGAACCTGGAACATTTACTTTAAATCAGTCACAATGATTTAGATTTTTTTGTTTTATCTGAGACAGCGTCTCATTCCGTCGCCCAGGCTGGAGAGTAGTGGCGCAATCATAGCTCACTGAGGCCTCAAACTCCCGGGCTCAAGCGATCCTCCCACCTCAGCCTCCCGGGAGCTGGAACCACAGGTGCACGCCACTACGCTGGGCTAGTAACAGTGACCTGGACCACTAGAAGTAAAAGCTGCTGGCCAGGCTACCTTGCAATGGAATTTAAGGTTCAAGATGAGGATATTTTCAACTGAAATCTCAAGTCAAAGCTTTAGTTGTTCTCCTGAGCACTAGGAAGCATCCTTGTGAGGTGGGTGTGAAGTCCTCATGGTGGTGACTGTCAGCGCAGGGCGTGGCCCGGCCTAGTGAGGAGGAGAGGCCTGAGCATGGGACTCCCTCGTGCGTACCCAGTGGTGACGAGGCGATAACCAGCAGCCGAGTGTGGACAGGGAGTGAGAAAGAGGACTGCACCAGGGACACCACTCGCAGGACACCCGAAGCTGTGCCATCATCCCCCGTCTGGGTGCTCCCACAGCCCCTGCGAGGCCTGGAAGGGCCCTCAGGACAGTCCAGATGTCAATGCTGAACGCTGGGCATCTCGGTCCTGTGTCAGCAGCCCGGGCCCTGTCTGTCTGGTGCACGGCACGTCTACACAACACGTCTACACAACATGCACCTGGCACTGCACCCCCGAGTGTGCTTGAAAATGAGCATGAAGGGTTCACCCTCAACACGCTGTTACCTACGGGCACAGAAAGGAGATCAGTTGTTCCCAGGGGCTGGGTGTGGGGAGGGCCTGCGGCCCGGGGGTGAGGGGAACGCTGTCTTGGCTACAGTACAGCCTCGGGCCCCGCACACCACAGAGGCGGGATCTTAAGCTCGAGTTACAGCTCCGCGACCACGACTGGAATACGGCCACTTACACTTTGGACCACGGCTGCCTCCTCGTCGGTGCAGGCCTGGAACAGGGTCCGGAGGACGACCTCCAGGTGCTGCGTGGCGTGGTCCTCGGCATGCAGCAGCAGCACTGGGAGCAGCTGTGCCGACTTCACTCGGGTCCCCACCACCCAGTCGGTGATGTCGTGGCACAGGGCAGGGAGGATCTTGGAGAGGTTCCTGAAGACGAGCTCCCGGCAGCCCAGCACAGGGCGGCGCTCTGGAACGAAAAAGGGAAAGAAGAATGAGAAATTCACAAGCAAAACCTCAACAACTCAAGTTACCGCACATCACATTTAAGGGACACCTGTGAGTTTCAACCTCACCATTTCAAAACAAGTCTTGGGGTGGACGCAAAGCTGACAAATGCCCCGTCGTTCAGAACATTCACAGAGGCGGTGCACGGCTGCAGTCCTAGCCCTGTGGAGGCCAAGGCAGGTGGATCACTAGAGCCCAGGAAGTCAAGACCAGCCTGGGCAACATGGCAAAGACCCCATCTCTATAAAAAACAGGAAGATTAGCCAGGTGCCGTGGTGCATGCCTGTGGTCCCAGCTACGCAGGAGTCTGAGGTGGGAGGATTGCGCCACAGCACTCCAGCCTGGGTGACAGAGCGAGACCCTGTCTCAAAAAACAAACATTTAGAGCCACACAGAGATGCAAACAACACACTTGCCACACGTGCTGACGTGTATGATCAGAGAGACACGCCTGCGAAGCCGTCCCCCTATGATCAGAGAGACACACGCCTGCGAAGCCATCGCCATATGATGAGAGACACGCCTGCGAAGCCGTCCCCCTATGATCAGAGAGACACACGCCTGCGAAGCCATCGCCATATGATGAGAGAGACACGCCTGCGAAGCCGTCCCCATATGATCAGAGAGACACACGCCTGCGAAGCCATCGCCATATGATGAGAGAGAGACGCCTGCGAAGCCGTCGCCATATGATCAGAGAGACACGCCTGCGAAGCCATCCCCATATGATGAGAGAGACACGCCTGCGAAGCCATCGCCATATGATGAGAGAGACACGCCTGCGAAGCCGTCGCCATATGATCAGAGAGACACGCCTGCGAAGCCGTCCCCATATGAGAGAGACACGCCTGCGAAGCCGTCCCCATATGATCAGAGAGACAAGCCTGCGAAGCCATCGCCATATGATGACAGAGATACGCCTGTGAAGCCGTCCCCATATGATGAGAGACACGTCTGTGAAGCCGTCCCCATATGATCAGAGAGACATGCCTTCGAAGCCATCGCCATATGAGAGACACGGCTGCGAAGCCATCGGCATGGTGGGGGTGACAGCTGCGTCCTTCGCCCGGCTTCCTCTGCTCCTCTGCACTGCAGCCCCCAAGGCACCCCGGCACCCCTGGATCTGTCCCGTGACTGAGCTGCACTTTCTAGAGCCTGACACAAGTGGAAGCCTCTCGTTCACTCTCCTCCCTTCTCCGCTTCTTTCACTCTGCATCGTTTTCTGAGGCCCGCCTGTGCCCGCTCCTTTCTGAACCTGGGAAGTGGCCTGTTCTGGGGAGATGCCAGTTTAGTGCCCGCTCCTCTGTGGAGAAGCATTCAAATGGTGTCCAGGGCAAGTCTGTGTGGCCTGGGCTTTCACTGTGCCGGGACAAATACCAGCTGTGGAAGGGCTGGGCCACAGGGAAGGTGCACGTTTAACTGTTTTAGAAACTGTCCAACCATTTTCCAAAGTGTTTGAGCCAGTCCGCGCTCCTTCCCACTCTCAGCGGCACGCGGTACGCTCAGTCTTGAATTGAAAGCAGTCCGAGAGGCACAGTGGCATTTCCGTGTGCTTTTCCTTTGCATTCCCCGATGACTAACGACGCCGAGCGTCTTCTTCACAGGCTTGTTTGCCGCCTATCTTCCCTGGTAAAGGGTCTTTCCAAATTGTTTTCTGCCCATTTAAAAAAATGGATTGTTTTCCTGCTGAGTTTCAAGAGCTCTTCCTATACTCTGGAGATAAATCCTTACATACATCATCTCCAAACATCTCAGTCTTTGGTTTGTCTTTTCGTTTTTTCAACAGGCCTTTGAAAAAGCAGAAGTGTTCATTTTGATGAAGTCCACACATTGCTTTACCCTGTTACAGAGCGGTCTTTTGAGGACGCACCCAGGGAAGCGTGGCCCGGCCCACGGTCACGAAGCCTTCGTCCTAGCTCTGCGGTCTTTTGAGGATGCACCCAGGGAAGCGTGGCCTGGCCCGCGGTCACGAAGGCTTCGTCGTCACTCTGCAGTCTTTTGAGGATGCACCCAGGGAAGCGTGGCCCGGCCCGCGGTGACAAAGGCTTCGTCATCACTCTGTGGTCTTTTGAGGACGTATCCCGCGAAGTGTGGCCCGGCCCGTGGTCACGAAGGCTTCGTCGTCACTCTGCAGTCTTTTGAGGATGCACCCAGGGAAGCGTGGCCCGGCCCGCGGTGACAAAGGCTTCGTCATCACTCTGCGGTCTTTTGAGGACGTATCCCACGAAGTGTGGCCCGGCCCACTGTCACAAAGGCTTCGCCCTAGCTCTGCGGTTCTGGGCTTTACCTTCAGATCCCTGACGCATCTGGGGTTAATTTTTTGACTCCAAGTTCACTTTCTGGTGTATGAGTGATCCTATCATTTACAGTATCCTTATTAAAAGATGCCATTAAATGGTCTTTGAGCCTTCATCAAGTCAGTGGTCCGCGTGCGGGCGCCTGTTTCTGGACGCTCTCGTTCTGCTCATCGGTCTGAAAGCCAACACCACGTGGCCCCATGACTGTGGTTTTGTGAGTCTTGCACCCAGGACCTGCTGCCATTCAGCTTCACTCCTCCCCAGTGTTTCGGCAGCTGTGGGTCCTTTGCACGCCCACGAGAATTTCACAATCAGTTTGTCGATTTCTACAGAAAAGCCTTCAGGGACTTTGATGAAAAGATTCTGATCTTCAAAATTCAGGCCGGGCACGGTGGCTCATGCCTGTAATCCCAGCACTTTGCGAGGCCAAGGCAGGCGGGTCACCTGAGGTCAGGAGTTCAAGACCACCCTGACTAACATGGTGAAACCCCGTCTCTACTAAAAATAGAAAAAATAAGCCGGTCGTGCTGGCGAGCGCCTGTAATCCCAGCTACTCAGAGGCTGAGGCAGCAGAATCACTTGAACCCAGGAGGTGGGGGTTGCAGTGAGCCAAGATTACACCACTGCACTCCAGCCTGGGCGACAGAGTGAGACTCCATCTCAAAAAAAAAAAAAAAAAAAAATTCAGAACAACTGTAAAGATAGAAATGAAACCATGATATGTCAGGATTTAAAGGGTCTTTTTCTATTTTTAGAGAAAGGGTCTCACTCTGTCACCCAGGCTGGAGTGCAGTGGTACGATCACAGCTCACTGCAGCACTGACCTTCTGGGCTTAAGTAACCCTCCTGCCTCGGCCTCTCAAAGTGCTAAGATTACAGGTGTGAGCCACTGCATCCAGGCTAAAGGGTATGTTTTAATAAGAACAGCTTGTACCAGGACACCCCATTTTTAACCTTTTTCTGGTTATTTTTCTGTTTTTATCCTGTATTATGGAATTAGTTCCAAATAATTAAAATTCTGCTGGCTGTTTAAATGATCCTGTCATCATTTTGTAAAAAACAAAAAAGCCAGGGTGCAAACACACCTCTCTTCGTTTTTTTTTGAAATGCAGTCTCGCTCTGTCATCCAGGCTGGAGTGCAATGGTGCGATCTCAGCTCACTGCAACCTTCACCTCCTGAGTTCAGGCAATTCTCCATTCTCATGTCTCAGCCTCCTGAGTAGCTGGTACTACAGGTGCATGCCACCACACCTGGCTAAGTTTTGTATTTTTAGTAGAGATGGGGTTTCACCATGTTGGCCAGCCTGGTCTTGAACTCTTGACCTCAGTATTACAGGCATGCGCCACCACGCCCAGCTGCACCTTTCTTCCTGATGACGATCCGCTCTGGAAAGTTTGCAAAATGAGAGATGCGTGACCAGGAACAGCCGGGGAGGGGTCTGCTGACAGCTGAACAGAGCTTTGTGGGCACCTGGGCTTCTGGGTGTTTCCAAAGAAATACTGGCCGGTGCTGGGCAGGGGTACGCAAGGCCTGGACACAGGCTGGGACTGGTTTAAGGCCTGTTAGGAACTGGGCCCCACAGCAGGAGGTGAGCAGATGGTGAAGGAGTGTGACCGCCTGAGCTCCACCTCCTGTCAGATCAGTGGCGGCATGAGATTCTCAGGGGAGGGCAAACCCTCCTGTGAACTGTGCGTGTGAGGGACCTGGGTTACGTGCTCCTTATGAGAATTGAATGCCTCATGATCTGAGGTAGAACAATTTCAACCTGAAACCACCCTGCTCCCTGCCCCACCCATGGAAAAATTGTCTTCCACAAAACCAGTCCCTGGTGCCAAAATGGCAGGGGACCGCTGGTACAGTCAAGCGTTGCTGAACGGTGGGGGGTGCGTTCTGGGAAACACGTCATTGGGTGATTTCGTTGCCGTGTGAACGTACTACAGTGACGTACACAAGCCTAGATGGCGCAGCCTCCTACGTGCCTGGCTGTGCGATGCCTGGGCTGTGCGATATAGCCTGTGAGGCTCCTAGGCCACGAACCTGTGCAGCAGGTGACTGCACTCAACACGCAGAAACTGTAGCACAGACAGTGAGTGAGTGTTTCCAAACACAGAAAAAGGAGAAACACAATGTTACTATCAGAGGGGACCACCCTCCTCCACGTGGTCCTTATGGACTCAAACGCTGTTACTCAGCACATGCTTCTGAACATGGTTCTGAAGCCTGTTTTTCTATACTTAATATTATAGCAGACATAGGCTGGGCACCGTGGCTCACACCTGTAATCCTAGCACTTTGGGAGGCCAAGGCGGGTGGATCACCTGAGGCCAGGAGTTGGAGACCAGCCTGACTGATATGGTGAAACCCTGTCTCTACTAAAAACACAAAAATTATCCAGGTGCGGTGGTGCGCGTCTGTAATCACAGCTACTCGGGAGGCTGAGGCAGGACAGTAGTTGCCTGAATCTGGGAGGCGGAGGTTGCAGTGAGCTGGGATCGCACCACTGCACTCCAGCCTGGGTGACAGAGCAAGTCTGCCTCAAAAAAAGAAAAAGAAGTTCCTTCTTCTGTAACACCCCCGGCTAACTCAGAGTGGGCCAATGCTCGTGGGACCTTGCTGGCTTCAAACAATGTTAACCAGCTTTTCCAGCCCATTTGCACAACGTAACGTTTCTGACAATTTCCATTCAAGCTTCCATCTTTCCAAACACATGGATGAAACACACAAGCAAAGCAGAATGGGTGCGAGCTCCAAGGCAGAACAGGAGAATGAAGGGGGAAGGCTGTCACGTGGCAGCGTTCATCCACAGGGAACCCTGCTCACTTCTAAGTCAGGCTTTAAGAAGAGCCAACTCTGTCCTCCTGTGTGAAAAGCTCTGGCCGGCCACTCACCAGCATCGAGACGCTTTCCTTTACGCTCAGGCATTGCCAAGGAAAACAATCTTAACAGAGGGATAATCTCAAAGCAGAAAGGACTCTGGAGCCGCTGTCACCAAGCCATCTGCTGCTGGCGGCTGGCAGTGTGATTGTCAGATACACACCAGGCGTGAACGTGTGCTTCCGTGTGAGAAGGGCACTCTGTTCAGGGAAATGACCGACTTGAGGACGGTAAGTGGTGCCCTCCCAACCCTCCCAGCACGAAGCTTGGTTTTTAAGGCGGAGGTTTCAGTGCTGTTAATGGAAACTTACGCTGTGTCTGCAAAGCTAACAACAAATTATATGGTACGAATTATATTTCCACATGGTGTGTACCTTATTTTCTTAGGAAACAGGAAAACTGGACTCTGATGAAACTTCAGATCCAGGCCCATGTGAATTCCTTATTGATAGGTCATTACCTCTGAGCACCGTCTGCATTAGCAGTGGTCTGAAAATATTACCGAACTTTGCCTGTTCACGCACTCGGCAACCCAACCACACGGTTGGACTGTCCGTTCTTGCTGGTAAGACAGGACACGCAGCCACTCATCAGCTCGCTGGGTGCTCACAGAGCCACTAAGCCTGGCTCACCGCCTCTGGGTGCAGAGGATGGCAGCAGACAGACTGGCCCCTGGAGCGAGCGGTGAGGTGAGCACAGGGCCCGAGTCCACCGAGGAGAAGGAGCACCTCCACTGTGGTAGGGGGCAGGAGGAAACAGAGCAGGGGGGATGGGGGCGGCAGCTGCCGGAGCTCTGAGGAGAGGAGCGGGAGCTGGAGCTGAGGCCTGGCTGTGGAGCCTAAAACAGTCTGATGAGGGACCTGCATCCAGAGCACGGAAGGGGTCCTCAAACTCCGCACTCAGAAACACAGAACTCGATTTAATGGATGGCAGTTCTGAATGGCCACCAAAGACGACGTACGGGTGCACAGAAGCACACCACAGCACAGGAAAAGGCCCCAATGTCCTCTCATTAGGGAATCGCAAAGTAAAACACCATGGGCCACCACTGCACACTAGCCGGACACGCTGAAACCAGCAAACCCCACCAACACCGTGGGCCACCACTGCACACCAGCCGGACACGCTCAAACCAGCAAACCCCACCAACACCGTGGGCCACCACTGCACACCAACTGGACACACTGAAACCAGCAAACCCCACCAACCCTGTGTGACAACACTGCACACCAGCCGGACACGCTGAAACCAGCAAACCCCACCAACACCGTGGGCCACCACTGCACACCAGCCGGACACGCTCAAACCAGCAAACCCCACCAACACCGTGGGCCACCACTGCACACCAACTGGACACACTGAAACCAGCAAACCCCACCAACCCTGTGTGACAACACTGCACACCAGCCGGACACGCTGAAACCAGCAAACCCCACCAACACCGTGGGCCACCACTGCACACCAGCCGGACACGCTCAAACCAGCAAACCCCACCAACACCGTGGGCCACCACTGCACACCAACTGGACACACTGAAACCAGCAAACCCCACCAACCCTGTGTGACAACACTGCACACCAGCCGGACACGCTGAAACCAGCAAACCCCACCAACACCGTGGGCCACCACTGCACACCAGCCGGACATGCTGAAACCAGCAAACCCCACCAACACCGTGGGCCACCACTGCACACCAGCCGGACACACTGAAACCAGCAAACCCCACCAACACTGTGGGCCACCACTGCACACCAACTGGACACACTAAAAACAGCAAACCCCACCAACCCTGTGTGACAACACTGCACACCAGCTGGATACACTAAAAACAGCAAACCCCACCAACCCTGTGTGACAACACTGCACACCAGCCAGACACGGTAAAAACAGCAAACCCCACCAACACCGTGGGCCACCACTGCACACCAGCCGGACACGCTGAAAATAGCAAACCCCACCAACACCCTGTGCCACCATTGCACACCAGCTGGACACACTAAAAACAGCAAACCCCAATACCGTGTGTCAACACTGGACACCAACACCGTGTGCCAACACTGCACACCAACCGACACACTAAAAACAGCAAACTCCACCCCACACGCTGGCCTGACTGCAGCACCTGGAAATCTCATCCAGTGCCCGTGGGGATGCGACATGGCGCGAAGGGTGTGGAAAACAGTGTGTGGTGAGTTTCTAACAAAGTAAGGACTGTACCTATGGCCCAGCAACCCCACGCCTGAGTGTTTATCCAATAAAACACTCTCACAAAAACCAGTCTGCAAGTGTTTACATCAGCTTTACCTGTGATGGCCAAAAACTAGAAAGGACCCGAATATGCCCCTGCTGGTGACCAGATGGTCCATCCACGGGAGGGAACGTGACTCACGCGAAGAAGGAAAGTGCTGCAGACACAGGTGCCATGCATGAGCCTCCGACACAGAGAGGAAAGAGCAGACGCCAGCGGCCACGCTCCCACAACCTCATGCAAGTGACATCCTGGAAGGGACACACAGGACGCAGCCCACAGCAGCAGTGCCAGGGCCCATGAGCAGTTCTGGGCGGTGGAGATGCCCACATGCAGGGGACAGAGGCGGTGCTGCTCAAAACTCACAGAGCTGCAGCCCTGAAGGGTGAATGCAGCGTGGTCCCGGGGGAAGGGCTATCACAGACCCTGGGCAGGGTGGGCAGGGGGTGGCAGGATGGTAAGGACGTCACAGACCCTGGGCAAGGTGGGTGGGGGGTGGCAGGACCGTAAGGAGGGCGTCACAGTCCCTAGGCACGACGGGCGGGGAAAAGGGACGACACAGAGCCTGGGCACGGCGGGCGGGGGAAAGGGATGACACAGACGCTGGACAGGGCAGGACGGTAAGGAGGGCGTCACAAACCCTGGGCATGTTGGGTGGGGGGCAGCAGGACGGTAAGGAGGGCGTCACAGGCCCTGGGCATGTTGGGTGGGGGGCAGCAGGACGGTAAGGAGGGCGTCACAGGCCCTGGGCATGTTGGGTGGGGGGCAGCAGGACGGTAAGGAGGGCGTCACAGGCCCTGGGCATGACGGGCGGGGGAAAGTGAGGACACAGAGCCTGGGCCCAGCGGGCAGGGGGGGGCAAGACAGTAAGGAGAGCGTCACAGACCCTGGGCACGGCAGGCGGGGGGTGGCAGGACGGCAGGGAGGGTGTGTGCTTGGCAATACAGGGCCAGTGCAAACTTCTGAGGAAGAGACTCAAAAAATCTTCTGATCTGACATTTAAAATACTGTAGAAAAAAATCTGAGAAATCGTATTTAAAATTCAAATCTACAGACTGGAGAAAAGTAATTTGAGGAGAAAATGCCAAAAATCTAACACAACGTAGTGCTTATGCGACTGACTGACTGTCATTCAATTCTAAATTTACTCTGCTCCACTTGAAACAAAAGTTCTGTGCCTAACGACACTCTCTACGCCTCGGCACGGATAACTAACTGTGTTTTTGTAATTATCAGTCAGGAACATTCCCAAGTCCTTGAACCAATTCTAAATCAGGCAGCCTCCAAAGAGCCTGTGTTTCCACCACAGGGAGGAAGCCCCTTCCGGGAACCTACTAGCAGGGCCAGACAGTTGGCGGGGTAGGGCAGGATGTGTATGTACATGTGTACATGTATGTGCACACACACGTACGTGTGATATGCATGTACACACGTGTGCAGATGTGTATATGTGTGTACACGTGTGTGAGGATAAGTGTGTACGTGTGTGAGGATATACATGTACACGTGTGTGCACAGGTGTGTATGTGTATACGTGTGCAGATGTGTATATGGGTGTGCACATGTGCGAGGATGTGTGTACGCGTGTGACGATATGCATGTACACACGTGTGCATATGTGCACGTGTGTGCGATATGCATGTACATGTGTGCACAGGTGTGTGTGTACATGTGCATGCATGTGAATATGTGTGTGTGTGTGTATGCGTGTGCGCCTCGCTCTGTCTTCTCCCTTACCGCATTCCAAGGATCATAGATCGTACCTTCCAGAAACAGTCCCCCCGACCCCCCGCCTCCCTCTCCGGTGCACAGCGGGAAGGACTGGACCCTCCTGGGTCTTGGGGACTGCCATTCCTGCCCCACTGACACCTGAAGGGTCTTCCACTGGTTTCTCAGTGAGCACGTGGAGAACGATTTGCCATGCAGCTTGGGCTCCGTGTAGCATGAATTAGGCAGACAGGCTGGACCCTCTCTAAGGAGCAGCATTTCCTCATTGGTGAGGAGAGCCCAGCTGAAATCACCAGGAGCAAACAACCCACAGCTTAGCTTAAAGGTCCGACCAACGCAGAAGCCCACCACAGGCGGCTGGAGGGAGAGGCACTGACAGAGCACCACAGCACGCGTGGGATTCCACTCCCATCACTGATGCAGAGACAAGAGTGTGAGTTCAACAGTGAGTTCGTAAGTGGCCTCGTGTCTAAGTTCCACATTTTAAAACAGATTGAGTGGTCCAGGCGTGGTGGCTCACCTCTGTAATACCAGCACTTTGGGAGGCTGAGGCAGGCGGATCACCTGAGGTCTGGAGTTCGAGACCACCCTGACCAACATGGCGAAACCCTGTCTCTATTAAAAATACAAAATTAGTTCTAGATCCCTGAGGAATCGCCACACTGACTTCCACAATGGTTGAACTAGTTTACAGTCCCACCAACAGTGTAAAAGTGTTCCTATTTCTCCACATCCTCTCCAGCACTTGTTGTTTCCTGACTTTTTAATGATTGCCATTCTAACTGGTGTGAGATGGTATCTCACTGTGGTTTTGATTTGCATTTCTCTGATGGCCAGTGATCATGAGCATTTTTTCATGTGTTTTTTGGCTGCATAAATGTCTTCTTTTGAGAAGTGTCTGTTCATGTCCTTCGCCCACATACCATTTGACCCAGCCATCCCATTACTGGGTATATACCCAAAGGACTATAAATCATGCTGCTATAAAGACACAGGCACATGTATGTTTATTGCAGCTCTATTCACAATAGCAAAGACTTGGAACCAACCCAAATGTCCAACAATGATAGACTGGATTAAGAAAACGTGGTACATATACACCATGGAATACTATGCAGCCATAAAAAATGATGAGTTCATGTCCTTTGTAGGGACATGGATGAAATTCAAAATCATCATTCTCAGTAAACTATCGCAAGAACAAAAAACCAAACGCCGCATATTCTCACTCATAGGTGGGAATTGAACAATGAGAACACATGGACACAGGAAGGGGAACATCACACTCTGAGAACTGTTGTGGGGTGAGGTGAGGGGGGAGGGATAGCATTAGGAGATATACCTAATGCTAAATGACGAGTTAATGGGTGCAGCACACCAGCATGGCACATGTATACATATGTAACTAACCTGCACATTGTGCACATGTACCCTAAAACTTAAAGTATAATAATAATAAAATAAAATAAAAATAAATAATAAATAATAAAAAAATAAAAAAAGAACTTATTTATGTAACCAAATACCACCTGTTCACCAAAAACCTATTGAAACAAAAATAAATAAATAAATATAAACTAAAAATACAAAATTAGCTGGGCGTGGTGGTGAGTGCCTGTAATCCCAGCTACTTGGGAGGCTGACGCAGGAGAATCGCTTGAACCTGGAAGTTGGAGGTTGCAGTGAGCCGAGACTGAGTCATTGCACTCCAGCCTGGGCAACAAGAGTGAAACTCTGTCTCAAAAAAAAAAAAAAAAAAAGATCGAGCGTTCTCACTGGCTTCACTCCATCAGAACAAACCTTGCTTGCAACTAATTTCTGTGCCTTTTCCAAACATGTGTGCTTTCCCTGTACAGCAACTGTGCAGCGTGGGGTGGGGCTGCAAGGTGGAGAATGCCGACCGGGAGGAAAAGCAACCCTGTGATTCACAGGCTCGGGAGGAGCCACGGCTCTGTAGGCGTGGATTTAACAGGGCACCAAACATCAATACCAGACATGAGAAACTGTTTTTTGTTTGTTTGTTTGTTTTAAACGGGGTCTCACTCTGTCACCCAGGCTGGAGTGCAGGGGTGTGGTCATAGCTCACCGCAGCCTCAACTTCCTGGACCCAAGCGATCCTCCCACCTCAGCCTCTGGAGCAGCTGGGATACAGGCATGCACCACCACGCCCAGCTAATTTGTTTTGTTTTTGTTAAAATATTTGTAAAGTAGGAGTCTTGCTGTGTTGCCCAGGTTGGTCTCCAACTCCTGGGCTCAGGTGATCCTCCCACCCTGGCCCCCCGCGTAGTTGGGATACAGGCGTGAGCTACTGTGCCCGGCCAAGAAGCTACTTTAATGCTGTATTTGACGGAATACATTTCCCTCCAGGACCTGACCCCGGGCTACTTCAGCGCCTCAACTAGGCCAGGGAGGTGACATGGGAAGTAAGTTGAGACTGCAAATCTCTCAGGGCATCTGATTTGGGCTGTGCATCTGATTTGAGCTGGGAATGATTGATTTGAGCTGGACATGATTGATTTGAGCTGGGCATCTGATTTGAGCTGGGCATGATTGATTTGAGCTGGGCATGATTGATTTGAGCGGGGCATGTGATTTGAGCTGGGCATGATTGATTTGAGCTGGGCATGTGATTTGAGCTGGGCGTCTGATTTGGGCTGGGCATCTGATTGATTTGAGCTGGGCATCTGATTTGAGCTGGGCATGATTGATTTGAGCTGGGCATGATTGATTTGAGCTGGGCATGTGATTTGAGCTGGGCATGATTGATTTGAGCTGGGCATGTGATTTGAGCTGGGCGTCTGATTTGGGCTGGGCATCTGATTGATTTGAGCTGGGCGTCTGATTTGGGCTGGGCATCTGATTGATTGGAGCTGGGCATCTGATTTGAGCTGGGCATGATTGATTTGAGCTGGGCATGATTGATTTGAGCTGGGCATGTGATTTGAGCTGGGCATGATTGATTTGAGCTGGGCATGTGATTTGAGCTGGGCGTCTTGATTTGGGCTGGGCATCTGATTGATTTGAGCTGGGCGTCTGATTTGAGCTGGGCATGTGATTTGAGCTGGGCGTCTGATTTGAGCTGGGCATCTGATTTGGGCTGGGCATCTGATGTGGGCTGCGCTTCACCTACTTTTTGTCCTCGTCAGTGCGTATCTATTATTTACTTTTAAGAAGATGCCCCGCAGATAGACTCAAGTGATGAAAGCACTTGACCGCGTGCAAGTGGAAGACACTCAGCCCCGCGAGAGGAGGGCGGTTTCTAAACAGATGAAGCCCAAGGTGGGCCGGCGGCGTGGCAGAGCAAATGTGTTGGGGCTGGACCTGGGAGCCTCCACTCAGACTCAGCCAGACCTGCTGGGCTCTGCGGAGAGATGCACATGGGTGCCCGCAACATGGCCAGGGAGCAAATGTGGGAAGGGCGGGGAGGCCACGCAGCAGGAGACCCTGTTCCCAGGTTGGAAATCATGTGGAACCATGAAGAAGACCTCACCTCACCCGTGGCCCTCGTGCTGAGCTCTGTCTTGGTGAAATGATAAGCCCCTCATCCCACTGTTTCCAACACCCCCCAACCACCAGCAGAGCTGCCCAGGAACCCAGAGTTCAATGCACCCTTGTGTGCACAGCCAACGGAGGGGGGCGGACACCATCTGGCAGTGCGCTGGACACTTTCAGAAGCCCACAGCCTTTTTAAAATAAAGCTGGCCAGAGGAGGGGAGAGGTCACTGCAAGGCACATGGGGGCTCTCCAGATGCTGAGGAGAGACGTGCTCTGCCCAGGATGCAGGAGCCCCAGCCCAGTGGGGAGACGCCTGCACCTTTCCGACGCGGCCGCCTGGGCTCAGAACTGCAAGAGCTGAAGCTTCCTTCAGGCTCAGAAGCCCCTTTCCCACCCAACAAGGGCTCGCCTCCTGGCGCTCCCCTCTGCCGCGGTCACTCACCATGTGGAGGGTAATGGGGTGGGGTGGGAGGGGCAAAGTCCAGCTTGTCCTTCAGGTCCTCCTCATTCTCCTTCTGCCACTGCAGGCCAACGTCCTCCCAGAGGCTGGCAGCCAGCTGCCTGAGGCACAACAGACAGACAACAGTGGCTCAGGGCAGGGCACGCAGGGGAGGCCGCAGGGCTGCGCCAGGACACGGGTCACCCAAAGACCCCATTGCGTGAGAGCGGGAAGCTCCCCAACCCCAGAAAAGGTGGACCAGAAATTCCACTTCATCTTGTGAGCACTCTACTGACAGTACACAAAGGGGGCCGTCTGATCTCTGTCGATATACTCAGTCCAATGTTAAAAAGATGGGAAATGCCATTTACAAAACGAGACGACTTCTGTACGGCACATCCCTTCGGAGCACAGGGACAAAGGGACACCAGCAGGTTTCTGTGAGAGACTGGGAGCAAAGAGAAACCACCACTGCTACACATGACCGTTTAGGAAGACAAGGCCCGCGGCCGCCTGCCCACGTACCTGACCTCAGGCACCTCGTCGTTGAGGCTACTGAGCAGCAGAGGGATGAGCTTGTGGAAGAAGGAGTAACGGTCACGCAGACACAGCAGCCAGCCGCCCACCACGGAGGCCACCGCCCGCCGGACCTGCGCATGAGAGGAAGGGATAAGGATTCGTGTAGGCAAAGGGGATGCCGGGGCTGACGCCACGGTGCGGCTCTGAGTGCTGCCATACGGACGCTGCCTGAGGCAGAGGCACGGCCAGGTCCTGGGCCACCTACCACCGCCTAGATGCCATCCCCAAGACAGAGGCGCGTGGCCGGGGTCCTGGGCGCCACCAAGCCTGGGTCCCGGCCAGCTCCGCCAGTCCCTCCTGGCTGGGCCGGAGAGGAATGCTGCTGTCCTGCAGGCTCACACACACATACCCCGTGCCCCGGCCTGGTCCTGTTGGCGAGAGCAGGCTCCCAGCTGCTACCTGAGCCGTGCAGCGTGTTCAAAGTCTTCTGCATGAAAACCTCCTGGCCGGGCTGGGCCTGTCTCACCCTGGGTGCTTGGTGAGCCGTGGCTACAGCAAGTGTGGTGCACCGTGGCCATACCTCAAAGGCGTCTGGTCCCAGAGCCCAGGGACTCTGGAGGAAACCAGTAGGGTCCCCAGTTCTGCTGCTGGGTGTCTGAAGAGGGGGCACGAGGGCCTCTGCCTACCTTGCCTATGCAGGCGGAAGAAACCAGCTTCACACACACCAGGTGCTCTAGCCAAGCTCCCAAAGGGCAATGCCTGAGACGGGGACCAGCACCAACACTCCTTAAGGGAAGCGGGAACGGCCAGGAAGAAGCCAGGTGAGGAAGCGGTGGGGCTGAAGCCAGCCGCAGACTGATCCTGGGAGCTCTGGGGTGTGAACGAGCTACAGAGCTGTCCCCTGTGAGGCCAGGGGCCGACTCCGTGGTGCCATCAGTCCCTGGCTGGGCCGTGGGGAGCAGGAGCCTCATCCCTCCTGACACTTTGGATGAAGCGTCTCTGCCCAGCCATGCACCATTAGCAATAGCGCTCACAGCCAGTCGTAGGTGCAGGGGACCCGAGCAGCAGCTGTGCCCATGGCGTGGTCACTCGCTGGGACTCGGAGGAGGGGCTGCTCCGCCCCGGCTCCAACAAGGCCCAGAGCCAAGCAGACGCACCTAGGATCCGCCCCTGCCGGCCTGGGACCCGGGCCCTGGCCTGACTGCTCCGAAGTTCATTGCCACCTGGAAGATGGGAAAGAATGACTGACAGGGCTCGTCACTAAGGTCCCGTGAGGGGAGGGCAAGTTCACACAAGGAGAGGCCCGTTGCGCCTGACTCCCGCTGCCCGTGCGGTGCGCACAGGCGACTCTCGGCGTGCGAGCAGCAGGGAAGCACGCGAGGGGACACAGGAATGTGTGGCGCGTTTGCCGGGGTCATTAACTGACACAGGGCCTTACTAGCAACCACAAATACAAATGCCCAGATAACAACTAAGAGAAACCCAAATCAGCTCCACGGCCATTCCACCACCTGGCTAGAGAGTCCCCACAGAACAAACTGTCACTGTCGTCTTCACCCATGGCGCCGGCAGGTCTCGAGCAGAGACAGCCCAGGGTTTAATGCAGTCGACACCTGCCACGGCCGCACCTGCCACGACGCTAATCCAGGTGAGCGGCAAACTCCAAGCTCACCCAGTGCCATGTGCTGAGATGCTGCAAAGCCTGTCAGGCAGAGGGCGTGGCTGAGACAAGCCAGACTGCAGCCAGCCCCCAGCCCAAACAGGTATACAGTGATGGGGCAGAGGGCGTGGCTGAGACAAGCCAGACTGCAGCCAGCCCCCAGCCCAAACAGGTATACAGTGATGGGGCAGAGGGCGTGGCTGAGACAAGCCAGACTGCAGCCAGCCCCCAGCCCAAACAGGTGTACAGTGATGGGGCCCTCTCCGGGAGATGGGCAGGCGTCCAGGGCCACAAGGCCTGAGCACACTCTGCCCCAGGCCGGCAGCCAGGGAGCAGTCTGAACTCGCTGGGTTTGGCCTCGCTGCTTTCTCCTCCCTGACCTCCTGCACTGTGTGCCAGGGTCTCTGCGGGGCCCCACCCAGGACGGCCACCTGTCTGTCGGAACCCACAGATAGGCTTCTTTTGCAGAAAGGAGCTTCAAACATCTCACCTGATAGCAAGGACAGCTAGGGCCGGGATTTGGGGCTGCTCCTGAGTCTCACGGACTGCCACCTTTTCTATCAGTCTCTACTTAGTATCATAAGAAACCTGCAAATTCCAATTAGCATGAGACGAATTATCCCTTTTCTTTTAGTTCAAAAACAGCACTGAACACCGAACTGCCATATAAGAGTTTAAAAAAGCAGGACGTTTTTCAATTTTTTTTTCTAAAAAGCAAAATAAATGGATTAGAAGCCTTCCCAAGACAGATGGGTACAAACAAGCCCAGACTGCAAAGATGACAGTAAATACCTAGCAAGATCGACCAACAGCCACAAGCATCAGGAGCATCCAGGAAAACATGACCTCACCAAGTGAACTAAATAAGGCACCGGTGACCAATCCTGGGGTGACAGGGATAGGTGACCTTTCAGACAGAAAACTCAAAATAGCTATTTGAGGAAGCCCAGCAAAATCCAAGATAACATGGAGAAAGAATTCAGAATCCTATCAGAGAAATTAACAGATATTGAAATAATTAAAAAGCATCAAGCAGAAATTCTGGCGTAGAAAAAAGGAATTAGCATACTGAAGAATGCATTGGAGCCTCTCAACAGCAGAACTGACTATGTGGAAGAAAGAATTAGTGAGCAGCTTGAAGACGGGCTATTTGAAAATACACAGAGAAGACAAAAGAAAAAAGAATAGAAAGAATGAAGCACATGTACAGCATCTGGAAAATAGCCTCAAAGGGGCAAATCTAAGAGTTCCTGGCCTTCAAGAGCAGGTAGAGAGAAATCGGGGTAGAAAGTTTACTCAAAGGGATAATATCAAAGAATTTTCCAAACCTAGAAAAAGATACCAGCACTGAAGTACAAGAAGGCTACAGAACACCAACCAGATTTAACCCAATAAAACTACCTCAAGACATTTAACAATCAAACTCCCAAAGATCAAAGATGAAGAAAGGGTTCTAAAAGCAGCAAGAGAAAAAACAACAAATCACGTACAACGCAGCTCCAGTACGCCTGGCAACGACTTCTCAGAGGAGACCTCACTGGGCAGGAGACAGTGGCTTGGCATATTTAAAGTGCTGAAGGAAAGTAAACTTTTACCCTAGTGTATCCAGTGAAAAATCCTTCAAACATGAAGGAGACAGACTTTCCCAGACAAACAAAAGCTGAGGAATTTCATCAACATCAGACCTGTCCTACAGGAAATGTTAAAGAGGGTTCTTCAATCTGAAAAATAAGGATGCTGAGGAGCAATAAGAAATCATCTAAAAGGATAAAACTCAGTGGTAACAGTAAGCACACAGAACAACACAATGTTGTAACACTGTAACTGTGATGTGTAAACTACTCACATCTTGACTAGAAAGACTAAAAGATGAGCCTATGAAAAATAACTAACTGGTTGGGTGCAGTGGCTCACACCTGTAATCCCAGCACTTTGGGAGGCTGAGGTGGGCAGATCACCTGAGCTCAGGAGTTCAAGACAAGCCTGGCCAACATGATGAAACCTTGTCTCTACTAAAAATACAAAAATTAGCTGGGTGTGGTGGTGGGTGCCTGTAGTCCCAGCTACTCGGGAGGCTGAGGCAGGAGAATCGCTTGAACCTGGGAGGCGGAGGTTGCAGTGAGCTGAGATGGCGCCATTGCACTCCAGCCTGGGTGACAGAGTGAGACTCCATCTCAAAAATAAAACAATAAAAATAAATAAATAAATAAAAATAAAAATAACTACAATGACTTTTCAAGACAAAGATATAAGTAAAAACAACAAAAAGTTAAAAAGCTGAGGGCATAAAATTAAGGTGTAGAGTTTTTATTCATTTTTTTCTTGGCTTGCTTGTTTTTGGAATCAGTGTTCAGCTATCAGTTTAAAATAATGGGTTATGTTATTTGCAAGCCTCATGGTAACTTCAAATAAAAAACGCCACAACAGATACACACACACACAAAAAAGAAATTAAAACATACCGCCAGAGAAAATCATCTTCATAAAAAGGAAAACAAGAAGGCAAGAAGGAAGGAAGAGCAGACCACGAAACAACCAGAAAACAACAAAACGGCAGGAGTAAGTCCTTACTTATCAATAACAACATTGAACGTAACCAGACTAAACTCTCCATTCAAAAGACAGAGCGGCTGAATGGGTAAAGAAAAACAGGACCCAGCAATCTGTTGCCTACAAGAAATACACGTCACTAAAAAGGCACACGTAGGCTGAAAATAAAGGGATGCGAAAAAAGATATTCCATACAAATGGAAAGCAAGAAAGAGCAGGAATAGCTACACTTAAGACAAAACAGATTTCAAGACGAAAACTATACTAAGAGACAAAGGTCATCATATAATGATAAAGGGGTCAACTCAGCAAGAGGATATAACAACTTTAAATATATATGCACCCAACACTGGAGTATCCAGATATATAAACCAAATATTACTAGAGCTAAAGAGAGAGACAGACTCCAACACAGTAACAGCTAGAGGCTTCAATGCCCCACTTCCAGTACTGGACAAATCATCCAGAGAGAAAATCAACAAAGAAACATCAGACTTAATCTGTACTATAGATCTAATGGACCTCATAGGTATTTATAGAACATTGCATCCAACAGCTACAGAATACACATTCTTCTCCTCAGCACACAGATCATTTTCAAGGACAGACCATATGTTAGGCCACGAAACAAGCCTTAAAACATGAAACTAGAAATTAATAACAAGAACTTTGGAAACTACACAAATACATGGAAATTAAATAATATGCTCCTGAATGACCGGTGGGTCAATGAAGAAATTAAGAAGGAAATTTTAAAAATTCTTAAATGAAAATGGAAACACAATATGCAAAAACAGCAAAAGCAGCACTAAGAGGCAAGTGTATAGCAATTAGCACCTACATTCAAAGAGCAGATAACTTCAAACAGCAACCTAACACTGCATCGTAAAGAACTAGGAAAGCAAGAGCAAACCAAACCCAAAATTAGTAGAAGACAAGAAATAAGAGCAGAAATAAATGAAATTGAAATTAAAAAAAATACAAAAGACCAACAAAATGAACAGTTAGATTTTTGGACAAGCAAAATCAACACACCTTTAACCAGACTAAGAAAAAGAGAAGACCCAAGTAAATAAAATCAGAGATCGAAGAGGACATTACAAACAACTGATACTACAGAAATTCAAAGCATCATTAGAGACTGTGAGCAACTACACTGTGAGCAATGACATCGTGAGCAGCGACACTGTGAGCAGCTACACCATGAAGAAAACCGTGAGCAACAATATCAGCAACTACAATATGAGCAACGACACCATGAGCAGCTACACCGGGAGCAGCTACACCATGAACAACTACACCGTGAGCAGCGACGTTGTAAGCAGCTACACCATGAAGAACAACACCATGAGCAATATGAGCAACTACAATATGAGCAACGACACCATGAGCAGCTACACCGTGAGCAGCTACACCATGAACTACACCGTGAGCAATGACATCGTGAGCGGCGACACTGTGAGCAGCTACACCATGAAGAACAACACCACGAGCAACGGTATGAGCAACTACAATATAAGCAATGACACCGTGAGCAGCTACACCGTGAGCAGCTACACCATGAGCAGCTACACCATGAACTACACCGTGAGCAATGACATCGTGAGTGGCGACACTGTGAGCAGCTACACCATGAAGAACACCATGAGCAACAGTATGAGCAACTACAATATGAGCAACGACACTGTGAGCAGCTACACCGTGAGCAGCTACACCATGAACTACACCGTGAGCAATGACATCGTGAGCAGCGACACTGTGAGCAGCTATACCATGAAGAACAACACTATGAGCAACAATATGAGCAACTACAATATGAGCAACGACACTGTGAGCAACACCGTGAGCAGCTACACTGTGAGCAACTATACTGTGAGCAACTATATGCCAATAAATTGGAAAACCTAGAAGAAATGGATAAATTCCTAGACACATATGACCTACACAGATTAAATCATAAATCCAAACCTTGAACAGACCAGTAACAAGTAATGATATTGAAGCCGCAATGAAAAGCCACTGAGCAAAGAAAAGCCCGGGTCGCAATATTTCACTGCCAAATGTTATCAAACGTTTAAAGAACTAATGTCACTCCTACTCAAACTATTCCAAGAACTAGAAGAGGAAGGAATACCTCCAAACTTAATTTATGAGGCCAGTACTACCCTGATACCAGAACCAGCCAGATGCAATCGAAAAGGAAAACTACAGGACAATATCCCTGATGAACACTGACGCAAAGTTTCCACTGTTTCAACAGCACATGAGAAAGATCATTTGTCATGACCAAGTGAGATTTATTCCAGGAATGCAAGGATGGCTCAACATACACAAATCCATCAATGTGACACATCATATCGGCAGAATGAAGGACAAGAACTACGTGATTATTTCAAGTGATGCTGAAAAGTATTGATAAAATTCAACATCCCTACATGATAAAAATCTTCAAAAAACTGGGTATAGAAGGAACACACCTCAGTACAATAAAAGCCATATACAAGACTCACAGCTAGTACCACACTGAATGGGGAAAAATTGAAAGCCTTTCTTCTAAATCTGGAGCAAGACAAGGATGCTCGCTTTCACCACTGTTAGTTAACACAGTACTGGAAGCTCTAGCTAGAACAATTAGACAAGAAAAATAAAGGGAATCCAAATTGAAAAGGAAGATAATTATTCTTGTTTGCAGATGATATAATCTTACATTTGGAAAAACCTAAAGATTCCACAAAAAACCTATTAGAACAGATAAACAAATTCAGTAAAGTTGCAGGATACAAAATCACCAAAAAAGCCCCAGTAGCATTTCTACATGCCAACAGTTAACAAATCTGAAAAAGAAATCAAGAAAGTAATTCCATTTACAATAGCTACAAACAAAATAAGATACCTAGGAATTAACTTAACCAAAGAAGTGAAAGATCTCTACAATGAAAACTATAAGGCCAGGCGCAGTGGCTCACACCTGTAATCCCAGCACTTTGGGAGGCTGAGGCAGTCGGATCACGAAGTCAGGAGATTGAGACCATCCTGGCTAACATGGTGAAACTGTCTCTACTAAAAACACAAAAAATTAGCCAGGTGCGGTGGCAGGCACCTGTAGTCCCAGCTACTCGGGAGGCTGAGGAAGGAGAATGGCGTGAACCTGGGAGGCGGAGCTTGCAGTAAGCAGAGATCGCACCACTGCACTCCACCCTGGATGACAGAGCGAGACTGTCTCAAAAAAAAGAAAGAAAACTATAAACCACTGACATGAGAAAACTGAAGAGGACACACACAAAAAATGGTAACATACTCCATGGACTGGAAGAATCAATATTGTCCATACTACCCAAAATGTCCATACTACCCAAAGCAATTTACAGACTCAACGCAATCCCTATCAAAATACCAATGACATTCTTCACAGAAATAGAAAAAATAATCCTAAATTTATATGGAACCTCGAAAGACGTTGAATAGCCAAAGCCATCCTGAGCAAAAAACAAAACAAGACAAAAACAAACAAAAAACTGGAGGGATCACATTACCTGACTTCAATTTATACTACAGAGCTACAGCGACCAGAACAGCTTGGCACTGGCATAAAAACAGACACACAGACCAATGGAACAGAATAGAGAAGCCAGAAATTAAATCCATACATTTACAGTGAACTTATTTTGACAAAGGTGCCAAGGACATATCTTGGGGAGAGGACAGTTTCTTCAATAAATGGTGCTGGGAAAACTGGAACTCCATATGCAGAAAAATGAAACTGGACCCCTATCTCTCACCATGTACAAAAATCAAATCAAAATAGATTAAAGACCTCAATCTAAGACCTCAAACTATGAAACCACTAAAAGAAAACATTGGGGAAACTCTCTGGGACATGGCCTGGGCAAATGGGATCACATCAAGTTAAAAAGCTTCTGCACAGCAAATAAAACAATCAATAGTGAGGAGACAACCCACAGGATGGGAGCAAACAGCTGCACAAATACCCATCTGACAAGGGACTGACAACCAGAATCCATAAGGAGCTCAAACTCAATAGAAAAAAATCTAATAACGCGATTTAAAAATGGACAGATCTGAATAGACATTTCTCAAAAGAAGGCATACAAATGGCAAACAGGTACTTGGCAGGAACGTGACAAACACTCATCTCTGAAAAGCTGTCCATGCATCCCCAGTCTCTCCTGTAACATCTGTTGCTCCCGGAAGGTCTCTCTTGACAAGAACAGGCCTGGTGGCCTCACCAGCAGCACACATCGAGCAGGAAAACTGCAGCAAAGCTGAGCAGCTGCCGACTGCAGGCCTGGCGACAACCAGGGCACCCCTGCAGGGCGAAGTCCATGAGTCACCCACCTGAGGGCGGCACAGGGCAGTTTGTTCAAGGCCTGCTTCACAACTGCACGGCCATACGTCCGTCCTGCCTGCCTCGCCGGGGTTCTGGGTGTGGTCAGTGTCCTGGGCTCGGAGCTGCAGTCATGTGAGCGTGGGGAGATGCATTAGCCCCTGCCGCACTGGGACACCCCCTTTCCACAACTTCAGACACCATCCCGGGGCCTAAGGCTCCAGGGCGGCTAGACCGCCTGTGTCCTGACCTTGCTCTGAGGCTCACCTGGCTGTGCTACCTGAGTGAGCTCTGAGGCCTCTGAGCCTTGTAAGGAGGAGATGAAGTTATTTCCAGGCCCTTCCAGTGAAGTTCAGTGATTTAAGCCGAGTCTAGCAGGCTGCTGGAAGGTTTCCTACGAGTCAGAAGGCAGTCAGGACCTTCTGTGCAGAGAGGATGGGGTCCCAGGGCACCAGTCCCTGGGTTGTTGAGGGGGTGGAGGTGTCTGCAAGGAGCCCACATGGAGCTCCAGGACGGGGTCGCAGGGCTGATCAGAGTAAAAGGGGCAGCACCGTGACTCCACACGAAACTCACGTGAAGGGCCGTGCAGGGTCTCTAATAGGACGCAAACCCCATTGGGAAGAAACGGGCCATGCTGGAAGAATTGTCTTGGGCCACACATAAAATAACACTAACACTAATGATAGCTGACGAGCTAAAAGAAAAAAAAAAATCACAAAAACAATCTCGTAACATTTTAAGAAAGTTTATGAATTGGTGTTGGGCAGCATTCAAAGCCGTCCCGGGCTGCATGTGGCCCACGGGCCGCAGGTTGGACAAGCTTGCTTTAGATCAACAATGTGATGTCAGCTTTCTAACAGACAGCTATTGATACAGAGTAGGCTGCTTATACATAGCTACCAATACAGTTATAGCATTTATAGGCAGCTGTCGACACATAGTTATGGTATTTTTAGAGTTACGGTATAGTTATACTGAGTTACACCGTTTACAGCTAGCAATAGAGTTCCAGTATTTACAGAGCGTGCTCCACAGAGTTCCAGTATTTACAGACAGCTATCGATACAGTGATGGTATTTTTAGACAGTGACGGTATTTTTAGACAGTGATGGTTATTTTTAGACAGTGACAGTAGGCTTACACCGACAGCTATCAGCTATGGAGCTTCAGTATTCACACAGAGCTCTCCATACAGAGTCATCACACTGTTTTGAGGAGTAAGACTTGGCCCATGACACAGACTCCACTTTCCTTGTGGGCCATGCTCTGCCTCAGGCTTAAGGAAGGTGGGAGAGAAAAACCAGCCGGCCGCCTGCACTTCTTGCTGGGCTCTGTTCTTGCCCTGGCCCCTTGAACTGCCCTCCGCAGCCCAAATATTTAGCCAGTGCCAGAAGTGCCTGCTGCAAGTGCCGGGCAGCATGGACACTGACCCCGCACTCTGCCCACTTTCTCCCCACTGGGCAGAGCCTGATGTCCTCAGGGGCCCTCTGTGCTGCCTGGTGCCGAACCCACGCCAGCTCCAGGAGGGGCCGGCCAGCGTACATGGTGACTCAACTTCCGCTGGCCTGATGAGACCAAGGGGGGTGAACAAAGGCTCCTGGTGGGAAAGGGTCCCCCTGTGTCTCTGCGCACAGCCCCTAGGCAGCCACTCTGCTGCTGGAGGGAGAGAGCCGGAGAATGAAGCCTGGCCATGGAGGCAAAGCAGGGGTGTCCTGAGCAGGTGCTATGTCACACCTGGAGCCGGCCCTACGGGTGGACCCCAGCAGCACAGACGAGGGAGCGAGTCAGGGCTTCCATCCTGGCCCCAGAATACCCCGAGTGACTCTTCAACTCACCACCTTCAAGCCATTTCTCATCAGGAAACCTACCTCTTCAAGGCTGAAACCTGGAACCATGCACAGTGAAGAGGCCAGACACAAAAGATCACATGTCTGACTACGATGACAGGTAACTCAGAGACAGAAAGATCAGAGGTCACTCAGCTTCCCCGGTGGCCACAGTGTGTAGCATTTTAGCAAGTCACTGGGGCCTCAGATCCAAGACATGCCCTCCAGGCCAGATTCTGCCAGCAGTAAAGCCAACACTCAGCCCCATCTGTAGGACTCCTGCCTGCCTGCCTGCCCGTCTCTTGGTGGGTTCCAAAGCCCAACGACATAATTATCCCCAACAAACCAACCCCGACTCCACTCTTCTCCCAGTCCAGGTCCACCAACCATGGTGGCTTTTCGGGAAAGTGCGTCTTGATGGATGGGAGCACTAAGGAACCTTCTGCAACTGCTGAAGTGCACACTGTGCCTAAGAGACAATAACTACACAAGTCATCCTTTCTAACATCCTTGGAATTCATAACATCAAACATTAAAACAGTTCAGCTCTCTTCTAGTTTTTCCAAGATGTGAACAGGAACGTCCTGTGACTAGGAATAATGAAAGGACATTTGGTGCATACAGCACTCTGAAAAAAGAACAAGTGAGTTAGTTAAAAACAGCACGTCAGCCCGCCTGTGTTGGAGAGAGGAACAGACTGTCCAGGAGAAACACCAGTTACCTGCGGGACGTCATCAAACAGTCGCTGAGCAAAATGGGAAAGCACGTCGTCCACGGACTTCCCGTTGCCAAAATGGATCACTGCGCCTGTGGCTTCAATGGCGGCCACACGGACCTTCCAGTGCTGGTGGGAGATGGTCTGCATCAGGGGCCCGATCAGAGACTCCGACTGCATGTGGAAGTGGTCTGAGGGACAGGGAGGCCCCCAGTTACCAGAGCTGCTCCCACACGCCTCGCCCAGCTCTGTGGGCTTCCAGAGGACGGCTGCCTGCCTATGAGTTCCTCACCTCCCTTCCTCTCCTACGCCAGGTCCTTGCTGCATGAACAGTACACAATCCAGGCTGCCAAGGAGAGCTCTGTACCGCCCGGCACAGGAAGAGGCTCAGGGACAAGCGTCCCACCCTGATGACACCTGTGCAACCCAGAGGCTTAGGAGGACCAGCGGGGAAAGGCTGGGGGTGCAAACCCATTGTGGCTGAAGACCAGAGAGCCTGGACCTGCTGAAGCCAAGGTGGAGGCCTGACGGGGACACTGGCCAGAGGAAAGAAGCCGAGCCCAGAAGACAGAGGCGAGGCCACACTCCCAGCCCCACCTGAGACGAGACCCCAGGCTCCTCCAGGAAGCTGGGCCAGCACCACTCCAGGCAAAGCCACTGCACTTCCTATTTGTAAAGTCCCCGCAGAAAGTCAGAACAAGAGGTGGCAGGCGCCTGTAATCCCAGCTACTTGGGAGGCTGAGGCAGGAGAATCGCTTGAACTCAGGAGGCGGAGGTTGCAGTGAGCTGAGATCGCCCCACTGCACTCCAGCCTGGGAGACAGAGTGAAACCCTGTCTCAAAAAAAAAAAAAAAAAAAGTCAGAACCAAAGGGTCTCTGGCATCCAGGCCGCCTCTTGCCTCAGCTCTGCACTACTTGGGGCCCGTCTGGGAAACGGCTATTCCAGTGAGACTTTGGGTGAGCGCCTCAACCTCTCTGCCGTTGCCCAGTGTGACCGAGACCAGAGGTGAGGCCCCCCACCCAGGGGAGAGGAAGGCCAGAGGTGCTGGAGATGAGGGGATGCTCCAGGCAGAGGCACAGTCCCTCACCCCACAGCAACCAGTGAGCACATACCCCAGCAGGCTGCGCTTGGGGCTGGGGCACAGATGGGCACAGTGCTGTCCTGTGGAACCTACGGTCCAGGGAGGGAGCTCGTGGGGCTGATGTACAGACTGGGTAGGGAAGTGGTTGAGGATGAAGAAGAAATACATTAAATGCCAGGAATTCTCAATGGCCATGTCCATCCAGCCCAAGGTTCTTCCCCAAGCTCCACAGGAGTTCTGGACCATGTGAAATCCAAAGTTAACCAACGTGGAAATCTCGGCATTTCCCCAAGTCCAGCTCTTCCTCTACTTCTGGAATCTATTCTCCACGCAGCTGCAGTGATCTTTTAACAACCTGAACTCGGGTCTATCACTTCTATTGACACCCCCTGCACTTCCCACTACATTCAGACCATCACTGGGACATCACTGGGACGGCCTGAGCTGGCCAGATCCCTCACTGCTTTCCTGCTCCCTACCGCCCACGGATTTATAGCATCAGTGTTCCCTCCTTCGGAAAGCCTTCCCGCCAGCAGGAAGCAGGCGCCTGCTATCATTCCACATCCCAGCCAGGGGAGGGAAAGGGCAAGACCCTGCAGGAATGGCCAGCTAAGGAAAGGGAACGACCGGATCAGATCAGAGCTCTAAAAAAGATGGGGAACGTTATAAAGTGGAGGGGAGAAGCGGCCTCCTTCCACTTAGGACAGTGGTCCAAGCCAGAGCGGAAAGGCAGGGGAGTAGGATGAATGGGACAGAAAGTGAAATGACCAGAGCAGAGTCTCAAAGCGCGTGCCCTCAACCAGGTGCAAGTCCTGCAAGCCCCCGAGGGAAGGAAAGGGGGCAGCTATCAGGGCACACCCCACCCCAAACCGCCTAACAGGAATTTCTGCGGTGGTTTCCAGGTATCTGGACAGAAGCGCTGGCTCGTGGGCCCGGGTGGGGTGGAGGGGGCTCAGGCAGGGAGGAGGGTGGGAGGTGAGGGTCGCGGGAGGGCGGCGTGCAAGGAGGAGGATGGCACAGGATAGGCAGGTGGAGGGGGCACAGGGAGCAGGCAGGTGGGGGGCGGGGCTTGGGGCGTGGAGGGTGGAGGCGGGGAGCAAGGGGACAGGGGAGTGAGGTGAGTGAGGGCCAAGCAGGAACAGGGGTCACGGGGCAAGGAGCACGTGGCAGCGCAGGAAACAGGTACATGGGGGTAGAGGACAAGGGAGCAGCTGAAGGGCGCGTTGGTGGCGGGACGTGAGGCAGGGGAAGCAGTGGTGGTGGGAGGAGGGGGCCGGGCGGGGTGCTTTGGGGCAGGCGGGTGGGGGAAGCGGCGCATGGGGGGTCCGGGATGTTGGGGGGTGCGGGCGTGGAGGGGGGCGGGGCCGAGCCGCGGGGGTTGTGAGAGGGGCCGCGGAGGTGGAGGTGGGGGTGAGAGTGTGGGGTGGCGTGTGGGAGCGGGGCCCGGGGTGCTCACCGGGCGTGGCCTGCGCCAGGGCGGCGGCGCAGCTGCAGCTCTCGCGGCGCACGGCGGCGAAGGGGTCGAGCAGGGAGCAGCGCAGCGCGCGCAGAGCGTCGTCCAGGTGGGGCGCGAGCGCGGCGCCGCACAGGTCCACGGCCAGGCCCAGCAGCTGCACAAGCGCCAGGCGCAGCTCCTCACAGGCCTCGGGCGGGCGGCGCGCGGGCACGGGGCCGGCCAAGCGCGCGGCGAGCGCGGGCAGCAGGCGCGGCAGGGCATCGCGGGGCCGCGCGGCGCGGCGCAGGCCCAGATCCAGCAGGTGCACTGCCAGCGCGCGGCAGCCCTCGGCGGGGTCGCTCAGGCAGCGCAGCAAGCGCGGCAGCAGTAGGCGCGCCCAGGGGCCCTGGAAAGCGGTGGGGTCGGCGGCAGGGCCTGGCTCCTCCAGCGCGCGCCGCAGGGCCTCCAAGGCGCGCCGCCGGCCCGGCTTGCTGTCGGCCTCCAGCCCCGGCAGCAGGCGGCTCAGGGCGCGGCTCAGCTCCACCGCCTCAGCCGTCTCGGCCCCCTCAGCCGGGTGTGGGGCCGCCACGGCCTCCGCCACCCCCAGCGCCGCCATCTTGCCCGCGTCGCCGGTCACTAAGGGGAACAGCGCTTTCGCGACTCTCAGCGCAGATTACGGCAGCACTTCCGGTCCGCGCTGCGGGCGGGGCGCCGGGCTACTTCCTCCCCGCCGGTGCGCACGTGGGCCTGTGCTCTTGTCGTGCTCGCCCGCTGTCCCCCTCTGTCGCCGGAACCCCCGCCAGCCTGCCTGCTGGGCCTTGTCCTGTCCCCATTGTACAGATGGGGAAGGTCTCGGGAGGGTGCAGCTCGCCCGGGATGCGGGTCCCGGGCTATAGGCCTGGGCCTGCCCCTAGGGAAGCCTGCCCTGCAGCCTAGGGGGCTTGGAGAAGGAACCTGAGTGGTCCCGCCTGGGACCAGGGTAGCCGGGAAGCCCCTGTTTGAGCCGCCTAGAGCCCCTCTGGCTTTGGGAAGGTCCGTTCCAGGAGGGAAGGACGCTGGTTCTGTGGACTGGATCCCCCTGTGGTGTAAGACAGGTGCCTGGTCTGGGCTTCACGTGCAGCCTGTCATTAGATCTCAGGCGTAGCCGCCCAATAGGTTCGCCTTACTCGCTGCCCAGGTAGAGCCAATTTATCAAGACAGGGGAATTGCAATAGAGAGTTTAATGCATGCAGAAACTGGCTGCATGCAGAAACTGGCTGCATGCAGAAACTGGCTAAAGGACACTGGAGCTTTATTGCTCAAACCAGGTTCTGAAAATCCTGAGATGGGTCATCTAAGGATAATTAGGCAGGTAGGGGGCCAGGGAGAGGGCAGTGCTTATTGGTCGGGTTGGAGATGAAACCATGGAGAGTCAAAGTTGATTCTCTTGCTGTCTTCTGTTCCTGGGTGGGATCACAGAACTGGTTGAGCCAGATTAGTGGTGTGGGTGGTGGCACCTGGTGCATCAGAATGCAGAGCCTGAAAAATATCTTGAGCACCAATCTTAGAGTTGATGATAGTGGTGTTATCCTAAGGAGCAACTGGGGAGGTTTGGAATCTTGTGGCCTCTAGCTGCATGACTCAAACCACAATTTCTAATCTTGTGGCTCATGTGTTAGTCTTACAAAAGCATTCTGGTCCCCAGGCAAGAAGGAGGTTGGCTTCAGGAAAGGGCTGTTATCATCTTTGTTTCAAAGTTAAACTATAAACTAAGTTCCTCCTAAAGTTAGCTTGGCCTACTCCCAAGAAATAACAAGGCAGCTTGGAAATTAAAAGCAAGACAGTGTTTCACAGTAGTGACCTTGACTGTGGACTTGAGTGGAGACAGAGGCGCCTAAACAGCTTGGAGTCGGAGTTGCTGTGAGCCCAGCCTAGAACGCGAGTTTGACAGCACTCACTGCAAACCAGGAGTCCCCAAGTCTGGTTAGCCAGGCACTTCTCATCTGTGACCATGCACTGAGTTTTCTAAAGGCAGAATGTGTGTAATTTTAGGACAGAACTTCAAGTTTGACCTTCTTTTTTGTTGTTGATCTTCGTGTTGCAAAATGGTGGTGTTTGTCGGTACGTCTTTTTTTTTTTTTTTTGAGATGGAATCTTGCTCTGTCGCCCAGCCTGGAGTGCAGTGGCGCGATCTCCGCTCACTGCAGACTCTGCCTCCCAGGTTCATGCCATTCTCCTGCCTCAGCCTCCCAAGTAGCTGGGACTGCAGGTGCCCACGACCACGCCCAGCTAATTTTTTGTATTTTTAGTAGAGACGGGGTTTCACTGTGTTAGCCAGGATGGTCTCGATGTCCTGACCTCGTGATCCGCCCGCCTCAGCCTCCCAGAGTGCTGGGATTACAGGCGTGAGCCACCACGCCCGGCCCATCAGTACTTCTGAAAAGTTGTTATGTAGCATATTCAGTAACCTTCATTCATTGTTTCCTCCAACAGGCATTTGTTTGACCAGGCACTGTCTGCAACATGTGGGACAGGATGACAATGATGTAGAAACTGGCCATGGTCCCTGCTCTCCCAGATCTTAGGGTCTTGCAGGATGAGATAGCCCTTAATGGAAGGATAAATTAGTATGTGTTTAACCGTGGTGGTCCTGAGAGAATGAGTGTCAAGGGATGTTGAACTAGACTTTTAAGGCTTCCCTGAACAAATGGTAGCAGAGGTGAAATATGAAGAATAAGTAAACACAGTGTATTAGTCCATTTTCACGCTGCTAATAAAGACATGGCCGAGACTGGGTAACTTATACAGGGAAAGGTTTACTGGACTCACAGTTCCACATGGCTGGGGAGGCCTCACAATGATGGCCGAAGGCGGGAAGGAGCAAGTCACATCTTACATGATGGCAGCAGGCAAAGAGAAAATGAGAGAGCCTGTGCAGGGAAACTCCCCCTTATAAAACCGTCAGATCTCGTGAGACTTATTCACCATCATAGGAACAGCACAGGAAAGACCTGCCCCCATTATTCAGTTACCTCCCACTGGGTCCTTCCCACAACACGTGGGAATTGTGGGAGCTACAATTCAAGATGAGATTTGGGTGGGGACACAGCCAAACCATGTCACATAGCCAGGTGAAAGGGCGGAGGTGGGAGACGGGGAGTGTTGGAGAGAGAGGAAATAGCATGAGCAAAGGCCTCATGGGAGTGTTACGGGCTGAATGGCGTCTCCCCAAAATTCATATGCTGAAGTCCTAACCCCCATAGTTCAGGAAGTGATCCTGTTTGGAGACAAGGTCTTTGCAGACGTGATTGAGGTGAGATGAGGTCATGAGGTTGGGCACTCATCCAATATGACTGCTGTCCTCATAAAAGGAGAAATTTTGGAGATAGACGTGCATACAGGGAGAATGCAGTATGAGCATGAAGAGAGACCTCAAGAGGAGCCAGCCCGTACCCTGATCTTGAGAAATCAAATTTGTTTCATTCAGCTGCCCAGCCTGGTGTGCTTTGTTACGGCAGCCTCAGGTAGCAAACAGGGAGGGAGGCTGACCCTGGTCACAGGGGAGCAGGCAGGGAGTGAGCAGATGGGTGGGGCCAGGCCATGGGGGCCTCTGTCCTAAAACATGGCAGACTGAGGATTTCAAGGTGGGAGCATTGGCAAGATCGAGTCTGCATTTTTCAAGGACCCCTTTGGCTTCCGTTGAACGGATTGGTCGGGAGCCCTGGGAAGGCTGTGGCAGTGAGTGCTGAAGACGAGAAAGAATAAGCGCTTGAATTACGGTGGTGGGACTTCACTTTTCCTTGCTCCTCCCATTGAAATACAACAAAATACCCTGCACATAGCAGGCGACGAGGAAAGGAGCTTGAGAGTTGACAGACGGGCTGGAGACCTCTGGACTGGAGGAATAGCAAGGTGGTGGGTCCCCTGGGTTTTCTTTTTCTCTCATGTGTTCCTGCACTAGTCCCCAGGGAAGCCTGTGGCCCAGAACAGCCAACAGGCACAGACAGAAATTCTCCAAGGAAAGCCTCCTCTCTCTGGCCAAAGCCCTGGGAAAGGGGACGCCCAACAGAGACCTAGAGGGTAGCTGCCACCTTCACCCCACAGTCTGCTTTCAGGGCCGATTTTAAAGCTGCTGCAGGTGCATTAACCTGTGCTGTGCAACTGGGGTTCGAGTGGACAGTCTGCACTGCACAGGTAGTGTCAGAGGAGCCTGAAATCTGCCCTTCCTCTCTTAGCACAAAGAGACCCAGAACGAGCATGTTCTGTCCTGACACAGCAAAAGGTAGCCCAGTGACACCAGGCGGCCCAGGGAGGTACCTTTCACCCCTGCAGGCAGCACCCATGGGAAATGAGCAGCAGTCCCAGGAGAGCCAGAAGAATAAAGCAGACGAGGAGGGCAGTGCCAGGGCTCTGAAGACGAAACTGCTGTTGGAATGACAGACCACAAAAACAGGCTGCAATCTACACCCTGGACCTGAACAGAGCAACTGCCTGGTGGAATAGAGTAGGACAAGGAGTCTGCAAACATCGTAACCCAAATGTCCAGGATACATCTGGAGATCACTTGTCATACCAAGAACAAGGAAAGCCACAACCTGAACATGGTAAGGTAACGGATGTAAATTCCAAGATAGGTCACATGTTGGAATCATCTGCCAAGAATTTTAAAGCAGAGTCATAAGAACCAGCTGGGCGCGGTGGCTCACGCCTGTCATCCCAGCACTTTGTGAGGCCAAGGCGGGCAGATCACCTGAGGTCAGGAGTTTGAAACCAGCCTGGACAACATGGTGAAACCCCATCTCTACTAAAAATACAAAAATTAGCCAGGCGCGGTGGCTCACGCCTGTCATCCCAGCACTTTGTGAGGCCAAGGCAGGCAGATCACCTGTGGTCAGGAGTTTGAAACCAGCCTGGATAACATGGTGAAACCCCATCTCTACTAAAAATAGAAAAATTAGCCAGGTGCAGTGGCTTACGCCTGTCATCCCAGCACTTTGTGAGGCCGAGGCGGGCAGATCACCTGAGGTCAGGAGTTTGAAACCAGCCTGGACAACATGGTGAAACCCCATCTCTACTAAAAATACAAAAATTAGCTGGGTGTGGTGGTGGGTACCTGTAATCCCAGCTACTCGGGGAGGCTGAGGCACGAGAATTGCCTGAACCCAGGAGGTGGAGGTTGTAGTGAGCCAATATCATGCCACCGCACTCCAGCCTGGGTGACAGAGCAAGACTCCATCTCAAAAAAAAAAAAAAAAAAAAAAGGCTGAAAACTCCCCCAATTCAATGAAAAACATAAATCCACAGATTCCAGAAGCTCAACAAGGCTTCATAGGACAAGCCCTCCAAAAACCCCATACTAAGACACATCACAATTAAACTCCTGGAAACTAAAGACAGAAGGAGGAAAAGTACTAACTGACAGAGAGAAATAATGCCTTGCCTAGAGAGGAACACCAGTTTGAATGAAGGCAGATTTCTTAACCAAAACCACAAAAGGCCAGAAAGAAGTGACCTGCCATTGTTCAACTGTAAAGGGGAAAGAGCTGTTGACTGTGAGTCCTCTACCCAGCAAAACTATCCTTCAGGAATGGAAGAGGAGTAAAGATGTTCTCAGACAGGCAAACTAATAGAATTTATTGCTAGCAGACCTACCTTTAAGGAATGCATAAAGGATACCCTGTAAACAGAAAGGTAATTTTTTTTTTTTTTGAGACGGAATTTCGCTCTTGTTGCCCAGGCTGGAGTGCAATGGTATGATCTCAGCTCACTGCAACCTCTGCCTCCCAGGTTCAAGCAATTCTCCTGCCTCAGCCTCTCGAGTAACTGGGATTACAGGCATGTGCCACCATGCCCGAGTATTTTTTTATTTTTAGTAGAGACAGAGTTTCTCCGTGTTGGTCAGGCTGGTCTTGAACTCCTGACTTCAGGTGATCCACCTGCCTCAATGCCCCCCAAAGTGCTGGGATTACAGGCGTGAGCCACCGTGCCCGGCCCAGAAAGATAATTTTAACAGAAGAGGGCTGGGGCCTCCAGAAAGTTGAGACAATGGACTGGATAAAAATAGAAGTCAATGTCACTGACCATCTTTCACCTCATGAGTTTCTTTAATCATATTTGATGATCGAAGCAAAAATTACAACACTCATGTGGTGTGTGATGTATGTGGAGGAAATATCTACAGCTAGGTATTTAACAGTGAGAAGGGTTAGGGACTTAAGTGGAAGGAAGGTTTGTCCACTCACTCAAGGTGGAAAATCATAGATGCCGATAGACCGATGGGTTGCATATGTATATGGTGATATCCTCAAAAACATAACGTGGAATTCTAAAAAACATTCAGGTATCCCACAGTAAAGCATGAGAGAACAGATGATTAAATGGCAAGCGTAAGCCCTAATATATCACTAATTTAAATGTAAATGGCCTAAACACACCAATTAGAAGACAGAGGTTCGCCACGTGGATACAAAACATGACCCAACTGTATGATGTCTACTATATGCTGAAGCTCACTTCAAACATAATAACATAGGCACATTGAAAGTAAAAGGATGGCAAAAGAGTATCATGTAAACATAAATTTTAAAAAGCGGGAGTGGCTGTTGAAATTCCTTGGGAAAAAGAGGGACATTACATAATGATAAAAGAACCCACTGGGAAGATAACAGCAATCCCAAATGTGTGTACAGCAAACAACAGACCTTCAACATGTATAAAGCAGAAACTGATAGAGCTGAAAGGAGGAAGAGACAAGCCTGCTGTTGCAGTTGACGACTTCAGCCCCCAACTCAGCAGCTGCTAGAATAACTAGGCAGATAGTCATTAAGGTATAGCAGAGCAACACCATCAACCAACAGGATCTAATTGACGTTTGCAGAACACACCACTCAACAATCGCAGAATTCACATTATTTTCTAGTGTCCTCAGAACAGAGACCAAGATATACCATATCCTGGGCCATAAGGCAAACCTTAGCAAATGTAGAAGACTTGCACAGAGGGCTGGGCGCGGTGGCTCACACCTGTTATCCCAGCACTTTGGGAGGCCGAGGCAGGCGGATCACCTGAGGTCAGGAGTTCAAGACCAGCCTGGCCAACATGGAGAAATCCTGTCTTTACTAAAAATGCAAAAAATTAGCTGGGTGTGGTGGCACGCACCTGTAATCCCAGCTACTCTGGAGGCTGAGGCAGGAGAATCACTTGAACCCAGGAGGCGGAGGTTGAAGTGAGCCAAGATTGTGCCACTGCACTCCAGCCTGGGCAACAAGAGTGAAACTCCCTCTCAAAAAAAAAAAAAAAAAAAAAAAGACTTGCACAGAACGCCTTCTCTGACAATAATGGAATCACACTTACCATCAACAGCAGATAGCAGGAAAATCTTCACACATGGAGATTAGACAGTTATTCTACTCAGAAAGAATTGCTGCACGCAACTTGGACGAACCTCTAAAAGATTATGCAGATGAAAACCAATCCCAAAGGGATATTTTGTGGTTTTGTTTGTATGACATCCATAAAGTAACAGAGATGGGGAACAGATGACTGATCTCCTGGGGCTAGGGATGGGGTGGCGTGATTATTAAGGGTCACTAGGAGGGAGCCTTGTGGAGCTGGTACAGTATAGTACCTGGATTGTGGTGGCAACTGCATGAATACCCAGAGGGGTCATGACCTCTCTTCTTTCCCCAGACACACTGCCAGACGGAATAGCTATAAACTGGATGACAGAAGCAGGGCAGTAGGACAGGAGGGCCAACACGTTACAACAAATGAAACAGGCCTTGGGATGCTGAGACGGGAGAATCACTTGAGGCCAGGCATTCACGTCCACCTGGGCCAAATAGTGACACCTCGTCGCTACAAAGAAATATTAAAACTTAGCTGGATGCAGTGACTCACACCTGTAGTCCCAGGTACTTGGGAGGCTGAGGCAGGAGGATTGCTTGAGCCCAAGAGCTTGAGACCAGCCTGGGCAACATAGTGAGACCCCCATCTCTACAAAAAGAATACAAAATTATGGCCGGGCACAATGGCTCATGCCTGTAATCCCAGCACTTTGGGAGGCTAAGGCGGGTGGATCACTTGAGCTCAGGAGTTTGAGACCAGCCTGGCCAAGAGGGTGAAACCGCGTCTCTACTAAAAATACAAAAATTAGTCGGGTGTGGTGGCAGGCACCTGTAATCCCACCTACTCGGGAGGCTGAGACAGGAGAATTGCTTAAGCCTGGGAGGCGGAGGTTGCAGGGAGCTGAGATCAGGCCACTGCACTCCAGCCTGGTGACAGAGCAAGACTCCTTCTCAAAAGAAAAAGAAAAAATAATAAGCTGGGTGTGATGGGGTGCACCTGTAATCCCAGCTACTCAGGAGGCTGGGGTGGGAGGATCACTTGGGCCAGGAAGGTTGAGGCTGCCAAGAGCTATGATCATGCCACCGCACTCCAGCCTGGATGACAGAGCGAGACCTTATCTCATCAAAAAAAAAAAAAAAAAAAAAAAGCCTATAAAAGAGATGAAGTTCTGTATGTTACCAAAATGAAACAGGAACAAGAAGTATGTAAGAGAAAAGGTCAGGGATATGGAGAACAGAAGCAACAATGCTAATATCTGTTGAATAGATGTCCCAGGAAGGCAGAAGAAAAGTGGGAAGTAGGAGGTATTTGAAGGGATAATGAAGGCACATTTTCTAGACTTAAAAATGGGTCAGGTCAGGTGCAGTGGCTCACGTCTATAATCCCAGCACTTTAAGAGGCTGAGGCGGGTGGATCACCTGAGGTCAGGAGTTCGAGACCAGCCTGGCCAACATGGTCAAACCCCGTCTCTACTAAAAATACAAAAATTTGCTGGAAGTGGTGGTGCCCACCTGTAATCCCAGCTACTTGGGAGGCTGAGGCAGGAGAATTGCTTGAACCCAGGAGCCAGAGGTTGCAGTGAGCTGAGATTGTGCCACTGCACTCCATCCTGGGTGACAGAGCAAGACTCTGGAAAAAAAAAAAAAGGCTGAAGCAGGAGGAGATATATATATATATATACATACATACATATATATGTATGTATATATGTGTATGTGTGTGTGTGTGTGTGTGTGTGTGTGTGTGTGTGTGTGTATCTATAAAGCTTCCCCCAGTGAAGGCCTGGGGCCGGCTGTCTGTGGGTCAGGAGTCCAGGCATGGCTTTACTGGGTCCTCTGAAGGCTGCAATCCATGCTGGGGCTGCATTCTTATCTGAGGCTCGACTGAGGAAGGGACCGTTCCCAAGTGCACTTGGTTGTTTCCAGCATTCACTTTCTTAGCTGTGGACTGGAGGCCACCCTCAGCTCCTGGCCACGGGGTCCTCTTACAGCCACTGATGAAAGGGCAGCTGGCTTCCTCAAAGCCAGCAAGGGAGAGAGTCCCCTGGCAAGGCAGATGTTGCCATGAATCATATGTGATGCTCACTCCTCACCTTTGCTGTACCCCACCGGGCAGGGGTGAGCCTCAGGACCTACACACACTCAAGGGGAGGGTACCCCACAAGCCATGAGCACTGGGAGGTGGGGACCCTGTGGCCATCTGAGAGTGCCTGCCACACCCAGGAGCCATGTGTAGAGAAGACTATTGAGGTTTGTGGCAAAATTTCCCGTGAAATTTTGCATCCCTTACCTACATAGTGAACAATGCAAAACTTGAATATTAGAGAACATTGTGTGTGTGGGTGTGTGGTTTTGAGGCAAGGTCTCACTCTGTTGCCCAGGCTGGAGTGCAGTGGCGCAATCATAGCTCACTGCAGCCTCGAACTCTTGTGTTCAGGTGATCCTGCCACCTTAGCCTCCTGAATAGCTGGGACTACAGGTGTGCACCACCATGCCTGGCTAATTTTTGTATTTTTTTGTAGAGACAGGGTCTTGCTCTGTTGCCCAGATGGGTCTTGAACTCCTGGACTCAAGTGATCCTCCTCTTTTGGCCCCGCAAAGTTCTGGGATTGCAGGCATGAGCCACGATGCCTGGCCACATTGTTATTTTCTTTTCTCTTTTCTTTTCTTTTTCCTTTCTTTCTTTCCTTCTGTCTCTCTCTCTTTCTTTCTTTCTTTTTTTGAGACTGGGTTTCACTCCTGTTGCCCAGGCTGGAACGGAGTGGCATGCTCTCAGCTCACTATGACCTCTGCCTCTTGGGTTCAAGTGATCTTCCTGCCTCAGCCTCCCAAGTAGCTGGGACTACAGGCACGGCACCACACCTGGCTAATTTTTGTATTTTTTGTAGAGATGGGGTTTCACCATGTTGCCCAGGCTGGTCTCGAACTCCTGGCCTCAGGTGATCTGCCTGCCTTGGCCTCCCAAAGTGCTGGGATTACAGGTGGGAGGCACTGCGCCCGGCTGGAGAATAATTATTACTGTTCACGGTTCTTGGGCTCCTACTATGTGCTGCGTGCTCCATGCTCAGCCTCTCAGTCCTCATTCCTCGTATATCCACCTAGATTTGAGGATGAGTGGCCTCTCCCATCAGCCACAATCACATGCAGTTTCTCCTCTATCCTCAGCTCAGGGAGCATACGGACGTTGCGCAGTGAATGCAGCTGGCTGGGGAAGGCTCAGGAACCGCACCCAGGAAGCCCACCTACAGATCCCACCTCAAACCACGACATGCTGCAGCCTCCCCAGTGGCCAGAGCAGCTTAACAAAGCATCTTTGTTTCCTTTCTGCACCCCAGAAAATAGCTGTGTTGGTCTCTTCGCCATGCAGAGTGAATAAAGAATAAGACAAACACCATCCATGCATACTTGGTGCTTTTGACCTAGCAGGGGAGACAGCAATTAAGCTGGCAGCCTTGCCGTCATTATTCAATTGCACGTGTAATAAGAGCTACCAAGGAGAAGTCCTGGGAGCCCCGGGCCCTCCAGAGGCAGTGCTGGCGCCTTAGGGAATTTCCCTGTGTAACGTTTTGGTTGAATCTTGGAGGGTGAATTGGAGCTGACAGAGCAAAGTTTAGAAGTGCGAGGTATGTGGTGATTGGGAAAAGAATGTGGCTTCGGACCGGGTGCGGTGGCTCATACCTGTAGTCCCAGCACTCTGGGAAGCTGGTGGGAGGATTGTTGGAGGCCAGGAATTCGAGACTAGCCTAGGCAACATAGTGAGATTTTTTTTTTTTACAAAAAAAAAAAAAATGTTTTTAAGTACCAGGTGTGGCGGTGTGCACCTGTGATCCCAACTACTCTGGATGTTGAAGTGGGAGGATGGCTTGAGCCCAGGAATTTGAGGCTGCAGTGAGCTATGATCACACCACTGCACTCCAGCCTGGGCGACAGAGTGAGACCCTGTCTCAAAACAACAACAAAAAGATTTAAAAAAAAAAATATATAAAGAATGTGGCTAGGCCGGGTGCGGTGGCTCACGCCTGTAATCCCAGCACTTTGGGAGGCCAAGGCGGGCGGATCACGAGGTCAGGAGACCGAGACCATCCTGGCTAACACGGTGAAACCCCATCTCTACTAAAAATACAAAAAATTAGCCGGGCGCGGTGGCGGGCGCCTGTAGTCCCAGCTACTCGGGAGGCTGAGGCAGGAGAATGGCGTGAACCCGGGAGGCGGAGCTTGCAGTGAGCAGAGATCACGCCACTGCACTGCAGCCTGGGTGACAGAATGAGACTCTGTCTCAAAAAAAAAAAATAAAATGTGGCTCTTTGGTTGGAGTTCTGCAAAGCGTGGTCACTGTAAGTACATTTAGTCATGATGAATCCTACAGGCACATTCTATGGGTGAAGTAAGACCCCACAGGGCTTAGAAATGTGAATACCTTTGCTGAGAAAAATAACCTACCCCAGGGGGTAGGTCCTTCCCTATGGGAAGATATGTGATTTACTGGGACTTCTGAATGGGTAACCCAGTCACCAGCAGCACATTTTCAGTTGAGGGCATAGCTGCTTGGGCACAGTGTCACACGTCAGGGTTTGTCACCGTGTGGCAGGGTGGCGACCGACCTGTTGAGGTCCACGTGGTCCGATGACCAAGCGCAGCTCCTCTGAGCTCACCAGACCCCTCTTTGTGTCTTCATCCAGGAGCATTTAATGGGGTTGTCAGTGTGTGTTTTGGGGGGATTGTGTCAGATCAGTGGTGTATTCACTTGGATGTCCTCAGTGGCGACTAACAAAAAGCAAAAAGCCAACGGGCTCAGGCAGTAGTACGAGGTATTTATTTATTATTTATTTATTTCGAGACGGAGTTTCGTTCGCTCTTTTGCTGCCCAGGCTGGAGTGCAGTGGTACGATCTGGGCTCACTGGAGTTCAAGTGATTCTCCTGCTTCAGCTTTCTGAGTAGCTGGGGATTACAGGCGTGCATGACCATGCCCGGCTAATTTTGTATTTCTAGTCGAGACAGGGTTTCGCTATGTTGCCCAGGCTGGTCTTGAACTCCTGACCTCCAGTGACCCACCTGCCTCGGCCTCCCAAAGTGCTGGGATTACAGGTGTGAACCACCGCATCCGGCCAAAGGTATTTATTGATGAACATAATTGGGAAGTCCAGATACGGGAAGGGCCTCAGGTTTGGTTTGAGGACGGCCGTGGCTCCATTTCTCTAGGATCCTGTTTCTTCCCACTTCTGTGTTGATTTCATCCTCTGGCAATGATCAGACAGTGAGCAGGACACTAAGGAAGCGTCTGTCCTTGGCTCAAGCCAGTAAGGCTGAAGCAAGAGAGGCCTGGGAGTCAGGCAGAAACTTGTCTGCAGGTTGGGGCGGTGGGGGCCACGCCTCGCACTCCTACCAGAGCCAGTCTGGAGAGGGAGTCCTTGTGTGGGGTGGGGGCCACTGGAACAGGGATCTGAGTGGCGGGGAAAAGTGTGAAAGAGAGAGGCAGTGGGAGCTGCCGTCGTGGCAATGAGGAGAGGAGCTCAGCAGACGTCACAGCTCAGTGGGGCCAGGGGCCGCATGTCTGGCTGGCCACGTGCATGCTGCCAGCCCCCAAACCTGGGAGATCCTTGTCTCAAAAGGACGCAGGCAAGGAGGCTCAGCCTGAGGAGGTATTGCAGCAGAAGGAGGGCTTGTGTGTGCGCCTCGGGATCAGAGGGCTGTCCTGTGAGGTCAGCCAGAGAGGTGCCTCCACTCTCCTCTAGAGGCACGGTGTGGGGGAAGTCTTTACAGGGAGTCTCCAGAGAACCCCAGGACAGCCCGGGAGAGAAGCAGCCAGGCCTGGAGCATCTGCCCCCCGAAGCGAGACGTCGCCTTGGTTAGGTGGCACCTGGGTCTTTTTTGCTGTCCTCACCAGTCTACCCTGGAGGAGCAGGAGTAATTGGAGGAGGAGGAGGAGGGAGTGGAGGGGCCGCGGGGAGCACGTGATGGTACTGCTGGTCAGCAGCAGCTCCAGGCAGGCCAGGGCTGGGAGAGCCAGAGGTCTGAGTGGGTTGTGGGATGGAGTTCTAATTCAGAGACCAGGCCTGGATCCCTAAGAAAGTCTCAGGACAAATGCAGGTCTGCCTGAGACGGGGCTGGGGCCAGTGGGTGCTGAGGGTGAGGGCTGAGGACCAAGGACCTTCGTGTTTGACCCCCGAGGGTGGCCTGCTTGGTTTACGTTCACCCTGGCAGGAAGAGGCTGAGGCAATGTCAGCCCTGCTGGGGAATGTGCTCGGCAGGGCTGGTGACCTGTGTAGTGCCTGTGCAGGCAGGTGAGTGGGAGACAGCTGAGCAATGAACAAGAAAGCTGGACAGGTGAGTGTGGACCAGGTGAGCATGGGAGGGCTGAGTGAGAGACGGTGAGTGTGTACAGGTGAGTGTGGACCAGGTGAGCATGGGAGGGCTGACTGGGAGACGGTGAGTGTGTATACGTGAGTGTGGACCAGGTGAGCATGGGAGGGCTGAGTGGGAGATGGTGTCTGTGTACAGGTGAGTGTGGAAAAGGTGAGCAAGAGACGGGTGAGTGGGAGATGGTGTGTACGGGTGAGTGGGAGACAGGTGAAGATGGGGCAGCATAGTGGGAGACAGGTGAGTAGGCAACAGGGAAGCCGGGCAGGTGAGTGCAGGACCCGGGGGCTGGACAGGCGGGTGGAGGATCCGGGGGCTGGGCAGGTGGGTGGAGGACCCCGGGGGTAGACAGGTGAGTGTGCACAGGGAGGCAGGTATCATCTCCTTCACAGCTGGAACTGCCTACCCCTCTCCTGGCATTTGGAGCCTCTGGGGAGGGAAGATGGAGTTTCTGCCGCCGCCACCCTGGCAGGATGGGGCAACGGTGTGCGGTAGGAGGATGAGGTTGATTCCCTTTCCTGCAGGGCTGGGCTTGTGGGTTAGGACCGTCACCAAGAGGCTCCTCCTAGGCCTCCGTGACCTCTGGATCCCCAAGAAAGGTGGGAAAGAATTTAGGAGGGTTCCGATTTCCCACTGGGCATCGGGGTGAAGCTGGTGCGCCTAAGCGCTGGGAGTCACCTGGGGAAGCGGGGCTGGGCCCACCTGGCCACCCTCTCTGGCCGCTAAGGCAGAGTGAGACCCCAGGGAACGGGCGTGCTTGCTGGGTACCGGGTGTCCTGCAGAGGCAGGGATGTGATCCCCTAGGTGTGAGCAGCTCAGGCAGCCGCGGTGGTCGTGAACGGGGCGGGAGTGGGGGGTGCCCAGGCCATCAGAGGCGGCCCCGCGGCCTGCACCGGCTGGAGTGGGCGACTCAGAGTCTGAGTGGAGGGGGCGGGGGGCGGCGACAGCGGGGGGTCCTGGCAGCGATGGCCTGAACCTGCGCCGGTGGGGGATGGGGCGGGGGCGGGGAGAGCCGGGGGTGGGGGCCGGGGTTGGGGGCCCCGCGGGGAGGCGGTCGGGGGGAGACGGGCTGCAGGCCCGCGCGGGCGGCGTTGGGGGTGCAGCAGCTGCGCGCGGCGCGGGGGCGGGCGTGGAGGGCGGCGCCGCTGCAGTGCGGGGACCCGCTCGCTCGCTCGCCAGCCGTCCCCGCGCCCCGCGTCCCCGCGCAGCCGCCTCCTGGCCTCGGGCGCCGCGCATCCAGGTACGCGGGGCCGGGCTGGGGTCTGCGCCGGGAGCCCCGGGCCTGGGAGGCCCCCCGGGGATGCGGACATTTGGAAGGGTTCGGCCCCGCCGGGAGTGGGGCGCGCGGGGCGGGGCCGGGCCTGGGGCTCCCGGTCAGGGGTCCCGGGAGGGTCCTCGCCGGCGCTGAGGCCGGGTTTGGGGCGGGGGGCGCGGGGTCTCTGGGTGGGCGCCTTCCCGGCGGTCTGGGCACTCCGGGGGCGGCGTGGCGGGGGGCTGGGGTCCTGCGCCCCGCGGTGCGGTGCCGGCCTGGCCTGGCCATGGTGACTTCGCTGCGCGGCCGCCGCATTTGTTCTCCCGCACCCCACCCCCCCACCACCGCCAGCTTCCCTTGTTTACCTGCGTTTCTGTCTTTTCCTGTGCAGAGGCCGCCCCAGCCCATCCACAGTCTCACCCTCATCTCCCCCTCCCCTGAGGCCGCGCGCAGGGGCCCCCAGCATTCACATTTCACATAAGTGCCCCCAAAAAGGGGGGATGGAGGAGGACGAGGCCCTGGAACCCCCCGGCTGGACCCTCAGGGCGCCGGGCCCCCCCACTCTTCCCACCCGGAATCCTCAGAACTGCAGAAGGGGCTTCTCAGCCGCGTGCACCCCTGTCTGCCTGAGCCCCCTCCCCCCCTGCCTGAGCCCCCTCCACCCCTGCCGGGGGTCTGTGGGGAGGGAAGGCTCTGGGGGCCGTCACGTTTAACACCTCACCTGGCCCCACAGAATGAAAGATCTTTGACAAATGCAGAATCAGTGACTTTCTTCCACGCTCCTGGGAGAAGCCTGGTTCACGCCGCCTGCGTTTATCCGGCGCGCAGCCCCGGGCAGCTCTCAGGCCTGGGGATCTGTGTGTTTTCTGGACAGGAAGGAAGCAGCCACCCTCGCCATGGCCTCCCCGCCCGCCTGCCCCTCGGAGGAGGACGAGAGCCTGAAGGGCTGTGAGCTGTACGTGCAGCTGCACGGGATCCAGCAGGTCCTCAAAGACTGTATCGTCCACCTCTGCATCTCCAAGCCCGAACGCCCCATGAAGTTCCTCCGGGAGCACTTCGAGAAGCTGGAGAAGGTGAGTGGCCCCCGCCGCCCGCTGCTTCCCTTCGCACGTGTCCTGGGGCAGAGGCGGCAGCCGGGGAAGCCTTCCCTCTGTCCCGTGGTCCTCGAAGGCTGGGTGCCCCAGAGACTGTCTGCCGTCCTGCAGGTCCTTCCAGAAGCGCGGGGAGAGAGGCCGACCTGGGGCCCACCGTCCCTTGTTTGGTCTCCCGAGATTCATGCCTCTAGGTGGGGTCCTCTGAGCCACAGAATTCCCCCTTCGGCTTCCAGGGGGTTCCAGGTCTTCAGAGCTCTCCTGGAAGGAGGTTCAGGGTTTTAGGTCCAGGTGTTTCGCTAGCTTGTGGGGCTCACCGACAGTTTTCAGCCTAGTTACAGATGCTGTCACCACTTGGGATAAAATAGCTCCCACGGGGTAGCTCACACCTGTCATCCCAGCACTTTGGGAGGCCGAGGCGGGCAGATCACTTGAGGTCAGGAGTTCGAGACCAGCCTGGCCAACATGGCGAAACCCCCTCTCTACTAAAAATACAAAAATTAGTTGGGTGTGGTGGCGGCGCCTGTAATCCCAGCTACTGGGGTGGTTCAGGCAGGAGAATTGCTTGAACCGGGAGGTGGAGGCTGCAGTGAGCTGAGATCGCACCACTGCACTCCAGCCTGGGCGACAGAGCGAGACTCCGTCTCAAAAAAAAAAAAAAAAAAAAGGAAAAAGAAAATAGCTCCCATGGCTAAGGTGATGTGGGGTTTGAGGTCGAATTCCACGTTGATCTTGCAGCAGTGGGAGAGGAAAGTACCCTTCGGCACGTGTGGTCGGGGAGAAGCTCAGGCCTGCTCACGGTCTTCTCTCCGGGAATGATGCCTCTCACCCCCTTCCTGGCCTCCTGCATCTGGGCTCTTTTCGTAGACGTGCGTGCCTGGGAAGTGGAGGCCGGGACAGGAGCCCCTGTGACACCTCCTGCTGTGTCCCCTCCCCCTCGCCGTGGGCTCCTCCTGTCCTTGTTCTGGGCCCCACCCCAGGCTGTCTGCGTATCACCTAATGTTTCTCCTCTTGGTCCTTTTATCACAACTTAACTATCTCCTGTGCCCATCTCTCCTGGGGACCAAATGGGAACTTGGGAAGCCCAGTTCAGGCTAAGATCTGCCTTTGAGTGCCTGTGAGCCACCAGGTCCCCATCCGGCGGTGTTTATGCTTTCGACAGGGGCCTCCTGTGATCACATAGTCCTAACCCAAAGGAGTGAATATAACTCTTCCCTTGGAAGCAGTCCATGCAAAAACATTTTAAAGTAATGCATATGCCTATTAAGGGAAATTTGAAAAGTTCGGAAGTGGAAAGAAGAGATAAAAACGCTCTGTAGTCCTCTCCACCGAATTCCCCCTCAAATGTTTTTATAAAAACGTAGTTGTAGGCCAGATACGGTGGCTTATACCTGTAATCCCAGCATTTGGAAGGTCGAGGTGGGAAGATCACTTGAGGTCAGGAATTCGACCTTGTCTCTCAAAAACATTTAAAAAGTTTGCTGGGTGTGGTGGCACCTGCTTGTGGTCCCAGCTACCCAGGGGCTGAGGTGGGAGGATCACTTGAGCCCAGGAGTTTGAGGCTGTGGTGAACCATGATCACACCACTGCACTCCAGCCTGGGCAACAGAGCGAAACCCTGTCTCAGAAATACATACACACGGCTGGGTGCAGTGGCTCACGCCTGTAATCCCAGCACTTTGGGAGGCTGAGGTGGGCAGATCACGAGGTCAGGAGATCGAGACCATCCTGGCTAACACAGTGAAACCGCGTCTCTACTAAAAATACAAAAAATTAGCCGGGCGAGGTGGCAGGCGCCTGTAGTCCCAGCTACTCAGGAGGCTGAGGCAGGAGAATGGCGTGTACCTGGGAGGTGGAGCTTGCAGTGAGCCAGGATGGCGCCACTGCACTCTAGCCTGGGCGACAGCGAGACTCCGTCTCAAAAAAAAAAAAAAAAAAAGAAATACATACACACACACATGCATACACACATGCATACACACACATACATACATGCATACGTGGATACATACGTACATAAGTCTTAGTTGCAGTCACGTTATAGATGCAATTCGTATTTTGTATTTTTCATTTTTTATATATTCTTTAAAGACCTCTCTTTAAGTGACTGCATAATGTTATACTAAGGTTTTTCAACCTTTCCTCCGTGAGTGAATGGACAATTGAGTTGTTTCCTTTTTTTTTTTTTTTTTTTTTTTTTTTAGTATTAAATATTGGGGCTGGTGGGTGCGGTGGCTCACACCTGTAATCCCAGCAATTTAGGAGGCCGAGGCAGGTGGATCATGAGGTCAGGAGTTTGAGACCACCTTGACCAACACAGTGAAACCCCGTCTCTACTAAAAATACAAAAATTAGCCGGGTGTGGTGGCACGCACCTGTAATCCCAGCTACTCAGGAGGCTGAGGCAGGAGAATTGGCTTGAACCCGGGAGGTGGAGGTTGCAGTGAGCAAAGATGCGTCACTGCACTCTGGCCTGGGCGACAGAGGGAGACTCCGTCTCAGAAAAAAAAAAAAAAAAAATTGGGGCCGGGCACAGTGACTCATGCCTGTAATCCCAGCACTTTGGGAGGCCCAGGAGGGTGGATCGCTTGCACACAGGAGTTGGAGACCAGCCTGGCCAACGTGGTGAAACCCCATCTCTACTAAAAATACAAAAATTAACTGGGCGTGGTGGCATGTGCCTGTAATCCCAACTACTTGGGAGGCTGAGGCGGGAGAATTGTTTGAACCAGGGAGGCGGAGGTTGCAGTGAGCTGATTGCAACACTGCCCTCCAGTCTGGGCAACAGAGCGAGAGTCTGTCTCAAAAATAAATAAATTTTTTAAAAAAGTATATGGGAGGATGTGTGTAGGTTACATGCAAATATGACACCATTTTATATCAGGGACTTCAGCATCCATGGGTTCTGGTTATCCTTAGAGATTCTAGAACCATCTCCCATGGATACCAGGGGATGACTGTACCACACACCGGGCATCTTAAACAGAAATGTCTCCTCCCACAGTTCTGGAGGCTGAAAGTCTGAGATCAAGGTGTATTGGGATGGCTCCTTCTGGGTCTGTGTGGGAGAAGGAGATCTTAGGTGGTCCAGGCTGGAAGTCCGAGATCGAGGTGTATTGGGATGGCTCCTTCTGGGTCCGTGTGGGAGAAGGTTCTATGTCTCCCCCGGCTCTGGGTGGTTCTGGCGATTTTGGGTGGTCCGGGCTGGAAGTCCGAGATTGAGGTGTATTGGGATGGCTAATTCTGGGTCCGTGTGGGATAAGGTTCTGTGTCTCCCCTGGCTCTGGGTGGTGCTGGTGATCATCTTGGGTGGTCCAGGCTGGAAGTCTGAGATCAAGGTGTGGTGGGATGGCTCCTTCTGGGTCCGTGTGGGAGAAGGTTCTGTGTCTCCCCCGGCTCCAGGTGGTGCTGGTGATCATCTTGGGTGGTCCAGGCTGGAAGTCTGAGACCAAGGTGTGGTGGGATGGCTCCTTCTGGGTCCATGTGGGAGAAGGTTCTGTGTCTCCCCCAGCTCCGGGTGGTGCTGGCGATTGTGGGTGGTCCAGGCTGGTAGACGCATCGCGGGTCCTGCCTTCATCTTCACATGGTGTTCTGCCCCCTGACAGTGTCTGTGTCCAGATTTCCCCTTCTCATAGGGACACTAGTCATCCTGGACCAAGGCCACCCCAATGACCTCTTGTAACTTCCTCACCTCCGTCAAGACCCTGCCTCCAAGTAAGGTCAACTTCTGAGGTTCTGAGGTTCTGAGGTTCTGAGGTTAGGACTCCAGAATGTCTATTTCTGGGGACACGATTCACGGATCCCAGCGGCCTTCTTGGGCGTGGGCAGGGCAATTTTTCTCAGGCCTTCCTCCAACAGCAAGCCTTTGCTGAGTGAAAATAGCAGGTTGCAAGACAGGATCTATGGTACAATTCCATTTTTGTCGAAAGGGTTGCCGACAATAATGTGTTATATGCAAAGAAAAAAATCTGAGGGGCGTCCGCCAAAATGTTGAAAAGAGTGGCGTCTCAGGGCACGATTGCAGGTGATTTTTGTTTGTTTTCTGCAGTAGCTGATAGGGACAGGCATTGGGGAGCTTTAGTGAAGTCTTTGAAGTTGCATGCGTGTTCTACATGTGGGTGCGTTTAACTGGGAAGAATTCCTCTTAGCTTGCGATGGATTCTCAAATGGAGCTGAGATCCCCAAATATAAACCAGCTAACAGGGCCCTAAAATTCCATGGAGTCTCATTTCCTGCTGCGTGTTCTGGACCAGTGAGGTGCTGTGGAATGTTTACAATAGAACCGGGAAGTGTGCCTCTGGGTAGGGCGGCAGCCCTGGTGGAGAGGGTGAGGTCTGGGCCACCCCCTCGAGGCCAGCCAGGGCTGAGTGGAGGGCAGAAGCCCCTGATGGAGGATTTTTCTTCACTTGTATCCCAAGCAGGGTGCATGTTTGTGAGGCTTTCATAAAGCACCTGGGATAAAACACAGGCCAGCAGGGATGGCCCAGCTCTTGGAGTGCCGTCCGGGCTGGGCCTCTGGTGCTCTGGCCTTCGTGAGTGAGTTCTTCTGTGGTGGAGACTTAAGCAGATAAAATATTCCTTATTTGGGCCGGGCGCGGTGGCTCATGCCTGTAATCCCAGCACTTTGGGAGGCTGAGGCGGGCGGATCACGAGGTCAGGAGATCGAGACCATTCTGGCTAACACAGTGAAACCCTGTCTCTACTAAAAAAAAAAAAAAAAAAAAATTAGCTGGGCATGGTGGCGGGTGCCTGTAGTCCCAGTGAGAGGCTGAGGTAGGAGAATTGCTTGAACCCAGGAGGTAGAGGTTGCAGTGAGCCCAGATCGCGCCACTGCACTCTAGCCTGGGTGATAGAGCGAGACTCCGTCTCAAAAAAAAAAAAAAAAAAATTCCTTATTTGATGGCAAAACACAGCGTGGGAGTTTCCCCAGCAAGATGTGATCTTTCCGAAGATTATCCAAAATGACACCATCAATCTTCTTTTTTGAGACAGGGTCTGGCTCTGTTGTCCAGGCTAGAGTACAGTGGTATGATTTCAGCTCACTGCAACCTCCACCTCTCAGGCTCAAGCCATCTTCCCACCTCAGCTTCCTGAGTAGCTGGGAGTACCGGTGCCCACCACCATGCCTGGCTAATTTTTGTATTTTTTGTGGAGACGGGATTTCGCCATGTTGCCCAGGCTGGTCTTGAACTCCTGAGCTCAAGCGGTCCTCCCCACTCGGCTTCCCAAAGTGCTGGGGTTATAGATGTGAGCCACCACGCCCGGCTCATCTGTTTTTCTTTTCGAGACAGAGTTTTACTCTTGTTGCCCAGGCTGGAGAGCAGTGGCACAGTCTCAGCTCACTGCAACCTCTGCCTCCTGGGTTCAAGCAATTCTCCTGCCTCAGCCTCCCGAGTAGCTGGGATTACAGGCGCCTGCCACCACGCCCGGCTAATTTTATATTTTCAGTAGAGACGGGGTTTCAGCACGTTGGTCAGTGTGGTCTTGAACTCCTGACCTCAGGTGATCCACCTGCCTCGGCCTCCCAGTGTGTTGGGATTAGAGACGTGAGCCACAGTGCCCGCCTCATCTGTGTTTTTCTGCATCAACAGGTCCTGCATTTTTATTGCCGGCAGTGTTCTGTTGCATAGATGGATTGCAGCTTGTCTGTCCTGTACCCTGTCTAGGAACACTTGGATCCTTTCCAGTTTTTGCCAACTACAAATAAAGCTGCTATAAATATTCGTCTTACAGGTTTTTAATGTGGAAGTAGGTTTTTATTTCACTTGAGTAAATATTTAGTAGTGAGATTCCTGGGTCATAGGGTAAGTGTATGTTTATAAGAAACTGCCAAACTGTTTTCCAGAATGTCTGTCCTATCTCGTGTTCCAAGCAGCCGTGATTCTTGTTCCTCAGTATCGGCAGCCTTTGATACTGTCAGTTTTAAAAAACGTTTAGCCATTCTAATAGGTATATGGTGGCACCTAAAATGTTTTTTTTTTTCTTTTTTCTTTTTTTTTTTTTTAATTGAGACAGAGTCTTGCTCTGTCACCCAGGCTGGAGGGCAATGGCGTGATCTCGGTTTACTGCAGCCTCTGCTCCCCGCGTTCAGGTGATTTTCAAGCGATTTTCCTGCCTCAGCCTCCCGGATAGCTAGGATTACAGGCATGTGCCACCATGCCTAGCTAGTTTTTGTATTTTTAGTAGAGATGGGGTTTCACCATGTTGGCCAGGTTGGTCTTGAACTCCTGACCTCAGATGCTCCACCCGCCTCAGCCTCCCAAAGTGCTGGGATTACAGGCGTGAGCCACTGCGCCCGGCCCTAAAGTGGTTTTATTTTACATTTCCTGATGACTAAAGTTGTTGAGGATGTTTTCATACGCTTATTTTCCACTCAAATATCTTCTTTGGTGAAGTGTCTGTTCATGTATTTTGTCCATTTTTCTTATTAGGTTGTCTGTTTTCTTACTACTGAGTTTCAGAATTTTTTATAAACTGTCAGATATTTAATTTACAAAATATTTTCTTCTAGTATGTGGCTTGTTTATTTATTTATTTACTCCGAGACAGAGTCTTGCTTTGTTGACCAGGCTGGAGTGCAGTGGTGCGATCTTAGCTCACTGCAACCCGCCCCTCCTGGGTTCAAGTGATTCTCCTGCCTCAGCCTCCCGAGTAGCTGGGATTACAGGCATCGCGCCTGGCTCATTTTTGTATTTTTGGTGGGGACGGGATTTCACCATGTTGGACAGGCTGCTCTCGAACTCCTGACCTCAAGTGATCCACCCGCCTCGGCCTCCCAAAGCGCTGGGATTACAGGCGTGAGCCACCGCACCCGGCCATAGTTTGTGTATTTCAAGGCATTGTTCCGTTTCATTTAAGTTGTTACATTTATCAATATAGAGTAATATTACCTCATCCTTTTAATGTCTGTAGTGTTTGTATTATTTCATTCCTGAGGTGGTTTTCTGAGATGGTTTTCATTCCTGAGACGGTAATTTCTGGCTTTTCTTTTTTGCTTGATCAGTCTGGCTAGAAGTTTATCAATTTTACTGATCTTTTCAAAGAGTTAGATTTTAATTTCATCGATTTTGTCTATTTTTGTTTAGATTTTATCTGTTTCTCCTCTTATTTTTATTATTTCATTTCTTCTTCAGTCTTTGGGTTTTATCTGTTCTTCATAAAATTTCTTAAGGTGAAATTTTAGATGATTAAGGCTTTTTATCTGATAGAAATATATAATGCTACAGATTTTTCTCTAAAGCACTGTTCTAACTATATTTCACAGATTTTGATGTGCTGTATTTTCATTTTCTATTTAGCTCAAAATATTTTCCATTTTACCTTGAGATTTCCTCTTTGGTTCATCTTATTTAGAAATTTGTTGTCTAATTTCCAAATATTTGGGGATTTTTTTGATATCTCTCTGTTATTTATTTCTAGTTTAATTTCATTATGGTCAGGGAACATAGCTTATATGGTTTTGAATCTTTATTTTGTTAAGGTGTGGTTTATGGCTGATCATATGCTTTATCTTGGTGAATATCACACGTGCCCTTAGAAACACTGTGTGCTGCTGTTGGGTGCTGTGTTCTGGAAATGTTGGTTAGGTCTGGTTGTTTGAGGGGTTGTTCAGGTTAGGGTCTTTTGCATTCCTGCTGATTTTTTTTTTTTTTTTTGAGACAGAGTCTTGCTCTGTTGCCCAGGCTGGAGTGCAGTGACGTGATCTCGGCTCACTCCAAGCTCCACCTCCCGGGTTCGTGCCATTCTCCTGCCTCAGCCTCCCAAGTAGCTGGGACTACAGGCGTCTGCCACCACGCCCAGCTAATTTTTTGTGTGTTTTTAGTAGAGATGGGGTTTCACTGTGTTAGCCACAGGAGATCGATGGTCTCGATCTCTTGACCTCGTGATCCACCCACCTCAACCTCCCAAAGTGGTGGGATTACAGGCATGAGCCACTGCACCTGGCCCATTCTTGCTGATTCTTTTTGGCCCCTTGCTATACCTACTACCAAAGAACAGCATTGAAACTTCCAATTATAATTTGTCTGTGTCTCCTTTAATTCTATCAGTTTTTGCTTTATGTGTTTTGGAGCTCTGTTATTAGTTGCATATACATTTGGGATTGCTATGTTTTCATGTGAATAAACCCTCTTATCATTATTCGATGTTTCTCTTTGTTCCTGGTAATTTTCATTGTTCTGAAGTCTGCTTTATCTGATATTAATACAGCCACATTATTAGGATTTGTGTGATTAATCTTTTTCTATCCTCTTATTTTAGCTATATCAGTAAAGTGTGTGTCTTATAGATAGCATATACTTGGTTTTCTTTTTTTATATGATTTGACAGTTTCTGTCTTTTAATTGGTGTGTTTAGATTATCCACTTTTTAAAAAGAAAATACTGTTTATTACTATATATGTAGTACATATAGTATATATAGTATAGTATATATTATGATGCATCTTTATTTATTTATTTATGTATTTATTTATTTACTTATTTTTTTGAGACGGAGTCTTGCCCCGTTTGCCCAGGCTGGAGTGCAGTGGCACAATCTCCGCTCACTGCGAGCTCCGCCTCCTGGGTTCACACCATTCTCCTGCCTCAGCCTCCCGAGTAGCTGGGACTACAGGCACCTGCCACCACACCCGGCAAATTTTTTGTATTTTTAGTAGAGACAGGGTTTCACCGTGTTAGCCAGGATGGTCTCGATCTCCTGACCTCGTGATCCGCCTGCCTCGGCCTCCCAAAGTGCTGAGATTACAGGTGTGAGCCCCACGCCCAGCCTATGATGCATCTTAATATGATTTTCTTTGAGTTTGTCTGGTTTCCCTTTGCAAATCTTGATGTTAATTTATGTCCTTCAAGAAATTTGGCAAGTTTTCAACCATTATTTTTTAAGATGGTTACTTTTATATATCTTACCTCATGTATAGATCATGTACATTTAATGTAATTATTGATATGGTTGGATTTAGGTCTACCATTTAATTATTTTTCTATTTGTTTTCTCTGTTTTTTTTCCTATGTTTCTTTTTTCCTTCCTTCTTTTAGATTATTTGATTATTTTTTAGTACTTACTGTCTTTTTTACTGTTTTTCTTTAAGTGATTGCTATAGGCATTATAATATACATACATAACTTTACACAGACTTTTTAGAGTTGATATTTTACCATTTCAAGTAAAACATACAAGTTTTCCATCACATAGGCCCATTTACCTTCCCCTTATTATTTCTGGTTGTTGTACGTATCATCTTTACACATGTTGAACTTTCCCCCACTCCCTTGACAATGTTATAATTTTTACTTTTAACACTTTCACGTATTTTCAGTAATTTAAGAGGGGCAAATAGTCTAGAAGATGTACCTGGGTATTTCCCATTTCTGTCACTCTTCCGTGGTTCCTGAAGTGTTTTTCTTTCCCTCTGTGATCATTTCCCCCACCAGCCTGAAGAACTCGCTTTAGCATTCCTCTTAGAGCAGGATTGCTGGTGACAGATTCTCAGTTTCCTTCATCTGAGAATCTCTCTGGTTTGCCTTCATTCCTGAAGGACAAGGACATGTTTACAGATACAGGATTCTGAGTGGAGAGTGATTTTATTTCAGCAGTTTAAAGATGTCTTCCCATTGTTCTTTATGGTTTCTGATGACAAATCAGCCTTTTGAACCCTCATTTGCTTTATGTTTCTTTTCTCTGGCTTCTTTCATGATTTTCCCTGTGTATTTAGTTTGTCAGAGTTTGAGTACAATGTGTCTGAGTTTGATTTTCTTTGAGTTTCTCTTGTTTTCCTTTGATCTTGAATCTGAATATTTATACCTTTCAACATATTTGAGAAGTTTTCAACCATCATGTCTTCAAATATATTTTTCTGTACCAATCTCTTTTTCCTGTCTTTCAGGGACTCCAGTGACATGAATGTTAGATTTTAAAATATTTTCCCGCAAGTCCCTGAGGCTCTGTTAAATCTCTTTCTTTCTTTCTTTTTCTTTTCTTTTCTTCTCTTTCTTTTCTTTCTTTCTTTCTTTTTCTTTCTTTCTTTCTCTTTCTTTCTTTCTTTTTTCCTTCTTTCTTTCTTTCCTTCCTTCCTTCCCTCCCTCCTTCCCTCCTTCTCTCCTTCCTTCCTTCTTTTCTTTTCTTTTTTTCAGAGTCTCGCTCTCTTGCCCAGGCTGGAGTGCAGTGGTGCGATCTCGGCTTACTGTAACCTCTGCCTCCTGGGTTCAGGAGATTCTCCTGCCTCAGCCTCCCGAGTAGCTGGGATTGCAGATGCGCACCACCATGCCCAGCTAATTTTTGTATTTTACTTAGAGATGGGGTTCAGCCATGTTGGCCAGGCTGCTCTCGAACTCCTGACCTGAGGTGATCCATCCACCTCGGCCTCCCAAAGTGCTGGGATTACAGGCGTGAGCCACGATGCCCTGCCCACCTGTCCTTTTGGTGGGATGATTTCTGTTGATCTCTCTTCAAACTCACAAGGTCTTTCCTCTGTCATATCCATTCTGCAAATGATCCCATCTAGTGAATTTAAGATTTTCTGTTACTTTATTTTTCAGTTCTAAAATTTGTATTTATTTTTCAGTTCTAAATTTATTTGGTAGTTCCTCCTCTTCCTACTCCTCCTCCTGTTCTCCTTCTCCTCCTTTCTTCTTCCTTTTTTTTTTAAATAAATTTGATTTCTTTGCTGATTCCCCCACCAATTCCAAGAGTATTCACCTTCACTTCATGGAAAATAGTTAAAATTGCTGCTTTAGAGTGTTAACCTGATAATCCCGTCATCTCTAGCATCTGAAGCTTGTCAGCCATGGGTTGTCTTTTCCTTTGAGAACTGGCCAGACTTTCCTAGTTCTTGATATGTTGAATAATTTGTCAAGGAACTGGATTATATCCTGGACATTTTCTATATTATGTTGTCAAGCTTTGAATCCCATTAAAATCCTATGGAGAGAGAATGTTGATATTTTTGTTTGTTTTGGCAGGAAATCAATTGACGAGGTCCATGCTGCAAGTTCTCTCTCATCCTTGGTGGGTGACGATGCCAACATGAGTTCCGTTTCCAAGCCTTTGGGGTGCTGCTTGGGCGCACCCTTGTGTGGGTCGCTTGGGGGCTGGTCTGGGACTTGGACATTGTTTTGCTTGCAGCTCAGTCCTCAGCACCTTTTCTGTGGTTCTCTGTGTTCTGTGCATACGAAACTTGGGGTTGAACCTCACACTCGTATCAGTTCATGGAATTCGGGGACCCCCATTTTGTCCTTTCTCCTCTGGGGTTTCTCTCACATTCTCCATGCAAGAGAGATCCTACCTCTGGCACACAGATATGCCTGTTTCTCTCCCTGCCGCCCCTTCCCCCGCCCACGCCGCTGTCCCCTCGGCTGAATGACTGCAGCAGCCTCTCTGCTTCCCATCGGGCCTCGAGCTCCATTTTCCATATCAGTCACAGCTGGAGCCATCTTCCAGAAACACAAATTGAACTGCTCCCCCTTCTTAAAACCTTCCCAAACCTTTCCAGTGCTCTCCTAACAAATCTAAGCTCCTTCCTGCCTCACGGGGTCTGGCTCCTGCTTGCCTCTCCACTGCAGCCCATGGCCACCCACGGGCTCCGGCCAGCACTGTCCTGTCACCTGGAACTTCCTCCCCACCCCTCCTGCAGCTGGCCGCTCTTCAGCACTTGCTTTAGGGCCACGGCTGCTTCCTCAGAGAGCCTCTCACCACGACCCTGTCTTGGGTGAGCTCAGAGGAGGAGATCTCGGCTTGAGCTTCAACCCCAAGTCCCAGCTCTGCAGGGAGGGAGGGTCTTTAGTGTCCTCTGGCCCTCCTAGCTCACTACTTGGTGAGCATGACAGTGTGTGATGGACTGAGGGGGTAACTGCCCACTCCTTCCTCCAGCTGTGACCTCTGCCCTTCCTACCCCGGCTGTTCCTGCGTTGGGAGGGGCCCTAACCGTCAGTGCCTTCCTGCTTTGGGACTCAGTGCCTCCCAGTGCAGGAACACCGAGATATGGCACGTGGTGCTTTGCATACTTTATCTCATCGAATTCTCACGCAGGCCTGGCCAGATGAGATATTTACATTCCCATCTTACAAATGAGAAAACGGGTGCTTGGAGAGAGAACGTGGGTTCCCCACCATCAGCCAGGGAGAGTCATGGAGCTGGGCGCAAACCCAGGCATGCCTCTGAGGCCACACCCTTCCCACCTTGCCTGTGGGCTCTGGCCCCTGGCGTGCTGGGGCAGGGTGCAGGGTTCTCCTGGGGTTGGCTTTGATGGTGGAACCCCCCCTTCTGCTTCTTTCTCATCCTCCGTCCTAGGAACTCAGGCTTCTCCGCCTTTGCCCTGCAAGGCTGGTGCCCCTGTGTGTGGCAGGCTGGAGCTGGGGTGCTGCCCTCCAGGAGGGAGAGGCTGAATCACCAGCTGCTGCTGCTGCGTGGGGAGAGGTGGGGTGGGGAGACAGCCGCCATGGTGGGTGAGGGAGTGAGTGCAAGTGTGTGTGAGTGACATGTACACACACTCGCCCAGATGCACACACATGCACACACAGGCAAGGATGTACTGTTGCCACCGAGGAGGAGGGTACGTGGAGTCGTGTGTGCACATGCATTAAAACACACGCACTTACCCAGATGCATAGCTGTGCGCACACCTGGACATACTCAGTTTACTCCGAGAGTGGTGGATGTAAGGGGTGTGTTTGCATGCATGTGTACACGCTCACACATGTACTTAACTAGATGTGCATATGGTCACATGCATGTACCTCTCTGGATGTGCACACACATGTACTTAGTTGGATATGTACATGTTCACACATATGTGCACATGCTCACGCACGTACTTACCTAGACACACACTAACACATACGTACCTAGATATGCACACACGCACACGTACTTACCTAGACACACATGCACACGTACTTTCCTAGATGTGCACACATAGAGTCATGCCATCTGCTTCTGAGGGTGAGCAGGGCTCTCGCCTGTGCTCACACCCTCCTGTGTACACTCTGCCCCTAGCCTCACTGGGACTTGCATCTTCATCTTCTATTTTTATTTTTATTTTATTAATTTAATTTTTAATTTTCTTAATATTTTTATAGAGATGAGGTCTCCCTATGTGACCCAGGCTGGTCTTGAACTCCTGGCATCAGGTGATCCACCTGCCTTGGCCTCCCGAAGTGCTGGGATTACAGGCATGAGCCATGGTGCCCTGCCCAGCCTGTTAATTTCTAATTCCCTTCCCTCCCCTCCCCTCTGCTCCCTTCCCTCCCCTCCCCTCCCTTCCCTTCCCTTCCCTCCCCTCCCCTCCCCTCCGCTCCCTTCCCTCCCCTCCCCTCCCCTCCACTCCCCTCCGCTCCCTTCCCTTCCCTTCCTTCCCTTCCCTTCCCTCCCGTCCCTTCCCTTCCCTCCCCTCCCCTCCCCTCCCTTCCCTTCCCTTCTCTTCCCTTCTCTTTTCTCCTTTCCTTCGCCTTCCCTTGTTTGCTATACTCTCTATGTGAGGCCTGGTACACAATAGGTGCTCAGTAAATGATTGAAGACCTGCGTTTCTCTTCCAACCTTGCCACTGAATGGTTGGGTTCCCCTGAACAAATCCTTTACCCTCTCTGGGCCTCAGTTTCCCCGCCTCATGGCTGGGGATGATTTGCCGCTGCTAGGTGGGCTTATGGGTCCTGGCCTGGGGTTGGTACCATGTGAGCCCTCTCCTGGAGACCCCTGGTCCTCAAATACAACTGGCGCTTGAGATTTAGGGTTTCACAGAGTGCAGAGGGGCTGTCTTAGGGCCGCTCATGGAACTGCTCGGAGGAGGTGGTCCAGAAACACCACTCATGCCTGCCCGGCACGCAGTGGATGACCCCGTGGAAGCCTAGACGCCCTCCGTTGAAGGCATCAGGCGGGGTGGATCAGCCGCCTCTCAGAAAACCCTTTCAGTGGGACGGGGCAGGCTGTGTCCCCACAGGAGCGAGAACCGGGCCGCAGGCAGGACTGAGGAATTCCATCTGCCTGTAATCCCTGCGTGTAGGCTTCTCTCGGGAGGATAAACTTGGGTCTAGGAAATCTCTTTAGATTCCACCCCCACCCCAGGCCCCGCCCAGATATTTTCTTTTCTGGGCTGGACGTCTGCACTTCATCCCCCTCTGTGGGACGGGATAGGAGCAGGACAATCCCCAGGGCCGGGTTCCTCGATTCTGGGGCACATTCTGGCCACGGAGCTTTCTGGAAACCCTGTTCCCACAGTGTTGTTACGAAGATGGCTTTGGCCTGGAAAGCCTGTCCCGGCCCCACGACCTCGACCGTCCTGCAGCTCAGACAATGCATCAGTATGAAAACAGGAGACAGGAAGTGGGGGCTGCAAAATGAGAGGCTTTCCCGGAATCCCAAGAGGGGAAGGGGAAGAGCAGCCTGGCATGTGCACAGGCAGAGCCCGTGAGAGGTCACCCCCATGCAGCCCTGGGGAGGGGCCCTGCTCGCTGTCCCCCTTTCTCCCAAGGCCTCCTGAAGCGGCCTGTGTGTATGGAACCACCTGTATCCTGCCTAGTCTGATTCTTCACCTGCCAAAGATGGGAAGTCCCGTCGAGCCTGGACAGGCAAAGCTCTTTCAGCCAAGAGACTGGGACCCCAACCTCGTTCCTTGAAGAGAAGCGGCTTCTGGTTCCTGCAAAGGGAGAGCCCAGGGTCCTTGCCGGAGCCGTGAGGCCCTGGGCCAGTCTCTCCTCTATGAAGTAAACTACTTTTAGCATGGATCTCAAAAGCTAAGTCCCATTGAGGCCGGGCGCGGTGGCTCACACCTGTCATCCCAGCACTTTGGGAGATGGAGGCAGGTGGGTCACCTGAGGTCAGGAGTTTGAGAGGTCAGCCTTGCCAACATGGTGAAACCCTGTCTGTACTAAAAATACAAAAATTAGCCAGGTGTGGTGGCTGATGTCTGTAATCCCAGCTACTCGGGAGGCTGAGGCAGGAGAATTGCTTGAAGCCTTGAGGCGGAGGCTGCAGTGAGCCAAGATCGCGACACTGCACTCCAGCCTGGGCAACAAGAGTGAAACTCCATCTTTCTTTAAAAAAAAAAAGTTCCATTGGGGCCGGGTGCTGTGGCTCATGCCTGTCATCCCAGCACTTTGGGAGGTCAAGACAGGAGGATCGCTTGAGACTAGCCTGGGCAACATAGCAAGACACCATTTCTACAAATAATAATAAAAAAATTTAGCCAGGCATACTGGTGGTGGTGCACCTGTGGTCCCAGATACTCAGGAGGCTGAGATGGAGGGATTGCTTGAGCCTGGGTGGTCGAGGCTGCAGTGAGCTATGGTCACGCCACTATACTCCAGCCTGGGTGACAGAGAAAGACCCTATCTCAAAAAAAAAAAAAAAAAAAAAAGGGTTGGGCGCAGTGGCTCACGCCTATAATCCCAGCACTTTGGGAGGCCAAGAGGGGTGAATAACGAGGTCAGGAGATCGAGACCATCATGGCTAACACGCTGAAACCCCATCTCTACTAAAAATACAAAAAAATTAGCCGGGCATGGTGGCAGGCACCTGTAGTCCCAGCTACTCGGGAAGCTGAGGCAGGAGAATGGCATGAACCCGGGAGGCGGAGCTTGCAGTGAGCTGAGATCACGCCACTACACTCCAGCCTGGGCGACAGAGCGAGACTCCGTCTCAAAAAAAAAACAAAAAACAAAAAAAACAAGCCCTATTGACCCCACCGGTGGCTGGCTGAGGCACTTTATTTGGTCACAATTCCTGTAGCTTGCAGACTCCAGTGGGCTCTGTCTTGTGACCTCGCCCATCTCACTTGAAACTGTTTCTGCCTCCACTGCAGTCTCCATCATGGAACACGAGGTCATCGTAATTCAGATGGCGCTTCACAAGTCTAGGCTTGGGAAGGCAGCACCACTGACCCCTTCCTGACCGGCACGGGGCTCTCTCTTAGATTCCACCCCGACCCCAGGACCCGCCCAGATATTTTCTTTTCTGGGCTGGACGTCTGTACTTCATCCCCGTGTGGGACGGGACAGGACCAGGACAATCCCCAGGGCTGGGTTACTCGATTCTGGGGCACATTCTGGGCTGCGGTTGGCAGAGATCATCCTGCCTTTCTCGCCGGCCACCTCTGATCCCACGTCTTCAGCCCCAAAACCATCCCTGCACCTGCCGATCACAGAGCGACTGTGAGTAGCTGAGCGGTCGTCTGGTCATGACAGTTTATATGGCGTGAGGATGTGGGGCTCCGACTTCTGTCCCGACTACATTTTTGTTCATTTGCTCATTCATTTCTCGTTTGTTCGCTTGGTTCTTTTTTTTTTTTTTTTGAGACGGAGTCTTGCTCTGTCCCCCAGGCTGGAGTGCAGTGGCACGAGCTCACTGCAACTTCCGCCTCCTGGGTTCAAGCGATTCTCCTGCCTCAGCCTCCCGAGTAGCTGGGATGACAGGTGCCCACCACCACGCCTGGCTAATTTTTGTATTTTTAATAGAGATGGGGTTTCACCATTTTGGCCAGGCTGGTCTCGAACTTCTGACCTCAGGTGATCCACCCACCTTGGCCTCCCAAAGTGCTGGGATTACAGGTGTGAGCCACCATGCCCGGCCCTTCACCTGGTTCTTGAGTGCACCTGGCACTGTGTCTCTGAGATGGGGGCAGTAACGAACTCGTGCAAGACATCATCTTGGGAACACGTGATGTGAGCTCTCACAGAGGTCTGAGCAGAATGCACTGGAGGTGGGTGGGGGAAGGGGAAGGGGACCCAAAACTTCCTATGGAGGTGGCATTGAAACAGGCTTTAAAGTATATGTAGGAGTTCGCCAGGCACATCGCCTGGGGCCTGGGCATTAGGGGAAGGAGGCCCCACATCCTTCTCTCCTTGGCAAGCTACTCTGACTCCAGGCTAGTCTCTTTGGGGTTGGCTTTGTGGGATCTGTTGGAGCTGAGCGTCCAGACGAGACCTGATGTCTTGGTCCGGGGTCTAAACCCTGGAGCTTGTGTCTTGGTCCCGGGTCTAAACTCTAGCCCTCTGTGGGCCATTCCCAAGTCCGGGTCTCACTGTTTTTTCTTTTTTTTGAGATGGAGTCTCGCTCTCTCGCCCAGGCTGGAGTGCAGTGGTGCGATTTCAGCTCACTGCAAGCTGTGCCTCCCGGGTTCATGTGATTCTCCTGCCTCAGCCCCCCGAGTAGCTGGGACTACAGGCGCACACCACCAAGTCCAGTTAATTTTTTTGTATTTTTAGTAGAGACAGGGTTTTACCGTGTTAGCCAGGATGGTCTCCATCTCCTGACCTCGTGATCTGCCCACCTCGGCCTCCCAAAGTGCTGGGATTACAGGCGTGAGCCACCACGCCCGGCCGAGTCCAGGTCTCGCGGTTATCGCAAAGGCAGTACATCCCAAACCCAATGCATGCTGTCCATATTAAAAACAAAAGCAAAAATGAAACATAAGATGGATGTTGTGGGGGTGTGGGGGACATGGAACCCTTGTGCGCTGCTGTCGGGAATGTGAGTTGGTACAGCCACAGTGGAAGGAAGCTTGGCATTTCCCAGGAAAGTTAAACATGCAGTGACCACAGGACCCAGCAGTGCCACTCCTAGGTACACAGCCCGAAGAATTGAGAACAGGTCTTCAAACACACGCCTCTACATGAGCGTTTGGAGCAGCACTGCTTACAGGAGCCACGATGTGAAAACCTCGCACGTCCGTCAGCTCGAGAGGACAAACAGTGTGGCCTCTCCACGCAAGGGAAGTCCCTCAGCCACAGAAAGGAGTGAATCACCTGACACGCAGCACAGCGCGGACGAACCTGGGACACGTAATGCCAGTGAAATGAGCCAGACGCAACAGGCCAAATGCTGCGCAATTCCGCTTCTGTGAAGTAGCAGGAACAGGCAGTTGCACAGAGACAGGAAGTCGATTCGGGGCTGTCGGGGGCTGGGGCGGGTGTCGGGGGACAGCTGCTGAATGGCACAGGGTCTGCAAAGGTCCTGGATCTGGATGGAGGTGGTGGTTGCACAGCACGGTGAATGTGTCGACGTGGCTGAATTGTGCACTTTAATACAGTTGATTGTTAACTTTAAGTTATGTGACTTTTACCTCAATTAAAAAAAAAAAAAAAAGCTCGACAGGACCCACTGGCTCTCACCTGTAATCCCAGCACCTTGGGAGGCCGAGGCAGGAGGATCACTTGAGGTTAGGAGTTCGAGACCAGCTTGGCCAACATGGGGAAACCCTGTCTCTAATAAAAATACAAAAATTAGCTGGGTGTGGTGGTGGGCGCCTGTGGTCCCAGCTACTCGGGAGGCTGAGGCAGGAGAAAGGTGTGAAACCGGGAGGCGGAGCTTGCAGTGAGCCGAGATCGCACCACTGCCCTCCAGCCTGGGCAACAGAGCGAGACTCCATCTCAAGAAAAAAAAAAAGTCCCACTCACCTGCTCAAACAAACTCCTCTTCTCAGCCCCCTCCAGCCTGCAGGGCATCTGGGATGAAGCCCCAGGTTTTCCTACTATGGGGTTGAGAACCTGCCCTTCCCTGTCCAGGGCTGTCCTGCCTCTTGCCCTCTCCCTGACTGAACGTGCGTTGAGTGCCCGGGTCGGTCTCCGGCTGTGTTCCTGCCTCCCCAACCTTCAGGAGGCAATGTGAACTGCTGAAAAATTACTCTGGTATGAGCGCAGTTTGGCCTGAGGTTTCTGTTTCTCCCGGGCGACTGCAGGGCCTCAGTGTTGATATAAACAATTTGCACTGCCGTCAGGGGAGCGGTCCCAACCAACCTCTCTCAACTCCCTGGCTTCAGGTTCCTGCCGACTCTATTATTGCTACTATTTCTAGTAATTTCTACAAAGGCCCAGAGCCCCTCACTTGTGATGCACCTGCCTTCTCTCTCTTCTCTTCTCTTCTCCTCTTCTCTTCTCCTTCTCTCTCTCTCTCTCTGTCTCTCTGTCTCTCTGTTTCTTTTTTTGAGACAGAGCTTCGCCCTTGTTGCCCAGGCTGGAGTGCCATGGCGCGATCTCAGCTCACTGCAACCTCCACCTCCTGGGTTCAATCGATTCTCCTGCCTCAGCCTCCCAAGTAGCTGGGATTACAGGCGTGCGCCACCACATGTGGCTAATTTTTGTATTTTTAGTAGAGATGGGGTTTCACCATGTTGGTCAGGCTGGTCTCGAACTCCTGACCTCAGGTGATCTGCCTGCCTTGGCCTCCCAAAGTGCTGGGATGACAGGCATGAGCCACCATGCCTGGCCCACCTGCCATTTCTAGTGAGACCTCCTGGTTTGTGTAGGAGCAGTGGATGACGATGTGATGATTTCCCTAAGAGCGGGTCCCATACAGCCGATACCTGAGGTCGATTAGAAGGATGCAAAGGTTTGAGAAAGTATTTGCAGCGTCTCACCCTTGATTTCCGTCTCCCAGTGATTCAGCCTGGGGATGGATGTGAGCAAGGGACTCGCAGCTCCAGGGAGGCGTCTGTGCCATTCTGAGAGATTGTGAGATGGCCCGTTGTCATGGTGACCGGAGAGTGATGAGGTGTTTACTTGGCAGGGAGTTCAGGGGATGCGCCGTCCTCCGCAGGAGGTGATTGCCGGTGTTTGTAGAGCCCTGTGGTCCATCCCCTCAGCACCCTGGATTCCCCTCCCCGGGGTTTTGTCCACGAGGAGCTGCTTTTGACCGTGTGAGGTCACAGCACTGGGTTTCCAACAGCTCCCTGGAGACCTGGGCGGAGGCCACATGCCATTCAGCACACGGCAGGGCGTCCACCTCACTTTGGGCTGTCCGAAAGGACTGCGTGTAGGCGGAAGGGCGTGTGGACATGGATCCACTGGTAATGCCCAGCTCTCCTCTTCATTTGCTCTCCCTGGATGGCTGTGGTGCGCTGGGGGGCCCTGCCTGCATCTTCATCCGTGGGAGTGGAGGCACTCCCTCTCCATCAAAGCCACCCTCCTGCACCCCTCCTGACCAGGCAGGGGATTTGGAATCTCACTGCTTTTAGAGGAGATATCTCTGTTGGCAGAGAGGTCCTGATCTTGGCCTGGCCGAGTTTCCCCATCACCTGCAGGCTCATTTCACGGATGGAAACCCATTTCCACTGGCGAGTTTGGGTGGGCGCGGGACCCTTCGGGTAGGATTTGCAGTGGACTGGCCAGTTTGAGTGGGCACAGGACCCTTTGGGTAGGATTTGCAGCGCAGTGGACAGTTTGGGTGGGCGCGGGACCCTTCGGGTAGGATTTGCAGCGGACTGGCCAGTGTGGGTGGGCGTGGGACCCTTCGGGTAGGATTTGCAGCGGACTGGCCAGTGTGGGTGGGCGTGGGACCCTGTGGGTAGGATTTGCAGCGGACTGGCCAGTGTGGGTGGGCGCGGGACCCTTCGGGTAGGATTTGCAGCAGAGCCGATGGGCCGCTGGGAAGAATTCCCAAGTGCAGGCTGAGAGGAGCCTGTGGTGGCTGGCAGTGGAGACACCAGCCGCCAGGCCCGCTGAGGAGGATGCAGTGGAGACCGGTCAGCCTTGGAGCTGGCACCCATTTGTGCAGCTGGACACAGGACTGCTGGGTGTTGTGTTTTTTTGTTTTTTTTTACAGCCCCAGGCATCAGGCCTCTGAGCGTCTGAGAAGCACCAGCCCCTTCCTGAGGAGCCCCGTCTTCTGGGTGTGCAGCTGGTGGGGGCATTCCTTCTGGGACTTGTTATTTATTTAGGTGGTTTTAGTGGTATTTATGTCTGCACAGTGGCACACAGTAGTTTACTTTTATTATGACATAGTTCCTTCCAATTTGTTTGTGTTGTGTTAACATTACAGCAACATGCACGAAGCTGAAGAAATTCCACCCTGATCCCAATAGCTCAGCACTTGAAATTTGTTGTTGTTGTTGTTAATGGCTTCTTATTTAATTTCTTTTTTTCCAACTTTTATTTTAGGTTTGGGGGTACGTGTGCAGGTTTGTTACGTGGGGATGCGGCGTGATGCTGAGGTCTAGGGTATGGATGGCCCCAGCAGCTGGGTAGTGAGCATAGCACCCAGCCGTCGCTTTTCAGCCCTCGCTCCCTTCCTCTCTCAGCTCTTTTTTTTTTTGAGACAGAGTCTCACTCTGTCACCCAGGCTGGAGTGCAATAGCATGATCTCAGCTCACTGCAACGTCTGCCTCCTGGGTTCAAGCGATTCTCCTGCCTCGGCCTCCAGAGTAGCTGGGATTACAGGAGCACACCACCACGCCTGGCTAATTTTTGTATTTTAGTAGAGACGGGGTTTCACCATGTTGCCCAGGGTGGTCTCGAACTCCTGGCCTCAAGTGATCCTCCTGCCTTGGCCTCCCGAAGTGCTGGGATTACAGACGTGAGCCCACCGTGCCTGGCCTCCCTCCCTCAGCTCTTTAAAAACTGTGTTCTCGGCCAGGCGCGGTGGCTCATGCCTGTAATCCCAGCACTTTGGGAGGCCGAGGCGGGCGGATCACGAGGTCAGGAGATTGAGACCATCCTGGTTAACATGGTAAAACCCAGTTCTCTACTAAAAATACAAAAAAATTAGCCAGGCTTGGTGGTGGGTGCCTGTAGTCCCAGCTACTCGAGAGGCTGAGGCAGGAGAATGGCGTGAACCTGGGAGGCGGAGCTTGCAGTGAGCTGAGATTGCACCACTGCACTCCAGCCTGGGCAACAGAACGATACTCTGTCTCAAAAAAAAAGTCTTCTCTTTGGGTCTTTTTTTATATGCAGGCTCTCCTCCCCCTCCCCTCCTTATCCTCCCCATCTTTTTCTTTTGTTGCATGGTTGTAGTCAAAGTCTAGATAAAATACTAAGTAAGAAAAGAAGGAAAGTGTTTACAATTTTAATGTATCCTGGGTTACTCTGTGATGTGAATTTCAAATTTTGTTTTCTTCAAAAATTGAAATAATTTTTTTGTTTATTATTATGTTTTTGGATTCTAGCATTTCCATTTGGCTTTAAAAACATTGCCAGGTGCAGTGGCTCACGCCTGTAATCCCAGCACTTTGGGAGGCTGAGGTGGGTGGATCACAAGGTCAGGAGATCGAGACCATCCTGGCTAATATGATGAAGCCCCGTCTCTACTAAAAATACAAAAAATTAGCCGGGTGTGGTGGTGGGCGCCTGTAGTCCCAGCTACTTGGGAGGCTGAGGCAGGAGAATGGCATGAACCTGGGAGGCAGAGGCAGAGCTTGCAGTGAGCCGAGATCGCGCCACTGCACTCCAGCCTGGGTGACAGAGCGAGACTCTGCCTCAAAAAAAAAAAATTTTTTTTTCTTTTTAGTTCTGTTCCAGTGTTCTCAATTTTGTCTTTTATTTCCTCAAACATACTGAGCAGAATTATTTTAAAGTCTTTGTCCACAAATTCCATGATTTGCTTCCCCTGGGGGGATCTCTTTGTATTGTCTGTTGCTTCTCTTGATTTTTGATCACATGATCTTGCCTCTTTGATATTTATTTAACAAATATGTATTAAGCATTTACTGTATGCAGGCGCTGTTTTAAGCACCAGAGATTTAGCAGTGAATCAAGCCCAGGCAGTATTCTAGTGAGGGAGACAGACAATAACCATGGTTAAGACGCAAAATACGTCAGATAGGTAACTGTGAGATTGCTGCTCACAGCAATACGTAACTGCTGAGAGGACCGCAGAGCTCTGGAGGGGGAGGAGAGGCGTATTGGGAGGGTTTTCCTGCACTGAGAAGGTCACATTTCAGTGGAGACTTGGGGAGGGAAGGGAGGGAGCCCTGAGACATTGAGGAAGGCTGTCCTTGGCAGATAATTGCAAGTGAAAGGCGGAAGTGTGTTTCGTGTGGGAGGACAGCAGAGAGCCCTGGGGCAGGTGAGGGGTATGGGGCTGAGGGCAGATCACGCAGGGCCTTGCTGGCTGACATAAACAATTCTGTTTCAACTCAGATCGGAGGCCATTGGAGGGTTCCAGTGGGCAGGGGAGTGTGCAATCTGTCTTGTATTTTTTTTTTTTTTGAGATGGAGTCTCACTCTGTTGCCCAGGCTGGAGTGCAGTGGCACAATCTTGGCTCACCGCAACCTCCACCTCCCGGATCAAGCAATTCTCCTGTCTCAGCCCCCTGGGTAACTGGGATTACAGGCACATGCCACCACGCCCAGCTACTTTTTTTGTATTTTTCTAGTAGAGATGGGGTTTTGCCATGTTAACCAGGTTGGTCTCGAACTCCTGACCTCAGGTGATCCGCCCGCCTTGGCCTCCCAAAGTGCTGGGGTTACAGGTGTGAGCCACCGTGCTCAGCTTTTTTTTTTTTTTTTTTTTTTTTGAGGTGGAGTGTTGGTTTGTCGCCCAGGCTGGAGTGCAGTGGCATGATCTTGGCTCATTGCAACCTCTCCCTCCTGGGTTCAAATGATTCTCCTGCCTGAGCCTCCCGAGGAGCTGGAATTACAGGTGCCTGCCACCATGCCCGGCTAATTTTTGTATTTTTGGTAGAGATGAGGTTTCATCATATTGGCCAGGCTGGTCTTGAACTGCTGACCTCAGGTGATCCGCCTGCCTCGGCCTCCCAAAGTCCTGGGATTACAGGCATGAGCCACCATGCCCGGCCGGTAATGCCTTTTTTTCTGGCTGCATTTTAGGTTCTTCTCTGTCTTTAGCTCCTGCGGTTTACCACGCTATGCTGGTTTATCCTGTGTGGGAGTTTGTGTTCTTGTTGAATCTGTGGCCTGATGTCTTTAATTAGTTTAGGAAAATTCTTCATCATGATCTCTTCAAACGTTGCTTCTGCCATATTCTCTCCCCTCCATCTGGAACTCGAATTCACATAAACTGGAGCTTTTTGCCATAGTCCACATGCTCTTCAGCACTTTTCTGTAGCTGCTTTCCTTTCCTGTCTTTGTACTGCAGTCTGGATATTTTCATCTATTTTCCAGGTTATTAATTTCTTCCCTTGTGTTTCTCATCTGCTGTTAAACCCATCCACCAAGTTCTTAGTTCCAATTTTTATGTTTTTTTGATTCTAGCATTTCCACGTGCCTTATAGTTTTTTTTCTTAGTTTCGTGCCAGTGTTCTCAATTTCATCTTTTATTTCCTTGAACATACTGAGCATAATTATTTTAAAGTCTATGTCCATTAACTCCATGATCTGCATCCCCTGAGGGGATCTTTTTGTATTGTCTTTTGCTTCTCCTGGGTTTTGATTACATGATCTTGTCTCTTTGTATCTGAGTTGTTTTTGATTGAGTTCCCAACATTACATATGAAAAATTAAAGAGAAAATTTGAGGCTGATATATTCCTTTTGAGAGAATGTATAATTGCTTTGGAAAAATGGCTAGCCTAGGGGTGCTAGTAATCCTGGATCACCCTTATCCAATTAGGGACTGAGATGATTTGAGCTGAGATTCAGTCCCAGGGAGGCTGGCTTAATCCCAGCTCATCTTTCTTTCTAGTGTCCACACAAAATCTTCTGGGCCAAAGCACAAAATCTGGAGGATTTACTAGGATTTCTTTTCCTAGGCAGGCCATAAGTTCCAGTTTTGATCTTTCCTACCTCTGCAAATGTGTTGAAACCTCAGCCTGTCAGCTTCTCGGCTGCTTGTTGTAGACACTTCTTGTGGTTCCAACTGCTGTGTTCATCTCTCTGGGTTTCTGTCTTCTCCTTGAAATTGGCCTTGTAATTAATTCTTCTCTGCTGTGGTAGCTCTCTGATGCTTTCAAAAATATGTTTTTAACCTTTCATCAAGGTTTTCTAGTTGATCTCTCCAGAAAGCTCAATCTAAACAACCTAGTCAGTCATTAACAGGAGTAAAAACCTGATTTATACTTTAATAAAATCTCTAACTGCAAGAACAACCATGTCAATATTCTAGATGAGAGATGAATGCTGGCTTGGGTCAGAGTGGTAGTAAATAATAACTAAAATTTTCAGCACCCTCTGTTGACTTTGGGCAATGCCAGATGACCCCACCTTCTCTCTCCATCTTCCCAGTATAGTTGTATCACCATTTTAAAATCTTTTACTATTTCCTTTCTAAAATCCTAAATTTTAAATGATACACTAACCCCTTTACAATTTCATTGTGAACTGTATTCTTTAATTCTCCATTTTTTTTTTTTCTGAGACATAATCTCGCTCTGTCGCCCAGGCTGGAGTGCAGTGGTACGATTTCGGCTCACTGCAAGCTCCACCTCCCATGTTCACACCATTCTTCTGCCTCAGCCTCCCGAGTAGCTGGGACTACAGGTGCCCACCACCACGCCCAGCTAATTTTTTTGTATTTTTAGTAGAGACGGGGTTTCACTGTGTTAGCCAGGATGGTCTCAATCTCCTGACCTCGTGATCCGCCCACCTTGGCCTCCCAAAGTGCTGGGATTACAGGTGTGAGCCACCACACCTGGCCGATTCTCCATTTTAAAAGGCAAAGGTCTTCACATATCCACCCTGCTTAGCTTTCCTTTTCAAAATTTTATTATGTTTTTGTTATCTGAACTTTTCATTTTGCATTGTCCATATTGATAATATTTATATATTTTTTAAAAAACTAGAATTATGCCTTTTATGCTTTGTAAGTAAATTCTGAAAGTTAAAAAGTATTGATCAAGTATACTGGGGAAATGCCTTTGTTATAACTACAAACATGAATGCTAGTTTAGCTGGGTATAAAAGTCTAGGTTGAAAGGAAGTTTCCTTCAGAATGTTGGAGGCTTCGTTTCATTGTCCTCTAGTATCTAGTGTTTCTTTTGAGAAGTTTGAGCCATTCTTATTGTCAGTCCTTTGTAGGTGAACTGACTTTTCTCTATGGGAGCTTTTGGAAAATTCTTATCCCTGGAAGTACAGTGTAAGAGATCCTTTTACTAGGACTGAAAATCTTGTGGGCTCTGTCAACCAAGACACTCATGTTCTTCAGTTTAGAGAAATTTTTCTTTTATTTCTGACAAGTTTCTATTTTATTTTACTTTCTGGAACTGCTGTTAATCAGATATTGAGCCTCCTGGAATGTTTTTGGTATATATATACATATATATATATATATGTATGTATATATATATATGTGTATATATATATGTATACATATATATACGTATATATACGTATATATACGTATATATACGTATATATATATGTATACATATATATACGTATATATACGTATATATGTATATATAAAACGTGTTATATGTGTGTGTATATATATATAACATGTTATATATATGTATATACAGACATGGTTTTTCTCTGTCTTTGTCTCTTTTTAAGATATTTTCATGTTGTATCTTCCTACTGTTATGTGTATGTTATATGTGTAACATGAATTATATTAATTAATATAAAAGGTTACATTCATGGACCTCCCAACATCACCACATTGAGGATCAAATTTCAGGAGGGACAAACCACATCCAACTCATGGCAGATGGTAATGGGGATTGTGGTTATGTTTTAACAAGTGTATTTTAGAGCTAGATATTGAAGTATTTAAAATGAAATGCTGTATCTGAGATTTGCTTCCATCCTCTGTGTGTGTGTGTGTGTGTGTGTGTGTCTGTGTGAAGTGGGTGGAGGTGAAATGAAATAGGACTGGCTCCATTTTGATAATGGTTGAGGGTGGGTGATGGACGTTTGGTGATTCATTGTATTACTCTGTCTACTCTTGTGTAGTTTGGGAATTTCCACTGTAAAAGGGAAGAGAAGGAGCAGCCACAGGACACCTGGGCTCCTGGCCTTGGGGGGCTGCCTGGCTCCCAGGCTTCCGAGCTCCTGTGGTCCTGGGTCTGGATCTTGATGACTTTCACCACCTCTGTCCTCTGCTCTGTGGGGCTCTGCAGCAGAACCGTTCCCTCCGTGGATCCGGGAGAACCTGCTTCACATACCCCGGGCTGCTGCGTACTTCGTCTGAATGTCAAATTCCATGCTTCAGGTCATTGTCTGTTTTCCAGAAATCTCAGATAGCGTTCCTGCCATTCTGGTCATTGTGGTAGATGTATATATGCATATATTTTTATTTTGCTGTCATTCGAGAGGTCGCTAGAGGGAAAAGAGGAAACGTGCACTTTCCATCTGCCATTTTTTTTGGGGAAGCTCCGTCAAGATATATTTAAATGATCGCATAAAGCTTCACCCGGCAATCCCCGTGTACTCAGCGTCTTCCCGGCTGGGCAATTAGCATCTGATAGGTGTTTGAGGAGACAGAATTGGCTGGCACAGGCAGAGGTGGGCATTGGTGCACGTGGAGGTGGGCATTGGAGCACATGGAGGTGGGCATTGGTGTACACAGAGGTGGGCATCAGCACACACGTAGAGGTGGGCATTGGTGCACGTGGAGGTGGGCATTGGAGCACATGGAGGTGGGCATCGGCATACACAGAGGGCATCAGCACACGTGTGGAGGTGGGCATTGGTGCATGTGGAGGTAGGCGTTGGCATATGCAGAAGTGGGCATTGGCACACGGAGATGGGCATCAGTGCACGTGGAGGTGGGCATTGGCACACATGGAGGTGGGCATCAGCTGCAGAAGAAGTGGGGGCCTCTGGGGAAACTGCCCTTGGCTGTGATTGACAGACGGCCACATCGGGCTGGGTGAGGAGCGGGTGGGATTGTTTCTGAGGGAGCAACAAGCAGCTCTCCAGGCTGCCCTTCCGTGGGGAGTGGGTGCCGTGCCTGGCACGTGGCAGGTGGGCCAGGAGTGGGGCTTGAGGCCGGTATTGGTCAGGGCGTCTCTGTGACTGCATCCCGCTGCTCCATGTGGGTGCCGGCCAGGCCCACTCTGGTCTGTGGGGACCCTTCACTCATGTCCACCACCCACAGGATGGATGGCGGCTGGCATTCAGCAGGAGCTCCCACCCATGTCCCAGTTTTAACAGGCTGGGGAGACAGTCATTTGTTTACTGGAGGTTCCTGGAACAGGAGGAATGGCTACAGAGTCCGCAGGAAGCCAGGGCGGGCTGGGGTCTCAGACTCCTCTCCTGCATCCTCTACCTTGGTGTGATCTGGTGATCACCTCACCCACCTGGACCGGTGCACCTGGCTGACTTTAAATGGCCAATTCTCAGAAATCCTTGGGTTCAATATTTGGAACCAATAAGCAAACCATTTGCTTAAAGGGATGGTTTTTGAAAGTCAAGGAAGGGGATACCCAGACATAGGGCTGGTGGCACCCCGGCCTTGGCATTCACGTGGTGTCTGCATCTGTCAGACCCCAGGACCCCAGAGCTCCTGTACCCCTGGAGAGTGAGCATCTCAGAGCCGTGGTCTCAGCCTTGTCACAGGTGGGCACGTCTGGGTCTTGGGATGTCAGAAGGCATTGGTAGGGAACTTGGCCTGGTTGCCCCTGAATTCCTCCTCCACCTCCTGGTCCATGACGCAAGGCCCTGCCTGATAGGGCCGCCATCTTTTTTCGGGAAGCTCCCGAGCTGTGGGGGACCAAAGCCCTCAGAGGACCGGCAGGAAAGCCAGGGGATGGATCAGGGTGAGGCCGGGAGGGAGAGCGAGGGCCTTGTGTGCCTGATCTGTGTGAGGGGTTGGGGGCCGCACCCACCTCGAGGCTGAATAGGGCATGAGTGACCAAGGTGAACACTCAGGTCATGTGAGCCAGCATTGCTTCTGCACACAGAGCCATTCATATCTGTTAGGACAGGTTGAAATCTCTTTTCCTTAAAACAATTTTTTTTTTTTTTTGAGACAGAGTCTCGCTCTGTCATCCAGGCTGGAGTGCAGTGGCACGATCTCGGCTCACTGCAAGCTCACTCCCGGGTTCACGCCATTCTCCTGCCTCAGCCTCCGGAGTAGCTGGGACTACAGGTGCCTGCCACCACACCCAGCTAATTTTTTGTATTTTTAGTAGAGACAGGGTTTCACCGTGTTAGCCAAGATGGTCTCGATCTCCTGACCTCGTGATCCACCCATCTCGGCCTCCCAAAGTGCTGGGGTTACAGGCGTGAACCACCGTGCCTGGCCAACAAATTTTTTTTGAGTTATGGTCTCACTATGTTGCCCAGGCTGGTCTTGAACTCCTGGGGCCAAATGATCCTCCCTAAGTGCTGGGATTATAGGCGTGAGCCACCACACCCGGCCAGAAGCCACCACACCCAGCCTGAAGCCACCGCACTTGGCCTGAAGTCTCTTCTTACTACGATGCCAGGGACATGTGTCTTCATTTCCCCTCACAGATGAGTCCCGGTGAGGTCAAGCAACTTACTCAGGGTCACACAGCACTCTAGGAAAGGAGTGTGCTCATCTGTGGTCCCTGTGAGCTACCCGGTGTGGCCTTAGGACGAGGACTGAGCTCCTGGGCTCTCCAGGCTGCCTGGCCCTGCTGATTCCTGACTTCTCCTCTCCCTCCTCCCTGCTCCCTCCTCCCTTCTTCCTTCCTCCCTCCCTCCCCTTACTTCATTCACCCTTTTCCCAAAGAGGCAGAATTGCAGTGAGAAAGGGGCTCAGCTCAGGGCCCGGTGTGTCCTCAGACCACAGAGCCCCCTGCCTCTGGTCCTAAGCCCACCTTTGAGCGTGGTGGAGGTCAGTGTTTAGGCTGCAGGTTATGCAAACTCAGGTCCTCCAGGTGCAGGAGGAAAGGCACATTGGCCCTGGTGGGATTGAAATGCCCAGGCTGGCTAAGACCATGCCGGATGCATGAGGTTTAGAGTGGCTGAAGAGCTGGGGACAGTGGTCGAAGCACTTGTCTGTGGGCAGGAGCAAGGTCTGCAGTGGTGGTGCATCCTGCCATCCACAGCTCAAGGCAGGGTGGGCTTCGGAGCAACCCCAGCCCACGTGGAGGACACAACCATGGTCGTTCCACGGTGACTCGGGGCTCAACTTCCAGTCCCCTCCTCCCAGCAGACCTCCAGATGCTTGTCATCTCAGCCTCCATAAACCCCACACCAGTTCAGCCTCTCACTCACTTTAAAAAGCAAATTAAAGTTTTAATTTTGAGATAATTGTGGATGTGCAGGCAGTTATAAAAATTACCTGGAGAGCCTCACCCACTTTATTTTTTAATGTCTCACAAAACTGGTACATACACAGAAATGTTGACAGGTTCTTAGGAACTGCAACTTTAGGTGAACCCACTTACAGCTAATTCTTTTTTTTTTTTTTTTTATAGAGACAGGGTGTATTAGTCCATTTTCATACTGCTATAAAGAACCACCCAAGACTGCGTAGTTTACAGAGAGGTTGAATTGACTCACAGTTCTGCATGGCTCGGGGGGCCTCAGGAAACTTATGATCATAGCAGAAGGCAGCAGGGGGGAAGCAGAGCCGCTTCTTCACAAGGCAGCAGGAAGGAGAAGTGCTGAGTGAAGGGGGAGGAGTCCCTTGGAAACCCATCAGATCTTGTGAAAACTCCCTCACTATCACGAGAACAGCAAGGGGGAAACTGCCCCATGATTCAGTCGCCTCCACCTGGTCTCTCCCTGGACAAGTGGGGATGATGGGGATGATGGGGATTACAATTCAAGATGAGATTTGGTGGGGGACACAAAATGAGATTTGAGTGGGGACACAAAGTGAAATTTGGGTGGGGACAGAAAAAGAGATTTGGGTGGGGACACAAAGCCTAACCGTATGTCCAACTCCTGAGTTCAAGCGATCCTCCCACTAGTCCTCCCACAGTGCTGGGATCACAGGCATGGGCCCTGTGCCTGGCCGGGACAGCCAGGTTCTTACTTCCTTTCTGTGTTTTCCTCTCCCACACAGGAAGAAAACAGGCAGATTTTGGCGCGGCAAAAGTCAAACTCACAGTCGGACTCCCATGATGAGGAGGTGTCGCCCACCCCCCCGAACCCTGTGGTGAAGGCCCGCCGCCGGCGAGGAGGCGTGAGTGCCGAGGTGTACACCGAGGAGGACGCCGTGTCCTACGTCAGGAAGGTGAGGCTCACGGGTCACGGGGTTCCTGTCCCCAGGCCTCGGCACGTGGCTGTCACCTGTGAGCTCCCTGGAAGCCCACGGGGCACCCTCATCCTCCTGGGGGTCTCAGTGTCATCCTGGTTGGAGGGAGGACTATGTGGGTGATGGCAGAGGCAGTTCTGGGTGGGCTTGGTTTGCTACTGTCTTTGCCAGATGAGCTGAGCTCAAATTTATGGGAGCAGCTCTGTGTGGGGTCACTGCAGCCCCATGGCGGCCTTAGGTTCCTCACAGGCTCAGGAAGGGAAGGGACTCGCTGGCATCCAGGTCCTTGGAGTGAGCAGAGGCTCTGTCCTGGGCTGTGTGCCTCCCATGCTCCTGCAGCCTCTCTGGTCTCTCTCTTTTTTTTTTTTTTTTTTTTTGAAACAGAGTCTTGCTCCGTCCCCCAGGCTGGAGTGCAGTGGTGCGATCTCAGCTCACTGCAAGCTCCGCCTCCCAGGTTCATGCCATTCTCCTGCCTCAGCCTCCCGAGTAGCTGGGACTACAGGTGCCTACCACCACACCCAGCTAATTTTTTGTATTTTTAGTAAAGACGGGGTTTCACTGTGTTAGCCAGGATGGTCTCAATCTCCTGACCTTGTGATATGCCCGTCTTGGCCTCCCAAAGTGCTGGGGTTACGGGCGTGAGCCACCATGCCCAGCATCTCTGGTCTCTTCTTATACAGGCACAAATCCCATTATTCAGGGCCCTTCTCTCATGACCCCATCCAACCCCAGCCACCTCCCAAAGGCCTCTCTCCAAATACCATAGCATGGCTGGTTAGGGCTTCCATATGTGAATTTCTGGGGAGACACAAGTCAGTCCCCAGTACCCTGTTAGCCATTTCTGAGTGCACAGTTGAGTGGCGTTAAGCACATTCTCATTGTTGTGGAATCATCACCACCACCATCTCCAGAACCTTCTTACCTTGCAGAACTGAGACTCTATTCCCTAAACACGCACACCCCATTCCTTTCCGCAGTACTTAATACTTTTATAATCAGCTAATTAAAGCTAGCGCAAGCATTGTTAAAAATTTATTAGGGCACTCCACCTCTGGGGTCTTCCTCCCCAAGACCCAGAACTTCAGTCTAACCACGAGAAGAACCTCAAATAAACCTAAATTGCGGGATGCTCCGCAGAATGCCTGACCAGCCCTGCTCACGGCACACGAGGAGAGTGTGAAGAACTGTTGCAGACCGGAGGCCACGGGGGAGACAGGACGGGGTCCTGGGACAGAAAAAGGCCATTCAGGCCAAACAAAGGAAGAACAGATTAGGTGTGGAGCTCAGTGTCTGTCATGTATCGACATGGCTTCCCCAGTTGTGATAAATGCATCATAGGATGTAAGGTAGTAACATCAGGGAACTGCAAGGTGCACGAGAATGATCTTTGCAATTTCTCTGTAAATAGAAAGTATTTGAAAACAAAACATTTATATATATTTTTTTGAGATGGAGTTTCACTCTTGTTGTCCAGGCTGGAGTGCAATGGCATGATCTCAGCTCACCACAACCTCTGCCTCCCAGGTTCCTGTGATTCTCCTGTCTCAGCCTCCTGACTGGCTGGGATTACAGGTGCCTGTCATCATGCCTGGCTAATTTTTTTGTATTTTTAGTAGAGATGGGGTTTCACCATGTTGGCCAGGCGGGTCTTGAACTTCTGACCTCAGGTGATCCACCTGCCTCAGCCTCCCAAAGTGCTGGGATTACAGGTGTGAGCCACCACGCCCATCCAACACTTACATTTTTAAAAGTCTGTTAGAACTGGAGTGGCTTTTTAGGAGATTTCATTGCTGTCTCTCAAAGACGTCTGCACAGGGGCTCTCTGCGTTACACGCAGCACACCTAAGCCTGCGTGGTCCGCAGTTGCACCTGGACAGACAGGGACTTCCTGGGTGGCCCAGGCACAACAGGAGGTCTCACTGTGGCCCGAATGACCTTCCTGCGTGGTTTCATTTTAAGCGGGGGATATCCTGGCATCTGAAATGTTCGTAGTGCTTCTCATTCATCCAGAGAGGGAGTGGGGAATTGTTGATCAAAGGGTGCAGAGTTTCAGACAGACAGACAGACAGACGGGAGGAATGGGTTTTGAGATCTTTGCACGGTGGGGTGACTGCAGCCAGTAACAGTGTACTGCATACAGGCACACACTACATGACCACGTTTTGGTTGTTGACAGATTGCATATATGTGGTTCCGTAAGATTATGATACCATATTTTTTACTGTACCTTTTCTCTGTGTAGATATGTTTATTTGTTTATTTTTTTGAGACAAATTCTCCCTCTGTCACTCAGGCTGAAGTGCAGTGGCATGATCTTGCCTCATGGCAACCTCCACCTCCCGGGTTCAGGTGATTCTCCTGCCTCAGCCTCCTGAGTGGCTGATTACAGGTGCCCACCACCTTTCCCAGCTAATTTTTGTATTTTTAGTAGAGATGGGGTTTCACCATGTTGGGCAGGCTGGTCTCGAACTCTTGACCTCAGGCGATCCGCCTGCCTCGGCCTCTCAAAGTGCTGGGATTACAGGCGTGAGCCACCGTGCCCGGCCTGTGTAGATATGTTTAGATACACCTAGCATTGTCTTACAGCTGCCTGCAGTGTTGAGGATGGCCACATCCTGTACAGATTTGTAGCCTAGAGCGATAGGCTCTATCATGTTATAACCTCAGTGCATAGTTAGGCTATACCAGCTAGGCTTGTGTCTGTTGCTCTGTGATGTTCGCATGATGATGAAATTGCCTCATGATGAATTTCTCAGAACGCTTCCCCATCATTACGTGACACGTGACTGCATTTCAAAAGTAACAAGAGGCTGGGTGCGGTGGCTCACACCTGTAATCCCAGCACTTTGGGAGGCTGAGATGGGAGGATTGCTTGAGCTGAGATGTTTGAGACCAGCCTGGGCAACATAGTGAGACCTCATCTCCACTAAAAATAAAAAAGTTAGCCAAGTGTGGTGGTGCATACCTGTGGTCCCAGCTACTTGGGAGGCTGAAGTGGGAGGAGCACCTGAGCCCAGGAGGTTGAGGCTGCAGTGAGCTGTGATCAAGACTCTGTTTAGAAAAAAACAGTGGTGAAATACACATTAAACTTCAAATTGCATATTTGTACCATTGCCTGATAACAGCAGGCTGAGGGTGGAGTAGGGAGATTTCAGGCCGCGTCACAGCATCAGGCCAGGGTGGCTCACACGGTGATGTGTTGGCTCCGCTTCAGGTGATTCCCAAGGACTACAAAACCATGACTGCGCTGGCCAAGGCCATCTCCAAGAACGTGCTCTTCGCTCACCTGGATGACAACGAGAGGAGGTAGGCAGACTCGTCCCCTGCCCCGGCATCACCGCCGCCCTCCTCGGCCTCCGGGAGGTGGGCAGGTCCCGCCACTTGCCTGGGCATCACTGCCTCCCTCCCTGGCCTCCAGGAGGTGGGCAGCCCCCGTTGCTCGCCTGGGAATCACAGCTGCCTTCTCCGGCCTCCGGGAGGTGGGCAGGCCCCGTTGCTTGCCCAGGAATCACCACCGCCCTCCTTGCCCTCCGGGAGGTGGGCAGGCCCCATTGCTTGCCCGGGAGTCACCACCACCCTCCTTGCCCTCCGGGAGGTGGGCAGGCCCCGTTGCTTGCCCGGGAATCACCACCGCCCTCCTTGCCCTCCGGGAGGTGGGCAGGCCCCGTTGCTTGCCCGGGAATCACCACCACCCTCCTTGCCCTCGGGGAGGTAGGCAGCCCCCGTTGCTCTCCTGGGAATCACCGCCGCCCTCCCCGGCCTCCAGGGAGGCTTTGCCGTTTCTCTGACTCATGGGCCATGGAATACAGAACGCTCGGCGCCAGGAGAAGCGTGTCACAGCTCTCAGGAAACGTGGGCTCACCACGCAGGGGTGGCTTCCCGAAATACTATGCTGCGTGCACCTGCCCTGCTGCCGAGCTGAGTCCCTGCTCTGGGAAGGCCCGGCTGCCTTCCTCAAATAGGGGGTCTGGATCTGCGGTTCCCCCGCGCGCTATACCTAGGCAGGCACAGGTGGTGTGATTACCGTGGGCTTCGTGTTCCGGCCTCTTCCGCATGCATGGATATACCTTGCCGTTGCTAAGCTCACAGCCTCGTTGGGGAGATGGGGCCGGGATGTACCTTTCCTGCGGCTCCTGCCTGTGCCGGGAGCTCGGAGGCCTGAGGCAGGAGGTGACAGCAGATGAGGTCTGCAGGGTCGCAGTGAGGGGACAGAGGAGGTCAGGGTTATTCAGGGAGAGGGCTGAGCGTGAAGGGGCTTGGACGCCATGTGTGGGGATGTTGATCATAGACATAATTGGAAAAATTGGAAAATTTTGAAAAGATTGAAAGCAAAAATGTCTCCATCTGATGCCTAGGGATGATCCTTGGGGATATTTGGGGGACAGGCGTTAAGGATTGCCCTTGTGCACAGATCCCGTCGGTAACAGCATCTCATTCTACCCTGTTTTCCCATACTCGGGGCGTCCTCAACACCTTTCCATGCCAGTTAGCGTGCTGCAGTTGTCTTGTGCTGTCAATTTCTATGTGAATTAGCTGTTTTCCTACTGCGGCTGTTTGCATTTTTTAAATCTCTATTATTATTATTATTTTAGACAGAGTCTTGCTCTGTTGCCCAGGCTGGACTGCAGTCGTATGATCTTGGCTCACTTCAACCTCCGCCACCTGGGTTCAAGCGATTCTCCTGCCTCAGCCTCCTGAGTATCTGGGATTACAGGATCCCGACACCACGCCCGGCTAATTTTTGCATTTTTAGTAGAGATGGGTTTTCACCATGTTGGCCAGGCTGGTCTCGAACTCCTGACCTCATGATCCACCTGCCTCGGCCTCCCAAAGTGCTGGGATTACAGGCGTGAGCCACTGCGCCCGGCCTGCATTTTTAACTTTATGAACATTGGGTGGTCATCCTTGTGTTTTCATCTTGGAGTACTTGTTCGTTTCTTTCTTTGAGATAAATTCCTTGATGTGATCAAAGGATGTGTAACATATTGAAAATTCTCTCTTTTAAAACAATTTTTTGACAAATTATAATTCTTTATTACATTAACTGAGCATATTTTGATACTAGTCCTATATAAAATCTAAATGACCTCCATATGTATAAAATACAAAGAGAAAGTGTCTTTTTCTCCCCCTCCCGGAGGGCAACGGTGTGGTGGTCTGGTGGGGGCTCCAGCCGCCCTGTGTGTTTGCAGGCGTGTGCCCGTGAGTGCAGGTGGGGACCCTGGGAACACACTAGACGCATTGTTCTCTGCTGTGCTCCTCGCCAGTGATGGGGTGATGGGTCTAGGAAGTCCTTCCATATAAGTACAGATCTAATTGTTGTGCGTATCTGCACAGCGTTCCATTGTAAGAATGAATCAGAGTTTATGAACTGCTGCCTTTGCCAAGGTCACGTGGGAGGCTTCTGATTTCTCCGTGCTCCGATGTTTCCGTGAGTAGTGATGCTGTGGTTAGGCAGGAGACTCCTGGTATTCAGGTTGCTGGGTCAGAGATTGGCCTGTGAAGATCCCGATGGGTGTTGGTGTGTGTGTTTTTAACAGGCTTTTGATACATTTTGCTGGAATCTCACTCAGAAAGGGTGGCAGGGGCTGTGCAGAGGAGTGGCCTTCAAGGGTCTTGGCACCCAGCCACTCACATCATGCTGAAATACCCTATCTTATCCAGAGCATGTGGCTGGTTCAGGCTGGATACTTTGGGTCCAGGGTGCCCAGTTACCCCAAGCAGGAACACCTGTTGCTTCTGTGGTTGAGCAGTGGTTAGAGTAGCTGAGGATGGCTGGGATAGCTGTGTGTGGCTGGAGTATCTGGGTGTAGCTAGAGTAGCTAGGCATGGAGAGAGTTAGCTGGGCATGACGAGTGGCTAGATGTGGCTAGAGTAGCTGGGTGTGGCTGGAATAGCTGGGTGTTGCTGGAGTAGCTGGGTGTGGCTAGAGTAGCTAGGCATGGATGGAGTAGCTAGATGTGGCCAGAGTAGCTGGGTGTGGCTGGAATAGCTGGGTTTGGCTGGAGTAGCTGGGCATGGCTGCCTACTCGAATAGCTGAGTGTGGCTGGAATAGCTGGGTTTGGTTGGAGTAGCTGGACATGGCTGGAATATCTGGGTGTGGCTAGAGTAGCTAGGTATACATGGAGTAGCTGGGCATGACTGGAGTAGTTAGATGTGGCTAGAGTAGCTGGGTGTGGCTGGAATAGCTGGGCATGGCTGGAGTATCTAAGCATGGATGGAGTTGCTGGGCATGACTAGAGTAGCTGGATGTGACTAGAGTAGCTGGGTGTGGCTGGAATTCAGGATTAGCCTGGACATGGTTGGAGTAGCTGGGTGTGGCTGGAGTAGCTGGGCATGGCTACTCCATCCTGGGAGGTGTCCAGGCCCCCCAGGATACCCACGACCTAGTCTCTGGGACCTGGATGTGTCATCTTGAGTGGCAGAGAGGGACTTTGCAGATGTGATGAAGTGAGATTCGAGGTGGGCGGGTGGCCCTGGGTTTCCCAGGAGGGCCCTGATGCCATCACTTGTGCCTTCTAAGGGGAGGCAGGAGGAGATGCCACACACAGAAGGGGAAGAGGCCATGCAACACAAGGCAGGAGTTGGTGAGATGTGGCACACGCCGAGGAGGGCCGCAGCCACCTGAAGAGGCGAGGAGGGGCCTGCCCGGGGCCTCTGGAGGGCGTGGTCCTGTGGCACCTTGATTTCCACCTGCTGATCCTGGATCTGGACTTCTGGCCCCAGAACTGCAGAGACGATACGTTTCTGTTGTTTCAGGACCTGCTGTACTTGCTCACAGCGGCCCTGGGATACGTGCACAGAGGTGTCTGCCTGGCAGTGGTGAACCTGGTCACCAGGAGGAGTCAGATACTGAAGAGCTGAAGACTATTTTTTTTTTTTTTTGAGATGGAGTCTCACTCTGTTGCCCAGGCTTCAGTGCAGTGGGGCGATCTCGGCTCACTGCAAGCTCTGCCTCACAGGTTCACGTCATTCTCCTGCCTCAGCCTCCCAGGTAGCTGGGACTACAGGCGCCCGCCACCATGCCTGGCTAATTTTTTGTATTTTTAGTAGAGATGGGGTTTCACTGTGTTGGCCAGGATGGTCTCGATCTCCTGACCTTGTGATCCACTCTCCTCGGCCTCCCAAAGTGCTGGGATTACAGGCGTGAGCCACCGCGCCCGGCTGAGCTGAAGACTATTTTAACTTGAATTTATTTTAACTTGAATTTAAACATCAATTTACAATGCAATTGAAATGTCGTTTTTGAACGGATATTACGTTCACCCGGTTGAAAATTCAGTTTGGAAGATCACGAAGGGACCCTGAGGAAGAGAGAGCCCTTTCTGGTCCCAGCTGCGCCTTGCTAGAGCCTCTGCAGCTCCCTCTTTGCAGACAGAGTCAGCCCTGAAGCGGGAGGTCCCTGGTCCACAGCTGCTGGCCACACAGACCAGCTGTCCATTCTGTGTGTGTGTGTTTTTTTTTTTTTTTTTTTTTTTTTTTTTTTTTAAAGACAAGGCCTTACTCTCTCACCCAGGCTGGAGTGCAGTGGCACCATCATAGCTCACTGCAGCCTCGGCCTTCCGTGCTCAAGTGATTCTCCTACCTCAACTTCCTGAATAACTGGGACTGCAGGTGTGCACCACCATGCCTGGCTAATTAAAAAAAAATTATTTTTTCTTTTTTTGAGATGGAGTTTCACTCTTCTTGCCCAGGCGGGAGTGCAGTCTTGCAATCTTGGCTCACTGCAATGTCCGCCTCCGGGTTCAAGCGATTCCCCTGCCTCAGCCTTCCAAGTAGCTGGGATTATAGGCATGTGCCACCACACCCAGCTAATTTTTGTATATTTAGTAGAGATGGGGTTTCACCATGTTGGCCAGGCTGGTCTCGAACTCCTGACCTCAAGTGATCCTCCTGCCTCAGCCCCCCAAAGTGCTAGGATTATAGACATGAGCCATCGCGCCTGGCTATTATTTTTATTTCTAGCAACAGTAATGAAGACCATCCAACGTTTTCTTTTTCTGGCTCAAATATTCCCACATGTGGGAACAGTGCGGTGGGTGGAGCACAGCTTTGCACCTGAATTCAAAATTGGTTCAACAAGGCCGGGTGCGGTGGCTCATGCCTGTAATCCCAACACTCTGGGAGGCTGAGGTGGGCAGATCACTTGAGGCCAGGAGTTCAAGACCAGCCTGGCCAATATGGTGAATCCCCATCTCTACTAAAAATACAAAAATTAGGCTGAGCACAGTTGCGCATGCCTGTAATCCCAGCTACTCAGGAGACTGAGGCGGGAGAATTGCTTGAACCCGGGTGGCGGAGATTGCAATGAGCCGAGATCATGCCACTGCACTCCAGCCTGGGCGACAGAGCGAGACTCCATCTTAAAAAAAAAAACAAATTCGGTTCCACAGAATTTAAGACGACAAATACTTCCAGAGGATTCATTGTGTGCCAGGCTCCGTGCAGGGTTCTGGGAACACAGTGGGGGTAGGGAACGGGTGCTGTCCTCATGGGGCTGGCTCTTCCGGGGAGCAGGCAGCACACAGTCATGAAGCACATACATTTTTAGAGATGGTGTGTGGTGAAGGACATTGAGAGAGGCCTGCACGTCATAGAGTGGGATGGCTTCATTCAGGATGGGCAGAAAGGTGAGAGCCAGCACGGCTGTTCCAGGCATGGCACAGCTGCAGCAAAGGGCCTGGGGCCCGTTCCAGGCATGGCTGGGGCAGGGGAGAGCTGGTGAACACATGGTAGGACAGCTTTGTTCATTTCAGCAGGAACCTGCTGCCTGTGGGGGTGCTGGGGCCACAGGGAACAAGGCATCACTTGGAGGGTAGCCAGGAAAATGGAGATCTCAATGTCCTCCTGGGATTCAAATATGTGTCTTAACCTGGGCAACATAGTGAGACCCCATCTCTTAAAAAAATTACCCGGGCCTGGTGGTACACGCCTATAATCCCAGTTACTCTGGAGGCTGAGGTGGGAGGAGTGCTCGAGCTCAGGAGTTCAAGGCTACAGTGAGCCGAGATTGTGTCGCTACACTCTAGCCTGGGCAACAGAGCGAGATCCTGTCTGAAAACAAAAGCAGAAACAAAAAATCCCCCAAAACCCCACCCAAACACCCAGATATGTGCTTGGAGTTCCCAGGGGTTCTGGTGCTTCTTGGAACTCACCCGTCCCTCTGCATGGCTCGTTCCTCTTGAAGTAGCCACAGTGAGAGGCAAATGTTTGGGCGTGGGGAGCCCCCTGAGCTGTTCCCTCCAGAGGCAGCCCGTGAGCTTAGAGCTTATCAAAAGCCCGGCTCTGGCCAAATGACATCCACGCCCACCTTCAGAATCTGAATTCTGCGGAGCTCGATGAAGGCAACGGAGGGACGGAGAAGCGGTGGGTTGGGGAGGGTGGGTGGTGTTCAGGGCCCTTTAGAAACCCTCAAGTCCTCAACCTGAGGAAGAAGGAGGTGGACGGTCGCTTCAGCTCTTGACCCATTTGTCAGACAGAACCACTCACGCGAAATCTGTGTCCCCATCTTCTGGCTGATGAGCCTGGGGTCACTGAGAGCGCCGAGGTCGGGAAAGCTCTGGCTGAAGATGGGCTGGGATGTGCTGCAGCCACGATCATCTCCGGTATCTGGGGCTGATGCCGTGTCCTCGGTCCTGAGCCCCTCTGCCTGACGCCGTGGCATGGGGGAGCTCGGAGGCTGTCCTCGGTCCGGAGCCCCGCTGCCGGATGCCACGGCGTGGGAGAGCTCGGAGGCCGTCTTCGGTCCTGAGCCCCTCTGCCGGATGCCGTGGCGTGGGGGAGCTCGGGGGCCGTCCTCGGTCCTGAGTCCCTCTGCTGGATGCTGTGGCGTGGGGGAGCTCGGAGGCCGTCCTGGGTCCTGAGTCCCTCTGCTGGATGCTGTGGCGTGGGGGAGCTCGGAGGCCGTCCTCGGTCCTGAGCCCCTCTGCTGGATGCTGTGGCATGGGGGAGCTCGGAGGCCGTCCTCGGTCCTGAGCCCCTCTGCTGGATGCTGTGGCGTCGGGGAGCTCAGAGGCCGTCCTCGGTCCTGAGCCCCTCTGCTGGACGCTGTGGCATGGGGGAGCTCAGAGGCCCAGGCCGCCTAGCTCTTGGGCTCAGCTATCAACACGGGCTTCCATGTTCATGGAGGCACAGGCTTGTCACCACCTCAGCCCAGAATTGTCACATGTCACAGGTGAGCATGGGCCATGGACTGGTCCCCTGGCCTGGCGTGGTTGCAGGGATGCTGGGCAGTCATTCCCTGGGTGCCTAGGGAGGAGGAATATGAAGTGGGGTTTCATGAACTTGTAGCTCCATCTCATTTCCAACATCTGTCCTCCCTGCATGTGCAATGTTTACATCCAAACCCTAAAAAAATGGCACGTGGGGCTGGGCGCGGTGGCTCACGTCCATAATTCCAGCACTTTGGGAGGCCGAGGCGGGTGGATCACGAGGTCAGGAGATTGAGACCATCCTGGCTAACACAGTGAAACCCAGTCTCTACTAAAAATACAAAAAAAAATCAGCTGGGCGTGGTGGCAGGAGCCTGTAGTCCCAGCTGCTAAGGAGGCTGAGGCAGGAGAATGGCGTGAACCTGGGAGGCGGAGCTTGCAGTGAGCTGAGATCGTGCCACTGCACTCCAGCCTGGGCGACAGAGCAAGACTCCGTCTCAAAAAAAAAAAAAAAATATGGCACGTGGACCTGCCCACCAGCCTTCTCTCTCGCTCTTGTTTTCATTGTGGCAAATATATATCACATAAAGTTTGCAATTTTAACCTTTTCTTTTTTTTTGAGATGGAGTCTCACTCTGTCACCCAGGCTGGAGTGCAGTGGCGCTATCTCGGCTCACTGCAACCTCCGTCTCCTGGGTTCAAGTGATTCTCCTGCCTCAGCCTCCCGAGTAGCTGAGATTACAGGTGTGCGCCACCACACCTGGCTAATTTTTGTATTTTTAGTAGAGATGGGGTTTCAGCATGTTGGCCAGGCTGGTCTTGAACTCCTGACCTCAGGTGATCCACCCACCTCAGCCTCCCAAAGTGCTGGGATTACAGGTGTGAGCCACTGCACCCAGCCCATTTTAGCCATTTTTAAGTGTTTAATTCAGTGGCATTAGTTACATTCACAATGGTGTGCTGCCATCACCACTCTTTGTTTCCAAAATTTTCATCATTCCAAATGGAAGCCCCACACTTATTCAGCAGTCAGTCCTATCACCCCCTCCTGGGCCCCTGATAGCCCCAATTTACTTTCTCTTTCTATGAGCTTGCCTATTCTAAATATTTCATGTAAGTCATTATGGGACTTAAATGAACCATGATATATGACCTTTCGTGATGGGCTCTTTCACTGAGCACAGTGTTTTCAAGGTGCATCCACAGCATAGCATGTATCAATGCTCTCTTCCTTTTTCAGGGCCGAGTAATATTCCACTCCACGGCCACACCCCATTTGTGTATCCATTTGTCTGCTGATGGACACTTGGGTTGTTTCCACCTTTTGGTTATTGTGATTAGTGCTGCTGTGAACATGGGTGTGCAGGTGTCTGTTTGAGTCTCCTGGGCAGATGCTGATGGATGGAATTGCCGGGTCATATGGTAGTTCCATGTTTAGCTTTTTGAGGAACCACAGATTGTGCTTCCCTTCCAGCCTGACCGAACTCAGAGCCTCCCATTCCTTTCTGTGCCCTCTTGGTGGCAACTGCGTTTCAGCTAAACTCCTCAAATCCTTTCTGGGCTCCTCCCCAGCTCCCAGGCTCTAGGTAGGTTCAGTAAAGCTCTTATTTTAGGGCCAGCCTGGACCCTGAGTGTGAGCTGAGTCAAATGATATCTCTGGGCCATCCCAGCTGTTTATGTCCAGTGCTGGGTCCTGTGCCCTTGGCCCTGAGAATCAGAACGACATGCGCCCTCCATCTCTGACCCCTCTGGATCCGAGAGCTACGCGGACAAGAAACAGAGGAAGCAGATGGTTGGCTTAAAAACTCCTCTTTGTAAGGCTGGCTTGAAAAGGAAGCTTTTGCACAGGGTGTGTGTGTCGGTTTCAGCTCTTTTGTTTTGCACACAGGAAAACTCACTTTCCATATCGAAGCCCCAGTGGGCTCCTTTTTCTGGCCACGGTCTCTAAAGAAACAGGCTGATGGCTCAGGAAACCGGTTCCAGAGGGAGTGGGCAGGGGAGGGATTGTCTCTGGACCTTTCACGTGATGTCTCCCCTGTGCAGCATCCAGATAGTTTGCTTTTTCCAGTTTACTAGAAGCTGAGCTTCATAGCTTTGCCTCTGCTCAGCTGTGGTTTGGCGAGCAAAGCCAAATTCCTTCCAAGTTTACAGGGCGTCTGGCACACCCCTGACTTTGAGGCTGCCTGCTCTTCTTCTCTCTGCTTCCCCGCTTAGGAAGAGTGCGGCAGAGAATCCTTTGCAGATGCATCCACCTGCAGGGTTTGCACACCTGCTGGCCTAATGACCCCTCCGTACAAGTTCAGGTTCAAGACAGATATCCCCATCATCACAGGCTGTGTGACTTTGCTCTTGTCGATCCGTAACAGTGTGGGAGATACATAAGGTTGTGCGAGAGATACGTAAGCTTGGAGAAGGGTAGAAATTATGTTTAAGACCTTTGATTTAAAGGAAGATAGTGCAACGTGGTTGTGAGGGAGGCTGCAACTCCCCCAGACCGCCTGCCTGTCCTTCTAGGATGGTGGTATTGCTAGTTGGCCTTGATCGAAGGGTTTCCCTGGGCCTTTGCACAGGATCTGTGAGAGGCATAGTGTCAACCTCACAGCCTCAGTTTCCTTCCCTGTCCTTGTCCAAGGCCCCACAACTCCTCAGGAGCAGAGCTAGGGTTTGAGCTCGAGTTCTTGGGCACCTAAGCCTGTGCTCCCTCCCCTGTAAGGACACATCACCTGCACCTGCCGCTACCCTGCCTGCATGGTGAAGGAAGATTGAGAATGGGTGATTTAGGCATTGCCAGTGAGCGGGGTCCATACTGTCCTGTAGTGAACTGCAGCTGCAGGGAGACAGCTCAGGGGTGAGACAGGACCAGGAGTTCCCATCACACAGGTGTTGGGCTGGAGTGGTCTTATTCCCAGGCACGCCTATGCACACAGTCATGCACACACAATCTCACTCAGATACCACAGAATTTAAGGTGTGTTTAAAACATCTTTTGGAAGGAGAGAGTTGTGGATGTCATTTATAAGTAATAACATTCTCTGAGCCTCAGTTTCCTCAGGTGTCAAATGAAGATAATAAAACCTACTTTGAGGTTGTTGTGAGAATATAAAGCAAGAATATCTATGTGTGTACTGTTATCACCACCATCATTATCATCACCATCATAGTCATCACCATTACCATCATCACCATCCCCACCATCACCATCATCACTGTCATCATCACCATCATTATCATCACCATCACCACCACCATCCTCATCACCACCATTGCCATCATCATCGTTATCACCACCATCATCATCACCATCCCCACCATCACCATCATCACTGTCATCATCACCATCATTATCATCATCACCATCACCACCACCATCCTCATCACCACCATTGCCATCATCATCTTTATCATCACCATCATCATCATCACCGCCATCATCATCACTGTTGTGGTCATTGTCATCACCATCTTTCTGTGGCCCTTTGGCTGTGTGGCAGTGGAGTCCATGAAGGTACTTCTTCTGGATGGTGCCTTGCCCCTTGGAGGCTGGCCCGGCTATCCAGACAGACCCCGCAGTCAGGCCCCACTCAGTACTTGGTCTGAGAAAGAGGCTGGGGTAGCCTTGAGTCATTCTCTGCTCCACCCTGGGCCTGAGTTGGTGAATAGGCCGCTCCGGGCCTCCCAGCACCCACAGTCAGCAGGAAGATCCCTAGGAGGCCACCTTGTCCCCACCTCACTGTACTGAACAGAGCTCTGAGACCCAGTGAGAGGGGGCCTTGGCCTGTTGCACTGACCCACACAGCAATTGTCCAGCTGGGGCTGGAGTGGGGTGTCCTTATCCCCTGGGACGGCACCTGCACAGCCCCTCTGCAGAGTTGAGTAGCTCCCAGGGCAGGCCCCAGGGTGGTGGTAGGTGCAGCCTTCTCACCTTGTGTCAGCTATTGGAGCGAAGCAGATTCCGCATCCTACCTGGGGTGCCCGGGGCAGTTACGCCTCGGCCAGGGACCTCAGCAGCCTCAGGAAGCAGCCCCGCGTGCTCCGGAGCTCTCTGATGTGCCAGGACCATGAAGGCTGTCCCTGGAGCGTGTGTCCCAGGGAAGCAGCCCCGCATGTTCCGGAGCTCTCTGATGTGCCAGGACCATGAAGGCTGTCCCTGGAGCGTGTGTCCCAGGCCTTGGGGAGTGAGGTGGAGGCCCTTGGGTTCTATCCCGGTCCCTTCCCGGCTTTCCCTGATTAGGGCGCCTGTAGGGGGAGCATCGCTGAGCTCCTGGGAGCCGAGAAACGTGATAATTGGGTGGCACCGTGCGTGTTTGTGTTGTGCGTTGGGCCTCCGGCGGGGACCTCATTACTGGAGCTGCCAGACGGGCACAGGCGAGGGCACCTCACCCTTGAGGCGGCCTTCCTGGCAGTGGCTCCAGCTCTCTGCTGCTTTAATTAAAACAGGCCTCTGGCTTGAGCAGCACCGCTGGCCTGCGCAGCTGTCTGTTATCTGTCGCTGTTTCTCTTCCTCCCACCCGCGTATCTCTGCAGTCTGTTTTTCCACAAACTGGCTCGGATCCTCAGGTGATGGGAAAAACAAGCCCTTCTGCCGAATTCACGGGCAGCTGAAGGGAGCTGTCTCCTGGCTTCTCTGAGCCTTCACGGCCCCCTCTCCCCATTCTGGCTTGGGCTTTGGGACTTTCTGCTTCCCTTTCGGGCAACATTAAAAAAACAAAATTAGCATTTTGGAAAATGCAGGGCCTCATCCGAGGAGATGCTTAATGGCTTGAACATGCAAAGAATTTGATTTCCATTTGCAGAAAGCCCAGCTGGATCTCAGCAGAGGAGACCTTGAGGTTAGCAAATCAGGGGCCACGTGAGCCCGGGAGGCTTTAGAAGCTGAATTCAACGGAGGCTGAAGCCTGGGGTTTGAAGCTTGCATCAGATGATGTATGCAATGGCCAGTCCCTGGGCCATGGGCCTCGGGCATGTTGTCTTTCTAGAGCTCCCCCGTGGCCCCCGAGGCTGCCGTTTGGCAGGGGAGGCAGAGAGAGGTTAAGCAGGCTGCGTCGGGCCACCCAGCTTGGAGTAGAAGCTGGGACTTTGACCTGGCTGGGATGTGGCTGCTTGGGGCTGACTTGCCCACCGTGAATGCACACACAGCTCATTAACCTGCCGGGAAAAGACAACAACCTTTTTAAGAGAACAGTCATTTTCCACACGCCTAGCGTTTTCCAGCTAATAACAAGTCTCGTGGCCTGCGCCTGGAGCTGCGGGGCAGTTGCAGCTCTCCGTGGAGCCTGTTTCAAAGGGTCTCCAGGGCTGGCGCTATCTAATACCACAGTGACAACAAGCCCTCTTGCTTTGTCTGATTTGTGAGTGGAGAGAAGAACCTCAGGTCTTTCTTACCACTTCCCCCAGGTGATCGTGGCCTGCGTGGATCTTGCCTGTGGTCCTGGCTGTTTGGTGCCCTGAGATTTTTGTTTTTGTTTTTTTGAGACACAGTCTTGCTCCGTTGCTCAGGCTGGAGTGTAGTGGCACGATCTTGGCTCACTGCAGCCTCGACTTCCTGGGCTCAAGTGATCCTCCTGCCTCAGCCTCCCGACTAGCTGGGGCCACAGGCGTGCACCACCACACCCAGCTATTTTTTTTTTTTAGTTTTTGTAGAGACAGAGTCTCGCTGTGTTGCCCAGGCTGGACTTGAGCCTCCTGGGCTCAAGCGATCCTCTGGCCTCAGCCTCCCATAGTGTTGGGATTGCAGGCATGAGCCACCACACCCAGCAGCTGCTGTAACATTTTGAAACTTGTGGAATTTGGTGGTGTGTGGTCTCCGGTACCACATCTTCTGACCCCTAGCCAGTTCACGTTTTGTTGTCACTGACAAGCCCCTGCAGACCTGGGGGCTGAGATGCTGCACGTGGCCTCTGCCTCCAGCACCCAGTATGTGGATGGGGACCCGAGGCCCAGAGAAGGTGCAGGAAGGCCCACTGCCCCGGGCAGGGAATGGGGCTGTCCTTCAGATGGAGGGTGCCAGGGCAGAGGCTGTGTTCATGCAGGCCTGAGGCTAAGCCCTGGTGCAGCACTGGCCACTGTGCTGTGTCGGGGACCACATAGCGACCAGAAGGAGGGATGCACCAGCTTTCACATTCCGACGGACGCCATGGGTCCTGGCATGGCTCCATTCTTGAGCCCTGGTCACTAAAAATAGCCCCGTCGCCTGCCAGCGGGTGTGAGGAATTCACCAGCTGGCTGGGGATGGGGGTCTGTGGAGAGAGGCCAGGCGAAGGGAAGGTTGCGTGGGGAGGGCCCTCCATGGAGGGGAATGTAACCGTCGAGCTGGTCCTGGCCCTATGGGGCTCCTTGTAATACAAAGCATCTTGTCAGCAATTTGGTGACCCTGTTCCCACTTGTCGGGGGGGACCCTGAGGCTCAGAGACAGCGGGGGGCTTGCCCAGGTCACACGGTTTCCGTGGGAAAGATCAGCCCTCCTGAGACCAGGCCCTGCACGCCCACCTGTCTGCTCCCTGCAGAATGAGGAAGCCACTCCGATTCGGGAGGCAGTTGTAACTCACGCTCCCTGAGTTCTGCTTGGGGTCAGGTGTGTGGCTGAGAGCTGTGAGTGTGCTGTCTCGCTGTCCTGATGGCAGCCCTGAGGGCACGTGGTAACACTGTCCCCAAGTTCCAGGTGAGGATCTGACACACGGAGAGCTGTGGCCACCTGCTTCGGGCCACCGCTGCTGCCCAGACCACCACATGCACCCTGGTTTGACCACGGTCTGTGTAGGGCCAGGACCCTGGGACACAGCCGTCCCCTCCCCTCCTGACCGAGAGCCTTTTCTTTTCTAGTAGGGACCAGTATTTTAAAAGTGAATGGGCCGGGCACGGTGGCTCACGCCTGTAATCCCAGCACTTTGGGAGGCTGAGGCAGGGGGATTGCTTGAGCCCAGGAGTTTGAGACCAGCCTGGGCAGCATAGCAAGACCCCATCTCTACCCTCCTCCTAAAAATTAAAAAATTAGCTGGGCATGGTGGCATGCACCTGTAGTTGCAGCTACTCAGGAAGCTGAGGTGGGAGGATTGCTTGAGGCTGGGAGGTTGAAGCTACGGTGAGCTGTGATTGCACCACTCCTCTCTCCAGCCTGGGTGACAGGGCAAGACCCTGTCTCAAAAAGAAAAATAAGTAAAAATAAACACACATCAATAAAAAGTGGATTATTGTCTGGTTGTCTCATGGGTGTGATAGTTGCTGCTGGACCACTGAGGAAGTGACTGATTCTTCCCGCGGGTGGGCCCTTGTTCATCAGACCTAGTGAAACTTCAGCCACATCCACAAGGGATTTTCCAGGCAAAGAAGAGGGGGGACTAAGTTCCTGAGTGTCTTGGGGCCTCTTTCAGGACTCTGTCCTGTCTGTTCATTGAACACTCTTAGATCTTTTCTGGGTTTCAGTCTGTTTGAAAGCATCAGAAAATGTTAGGAAGGAAGAGGGTGATGAACAGGGTGGTGCTTCTGGAAGGCCCCTGCTGTGGCCGCTCCGAGGGTGAGAGCCTGGGCCCCAGGTGGTGGGGGGAGCTTTGGAGGCTGGGGCCCAGGACTCAGCATTGCTTGGAGGGTGTCCCAGGAGACTTGCTCAGACTCTGCTGTGGGTGCCCGTGGGACTGGAGGGGAGCTCAGGCATGGGGAGAGTAGGTATTTGGATCTGTTGGGGTGGGGACCTGTGCCACTGAGGGGAGAGTAGGTATTTGGATCTGTTGGAGTGGGGACCTGTGGCATGGCGGGGAGAGTAGGTGTTTGGATCTGTTGGGGTGGGGACTTGTGCTATGGGGGGGAGAGTAGGTAATTGCATCTGTTGGGGTGGGGACCTGTGCCACTGGGTGGAGAGTAGGTATTTGGATCTGTTGGGGTGGGGACCTGTGGCATGGGGGGGAGAGTAGGTATTTGGACCCGTTGGGGTGGGGAACTTGTGGCACTGGGGGGAGAGTAGGTATTTGGACCCGTTGGGATGGGGACCTGTGCCATGGAGGGAAGAGTAGGTATTTGGACCCGTTGGGGTGGGGACCTGTGCCATGGGGGGGAGAGTAGGTATTTGGACCTGTTGGAGTAGGGACCTGTGCCTTGCGGGGGAGAGTAGGTATTTGGACCCGTTGGGGTGGGGGACCTGTGCCATGTGGGGGAGAGTAGGTATTTGGACCCGTTGGGGTGGGGACCTGTGCCATGGGGGGGAGAGTAGGTATTTGGATCTGTTGGGGTGTGGACCTGTGCCATGGAGGGAAAGAGTAAGTATTTGGACCCACTGGGGTGGGGACCTGTGCCATGGGGGGGAGAGTAGGTATTTGGACCCGTTGGGGTGGGGACCTGTGCCATGGGGGGGAGAGTAGGTATTTGGATCCGTTGGGGTGGGGACCTGTGCCATGTGGGGGAGAGTAGGTATTTGGACCCGTTGGGGTGGGGACCTGTGCCATGGAGGGGAAGAGTAGGTATTTGGACCCGTTGGGGTGGGGACCTGTGCCATGGGGGGGAGAGTAGGTATTTGGACCTGTTGGAGTAGGGACCTGTGCCTTGCGGGGGAGAGTAGGTATTTGGACCCGTTGGGGTGGGGACCTGTGCCATGGGGGGGAGAGTAGGTATTTGGACCTGTTGGAGTAGGGACCTGTGCCTTGCGGGGGAGAGTAGGTATTTGGATCCGTTGGGGTGGGGACCTGTGCCATGGGGGGGAGAGTAGGTATTTGCATCTGTTGGGGTGGGGACCTGTGCCATGGGGGGGAGAGTAGGTATTTGGACCCGTTGGGGTGGGGACCTGTGCCATGGGGGGGAGAGTAGGTATTTGGACCCGTTGGGGTGGGGACCTGTGCCATGGGGGGGAGAGTAGGTATTTGGATCTGTTGGGGTGGGGACCTGTGCCATGGAGGGGAAGAGTAAGTATTTGGACCCGTTGTGGTGGGGAACTGTGCCATGGGGGGGAGAGTAGGTATTTGGACCCGTTGGGGTGGGGACCTGTGCCATGGTGGGGGGAGAGTAGGTATTTGGATCTGTTGGGGTGGGGACCTGTGCCATGGTGGGGAGAGTAGGTATTTGGACCCGTTGGCGTGGGGACCTGTGCCATGGGGGGGAGAGTAGGTATTTGGATCCGTTGGGGTGGGGACCTGTGCCATGGGGGGGAGAGTAGGTATTTGGACCCGTTGGGGTGGGGACCTGTGCCATGGAGGGAAAGAGTAAGTATTTGGACCCGTTGGGGTGGGGACCTGTGCCATGGGGGGCAGAGTAGGTATTTGGACCCGTTGGGGTGGGGACCTGTCCCATGGGGGGGAGAGTAGGTATTTGGACCCGTTGGGGTGGGGACCTGTGCCATGGGGGGGAGAGTAGGTATTTGGATCCGTTGGGGTGGGGACCTGTGCCATGGGGGGGAGAGTAGGTATTTGGATCTGTTGGGGTGGGGACCTGTGCCATGGAGGGGAAGAGTAAGTATTTGGACCCGTTGGGTTGGGGACCTGTGCCATGGGGGGAGAGTAGGTATTTGGACCCGTTGGAGTAGGGACCTGTGCCATGGGGGGCAGAGTAGGTATTTGGATCTGTTGGGTTGGGGACCTGTGCCATGGGGGGGAGAGTAGGTATTTGCATCTGTTGGGGTGGGGACCTGTGCTATGGAGGGGAGAGTAGGTATTTGGACCCGTTGGGGTGGGGACCTGTGCCATGGAGGGGAGAGTAGGTATTTGGATTTGTTGGGGTGGGGACCTGTGGCATGGGGGGGAGAGTAGGTATTTGGATCTGTTGGGGTGGGGACTTGTGCTATGGGGGGGAGAGTAGGTAATTGCATCTGTTGGGGTGGGGACCTGTGCCATGGGGGGGAGAGTAGGTATTTGGACCCGTTGGGGTGGGGACCTGTGCCATGGGGGGGAGAGTAGGTATTTGGATCTGTTGGGGTGGGGACCTGTGGCATTGGGGGCAGAGTAGGTATTTGGACCCGTTGGGGTGGGGAGCCTGTGGCACTGGGGGGAGAGTAGGTATTTGGATCTGTTGGGGTGGGGACCTGTGCCATGGGAGGGATTGTAGGTATTTGGACCCGTTGGAGCGGGGCCTGTGGCACCCGGGGAGGTGTCGAGAGGCAGCAGGCTCACAGACTTGGGCCCCATTGAGCTATGGTAGACGGGAACTCGGTGGGCCCATGTCCCCGGGGAGACTGAGCAGGGAGGTGATGCCAGGCCTGGGTGGAACCAGAACCCGGAACATGGAGCCGGGAGAAGGCTGGGATGGGCTCATGGGCTCCTCCCCTCTCTGCAGGAGGGAACTGTCCTGGGGAGGGGAGTCGCTTCCCCACTGACTCCGAGTAGGGGATGGAGAGCCCAAGGCGGCGGCACCTCTCTCCTGCTGGGAGAGCCTAGAGCCTTTGTCACTAAAGGGAGAGAGGCCACTGGCTCCTCGTGCCTCAAGGGCTCAAACATTTTCTGCTCACTGGGGAGATCTACAGGACTGGGGGCAGCTCCTCCTCCCCCTTCTCTTCCTTAACATTACATTTTTTTATTGTAATAAAAATCTGGGAATCTGGGCCAGGCACAGTAGCACAAACCTGTGGTCCCAGCTACTCCAGAGGCTGAGGTGGCAGGTCGCTTAAGCCCGGGAGGTGGAGACTGCAGTGAGCCGAGATCGCGCCACTGCACTGGGCGACAGAGCGAGACTCCGTCTCAAAAACAAAAACAAAAACAAAAGCCCTCACAAGGCCCATGCGTCTGGACGTGCAGAGCTGTGGAGGAAGCAGCCTCTTGCTGTCCTGCCGGTGTCCATGGTCGCGGCCTGGGGTTTCCTCCCTGGGCTGGTTTTTGCAGCCGTCGTCTTCTTGCCTCACCAGTGTTGTTGTTTCTCCTCTCCCCATTGGCTCCCAGCTCCCTTCCTCACAGCTGCCTGCATGCGCAGAATATTCCGGCTCGGGACGGCGTGTGCGGCCACCATGTGGGTGCCCTCCTCTCCCCCTTTCGTGGTCACTTCGGTGCCTGTGGGCTGAATCATATGTGGCAGTTGGAAGTGCTCCACTAGGATGGAAGCTATACTCACTCATTCATTCAACAGGTGTTTAGTGAGCATCTCCTTCAGGCCAGACCCCGCCCGAGGGGTTGAAGATACTGCATGCGCAACACAGACCACCCCCTACCGTACCTGGCTTTACTGAGCTTTTTTCTAATGGAAGAGACTATAAGTAAATGAAATAAATTGTTAGAATATAGGATGAGGCAGTGAGACGTGCTGAAAAGAAACACAAGGTGGTGCAGGGGGTGGGGATGCAGTTTTGGTAGAGACCAGCGTCTTAGGATTGTGTCATCCTCATGGTTTGTGAGCCGTCCTGCACATCTCCGCAGAGTGTCTGTGCTGTGTGTGTGAGGTTTTTATTTGCCTGGTGTCATGAGACCCATGTTGGTGACTCTTTCTTAGCTTACAAATGACTGCGAGATAATATTTTTTTAAAAACATTAGGCCAGGCACGGTGGCTCATGTCTATAACCCCAGCATTTTGGGAGGCTGAGGTGGGTGGATCACTTGAGGCCAGGAGTTTGAGACCAGCCTGTCCAACATGACAAAACCCTGTCTCTACTAAAAATACAAAAATTAGCCTGGCATGATGGTGGGTGCCTGTAGTCCCAGCTACTCAGGAGGCTGAGGCAGGAGAATCACTTGAACCAGGGAGGTGGAGGTTGCAGTGAGCTGAGAATGCACCACTGCACTCCAGCCTGGGCAACAGAGTAAGACTCTATCTCAAAAAAACCCAAAAAACAAAAAACATTTTATCGTGGAAAACTTCAAAAGTATATGAAAGAAGAGTGGCTTTCGTGAGCCGCCGGCTTCCATAGCACAAGGTCATGTTCAGGCTGCTCTCATCTCTCTTCCCTCCCACTTTCTCCCGACCCTGATCTATTTTGAAGCAAACCTCAGCCATCAGATCATTTTGTCTGTGAATATTTCAGTGTAAGATGCTAACTTTGTTTTTTTCTGAGACAAGGTCTCACTCTATTGCCCAGGCTGGAGCACAGTGGTGCAGTCATAAATCACAGCAGCCCCCACCTCATGGGCTCCAGTGATCCTCCTGCCTCAGCCTCCTAGTAGCTGGAACTACAGGTGTGCACCACCATGCCTGGCTAATTTTTAATTTTTTTTGTAGAGATGGGGGTCTCGCTGTGTTGCCCAGGCTGGTCTTGAACTCCTGTCCTCAAGCAGTGCTCCCTCCTTGGCATCTCAAAGTGCTGGGATTACAGGTGTGAGCCACCGGACCCCGCCAAGTTGCTAATTTTTGATCTAGTTTCTTGTCTTCATAATCACATCACTGTGGATAGGTGAGGTTGGGGTAGCACATTCGCCGTCCATATGCTGGCTCACGGAGCTGCTGTCTCGGCCTGTGTTTCTGACGTGGGCCTTGCTTGTCGGGTTTGCATTTCTCTCTGCATTTAATTGGGAGCCTCTTTAGAAGGTGGGTCTGCTTCTGAGCTTCTTTCTGCTGCTGCAAAGCTGGGCTCAGTGGGAATTACGCAAGCCTCGCTGGTTCATGAGGAGGTGGAGGCTGTGAGAAGAAATGAAAGCGCCCCTGAGCCCAGACAATTATTTTCTTCTTGTTTTACAAGCCTGTTGCTGAAGACTCGACATTTTCTGCTTTACGTCTTGTGTGGTGACAGCTGGTTCATGCTTGTCCTTCAAAAAAAGCAACAGTTGCTAAGAGTCCCACAAACAAAGATGTGCTTTGACTCCCAGGAACAGCTGTGGAAGGACAGGGTGTCCTGTCGGCTGCTATGTCCAAATATTCAGACTGCCCAAAACGGCGCCTCAGCCCCTGGCGCCGCTGGGTACTGCCCCTCATTCCTGTCCACCACCCCCATAGCTTTGTATTTTCTAACGGTGAAAAAATGCCTTCTTACTTCTTGACCAGAGACACGAAGTCCTCTGAGTTAATTGAGTCTAAATATGGGGTATTGAGGGAGAAGAGGTCAGCATGAATCATTCACCCATTCATTCATTCATCCATCCATCCATCCATCCATCCATCCATGCACACATTCATTCATGCATCAATTCCTTCATTCACCCATCCACACATTCACTCATGCATCCATTCATTTGTTCACTCATTCATTCATCCATCCATCCATCCATCCATCCATCCATCCATCCGTCCGTCCATTCATCCATCCATTCATTTATCCATCCATGCACACATTCACTCATGCATCAATTCCTTCATTCACCCATCCACACATTCACTCATGCATCCATTCATTTGTTCACTCATTCATTCATTCATTCATCCATCTATCCATCCATCCATCCATGCATTCACTCATGCATCCTTTCATTCATTCACCCATCCATGCATTCACTCATGCATCCATTCATTTATTCACTCATTCATTCATTCATCCATCCATCCGTCCATCCATCCATCCATTCATCCATCCGTCCGTCCATCCATGCATTCACTCATGCATCCATTCATTCGTTCACTCATTCATTCATTCATCCATCCGTCCGTCCATCCATGCATTCACTCATGCATCCATTCATCTGTTCACCCATTCATTCATTCACCCATCCACACATTGACTCATGCATCCACTCATTCATTCATCTATCCACACATTCACTCATGCATCCATTCCTTTGTTCAGACATTTATCCATTCATTCATTCATCCATCCATGCATTTACACATCCATCCACTCATTTGTTCACCCATTTATCCATCCATTCACTCATGAATCCATTAATTCATTCACCCACTTATTCATCCATTCACTCATTCATTCATTCATCTACGCATTCACTTATGCATCCATTCCTTTGTTCCATTTATCCATTCATTCATCCATCCATCCATCCATCCATTCCCTCACTCATCCATTAATTCCCCCCTTATCCATACATTTAGTCATCCATCCACACATTCACTCATACATCCATCCAGTCATCCATTCACTCATTTATCCACTCATTCATTCACCCACTTATCCATTCATTTATCTATCCATTCATACATTCATTTCTTCATCTATTCATCTAGTCAGTCATCCATTCATTCATGCATCCATACATTCACCCATGCATCATCCATTCATTCACCCATTCATTCATTCATTAGCTCATGTATCCACTCATTCATCCATCCATGCATTCACCCACCCATCCACTAATTCACCTATTTATCCATCCATTCAGTCACTCATTTATCCATTCATTCATTTTTCCATTCATTCATTCACCCCTCCACACATTCACTCAGGCACCCATCCATTCATTCACCCATCCAGTAAATCCTGGTTGGATCTCCTCTGTGCCCAGTGCTGGAAATCGTGCTCACAGATGTAGACACAAGTGGGAGGAGAGCCCAAGGAGAAAATGACTTTCTGGGGAGGTGGAGGTGGATCTTTGTCTTTCAAAGGCTCATAAATGGATTTTTCTGACTCAGTGAGAAACCCAACCACTTACGCGGGGGCAGACCTTGTATCCCAGAGAGCAGCCTCACATGCTGTCTCATGTAACTCCCCAATGGACCCAGGAAGTAGGGGCGTCATTTGCTCTGTTTCACCCAGAGGGTAACTGAGGTTGGAGAGACTCACTTGGGGCATGCTCTCATCAATCAGGGAACCAACTCTGAATCATATGTGGCAGTTGGAGGTGCTCCACTAGGATGGAAGCTACACTCACTCATTCATTCAACAAATGTTTAGTGAGGATCTCCTTCAGGCCAGGCCCTGCCCGAGGGGCTGCAGATACAAGATGCGCAACACAGACCACCCCTACCATACCTGGCTTTACTCAACTCTTTTCTAATGGAAGAGACAATGAGTAAATGAAATAAATTGTTAGAATATAGGATGAGGCAGTAAGAAGTGCCAAAAAGAAACACAAGATGATGCAGGGGATGGGGATGCAGTTTTGGAGGGGGGCCTGGAAAAGCCATGCTGAGAAGGGAAGATTGAGGAAATACCTGGGGGAAAGAGGAAGTGAACCAGGAATTTATCTGGGGAAAGAGCATTGCCGGCAGCAGGAGGGCAGGTGCAAAGGCCCTGTGGTCAGGGGCATGCCTGGTTGTCCAAGAATTAACAAGGAGGCCAGTGAAGCCAGAGCAGAGCCTGGGAAGAGGCCATTGACAGGTGATGAAAACACAGAGGAAGAGGCGCCAGATCTTGTAGGGCATTCTGGGTCACTGCAAGGACTTTGGCTTTTATTCTGAGATGGGAGGCCCTAGAAGGCATAGCATGTCGGCTCTTACATGTTTTATTTAGCAGGGTCTGTCTGGCTCTCCACTAAGAATAGAAGGTAGGGGGACAAGGGCAGAAGTGGAAAACCCAGTTAAGAGGTTGTTTTGCTAATTCCAGGCAGGAGATGCTGATTTCTGGGATCAGGGCAGTACCACTGGCAGTGGTAAGTGGTTAGTTGATTCTAAAGAAAGGGGCCCTGTCTAGCCTGAGATGGTTCAGCTATGAGGTTTGTTTCCAGTGCTGGGCTCCTCTCTTGGTTATGAGATTCCTTGGAGGCAACGGCAATGATAACAATGATGTTGATGGTGGTGATGGTGATAATGAGTGTTGGTGGTGATGATGGTGGTGATGTTAAAGTTGATGGTAATGGTGATAAAAATGGTGATAGTGATGGTGATGAAGATGGTGATGGTGAAGGTGATAAGAATGGTGGTGACGGTGATGAGGATGGTGATGATGTAGATGGTGATGATGGTGATGGTGAAGGTGATGAGGATGGTGATGGTGAAGATATTGATGGTGATGAAAATGGCAATGATGGTGATGATGAAGGTGATGAGGATGGTGATGATGGTGATGGTGAAGGTGGTGAAGATGGTGATGGTGATGTAAATGGTGATGATGGTGATGGTGAAGGTGATAAGGATGGTGATGATGGTGATGAAGATAGCAGTGATGGTGATAGTGAGGGGATGAAGATGGTGATTTGGTGATGGTAGTGATGAAGATGGTGATGATGATGGTGATAGTAGTGAAGATGGTGATGGTGATGAAGATGGCAATGATAGTTATTGTGAAGAAATGATGATGGTAATGACAGTGATGGAGATGAAGATGGTGATGAGGATAGTGATGAGGATGGTGATGATGGTGATAAAGATGGTGATGATGGTGATGGTGGTGAAGATGGTGATGAGGATGGTGATGATGGTGATGAGGATGGTGATGATGGTGATGAAGATGGTGATAATGATGGTGATAGTGGTGAAGATGGTGATGGTGATGAAGATGGCAATGATAGTGATTGTGAAGAAATGATGGTGATGATGGTGATGGTGATGAAGATGGTGAGGAGGATGGTGAGGATCGTGATGAAGATGGTGATGGTGATGAAGATGGTGATTGTGAAGTGATAAGGATGGTGATGATGATGGTGACGGTGGTGAAGATAGAGATGGTGATGAAGACGGCAATGATGATGATCATGAAGGGATGATGATGGTGATGATGGTGATGGAGATGAAGATAGTGGTGGTGATGGTGAAGGTGATGGTGATGATGGTAGTGATGGTGATGAAGGTGATGATGGTGATGTTGGTGATGATGGTGATAGTGATGATGATAATTATCATGGTAATAAGGGTGATGAGCACTAGTTATAACACCACATTAAGTGTATATAACCCATTTGGCCTCTTGTTGTGCTTTCCTAGAAATCATCTGCAATGGATGTTGGAGTTGATTCTCCATTATTCCCACCCCTCCCCAGCTATGTAGCACCATGTGGTTTGGGAGGGGATTGAATCTACCATGAGCTTTTGGAGTAGCCCTTATTTTAGCCCATTCTGGATGAGTCCATCCATCAACGACTGTGACTGGATCAGGTAACCCAAGACTAAGCCAACCAGCTCAGGACAGTTCCTGAGGCCCCTGTCCAGTGGCCAGGTGGCCTTGCTTAGCAGTGGTCCCATGAGAAGCAAAGAGAGTTTACTAAAGGCTTCTGGGAAAGGGACCTTGCTCCCTGGGGATAACTACACTTCTGGAAGCCAGCCCTCACTTTCCTTCTGAACGATGAGGTGGGTGAATGGGAAGCTTGGGAGGCAGTGTTGGGAAGAGGCTGCTGCTGCAAAGTACAGAAATGGACAGAACCTGGGTCTTTGAAGGCCTCGTTGAATTCCTGAATTCAACCCACCCCAAGGTTCCCTATGGTGTACTTGACATTGGTGGCCCCCAAAGAGCCTCAGACACTGGCCTGGCTCCCCACTTGTGTAGTTCCTTCTGCGTTGGCTCTGGGCCTGGCTGTGTGGCTGGGTTTGGCCAATGGTACATTAGCAAGTGTGATGCCAGGAGAGGCTGGAGAAGCACTTGTCCACTGGGAGCGGGTCCTTCTTGGCGCCCAGCCACCATGCAGTGGGGAAGCCCAAGCAGTCATGTGGAGGGACTCCTGGGGGTGGAGCTGGGACTCCTGGCCAGTGGCATCCCTGAGTGCCAGGCCGGTGGCCACCACCAACCACCCTGTGTGGAAATCAGCCATCCCAGCCAACACCATGGGAGGGAGGAGGCCTGCCCCATCAACCCACAGAACCATGAGGAAGAGTGAATTTTTTTGTCAAGGCACTCTGTTTGAGGTGGTTTGTTATGTAACAATAAATAACCAAAATACCCGAGTACCAGTTATTGGAGCCAAGAAATCCTTATTGAATGGGTTGGGAATTGTCTCTGGCTCCAAATCTCTATCCCTTCCAGCGACCCTGGACAGCAAGCTGGGAAAACGAGACACTCCCACATCACAAATGGTGAGCCTGGACTGCCAGTCCCTAGGGCAGAACCTCCAGATTTACAAAATAGTCTCCTGTGTGAGCGTGAACTGTCTTCCAAGAGGGGTTTCCCCAGGTTCCTAGCACTGCGTGGGTATGAACTTTCTTCCGAGAGGGGTTTCCCCAGGTTCCTAGCACTGTGTGGGTGTGAACTGTCTTCCGAGAGGGGTTTCCCCAGGTTCCTAGCGCTGCGTGGGTGTGAACTGTCTTCCGAGAGGGGTTTCCCCAGGTTCCTAGTGCTGCACGGGTGTGAACTGTCTTCCGAGAGGGGTTTCCCCAGGTTCCTAGCTCTGTGTGGGTGTGAACTGTGTTCCGAGAGGGGTTTCCCCAGGTTCCTAGCGCTGCGTGGGTGTGAACTGTCTTCCGAGAGGGGTTTTCCCAGGTTCCTAGCGCTGTGTGGGTGTGAACTGTGTTCCGAGAGGGGTTTCCCCAGGTTCCTAGCGCTGTGCGGGTGTGAACTGTGTTCCGAGAGGGGTTTTCCCAGGTTCCTAGCACTGTGTGGGTGTGAACTGTCTTCCGAGAGGGGTTTCCCCAGGTTCCTAGCGCTGTGTGGGTGTGAACTGTGTTCCGAGAGGGGTTTCCCCAGGTTCCTAGCGTTGTGTGGGTGTGAACTGTGTTCCGAGAGGGGTTTCCCCAGGTTCCTAGCTCCGTGTGGGTGTGAACTGTCTTCCGAGAGGGGTTTCCCCAGGTTCCTAGCGCTGTGTGGGTGTGAACTGTGTTCCGAGAGGGGTTTCCCCAGGTTCCTAGCGTTGTGTGGGTGTGAACTGTCTTCCGAGAGGGGTTTCCCCAGGTTCCTAGCTCCGTGTGGGTGTGAACTGTCTTCCGAGAGGGGTTTCCCCAGGTTCCTAGCGCTGTGTGGGTGTGAACTGTGTTCCGAGAGGGGTTTCCCCAGGTTCCTAGCTCCGTGTGGGTGTGAACTGTCTTCCGAGAGGGGTTTCCCCAGGTTCCTAGCGCTGTGTGGGTGTGAACTGTGTTCCGAGAGGGGTTTCCCCAGGTTCCTAGCGCTGTGTGGGTGTGAACTGTCTTCTGACAGGGGGTTTCCCAGGTTCCTAGCACTGTGTGGGTGTGAACTGTCTTCTGACAGGGGGTTTCCCAGGTTCCTAGCGCTGCACGGGTGTGAACTGTCTTCTGACAGGGGGTTTCCCAGGTTCCTAGTGGGAGTGTTTTGTTGACACGTGAAGTCTGTGTGATAAATAACACAGGGCCCTGGGAGTCAGAGATTGCTAAAGCCTCGTGGAAGAGCTCTGTAAGGCATCATGTGTTTCGGGGTCCTTTCCGAGGAACATGGAACTCGTATGAATTTTCAGGCTGGCTTTGTCAGTCAACATGGATCATGCTTCCTCCATGGCACACGTCCCTATAGGCATGCTACATGCACAGCCTGGTTTGCCCCTTGCAATCACCCCTCATGGCAGGTCCCTGCGGACTTGAGGGCCAGAGGCCCCTAGGAGCCTGGCTGTATGCTGGGTCCTGTCTGGGTGCCTGTAGGAGGCAGAGACAGGGCAGAGTAGATTTGGCACCTGCTCTTGAGCAGCCCCCAAATTCCAGACCTGAAGGAGTTTCAGCACCAAAGCAGGAACCCGGGGAAGCTTCCAGAAGGCAGCAGGGCTTGAATGGCTTGGACTAGCCTCTGTGCCTCTGAGCTTCCTGGTCCAGAGAGGTGATGATGCTTAGGACTGTTTTGCTGCACAGAAGAAGCTGAGTCAGGGCTCTCGGTGGCCGGTGAGCCAGGGGTGCTCCAGGATGAGTCCCGCAGGCATCCGCCAGCACGGGCAGGGAGGGAGGCAGCAGCTTTGCCTCAGACGCCTCTGGGCTCGGTCCCAGCCTGCTGCCTGCTGGCCACGTGACCTTGGCAAATGACGTGACGTCTCTGAGCTGCCTGTGGGCCACGTGACCTTTGCAAATGACATGACCTCTCTGAGCTTCAGGCCTGTTCCCTCTGTCCTTGAAGTTGGCGCAGTCAAAGGCAGAAAAGGGGCTGTCCCCAGGCAGAGCCCCCACCCACCGCCATTGCGCCTCCATTCCACAGGTGCCCCACGCTGTTCGGGTGGCAATGGCGGGACGTGTGCAGGGGCGGGAGGCTGTGCCAGAAGTGCACCAGGCAGGCAGTGGGTGAGGGCACCAGAGCCAGGAATGACTCCCAGAGGAGGGGGTGTTTGCAGCCCAGAGCTGGAGGTTCGGAGGTGCAGCCGGTGTGAAGGCTGGAGGGCTGGAAAGAGCCTTTCGTGGTTGGAACTGATCAGGTGGAGTGAGCAGGGAGGGAGGGAGGGGCTGAGTTGGGGTGGCAGTGGCTCTGGGGGCTGTGGTTTTCCAGCAGGGCACACAGACCCTTGGGATGCAGACCCTCTAGGGTCCCTCAGACAGGGTCCACAGTCCCAGGTCTGCATTCTCAGAACTGCCATTGAGGCCACCTGTCCTCTTCATCAGAGAAGGCACACTCACTCACACACCTGGGTCCTGCCTGCACAGATTGCAGTCACCTCACAACGGCATGGCCAGATGCTTCTTATAAACAAGGCACTACAGGCTGGGCATGATGGCTGATGCCTGTAATCCCAGAGCTCTAGGAGGCTGAGGCAGGAGGATCACTTGAGCATAGGAGTTTGAGACCAGCCTGGGCCGCATAGCAAGACCCTAATCTCTACAAAAAAAAAAAAAAAAAATTAGCTGGGCCTGGTGGCTCATGCAGCTACTCAGGAGGCTGAGGCAGGAGGATCACGTGAACATAGCCTGGGCAGCATAGCAAGACCTCAAGCTCTACAAAAAAACAGAAAATTAGCCAGGTGTGGTGGTGCTTGCCTGTGGTCCCAGCTACTCAGGAAGCTGAGATGGGGGGATCGCTTCAGTCCAGGACTTTGAGAGCAGCCTGGGCAACATAGCAAGACACTAATCTCTGCAAAGAACAAAAAATTAGCCAGGCCTGGTGGCTCATGCAGCTATTCAGGAGGCTGAGATGGGAGGATCGCTTGGGTCTGGGAGTTGGAGGCTGCAGTGACCCAGGGTCGTCACTGCAATCCAGCCTGGACAACAGAGCAAGACCCTGTCTCAAAAAATAAAAATAAATAAATAAATAAATAAATAAGGCGCTACATATAAATCAGTGTAAATATAAAACACACTAAATGATGTATTTCGAAAATAGCTTTACTTCTTCAATTGAATAATTACTTACCAAAAATGTTAATGTATAAACGTTTAGTTAACTGTCTGCTAACACTAAAAAGAAATCCTGAAGAAAAATATGATGCTTATAACCTTGTGTTCACAGGGAAAATAATTCCAAACATTCAACGCGTCTTTTACAAGGAAGCATGATAGGGAGATCAAAAAATATTAAGATACGTTTTAAATTAAAACATTTTTACATTGGGATAAATTCTGTGGGAAATGGGCTAGAAATACTCATTCGAGGAGAAAAGGAGCAGTGGAAACATTCTAAATGTTAAAAGCTTTTAAATTTTTATTTATTTATTTATTTTGAGACGGAGTCTCACTCTGTCACCCAGGCTGGAGTGCAGTGGCACGATCTCAGCTCACTGCAACCTCCACCTCCCAGATTCAAATGATGCTCCTGCCTCAGCCTCCCGAGTAGCTGAGATTACAGGTACCCGCCACCATGCCAGGCTAATTTTTGTATTTTTAGCAGAGACCAGGTTTTACCAGGTTGGCTAGGCTGGCCTTGAACCCCTGACCTCAGGCGATCCACCTGCCTCGGCCTCCCAAAGTGCTGGGATTACAGGTGTGAGCCACCGTGCCTGGCCAAATGTTAAAAGTTCTTAAATTTTCTCCGTGATATCTTGTTTTGGTGAGTGTCCAATCCCTATGGGTTTATATTTCATTTATTTATTTATTTATTTTTTCAGATGGAGTCTTACTCTTGTCACCCAGGCTGGAGTGCAATGGTGCAGTCTTAGCTCACTGCAACCTCTGCCTTCTGGGTTCAAGTGACTCTTCTGCCTCAGCTTCCTGAGTAGCTGGGATTACAGGCACTGCCACCACGCCTGGCTAATTTTTTTGTTTGTTTGTTTTTTTGAGACGGAGTCTCACTCTGTTGTCCAGGCTGGAGTGCGGTGGCGTGATCTCGGCTCACTGCAACCTCCGCCTCCTGGGTTCAAGTGATTCTCCCGCCTCAGCCTCCTGACTAGCTGGGATTACGGGCACGCACCACCATGCCCAGCTAATTTTTGTATTTTTGTAGAGATGGAGTTTTGCCATGTTGGCCAGGCTGGTCTCAAACTCCTGACCTCAGGTGATCTGCCTGCCTCAGCCTCCCACAGTGCTGGGATGACAGACGTGAGCCACCATGCCCTGCCTATGGGTTTATATTTCATTGGCTATGTTTAAAAGAGAGAAGGGCAGTTAAAATACCAACTTTCACAATAGGCCAGAAATTACTCCTTTTTGCAACTACCTAAACTTGTAATGAAACATTATAGATGCTAACTTAAAAACAAGTGAAGAGGTACGTAGTTTAAGATTTTTTTTTTTTTAATTTTGGAGGTAGAGTCTCGATATGTGGCCCAGGCTGGAGTTCAGTGGTGTGATCATAGCTCACTGCAGCCTCAACCTCCCAGCCTCAAGCAATCCTCCCACCTCAGCCTCCCAAGTACCTGGGACCACAGGTGCGCACCACCACACCCGGCTAATTTTTAAATTTTTTGTAGAGCTGGGGTCTTGATGTGTTGCTCGAGCTGGTCGCAAACTTCTGGCCTCAAGCAGCGTCTCAAAGCACCGGATTACAGGTGTGAGCCACCATGCCCGGCCATAATGAAGCATTTTAGGTGCTAACTGAAAAACAACATGCGAGGAGGTTTTTTTTTTTTTTTTTTTTTTTTTTGGAGACGAAGTCTCGTTGTTGCCCAGGCTGGAGTGCAGTGGTGCGATCTCGGCTCACTGCAGGCTCTGCCCCCCCAGGTTCATGCCATTCTCCTGCCTCAGCCTCCTGAGTAGCTGGGACTACAGGCGCCTGCCACCTCGCCCGGCTAATTTTTTGTATTTTTAGTAGAGACGGGGTTTCACTGTGTTAGCCAGGATGGTCTCGATCTCCTGACCTTGTGATCCACTTGTCTCGGCCCCCCAAAGTGCTGGGATTACAGGCATGAGCCACCGCGCCTGGCCTGGAGGTACGTGTTTTAAGAAAACTCTTTGGATAGCAAATGGGTGGTTATTCATGGTTATGGGATTAAAGACCGGACGGAGTGGGAGCTGCTGGGGGGTGTTGGGATCATAGAGGGGGCATGGATGGGAGAGGACGAGGAGGCTACGGGGCAGCAGGAGAGGCCAGGAGAGTTGTCCCAGCCACAGGTGATGCTGGCTTGGGTGGGCTGGAGACGGGACAGTGGACAGACTGGGTGATGGCCCTTGGTTAGACCAACGGGTTTTGCTGAGGACCTGACATGGGAGGGTGAGAACGGGAGTGAGGAAGGCTGATCCGCAGGTTGGGGGTTGCTGGTGCCCCCAACCCCGGAGGAGGTGGGCAGGCAGGCTGGTTTTGGCCACAAGAGTTTGGGCGCCCTGTAGGACGTGGGAGAGAGGGGACAGGTGGTCGGCTGTGTGGCTCTGGCCGGCCATGTTGCGTCCCATGCCCCTTTCTTCCCCACCTCTGGGTGGCCCCTTTGGTGTTTCACTTTTGTGGAAGCTGAGCAGCCTGGGCCAGGAGTGGGGGGCAGTGTCACCCCTGCCAGGGCCCCCGGCTCCCTGCCAGGTGTACCGCTGCCGCCCTCAGCCCAGGGCCCTTCGCCTGTGATCCTGCCGGGTGTGAGCTCAGCTAATGGCCTTTTTGGATTTGGACCCTCTTCCTGTTATGATCGGGCGGATGGCCAATTTAAGCATTTAAATCTTGGTTTTAATTTAGTTTGGTTAACATGGCTTAGTCTTAATTACCTGTGCAGTAGCGGCCCCGTCGTAGGATGCTGAGCACTCTGAGCCATTTCATCATCGTGTGATTTCATGCATCTCATTGTGAGTTCAGGGGTTCAGAGGGAGAAGCGTGAAGCCATTTCTAAGTGATGTTTTTATGGGAAACAAGGTTTAATTGTGTGGAAATAGCCATGATTCTGCACGCAGCCCCATTAGGAAACGAGCTCCGCTCTTCTTTCAGTTACTCCAGAGCTGTCATTAGCTCGGGGCCAAGAAGAAGGAGGAACCATTTTCTGTGTCTTCCTGCCCCACCATCGAGCTGCTTGGCACTTGGAATTGCAGAAGCAGAAAAGTTCATGAATTTGGATTTCCCCAGGTTTAGAATTTATGCACCGTCCTTCTAGAATCACTGAAATTGTTCTCTTAAAACGTAGCACTCAGGCCAGGCGCGGTGGCTCACGCCTGTAATCCCAGCACTTTGGGAGACCAAGGCGGGAGGATCGCTTGAATCCAGGAGTTTGAGACCAGCCTGGGGAACATAGGAAGACCCTGTCTCTACAGTAGATTCAAAAATCAGCTGAGCATGGTGGTGCACCTGTGGTCCCAGCTACTTGGGAGGCCGAGGTAGGAGGATTGCTTGAGCCCAGGAGGTTGAGGTTTCAGTGAGCTATGATTGCACCACTGCACTTCAACCTGGGAGGCAGAGCAAGACTCTGCCTCTTAAAAAAAAAAATAGCGTGCAGTTGGGGTTACTGAGCAACATGTTGGTGACGAAGGAGCCGGAATCTCAGCTGTGGGCCTCGTGGGGTCAGGTGCACACTTGGACTTTGCTGTCAGCTCCTGCCCTTTCCGGGTACCCTGGCATCACTGCTCTGAAAACAGGGACCAGATCGGGGCTGGGCCACAGAGCCCCAGAGGGGTCTGACTGGCGAGTGGACGGCAACCTGCCTGTACTCCCTGGGGCTCAGGGAGCACCCCCGCATGCTGACCTCACGGTCCCCTCCCAGTAGACGCACATCCGGGATCCCAGGGTCCCCTGGGAGCCCCAGGCCTCTCCCCAGGGCACTGGAACACAGGCCTGGAGGCTGGAGGGCTTGGAACTCGTCTCACTGCCTCCCAGGCCCTCCCAGACTTTATTCCCTGAACAGCTTCAGAGAAACAGCCTGTCCGTGACGGCTGTGGGACTGGCTTTGAGTCTTGACCTCCCAGGCTTGAGTGATCCTCCCATCTTAGCCTCCTGAGTAGCTGGGACCACAGGGGCTCGCCATCACACCCGGCTAATTATTTTTATTTTTAGTAGAGACAGGGTCTTGCTATGTTGCTTGGGCTGGTCTTGAACCCCTGGGCTCAAGCAATCCTCCTGCCTCGGCCTCCCAAAGTGCTGGGATTACAGGCTTGAGCCACTGCGCCCAAGTAGACTGAGTGAGATTGATCTTTCTTCTAAGAAATCTGCATAGGTGAGATCTTAGAAGCATTGCAGCCTGGCTCAGAAACACCTGGGTCTCGCCTGTACCTGGATCCCTCCTGCCGCGTCTTCGGCTCTCTCTGCTCCTTTCTGTAGGAGGGAGAGGACCGGACTTGGGTGCTGCAGGCCGGGTTCTCATGCTGTGCCTGCTGCCTGCCGAGTGACCTTGGGTGGGTGCTGCCCTCTCTGGCCTCCGCGAGGGGTGTGAGGGGAGGATGTGGTGGAGGAGGCATCCCTGCCAGATTTCTCTTCCGGATTTCTAAATCAGGGATCTGCAGTGAATCACGGGGCCCTTTGCCCTCACTCGTCCACACTGCGCCTTATTTATAGAGGCTGAAGAGACGGCTCATTGCGGAGAAGAGGCTTGTCTTGGGTCACCTTTTCAGGGTCTCACATCTCCCCATCGTGAGACGGGGTGGCCTGGGCGGCCTCTGAGCAGGCCCAGGACTCAGCTCTGCAGCACACGGGACCCTTTGGCCGACGGCACTGCCCGGTCCAGCCTCTTTGGGGCCCGCTTCCCTGGAAGGCTATGGGAGGTGTCTGGGGGAAGGGTCTGGCCCTGGTGCCTGCCCTCTGGGAGGGAGAGCTGGGGTTTGCCCTTTGCTGGGCTGTGGTCCAGCCACCCAGGCCCTGGTGGGTTGAAAGTCTCCCTGTCCGGAGGCCTGGGGGTGGACGCTCAGCTGCTGAGGCTGAGAACGGCCCTGCATTGCTTCCTTCCAGTTGTGGGCACTCGCATGGCCAGACTGGTGCCCCCTCAGTGCTGGGAGGGCTCCCTGGCAGCGGGGAGTGGAGGGTGGGCCCTCGGAGGGATGCTGGACCCCGGGATGGCGTCCGAGTGGGGCTTCCCTCCTGATGCAAGAGCCTGCAGGCAGAGAGGGCTTCCCGTGGAGACCCCCCTCAGCCTCTGCACACCCAAGGAGGAGCAAAACCCCGTTCCGAATGTGCGCGCCTCAGTTTCCCCACCTCATTGTGTACCTCCAGCTCCTCACAGTGTGGGGTGGAGCAGGAGCCGGGAGTGAGTGATTCCAGCAGGATTTTAAGAGCATCACGGACATTTCAACGATGCCTTGAACAGGGGAGTCATTCTATAATATGAGGGTTCATCCTGACGCAGGTTGAACATCCCGCCTGTCGGTGCCCTGTGCTGCCTGCCTGTGTAGGTGAGGGCACAGGAGGGGGTGCATGTGGCCCGTGACTTAGCACCTCTGTTTGTCTGCAAGATGAAGACTTAGGGCTTAGTGTAGTGGGCCGTGTAGCAGCCGCCCCTAGCTTCGTAGCACTGGGCAGCCGGCATTTCATCATGCTCACGGGTTTGTGGGTGGGAATTCGAATGGCACAGTGTGGATGGCTTGTCCCTGCCCCGCGATGTCTGGGACCTCAGCTGGAAAGGCTGGTGTGACTTGGGGCGACGGGAGTGGCTGGGGGTTGGATAATATGGAGGTGCCACTGGGCACCCTGAACCCTGTGCATCTGTGTAAGGCCTCACGGGGGCTTGAGCTCCCTCACAACATGGCCGCCTCAGCTGACAGACCTCCTGCCTGGCAGCTCTGGGCTTTAATAGCTGGTATTCCAGGAAGCTGCGACTTTTTTTTTTTTCAAGATGGAGTCTCGCTCTGTCGCCCAGGCTGGAGTGCAGTGGCGCAATCTTGGCTCACTGCAACCTCCACCTCCCCAGTTCAAGTGATTCTCCTGCCTCAGCCTCCCGAGTAGCTGGGATTACAGGCCTGCGCCACCATGCCCAGCTAATTTTGTATTTTTATTAGAGACTGGGTTTCTTCATGTTGGTCAGACTGGTCTCGAACTCCCAACCTCTGGTGATCTGCCTGCCTCGGCCTCCCAAAGTGCTGGGATTACAGGCATGAGCCACTGTGCCTGTCCAAAGCTATGACTTTTTATGAGTGAGCTGCGAAGGATCGTCCAGTTGTTCTCACGCTTTCCTCCCTGAAGGACGCAGGGTCCAGGTCTTATTCCTTTAGGGATTCCCCGTGCCTCGCGCTGCCTAAGCTCATGGTTTTAAAGTGTGTCCTGGGAGGTGGAAGGTGTGAGTAAATCTTGCGGTATTTCTCATCCAAAATTGTAAATGTAAATTGTCATGCCAATGCAGTTTGAAGATGGCATGAAAGAGTGACTGAATATAGTATCAGGAAGTTTAAAATTAAAGACTGTTGTCTTTCTCTTTTGCAATGGCAGAGTCTGATTATTTTCAAGGTAATTATAGCATTCATACCAACGGCCAATGTGCTCAGCACTTGATGGAATACCGGCTATGTGCCAGGCTCTGCCGTACACAGAATTCCAGGTACTACTCCACATCCCAGTGAAGTGCGGGGTTAGCACCATCCATCCTTTACAGAAGGGGAAACTGAGGCTCAGAGTGGCAAAATCACTGCTCAAGACAAGGTGGCGGGACGGGGATTTGAACCCAGGACAGATGACTGCGACCCACGGTCTCACTGCCCCCTCCACGCCCTGCTGTGGTGAACCGAGTGTGCTGCCTGATAAACCAGCTAGTTTTTAGGAAATGGGGTTGACTGGGGTCTTGCGGCAGGGGGCAGAGTTTGTTTCTTTCTTTTTTTTTTTTTTTTTGAGACGGAGTCTCGCTCTGTCGCCCAGGCTGGAGTGCAGTGGCGGGATCTCGGCTCACTGGCTCACTGCAAGCTCCGCCTCCCGGGTTCACGCCATTCTCCTGCCTCAGCCTCCCAAGTAGCTGGGACTACAGGCGCCCGCCACTACGCCCGGCTAATTTTTTGTATTTTTAGTAGAGACGGGGTTTCACCGTTTTAGCCGGGATGGTCTCGATCTCCTGACCTCGTGATCCGCCCGCCTCGGCCCCCCAAAGTGCTGGGATTACAGGCGTGAGCCACCGCGCCCGGCCGAGTTTGTTTCTTAAACAGCTTTACAGAGGTAGAATTCATATATGATAAAATTCACCCACTGTAAGTAGCCTATTCAGTGACTTTGAACGAATTTACAGAATTATGCCACCATCATCATGATCCAATTTTAGAGCGTTTCCATCATCCCAGAAAGTTCCCTTGTGCCTGTTTATGGTTAATCCTCACTTCCACCCCCGTCCACCATGAATCTGCCTGCATTTTCTGGACATTTGAAATAAACGGAGTCGGGTGGGTGCGGTGGCTCATGCCTGTCATCCTAACATTTTGGGAGGCTGAGGTGGGTGGATCGCTTGAGCTCAGGAGTTCAAGACCAGCCTAGCCAACATAGCAAGACCCGATCTCTACAAAAAATAGCTGGGTGTGGTGGTGCGTGCCTGGAGTCCCAGCCACTTGGGGAGGAGGGAGGAGGGCGGATCCCTTGAACCCGGGAGGTTGAGGCTGCAGTGAGCTGGATTGTGCCACTGTGCCCTAATCTGGGTGACAGAGTGAGACCCTGTCTCAAAAAAAGTGACAAAAGTAAATACATACATAAATAAATGGAGTCATTCAATATGTGACTCTAAAAATAAATAAAAAATAGTGATAATAAAAGTAAATAAATACATAAATAAATGGAGTCATTCAATACGTGACTAAAAATAACACAGTGATAATAAGTAAATAAACACATAAATAGAGTCGTTCAATACGTGGTCTTTTGTGTCTGGCTTCTTTCACTCAGGGTGTTTTTTGAGGTTCATCCATATTTTAGCACATTTATGTACTTTCTTGACAATATCCCATTGTATGGATCTACTGTAATTTGATCACCGCCCGCTCCCTGCCATGGACCTGTGGGTTGTTGTCAGTTTGGAGCTATTATGAACAATACGGCGTCATCTGGGTTGTTTTCAGTTTGGAGCTATTATGAACAATACGGCACCATTTGGGTTGTTTTCGCTTTGGAGCTATTATGAACAATACGGCGTCATCTGGGTTGTTTGCTGTTCGGAGCTATTATGAACAATGCGGCATCATTTGTGTTGTTTTCTGTTTGGAGCTATTATGAACAATACGGCGTGAACAGCCTTATGCGTGTCTGTGTGAACGTACGTTTTCACTTCTCTGGAGTAGATTCCTAGGAGTGGAATTGCTGGGTCTTTTCCCGGCCTTTAAAGAATTCTCTTTTCCGGCCGGGCGCGGTGGCTCACGCCTGTAATCCCAGAACTTTGGGAGGCCGAGGCGGGCGGATCATGAGGTCGGGAGATGGAGACCATCCTGGCCAACACGGTGAAACGCCGTCTCTACTAAAAATACAAAAAATTAGCCGGGCGTGGTGGCGGGCACCTGTAGTCCCAGCTACTCGGAAGGCAGAGGCAGGAGAATGGCGTGAACCCGGGAGGCGGAGCTTGCAGGGAGCCAGATGGCACCACTGCACTCCAGCCTGGGCGACAGAGTGAGACTCAAAACAAAAAAAAAAGAATTGTCTCTTTTCCAAAGTGGCTGCACCATTTTGCATTTCCACCAGCAACGTATGAGGGTTCTCATTTCTCCACATCCTTGCTGGCATTTGGTATTGTCTGTCTTTTATTGTAGTCATTCTAGTGGATGCAAAGTGGTATTTCATTTGTGTCTGTGTGTGTGTGTGTGTGTGTGTGTGTGTGTGTGTGTGTGTGTTTGAGACAGAGTTTTGCTCTTGTTGCCCAGGCTGGAGTGCAATGGTGGGATCTCTGCTCACTGCAACCTCCACCTTCTGGGTTCAGGTGATTCCCCTGCCTCAGCCTCTCGAGTAGCTGGGATTACAGGCAGCTGCCACCACACCCGGCTAATTTTTGTATTTTTAGTAGAGATGGGGTTTCACCATGTTAGCCAGGTTGGTCTCGAACTCCTGACCTCAGGTGGTCCACCCGCCTCGGCCTCCCGAAGTGCTGGGATTACAGGCGTGAGCCACCGCGCCCAGCCTCTTTGTGGTTTTGATTCACATTTCCTGAATGACTAATGGGGTTGAACAGCTTTTCAGGTGTTTCTTAGCCAGTCGTTTAACTTCTTTGGTAAAATGTCTGTCCGAATCGTATGTCTATTTTAAGATTGAGTTCTTGGTCTTATTATGGAGTTGTAAGTGTTCTTTATATGTTCTGGATACAAGTCCTTTACCAGACACAGGGTTTACAGATATTTTCCCCAGTCTGTGGTTTGCTGTCTTCATTTTCTTAATGGTGTTTTTTGAAGTGCAAAAATTTTTATTTTGATGAAGTTCAATTTATCTTTTTTTTTTTTTTCGAGACGGAGTCTCGCTCTGTTGCCCAGGCTGGAGTGCAATAGTACGATCTCGGCTCACTGCAACCTGCGCCTCCCGGGTTTAAGTGATTCTCCTTCCTCAGCCTCCTGAGTAGCTGGGACTACAGGCGCATGCCACCACGCCTGGCTAACTTTTTTATTTTTAGTAGAGATGGGGTTTCACCATGTTGGCCAGGCTGGTCTCAAACTCCTGACCTTGTGATCCGCCCACCTTGACCTCCCAAAGTGCTGGGATTACAGGTGTGAGCCACTGCACCCGGCCAGTTTTTCTTTCTTTTTTTCTTTTTAAGGATGGATTCTTGCTCTGTTGCCCAGGCTGGAGTGCAGTGGCGCGATGATCATGGCTCACCGCAGCCTCGAATTCCTGGGCTCGAGCAGTTCTCTGCCTCAGCCTCCTGAATAGCTGGGACTACATGCTTGCACCACCATGCCAGGCTAATTAATTTTTTAATTTTTTTGTAGAGATGGGGTCCCACTCTGTTGCCCAGGCAGGCTGAGAGCTCCTGGCCTCAAGCCATCCTCCCGCCTTGGCCTCTCAAAGTGCTGGGATTACAGGCGTGAGCCAGTATGCCTGGCAGTTTTATCTTTTTTCAATTATGCTTTTGCGGTTACATCTAAAATCTCTTTGCTTCACCCACATTAATGAAGATTTTCTCTGATTTTGTCTTCTTTTATAGTTTCAGCTCTTACATTTAGGACTGTCATCCATTTTGAGTTACTTTCTGTGTGAGGAGTGAGTAAGTGTCCAAGTTCATTGTTCTTAGTGGGTATCCAGTTGTCCCAGCACGATTTGTTGAAAGCACTCTTTCTTTCCCCATTGACTTGCCTTGGCACCCTGGTTGGAAATCAGTTGACCACAAATGTAAGGGTGGATTTCTGGCCTCTCAGTACAAATCCGTTTTACTAATACCACCACCGTCTTGATTACAGTGGTTTTGTAGTAGGTTTTCAGATCAGGTAGTCAAAGTCCCCCTACTCCGTTCCTTTTCAAAACTGTCTCGGCTATTTCCAAGTGCCCTTACATTTCTGTATGAATTTCATTTTTTAAAATTTTTATTTATCTTTTTGAGACAGAGTCTCGCTCTGTCACCCAGGCTGGAGTACAGTGGCGCGATTTTGGCTCAACACAACCTTCACCTCCCAGGCTCAAGCGATTCTCCTACCTCAGTCTCCCGAGTAGCTGGGATTACAGGTGCCCACCACCACATCTGGATAATTTTTGTATTTGTAATAGAGACGGGGGTTTCACCATGTTGGCCAGGATGGTCTCGAACTCCTGACCTCAAGTGATCCGCCCGCTTCAGCCTCCCAAAGTGCTGGGACTACAGGCGTGAGCCCCCGCGCCCGGCCGCATGTGAATTTTAGGGTCAGCTTAGCAGTTGTAAGAGTGTGTGTTGAATTGATAGATCAGTTTGGTGTCATCTTGTCAATATTGAATCTTCTCAATAAAGATTGTATTTAGATCTTTAACTTCTCAGCAGTATTTCGAAGTCCTGCCCGTCTTCTCGTAAATGTTTCCCCTGCATTTCATTCCTTTCAATGTCATTACGAGGAAGACAATGTTCTTAGCAGGGCTGGCTGGCATTGAGGAAGGGTCGCCAGTAGGCAAGAATGTCTGAGCCTGGCGAGGAGAGAGCCCTGTGCCCCGTGATGTGTCTAGGAGAGACCCTCGGGGAGAGGCAGGTGGCTGAGTGCACAGAGGAGTTGCTGAGCCGACTTCACCTGTCCCGAGGCCCCCGGGGGACGATCTGTCAGCCCCAGTGAAGGGAGCTGGGGGAGCTCTCCAGACTGGTTTTTAATTATGTGAGGTGTGTTCACCACCAACTTCAGTAGGATGCCTCCGGGACCTGTTTAGGGGAAAAGCAATTCCACAGCTAAACATTCGTTGCCCTGTTTATCCGGGCATGGGGCTGAAATTCAAATTAAAATGTGCCAAGTCGAGGAGCTCACAGGGGTTTCTAAAGATATTTTAGGCTTTCAGTCCCAGGCTCATTCCAAGGTGTTTATTAAGTGCCTGCTGGGTGCCCACGCGGGCCTGGGCCAGGCACACAGACAACGCTGGTGCTTGCCAGCTAGGTGGGCACAGGGTCCTGCCCCGCGTCTTCTCCGCCGGCGGGGCAGGATGAGAACACGGGGCACCATAGGAAGAGGACACACTCCTCTATGTCATGCACTTCAGAGGCTGCAGAAGACAATCTGGGCGTCCACACGGAGCTGCCCCCCATGCAGGGTTCTCATTGTCCAACACAAGCTCTGTGCTGCCTGTTTTAGCCCCCATCTTCCCTGTTATTTATTTATTTATTTATTTTTTTAGATGGAGTCTCTCTCTTGTCCCCCAGGCTGGAGTGCAGTGGTGCGATCTCGGCTCACTGCAACCTCCACCTCAGGTTCAAGCGATTCTGCTGCCTCAGCCTCCTCAGTAGCTGGGATTACAGGCACCTGCCACCACACCCGGCTAATTTTTTGTATTTTTAGTAGAGACGGAGTTTCACTATGTTGGCCAGGCTGGTCTCGATCTCCTGACCTCAGGTGATCCACCCACCTCGGCCTCCCAAAGTGCTGGGATCACAGGCGTGAGCCACCGCACCCGGCCCATTATTTGCTCTTGATTCTTTTAAAGGTGCACTGAAGATTTACAAATATCAGGAAATGAACATTTTATTTTTTCCTTAGGTTTAAAGACTGTATAAAGCATTTTAATAAACATGATTTGTTTGTTTGTTTTTTTGAGACAGAGTCTTACTCCTTCACCCAGGCTGGAGTGCAGTGGCGCAATCTCGGCTCATTGCAATCTCCACCTCCCTGGTTCAAGCGATTCTCCCGCCTCAGCCTCCCAAGTAGCTGGGATTACAGGTGCGCCACCATGCCCAGCTAATTTTTGTATTTTTAGTTAGAGACGGGATTTCACCATGTAGGCTAGACCTCTGCCTCCGAAGCTCAAGCGATCCTCCCACCTCAGCCTCCCGAGGAGCCGGGACTACAGGTGTGCACCACCACGCCCGGCTAATTTTTGTATGTTTTTGTAGAGATGGGGTTTCGCGGTGTGGCCCAGGCTGGTCTCAAAGTCCTGAGCTCAAACCGTCCACCCGCCTTAGCCTCCCAAAGTGCTGGGATTAGGTGTGAACCACCACACCTCACCTCCTTCAAGGTTTCTGACTGGTCCTGGAGCTTGGCCTGTCCCGGCACTCCCCACCCCCCACCTTCAGCACCTGGCCCCTTCCCTCACGGCCGTTCTTTCCCACTCGCCGTGGTTTGCGGGGTCACAGTTGTTGAGGAAGTTGCAGACACCTGGGAGCTGCTCTTGATAGCAGGGAGTTTGGCGTGTGATACCCATTCCTCACCCAGGAGGGAGGGGCGTGCAGGTGCAGAGACAGAGAGATGGACCCGACCCGTCAGGTCCCGCCGGCCCCCTCCCCAGCAGGCTTCTACAGCACAGCCTCTGTGAGGGTGGAAATGCTTCTGTCTGAGCTGCTGTCCTCACAGTGGCCACGGGCTGGGGAGGTGCTGGCCACCTGGGGTCACTGTGTTCCAGCAGTTGAGAGAGGCAGAGCATTGGCTGTCAGAAAGGACCATTCTGGGTGGGGCAGGAGGGGCCCCAGGACCAGCCCTCATTGGCAGGGCTGGCAGGAAACCCCCCACCCCTGGTGAAGGAGCCCCAGCATCCGGTGGGCACAGTGGGCACAGTCCGGTGGAGGACGTGAGGGCGCGGCCGGTGGAGGACGTGTGGGCGCGGCCGGTGGAGGACGTGAGGGCGCGGCCGGTGGAGGACGTGTGGGCGCGGCCGGTGGAGGACGTGTGGGCGCGGCCGGTGGAGGACGTGTGGGCGCGGCCGGTGGAGGACGTGAGGGCGCGGCCGGTGGAGGACGTGAGGGCGCGGCCGGTGGAGGACGTGAGGGCGCGGCCGGTGGAGGACGTGTGGGCGCGGCCGGTGGAGGACGTGAGGGCGCGGCCGGTGGAGGACGTGTGGGCGCGGCCGGTGGAGGACGTGAGGGCGCGGCCGGTGGAGGACGTGTGGGCGCGGCCGGTGGAGGACGTGAGGGCGCGGCCGGTGGAGGACGTGAGGGCGCGGCCGGTGGAGGACGTGTGGGCGCGGCCGGTGGAGGACGTGTGGGCGCGGCCGGTGGAGGACGTGAGGGCGCGGCCGGTGGAGGACGTGAGGGCGCGGCCGGTGGAGGACGTGAGGGCGCGGCCGGTGGAGGATGTGTGGGCGCGGTGCTGGTACTTTTACAATGCTTCGTGAACCTGCTGTCCGTAGCTCTGTTTCACAGATGGGGAAACTGAGGCCTGGCGATTAAGTGGCCTGCTGAAATCATCCAGCTAGTAAGTGTCGGAGCTGTGATTTGGACCAACTCCTGCCTCCAAAGCTCATTCACCTCCTTACCTTTGCACTGAGCTCCAGAAAACCTGAGGCTTCCCCGTCTCCCTCGCTGTGCCTTCTCTCCCCTGCTCAAAGACCGTCCTGCAGCCATCATGGAGGGAGAAGCCCTTTTTCCTAAGCTGTTCACAGGATAGTCTGGGAGGGCCTGGGAGGCAGCGGAGGAGTCCCGAGCCTTCCGGGCTCCAGGCCTGGGTTCCAGTGCCCTGGGGAGAGGCCTAGGGCTGCCAAGGGGCCCTCGGGTCCCAGCTGTGCGTCTGCCAGGAGAGGACTGTGGAGTCAGTGTTGGGGACGCTCCCTGAGCCCCAGGGGGGTGCAGGCAGGTTGCCGTCCACTCCGATCCTTCTGAGGCTCTGTGGCCCAGGCCTGCTGCTCTGACCCCTGTTTTCAGAGCAGCGATGCCACAGTCTGCCTGGGCGCGAACATGACATCTGGCCCAGATCCGGAACATTCAGGGCCAGTCTGGTCCTGAGATGTGGAAGCTGCCAGGGGAGGGCTGGGCCTTGGGGCCCACAGGGACCCCTGCTCAGCTGGTTTCCAGCCTGTGGAATGTGGGTCCCAGGGTGTCAGATCTTGATTTTTCCAGAGAAGCTGGAAGTCCGGTTTTTTGGTGAAATCTCCTAATTTTATTTATTGTTTTAAATTTTACCTTGAAAATAGTTCACACAGAAACGTTGCAAGGAGAGTATCATGAAGCCCTGTGTACCCTTTGCCACTCAGCATTTTGGGACGTATTTGTGCTGCATTTGCTTCATCAGTTCTGTGTTCTACATTCGCATACTGTTATTTTTACTCTTTTTATTATTTGGATCATTTGAGAGTAAGTTGCAGGCTGGGTGCGGTGGCTCACACCTGTGATCCCAGCACTTTGGGAGGCTGAGGTGGGCGGATCGCTTGAGGTCAGGAGTTCGAAACCAGCCTGGCCAACGTGGTGAAACCCCGACTCTACTAAAAACACAAAAATTAGCCAGACATGGTGGCGGGTGCCTGTAATCCCAGCTACTCGGGAGGCTGAGGCAGGGGAATCACTGGAACCCTGAAGGCAGGGGTTGCAGTGAGCCAAGATCGCTCCATTGCACTCTAGCCTGGGTGAAAGAGCGAGACTCCACCTTAAAAAAAAAAAAAACAGTAAGTTGCAGACACCAGGACCCCACGCCTTAAATGCTTCACTGGGTGTCTCCTAAGAACAAGCAGGAAAATCATCACAGGCACAGCGCTCACCCTGCACGCAGCACCCTGAGCTGAGCTGACCCCCACCCAAATTCAAACTCTGTCCCAGTTCTTTTTTTTTGGAGACAGGGTCTTGCTCTGTTGCCCAGGCTGGAGTGCAGTCATGAGATCACAGCTCACTGCATCCCCAACCTGCTGGGCTCAAGTGATCCTCCCGCCTTAGCCTCCCGAGTAGCTGAGCCACTGCACCTGGCTAAGTTGAAAAATGTTTTTTTTTGGGCCGGGTGCAGTGGCTCACGCCTGTAATCCCAGCACTTTGGGAGGCTGAGGCGGGCGGATCACAAGGTCAGGAGTTCGAGACCAGCCTGGCCAACACATTTGAAACCCCGTCTCTACTAAAAATACAAAAATTAGCCGGGCATGGTGGCAGGCGCCTGTAATCCTAGCTACTGGGGAGGCTGAGGCAGGAGAATGGCGTGAACCTGGGAGGCAGAGGTTGCAGTGAGCTGAGATCACACCATTGCACTGCAGCCTGGGAGGCAGAACTAGACTCCCTTTAAAAAAACAAAATTTATTTATTTTTTCTTGTACAGATGGGGTCTCATTATGTTGCCCAAACTCCTGGGCTCAAGCAGTTCCCCTGCCTCAGTCTCCCAAAGTGCTGCGATTACAGGTGTGAGCCACTGTGCCTGGTCCAAATCCCTGAGGAGCCCAGGCAGGTGGTTTACAAGGTCTTGGGTCTGCCTGTTTCCCGTGATTACACACAGCCTCCTTACTTTTGCTGGGAAGGCCGTGAACAGGAGCTGTGTCCTCGCTGCTCCCCTCCCCGACTTTTTCCAAGGTGGGCAGCTCCTTTAAATCACCTCAGGAACCTGGGAGGCCAGGCGGGCCCAACCTGCGTCCCAGCATTCAGCTGCCTTATTAAGCACAGAGTCTGAGCTCAATAAAATCAGGACCACAGGCATGCACCACCACACCCAGCTAATTTTGAAATTTTTTGTAGAGATGGGGTCTTGCTGTATTGCCCCGGCTGGTCTTGAACTCCTGGCCTGAAGTGATCCTCCCGCCTCGGCCTCCCAAAATGTTGGGACTACAGGTGTAAGCCACCATGCCCAGCCTGTATTACTTTTTAAATCTGAATTTGGTTTGTATAATTACATGAAATACTAATATGGCTCCCAAGTCGTGGGATATTACAGAAGTCTTGCCGCCTTCCTGGGTCCCGTCTCCTGTGCACAGAGCCCCTTCCTTTCACCTGTGGGTGACTATCTTAATATTTTCTGTGTCGATTTGCCTATGTGTGGTTTAAATAAGCAAATACGCACATGGAGTCACGGCCCCTCCTGCCTGTGTTAGATAGATGTTTGCACACGAGACACACTTTTCTCCACTTGGTGTTTTTCATTTGACATCATGTCCTGGAGATCACGTCTTTGCTGTTTATAGCGATATCTGGGGGAGGATTTTGACAGCGTGAAGGGTTTGTTTCTGAGCGTATTCCAGAGTCGGAGCAGTGGTGGGAGCAGAGAATGAATTCACACGCATGGCGTCGGCACGACATGACTCCATCTAGCTGATCTCACTACGACCCGCGCGCCTGGCTTCCCTCTGCCCGTGATTTAGAGGAGAAAGTGGAGGCTTGCCGGAGCCGGCCGGGACCTGGTGTCTGCTTCCCGGACAGGCACTGTGTGGCCCCAGGCTCAGGAGGGCTGACGGGTGCCGGCCGTCGGGGGCTCCTTGAGGCTGTGGCTGGGCACACAGCCCCGTAGAGTCCCAGACCTGTTGCGGGTGTGGCCCACGGAATCCTCCTGATGGCTCTGTAGCTTGTATCACGTGTGGCTGGCAGTGCCGGGGGCTCAGGAACATCCGGTAGAGAGTGCAGCCTCCGTGGCATTTCTGTGTGAGGATGAACCGGAGTGAGCTCAGCCTCGCCCTGTGCCCTGCAGAGCAGACACGCAGCAGCATCATGAGGGCCGCAGTGTCCTGAAGGCCTGGATCCATCTGTACCAAGGCAGCCCCACCCAGTGTGCTCGGAACAAGGGAATCCCCACAGAAGAGAATGGCTCCTGGGAGTACCAGTGCCATGACCCGGCAGCGGGGACACTGGTGGTCTTCAGACGCAGTGGCCGTCCTGAGCTGAGCCAGGGGCAGTGGGAAGACCCCCCCGGTGGAGCCTGCGGCTCGGGGGGCTGTGTTGGGGGGCAGTGGATGGGAGAGACAGCAGCAGGAGGATTCGTCTCGAGTCCGGGTCTCTGCGAAGCCGGTGCCGGCTTCGGCGAGGTGGGTGGTCTCCACGCCCCTTGAGGTTGAGAAGATGTGCGCCCTTCTGCAGGGGCCGAGCTGCTGGGCGTCTGGCAGAATTTCACAGTGTTTAAAAGGAATGATTTTTAATGAGGCAACAGAGACACAGGGTTCACACAGACAAGGCAGAGAGAGATAACAGACCTTGGCCAGCACCTGCTCCCCCCAGGCTCTGTTGCGTGTGCGCAGGAGGGTCACACGGAGACGCTGGCTCACACGTGAGCTCGGTCTTCCTGGGGGCTACACACAGCTGTGCCAGTTGCCTTTTTCTCTTTACGGTTTCTCTTGGAGATTTTTCTAGATCGGGACACAAGGTGCTCTCCTCCCGCTGCTTTTTTTTTTGAGACAGGGTCTTGCTGTGTCGCTCAGGCTGGAGGGCAGTGGTGCCATCACAGCTCTATGCAGCCTCAATCTCCTGGGCTCAAGCAATCCTCCCACCTCAGCCTCCCGAGTAGCTGGGACTACAGGTGCATGGCATCATGCCTGGCTAATTTCCAATTTTTTTTTTTTTAGAGATGGGGGTCTCTCTATGTTGGCCAGGCTGGTCTGGAACTCCTGGGCTCAAGCGAACCTCTCCTCGGACTCCCAAAGTGCGGGGATGACAGGCATGAGGCACCGCGTCTGGCATCCGCCTTCTTTTGGAGTCTCACAGGATCCCCAGTGTGCTCGGAGGACAGTGGGCTGGGTTTGCGTGGTGGGCCTGCACACCGTGCCCCGGCTTTTCCACGCAGCACCTTTGTGGGGCCGTGTTTTCTCCCCCTCGGGCTGTGTGTGCTGGGCTGTGAGACTGGCTTCTGTCTGGGTGCTGGCTGACCCTGGAACTGGCCTGGCCAAGGTGACCGGCTTCTGCCTGTTTTCCTTCCTGAGTCATCCCAGGTTAGGTGCTGAGTGGCTTTGGGCCGGCGACCACCCCTGTCTGGGCCTGAGGGTGCCGTATCTGTAAGGTCTATGGCATGACATGGCGAGAGGTGGGCCGCTGTCCACACCTGGCCACTGTCAACTTCCATCTTGCTGTTTGAACAACTGCTCTTGAAAACCAGTTTGAATCAAGCTGGCACGGCGGCTCACGCCTGTCATCCCAACACTTTGGGAGTTCAAGGTGGGCGGATCACTTGAGGTCAGGAGTTTGAGACCAGCTTGGCCAACATGGTGAAACCTTGTCTCTACTAAAAATACAAAAATTACCCGGGATTGGTGAGGGTGCCTGTAATCCCAGTTACTCGGGAGGCTGAGGCAGGAAAATCGCTTGAACCAGGAGGTGGAGGTTGCAGTGAGCCAAGATTGTGCCACTGCACTCCAGCCTGGGTGACAGAGCAAGACTCTGTCTTTAAAAAAAAAAAAAAAAAAATCCGAATCAGCTGCAAGCCCTCTGTTGAAACCAGGCGATGGTCAGGGAGCTTCTGAGTTTCCATCTTATCTGAAAGCTGGAAGGTCACACGTGTGGGCCCTGCTCCACCTGGGTGATGGTGCTCCCTGGAGATGGTGGGGGGGGTGTGCTCCCCATCCCTGCACCTGACTGGGCCTGGGGGTGGCTGAGTTTGCAATCCCTGTCTGTCTCCCTGGTCCTGAGGGAGCCTCCAGCTTTGGTGATGCAGTGCCTATGGCACATCCCCTGGGCGTCTTTAACATGAGCCTGGCAGTGAGGCCAGGAGGGAGGCATTTGATCCCCCCGGGGCCAGCCTCACCCGTATGGCCTTTGGAAAGCTATGTCTCTTCACTTAGAACAAAGGTTCAGACCAAATTAAAACAATAATAACAAAATCAAGTGCATCTGAGTTTGTACAGGGAGCCGTGGGACCCCCAGGGCAATGGGATAGGCCACCCCCTGGGTACCCACAGGCCTCAGATGCAGGCTGACCTTGCACCCCCAGCCAGGACCCCAACCGCTGCCCGCTGCCTGCCTGCCACCTGCCAGCACAGGCGCAGTTTGGGCCTGTTTTCCAGCTCCCGGCCGGCCAGTTTTGACAACAGGACCACCTGCCTGGGGGTTTGCCTCTCCGATGGGGCTGGCCGAGCCCTCAGGTACATCTCAGCTGCTCACCTGCTAGGAGCCACGGTCACCTTCGCCTGGCCTGGCCCAGCCCCCTCCACACCTTTCAAGTGCCCTGGTCCTGGAAGGGGGAGGTGGGGGTGTGCCTGGCTCTTCCACTGCGCTCCACTTCCAAGGCCCGGCCTGTGCTTTGAAGCAGCAGCCGTGGAAAGAAAACAAGTATTGCAGCCCACAGAGCCCTGGGAGGCCGTGGTCCCGCTCCTGCAGCGTTTTCCAGCCCTGGGGTGGTGGCGCCCTGGGAGGCCGTGGCCCCGCTCCTGCAGCGTTTTCCAGCCCTGGGGTGGTGGCGCCCTGGGAGGCCGTGGCCCCGCTCCTGCAGCGTTTTCCAGCCCTGGGGTGGTGGCGCCCTGGGAGGCCGTGGCCCTGCTCCTGCAGCGTTTTCCAGCCCTGGGGTGGTGGCGCCCTGGGAGGCCGTGGCCCCGCTCCTGCAGCGTTTTCCAGCCCTGGGGTGGTGACGCCCTCGGAGGCCGTGGCCCCGCTCCTGCAGCGTTTTCCAGCCCTGGGGTGGTGGCGCCCTCGGAGGCCGTGGCCCCGCTCCTGCAGCGTTTTCCAGCCTTGGGGTGGTGGCGCCCTCGGAGGCCGTGGCCCCGCTCCTGCAGCGTTTTCCAGCCTTGGGGTGGTGGTGCCTTCGGAGGCCGTGGCCCCGCTCCTGCAGCGTTTTCCAGCCCTGGGGTGGTGGCGCCCTGGGAGGCCGTGGTCCCGCTCCTGCAGCGTTTTCCAGCCCTGGGGTGGTGGTGCCTTCGGAGGCCGTGGCCCCGCTCCTGCAGCGTTTTCCAGCCCTGGGGTGGTGGCGCCCTCGGAGGCCGTGGCCCCGCTCCTGCAGCGTTTTCCAGCCTTGGGGTGGTGGCGCCCTCGGAGGCCGTGGTCCCGCTTCTGCAGCATTTTCCAGCCTTGGGGTGGTGGTGCCTTCGGAGGCCGTGGCCCCGCTCCTGCAGCGTTTTCCAGCCCTGGGGTGGTGGCGCCCTGGGAGGCTGTGGCCCCGCTCCTGCAGCATTTTCCAGCCCTCGCGCTTGGAGCCAGGGTCTGAGGGCTACAGTGGAACCAGCTGCCTGGAATCCTGTCACTGTGCCATGAGCCCGGTGCCTTTCACTCTGGAAAACGTGCCCTGTCCTGGGAGGTGATGGCTGAGGAAGGCAGCCAGGCTTGGGAATGTCTCCAGGGCTTCTCATCTTCTGCACGGAGCGGGCTCTGTCACCATCGGCTGTAATGTCCGACACACAGGTGGTGTAGCAATGGCGTCCCGCGGTGGCGGAGTGGCACGGGCTCACAGGACGTTGCAAGCACCTTGGCGTCAGAACACGAGTGCCCGCCGTGGGCTGCAGAGCAGGCACCTCCACCCCGTCCCCGACGAACCCTGAGGGGTCCTTGAGCCTGACTTGGGGGGTCCTTGAGCCTGACTTGGGGGGTCCTTGAGCCTGACTTGGGGGTGGGCGAGGAATTTCAGAGGGTTTCTTGGAAAAGGCGAGGGAGGGAGATGGTCAGGGGGGTGAAATGGACAAGGCCGTGGGCTTTGCCAACTCTACCCGGGGTAGGCGGGGTTGCCCTGCAGTGCACCTGAGACATTGAGGTCTGCAGAGTGGGCCTGCTTTTCCCGCCATCGCCTGGCCGGCCTGACCCTGGTCCAATCCTGACAGCCCCCAGCTGTGTGGTTTTCCTGGGCCTGAGCGAGCGACTGGTCCCATCGAGCCCCTGCCGGCCTTTGCTCTTCCTCACACGGGCCTGGGAGGAGCTCCAGCCCGGCAACCCGGTTTGATGGCAGACAGCTGGGGCTCTTTTCTTCCTCCAGGAATGAAATCCTTGGAGAAGAAAGATCCTGCATCCCAGTCTGGAGAGAGGCCTCTGGAGGGGACCCCGCCTGCCCTCTGCTGACCTAAGCATGCCTTGGCTGTTGGCGGCTCCCGCCTCGTGCCCGCCTTCGCCTTGGCTCCACGTCCCCGATTTTGACTTGCTCGGCACAGAGAGGTTCTGATGAGGTTTCCAGCTCTAGGCTGGGTCCAGCCTGTGGGATGCAGAGGCAGATCCGGTGCCCGCAGAGCCCATCGCTGAGTCTGGTTGAGCAAATAGCAAAACCTGTTTGCTGCCCCAGGGGTGCCTGATGTGGCTGAGCACAGGAAGCCGCGTGGCCGTGGATGGCTGGTTATGAGGCAGTACAGGTCCCTTTCGCATGGTCTTTGGGGAGATGAGTTCGGGGGGCCTTCAGTCCCACTCCCCCCACCGCTGTCCCCCTGTGATGAGGCCTCGGCCTGTGTTTGTTCCGTGAGTGACAGTCAGAAGGGCCCCACCCATTCGATGTTCACCCCTGTTTTGCTGGTGCCTTTATGAGACAGGGGCTGTGTGTGCCCCATTTCCCGGCAACCTGGCGCCCAGCACAGACCTGCCTGTACATAGCGGGCACTCGGAAAATACCAGTGAGGGCCGAGTGGAGTTGAGCGCTGGCAGTCGTGGCCTGGATCTTCCAGGCTGCCTGAGCCTGAGTGGCGGGTGCTCACCTCCTCCCCCAGTGCCCGGGGAGGGCGGGCGTGAGCTGGGCGGGGGGCTCTGGATGGAGAGCGCCCGAGCCCCTGCCCACCCTGGGGGGTGTTGGTGCCCTCCTTAGGAAGGGACAATTGGAAGTGCCCTCTGCTGTCAAGCTCAGTACTGGGGTGCCCCGGACGGTGTGATATTTGGCCTTGCAGTCCTGATGGATTGGGGGGGTCAGCCGTGTAGAGTGCCGGGTGGCGTTGGCCGTGGCTGTCCGACCGCCTGGGTCCGCACCTGGCTCTGCCCTTTGCAAACCCTCAGGCGTGGGGGAGTCATGAGTTAGTCTCGGCCTCAGTGTCCCGTCTGTAAAATGGGTGTTGTAAAAGTTCCAGGTGAGAGTGAAGTCCTCAGAAGGACCCTGTGAGCTCTTAGGGAACCCTGGATCCCTCGGCCCCCACCGCTACCCTCCGCCAGTGCTGATTAAAATGTTATCTTTTGGGGCCAGGCCCTGTGGCTCATGCCTGGAATCCCAGCACTTTGAGAGGCTGAGGCGGGATGGTTGCTTGAGCCCAGGAGTTTGAGACCAGCCTGGGCAATGCGACGAGACCCCATCTCTACAAATAAATAAATAAAAATGCCTGTAATCCCTGCACTTTGGGAGGCCGAGGTGGGCGGATCACGAGGTCAAGAGATTGAGACCATCCTGGCCAACATGGTGAAACCCTGTCTCTACTAAAAATACAAAAAGTAGTTGGGCGTGGTGGCGGGTGCCTGTAGTCCCAGCTATTCGGGAGGCTGAGGCAAGAGAATCGCTTGAACCCGGGAGGCGGAGCTTGCAGTGAGCCGAGATCACGCCACTGCACAGCCTGGGTGATAGAGTGAGACTCCATCTTAATAAATAAATAAATAAAAATTAGCTGAGCATGGTGCTGTACCTGTAGTCCCAGCTACTTGAGAGGCTGAGGCGGGAGGACCGCTCGTGTCCAGGAGGTCAAGGCTGCAGTGAGCTATGATCATGCCACTGGAATCCAGCTTAGGTGACAGAGACCCTGTCTCTAAAAAAAAAAAAGTTCACTTTATCTTTCCTTTTTTTTTTCCTCCAAGATCAGATTAATTTGTTTTCGTGTTAAAGCTGTCCTCATAGAATTATTTAGGAAGTGTTTCATCTGCTTCTATTTTCTGAAGCTAATGTAGAGAATTGGTATTATTTCTTCCTAAATATTTGGTAGAATTAACTAGTGAACACATCTGTGCTTAGTCCTTTTTTGTTTTTATTTTTGTTTTTTGTTTCTGAGAGACAAGGTCTGTCTCTGTCATCCAGGCTGGAGTGCAGTGGAACAATCATAGCTCACTGCAATTGCCAGCTCCTGGACTCAAGTGATTCTCTGGCCTCATCCTTCCAAGTAGTTGGGACTACAGGTGTGCACCACCAGGCCTGATTAATTTTTTTAAAATTTTTAGTAGAGATGAGGTATTGCTATGTTGCCCAGGTTGCTCTCAAATGCCTGGCCTCAAGTGATCTTCCTGCCTCAGCCTCTAAAAGTGCTGGGATTACAGGTGTGAGCTGCTGTGCCCAGCCTGGGCTTGACGCTTTTTGTTTTGAAAGGTTAATAATTACTGATTCAACTTCTTTAATAGATACAAGCTTGTTCAGATTATCTGTTGCTTCTTGTGTGAATTTTAGTAGATTGTGTATTTCAAGGAACTGGCCCATTTTATCTGAGTTATCAAATGTGTAGTCATAGAGTTTTTCTTTCTTTCTTTTTTTTTTTTTTTTTTTGAGATGGAGTTTTGCTCTTGTCACCCAGGCTGGAGTGCAATGGCGCGATCTCGGCTCACTGCAACCTCTGCCTCCTGGGTTCAAGTGATTCTTCTGCCTCAGCCTCCCCAGTAGCTGGGATTACAGGTGCCTGCCACCATGCCCAGCTAATTTTGTGTATTTTTTACTAGAGATGGGGTTTCACCATCTTGGCCAGGTTGGGCTCGAACTCCTGACCTCAGGTGATCTCCTGCCTCGGCCTCCCAAAATGCTGGGATTACAGGCATGAGCCACCGTGCCTGGTCTCATAGAGTTTTTCATAATATTATTTTATTTTTAATGTCCATAGGACCTGTAGTGGTGTCCCTTGTCCATAGGACCTGTAGTGATGCCCCTTGTCCATGGGACCTGTAGTGATGCCCCTTGTCCATAGGACCTGTAGCGGTGCCCCTTGTCCATAGGACCTGTAGTTATGCCCCTTGTCCATGGGACCTGTAGTGATGTCTCTTGTCCATGGGACCTGTAGTGATGTCCCTTCTTTCATTTCTGAAGTTAGAGATGCTTTGGCTGCATCGATTTTCTTTAGTATTTTCCTATTTTCAATTCCATTTATTTCTGTCTTAATTTTTATTCTTACTTTTCTTTTTGTTGCTTTGGATTTAATTTCCTCTTCTTGTTGTAGTTTCCCAAGATGGAAGCTTAGGTTGTTGATTTTGGATCTTTTCCTAATATATGCATTCAGTGCTATAGATTTCCCTCTAAGTGTTGCTTTTGCTACCTCCTGCATATTATGATAAGCTCTATTTTCATTTTCATTTCGTTCAAAATATTTTTCAACTTCTCTTGAGCCTTCTTTTTTGACCCATGCATTATTTAGAAGTATGTTATTTAATCTCCAAATATTGTGGGATTTCCTATCTATCTTTCTGTTACTGACTTCTAGTTTAATTCACTTCCGGTGTGAGAGCATGCACTATATGATTTCTGTTCTTTTACATTTGTTCAGGGATATTTTATGGCCCAGAATGTTTTCTCTCTTGGTAAATGTTTCATGTGAGCTTGAGAAGAATGTGTAGTCTGCTCTTGTTTGATGAAGTCTGTAAATGTCAATTATTTCCTGTTAACTGATGGTGCCATTCAGTTAATCTATGTTCTTACTGATTCTCTTTTTTTATTTCCTGTGTATAATTTTTCAAACTAGATTACTGATTTTCTGCCTGCTGGATCTGTCAATAACTAGCTGAGGGGCGTTAAAGTCTTAAACTATAATGGTGCATTTGTCTGTTTCTCCTTGCAGTTTGATCAGATTTTGCCTTATGACCCATTTTTAAATTTAATAGGCCTATAGTGACCATCATCCAGTCTCCGTGGATGTGTCTCCACATCACTGTTTTTTAATACCTCCTTGTGTTCCATTCTGTAACTTAATTAACCAATCACCAACTATTGCATATTTCAAACCTTCATGGCTACAAGCAGCTCTGTGATAAACAGCCTGCTAGCCACATCTTATATATTTTAAAAATTGCTTCTATAGAGGAAATGCTAGGGGAAAGAAAAACCCATTCAAAGAGCATGCACTTTTTTTTTTTCTTTTTGAGATGGAGTCTTGCTCTGTTGCCCAGGCTGGAGTGCAGTGGCACGATCTCACTCAATGCAACCCCCACCTTCTGGATTCAAGCGATTCTCCTGCCTCAGTCTCCTGAATAGCTGGGATTACAGGCACATGTCACCAAGCCTGGCTAATGTTTGTATTTTTAGTAGAGATGGGGTTTCCCCATGTTGGCCAGGCTGGTCTCGAACTCCTGACCTCAGGTGATCCGCCTGCCTCAGCCTCCCAAAGTGCTGAGATTACAGGTGTGAGCCACCATGCTTGGTCAGCATGCATATTTTTAAGATAAAAGTTTGCTGTCACCAACCTAAACCTGCGGGTGCTGGTCTTCATCCAAAGTGGATTCTGATTCAGAAGCTCAGGGCTGGCGTGGGTATCTGGGGATACTGTGAACATCCAGGGCTGGACGCCATGGCCAGTGGCATGGACTAGCAATTCTGGTTGGAAGCCCAAGAATGTACAGAAGGAATTTGCCATCCTCCACCTCCTTCCCTAGATCCACAGGGTAGAGCGGACACTTGGCTTGTACCTCCCTTCTGGGACTCCATAGGTTCATTCCATACCCTGAACCCTGGCCATTCACGCGCTTCTCTCTCCAATGCCAAGAAAACGTTATTCAGTGACGTGTGTTAAAGCATGGCATGGAAGACTTCATTCTGGACCATTGCACTAGGTACAGGGATCACTGCAATGGGGTCTTGCGGTGGAGGAAGGAGCTTGGGCTTGCCTCCGAATATGAGATGAGAACGTGAGAATTTCCACCTAAGTGGCAGTGGATGGAAAATGACCGAGAGGAAACACCAGGGGCTGGGGGGTTCTGGCTTCACTGACCTAACAGGATTGTTGCTGAAGAGAGGCCAGGGTGACCAGACATCCCCCATGGGGTGGTGGGTGTGAGGAGCCTGATCAGACACTGAGGATGATCAGATATCAAAGATGATCACATATTGATTATGGTGGGTGATCGGTTCTGGCTGAACTGATTTGGCAGGATTATTTTACAAGGAAGTACAGATGGGCCTAGAAGAAGGTTCTGGAACCTGACTAAAGTTTGGCCAGAGAGAGAATTGTTGTTACCACATGTTTGTGGTTAGGAACCAGACCCACAGTCAAGAGTGTGGCCGAGGGTCCCAGGGGATTTGAGAACACCGTGCTGTTGGCACCCCAGCCGGGAGCAGGAGCTCTGCTTTCCATGATGCCAGGACTGAGTTATTGCTATTTAGAGAGAATTTTTTGGAAACTTGTAGTCAACAGAGTCACGGAACAAGCCTTCACCTAAACAGTGGAAGAGGCTAAACACAAGCCAGGATGCTGTGTCTGGGGCGCTGGGATCCCAGCAGATGGGAACCCTGGGTCTTGGGCTGGGACAGAAGAGATAGGACCGTGATGCCAGCACCCAGGGTCTGCCCAAGGGTTTAGGCCACTTCCTTTCCTTAAATAACATTGACCTAAGGTTTAAATCCGCAATGGAGAGAGGTTCTTCCCCAGCGAGGGCAGCATGTCTAGGTCTTTCAGAACCACTTCTAAAGGAGGACAGACTGAGCAGGCCACTCTTTCCCCCTGGATAGCGTCATGTTGAAAAACATAAGAAGTCAGAAAAACATATTAGTATGCGCTGGAACAAGTGTTCTGCCTTCAGCGGGGTCCTTTTTGGTAAATGTTCTGTTTTCTTCACTCATCATTCCCGTCTGCTCCTTGTCAATACACATATGCACATTCTCTGCAGACCTACTGTTGGTGCATATGTGCCTCTGTGTGTTCTGCTCTTTGACATCATGGGAGGGGGAATAACAACCCGTGTCCTGACTCTGACATCCCCCTTCCATCCCTAGGAAGGTTCAAAGATTTTCAAAATAGAGAGTTGAAAAAAACTAAAGATCAGACATGTTGGAAGTGCTAATAACTCAGTTTGCCTTCTTTATTACTGGATACGATCCTAGCACATTCATGTTCTCCCAGGTCAATGTCATGATGCTTTTGTTTAAAAGTCACAAAAATTCTTTATTTCTTTTAGCCTCAGGCAGACATTTCTAACATACAGAAATGCAGATTGTTGGAGCGGGAGGAGTGAGCGGGAGGCCCTGTGTGGCGCGGGGGTCCTTGCTGCCACCCCTCACCTCGCTGCTCTTCTGAATGCATGCCCAGCCTTGGCAGGCACCTGGTGCTCGGGTCTGAGGTGCAGCTTTGAGGGGCTGTGGGTGCCCATCCTTTCTGTTGTCCCCCTTAGGTGGCCTCGGCTCTGAGAACTGGCTGAACCTGTTTGCTTCAGCAGGTTTCTTTGCATGGGTGAGGGCGGGGAGGTGTTTACCTGTCAGGCCACCTCTGGCTGCAGTTCCACAATATATTAGCAATGTAAGCCAACAAAAAGGAATAAAAAAGCCAGAGTGGTGAAGAGACTGGCTGAGATCGGGGCATGGGCCGCTCCATTTGCATCACTCCTGGGGGATTCTGGGACATGTGTGACCCTTCTAGCAGCACTGGGGGAGCGGCTGCATGGGGTTTGGAACCAGCAGACACTATGGCAGCAGCTGCTGACCGTGGGAGCCCCTTATTCTGCTGAGTGCTTCACAAGCCTCATGATCACTGAGTCCTCCCTGCTGCTTTAGAGGCTGAGAGTGTTACTGTGCCCATTTTACAGATGGCTTAACTCTTCAGAAACTCAGTCCCCTGGGTCCCTCCAGGCAAGGTTGGGACTTGTACCACACATGATGAGGTGATGGCCAGGAAGCATCTGTCATGGGGATGACCCCACCTGCTGTGACATCACCCCACACAAGCATCTGTCACCACTGCTCAATAGTGAGCCCCTTAGGGAAGGGTTGCAAACTCGGGATCCTGGGGGTTCAGGAATTAAGTGGAAAACGTGGAGTCCTTGGGAATTGTGGCAGATTGGAGATGGTCATGCTCCTTCCAAAGTGGGGGTGAGCTGAATTCTTGCTTTGGGAGTACAAGGTCCCTGTGTTGTCAGACTTTTCTTTTTATTTTCTTTTTTCAAAGGAAAGCCAACAATTTGGATTTTATGAATTTTGTAAATTTTTAAATATTGGGAGATGATTTTGAAAATACCATCAACATTGGCACATGAATAAATAGAAAACCTGAAGAGATCTAGAAGCATTAAGTAAGTTGAAATGGTAACCAAAGACCTTTCCTCCCAAAGGGTTCTTTCTGATGGTTTCACTGGTTGAGTTCTTTCAAACATCAGCAAACTGTCTATTCTTACTTCTCAAATTGCTACAGAAAATAGAAAACAAGAGGAAGCTGCTAGATCATTGTATGTACTGTACTGTGATCAGGTGGAGATGATCCAGAATTCAAGGATGGTTCAACCTCAGAATACTCTATCCATGTAAATCACCATATTAGTAGATTGTAGAGAAAGAGCATGTGACATGTCACATAGGTGTTGGAAAAGGTTTTGACAAAGCTCAACAACTATTGCATAAATTCTTAGCAAACTAAGAATAGGGTCACTTCTTAACTTGGTAAAGGTCATACATACCCAACACAGAGCAAACATGCTAATGGAGAATCTTTGGCTACATGCTCTTTAAGGGAGGGACCACAATGAGGCTCTGATGGCTTTCATGGTTTAACTGTGCTTGGGAGGTCCCGGCAATGCTATAAAGAAAGAAAAATAAGAGGAGTCCTAATTGGAAGGGTAGAGAGAAGATGAATTTGATCATGTCTATGGAAACCAGCATAGAATACACAGAACAACTCTTACATTCTTATGAGTGTTCAGCAGGGTTGGTGCAAGCTCAACTTACAAAAATCATCATTAAGAAGCCCAAGGAATCCATAAATAAATATACACAATTTTTCTTTGTCAATTTAAAGAAAATTTAAAAATACGGATTCCTTCCCATCACAATGAAGATATTAAATCTGTCTCAACAGAAAGAAAGAGAGAAAAAAAAGAGCCCAAGGGGCTGGGTGGGTGCAGGGAATGAGAAAAGAGACACAGATGAGGAGTAACTGGAGAATAGAATTTGAAAGGATGCCATTCATGAGGGCAACAGCCACTGAGAAGTGGAATGTGCTTGACAACAGATTACAGAAGACTCTAGGGAGGAAGTTTTAAACCTCTATAAGGACATAAAACACGATCTGAATAGGGAGAGGCGGTCTGTATTCTTGGGTGGAATGACTCAACGTGATGATGTCATTTCTCCCTCACATTAATCTCTACCTTCAAAGCAGCTCCACTTCAAATTGCAGCTGGAATATTGTGAGGCAGTAAACACATTCGGAAATGTGAATGAGCTGGGTGCGGTGGCTTATGCCTGTAATCCCAGCACTTTGGGAGGCTGAGGTGGGAGGATTGTTTGAGCCCAGGAGTTTGAGACCAGCCTGGGCAACACAGAGAAACCCCATCTCTAAAAAAAAAAAAAAAAAAAGTAGCTGGGTATGATGGCATGTGCCTGTAGGCCCAGCTACTCAGGAGGCTGAGGCAGGAGGATCACTTGAGCCCAGGAGTTCGAGGCTACAGTGAGCTATGATCGCACCACTGCACTCTAGCCTGGGTGACAGAGTGAGACCTTGTCTCTAAAAAACAAACAACAAAACAAAAAACAAAACAACAGAAAGAAAAAGGAAAGGAAAGAATAAAAATTTGCAAATAACTAAGTCATCTTTGAAACAGAAGCACAAAGAAGAGGGACTTCTCCTACCAAGAGCTGAGGCTCAGCAGGAGGCCTTGATCATAAATGGAGCCAGGTGCCCTGCAGGAAGGGACGGCAGAACAATGGCGTGGGGCCGAGAGCTGAGAGGAGGTGCAGGCACACATGGGAGCTCCATATTTAATAGATGCAAGAGGTAGTTTAGTGCAGTGGTTAAGACAAGGACTCTGGAGCCAGATCACCCGGTTTTGAATCCCAGCACCACCATTCCTTAGCTGTGTGACCTTGGGCAGGTTCCTTAACCTCTCTGTGCTTCTGTCCTGCTCCCACTTGTATGTGAGGATAAGGGGAGTGATGATCATATATGCCACAAGGTTGTTGTGAGAATTAAATGAGCAACTGTGCGTAAAACACTGTGTTAGTTTCTAGGGCTGCCATAACAGAAGGACAAACTTGGCCTTAACAACAGTGATCAAGCGTCTCATGCTTCTGGAGGCCAGAAGTCCAAGCTCAAGATGTGGGCAGGGCTGGTTCCCCCTGAGGGCTGTGTGTGGGGATCTGGCCTGGCCTCTCCTTGGCTTGTAGGTGCCGTGTTGCCTCCCTGCTGTGCTTTCGTCCGACTCTTCGCTCTGCGTGGACACTGTGTTTTCCCTGTGTGTGTCCAAGTCTCCTCTTTTTATAAGGACACCAATCATATTGAGTTAGGGCCAACCCTACTCCAGTAGGACCTCACTTTTTTCAAGACAGGGTCTTGCTGCCAGTCTGTGGTGCTCTGTGATGGCAGCCCAGGCAGACATGTCGGAGAGTATTTCATTACTTGGTTGTGGGGAAACACTTTCTTAAACAAAACCCACAAAGCACAAACCATAAAGCAAAAAAGAGGTTACATCAGATGAAAGATGTCTACCTAATTAAGGACATCATGAAAAAGTTAACAGGTGACTGCGTGTAAGAAGATAGTTGCAATATCTAAACCCGACAAGCAACCGGTATCTAAAACACACAAGGAATTTCTGCAAATCAGCAGGAAAGAAGGTACCAACCCTTCTATCAAGATGGGCACAGGATATGAACAGGAAGTTTACAGAAGAGGAAACACAACCAGAGGAGAAGCCCTTGAAGAGCAGCTCAGAGCTTAGAGATCAGGGAAATGGAAATGCAAACAAAACGGCAGTTCAAAGCCGCAGCCCCAACGTGTCAGGCAATGTGGTGACGTGGGTAGATCTAGAGTATGTGGACTCCTTGAAGAAAAAGAAGAAACAGCATGAAATCTGCAGCAGGATACCATTTTTTGGTTAAATGCACATAGCTTAAGATTCTATGTTTTAAGAGAAAACATACAAACGAGAGGGGAGACCTCAAGTATCTTATAGCAATTGCCCACAGACCGAGAGGGCTATGGGAAGAGAGGAATAAATGTATAGGCAAAACAAGAACAGATCACAGAGCGGCATGAACTGAGTGCTCCATATTTACATCTGGGGTTTAAAGAAAAGATGTTGGAATAGGATGTCCCACGAAACACAGGTGTTGCCAAATGCATGGTCTGTGGGCCTGTCGGGAACGGCGGGGTTTGCTGCCCTGTGGCCCCAGCAGGACCCAGTCTGAGTGCTGTGGCTGCCTGTGAGCTGAGTGCAGGGATATGGGTGTGCGGGCTGTGTTCCTGGACCTTGCCCTGCCTCCACCTCTCCCACCCTCACTCCGGCACTTACCACTGGTGGGGAGGAGCCTGCACTGGTCCTGGGTTTGGTGGGGGCGGTGAGGGGGTCCCAGGCGGAGGGTGGGGGAAAGTGGGTGGGGCCTCTGCTTCCCTGGAGGCCTCCAGGCTTGGGGAAAGTGAACACAGCTCAAGAGTCTGTGTTTTAAGAGAAACTGGAGGTGTCTGTGCAGGGGCGGGGTGTCTAGGCTTTCCCATACAGCCCTTTGCCCGGATAGAGGCTGCGAGTTCCAGCTGGGTGAGTGCTACGCGGGGCCCAGGAGGGGTTTGCTTTCCGTCCGACCTGCCACGTCCTGGGCTCTGCTCCGGGAGGGGCCTAGTGCCTGCTGCCACCCCTTGGGTTCACAGGCCCAGGCTCTGCCTCCTGCCAGGACGGGGGAAACAGATGGAAAGCTGGGGCCGGGAGAGTATCTGGAATGGACCAGGGTGACAGTCGGTGACAAGGACCCATCACCCAGTGTGACTGTTCTTAACCTACAGGGCTGGGTGGGACTTGACCAGCTGGCCTGATGTTAGTGTGGGTCTGAGCAAGTGACTAAGCAATAGGTTGTGCCCAACACATGCATTTGCACACCAAAAATTAGCTTGCTTTTAAAATGGCACTTCGTTAGTTGGGGGTGGTGGTTCGGGCTGGTGGTCCCATCTGCTTGGGAGGCTAAGGCAGGAGGATCGCTTGAGCTCAGAAGGTCAAGGCTGAAGTGAGCTGTGATGCTACCACTGCACTCCAGCCTGGGTGGCAGAGTGAGACTCGGTCTCTTTAAAAAAAAAAAAAAAAAAAAGGCACTTGGTCCTGCGTGGTGCCTCACACCTGTAATCCCAGCACTTTGGGAGGCCAAGGCAGGTGGATCATGAGGTCAGGAGTTCGAGACCAGCCTGGCCAACATGGTGAAACCCCTGTCTCTACTGAAAACACAAAAATTAGCTGGGCATGGCAGTGTGTGCTTGTAATCCCAGCTACTCGGGAGGCTGAGGCAGGAGAATTGCTTGAACCTGGGAGGTGGAGGTTGCAGTGAGCTGGGATCGTGCCATTATACTCCAGCCTGGTCGACAGGGCGAGACTCTGTCTCAAAAAAAAAAAAAAAAAAAAGCACTTGGGTGTTGGGGTTTAGATTTTAAAATAAACAAGAAAACCCCAAACTTTCCTTGTTGTTTAAATTACCCGGGATGAGCACTTGGCTGTTTTGATTGGATGGAGAATAAAGGGCCCGAGGCGCTTCACCCCATTTGTACTTTTTTTCCCAAAAATACATGAGGTTGGGATTCATGGATGGCTTTTGGCTTCAAGGGTCAGATCTTGTCCTGAATGTGTCTTTGAAAACATCGATGCCGCGGGCATGACTGGGAACCACACCTTAGAGCTGGGTGTGGAGGGAAAAGGCTGGGCTGTGAAGTTGTAGCCGTCAGCAGGGAGGGAGGCCGACGGACCCTCAGCCAAAGCGGTGCGTGGCACTGGGGTCTGGTGGCCGGTGAGGAGCCGCTGTGCGATGGCTGCCACAGCAGAACTGGGTGGAGCGTGCTTCTGGGACCACAGCCTGAGGAAGCCAGGCCTGCCTAGCTTGGATGAGCCCCGCCGGCTGGCAGGACGCAGCTCCGGAGAGACCCTGGGCTCCATCACTGTTTCCCAGCTGGTCCCCTGGTCCCCCGGATCAGTGAGGACAAAGTGAGCCAGGCAGGCCTGGTGGGCACAGGTGGTGGCTGCGTTTGGCCAGAGGTGGAAGCGTGACTCTGGGCAGGTGGAGGGGGAAGGAAGGTCCCCCATCTGCGGTGGTCTGTGGTTGATGGAGATCTCTGACCTCTCCAGGCCCTGCGAGTCTGTCCGGAGTGACCTCGTTTTGTCAGTGAGAGCCAGGGGGCTGCCTCCAGCACAGGGGGCCAGGACCTGGGGCGAGGACCCACTACACCAGACAGGGCCTGTACCTGCAGCCAAGAGGGGCTGAGACCCACCCAGTGTGTTCTGCGTGTGCACCCGCGGGCAGGGCTGGGCCTGGGAGGGTCTCGGCAGTGGTGAGAGCACAGCCCCTGCCTGGGCTCAGCCTCAGCCTCAGCTGCTTTCTCTCTCTCTCTCTCTCTTTCTTCCTTTTTCTTTCTCTCTCCCTCTTTCTCTCTTTCTGTTTCTTTTTTTATTTTTCTTTCTTTCTCTGCCTCTTTCTTCCTTTTTTTCTCTCTTTCTCTCTTCCTTTTTTCTCTTTCTCTCTCCCTTTCCCTCCCTCCCTTTCTTCCTTCCTTTCTTGCTTTCTTTTTTTTTTTTTTTTTGATGGAGTCTTGCTCTGTAGCCCAGGCTGGAGTGCAGTGGCGCGATCTCGGCTCACTGCAAGCTCTGCCTCCCGGGTTCATGCCATTCTCCTGCCTCAGCCTCCCGAGTAGCTGGGACTACAGGCGCCTGCCACCACGCCCGGCTAATTTTTTTTTGTATTTTTAGTAGAGATGGGGTTTCATAATGGTCTCGATCTCCTGACCTCGTGATCCGCCCACCTCGGCCTCCCAAAGTGCTGGGATTACAGGCATGAGCCACCGCACCCGGCCTTCTTTCTTTCCTTCTTTCTCTCTCTCTTTCTTTCCTTTCTTCCTTTTTTCCTTTCCTTTCCTTTCTTTTCTCTTCTTTCTTTCCTTCTTTCTGTCTTTTTTATTTTTTATTTTTATTTATTTATCTTTTTGAGACGGAGTCTCGCTCTGTCTCCCAGGCTGGCGTGCAGTGGCGCGATCTCCGCTCACTGCAAGCTCCGCTTCCCGGGTTCCAGCAATCCTCCTGCCTCAGCCTCCCGGGTAGCTGGGATTACAGGCGCCCATCACCATGCCCAGCCAATTTTTTGTATTTTTAGTAGAGACGGGGTTTCACCATGTTAGCCAGGATGGTCTCGATCTTCCGACCTTGTGATCCGCCTGCCTTGGGCTTCCAAAGTGCTGGGATTACAAGTGTGAGCCACTGCACCTGGCCTTCTTTCTCTCTTTCTTTGTCTCACTCTTTCTTTCTGCCTCTCTCTCTCTCCTTCTTTCTGTTTTTAGAGACAGGGTCTTGCTCTGTCACCCAGGCTGGAGTGCAGTGGCACAATCTCAGCTCCCTGCAGCCTCAACCTCCTGGGCTCAAGCAATCCTCCTGCCTCAGCCTCCCGAGTAGCTGGGACCACAGGTGCATGCTACCATGCCCAGCTGAATTTTTTACCTTTTTTGAGACAAAGTCTTGCTCTGTCACCCAGGTTGGAGTGCAGTGGTGCGATCTCAGCTCATGGTAACCTCCGCCTCCCAGGTTCAAGCAATTCTCCTGCCTCAGCCTCCCAAGTAGCTGGGATTACAGGTGTGTGCCACTACACCTCACTAATTTTTGTATTTTCAGTAGAGACAGGGTTTCACCATGTTGGTCAGGCTGGTCTCGAACTCCTGACCTCAGGTGATCTGCCTGCTTCGGCCTCCCAAAGTGCTGGGATTATAGGCCGTGAGCCACTGTGCCTGGCCACGCCCAGCCAATTTTTTTACTTTTTATAGAAATGGGGTCTTGTTATGCTGCCCAAGCTGGTCTCAAACTCCTGGGCCCAGCGATCCTTTCACCTCCTTATGGTGCCCGGTCTCCCAAAGTGCTGGGATGACAGGCATGAGCCACCCACCACATCTGGCCCATGTCAGCTTCCTAAGCCTCAGCTTCCTTGTCTGTGAAGTGGGGCAGTAATGGGGCCTGTGGCGGTGAAGTTCAGAGGAGGGGATGTAAACGGGGCGTTCTCTCAGGTGAAAGGCATTCAACCCAGCCTTTTGTCAGAAGACCTGGGTCTTAGCCGTGTTCCACCATCTTGGAGCTGATGAGGCAGGTTGAATCTGTCATTCTGCGCATCCTGTCGTATATGCTGCTGAGTGTTTTGTGTAGACAGTCCTGAGTGGCTGAGGTTGGGCAGATGTAGCCAGACTATGGACAGAGGCTTCCTGTGAGTCCGAAGAAGTGCCCAGCCCTGCGTTGGCCTGTCCTGGTCGGGCGTGCGGGGCGTGGAGTCTGCAGGCGTCTGTCATCTGGGCCTGGCTCCCCTCCCCTCTGTGGGCGCCACGCCTCCCGCCCTCCATGCTGACCTGAACCTCACAGTCCGGTTCCCTGGGTGGTGGACGAGTCCTTGGGTGTCTCCCACCCGCTTGGTGGCAGCCCTGCTTGCCCCTGCGGGGACCTCCCAGCACTGCACCCTCTTGGCTCCGCAGGCTTCCCTGTCCTGGGGCCGGGAGAGGTCTCTGCAGGCTGGGGAGGGGTTTCTGGAAACATTCTCAGGTGAGCTTTCCCGTGCAAGTCCCAACCTGCGCTTGTCTTGGCTCGGGAGGCCCGGAGCGGCGGGAGGAGGAAGGAAGTGGCATTTCTAGGAGCTGATGGTGTTTTCCAGGTGGGCCTGGTCGTGGCTTTTTCACCCTCGGTGTACCGTGTTGGTCGGTGGGCCCTCGTAGTGGGAGCTGGACCTGTCTCTGCAGGTATTGGAGCAGATTCACAGTGCGGAACGATGGGCTGAGTTACTCACGTTCAACCCCGCGTGTGTGATTTCAGGGGCTGAGCTTGGCGCGCCATCTCCTTGCCTTTTGAAGGCGAGTTTGGCTGTGAACGGAGCTGCTGGTTCTGATCCCGTACGCTTCCTCAGACGTTGTGGGCTTGGAGTCTGTGCCACACTCAGAAAAGCACATTTTTGTGTTTTAAAGTCTACATTTTGCCTCTTTTGGTTGCTTTAAAAATGTTAAGAGCCTTAAGTCTGCCCTTAAGCGTACGTGTCGTGTTTTCTCCAATGATGAACGGCCTCATTTTTAAAATTACACAGATTTACAATGTAATTATAGAAAATTAGAAAATACACGTCAGTACAAGTAATCAAAAAAAAAAAAACAAAAGAAAAAGAAAAAAACACATGAAAATGACCCCAACCCCACCCCCTCTCCACCCCACAGTTGCTATTAGCCTTACGGTGCATAGCCTCTAGGTTATTTACTTTATGGTTGTGTTTTTAAATTGTACAGTTTCATCGACACCCTATTTTCACTGGCAACACTGTGAACACCTTTATTCCTTGTTACATGTATCTACACCACCATTTTTAATGACCACACGGTGTTAGGTTGTTGAGAAGGACTGTGATTTATTTAATAAAGCCTGTATTGCTGACAGTGCTTCGGTGAATATTATTACACACACACATCTTTTCATTGTCGTTTATTTAATAAAGCCTCTGTTGCTGACAGTGCTTCGGTGAATATTATTACACACACACATCTTTTCAGTGTCGTTTATTTAATAAAGCCTCTGTTGCTGGCAGTGCTTCGGTGAATATTATTACAATATTTTTACATCTTTTCATAGTCATCCCGTTGTTTCTTCAAGTTCCTAAATGTGGAACTGAGGGTCCCAAGGGTGGCCACTCCAGCAGCTTTTGATATTTGTTGCAATGCCCTTAAAGAGGCAGTGCCATCCTTCCATTCATCCTTCCAGGCATCCGTTTTTTCATTCACTTTTCCCTTCCTTCCTCTCCTCTAATAGCCACCCATCCATCATCTGTCGGTCCATCCACCTGTCCATCCATCCATCTATCCATCCACCCACCCACTTGTTCATCCACCCAGCTGTCCATCCATCCATCTATCATCCATCCTTACATCCATCCATCCATCCATCCACTAATCTACTCAAATCTACTCACACACCTGTTCATCCACCCACCTGTCCATCCATCCATCTATCCATCCACCCACCCACTTGTACATCCACCCACCTGTCCATCCATCCATCCATTAATCTACTCAAATCTACTCACACACCTGTTCATCCACCCACCTGTCCGTCCATCCATCTATCCATCCATCCATCCGTTGATCTACTCACCCACCTGTTCATCCACCCACCTGTCCATCTATCCATCCATCCATCCGTTGATCTACTCACCCACCTGTACATCCACCCACCTGTCCATCCATCCATCATCCATCCTTACATCCATCCATCCATCCATTAATCTACTCAAATCTACTCACACACCTGTTCATCCACCCACCTGTCCGTCCATCCATCCATCCATCCATCCATCCGTTATTCTACTCACCCACCTATTCATCCACCCACCTGTCCGTCCATCCATCTGTCCATCCATCCATCCATCCATCCGTTGATCTACTCACCCACCTGTTCATCCACCCACCTGTCCATCCATCCATCCATCCGTTGATCTACTCACCCACCTGTTCATCCACCCACCTGTCCATCCATCCATCGATTCATCTACTCACCCATTTGTCCATCCATCCATCCGCTCACCCACCTGTTCAATCCACCCGCCTGTCCATCCATCCATCCATCCATCCATCCATTCATTCGTCTACTCACCCACCTGTACATCCATGTGTCCATTCACTCATCCGTTCATCCACCCACCCATCCAACCATCCATATTGTGCTGAGGAGCTTCTGCGTCAGACCCGGGCTGGGCACTAGAGCCTGCAAGGAACATGTGGTCTCCATCTGAGAGCTCAGTCAGCTGTGGGAGGCGGAAGCCATCCGTGGAGTGAGAAGCACAGGAACTGAGGTGTTGCAGGAGGGGGAGGCATCAGGATCGGGAGTGGTGTGGGCGGGGGCTTTCAAAAGGTTTGTGATCTCTGAGCCACAGGCCAGGTAGGACTGGAACCCGGGACAGGCCGTTTCCTGGAAACTGTCCTGACCCAGCACCACTGGCCAGCCCTGACCCAAATAGCAGGGGCTCCTTACTGGACGCCTGCCCAGAGAGAGCTGGGGGTGGCCGTCCCAGACGCTCAGGCCCTCAATCCCCAGCTTAGAGACCAGTCCAGGGCACAGATGGAGAGAGAGACAGAGAGAGGGAGGGGTGGACGAGAGGGAGGCACATGCTCTGCTCGGAGGAGGGCTCTGCCCCTATAGGGAAGCCAGACCGTGGAGGAGCGTTCATGATAGGGGCTTCAGCCTGACTTCACCTCTTCCTGGCTTCTTGACCTTGGGTGAAGTTACTTTGTGTCTTGTTTCCTTATCTGGAAACTGGACGGAACAGCAGTGCTGACCTCATAGGGGCGGGTGAGGATGGAGCAAGAGACAGACCAGGGGCTCTGCCCTCGGCCCCCGCAGGAAGGGCCGGCTGGAATGTCTTCGTGTTTTTCTTTCTCTTACCAGGCCTGAGAGCTGGGGGCCTTCCGTGTCCCCAGAACCCAGCACAGCCTCTGATGCAGAAGTGCGAAGCTGTGTTTGTTGATGGGGTAGGTGGGGCAACCCACATGTGAGACGATTTAAAATCTGAGCCAGCAGCTTCACGTAACCTTCCAGAGTGACTGCTGGATGAGAAGAGAAAACTGTTTTTTACAGACAGAAGAGGCCAGGGCCTTTTAATGCCATTAAGTGCTGAGAGAAAGAGGAAGCCATGGGGGTTTTGTGTGAAAGGGGCAGACAGTGGAAAAAGAGGGTGAAGCCGTGCGGGGGGGACATGGACAGAGCTGACCTCACCTCGGGGCTGTTGCCTGGAGACGTTTGTGTTCAGGCCTTTGTCGGCGATGAGCTGGTGACATTCGGGCATTAACATTTCCTCTGAAGAAAAATGGGGCTCCCAGACCTTTTTGGTACACGAGGCTGGGCTCTCTGGGCTCTGCTGATCACAGAGAGTTGGGGACTGTGTTCCTCCGTCCCTGGGGAGATGAGGGACACCTGTGTGGCCAACGGAGCAACCCAGTGAGGCTCATTTAAGAGGCACTCCAGGAGGGGCTGCTCTGAGCGGGGCCACGCCCAGGCACCTGGGTGTGTGGAAAGTCGGCTTTCATTGATACCAAGGACTGAACAGCCCCCTCTGGAGACTGAAACCTCCCAGGAAGGGTTTCAGCCCACCCCTGCCTTTGCTTAGGCTGTGGTAGAAGCACGTGAGTGGAACGTGAGCCTCGAGTCACTGGGGTGCAGCCACATTGACCTGCCCCCTGTTCATGGGGAGTTCTGTCATGTCCATCGTGGCCCAGCGTGTGATGGCAGGAACCAGAAGCACTGGAAACGTCCATCTGGGCAGGAACAGGTGAAGGAGCGAGGGTTTTCATATAGAGAATGCCAGGCAGGGCGGGTGCAGCGGCTCATGCCTGTAATCCCAGCACTTTGGGAGGCCAAGGTAGGAGGATTGCTTGAGGTCAGGAGTTGGAGACCAGCCTGGGCAACATAGCGAGACCCATCAATTAAAAAATAAAAAATAAAAATAAGCAGGCGTGGTGGCACGTGCCTGTAGTCCCAGCTACTTGGGAGGCTCAGGTGAGAGGACACCTTAAACCCAGGAGTTGGAGGCTGCGGTGAGCTGTGATCGCACCCCTATACTCCAGCCTGGGCAACAAAATGAGACCCCATCTCTTAAAAGAAAAAAAAGAATACTAGGCAGCTGTAAAAGGAGCAAAGAAGCTTCCAGATTTATGTTTTCACCCAGGTGCATTTCAGAAAATATGGGTCAGGAGGGAGAATAGAATTGTGAAAGGGTATCTTTCTGTCAGTGATATGCAAATGATGCAGACACCACTGGAAATGCACGCTTTTCACGGGTGCACACGTGTGGTCACGGATGCCCATGTGTGAAGTGGAGACGCATAGCAAGGGTGGTGGAGGCAGCACTTGCCCTCCACACCTGGGCCCGGAGGAGGCTGGAGCCGCAGCTGTGATGCTGGACAGTTTTCCAGGAGAGAGTGGTGGAGGCAGCAGGGTCCTGAGCTGGGTGGTGGGGGGTACACAGTGTCCATTTGATTACTTAAGGCATTTAATGGAATATTTTACCATTATAAGTTGAAATATTTTTTTAAAAAAGAGGGAGGAATTGTAAAATGATTTCTTAAAGGTCTGTTCATTCTGAGAACCCATACTTTGTGGTTTTGAAGAAATGCAGTTTAGAGAACGGTGCCAGGGCGGCTCCTGCAGATGCGTGCACCAGGGAGGCCGTGGCCAGGAAATGTCCCCACCGGGGCCAGGTGCCCGGGACTGGGGCTGGGGCAGCATGGCCAAGCCCCACCACCCATGGGCGGAGAGTGGAGGGCCCCCAGCTCTCCCTACAGCCCTGCCACCCACTGACCCCTCCCCAGGTGGGAGGACAGTGGAGGCCCCCCGGCCCTCCCTACAGCCCTGCCACACACTGACCCCTCCCCAGGTGGGAGGACAGTGGAGGCCCCCCGGCCCTCCCTACAGCCCTGCCACACACTGACCCCTCCCCAGGTGGGAGGACAGTGGAGGCCCCCCGGCCTTCCCTACAGCCCTGCCACACACTGACCCCTCCCCAGGTGGGAGGACAGTGGAGGCCCCCCGGCCCTCCCTACAGCCCTGCCACACACTGACCCCTCCCCAGGTGGGAGGACAGTGGAGGCCCCCCAGCCTTCCCTACAGCCCTGCCACACACTGACCCCTCCCCAGGTGGGAGGACGGTGGAGGCCCCCCAGCCCTCCCTACAACCCTGCCACACACTGATCCCTCCCCAGGTGGGAGGACAGTGGAGGCCCCCCAGCCCTCCCTACAGCCCTGCCACACACTGACCTCTCCTGCAGTTCTGCCTTCCTCCCGGAGGAAACAGGAAACTGAGTTGCCAGGGAAGTTGGGAACAAGGACTCAAAAAAGAAGCACTTCTTAAATAGAGAGAAAACAACCACTATTTTAAGAATGACTTATTTATGGACCCTGGAATCAGGAGGGTCAGGGCTGTCTGGATCTTTGATTTCATATTTGTTTCCTGGGTGGCTCAGCCCCCATCCCTGGGAGTCAGGGTGCACCTGTGGGCCCGCAAAGGTTTCCAAGAATCTCCTTTTTAAGTAATCAGGGCAGGCAGGAGGCCACCCTCGGAGTGTCCCCGTGGGTGCACTCCCTGCCTGGGTCTCTGGTTTCTCTGCGTCACATTGTGGGCTGAGTGCTCTTTGAGGGGTCTGGTCTCCGAAGGTGGTTATTGCATCTGTTAATAAGAGTGTGACGCTGGCACCGTGTTCTGGGGTAGGTGCCTCTCTACCTTCCTGGCCGACAGGTGCTTCCCCACTTGTCCCGGGTGCCTCTGCCAGCTCCCCCATGCCCCTTGGGTCCTGTCTGCATGGTCCATTTCACATCCAGATTTGGAACATTGGACAGCCAGGCTTCCTGGTTGGCGCAGCCCTGAGACTCGGCCTCACCGGCTTCGAGTTTGCGTGTCATGAAGGGTCTGTGTTTTCCACAGAGAGGTTCCGAATGCACATGTCACTTCTGTGTCAAGGGTCCCAGGCTCCTTCGACTGAAAGTGTTCTCCCTGAAAGGAAAACAATGCAGAAAACATGTCATCAAGATTGCTGGTTGTATTCTAGTAGAATTGTATTTACCGATGGGAGAATGTTCACAATCTATTGTTACTTTTGTTTTTCTAAATGGAGTTCAAAATGCATGTATGGCATGACCCCATTTTTGTAAAAACCAAAACAGCAAACTGCGTCTGTGCACAGAACAGAAATGGGGCTGGGAGGTTGTGTGCCCAGGGCTGGCGGTGCCATCTCTGGCCTTCGGGTCATGAAGGATTTCAATTTTCTTCTTTGAACTCTCATGGATTTTCTCATTTTCCCCAATGACTGTGAAGCGATTTACACAAGACTGTGAAATGAGGGGAGGAAGGGTTTAAATGTCCCTGTGCTGCCTGCAGCCCTAATTTGGCGTGTTTTGCTTTTCAGTGACATATTCGATGCCATGTTCCCTGTCACTCACATCGCTGGGGAGACTGTTATACAGCAAGGTACGTTCTGCCTGCTCCTCGGAGCCAAAGTCCAGAGGGGAAAAATGGACTATGCACTTAAAAAAAAAATAGCATAAGGGCAGGCACGATGGCCCACGCCTGTAATCCCAGCACTTTGGGAGGCTGAGGTGGGCAGATCACCTGAGGTCAGGGGTTCGAGACCAGCCTGGTGGTCCAGGTGACCAGCATGGTGAAACCCTGTCTCTACTAAAAATAAAAATTAGCTGGGTGTGGTGGCGGGTGCCTGTAATCCCAGCTGCTCCAGAGGCTGAGGCAGGAGAATCGCTTGAACCTGGGAGGCGGAGGTTGCAGTGGGCTGAGATCACGCCATTGCACTCTAGCCTAGGTGATACAGTAAGACTCTGTCTCAAATTTCAAAAGGATATATATAGACTTGTACATACATACACACATATAATATGCATATATGTCTACATATATATGCACGTATATGTGCACACATATGTGTGTACATGTATACATATATGTACACATATATACATATGTGTGTGTATAAAATAGATACATATATGTATAAAACTAAGTAAATATAAAATATATACATATGTATAAAACTAAAGTAATATAAAATTATACACACACACACACACACACACACACACGCATAAAATTCTCATTGTGAGGCCGGGCGCGGTGGCTCACGCCTGTAATCCCAGCACTTTGGGAGGCCGAGGCGGGTGGATCACCTGAGGTCAGGAGTTTGAAACCAGCCTGGCCAACATGGTGAAACTCCATCTCTACTAAAACTACAAAAAAATTAGCTGGGCGTGGTGGCAGGTGCCTGTAATCCCAGGTACTCCAGAGGCTGAGGCAGGAGAATCGCTTGAACCTGGGAGGTGGAGGTTGCAGTGAGCCGAGAGCCTGACTCCGTCTCAAAAAAAACAAAAAACAAACAAAAAGAAAAACACCTCTCATTGTTTAGAGAAAGTTCACTAATGAAACTTAAGAACAGGCTCTTTAACAAGTTATCTCAATGTTTGTATAATCTTGTCATTAAAAAGAATTGGTAGCACCCAGGATGTTGCTTCGAGGGTCTCTGCAACAGTGTTGCGAAAGTCGTTTGCAAGAGAAACTGTAACTTGTATGTCTGGATGTACTTTGTATCTGTTGACTTTCTTCTTTTGTTACAGGGAATGAAGGAGACAACTTCTATGTCGTTGATCAAGGGGAAGTGGATGTGAGTGTCGCTAACTTGTCTTTGGAAAATAGCGCGTCTTTGCATGTCCGGTGTGAAGACTTGCCCTCCAGGCAGCACCAGGCCCCCAACAAACACTGCGCTGAGTGCCGTATTCCTAGTGTTTTAATCCAGAAATGCAACTGCTATCTCTTGGAAGAGAATATGGGAATATGAGAAAGTGCAGAGGGAAACAAGGGTGATGCTGGCAGGTGCCGGCAGCGGCCTCAGGTTTTCCAGGGCCGCTGTCTTCCGCTTGCCCCCGGGCTGCGACTGCTGGGGCTGGCCAGGGCGGTTCTGTTTGACCCAGCGCCGTCTCCAGATCCGAGGCCGATGAATACACCAGGCTCACCCACCACATGGGATGTTAACATCTCAAAGTGGGTGGGAGAGCGACGTGCTTAGAGACCCCCTAGGACCGACGACTTCACGATCAAACAACGGCTGCCTTTTGCGCCTGCGTTTGGCTCCCAGCTTGGAACGTCCCAGCCGTGAGTCGGGTCTCACTGTGTCATCTTCCCACGCTTGTCTCAAGAGCATCTTTTATGAGATGCTCCCACTGTTTTGGAAGGAGAAGCTTCCCCTCCGCTGGAGACCCCGTCTCGTGCCCGATGGCCAGGCCATGTGTATGTGTATGTATAAAATAGATACATATATGTATAAAACTAAGTAAATAAACACATACACACGGCACATGACATCACCCCTGGCCCCGCAGCCCAGTCTTGCCCAGAGCCTCTGGCTCCCATCTCTTCTGCCGTCCGGTTTAGAGCCTGGGTGCTCTGGTGTGAAGGCTTTGAGGCCCCCTCATCCCCCGCTGGGCTCCTGTTCTGCAGGCCGCCCCCCGCACGGCAGCCTGACCTTGCTGGTGCGGAGCTGATGGTGCAGCCTCTGGGAAAACGCCCGCTAGGAGTTTGTTTCCCTTTGAATCAGGCCCGAGCCCCTGCGGAGTCAGCGGGAAGGACCTCAGTGACATCATCCTCCCTCGGTTCCTGGAATCCGCCTGCACTGGCGGCCCCAGGGCCTTGGTGTGTGTCCCCTGCTCTGCCGGGAACCCCGTTAGCTCCTGCTTCTCCTTCTGCTCTCTGCTAAATGTCACTTCCCAGTGGGCATCAGCAGACATGTCCCACGCCTCCCTCGTAGGACCCTCTGCGGCTCGTGGTGATGACATCTCATGAGACCGTCTCTTTACGGCCTTTCTGCACACAGACTGGAAGCCCCCACAGTGCAGGACGCTTTGGGGATTCTGCTACCCGAGACGGTCACTGCTTCCCAGGCTGGCTGAGTCTTCTCTGGGTCTGGGATGCCTGCCTGCCCTTCTCCTTGTCCGCCTGCCCTTCTCCTTGTCCACCTGCCCCAGGAGGTGGCCTCCGCACTCTTCCGTGCAGGCAACGCCACCCCCGGCTGCCCAGCACGAGCTATTTCGAGGTCTGGCCTCCGGTGGCTGTGCCTCTGTCCCGGCCACGCTATTCTGGGGAGGGCATTTACTCATTTGTTTCCGTGGCAGCCGCGGAGTCTGTCCCCCATCGCGCTGTGTTTCTGGGAACCTGAGCAGGCCCACTCTGCTTCCGGAGCTGATAGCACAGGAAATGACTCAGGGGTCCCGCCTCCCCGTGGGGGGCACGTGCCTCGGGCCTGGCCCGCGCAGGCGGAGAAAGAGCCAGTTTCTCTTCTCCCTGGTGTGCTCTGTCCTGAGCCGGAACCCACGGGCTGGGCCCCTAGACAGGGCCTCTGGGGCAGACCTTTGTGTCAGGGAGTGGGGGTGCTCCTGTCTCCCCTAGAGATGGAAACTGAGGCAGGTGCCAAAGGTCCCGGGTACTGCCCGGCCTCAGAGGAAGTGTGGAGGGGGAAGGCTGGAGGGCGGCACTGGCGGGTCAACCCTGGGCTCAGCTGCCAGGCCGCAGAGTCATCTCCTGCTGGCTTTGCTTCGAGTTTAAAAAAAGCCTAGCCCAGGAAATAGAGAAGACAGAGGAGGATGCGGCCAGCATCCCAGCCGGGCATCGTCTTGGGGCCTGGGCCCGTCCCAGGAGGTGGCCCCGTTGTGCCTGGTATCCAGACACCAGGGCCTGATGGGGGGCTGCAGGGAATGGGGCTCAGCCCCCAGCAGATGGGGCAGGGCTGATCCCAGAGAGACCCTGGCAGCCCAGGCCTGCCCAGTGGTCAGCAGTGCTGAAGGCAGAGCCACCTCTGCGGGAGGTATGGGATGGGCAGCTTCCTGACTGGACCCACCGCTTTATCCCAGCCCCAAATCTCATGCTACTACTTATAGCCCCTCTTCTAGTTCACACTCTGGGTCCTGGTGTCACCGTGTCACCTCCTCCCCCGCCCTGTCCATTCTGGGTCCTGGTGTCACCATGTCACCTCCTCCCCCGCCCTCTCCACTCTGGGTCCTGGTGTCACCTCCTCCCCCATCCCCTCCACTCTGGGTCCTGGTGTCACCTCCTCCCCCACCCTCTCCACTCTGGATCCTGGTGTCACCTCCTCCCCCATCCCCTCCACTCTGGGTCCTGGTGTCACCGTGTCACCTCCTCCCCTGCCCTCTCCACTCTGGGTCCTGGTGTCACCTCCTCCCCCATCACCTCCACTCTGGGTCCTGGAGTCATCATGTCGCCTCCTCCCCTGCCGTCTCCTTCCTGGATGTTTATTGAGTGCCTGCTTTATGCCTGGCACTTGTGACGAGGAGGACCTGGTGCCTGCTCTGGTGTGGGGGAGGTTGTGGCTTAATGGGGGAGAGGGACCAAGAACAGGAAATTAGCCAATGAATGTCCTGACTCTGGTTCTGCCCCTCCTGTCCCCTCTGCTTTCATTCCTGCTCTGCCTCACAAACTCCTACACATCCTACAAGACCCCGCCAGGCCCAGCTCATCTATCTGCGGCTGGGCTTTGATAGATACTGACCTCCGCAGATGACCGAGGACCTGCCTCCCTGCGGTGGGCCTGGGAGCTCCATAGGTCCCCACTGAGGCCTTTCCTCCCCTGTGGAATGCTTCTCCCTCTTCTGTGTCTGCCCATGTCATTCAAATCTTCCAGTTAAATTCCAAAGGCATCTTCAAGGTGCCGGTTTGCATCGGCAGGGCTTGGGGTTGAGGCCACCCCCAGGAATTCTGCTTTCCATGTTCTTTGCTTCTCCTAAATGAACAGATGTGGAAGAGACAAACCCTTTACCCAGAGATCCCTTGTGGAGCCTGAAACCGACATGGGGCTCCCAGGTTATGTTCCCGCCTAACTTGTCGTGTCTCGAGGAGGGTGGTGGACGGGTCAGGATCGCGTGGACTCGGGACTCAGAGGACCCAGGCTGTGTTCTTTGCTGGCCGTGACCTTTGCCCAGGCCCTTGTGTGGCTGAGCCGTGCCATTTCCATATTACTCAGAAAAACGAACAGAGCTCACTGCTGCCGGGAAGACTGAGATAACCCTCCTGGGGTTCTGCTCTTGGCCCCTGGTGTGGAAGCCATTGGCCGCCTGGCAGCTGCCCCGCCCCGTCTCATGTCCCCAACACACGCACCGCAAGAGCCTCGTCCACCCCACAGAGGAAACGCCCACCACCCACGCCCCGGGCTTGTCCTCATCTTCAGCGCGGGTGGCCACCCTCCTGCCCCAGCGCCAGGCCCCAGCCGGCAGCATGCTGAGGACTTCCTGGGAGAGGTGAGGGTGTGAGGGGCCGGCGGCTGGGACTGCTGGAGGGATCAGGTCCCTGTCTTTCCGCCGTTGGCCTCCAGGCTCCCGGGAGCCCCACCTGGGCCAGGACCTCGGCAAAGGGGCCGGGAGGTGTTGCTGCCCCGGCTGACCTTGGCGGGACCTCCTCCTCCTCCTCCTCATCCTCGCAGAATCCCCACCCACCCCTCGACCTCTGGACTCAGTGAGGCATCTCCCTTCCCTCCGTCCTTCCAGCAGGACAGACCCCCCCTCCCCCCGCCGCCGTCTGTAACTCCTTCATACATGACAGGGTGGTGGGAGAGGCCGGTGCCGGAGCCACTTCAAAGCAGGGACCGTTTCCTCCAGCCCTGAGCTCACTGGGTCCCCTCCCAGCCCAGCCCCTGCCCTGGCCCAGTTAGCGTGGGGTCGGGGCTGAAGCCTGAGTGGAGGGGAGACGGTTTTCTCTCAGACACGACGCGTCGTGGCGTCCTGCCTGGCTTCTCGCCAGGCCCGGGGACGTTGGGAGGCAATTTTGAGAAAGGAAAGAGTGAGGTCACCCTCGTGTAACTGGAGTTCCCCAAATATATTGTCCTGGCAAATCCCTCCCCTTCCCCCTCCCCATCCCCCTGCCCGTCCCTGCGCCTCCCCCTGCCCGTCCCTACCCCTCCCCAGCCCCCCCGGGTCAGGCACAAAGGCAGCTTTAAGGCCTCTGCTGGACCCGGCCCTCCAGAGCCAGGATGTCTGAGCCCCGTGGGTGGATGCCCACTTCCTGGCTACAGGCTCACGTGGGATGGCCGGGCCCCCTGCGGGAACCGGCTGTGACTTATGGGGCTGTCCCGTGAGTCCCAGGCGGCTGTGCACGAACACCAAGCACCTCCATCAACTTCAGATTTTCCAGCCAGGGCAGGGGTGGGCGTCAGGGAGTGCCCGGCGGGGCCGGGCGGGGCCGGGCGCAGGAGCTGCCTGCAGGGGCCCTCCTGTGATGTGGGAGGCCCTTCGCATGCAGGGTAAATCCGCAGGGCCCGTGTGGGTGAAGGCCACATTTAAGGGAATCAAAGGATGCTCAGTAAGGAATCTGGAATGAAAAAGTGGCATGTTGGGTAGCCCGGGTGAGTTATGGGCATATGTATTATAATAATTACTGTTATTACAGCACCCGGGGGAACGGCCGCATGGCAGCCCCAGGCAGCCCCATCCAGCTGCTGTGTGAACCCTGGGTGCTGCATGTTGTTTGCTGGTTTCTGTAAATCGCCTCCCTGGGGCAATGGGATGGATGTACCCTGGGTTCGGGGCTGCAGGACTACGGCTACCCAGGGTCCGAGTGGGTTTCTGAGGCTAGCGGTTTTCCCTGGTTTTATTCTGCGTGGCGGGAAGGGACGGCCGTTTGCCGTGGGTATTTAACTGCGCTGGCCAAGTGCCGGAGGCCCATCAGGAAGCCGTCCCCTCAAGGACCTGGCCCTGGCCCTTTAAGCCAGCAGAGCTTGGAGGTGGACGTCACCCACTTCTGCAGGGTGGACGCTGCCCTCTGACCAGCAGCGTCCAGGGGGACGGCCAGGTGACAAAATGCCAAGAGCACCAGGTTCAGTTTGAATTACGGTTTTCCAGAGACTCCGAAAGTGCCTGCTGCCGTCCGTGTGTTGCCAAGAGCTATAATCCATTTTTCTAAGTATAAAAATATCTTCCAATGTATTTTATTCATGGAACATAGCATTTCTATTTAAAAGGACACTCAGCTGCTGACTTTGCAGGCCTGGGAACGTAGCTCCCTTCCAAGCCCTGTTTGGGGCTCGACTCTTCCCCTGATTGTTTTTGGGCCCGTTATCCCGACTCCCTCTTTTTGCTCCCCGTCCCAGGCATCACGACGTCCCCACTGACGCTGGCCGTTCCGGGCTTCCCTCGGTTTCACACAACACGTCTGGGGGAAGAGCTCTTTCTGGGGGGCTGGGGAGCACCGCCAGGCAGCTGGGTGTACCCCGGAGCAGGGCGCCTCAGCTTGGTGATCTGATCAGATGTTATTCAGGTTGTGTCTTGTGTTCTGTGTGTTTTTAAAATTCGTTTTTTAATTTTTTGAGATGGGGTCTCGCTCTGTCGCCCAGGCTGGGAGTGCGGTGGCGTGATCATAGCTCATTGCAGCCTTGAACTCCTGGGCTCAAGCGATCCTCCCGAGAAGCTGGGACTACCACTGTGCACCACCACGTCCAGCTAATTTTAAAGTTTTTCATAGAGACGGGGTCTTGCTGTGTTGCCCAGGCTGGTCTCAGACTCCTGGCTTCAAGCAATCCTCCCGCCTGGGCTTCCCAAAGTGCTGTGATGACAGGTATGAGCCACTGCCCTCGGCCCTACTTTAATTGTAGTAAAAGACACACCACACTGACCATTCTAACCATTTTGTGCAGTTCGGTGGCATTAAGAATATTCACGTTGTTTTACAACCGTCACCACTGTCCATTTCCCAAATGTTCTTGTCTTCTTAAACTGAAGCTCTGTCCACATTACACACTCCCTGCCCATGCGCCTCCCCCAGCTCCTGGCACCCCTGTCCCACCATTGACTTCTAAACACAGAGGGTGAGCGAGTGAAGGTGAATGGGGGGCCTGCCCGTGCGCCTCCCCCAGCTCTTGGCACCCCTGTCCCACCATTGACTTCTAAACACAGAGGGTGAGCGAGTGAAGGTGAATGGGGGGCCTGCCCGTGTGCCTCCCCCAGCTCCTGGCACCCCTGTCCCACCATTGACTTCTAAACACAGAGGGTGAGCGAGTGAAGGTGAATGGGGGGCCTGCCCATGTGCCTCCCCCAGCTCCTGGCACCTCTGTCCCACCATTGACTTCTAAACACAGAGGGTGAGCGAGTGAAGGTGGGCAGGGGGCAGGGCAGAGCCAGGTGTGAGCTCGGCGCCAGAGAAGCTGCAGTGATGGTGGGGTGTAAATGCTGCCCCGCGGGGGACCCCCATTGTTTTTTCTTTTAAAAGAAGAGAAGCTGGGCGTGGTGGCTCACGCCTGTAATCCCAGCACTTTGGGAGGCCGAGGTGGGTGGATCACCTGAGGTCAGGAGTTTGAGACCAGCCTGACCAACATGGAGAAACCCCGTCTCTACTAAAAATACAAAATTAGCCGGGCGTGGTGGCAGTTGCCTGTAATCCGGGAGGCTGAGGCGGGAGAATCGCTTGAACCTGGGAGGCAGAGGTTGCGGTGAGCCGAGATCGCACCATTGCACTCCAGCCTGAGGAACAAGAGCGAAACTCCATCTCAAAAAAAAAAAAGAGAGAAAACAAAAAAATGAAACACAACAAGAAGTAGCCCCTTTGCGTACCAGCTGGGGTGGGGCCCGCACTGCGCCGGGAGTGGTGACAGTGGCCAGTGTCCTGAGAAGGATGGCCCCTTTGTCCTCCGGGCGGCCGAGCACAGTGTGGCCCTGGCCGTCTGTGGGACCCGCACAATGGCTTCCTCTGAGGCTGCGGAGGGAGCTCTCGGAGGCCTTGGGCTTCTCCAGGCCTCATGGGCAGCGCGTCCTGGTCCAGCTTCCCTGGGTCCTGCCTGCAGCGGCAGCAGCCACGGATCCCCGCTTTGAGACAGAATCCCAGAAAGCTGGGAGGTGCGGCCGTCCCGGGCTGGCTCTGTGGAGACTCACCCTTCTCTGCTCCCAGAGCCCCCATCCTCTTTGCCAAGGCAGGGGGATGTCCTGCCACTTGCCTGGGCAGCCATTCGAGGGGGTGGTGTCCTCATTCCCTGAAGGGGCCAAGAGGCTCACTCACCTCCTTGGGCACAAGATGTTACCCGCCTCCCTGGCTCTCCCATGTCAAGCAAACCCCTCCCGACCTCAGATTCACATCTTCTGAGTCCACACTGCTTTCGTGGCTCAGCAAGAGGCCCCTGCATCGGAACAGAAGTGCAGAGGGTGCTGGAGGGAGGGTGATAGTGTTTAGTGCGGAGGGTGCTGGAGGGAGGGTGATGATGTTTAGTGTGGAGGGTGATGGTGTTTGGTGCGGAGGGTGCTGGAGGGTGATGGTATCTAGTGTGGAGGGTGCTGGAGGGTGATGGTGTTTAGTGTGGAGGGTGCTGGAGGGTGATGGTGTTTAGTGTGGAGGGTGCTGGAGGGAGGGTGATGGTATTTAGTGTGGAGGGTGCTGGAGGGTGATGGTGTTTAGTGTGGAGGGTGCTGGAGGGAGGGTGATGGTGTTTAGTGTGGAGGGTGCTGGAGGGAGGGCGATGGTGTTTAGAGCGGAGGGTGCTGGAGTGAGGGCGATGGTGTTTAGTGTGGAGGGTGCTGGAGGGAGGGCGATGGTGTTTAGTGTGGAGGGTGCTGGAGGGAGGGTGATGGTGTTTAGTGTGGAGGGTGCTGGAGGGTGATGGTGTTTAGTGCGGAGGGTGCTGGAGGGAGGGTGATGGTGTTTAGTCTGGAGGGTGCTGGAGGGTGATGGTGTTTAGTGCAGAATGCCTCCTGAAGCTGTGCCAGTGGCGACTGCCACCCCAGGCGTGCATGTCACGTACAGGGATGCTCCTGGCAGCACGACGTGCTGTGGACCCTGGAGTCCGTCACCTGCAGCGTGGATAGACACGGTGAGACCCACAGGGTGAGCTCCGGATCCCTCTGGGGAAGAGTCCCCTGGGAGTTTGTGAGGCCCCGATCTGAGCGATGTGAAACTCACTGTGCTGCAAGAGTTGGGCACGTTCCTATTTGCAAGTTCTGCCTCCATAAACTGGTTTTGACAAAACCTTAGGCAAAGTGGGAGTGTCCACTGCGAGGCGGAAGGCCAGGCTGTGCCCAGGCCATTGCAGGCCCTCTCCAGCTTCATCGCCCGCAGGCCAGGCTGTGCCCCGGCCATCGCAGGCCCTTCCCCCGGCTTCATCGCCAGTCCTCCCCTAGCTCTGGGTCCCCTTTGAGAAGCAAGAGGCAGAGGTTCTGGAGGGCATTCTCTGAGGTCCCCTCGCCCCTAAAACGCTGGAGTTGCTGCCTCCTCCACGTATCCCTGCACGCGCGGGTGGGTACTCTCTGGCTCCGTGGAAGGACGGCCGTCTTCTGATTCCTGGAGGGGATCACTGGGGGGAAGCTGGTGTTTCTTCTGCCCCGTAATCCTGCTCCAGCCTCCCTCCAGGAACTGGGGAGCCTGGTGGGCCAGGTGGAGATGATCCCCACATCCCCGCCAGGCAGAGTCTGCCTTTGCACAGCAGTCGCCCCTGTGCCTCCGAAAGTTCGTGGTCGACCAGTTCTCCCCAGCGCTCACTTGTACCTAATTGTGGAGTTACACCTGCGTGGCCTTTTCTTTCAGATAGAAGACTCTGTGCCTCAGTTATTATCCAGATAATGAGTCATTGATTTCAGTAAGAATTGATTCCATGATTCATTGCAATCCATTCTTTCCCGATATGCAACCAATGGGAACTGCTTTGCCAATGGGAACTATTCTTTAAGCTCATTGACACCCAGAGGGGATAAAGCGTGTATTGTGTCAATTTATAGTAACGGAATCTGCATAATCACTGCATAATAAACAATCTGCACCATTCTTGCACGGACCCAACTGTGATGCTCAATGCATAGTAGGCACCCTGTGCGGGGGCGGCGGCCCACCCGGGCTGAAAGGGAATCTTGTCTGGGCTCCTTCCCAGGCGCAGCTCGGCCGCAGCGCCCAGCCATAGGGCGCCCATTCAGACTCCAGCCCGAGGAGCTCAGGCGCTGCCTGTAGGGAGGGAGGCCCTGGCAGGAGAGGTCTGCACTTGAGGCCGCCCGGCTCCTTCGGGGCCCAGTGGTGTGTGCTGGTGGAGGTGGGGACAGAGGAATGGCCTGGGGTGGAGAGGAAGCACACAGGTCCCCAGAGCAGAGCCCCGTGGGGATCACAGGCTCCAGCTCATCACGGTGCAGCTAGGGAAACTGAGGCCCAGAGAGGCTGAGTGAGAAGTTGACGGATTGAATCAGACACTGCCTGGGAGTCAGGCTGGGGCCGCTGTGCCGCAGAGCGGGGGCCGGGTGCGTCCGCCTCTGGTGTGGTTGTCTCATTGGCACTGGCGGCTGGGCCCTCCTGCTGTGGAGGTCTGATGCTGTCCCACCGTGGCTCTCAGCAGGGCTGGGGGTGGGGTGAGCACTGGGGTCCACAGGCCCATTGCTGGGGAACGCAGGGCTCTGCCCACAAGCGAAAGGGCTTGTGCCCCGCCCTGCGGGGACCCTCTTCTGGAGAGAGCTAAGGGGGACTTTCTGTATGGGATGCAGAGGAGGTCACCCTGCCTGGCCCCCGTGACACTTCTCTCTCTTGCTCCCCAAAGGTGTACGTGAACGGAGAGTGGGTGACCAACATCAGCGAGGGAGGCAGCTTCGGGGAGCTGGCGCTCATCTACGGCACCCCCAGGGCTGCGACCGTGAAAGCCAAGACGGACCTCAAGCTCTGGGGGATCGACCGGGACAGCTACCGGCGCATCCTTATGGTGAGTTGGTGCCCAAGCACAGAGAAGGCCAACACCCACCCTTGGCCAGGCGTCCCTGGGAACCCTAGCTCTATTCAAGGTGGGGATGCACCTGGAGAAAAGACACTTCCAACCTCCCTGACAGATCTGGCCTGTGAGAGGAGTGGAAAGGGGTGGAGGGATTCTGGAAGCTTCTTAGAAGACAGGTGGCTGGGGAGGCCCCTTCACCGTCCTCCTTTTCTCCTTCCCACTGTCTGGACTGTGGTTGTGATGGCTGGTGCTCCAGCTGCCATGTTGGGCCAGGAGGTGACTATGAGCGTGAAACCCACTCACCATGGTGATGGAGCAAAGAGGTGTGAGGAGCGTGGTTCCCTGCCGACACGGTGGCTGCTCACCCACGGGCTTCCTGTGTGTGGGGACTGACTCTTGGGCTTTTAGCTTTTTTTCTTATATGTGGCCAGATCTACTCTGAGCCACGTACCCTGTACTGTGTGTGTTGTGTGCACACGTGGGTGTATGCCTGTGCTTGCTGTGGGCGGCGGGGGTGCTATGGGCCGATTCAGCTGCCACGGCTGGTGTTTGTAGGGGCTCCTGGAGGTGAGCTCGTGGGGAGCCCGGGGAGGACCCTTTCCAGGGAGAGGAGACCCTCCACGCCCTCCCCGCACACACCCCACCTGCCAGGCCCTGTTCTGGGTGCAGGTCTGTGGGGAACACAGGCAGGGCAGCTGGAGTCTTGTCCTGGTGGAGGCGGCCGTGAACACCCGGCCCCAGAGGGTGATTCCTGTGGAGAAGGACCAAGCCGAGAAGCAGGTGGAGGCAGACGGAGTGGGGCGGGGGGGACTGCTGTTCCGTGGAGGGGCCTCAGAGACCCCCCTGATAAGGTGGCATTGAGCAGAGCCTCAGGGCAGGACGCCCGGGTGCCGGAAGCAGCCCAGGAGCGTGAGGGCCGAGGAACAGCAGCACAGGGCTGGGCCAGGGCTGAGGGGCCTGTGTGGATGAGGAGGCCTTCCCGCGTGGGGCAGTGAGGCGCTGTCCAGAGAGGGCGGGGAGGGCTCCAGGCCGAGGACCCGCAGCTTCTGCAGGAAGCACCCTGTCAGAGTGCTCAGGAGCCACGGTGGGAGCTTGAGGGCAGCTGTGACCAGATGTGGACCCAGTTCCCTGGGCCGGTTTGGGGCCATCCAGTGAGCGTAGACAGCACCCCGTGCGGCCATTCATCCTGGGAAGCTCTGGGTCTGCCACAGTGTCTGGGGTCCCTTGGTGGTCTGGGGACCCTCATAGTTTGGAGTCCCCTTGTGGTTTGGGTGGTCTCGTCATGATCTGGGGGGGACTCCTCATGGTCTAGGGGATCCCCTCATGGTCTTGGGGTCCCCTCATAATTTGGGGTCCTCTCATGGTCTGGGGGAGTCCCCTCATGGTCTAGGGGTCCCCTTATGGTTTGGGATTTCCCTTGTGGTCTGGGGAGTCCCCTCATGGTCTTGGGGTCCCCTTGTGGTCTAGGGGGTCCCCTCATGGTCTTGGGGTTCCTTCATAGTTTGGAGGTGTCCCCTTATGGCCTCAGGTCTCCTCCTCAGCTCCTTCTGTCCCATCGCTGGGCAGAGGCCTCCAGGAGCCAGCGCCTGTGGTTTGGGTGGCCGCACCCCTCCACTCTGTCCTTACCTAGCCATGACCGCTGGGCCAGGGGCTCCTCTGAGCTGGTTGGGGGTGACACAGCAGAACCTGGTGGCGGTGGGCTTGTTGCCAATGCAGCCCCGGACAGCGTCTGCTCCGAGCCCTCTCCTTCGGGGCCTGGGGTCCCGGGGTCCAGCCCGGCCGAGGAGGGGTTGAGCCAGGTGGGTGTTGCCGGGGTCCTCGGCCTCTCCTCCATCCCCTGCTTGGGATGGTTCCCTCCACTCCATGCCCGAGGCCAGCCTGGTTGCTATGGCAGGAGGTGAATGGCCTGGTGTCTTCTAGGGGGCTTGGCTGACTCCTGGAAGGCCAGCCTGGGTGGGTGTGATTCCTAAGGAGGGAGCCACAGTTCCAGGACGCCCAAGGGCAGGACTGGGGAGAGTCCTGGGGGATGGTTTAGGATGGAGCCCCGTGAGCTGGGAGAGCAAGTTCAACCCTGGGTTTCCCTCTTGGAAGTGCGTCGTCTGATTGGGGAACAAGGATTTGATGGCCATGGGCCAGCTGAGAGACGGTGTCCTGCTGGCGCTGGCCTGTCCCGGCCCCACGGCGATGCCGGCTCTTGTGTTTTGTGGATGGCGCGTTCGCACAGTCTTTGGGGCGGCTGTTTCATCAGATTCTGCACCCCATGAGCTTCTCATTTATGCACCTGTGGGGCATTGCTGGGGTGCCCACCCTGGGTCTGGGGCTCCTGTGCTGCTGGGGATACTCCAGTACACAGAACAGATGATGTGCAGCCTCCTGGGAGGAGTTGCACGCTCCCTCTCTTCTGTCTGAACCCGCTCACTCCTGCCTTCACTGGGAGGCCTCTGTCGCCGCGTGGGAGGGGTCCCCTGAGACACCCTCCCCCTGAGAGGGGCTGGAGCGGTTTTGGGGCAGGAAGAGGGCACAGCGGTTCCCATCTCCTCTGGGCGCACCTGGCCCGGCGTTGCATAAGCCGTTTCCCCACCATCCTTGACGCCCTGTCGCTCCCGGCTGGGGGATTTTTGTGGCTGGAACCTTATATTCAGGGAAGTTCCCAAACCACTGAGGGAGCTGGCGCTTCCTCTGTTTTAATTTTGGGTCCCTGTGCGCTAAGAATAGCTGGCCGCGCCGGGCTGGTTTGGACGGGAGCATTTGCAGGATGGTGTCTGTTTCTGTATTGGCCCCGAGCTCCTCACACAGCTCCTGTTTCTGCCTTAGTCCCGAGCTGGGACGTGCTGGGACCTGGGGGACGCGGGAGACCCGGTCTGGTGTCTCCAGGAAGTAGACCACCGCCCAAAATGTGAACGCTGACTCCAGTTTAGGATCCCAGAGTGTCTGATCTGGGAGACTCCCTGATGCCCGTCTCTTTCCTCCACCGCTTCACGTTTTATCCGAGGAAGGATGGGGTGACCCCACCTCTAGGCTCCCAGGCAGGGGCCCAGCCCGGGGCCAGCACTCCCCAGACTTGCTTTTTCTTTCTTACCTTTTTGTTTTTTTTAATTTTTTTGAAACAATGTCTCACTGTCACCCAGGATGGAGTGCAGTGGCACAATCTCGGCTCACTGTAGCCTCCGCCTCCCCGGCTCAAGCCATCCTCCCTCCTCAGCCTCCCGAGTAGCTGGGACTACAGGCGTGTGCTACCGCGCCTGACTAATTAAAAAATTGTTTTTTGTAGAGACCTGGTCTCACTATGCCACCTAGGCTGGTCTTGGACTCCTGGGCTCAAGTGATCCTCCCGCCTCAGCCTCCCACAGTGCTGGGTCTATAGGTGTGAGGTGTGAGCCACCGTATCCGGCCTGATTTTTCTTTCTTGTAAGCTTTGGAGTCCTCTGTTCACCCTGATCCTTACCCAGGACCTCAGCGTTTGGAAGCAATGGATGTAGAATTCTGTGGTGGAGGCTGTGCTGGGGTATCCAGAGCCCAAGACCCCCTTGGAACCTGAGTCTTTGGTGGAGGTTGGACCCTCCCCGCCCCTCAGCCCCCGCTGACCAGTATCCGGAGTGACTCGGCACAGCCAGTGGGGCCAGGAGGGGACCAGTGTCCGGAGTGACTCGGCACAGCCGGTGGAGCCGGGAAGGGACCGATGTCCGGAGTGACTCGGCACAGCCAGTGGGGCCAGGAGGGGACCAGTGTCCGGAGTGACTCCGCACAGCCAATGGGGCCGGGAAGGGACGCGGCTTCTCCATTTCTCAGCACAAGCAGTTTGTCACTTGTAGCCTCGAGGACGCTGCTAAGGTCACGGAGGGTCCCCGAGCCTCGACCGGGGCTTAGTGCCCTGCAGTGTCCACGTGAGGCCACGGCAGCCGGGAGGGCCCGTGTGCACCCTCACTCGGGCGGGACGGTGGGCTCAGGAGCTCTGAGGCAGCCGTGATGTGCTGAGGGTCACACAGTGTGCACGTGGGGACCCTGATCCATGGGGGGATCAGAGCCGGGACCTGCCTGGCAAGTCCACCTCACGGAGGCCCTGGTGGGAGGAAAAGTGGGCACCGTTCACAGCTGGCGACCCCTGCTCCGCCTGCCTGGGCCTCTTTCTCTTCTCATTGGCCCTGGGGTCTGTCACGCTGGGTTCCACAGCGGTGCCTTCAGACTGAAGTTGCCAACCCCACAGCCGTGCGTGGGAGCCGGGGCTGGCTTTCTGGTGGGCTTCACCTCACGACTTTGGGGGTGTGTGGCTGTGGTGTGAATCTGCTCCTCCTGGCTTTGAAGTGTGAGGGGATGAGGCCGTGTTGCAGCCATCTGGGGCCATTGTGGGGAGGGTCAGGCATCACCAGTCATTTCACCCCACTGACAGTGCGTCTCCAGGCTGGAGAAGTGGCTGCTGTATATATTTTTCTTTTCCTTTTTTTTTCTGTTAATAGAGGTGAAGTCTTGATATGTTGCCCAAGCTGGTCTCAAACTCATGAGCTCAAGCGACCCTCCCGCCTTGGCCTCCCAGAGTGCTGGAATTATAGGCGTGAGCTGCTGCACCTGGCAGCCGTTATCAACGCTCCAGTTTTCCAGGCTTTCTGTGTGTAGGTGCTGGCAAGATGGGGCAGAGCTGAGGCCGGGACCCAGGCCCCGTGCCCCCCGAGCCGACTCATGGGAAGTGGGTGGGACCGGTGTTAAGAAGCCACTTCTAGCGCCCCCGCCCTCCCCGTGCCGTGGGCTTGAGGAAGCCCTGTACCTGGAAATGGGGGTCACCTGCCTTTTCCCACACAAAGCCCCCCTTGGGGATGCCGGCAGACACACTGCAGAGCCCCCACGTGGGGGTCCCAGTGCCCACCGGCCAGCTCGGAGGCCAGCTCCCAGCCCTGCCTCACCGACCGTCTCAGCCACAGAAGGAACATGATCCCAAAAGGGGCAGTCTTTGGGGCCGGGCCCTCCCCCGGGGGCCCCTGGCAGCCTTCAGCTGTCACCCCGCCGCGAGAGATGGACGGGTGCACGAGGCTTTAATGTCTGAGGTTCCCCGGGCAAAACACGCTTGCATTCCTCCGGCTGGGCGTAATTGCTGGGCAGTCAGTGTGAATTATAAATTATTTTTCAAAAGAAGTGCTTTTTTTATGGCTGGCAGAAATCTAAAATGGCCTGGGCTGGGTCATTGCGCCTGCCACTGCCCCGGGCATCCGGCCCGCTCTCCGCTCTCGGGGGCAGACACGCGGCACTTTCTGCTGCCGACGGGCCTGGGCTCGGCGTTTCTGAAAAGATCGTTGTCACTGAGGAAGCCCGGTTCGTTCAGGCACCCGCAGCGGGTGGAGAAGTGCCGTCTGCACCGTCTTGGTCTTGGGCCAAGTTCCTGAGGTTTTTCTGGACCTGCTGGGCTGTGGGCTTTTGCCAGAAAGAGGGGACCTTGGGGAGGGCTTTGGCAGAAGATAGGACACCCCCTGGACTCTAAAATTGGGGCTTACAGCCATTTTAGTGCTGCTCTGACCCAGAGCTGATGGAGAAACTGAGACCTGGGTATCGGGGAGGGCTGGGTTCCCACCTGCATCTCCTGCGTCTGCGTCTGCTGTGACTTGCAAGGCCTGGGGCTGTTTTCTCCCCGGATGCTGGCCTCTTGGGCTCCAAGTGCCCATCTCTCGGGGCCCCGCCCCCACCCTGCTGGTCTCTTGGTCCCCTGGACTGGGCACGCGAGGGCCACACGTTGGAGTGGCAAGGTCAGTGCCGCCAGGCCAGGATTCCAGTGGCTGCACCCAGCTGTGCCCACCAGGCCTGCAGCCATGTTCAGCTCTGTGCTCTCAGCTGCAGCTCTTCTCCTCACCGGTGCGTGCCTTGGGCGACAGAGTCCTGCCGTGCTGTGCTGATGTGCACATACTTTGGAGCAGAGTCCCCTTATGGTTTCACACCCTTTGCTGGGCCGGTGGTGCTCAGGGCTGTGGGAGCCACACTCCTCTTGGAGTGTCCTGAAGGGCGTGGGGCTGCACAGCAGAGTGCCAGAGCCCCCTCTGTCTTCTGGTCTCCAGGCACCGGGGGAGGCAGGGCCCAGGGAGCCAGGCCACCGACATTTCCGGTTCTCTCTGCGTGGTGTTGAGCCCCCTCTCCCTGCAGCAGATTCCGTCTGAAAGTGGCCCCGTGCCATTGAACATGTCCAGAGCTGCCCCAGCTGCCTGACCCTCACAGGGCCGTGGGCTTGGTGTTGGCATCATGAAAGCAACATCCAGGGGCTGGATCGTCCCGGCTCCTCTCTCTGTCCCGGGCAGCCTGGGCACGTTGCATGCTCTGAGCTGCCCTTCTCCAGTCTCACGTGAGGGTGCAGCATGATGACGTGGTGCCGTGCACACGGTAGGTGCTCTGTGGATGCCACTTCTGTTCTTCCAGAGCAGATAAGATGCTGAGTGTGTGAGTGGAGGTTCGGGATGACCTTGTTGTCTCCAGGACAGTGTGGGGCCTGGCCGTGCGAGCATCCATTCTGGAACAAGATTGTCCCGTTTCAGTTCTTGGCCTCAGCACTTAGCAGCTCGGTGGGCATAGGCAGGCCACACCGACCCTGAGCCTCTGTTTCTTCCATAGAGTGGAGATAATAGTAGGCTCAGCTGAAAGTGTGGATCTCGGGAGGTGCCTGATTGCTGGGGAGCATTCAGCATAGTGAGCCGTGCTTATCGTCATCACCTTCTGGGAGGAGGAGGAATCTTGGCAGTGGTGGGGGCTGCTGAGGACGAGGGCTGGGTCAGCAGCTGTTTGCAGGGGTGTCTGACCCCATTTCTGAGCTCAGGCACCTGACATACCCCTGCTAGTCAATGGGAAGCAGACAAGGACCAAGGTGGACATGGCACCCGTGGAGCGGTGGTGAGGAATTTGGGAGGACAGAGAAGGAGCCCAGGCCAGAGACACACGGAACAGCTGCTCATTTCAATCACTCTTCTCATGGAGAAACCGAAGACCAGAGGGGACAAGACTAGTCCAAGGGCATGGGGAGTCATGGGTAGGCTGGGGTTGGAATTGCAATGTCCTGACTTTCCCCGTCAGCACACTTTTGTGTACCCGGTAAAAACCACTACCACCATCATCATTGCCACCATCACTACCATCATCAGCACTATAATCATCACTACCACTATCGTCACCATCATCACCATCACATCGTCATCACCACTGTCACTATCCTCACCACCATCACCACCATCACCACCATCTCTATCCCCACCATCACCATCACCACCGTCACCATCACCACCACTGTCACTATCCTCACCAACATCACCACCATCACCATCACCACCATTACCATCACCACCATCACCACCATCATCGTGATCACCACTGTCACTATCCTCACCACCATCACCACCATCACCATCACCACCATCACCATCACCATCACCACTGTCACTATCCTCACCACCATCACCACCATCACCATCACCATCACCACCATCACCATCATCGTCATCACCACTGTCACTATCCTCACCACCATCACCACCATCACCATCACCACCATCACCATCACCACCATCACCATCACCACCGTCATCACCACTGTCACTATCCTCACCAACATCACCACCATCACCACCGTCACCACCATCACCACCGTCACCACCATCATCGTGATCACCACTGTCACTATCCTCACCACCATCACCACCATCACCATCACCACCATCACCATCACCATCACCACTGTCACTATCCTCACCAACATCACCACCATCACCATTAGCAGCAACATAACATTTGTTGAGAATCAGTTCTCATAATGACCCAGTGAGGCAGGGATTTTTATGGTCTCATTTCACCAAAGCCCAATGATGCAGGTGACACATTCAAACCTGTACTTGTCCACGTTGAGTGGACTGCCCACTGTGTCCTCCATGCTGAGGCTCTGGAAGGCAGGGGAGGGTGGGTGTCCTTAGGGTCCTTGTCCCCATCATGGAAGTTGGGCTCAAGCCACACCTTCGCTGGGCTCAGTCGTCTGATCTGTGAGTGGGAAGCTTGGTGCAGCTCCAGGAGTCTGTTTCTGGACACTGAGGGCGGCTTGGGAGCGAGTGGGGAGGGCCACGCTACCGGAAATGGCCTGTGCCCATGGGAAAGGTCAGCCTGGCCACCAGGGCCCAGAATAAGCAACTGTGGAAACAACCCGGCCTGAGCCCCACACAAGTCACTGCTGTGCCTCGGGGACTTGCGCGCCATTCCTCCCCCATTTCACTGGAGCTTGCATTTTTGTCATAGTTTTCCAGGGACAGGCGTTTAACATCACGTGCCTTTCCTCCAGCCCTTCCCCCTTGAGCTGTTTTCCTTCCACAGCAATCCATCTCCCTTCCTTCATCCTCTGCTCCACTCCTGCAGGGCCTCCTGCCCCAGCAGCTGGAGTCCCGCTCCATCCCAGCCAGGAGGGCTGCACAGGAGGGCTGCGGACTGCCTCCCCTATGCTCACTCGGTGTCCCCAGGGCTGCTCTTTCCCACCCCCAACTGTGGAAGGGGCTGTGTGGTGGTCCCTCATTTTCCCATGTGATGGGGCCACCTTTGGTGTGCTCAAGGAGTCCCTTTTTAAGGGAGACACAAGTAAGTTTGCATCTGGCTGTGGGTGGCATTGAGAGATAGGAGAGGGGGCAGTGGGTAGGCGCAGGCCCTGGAGGCGGGGCCAGGGCAGACCCCCACTTCACCACGGCAGTGGGTAACTTCAGACACACACCTCCGAAGCACTCACCTCCACTTTCTCCTCCTCCTCGGCCCTCTGAGTTGTGACAATGTGATGGGCACAGCCCTGAGCACAGCCCCCACCCCTGTCCAGGGCACTCAGTAAACACCAAGTGGTGCCTGATTGCGATCTCCATTCCTGTGAGTGATTGGAGTGGATGGGAAGATGCTTTGAACAGCACCCCTCAGGAGAAGAAAGTTTGGGGAGACTGACAGGCATTTGGGGGGCTCCTCTGAGTGTCAGGGGTCTTGCTTCTCCTGTCCAGTCCATCTCTCTTTCCTGACATCTCCTTCCTACATACGTTGCTTAGAAGGTGGGATAAATTCCTGGTTAACACAGTGAAACCCCGTTTCTACTAAAAATACAAAAAACATTAGCTGGGCATGGTGGCGGGCGCCTGTAGTCCCAGCTACTCCGGAGGCTGAGGCAGGAGAATGGCGTGAACCCGGGAGTTGGAGCTTGCAGTGAGCCGAGATCGCACCACTACACTCCAGCCTGGGCAACAGAGTGAGACTGTCTCAAAAAAAAAAAAAAAAAGAAGGTGGGATAAATGACCCTCCTTCACCATTGCCCCCAGGCGTTGTGGCAGCTGGGAGGGTCCCTGGCAGCAGGGTGTTATGCCAGCCGCCTGCAGGACTCAGAAGAGTTTATAGTTTTCTATCTTAACCTAGGTTTCCTAGCCTATCCTTACCCTTAGGATTAAATTTTGCTGGATGTATTAGTTAGCTGTGGCTGTGTAACAAATTCCCCTCAAACTTAGTGGCCTCTGTCAACAGTGTTACATTTGTTCCATTTCCTGTGGGTCATGGAGGAAGCAGCTGCTCGGCTCTGGCCTGGAACCCTCCTCGGGCTGGGGGGATCAGAAGGTCTTATGGGGCAGAGGAGATTTCTGTGGTGGCTTCCCCCCAACAGGGCTGGAGGGTGGCAGGAAGGTGCTGCTCCTCCTCTGAGCTTCTCTGCAGCTGAGCGATCCAGGAGAGAGCAGGGCAGGAGCCACAGTATCTTTTACAACCTGGCTTTGCAAATCTCAGACTCATTTCCTTAGCATTCTCTAGTTGGATCCGTCAGCCCTATTCATCGTGGTCTTAGTTGCATCCGTCAGCCCTATTCATCGTGGGACAGAGCACACAGGGTGTGGACACCAGGAGGCGAGTGAGGATCATTGGGGGCCGGCTGCCTCCATGCCAGGTGTAACAGAAATACTCAAAATAACAGTGTCTTAAACCACACGGCTGTTTCTCACGCTCTGGGAGTCTGTCTAGGGTGGGTGTGTTGTTCCATGGGGCCCGAGAACCAGCTTTCTCTTACTGATGCTCCTCAGGGGCCCAGGATGGCTGCTGCAGCCCCAGCCATCATCTCCACATGCCAGTCAGCAGGAAGGAGGAGAGGGGAGGGACATGTTCAGAAACTGCACATGCCACTGTGTCTGCGTGCCCCTGGTCAGCACTTGGTCAGTTGCACAGGTGGGAGGCACCTGGTAAATGCTGCTCACTGTGGTTTTCTGTCTCAGGGCATTACGGGAATTTGCAAAACAGCATGTCAGGAAGGGGTAAAATACGTCCCCATTCAAGTTGAGAGGCGGGGGCAGCTTTGGGGCTTTTAGGGCCCAGTCTAGGCTTTCCTTCTTGGTTCCGTGGTTCCTATCTAGGGTGGTCACTCAGCCCTGCGGAGCTGCAGTTTCTGCCTCTGGAAAATAAGGATAAAAGTATGTTCCCCTCTCAGGGTTATCTGTTGCGAGGTCGATGTGGGTCAGTGTGTCCAAGAGCCCCCCTCCCTGACCTGGAGTGGGCGTTCAACACAGCAAGTTCCCTCCTCCCTCCTTTCTCCACACCCCAGGGGACTTATCTAGGGTCACGGAAAAACCTCATCACTAGCATGTCGTCTCTCGGTCTGACTCACATCCCGGCGTACACCCTACTCGAACGCGTGGCCTCTGTCAGTGGATGATACCATTTGAATTTTAGCAAAGTCGAGCTTGCTGCTGTCCGGGTGGACTCTGTGTCTCTGTTTTTGGAATGTGCAGTGCTGAATCGTACCCACCGTGCGGCTGCTCTGTACAGTTGTGGAGTTCGTGCACTGTACAAAGGCCCAGGCAGAGGGTTGAGAGGGGCTGAGACCCAGGCTGCTTTCTGCACACCAGGCTGGAGCTGACTGCCTAGAGCAGGGGCCTCGTTCCTGTTTGCACCAGGGCCCATCAGCTTGATGGGATGTGTGTGCTTAAAGAAGGGGTGTGTTTTTCTAATTCACATTTATAATCCTAGTTTCTAGAATGAATTCTAATTTCTAATTCACATAACGCTGACAGGGCCGTGTTTGTTGGTATTGTATGATTCAGCATGCTTTTCCCAGGGTTGAGGGAAGTCAAGTATCGGCTTTTAATGGGTAACGAGGCAGCTTCAGGCACGGCTGGATCCAGGGTCTTAGCTGACGTCAGCCGCACTCTCCCTTCTACGTCATGTGCTTGAGTCTCTGTGTTGGCCTCAGTTTCTCCAGATGTGTTTATGAGCTCCCTGCCCTTCATGGCTAGAAACCCGGGTTCAGGCTCTGGCTGGCTGTGCGCTCACCGTGTGGAACTACCACGGGTCCTGGCTGGGTGGGGAACTCTGCTGCCAGCCAGGACACTTAGCAACCATGCCGGGAGCTTCTCCAGAAGCCCCCCGGGAGGAGGGAGGTGGGGGGCATAGGACACCGTGGCAGCTCACGCAGACTCCGAGTCGTCGAGGGCTTTGGGGACTTGGAATGCTTGGAGGGTCTCATTTAAAAGTTGAGAGTCATTTGGGGAAATCTGGAAACGTCAGGATGATCCAGGTATGAAGATTCACCTTCTTGTCTGTTTTTTACTTTCTCCCGAACAGGGCAGCACGCTGAGGAAACGCAAGATGTACGAGGAGTTCCTCAGCAAGGTCTCCATCCTAGGTCAGTGGCTGCGCCCCTGCACGGCTGTGTGTCCCGACATCTGGGCGCCTGCTGGCCACCCCGGCCTCTTCCCCATTCCCTGCGTGGCTGGCAGTTGAGTGTTGTTGGTATTATGGAGGTTTGGGGTGCAACACACAGGCATGCTCACGCACAGACACGTGCACAGATGACACACACTGTCACTTGTTGGCAAACCCCAAGAGCCTGCCTCCTCTCTCGTGGGCGGGGCTGCCCTGCTTCTCAACGTCTCTGCCATCCTGTGCGTTTCCTGTCTGCTTCTCCCTTTGCTGTCAGAGCCGCGCCCCCAGCCTTCCCTCCACACCAGTCCGTGTAGAGCTGAAAGCCAGTGTTGGCTCCCGGTACACGTGTGAGCTGGGTCGAGCTGCTTTCCCTGACCTGTGCTAGTTCCCTTCTAAGCGCAGTTTCTCTGGGAGCCGCCTCTGCCCTTTCTACGCCGCCATCATTGCTCTCAGTTCCGGGAAGGATAACGGCAGGCTGGGGTTTCAGGTGTGCCCAGGGCCCTTTCACCTTCGGGTGAGCCTGCTTAACGGCCTGGCAGGAAAGACGCTGCTGAAGCCTGAGTTATACGCGATGGCGCCAGCTGGGCCAGTGGGGGCTCCTTGGGCTAGAGCAGGCAGAACCGTGCAGGTGTGTGGGGGTGAGTGTGCACATGGGGGTGTGTGTGCGTGTGTGTGCATGAGTGTGCATGTGAGTGCACATGGGTGTACACGTGAGTGTGCATGGGTGCGAGTGCACATGCATGGGTGTGTGCATGTGTGTAGAATGCGTGTGAATTGCACGTGTGTGAGGGTGTGAGTGCACCGTGTGGGTTGTGTGTGGGTGTGTGCGCATGGGTGTGCATGCATGTGAGTGTGGGGGTTTGAGTGTGCACGTGTGAGGGGGTGTGTGTGCACCTGGGAGTGTGCAAGTGTGTGTGCATGGGTGTGCACGCATGTGTTTGGCACGTGTGTGAGTGGGTGTGTGCACGCGTGTGTGGGTGTGTATGGGTGTGCACACACGTGTGTGCGTGGGTGTGAGTGCACGTGTGTGAGTGGGTGTGAGTGTGCACTGTGGGTGTGTGCGTGTGTGCGTGGGTGTGCACACGTGTGGGGGGTGTGAGTGTGCACATGTGTGAGTGGGTGTGTGCGCCTGTGTGTGTGCACGTGTGTGTATGCAGTGTGGCTGTGCCTGTGTTCCTTCTTGGGGAGGACTTTGACCCCTGTTCTCTCTGAAATCCTTCTGTGAAATGTCGAGAAAGGAGCGTGCGGGTCTTTCCATTGTGGTAAAATGCACGTCACAGCACGCCGACCGTTTTGACCTTTCCCGGAAGCGCATTTCAGGGCCGTTGAGTCTACACACGACGTTGTCGGCACCGCTCCCATCCCAGAGCCCCGTCCTCACCCGAGACAGAGCCCCGTCCCTGTGAGCCGTCACCCCCCCTGCCCTCCCGGCCCTGGCAGCCCCCGGACCCTCCTGGTCTCTGTGGATTATTTGCCTGCTCGGGACGTTTCGTGGGAATGGAATCACCTGTGTGGCTTTGTGTCTGGTTTTAATTCTAGTGCCATTTTGAAAATGTCATACTTGGAAACACAAAACGAGTTGGTCCGCCAGATTTTATAGGGGCCGAGAGGGGGACATTTGCTCCCTCTGCAAAATCCCAAACGCAGGGCCTCTGCCGCCCGTCTGGGCGTCCCGCTGCCTTTCAGCCAGACCTGGGTGGTCCGGCCCCTGGTGCCCACCAGGCACTGCATAGTCAGCCCTGTGCCCACAGACTCCTTCATTCACCAGCGCTGTCGAGACAACGGTTGCTGCAGGCCATGAAGGGCGAGACCCTCTCCCTGCTCCGGGCGAGGGCTGGTGACCCCCCGGCTGGAGGTGGCTTCTTGCTTCCTGCGTCCCGGGCTCTTAGGGGCCGTCGCACGCCCTGGCCGCGTGGCCTCCGTCCGCCCATTTATGTTCCTCTGATTAATGCAGCAGCCAGCAATGTGACCGGCTTCTCCGTGGCCTCCCAGAAGAGTAACCACAAGGCACGATTCCCTTTTCCTGCCCAGTCAGCATCGGCACAAAGTCCTCCAAAAAGTGGCTGGCGGGGCGGTGTCTCCGCAGGCAGCTTGGCCGGAGGGATGGCCCTGGATGAGCCTGAAGCCGTGGGCTTCGGCATTTCTGTCCCCACACCAGAAACCTGGGAACGGCTTTTGTGCCTGGATGCTCCTGGGACCCCGCTTTCTCCTGAACGCGCAGGGCTCGGCCCCTAGGACAGGAGACCCCGTAGAATCAGCATGGCCCACATGGGAGCTGCAAGTCTGCAGAATTCCAGCACAGAGCTTGACGATGGGTTCCCCCCTGGGCAGGTGCACGCAGCCTTACGACGTCTCGTCCTGTGGCTGCAGGCTGCCCTTGTCAGGTGCTTTTTGGGACACGTGACTGCGTTTATTCTGCAGTTTACATGGTGAATGGGGATGGATCCCATCTGTGCAAAATAAAAAATTAGCTGGACATGATGGTACATGCCTGCAGTCCCAGCTACTTGGGAGGCTGAGGTGGGAGGATCACTTGAGGCCATGAACTCCAGACCAGCCTCGATAACATAGCGAGTTCCTGTCTCTCCAAAAAATTTTTAAAAAGTTAGCCGGGTGTGGTGGCTCATGTCTGTAATTCCAGCACTTTGGGAGGCCGAGGTGGGAGGATCGCTTGAGCCCAGGAGTTCAAGGCTGTGGTGAGCCGTGATCACGCCACTGCACTCCAGGCTGGGTGACAGAGCGAGACCCTGTCTCTTGAAAAAAAAAATGGGGCCAAAAGTGCCATCTCCCTGTGGTTTCTTCTGTCAGTTTTCATCCAAGATTAATGTAGCCAGGAGATAATTTTTGTTTTTAGAACTCAGAATACTACAGGTTTCAAATGTAATAGAGTAAGCATTTGCTAATCAAATATGTGGAAATGAACTTCCTAACTGCAGCTGACTTCTGAAATGAGATGCCTCGTATTACTGTCCTTGTAAGGAAACCAGTAAAGAAAACACTCCAAATTCATATGCTGGTCTCATTCTGCACCCTGAACACAAACCATAATTGCTCTAAAAAATCACCTGCATCATTTAATTGTCAGGTGTGCACTGATGTGTTGGCCTGCTTGGGAGCACGCCTGGGTTCTGAATTATTCAGCAGCTTCTGTCTGGTACAGACTTTTTTTTTTTTTTTTTTTTTTTGAGACAGAGTGTTGCTCTGTTGCCCAGGCTGGAGGTCAGTGGTGCTATCTCGGCTCACTGCAAGCTCCGCCTCCCGGGTTCACGCCATTCTCCTGCCTCAGCCTCCGGAGTAGCTGGGACTACAGGCGCCCGCCACCACACCCGGCTAATTTTTTGTATTTTTAGTAGAGACGGCGTTTCACCGTGTTAGCCAGGATGGTCTCGATCTCCTGACCTCGTGATCCGCCCGCCTCGGCCTCCCAAAGTGCTGGGATTACAGGCGTGAGCCACCGCGCCCAGCTGGTACGGACCCTGTTTTTAGGAAGCTGGTCAAACAGCTCTGGTTGTGGGGTCCTCGCCCCCCTTCCCTATGCTGCAGAATCTGCCCGGCCCTGGGGTTCGTGGGAAGCATTTTCCTTTGCAACCTACGGCGCCGACAGGGATTTTTAAGGAGAGAAATCTCCCTCCTAACCTAGATGTAAAATAAATGCTTTGCTTTTTATTTTTAGCTTCTGACCTACATAGGTAGCATCTGATTTGTATAGGCCAGGAAACGTTTGTTTTTTTTTTTTTTTTTTTGTCAAAAAAGAAATCGTTAATCAGGTGATCATTATTTTCTTATAAAATCTGACGTTAGTAAATTTTTTTTCCTTCCAAGGGTTAGGGATGAATAAAGACAGGGAAGGGAAGACCTTGTGAGAAGGGCGGAAAGATAACATTGAGTTTGCAAGCATTTAAAGATAAACTTGGCATGGGAAGTAAGCATTTTGACCTAAAATAGTAGAACGTATACTGTGCCTTAATGTTGCAACATAAATGCAGTTCCATGTTGTTTGATCAGTCCCCTGATGAACAGTGTTTCTTTTCGATGGGCAGTTACCATTCTGAATTATTTTGTTATTCATGTATTATTATTATTTTTTTTGTATTTTAGTAGAGATGGGGTTTTGCCATGTTGACCAGGCTGGTCTCGAACTCCTGAGCTCAGGCAATCCACCCACCTCAGCCTCCCAAAGTGCTGGGATTACAGGCTTGAGCCACTGCACCCGGCCAGTTTTTCTGTTTTTTTCTTTTTTCTTTTTTTTTTTTTTTTGAGACAGGGTGTTGCTCTGTCTCCCAAGCTGGAGTGCAGTGACGTGATCATAGCTCACTGCAGCCGCGACCTCCCGCGCTCAAGTGATCCTTTTGCCTCATCCTCCTGAGGAGCTGGGACCACAGGTGTACACCACCACGCCTGGCTAATTTTTTAATTTTTGTAGAGACGAGATCTCACTGTGTTGCCCAGGCTGGTCTTGAACTCTGGCCTCAAGCGATCCTCCCGCCTTAGCATCCTGAGTAGCTGAGACTACAGGTACACACCAGCATGCCTGGCTGATTTAAAACATTTTTTGTAGAGATGGGGTCTCATTATGTCGGCCTGGCTGGTCTTGAACTCCTGGCCTCAAGCGATCCTCCTGCCTCAGCCTCCCAAAGTCTTGGGATTTATAGGCGTGAGCCCACTGTGCCTGGCTTCTGAGTTATTTTAAACCACTTAGTAGGCTTTGTGCTTAGCTGGGACTCCATTGTTTGCAAAAATGTAAGCAGCTCTATTCTTTTGAAGTAACAAAAGTATTTTCATACTGAGTTAACCTGGAGTCAGTTTTCACTGCTGGGTATTTACATTAAGCCAGGGATAAGTGTCAGAATAGCTCCCTCCGCAACTGGTGAAGAGGGCACATGAGCTGCATGCGTCTGGGACCCACTGACTGCAAGAAAACCCAGGCCCCCTGGCACAGAGGTGCTGGGGGACAGCGTCACGGCCTCATCTTATGCAGCTTACTGGTCACGGAGCTGGTGTTGTGATTGCTTCTGAGGACACCTTTCGGGAAGAGCGGTGGCCCTTGTCTTGGACTGTGGCTGTGGGGGCGTGGGCCCCGGGATGACCTGTCCTCATCCTCCCCCGACAGAGTCCCTGGAGAAGTGGGAGCGTCTGACCGTGGCGGATGCGCTGGAGCCCGTCCAGTTTGAAGATGGAGAGAAAATTGTGGTCCAGGGAGAGCCTGGGGACGACTTTTACATCATCACGGAGGTGAGACGTGCTTCCCACGTGGGCGCTCTGGGTGTGCACTGGGGCAGGGGCACTTCTTACCTTCTCCTCTTCCACTGCCCGCCTCACCCTCCCTCTGGAGTCAGTGCTGCCCTGTGACCGCACGCCCGTCCGGGGCCTCCATGGGGTGGGTGGTCTGTGGCCTCACATTCCTGCCACTGAGATTCCTCCTGCCCTCTAGCATCAAAAGCCTCCCTTCTTAGAAAGGTAGGTGGCTGGTGCCTGAGCTGCACGTGTGATAAAACTGCATGAAACTGGCCGGGCGCGGCGGCTCACGCCTGTCATCCCAGCACTGTGGGAGGCTGAGGCGGGTGGATCACCTGAGGTCAGGAGTTCGAGACCAGCCTGGCCAACATGGTGAAACCCCGTCTCTACTAAAAATACAAAAATTTGCCGGGTGTGGTGGCACATGCCTGTAATCCCAGCTACTTGGGAGGCTGAAGCAGGAGAATCGCTTGAACCCGGGAGATGGAGGTTGCAGTGAGCCAAGATCACACCATTGCACTCCAGCATGGACAACAGAGTGAGATTCCGTCTCAAAAAAAAAAAAAAAAAGTAAAATAAAAAACCTGCACAAAACCTGCACACAGGGCGTGCGAGGGTGGGTAGAGCTGAGGAGGGAGTGGGGTGGGGGATGGCACCGCGTCCGCATCCCGGCCATGGCGTGGCACTGTGTGTACACAGCAGGTCACTGTTGGGGACATCGCATACATTCAGGGTACGCAGGATCTCTCTATATTATTTCTAACAACCGCACTCAAATGTACGATGATGGCAAAATTAAAAGTTTAATTTTAAAAAGACGGTGGCAGCTTCTCTATCTGGATGTGTGTGTGAGTCATTTTTGCCGTCTCACGCCACGGCCCCACCACAGGCAGGCGACAGGTGGCTCCGTGGAGCTCCCGGGATGTGCTGGGGCCGCAGTCCGTGGTGGCCGCACGCAGACTGTTGGGTGGGCCGAGCAGCTGTCCTGAGGACACGGCAGGAATTCGCGTGTGAACTCCCATTCCGGGTGCCGGCGAGGGACTCCGTGCCTGAGAGTTAGCAGGTGGGACTCGACTCCAGAGGTGGGGCTGGGACACTGGACCTAATTGAGGACTGGCTAAAACAGGGCCAGGGTGCAAGCCACTCTCCGTAAGCCACGCCCACCCGTGCACCATTGTCAGTTTACCGTTGCCATGACAACACCCGGGCGCTCCCGCCCCTTTCCATGGCAATGTGGTCTGATGACCCGGAAAATTACCACCCTTAACCAGAGAGCTGTGTATAACCCACCCCTTAATGTGCACATAATTTAAAGTGGGTATAAATGGGACTGCAAAAGCGCCCTGAGCTGCTACCCTCAGCGCACTGCCTAGCGGGAGCGGCTCCGAGCTGTAACACCAAACACTGCCACCTCAGTAAAGCTGTTCATTCCACCTCCTGCTGGCCCTTGAATCCTGTCCTGGGCAAAGTCAAGAACCCTCGTGGGCTAAGCCCCACTTTGGGGCCCACATGCATCACCTGTGCCCCATGGTTGTTTGAACTGTGGCCTGCCCGGCGATCTGAAGCCCCCTCCCTTCGGATTCATGCTGCAGGAACTGGGCCGGAACCCCAGGGCCGGCAGTGCGTCCGTCGTCCGGAGGCTCTGCCTGGGGCCTCCCTGAGAGGAACCCCCTCCCCAGGTGGCCCCGGGCAGGAATGAGTGACCTGTCCAGGCTGTGTGGTGACCTGCCCGGCTCTGCAGAGCTACACGTATGCTCCCGTGTGTCTGACATGTTCCCCATGTCTCCGGCCCTCAAGGGTGAGCAGGATCTCACGCTTGCATGCTCCCTAAGCACACGCCCCAACTCTGTACCTGTCATCGGGAAATGCGTGCGTCAGGGTGGCGGAGTTTAAGGTCCCGTCCTCGCCGAAACACCCGCAGCTGTGGGCAGTGACGAGGATCATTTTGGGTCCAGAAGGAGGGCACCTCTCTGCCCTGGGGGCTGCTGGAAAGAAACAGGAGGTCAGCAAAGAGCTCAAGTCCCAGTGGATGTTTGGCAACTTCGGCAAATTCGGGAGCCAGTGTCTTGGTTCGAAACAACAGAAGCCCAGCAATGCGGCTGGGGCCGCTGATGGAGTTGGACGGGGCCGCTGATGGCGTTGGACGAGGCCGTTGATGGAGTTGGATGAGGCCGCTGATGGCATTGGGTGAGGTGACTGATGGAGTTGGACGGGGCCGCTGATGGCGTTGGGTGAGGCGACTGATGGAGTTGGATGAGGCCGCTGATGGCGTTGGACGAGGCCGCTGATGGCGTTGGAAGATGCTCACCACCGCTGGAACACAGGCCGAAAAGCAGGAGGCTGGAGTAAGAGCCTGCGGGAAGGAAGTGTGTGTTTCGCTGGAGACCCAGGCTCGGGCCCCTGCACCTGCAAATCCTCACTACCCTTCCCTGAGGGGCACATTCAGGGCCTCTCCCGCCCCTCATTCCCGGTGCTTCCCACTGCGGCTCTACCATAAGGAAAGATCTGGAAGGCTGGGGTAGAGCAGGAGAAACAGCAGAGGCCAGAGGGCACCAGGCCGGCTGGGGCATCCGAGATGCCGGGAGATTTCTGCTGACCTGGAAGAAGCACCAAGGCAGGTCTCGACAGGGCAGCCAGCTTCACGGAGCTCCACACGGTGGATTTGGGGTTCCCGGACCTGAGTCACTTCCGTCTCCACGTCCCAGAATGCTCATTGTGTGAATGAATTAATGAATGCATGAAGGAATGATGCTTGTCTCCAACCTAAAAGTACAGCAGGCTGCACGGACATTCACGAAGGGGGTCCTTGCGGGGGAGCCGTTATCAGGCAGTATTTCCGGTCGGTAGAGTAGAGGACTCGTTCAACAGTGATGCTTCTTTAAAAGGAGAGAAGGAGGAGGGAAAGGATGAAACCACAGGCAGCCCAAGTGATTATTCTGGCCAGCGTTGAAGGAGGCTCTGGCGGGCCCCGAGAGGGGAGTGACCCCAGCCGTGATTCCAGCGTGCACACCCGCCCGTGTGCAGAGGAGAGGATGCCAGCGTGCACGCCTGCCCATGTGCAGAGGAGAGGATGCCAGCGTGCACGCCCGCCCGTCTGCAGAGGAGAGGATGCCAGCGTGCACGCCCGCCCGTGTGCAGAGGAGACTATGCCAGCGTGCACGCCCACCTGTGTGCAGAGGAGAGGATGCCTGTGTGCACATTTGCCCGTGTGCAGAGGAGAGGATGCCAGCATGCACACCCACCCATGTGCAGAGCAGAGGATGCCAGCGTGCACATTTGCCCATGAGCAGAGGAGAGGATGCCAGCGTCATGTTCGCCCGTGAGCAGAGGAGAGGATTGCAAACCGACAGCTGAAATCTGGTGTATTAAAGGCGGCTGTTGGGCACGGTGGCTCATGCTGTAATCCCAGCACTTTGGGAGGCCAAGGTAGGAAGAGGATCACTCGAGCCCAGGCATTCAAGACCAGCCTGGGCAACATAGTGAGACCCCATCTCTACTAAAAATTTAAAAATTATCAGCACCATAAGACAGGTGAAAAAATTAGCTGGGTGTGGTGGTGCACGCCTGTAGTCCCAGCTACTTGGGAGGCGGAGGCGGGAGGATCGCTTGAGCTCAGGAGTTCAAGGCTACAGTGAGCTATGATTGCGCCATTGCACTCCAGCCTGGGCAACAGAGAGAGACCCTGTCTCAAAACCAAAACCAAAACCAAAAACAAAAAAAGATGGCTTCAAATTCTTGGCTGTCTTTCCTGTGGAAAAGGGGAGTCTAACCCCCTCCCCTTGATGCTGGGCTGGCTTAGGTACACACTTGACAGACAGAATGCAGTGGAATGATGTCGTAGGTTACCCAAGACTGGGTGCTCCAAAGCCTTACAGCTTCCACCACAGCCTCTGGGAGCCCTGCTCCCGGGATGCTCTTCTTGGGGCCCAGCAGCTGTGCTCTGAGACGCATACCCAGCCAGCGCAGCCCCAGCCTCAGCCAGCACAGCCGTGAATGCCCAGTGTCAACAGCTGCCATATGACTGTGCCATCTTGGACGTCCCGCCAGCTGGGTCTTCCGATGAGGTCACCCCTGCCTCCATCTGGATGCAACCCCAGGGGAGACCCCGAGTGAGAACCGCCCGGCTGAGCCCCTCCAACCCCCGAACTGTGAAGGGTAACAACAAATTGTGGTTTAAGTCGCTGACTTCAGGAATGGCTTCTCAGTTATCACCAGTTCTCGCTACTGAAATTAGTACGTCAGTAGAGCCCTTCCTTGCCTAGACAACAGAGCAATGGCGGTGGCTCTCCCGGCCGCTCCACCGCCAGCAGGACGACTGCGGTGACAGGTGGAAAGGCAGATATCTTTAGTTGCTCTAGGTTTTACAACCATTGACAAGAAACTGGTGCTTACAGGCTCAATCTGGCCCAGAGACAAATTTGTGTTGGCCTGTGCAGTGTTTTTTTAAACATTTGGATTACTTGTTGATATTTTATAGTCAGGAGATTTCACATAAAAATCTGGGTCGCTGGCCAGGCGTGGTGGCTCACGCCTATAATCCCAGCACTTTGGGAGGCTGAGGCAGATGGATCACTTGAGGTCAGGACTTCAAGATCAGCCTGGCCAACATGGTGAAACCCCATCTCTACTAAAAATACAAAAATTAGCCGGGTGTGGTAGCAGGTGCCTGTAATCCCGGCTACTGGGAGGCTGAGGCATAAGAATCACTTGAACCCAGGAGGCAGAGATTGCAGTGAGCTGAGATCACGCCATTGTACTCCAGCCTGGGCCACAGAGCAAGAGCCTGTCTCAAAAAAAAAAAAAAATCTGGATCTGTTAATTCTCTTTAAAAATCTGACATCCGGCCACACTGGACCTGCAGCCCTGTCTGGCCCTACCCAGCTGGAGCTGAGAGGCAGATGCCCCTTCTGGTGTGAAAGGCTTCCCAGCTTTCTCAGCCCCTGCCCTGCCCTGCTCTCGGCTTCTCAGCCGTCTCTGCAGGCACTCGGGGGCTTCTGAGTTGGCAGCCTCGGCTTTAATGGTCTTGAAACTGAGAGAATGGGTAGCTGTGGCTGATTCAGACAATCACCCATTATTCACTGCAGAGCAAGGCCCCTCCCAGCTGAGCCCAAGGACCCGTGTAGGAAAATCATGAAAATGTGTGTGGGGGGCGTGGATCGTGGGTGCGTCTTCACAGAGAGCAGATCAAGGCCGCACGCGCGGTGTTCTCACCCCTGAACAGAGGAGATGGCATCACCGAGTCGCGCGGCGTGTTCTGAGTGTTGAGTATGTGCCGGGCGTCCTGGGAGCCCCCCACGCACACCGCGTGTGACCCAACCGCACCCCGGCGGGGGGATTCTGCCAGCCACGCCCTCCACATCCACGCCGGGGTCATCGGCTGAGGACAGGTGTGGGGACCGGCGAGGGGCAGACGCTGCCTCCCGCAGCTGGGAGGCTCTGCCAGCTGTGCCTCCACCATGGGTGTGCCCGACTCCGCGATCCCAGTCTTGCGAGCACAACTTCCAGTGTTTTCCGCTTTCTGACCCTCTGTCCACTCCCTGGTTGACGACTCGGATTTTACCTTCTTGGGTGTTTTGCGGGCTGTGGGAGCCAGGCCCCGCAGTGGCACATCTGCTGAAGGCCGTTACGGCTGATTTTCGTGATCTTGGGGGGCTCACCCGGCTCTCCGGCAGTGTGGTTTTGTGTTGGGAACAGCTGCTTCCCGGAGGTTCTACAGGCTCTCTGCAGAGTCCCCAGGAGGGGTGCTGGGGTCAGATGCTGGCTGCCCCTCCGCAGGAGCCCCCACGCGCTCCTGCACAGGCTTCCCGGAAAGGCTCTGAGGAGGGGCATGTGGGGAGGGGCCTGCTGGTGTCTGTGGGGAGAGCAGAGCGCTGCGCAGGGTGCCCTGACCACTGACAGAGTGTGTGGGGGTCGGGAGGGGAGGTGAGGGGGGCTGTGCAGATTCACATAAAACAGCGCCTTGCACGTCCTCCGGGACGAAACTCAACCCGAGGGAAGGTATCGCTTTCATAGCGCTGTAAAATGTATTTGAAAGGGTCTCCTTGGCAACCTGGATCTTTTTCACTTTTCCTCTGTGATCAGCCAAATTTGGTAAGTCAGTGTGACCCCGGGGTGCAGGGATCAGAGGCTCGGAACCGACGCGCTTCGCAGCTTATTGCGGTTTCCAGCTGTGGACCGCACGTCCAGGGCGGCCACCGACAGCATCAGACAGGTGCGGCGGGGCCCGGCCGGTGGGGCGGCTTCTCGGCAGGCGCTGGAGGCTCAGTGGCTGCCCTCGTGGCCGCCGTTTGTTTTTCTTGAAGCAGCGCGTGGAGGAGATGCCGGTCCCTCGCTCTCCCTGGGGCCGGCGTCCTGCCCTGTCTGCTCACTGTCATTCTTCCTCCAGCAGTTTCTAAAGCACATTGTTTTGTAAATCACGGCCTTGGTGGGTCGCAGATGCCCTGTGCATGAGGCCTCATCCCTGTAGGGCCACGGAGCTCCCGCCTCACCTTTCTCTCCTCCCGCCTACCCTCCACCTGGGGCCTCCTGCTCCCCTCGGCTCTCCAGGGTGGACGCCAGTGAGGGCTGGCCCAGTCTGCAATGGCAGCCTGCTGTGCCTTGCTCCCACTCCGCCCGAAGATGTGATTGTTTTGGGAGCTGATTTCCCTCAGGTGTGGGGACCCCAGCCCCGCACAGGTGTGGAAAACAGCCCCTGCTCACACCTGTGAGGCATGAATACCTGCAGGCCTCGGGGGCAACTCCACTGCAGAGCTGAGCTGGGCGCCATGGAGGCAGCTGGGAAGGCAGGGCCAGGCTGCAGGAACCCCAACTCCCGAGACCCCCGCGGGTCTCTCTGCAGGAGCAGGCCCCTCCTGGGTGGAGGCTGCTTTTCCTTGTCCCCAACCCCACGGGGTCACGCCCGCTGTCTCTGAAGCTGTGGGGAGCTGCCAGCCCCTCAGACACCCGATCCCCACAGCTGTTGGAAAATATTCTCAGCAGACTGGAGCGGTCACTCCTCCGCAGGCCTGTGGGTTGTGAACCTTGGGAGCTGCAGACATGGAGATGGAGAGCTATGGTACCCACCGCACCCTGTGCGTCAGCGGGAGCCCTGAGCCCCAGGGCCTGGGCGTCCTGCGTCCTTGTGAGGCCTGCACCTGCCGTCAGCCTCGGGGTGAGGGGAGCTGGATATTTCTAGGGGCTCTTACCAAAGGTTGGGGGGCAGCCCCAGGCCCCAGGAGCTCTAAATGGGGACAGAGTCCTCGGTCCTGTGGCAATGGGAGCAGAAGTGTCATCTCTGTGCCCTGCCTCCGGCGGACACCCGGCTCGCTCCCCAGTGAGAGTGGCGTCCAGGGCCTAGCGGAGAGGCGGCAGTGTGTGCCAGGGCTGTGCGGGCTCCCGGAGGCGGGGACGGTCCAGCTGTTCCGTCACCTCACCGCGGACGGGAAAGTGGAGCGGCATTCGGCCGGGGCTGGGTGGGGCGGTGCCCGCCCGGGCACCATCTCAGGTTCCCTGCGCACATTCCTCCATCTGGGGCCGCACGCCTGCTTTTCCAGGCCCCTGGAGTTCCCCTCCCGGAGACCTCCCCACAGCCTGGGGGCAGCTGGACCCCGGGAGCCGGTTCCCCGTAAAAATCCCGAGACCGAAATTCCCCAGCTTCCTCCTATACGGGGCGGCAGCGGCCTGGGAGGTGTTGCTATGGGAATGCTAGAGTGGATTTATCTCCTCTCTTAGCAAATTAATTTTATGAATGTCCACAACGTTGAAACAACTGCAAAACAACACGTTGCAAAGCTGCCCTTGGGCCTGGGAACTTTTCCTGGCTCATCAGAGCCCCGCGCCTCCTCCCCGCCGACGCCTGAACCAGGGGACGGCCCATTGTTCAAAATCCACGGGTCGCTGCTGGATGCTTTTAGGAAAGGGACCCCTGCAAAACAGCACCCCTGGAGGACCCCGTGCACACCCCGTCATCGGGTGGGGTCAGCTGGGACCCAGCCTGTACCGCGAGGCTCCTGGCTGGGGTCTCGGACAGACCCGGCCTGCGCTGCGAGGCTCCTGGCTGGGGTCTTGGACAGTGCCGGTGCCACATTTTGAAGCGTTGCTGCTTACTCGTGGTGCTGCTTACTTGTGGTGGCCCTTTCAGTTCCTACTTGTCGCTCTTTTGGGGCCGCCTTCTGGAGGAGGCTCTGCTGGAGTGCCGGAGCCACAGGGGCCTAAGCCATACATGTTTCCCAGGCATCAGCTCCGGTCCCGGGGCTGGAGAGATGCCGTGGGCCGCAGACACGCCCTGTCCTCTCTCCGGCTGGCGTTCTAGGGGCGTGAGATGCTTTGGAAGGACATGAGGGCTTGGAAGAGACGTGAAGCAGGACCCGACACAGAGAGTGCTGGGAGTGGTGTCGCTTGGGCTGCAGGGAGGGTGGTGGGGGCCGTGGGGCAGGGGCCTGGATACCGGGAGGGAGGGGGCTGCAGGCAGCGGTCCAAGGTGGGAGAGCGGGCAGGGTGAGTCTGGGGGGCTCCGGTTGCAGAGCTCTGCTGACCGGGGTTGGAACGCCAGCGTTACTCTGGGTGTGACGGCCGCAATGGCCGGAGTTGGGGGCTGATTTGCAGAGGAGGGAGATAGTCCAGCTGCTTTGCCGAGGGCCGTGCCACGTGGCGAATAAACCAGACAGGAGCAGGCCGGCCACAGCACAGGGCAGTCACCCTGAGGGGACGGCGGGGGATGAGGGAGGGCTCGGGGACTGCTGGGCAGGCAGTGGGGGGACGGGTATTGAAGTAGGAGTAGGAGTCTGCCAGATGGAGGGCATCCTGACAGCCTCGGGGACACAGGAGCGCGGGAGGGTGGGGCGAGGCTACGCAAGAGCGGAGCTGCAAACCCTGGGCAGGGAAGGCTCCCAGGCCCCCCGAGCTCCTTGACGGGGGGTATGAAAGTCGCTTTATAACATTCTGCCTGGACACCACAGCCTCTTCTGAGAGCCAAGTGAGAAGTGCTCAGAACCAAATCCCTGGCCCACCCTTGGCCTCAGGGCCCTGCCACGAGCCTGCGGTCAACCTTCCGGAGGCCTAGGAGTATGTGCCTGTGGGGGAACCTGCACCGGCCGCGCGTCCTCCCTCCTCTCGCGGGTCAGGGCAGGTGAGATCCGCCGAGGTGCCGGGCTTGGCCTCTGCCCAGCGGTCACTGTGGGTGGGTGCCAAGTCTTCCCTGTCTGAGGGAAATCTCAGCGCATCTTGAAAGGGGGCCCATTTGGCCTGGCCTCTAGCAGGAAAATAAAAACATTCCTTCTGGGCTGGACTGGAAGAAACACTTTTCCAGAACCCCGGGGCTGGGCTCTGAGCCCTCCACCTGGGCCCTGTGTGGACTTTGTGCATGCGGACATCTGCGCGGGGACAGTGACGGTTCCAGGGCCCTCGGGGTCTGGCCCTGGGGTGGCCCTGTCCGTGGGGTCTGCGGGCTCACTGGCCAGGGTCATTACGGGTGTGAGAGCTTCCTCGGTGCTTAGAGGGACTCCGGCCTCACCCTGCCTGCTGTCCACCAGGTGCCAGCATCCCTCCCCTGGGCTGCGAGTGCCCCTGCTCTGCTCAGACCCTGCTGGGGCAGGCTCCTGAGTGCTCCAGCGGCCACAGCTGACCGAGAGGGACACACAGGTCCACCCGGCTCTGACCCACATCCCTCTTGTTGCAGGGCAGCCTCGTCATCCCAGGAGCAGGGGAGGGGCTGCATGCCCCCTGGCCCCCCTTTGTAGGCAAAGCTCCCCCAGGGCCTTGGGCACAACGGGCTGTGTCCCGGGCACGTCACGGCTGCCCTCTCCCAGTGAGCTGGACGTTCGGCCCAGCAGCTTGGGGGCCGGGGAGAGCTTCCCAGCACCCGGCTGAACTGTGAGATGGCTCCAGGGGACAACTGTTTTCCCAAAGGCATGGGACGTCTTCACTTGCCTTTCAGCGTAAGTGAGTTTCGATGTGAATTGGGGCGGCCGGCAGGCTGTTCTCTGCGTGGATAGAGGGCCAGGTGTGAGGCTGAGGCCTTGGTCAGCTCACGCTCAGGGTTTCTGCTTTGGGAGACAAGAACCTTCAAAGTAATTTCTTCAAGTAAAATGCCGCTTGCGGACTGAGACAGGGACGCCGAGGCGTCTTCAGCAAAGGATGGTCCCATTTGTGTGGTTCCTTTGACAAGTGCCTTTGCCTTGATATTTTCTCTCTGATTTTTTTTTTTGTTAATGTAAGTAACATTATACAAAGTTTAACACCCTCTCCCCCACCAAAAAAAAAAAAATAACAACTCTAAAAAGCACCATCTTCCTCCCTCCCTCAACCCTCCCCTCCCAGAGACCGAACCACCCCCCGCGGGCCCCGGCTTTCCATTGCAGACATTTCCAGATCTTGTTTCCCACCCGTATCTCGGGGCACCGCCGCGCAGGCGTTCCCAGACGAGACAGATGTGGAATGCAGTGGCTGGTTCCAAGGTCCCGGATTACCCTGACCAGATTCCTGGCAGCAAAGCGAGGAGACTTAAGCACCATGCAAAGACTATTGCCGTAAAGACGGATGTTTTGGCTGGGAACATCCTAACAGATGCGCAGTTCTGGACAAATCGATTTGCAGCACCCCACGGTCGTCCACCCCCCGCAGCAGGGGCTGGCCGTGGTGGCTGTGGTCCTGCAGGCAGTGGGTTGTGGACATTCCCTCCCTTGTGGGGGGTGGTCTGCTCCCCTCCTCCCAGACCTTCTGATGATGTTGAGTGAAGCCGGGGCCCTTGAGCACTTGGTCCTTCTGGGAAGTCCGCATGCCCGGGGCGGGCCAGCTCCAGGTGGTGAACAATGGTCTCTGGGAGGAAGTTGTCCTCCTGTGTTCTAAATTTGGCCACGCATGTCTCTCTGATTCAACAGCCAGGTTCTCAGTCCCACAGCTGTGGCCTGCTGGCCCTGCTGTCCCTCCCCAGAGTCAGCTGCCGGAGGAACTTGGTGAAAAGGCTCCTGAGGGGGCAGCTTCCCCAGGAGCAGGACACAAGGTCACCTACCTTGTGGCTCGGCCATGCCTCCAGGACAGGGGTGGGAAACGTGTGGGGCCAGACCGAGGGGGTGCTTAGCGGCACGGGGGGCTGTGACCTCACCCTGGCCATGACCCCCGAGCATGGGTGAGACTGTGAGGCAGTATGAGCTGAGGCCATAGGTGGAGTGAGTTGAGGTTCCAGTGGCCAGGCCCTTTTAAAAATGTTTTGTTTTTAAAAATTGTGATAAAATACAGATAACGTGAAATTTACCATCATGACCATTTCTAGGTGTACAGTTCAGTGGCATTAAGCAGGTCATTTTGCTGTGTGGCTGTCACCACCATCATCTCCAGAATGTTTCATCTTCCCAGGCTGAAGCTCTGTCCCCACCAAACACACACTCCCCACCCCCCTCTCCCAGCCCTTCTAGAAAGTAGAACCACCCTTCTCCTTTCTGTCTCTATGAGTTTGAACTCTACTGCCTGCTATAAGGGAGATCTGACAGGATTTGTCCCTCTGTGACTAGCTTATTTCACTTGCATAGTGTCCTCAAGGGCCATCCATGTTGTAGCTAGCAGGTGTCAGAATGTCCTTCCTTTTCAAGGCTGAATAATATTCCGTTGTTTGAGTGGCCCACATTGTGTTTATCCAGCCAAGCCTGTTTTTTATTTTGCTGCTACTGCTGCTGCTGCCACCACTGATGGTGATGATGATGGCGGTGATGGTGATGAAGGTGATGGTGATGATGATGGTGATAGTGATGATGGTGATGGTGATGAAGGTGATGGTGATGATGGTGATGGTGATGAAGGTGATGGTGATGATGGTGATAGTGATGATGGAGGTGATGGTGATGATGATGGTGATGATGGTGATGATGATGGAGGTGATGGTGATGATGATGGAGGTGATGGTGATGATGATGAAGGTGATGAAGGTGATGTGATGACAAATTTGGACGTAGCTATGAGGTGAGGCCATAAGGGTGGAGTGGGTTGATGTTTCCATGGGGCCAGGTCCTTTTTCAAATTGGGTTGGTTTTTAACAATTTGGTTAAAAAAACAGATAACGTGGAAATTATCCTTCATGACCATTTTTAGGGGTACAGTTCAGCTGGCATTCAGTAGGTCATTTTGCTGTGTGGCGGTTCCCATCCATGTTCTCCAGAATGTTTCATTCTAGCAGGATGAAGCTCTGTCCCCAACAAAGTCACACTCCCCACCCCTTTCTCCCAGTCGTTCTAGAAAGTAGAACCACCCTTCTCCTTTCTGTCTGTATGAGTTTGAACTCTACTGCCTGCTATAAGGGAGATCTGACAGGATTTGTCCCTTTGTGAGTAGATTATTTCAGTTGCGTAGTGTCCTCAAGGGCCATTCATGTTGTAGCTAGCAGGTGTCAGAATGTCCTTCCTTTTCAAGGCAGAATAATATTCCGTTGTTTGAGTGGCCCTCATAGAAATTATCCAGCCAAGCCTGTTTGTTATTATGCTGCTACTGCTGCTGCTGCCACCAATGATGGTGATGATGATGGTGGTGATGGTGATGATGGTGATGGTGATGATGATGATGATGGTGATGATGGTGATGATGATGAAGGTGATGGTGATGATGGTGATGGTGATGAAGGTGATGGTGATGATGGTGATCAAGGTGCTGATGATGGTGATGATAGTGATGAAGGTGATGTGATGACAATGGTGATGAAGGTAATGGTGGTAATGGTGATGTGAAGGTGATGACAATGATGGTGATGGTGGTGGCCATAATGATGGTGATGATCATGATGGTGATGAAGGTGATGATAGTGATGATGATGACAATGGTCATGGTGAAGATGGTGATGATGGTTGTGGTGATGGTGATGGTGGTGATGGTGATAATGATGGTGGAAGTGGTGGTGATGGTGGTGATGAGGTGATGAAATGGTGAATATGGTGATGATGATAATGGTGATGATGAAGGTGATGAGTTGGTGAATATGGTGATGATGATGGTGATGATGAAGGTGAAGATGAGTTGGTGAAGATGGTGATGATGATGTCATGGTGATGATGATAGTGATGATGACCATGATGGTCATGGTGAAGATGGCCATGGTGGTTGTGGTTATGGTGATGATGGTGATAGTGATGATGGTAATGGTAATGATAAAGGTGGCAGCGGTGGTGACTAACACTTTTTTAGCTTTTACTCTGTTTCAAACATTTCCATATTTAACTCATTTAATCCTTACGAGTCTCTGAGGTAATGACCATTATCCTCCCAATATGTCTGATGAGAAAATGCACTGAGAGGAAAATTCCATGAGTTCAGACCTCACCAGCTGATAACCCCCAGCCTTTTGCAGAGGTAAAGCCCTTGGCAGTGTTCCGGGGGTACCCACATCCTTGCCTAAATCTCCCCAGAACCTGGTGGATTCTGGATAGGTTTATATTATTTTACAGTGGGGAAACTGAGACTTGGAGAAGTGAGGTAGCATGTCCTTAGCCACCCAGCTGGGCCAAGTCTGAAGTCCAGATCCTCACGGAGCCTGAGCTACCCCAGTCAAGCACCGCAGCTGCGCAGGGGCCCAGAAAACGTCCCGTGTGCCTCATCTGTCCTGCTGAGTCCTTCAGAAACTCCCCACAATCACCAGACCAGTTTTAAATAGCAATTCAGGCAAGATAAAAATCAATTAATTTGCAGCCACGGGATGTTTATTTCACCTTTTGCTCAGCTCTTCTGTTGGCGACGGAAACTCTTGACTGTCCGGCGTATATTTATAGCCTCTCTGAGCACGAGACTCTCCCTGGGAAGATGGGCAGTGTCCAAGGAGCTGGTGCGGTGTTGGGCCTGGTCTTTGAAGGGGGCTGAGGCAGCAATGGATTCTGCCCTGAATGCATTGCTTCATGAGGGACTCCAGGGAGGTGGCAGCTGGCTGTGGCTGCACCCAGGTCACCTGCTCTCCTTTGGATCCGAGGGACATATTGCTTAGTAGTAAGACCAGCATTTGTGCTCCTCCTTGGTGTCCCAGATTTCCAGAAAGATCTGCTGGAGACATCCAAGCTGGACACCTTTGGGGTCCCAAGAGCCCCTAAAGGCTGCCCCAGACCCCAGCCTGCTCTTCAGCATCCAAGAGTGCGTGTGGTCCATGAGGGATGGTTGGAGCATCTGTTGGAATTATTCCGATCTTATTCCAGTCTCCTGCGAAACCCTGAAGGAATGAAGTGAAGCGTGTGGTTAGGTTTACCCTCCTTCCACTCCTGGCTGTGCAAGTTCCAATCACCCCTCCTTGGGTGGAAGCCCAGGAAGTCGCCAGGCAGGTGAATGTGAACACCTGTCAGTTGTCACTCCTGGGTTCCCAGACAGTGGCTCCCAGAATGGGCAGCTCAATAAATCTCCACTCAGGGATGGTGGAAAAATACCCCTGGGCTCCCGTCCCAGATGCAAGGTTGGGGGGCATCCGCCTGCAACACTTCCTCCCTCCAAAGCTGATGTGTTCGTCTCGGGAGTTCACTCTGGAAGTGCTTTTGGGGGCCAGTGCCCTGGGCCCTGGGCCTGTTGGTCCTGGCCGGCCGATCCCCCCTCCCCTGAGCTGTGAGGATTTATAGATGCATCTGGGCACTGCCGGAGTCAGTGCTGGCGCCCTGGGCAGTTTCTGGGGATGCTGCGGGAAGAGGCCTAGGAATGCCCTCCAGGCTGAGGGAACATTTGTGTGCAGAGGCACAGAGGTGTCACTGTGGCTGGAGTCGAGGGCCTGAATGCGGTGGGGCGGGGACCTGAGTGTGTGACTGCCCACGTGGAGAGGACGTGGGCTTGCCTGGAAGGCAGTGCAAAGCTCCGAGCCACAGGCTTGCCTGGAAGGCAGTGCAAAGCTTCGAGCCACGGAGACAGGGCCAGGATTGCTGGGAACACAGAGTCCTCCCAGAGGGAGCAAGGGCGGAGGTTGAGGCTGGCGGCGGAGGTTGAGGCTGGCCACGGAGCCACGGGAGGACCTGGGAGGAGGCCTGAGGCTGGATGGGCTGACGCTGGGGGCGGCGGCCTGTGTCCCACCCTGGCCCCACCTCCCGTCCATCCAGATTCCAAGTCTCAGGTTCCCACAGGGGTGTCCAGGAGCCACAGCTCTGGCTGGACCCGGAGGGGCCCACTGGGCTGAGGGCCAGGTCCAGAATGATGGGTGGTGGCTGCGTGGGGTATGGTCTCTGTGGGGAGACTGAACAGGGAGGGAGGAGACCCTTTGGGAACACCAGGATCAGAACGGGAAGTGGGGAGCGGGCAGAGGGGGGCTGCTGAATTGTCAATGGAGGAGGCTGGAGCCGGGCCAGGCTGGAAAGTGCTTTCTGCCTCTTTAGAACATAATCAGCCAGTGTGCACCCATGCACACCAACGCACATACTCACCCATGCACACGTGTGCACACATGCACATATACACACCCACAACCCATGCACACCCACAACCCATGCACACACACTGATCCGTGTGCACATGGACACAGGCACACCTGTGCACACACACGTACACACATGTACATACAGACATGCATGCACACCTGAGCACACACACGTACATACACACTCCAAGCAGACCCATGCACACACACACATGCACACACCGCACAGACATGCATGTATGCACACGTGCACACATGCTCACACAGACTTCTGTTCTGGCACACATGCACACACACAGTGCATACACATACCTGTGCACACAATAACACACCCATACACACACCTGTGCACGCACTCACACGTGCACACATGCATGCACACACACACCCAGCGTGCAGAGGTTGCAGAGGCTGAAGCAGCTTGGGGCCCCCTGGGGCTGGGACATTGTGGGTCTTGGCCCACCCAAGCCGGGGGGCTGTTGGACGCCTGCTGAGTGGACAGTGCACAGCCTGGGCTCTCAGCAGTGGCACCCCTTCCTTTCCTTTCCCTTCTGGCCTAAGGAATGGTGTCTGCAGAGGCAGCCTGTGGAGGGTTTTTAGGCTCATTGGAAAAGAAAACTGGGGTATCCCGTGGAGGGGGTCCTGGGGCGGACTTGCAGCCTGACCTGGCAGGTGCTCTCAGAGGACCCTCAGGGTGGGGGCCGAGGGCACGGGGCATCAGCTCCGGGTTGGGTCTAGGTGCCTGCCCACCTGCACCTGCCCTGGTGGCTGCCTGGAGGGCTGGGGGCATGTTTGATCCCAGGAAGCAGAAGCCGTGTCAGTTCCGGGCCCAGGCTCTCCTGGGATGAGAGGTGCTGGTGTGTGGAAGGGTTGGGGTTGCTGTGAAGTCACAGTGGAGATTTCATCAGCGCCCGTTAGGTTTCTGGTGTCCAGCACCCTGGTCAGTACCTGGAAGGACTCAATGTCTGTTCATCCAAAGATTGAGACTTGGCTGAGAAAGCAACAGCTGAAATGGCGGGCGAGGGTCAGGGCATCTCTGCTGGTGTCTGGGCATCTCAGCTGGGGTCAGGACATCCTGGCCGGGGGTCAGCATGGTGGAGGGAGTCATGGTTGGGGGGCATGGACCCCATGGCCTTGCAAAGAAGATCCAGGGAGGAAGAGAACAGCTGGAGGGAAGATGAAATGCTGCTGGCCGCAAAGCTATGATGGGCAGATTGGTTGTGATCTGTGTGTGACAGAGACCCTTTAAGAGCTCTTTCTGGAACCTGGTGTGACCAGGCAGATGGAGGGGCAGTAATGGAGGAAAGGGTGTGAGAGGCCCTGGAGGCCGGGGCTTGGCCCACCTGCAGGTGATGAGTGCAGGCCTGGTGGAGAGGGCTGGAAGGGACGCGTTCCAGGCTCTGCAGGGGGCAGAATCCTCAGTGCTGGTGACCCCTGGTTGGGAGGTGAGGCCGAGGGAGGTGTCTGCCGTCGTCTGGGAGGAGTCCTGTGGACAGAGATGCCTAATGGGGGCAGACGAGGAGTTGGGCTGGGCCTGTGGAGCTGGAGGCGACAGGGCCCTCACTGGGACGCTTGGGGTTGAAGCCACACAAACCACAGGCAGTGAGCACTCCCACCCACCCACCCTGAGAGGTGCCTGGGGCTGGAGCAGGAATGGCTGCCCCCACCTCCCCGCCTGGCAGGCAGCAGGAGCCTCTGTAGCCTGGGGCCTGTGCTCGCCCTGGTTCCCCGGAACCTGCAGAGACTCCCACACAGATGGCCGGGAGTAACTGGGCCACAGAAGGGCATTGAGGGCAAGGCCCGGGCAGCCACATGCCCCTTTCCTTCCACGCTTCTCACCTAACCGTGGTTGCTGGCGCAGCCACAGGCATCTCGTCACCCCCACCCCCCGGCCGCGCCGGGAGCACCCACCGGAGCTTCCATGGCAGCTGCGTAGGTCCCGGGACGGACAGTGCCTGGCTGCAGAGACAACCGAGGGGATAACTGGGTTTGCAGAAGGAAAGGCTCGTCTCACACGGGGCCAGGCCTGCCTCACTCTGGCATGCAGGCGGGGGCGGACGCAGCCCCGCACCTGTTCCCACCCCAAGCCCTGGCGCCGACGTCCGCGGGAACGGCTTGTTTCCCACGGAAGCTGCTGGGCCGTGCCTTTGCCGGGCCCCAGACCTCATGGATGATCCATTAAACGCTGGCACAGGAGCTGACCTTGGGCGGCTCGCCCGCTGAAGTGTGTTTTCGCTGTCGTCCCGAGGACAGTTTGCAGCCCAGGGTGTGTGACGTACATCAGTTCCGTCTCGGCCAGCCGGGCCTGAGGAGCGGGCAGGGGATGATTGCGGGGAAGTGGCTCAGCCTCCCGAAACAAACGGCAGAGGGACAGCTCGGTCACCTCCAAGACACCCGGAGCCTGCACGCAGCTCAGGAGCGCTCCGAGGAGTCACCGCCTGAGGGAGCAGGAAGGGATTTGGGTGGAAGGGAGCTTCAGGTGAAATTGCCTTCCATGTGGAAAAAACAGTTATTGCAACGGTTGCTTAAAAAAACATAAAAATGCATCCATGGGGCTTATTTATTCAGGAGAAATCACAGAGCACCTGGGAGTGCTTTAGAGGCAGGGGCTGCTTGCATCCTCTGTGGATGTGTGTGTGTGTGTGTGCACAGGCGTGTGTGCCTGTGTGTTTGTGCCTAGGTGTGTGCGCACAGGTTTGTGTGCCTGTGTGTGCATGTGTGTGGGGTGTGTGTGCATGTGTGTATGCACGTACCCGTGTGTGTGTGCACAGGTGTGTGTGTGTGTGTGTTTGTGTGCCTGTGTGTGGGGTGTGTGTGCATGTATGCACGTACCAGTGTGTGTGTGCGCAGGTGTTTGCGTGCACAAATATGCATCTGTGTGTATGTGTGTGTGTTCACACGTGTGTGTGTATGTATAGGATTCTGCTTCTGCCTAAGTCCAGAAGCACACAGGCAGGAAATGTGTGCACAGGAAACGTAAAGGCACTGGAGTGAGCCTGAATTTTCCAGGCTCTGAGGAGTCTCACTGGAGGGAGGAACGTGTCGTGGCCCCCGTGGCCCTGAGAAGGCATTTGGTGTCTGTCCACTCTTACGTTCACTCATGGCCGCCGCCCTCATGATGACTGTCCCGTTTGACGTGCTGGAACTCCTGGAGCTGGGGTAATCTGGCCTCACCGCCGCTCTGTAGCATTGGTTGGCGTTGTCCCATATAACAGATGAGGCAGCTGAGGCTGGAGCAGCTATGGGCCTTGCCTGAGACTGGCTGGTGCATTGCAGAGCTGAGGCTGGACCCAGACTCTTCGACTCTTGGTCTGCGGCCCGATTTTGGTGCTGATGACCTGGCCCAAGGTGCAGGACAGGAGCCTCCTCAGTCCCATTTGTTCCTGGCCAGGTCAGGGGGAAGCCTGGGTTAAGCTCGTGTGTTGAACACCTTTCCAGCTGTGCTTAATCTTTTAGTTACTTTTTAATTTATGGAAAGTGATAGCAGTTTCCATTTATGGTCGTGATACAAAGTTTCTTTTAAAATATATTTATTATTATTATTATTATTATTATTATTATTTGTATTAGTTCATTCTAACACTGCTATGAAGAAATGCCCGAGACTGGGTAATTTATAAAGAAAAGAGGTTTAATCGCTTGTGATTCTGCCTGGCTGGGGAGGTCTCAGGAAACTTACAATCATGGTGGAAGGTACCTCTTCACAGGGCAGCAGGAAAGAGAATGAAAGCTGAACAAAGCGGGGAAAGCCCCTTATAAAACCGTCACCCCATGCCATGATTCAGTTACCGCCCCCTGGGTCCCTCCCACAACACGTGGGGATTATGGGAGCTACAACTCAAGATGAGATTTGGGTGGGGACACCGCCAAACCTTGTCATTATTAGAGACAGGGTCCTGCTTTGCTAGCCAGGCTGGTCTCCAACTCCTGGGCTGCAGTGATCCTCCTGCCTCAGCCTCCTGAGTAGCTGGGACCACAGGTACCACCACGTCCAGCTAATTTACTTTTTGTAGAGATGGGGTCTTGCCATGTTGCGCAGGCTGACCTTGAACACCTGGGCTCAAGGAATCTTCCTTCTTTGGCCTCCCAAAGTATTGGGATTACAGGTGTGAGCCACCGTGCCCAGCCTAAAATATTTATTTAAGTAAAATGAATATATTTGTCTCTTGTAGAACTTCACATAAGGGACTTGGGGTGCATGTGCCTTTTCCTGGCCTCCCTGACTCCACAGCGAGCCTCGAGACTCCGGCTCACTGCCTGCACACGCGTGTGGCGTCCCGCATAGGAAGAGATGGGCTTCCTAGTGTGTCTCCTCCCGGGGGGTGTCCAGACGGTCTCTGGTCTGGGCTATGAGCACAGCGGGCCTGGGCTCCGGTGCTTCCCTGGCGTCGGCCCCAGATCGGGGTCCCCTCGTATCGGGGAGCCCTTCCTGCACCACTCGGGGCTCCTGCCGGGCATGGGGAAGTGCGACCACCAGCCCTGAGACGGAGCAGATCCCTTCTGACTGCCCTGAGCCCCCGTCCTGGCCCTGCCCCCTGCTCCAGCCTCTTCTCCCAGCCGTGGCACCAGCCCCTCTCTCGGCCTGGGATGCGGCCCCCACGTCTTCTCCGGCTGGCTCCTCCTGCCCTCGAGGTCTCAGCTCAGAGGCCACTTTGCTGGTGGCTGGGCCTTCACTGGCCGCCCCCTGAACTGATTCTCGGCTCTCCTGGCGTCAGGCACCTGTGGCCTTGTGGGTTGTGTCTGCCTCCCCTCTGGGTGCCGAGTCCTGGTCCGGGCAGGGATGTGGCCTCCTCGTTCACGGCCGTAGTCCTAGCCCTAATGCAGTAGACGAGTGACTGAAGGCGAGCCTGGAAGAATAAACAGAAGGGAGATGCATCGGCAGCTCCGAGGAAGGCAAATGGTCTGTGTCCATGGGAACCTGGCTGGGACGGGGCCGCCGTCCACGCCTGTGGCACCAGGTTCTCCCTGGAGCACTGGACCCAAAGGGAGGGACCCTGTCTCCCCGTCTGCCCCCAGTTCTGTGATCCGACTGACCTCTGAGCCGAAGCGTTGGAGGCTCACGGCCGGGCAAGGGAGGCTGTGACAAGGGACAGGAAGCCGGGGCCCCTTCCAAGGAAGCTGATGCTAAGACCTTGGCTGGTTTTCCTTCTTCTTTTTTTTTCTTTTTTTGAGATGGACTTTCGCTCTTGTTGCCCAGGCTGGAGTGCAGTGGCGCAATCTCGGCTCACTGCAACCTCCCCCTCTCGGTTCATTCAATCCTCCTGCCTCAGCCTCCCCAGTAGCTGGGATTACAGGCGCGCACCACGCCTGGCTAATTTTTGTATTTTTAGTAGAGACAGAGTTTCACCATGTTGGCCAGGCTGGCCTCGAACTACTGACCTCAGGTGATCTGCCCACCTCGGCCTCCCAAAATGCTGGGATTATAGGAGTGAGCCACCACGCCTGGCCTGGTTTTCCTTCTGATCAAAGTCATACCTGCCCATTGTAGAAAATCAAAAAGTTGATTTTGGTTTTGATTTTATAGGAAATTTTATTATTTCTTCTTCTCCTCCTCCTCCTCCTTCTCCTCCTTCCTTTTTTTTTTTTTTTTTTTCCTGAGACAGGGTCTCGCTCTGTCACCCAGGCTGGAGTGCAGTGGTACAATCATGGCTCACTGCAGCCTCGACCTCCTGGGCTCAAGCGATCCTCGCACCTCAGCCTCCTGAGTAGCTGGGACCACAGGCACATGCCAGCACACCCCAGCATTTTTGTGTTTTTTTTCTTTTTTTTTTTAAGAGATGGGGTCTCACTATGTTGCCCAGGCTGGTCTCAAACTTCTGGCCTCAAGCCGCCCTCCCACCTCGGCGTCCCAAAGTGCTGGGATTACAGGCGTGAGCCACTACGTCTGAGCTGATTTTGCAGGAAATTTTAAAAAATCAAAATAGTCGCAAGGAAAATGAATCCTTTGTGATTCCCCTGCTGCGGACAACGGCCAGGGCAGGACGTTCTGCGGCGTCTCCTCCCAGGTTTGTGCCACTGGGTTATTTTTAGAGTCGGGTTAGAATCAATAGTGAGAAAATTTGGGGAGTATGACCTAGAGTTTTGGCAAGCATGTTTTTCCAGCCCAAAAAAACCCAGACTCTCAATCCTCCTGAGAGCGTCTGTGCTGCCTCGTGGCAGTCTGGGAAGTGGAGTTGGACAGGAGTGTCTATTTCCAGAGGTTTCGACAGCTTGAGAGACCGTGGTGCGTCTCAAGCTGGGCCTCCCGGAAACTGAGGGTACGTGGTGGTTGCGGCGGCCGCCCATGTCGTGGGAGTGCTGGATTCTGCCAGCTGGAGGTCGGCACCCCTGCCCCTCCTGGTCCATGTCCATCCTGTTTCTCCCTCCTCTGCTGTTCCCTGTCTTTCTGCTGTCGGACTCAGGCATCTGGCACAGATGTCCATGGGTGCGCAGGCACAGGACGGGGACTGTCACCACCGTCAGTGTGCAGGGTGGTGTATCAGCTAGGGAGAGAGGCCGAGCTGCTGTAACAAACAGTCCCTGCAACAGTGCGGTGGAAAGAACGGAGAAATGTCTCCCTTTCTTGAGAAGTGATGGTTGTGTGTCAGGTGGGTGGGTGTCTGTCCCATGTGGCCCTCCCGAGTCGTGGCTCCACCAGGGGCCTGGTCACGGGTGTCACGCGGCTGAGACGTGAGGAAGGGATTCGAACCCAGGTCTGCTGGGCTCTGAGGGTCCTGCCTCTTTCCCTCCTTGGCTGCTGATCCTGGTGGAGATGGGAGGGCAGGAGGAGGGAGTCCCGGGGCCACCAGACTCCGCTGAGGAGACCGCGCTCCCCTCCTCCCAGTTCCTCCCCGACTCTGGTTGGAAACGGAAGCTGCCCGGCCCAGGCCGGGGGTGGGAGGGGCCGCACCTGGTTCTCTGCAGCTCAGGAGGTCAGAGGTGGGGGTCGGCTGTGGGAGGGCAAGGGGCAGCTGAGTGGCCGCGTCTAGTTCACGTGAACTTGGTAGCTTTGCACGGGGACTCTTCAGTACCCTGGGAGCCGGGGGAGGCACCTGTGTCTTTTATGACGCAGACTTTCCCGGCCCCAGGGACAGAGGCAGCGTCCCCCTCTCCATTCCAGAAACATGGCATCTGAGCTCAAGACACAGCTCTACTGGGGTGTGTTTGGAGAAGGTGAAAGGATGAACTTGACCTTAAAGGTGGAGGGTCGACGTGCCGGAGGTGCGTGGGGAACTGTTCCCGATCCACAGGCACCAAACACCTTCCTCTGGCCTCGGCCCCTCCTGTCCAGCCGCGCCACAGCCCCTTCCGGGAGGGATGAACGCGGACGCCTCGGGGACCGACCCCTTTGCCTCACGGGTGGGGCCCCTGCCGGCCGTCTTGGCAGTGACTCCTAAGAATACAAATTCCAAAAGCAGAATGACTCCGTGCGGAAGACTGTTCCGCGTTATTGACGGTGTTTTACCCCTTTATGTGACTCCGTTCCTGGACGTCCCCAGAGGCCCTTCTAATTATCCGAAGGCCGCCGGTTGCAGGGTTGCATTCACATCAGGCAAACCCACGTCGCAGTGGAAACTCAGTGAAGCTGTGTTTGGGGGTGATTGGGGTCGGGGTGGGTGGGTTTGCTTTGGTGGCCTCTGGGATGCCTCTGAGGGGTCGGTTTCCAGAAGTTTCCTCCGTGGCCTAAAACGGTGCCTGGCACGTGGTGGGTGTCCAGTCACTCTTGGTGGGAAGCACGAATGCCCCCACCTGAGCTGTGTTCTGGTCAGGGGCTTCATGGTGGTTCTCACAAAGGCTTCAGGGGTGCAGGGTGGCCTGGGGGTGCCTGGGAGCTTGGAGACAGCCAGGAGCCGAGCGTCCTTGAAGCAAAATTCGTGCTGGCCACTCCCGGGGCATATGCAAGAGGGAGACAGGGGCCCGGAGGGGCCGCACTGCTGGGATGAGCATAGGAGGGATGAAGACGGCTTGTACCTGGCTGAGTCCCCGGAGCGGGGGCATCTGGTCATGCATTGAGGTGGGGGGCCTGGATGCAAGCCCACGCTGCCTGGGTCTGCCTCCCGGGCTCCCGTCTGCCAATTCGCAGCACCCCTCCTGCAACAGGGCCTGTGAGCCAGGTGTGCTGGCCACCACCACGGGTGACTGCAGCCTTCGGGTAGGGCTGGATGTCATCTGCTTGTGGAGGCAGCGGGACTCTGACTGTGTGGCCTTGGCCAAGTTGCTCAACCTCTCTGGGCTTCCATCTGCGAAGTGGAGAAATTCATGCCCCCCACAACATGCTGGGGCCCTGAAAAAGGGGGCATGTGAAGGTCTGGGGTGCAGCAGCTGCCCAGACAGTGGTCAGTCCCTCCCTGGTCGGGCTGGAGGGAAAGACAGCAGAGGTTTACAAAACACATCTCTCCAGAGCCTCAGAGGAGGGTCCAGCCTGAAGGTACCTGTGCATCCTTTCCTATCAGGGCGTGTGAAGAGTGAGAATGCCTCCAATTAAAAAAGTCATCCGTGTGGTAATTATGCTGCCGATTTCCAAATGGCCTCTAGGAGATGCCACCACTTAGAACCGGATTCCAGAGACCACCGAGCACGGCCAGTGTGCTCTTGCATCCAGACAGCGTGACTAGTGACAAAGTGTGGTGTGTCCGGGAGCAGTCGGCACAGCAGCCCCGTGGGGGCTCCCCGGACCCATCCCTGCCGCTTCCTTGCCGGCAGAATCCCAATCCTCAGCCCCTCCCCAGAGCGGGGCACGTCCAGTCCCATGGGTCATATTCCCCAGCAACTGGTTTAGGGCAAGCGTGAGACCCTCTCTGGCCAATGAGGAGTGAGGGGATGTTTCCAGGAGTTTCTGGAAGGGTTTCTCACTGCTGAGGGGAGAAGTGCAGGAGAAAGAGGTAGGTTCTGTCTTTCTGCTGATGGTGTAGGGGTGGCCTGTGGTGACTCCCGGAGCCACGGCAGCCTCTGTGCCCCCATGAGGGACCTGATTGAGGACCTTGCACCTCCCCGAGGTCCCAGAGCAGGAAGCAAGAGCAAGGCTGGGTCCCTGCCACCTCCGAGCCATGAAATGGGCCTGGGAGCCCTCCCCTATCTTCCGGCTCTGTGGGATCCGTGGCCTCCCCTGTCTTCCGGCTCTGCAGGATCCGTGGTCTCCCCTGTCTTCCGGCTCTGTGGGATCCGTGGCCTCCCCTGTCTTCCGGCTCTGTGGGATCCGTGGCCTCCCCTGTCTTCCGGCTCTGTGGGATCCGTGGCCTCCCCTGTCTTCTGGCTCTGTGGGATCTGTGGCCTCCCCTGTCTTCTGGCTCTGTGGGATCCGTGGCCTCCCCTGTCTTCCGGCTCTGTGGGATCCGTGGCCTCCCCTGTCTTCTGGCTCTGTGGGATCCGTGGCCTTTATTAGACCTTACCAGCCTCAATTTGGGTTTTCTGCTATTTGGGGTCAAAAGCACCTGAACATTGCTCCACACCCAGGTTTCACCAAGTAATCCTGTGAACCAGAGGCCGTCAGGTTCATCGCCTGGATTCTGAGAGAGGAAAATAATCCCAGCTGTGAAACAGAAAGTGTTAAAAATGGCCACAAAGGGAGCATCGATGACGTCTGTCCGCAAGGTCAGCGTGATGGGCTGTCCAGACAAATAACGCCGCTCACAGCGGCTCTCCTGTGCGGGGGCTTGGCCTGCTCCAGACCCCAGCTAACCAAATTTTCTCGCACCGAATTCTCAGAGTGGCCACAGCTTTGAAGACCAGGAAGCAGAGTTCTCACCTATGGGAAGGCTGGGGCCGGTGGCTTCAGAGCCCAGGAGTTTCACCCTCCGCCATCTGCCCCCACATGGGCCTCAGAGCCCAGAGCTGTGCCCGGGTCTGGCCTGAGCCAGTGCCAGGACTGGGAGGAGAGCTGGGAGCTGTTCCTGTGGGTGGGGGCCCACGGAGTCTTCCCTCTCTCCAGCGCCCGGGGTCTGAGTCTGTGGGCACCCGGCTGAGGGCACGCTCCCTGTCTCCCCCTGCCCACAGTGGCGGCACTCAGCCGCCCGGTCTGTTGTTTACACGTCCTGCTCATCCATCAGCTGGATTCATAAACACGGCAGAGGCCTGGGAGCCGAGTGGCCCCACGGCCGGATCAGGGGCCAGGGCAGCGGTCTGGCTGTCACAGGGGCTGCCAGTTGGTGCCTGGAGATTCTAGGCGTGGCGGGCACCAGCAGGGTCTCCTGACCCACATCTCTCCCAGACTGATGAGGTGGGGAGTTACTCATTAACCCAGGTACAGCCTGGCTGGCATTTGTTGAGGCTGGGTCTGGGTGAGCCAGGGTGAACCGAGCCCACCTTGAAATGAAGTGTTTGTTCTCCAAGAGCAGCTGCTCTCAGAGGGCCGCCGTCTGCCAGGCCGGCTGGGGCTGTGGGGACGTGATCCCTGGGTACCCGGATGGTGCCGTCTCCGGACCCTGGAGGGCCAGGCTGCAGGTGCTGCCACCTTCCTGGGCCTCAGCTTCCCCGGCTGTAAAATGGGATGGTGACATTCCTCACGCAGGTGCTGCACTTCTGCGGCAGACGCGGGGCCCTGCCTCCGGGGACTAGGGACCGGTCGGAGCGTGGTGCAGAGAGAGCTGCTCAGAGTGGAATTCGGGGAGTGTCTGAGGCCGGCGGCGTGCAGGGCCGGCGACAGAGCTACATTCATCAACACCTGCTGAGGGTGTTTGGTGTTGAGGACAGACCGTTTCCCCGGCTGTTCAGAGGAAGCTTCTCTAGTGTGTCTTCCCAGCGGCTCTAGTGTCAGCGGGACATTCCTAGGTTCCCGGCAGGCGGAGTCTCAGGGGGGACAGTGACACGGCAGCCCCGTCTGGCCACACAGCCCACGCTTTCCCTGTGCCAGGCCGCGGTTTCCACACCTGGGGCCCTGGAGGGACCAGAGTCCAGGGGACATTCAGCTACCCCAGCCCCGCCGTCCGCAGGCTGCATCTGTGCGTAGCACGTGCTGCGGCGGTGCCCTGTGATATGCTGCCCACGGCCTCTGTGTTAATCATTGATCTGGGCAACCCGCAGACCCCTCCCCACTTCCCCGTGTCGGGGGTCAGGAGGGAGCTTAGTAGGCATGTGACCCTGAGACAGCGCCCCCCTCCCCTTTCCCCGGGGAGGCCGGGATGGCTGGATGAGCTCCCAGTCCTTGAGAGTTGGTCCAAGGTCAGCTTGGAGACCGGCAGCCCTGTGACAAAGATACCGACCCCCAGGGAAGGTCCCAGCGCGTCCCCTCCCGGCTCCTCCGCTCGCCTCGGCAAAGGTGCGGGGGGCCAGTGAGTTCCATTTCGAGGAGCTGTGTGTCTGAACAAAAATGGGAGCTGGGCCAGGCCGGACGGTGGTCTCTGGGCAGGTCCCGCGGTGCTCAGATGCCCTGGTCACAGGTGCCGGGAACGGGAGAAGCAGCAGCATTGGATGTGGTGGTGGCAGTGGCTCTGGAGAAGGACCTGGGTGGGAGGTGGGGGTTTGGGTGGTGACGTGGTGATGGCAGTGGCTCTGCGGGAAGGACCTGGGTGGGAGGTGGGGGTTTGGGTGGTGACGTGGTGGTGGCAGTGGCTCTGGAGAAGGACCCGGGCGGGAGGTGGGGGTTTGGGTGGTGACGTGGTGGTGGCAGTGGCTCTGCGGGAAGGACCCGGGCGGGAGGTGGGGGTTTGGGTGGTGACGTGGTGATGGCAGTAGCTCTGGAGAAGGACCTGGGTGGGAGGTGGGGGTTTGGGTGGTGACGTGGTGGTGGCAGTAGCTCTGGAGAAGGACCTGGGCGGGAGGTGGGGGTTTGGGTGGTGACGTGGTGGTGGCAGTGGCTCTGGAGAAGGACCTGGGTGGGAGGTGGGGGTTTGGGTGGTGACGTGGTGGTGGCAGTGGCTCTGGAGAAGGACCTGGGTGGGAGGTGGGGGTTTGGGTGGTGACGTGGTGGTGGCAGTAGCTCTGGAGAAGGACCTGGGTGGGAGGTGGGGGTTTGGGTGGTGACATGGTGATGGCAGTGGCGCCGAGGGAAGGACCCGGGCGGGAGGTGGGGGTTTGGGTGGTGACGTGGTGGTGGCAGTGGCTCTGGAGAAGGACCTGGGCGGGAGGTGGGGGTTTGGGTGGTTACATGGTGGTGGCAGTGGCTCTGGGAGAAGGACCTGGGTGGGAGGTGGGGGTTTGGGTGGTGACATGGTGATGGCAGTGGCTCCGAGGGAAGGACCCGGGCGGGAGGTGGGGGTTTGGGTGGTGACATGGTGGTGGCAGTGGCTCTGGAGAAGGACCTGGGCAGGACATGGGGGTTTGGGTGGTGATGTGGTGGTGGCAGTGGCTCCAGGAGAAGGACCTGGGTGGGAGGTGGGGGTTTGGGTGGTGACGTGGTGTCGGCAGTGGCTCTGGGAGAAGGACCTGGGTGGGAGGTGGGGGTTTGGGTGGTGACCCCCTGTGGGGTGACCCCTCACGTGTGTCCCACCCTGCACCCGCCTGGCTGGCACTCACGTCTGTCCACCTCCACCCACAGGGCACCGCGTCCGTGCTGCAGCGCCGGTCCCCCAATGAGGAGTACGTGGAGGTGGGGCGCCTGGGACCCTCTGACTACTTCGGTGAGTCCAGTGGGCGTCCCCTCCCTCGCACGGCTGTGGCCATCTCATTTGGGGTCTCGGGAGGGGCCTGGAGGTGAGGAGCTGCTGGGGGGCTTCCCTGGGGCCTTGTAGTGGGGCTTGGCTGAGCCCCAGTGTGGCTGCAACAGAAGGCTCAGTCCTGTTCCCCCAAATTGAAGTCCCAGGGCCAGGTCTGGGTCCCCAGGAGCAACGAGCCCTGGACGTGGGGTCCCCCAGAGGGCATGACCTTGGGGGAGGCAGCCTCCTGCTTCTGGGATGAGGGGGCACAGTGTAGCCATCAGCCACCAGCATTCCTGCAGCTGGGGGTGGGTGGGCTTGAGGGAGGCCCAGGCCTACCTGGGTGCACCTGGGCATTCCTGCAGCTGGGGGTCTGGGTCCTGAGGGAGGCCTGGGCACACCTGGGCATTCCTGCAGCTGGGGGTCTGGGTCCTGAGGGAGGCCTGGGCACACCTGGGCATTCCTGCAGCTGGGGGTCTGGGTCCTAAGGGAGGCCTGGGCACACCTGGGCATTCCTGCAGGATTGCCCAAAAAAGTGCAGGACAATGGCTAGCTGAACGTGAATTTCAGATAATAAACAATTCATTAGCATAAGTATATCCCAAATAGTTCTCGGGCTATACTTATGCTACAAGTTTGTTTGAAATTCACGTGTGCCTGGCACATCCTATCCTTAAAAGGGAGCCGCTTCCAGGGTCCTGGACATAATCTTTCCCTGCTGCAGCCTCAGGACCCCCAGGCCCAGCCCTGACCTCTCTCTTCAACCCCCAGGGGAGATTGCACTGCTGCTGAACCGGCCCCGGGCGGCCACTGTCGTGGCCCGGGGGCCCCTCAAGTGTGTGAAGCTGGACCGGCCCCGCTTCGAGCGTGTGCTGGGGCCCTGCTCTGAGATCCTCAAGAGGAACATTCAGCGTTACAACAGCTTCATCTCCCTCACCGTCTGAGCACAGCTCCCGCCCTGCAGCCCCAGCTCCCCAGTGTGGTGGCCGTGCCCTGCTCGTCTGTGTCGGGGGCCCGGGAGCCGCTGTGTGAGGTGTGGGCCGGGTGGGGCTGGGTCCCGGCAGCGTGAGGACTGCCCCTTCCCCGGACTCACTTTTTGGAATAAATGATCACCTTGTGCATTTCCAAATCAAAGGACAAGCGGACAAAATGCATCCCAAGATCAAGGAAGGGACAGGCCAGCTTCCTCCCCACACGCCTCCCCGGCTGCCTCTGTGGGCTTCTCCTGGGGGGCCCACCCCACCCCTGCCAGTCTCCTGGAGATGCTTGAGGATCGGTCCTCCCCAGAACCAGGCCAGGACGTTGCCCCTGGGGCCTGGTGACCCTGTGAGGTCAGGTCCCCCAGATTGAGGTCTGAGTGTGGGCAAGTGTGTCAAAAGGGGCTGCCCCCCAGGGGAGATGAGGCTGAGAGCAGGGAGTTGAGGCCGAAGAAGTCAAGGCCCCTCCCGCAAATGTGTACCCCTGCCCGCGCCACTGCACCCCGCCGCACCCCCACCTCCCCCGGGGGCCCTGCTGCGGATGCCGGAGTGGGAGAGTCTCTGAGCTGTGAGATTGATCTTGCCCCTAATTGGAGAGGAAGCCGGGCGCCAAGACACACGGGGCTCCTGCCTTGGGAGCCAGGGCCGCGGCCGCAGGTAGACCCCAGTAGGGGGGGCCGGGCTCGAAGTTCCTTTGGGAGGGGCTGGCGGGACTCCAGCAGGCCGTCCTCACCTTTCTTAGAAAGTCCACCCAGGGCAAGTTGATGTTGGGGGAAAGCAGAAGTCAAGCCAGCCGCGGGCCCCACACGCCCCGACCCGCTCAACCGACTTGTCCCTTAAATGTGTCTTGGATCCCGCAGTGATGACGTGAGCCAGCCAGGCCCGAAAGGGTGAGGCCAGTGCAGAGAAGCTTCCCAGGGGATTCCTGGGTTCCCCCGAAAGACAAGCGAGGTCATTGCAGTTCACCTGATGTTGCTCCTGTCCCGTGCGTCCCGGGGAGGCTGTCCTTGGTCCGAGGCTGCTCGTTGCAGCCCCTCCCCTGCTGGCGGTTACGATGCGTGGGGTCCCCCTCCCCACCCAGCCCCGGCCACGTCGCCGTGTCCCGCCTGTGCCTGTGACGTCCCTGTGGACCTGTGAGCCATCCCCCCCCTTATCTCTGCTCTGAATACTGCATGAAGCATTAAACGTGCAATGAAGTACCTCTTCCCGGCTCGGGAGGCCTTGGTCTGAAGTCTTTTGTAGATAAGGGTTTTTCTTTTTTTTATGGTGGTAAAATACACATAACACAAAACTTACCATTTTAACCACTTTTACGTGTGCAGTGCAGTGGCGTTATCCACACCGCGGTGCAGCCATCACCACTGTCCATGTCCAGCCCTTTCATCTTCCTAAACGGAAACTCTGCACCTGTTAAACAACAGCTCCTGCTTCCAGCCCAAGGAGCCACCCGTCCACTCTCTGTAGCCCTGTGTATCCAGACGTTCTCATTTGAGCGTTTTCAGTATACAGGAGGGTCTGTGTGTAGCCCTGTGTATCCAGACGTTTTCATTTGAGCGTTGTCAGTATACAGGAGGGTCCGTGTGTAGCCCTGTGTATCCAGACGTTCTCATATGAGCGTTGTCAGTATACAGGAGGGTCTGTGCTGCCCACGCCGTATCCCAGGGTGGCTAAGTAGACGGGGCCCAGCTCCCTGTCTCTGTACTGTGAGGTTCCATGTCTCACCGTGGTCCCGGGTGGCTCTGTTCCCTGTGGCTCTTTCGTGGGCCCTGACGTGGACACCCAGATCCCAAGGCTGCCCCGGGAGGGGTTGGGGTGTATCCAGGACCAGGGTGCCCTCAACCTCTGGATGGGATGGTAAACTTGGGGTCCAAGGGCAGGCACAGCTCACTCATGCACCTCAAGCCCCCGGGATCTCTTGCAGGCTGGGCACTGGGTAGGCCTGCAGGAAATATTTCAATAAATAAACAACAGTGAATAAGGGTTGCAGGAGAGAAACTTTGGGAGATTCAGGCTCTGACATCCATAGGCCAAACACAAAGGAACTTTGACCCAAGTCTCACACCTTATGCAAAAATTAACTCAAAATGGATCACAGACTTAAATATGAAACTATAGGGAAATTGCTCTTAGACTTGACACCGGTCCATGAAAGGGAGATTTGATAAATTGGAATTCATCAAAATTAAAAACTGGTGCCTGCAACAGACCTCGTGAAGAAGATGAAAATACGAACCAGGGACTGGGAGAAAACATTTTCAAACCACGTGTATCGCAGAGAAGACCAATACATAGAATCGTTAAAGAACTCTCAGAACTCGGCCGGGCGCGGCGGCTCACGCCTGTAATCCCAGCACTTTGGAAGGCCGAGGCAGGTGGATCACCTGAGGTTGGGAGTTCGAGACCAGCCTGGCCAACATGGGGAAACCCCATCTCTACTAAAAACATAAAAACTAGCCGGGCATGTTTTGGTGGGTGCCTGTAATCCCAGCTACTCGGGAGGCTGAGGCAGGAGAATTGCTTGAACCCAGGAGAAGGAGGTTGCAGTGAGCCGACACGGTGCCACTGCACTCCCTTCTTGGTGACAGAGTGAGACTCCGTCTCAAAAAAAAAAAAAAAACCTCTCAAAACTCAACCATAAAATGCAAACAATCCAACTAGGTTATGAAGAGGCACTTCCCCACGAGGACATGCGGACGGCAGTGAACACAGGGAAAGATGTCAGACCACCAGCCAGTAGGAAAATGCAAATTAAAGCCACGGTAAGACACCCCCACACACCTATTATCAGAATGGCTAGAATGAGAAACAGCAGGCCGGGCACGGTGGCCCATGCCTGAAATCCCAGCACTTTGGGAGGCCGAGACAGGCGGATTACAAGGTCAGGAGATCGAAACCAGCCTGGCCAATATGGTGAAACCCTGTCTCTACTAAAAATACAAAAAAAATTAGCCAGGTGTGGTGGCAGGCGCCTGTAATCCCAGGTACTTGGGAGGCTGAGGCAGGGAGAATCGCTTGAACCCAGGAGGCGGAGGTTGCAGTGAGCTGAGATCATGCCACTGCACTCCAGCCTGGGTGACAGAGTGAGATCCTGCCTTAAAAAGAAAACAAAAAAAAACAAAAAAAAACCACACACAGCAGCACTCTGTCCTGTAGAGAAACAGGATCACTCAGACATTGCTTCTGGGAACATAAGATGGGGCAGTCACTCTGGAAAATAGTTCGTAGTTTCTTAACAACACAAAAATCCAAACTAAGCATGCAATTACCATACAACACATCACATGGCATTCTTGGGCATTTATCCCAGAGAGTGAAGACACAGACCCGCACACTCATGAACACAGCAGCTTGACTCAGAGAGGCTCAAGCTGGAACCAACCGTGGCATCCTTCAGCGGGGGGAACAAACCGTGGTACATCCATGCTCCGAAATGCTACTCGGCACCGAAAAGGAACTAGCAGTGTGCCCAGCAACCAGGATGGAATTGTCAGGAACGATGCTGAGGGAAAGAAGCCGTGCACTCTGCAATTCCGTTTACACGACATTCTGCGGATGCCAAAATCAGGGCCAGCAGTTGAGGAGGAGGCAGTGTGGCTATAAAAAGGCAGCTGGGGCCGGGCGCGGTGGCTCACGCCTGTCATCTCAGCACTTTGGGAGGCTGAGGTGGGCGGATCACCTGAGGTCAGGAGTTTGAGACCAGCCTGGGCAACATGGTGAAACCCTGTCTCTACTAAAAAGTACAAAAATTAGCTGGGGGTGGTGGTGAGCACCTGTAATCCCAGGGCTTTGGGAGAGGCGGGCAGATCACCTGAGGTCAGGAGTTGGAGACCAGCCTGGCCAACATGGCGAAACCTCATCTCTACTAAATACAAAACTAGCCAGGCGTGGTGGTGCATGCCTGTAGTCCCAGCTACTTGGGAGGCTGAGGTAGGGGAATCGGTTGAACTCCGGAGGCGGAGGTTGCAGTGAGCCAAGATCCCGCCACTGCACTCCAGCCTGGGCGACAGCGAGACTTTGTCAAAAAATAAAAATAAAAAGGCAGCCGTAGCTGTTCTGTGGCTCGGGCATCCATGTTGAGATCTGGCTGTGATATGCTGGGGTAGCTTAGCAAGATGTTAAACCACTGGGGGAAACTGGGTGAAGGGTGCACCCATCTCTCTGTATTTTGGGGTGGTTTTTTATGAGACAGGGTCTCCATTTGCCACCCAGGCTGGAATGCACTGGTGTGATCACAGCTCACTGCAACCTTGACTGCCTGGGCTCAAGTGATCCTCCTACCTCAGCCTCTCAAGCAGCTGGGACTACAGGCAGTCACCACCATGCCCAGCTAATTTTTAAATTTTTTGTAGAGTCAGGGTCTCACTATGTTGCCCAGGCTGGTCTCAAACTTCTGGCCTCAAGCGATCCTCCCACCTCGGCCTCCTGAGTAGCTGGGACCACAGGCATGTGCCACCATGCCCAGCTTAATTTTTTTTTTTAATGATCATTTGTAGAGACAGAGTCTAACCATGTTGCCCAGGCTGGTCTCAACCTCCTGGGCTCAAGTGATCCTCCCCCCTCGGCCTCTCAAAGTGCTGGAATTACAGGCATGAGCCACTGCGCCCAGCCAGGACATATGTTTTCACTTGTCTTGGGTCAATACTGAGGCATGGAAGGGCTGGATCGCACAGTAAGTGTGTGTTTCACTTACGAGAAATTGCCGAACCCTTCTCCAAAGTGGCCCCATCACGTTGCCTTCCCGCCAGCAGTGTGGGGGCGTCGCAGGTGCCCCGCATCCTCACCAGCACTTGATGTAATCAGGCTTTCTAATTTTGGCAGTTCTGATGGGTGTAGTTGTATCTCGCCGTGGTTGTAATTGCATTTCCTGATGACGGACGACGTGAAGCATCTCTTCATGTCTGTATTGACTGCAGATCTTCTTTCGTGAAATGTCTGCTCAAAATCTGCCCATTTACAGAAATTGGGCTGTCTTCTTATCACTGGGCTGGAGGAGGTCTTTGTGTATTCTAGACATAGCTCCTTCGTCAGACGCACACACTGCAAATACTTTCTCCCAGCCTGCAGCTGGCCTTTTCATGTTCTTAAATGATGTCTTCTAAATAGCAAAAGTCTTTAGTTTTTATAGAGTCCAATTTATCCACCTTTTTTTTGGTTCAACGTCCTATTTTAAAAATTGCAAGGCGAGGTGGCTCATGCCTGTAATCCCAGCACTTTAGGAGGCGGAGGTGGGAAGACTGCATGAGGCCAGGAGTTCGAGCCTGGGCAACATAGTGAGACCCTATGCCCCCCCCCAAAAAATTGTTTAAAATAGCCAGGCGTGGTGGTGCATACCTGTAGTCTCAGCTACTCAGGAGGCTTAGGCAGGAGGATTGCTGGAGTCCAGGTGGTGGAGGCTGTGGTGAGCTATGATCATGTCACCGCACTCCCGGGTGACAGAGTGAAATCCTGTCTCAGAAAAGTAAATAAATAAAAATAAAAAATCATTGCCTGCTCCAAGGTGGCCAGGCAGTGTTTACAGAACTCCTGATGTGCGCCTGGCGCTGAACTCAGCCCTAGAGATATAGCAGAAAACAGCTGTCTTGGTGCTAACGTTCTAGTGGGGGCACCCCCTTCTCTGTCCTGAAGCCCCGTGGAGGCCCCTTTCCAGCCCCTGTTCCCCAACACCACCCAGACAGAAGCCCTGCAGGCCCCGCCAAGTTTCCCTCTGCCCTTGCTGTGTGAGCTTGGGCAAACCCCTTGGCCTCTCTGTGCCTCGCCCTCTCTGCTCTGATATAGCCTAGGAATGCACATCCCCCCTCCAGTGTGTCGGGAAGAGAACGAAGTGGGAACCTTACCTTACCCAGGAAGTCTTACCTGGGGTGAGCTCAGGTGGGGCCCAGGCAAGGGCTGGGTCTGGGGGCTGTGGTGTGGGGAGAAACGAGTGACCTTAGGCAGGCTCAGCCCCAGAGAGAGTCAGAGGCTTCCCTGCCTGGGGGAGGCCGCCCGGAAGCCTCGGACCCCTTGCCTGCCCTGCACAGCCTGACTCCCAGCATCCTGTGGGCCTGAAGGGAGGCTGCTAAATAGCAAAAGGTCCCGTGCAAGGAACAGATGAGGAAACAGAGGTTCCAGCGTGCAGAGGTTGGCCTAGGGCCACCCAGAAGGCAGGTGTAACTGGAAACGCTGCTCCTCGGCCAGCCTGGGCCCCACCTGCCTGTCTGGTGCCACCAGCCAAGTCTCTGACAGACACAGCAGACACTGGGCCCTCGGGTGGGTCCCCAGGACTCGGCCTGGAACCACTGAGAACATCCAGGATGGACAACCTCGCTGGCCTCTGCCCCTTGCTGGCCATGGGGGCAGGGAAACCGCTTCCCCTGGGGCAGGAGGCAGACCAGTGGGGACTCATACACCTGCTGTCCTGACAAAGCACTGGCTCATTTGTTTATCTGTTGATTCATTCATTCATGTTTGTCCATTCATTCCTTTAGCCATTCGTTCATTTCTTCATTCATTAGTTCATTCCTTCATTTGTTCACTCATTCCGATTCCTTTTACAGTCTGAGCCCCTTTCACACATTCCTGGCAGTTGGGAGGTGGCCTAGCTTTCCCCAGAAAGACAGTTTTCCAGAGGCTGGAATTCTAGCCAAAGGATTCCAAGCAGGGTGGACTTTCTGTTGGGTCCAGAAGCCAGCAGGTGACTGTAGGCTCCTGTCACTATTCTAGATGCAGGGGCTTTGCCTGGGGCTGCCCAGCCCTGCCCGATATGGACCCCAAGCCTGGACCTCTCAGGGCCTCAGCTTTCCCGTCTGTAAGATGGGTGTCACGACCCATCCAGGCTGTTGGTGGAATGAGCTAATTACTGGCCGTAAGAGGCTCGGCAGGGGTCCCAGGCTGAACAGTGGCACCGGCCCACGCGCCCTGCTGGGGTGAGCTGGCCTCTGGGGACTGGGCTTGGCCGAGGCCCCTCCAGACCACGGACAGTCCCGGCCTCACCTCCCCTGGCTCAGGGTGGCTGAATCAGCCGGCGGGGGTGACTCACTTTGAGGCCAGGCAGTTTCCTCCCGGGCCCCCCGGCTGCCACGCTGGGGAGACAGGCAGGCCCTGCCATATGGGGCCTGGGACTTGGGGGTGATTTCATGTCTGGAGGTCGGGCCAGGAGGCCCTCGGCAGGGGTGGCTCCGGGATCCTGGGCCCCACCCTTCGGAGCTCCATTCGGCCCCAAGGGCTCTGGCCTAGGAGACTCCCCGGTCCAGATGGGCTGTGGGCCTGCCCTGGCCTCGTCAGAGTCCAGCTCATCCTTGCCCCTTCCAGAGCTACCAGCCACGCTGACCTCTCTCTCCCCTCTTGGGCCGCTCTTGCCTCCTGGAATGTGACCAAATTAGGCGGCTGGTGACTAACTTTCCTACCCGAGCTCCACCTCCAGTTGGTCAAAGGATTTCCCTTCCTCGAGGGTTCCTCTCGTCTGGTTCTAACTTCTCCACCAAGTGCAGGGAGGCCTTCCCCTCACCCCTCAGTCTGGGCCTGCCCCTGGCCTGCTTGGGGGCCACGAAGGCTCTCAGAGGCTGCTCATGGGAACAGCTTTACAGTCAGATCTTGCAGGCACGCAGCGCGTTGTATAATCCACCCATAGGGCTTTCTTCAGCCAGGCAGAAGGTCACTGGGTCGGGTTCCACTGATCCCAGCAGGGGGTCTGCTTGGGGACGGAGCCCCGTGTCACCGCTGGAGACGTCCCTTAGAATTAAGACTGTCAGCCCCTCACCAGCCTCCTTAGCCAAACATTGTTTTCACTTGCGCAGTTGGGGAAATTGACTGTTGTATCTCAGAAATGCACTTGAAAAGGAGCCTGGCGATCCCCGGCCTGGGATGCTGCGGCCCTGCCCGGGCTGGCTGGCGTGCGCTGTGCTGGGTAAAGCAGAGAATTACACGGTCACCTAACGTGCCTCAAACCCTAGTCCCAGCTCTTCCTTGCTGTGTGGCCCCAGGCACGTTCCTTAACTCCTCTGACACTGCTCATCTCTAAAGTGGGGTCATAATGTTTGCCCCGTGGGGTTGGAGGTGAGAGTGAAGCAAGACTGCGCAGGTGAAGCTGGTTGCAGGGGGTTGGAGGTGAGCTGACGCGAGACTGCGCAGGTGAAGCTGGTTGCAGGGGGTTGGAGGTGAGCGTGACGCGAGACTGCGCAGGTGAAGCTGGTTGCAGGGGGTTGGAGGTGAGGGTGAAGCGAGACTGCGCAGGTGAAGCTGGTTGCGTGGGGTTGGAGGTGAGCTGACGCGAGACTGCGCAGGTGAAGCTGGTTGCAGGGGGTTGGAAGTGAGCTGACGCGAGACTGCGCAGGTGAAGCTGGTTGCGTGGGGTTGGGGGTGAGCTGACGCGAGACTGTGTAGGTGGAGCTGGTTGAATGGGGTCTGGTGCAGAGGACATTCACGGCTGTGGAGCTGCTGTCGCGTATGACGTCTCTGTCACACCCAACAGTGATGGGAACTGGGCCCTCCCCACGTCCGGCATGTGCCTCCCGGAGCTTCTGCTGTGTGCGCCATGTCCTTCAGCTCCCAGTGGGCCCGGTGGGCCTGCAGTCATCCTGGAATACTGCCTGCTCCTACTCTTCAAGGCCTCTGCGTGCCCCACCCTGAGCACAGCAGCTGGAAGTGAGGCCTCCTCTCCTATCCTCCTATTACCTAAGCCAAGCGTCTCCCCACCTGTGGCTGGCCCCGAGAACTCCCTGACGAGGGACGCCCAGGTGCCTCTCAGCGGCCCCCAGTTTTGGAAAAGCGGCAAACGTCTCCATGGACGCAGCCTGTCCTGTGGCCCTTCCTCGATCTGTCGGGTGATTGCTGTGTGCATCACACTCCAAAACGTGGTGGCACGAAACAGACGCCTCATGTTCACTACGGATGCTGCCCTGCAGACCTCAGACAGGGCCCGGTGAGTGGCGCTTGTGTGCTCCGTGATGCTTGGGGTCTGGGCTCAGCAGACTCCCTGGGGGTGGGGTAGGGGGCTCAGCGGGCTCCCTGGGTGTCGGGGTGGGTGGGGGCGCTCAGTGGGCTTCCTGTGGGTGGGGTGGGGGTGGGGGGCTCAGCGGGCTCCCTGGGAGTGGGGGAGGGGGCTCAGCAAGCTCCCTGCAGGTGGGGGTGGGGGGCTCAGCGGGCTCCCTGGGGTTGGGTGGGGCGGCGCCTACATCCTGTGTGGCTTGGGCTTCCTCCCAGCATGGTGGCTCTAGTGGAGCTAGATTTCCCTCGAGACGTCTGAGGGCTCCAAAAGCCAGCTGGTTCCAGCCAGCTGTTAGCGTTGGGGACTCGGGCCCTCAGGGAGCCCCTGTTCCAGCAGGCAGGGTGTGAGCTGCGTGGCCATTTGCGACCGAGTCTCAGAGGCCACAGAGCATTGTTTCCAGCACAGTCTGTGGTTGATGATGAGACAGCCTGCCTGGATCCAGGGGGACACAGACCCCCACTTGCTGATGTGAGAGATCAAGGGACTGGTGGTCCTGTTTTCAAACCACCACACCTTCCAGGGTCCAGGAACTCTTGACCCAGGTGAGCTCTGGCTGGGGGTCAGCAGGCATCAAGCTAGTTATGCTGCGCACAACGCCTGATTGGCTGTCTAGTCCCAGGGACAGGCTACGGCGTTCATGATACGGGCACAGGCCGGCTGGTTCCTCTACACCAGAGTGTGTGTCTGGCCACACTGTGCGCCATGCACACAGGGAACACTCAGATGTTGGATGAATGAATGTACGACCAACTCTAAACCCAGACGGGACTCTTGCAGAGGCAGCCTGGGTCAGAAGGAATGGAATCGCTGCGCGGAGGAGCCCCGGAGACCTTAGGCGGGGTGGGGAAACTGAGTCTGGGAGACAGCGGGTCTGGCTGGGGTATCAGAGCTGAGGCTGCAGCCCCGCTGGGCCTCTCACACTTTGCTCCTCCGAACTACCCGAGTGAGAAGGAGTCTTGTCATCTTGCTTTTGGTCTGATTATTGTTGCTGTCAATACAGTAAAGCAAACTTTACACGCTTTAGAAGGACGAGGTCCTGGTCATGTGCTGGTGCTCCTAGGAGCCCACGTTTATATTTTTCTGTAGGCCGAAGAAATCACAACAAGTAACTTTCATGAAGGTAGACAACCCTGGTATCAACTCTCCGCATTGATGGAGAGCAGAGAGGCTGCTCCCACCCCGAGGTGGTGACAGGCCGCTCTGGAGGGGGTGAGGCTTGGCCAGGGACGGGGTGGGGGTGGCCCCTGGGTGCTCTGGGACTGGGGCCTGGGTCCCTGAGATAGGGTGGAGGAGGCCCGTAGGGAGCAGGGGAGCAGGCTGGTTCCACGGACCCCTGCCTTCCTGCTCCCACTCTGGAATCCTCTTGTCCTTGGCTCAGGGTTGGGATCTAGCCTGGGCTTGCCCCACCAGTTTTGCCTGTCACTGGGCCATAAACCCCTCCTGTTTATGGGCCGGGCCACCACCCCACTGGAACCTGGCCAGGCTTCTCCTAGGAGGGCGGGCTCACTCCCTCTGGGAGTCCCCCCACACCACACAGGGCAGCCGCCTGGAGGCCCGATGAGGTGGCTAGAGGTGTGGGTGGCCCTGTGAGCAGTGGGCGGCACCCCTGGGGTGGTGGTGGCTGGAATTCTCAGGCCCCAGGCTCTTCCCGGGCCGTTAGGCCGAGTGCATCCAGGCAGCCCTGCACACCCCCTCACCACCCACCCCACCCCACCCCACCCCACCCCACCCCACCCCACCCCACCCCCGGCGCAGGAGGCCACGTGTCTGTTCACCTCCACGTCTAGGCTCGGAACGCCGGAGAGCAGGGGCGGGGACCCCAGTGTAGGGAGCCTGGGCCTGTGTCCGCTAAACGTGTGACGTGCACACAGAGTGTTGGTTTAATTCCGCAGACGCTCCCTGGTGCCTCCTGTGTTAGCGTTGGGGACTCGGGCCCTCAGGGAGCCCCTGTTCCAGCTGGCAGGTGGGGACTGAAGCTCCCTTGGAGTGTGTGGGCAGGTAGAGGAGGGCACCGCCCTGAGCCTCAGGAATCTACTCGCCGGCCTCAGGAGGCAGTTACACACCCGGCCCCCTCCCGGTTCTACTGGCCCCTGGGACAGGCTGCAGGGCTGGCTAGGAGTCTGGCTTCACACCGGCCCCCAGAGGTGGTGCCTCTGCCCGCAGTGAGTGGGGGCACAGGGGTTCCTCACCAAGGCTCCACCGGCGTAGCTGAGGCACTTGTCCCCAAACGGGAGCCCCCCGCCAGCTGGAAGGGTCCTTCCAAGTCCAGGGGAGGCAGACAGGACCCCCTGTGCAGGCGACAGAGGGCAACTGCTCTGAGCTCAGGGCCTGGGGAGGTGACTGTGTGGCAGGCGGGGTCCTATGTGGCAGGCAGGGTCCCGTGTGGGGAATGCTCAGAGCCCTGCTGACTCCACTGGCTTCTGGGCATTCCTGGTCTGACCTCCAGGCCGGCTCCTGGGACCCTACCAGTCTGAGGGATGGGGAAGGAAAGGGTAGGGCGGGCAACTGTGCCCGAGAGGGGACCCCAGCTCTGGACTCTGGCTGGCTCGAAACACCTTGGGGCCATGCCCATCTGTCCAGTTGGGCTGTAGAGAGGCTTGGAGGAGCCACCGGAGTGAAGGAGGGTCGCCAGCGTCTTTAAGAAACCGCAGGATGCTGACGCCCCTAGAGCCCCCATTGGGTTGGTGAGGAAGTGGGGGCCCTGGGGGGATGTGTGAGTTGTGTTCCTCTCAGCAAGTCTGGCTTCCTTGGGGGCCTAGGAGGGGACACTGAGGGCTTGCTGTCCCCATGGGGAGGTTGTAAGGTGAGACTCTCAGGAGCTCCTTCCTCCTGTCTAGGGGGTGCCCCCTTCCCCCCACCTTTCTGGGGTGACAGGCCCGGGGGGGCCCCCAGATTTTCTGAGGCCTGGGGGCTGGCCTGGCCGGCTGGGTCAGGAAGTGAAGGGCTGGCATGGGGGAGGGAGGGGAGGACTGGAAAGTGCATTCCAGGCGGGTGACACAGCCTGCGGCCTTGGGGTGGGGTGGGGCCAGGCTGGGCTGCCCTTCTCGGGAAGGTCCCTGGGATCCAGCTCCCCGAGGAGGCAGATAAGAGGGGTGGGGCCTGGCTGCATGGGAAGAGGAAATTCCAGGCCTGGGACAGCTGCTGCTGTCTTTCAAGGCTGGATTCAAATGCCACCTCCTCCTGGAAGCCGCCTCAGATTCCTCTGCAGCCCCTGGACCAGGGGCGCCCTCCTCCAGGGACCCCGGCTCCCCTGGGCTCTGGTCAGGTCAGCCCCAGGCTGGGCCCTCCACGGCCCTGATCCACCGCAGCGCACTCCTGCTGTGCACCCCTGCAGTGCACCCCAGAACCTAAGCAGGGCCTGGCCGGGCCGCCCACAACCACGGAGCTGGGGTGGGTGTGTTCCCTGCACCCAAGGCCGGCGGCCAGGCGTGGAGGGAGGGGGGCGTGTGAGTGAGGGCCACAGCCTGGTGGGGGAGTCGATTTCCTGGTGCTTCCTGTGCCCAGCGCTGTTCCCAGCCCTCTCCATGGATTAACTCACTCTCTCTATTCCTGATTTCCCTGGAGTGTAGGCAAATCAGCCCCACTTCACAGCTGAGGACGCTGAGGGCAGTCGTGGTAAGGCCAGGTCCCTGGCAGGCTGGCCCCGGAGGTGGATCAGGTCCCTCTCCCACCTGGGAGCCGGGTGGGCCGATGTCTTTTTTTGGCGGGGACCAGGAGAGTGAAAGCCTGGGAGCTGGGTTGGCCAATGTCTTTTTTGGGGGGGGGACTCTTCAGGAGGGTGAAAGCCAGGCTCACTGTCCCTGGGGGCTTCCAGCACCATGAAGGTGAGTGCCCCCTGGCCCCTGAACAAGGTCCCCCTCCACCACACCCAGGCCCCCTCCATCACACCTAGGCACCCTCCATCACACCTAGGCACCCTCCGTCGCTGCTTCCCCGGCTCGGCAAGGCTTCACGGAGCCCACTTCTTGGAAGTGAATATGGATGAGTTTAGGCCCCTGCAAGTCTCCCGAGGAGAAGCTGGGGGTGCCCAGTGGTGAGAAAACTCCCCCATGTGCCAGGCACTGGCATTGGCTCATTTCATCCTCACTGCAGCATTAAGTCAAGGGTGGCTGCCAGCCTCCAGGTGGGCCCGAGGTCCTACCTCCCCATGTCTGTGCCCTCCCATAGCCCTTCCTGCATTGACAGGGCCTGTGCTGGGGTGGGGCTTCCCAGGAGTGGTCAGAGAAGACACGGTGGCTTTGGCCTTGCTGTTTGGGCCTCTTGCTCCCCGGGATGCCAGCCGCCATGTTGTGAGGACACTCAAGCAGCTGCAGGGTGAGAAACCGACACCTAACAACCACGGCCTGGTCCACAGGATCCCGGGGAAGCCGTTTCTGAATTCCTGAACTACAGACACCGTGAAGTCATGAATTTGTTTTGTTTTTGGTTTTTGAGGCAGGGTCTCGCTCTGTTGCCCAGGCTGGAGTACAACGGTGCGATCACGGCTCACTGCAGCCTCAACCCCTGGGCCCAAGCCATCTTCCCGCCTCAGCCTCCCAAGTAGCTGAGACTATAGGCACGCACCACCACGCCTGGCTAACTTTGTAATTTTTTGTAGAAATGAGGTCTGTGTTGCCCAAGCTGGACTCAACCTCCTGAGCTCAAATGATCTCCTGCCTCGGCCTCCCAAAGTGCTGGGATCACAGGCGTGGGCCATGGTGCCTGTCATGAGGTCTTCACTGTTGGGTTGAGACTCTGCATTTGGAGGTGGTTTATTAGGCAGCAATAGAGAACCATGGCAGCAAATGTTATCATTTCTGGGATACTGAGGGTAAGCGTGGCTGTCATCCAGGAACAGGCTAGAAGGAGACTCTGGACCCCGGGCCGTCAGGGCTGAGTGACCCTCATCCGTGGTACCTCACGGCCTCTCTGGAATTCTGGGGTCTCTGTTGGACACTCTGGGTGACACCCTGTGGTTCCTGGAGACCCCTCCTGCTGGGTTTCACACACGGCCTCGCCGACGGGCCAGAAGACCACAATGGCTTTGAAAAGCAAGAGCCGGCGGTGTTGCCTCCTAGGAGCTCCCTAGGGACCAGGTGGGGCTGGCTTGGGCCCAGGCCAGACCTAGCCCCTGAGGTTTGCTAATGGAAGGTGGGTCTGGGTTCTGCCCCCATCAGCTCCTCCAACAAGAGCCCGGGCAGGGAGGACAGAATTATTTTTAACCTGTGATCTGCCAGGGAAGTGCTCTGTAACTCAGGGGAAGGCCCCAGACTTGGCAAGGGCGGTGTCTTCAGGAGCCAAGCCCCTCACCTCTCCTGCCAGGGGTTCCTTTTACCGTCTTATGGTGGATTTCCCTTTTCCTTGGGCTTTTGGGGTATCCACGGAGCAGAGCTGTGACCTGGCTGGCTTAGGGTTTTTTTTTTTTTTTTTTTTTGAGACAGTTTCACTCTCATTGCCCAGGCTGGAGTGCAGTGGCGCGATCTTGGCTCACTGCAACCTCCCCCTCCTGGGTTCAAGCGATTCTTCTGCCTCAGCCTCCCAAGTAGGTGGGATTACAGGCATGCACCACCACGCCCGGCTAATTTTGTATTTTTAGTAGAGACGTGGTTTCTCCATGTTGATCAGGCTGGTCTCGAACTCCCAACCTCAGGTGATCTGCCCGCCTCGACCTCCCAAAGTACTGGGATTACAGGGGTGAGCCACCGCACCCAGCCGGCTGGCTTAGGTTTTAAAATTAAGGCTCACTCTAGGACCGTAGGGGATCCAGGGAGAAGGCTGAAGGGAGGCCACAGTTATCCCTGGAGAAGAGGTGGGGCCAGGTGGAGGTTCTACCTGGTTAGGTTTGGGAGAGGCTCAGAGGTTGAGTCAACAGGGGTTCCCCCAGACCAGAGGCACCAGGTGAGGGGGAAGGTGCAGGCCGGGTGCCCCTTGCTGGCCTGGGTGGCTGGGAGGTGGTGTCATTGTTGCCTGGGGGACGAAGCTGGGGCGCTGTGGGTTTGGGGCTCTGTTTGGGCCATAATGAGATCAGCTTGTCTTTAGACACCCATGCAGAGGTGTTGGGCAGAGCTGGACCCGAGTCCAGTTGTCAGGACGGAGGCAGTGTTGCCCCCATGAGAAGACGGTGAAGAGTGAGCTCTGGACCCTCCAGGGTGAAGAGGAGGAGCCGGGCCAGGCATGGTGGGTCACGCCTGGCGTCTCACCACTGTGGGAGGCCGAGGCGGGAGGAACACTTGAGCCCAGGAATTCAAGACCAGCCTGGGCAACACAGTGAGACCCTAACTTTACAGAACATACAAAAATTAGCCAGGTGTGGTGGCTTGCACCTGTAGTCCCAGCTACTCGTGGGGCTGAGGTGGGAGCATCACCTACGCCTGGGAAGTGGAAATTGCAGTGAGCTGTGATTGCAGCCTGGGCAACAGAGCAAGACCCTGTCTCACAAGATAAAACAATAAAGAAAAGAGGAGCCCGGGAAGGAGTAGCCGGGGTTGACTCCAGAACACAGGGCTGGGGGTCCTGAAACAGGAGAAGGCGGCACATCGGGGGCAGGTGTGCAATGCTGCAGTGATGTCCTATCAGATAAGAGAACTGACCAGAGGGGTCAGTGCTGGCGAGGTCGTGGCGCTCTTCACAACAGGCGATCCATGGGTCGGATGGCAGTTCAGGAGTGGGCATCTCAGCCCCCTGGCCAAGGACTGCGTTCTGAGAAAGAGCTTCATTGATCTTACCGGTAGGCAGACGGGTGGTTCGCACTCTTTCTTGCTGACGAGAACCAGGGCTCTCCAGCCGCTCCTGGCAGCCGTCTTGTCACCATGAGGGAACCCAAGAGGAGGACCAAGATGTGGAGCCGGACCCTTGATCAGACCTCTCCTGAATCCCGCCTCTGGGCTTCCCAGTAAGATCCCTGACTGTGTTTGGGCTGAGTTTCTATTTTCTGGAGCTGAACGCATCAGCTGAAATAGCCAGACTGTCCAACAGGCAGGTTAAGCCCCTGGTTCACGTGTTTGTCACCCATCCTCACCTTCCAGATGTCCAGTCCCATGAGGGTGGGACTGTGTCCCTGCTGCGTCCCCTGACTAGAACGGGGTGGACACAGAGTACACAGTACGTGCAAAATAAATACTGTTGAATGCAGCCGGGCGCAGTGGCTCACCCCTGTAATCCCAGCACCTTGGGAGGCTGAGGCAGGAGGATAGCTTGAGGCCAGAAATTGGAGACCAGCTTGGGCAACTTAGCAAGATCCTGTTGCTACAAAAACTTAAAATACTGTTGAATGGAAGTGTCTTAAATCACACTATCAAAGCAAGGGGGAGAGTGAGCGAGCGAGAGAGAGAGAAATGGAGAGATGGAGAGAGACAGAGACATGGGGAGAGATGGAGAGAGAGGGAGACAGAGACCGGGGGGAGAGACCAGAACAGAAACAGCAATACAGAGATAGCGAGATGAGTGGGGAGACAGAGTGACGGGCCCTCTCTGGTAATCTCACCCAGAAGTTTACAGTCAGCAGATCTGGGGATCATTCTGGACACCACAGTTTGCTGTGTGGATTATTTTGGATTTCGAGGATGAGGGGTGCGCTGTGGTCCTGGCTGCGGCTGAGGGCTTGGAAGGTCTGGCTTGTGCTAGGTGGGATCACCGGGCACCTGCGGCTCAGGGGGCTGCCTGCTGTCCAGCCCAACAGACGAGGCTGTGAAGAGCAGGGCACTGACCGGGCTCCTGTCCCACCAGGGTGGGGCAGAATTGCTCCTGTTCACTGGGCACCTGCTGTATGCCAGGCAGTGGGTCTGTGCACCCCTCATCACACACAGCCCTCTCCCCCAGGCCAGGACGAGTGCCAGCTGCCCTGGGCTACGCACCATGTCTGTGCTGAGCCTGTTGCGGTGTTCCTGTAAACAGCCCTCACTAGCAGCCACGTGGGCTGCATTGCGCCTTATCACCTTTAGGCCACCGGGGCTCAGAGACGAAAGCAACCCATCCAAGGTGCACAGCAGCCAGCGGCGGAGCTGCCACCTCCCTCCTTCCCTCCACCCACGTCTGGCACCCCGCGGGACTGGACGTCCCGGGTGCTGGGGGAAGCCTGGTTTCTGCCATTTCCACGCAGGGGCAGGGGGATGCTATCCCACCAGAGGGGAGTCTGTGCCACAGCCCAGAGGTGCACCTTGGGTCACAGCGAGGCGAGGATAAGATTATCTGATGTATTTTGTTCTCTCCTGTCCAGAAAAACAGCCCCAGGCCAAAATGGCTTCTCCAGTGGTCCAGACAGGGAGGGACCTCAGAGCTCACCCACTGCTCACCCGAATCCTCGCCCAATGGCCAGGGGGTGAGACCCCAAGGAGGAAGAGTGTGCCGAGGTCACTCAGAGGGGAGGTTTGAGCCCCAGGTCTCTCCCACCCCACGCCTCAGTGCTCCAGCTAAGTGCTCGCCAGCTATGTCTGGGGTTACAGTTGCCAGGGGTCACAGGTCGCCCAGCCAGGACAGTGCGGGAGCTGCAGTTGGGTGAGGACAGGGAAGTCCCCTCAGGCAGGCCTGGGAAGGGAGGAGCGTGGTGTTCTCTTCTGCCTGGAGGGCCGGGGGCCATTTCTCATTGGTGACCCTAGGGGTCCTGGGTGCTGTGTCCAGATCTGGCCAAGCAGAGCATTGTCCCCAACCATGGTCACTGACCTGGGGCAGCACGAGCCCAGACTTAGCCAGTGAGATGCAGCTTCGCAGCTCTGAGTCTGGGGCAGTGAGTGTGAGGCTGAGTGTCAGTCTGCTGTCCTGCTGCTGTGAAAGGGAGACGAGGTCCCAGTGCCTGATCCAGCCACTCCAAGAGTCTGGGGCAGCGAGGGTGTTAGTCTGCTTTCCTGCCGCCGTGAAAGGGAGATGAGGGCAGGAGACAGCTCTGAAGACACGGGCCGAGGGCCCTGATCCAGCCATGCCTGAAACTGCTCACTCCTGAGCTCAACAGGTACATAGACCAATGCATTCTCTTGCTTTCTTGGGCCAGAATGCATTGGGTTCTTGTCATTACAGCCAAGGGTCATGATGTCTAAGGATAGACCCAGGTGGGGTGGGCTGTGGCTTTCTCTCTTCCTGTCTGGAAACTCACAGGTGGGAGATGACGGGCAGCTGGATCCTCCTGCAGGAGGCTAAGCAGTCAGGTCACCAGCCCCCAACGCAGAACTTCAGCAAGGACACAGGAGTTCCCCCGCCTGGCCTCACCCCCTGAGCTCCCAGGTCAGGGCCACCATGAGCGTGGACGTCAATGGGTCTCCTCAGCCGCAAACTGGAGCTCGATCTTGCACCTGCAGGGCCTACTGGGGAGTCCTGCTGGTTTAGGACACCTGCGCACGTCAGGTTCTGTTTGGGGGTCAGAGAGATGGTGTCTCCATGTCCCACTGGTTGGCACCATGCTGTACGTATGCAGTCCCGTCTGCTGCAGTGATGTGAGCGTGGTCCTGACGGGCGTTGGGGTGGGAGGACCAGCTTCCCCCTGCTCTCTGCGTGGGCTGAGGGGAAAGACCAGGCAGCCATGGAGTGGGCACGGGGCTGGGGACTTCCCTCTCTGACTCTCACCTCCTCTCTCTCTCACCTTCTCTTGCTCTTTTACTTCCTTTCTCTCTCACCCCCTCTCCTCTCTGTCTCACCCCCAACCCTGTGGCTTACTTCCCCCATCTCCTCCTCTCTGTTTCACCCTCCGCCTCGTGGCTCCCCTGTCCCCCTCACCTCCCCTGTCCCCCTCACCTCCCCTGTCCCCCTCACCTCCCCTGTCCCCCTCACCTCCCCTGTCCCCCTCACCTCCCCTGTCCCCCTCACCTCCCCTGTCCCCCTCACCTCCCCTGTCTCCTCCTCTCTCACCCCACCCTGGGGCTCACCTCCTCCCTCACCTCCTCTCTCTGTTTCACCCCCCACCTCGTGGCTCACCTCCCTGCTCACCTCCCTGCTCACCTCCTTTTCCTCCTCTTTCCTATTCTCCTTCAGTTTACTGTCTCCCTCCCACTTCTCAGCTCTTTATTCCTCAGCATGGTTTGGTGCCTACCCCAGGGTGTTCGGAGTCTGTTTCACAAGAAAGCCATTTGCCCCCACACCTCACTTGGCCCCCAAGGGCAGTGTGGGTGAAGCAGTCTCTCTCAGCCAGGAAGAGGAGTCACCCAGACCCTCCAGCCTCCCCTTGAGGCCAGCCCACCGAGCCACGGCACCGTCACAGGACAGCCACGCCCCCAACCAGCCCACCCGCTGAGCACTGCCCCCCACCCCCTGCCACCCTGGCCCCCGCCCCCCGCCCCCCGCCCCTGCCCCTGCCCCGCCTGCCCCTGCCCGGCCCCACTCCCAGGCTTGGCGGAACAGGGACCAGGCTGGTGGCAAGTCTGCAGGGGCCGGGAGGGTCTTCAGCACGGCTTCTGTTTTTCCCATCACAGCAGCACTGGAGTGGCAGTCATCGCATCCCAGACGGGTAAACTGAGGCTCAGGGCGTCAGCGTGAGTTGCTTGAGGTCACACAGTCGGCAGGAGGTCAACTCTAAAGCCCAGCTCTGCTGGCCCAGTGGCGGGGGCTGGCCTGTGTGGCCAGGGGCGTCCCCAGGCAGCACTGTCCGTTCAGAGGGCACCTGGGGGCCAGAGCCAGGCAGGACCCGCCAGGCACACAGCCCCATCAGAGATATAGCTTTTCATGCCCCAGTGCCTCTTATAAAACAGAAGCAACAGCATTTCTGGGGCCAGGCGCCGTGACTCACGCCTGTAATCCCAACACTTCAGGAGGCTGAGGCGGGCAGATCATTAGGTCAGGAGTTCGAGACCATCCTGGCTAACATGGTGAAACCCTGTCTCTACTGAAAAACACAAAAAAATTAGCCGGGCGTGGTGGCGGACGCCTGTAGTCCCAGCTACTCGGGAGGCTGAGGCAGGAGAATGGCGTGAACCCGGGAGGTAGAGGTTGCAGTGAGCCGAGATTGCACCACTGCACTCCAGCCTGGGTGACAGAGCGAGACTGCGTCTCAAAACAAAAACAGAAACAAAAAAACCCCAGAAGCAACAGTGATTCTTAGAGAAGTAACATTAACACATCACAGAGCATCCGGACGCTGGGTGTGGAGGAAACGTGACAAGCAGCCCCAAGCTCTGACGCCTCAGCGGGCAGCGTCGTGTCGCGCCCTGAGGACCGGGCAGCGCCGGGCGAGGGCTTGGAGAAGAACAGGGCGTGGAAGCTATAAGCCCGGTGCTAGGAGGCTGTCTTTCTGTCCACCCATAAATGGAGCCGCGATTTCCAACAGCGAGAGGAGGGGTAAGAACACGAGGGCCGTTTGCGCCTGGGATTTGATTTGATTTGATTTATTTTCTGGCATCTTGATCTCGGAGCACCTAGGATCTTAGGTTGTTCCTAGTTGCTGTTTTAAATCCTGGTGCTCTGAGCCCTTGAAGCAAACGTGTCGTTTTCTTAGGCTGGGTGCCCGATGTGGGATTACAGGGTCAGGGGCCGCGGCCACACTGGTGGCTCCTGGTGCCAAATTGCCGCCAGGTTGACCTGCAACTTCCGGAAGCTCAGAAAGTAGCCTGTGCTCCCCAGGCCTCTCCCTCGGGGCGGGGGTGGAGGCTGGGGGGGGGCATGGTTGGTGATGAAGGAAAAGGTCCTCCTGTGTTTCTTCCCAGCTGTGATTCTCCTGCACATCATCAGTGGTTTTCTGAGCATGAGCAGAGACCCCGATATATAAATGTGCTTTAAAAATGTGGCAAATATGTTGTTCTGTACATGCAGATAAGAACACAGGGACACTGGAAATTAAGTGTAACGCAAAACTAAAGGATTCCATTTGTTTAGATTTTAAATTTTTTACGAGATCTTTCGATTGTCTACACTGTCAAACCCAACGGTCTTTTTTTTAAACTTAAAACATGAAAGGCCGTGTGCGGTGGCTCACACCTGTAATCCCAGCACTTTGGGAGGCCGAGGCAGGCGGGTCACCTGAGGTCAGGAGTTCCAGACCAGCCTGACCAACATGGAGAAAGCCCATCTCTACTAAAAATACAAAATTAGCCAGGTGTGGCGGCGGGCACCTGTAATCCCAGCTACTTGGGAGGCTGAGGCAGGAGAATCACTTGAACCTGGGAAGTGGAGGTTGCAGTGAGCCGAGATCGTGCCACTGCACTCCAGCCTGGGCAACAAGAGTGAAACTCCATCTCAAAAAATAAAATAAAAAGGTTTGGAGAGCCTTTTAAAAATAATAAAACATGAAACGTAACACTCCTTCTAGTCTTTTATTTGGGGTTTGCTCTGTGCTTTCTAAGTTCTGAACGTTCTCTCCATTTTAGAAGTTTGATAAACTATGGGAAAACTAGGAAATAGGAATTAGCTTTTTTCCACCACTTTTTGTTTTGAAAACTTCAATTTTACAGAAAAGTCATAAGAATAATACAATGAACAGCTGTATACCCCTCACCTCATTCACCTGTTGTCCCCATTTTATCTCTCATTTCTATCTATATCTATCTCTATATTTATCTACCTATATCTATCACTCTACCATCCATCCATCCATCTACTCATCCATCCATCCATCCATCATATATCCATTCATCTTCTGTCCATCTATCCATCCATCATCTATCCATCCATCATCTATCAATCCCTCCACCCATCTACCCATGTATCACCTATCCATCCATCCATCATCTGTCTATTCATTATCACCTATCCATCCATCCATCATGTATCTATATCCATCAATCCATCTTCTATCCATTCATCCACCCATCTATCCATCATGTATCCATCCCTCCATTGTCTATCCATCCATTCATCCATCATGTGTCTGTCCATCCATCATCCACCCATCCATCATCTATCAATCTCTCCATCATGTATCCATCCATCCATTATCCATCCATCCATCATCTGTCTATTCATCCATCATCCATCCATCATCTACCCATCTGTCCATCATCTATTCCGTCATCACCTATCCATCTGTAATCCCTCCATTCATTTATGCGTCCATTCATCTACCATGTATCCATTCATCCATTCATCATCTATCCATCCATCATCCATCATCTATCCATCCATTATCTATCCATCCATCCATCTTTCTATTCATCCATCCATCATCTACCCATCTGTCCATCATCTATTCCTTCATCACCTATCCATCCATAATCCATCCATCCATTCATTCATCTATGCATCCATTCATCCACCATGTATCCATCCATCCATTCATTATCTATCCATCCCTCCATCAATCATCTATCTATTCATCATTTGTCTGTCCATCATCTATATTCCCCTCCCAACCATTTGAAAATAAGCTGCAAACATCATGACACTTTACCCCAACTGCCATGGCATCACCCAAGAACAAGGAGGTCCTCCTGCACCACCATCACACCATCAGCACACCCAAAGGACTCAACAGTGATACAATAAAGTAATCTAATATTTCCCCAGTGGTCCCAATCAGCTTTTGAGCTGCCTGCTGGTTTGAATGTGGGAGTCCATCAAGAATGGAACATGGCATTGAGTTGTCAGGTCTTTTAAGTTCCTGTTAGTCTAGAACGGTCGCCCTCTGGTGCTTTTCTCATGGCAATGATGTTTTTGCAGGTCAGGCCAGGTGTTAAGTGGAATGTGTCTCAGTCTGGGTTGTCTCCTTGTTTCCTTGAGGTCCGATCAGGGCTAAACATCTTTGGCAGGAATGTGGCAGGGGATGTGTGCCTATCCTTGCTTCACGTGGTACAAGTTTATCCCTGAACCTTTTAATATATATATATAAACTTAATTTTTAATACATCTGAAGTTAGTGTGGGGTAAAATGAGGATTTCATCAGATTTTTTTTTTTTTAGAACAGCTTCAACTGCATTTAATCCACAATCCTTTCAATGTCTTTTAAAATTCTTCATTTACAACAGAGCCTTTTCTGGGGTCTCTGGTCACATGGGTGCCACACTGTTCTGATTATTGTGGCTCTAAGATATGGTTGGCCTTGTGGTGGCTCACGCCTGTAATCCCAGCACTTTAGGAGGCCAAGACAGGCAGATCACTTGAGGCCAGGAGTTCAAGGCCAGCCTGGCCAACATGGCAAAACCTTGTTTCTACTAAAAATACAAAAATTAGCCAGGCGTGGTGGCACCCTCCTGTAGTCCCAGCTACTCGGGAGGTTGAGGTGGGAGAATCGCTTGAACCTGGGAGGTGGGCATTGCAGTGAGCTGAGATCGTGCCCCTGCATTCCAGCCTGGGTGACAGAGAGATACCCTGTCTCAAATGAATAAATAAAAGTACAGTATGCTTAACCTTCCTCCTCCCCCTCCCACCCACATACTTTCTTTGTTCTAGAAGTTTCTGTGCTTCCCATGCATACATGCATGTGGCTTTCTGGCTGCCCCTCTCTCTGGCCGCGACAGGCCACTTCCTTTCTCTGCCCCATGAGCTCGGGTCCCCTCCACCTCAGCCCTGCTGGTGAAGGTCAGATTTGTGCTTCTGCTCAAGGGAGGTGCTGGTCACCCCGATTTGGGGTCTTTTCCATGGGGCAGGGCCGGCGTCTCATCCTCTTCCCTCAGCAGAGGCCGAGGAAGGTCAGGGGCGCGGGGGCTTGGCCTGGCTCCTTCGCCTCTCCCGATGTCTAACCTGCACCTTTAGACAGCGGTGAGGCCCTCAAAACCGGATGGAATGAGGGACCACAGGCTGCTCCCAACCATCCACGGTCACGAGAGGAACAGAGGCTGTGGGCAGCGCCCAGGGGAAGCGCTCTGGGGTTGGCCTGGGCTTTAACCGGGTGACCCCAGTGACCTGCCGGATGACTCAGGCCCACGCCTGCCCCACCTTGGAACTCGGAATTCACATCCAACATGCAGGAACTTGGGCCTTGAGTCTGAAGCCCTTGGGGATGGGAGGGGTTTGCGGCTTTGGCCTGGGAGGGGCAGTGGTCACTAAAGTTCAGGCTCCCCAATGCCCTCACTCCCTAGCCCCGCTCGGCCTGGCTGCTTCTCAAAGCTCAGTCTGCCCAGCCAAAACATCTACTCAGAAAACGTCTCTTCCCAGCCAGGCCTCCCCCTGCAGGGGTTGGAGAGAGGAAGGGAGAGGACACGGCGAGGCGGGGAGGGAAGTGGAGAGCAGAGGCCCTTGAGGACCTGTCCTCTCCCACTCCCTTCCAGCTGCCCTGGGGGGTGACTCTGTTTCTACGGGAGCCATCTGGGTCTCTATTTCTGTGTCTCCACGCAGAGTCCGCAGCTCCCAGGGAAACAGGCCCCGGAGGACAGGGGTCTGGGTTCAAATGTCACCACCACCACTACTTGTAATGTCAGCCTCCTCACCTGTAAAATGCAGGTGTTGGATGTGATGGCCTTAATTTCTAGGTGAGATCAAGATGCTTCCCTGGTTTTCTCTGACTGCACAGGACTGGAGATGCCCCCTGAGAAGCCCAGCTGGCTGCCAACGGGAGCTCTGGAACAGGGAAGGATCTGTGGGCACGGTGGAGAGACGGGGCTGACTCAGCTTCCGAGTTGCTTTCTTGCTGTTTTAAGAGCCAGACCCAGTGGAGGCAAGGAGCATAGCCCGAAATAGCGACGGCGGGAGTGTTTACACCCCAGCTATTGGCAAGTGCTAAGAATTGAGTTGTCTGCAGCTGCCAGGAACCTGCTGGGCGTTTCGGAAGCCTTACCTCGTGCACTCTTCTTACGGTCTCCACTGCAGCCATCTGGAAGCCCAGCCACCCTCATATGTCACCCAGATGACTGCACACCTCCCTGTCCTCCTCCAGCCCCTTCTCCATGAGGGAGCCGTGTGAAACCACGAAGCAGTGTTAGAAGCTGCCTGTGCACACACTGGCTCTCCCTCTGTCCGGGATGGAGTTTCTGCGTCCCCTCCTCCAGAGGCCAGGAGGGCTGGGGACAGCTTAGGCTGAGAGCGTACAGAGGTGTGGTGCTGCGCACCTGTACTGCTAGATCTGGAAAGGGTGTATTGCCTCCACTGTGGGCGTGGGAGCACGAACACAAAGCCCTCTGCCATCCCAGAGGCAGCTTGACCCTGGAGGCCTCCATGCTGTAAGGAAGCCCATGCTGGCCCCCAATAGGCCACGAGACGGAGTTGAGCCCACCTGAAAGTGGGGGATGCAGGCCAGCCCCCCTGTTCCCCCAACCTCACCGCTCCCCCATGACAGCTGCAGCCACCAACCCTGACTGTAGCTGCAGGACAGACCCTGGGCCTGAACCCGCTGGCTGAGTCCACCTTAAATTCAGTATGCGAGAAATGGAGACAGAATAACACAATTATTGTTTATTTATTTAGTTTTGAGACAGAGTCACTCTGTCACCCAGGCTGAGTGCAGTGGTGTGATAATAGTTCACTGCAGCCTCAAACTCTTGGGCTTAAGCAATCCTCCTGCCTTAGTCTCCCGAGGACCTGGGACCTTAGGCACATGCCACCAAGCCTGGCTAAGTTTTAGGGTTTTAGTAGAGACGGGGTCTTGCTGTGTTGCCCAGGCTGATCTTGAACTCCTGGATTGAAGCGATCCTCCTGCCTTGGCCTCCCTCCCAAAGTGCTGGGATGACGGGTGTGGGCCACCGTGCCCGGCCCCTTCTTCCTTTCTGCCACGACACCTTGTGTTCCTGCCTGAGGCCCTCCAACGGCTTCCACTGCCCCTAGAATAAAATCCAGAGCCTTCCTTTGGTCCCAAGGGCAAGCGATCTACCTCCTTGTTCTGTGAACAAGCCACGCTGGTTCCCGCCCTGGGGCCTTTGCACCTGCTTTGTCGTGTCGGCCTGGAGTGCCTGACCTAGATGTTCTAGCTGTTGTCAATTGACTTCTTCTCAGACTCCTCAGACAAGGCCTTCCTGACCTGGGCCTGAAATCCTTTGCCTGAAGGGCTGCACTCGCGCGCTCTCTGACTTATTGTTCCTCCTCAGAGAGTGAGGGCTCCGTGAGGGCCTGGTCTTAACGCCGTGTCCCCAGCACTTAGTACAGTGCCTGGCACATAAACCTGTGCTTCAAGAACGTGTAGATATTTCCTAGAGCAACCCTCTGAGCTGGCTGTGGCCCAGAGGAGCAAAATGAGCCTCCGGGAGGCTGACAGCGAAAGTCATTGTAATCATGTTTATTTAACACCATATATCCAAAATGTTTTTTTCAACCTGAAATTCATACAAAAATTCCCAATTGAGAAATTTTGCATTCTTTACTAAGCCTTCGAAAGCTGGCATGTGTTCTGCCCTTACCGCACTGCACAGTTTGGACTGGCCACGTCTCTCGTGTCCAGCGGCCACACGTGGCCATCGCTCCTGGGCTGGATGGCTCTGGTCTAGCTAGACTCTCGGCTTTCGTTTCTTGAAGCCTCCAAACATCCTTTCATACATGTCTTCATTCACAAAATGTTCACACAGTGATAGTGGGCTCCTGTGCTATTTTCAACTTCATTTCTGTTTGTGTATTTAAAATAAAATGATTTAATAGGGAGTTAAAACAACATGGAGAGAGAGCCTTCCCACCCTGCTGGCGGGGCAGTTATCTCCCTTTCTGGAGAGTGTGAACTGGAAAGGCCTGATCCCTAGTCGCTGGGGGCCTGAGATAATGACTTAATTAATGCCTGCGCTGGGCAGTTTTGATCTTCAAGGAGTCCAGCCCACTCGGCTGGTGTTGCTTTTGGATTAATTGCCTAGGACGAAGAAAGCCTTGCCCAGAGATAAAGGGAAACGTGGGGTTTCGTCATTACAAATTGTTCTGAAATCTGCTCTGGCGCTGGGGGCAGAGGCCAGGATTTGGGTGCTCAGCTGGTCCCCCCACCCCCAACCCAGGTGCAGGCAGGTGGCCAGCAGGGCGCTTGCCCAGGGCACGCTAGCGCAGCTTTTCCTGGGCAGGTGGGCAGGAGGGAGGCTTCCCGACAGTGGAGGCAGCTGTGTGCAGTGACGGCAGCTGTGTGCAGTGACGGCTGTGGGCCTCACGCTTTTCAGATGAGGGAACAGACACCCAGGGCAGTCTAGGGACAGAGCTCACCAAGGCCAAGGTCAAGGGGCAGAGAGCGGAGGGAACTGGCCTCTGCCCCCCTCCCTGCACCTTGGAACTGGGGATCCAGGGGGTGTTGGCTGCCGCCCCTACTCCTGGGTGGCCACAGCGTCTTTCCTGTTCCTGCCTGTACACCCCACGTACAAATGCCCCTGCGAATTGAGGATAGTCTATATTTACCGAGGTTGCAGAGGTACCCCTGGGGTGCTGAGCCCCGCTCCAAGTCTTCGCTTAGAGTTGATGCGTGAGTGTCCATGAAATTATACAAGGAAAGAGCTTGGCACCTGGCGCCATCGACGTCGCTGTAAATGTCAGCCGTTACTACTACTACTAAATAACAACGACGGCGATCGCTGCGTGCCTGCTGGTGCCAAGCCCCGGAGGGGCCCCGGACACGCAGCCTGGGTGGGGATGGGTATGAGGGGGCAGCGCTGGACTCGGCGAAAGTTTCTTCCCCTCTCCAGTCCCCTACCCAGAGGAATGGCCAAGGCCTTTCCCGCCCTCCCTGGGTGCCAGGGTCTTGGGGAGGGGCGGGAGGCAACCAGTCCCGGGCAGACGTCCGGCCACCCGCCCCTGCTGCGCGACGGCCCCCCTCGCTCGGCCTATTTGGGGCACCTGACTCACGGTAATTATGAGCCCGCGGGCACGTCGGGGCGCGCCGGGAGAGGCCGGATGCACCGGCTCCGGGGGCGACCGGACATCCCAGGCCGCCAGGTGCACCTTGCTTCCCACCAGCACCTCCCCGCACCCGCCGGGAGCTCCCCGCTGCTTCCGCCAGGGGCCCCGGGCTCACCTCGGGGCGCCCACGGACTCCCAGACGCGCGCCTCAGCATGGGGTGCGAATGTTTCGGGGGCGGCGCGCGGGGCGCGTCTGCCTCCCGCACAAAGCCAGGCTCTGTCCCGGGGTCAGCGCCTCTGTCTCCCGGGCCTGGGCGGGGACGCCCACGCCTCCTCCGACGCGGGAGTATATTTAGCCTCATTATCAAATGTTTGCAGTGAACTGTGTGAACCGACTAATAGCGGCTGGAAGTGAAACTCGATTCCTGGCCAGAAAGAAGCATGTGACCGCCCCCGTCTGCAAGGATCGCGGCAGGGCGGGCGGGGCAGGTGCCGCAGCCTCCGCGCGCAAAACCCGCCGGCGGGGCCCGGGTCGCACCGTCCCCTCCTGGGCCGAGCACCTGAAACCCACCTCGTCCCTCCGTCCCCCTCCCCAGGGGCTGCAATGAGGACGCTGGGAGTTTGAATGGAAACGAAGGCCGGGGAGGGGGGTCCGCGCGGGCGTGGGTTTTTTATCCAAGTCGGTGACCTCTTGGTTAAGTCAGCCCTGCGGTTTCAACGCCCAATCCCCCCAAAAAAGCCTGTGGGGGTCCACGTCTCCTTGTGTCTTCCGGGGATCCGGCGGAGAATGTGGCGGGGCCGGGCAGGGGGGTCCCAGTCCCACGCCGGGTGCGTCGTGCCCCGAGTCTCCCCAGAAGGCGGCTGTCGCGCGGCTGCACAAGTTTTCGCCTCCCTCGCGCGGCCGCTGTTGTTGTGGTCGCCATGGCGACGGGTCGCGGTTTTATTTTTAATAGCGGCCGGCGATTAGAGAGATGCCTGCACCGCTTTCGCCTAAGCTCTGCGTCCCCCGCGGGTGAAGCACCCACGCCCCGCCCCAGCCCCCGCCTCGCTCCAGCGCCCCTTGCACGTCCCCAGGTGGCCCTAAACTCTAGCTGGGCGCACCCGTAGCTCCAGGCCGGGCAGGGGAGCCGAGGGAAGCAGCCATCTAGGCCCTCAGAGGCGGCGAGGACCCCCAGGATCCCTCAAGCTGGGAGGGACGGGTACCCCATCCCCAATACAACGCGACCTTCCTCCTTGCCTTCCACACCGTCTTACCGAGTCCTCTAACCCCACAGAGGTGTCCTCGGGCCCCCTCTGCGCGCGAGCAGTCCGAGGCCCAGGAAGACAGGATGCGCGCCACTCCGGGATAACTGGCCGAAGAATGAGGCCGGGGTCCGGCCTGCGTCCTGGCCCTGCGAGTCCGGCTCTTTCCAGAAGCCATGCAGTGGGTGTCCCCTCCCAAGCCGCAAGTTCCCCCTGGAGGGACAAGGCCTGGCTTTAAGGGGCTCCTCCACGTTTCCAAGGCTCCCCTGGTTCTGTCCCGGTCCCGCTTGGTCCTGACCACCCAGAGGGCATGCTTGACCGCGGGGGTCGTGGTGTGGGGCTGCGGCCAACGGAAGGGAGAGACGTGGGGAGGGGGCCTGCAGGTGTGTGGAAGGGCGCGTGTAGACGCGACCCACTGGGAGCGGAGGGAGAGGCGTCGCTCCCCAAATATTTGGGGGAAGGGGAGAGCCCCCGAAGCGCTCTCCGGATTCGGCCTTTGAAATGCTAGAGCTGGCCTAGCTGGGGATGAAAGACCGCCCGCGGGGCTGCGCCTTAACGGCCTTTGTCTGGAGGGAGGGCGACCGCGACGGGGGCAGGGGTTTAATCGACAGGGTTGGGGGTGACGGCTGGGCCGGGCGGGATTCTCCGCTGCTCACCCAAGGAAGCGTCTCCTGGGCTCCAGGGGCCTAGGCCGTCTAGCCTCGGGGTCTGCACAGCACGCCACCCCGCTGGACCCGGTACCAGGACGCGTAGACCCCCTGGCAGGGCACTGACGAGCACCTGGACCTGTAGTCAGGGTCCAATCCCTCCTGGTCTAGGGAGGCGAAATCCATCCAGCCCAGGCGCACCCGCCCTTTCTCGGCGTGGGAGCCGTCTAGCCACGCTCAGACCTCGGCCTCCGCGCGCGTTCCTCCCCCGCATCGCGCTCTGAGCTGCGCCTCGGCCGGAGGTGGCGCTCTGTGCGCCCCACGGATCCCGACGCGGGAGGCTCAGAACCCGGGGGACCCTCACCGGTGGCTCCTTTCCCTTCCATCCCCTCGACTTCCCGGCTCAGGGCGCGGCCCTGCCTTCGGCGCGGGAGTGGGGGACTGGGGGGCGCGGGGTCCCAGGGTGGGGACGAGGCGGGCTGCAGGCCCTTTCCCCGACTGGAGCTCGCTCCCAAGTGGAAATGTGGGTGGAGGGTCCTCATTCAGATGCCCCAGGCCTCGGATCCTGGGCGGGGGCGCGTGGCAGCCGCCAGGTGAGTGCCCCAAACCCGCCCCCCTCCTTCCCCAAAGACTGACTCCCCCTCCTTTTATGGAGAGAGGAAGGCTGGGGCCCTGGATCCGAACCGTGGAGAGCGGCCGGAGCGCCGGGGCGGGGGCGGGGACCGGCTCTCTGGCCCTTTTTGGCGCAGCAGCTCTGGGCGCTGCCCGCTGCCGCCGCTGGGGCCCGAGAGAGGCGAGCCGGCGACGGCGGCGCTTCTGCGGCGGCCTCCTCCCTCCCCACCCGGTGCCGCAGGATTGCAGCTGGCACTGGAGGGTGGGCAAGCTCGAGGGAGGGGCGCGGAGCCCCGGCGCGGAGCCGGGCGCGGGGCTTTGATGGATTTAGCTGCTTGCGCGAGCGCGTGTGTGCTCCCTGCCGCGGCGGCGGCGCCCGGGCCCTGCCGGGTCCGCACGAACCCCGAGCGCTTCCGAGGTGCGGGTCCCAGGCCCGGAATCCGGGGGAGGCGGGGGGGGGGGGCGGGGGCGGGGGCGGGGGAGGGGCGCGGCGGCGGCGCTATAACCCTCTCCCCGCCGCCGGCCGGCTCCACACGCGCGCCCTGCGGAGCCCGCCCAACTCCGGCGAGCCGGGCCTGCGCCTACTCCTCCTCCTCCTCTCCCGGCGGCGGCTGCGGCGGAGGCGCCGACTCGGCCTTGCGCCCGCCCTCAGGCCCGCGCGGGCGGCGCAGCGAGGCCCCGGGCGGCGGGTGGTGGCTGCCAGGCGGCTCGGCCGCGGGCGCTGCCCGGCCCCGGCGAGCGGAGGGCGGAGCGCGGCGCCGGAGCCGAGGGCGCGCCGCGGAGGGGGTGCTGGGCCGCGCTGTGCCCGGCCGGGCGGCGGCTGCAAGAGGAGGCCGGAGGCGAGCGCGGGGCCGGCGGTGGGCGCGCAGGGCGGCTCGCAGCTCGCAGCCGGGGCCGGGCCAGGCGTCCAGGCAGGTGATCGGTGTGGCGGCGGCGGCGGCGGCGGCCCCAGACTCCCTCCGGAGTTCTTCTTGGGGCTGATGTCCGCAAATATGCAGAATTACCGGCCGGGTCGCTCCTGAAGCCAGCGCGGGGAGCGAGCGCGGCGGCGGCCAGCACCGGGAACGCACCGAGGAAGAAGCCCAGCCCCCGCCCTCCGCCCCTTCCGTCCCCACCCCCTACCCGGCGGCCCAGGAGGCTCCCCGCGCTGCGGGCGCGCACTCCCTGTTTCTCCTCCTCCTGGCTGGCGCTGCCTGCCTCTCCGCACTCACTGCTCGCGCCGGGCGCGCTCCGCCAGCTCCGTGCTCCCCGCGCCACCCTCCTCCGGGCCGCGCTCCCTAAGGGATGGTACTGAATTTCGCCGCCACAGGAGACCGGCTGGAGCGCCCGCCCCGCGGCCTCGCCTCTCCTCCGAGCAGCCAGCGCCTCGGGACGCGATGAGGACCTTGGCTTGCCTGCTGCTCCTCGGCTGCGGATACCTCGCCCATGTTCTGGCCGAGGTTGGTGCCGCCCCCGCGCCCCGTCCCTGCGCCGGCTCCTCCGGCGCACACCCCCCGCCGGCTGGGGCGCCACGGGCTCTGCAGAGAGCGTTTTGGTTCCTGCCAGGGTGGTCGATGTTTAGATTTTCCCAACTGGGTTCTATTTTCTGCCATGCCTAAGTGTGTGTGGGGAGTTTCCAGCGTGTTGCGTCGGTCGCTCTGCCTCGGGGGGACCGGGGAGCAGCGAGGTGGACGAGTGGGCAGAAACTTCGGGGGGCGCAGTGTCCTCTCCGGGGAAGGGGAGCTGGGGCGCAGCGGGCGCTGCAGCAGCGGGGTGCGGGGAGCGGGGAAGGGGGTGTGTGTGAGCCGGCGGAGCCTGGGGAGGAGAGAAGGGCGGCGGATAAATAGGTAGGGGCGGCTGCTGCGGAAGCCCCTGGCCGGGCAGGGTGGGCAGCGCCAAGCTGCAGCCCTCGGTTCCCAGTCCCCAAGCCCGGCGGGGCTCAGGGCCGGCGCAGTCCCGCCCGCCCGGGCCTGCTTACAGGTGGCTGAGCGAGGCGAGCTGGGGCTGGGCCAGGCGTCCGCACCCTCCCACCGCGGCGTCCCCGCCCCCCCATCCCCATCCCCATCCCCATCCCCGGGAGCTTTGCTGTGATGAATGACTTTCCACAGCCCCCGTCGTGGGAACTTAGTGCTTCAGGCTCCCCAGCGACCCCCGACTCTCCTTAAAAATCGGGGAGGGGAGTGGGGGAGGCCAGAGGTGAGGGTGGTCTCCGCAGGGCACGGAGAGCTGCGCGAGGTGGAAGTTTAACCCTCGCTTTCCCTGGAGGCTTCTTCTCCCGGCCGCCGGCTGGATTTGGGCGTCTTAGTCGGCGCTAGGGCCGCGGCTGGGCCGGAGCCCGGGGTGGGGCGAGTGTGTGAGTGAGATGTGTGTGCGCGTGTGTGTGTCTGCGCGCGCGTGCGTGTGTTTGTGAGACGGAGAGACCTCTCCACGGGTTCGGCCCGGGATTCCGGGGCGTGAAATTTAAGCCCTGCCTGGATTAAAGTGTTAGGGCTGCCGTGACTCTCGCCGACCCGTGACGCATTTTAACTTGATCTTTCTAGATGTTGATCTCACTATTAAATCAGAAACTTTCGGCCCCCTCGCTGCCCCCTAGACCTTCTGTAACTGACACCCCGGGTGGAGGGGCCGGAGTGCGGGGGCTTTTGTCTGAAAATATAAAGGGGGGGGGGCTTTGATTTTGCAAAGGGCGGAACATGGATGCGGGTGGAGAATTTGGGGTCTCTTCCAGCCCCACCCCCGGCTTCTGGTTCCAGGGCCGGGGCGAGGGCTCCGCGGGGGCTGGGGCGGGGACTGCGGCCGGCGCTCGCGGGGTCTCCTCGGGCCCGGGGCGGCGGCGCTCCTGGCGGCCGGGGGCGCGTGCCGGCGGGGTCGGGGCCGCGGGCGCTGACCGTGTGGCCTCTGCTTGCAGGAAGCCGAGATCCCCCGCGAGGTGATCGAGAGGCTGGCCCGCAGTCAGATCCACAGCATCCGGGACCTCCAGCGACTCCTGGAGATAGACTCCGTAGGTAAATCGCGCCCCTTCCCTCCGCGCGCGGGGAGGGCGCGGGCGGGCGGCCTGTGCGCCCCGAGCTGGGGCCGGGCGGGGCGCCGCGCAGGAGCGCACCGAAAGGTCAGAATCCAATCCCCAGCCATAAGCGCCCGGGCGGATGAGTCAGGAGTTTCTCTTCCAGTCTCCACTTTCTCTCCCAGCGGCGGCCGAGGGCTGCTCGCTCGCCCCGGGATTGTTTTCGCCTTTAAGGAAAACGCCGCGTGTGTCACACAAAGTTCAGCCGCGGCCTCCGCCAGGTGTGCGGGCCCCGCGCCTGCCCTCGGGCCGGGGGAGCGGCAGGATCCGGCCCAGACCCTGGGCGCAGAGCCCTGGCCCGTGCGCCGGGCGGGCAGCCCGCGGAGCGAGGCCCCAAGGGCAGGCGCGGCTCCCGGTCCGACGGGCGGGCGGGCGGAGGCGGCCCCCGGGTCAGGGCCCGGCCCCCTCTGTAATCCCTGCGAGCTGGTGCCGCGTTCTTGCCGCAGGGCTGGGCCTCTGTGGCTGCAGAAGCCGGTGTCTTTCTGTTTTCACGACCCAATGAAAAGCCTTGGACGCATCTGCTGCCTGGGGGCTATTTTTGCGGCTCACCCTCGGGCCCTGGGGCCGGGCCACTAGAGAACACAGCTTGTTTGCAAGCACAGAGTTTTGCTGCGGGTTGGCAAGGGTTAAAGGGGCCTCTCACCCCGGGGGACCCCGGTGGACCACGGGTGGGTGGGAGGGGCGAGGGTGTAGGGTGGCCGCCCGCCCGCTCAGGGCTAGAGAGCCCCTTCCTAGAAGGCGAGGTCTCTCTTCCAGGCGTGCGTGGCGCTCTTTTCAAAATGAGCACTCGGCCTGGGAACTCCAGTCGGAGCCTTAACCTGGTTTAAAAAGGGGCTCTGCGATGAACTTGTTAAAAAGAGTAACTAAAGGCAGCAGAATTGGAAGAAGTTACGTGACATGAAGATTCTTCTCTCCCTGCAAAGGACTCTGAAAAAGGGGGGGCATGCGGGGATTAAGTGAAATCACATGGTCTAGTCATTTGGAAATTTGTACCTAATTATGGTGGTGGAGAGGCCTGAACTATTTTCGTTTCATGCCAAAACCATTTTCTAACAAGGCCGATGGTTTCTGTAGTTTCTTGACCCAGGAAATCCCTGGGCTGATCCTTATCGGGGGCGGAGGGTGGGGGGTGCGGTAGAGTTTCACTCCCACAGCACAGCTGGGCGGGGGGATTTTGACCGGATCCCTCAGTGGATAACTCTAGGGAAAAGGATCTGGCTCTGGTTTGTGGGGGGGAATCCCTTGCCTGAATCTCGCTGGTCCTGGATGGGTTTGGAAAAGTGGGGGGGGGGGGCTGCTTCCTGGAGAAGGTTTCAGGGCTTTTTCTGGGGGGGGGTGCTAGCAGAAGGGGAGGCTTGTGGAGAGCTGGGCCTCCTCGTGGGACTGGCTTTGGAAGCTGCAGGGAAATGGGCCATTCACTTTCTGCTGGGACTATTCTTATTCTGGTCTTGGCGCCCCGCCTCCTCCACCCCCACCCATTATCGCCTTTAGCATTGCAGCTTCGTGGGGTATGCTGATGGCATTCCTCACCCGGGGGCTTCTAGGTCGTAGGGTCCGAACAGAAAAAAACAAGGATGCCCCTAAGCTAGTCCTGGCCGGTTTCAAATTCCCTCTGCAGTCATGTCCCAGGAGCTCTCTCCTCCTGCCCCAGGGAATGCAGAGTGGATCTCAGCCCTCCTGTGTCCGTGAGAGGTTTTGGGGTCTGAATAGGATTCTCCTAGTGTCTGGGAGGCTTTGTGTGTGAGAATATGGGGGTGGCATCTACCTCCTCTCTTGCCCCTGGTGGGGGACCTTTTGTAACATAGGGGGGCCTCCTTGGTCCTGTCCAGTCCCCTCCCCAGGTGTGGCTGAAAACAGAACCAGAGAAACCCACAGTCTCTCGCCTGAGGACAGGAGAGGCACCGGCTGCTCCTCCAGCTTGTAGGGGGTGTCTTTTCTTCAACTCCCGTTCTCTGTCGTAGGGAGGGTTGTAAACTGGTTGAGGTCAGTTCTCATTGGGTAAGCATCCCTCCGGGTCCTGGACTCCCTTTTCAATCCAGAGGTGCTTCTGGTCTGTTAGGGGCAGGGGACAGTGCAGGGGCTCATGAGGAAGGGGCTGGGTGCTGGGAGAAACCCAACGCAACGAACTTTCCCTCGGAGTCCCTTTATAACCCTTCCAGGCTGATGTTCTTGGCATTAGGTGCCTCTAAGGCCCACGCTGTAGGAAGCAGAAAAGAGGCTTTGAGGAATCCCAGGGGTGCGCCCCAGCTATGCTGACTCCTCCTCCAGGTGGGTGGGGCTTTGTGACTGGCATTTGGCTCCTCCCAGCATGCAGGCTGCGTCCCACTGTACAGTTGGGGAGACTGAGCCAGGCACCGTCTGGGGTCTTGGCCGCTCCTTGACTGTGGCTGGAGGAGCACGGGTAGTGGGATTCCTCACCATCCTCCCGGAGCCCAAGCGTTTCATTCGGAGGGTGTGCTGGAGTGAAGAGTGAAGGCTTTTCACCTGTGGCTTTTAGATCCAGAGGCCAGCATGTGGTCTTTTAATGACCGGCAGCCCGCGTTTAGGGCCTGTTTGTCCTGTGTGCAGTGGCAGCTGGGGAGCTTTGTTCCCCAAAGTGGTCTGGCCTGGCGCCCGTGGTTCATTGAGCGGCTGATAACGTAAATAGCCCCATCTCGGGCCAGTAATGCCAGACCAGGACTGATGGTTGGGAGATTCTCCCTGTCCTGGAGTTGTCCTTGGGACATCTGTGCCTAAAAGACAAAAGGGAAAGCCTCCTGGTTAACTGTCCTGGGAGCAGTTTTAGGGGTGATTCTTGCCGGCCAGGCCACCTGGGCCTGGGCTGCTCAGAGCTGTGTTTGGTGAGCTGTGGGCGGCTTTGGTGAGCGTGGTCCACTCTCGGCATCTTGAGCTGGGAGCAAAGGGTGGGCTTGGTAGACTGGGAGCTATTCCCCCTCTGTCCCTTGTCTCAAGAAATTTGCCAGCTCAGGCTTTCTGGGGGTCAATGAGCTAGCACGGCTGCCGTCTTCTCTGTTTATTAAGCCAGGGCTAGAGGGTGGCGGGGCACGGGGACTGTGCTCTGTGGACGCAGACCACATGAGTCTCCTGCGAGCCACTTCTGGTCCTGTTATATTTCTCTGGGCCTCAGTTTCCTCGGATGTGAAGAAGTGATAGCACCCACCGCACACTCAGAAGCTAAGTCATTGGTAAAGCAGCTAATGCAAACGTGGCTATCACAAGGCATCGGAAAATGGGAGCTGGTGTTATTGAATTTTCTCCTACGAGTGGAGAACGGACCCGTTACTCTTTGGTTTGGCCATGGCAAGATGGCCACCACCAGGATGTGATTCATAAGTGTCACTTTTTCATGAAAAGAAATGCTGCTTGTAACAGTTGGTTGATGGGAAATTCTTACTGCATGAGTAGTTCTGTTCTGATCTTATTTTGGGTCTCAAAAAAAATTAGTGTCATTGGAACATTGAGTCATTTTCGGTAAAAAGTTGGGCTCCGGGCGAGCTTCGTCTTTGCCTGACACCTTCTGTGAGGTTTGCGGGCTTCATTTTAAATCCGCAGGCTCCTCGGGGGTGCGGAGGAAGCTGAGGTTTCTCCGGTTGGTTTGTGGATAGTCACGGATGCCTCGATGGGCTGGGGAGAGACACTTTGGGCTGCTAGTCCTGAACCCAGGAGGTGCAGAGCCCATTAGCCGTCTGGATTGGTGACCGGGACTTCCCAAGCTTCCCAGGAGGGGGCAGGGAGATCTCTGTGCCTCTGGAGCATCCTGGCTGTGAGGCTCACTGTCTCCGCGCCTGTTCACCCTTGGTTATATGGTGGGGGGGGCAGGATGGAGGGAGATGGGAAGAGACTCCCCAGCTGGGACCAGGGGGCCAAGGCAAGGAGGCCCAGAGCCACCCGCGGTGCCCAGGTGCGGGCAGTGTGTCCATGGGCAGGACTGTGGGTCCTCTCCCTACTGCGGGATTTGGAGAGACCTGAGACTCCCCCAGCCTGTCTGCTGTAGCCGTCAGCGCCTGTGAAGGGGTGGTGTGTGCAGCTGGGTGGGGTGGCGGGGATAGGTTCTCAGTTCTGCTCCCCGGTCAGTGCTGGTCTTGGCTCTGGGCCACTGCCCCACCTGCACCTGGCCGCCTGGCTGTAAACACGGCTCGCAGATGCCAGCTTCTCTCAACCCCTCTCCGCAGGCCGCCTCCCTCTGTCAGGCTGCGGGAACTCCTCCGTGTAGCCTCCACGAGAGGCCACGTGCCCTCCTGCCTCTCCTCATGGCCGCTGGCCCTAGAGTAGACTCATTTCAGGAATGAGTGGGGTCTGGCCCGCAGCCCAGTCTGGCGGCTTCCAGTGCCCCTCAGAGGTTAGGCCACTTCTTCCAGGAGTGCTTTAGTGAGGGGGAGGGAGGGAGACGTACAGGCACCTGCAGAAATCTCAGCGGCCTCTGCTTCTCCCTCGCTCCAGCCCCCAGACAGAGGTGGGGCCTGGCTTAGCCCTGTGCCCCTCGGGGAGGTGCACGGAGCTGGGCGGCCTCAGGCCCCTCCTGCCCCGGGGCAGCCCTCACCTGGGCTACCTTGGAGGAGGCACCGTAGGGGAGACCACCTGCAACCTCTTCCCCGAAGGGCCCTGCGCTTCGTCACGGGCCCCTGAATGTGGGGACCTCTGTGCTAACGGGGCGTTTTCTGCGGTTTCCAGTGTTTCATGCCCTGCATCTCTGGAAAGCCCTGGTGGGAATCGAGGTTCTCCTGGAGGGCCCCTAATGGCGGGAGCTGTGAGGGGCTGTGCCGCCAGGTGCCTGTTCCCCAGTGGCTCCCAAAGCTGGTCTGTGGGAAGTGCGGCTGGACAGGCCCAGGGCACAGCGCACGGGCCTGGGGCATTCACGGTGTTCTCCTTCCGCCTGCAGGGAGTGAGGATTCTTTGGACACCAGCCTGAGAGCTCACGGGGTCCATGCCACTAAGCATGTGCCCGAGAAGCGGCCCCTGCCCATTCGGAGGAAGAGAAGCATCGGTGAGTCCAGGAGGCCGCGATGGGCAGGGCAGGGCCGGGTCAGGGTGAGTCCAGGAGGCCGCGATGGGCAGGGCAGGGCCGGGTGGGGAGGAGCTGCCCGCTCTCCCAGCGCAGTGGCCTCAGGCAAGCCACCCGTTCCCTCCTCCCTAAAATAGGCCTGGCCCTGGTGCCTCTGGCTCTGGCCTCTCCCGAGGCCTCCCTCCTTCGAGGGTGTCTCCTGCCCCAGCCCGCCTGCTCCTCCTGGAGTCCTGGTCTGGGCCAAGAGAGCTTCCAGGAGAGAAGAGCCATCATAAATTCCTTAAGCGCCCTGTCTTGTCGGGGCCTGTCCCCAGGAGCCTTGCCGGAAACGTGGTCGCGCCTAATTTCCAATTCGCAGTGTGGGCATCGTGCTCCTGCGCCGGCTGCTGAACTGGTGGGGACGCGCGTGCTGTGTCCGGCGGCTGCCCCCCGACACCCTCACCACACCCGTGTGCCCCGCCCCACTCACACCTGGCTCCAGGGCTCCACCCCCGCGTCCATTTGGGGGATATTTTGTCCCTTCTTACAGGACAGCCCCATGGCCCTCCAGCCCCCTGAGGAGGAACTAGCAGGTTTGGGGAGTTCAGGGGCCAGTCCCTGCTTTCTACCCAAGTCCCGCGTCCTCGGGGGTCCCACCTGATGGGTTTGAGCCCTGGTGCTGCTCATGGCTCTGGGGCCCTGAGCAGGTGGACCCCCCTCTCTGAGCTGTGGTTTCCTCCATGAAGATGGATTTTGTATCTTCCACCTTAAAGTGTCATGTGTGGCTGGCTAGTCCCAGCTGATGCAAGCAGGCCCTCCCCAGGTGACATTTGCTGTGGGGTCTGCATTTTGCACCCTTCAGACCACTTTTGAAGGCTAGAGCATGCAGCAAGTGCTGTAGGATTCACTGTTAAGGCCCCCTCCTCCCCCAGCCACTGGCCCCACCTGGACTAGGTTCCCCTCTGCCCCTGCCACCCCCAGTCTCTGGCCCCACCTGGACTAGGTTCCCCTCTCCCCACCCCCAGTCTCTGGCCCCACCTGGACTAAGTTCCCCTCTCCCCACCCCCAGCCACTGGCCCCACCTGGACTAAGTTCCCCTCCCCTCCGAGCCACTGGCCCCACCTGTCCAGGTCCCTCCAGCCTGCAGGCACCGGGCTGGGCTCCTCTGGATGTGTGGTGCTCCTGCCCACCCAGCCCCTAAGCCTCTGCTCCCAGCTCAGCCTCTGCTGCCTGGGAGGAATCCTGGCCTGTGGCTTACCCTGGTTGCCCCCCAGGCCCAGCTGGAGCCGCCTCAGCCCTGGGGTGGGGCCGTGGTCGCAGAGGCCGGTCCCCGCTCACTGTGCCCCCGCCGTTGCAGAGGAAGCTGTCCCCGCTGTCTGCAAGACCAGGACGGTCATTTACGAGATTCCTCGGAGTCAGGTCGACCCCACGTCCGCCAACTTCCTGATCTGGCCCCCGTGCGTGGAGGTGAAACGCTGCACCGGCTGCTGCAACACGAGCAGTGTCAAGTGCCAGCCCTCCCGCGTCCACCACCGCAGCGTCAAGGTGAGCCCTCCCCTCCCCTCCCCTCCCCTCCCCTCCCCTCCTCTCCTCTCCCCTCCCCTCCTCTCCTCTCCCCTCCCCTCCTCTCCCCTCCCCTCCCCTCCCCACCCAAGCCCGGGGCCGCCCCTACCAAGCAGCCAGGGTCCCTCCTGCATCCACCACCACAGCGTCAAGGTGAGCCCTGCCCCTCCCCTCCTCTCCCCTCCCCTCCCCTCCCCTCCCCACCCGAGCCCAAGGGCCGCCCCTACCTAGCAGCCAGGGTCCCTCCCGCGTCCACCACCGCAGCGTCAAGGTGAGCCCTGCCCCTCCCCTCCCCTCCCCACCCGAGCCCGGGGCCGCCCCTACCAAGCAGCCAGGGTCCCTCACGCATCCAACACTGCAGCATCCAGGTGAGCCCTGCCCCACGCAGGCCTGAGGGTCGCCCCTACTGGGTTGCCAGGGTCCCTCCTGGGAGGCCACAAGGTGCCCCTGGTGTGGCTGGTGGGGGTGCACGGCTGCGCTCCCATCTCCCTGGCAGGTACACTGAGGCCCAGGGAGGAGAAGGAGCACCTGGGGGTGCGGGAAAGGCAGGGCCGGCCGGGGCTTCTGCTCTGCTGCTCTGGCGACGAGCCTGGCCTCCTTTCCACGCCCTAGACCACAGTGCGGGGGCCGTTTTGGGCCTTGCGAGGTGTCGAGCTGCTTAGCCGGAAGCTGTCTGGCGTCCCCGGGCCCTGGAGGGTCCTGTGCGGGCTCTTCAGTGGGGGCCGAGGTGCATGGCAGGAGGAGTAGGGGGTGGATATTCAGAGCCTGCATTGCCTTTTGAAGTGCCTGACCTTTGGAGGGCCCCCCCGGCTTCCCCCCTAAAGCAGCCCAGGAGAAGGAGAAGGAGTGCTTGGGGTGGGCTCGAGGCCAGACAGCAGACTTCCTTCCATAGAATCCCAGGGTGAGCCCCTCTTTCTTTAAGTTGGGGGTGGTGCCTGCCTTCTTCAGGCTGCTTTAGCAGAATTCCATCCACTAGGAGCTGATTAGCAACAAATGTATTTCTCAAAGTTCTGGAGGCTGGAAGTCCAAGATCAGGGCGCCGGCAGACTGTGTCTCCGCTGGAGCCGTGTTTTCTGGGTTCATAGATGACACCTTCTCGCTCTGCCATCAGTGTGAGGGGCGGGGGATGAACATGCTCCCTAGGCTGCTTTCGAAGGGCACTAATTCCATTCATGAAGCCTCTACCCTAGAAACTAATCGGGCCAGGCGAGGTGGCTCACACCTGCAGTCCCAGCCACCGTGGAAGGCTGAGGCTGGAGGATCGCTGAGCCTAGGAGTTCAAGACCAGCCTGGGTAACATGGCAGGACCCCATCTCTACAAGAAATACAAAAATTAGCCAGGCGTGGTGGCAAGTGCCTGTCGTCCCAGCTACTCTGGAGGCTGAGGTGGGAGGATCCCTTGAGTCGGGAGGTTGAGGCTGCAGTGAGCTGTGATGGCATCACTGCATTCCAGCCTGGACAGTAGAGCAAGACTCCGTCTCTAAGAAAAAAAAGAGAAAAAAGGACTTAATGGCTACCTTAAGACACCCCACCTCCTAACGCCGTCCCCTTCATCTGGGATTTCAGCGTAAGAATCCTGGGGGTGCTGGCGTTCCTGCCACAGCAGGGCCTTCCTCCCTGGGGTTGCGCTGGGGGAGGAACAGCACCCGGGTGAACTTGCTGAAGGTCTTCTTGCGTTGCTGAGGCCCTGGGGCTCATGGCTGGGCCCCTTCTCCCTGCTTTCAGGGAAGTGTGCCCAGAGACCTGCAGGATGCAGCGCCCTGGGTGGGCTGGCTTTGGCCTGTGTTTGCGCCTCTCTGGCCTCATTTTCCTCACCTGTGCAATGGGTCTGAGGCAGGGCCTGGCCCTTCTGGGAGAGCCGAGGCTGCTGCCATCTTGTTTGCAAGGGAGGTTTCCTGCCTGTTGGGGCATCAGTCTCCCGTTTTCGGGATGGGGTTGCAGGGTGAGTGTCTAAGGTATCTTCTAGCTTCTGTGAGGCCTGGCTGGGGCTGGCACCTCCCTGGGGCTCCCATCTGGGAGGGATGGGCTCTCTTAGGGCTCTTCTCCCTGGAAACTGGCTTCAGTTGGGTTAAAGTGCTGTTGATGCTCCCACCTGACCTGCAGGACCCATGAGTTTGAGCAGTGGGCACAGGCGGGTGCGGCCCCTAGTCCAGGAGGCTGTTGCTTTGACTCAGAGCCTCCTGGCTTGGCCTCAGCTGAGAATTTTTTTTTTTTTTTTTTTTTTTTTTTTTGGGACAGCTTCTTGCTCTGTTGCCCAGGCTGGAGTGTGGTGGTGCGATCATGGTTTGCTGCAGCCTCGGACTCCCAGGCTGAAGCTATCCTCCCACCTAAGCCTCCTGAATGCTACAGGTGCATGCCACCATGCCTGGCTAATTTTTAAATTCTTTGCAGAGTCGGGGATCTCGCTGTGTTGCCCAGCCTGCTCTGGACCCCCTGGGCTCAAGTCAGCTGAGGATTTGGTGACAGCTGAGCCTGCTTTTCCTGGAATATGGGGTCACTGAAATGATGTTTGAGGATTTAAGTTTTGGGGCTACATTAGTAACCATTCTTTAACTTTAGAAAAGAATTATTTCACACCCCCGCCCCCCACTGTTGTGACTCCTAGGCCCCGGAGGGAGATGGGGCGGCGGGGAGAAGGTTCTCCGGGAAGGACTTTGCAGCCAGCCGGGTCGTTTCCTCGTCACACGACCGGGCACTTTAGACCCATAACTGGGACTTATCTTGGCCTCTGGGGACTTGGTCCTCTGAGGTGCTGGGTATTGAGTAAGCAGATTCCACATCTTACTACCCGGGATCTCCAAGGCCACTCACTCCCCTTTTGAAGCCCCAAGATTTTTCCAGGGCCCTGGGAGTGCTTGTCTGCGGCACTCTTCTGTCCTCAGGATATTTACCGCCGGGGGGTCAGGGAAGGAGGGGAGGGGAGGGCCTAACTCAGGCCTCCAGGTCCAGGTGTGGCTGGGTCCCCCTGGCATGAGCCCCCCTGGCATGAGCCCAGCACCATCCCCTCTGTCCTGTGTGCCTCCCTGGGGCGCAGTTTCTGCCTTTCGGTGGGCCTTGGCATCCTCCCTGGTTATATTTTGGAGGCCCTTGTGAGCTCTGAGTCCGGGATGCCTGTGGTCTTGTTCTCATTAGAGATTCTCATGTCAGTTCTGGGTGCTGGGGGAGGCTTGGAGGTACGGGGAGAGGCTCTCAGCCCATGGCTCAGCCTTGTGCAGCCCCTGCCCTTCCCACCCTGGCCTGTCATGGGGTGAGGATAGGAGGGCTTGGCCCTACAGGGCAGTGTTCTCTCCCTCCCCCGGCCCCCTGAGGAGGCTGGGTGGGGTCTAGAGGCTTCCAGCACCCTCTGGCCAGTGCAGTGTTGGGGGTGAGGGCCAGTTCCCCGCTGGGAGTGGCCCCTGCTTTGCTCTGTGCAGTGGTAGAGCCAGGACCAGGGCTCTCCCTCTGGGTCTCATCTGCCGGGACAGGGTGTCCTAAGGCCTCAGGGCTGTGTCCTGCAGCAGAGCCTGGCGGCCCAGTTCCCACCTCCTCAGACCCAGGCCCCCTTCATGTTCCCGCTTCTGGGAGGCGTCTTCTCCCTGCCCACCCATCCGAGGGTTGGAGGAAAACATCCGGCTTTGGACCCAGGGGGCTTTGGCTGAGGGGACAAAGGTCAGAGGGAACAGGAGGCCCATTTTGGAGGCTCAGCCAAGAGACCGGTCCTGCCGCTGCGGATGGAGGCGGCTGTCAACCTGGCGAGGAGATGGGCCCCAGAGCCTCAGACTCTGTGCCTGTGAGTGGGCATGGATGGGGTCAGCTGAGGTCAAAGGGGTTGGGGCTGGCCGGGAGGGGCCCCCAAAGTCTGTCCACCCAGGATGGGCATGGCATCCCCCATTTCCAGTTTTTATGCCTTTCCGGTCAACATTCAGAGGTCTCTTGTTAGAAGATGGATGGTAGTGAAGCTGGGAGTGTCACTGCCTGGCACAGACCCTGCTGGGATCACCAGGATGTGACTGACCGGCAGCCCTGGGGGAGTGACTGGCCGGGGTCCCTAGCTGGGTGGGTGTTTCCTTGCACTCTGCCTGGCACAGTTAGCTCTTGGTGCCTGGACGCCCGACTCTCCCCCAGACCCAAGCCTCGGGGGTAGGACAGGAGTGTGGGCCTGAACGTGGACCATGGGGATGAGATGCCAGCCCGAGGACTGCAGGGGTCTAGCCTGGACGGAGCTGGCTCTGAGCCCACCTTGCTGTGCTGGAGGCTTCCAGAAGGTGTGTGCTCACCTGGTGCTTGGGATGGGCCTCTGCTCCCTGGAACAGAGTGGCTGGGGTGTTACGGGTGAGAAGCTCCCAGCCACGACTCTGTCCACTCTCTGGGGTCTGGTGCAGGAGTCTCTAGGTGGGCGGAGTGGAGGTCCTCTTGAGCCAGGCTGGGCAGGGGCCTCTTACACGAGCTTGAGGTCTGGGCATTGCTTCCATTCTTAATGGATATGGGGGCAGTGCTGAAGGAGGCAGGATCTTCTTTTTTTTTCTTTGTTATAAAGACAGGGTCTTGCTTTGTTGGCCAGGCTGGTGTCAAATTCCTGGGATCACAGGTATGAACCTCCTCCACGCCCGACTTGAGGGATTTTTTTTTTTTTTTTGAGACAGAGTCTCACTCTGTTGCCCAGGCTGGAGTGCAGTGGCCCGATATCAGCTCACTGCAACCTCCACCTCCCGGGTTCAGGCAATTCTTCTGCCTTAGCCTCTCGAGTAGCTGGGATTACAGACACTCACCACCACGCCTGGCTATTTTTTGTATTTTTTTAGTAGAGATGAGGTTTCGCCATATTGGTCAGGCTGGTCTTGAACTCCTGACCTCAGGTGATCTGCCCGCCTCGACCTCCCAAAGTGCTGGGATTACAGGCGTGAGCCACCGCACCCAGCTGGGGTCCTCATGACCCAAGTCAGCATCTGGATTGAGTGACATTCCAAGTCTCTGTCGAGAGACACCCAGGTGGGGCTGTGGGGCGGTGGGGCCAGGGCTCTGGACTCTAGGCTTTCTTTCCGTGAAAGAGGTGAGAAGGAGTGCAGGCTAGGGATGGAGATTCAACGCTGTGTGACTCTGGGCAAGGGGCTTCCCTTGTCTGTGCTGTGTGTTCTCATCTCTAGAATGGACCACGATGGTGTCCTCACAGGGTAGCTGTGAGGGTTACAGTGACGGGCACGTGCGGTCCAGTCAGGTGTCTTTCATGGCTAATACTCTGTCTTGGAGCCTTGAAAGGGTCAGGCCGTAACCTGGAGTTGGGGTGGGGTCCCCCGCAGGGAGTGGCTGTCCCAAGCCCTCCTCAGGGGGTCTCTGCAGCTTCTGGGCTTTGTAGCAGTAGGGACTCGGCATCCCAGGTCTAGAGGGGTGACGGCATCCCTGGGTTGTAGTCTTGGGTGAGTTCGCGCCGGGAGTGTTGAGGTGGGGCGGCTTACGACGCAGATGAACTCAGCCGTGGGGAATCGGAATGTCTGGTGTGATAAGGTGCAGCCCACATCTCTGGGACGGAAAAAGGGGAGGGACATGGGGACCCCCCCCATCACTTGGGCTTCGGCTTGGGGCCTGGGGGCCGGGGTACCCCCCGTGGGGGTCCTGAGGACATTGTAGTCTGTTCTTTGGACTTGGCCTTCTTTTATGGAGGAGGTTTTTGTGAGAATCCAATATTCATTTTGTGTTCTTGGGAGAAAAATGTAGCTATTTCCTGGCCAGACAGAGGTGGCGGAACGGCCCGGAATCCTGGCATACTCAGAAACAGGTGCAATCATCGCTGTTTGTTTTTGTTTGATAAAAACGGGCTTGTCTGAGGAGGCAGTGGGTTCCCAGACGAGCGGCCGTGCCATGTGCCTTTCGCACGGTGCCCAGAGGGGTGGCATTTCTGTTGTGTCCTGGGAGCCCACGCGCCCGCGGTGGCCGGCCATCTCGAGTGGTTGAGAGCGAGCCTGCCCCTCGCCTGGGCGTCTGGTGTCTGGCCAGACGGGCCTGCGGTCTCTGCCGAGCCAGGCCCTGGTATCTGCCCTGCCGAGGGAACTAGGTGAGGCTGCTTGTTGACCAAAGAGGCTGTGCCATCCGGAGGGTCAGGGCCGGGAGCAGAACAGGGCGCCCTGCCCGAGCCCATCCCCACGAACCCAGATTTCAGAGCCCACCTGCCCCATGCCTCACTTGGCCACCCCTGCAGAGGCTGGGGGTGGGTGGGAGCAGCAGAGTATGGGTGCTTCGAGCCTGGGAGATGGCAGGGTGTGAGGCTGGTGCTGTTCCTCCTGCTGGGACCTGTGTCCAGGGCCTCCAGGGGAGGGGAGGAAGGAACTCGGTCCCTGCTGAGGCAGGAGGGGGCTGGGCCTGGTTTTGCGCACTGGGATCCCTAGTTACTTACTACCTGGGCAGTTCTTGACTCAGGGAGGGCTGAGGACATGCTTGCAGGGCTGGGGGTGGCTGAGGTCCCAGGTGGCCCTGCTGCTCCTCTTGGGGCTTTGCTGCAGTTCATCCTCGGGCCGGGCCTCTCCGACCCCAGGCCCTCAACAGGAGGGTGGCTCTAGACCCACTCTCTGCCTGTGGTGGGTGGGTGGTGGTACTGTGCTGAGCTTGGGGACCAGGGGGTGGGTTGGTTTTGGGGCTCTGGATTAGAATCCACGCCAGTGGCAGCCCACTCTTGAAGGCTGGCTTTGTCCTCGTTTCTGGGGCCTTCTGCATGTGCAGCCTCATTTATTCCTCAACTCCTGGGTGGGTGTGATTGGTCTCCGTTTTACAGATGGGAGGTGGAAGTGTGTGCACGGCCTGCGGAGGCCTCTCTCTGGAGGATTCTGTCCTGGGGAAAGGGGCAGATTGCCGCGGGAGTGTGGAGGCTGATCTGAGGCCTCCCGAGTGGAACGGAGCCCCATGTAGGAAGCGGCAGTGTCCTGGCCGCTTTCTCTCACGCTTTGTGACGTAGCGAAACCTCCCAGGCCAGGTCCTGTTTCTGAGCTGGCTCCTGACCCCAGGCGCCCCACGCCCTGCAACTGTTGAGCTCATACTTGGCTGTCTGCTCACGCCCCAGGCAGCCCAGACCACTTCACACGCCTGCAGGCACCCTTTGCACTGTGGGTTAACCATTAACTCAGCCTCGGACAAGCCTGGTCCCCAGCGCCTTAGGGACCGGCTTACCTTCGGAGCCTGCCTGGTCCCAGGGTGCAGAGCTGACCTTCTCCCTGGGGGCCCTGCTGATGCCCAGTCTCCAGAGTCTGGAGTCCCCCCTTCCCCCCAAGAAGGTTGGGAAACATTCCCCTCCTCCCTCCTTCACCCTCCTGACTGCCTGGGAGGCAGGGCCACTGGGCTGGGGGCATCTGGCCTTGGGCTGAGGTCTCCTCATTCACCCAGCAGCGTGCATTCCCCCACGCCCCTGTGCTCAGGGGGTGACCCGGCCTCCGTTTCCTTTCTAGCCTCAGTTTCCCCATGAACCGTGAGGGGTGAAGTGGGTGATCCATAGTGGCTGTTCTTGCATTTAGACCCTGCATGCGGCAGGGCTGGTTCCGTGGGCACAGATGGAGCGCCTGCTGGGTGCTCAGCTCCCCAGGGCCTGGGAGGGCAGGAAGGTGGTGGCTATTCCCTGGTGTGTGCTCCAGGGGGCAGGTGGGACAGCCTAGCAATTAGGGACAGGCTTAGTTAGAGCTTGCCTGCGCCTCAGTTTGTTCTGTAAATGGAGGTGCCAGTCTTGCCTCCTTGTAGCATGGTTGGGAGGATGAAATGAGTGCTGGGGTTTGGGCTGGGAGAGCCAATACTCTACTCATGCAGTCCCTGGCTGTGTATTAGGGGTCTGTTGATGCCAGGCGTGTGCGTGCTTGCACTCTGTGTGTGTAGTAAGATTCCCACGATGGGGCCCCTGTGTACATTACACATGCATGACTGGTGGGGGGTGGAGTTGCCTCCCCATGACAGGGTATGTGTGTGCATTATACAGGTGTGTGTGTGGGGTGGAGTTGTGTTCCCGTGACAGGGCCTATATGTGCATTATGTGTGTGTGTGTGTGTGTGTGTGTGTGTGTGTGTGTGTGTGATTTCTTGCCTCTCTTGTTGAATGCCTGAAGCTCCCCTCTCTGGCCTGGACTGGGCCATTGTCTGCCTGCAGCTCCCCGGGGAAGGGGCTGTGGAGGCAGGACCCCCATGTTGTGGTTTTGTGCCTGGAGAATTGAGGGCAGGCGTGGCTCGCAGACAGGCAAAGTCCAGTCCGAAGAGGGGAACCCAGCTGAGGTCTGGTTCGCTTTTGAGCTGCCTGTGCCTGATAGCCACGGCCTGCTGGCCTGTGCTCCTCCTGGATCATCTTGTGTAGCCTCGGTGATGGCCCAGGATCCCTGGCCCTGGTTTCCGAGGTCAGGCCTCTCCGAGCCCAAGGAGAGCCTCGGACCTGGGGGAGCCATGAGGGGACCCTGGGTATGGGTCTGCTGGCCCTGCTGCCTGGGGCCGGCGGGGAGGTGGGGCCCTCATCAGGCCAGCAGCTGGGATTATCATCTGGACGCTCAAGTCCACAGCAACCTTGGGCTAGGATACAGCCACGAACCCCCCATTCCTAGGCCATGGCTTTAAATTTTTTTTTAATATTAATAGAGACAGGGTCTTGGTGTATTGCCCAGGCTGGAGTGCAGTGGTGTGATACCAGCTCACTGCAGCCTCAAACTCCTGGGCTCAAGCGATCCTCCTACCTCAGCCTCCCAAGTAGGCTGGGACTACAGGTGCCACCATGGCTTGCTAATTTTTAAATTGTTTTTAGAGGCAGGGTCTTACTATGTTGCCCAGGCTGGTCTTGAACCCCTGGAGTTAAGTGATCCTCCCGCCTTGGCCTTCCAAAGTGCTGGGATTACAGGCGTGAGCCACCATGCTCAGCCTGGCTTTTAAAATGTATTTAAAAACAACGTGATCATTTGAAAACATTTCCCAGCTGCACATCCACACACAAGCAAACACTTTCCCTGGCCACCTGCACCCCAGAACTCCCAAACTTCCACACCTTAGCAGTGTGCATCCTTCAGCCCCCCCAGGCACACGTGAACCTTTGGGTTTATTTTAAACAAAAATAGGATGAGTCTGCTAAATACCATGCTCCAACACCAGGCGCGGCGGCTCTCACTTGAAGTTCCAGCACTTTGGGAGGCTGAGGCAGGAGGATCACTTGAGTCCAGGAGTTCAACATCAACCTCGGCAACATAGCGAGATCTCATCTCTTCCACACAAAAAAAATATTTAAAATTAGCTGGGCATGGTGGCCTGTGCTTACAGGTGGGAGGCTGAGGTGGAAGGATCACTTGAGCCCAAGAGCTTGAGGCTGCAGAGGCTATGATTGGCCTAGGTGACAGGGTGAGACCCTACTCAGAAAAAACTAAAACACACACACACAAAACTGCACTGCAGCTTGTAGGTTTTTCACCTGGTACTGCTACACTCCCCACCACAAGGTAGTGTTTCTGGGAGGAGGTCAGGGGTCAGGCTGCTCTCTCCTCCCTCTCAGCCTGTCCCCGGCTCCCAGCACGTCGTGATGTCCGAAGCTCCATGCAGGCATTCATGGCCGGGCTCTGTTCTCTCTGGCAGGTGGCCAAGGTGGAATACGTCAGGAAGAAGCCAAAATTAAAAGAAGTCCAGGTGAGGTTAGAGGAGCATTTGGAGTGCGCCTGCGCGACCACAAGCCTGAATCCGGATTATCGGGAAGAGGACACGGGTGAGTGGCTGCCTTCGTCGGCATCGGTGTTGGAGAACAGGTCTTCAGAGCCTTGCTTTTGGGGTGTTAGGTGGCCCCCTTGAGCGCAACGCTTACTGCTGTGAGCATCTGGGCTGCTGTTGAAGGATTCGTTGCCCTGCTCCCGGGCCAGATGCCTGCGGGGGAGACGGATCCCACACCTGCAGGTGTCCGGTGGGGAGGGTGGCCCAAGCTGCGGCACTGGCAGGAGAGGAGATTCAGGTCTCACTGAGAGGGGCTGGGAGTGCATAAGACACCCAATTCATTAGTGGGCTGCGGGGCTGAGCTGAGAAGAATCTGCAGAAGGGCCTCCTGCCAGGGTGGGCGGGAGGAGCAGGTTCGAGGACTGCAGTTGCCCTGGCTGGCTGGGGTCTCTCCTTCACCCCGCCACGCGGACTCCACCCAGGAGCAGAATGGCTTCTGTGCCCTGCTATGGCTGGGCCCTGGGAGCATGAGGGGACTCAGAAGTTTCTCGGTGCCAGGGTGCTGGCCTTCTCTTCTGGAAAGATAAACAAATGCCGTAGGTATTTGTTGCTTCAGTTCTTCACCCCGACGGCCGTCCCTCGGCCCACTCACCGCCCTGCCCTTTTGTTAACAGGAAGGCCTAGGGAGTCAGGTAAAAAACGGAAAAGAAAAAGGTTAAAACCCACCTAAAGCAGCCAACCAGGTAGGACTGTCTGCCGGACACACTGAGTCCTGCAGGGCGGGGAGGTGCAACTGACTGATCACACCAGCAAATCACGCTTCCTGTCTCGCCGGGTGCGGCGGGGATGTGGCCCTGATTGGCCTTGATGGTGTCTGCTGGGCTTGGGTCTCCTTGCTCCCCGTCCGCTCCTGCCTCGCAGAACGCCCTGGCCCGTGGCTCACTCCCGCTTGGGAGCCTGCCTCCAGCTTTGTCCTTCTCTTTGTCGTTGATTGGGGATGCAGGAGCATTGCACATGAATGGAACAGGTTGGGCGACCTGAGCAGCGGTGGGGCAGCTCTGAGCGCCTGGCCACTCTGGGATCACCCACCCCATTTGACAGATGAAAAAACTGAGGCTTAACTGAGATTACAGATAAGGACTGTTGGAGGCTGAATATATCTGGAAATCCTTTATAAACGTGCAGGGCTGTTGGCTACTGTGTTGGAAATTGCATTTGGCTGCTAGTAACACCAGACAGCACAGGGATTGAGATAAGATCGAGCTTCATGACTTTCATCTAAGGGTGGGATTGCAGAGCAGGGAGGGTAGTCTTGAGGTATCATCAGTGTCCGCCTTCTGTCTGGCTAGTGGCATCCATCTGCAGTTGCCTCATGGCCCAAGGTGGCTGCTAAAGCTCCAGAAACCACATCTGTGCTCCAGGCTGGAAGAAGGAGTGAGCGGGGGGGGGGGGGAAGGGCAAAATAACACCCTTAGAGAGCTATCCTGGAAATCCCACCCAGTGACTTTTGTGTTTTTCTCAGCTGCCATCCCTCCACTGCAAGGGAGCTTGGGAAATGTCTCCTAGCAAGACATGTCGCTTCCCAGATGGAGGTGGGACCTGGGCAGCCGCCATCATCACGGAGGAGGCAGTTTCAAGCCTTCCTGGTCCTTGGCATTGGCCCGTCTGGCTTGGGAAAGTTGGAGCCCTGTCTGGCCTGGTTCCCCCTCCTGGCACGTGGGACTCCATGGTGGCCAAAACAAATAGTTTCTTTAGAAGAGAGGAGGATCTCAGAGATAGGGTGTCTGAGAACCCTGGCTCCTGTTTGCAATGTGGGACTTGGGCCTGCGGGTGAGGTCCATTCATGAGGAGCCTCTTGGGAGGAAATTGTCCACTTGGGCGGGTCTTTGAAGCAGTCCAGGACTGTTGGTCAGCCTTGGCTTTGTTTGCTGAAAGTGTGGCCTGGTGGGTGGTTTTGTGCCTGCCTGTGGGTCCCATTTCTACAGAGCGTTAGGCTCTGGCCTCCATGGGCCTGCTGGTGACAGACCCCATGGTGAGAGGCTGGCACTCCTGTTGTCCCATGCCTGGCTGGTACTCATGTTCAGCCTATAGGCAGCCCACGTGTTGGAGTGTGCGATGGAGAGGCCACATGGGATGTGGAAGAATTGTTCTTAAACGATCAGCATAGGTCTGCCTGGGTGCAGACTCTTCTGTCTGGCTGGTGGCCTCCATCCTCAGGGTTGTCTCATGGCCCAAGGTGGCTGCCAGAGCTCCAGAAATCACATCTAAGCCCTAGGCTGGAAGAAAGGAAGGCAGAGAGAAGGGCAAATGAGCCATTCTTGGCCTCAGTTTCCCCCATCTGTACAATGGGAGAATGGGGCTTGGTCTCTAGACATGTTCTGTGAGATGCTGTGAGCCTAATCCCAATTCCTGTCAGGGTACTGCAACATGGCCAATGTGGCAAATGTGATTCTGGAAATTTCTTGAAAACTTGAAATCCCTGTGTGCCCCTGATTGGGTTAAATGTTTTCACCCTGTTTTCCTCCTATGCAGCCATGTGTGTGCTGGGTGGTTCACTTGGTCGGTGGTCTCAGTGTCTGTCTTTCCCTTCTCCCTGCAGATGTGAGGTGAGGATGAGCCGCAGCCCTTTCCTGGGACATGGATGTACATGGCGTGTTACATTCCTGAACCTACTATGTACGGTGCTTTATTGCCAGTGTGCGGTCTTTGTTCTCCTCCGTGAAAAACTGTGTCCGAGAACACTCGGGAGAACAAAGAGACAGTGCACATTTGTTTAATGTGACATCAAAGCAAGTATTGTAGCACTCGGTGAAGCAGTAAGAAGCTTCCTTGTCAAAAAGAGAGAGAGAGAAAGAGAGAGAGAAAACAAAACCACAAATGACAAAAACAAAACGGACTCACAAAAATATCTAAACTCGATGAGATGGAGGGTCGCCCCGTGGGATGGAAGTGCAGAGGTCTCAGCAGACTGGATTTCTGTCCGGGTGGTCACAGGTGCTTTTTTGCCGAGGATGCAGAGCCTGCTTTGGGAACGACTCCAGAGGGGTGCTGGTGGGCTCTGCAGGGGCCCGCAGGAAGCAGGAATGTCTTGGAAACCGCCACGCGAACTTTAGAAACCACACCTCCTCGCTGTAGTATTTAAGCCCATACAGAAACCTTCCTGAGAGCCTTAAGTGGTTTTTTTTTTTGTTTTTGTTTTGTTTTTTTTTTTTTTGTTTTTTTTTTTTTTTTTTTACACCATAAAGTGATTATTAAGCTTTCCTTTTTACTCTTTGGCTAGCTTTTTTTTTTTTTTTTTTTTTTTAATTATCTCTTGGATGACATTTACACCGATAACACACAGGCTGCTGTAACTGTCAGGACAGTGCGACGGTATTTTTCCTAGCAAGATGCAAACTAATGAGATGTATTAAAATAAACATGGTATACCTACCTATGCATCATTTCCTAAATGTTTCTGGCTTTGTGTTTCTCCCTTACCCTGCTTTATTTGTTAATTTAAGCCATTTTGAAAGAACTATGCGTCAACCAATCGTACGCCGTCCCTGCGGCACCTGCCCCAGAGCCCGTTTGTGGCTGAGTGACAACTTGTTCCCCGCAGTGCACACCTAGAATGCTGTGTTCCCACGCGGCACGTGAGATGCATTGCCGCTTCTGTCTGTGTTGTTGGTGTGCCCTGGTGCCGTGGTGGCGGTCACTCCCTCTGCTGCCAGTGTTTGGACAGAACCCAAATTCTTTATTTTTGGTAAGATATTGTGCTTTACCTGTATTAACAGAAATGTGTGTGTGTGGTTTGTTTTTTTGTAAAGGTGAAGTTTGTATGTTTACCTAATATTACCTGTTTTGTATACCTGAGAGCCTGCTATGTTCTTTTTTTGTTGATCCAAAATTAAAAAAAAAAATACCACCAACAAAACCCGTGGACGTGAGAAGCGTTTTGTGGTACGTTTTTCTAGCACTGAGTCTAGACCCTGGTTGCCAGGTCATGCGGTGCTGTGTTGGGTGGAAACGGAGGTCAGAGCTTTCTGGGTGGGGTCCCTGGACCTGCCTCCATGGTGGCACCCGTGGGATGCCTGCCTACCTCGGACTTCAGCACCTATGGGGGTTAGGCCGAGGACATCCTCCTGCAGGCTCCACTCCCTGGAGCGGATGAGGAGTGTCAGAGTAGCCAGAAGACCATGAAGAGTTTCATCCAAGAAGGGAGCCCACCTGTCTTGGTGTGTCCATGTGCAGCACTCACCATACCCTGCCCGGGCTGGCCCCTCCACCACCTCCAGGCCCACGAGACAAACCATCGAGGTTGCTTTCAATCTTGACCCCGCGTTCTTCGAGGACCATCTGTGGACTGGCGGCCGGCTGGCGTCTGTTGTCCATGTGCTGCTGGAAGGTTCTTACGAAGGATTATCTTCAACAGCTCATCTTCATGGTGCTGTTTTCAGCCTCGTCAGGGCAGCCTGGAGGCTGGAGGGGAAGTGCAGGGCCAGGTGGTTGCAAGCTGGTTCCTGTTCCTTGGACACCTGCTGGGGCCCTGCCTGGGCCTGTGGGCTGCTGTCCAGATCTGCACCGGTTACAGCGCCTTGCCCAGGAATGTGCATTGGATGTGACGTGTGGCAATGTAACATGTATTTGTTTCCATGAGATGCTGGCGACAATGCTCCATTTTTCTTTTTTGTATAAAGTCGTCTGGTGTAATACCGTGTCCATTAAAGTGATGGGGCAGAAAAGCCAGGTGGGGAAGAGAGAATTCCATAAGAATTCCATAGGTCTGGAGCCCAGGGGTGGCTGAGGTAGCAGTAGAGGTGGGAACTCAGGCCTGCTTTCTCTCCCTACTTACTCCTTCCCTCCCTCACTCCCTCCTTTTCTCCCTCATTGGTTCATCCATGCAGGCGAGGGCCCTAGTGCCAGCCCCTCCTGTCCCGACATGGGGAGAGCCCTGGGGAGGGGCAGGCAGAGTGGAGGCCACTCCAGCCAGGAAGGGCTGCAGTGTGGCGGGGGCTGTGGTCTGAGGCTGGATCCTTTCCGAGCCTCTCCACCCACGTGGGCCTGCAGCCTTTGTCGCGGCTCTGCCCTGCGTTCCCGGGATTTCTGCTCCTGCCTGGGCCCCCTCCCGGCCCCTAGCCCTGGGCTGCACCTGGATCTGGGCTCAGGAAGGTGACTTTCTGCCCAGGGTCAGCTCTTCATGTCTTGTGAGCCCTGTGACCTTGACCGAGGGGCCTCCATCTGCATGTCGGCGTGCACATCTGTGAAACGGAGCTGCAGCTCAGGCAGGGTAAGGACGCCTCGCCATTGACTCACCTGGTGCAGGTCTTGTCTGCTGCCTCCTCCTGCTGGGACTTCACTCCAGCCTCTAGTGTTTCTAGGCCCCAGCATGGCAGAGGACAGAGCCCTTGGGCTCAGGGATTGCTGAGCGGCGATGGTGCCGCCTGTTAAAACGAGGTTCCTGCACCTGCCTGGACACCTGAATGCACCTGCTCACACCGTGCCCTTGCCAGGGGTCATGAGAGCTGGGGCCCAGCCTTTGCTGGGCTTCTCCTTTAGCTTGGGGGTGTTTCCTTTTCTTCACCCAGGCCTCTGTGTCCTGGCTGTGGAGGGGGTTGGAACTGGCTGGGAGAGTCAGTGACGGCAGGTGGTCTCCAGCCGTGGGTCCCTACAGCTGTCTTGGGATTCCCAGCGGTAGGTGAAGCCGAGGCCTGGGTCTTTGCCTGGGTCCAGTGCGCAGAGCAGTTGCTGGGCTGGGCCAGGCTCGGGGATCCCGTTCTGCAGAGAAGCCCTTCTGGTTTGTGCCCTCTTGTCAAGCACAAGAAGCCACGGCCCTCCTGGGACCTCCTTGGTTTTTTTGGGCTTTTCATACTTAGCCATGGGTTCCTCCAAGAATTCTAGGGGTGGGAACTTGAGGGCTTGGCTCCCATTTTAAAGATGAGTGAGCTGTGCCCCTGGCAGGCCCGGAACGCCTAGGGGGCCCCAAGTAGAAGGGTCGCAGGACACAGAGAGGCAGGACTTGTGCTGTGGCCGGGCATCCAGGGGCCCTTCCATCTCCTGGGCCTTGACTCTGCCCCACCCCAGGGGTGGGCTGGGCCCCAGACTCCGGAGCAGCATTGGGGCGGGAGCTCCCCAAGTGCCTGCAAACAGCAGGGCCAGCCAGGCTCTTCTGGGGTTGTGTCCTGGGCAGGTGCCCAGCCTGGGACTGAAGCTCCTTGCCCTGCACCTATCACCAAAGGGCCAAGATTCACAGAGATTTGCCTCTGCATGCTCCCTGGAAATGGGGTCAGCAAGGACCAAGATACAGACCCCAGGGAAGATGGCGACCTCCAGGTCCAAAAGGAAGAGCAGGTATTTGAACTCAAGTAGCAAAAATCACAGAATTTCCTGCACCCCACAGACCCCCGTTCCCTCACAGAAGCCCCCCATCCTCTCACAGAACCCTGGTCCCCTCGTAGATCCCCTGTCCCCTGACAGATCCCCTGTCCTCTCACAGATTCCCCCGTCCCCTCACAGATCCCCTGTCCTCCTCACAGATCCCCCATCCCCCTCACGGATCCCCCGTCCCCCTCACAGATCCCCCGTCCCCTCACGGATCCCCTCCATCCCCCTCACGGATTCCCCCGTCCCCTCTGTACAGCCGTTTCCAGGAAGTCCTGGTCCTGAGGTCCCCGGGTTTCCGGGATGGGCAGGAGGAGGGGACACAGGCCCAGTCCTGAGAACGGGGACCCCAGGCTCCCGATACGTGGACGCGGCCCGGGGCCAAGGCTGGACCGGAAGTGGCAGGTTCCCGCCGCCTGTGGGTTCCGCCGCTTCCCGGGGCGCCCGGCGAGGGTGACAGACCCCGGGAGCGCTGTGACCGCCACCCGTGCCCAGCGATGAAGCTGAAGGTGGCCTCCTCCGTTTGCAGGGAGAATTTTGGTTCCAGGCTCCGGCGCCCCGGGGGCGGGCGGGCTAGGAGGGTCGGTGCGGGCGAAGGAGGCCTGGCCCTTGCGGCTCCCGTGCCGGGGACCCTGGAGGTGGGCGCGCCTCGGCCCCCAGCCCCAGCGGCCGACGCCGGGCTCCTCCCACGGCCCAGCCAGCGCCTCACAGTCCGGTGGCCCTGCCCCTGCGGCCACGCTGGCCGGCTCCTGACGCCTCAGAGCCTCAGTTTCCCCCCTAGCCGTCGGGAGGCGGGTGCGCCGCAGGATGAACCCGTGAGTGGCGCTGAGCAGGGTGGGCGGCGGCTGTGGCAGCCCGGGAGGACGTGGGTCCCCAGAGCGCCGAGGCGGGAGGAGAGTCCCGAAGAGCATCCGCGAGGGGTCGCCAGCCGGGGAGAGTGGTGGGGCCTCTGAGCCGGGAGGGGGCCGAAGCGTCTCCCACGACCTCGGCGCGGTGCCTGGTCTCCGCGGGGTCCGGCTTCCCGGTGCCCCCTTACCCTGCGCTTCTCCAAGCTGACAGCCCCAGGTGTGGGGCCTGGGGTGGGGCCTGGCATGGCCTCGTGCCTCCTACTCTTAGGTCCAGGGGTGCCATGAACCACCCCCCAGCCCTGCCGCGGGATCGTCCCCCAGTGTCCAGGGGACCCGCCTGCCTCGCCCAGCCTTTCTTTTCTTTTCTTTTTTGAGACGCAGTCTGGCTCTGTCGTCCAGGCTGCAGTGCCGTGACACGATCTCTGCTCACTGCAACCTCCGTCTTTCGGGATCAAGTGATTCTTCTGCCTCAGCCTCCCGAGTAGCTGGGACTACAGGCACTTGCCACCACGCCGGGCTAATTTTTTTGTATTTTTAGTAGAGACAGGGTTTCACCATGTTGGCCAGGCTGGTCTCCAACTCCTGGCCTCTGGCGATCCTCCCGTCTCGGCCCCTCAAGGTGCTGGAATGAGAGGTGTGAGCCACCGCGCCAGGCCCCACCTTTCACTTTGGCTCCATCCGGAGTCCTGGGATCCGCTGGGTCTGAGTCCCATGTACCGTTTCTGTTGTGGGATAGATTTCCATCAGAAGCACAAGACAGAAAATGGGGGAGGACGGGGTTTCCCGAGGAAATCGGGGTGCCGTTCATAGATGAGGCTACTAAGTGGGATGTTGGGGGTTGCCTTGGCCTGGGTGCCCCAGAGGCAGAACCTGAAGGACAGAGTTGTGGGCATATGGTTTACGGGAGGGCAGATACCAGCAATACAGGGAGGGGCTGGGGTGTGAAATGTTCAAGTGGGAGACCTCACTGAATCAGCTCCGGGCTCCAAATCCTGAGACCTGGAGCCTGCACACATGAATGCCGGGAGGTTCCAGGATCCCCCCAGAGGCTTGGAGAAGGCCTGGGCAGGAAGCCAGGTGGCAGCAGCAGGAGCTGAGCAGAGGTGGGCAGGAGGATACATGCAGCCCGAGGGCAGATCCCGTGTATGCATGGCCCCAACTGCTCCGGGTCCTGCACCAGCCTCCCCATGGCTGGCTGCTTCTCACCTGGACAACCTTGTCGCCCACCCATCTGCGTGCCATCTTCAGCCACCTGCTCTCCCAAGAGCAGCCAGGGTTATCTTCTCCAAACCCAAGGCCACCTTGCTCTCCCCACCCCTCCTAGAGCCCCTGCTGCTCTGTAGGCTTAGAACAAAGTTGAGAAGCTTCCAGGGCTCCGGGCCCTGTCTGACCCTGACTGTCCCAGTCACACCCTGGCCCCTGTCTGCCACCTCATGACCTCAGCTGAGCTGGCTTTGTCGTGGCACAGGGGAACCGGAGCAGGGGGGCTGCCCAGGCTGAAGGAACGGGGTTGAAGCGCAGGACTTTTCTGATGGGGCGGCAGCTGGGAAAACGGAGTGAGTGGCCGGGGAGGGCTGTTTATGGGATGGCCGTCTGCAGGGCCTTGGCAACCAGAGCCCCCCGTCCAGACCTCCAAGCTTGCCTGGTGACAGGGCCCGGTGTGAGCTGGACCACAGGTACTTGGTAGGCCTGGTCTGGGTTGGGGTCAGGGAGTCAGAGTGCTTGGGAGACAGGTGCCCCCTCCCAGGTTCGGCCAAGCATGGGGTGAGAGTACTGGGCTCTGCTGGGCTCTGCCCAGCTGTTTGATGTTGGATGACCTCACTGTGACCTTGGGCTGCACCACTGCCCTGGTTGGAAGAGAGGGAGGCTCGGTGGGATGGGCTGAGCTCCAGGACCGCCAACCCTTACCCCCCTTTGCCCACCTGTGAGTGGCTTCCCTGATGGAAAGACTGAGTGAGAGGACTCCTTAGTGGCCGGCCCTTGTAGAGGCACAGAGCTGCAGGAGCTGTGGTGAGGGCCGGCACCATGAGACCTCTAGACCCCAGGCTCTTGAAGCGTCCCTGCCTGCCCTCCCTGAAGGACTTCCCAGGCCACCTTGCCCTGCCCAGCGCTGGGGGCTGAGTCCTTTCTGGGCACACCAGGTCACTTGGCAGAGTCCCTGGCCCCGAGCGGGCACTGAAGGAGGCCCTCGCACTTCTGGGGGCCCTGGGTCTTCGCCGTCAGCATTTGAGGCTGCTCCCGTTCTCCCTGGGGTGGGAGCCGGGACCCAGCGGGGCCTCAAAGGTGACTGCAGCAAGCGGGAGTTGGCCTGCCCCCTGGACTCCCACCCTGGCCTGGCACAGCTGGAGTCCAACCCCACTCCCTGAGGGTACTCAGATGAAAAGCGTGTGGTTTCTACAGAATAAAACAGCCACTGTTTCTATCCCGGCCTTTGAGCCACCAAAAAATGTGCAGTATTTATGATCCGGCCCCCGGTCACCCAGCCACGCACCAGCATCCGGCGGCTGAGGCCCCTGCTCGCCCCTCCCTGGGTGGTGGAAGCCATCCCGGGCCCTTCTGGTTTCTGAGCTGGAGCCTGGTGGCCCCAAGGCCCTGGACATGGGGCTCCACCAAGGCCCTTAGTCGTCTGGTGTGCAGGACATATAGACAGACAGAAACACCCCTCCTTGACTCTGACTTCTAGGCAACCCCAGTCAGGCAGGGAAGCCCATTGCAGGCCCTAGACCCAGGCTGCAGGAGCCACTGCCGACAGACCCCCCCATCCCCTGCGGGCCACAGAGCACCAGCTGCAACCCCCATCTGTCTCCCTCAGGGGACTCTGGGAGGAAAAAGCCCAGAGCACACACGAGGCAGGACCAGCCTCACAGCCCCTGTCCCCCACTAGGGCCATTGGTGCCAGTACTGTGACACCCCTTCCGGAGAGGGCTGGGAGATGTGGCTGTGGGGCAGAGGCTGGGTTGGGAGCCCCATTCTGGCACTTTCTGCTGCCCTTCCATACCTCCTTGCCAGGGAGGCCTGGCTGGGAATCTTTCCATCTAGGTGCTCCCAACACTGAGGCTTCCTTGTCCCTGCTCAGCCCCAGCAGGTCCCCAGAGGCGTCTGGGGAATGGCGCAGGTATCCCCCCACGTAGTCCCCAGCACGCCTGCCCCAGGGGTTCCGAGGTCTCACTGAATCCCCAGGGAGGGGTCAGCGGTCGGAGCTTTGGGTCTTTCCCTACAGCTGCATTTCAGAAGGGAATGCAGCCGCTCTGGCGTGCCGGGGCTTGTGGTCCAGAGAGGCAGCTGCCACCTGGCGTGGGAGGCTTCTCAAGCTTGTCAGGCAGAGACTCATAACTCAGTGGTGAACCCCACCTGACCTCAGGACCACCTGCCTGTCTCTAGTCCAGGCTCTGCCCTGTCCTGGGCTCCTCTGGACCTCCTGGCACAGCCTTGTGCTACTCAGCGTCCACTGGCACGGTCGACTCCCAAATCCCCTCCCCCAGGAACCAAGAGCTAGGACTTGTCTACACAGCCAGACCTCCAGCCCTGATGGATGGAAAAGCCTAGACCCTGCACTGTGGATGTCAGGGAGGACTTATGGCTACTGGGTCTCAAGAAAGTCACTTGTTTATTTTTATACGTATTTATTCATTTGAGACAGTATCTCTCTCTGTCGCCCAGGCTGGAGTGCAGTGGCGCGATCATGGCTCACTGTAGCCTCGACCTCCTGGGCTCAACTGATCCTTCCAGCCTCAGCCTTCTGAGTAGGTGGGACTGGTGTGGCCTCGGGGCTTCTCTTTGTTGCCCGGGTTGGTCTCAAATTCCTGGGCTCAAAGGATCCTCCCACCTCAGCCTCCTAAAGTGCTGGGATTATAGGCAAGTGCCACTGCACCCTGCCGAGAAGTTAATTTGTTTGTTCATTCTTGGCTCAGCAGAGAGTTGCATACCAAAATGGCTCAGTGAATTGGCCTGGTGCAGGAAAGGGAGGGGTGTTCTGAAGGTCATTTCTGCTCATGGGGGGTCAGTGACCTTCAGCAGAGCCTCACCCCTCTCTGAGCCACAGTTTCCTCAACTGTAAGGTGGTTGAACTGTTGGATTAAACCAGATTAGACCAGAGTTGCTCAGAATTTTGTACACAAGATGCATTCATGAAGGTTTGTGACTATGATATTTTTCTAAGAGTTTTATAGTTTAGTTCTCATATTTAGGTGTTTGATCTGCTTTCAGTTAATTTTTGTATGTGGTGTGAGGCAGGGGTCCACCTGCATTCTTTTGTATGGTGGAAATCCAATTGTCTCAGCACGATTTGTGGAAGAGACTCTTCTTCCCCACTGAATAGTCTTGACACCCTTGACAAGTCAATCAACCATGAATGTATAGCTTTTTAAATGAACTCTCAGTTCTATTTCATTGATCTATATGTCTCTCCCTATGCCTTGGGTCTTCATTACTGACATTGTGGTAAGTTTGAAATCCAAAATTGTGAGTCCTCCAGCTTTGTTCTTTGTAAAAACTGTTTTCTTTTCATTTATAATTGCCCTGGCTAGAAAGTACCTCCAGTAGAATGTTGACTAGAAGTGGCTGAAGCCGACATCTTTGTCTTGCTCCTGATCTTAGGGGAAGAGTTCTAAGTCTTTTGCCTTAGCTAGCTGTGGGTTTTATGTAGATGTCCTTTATTAGGGTGAGAAAGTTCCCTTCTATTCCTAGTTGTTGAGTGTTTATTTATTTTTGTTATGAAAAAATATTAGATTGTCCTTTTTTTGCATCAGTTGAGATGATCATGTGATTTTTATTTTTATTCTGTTAATATGGTATATTACACTGATTTTTTTTTTGTATGTTGAACCACCTTTGCATTCCTGGAATAAATCCCACTTGGTCATGGAGCACAGTCATTATTTTTGTATGTTGCTGGATTTGGCTTTTTAATATTTTATTTATTTAATATTTTTATTTATTGAAATTTTGTGTGTCTATACATGAGGGATAGTAGTCTGTAGTTTTCTTGTGATGTCTTTGTGTGGTTTTGGTGACAGGTTATGACTGGCTTCACAGAATGAGTTCTTTCCTCTTCTATTTTTTCAAAGAGTTTGGGAAGCATTTGTGTTAATTCCTTTTTAAATATTTGGTAGCATTCACCAGTGAAGCCATCTGGTCCTGGGCTTTTCTTTGTAGGAAGTTTTTTGATTACTAATTCAATCTCTTTGCTTACTATAAGTCTTCATATTTCTTCGGGCCTCTTTTTCTTGAGTCAGTTTGTGATTCTAGGAATTTGTTCATTTCATCTAGGTTATCTAATTTCTTGGCACACAATGTTCACAGCATTCCTTTATTATTTTTATTTCTGTAAGGCTGATACTAATGTTCCCTCTTTTCATTCCTGAGTTTAGTAATTTGATTATTCTGTCTACTTCTTGGTCAGTGTAGCTAAAGTTTTGTCTATTTTATTTTTTTCAAGAACCAACTTTTGGTTTTGTTAATATTCTCTATTGTTTTTCTACTCTTTATTTTTAAAATTTATTTCCCCCGTAATTTTTTTTTTTTTGAGACAGAGTCTTGCTATGTTGCCCAGGCTGGTCTTGAACTGGGCTCACGTGATCCTCCTGCCTCAGCCTTTCAAGTAGCTCTCTAATCTTTGTTATTTCATTTTTCTGCTTGTTTTGGGTTTGGTTTGGTTTTTTTTTCCATTTTTTAAAAGATGGAAGATTAAGTTATTGATTTGACGTCTTTTCTTTTTTATTTTAAAAAATTAGGAGTTTCTAGCTATAAATGTCCCTCTAAGCACTGTTTTAAGCTGCATCCCATAAGCTTTGGTAAGTTGAGTTTTCTTTCATCTCAAAGTATTTTCTGGTTTTCGCTGGGATGTCTTCTTTGACTTATTGGTTATGTAGGAGTGTGTTGTTTAATTTCCACATATTTGTGAATTTCATAAATTTTCATCTATTAATGATTTCTAATTTTATTTCATTATGGTCAGAGAACATACTTGGTATGATTTTCATTATTTTGAATTTATTGAGACTTCTTTTATGGCCAAACATATGGTCTATCCTGGAGAATGTTTCACGTGCACTTGAAAAGAATGTGTGTTTCTGGATGGGCGCAGTGGCTCACACCTGTAATCCCAGCACTTTGGGAGGCCAAGGCAGGCGGATCACTTGAGTCAGGAGTTTGAAACCAGCCTGGCCAACATGGTGAAACCCTGTCTCTACTAAAAATACAAAAATTAGCCGGGCATGGTTGGGCATGCCTGTAATCTCAGCTACTCAGGAGGCTGAGGCACGAGAATCGCTTGAACCCGGGAGGTGGAGGCTGCAGTGAGCTGAGATTGCACCACTGCACTCCAGCCTGGGTGACAGAGCGAGACTCCATCTCCAAAAGAAAAAGAATGTGTATACCTTTATGGTTGAATGGAGTGTTCTGTAGATGCACATAAGATCGAGTTGGTGTATGATGTTGTCCAGGTCTTCTACTTGCTGGTTGATCTTTGGTCTAGTTGTTCAATTTCAATTTGTTTTTGTATATCGTCCTTAGATCCTGCAACCTTGCTAAATTCACTTATTAGTTTTAGTAGAATTCTTTTGAAATTCCTTTGAGTTTTCTACATACATGATCATGTTATCTGGAAATAAGAACTGTTGTATTTCTTCTTTTGCATTCTGTATGCCTTTTATTTCTTTTTCTTGCCTTGTTGTACTGGCTGGGACCTCCAGAACAAATAGAAGTGACAATAGAATGGGCAATCTTGCTTTATTCCTGTTATTAGCTAGAAAGCAATGAGCCTTTCAACATTGAGTAAGATGTTAGCTGTAGCTGTTTTGTAGATGCCTTTAATGAAGTTGAGGAGGTTTGCTTCTCCTATTAGTTTTCTGAGAGGGTTTTTTGTTTTTCTTAAATCATGAAAAGTTGTTGAATTGTGTCCATTTTTTTTGCATCTATTGCATTTCATTGTATGGTTTCTGCATCTGTTAAAATTACCATGTGATTTTTTTTTACATAATTCTATTATTGTGAATTACATTGATTAGTTTTTCAAATGCTACATTAACCTTGCATTCCTGAGATTAACCCACCTTGGTCATTAAATACGTTTCTTTTTATATTGATTCTACTTGTTAATCATTTGTTAAGGATTTTTGTGTCCATGCTTAAGTGGGAAATTGTTCTGTAGTCCTCTTTTCCTGTGGTGTCTTTGGTTTTGAATCAGGGTTTTTGGAGAGTCACAGAAAGTTACAGCCACACAGAGACAAACACATAGACACAAAAACACATGGAGCACCACACACATTCACGTACAGGCACACACATTCACATACAGGTTCACACATTCACACACAGGCTCATGCATTCACACGCATTCACATGCAGGCACACTCACTCACGTGCAGGTCCACACACAGGGACACACATTCACACACAGGCTCACGCATTCTCACGTAGGCACACGCATTCACATGCAGGCTCACACATTCACACACAGGCTCATGGAGTCACACGCACACACATGCTCACACAGGCATACACAGTCACACGCAGGCTCACGCAGGCACACGCAGGCTCATGCAGGCACATGCAGGCTCACATATTCACATGCCTCACACACAAGCGCGCCTCACACACAAGCACATGCATTCACACACAGGCATACACATTCACATGCAGGCTCACATAGGCTCACACGGGCACACACATTCACACACAGGCACGCACACATTCACACACAAGCTCACACACAGGCTCATATAGACACCCTCGAGGATGCTTCAGTCCGACGCGGAGTCAGGAGAGCTCGGACTCACTGAGGACCCTGCTATGGTCTGCAGCTGTGTTCATTTATCAGCTGGGACAGTGTGGGGTGCTCCTTGGACGCTGTCTGTTTCTCCCGCTCTGAGAAGAGCCCTGCCCCGGTTACGAATCCTTCATGACCGTGATTTCTGCCGCTTCCCGGGAGTCATCAGGGTACAGGGATCCCGCCTCCTGACAGTGCCCTTCTGCGGCCCTGTCCCTGTTCTGTGGACGAGGACACAGCCATCCAGGGGTGGAGCCGTGCATTCCAGGGCCCTTATCCTGTTCAGCCACCCCTCCCTCCCACAGCGTCCCCTCCCTGCCCCACCTGGCATTGGCCCCAACCCCCAGCGCCCTTCTTGGTGGCGGGTGTGGACTGCACAAGCTTGTGGCGATGGAAAGCTGGGCTGGGGCCAGACTTGGTGAGAGGCCACGAGAGCTGGCACTGAGGGGCCCTCGCAGTGGGATGCCCTGCCAGGCTTCTGGGGCCATGTCCCTCCTGTGGCTGTCCAAGCCCCACAGATGGCGATGCAGTGTGTACGTCCTGCAGCTCCTCGTGGCCTGGCGAGTCACAGCCTGTCCTGTGTTGATTTTGCTGCTCAGCAAGGGATGTGGGCAGATAGTGTCACAGTTATTTATCAGGAGGCAGAGAACCCCTGGCAGAAGTGGGTCTTGGGGAGGCTAGACTCACTAGAGCCCCAGCCTGGGAGCTGTGGCTTGCTGGCCTGCAACCGTGGACCCCAGCCCCTGGGGGCCCTGGAAGCCTGTTTCTCCATGATCAAGGGCCGTTTTTTGCGAGTGTTTGCAAGGGAGGAAGGGCTTCCTGCAGGATCTTCCCGTGTGATGTCTCTATGGGCTTTCTCCTGGGACAGGGACCCATCAAAGGTGGGAAGGGAGGGTGGTGCTGTCCGGGGAGGTAGGTGAGGGGACCACAGTCTGAGGTCCAAACTGCAAAGGGTTCACCCCGTAGCCTCCTCCCTCCTTCATTCCCTCCTTTCTTTTGTTCTCTCCCTCCTCACCTCTCCATTCGTTTTTTTGGAGCTACTGGGGCTGGAGCCGCCTCCTGGGATTGTGGCAGCCTTGGAAGATGGGTCCTCCAGTGAGAGCCTCGGGGCTGGGAGGAGAGGCCCAGGGTGCCGCAGTCCCAGTCCCAGGGTCATGGGGGGCCCTCGAGCGCGGGGGACCCTGGGGCCTCTGTGCAAGGGATGGCTCTGGGGCCCTGTGCTGATGGAGGACTCTGTGTTTACCTAATGAGGGGGTGCATGGGGGTTGGCAAACAGCCCTTGACTGCTGGCGGAGGCTGTCGGCTTGGGTGGCTTCCAGAGGCCCCTCAGCCCTGCATACCTTCCTCCCGGGCTCCAGTCCCGCCTCCCCCACCTTCTCGAACACAGACCTGCAGCGACCCTGAACAAAAGGAAATCCCTAAAGCTAATGTCCATGGGGGCTGGTGGGAAGTGAGCAAGAGTGGGGGTGGGGTCAGGGCCCTCGGAAGCAGGGGTCATGCGGGAGTGGGAGTGTCCCCCTGCCTGCCCCAAGCCCAAGGGGAAATACCTGAGTGAGCCCTGGCCCGTAGGAGGCGTGTGAGGAATGTTCCAAAAATCCTAGGCTGAGTGAATGAGGCCCTCACCCAGGCAGGGTCTAGGGCCAGGGACAGAAAGGCTTGTCTGAGGACACACTGGGAGCCAGCCCGTCTTTGGGTGACCCCAGACGTCACCCCAACCTGGATTTCCAAACCAGGTCCCCCAAGGCTCTGGCCCTGAGCAGGTGGAGGAGGGGAGGGGCAGGCAGACACAGTGTCGGCTTGGGGGAACGGGGTTGGGGGTACGGCAGAGGGACGGTCCCACATCTAGAGGCCAAATTCAGGACAGCCTAAAAAACACCCTCCGGAAAAGGCAGCCCAAATCATCTCATGTGCTTCTGAAATTCTTGCATTTTCCCCCTCAAAATCTGTCCTAGTTATGCTTGAGATCTCCTGACCCCAGAATACTTTTATTTATGACAGAAAATTCATCTCCATGGCAACGCCTTAGGAAGCTGCAGCCTCAAGATTATAACTTCCCAAGCAATGAAGACAATAAATGGATTTTTCACAAAACGGCTAAGAGCGACTCTGGCAAGAACCGGCCCCTCTCTGCAGTCTGGGGAGGGGGGGTTGGAGTTGAGAGGGGTGAGGGGACAGAAGGAGTCCCTAGGGCTGAAGTAAAGCCCACCAATGTGGTGGGTCTGAGGGAGGAAGCTTCACATTGTCTGTGTTCCGGCTTTTAAAGAGCAGCGCACTTAACCCCTTCGTCAAATCAAACATGACCCTGGGTTGCCCTAGAGGCCCTGAGCGAGCATCACCACATCAGGCCTGGCAGGCGCCTGCACACTGCAGTGTCTGAGCCCCTCAGCCACCTCCAAAGCACACATTTGTGCCTTGTCTTCACTGTCTGAGAAACAGGCATGGAGGATGAAGGAGGTCTCCTTGTCCCAGGGAACCACAGGAGCCTCTCTCTGGCAGCCTTTAGGGATCCAAGGCTGGAAACCCCTTTGCAAATAGCTTGGAGCAGCTTTCCAGGCTCAGCCCAAATTCCACAGTGAGGGGGCAAGTACTGGCCAGTTCCAGCAGAGATACTTCCTCAAATCAGATGGTGCGCATTGCAGGGGCCTCAGTTGGACATCAAGGTGGAGCCATCCCCCTGGTCCTAGTTCCTGTCATCCATCCATCCACTCATCCATCCATCCATCCATCCATCCATCCATCCATCCACTCATCCATCCATCCATCCATCCATCCATCCATCCATTTTTTAACCCATACCCGCGTATTTCACCGCCAGTCTTCCCATCCCACCCATGTTGTGCAGCCCCTTTGTCCATGATACCGAGGCTGTCCCTTTATCCCCGCCCGCCCAATATCCCACGGGTGGGGGGGCCAAGGACTGGCCCAGGTCCCCGCCAAAGTTCTTCCTCAAAATCAGGATGGACCCATTGGCAGGGGCCTCAGTTGGATATCAAGGTGGAGCCATCCCCCTGGTACTAGATCCTCTCATCCACCCATCCACTTATCCATCTATCTATCTCTCTATCTATCCATCCATCCAACTATCCGTCCATCCATCCATCCAGTCATGTGTCCAACCATCCATCCATCTTCTATCCATCCATCGAACTATCCACCCATTCATCACTTACCCATCCATTCACTCACACATCCATCCATCCATCCATCCATCCATCCATCATCTATCAGTCCAACCAACCATCTATCATCCATCCAAGTATCCACCCACCCACCCATCCACCCATCTGTCCAACCATCTATCATTCATTCAACTATCCACTGATCTACCCATCCATCCATCCATCCCTCCATCCAGTCAGTCATGTGTTCAACCATCCATCCATCTATCATCTATCCATCCATCAAACTATCCACCCATTCATTCACTTACCCATCCATCCATTCACACATCCATCCATCCATCCATCCATCCATCCTTCCATCCATCAATCCATCCAACCATCTATCATCCATCCAACTATCAACACACCTACCCATCCACCCAACTGTTCCAACCATCAATCATTCATCCAACTATCTACTGATCCATCCATCCATCCACCTATTTATCTGTCCATCCAATTATCCACTCACTCACCTACACATCCATCTACCCATCATCTACTTACCCTTTCACCCTTCCATCCACTCATCCATTCATTCATCTATCTAACAATCTATCATCCATCCAACTATCCACCCACTTGCCTACCCATTCACCCATCCGTTTATCCAACCATCAATCTGTTCAGCCGTCTATTATTCATACAACTATCCACCAATCCACCTATCCATCCATCCATCCACCCATTCATCCATCTATCCATCCATCTATCCATCCAACTGTCCTCCATCCAACCATCCATCCATCCATCCATCCATCCATCCATCCATCCATACAACATAAGTTCTTGAGCACCTAACAGGGACCTGTCACTCTGCCAGACACCATGAATTTCTTGCCTTCCTGGAGCTAACCATTAAGAGGGAAATTTAGACATTAATCATACACAAAAAGGAACATAATCGTAGACTGAAGTAAGTGCCTGAAGGAAATGACAGCAGTGACTAGTGCTGCTTGGGGGCAGATGGGGTGTTAGATGCTTTAGGTTTTAATTCTCACAACCACCCATGGGTAGGTGCTGCCAGAGACCTATGCTTCAAAAATGGAGAAGTTGAGGCACAGGCTCAGGAAGGATCTTACACCAAATCTTGTAAGTGGAGGAGTCAGAATGTGAACTTGGCCCTTCTGAGTTTTTAATCTCTAGGCTATTCTGCCTCTCAGGTGGGTGGGGAGGGTCCATAAGGGCCCCTGATCTGGTCTAGTGGGATCTCTGGAGACTCCCCACAGTGTTATTGAACCCAAGGACCAGCAAGGGATGCAGGTGAAGCACAGAGAAGGTGGCACGCAGGAGGACCACCGCATGGGTTGTGCTCATTCAAGGCAGGAGGGCACTAAGAAGCAGGACCAGCCCCAGCGGTGGGGAGGGGAGGGTGGGGAGGGGAGGAGGTTGGGGAGGGGAGGAGGGTGGGGACAGGAGGAGGGCGGGAAGGGAGGGAGGAGGGTGGGGAGGGGAGGAGTGTGGGGACGGGAGGAGGGCTGCCCACCGTCCTGGCCCCCCAGAGGCACCAAGCCCTGCAGATGAGCTGCGCATGAGAAGGAGAGAGAGATTTATTAAGAGCGGTTCGCCGTCAGTATCCAAACCTTCACAAGTTAGACAGAGTCGGTCTTCACTGGAGGGGGCATTCCTGGGCCCAGCTGCTCTTCAGAGCCTGCTGGAAGCAATTAATTAGCGGGACCAGGTACCTGTGTCCTGCCGGGCTGGCCCCACCTCGGCCTTCCTCTGGAGCTCCTGCAGCCCCAGGGAACCTGTCCCCAGCTCACGGATCTGAGATCTGCAGGGGCTCACACTTAAACTGTGGTGCCCTCTGACCTGGCCTGATTTCCATGGGAGCCCATGGCCTGAGGGGAGAGGAAGGACAGTGCCAGGCTTCGGAGAGGGGCTGTTTTCTTTTCAGGCTCCCTGGAGCCCTGGCCAGCTGCCTCCCCTCCCAGGTTCCACCTGGACTCCTCCCTGCCCTCCGCAGGGCCCTGCCTGGCCCTCTTTTCCTATCAATCAGAAAACAGCGACCTGGCCTGCACCTGACACTTCCTCCATCTCCCCTGGGCCTGGCCTCGGGCTCCTCAGCAGCCCTGGATTTGGCCTGGAGCCAGGGGTCTGGGCAGAGGAGAGTGCTTGCTCGGGACGAGGAGAGGCAGTTCAGGGCCTGGAGGGGACTGGGTGAGCTCAGCCTGGGGCTTCTCCGGGAGGCTGGCAGCTAGAGAGTCCTGTCTCCAGGGGCAGACATGCACACAGGGAGAGATAAGCTTGCGGTCAGCAGCCATGCGAGCCCCGGGAGTGCCTCCTGTCCTCACCAGGGTGGTGGTGGGGGCACCAGAGGTCCCAGCCCCCATGCTGCCCCACCCTGATCCTCGGCCTGCGCTCGCTCCTTGCCCTGCCTGCCTGAGCTGCCCCTGCCTTGGCTCCCAGGGGCTGTTGGGCCCATCTGCATGGCTGCCCCCCACCCACAAGCCCCCTCCTTTGGAGAAGCACCTGTCAGTGTGAGTCTAGGGCTGGGACCTCCCGGGGCTCCTTTTTGGGTTCCCTGGGCGATTGCACCCCAAATGTTGTTTCCTAGGTCTGAGGGAGAGAGGTTCTCTATCTTGCTGCTCAGATGGCCCTGGCCAGGTAATCTCTCTCCTAAGCTGGGGGTGGGGGCACTGAGACGGCATCTCAGGGCCTCTTCCTCCCACTCTGCTGCCTCCAGGAACTGAGAACAGCGCCCCTGCCCCCCAGGGCTCTTGCCCTCGGCCGTTTCACCGGAGCACACAAGTGCTCACAAGCTCGGCAGTGACTAAAAGCCAGGAAGGGCCGGGGAGGCCGGGAGCCTTCTGGATGGACCCCGTGTTGGTGAGGCTGACAAAGCTCTGGGCTGAGCCCCACACTCCTTTCCTGACGCTCCGATTTCAAGGCTTCTCTTAGATGGGGCCGCTTTCTAGGAAGGGAGGTTGGGGGGTCTTCCCTGCCCGCTGGCCGGGGGAGGGTGGATGTGAGTGGCCAGCCCAGCACCCCCAGCGCCTGTCTCACCTGGAGCTGGCTTGGCCCCAGTACTGGCTTTCTGGAAAACAAACCTAACTTGAAATCCTTGGAAAAGGGTGCCTGGTGCAGACCACCCTGCGTCACTGCCTGGAAACCATGACTGGGGAGGGGCACCCTCTCTGGGGGTCCTCAGAGCCGGCAGAGGCTGACTCGTGGCTGAGGCTTGGCTCCGGCTCCGGCTCTGGGGTCGCCTTCTGTGACCCTCCAGCTGATGGTGGTGGAGGCAACGGTAGCAAAGTTTTACAAAGCTCTTCCCAGCCCCTGGTGCTGTGGACTGGGCCGCTGACGCAGTTGGTGCCGTATCACCCTCAGTTCCCAGACGAGGAGTTGGAGCTTTGCTGGGTCTCGTGTGCAGGGGGCAACAAGGGAAGGAGCGGCCCACCCAGCCCTTTCCAAAGCTCTGTTGCTCTGTTTCCAAACCTTCGAGGCACCAGGTTTATTTATGTGTTTGCCTCTCCCATGAGGTTGTAAACACCATGAAGAGAGCAAGGATGTCTTATGTGCCTCTGTCACAGATTTTCAGAGCCTGGCACAGAGCCTGGCAGAGTAGCTGTTCCCACATCAGCTAACGTTTCATCAAAGAAGATCCGCTGACAGCACGGGAGCGAATGGAAGGATGTTTCACACCAGTTGCCATTAGGAGGACATAAAGTAAAGCCGCAATCAGACACCACTACCTGGCCATCAGACGGACAAATAAAAAATACTGACCATACCAATCCCTCCTCCCCTCTTCCCTCCTTCCCTCCTCCTTCCCTTCCCTCCTCCTTCCTCCTTCCCTCCTTCCCTCCTCCTTCCCTTCCCTCCTCCTTCCTCCTTCCCTCCTCCTTCCTCCTTCCCTCCTCCTTCCCTCCTCCTTCCCTTCCCTCCTCCTTCCTCCTTCCCTCCTCCTTCCCTCCTCCTTCCTCCTTCCCTCCTCCTTCCTCCTTCCCTCCTCCTTCCCTCCTCCTTCCCTCCTCCTTCCCTTCCCTCCTCCTTCCTCCTTCCCTCCTCCTTCCCTCCTCCTTCCTCCTTCCCTCCTCCTTCCTCCTTCCCTCCTCCTTCCCTCCTCCTTCCCTCCTCCTTCCCTTCCCTCCTCCTTCCTCCTTCCCTCCTCCTTCCTCCTTCCCTCCTCCTTCCCTCCTCCTTCCCTTCCCTCCTCCTTCCTCCTTCCCTCCTCCTTCCCTCCTCCTTCCTCCTTCCCTCCTCCTTCCTCCTTCCCTCCTCCTTCCCTCCTCCTTCCCTCCTCCTTCCCTTCCCTCCTCCTTCCTCCTTCCCTCCTCCTTCCCTCCTCCTTCCTCCTTCCCTCCTCCTTCCTCCTTCCCTCCTCCTTCCTCCTTCCCTCCTCCTTCCTCCTTCCCTCCCCTTCCTCCTTCCCTTCCCTTTCCTTCCTCCCTCCCCCTCCCTCCCTCCTTCCTTCCCTCCTTCCTTCCCCCCCTCCTTCCCTCCCTCCTTCCTTCCTTTCTTCCTTTCCTCCTTCCTACCCTTCTTCCTTCTCTCCCTCCCTCCTTCCTTCTCTCCCTTCTTCCTTCCTTTCTTCCCTCCTTCCTTCCTTCCTTCTTTCCTTCTTTCCCTCCCTCCTTCCTCCCTTTGTCCTCCCTTCCTTTCCTTCCTTCCCTCCCTCCTTTCTCCTTCCCTCCTCCTTCCTCCTTCCCTCCTCCTTCCCTCCTTCCCTCTCTCTGTCCTTCCCTCCTTTCTTCCTTTCCTCCCCCCTCCCTCCCTCCCTCCCTCTTGGGAAACCCTGGTCCTTCCCATAGCCCTGAAGGGTGCTGTTCCTCTGGGAGGGGCTTTGCAACTCAGAAGGGCAGCAAAGACTTCCTGCCTTGGGTGAGATTCAAGCACGAAGGACCCAGACCTTCACCTCAGATGAACGTAAGGACGACCACCAGGCAAGTTCTGATTTAGACTCACAGACTCCAGGCTGAGCCCTCAGGAGCCCTGTGTCACCATCTGGCTCAGCAAACTCACGGTACAAAGGGAGGTGGATGAGGACACCCTCGGACTGCCCTGCATGGGGACCTGGAGCCCAGGCCTCGCCCCAGCCGCGCTGTGTCCACCTCCCCCAGGTCACTCTCCCCAGTGTCCAAGAGGACGGCATCATTTCCTGGTCCCCAGGGCTGCCTTTCCCTGTAGCATCTGCCTGCGGAGCCTCACTCTGCAGACGTGCAGCCCCCCAGGTGAAACGGCCCTGTTACAGGAGGAAAACCCAGTTTATTTCTGCACGCGTTTGCAGTAGGGATTCCAAAGATATGAATCATTCACCTCTCTGCTTGCTCTACTCCTCAGACATTTTGGGGTCAGGAGAAATGGCTGAATTAATTTTGTGTTTTAATGTGATAAAAACAGCAGCAAGGCCGGGTGTGGTGGCTCACACCTGTCATCCCAGCACTTTGGGAGGCCGAGGCGGGTGGATCACCTGAGGTCAGGAGTTTGAGACCAGCCTGGCCAACGTGGTGAAACCCCGTCTCTACTAAAAATACAAAAATTAGCCGGGTGTGATGGCGCGTGCCTGTAATCCCAGCTACTCGGGAGGCTGAGACAGGAGAATGGCTTGAACCCGGGAGGCGGAGGTTGCAGTGAGCCGAGATCACGCCACTGCACTCCAGCCCGGGCGACAGAGTGAGAGTCAGTCTCGAAAAAACAAAAACAAAAACAAAATAAAAAACCCACAAAACAAAAAACAAAAACAAAAACAAAACAGCCGCGAAACGGTGCTGTGGTTCCCCCACCCAGCCTCGCATGCAGGCTCCTCCACGGTGGCCGTGGCGGAGGGTCTCACGTAGCCCCTGAGACGCGCGCCCAGGGTGGGAGGCAGCTGGAACATGCGCTTCTCCCAGGGGCACCCACCGGGGGGCCCAGCTCTGCTCGCCCTCTGAAGCCCCCGCGGGCCGCTGGCGCCGCTCTCCTAAAAGACCTCCAGGGAGGCTTGCGATGCCTCCTGCCGCCGTCTGAGGGCTCGGGTGCCAAGCCCTGAAAGCTCTTGCCTCTGTGCCGTTGGGACTCCGACAGAAAACAGGGTGCTCAGCAATGTCCTGGGGGCAGGTGAAGCAGCCACGGGCAGGGCGTGTGGCCTGTGCAGTGCTGAGCCCAGCACCGTGGGGATGGGAAGGCGGATGTTCTGGGGGCCTCTGAGGGATTGATTTTCTCACGTCCTGAGGGCCACAGGTCTGGGGCCCTGGTGTTGCAGGACAGGCTCCTTCTGGGGGTTGAAGGAGAATCCGTCCTGGTCCCTCTCACTGGCTTCTGGATGGCCGTCGTCTCCCTGTGTCTCTTCCCATCTTCTTCCCTCTATGTGAGCCTCTCCCTGGGTCCAGGTTCCCCCTTTCCATGAGGACAGCAGTCCCACCAGATCGGGGCCTCCTGTGAGCTCATCTCCCCTCAATCTCATCTGCAAGGGCCCTGTCTCCAAATCAGGTCACATTCAGGGGTCCTGGGGGTTAGAATTTGGACATATGAATATCTGGGGGCACAGTCCAGCCCATAAGAGACATGAAGTGAGGGACAGTGGAGTCAGGCTGGGGCCCTTGAGAACACCTGGTATGTCCCCGTGTTGCTCTCTCCCCACCTCCTGTCTTAGCCAGGCCCCTGCAGGACAGCCGGGCCCTTGGCTGTGGAGCACACGTGCATCCAGCCCAGGGCCCTGAAGGGCTGTGGGGTGAGGCCTGCAGGAGCCGGAGGTGCTGGCCGTTCTCCTGAACCACCCAGATGACAAGCAGACCCGCCCCACGAGGCCCACACCCACTCCAGACACCAAACCACAGCTTCTCCTCCCAAGTCCAGACCACGTCCTCCTGTGGCCAGCCCTGATCCGGAACCACATTGGGAAGGGGCTTTGGGAAACATCCCAGCTTTCCTGTGCTGCCATGGCCTCCCACCCTGGCCTCCCTTGGTGCTAGTGGTGTAGCCTCTGCCTCCGCTTCCGGCAGTGCTGGATGGTGTAGACTCCCGCCTCGGCCTCCCACAGTGCTCTAGCCTCTCGCCCCGGCCTCCCGCAGTGCTGGGGCTCTAGCCTCCCCCATCGGCCTCCCACAGTGCTGGTCCTGCAGCCTCATGCCTTGGCCTCCCACAGTGCTGGTCCTGCAGCCTCATGCCTCGGCCTCCCACAGTGCTGGTCCTGCAGCCTCATGCCCTGGCCTCCTGCAGTGCTGGTGCTGCAGCCTCATGCCCCGGCCTCCTGCAGTGCTGGTGATGTAGCCTCTCGCCCCGGCCTCCCGCAGTGCTGGGGCTCTAGCCTCCCCCATCGGCCTCCCACAGTGCTGGTCCTGCAGCCTCATGCCTTGGCCTCCCACAGTGCTGGTCCTGCAGCCTCATGCCTCGGCCTCCCACAGTGCTGGTCCTGCAGCCTCATGCCCTGGCCTCCCACAGTGCTGGTCCTGCAGCCTCATGCCCCGGCCTCCTGCAGTGCTGGTGATGTAGCCTCTCGCCCCGGCCTCCCGCAGTGCTGGCGGTGTAGCTGCTGCACCTGGCCCCTTGTGCATCTTGTATTCTCTCCTGGATCTCAGGTGACCCAGCTGTGTTGCACTCTCCCCAGCCTTGCTGAGAAGCCTCCACAGAGCCAGGACCAGAGCCTGTGACCCTGAAGCTCCCAGAAGAGTTCCGGGTCAGTCTTACATCACTGACCTCCTATCCGCCGCGCGTCTTGGTTACAAACTACGAGAGTAGATGGTGGTGGGATAGATAATGGGACGGCTGACGGCAGGAGGGCTGGGGACACAGTAGAGCCACATGACCCCTGGGGTCCCAGCCAGGGCGGGGCCGTCCCCCGGGTTTAGGACGACACTGCTGTTGCTGTGAATAATTTCTAAAGTGTCCCAGCGCCTTCATCTGTCCCTCAAGATTCAAATCCCTGGACAGAAGCACATGAGTGCCCATTCCAGAGAGAGAGAGGGAGGCTCCACGTCTGAGGGGGAACCCAGCTCCTCCTGCCCCCCACGCATGCTCCACGTGCATGGCCGGGGGCTTGGGTGTGTTGGGAGGCCAAGACCCTCACAGCCCAATCAGCAAAATCCCACGCTTGTGAGGCCAACCTTGATCCACCCCCACCCCCTCCTAACACACATCCTGCCTGCCTGAGTGCGCTTCCTGGCTGCCTGACCTTTGGCCTCCGGTGCAGCCATGTCCCTGGGCTCCAGCCAGTGGGATTCGGGGGATTTCCAAGCCTGGCCCTACTCCTGCCCCACCATGATCCTCGCCCTCTTTCTCTGTCTGAGTGGAGAATTTGGAGGGGCCAAAGGCAGCACAGCAGAGCTGAGTCAAGTGGAGCCTGGATCCCTGCATGACCATGTGGACTGCTGCCCACCATCTGGGAACAATCCAGGTTGGCCTTCCCCTGACCGAGAAATAAACTCTACTGTGTCAAGCTGGGGAGTATGAGGCTCTATTAGAGCAGCTAGAGTTACCCATCTCAACAAACACAACTCGTGAGCCAGCTAAGGGCACGATCCACTTTATGGATGAAGAATCTGGCAGTATGACAATTCATGTCTTCAAAAAATATCACATGGCTAATTCGTGGGAAAGGTCATACCTAACCCCAGTCTCAGGGTGCTGGAGTGTGGGCTGGAGAACACAGTGGGGAATCCTGAAGCAGAGGCTGCAGGCACAGCCGACTGTCCCCAGAACTCACTTTGTCCCGGATCTCGTCAGCGGGCCCTGGGATTGCCCCAAAAGGAGCTGAGCCCATGTCTTTGAATCCAGACCCTGTGCTCTGTTGACAAAAGGACTTCTTATAAAAAAGTTAAGTTTTTTTGATTATAAAAGAAATACATATTCACTTTAGACAGAGTAGGACAAAGAAAAAAACGACAAACTTCCTATAATCCTTCTATCCAGAAATCATTATTGTAAACATTTTTGGATATTTCTCTCCATGTCTTCTTGTTTCTTTCTTTTAGAGATGGGGTCTTGCCATGTTGCCCAGGCTGGAGTGCAGTGGTGCAATCACAGCTCACTGTGACCTTGGACTTCGAAACTCCCGTGATTCTCCTGCCTCTACCTCCCTAGCAGCTGGGAAAACAGGCACGCACTACTATGCCTGCCTAATTAAAAAAGGATTTTTAAAAGAGACGGGGTCTCACTATGTTGCCCACGCTGGTCTTGAACTTCTGGGCTCAAGTGATCCTCCCGCCTCGGCCTCTCAAAGCACTGGGATCCCAGTTGGGAGCCACCATGCCAGCCCAGTCTTTTCCATATCAGTCTCTTTATCTCTGTTTCAGGCGTTTCTGGTTGTCCCCCGAATTCAACGGCCTCCCCCTGGTTGGCTGTTGGACTCCTGTGGTCTTTTTGTCAGCTGTGGGGTGGGGCGTGAGGGGGACATGGGGCTGGGCTGCCCAGAGCTCCTCGAAGTAGGGCAGGCTGTTGTCCGGTGGCTGGGTGATGTCAGCACCTCCAGGATCCTTGGCTGCAGGGAGCTTCACGCCCTTCCCAGGGCAGCCCACGACCACTGATGCATCCAGGCAGGTGCACAGGCCCAGCAGTCCTGGCCCAACCCACTTGCAGCAACTCTGCCAGCTCCCAGCCTCAGAGCTTCTTGTGGGCAGGCCGTCCACTGTTGGACCTTCCTCGCCCACCCTGCCTCCTCCCTCCCCTCCACGGGTGCTGACTGGGGAACATCCTGACACACCTCCTGGCTGCTGGGCTGTACCTCCGTCTGCCTCCTGGACCCAGGGACATTCTCAGCCAGCCTGGGCCCCTGTGCAGCCCCATGGGGCAAATGCCGAGCAGTCCAAAGCGGCAGCCCCGGTAGCTCCATTCGCCTGGCCCGCCACCGACTCACACGAGCAGGAGACAATTCTGGCCACGAGACCGGAGGGAAGCCTCCCGAGGGCTCCTGGGAGCATCTTCCCGGCTCTCAGAAAGGGGCACAAGGCTGGGTGCAGTGGCTGATGCCTGTAATCCTTGCACTTTAGGAGGCCAAGGCAGGGGGATTGCTGGAGGCCAGGAGTTCGAGACCAGCCTGGGCAACATAACGAGACCCCTATCTTTACAAAAATAAAAAAAAAATTATCCAGGCATGGTGGTGCATGCCTGTGGTCCCAGCTACTCAGGAGGCTGAGGTGGGAAGATTGCCTGGGCCCTGGAGGTTGAGGCTGTAGTGAGCTATGACCGTGCCACTGCACTGTAGCCTGAGTGACAGAGCCAGAACCCATCTTTAAAAATAAAAATAAAAATAAAAATAAAAAGTCATAAAAGGGGCAGAAGGCAGGGATGCCTTTAGAGGGTGGTGGATGAGGACGTGATGCCTGGAGCTATGGCAGTCCTCTTGTGACCACGAGGGGACAATTATGAGGTGTGAGGCCAATTGAGAATGGCAGGGTAGAGAGGAGGAGGAATCCCAGCTCCTGTGGTATCACAGAATCACTGAGTGCACACCTTGAACTTCCTGTCATGTGATATAACGCACCTCCTTCATGTAAAGCCACCGTGCGTCAGTGCCTCTGTGTGTGTGCGCATACACTGTGGCTTGTGTGCGGATTCCCCGCTTAACATCCAAACAAGCCAAAGGTCACTCCTCCTCGGGGGAAGGCTGTGAAAAGGCAGCTCCAGGAAAAGAAGTGTCAGGATGAGGGGGCCGGGGGACCTGCGCCGAGTCCCTAAACCCCAGGCCTGCCCAGCTCCACAAAGGTGGCATGGCGGGTGCCTCTAAGCTGTGTCCCCTCCTTGTCACCAGGGACGGTTCAGGGCTGCTCACCAGCTGCCAGGTGCCACCACCCGGGTCCCTCCCATGCCTTCTCCCTGGGCTGCAGGAGCTGTTGCAAGTGAGCTGGGGCCTGTGGGGTCAGCCCTCTGGCCGACAGACTCTTTCCCACAGAACTTTGGGAAGGGACTGACTCAGCAGAGCTATTTCTGATGTTTTCAGTCACTGGAGTCACTATCTCGACTTGTAAGACATAGTTTATGCTCCTTAGAAACTTGAGCCTGCCCCGGGAGTCCCTGGGGAGCTGCCAGGACAGATTTCGCACCGGCTCTGGCCCTCCCTTCCCTTGGAGGGGGAATGCGGGCCCGGCCTGAACAGGCAGTGTGAGGAAGTTCCAGCAACCGCTCCCACGTGGCTGCGTTCCGGAAGCTTCCTGGGCAGTCAGCTGCAGGCTCCATCAGGCTCCCTTTCGTTCCAGCCCCACTGTGAGCCCCTAGGGGACCGGCAGGAGCGATGAGGTCCCCAGAATTCAGCACTGTGCCGAGCTGGCCGGGCCACCCCTCTGGTCAAATGGCTCAGGGCAGCGGGCTCCCTGGGACTGCTCAACATGGGCGCCCCCGGCTGATCCATGGCTCATGGGCTGCTGGGGAAGACGGGGCCAGAGCTCCTCTGTCTCCCCTGCTTTGATGCCCCTCCTTGTCCGGGGCCATCTTGAGGACCTCAGTGATCCCCCATAGACCCTGGCCACAGTCACACCTGGCCCCCACCCAGGTCAGTCGGAAAGGTGATAGGGAAGAGAGGGTGGTGCGGGGAGCCTCCCATCATACAGATGAGAAACGGGGGCTTGATGGGTGAATGGGCTCAGCCCCGCCAGCAGAGCCAGGCCTCCAGCCCAGGCCCAGCTCACTCCATGACATCTCCCTGGACCCAGAACACTCCTGTTCGAGGCTGACACCATGACTTAGGAAGTCAGACCCTCGTCTGCTCTTCCAGTAGATCATCAGCGGTCTGCCGAGTGTGCCCAGGCTGGGCGTGTGCAGGGGTGCACAGGATCCTGGCGGGGGAGACAGACGGTCAACAGATGGACACGCCCCGAACAGCATGAAAGGGGAGAAGGGGCATGGGGGAGCTATAGGGTGGTGGGGGAGGGTGTGTTGAGGGGCACAGGGAGATATAGGGTGGCGGGGGAGGGGTGTGTTGAGGGGCACAGGGAGATATAGGGTGGCGGGGGAGGGGTGTGTTGAGGGGCACAGGGAGATATAGGGTGGGGGAGGGGTGTGCTGTGGGGCACAGGGAGATATAGGGCGGGGGAGGGGTGTGCTGTGGGGCACAGGGAGATATAGGGTGGGGGAGGGGTGTGCTGTGGGGCACAGGGAGATATAGGGTGGCGGGGGAGGGGTGTGCTGTGGGGCACAGGGAGATATAGGGTGGGGGAGGGGTGTGCTGTGGGGCACAGGGAGATATAGGGTGGCGGGGGAGGGGTGTGCTGTGGGGCACAGGGAGATATAGGGTGGCGGGGGAGGGGTGTGTTGAGGGGCACAGGGAGATATAGGGTGGCGGGGGAGGGGTGTGCTGTGGGGCACAGGGAGATATAGGGTGGTGGGGGAGGGGTGTGCTGTGGGGCACAGGGAGATATAGGGCGGGGGAGGGGTGTGCTGTGGGGCACAGGGAGATATAGGGTGGGGGAGGGGTGTGCTGTGGGGCACAGGGAGATATAGGGTGGCGGGGGAGGGGTGTGCTGTGGGGCACAGGGAGATATAGGGTGGCGGGGGAGGGGTGTGCTGTGGGGCACAGGGAGATATAGGGTGGCGGGGGAGGGGTGTGTTGAGGGGCACAGGGAGATATAGGGTGGGGGAGGGGTGTGCTGTGGGGCACAGGGAGATATAGGGTGGCGGGGGAGGGGTGTGCTGTGGGGCACAGGGAGATATAGGGTGGGGGAGGGGTGTGCTGCGGGGCACAGGGAGATATAGGGTGGTGGGGGAGGGGTGTGCTGTGGGGCACAGGGAGATATAGGGTGGGGGAGGGGTGTGCTGTGGGGCACAGGGAGATATAGGGTGGGGGAGGGGTGTGCTGTGGGGCACAGGGAGATATAGGGTGGGGGAGGGGTGTGCTGCGGGGCACAGGGAGATATAGGGTGGCGGGGGAGGGGTGTGCTGCGGGGCACAGGGAGATATAGGGTGGGGGAGGGGTGTGCTGCGGGGCACAGGGAGATATAGGGTGGTGGGGGAGGGGTGTGCTGCGTTGAGCAGTCCCCCAAATTTATGTCCACCTGGAACCCGTGATGTGGCCTTACTTGGAAATAGTCTTTGCACTTGTAACTAGTTAAATCCATGTCTTAAATGAGACCACCCTGGATTAGGGTGGGCCCTAAACCAATGACTGGTGTCCTCATGAGAGATGGAAGAAACTCACACACACAAGGGGTGGGTGAAGAGGGAGGTGGGATGGGAGACGCGTCTGAAAGTCATGGAACACAAGGAGGGCGGCCGCCAGAAGCTGAGAGAGGCCGGGATGACTCCCTAGAGCCTCCAGAGGGACCCAGCCCCGCCGATGCCTTGATTGCAGGCTTCTGGCTCCGGAAGGGTGAGAATCATTGCTGCGGTTTAATCCACGCAGTCTGTGGTGCTTTGTCACGGTAGCTGGAGCCAACTGAGGCAGCGTCCGGACCCTCAGCTCTGGACCCCACCACAGTCCTGCAGGGCTCCCAGCCTGTGGACCAAGGCTGGCCGATAGAGCTTTCTAGGGTGTGCCCTGGATCTGCACCGTCCAACATGGCAGCCACCGGCCACATGTGTGTACTGGGCACCGGAAATGTGGCTGGTACAGCTGAGGTTCTCAACTTTTAAAACGTCATCCATCTTTAATTTAACATAAGTACCCACACAGGGGCTCGTGGCTCTCCTATTGGACCAGCCACCCTGGAGTCCCCTGTGAGACACAGCTGTGCAGGGAAGTTAGTTCCCAGAACTCTGAGAGGTGCCCACGTGGGGAGGGCTGTTGGGTGGGAGCTCAGCTCTTGGACCTCCCATTCTCCATGGCACTTGCACCCATGCGTGTGGGTCACTGGGACACCCTGGGAACTTCCCACAGGCCAGCCTTTCTGTTCGTATTGGTGCCTTCAGGCCCAGGCAGAGTCCCAGACAGAGGAAGGAAGTCCTCGGCTGAGCTTTGTCGAAGTGATCTGGCTTTCCTGACATCCAATTTTTCTTTCTGCAGTTTACAATACCCCAGGGCTTAGCTGAAACCTCCGTCTCTACTTTGCAAGCTGCCCCAGATCCTAATGAGCATTCACTTCCCAGGGATTTGCAGAATTGTTTTAAATATAGACTCTACCACCAACCCCATAAAAAGTTGTATTGGTGGTAGTCATTCTTCAGCAGGCCGGTCATCATGTGAGACTTCCTCCGAGGGTTACGTAAGCGTGAGTGTGGGGTTCTGGGAGGGGGAAGTGGCTCTGTGTTGGCTCCGTGGGCAGCCAGGGTGCTTCGTACCAGTCATGCAGTCACCGTAAAGTTAACACCTTTGACTTCATTAGGAAAAAGGAGGAGGTTCCAGATATGTGTGGCTTATGTAGAGGTTTGAAAACAGGATTTCAGAAATGACTTTTAGCTAGGCTTTTGGTGACCATGTCTCAGCACTGGGGATAGAGCCTTTGGCCAGGGGCCTGGTGGGACTGTAGGACCCAGGGCAGAGGCGAGAGAGCATGCAGTTGGCATCTGAAGACCTGGGCTTGAGTTCAGCGTCTTCTGCCAGCCTGGGGTCCTCAGACACTGGAACACTCACCCGCATCTCACTAATTAAGGAAATAGGCTGTGAGGGGGATGGTAATGGCAATGACAGTGATGTGGCAGTGGTGGTAGGACAGTTGCAGGAATGACAGAGATGGTGATGGTGACAGAGGTGATGGTCGTGAGGAGGTGATGGCCATGGGAGGCGACGGTCATGAGGAAGTGAAGGTCATGGGAGGTGATGGTCATGAGAGGTGGTGGTCATGAGAAAGTAATTGTCATGAGGAAGTGACAGTCTTGAGGAAGGGATGGTCTTGAGGAAGTGACAGTCATGGAAGGTGATGGTCATGAGGAAGTGATGGTCATGAGGAAGTGACAGTCATGGAAGGTGATGGTCATGAGAGGTGATGGTCATGAGAGGTGATGGTAATGAGGAAGTGACAGTCATGAGAGGTGGTGGTCATGGGAGTCGGTGGTCAGTGAGAGGTGATGGTCATAGGAGGTGGTGGTCAATGAGAGGTGATGGTCATGAGGAGGTGATGGTCATGAGGAAGTGATAGTCATGAGAGGTGATGGTCATGAGGAAGTGATAGTCATGAGAGGTGATGGTCATGGGAGGCGATGGCCAATGAGAGGTGATGGTCATGGGAGGCAATGGTCATGGGGAAGTGACAGTCTTGAGGAAGGGATGGTCATGAGGAAGTGATAGTCATGAGAGATGATGGTCATGGGAGGTGGTGGTCAATCAGAGGTGATGTTCATGAGGAAGTGATAGTCATGGGAAGTGATGGGAGGTGATGATTATGAGAGGTGGTGGTCATGAGGAAGTAATGGTCATGAGGAAGTGATAGTCATGGGGAAGTGATAGTCGTGAGATGTGGTGGTCATGAGAGGTGATGGTCATGAGGAGCTGATGGTTATGAGGAAGTGATACTCATGGGGGGTGGTAGTCATGGGAGGTGATATCTGTGGGAGGTGGTGATATTTGTGGGAGGTGGTAATGCTTGTGGGAGGAGGTGATGGCCATGAGGAGGTGATGGTTGTGGGAGGAGGTGATGGTCATGGGTGGTGACGGTTGTGGGACGAGGTGATGGCCATGGGAGGTGATGGTTTTGGGAGGAGGTGATGGTTGTGAGAGGAGGTGATGGTTGTGGGAAGTGATAGTTGTGGGAGGAGGTGATGGTTGTGGGAGGTGGTGATGGTTGAGGAAGGAGGTGATAGTCATGGGAAGTGATGGTTGTGGGAGGAGGTGATGGTCATGGGTGGTGATGGTTGTGGGAGGAGGTGATATTTGTGGGAGGTGGTAATGCTTGTGGGAAGAGGTGATGGCCGTGAGAGGTGATGGTTGTGGGAGGAGGTGATGGTTGTGGGAGGTAGTGATGGTTGAGGAAGGAGGTGATAGTCATGGGAAGTGATGGCTGTGAGGAGGTGATGGCCATGAGGAGGTAGGATAATCTCCTATGTAATACTCTAGACTTTCCTATTTTTTTTTCCTGTGTCAACAAAGGCTGGGGAGCCCCCGTCTAGTCTGAGGGGCCTGATATGTTTTTCCCTAACGTCACATGGCTGGGAGACCTGGGGTCAGCTCTTGGTCTCCACCTTTAAAGACCCATTGTGACACCTTCGGCCTGAGACTCGAGGTGGACTCACATTTCGGCTTGGCCTGAAGGGACACCTGCCTCACCTCTCTGCTGTGTAGGCAGCAGTGGTCAGCCCATTCTCCCCAAGGCCGGCCTCTGCCTCCTACTGTTTCATGATTTGAGGCTCAATGGAAAGAGGGATGATGGTGAGGGAGGAGGGTGAGGGAGGAGGGTAAGGGAGGAGGGCGAAAGAGGAGGGTGGGGGATGAGGATGAGGGTAAGGGATGAGGGTGAGGGAGGAGGGTGAAGGAGGAGGGTGAAGGAGGAAGATGAGGGATGAGGGTGAGAGATGAGGGTGAGGGAGGAGAGTGAAGGAGAAAGGTGAAGGATGACAGTAAGGGATGAGGGTGAGGGAGGAGAGTGAAGGAGGAGGGTGAGGGATGAAGTCGAGGGAGGAGGGTGAGGGTGGAGGGTGAGGGAGGAGGGTGAAGGAGAGTGAGGGAGGAGGCTGATGGAGGAGGGTAAGTGGTGAAGGAGTGATGGAGGAGGGTGAAGGAGGAGGGTGAGGGATGAGGGTGAGGGATGAGGTTTACGGATGAGGGTGAAGGATGAGGGTGAGGTAGGAGGGTGAGGTAGGAGGGTGAGAGAGGAGGATGGAGGAGGGTGAGGGAGGAGGGTGAGGGAGGAGGGTGAGGGAGGAGGGTGAGGGAGGAGGCTGACATTCCTCAAGCATTTACCTGGCTTTCCCAGCAGTCTGTTGAGAAAGAATTTCCACGGGGTGAAATCTGTGGACCCGTGGGTATGGCTGCAGGGCTTCTTGCTCATGTAAACACCTGGGCCACCACCTTTCCAGGCCAGGCAATGGAAGTCTTCCCAGTGCCCAGAAAGCTTTCTCTGCCCTTAGAACAATCCCCACGTGGAGGATGCCGCTCTCCTGCTTTTCATCAGCACCGGTTAGCGTGGCCTGCTCCAGAACATCGCGGAGGAGGAATCTTGCAGGCACACGCTTTCGGTTTGGGCCTTGTTCACTTGCCATAACCCTTTTGAGGTTAATCCATTTTGCATTTATCAATAGTTTAGTCTTTTTAAAATTGTTAGTGTAGTGTTCCATTGTATACCAGTTTTTGTTGTTGTTGTTTAGAGATAGAGTCTCACTCTGTGGCCCAGGCTGGGGTGCAGGTGGACGATCTCGGCTCACCACAAGCTCCAACCTGCCGGGTTCAAACGATTCTCCTGCCTCAGCCTCCCGAGTACCTGGGATTACAGGCACCTGACACCATGCCCGGCTAATTTTTTGTATTTTTAGTAGAGACAGACAATGGCCAGGCTGGTCTTGAACTCCTGACCTCAGGTGATCCACCTACCTCGGCCTCCCAAAGTGCTGGGATTACAGGCATGAGCCACCGCGTGCCCGGCTGTATACCAGTTTTTAAGTCCATACGCTTCCGGACGGACATTGGGATTCTGGACCCTTATAAACAGTGGACGTGGATACTCCTGCGTGTCTTTTGGGGTATATGGGACCCTTTACTTCTGACATCTGTCGTTTCTGTGGTTGTGGAGGCCACAGTAGGTCAGGATTGTGGGAGGGGCTAAGAGCCCCTTTATGCATCCGTGACGGTCTCTGGCACGCAGCAGGATCTCCGTGGTGGTCTGCTGAACTGATCGGTGTGTGTGCGTGATAATGTATGTTCCACGGCCCGGCGGTTCTCCTCTCCATAGCCCGGAGCATTCTGTTGTCAGAAATGGCCAGGATTCCAGCATTCCTCAGAAGCAGGAGCAGGCTGCCTGAGAGATGGCCTTGAAACATGTGTTCGCAGCCAGCAGTGCACAGCTGTTTCCTCTTGTGGCGTCCGCAGCCTCAGACGATTGGTTTTATTAGAGGAGAGTTGTGTTTGCTACTGACCAGCAGCCCCGGCGGCCCTGGGGAGGCGGACGCCCGGAAACCCTCCCAGGCCCTGGTCATGTTTCTTCTATGCGTGTGGATGTTTGGGGCATCGGGCGCTGGGTGGCCGGTCAGCCGAGCTCAGCACTGAGCCACGCAGGGGTCTGGAAAGAGCCAACCCACCTGGTCTGGTCTCTTGGGGACACACACATGGGGGCCTCATTTGGTCACTGGGAGAACCAGGCCCACATCTGCCAGTCTCCTCTGCACGGCTGAGCCTGAGGACGGATCTGCTGGAAACTCAGCCTCCCCCAGGCCCCCCAGGGCCAATGACCTGAGTCCACTCTGCAGGGACAGCCGTAAAGGAGGCAGGGCAGCCCCAAGGCGCCAGGGCAGGCAGGAGTGCTGGGGCAGAGGGAGTGGCTTGGTTCGGGGCCCTGTCTCTCCATTTCTGATTGGGGGCCCTGGGCAAATTCCACAGCTTCCCAGGCTCCGAGCCTCCATCTGTCTAGGACATGGTCATTCCTACTGCACAGGGTGGGGTGAGCCCCGTATGTGGCGACCACCCCAGAGACGTCCGCTCTGTGCTGCTGAGGGCTTGGCTGTCCTTTTGGGGATGGGCCCCTCCTGGTGGCTTCAAGCCCAGCTCCTAGTGCTCAGCTCGGCAGCGTGGCTGGGGCAGGTTCAGCTCGGATTTGCAGCTGTTTTTGAAGAAGACGCTTGCGGGTGCCACCCTGCCCCCCACAACCCCACAGTACCAGGGGCACTTTGGTGTACTTTCCAGGGCAGGGTGGGGTGAAGGTGGACTGTTTGGTGGGGCTGGAGGCATCCGATGAACATGGTTGACTCTGACGTGGGGGCCAACATTTGCTTTAAGAGCCTATTTCGAATATTCAACTCAGAAGTGGAGTTTAGAAAGTGTATCGGCTTTCCTGGTGGTGTGAGCCTTGCTCGGAAAGCTGGATTTGAACGTCGTCTGGGTTTGGCGTTGGCCCTCAGGGCCCGGTGTCCTTCCCCAGCGCTGGGACCCAGCCTCCGGGGAGCCGTGAAGCCCTGCCGTCCTGTGGCTCCGGGGAACCAAGACCCTGCAGCCGGGGACGCGGCAGCACCCGCCTGCCTGGACACAGCCACGCCTGCCGAGATCCTCCACTTCACGCTCCCTCCCGGGCTGCGGACGCCAGCAGAGGGTGTTCCCCAGGACCCGCGCCCGCCATGCCCACCGCAGCTGCTGTGCACCTGGCTCGATGGGAAACTGTGAAATGAGATTTTCTCAGGATTCTTTTTTTGGGGGGGACGGGATGGGGACGGGCTGGGAGGAGCCTCCCGTGACACAGTGAAACCCCCCAGTGGAAGGATTTACTGCATAAATATCGCACGAATGCTCCGGCCATTAAATCACCGAGGGAGAATGTGTCGAGGCGCTTTGCTCCTCTCCTCTCTCCACGCTGGCGCCGGGTGGGCCTCGCCCCAGGAAGCCGGCCTCACATGGAAAATCCTCCCGCTCGCTCCCCTGGGTTCGCGAATCCTGCTGGAGGGCACCCGGCAGGGAACGCCTCCTTCCTCACCGCCCTCTGTGTTCCGGCCGCCCGCAGTGGGGCCGGGGCCGCGGGGCACTCGCTGCCCTTCCTGGAGCCCCCACTTGGCCGGGCGGGAGGGCACAGGCCCGGCCGAGTGGGTGAGCGGGAAGAGCAGAGTGCTGGGCCTGGCGTGGGTGTGACCTTGGGCCACCCCGTCGCCTTTCTGGGCTCTGTCATGGGTCTCGCATCTTCCCGGCGAGTCTTGTGCGGTGTGAGGCAGCGTCGTGATGCCGCTGGCACGAGGTCATTGGTGGACCGGCTTTGGAGCCACAAGACGGCAGGGCTTCACGGCTCCCCGGAGGCTGGGTCCCAGCGCCGGGGAAGGACGCCGGGCCCTGAGGGCCAACGCCAAACCCAGACGACGTTCAAATCCAGCTTTCCGAGCAAGGCTCACACCACCAGTGTGATGAGGGCAAGGGGGTTCAAACCCACAGACATCCCGCAACAAAAACAGCACCCCCACTTTAACCACGCGGCTGCCTCCTAGGCCCTTCTGGGCTGGCCTGGCCCGGGGCTGCCTGGGGGCCGTCCCGCCAGAGCACCCACGACCCCGCTGTATCAGGGCCAGGCCAGGGGGTGCCTCCCCTGATGGCTATTCCTCCAGCTCGTGGGACTCACGGGACGCGGCTTTGGGAACCGCGCCAAGGAGGTGGGGGCTCCGGCCCAGGTCTCGGGCCGCAGGAGCCGTCAGTTGTGTTTCTCAAGAGCCAGGTCCGCCCTCCCCCCCGGGAAGCCCCCAGGCCTTAGTGTGCTCCTGGAGGGGTGGGCGGCCGGGGCTCTCTCGCCCATCCCCGGAAGCCCGGCTGGGCTCCTGCACTCAAGGGCAGAACCGTCCGCCTCATCGGACATCACGAAGGGTCCTTCCGGGCCACGGCAGGCCAGGAAGGCCCCTGGGTCAGGTGAGCACCACCCACAGCCACCGCCGTCCGCCGCACGTCGCGAGTGCACGGAGCTGTGGGGCCGGCTCCGTCCCACTGCGGGCGGCGCTCTCGGCTCCTAGCAGCAGACAGACTCCAGCTACTTTAAGCCAAAAAAACAAAGATTGAGGGTGGGCCCTGGACTCTCCGGATAGGGCTTGAACAAACCCTAGGCACCCTGCCGGGGGCTCCCTAGGCCACAGGGCCACAGCCCACAGCCCACAGCCGGCGCCCAGCCTGGACATGCCCGCAGACCTCGGGAGGGGGCCTTGGGCCGCAGCCTTCCCCAGAACAAGGCTCCTGTACCCACCTCCCCATAAGAACCTGTCTGATTGGAAGTGCTGGAAGGAGCCACCTCTTTAGTGTGAGGGAGGCTGGGGAAGCCCTCACTGCATCTTGGGGATCCCCGCTGTCATTAGGCAGGACATCCCCAAACCTAGGGAGGGTGTCCTGCAAAGAAACAAAGTTGTCCTCTGCTGAGTTTCTGCCCACTGCCAGCCTCTCCCAGGATCTGCTCAGGTCAGTCAGCTGCTGGGGAGCCGGCCTCCGGGTGCGGGGACCTGGAATGGGCCAGTGCCTCCCGTCTGGGCTGGTCCCGGCTCCAGGCCTTTGCTCACACGCTCCCCTTCCTGGAGTCCCTTTCCCATGTGTGGGTCCAGCTCCCCGCAGGGAATGCCTGCGCCCCAAGTATCAGCAGGGAGACCCCGTGTGCCATGTCCTCCCCTGGGCCGTGTCTCATGTCTGAGAGGGGCTGGCACATGGAAGGCGCTGCATATGTGCCCACTGAGGTTAGGCGCACAGATGAGGTTAGTGGTATCATGGGGGCTGGACCCCGAGATCCCCCCCGACCCCGGCTCTGCCCCGCTTCCTCACCCTTGGGCCTCTTGGCTCAAGCAAGGGCAGGGCTGGGTCCATGCTGAGCTGGCAGGACAAGGGACGTCCTCTGTCCTCCGGTCAGCACAGGGCAGGCGGCGGGCAGAGACCGGAGGTGGCCTGGGGAGGAAATGTTGAAATTTGCAGCCAGGCAGGAAATGGACAGATTGTTGAGGAGGAGTTGGAATGCCATCTGGAATGCCGCCCCCTCGGTGCCCCCCGTTCGAGCCCAGAGTCAGGAAGTGCCTGGTGTCTTGGCTGGAGGAGCTCGTGCCCCCGCTGGGAGGGTGCCTGCCCAGTGCTACCTCCGGTTCCCAGCTAGCGGCATTGAAGGGGAAATTTGGAAACAGACAGGGGGCCGCAGGGCAGAGGAGAAACTGGGAACTGGAGCCAGGACAGTGGGGTCCTCCCTCTGCTGCTGCCCACGTGGGGCTCCCTCTGGGCTGCCCTGCTGGTGATGAGGAGCTTGAGAATTGGCTCATGATGTGCATGGGTTTCTGCACGCTCTTTCACACTTTGCACATAGCCTTCTCCACATGCAATGCTCTTCCCCAGTAGAAAACTCCTATTCAGTCTTCAAAACCCAGCTCTGGCAGCAGCTCCTTGATCAAGCTGTCCTTGAAGCTCCCCACCCTCACAGGTGCTTTGTCCCCACCCATCCAGTTTTACAGGCCAGATCCATGCCTTGGAACCACCCACCCACTCTGTATCTTTCTGACTAGGCTGAGAGGTCTCAGTGGACAGAGGACCTGTCTGACTCCCTGTGTCCCGACACCCCAGCACCCCGTGGGACACACGGTTGGCCCTGGTGTTTGCTGGGCTTGGAAGTGCAGCTCTTGAAATTTCAGCAAACTTCCCCTCGGCCAGCCGGGAGATGGCTGTTGGGGTCAGGGCATAATTCCCGGCCTCCGGGGATCTGTGTGGACTCAGCCCTGTGGCTGTTTCTGACATCACCCTCCCCTTTGAGTGGGAGGTGCTTGAAACCCTAGCCTAGAAGTCAGGAAGCCTGTGTTTAAATCCTGGCTCTGCTGCCCTGAGCTCGGAATTTCGACTCCCGAGCCTCGGTTTCCCCTTCTGTAAATGGGCCTGACAGGCCGATCTCAGAGCGATGTGAGGACCTGGAGATGGAGAGGGTGGTGCAGAGCCCGGCCCTGCAGGCACCCGGCCGTGCGAGCTGTAACCATCCACCCCTCACAGGCGCTCTCGGCCTGAGAGAAGGGAGGGCCCAAGCGGCTGCAGATCTCCAGGCCGGAGTGGCCCCCCTCACAGGATTCCTCTGTCCCCGCGGGGGAGGTAATTAGCATTCCAGCCCTGGAAGGACAGTGAGCTCCTTGGAGTGGCCCATACATGAAAGTGTGCCCAGCGGTTTCCTCAGGCTAACTCCTCCCGCCTCCTTCTGCCAGCCCCACCATGGCTGAGCCCACAGCCAGAGGAGACAACGCCTTCTGGGGAGCTGCTGGTCCTGGAAGCTGCGGGAGAAGGGCTTCCCTTGGGGTGGTGAGGAGTCAGGTTCACCCTCAGAGCTGGAGAGGCCAGCTGGGAATAATTCAGCCCTGGAAACAGCTCCAGTCACCTAGGGCAGGAGTGCCGGAGGCAGCTGGTGGGACCCAGGGGTCCAGTGGGTTCTGGGTGGGTGCATGGTCGCAGCCTCTCTCTTGAATATTGTGGTGCACACAGGCAGGCTTAGTATGGTCCGGGGTCACCTGTCAGCCAGCAGGTGAGCCAGCTTCTCTCCTTGGGCCATCCTGGACCTATTATCCAGTGCTGGTGTGCACAGGGGCTGGGTTCCTGTTGAGGCCAGCAAAGCGGGGGCACTGATCCTGTTGAGGCCAATGAGAGGCACTAGTCCTGTTTAATCCAATGGGAGGCACCAGTCCTGTTGAGGCTGGCCAATGGGATGCACTGATACTGTTGAGGCTGGCTAGTGGGATGCAGTGATCCTGTTGAGGCTGGCCAATGGGATGCACTGATTCTGTTGAGGCAGGCCAGTGGGAGACACTGATCCTGTTGAGGTCGGTCAATGGGATGCACTGATCATATTGAGGCTGGCCAATAGCTGCACTGATCCTGTTGAGGTCAGCCAATGGGATGCATTGATCCTGTTAAGGCTGGCCAGTGGAATGCACTGATCCTGTTGAGGCTGGCTAATGGGATGCACTAATCCTGTTGAGGCTGGCTAGTGGGATGCACTGATCCTGTTGAGGCTGGCCAATGGGAATCACTGATCCTGTTGAGGCTGGCCAGTGGGATGCACTGATCCTGTTGAGGCTGGCCAATGGGATGCACTGATTCTGTTGAGGCTGGCCAGTGGGAGACACTGATCCTGTTGAGGTCGGTCAATGGGATGCATTGATCCTGTTAAGGCTGGCCAGTGGGATGCATTGATCCTGTTAAGGCTGGCCAATGGGAATCACTGATCCTGTTGAGGCTGGACATTGGGATGCACTGATCCTGTTGAGGCTGGCCAGTGGGATGCACTGATCCTGTTGGGGCTGGCCAGTGGGATGCACTGATCCTGTTGGGGCTGGCCAGTGGGATGCACTGATCCTGTTGAGGCTGGCCAGTGGGATGCATTGATCCTGTTGAGGCTGGCCAATGGGAATCACTGATCCTGTTGAGGCTGGACATTGGGATGCACTGATCCTGTTGAGGCTGGCCAGTGGGATGCACTGATCCTGTTGGGGCTGGCCAGTGGGATGCACTGATCCTGTTGGGGCTGGCCAGTGGGATGCACTGATCCTGTTGAGGCTGGCCAATGAGAAGCACTGATCCTGTTGAGACTAGCTAATGGCAGCACTGAGTCAGAGACTGGAAGGCGGGAGGAAGAGAGGTGAGGGTATTTCTTCCTCTGCTCTCTCTGCACCTGGGTTTCCCACAGTAGCCCTGTGTCTCCAGGATGCTTCTCCTAGGATGCTCTTACTAAGGTCATGGCTTCCTGCTGCTGCAGGGCCCTGGGCTTGTCACTCCTGGGTGCTCCCCGAGCTGCCCAGGCAGCGTCAAGTCTCTTCTGTAAACTCCCCCACCACAGCTGAGCTAGCCTCTGCTCCCTGCCAGGCCTGGGCCACACCAGGTGATGCCCTGGTTGGAACCCTGGGTGCAGCGTCTGGGGGCGGGGTGCCTGGCCAGGTGAGAAACCGAGGCACAGCACAGCAAGCCCACAGGAAGCCTCCGGGTCATGGTGGATGGGGGTGGCCACTCACACACACAGGCTCTCCTCTTGATAGCCAGGTCTCCAGTGTCTGGGGACAGCTAGGCCCATGGGAGTCCCATCCCTACTGTCCAGGCTCAGCCCACGGGAGCCCCGTCCCTACTGTCCAGGCTCAACCCAGGGAAGCCCCATCCCCACTGTCCAGGCTCGGCCCACGGGACCTCCGTCCCCACTGTCCAGGCTCGGCCCAGGGGACCCCCATGCTCGGCTCACAGGAGCCCCGCCTCTACTGTCCGGGCTCAGCCCAGGGGACCCCTGCCCCCACTGTCTGGGCTTGGCCCAGGGGACCCCCATCCCTACTGTCCAGGCTCGGTCCAGGGGACCCCCATCCTTAGTGTCCAGCAGGGAGGGCGGGATGTGCGCTCACAATTCCTGCCGTTCACCGCCGGCCATGAGATGCGAGTTAAGGAAACATTTATTTTAAATGTAAACTGAGAGCAGCAGAATTCCTGGATGGGCTCTGTGGCCGCAGCCGTGGACCTGAGGCCAGGCGGTATGAATAGGAACAGTTGTCGCTGCTCTTAACCCAGAGGGGCCCCCGTGGACAGTGGGGCCTAGGGGAGGGCCGTACAGGCAGCGATGTCCCCGTGGGGCAGGGTCAGACCCTGACCTGTGGCCCTCTCGACCTCACCCTCACACCCCTGGGAGTCTGCGGGAGGACAAGGCCTCACTGCTGTCCCCAGCCCCTCACCCGAGGCCTGGTGCTGAGTCCATTCTGCCCGCCTTCAGCTCGGGAGCGCCAGCAGCACCCAAGGCCCCTTGTGCTCCCTCTTCCTCTTCAGGGAGACGACTCCCATCCCACACTGGAAGTCGCACATCAACACAGCCCCCCACCCTCACTGCCACCCCTCCTCTGTGGGCCCCAGAGGCCTGGGGGGTCCCAGCGTTGGAGTGGGAGGTCTGGGGTGGGAGATCTGGGGGTCCCGGCATTGGGGTGGGAGGCCCGGGGGTCCTGGCATTGGGGTGGGAGGCCCGGGGGTCCCAGCATTGGAGTGGGAGGTCCAGGGTGGGAGATCTAGGGGTCCCGGCGTTGGGGTGGGAGGTCTGGAGGGGAGATCTGGGGGTCCCGGCATTGGGGTGGGAGACCTGGGGGTCCTGGCATTGGGATGGGAGGCCCAGGGGTCCTGGTGTTGGGGTGGGAGGCCTGGGGGTCCCAGCGTTGGAGTGGGAGGTCCGGGGTGGGAGACCTGGGGGTCCCGGCATTGGGGTGGGAGACCTGGGGGTCCTGGCATTGGGATGGGAGGCCCAGGGGTCCTGGTGTTGGGGTGGGAGGCCTGGGGGTCCCAGCGTTGGAGTGGGAGGTCCGGGGTGGGAGACCTGGGGGTCCCGGCGTTGGGGTGGGAGGCCCGGGGGTCCCAGTGTTGGAGTGGGAGGTCTGGGGTGGGAGATCTGGGGTCCCGGCATTGGGGTGGGAGGCCTGGGGGTCCTGGCATTGGGGTGGGAGGCCCGGGGGTCCTGGCGTTGGGGTGGGAGGCCTGGGGGTCCCAGCGTTGGAGTGGGAGGTCCGGGGTGGGAGACCTGGGGGTCCCGGCGTTGGGGTGGGAGGCCCAGGGGTCCCAGTGTTGGAGTGGGAGGTCTGGGGTGGGAGATCTGGGGTCCTGGCATTGGGGTGGGAGGCCCGGGGGTCCCAGCGTTGGAGTAGGAGGTCCAGGGTGGGAGATCTGGGGGTCCTGGCGTTGGGGTGGGAGGCCTGGGGGTCCCGGCGTTGGAGTGGGAGGCCTGGGGGTCCCAGTGTTGGAGTGGGAGGTCTGGGGTGGGAGATCTGGGGTCCTGGCGTTGGGGTGGGAGGCCTGGGGGTCCCAGTGTTGGAGTGGGAGGTCTGGGGTGGGAGATCTGGGGTCCTGGCGTTGGGGTGGGAGGCCTGGGGGTCCCAGCGTTGGAGTGGGAGGCCTGGGGTGGGAGATCTGGGGTCCTGGCGTTGGGGTGGGAGGCCTGGGGGTCCCAGTGTTGGAGTGGGAGGCCTGGGGTGGGAGATCTGGGGTCCTGGCGTTGGGGTGGGAGGCCCAGGGGTCCCAGCGTTGGAGTGGGAGGCCTGGGGTGGGAGATCTGGGGTCCTGGCGTTGGGGTGGGAGGCCTGGGGGTCCCAGTGTTGGAGTAGGAGGTCCAGGGTGGGAGATCTGGGGGTCCCGGCATTGGGGTGGGAGGCCCAGGGGTCCCAGTGTTGGAGTGGGAGGTCTGGGGTGGGAGATCTGGGGTCCTGGCGTTGGGGTGGGAGGCCTGGGGGTCCCAGCGTTGGAGTGGGAGGTCCGGAGTGGGAGATCTGGGGTCCTGGCGTTGGGGTGGGAGGCCTGGGGGTCCCAGTGTTGGAGTGGGAGGTCTGGGGTGGGAGATCTGGGGTCCTGGCGTTGGGGTGGGAGGCCTGGGGGTCCCAGCGTTGGAGTGGGAGGTCCGGAGTGGGAGACCTGGGGGTCCCGGCGTTGGGGTGGGAGGCCTGGGGGTCCCAGTGTTGGAGTGGGAGGTCTGGGGTGGGAGATCTGGGGTCCTGGCGTTGGGGTGGGAGGCCTGGGGGTCCCAGCGTTGGAGTGGGAGGTCCGGAGTGGGAGATCTGGGGGTCCCGGCATTGGGGTGGGAGGCCCAGGGGTCCCAGTGTTGGAGTGGGAGGTCTGGGGTGGGAGATCTGGGGTCCTGGCATTGGGGTGGGAGGCCTGGGGGTCCCGGCGTTGGGGTGGGAGGCCTGGGGGTCCTGCCGTCGCATCGCTGGCTCTCCCTGAACCCCCTCCTGGTCTGGTCTCTCCCTTCCCAGTGGACCCAGCGTCATCGGAAACAAAAGCCAAGAATGCTGAGGGGCCCCCGGGGCCAGTGACAGCGGCTGGCCGGGCGCCAGCAATCACCATAGGCGAGTCGGGGAGCTGGCGGGTGGCCAGGAAGTGTCCCTACGGCTGCCTGGTGGGCATGTGGGCGGCCGGGCGGGCGGGCAGCCCAGGGAAAAGGCCCCTTCCGGGGGAGCCCACGGGGAAGCAAGGTCACCCTCAGACCCCAGCCCGTCTGTGCACGTGTGAGCGTGGGGGCGGGGGGCAGAGGGAGCCCCACTCAGAGGTGGGGAAACGGAGGCTCAGCGGGGAGTAGCGACTGCATGTGATACTCACAGTGGCCCCTGTGCTCCCCGGGGACACGGACACAGCCGTCCCCACGTCCTGCGTCCAGCCCAGGCCTGGCACAGGGAGGAGGGAAGGGCCAGGCACTGTGGGAACTCTGTGTTGTGAAGCTGCCCATGGCCTCGGGTTCAGGTGGATGCTGCCCCGTTGTATCCACGTGGAGATGGGCCCCAGCGATGCTCCAGGGCGGGAACCTGACTCTGGGCTCAGACTGCTCCTGACTTCTGAGCTTCCCACCTGTCCGGGCGAGGCCTGCATGGGCCGGTGGAGGTCAGGAGAGGCAGAGCTTGGCTGACTGGGCCCCCGAGGACACACGGGGGACAGGGTGGATGCTGACCTGGGCCCGCGTCTTGCCCAGGCTGGGCCAGTGGAGAAGGCCCTGGTGGAGGCGTCCACCCCTCCTGGGTCCCCAGGGCACCGTCCCATCTGCAGCCCAACGGACATGCTGTTCTGCCCCAGCACAGGGGCTGTAACCTCGGTGCTCGGACGGACTCAGGACAGACGCCGGCGCTCCGATGCAGTCAGGACAGACGCCAGCGCTCGGACGGACTCAGGACAGACGCCGGCGCTCGGACGGACTCAGGACAGACGCGGGCGCTCGGACCGACTCAGGACAGACGCGGGCGCTCGGACGGACTCCGGACAGACGCGGGCGCTCGAAGGACTCCGGACAGACGCCGGCGCTCGGATGGACTCTGGATAGACGCCGGCGCTCGGACGGACTCAGGATAGACGCCGGCAGACCCACACCTCACTGAGGGCCAGGTGACGAGCCCCCTCCACCAGGAAGGCCTCCTTGCTCTGGCTGTGCGGCCCCGGCTCGGTGGCCCCCGGCAGATTTTTGTGGGTGCTGCGGGTGCTGTCCAGGGGGAGATGCCTGGTGCTGCTGTGTCCCAGGGCAGCCCCTGGGAATGGACACCCTGCCCAGGACGTCCGCCTCCCTCTTACAGACAGGGAAACTGAGGCCTGCCTGCAGCTGTGACAAGAAGGGCTGTAGAGGGACCCGTGCATGTAGGTGGGGGTCTGGCCACCCCAGCTGGTGAGCTCCCACTTCATCGGCTCCGCAGGCCCAAAGCCCAGTCAGGTGCAGGAATTGTTACCCCTTCCTCAGGTGGCCGTGTGGACCCCTGGAGAGAATTCTGACTTGGAGTCTGCATAGAGTCAGAACCAGGCTCTGCCACCCACTTGGGGAGTCTCTTGCCCAACCTGGGCTTGTTTACTCAGCTGTTGTGGGCAAGAGACCCCTCGCCACCCGGGGGGGGAGGGCTGGAGGATCCAGGGGTCTCCCCAGACCTGTCACAGCAGCTCAGGACAGTGGCGTCAGGACCACGAGGGTGGTGGGCGTTCCTGTGCTGGGTGGGGGTGCTGAGGGGGTGGCATTCTCCTCTTCCTCCCCACAAGAGCCTGAGGAGCCCTTGCCTCCGGGGCGTGTAGATGCAAGACAAGCATCGTTTTACTCCAGGGAAGAGCAATGCTGCCCAGGAGGGCCCGTCCACCTGTGGGGCCTGGAGATGCAGGACAAGCATCATTTGACTCCAGGGAACAGCAATGCCGGCCGGGAGTGCCCATCCATGGGAAGATGCTGGAGAATCGACGTGGTTCCTGGTCCTGCTGCTGGGTCAGGACCTCAGAGGCCCCTGGAGTATGTGCCTAGCCCACCCGCCCCCAGGCCCTCGCCTTCCATAACCAACTCAAAATGAAAACAGACCAAACCATACAATAAAAACGTGCAATTTTAACAGTGGGGGAGCCTAACGTGGGCGGAAGGCGCGGGCTGCCCGGGGTTGGATTCCGGGCCTTTCCTTACCAGCTGCACGACCTTGGGGACGCTGCGTACATCTCCCTGTCCTCGATTTCTCTTATCTGTGAAATGGGGAGATCACAGAACCTCTTTCAAGGTCCCTGTGAGTGTGTTCATAGATACAAACCCTTAGAACGATGTCTGGCATTAGACACAGTGATCAACAATCAGGTGTTATCATTGAACGTGACACACGGAGCCCGTGTCTGCTGGAATGAAAGCAGGTTCCTTCCGGGTTTGGGCTGCTCCTGAGTTCGCTTTGTGCCTGTGGGTCTGGACAGTCCAGGCCTCTGGGGCCTTTCCCCAGGGCTCCAGCCAGACAATGGTGGACACGGCGCAGGGGCAGAGGGTGCTGGCCGGCCTCAGTGTGGCAGGAAGACCTTCTACCCAGAGCATGGGGATGCCTGAGCCACCCCATCCTGCCAGGAGAGCATGGCTGGTGCGGGCGCCCCCCCCAACCCATGGCACTTGTCCAGGCCTGAGGCACCGGCTCCCACAGTGTCTCCAGGGACCACGGCCTGTGCTGGCCGTGGAGGCTCCTCCTCTTCAGGGGGCTGGGGCTTCCCCTGCGTGCCTCAAACGCAGCTTCTCTACGCAATGGTGCCCACCTGGGCCCCAGCCCCTCTTCAGGTCCTCATGTTTCCAAGCCACAGCCAGAAGCACACCTGGAGAGGGGTGAGAGCACGGACCCCCGCCTGGCCTGCCCTGTTCCCTCTGCCCAGGCATTTCCTGAAGCCCCGGTGCCTCCCTGCGGATGGGAATTCCCCTCCAACCCCCAGCTCGCTGGGGCCCTGGGCCGGCCTGCAGGAGGGACCTCTGACACCCCCGTCGTCTTTCTGGGACCCAGGGAGGGCTGGCTCAGCAAGGAAGGACCGAGGGGGTGGACGGAGCTGCCAGGCTTCCTCCCTCTTGCTGACCCTTGATGGGGCCTGAGTGGCCTCAGGGTGTGGACCCTCCTGGCTCAGGCCCTGGGGATATTAGCGGTGATCTCCGCAGACTCTTCGCTCCCTTGGCGAATTCCATGCAACCCCACACAACCCTTCGAGGTGGAGGCTGAGGACCAGTCCCGTTTTACAGGTGCAAACACTGAGGTGCAGAGGCGTGAGGCCGCTGTCTGAGGCCATACTGTGCACCGCGGAGCTGGGGCTGGGGCCAGGCTCTGCGTCCCGGCTGCCTCGGGGTGGCTGCGTGGCCTGGGACAAGTCCTGGAAGCTCTGCATTCGGGGTCCTGGCTGCCAAGAGTGAGGATGGTCCCTCCCTCCCTGGGGCGTGGGGCCGGGAGCCACAGGAATGCACTCTCCCCCGTCGGAGGCCAGAAGCCGGGTTTCAGAGTGCGCAGGGCTGCGTCCCTCCCTCCCCTCCCCTCTGCTTCACACGCTCCTTCCCCGAGCGATTCTCACACATGGCTCCGGGGGCTGGCCCACAGCAGAGCCTGGTCTTCCGGACGTTTCTTCAAGTCTCCCGTGGGCTTCAAAGGCCCCGGAGCCGTTGCCCTCTGTCCTTGGCCTGGTGTGGTTTCTGGGCATGACGGGGGTTGACGGGGGTGGCAGGCGGCTCTTTGGGGCTATTTCAGGATCACCACAAATCTCGCCTTCCTGTGAATGGGGACTTTTCCTCAAACGTGGCTGAGGAGGGGGTGACGTCACTCCCAAATTACAAGGGAGTGGGGCCGGGTGGGGAAGGGTGTGACCCCGTGCTCTGCTCTTGGGGCGGGAGGCCTCAGGGCGGTCACCTGTGCTGGGCTCTGCGCAGGACGCTGCCCCCAGAGACCTCCAGGCCGCTCAAACGTCAGTGCGCGTCTGGGAAAATCAGAAACTGGGCGGAATGTTTGTTTGTTTGTTTGCTGGGGGGTGAGGGGGGCAGGGGCCCAGCAGCCCAGCGGGGAAGGGATTCAGCAGCCCCCTGGGGGAGCAGCAGAGGGGCAGAGGCAGGTCCCATTTCCAGCCTCGCTAGGGTAACTCAAGCTCTTAATTAGTCCCCTGGCTGCTGAGTGATGCTGCAAAGGCACCTCCGGCCCAACTGTCCCTCCCCCAGGGCAGAACAAAGCGCTCAGAGACCTCATTCAGCTCTCCTGGGGCAGCCACGCCCTGCTGGGAACAGAGAGGAGACAAGAGAGAGAGGGAAAGAGATGGAAAGAGAGGGAGGAGGAGAGAAAGAGAGAGAGACAGGAGAGAGACAGAGAGAGAGAGACAGAGAGAGACAGGAGAGAGACAGAGAGAGAGAGAGAGAGACAGGAGAGAGACAGAGAGAGAGAGAGAGACAGATGGAGGGGAGAGAGACGGAGAGAGGGGAGAGAGGGTGAGAGAGAGACAAACAGAGACAGAGAGAGACAGAGACAGAGAGAGACAGAAGAGTGAGAAACAGAGAGAGACAGAGAGAGAGAGACGGAGGGGAAAGACACAGAGAGAGGAGACAGCATAAGAGAGAGAGACAGAGACAGAAGGATAGAGGGGAGAGACAGAGGGATGGGGAGAGAGGGAGGGAGGGGAAGAGATGGAGGAAGAGGAGAGACGGATGGAGGGGGAGAGGCGGAGGGGAAGTGAAAGATGGAGAGAGCTTGAGAGGCGGCAGGAGGGCAGGAGCATGGGAGGGAGCAGAGGCCCCTCTGAGGCAGTGTCGGGTGGGACCCAGGGCTCTGTGGCCTCAGGGCCCTCCTGGACATGAAGTTGGGGGTGGTCCTGCAGCAATGGGAGGCCGTCCAGACTCAGCAGAGGCAGGAAGGGGACTAAAGCCGACTTCCGGGGTGTTGGGGAGGCTCGCTGTGCTCACTCATTCATTTGACAAACACCCCTGGGCGCCCACTCTGAGCCTCCCATGGGCTGTGGATCCTGTTCCATGCTGTGGAGCTGAGGTGCACAAGCTCCTGTCACCATCAGCTCTGCCACCGGTGCCGGGTCTAGCAGGAAGCTGCCCTTGCCAGGCCCCTGCCTGTGGGTGGGTTGGGGGGTGGGGGGAGGAAACCTCATCGGCCGATGGCACAGCCATGCTGTGTGGGCTCTGCGGGAGGGGCTGGGGGTGGCCACCCTGTGGGCTCCACACAGGTAGCGGGGCGAGCAGAGCAGGGTCTCAGAGCAGGAAGGTGGGAGGGGTCTGGGGAGGGACCACGTGGGGGTTCTAGGGTCTGGCCACAGGGCCCGGGCAGAGCAGCTTTAGGGAGAACAAGGGTTTAGAAGGAAGGGAGGGGGGCTTCGGTTTTGTTTTACCTTTTATATTTTATTTGCTTTTAAATTTTCTTTTATAGACAGGGTCTCACTGTATCGAACAGGCTGGAGTGCGGTGGCACAATCATAGCTGACCACAGCCTCAACCTCCCAGGCTCAAGCCGTCCTCCTGCCTCAGACTCCAGAAGAGCTGGGACTACAGGTGCTCACCACCACGTCCAGCTAATTTTAAAATTTCTTTATAGACAGTCTCATTCTGTCATCCAGGCTGGAGTACAGTGGTGTGATCCCAGCTCATTGCAGCCTCGAACTCCGGGGCTCAAGCGATCCTCTTGCCTCAGCCTCCTGAATGGCTGAGATTATAGGTGTGAGCCGCCGTGTCCAACTGGGCCTCAGTTTATCCCCCTGTGCTGTGAGGGTGTGGCCCAATTCGGGTCCTTAAATTTCAGCCACTGCCTGGTGCCCTTCTTGCTTTCGCTCCCTGACCTGCGCGATGTTGTTTGCTGTTTACTCAGTGTGTTTTAAAAAATTAACTCATTTTTTCCTTCCTTTTTTTAAAAATTGCATTCTCCCTCTGATATAAAATTAGATCACTTAAAAAAACTTAAATAATTAAAGAGAAATGCAGTATCTCCAGTAAAAACCTAGCATCTCCTGCCATGAATTGAGGTTAATTCGAACATCACACACAGACAGAATGAAACACTGGTGCGTGCTTCTGGCTGGTGCTCCTGGGGGCAGGGCCCTTAGCTTGTGAGTGTCAAAGGGGCGGATTAGCAGCAAACAGGTGCATTCTCCTCGTATAAGAACTTCCTCACTCTCGAACTGTCTTCGTATCTCCTAAAACCATCTCTCAACCCCAACACGTTTGTCTCCCATTTTGGGAATTGCAGGGGGAGCAGAGACGAGGCTTCGATGTCAGGAAGCAAAACGTGAGCTCATCGGACACAAAATAAAGAACATTGTTAAGTAAGGAAGGAGAATGTGAGAGGGCAGGGACCCCGGGGAGCTCATGGCAGGAGGGGGGATGCTGGGGAGCTCACAGTAGGAGGGGGGACCTTGAGGAGTGCACAGGAGGCCTGTGGGCACCTGGGAGTGAGTGAGTGGCGAGCAAACGCTCCTTCTCGGAAAGGCAGATGCCTGCAGGTGCGGAAGTAGCTGCTTGGTCCCCAGTGTGTCAGCTTGGGGGGCACAGAAAATGAGAGGGTGACAGGAAGCTTCCGGCCAGGCTTGGAGAGAGGGCTGTGCTTTCTTCCTTCTGTAGTTTCTTTCTCTCTCTCTCTCTCTCTCTCTTTCTTTCTCCCTCTCTATCTCTCTCTTTCTTTTTGAGATGGAGTCTCACTCTGTTGCCCAGGCTGGAGTGCAGTGGTGCAATCTCAGCTCATGGCAACCTCTGCCTTTTGGGTTCAAACGATTCTCCTTCCTCAGCCTGCCGAGTAGCTGGGATTACAGGGCCACACCACCACACCCAGATAATTTCTGTATTTTTAGTAGAGACGGGGTTTCTCCATGTTGGACAGGCTGGTCTTGAACTCTTGACCTCAAATGATCTACCCCCTGTCAGCCTCCCAAAGTGCTGGGATTATACGTGTGAGCCACCGTGTCCAGCCCCTTCCCTAGTTTTCTCATCTGGAAAATGAGAAAGTCCAGGTTGGTGCTGTCTGACGGAAATAAAATCTGAGTCTCAGGCGTAATTTTACATTTTCTAGTAGCCACAGTAAAAGTAAAAAGAAACAGGTGAAATCAGTTTTAGTAATGTATTTATTTATCAAACCCAATATAGCCAGAATGTTATCATTTCAACATGTAATCAATAAAAAATCTAGTAATGAGATATTGTCATTCTTTTTTAATACAAAGTTTTCAAAATTTGTTTGTATTTCACACTTACAGAACATCTGAATATGCACACGACATTCTCATCAGAAATACTCTGCCTACATTAAGATTTCATAAAACTTATAGTTGACAAGTGGATCACTTAGCTGAGTTGCCTGAACTATACTTAAAAAATTTACTAACTGATTAGCATACCAACATAAAAAAATTAATATTCACACTTCCATTGGTAAAACTGCTTCAGTTTAAAATTTTTCTACTTGCTATTTTTTTGTGTTAGAATGTTTTCATATAATTAAAGGACACTGGAATTTTCCTTTTCTGTTATTTATTCATTTCTTTGGGCCATTTTAAAAAATAATGTTTGCCTTTTTCTTTATTTGTAGAAGCTATTAATACGTCAGAGCTATTAACCCAAACCCAAGTTTGCCCATGATACGACTTGAAAATGTTTTCCCATTTTGTCATTCATCTGTTTAATTTCTTATCTTTTTTGTAAAAGCAAAAGTTGTTTTTAATTTTATTTAATTAATTAATTAATTTTGAGATGGGTCTCGCTCTTTCGCCCAGGCCGGAGTGCAGTGGCGCCATCTCGGCTCACCGCAATCTCCGCCTCCCGGGTACAAGCGATTCTTATGCCTCAGCTTCCTGAGTAGCTGGGATTACAGGCGTGAGCCACCATGCCCAGCTAATTTTTGTATTTTTAGTAGAGACGGGGTTTCTCCATGCTGGCCAGGCTGGCCTCAAACTCCTGACCTCAAGTGATCCACCCGCCTCCGCCTCCCAAAGTGCTGGGATTACCAGTGTGAGCCTCTGCGCCCAGCAAAAGTTGTTTTTTAAATATAGAGAATATAGCAAAGCCCATTCGTGTTTCCTTCCAGGCCTTCAGGCTTTGCTCATCAATTTCAAATGCTTTTTATTTGGAAATGGTTAGAGATCCCCAGGAAGTTGTGAAAATGGCACAGGAGGTCCCTCCTCCCCCAATGGTGGCATCTTGGGAACTAGAAGCTGAGTCACAGCCGGGAAATTGTCACGGGGATGACTGCGCAGTTCTGCGCCCTTTTTCACCACGGAATCCAGACACGGAGCTGTCCTCCAGCACAGACGACCCCTCGTTGTGGTTTTATGTCATTTTATGATTCTATCTCTGATCCATTCACATTAGATCTCTGATAATTCACATATATTTCTGGTGTAAAGTGTAAGAAAGTAATCCACATTAACCTTTTTTCCTATGACTACCGTCTCATTTCAATATCACATTTCTGTCTTTTTAATATATATATATATATTTTTGTAAAACAGCTTTATTGAGTTGAAATTGTCAACAACAAGCTGCCCATACTTAAAGAATATAATCCAATATGTTTTGACGTAAGTGGATGTTGTGAAACCACCACTGAAATCAAGGTCAGGCCAGGTGCACTGGCTCACGCCTGTCATCCCGGCGCTTTGGGAGGTTGAGGCAAGAGGATCGCTTAGGGCCAGGAGTTTGAGACCACCAATATAGCAAGACTCCATCTCTACAAAAAATAAAAATAAATTAAAAAATCAGCTGGGTGTGGTGACGTGCACCTGTCATCTTAGCTACTCGGGAGGCTGAGGTGGGAGGATCCCTGGGGCCCAGGAGGTCGAGGCTGCAGTGAGCCATGATCTTGCCACTGCATTTCAGCCTGGGTGACTGAGCGAGGCCCTGTCTCAAAAAAACCCCCCAAAACAGCAACAAAAACAATAGCAACATAAACAAGCCCAGCAGGCCACATGAGCTGGGGCAGCAGGGTGGGGGAAGGAACCTGGACCTGGGCTCCGCAGCGGCAGCACCCAGTCCTCGGGAGGCAGCTCCTCAGCACCCAGCCCCGCGCCGGGTGATGTGGGGCCCTCACTGATGTCCAGGGAACCACACCGGCTTCGCGAGCACACACACTGTTGGCGCCGGGCAAGGCACTTGTCACTGCTGGGCCAGGGGAGAGTCTGGGTCCTCGGCTGGTGCAGGGTGGGGCAGGCAGGATTGGGAGGGTCTTGAGGAAGGCGTGATCCACCTGAAACTCCCCAACGGAACAATCGGACTGGGTGCTGCAGACAGGGGGGGTTCGAGCCTAGGGCACCAGGGGCAGAGAACAAGAGAGTTGGCATGGCTTGGGGCTGCACGTGGAGCCCTCCCTGCCTCACCATGGGCCACGGGGAGCCATGCAGGGTCCTGGGAGGGGGAGAGGCAGGTGGAGGCTGATCCTGAGCCCCCGTCAGGGCTCACGTCGGAGGGCACCATTGACCGGGAGGCCAGGGAAACCCTGGAACGTGGGGTTTATTTTTCTTACAAAGCTTCGGCAGCCTGGGCTGAGCCAGGCTCTGACTTACCTTCCTGCACATCCAGGCCCACGAGGCAGGGAGATGGGAGGCCGGGCGCCCTGAACATGTCCTGCAGGGTCGCTGCTCTGCTCCTGTGCCGGGGCCATTCCTGTCATCCTGGGGCCTCCCCCTCTGCCCGTGGAATCCAACCACTTCCGGTTCCCCTGACCAGGGTGTCCCTTCGCTCCCCTCGGACAAGAGGCGCCCCCTCTATTGGAGTAGTCCTCCCTCCCTCCATCTCTCCCTCTTCCCCCTCCCTCTTCTTCCTCCCTCTCCATTGTCCCTCATTCCTCTCCCTCCCCACTCCCTCCTCCCTCCTTCTTCCTTTCCTTCTCCTCCCTCTCTCTCTCCTCCCTCTTTTCTCCCTCCTCCCTCTCTCCCTCCTCCTTCTTTTCTCCATCTCTCCATCCTCCCTCCTCTCTCCCTTCTCCCCACCTCCATCTTTTCCTCTTCCCTCTCCCTCCCCACTGCTTCCCCCTCCCCCTCCCTCCCTTTCTCTTCCTTCCCAAATGCTCAAGGCACTCATTCCTGCATCCATGGGCAGATTGCAGCAAATGCTCAGGGCAGTTCGTCTCCGGGCAGATTGCAGGCGCCTGTTAGACTGCAGTGCTCTGTCAGGCCCTGGGCTGCCGCTGTGGCCGTGGAGGAGGTGAGGCCTCAACAAGTCCGGACCTGGGCCCAAGCCCGCAGTGGGGAAGGGGCAGGCCAGGGGCTGCAGAGAGTGGGGTGGGGCCTCAGGGGCCTCTTGAGGGGACACCTGAGCCAAGAGCTGGAGGACGAGGACGGGGTCTAGGGGGGTGACCAGGACAGCATGCCAGGCAGGGCTTGGGGGAATGGGGACCAGATGTTAGAGCGTCTGGCAGGCCAGGGAGGGGTGAGGGTCTTACTCTGAGTCCAAAAGGACCCACTGGAGAACCTGAAAGGTCACCGTGTGTGCTGAGTAGGGAGAGGGACCCAAGGAGACAGGGTGAGGGCATGCAGGGTGATGGGGTGCTGGTGACGGGGCGCTGGCTGGTGGGGCCAGGCCATCTCTCCCTGGCGCAGGCCTGCCTCGCCCCGCCTCGCCCCTGCAGCACATCATGGGGGCACTGTGGCCACTCTGACCATGGCATGTGCAGGGCAGCAGGAGAACCACCGCCACTGCCGGACTTTCACACGGCTCCGGTTCCGACTTGCTTTGCTCTCGGAGACTCTAGGCCAGCTGGAGATTGGGGTGCCCCCAGCCCACATCAGCTGACCCCAACCTCTCCCCACACAAGTGGCTGCTGCCCCGGAGGCAAGGGGCCTCACTCACTGCTGGAAGTGGAGTCTGTGTGTGGTTGGGTGGAGTCAGGACCCCGGGGACCCTGGCTGGGGGCCATGCCCCTTGGATTCCGGGGGTCTCAGGAAGAAGCACTGAGACCATTTCTGGGGGTCAAGACACAAGGCTGAGCTCGCAGAGGGAGAAACACTCACAACTCAGAGGAGGCCTCTTGATGGGGAGCCAATGACTGCATTTTGAAGAAAGAAAAGGGAGAAACTTGGAAGGGCCTGTGCCTCTGGGGCGTGCTTCTCAAGAGTTGGCAGCAAGGCTAAAGACACATCCCGTTTACAGCTCCCGCTGGGCGCGCCACCTCTGCAGAGCTGGGCTCGGAGGCTGTGAGGCCGGGGAGGCCCTCCTGGGTCAGGATGGATGGTTCTGGCTCTGGCTCTGTGAGTGTGGGCAAGCTTGGGGCAGGGCTCCAGCTCCTGTGTCAGAGTGGAGGCCCCAGGACCCTTTGGTATCTGGGACCTGGGAAGCTTTGAGCTGACCCTTAGCTGACGGCCCAGGTTCTGGGTCTCTGCGTGTGCCTCCGTCTCATGCAAAGGGTAGTGAATGTCCCTAGAACGTCACAGGGCTTTGGCAGGTGCAGCCTCCTGGTGGGGAAGTGGGTGGAAGGAAAGGGGAAATATTTCTCAGAGCCCACCAGTGGGGTCAAAGACCCTGTTTCAAAGGTCAAGGGAGGGTAAGGGCTGCCTCGGGGTTACCCCAGATCCTAACTCAGTGGCCAAGAAGGTAGGTGGTGGCTGCAGGATGGACAAGGTAGGCAGTGGCTATGGGATAGACCACAGGCTCTGCCGTGTAAACAGGATGAGATTCCCCAGCAGAGCCCCTGCAGGGTGCTGTGCGTCAACTCCTGTGGCACAGGGAGCACCCAGTGGGTGCCTAGGGAGCAGCAGGGAGTTCTCACCTGTCCCTGGAGCCACTGGGAGAGTGTGGAGGGATGGGAGATGTCCAGCTCACCTGGGGCTCTTTTCCCTCAAGTAGAATCTGCTCAATTTAGATACTGAAAGGGGAGGGGTTTGGGGAATTGACTTTCCTAGCTGCAAAGAAGGGCCTGGGACTCCTCAGAGAAACAGAGGCTAAGAGCCCCAGGCTGAGAAACCTCCTCCAACTGCCCAGCTGAAGGGCTAGAACCCATGTGGGCTATGCCAGTCTGTCCACATTCATCCACCCACCCATCCATCCATCCACCCACCCACCCACCCACTCATCCATTCACCCGCCCACCTTCCCATCCATCCATCCATCCATCCATCCATCCATCCATCCCTCCATTCATCTATTCACCCACCCATCCATCTACCCATCCACATACTCATCCATTCACCCATCTACCATCCTCCATCCACCATCCATCTATTCACCATCTATCCTTTATCCTCCATCCATCCATCCATCCATCCATCCATCCATCCATTCATCCATCACTCATCCTCCATCCACCATCCATCCATCCACCATTCATCCTCCATTCTCCATCCCTCCATACACCATCCATCCACCATTCATCCATCCATTCATGCATCCATCCATCCATCCATCCATCCTCCATCCACCATCCATCCATCCATCCACCCATCCATCCACCATTCATCCATCCACCCATCCATCCACCATCCACGATCCCTCCACCATTCACCATCCATCCATCCATGCATCCATCCATCCACTATCCATCCTCTATTCTCATCCATCCATCCACCATCCATCCTCCATCCATCTCCATCCACCATTCATCCTCCATCAATCCATCTATCCATTCATGCATCCATCCATCCACCATCCATCCATCTATCCATCCACCATCCATCCTCCATTCTCATCCATCCATCCACCATCCATCCTCCATTCTCATCCATCTGTCCATCCATCCATCCACCATTCATCCTCCATCCATCCATCCACCCACCATCCACCATCCATCCACCAGTCATCCTCCATTCTCTTCCATCCACCATCCACCATCCATCCACCATTCATCCTCCATTCTCATCCATCCACCATCCACCATCCATCCATCTATTCATCCATCCATCCATCCATCCATCCACCATTCATCCTCCATCCATTCATCCATCCACCATTCATCCTCCATTCATCCACCATCCATCCATCTATTCATCCATCCATCCATCCACCATTCATCCTCCGTTCATCCACCATCCATCCACCATCCATCCATCTATTCATCCATCCATCCATCCACCATTCATCCTCCATTCTCATCCATCCACCATCCACAATCCATCCATCCATCCACCATTCACCATCCATCCACCATTCATCCTTCATGCACCATCCATTCATCCACCATCCATTCATCCACCATCCACCATCCGTCCTTCCACCATCTATCCTTCATCCTCCATCTACCATCCATCCATCCATCCATCTATCCGTCCGTCCGTCCGTCCATCCGTCCATCCATCCCTCCATCCATCCATCCATTCATCCACCCATCCGTCCAGCCATCCATCCATCCTCCATCCATCCTTTATCTGCCATCCATCCATCCATTAGCCATTGTTACCTCCTCTGAGTCAGATGTGGCTCTAGGTGAGGGGATGCAGTGACAAGACACAGCCCCACCCTATGAGGCTGATACTCCAGTGCTTTAAGGCATGGGGGAAATAAAGCACAGAAACCAAAGGGATTCACGATGTCTTTTGCCCTCAGGGCTGGGGGCCCTGTGGGGGCATTTCTGAGTGCCAGGCATTGTTCCACAGAGCCCTTGAGCCTGTGGCAGGCAACAGGCTGGGAGCCACATTTACTGAGCACCTGCTGTGCGCCGAGCACACTTTGGGCTCCTCACACAGCAATGAGCTCACCTGAACTCCTGTAGGGGAGATTCCAATTTGCAGACAGGAGAAGAGCTGGGGGAGGAGCCCACATGCTGGGGAGAAGCCAGCTGGGGTCTGAACCCAGGCGGTCAGTCTCCCTGCTGCCGTTTCTCAGCAGGGAGCTGCCCCAAGGGCTGGGTGGTGGCTGGGTGCTGTGGGTGGACACCTGTGAGTTTCCTGGAGTCCTGCTTTCATTCGGAAGCTGGGTTGGAACAAGAGGAGGCTGGACAGCCACCCTCAGTGTGACCTTTTATCTCGGCAGCCTTGCTGGCCCTGGCCAAGGTGGGTCTCAATTTCTTTCTGGCCTCCACCGGAATTACTTAATGGATAAAAAATAACCATGTCCAGGGCTCAAGTATCAGCTGCGGGAACAGCCAGCATTGGCAGCCAGGGACCTCTCGCTGCCCGGCCAGCTCCGGAAAGAGCCTGCCCCTCCTCTGCACAGCTGGTTGTGTGTGGGTGTGGCGAGCGTGGAGGGGTGGAAGGAGCACTGGACCTGGAGTCTGAGGGCCCTGGGTGCAAATCGACTTCACCCCAAGGAAGTCAGCATGACTTGAGGCAAACCAATGACCCTTTCTTTAAAAATTGGCCAATGCGGGCTCAGCATGGATCACCGTGAGGGTCCAATGAGGTGACTCGGGCGGGAGCAGTGGCGTCACTGTCGTTTTCTCGTCTTCTTCCTCCTTCCTTCCCCCTCGGCAGTGCAGTGTGTGATGGCTTCCTCGCCTGATGGTGACACAACCAGCCCCATCCTGGTGGTGGGCACCCACGTCACACAAGCCACGCTCCAGCTTCCCGGGTGCCCACATGTTTATGAACCAGCCTCATGCTGGTGGTGGGCGCCCACGTCACACAGGCCACGCTCCAGCTTCCCGGGTGCCCACGTGTTTTTATGAACCAGCCCCATCGTGGTGGTGGGCGCCCATGCCACACAGGCCACGCTCCAGCTTCCCGGGTGCCCACCTGTTTATGAACCAGCCTCATCCTGGTGGTGGGCGCCCACGTCACACAGGCCACGCTCCAGCTTCCCGGGTGCCCACGTGTTTATGAACCGGCCCCATCATGGTGGTGGGCACCCACGTCACACAGGCCACGCTCCAGCTTCCCGGGTGCCCACATGTTTATGAACCGGCCTCATCGTGGTGGTGGGCGCCCACGTCACACAGGCCACGCTCCAGCTTCCCGGGTGCCCACATGCTTATGAACCAGCAGTGAGATGGACGTGTCTCCCAGGGCCAGCCAGGCCTTCTCCGGCTCTTCCTACCTCGTTATGTGCTGCGGCCTGGATACACTGGAGCTTTTAAATAGAGTAGTTCCACTCTAGCATTTGATTCTGTTACGAATGGAATGGCATCCTCCAAACTTATAGGTGGAAGCTGTATCCCCCATGTGACTATATTTGGAGACAAGGCGTTTAAGGAGGTAACAAGATTGAATGATCCCATAAGGTTGGGGCCCTAATCCTAATCCTGTAGGACCAGTGTTCTTATGGGAGGAGGAAGAGACACCAGGGATCCCCACTATCTGTGCACAGAGGAGAGGCCGTGTGAGGATCTGGGGGAAGGCTGCCATCTAGAAGTTGAGGAGAGAGGCCTGTGGAGAAACCAGCTGTGCTGGTTCCTTAATGTTAGACGTCCAGCCTTCAGAGTTGTGAGAAATAAATCCGTGTTGTTTAAGACCCTCCGCTTGTGGTTTTTGTGATGACAGCTGCAGTACCCTAAAATACTTTCCAAACTCCATCACAATGTGGGCCCCATCTCCCGTTACTGCTCAGGAGTAGGAGAATGAAAAAGAGGGCTGGCAGGGGCTGGGGATGGGCGTTCTGGGATACTGGGGCCCTAGCTGACTTTGGACAAGTCTCTTTTGTCTCCCCACTGTAAAAAGGAGACCTTGGGCCCAGTGGTCTCTACACGATTCTCCACACCAGAAGCTCTCTGGCATCTTGGGTCTGGGGCCACTGCTCAGTGCAGGGAGGGCTTGGTCTTGGTAAGGGCAGCAGTATACTCTCAGGGCCCAGAACAAGGCCTGGTGTGTGAGCTGGGCCCTGGACCCGGAAGAAGGAACATTGACCTCTGCCTCCTCTTCACCTTCCCTTCTGCAGTGATCGTGGCCAACACCCAGGGCTCCAGTCCATTCCTGGGGCTTGGGGGCACAGGGACCCATAGAGAATGCCCAGTTGGCTCGAATGAGGGTTATCCCTGCATGGCCACTGTCCTTGAGATGGCTGCCCCTGGAGTGTGCAGAGGACACTCTCAGTACCACCAGATTCCAGCCTGCCTGGCGGGAGTCCCCAGGACCGTCACTCTCGCCTTGGTTACAGGGGCCTCTGTCCTCCACATCTCAGGGAGGTGGAACCAGCCCACACAGTGCACAGTAAATGCTCATACTCCTCAGCTTCTCTTAAGGGTCAGAAATCAAGGGCATACCTAGAGGCCAAAGCCTTCTTTGGGCCTCAGTTTCTCCATCTGCAGACTGAGCAGTGGGCTCCGACCATTGCTGCCATCCCCCTGAGGTCTGTAGGATCTCAGAGGTTTATTTGCAAGGAGTTTCCCCCCAGTTTCCTCTACATAAATCATCCTGAGCACACACATACCTGCGTACCTTGAGGGTGGCAGGAAGTCCAGACATTGCTCCCGACCCCCTTAGGTCCAGGCCCAGGGCACAGCCCTATAAATCCGTAACACAGAGAGCACCAAGGGCCGAAAGCGTCCTCGTGGAGGGCAGGGCTGTGGGGAAGAGGCTGAGCCACCAGGGGCTCTCGGGGGCTGGAGCCTGGCCCTGAGGCAGAGACACAGAGGGTCCCGTATCAGTCAGCGCCCTTTGGAGGGAGAGAGACAGAGACACAGACACAGGGAGATTGATTTAATGCGCTGGCCCATGTGATGGTCCAGGCTGATGAATCTGAAATCTGCAGGGCAGACCCGCAGGGGAGCAGGCTGGGAGCCCGGGCAGGATTTTATGTTGCAGTCTTGGGGCAGAAATCCTTCTCCAGGAAGCCTCGGCGTTCATCTTCAGCTGCAGCTGAGGCCCAGCCACATCTCGTGATCTGCAGCACTTGCAATTAGCCAATTGTGCGTGTCCATCACACCTGCAGCACAGCCACAGTGGCATCTGGATGGGGCTTGACCGTGCCGCTGGGCACTGCAGCCCGGCCGAGTGGACACGGGGGGGTGCCCATCACTGTGCCCACACTGTTGTTGTCCGCTGGCCATCGTGGTGGGAGTGCCAGCTGACCTCCAGCCATTGGCATCGGCAAACTGCAGCCAAGGGCTCTCCAGAGATCTAGAGGCCCTAGGAGCAGCCTGTGACCTCTGACCCGGATCTCATGACCCTTGGGTGGGAAGACTCTGAGGGTCCCGTGCTGGCCCTCTCACTGGAGCAATCCCCCATGGTGGTGACAACAGCCCTTCCCCATCTCAGCCCTCATTCCTGCGAAAGTTCCCTGGGATGGCCTCCCCATAAACCTATTTCTAGGTGACCCCAAGTTAAGGCAGTCCTGAGGGAGATGGGTCTGTGGAAGGCGTGGGAGGAGAGGGAGCTCCTGGGGTCAGGGACCGTCCCTGGCTCCATCCCAAGGGCTGCCTGGGCCCCTCCAGGAAGGGGGAGCCTCCCTCAGCCTTGCAGCTTTGGGACACTCCAGATGACCTGGAGCCACCTGCTGGGTGGAGCATGGTGCCAGCCTCTCCTGGTCTCTGAGCTCAGGGCTCTGTGCATCCATGGCCCAGAGCTAGGTCCGGCAGAGGAGAGTTTCCAAGCCTCAAGCTCAGACTGTCTCGTAGATGAAGGAGTCAACATGAGCCAGTGAAGGCAGGTGGGGCACGGCTCCAACTTTGCCACCTAAGGTGACCTGGATCCTGAGGCCGGCAGCCCGCAGGACCAGGGAGGGAGGGCGGCGGGAACGCGCAGAGAAGCGAGCTCTGGGAGCACCTGCCATGCCCTCCTGCCTCCCTGGCCAGCACGGGCTGCGGGGACACAGAGGGAGCTTGGGAATGAGGTCGTGGGGGCGGCACCTGCCCCACACACTGACTCGTCCTGGCCCTTGGTGAGTGCTCAGGGCTGGGCTCTGGACTCAGTCACGCTGGGGCCGGCTTCGCTTCCGTGCAGCTGGGGCTGGACAGAGAGGAGGACACCCACTTCTCAGCAAGCCTCTGTCTGGCCGTGTGATTCTCAGAAGGAACTGGGCTCTGGCTGGAGCAGGCTGGCGAGTGCCCATCTCGCAAGGCACCTTTCAGCCTGACCCAGGCCTCTGCCAGTGGCCGGTCTCACGTGGACCCCTGTTCCCTCCTGTGTGTTGCAGAAGCGGCCGGGCATTCAGAACAGAGCTGCTCTCGGAGCCTGACAGTGATGGATAAGCCGGGACTCTGGGTGGCTGCCGGGTGAGGGGCGAGCCTGTTTCACGCGGGCCCCGGAGAAGCTGGATGCGGTCCCCGGACTGAAGGAGGAAGTTCCGGGGGGAGCGGCTGGGCAGGTGGACGCCTCCGCTGAATCCAGCGTTTCCATGGTTATTTCATTGAGTGACCGGCATGTCTCTTTCCTCACCCCGGGTCCTGCTGAGAAAGAAAAGGCGCCTAGCACAGCCACGTCTGCCAATGGCCAGGCGGGCGCCGCCACCTGCCTCAGCGTGTGCCCATGGCGAGGCCTCCTGGAAATGGCTGGGCTGAGCAGTGCGGTTTAAAGAAAAACCCAGAGAAGAAGGCAGCCATTCCCTAGGCCCGCGTCCTTGCAGCCTGCCCCAGAGGTCACCTGCCTCCGGAATTTGATTCTTCCCGGGGGTAGCTCATTCTCCCTCCTCTCATTCATTAGCCCCTGCAGGGACAGGGCTTTCCTTCTCAGCCCTCCTGTCCTCAGCCGTAAAACAAGGTGGCTGTTCTAGGTCAGAGCTGCCCGGCAGCCTCATGCCTGGTTTTAAATCTGTTTGTGCTGCCTGAAAACATGTAAAAAAAGGTAATATTTAGTTTGAGCCTATATTTTAACTCCATCACCCAAACATTGTCATTGCAATGTGCAGTCAATGTAGAAATTGCTGGTGAGAGCTCGGTCATGAGTCGGCGCTGACTCCCTCCCACCTGTGGCTGGTCTCACCAGGACGTGCCCCAGGTGCTCCGTGGATGCAAGGGGCTGGGGGCCGCTGTGGCTGGCACAGCTCTCCACCTTCCGTGATAATCCTTGCACCTTTAATGGGCCTGGCTCAGGCTCTGAGTGGGTGCAGTGGAGGCCCCAGGTCAGAGAGAGGCAGAGACCCCCAGGCTGGAGATAGAGATGGGAGGGCCTGGATGGGGCAGGGTGGGGCCTTGGGGAGGGGTCGCCGTGGTGCACAGTGTGGGGCCCTCGGTCGGTGCACCCTGGGCTGCCTGAGGCCTGGAGGTGGGCACCGGGGTGGATCTGGCCTCTGGTTCTGTTGTGTCCACTGGGCCACATGGCCTGGGCAAGCCAGGGTCTCCAGGGGCTGGGGAGGTCCCCCTCACCCACTCTCAGGCACGGCCCCCGACTGGAGCAGGCCATGGTGGCAGAAAAGGGCGTCCACACCCTCAGATTATAGGGACTTGCATGGCAGCAGGCTCCCCGCAGACCACTGAGGGTGCTGAGACCCGGGTAGGTGGGAGAAGCTGTCCAAGCGCAGGAGGTTACGTGGTCCGGGCCACGCCAGGCCCCACCCCGGGTGCTGCTGCCTCCGGCCTTATTTCCCTCCGGCCGATCTCGGTGGTTGTGGGCGGCATCATCGCACGGACGTGCACGGGGGCCTCCAGGGCCTCACACTCCAGACGTGACCAGCAGAGACGGTTCCTGCAGCCTTGGCCCTCGGATGCCTGTGCCGGGAACAGGTGGCTTAGTGGGGCCTGGCTGTGGCCTCCTCTGCGTCCAGGCCTCCTGCCGCCCCCGCCCCTTGGCCCTCATTCTGGGGGGCGTGGGCCAAGCTCCCTGTGATCACCTCTAATGGGCAGCCCCTCCTGGAGCCCTTTCATCTGATCCACAGAGTGTTTCACAAACACTGACTCATTCACCTCCCACGGCCTCAGAGGTAACTTGGTCCATTTGGTAGGAGGGAGACTGAGCCACCTCATTGTTCAAGATTTATTGCTGGGCCACCCAGCAACTCATCCCGGCCTCTTCCCCTCGAGACCCCAGATGTAGGAATTTGGCCAGAGAAGCAAGGGGGGCGGCCCTCCCAGAGGGCCAGGTGGACGGGCCAGGCCAGGCTCTGAGCTGAGACAGCTCCTCTGTGCGTGCGGCTGCCTCTGAGCCAACGGGGCGGGGCTGCTGTTCCACACCCGGCTGTGTCCGTGCCAGACGCTTGCTCACTCATGTCCCTTTGTGTGTGCACAGCTGAATCCTCACCCGAGTCACACAAGTCTTCCAAGTAAGTTCCGTTCTTCCCCCTTCTACAGGCAAGGACACAGAGCTTCGCAGAATTCAGCTCTTTCGGCCCAGGTAGCGCAGAGACTAAGCCTGGGAGCTACCGAGATCAGGCCTCTCTGGCCCCCAGAGTCGTGCTTCTCATTTCGCGTACGCCGTCACCACAGAGCGGCATCTTGTTTACGAACTGCCAAGCATGAGGTTAGGGTGTGTAGTCAGGATCCACGGGGAACAGGCATAAGCCGAGGAGTGAAATGGGATTGTCCAAAGAGGAAGGTGATTGTAATTGCTGAATATTATAGTTCCTTCCTCTCAGTTTCCATCTCAGCTAAACTGTAATCAGACTTCGTTACAGCTTAGACAGTGTTTAAAGGGAAACGCACGGGGCCAGCGATCCCTGTGCCTGTTAGTTCCTGCTTTGGGACCTCCTGCGAGCCGAACGGGCCTTTCTGAGCTGGGGAGCATGCCCGTTCTCACCTGCCCACCTGCGTCTGCTTTGATAACCCGGACATTATCCCGGCTCTCCCCGCGCCCGCCTGTCAGTCAAGCCCTTTGTGAAGTCACTTTCGTTTAGACACTTCTCCTGCTCCGACTCAGGGTAAAAACGTGTCTTCTGTGTGACATGGAGGGAGGTGGAAATTACTACGTGCATAGAAAACTGTAGGTTACACAAATAACCTGTCACCAGAGATAGGCAGCCGAGCTTTAAATCAACTCACGGCAGCCAGGGCCTTCGTGTGCCCTGGGGCCACTCGCCCTGCACGGGGAGGGGCGCATTGCAAAATTCCACCTCCCTCCGGGTGGCCGCTATGCAGAGCTTCTGTCTGAAGCTTGTTTTCCTAACAATGTTGACATTCTTCCCCGGCTCTCTTCGGCAGGTCCCTTGCCCCAGGAAGGTGGGGGACGACCCAGCCAATCTCTCCAGAGCCCGCGGCGTGCACAGCAGAGCTCAGAAGGGCCGCTTCTGAATCCTCGAGCAGCAGTGTTCGATTTTCTGTCAATGCTGACTCCAAACGGCTGCTCTTCCCCATCCGGGTGCTGCCGGTCTCCAGCCAGCATGTGCCAGACTCGGAGGGGACAGCAGCTTGAGCTCATAAAGATACAATAATAATCGTAAGGGGCATAACAGGGGTCGGGCACGGTGGCTCACGCCTGTAATCCCAGCGCTTTGGGAGGCCGAGGCGGGCGGATCACGAGGTCAGGAGATCGAGACCATCCTGGCTAACACGGCGAAACCCCGTCTCTACTAAAAATACAAAAAACAAAATCAGCCGGGCGCGGTGGCTCACGCCTGTAATCCCAGCGCTTTGGGAGGCCGAGGCGGGTGAATCACGAGGTCAGGAGATTGAGACCATCCTGGCTAACACGGTGAAACGCCATCTCTACTAAAAATACAAAAAATTAGCCGGCCGTGGTGGCGGGCGCCTGTAGTCCCAGCTACTCGGGAGGCTGAGGCAGGAGAATGGCGTGAACCCGGAAGGCGGAACTTGCAGTGAGCCGAGATCGCACCACCGCACTCCAGCCTGGACGACAGCGAGACTCTGTCTCAAAAAAAAAAAAAAATTAAAATAAAAAAATGTTTTTTGAGACAGGGTCTTGCTCTGTCACTCAGGCTGGAGTGCAGTGGTGCGATCTCAGCTCACTACAGCCTCGACCTCCCTGGCTCAAGGGATCCTCCTGCCCCGGCCTCCCGAGTAGCTGGGACTACAGGGCCTGCGGCTACACCCGGCTAATTCTTTTATTTTTTGTAGAGAAGGGTTTCCCTAAGTTGTCCATGCTGGTCTTGAACTTCTGGGCTCAAGCGATCCTCCTGCCTCAGCCTCCCAAAGTGCTGACCTCGCAGGTGTGAGCCACTGCACGCACCCCCTTCCTTCCTTTTTCCTTTCCCCTCCTTCACTCCTTGAGCTGGACGCAGCAGCATCTGAGTAACTGTGAACTGCTGTGTGCCGGGATGTCCTGCACGGCTTTTCTTGGTGGGTTTTATGGAGTCGGTGAGAAGGATAGCGGTTGTCAGGTGGATGCCCCAGCACTGCAGGATCCAGCTGAGCCCCACCCCTGGCCCAAGGAACCCCTGGGATCCAGCCCTGTGCCGCTGCCTGGGAGCAGGGCAGCCGTGGCCGGGCAGCCTGGGCGGGCGTGTTCTCCACACTTCCAGGAGGAGGCGGCTGGAGTTACTGGCCCCATCTTTAACCTGAGAGGCTTGGAGTGGTGACGTGGCTTGCCTGGGGTCACACAGCTGGAAATGACAGGGGGCGGGGAATGGGGATCTGACATGGGGTCTGTGTGGGGTCCTCTCCCCATGTCCCACCTCGCCCTGTGCTGGCAAGGCAGGCTGAGGAAGAGTCGGCTTCTATGGGGCGACAGGCTGTGCCTCAGAGACCTTCTTCTGGGTTCCCCGTGTGGCTGCTTCAGTTTGTGTCTTTGGAACGAGGGTGGGGGCACTGCAGCCTTGGGTGGGGCTCCGGAGGGCCTGAAGACTCTGGGAGGGAAGGGAGGAGGCTTCGCCCCAAGATGCAAGATAAGGGGGGCAAAGGGGCAGGGAGAGATGGCAACCCCAGGAGGCTGTCATCAGGCACAGCTGCAGAGGCGCTCGGGAAGCTGGCAGAGCCACAGACAGACCGGGCGGGCTGCATCCTAGCAGAGGGCGTTAGCAAGGACTCTTCAGGTCCGAGTGACAGAAACCTGCTCAGACTGATTGAGGTCAAGGTGGGTATTTACAAGGTGGATATTTCTGGCTCCTACCAGAAAGTGCGGGGTGGTGGGCTTCAGGCACGGCTGGATTCAGGTGCTCCAACAGCACGATCAGGGCGTGGACTCTCCCACTTCTGGCTCTGCTTTTCTCCACCTGGGCTGCATTCCCAGGCAGGTTCCCCACACTCTGGTGGCCCTGCAGGGAGGGGCCTCTGAGTGTCCCAGTCCCAGAGTCTGAGTGACTCGGCCTGGGTCCCTGCTCACCTCTGGGACAATCACCGGGGTCTGGGCCAGCCCTGGGTGGAGGGCCCACTGGGGGCCTAGGGTGGGGGAGCCCCCAGCCACACTGACTGAGATGGAGCACTTTCCCAAAGGAAAATCAGAGTCTTAGCTGGAAGGGAAAATTGAAGATTGGCCAGCAAACACCACAGAGGGCTGAGTACCCCCCCTCTTGCTTACCTCCCGTGACAGGGAGCTCATCACGTCCGAGGACCCCTCTTGCTTACCTCCCGTGACAGGGAGCTCATCACGTCTGAGGAAACTTGTTCATGGAGCCCCTGAAGGGCAACGGCCACCCCGTGGCCTGTAGGGGCAGCTGGCGCTCACTCCCTTTGCAAGCCCAGCAGTCTGTGCTCAGCCCCTGCCCTGCAGAACGGATGATGCTTCCCAGCCCCAAGAACTCCCCGGGCCCTGGGTGGGAGGAGCTCTGGGAAACGCAGGAGGAAGATGGTCTTGGGCCTTCGTGCCTGTCTGGGAGGACCCACAGCTCCAGGGCAGCTTGGTCTGGGTGCCAGTGCAGGTCACAGCTCATGTGTGGCCTCCTGTGTCCCGAGGCTGAGCCTCACCGCCACCCACACACACCTGCCTATGATGGCTGCCCCGGCCAGTCTCCTGGTGCAGGCCCAGTCCACTGTCCCCTGTCCCTCGGACACCCCCACCTCCAGCTTCCCAGACGCATGGCCTGAGGGCTCACAGCAGCCCAGCCCCAGGACGGCGGAGCCTTGCTCTCAAGCCAATGCTGGTCCCTCCATCCATCTTCCAGCCCTGAACCCAGAACCCAGAGCCCTGAAACTTCTCCCAGCCCACCGAGTGCTGGCCATGGCCCCCACCCCCCGCCTCCGCCCCACAGCTGCTCCCAGGGGCCTGCATCCCTTTTCAACTCCGCAGCTCTCTCCCTGTCCCCGGCCCAGGCTTGTCTTTCCCCAGGACCACGGGACCAGGCGAGGCTGCCCAGTCTGGGGAAGCGGGTGCCGGCCTCCCTGGAAGGCCACAAGGCACTCGAGCTCAGGGCCAGAGATGTGTCTGGAAGCCTCTGGGGACAGGGCCAAGGCTGTCCAGCCCAGCTGCTCCTTTGTTCCAGCCCCTGCCCCCCACAGCCCCAGCCATGGGGCCGGCCTTCTCGGCAGCACTCTGCGGCCAGCTCTAGGCTGGAGGGGAACATCCATTGTGGCCACAAGGCCTCGCCCAACCTCACAGCAGCTGCCCGGCCCCACCTCCTCTTCCCTTGGTTGGGGCATTTGCTGACCGTGGCCTTTTCGGTCCAAGGTGGGAGGCCACAGGGAGCAGAGGGTCGGAGGTACAGAGCCCAGAGGCCCCCAGGACCCAGGCAAGCTGAAGCCCTCGGACAGCCCATATCCAGCCTCTTCTTTGCTTTCAGATAAGAACTTTAAAAAGAAAACATCCTACAGAAAAGAAGCTCAGCTTTTCCCCGCTGCTGGCTGAGTGGGTTTCCTAAGAGCGGGTATTTCCTCCACCCCAGCAGCGCTTTTCAGCGAGGAGCATCTCCGTCTCCACGGAGGGCAGCCTGGAATGGGGGAACGCAGTCAGGCTGACATTGCTGTGACCTCCGCGGCTCGGGGTGGGCTGCTGACCGTGACCACCGGCTCCGAGGAAGAAAGAGCCCAGATGGGGAGTGTCTGCCAATACCTGTGGTGCAAATGCTCCCACCGGGGCTGGCTTCGAGCTGCCAAGGGGACATGCTGCAGGCAGGGGCGGGCACCCTGCGGTGACACCCACGTGACCCGACCTCAGACAGACACGACCCACGACCAACCTCTGGATCCTGGAGGAGCGCACAGGGCCGCAGCGTGAGAGGCAGTGGCGCGTGCTGTGTTCAGCGCTTCTGTTTTTAGTGACTTCTTTATTTGTAAGTTCTTATGATTTAATTTGTTTTTGAGATATGGTTTTGCTCCATCACTCAGGCTGGAGGGCAGTGGCGCAACCACAGCTCACTGCAGCCTCAACCTCCTGGGCTCAAGTGATCCTCCTGTCTCAGCCTCCCGAGGAGCTGGGACCGCAGGTACACGCCACCACATCCAGCTTATTTATTTATTTATTTATTTATTTATTTATTTATTTCTGAGACAGAGTCTCGCTCTGTCACCCAGGCTGGAGTGCAGCCGCGCGATCTCGGCTCACTGAAAGCTCCGCCTCCCGGGCTCACGCCATTCTCCTGCCTCAGCCTCCCAAGTAGCTGGGACTACGGGCGCCTGCCACCACATTTGGCTAACTTTTTTGTATTTTTAGTTGAGACGGGTTTTCACCGTGTTAGCCAGGATTGTCTGTCTCCTGACCTCGTGATCCGCCTGCCTCAGCCTCCCAAAGTGCTGGGATTACAGGTGTGAGCCACCGCGCCTGGCCTATTTATTTTTTTATCTGCAGAGATGAGATCTTGCTGTGTTGCCCAGGCTGGTCTCTCACTCCTGTCCTCAAGCCATCCTCCCTCCTCGGACTCCTGGCGTGCTGGGGTTACAGCATGAGCCCCCACGCCAGGCTGATTTAATTTTAATAGTTCTGTGTATGACGGCCAGCTCACCCGATTCCAGGACATGAAGGCTCAGCTCTTAGGAGCTGGCTCTGCACACCACCTGTGTGACGGCTGCAATTCACACCAGACCCCAACAAGACCGAGGCTTTGGTCTGACCGTGAAGGCCCCGGCGAGGACAGCATCACCCTCAGCCCCAGGCAAGAGGGGACCTGTAGTTCCCCTCCAGCCCCGCTGAGGCCTGAGCTGCCTTCGCAATCCCATCCTGAGTACCTCAAGGCCCTGGGGTTCCCGAGGCTCCTGCCCCAAAGGTCCCACGAGCACCACGTGTCTTCCTCTTCCAAGTCCTCTGCCTGCGGTGCTGGGCCTGGTGTGGGGGCAGCCAAGGGCGCTCTGTGCAGGACCCGGACCCAGCATGGCCACTCGGAGTGCGGGCCCGGCATCCCGAAGCCCCCTTCCCGTGAGAGTGAAGCCGGAGGCGATGGAGGGAGGCAGGAGGCATGGCTGTGTGTCCTCGGGAAGCTGAGATTTCTAACCTTGAGTCTGAACGTCCAGGCTGGTGTGAAGTCTGTCACGGCGGGAGCACGGAGGCTACTCTGCGAGTTCCACGGGGCATCAGCCGGGGCGGTGTTATTTAACGCCAGGACGTGCAGTGTATGGGCCTCTCTTGGTCTCTGGGCCCTGCCTGCGTTAGGGCATCGGCCGGGTCGGCTGTATTTAAATGCCCATGTAGTGCCTGGGCCTCCACAGAGCTCTAGGCCCCGTCCATGACGGTGCAGGCGTGTTCTCGGTGGAAACACAGCCGGTGAAGGCGGGAGGAGGGAAGAGTGAGCTCTCCCTGCCTGAGAGTCTCCGAGGGGTCCAGACTGAGGGTTGGGGGTGCAGGAGGGGAGGCCCCAGGGCTCAGCGGATCCCAGGTTGTGCAGGGTTCAGTGGGTTTCATTGAGGAATTTGGACTCTGCCCCAGGGGTGACGGGAGCCAACAGGCAGCGGCTACCTCCTGCCTCCTCTCCGTGATCCAGGTGCTCAGAGGAGCCAGGCAGCATGGCTGAGGCCACACAGACGTGCAGGAGGGAGTGCAGAGCAGGGCCCCGTCGTGCCTGAGGATAGAAGGTGCTTCCTTCCTGGGGCAGCAGCCTCCCTGCGAGAAGGCGGCTCTCCAGGGCTGCCTGGAACGCATAACCGACGGCTTGCAATCTGCACCCTGTGATTTATTTATATGGGGTTGAAGTACTGCAGGGGTCCCGTGCTGCTGTGTCAGGATTGGGCCCACGTAGCGCGCAGACCATTTGCCTTGCATGAAAAATGCATGATGGCGTCGGGAAGCCGCTGGGAAGTTTCGCGACGCCCGTGCAGGGGTCCTCGCACGGCCGACTGGCTGTCAGCGCCCCGGTCCTGCCGCCCATGTTGCCAATGGATGAGCCAAATGTCCCTCGTGCGAGGGGCCTTGTAGATCCTGCAGACACCGCGCCTCTCACCAGGGAGTAAGGGAATGGTCTTCCCCTGGGACCCACGAGTTCATCCTCAGCTCCACCTTCACCCACAGGCCACGGGGAAACCGCCCGGTGCAGGGGGCTCAGCACACCACCAAGAGCCTTTTAAAAAGGCTTTGGGTAACAGGGAGGAAGAAAGCCCAGTTTTAAACACCAAGTGTGGTCTGCGGGAACTTCCTAGGGCAGCCTGTCCAGTGGGAGTGTCTGTGGTGATGGGAATGCCCGTGTCTGTGTGAGCCACGTGGTGGTCACTGGTCACATGTGGAGACGGGAATGCCCGTGTCTGTGTGAGCCACGCGGTGGGTCACTGGTCACATGTGGAGACGGGAATCCTTGTGTCTGTGTGAGCCACGCGGTGGTCACTGGTCACACGTGGCGGGAATGCCCGTGTCTGTGTGAGCCACGTGGTGGTCACTGGTCACGTGTGGCTGCTGAGCCCTTGAAATGTGGCTCGTACAGTTGAGGAAGTGTGGCCTGTGCAGTTGAGGAGCCGGCTTTTAAATTTTATTTAATTTTAATGAATTTAAGTGTAAACATAAATAGCTACCATATCGGACCATGTCTAGGTTGATGACATATTGTCTTTTTTTTTTGGCTTTTTAAAGTGGTTGTATCGTTATTATTATTTAATTAAATCAATTAATTTTTGAGACAGGGCCTTGCTGTGTCGCCCAGGCTGCAGTGCAGGGGGGTGATCACAGCTCACTGCAGCCTCAACTTCCCATGCTCAAGCCGTCCTCCCACCTTAGCCTCCCGAGTACCTGGGACTACAGGCACGTGCCACCACGCATGGCTAATCTTGTACTTTTTGTAGACATGAGGTCTCGCTATGTTGCCCAGGCCGGTCTTGAACTCCTAGGCTCAACTCATCTTCCTGTCTTGGCTTCTTGAAGTGTTGGGATTACAGGCGTGAGCCACCTGTGCCTGGCCTATTTTTTATTTGTAAATATAAGGGGTACAAGTGCAGTTACATGGAAACACTGTGTAGTGGTGAAGTCGGGGCTGTCAGTGTAGCCATCACCAGAGAGCGTACATCAAACGCACCGGGAACTTTCTCATCCCTCGCCCCACCCTCCTGAGCATCCACGGGTGAGTGTTCCCCACTCTGTGTCCACGTGCACACATCATTTAGCTCCCACCTGTAAGTGAGGACACGTGCTCTTTGTCCTTCTGTTTCTGAACTGTTTGACTCAGCACTATGTTCTCCCGTTCCATCCACGTTCCTGCAAAGGGCACAATTTTACACTTTTTCATGGCTGAATAGTACTCCATCGTGTATATGCACCACATTCTCTTTCTCCAGCCGTCTGTTGGTGGAGCCCTAGGCTGATTCCGTGTCTTTGCTGTTGTGAATGGTGCTGTGATGGACGTGCACGTGCAGGTGTCTTTTTGATGTAATCATTTCCTTCGAGTAGCTGCCCGGCAGTGGGATTGCTGGATGAGTTCTGTTTTCAGTTCTTTGATAAATCTCTTTACTGGGGCAGTGGGATTGCTGGATGAGTTCTGTTTTCAGTTCTTTGATAAATCTCTTTACTGTGCTCCACAGGGGCTGACAATATTCCCGGTGAGGGTTTGGGAGACGCAGGTGTGTGCACGTCTCAGAACTCATCTCACGGAACTGTTAAGATCTGTGAATTCCACTGTAAATTTTACCTAAAACAAGAGAACTGTTGACAGATATTGGATTCTAGTTAATACTTCTGAAATATTTGTATTGAAATATACTGTTGTCTACAACTTCCTGTGAAATGCATCCAATAAAATAAGATGGGTTGACGGAGGGGTGGGGGGACGGAGAGGTGACTGGGTCTATGGTGAAGAAATGAGCCAGTGTTGATCGTAGAATCCAGGCAGAGGTGCCGGGCTTCACAATAAAGTGCTGAAGAAGCTCCAAATACAGTCAGGGATGGAGTGTTCTCTTATTACTCTGGGCGGGTCATGGTGTAAGTTTCCCCCATTAGGAGAATCAGAAAGCAATGGGAGTGGGTGGTGGGGAGTGGAACTGCCTCTCGCCAGCTCCTGGGAGCCACCATGCTCTCTTCTGCCAGTGCCATGTTCAGTGACATCACAGGGGCTGCATGAATATGGCTGTGGCAGCAGCGTTTACACCACGGAAATTGGCAGTCGCTGCGAGTCAGGGTCTTCCTGGGTTGCTGATTGTTAGACGTTTGCCAGCACAGCACGGGGAGTGGCAGGGAGGCACTGCCTTATCCCCCAGGGAGAGTCCCTGAGGACAGGGCGGCATCGACTCAGCTATGCCACCTGCACCCAGGGGAGTCTCTGAGGACAGGGCAGCCTCGACTGGGTTGTGCCGCCTGCACTCAGGGAGAGTCTCTGAGGCCAGGGCAGCATCAACTCTGCTGTGCCTCCTGCACCCAGCACAAGTCCTGGCCCAGAGTGAGTGCCCGGCCTTCGTGTGTGGACTTGCTGTGGAAACAGGACGGGTGCAGGACAGCGAGTGTTGGTGGAGGGTGGAGGGGAGGGGAGGTTGGAGGGGAGGGGAGGTTGGAGGGGAGGGGAGGGTGGAGGGGAGGGGAGGGTGGAGGGGAGGGGAGGGTGGAGGGGAGGGGAAGGGAGGGGAGGGGAGGAGAGGGTGGGTCCAGACACCTCTTATATTTCCAAGCCTGGAACTGAGGTGCCCCTCCTTCTGCCTTCTCCACCCCTACAGGAGCCGTGCTTGTTCCTGGGGCAGCTCAGTGTGGCTTCTGAGCCCCAAACCCATCGGCTGGACGGCCCACGAAGGGCCAGTCATTCATCAGATGGCTCAGGGCCATTTGCAAATCGGGTCGCCACCCTCTAGAGTTTGTCTCCTCCTCAGCGGGCCCAGCAAGGGCCTTCCTCGGCTACACAGGTACAGAGGCAGGTGGCCAAACTCCGGCCCCGTGAGGGGCCCTCCCCACCTGGTCTGGGGGCCCAGCCCCTCCCCGTGTCCTCACATGAGCAGCAGCAGGACAATCTCTGCCTCCAGGGACCGACCTCCCTCCCGCGGAGCATTTAGAACAAGCCCTGGGCGTGGGAATGCATCCCTGGGCTTAGTTCCCGAGCAGGCTTGGGGGGGGAGTGGCCCCGTCTGCCTTGACCAGAGGCCCAGTGGCTTTTCAGTTCACACTATCGCACACGCACACACACACACAGGCACACACACGCACACCCTCGAACACACACACGCACACACCACGTTTAGATAAAATGGGTTCACGGCCGTTCTGTTCTGCAACTTGTTAATCGCACCTTTTCGACTCTTGATGTCCTGCTGTCCACACGCAGATGTACCCGATGCTGCAGGGTGCCCCACGGCGCTCCACACCCCTCGCCCGGTCCCCAGGTGTGCGGGCCCCATGCTGTCCACCTGCGGGCTCCTGCCCGATGACAGACAGGCACCTGCACCTCAGAAGCATCCGCCCTGGGCTGTGCCTTTTTCTTTCATCTGCATGGGGCTGGCTGCCACTGGGCACTGGTGCTGTCTGTCGGGTGGGCTGAGCGGCTACAAGCTGGGTCTGACATGTGCATCATTGCCGGTGTATGAGGTCAGGCGTCTGGTCACCGACGGACGGCCTCCCTGCGTGTCCTTCTCTGGGAATCGCCTGCTCCCACCCTTTGAGAGAAGCATGCCTTCCACGTTACACAAATGTTCTTCCCGCTCCGGCCCTGCCCTCCCCAGCAACGGGACACAGGCCGGTGCTGAATAAGCCCTTGTTGGCCAGGGCTGGGCACACAGTGAAAGGGGTTTGTGAACCGAGCCAGGGCCGAGAAGAAAGCAGCGGCCGCCCCTGGGGAGCGGGGACCGGGCCGGGGGCTCTGTGCCAGGGCACGCTGAGTCACGGGGCAGGGGAAGCTCCAAGGGGCCGCTCCCATCCCATGGACGGCCTCGCTGGCCAGGGTGCCTATCCTTGCAGGGCCTCAGTTTCCCAGTGGGCAGGTTCCCGTCCATTGCCCTGGGGTCAGGCTGGCTCACGTGCCCTGAGGGACGTCCCCTGGGGCCTGCCCTGCCAAACTCCCCGCCAACCGGATGCACCCACTGTGGGGATATTTTCCACCAGGCGGGAGGCCTGATGTGTGTGGGGGGGGCTGCTTCCAAGCCCCAAGGGTGTTCCCCATCCCTGACCCCCTCCCTCAAAGTCAAGGAGCAGCATCCAGATACACGGGGTCCACGCAGAGACAGATGGGCCCTGCCCACCTGGCAGCTGAACGCCCTCAGCAGGATTGCCTTCTGCTGACAGCAGGTGCTGACGTGCACCCAGGTTCCCTGACACCACCTGTCAGCAGCCTCGGTGCAAAGACCAGTCTCTGGCACAGACACCTTGCCTCCTCCCAGGCCCCCCTTCTCCCCTCCCAGCCCCGAGCCCATGAGCCCACCAGGAAGGAGGTAGGAGGGAGAAGGCTGACCTCCACTTCCTGGGGTGACTCCTGGCTGGAGCAGAGCCTCAGTGGGGCAGAGGCCTTGGTGTCTCCAGCCCATGTGCCCACCCCAGCCCAGCTCCCTCCTTCTGAGGCCCCTGGGGTAGGATGTCCAGTGCCGGCTGCCCATGGGGCTGCAGGTCTGGGCTGCTTCTCCTAGAACTCAGGGTCTTGCAGCTGTGCTGGAGAGAGTTCAGCCTGAGTCCCATGGGTCCGGGTAGGGCAGAGCACATTCTTGGGCTCCTTCCCCAGGGCCCTCCACATGCCTGATCCTAAGGGCGGTGTAGACAGCGAGAAAGGAAGTGTGTTCTCTGGGGGGTGGAGTGTGGGCATGGCGTCACTGGCCACCGTGCATGCCAGGAGGAGGTTGAGGGGCATCCTGCAGGGCGGGATGGGCAGGGGTGGGCGGCTCCCGATGCTGGGTCTCTCTGGGCTGCAAGTGAAGGAAACTCCCTCCATCTCAGCGAGAACGCATGGGTCACAGGGCTGCAAAGTCTGGGGGAACGTGCGGCTTCAGGTCTGGTCTGATCCAGGGACTTGGACGCTCAGCCACGGTTGCACCTGCCTCCCTCTCTGTCCTGCTGCCCTCTGGGATGGTTTCTGCTGCAGGGAGGCACCCACATTCCACGTGTAAAGAGGTGTGACCTCCTTCACCCCTGCCAGGCTTAAAGATGTGCAGCTCTCCCAGTGTTTCTTGAGGACAGCCTGGGCAGTGTGTGTGGGTCCCCAGGGCCTCCTGCTCACTGTTGGCCATCACTGGTCCTCTCGTAGGCCGGATCTGTGAAGGTGCCCACCTGAGATGGAGCAGGGTTGGTCCCCCTAGACACAAGGATGAGAGGTCGAGGAGGGTCCCAGACGGAAGCCGGGGGCCAGGCAGGGGGTGTGTTCTGGGCCCAGAGTGGCCACACAGCCCCCAATGGGGCCATCTCCACATGGAGTTTGTGGGACCTCGTCTTAGTCCCTCCCGGCTGCTGGAACAGAAAACTCTGCACCAGGCAGCTCATAAGCGGCCGAAATTCATCCCTCACAGCTCCAGAGGCTGGAAGTGGACACCAGGCGGCGGCAGGTTCAGCGTCTGCTGAGGGCTTCCTGGGTCATATATGGTGCCTTCTGGCTGTGTCCTTACATGGGACAGGGGTGAGGAAGCTCTTGGAGCCCTCCTTTGTAAGGGCACTAACCCATCCACGGGGCTTCACCTCATCGCTTCCCCAAGGCCCCGCTCCAAACACCAACACCTTAGGAGTGAGGATTTCAGAGCAGGAGTTTGGGGCACAAACATTCTGTCCATAGCCCCCAGGACCCTCGGTGAGTGGTCTGCGTGGCCTTCTCAGGGGTGGACGGCCTTGTTCCTCGGCTTGTCGTGGAGGCCACAGTGCAGTGCCCGAAGTCTCCTCCAGATCTCCTAAGAGAAGAGAGAGACGCCCCCACCCCTTCGTGCTTCTCCTAAAATTCAAGGAGGGTCTGGAGGACCCTTAATCCCAGCCTGAAACCTGGCCTGGGCGTTCCGTCCCCGGTGCCACACCCCTCACCCTGAAAGCTCCCAGCAGCCTCAGTGGGTGCCCCTTCCTCACTAGGCCTGGGGCGCCCGGCCCTCTGGGGACACTGGGCCTGCGGGGGTCTTGGGGTGGACACGATGCTTTCTTATTCCCTCGAAGATAAGCCGGCCTGAGCAGGGGGTGCGGTGCATAGGGCGGGGACCCCTGGAACCAACACCCGGGTTCCATCCGATGCTGGGCGTGTTGGGGGAGTCTCGGGGGTCTCCGTCTGATGCTGGGAGTGTTGGGGGAGTCTCGGGGGTCTCCGTCCGATGCTGGGCATATTGGGGGAGTCTTGGAGGTCTCCGGCCTCAGTGGCTGCATCTGTCACATGGGAAGGCCGCAGAGTGCCTGGTTCCTGGGTTCCTGAGCCTCAGATGAGCTCGGATTTATAAAGAGCTGGAAGAGGCCTGGCTCCCGGTCGAAGCCCAGCAGGTGTTTGTCCAACAGGGTCAGACGATGCGGCCCCGGAGGCCGGCAGGCTTTCCCCTCTGGGCAGGTGGCAAGAAGCTGCCTCCGTTCACAAAGCTCCAAGCTCTCCTATTCCTTCCCCCAAGCCCGAGCTTAGTTGAGTGGAGGGTGAGGGGAGTGTCAGGCACGCAGCCCCTCGTGGGAGCTTCCCCTGCCCCGCAGGCTGCGCGGTGTCTGAGAAGGAATCCTCTGCCGTGGGCAGGTGTGCCCAGCACCCGGACCCTGCCCGGACCAGCTGTCCTGCACCCACGTCCGCCTGCAGGACCCTGCAGCCTGTGGAGGGAACCCTTTGGCCGCGGTGGGGTCCTGAGCTCCCTCATTCCCCCCACAGGGGCTCAGCTTTCCTTTCTCTGACCGCCTTTCCCTAAATTAACTGTTTTTGGCATGGGGTCCTCTCCCCACGACTCGCCTTAGGCTCCCACCATCACCCCCCCCCAGCACTTCTTCAGCCTTGGTGTTGTAAAGACCCCAAAGTGTACAGCTGGGGTCTTGCTTCCAAGGCAGCTGCACGGGACCCTTCCTATCCAGGGCTTAGGGTCCCCAACGCTCAGGGTGGCCCGTCCTCCCCAGAGCATCTGTGTCCACTGGGAAAGAGGAGGCGGTGGCTCTGGTCACACCAGGAAGCCTCTGGTGGGCATGGCCGGGCCCTGTACATGGGCCTGCAGGTCGTGTCCTGCAAGCAGGGCCCTGGCCGTGATGGACAGACAGGAAGGACCTCAGGAGGGCTCAAAGGGGGCTGGGGCTGCCCCTGTCCTGATCCTGGGCACCGCGCCTGATGACCACAGCTCCTGGGACAGGGAGGGCCGTCCCCGGGCTGCAGAGACTGAGGCTGGCCTGCGGACTGTGGATTCATGGGGCCTGGCTCTCTCTTAGTATGAGTAGGGTCTTCTCCCAGCCAGAGGCCGCCAGCGGCTCCCGGGGCCCTTTAAGAGAAGGCGGGTGGGCGGGACGCGCAGGCTGTCATCCAGGTGCACAGTGGGGAGCATCGTTTCCAGGTGCACGGTGGGGAGGGGGAGCATCGTTTCCTCGTGAGCTGGTGGGCGGGACTCGAAGGTTGTCGTCCAGGTGCATGTTGGGGAGCGTCGTTTCCGGGTGCACGGTGGGGAGCGTAGTTTCCAGGTGCATGTTGGGGAGCGTCGTTTCCAGGTGCACGGCAGGGAGCATCGTTTCCGGGTGCACGGTGGGGAGCGTCGTTTCCGGGTGCACGGTGGGGAGCGTAATTTCCAGGTGCATGTTGGGGAGCGTCGTTTCCAGGTGCACGGCAGGGAGCATCGTTTCCGGGTGCACGGTGGGGAGCATCGTTTCCGGGTGCACGGTGGGGAGCGTTGTTTCCGGGTGCATGTTGGGGAGCGTCGTTTCCAGGTGCACCGTGCGGAGCATCGTTTCCTCGTGAGCTGGTTGTAGGTTGGTCACCACTCGGAGGCCCTTAGGTCCCTGCAGGCAGGGGCCGTGGGGGCCCCTTTGTGGCTGTGTCAGGACAGCCTTGCATCTGGGTCCCACCGCTTGGTGTTTCTTGATGGGGACAGGGGAGCTGTTCTTGGGCCAGGCTGCATAACGTGGCCCCCTGACCTTCACTGTGGAGTCACTGAGGTTGGAGGGGTGGGACGGGGGAGAGTGGGCGGGGGGCTTGTGCCCAGGGCTGCTGCTCCCCGGAGCCCCTGCAGAGAAGCCCCTGCACTGTCCGTCTGCCTCAGGGGCCTGGGCCAGTGCTCCTGGAGGAGGGCCTGGGTGCAGAAATGCTCACACAGACCTTCTGCCACTGTGAACTGCTCAGGGCCCCATCCTGGCTGTGTCCCCCACCCCTTTTGAAGGGGAAGGCCAGCCTGGAGCTGGCTGGAGGCCGTGGCTCCTGGGTTCCTCTGTGTCGGGTTTTTCACAATGTCGGGCAGTACTTCCAAAGCAGAAACTCAGGACAAACACCAAGGGCTCCACGGTATCCTGCAGGAGCTTGGGAAACAGCGAGTTTTTGAGGGGTGGAGGCCCAGCCTGCCCTCGGAAGTAGCCGCTGAGATAGTGGGCCTCCTCTACCAGCCACTGGCAGGGACACAGGAAGCACCCTCCATCTTTAGAGCTGCAGTGAGGGGTGGGCAGCGGCCCCTTGGGCGGGGGGCACTGATCATAGACCCAGACAGTGGTGGGCAGCCCATCTGTGCTGCCTGGGCCCGCTTGTCAGGCCCCGGGGTCTTCAGGTGCCTGTCAGGATTGACACTGCTGGTCTCATCAAAGGGGATGCCCTGGCCTTCCAGAGGGAGGGCCCAGGGATGGGTCTCTGGGGGTTCCTGCAGCTCTCACCTCTGTCCTTTGATAGCCATCAGAGATGGCCAGGCCTGGGGCCACCAGGGGTGACTGGGGGGAGCTGGGACTGAGACGGCTGCGGAGGTTTTGCCTGCCCTGGGCGAGGCTGCAGGGGTGACTGGGGGGAGGTGGGACTGAGACGGCTGCGGAGGTTTTGCCTGCCCTGGGCGAGGCTGCAGGGGTGACTGGGGGGAGGTGGGACTGAGACGGCTGCGGAGGTTTTGCCTGCCCTGGGCGAGGCTGCAGGGGTGACTGGGGGGAGGTGGGACTGAGACGGCTGCGGAGGTTTTGCCTGCCCTGGGCGAGGCTGCAGGGGTGACTGGGGGGAGGTGGGACTGAGACGGCTGCGGAGGTTTTGCCTGCCCTGGGCGAGGCTGCAGGGGTGACTGGGGGGAGCTGGGACTGAGACGGCTGCGGAGGTTTTGCCTGCCCTGGGCGAGGCTGCAGGGGTGACTGGGGGGAGGTGGGACTGAGACGGCTGCAGAGGTTTTGCCTGCCCTGGGCGAGGCTGCAGGGGTGACTGGGGGGAGCTGGGACTGAGACGGCTGCAGAGGTTTTGCCTGCCCTGGGCGAGGCTGCAGGGGTGACTGGGGGGAGGTGGGACTGAGACGGCTGCGGAGGTTTTGCCTGCCCTGGGCGAGGCTGCAGGGGTGACTGGGGGGAGCTGGGACTGAGACGGCTGCAGAGGTTTTGCCTGCCCTGGGCGAGGCTGCAGGGGTGACTGGGGGGAGGTGGGACTGAGACGGCTGCAGAGGTTTTGCCTGCCCTGGGCGAGGCTGCAGGGGTGACTGGGGGGAGCTGGGACTGAGACGGCTGCGGAGGTTTTGCCTGCCCTGGGCGAGGCTGCAGGGGTGACTGGGAAGAGCTGGGACTGAGACGGCTTCGAAGGTTTTGCCTGCCCTGGGTGAGGCTGCAGGGGTGACTGAGGGGAGCTGGGACTGAGAGGGCTGAGGAGGTTTTGCCTGTCCTGGGCAGGGCTGCATCTTCAGTCCCAGGGCCCCGGACACCCCAGGCTTGTCCGTGGGATGGTGATGGGAAGGGCTGTTCTGGGGCTACTGGAAGTTAAGACAGGAACTGACGTGGAGAGAGCCTCCGGGCCTCCAACTTCCAGAGTCAGCTCCTGCAGACCCTCCCAGGCCACGCGCCTGGCCCAGAGCCTTCCCGCTCACTCCTGGCTGCCCCTCCAGGCCTGGACTTGAGCTTCAGACAGGGGCAGGATTCCAGGGGGATGGAGCCAAGGGTTCCCTGGACAAAACGGAGTTGCCTCTGGCCAACTGGGATGCGATTCCAGAAAAACATCTTGCTCTCCTGGCCATCCTGGCTGGACTGCCCACATGGCCTCCTACAGACTGGGGGTGGGGAGGGAAGGTGTCAGCAAGGACCTTTCCTGCCAAGACCAGAAGAGGCCAAGCGGGCAGAGAGAGCACTTCTGTCCTGGAATCAAGGATTGAGGCCAAGGCTGACAGCCGGCTCAGCCCAAAGTCACATCAAGGTGAAGGAGGAGAACTGCTGTGTGCTCATCCCTGAAATGGGAATAAAAACTGAGTCTTTTTTACTAAATCTCAGTAAAATAATTATTCACAATAACAAGCCCATGACACATTGACATAAATAATATTTTTAAAGAAAAAACTATATTCTCCACAGTACAAAATAAATAGCATTGTTTTACATTTTTGCAAATTTCTCTAATGTTTGAACTTGCAAGAGAGCAGCTGGATTCTCGTATCCGCGTTTGCATTAGACCAATGAGAAAATGAGAGCCAGAAGGACAAATGACAGCTTATGCACATGATGACTTGGACACCATGGATCCCCTGAAAGGGTCTCGGGATGCCTCAAGGGTCCCCAGGTTACACTTAGAGAACTGATGATGTAAGATATTTGATTACACCAAAGAAGGCAGGAAAGAAGACGAAGAAAAATCAGAAGAACAAAAATATGTATGATACAGATAGGAAACAAGTAGCAAAATGACACACTTAAATTCAACTATTTTGATATGTACAATAAACGTAAATGGACTAAACCCTGCTGCCCTGCCAGCCCTTTGGGGAAGGGAGGCACCTCCAGCAGTGGAATGTCAGGCACCCTGGTGTGTGGCTGGAGACAACATCTTTAGGAAAACATGCTTTCCCCACTGTTTTTTACCTCAAATGTATGTTGAGCCCTTATATGCTGGGCCCTGTACAGGCCTTGGGGAGCTAAAGATGATTCAAACATTGTCTCCACTCGAGGACTCAGGGTCTAGGGGATTATAAGCTGGGCTCAGAGACCCTCTTCCTTCCAAGCACTAGTGATATTTGTTCAACATCTTCCCCATGCGTCTCGCGTAAGTCTCTTTGCAACCACACTGAGAGCTGGACCTCTGGGTTTTTATCCTGTCTCAGACAGTGCACAGGTGTGAAAACAGGCTCACCTGGATCATCAGCCAGCATTCGATGAGGGTCTAATTCAGTAGAGGTGGGTCACAGGGTTTGTCTAGAGCATCTCGCATGCTCTGTTTTACAGATGAAAAACTGAGGCCCAGGGGCGGGGGTGAGAGACCCAAAAGGGGAGGCTGAACGGAGGCAGCGAGCTCAGGCCCTCTCAGCTTGAGGACACTGCCTGTCTCACATGTGAGTCCTCAGGATGCTGTTTTGGAAGTGTCTCGTCAATCAGAACACCAGGTTGTTACAAGACTGTGCCCTGGGGAGGGCACAACACTCCTGAGTCAGTGTCTACCCCTAACCTGGCCGAGAGGCTCAGCTCGCTCACCTCCTAGGTTTGTGGCTGAGTTCAGCGGCTGGGCCTGTTTCCTCATCTTAGAATGGGTATAGGTGACCCGTCAGATGACTGCTGGGAGGATCGTGGGAGCAGGGGAGGGTCCAGGATGGGGACTGGGCCTGCTGGGCGAGGTTGGGCTCTGAGGCTGGCCTGCACCTGGCGGACAGGTAAGGGCTGAAGCCCAGGGGATGCTGGGTGAGGACTTTATGGGTTCTCACAAAATGACCTTTGCAGCCTGCGTTGTGGTTCAGTCCTTGGAGCCAGTCTGAGGCCCGCATCACTCCAGGGCTATATTTCAGCAGTGGCCGCTGGCTGCTTCTGAAACCAGAGGCACCGGGCCAGCTCAGGGGCTTCCTGTTGATTTCAGGTTGGCTCAGGGGCCCGGGGAGCGAACCCCAGGGGCTCTGACTTGCCACAAAGATAGCTGAGCAAGCCAGGAGCTGGGGGGCAATGGGGAGCCCACAGGCCCCACGGGACCCCACTCCTGCCTCTTCCCACCCCCCCGGCACCACCCAGGGCCTTGCACCCTCAGAACAACCCATTCTGCAGTTTCCCAAAAACCCTGGAGATGGCCTCGGCGGTCCGGTCCCCCGGGCAGTGACCTGCCACTGCGCTGGACACCACACCACGGAGTAAGGCGGCTCCGGCGGGGAATCTGGCTTGATGCCATCTCAGTGCTTAAGATCAGCATCTTCCCAGTAGTCAACCTAAACTAGGACTTTTCATCAGCTACCTTCTTCCAACCAAAATGATTTTTCTGGAGACAGGGTCTGGCTCTGCCACCCAGGCTGGAGTGCAGTGGTGTGACCTTGGTACACTGCAGCCTCAACCTCCTGGGCTTGAGTGATCTTCCCATCTCAGCCTCCCGAGTAGCTGGGGCTACAGGTGCACAACACCACGCCCAGCTAATTTTTCTATTTTTTACAGAGGTGGGGTCTCACCATATTGTCCTGGCTTTAAAATGATTTTGACCATCATTTTCCTTTTCCCTTTAGTGCTCACTACCCTCTGAGGCCAGGCCTCAGTTCTAATAGTTCTAATATCCTTTACACCCCCCCGCTTTTTTTTTTTAATAAAACATCGCATGAGAAAGAGGGCAAGAACTCTCCAGGCGGGCATGGGTTTTGAGGTGCTCGGCTTTGAGGGGGTTAGGGTGACTCTGTGGGGGCTTTGCCAGAACACAGGGGTGGACAGGGGTGTCTTTGCCAAGCGGACACTGTGAGGTCTCCTGGGGAGGCTGTTGGTTTTCCCTGGACAGGTTCCCGGTCTCTGCCTCCACGCTGAGAGCACAGGTGCAGGTGAGGCCCAGCCCCGTGGTGGGCAGGCTGCTCCCTGCGCCCCTCTCAGCCTCGGGGCCCCAGTGCCTCCTCTCCCTCTCTGCCTCTGTGGCATGAACGTCTGGAGTCTCTGCTCCTGGGCAGCCTGCGGGCCCCGCTGAGTGTCTGGGAACGTTTTCCTGCCTCCCTGGCGTCCCCGACGTGTGTCTCCTTGTGAAAGTCGGGGTCTGGCCCGGGATCGGCGTGCAGTTCCCTCACTGATCTCTGCTCTGTCTTCTCTCCCCTGCTTGGTGCCCCTCGAGAGCAGACCCACCCTGTGGGACCCACCTCTGTGTCCCCAACACCAGCATGAGGAGTTTCAGGAAGGCGCCAGGCCCTCTGAGCTCCCGGCGGCTCGGCAGCTCCTTGGCTAGCCACGGCGTCGCTGCAGTCTTCCCCCAGCGTTTGCCCCGCGTGCCTGTGTCCAAAGCTCCCGTTTGTGAGGACACGTGTCATGCCGGGTTAGGGCCTCTCTGATGACCTCATCTTAACTTAATCACCTCTGTGAAGGCCTCTTCTCCAGGTAAGACCAGATTCTACAGTGCTGGAGCCAGGACTCAGTGCATCTTTTTGGGGGACACAATTCACTCCTCACAGCCGGCTGGTGCCTCTCTCTGACCCCCACTCCCCTCCTCCCACAATTGCTGAAGGTCTCATCCCATCCCGCCCACAGGGCCCCGCTTCCCTGGACGGTACCGCAGGCCGCGGCCCCCGTGAGCTGACTGCGTGACCCAGGGTGAGCCTGGAGGACACCTCAGGCTGCTGTCCCCACGAACTGGCCGCATGACCCAGGGTGAGCCTAGAGGACTCTGCAGGCCACGGGCCCCGCGAACTGGCCGCGTGACCCAGGGTGAGCCTGGAAGGCACCGCAGGCTGCTGTCCCTGCAAACTGGCCCTGTGACCCAGGGTGAGCCTGGAGGACTCCGCAGGCCACGGGCCCCGTGAGTTGGCCCTGTCACCCAGGCTGAGCCTGGAGGGCACCGCAGGCCGCATCCCCCGTGAGCTGGCCCTGTCACCCAGGCTGAGCCTGGAGGGCACCACAGGCCGCGTCCCCTGCAAGCTGGCCGTGTGACCCAGGGTGAGCCGCACAACCTCTCCATGCCTTGGTTTCCCTTCTGTGAAGTGAGGACGAAAACAGATGCCAGTGCCGGGTTATATAACATGAGGACTCAGGACAGGGCAGGCGCCAGGAATCCGGAGCCTTTAGAGCACGAGGCCTGTTCCGGGGGGAGAGGAGATCCCTTTACCCAGCATGAGGCCTGTTCCAGGGAGAGGGGATCCCCGTTTTCAGGGTGTGCTCACTCCCTCCCAGCCTCAGTGTCTCAGCGACACTCATGGGGTCAGGAACACTCAAGTCACGTTTGCTTTCCCTGCCTGGCTACAAAGTGACTGGGGTCCCCTTTGTCTGTGGAAAGTGGCAAATCAGCTCCTTTCACACCAGGGCTCTGGCCAGGGGTGACAGGTGGAAGCCCCACCCATGTCTCACACATGGGGTGGTGGGTGGCCCAGGTGCTTCATGGTGATGATGAGATGATGGTGACGGTGACAACAGTGGGGTAGGAGGAAGAGGAGGAAGGGGAGTAGGGGGAGGAGGAGGAAGGGGAGTACGGAGAGGACGGGGGAGGAAGGAGGAAGGGAAGAGAAGGGGAGGAGGGAGGAAGCGGAAGAGAGGGAGGGGGAAGAAAAAAGGAGGAGGGGGAAAGAAGAGGGACGGAGAGAAGGATAGAGGATGAGGGGAAGGAAGGAGGAAGAGGGGGAGGAGGGAGGAAGAGGGGGAGGGAAGAGGAGGAGGGGGAGGAGGGAGGAGGGGGAGGAGGGAGGATGGAGAGGAGGGAGGAGGGGGAGGAGGGAGGAGGGGGAGGAGGGGAAGGAGGAGAAGGAGGGAGAGGATCAAGGAGGAGGGGGAGGAGGGAGGAGGGGGAGGAGGGAGGAGGGGGAGGAGGGAGGAGGGGAGGAGGAGGGAGAGGATCAAGGAGGAGGGGGAGGAGGGAGGAGGAGGGGGTGAGGGAGGAGGGGGAGGAAGAAGGAAGAGTCGGGGAGGAGGGGGAGAGGGAGGAAAGGGGAAGAGGAGGGGAGGAGGGGGGAGGAGGAGGGGTCTTCAGTGGTTGAAAATACAGGCCTCCCAGAGCCCAAAGGCAGCCTCTGTGGGCTCCACTTCCCGGCCGAGGAAGCCGAGGCGTGGAGAGGTGACCGGACATGCCCGTGTTCATATGGCTCAGAGTGGTCAGGGCTGGGACCCCGCCCAGGCTGGAGACTCCGTTACTGCCGCTGGACAAGTTCGAGGAGCATTTCAGCCACCCGGCAAGGGCACCTTCTCAAGGTTGCCAGGGGCTTGAACGGCCGGGGCGTGTCAGGAAAGGCCCGACCACTGAGGCTTCGAGCTCCTCTGCTCCGGCGTGGTGTGGCCGTGGGAGACACTCACGGGGGCCAGGGCCTCTGCTTGGCAGTTGGAGAAGCTGATGAGCAAAACGTGGAGCTCTGAAAGAAAAATGCTTGTGGACCAGCTCTTTCAAAACAAGGTGTCGGTCCGGGAGCGGTGGCTCACGCCTGTAATCCCAGCACTTTGGGAGGCTGAGGCGGGCGGATCACAAGGTCAGGAGATCGAGACCATCCTGGCTAGCACAGTGAAACCCCGTCTCTATTAAAAATACAAAAAATTAGCCAGGCGTGGTGGCGGGCGCCTGTAGTCCCAGCTACTCGAGAGGCTAAGGCAGGAGAATGGGGTGAAGCCGGGAGGCGGAGCTTGCAGTGAGCCGAGATCGCGCCACTGCCCTCCAGCCTGGGTGACAGAGCGAGAGACTCTGTCTCAAAAAAAAAAAAAAAAAAAAAGGTGTCAGGGCCGTCATCCAAGGGCTCCTTCAAAATCCCCCTCCCTCCCAGACCCCTTGGCAGACTGCAGGCCTTGAGCATCTGGCTGTGGCTTATTTATTTATTTTTGAGACAGAGTTTCACTCTTGTTGCCCAGGCTGGAGTGCAATGGCGCAATCTCGGCTCAGCGGTGCAACCTCCGCCTCGTGGGTCCCAGTTCAAGCAATTCTCCTGCCTCAGCCTCCAGAGCAGCTGGGATTACAGGTCCACGCCACCATGCGCCACCACGCCCAGCTAAGTTTATGTATTTTTAGTAGAGACGGGGTTTCACCATGTTGGCTGAGCTGATCTCAAACTCCTGACCTCGTGATCCGCCTGCCTCGGCCTCCCAAAGTGCAGGGATTATAGGCGTGAGCCACCGCGCCCGGCCTGGCTGTGGTTTAGAGCGAAGCAGTTCACCACTTTCCCGCTGATGCAGGGCAATGGATTCATCTAGAGAATGTTTGCACGCTACAGAGGAGGTCAGAGAGAAAAGAAGGAAGCAGCTCCGATTTCGACTGAAAAACAGCCTAGGTGTTCCGAATATTCCCCCAAGTCCCAGCTGAATTCTGGGGTGGCAGGACCTGTTTTGGTAGCGAGGAGAGCAGGTTACGGACAAAGCTTGGCCTGCGGAGACCCTGCTGTGACAGGCAGGGTCATGTCTCACTGAACCAGGTGTCTCCAGGGGATGTGGGAGCCCCTTGGGGGATCTGTGTCCTGCCTCAGCCGAGTTTCACCTACTGGGTGCAGCGTGGCGTGGCGTGTGTGTGTGTGGTGTGGTGTGACAGTGTGGATTGCCATGTTGTGGCGTGGTATGAGCGTGTGGTGTGGTGTGACGTGGTGTGGGTTGCCATGTTGTGGCGTGGTGTGAGCGTGTGGTGTGGTGTGACGTGGTGTGGATTGCCATGCTGAGCCTGACACAGGCCCTGGGTTAGCTGTCACCTCTCTGAGCCTCCGTTTGGTCACCTGAAGGGCTTGTCCAAAGACTCTCTGAGGAGTTCTCCAGTTTTGAAGCTCTCTGCATCTGTCCTGCCGCAGAATGCGACGATTTTCAGTGATTGCACCTAGGCAGGCCTCTGGTGGCTGCAGGAGCACCTCCCCGGGGACTCGTTCCTCCAGGAAGTGGACGTGTGTGTTCAGCCTCCCACCTGTTCCTGCTGCTGGGCTGCCGCGTGGCCGAGGCGGCTCACTGAGCGTGCTCTCACCTCCGAGCATGTCCCAGAACCTCCTTCACACGGAGGCGGCTGCAAATACTCGTTTAATTGTTCTCCACCTGCCCCATGCTGGGGTCCCTCCCTGATCACCCGTTATGGTCCACCAGCACCCACTGTGGGTCCCCGTCCTGGACGGCTGGGTGGGTGAACCCTCAGCGGCTGGAGAGGCTGCCCCGGGTGTGCAGGTCCTGGGGGCTGGAGAGGCTGCCCCGGGTGGGGTGTGCGGGTCCTGGGGGCAGGAGAGGCTGCCCCAGGTGTGCGGGTCCTGGGGGCAGGAGAGGCTGCCCCGGGTGTGCGGGTCCTGGGGGCAGGAGAGGCTACCCTGGGTGGGGTGTGCGGGTCCTTGGGGCTGGAGAGGCTGCCCCGGGTGTGGAGGTCCTGGGGGCTGGAGAGGCTGCCCCGGGTGTGCGGGTCCTGGGGGCAGGAGAGGCTGCGCCGGGTGTGCGGGTCCTGGGGGCAGGAGAGGCTGCCCCGGGTGTGCGGGTCCTGGGGGCAGGAGAGGCTGCGCCGGGTGTGCGGGTCCTTGGGGCTGGAGAGGCTGCCCCGGGTGTGCGGGTCCTGCGGGCTGGAGAGGCTGCCCCGGGTGTGCGGGTCCTGGGGGCTGGAGAGGCTGCGCCGGGTGTGCGGGTCCTTGGGGCTGGAGAGGCTGCCCCGGGTGTGCGGGTCCTTGGGGCTGGAGAGGCTGCCCCTGGTGTGCGGGTCCTGCGGGCTGGAGAGGCTACCCCGGGTGTGCGGGTCCTTGGGGCTGGAGAGGCTGCCCCTGGTGTGCGGGTCCTGCGGGCTGGAGAGGCTGCCCCGGGTGTGCGGGTCCTTGGGGCTGGAGAGGCTGCCCCTGGTGTGCGGGTCCTGCGGGCTGGAGAGGCTGCCCCTGGTGTGCGGGTCCTGCGGGCTGGAGAGGCTGCCCCGGGTGTGCGGGTCCTGCGGGCTGGAGAGGCTGCCCCGGGTGTGCGGGTCCTGGGGGCAGGAGAGGCTGCCCCGGGTGTGCGGGTCCTTGGGGCTGGAGAGGCTGCCCCGGGTGTGCGGGTCCTGCGGGCTGGAGAGGCTGCCCCGGGTGTGCGGGTCCTTGGGGCTGGAGAGGCTGCCCCGGGTGTGCGGGTCCTGCGGGCTGGAGAGGCTGCCCCTGGTGTGCGGGTCCTGCGGGCTGGAGAGGCTGCCCCTGGTGTGCAGGTCCTGGGGACAGGTCTGCTCGCTGGGCCTTTGCAAGGTGTGGTTTGGAGCTGGGGCTGCAGGGAGGGCCATGGGGAGGACCCCTCCAGTCCTTCACAATGGTGACGATGACAGCAGGCTGTCTACAGCACAGAGCCATAGACCCGGGTGGGGTCTGCCCTGCAGGAATGCTGCTGCGGGCTGCGGGGAGGCCACGCACACCACGTGGCTGTCTCCTTCACAGGGTCTGTGTCTGTGTCTTCCCTGCAGGATGCCCTGTCCTTGTGCCGGCCGGCCCACCGGGCCCCTCCTGCTGTCCAAGACGGTGGAGACATGAAACGCCACAGGCATCCCTGCCACCTGCCGCAGGTCCGCGTCTCCATACATGATGCCCTGTCCTGGGGTGTGCGGCTGCCCCTGCAGAAGTCACACCCCGCGTGACCCGGCTTGTCCTTTCCCTGCTAGGCAGCCAAAGCTGTGTCGAAGGCCTGTGGCACAGCTCAGCACCCTCAGATCCGGTGGCTCTGTGTCCTGCTGGCACCTGCTGTGGAGAGCAGGGTTTGCTGAGGGGGGAGGTGGCTGCCTACGTAAAGTGTCCAGCATGAGCTTGGGAATGTCCACCCGACTGTCCTCTTGGGGGCCAGAGGGTCAGTACATTGCTGCTGCAGCCTGACCACAGCCTCAACCTCCCCCAGGTGCATCCCTCCCTCCATTCCCCCATTTCCTGCCCCAGCCCTCCCCTCCCTCCTCTTCACCTATTTCCCTCCTGGGCTTGCACCCATGCTCCTGGGGTCACACTGCTGACAACCCCCTCCCTGGGCGTCAACAGGTCCAGGCGTCCCAGGTCCCGGGAGCCGAGTGGGGCCAAGGTCCCCAGCTGTGCACGGAACACGAATTTCTGTTGGCCTGAGGAGCTCCTGCAGGAAACCGTGGGACAAGCCTGGTTCAGCGTGAATTCTGGGTGCGTTTCTGCATGCTGAGTCGTGCCTCACACACACCAAAGCACCATGCCTCAAAATTTCTGAATCTGGAAGACTCAACACAGCAAGGGAGTGGGATGAGTGGGCCGGGTGTCATTCTCGGGGGCAGAGGCAGGAGTCTTTGGAGGCCAGGGAGGGGAAAGCCGGTTGTGACTCTGTCCCCCCAGGCCTCCTGCCAGCCCCCAGCCCTCCTGGGATGCCACCTGCAGCCCTGCAGACAAGTGCCTTGAAAATCCCAAACCAGAGGCAGCCAAGTGTGAAACCAGCCCCCGGAGATGGAAAAGAGGACAGGCCCCGCTCCCGTTTTATCCAATGCCAAAGGGGAGATCGCTTGACGTTTGAGGAAACAGCGTGTGCGACTTCCACGCCGCTCCTGGGAAGGCACTCACGCGTTCGTCCATGACGAGGCTCTGTTAGGGAGGGGGAGGCTGGAGGGGCCCAGAGAACAGCAGGGTCCCCCAGCCAAGGTCCTGGCGGGGCTGAGTGGGGCCGGGGCGAGGTGGGCCGGGCGGGGAGCAGGCGGGCAGAGTGAGCCAGCTGGGCTGTGGTGCTAATCCCAGATAATTACCCTTTGGACACTCGGAGCCATCTCCCTTTTCTTTGCACTTAGCACGGTCTGAATGACCCTGAGAGCACCTTGGTCTTCCGAGGTCCCGCACACATCCGGGCCCTGGGAAAGCCGGGCCTCAGTGGTCGGTCAGGAAACCTGATCAGGCCCTAATCGTCTGGTGGGGATTAGCCGGCCCGGCGGCCCCTTCTCCAGGTGAGGGCTCCCACAACCCTGCCAGGGCCACCCTTCTGGGGGCAGGGCTGCCTTTGAGCCCGGATTAGTTGAGGTAAAGGGATTCATCTTGGGGCCTTCAAAGCCTTCAGGTCTCCCCGTGCCTCCTCCAGCACAGAGCGAAGGCCCTGGATACCCCCCATGTCTCATGTCTGGGTGGACAGACCCTGGAAGGGGTGTGGGAGGAGTCAGTACGATGGAGGATACAAAGTCTGGCCTGAGCTGCTGCCACTGAACCCGGGATCACGTTGTTCATCGAACCCTAGATAAGGGGCGGCTCCCCTCCCTCGCCCCACGCGTGGTGCAGAGCAGGGCCTGGCGGTGTCTCCTTCTGACTCTCCAGGGGCTTCCACAGCCCTTCTTCCCACCTAGCGCCTCCCTCGCCCTTCCTGTTCCAGCCACAGGTGCTGTCCTCTGCCTGCCTCCCTGGCCGAAGCCTTTTCCCCAGGTGGGAGCTTCCTCCCTCCATCCCCACAGCTGCCGGTGCTGCAGGTAGCAGCTCCAGGGTCCCCTCCCAACAGGGGACTCCCCCACCCCCACTGCTGTCCCCACCACTCACCACTCCTGTATCCTATTTTACTTTTGTAAAATGACTGCTGCCTTCTCCTGAGATCCTAGTAACCTGGTTGGTATTGTTTTTGTCACTTGCCTATCTACCTACCATGTATTCATCTTCCCCACCTAGGCTGTGAGTGCCAGAAGGGCAGGGGCATTTCTGGTCTCATCCTCTCTATGCTTCCAGCACAGAAGCATATGATGAATATTTGTTTCATGAATGGGTGGGTGGATGGATGGGTGAATGGATAGATGGATGGGTGGATAGGTGGATAGACAGATGGATGGATGGTGGATGGTGGGTGGATGGTGGATGAATGGGTTGTGGTTAGATGGATGGATGAATGGATAGATGGATGGGTGGATGGGTGGATAGATGGATGGATAGGTGGGTGGGTGGATAGATGGATGGATGGATGGGTTGTGGATAGATGGATGGATGAATGGATAGATGGATGGGTGGGTGGGTGGATAGATAGATGGATGGATGGGTAGGTGGATAGATGGATGGATGGGTGGGTGGGTGGATAGATGGGTGGATGGATGGGTTGTGGATAGATGGGTGGATGAATGGATAGATGGATGACTGGGTGGGTGCATAGACGGGTGGGTGGATGGTGGATGGATGGGTGGGTGGATGGATGAGTACGTGGATGGATGAATGTTTGGCAGTTTTTTTGAGACCTGTTAGCAGGGAGGAAGGAGGCTTGAGCTCCAGCTGTGGTTCTGTTGGTAACAAGCCCTGGGCCACTGGGGTCAGGACGTTTCTTCTCTCTGACCACAGTTGCCTCAGCTGCCACCCTCGGTTCATACAGTGAGTCCCCGTCTCATTAGCCCTTACTGGTTGCCCTCCGTGAAGCAGAGGGTGCAGTTGTCAGGTTTTTGAGGAGAGATGAAGAAGCTCAGGGAGGGGCAGCCACAGCCTTGGGTGTGGGGAGCGGTCCTGATGTGGTATCCCCCAACCCCCCAATCTTGTGCCCACTCTGCAGCCATCCAAGTCAGTAGGGTGGCTGCGGGCACCACGAGTGTACAGCCTTATTCTTGTGATGGTCAGGACCCTTTGTGAAAATTCAGGTTTCAGGATGTGGGAGGAGAATCTCTCTATTTCTCTCTCTGTGTCTCCCTCTCTTTATTTTTGTGGTAAAAACACATATCATACAATTTACTACCTTAGCCATTTTAAGCATATGGGTGAGTAGTGTTAAATATGTCGACATGATTATGCAACAGATTTTGAGAACTTTCTCACCTTCCAAAACTGAACTCTGTCCCCATTAAACATGGACTCCCCATTCCTCTCACCCCAGCCTCTGGCACCCACCATTCCACTCTCTGTCTCTATTATGTGAATTTCTCTACTACCTGATATAAGTGGAATTAGACGGTATTTGTCCTTCAGAGTCTGGCTTATTTCACTGAGTATGACGTCCTCAAGGCCCCTCCAGGCTGTAGCAGGGGTTGGAACTTCCTTCCTGTTTAAGGCTGAAAATTTTCCCACCATGTGGACGGACCACATTGCACTTCCCCACTCATGCCTTGATGGACTCTGGGGTTACATTGTGAATCATGCAGCTGTGAACAGGGGTGTCCGACCATCTCTCCAAGATCAGGGTTGTCTGACCATCTCTCCAAGATCAGCGTTGTCTGACCGTCTCTCCAAGATCAGGGCTGTCCTACCGTCTCTCCAAGATCAGGGCTGTCCGACTGTCTCTCCAAGATCAGGGCTGTCCGACTGTCTCTCCAAGATTAGGGCTGTCCAACCGTCTCTCCAAGATCAGGGGTGTCCAACCATCTCTCCAAGATCCTGCCTTCGATTCTGTTGGGTGTGTCCCCAACAGTGCAATTCCTGGATCATGTGGAAATCTTATCTATGGAGCTCTCAATATCTAACTGTGGTTTTGATTTTCATTTCCCCACTGATGAGAGGTGTTGAACATCTTTTCAGATGTTGGTGGCCATTTGTCTGTCTTCTTTGGAGAAATGTCTACCCAAGTCCTTGGCCCATTTTTTAAATCGTGTTGTTTGGTTTTGTTGGTGTTGCTGAGTTGTAAGAGTTCTTTATTTATTCTGGAGATTAACCCCTTATCAGATAGACGGTTTGCAAATATTTTCTCCCACTCTGTGGGTTTCCCTTTTCACTCTGTTGATTGCTTCCGTCGCTGTGCAGAGACTCCTAGGTTTGATGCAATTCCATTTGTCTATTTTTGGTTTTCTTGCCTGTACTTTTCTGATGAGAAACTCTCTCCTTATCTGACTTCTATGGAGGGTGGCTGAGGATCCGGCTGGCTCTTCCCTCCTCTGTGAGGGGCTTGCTAACAGCCAGACACTTAATTAGTTGGCACATGAGGTGTTTCCAAAATACCTTGCTTTCTGTTTTGATCTTTGGAAAACCTCGACATTCAAAGGAAGCCTCCGTACACTGCTCTGTCTGAGGGCTTGTTGGAGAAGGTTTGGCCCCACCAGGGATGGGAGGACCCCCTTGCTGGATCTGCTTCTTCCTGCACCAGAGGAGTCAGGCCCAGGGCCGGTCATGCAAAAGATTCCCCGCCCCCAGCTCTTGGCGAAGGCAGGTTGAGTGAGTACCAGGGTGGTCTGGAGGAGGGAGGGAGAGTCAGGCGGTGGCCCGCAGCCCAAGGGGTTTCTGGTGAGGGGGTGGAGGCTCGGCGGCTGGCCAGGCCAGGCCCTCCCCCTGGAGCTGCAGGTCTTCATTCTTTCAAAACACCAGCTGGTAGTCCAGCCCTTACCCTCTCCTGCTGGGTTCCAGAGACTCTGACAGCTGGCTCCTGCCTCGTCTTTGGTCCCGGGCCACCCCGAGGATGGGGGCATGGGGGCTTCAAAGCTGTCTGGACTTCACCTTCGCAGAGGGACAGGCACAGACTCAGAGACAGATGCTCTGGGGGGGCCAGGCTCGGCCTCAGAGGGGAACGGCCCCTCCATGGGGGGTGTGGGGGTTCAGGCCCAGGGCCTGAGAGGCGGGAAGCGAAAGCAAGTCCGGAGCTCCTGCCATGCCTTGGAGAGCTGGGCGTCCCACAGACTCCCCTCACTTCCCTCAGCAGGTGGACTCCCCCGTCACCGCTCAGGGAGCTGCACTCAGGTCAATAGTGTGGTCCTGGGGTGGTGAAGGGGCATGGCCACGGCCAGGAGGGTGCTGTGGGCCAGGGGGCTGTGTGGCCTCCACCCTGGACATACGTGGCTCCCAGTCTAGGCAGAACCTACTTTTAAATTCTGTGGTTTTGAATATCCACATATCGCACGCGTGTGGAAAACCACACACATCTCAGATGCACAGCACAATCCTTTCACTACAAAGTGAGCCTGTCCAAGGAGGGAGCACCACGCCGGGAAACAGAACACAGCCAGCACCCAGAGCCCGCCTGCCCCTTCCCTGACTCAGGGTGGCTGTCATCCCCACTTCTACCCATTGATTACTTTTGTGAGGCTTTTGATTTTTGATTTCATTCATTTCCTTGGCAGTCTTTTCTGGAAGTGGAATTTGGATGCAGCAGAGAGTTCAGATCTTAGCTGTACCGTTCAGCTGGTTTCAACATAAGCCTACTGAGGCAGAACATGTATGTCCCCCAGAGGTTCCCGGCGACCTGTCCCCGGCACCGGCCCTCCCAAAGCAACACTGAGCTGAGTTTTAGCTTGGCCGGTTTTGCTTGTGCTAGGATTTCATGTCTGTGCGCCTGGCTCTTCACGCAGGGTGCTGCTTCTGGGACTCATTGTCTGTTGATGTGTCGTGGCTGGCTTCCTTCTCTCGCTGAGTGGTGATTCCATCCTGCGCTCCATCCTGTGTATGAACTTGTTCTTCTGTTGGGTAATTTCTCCTGTGCTCATCTAGTGTATGAACTCGTTCTCCTGTTGGGTAATTTCTCCTGTGCTCATCTAGTGTATGAACGCGTTCTCCTGTTGGGTAATTTCTCCTGTGCTCATCTAGTGTATGAACGCGTTCTCCTGTCGGGTAATTTCACCCTGTGCTCATCTAGTGTATGAACATGTTCTCCTGTTGGGTAATTTCACCTGTGCTCATCTAGTGTATGAACTCGTTCTCCTGTCGGGTAATTTCACCCTATGCTCATCTAGTGTATGAACTCGTTCTCCTGTTGGGTAATTTCACCCTGTGCTCATCTAGTGTATGAACGGGTTCTCCTGTTGGGTAATTTCACCCTGTGCTCATCTAGTGTATGAACTCGTTCTCCTGTCGGGTAATTTCTCCTGTGCTCATCTAGTGTATGAACGCGTTCTCCTGTCGGGTAATTTCTCCTGTGCTCATCTAGTGTATGAACTCGTTCTCCTGTTGGGTAATTTCACCCTGTGCTCATCTAGTGTATGAACGCGTTCTCCTGTTGGGTAATTTCTCCTGTGCTCATCTAGTGTATGAACGGGTTCTCCTGTTGGGTAATTTCTCCTGTGCTCATCTAGTGTATGAACTCGTTCTCCTGTTGGGTAATTTCTCCTGTGCTCATCTAGTGTATGAACTCGTTCTCCTGTCGGGTAATTTCACCCTGGGCTCATCTAGTGTATGAACGCTTTCTCCTGTTGGGTAATTTCTCCTGTGCTCATCTAGTGTACGAACTCGTTCTCCTGTCGGGTAATTTCACCCTGTGCTCATCTAGTGTATGAACTCGTTCTCCTGTTGGGTAATTTCTCCTGTGCTCATCTAGTGTATGAACGCGTTCTCCTGTTGGGTAATTTCTCCTGTGCTCATCTAGTGTATGAACGCGTTCTCCTGTTGGGTAATTTCACCCTGTGCTCATCTAGTGTATGAACGCGTTCTCCTGTCGGGTAATTTCACCCTGTGCTCATCTAGTGTATGAACTCGTTCTCCTGTTGGGTAATTTCTCCTGTGCTCATCTAGTGTATGAACGCGTTCTCCTGTTGGGTAATTTCTCCTGTGCTCATCTAGTGTATGAACGCGTTCTCCTGTTGGGTAATTTCTCCTGTGCTCATCTAGTGTATGAACGCGTTCTCCTGTCGGGTAATTTCACCCTGTGCTCATCTAGTGTATGAACTTGTTCTCCTGTTGGGTAATTTCTCCTGTGCTCATCTAGTGTATGAACGTGTTCTCCTGTCGGGTAATTTCACCCTGTGCTCATCTAGTGTATGAACTCGTTCTCCTGTTGGGTAATTTCTCCTGTGCTCATCTAGTGTATGAACGCGTTCTCCTGTTGGGTAATTTCTCCTGTGCTCATCTAGTGTATGAACGCGTTCTCCTGTTGGGTAATTTCTCCTGTGCTCATCTAGTGTATGAACGCGTTCTCCTGTCGGGTAATTTCACCCTGTGCTCATCTAGTGTATGAACTCGTTCTCCTGTTGGGTAATTTCTCCTGTGCTCATCTAGTGTATGAACACGTTCTCCTCTCGGGTAATTTCTCCTGTGGTCATCTAGTGTATGAACGCGTTCTCCTGTCGGGTAATTTCACCCTGTGCTCATCTAGTGTATGAACTCGTTCTTCTGTCGGGTAATTTCACCCTGTGCTCATCTAGTGTATGAATGCATTCTCCTGTTGGGTAATTTCTCCTGTGCTCATCTAGTGTATGAACTCGTTCTCCTGTTGGGTAATTTCTCCTGTGCTCATCTAGTGTATGAACGCGTTCTCCTGTTGGGTAATTTCACCCTGTGCTCATCTAGTGTATGGACTCGTTCTCCTGTTGGGTAATTTCATCCTGTGCTCATCTAGTGTATGAACGGGTTCTCCTGTTGGGTAATTTCATCCTGTGCTCATCTAGTGTATGAACGGGTTCTCCGGTTGGGTAATTTCACCCTGTGCTCATCTAGTGTATGAACGCGTTCTCCTGTTGGGTAATTTCATCCTGTGCTCATCTAGTGTATGAATGGGTTCTCCTGTTGGGTAATTTCTCCTGTGCTCATCTAGTATATGAACTCATTCTCCTGTCAGGTAATTTCTCCTGTGCTCATCTAGTGTATGAACACGTTCTCCTGTTGGGTAATTTTTCCTGTGCTCATCTAGTGTATGAACGCGTGCTCTTGTCGGGTGATTTCTCCTGTGCTCATCTGGTGTATGAACGTGTTCTCCTGTTGTCAGACGTGTGTTTTTTCCTGGCTTTGGCTCCCGTAAGCGAAGCTGATGCAGGACGGGTGAACCCCAATGTGGGGCTTAGCCTGTGAGGGTTCTTGGCTCCACCTAGGAAAGAATTCAAGGGTCAGCTGGTGGTAGGGAGAATAAAACAGCTTTATGGAAGCGGCAGTGTTAGAGCTCCGCGGCTGCTTCTGCAGAGCAGGGGTACCCCGCAAGTAGAGAGTAGCAGCTCAGGGCAGTTTTGCAGCCATGTTTATATCCACATTTAATGTCACCCAGATGAAAAGGCCGTTTATGCAGACCTTTCTAGGGAAGGGGTAGGAACTTTTGGCTCACTGGGTCATTGCCATGGAAAAGCACGGTGACTCCCAGGTGTTGCCATCGCAATGGTAAATTGATGTGGCACGTTGGTGGAGGTTTCTGTGGAAAGCTGCTTCTCCTCTGGCCCTGTTTTAGTTAGTCCTCCATCTGGTCCAGTGTCTGAGGCCCACCTCCTACCTGAAAGCTCCTATAAACATTCTCCTGTGGCTGTTTTTGTGGCTGTCTTCGTTTGTCTCGGTCAGATATCCAGGAGTGAGATCGATGGGCTGGGGCCGAGGCCTATTGACCTTTTTAAGGAACCATTGCACGGTGCATTCTGTGCTCCCTGAGGCCTTTTTCCTGAGCCACCCAGCACAGTGTGGCCCTGAGGCCGGCATCACAGGGAACTGGCATCCTCGAAAGCTCACGGTATCTGTCTCCTCTGCAGGTGTGAGGACCCGCTTCCTCCAGTGGCACTGTGACGTCTTCAACGTTGCTGGGCCTCCCCACCCCTCCCCACCCCCATCCCTGCCGGCCACTGCTGTCCCCTTTAAACTGCTCAGACATTCCCTTGTCAACATTTCTAAGTCCCTCGGTGGGAGAGAGTGTGCACGGGACCCCAAGGATGGTGTTCCAGGATTCAGAGAGTGAGGCCCATAACCTCGCCCACCCTTGTCCATCCTGCAGGCCTGCCCTTCCCACGCACCTGTGGATGGAACTGTCTCACCATCGTCCTCTACAGAGAGGGAAATTGAGGCCCAGAGAGGCTGTGAGACTTGCTCCTGGCCACTGAGGTGGCAGAATGCACCTGCCTGCCTTGCACACATCTTGGGGAGGCCACCACTGCCCCCCAACATTGCTTTGCTCATTCTGTGGGGTTTTTTTGGCAAAGAGTCTCTGACCCACCCTCCTTCACCCCAGGCATGAGCCCTTGGCTTGGACTTGGCCAGAGTTCTCTGTATCCCTGGCAGGAGGGTCAGGCTGGGGTGAGTGGAGTGTGGACGGAAGCCTCATGCCCATGCTTTCTGCTGAGCCCAGGAGAGGGAGGATCCCCAGGGGCCCGCCCAGCCCTGCTCCCCTCGGCTTTTTTTTGTGTGTGTGCCCGGCCTTGGACTTGCTGTCCTCACTGTGCTGATGGGGGCACTTGGAGTGTGGCTGGGCTGGAGGTGGTCTTGCTGGGCCTGGGTGGGGCTGTGACAGGGGGTTCTAGGTTGACCTCACTTCCGGATCCTCCACCCCTTCTTTGCAGACGCTGGGTGCCTGCTCCAGGGGCTGATGCCACTGTGGTCAGCCCATCTGTTTCCTGCTCCTTCGAGACGGGTGTCCCACCCTGGCCCTGGGAGCAGAAGCCCCTCATCTCCCACCCCTATGGCCCCTCAGTGCCACGTTGGGTCCCACCCTGAGCTGCACACTTGAGATTTGTGCACTTCATGTAAGCTGCATGTCAAGAAACACAAAAACACAGCAGAGCATACCATGTCCATGCTGTTAAATGTCATCATTCACATGAGGCTGGAGCATATGGAATCATTGGCTCACCTGATGGCTTCTCGTGGGGGCCATGTGCTGATGGGTCTGCTGTCTTTTCTCTTCCTTTGCCCCTGGCTAAGTCCTCTGCCTCCTTCTCACAGGCCTGGACTCCCTTGAGAAGCCCCCTCCCCTAATACACCTGGGTGGGGTTTATCCTCTTCCTCCATACCCCCCTCCCCATGTCCTCACAGCCGTTGCCTGATCTGTACCCACAGCCCTGGCAGTGGGTGAGCTTATCTCACTGCTTCTATCTCCCCTGTCCTATCTGCTCGCCCTGGCCAGGGCCCCAACACCTCTGTCTGTTACCCCTGGCCAGGGTCCCAACACCCTGAGGGCCGTTCCATTACACACGTATAACAGGAGAAAAGGAGGGAAATTAAATGAGGGAGAAAACTCTCAGTCACACAGTGGGTTGATCATTTACTGAGCACCTACTATGTAGCAAGTACTGCTCTAGGTGCTGGGAAGATGGGAGGAAATAGAATAGGTGTAACCCTTGGCCCTGAGATCATTGAGTTACAGAAAACTAGAGCAACCATATTTCTTCTACACAACTAAATCTATATGTGAGAACTTGTGTCACCAAGATGCATTGACAAGAGGACCAGATTTACCCTCCTACCAGAAACAACCTAAAAACAGACAAAATATATGAAATCATGGTCTTCAAGAAACTGGGCACCAGAAAGTGAAGGGTGGTGATCCCAGAGAGAAGGGAAGCAATGAGACAAGCCCTGAAGAATCCTCATCTTCTATAGTCACTGCCTGGGGACACTTTCTGGGCTGTGAGGTAGGGAGCGGGAAATGAGATGGAGCCCAGCAGACCCCCTGTGTGGAGGAGATACAGCAGAGAGTGTGGGGAGACCACAGTGGCTGAGTTCTTAGGACACATAATTGCATGAAAGGAAACTCCATAAAATTGTGTATGGTCCTTAAATATTTAAGAGAGGATGGATTGGTGCTTGGGTGTTCAAGGCAAGGGGAAGAAAACCTACCTGAAATTATTAGAGGGAACAGTATGTAGCACACACAGAGTCAGGAATTGAGGCTGTTTTTATCTGCCAAACTGGAACATCTCAGGATTCATGGAATGGGGGAGATTATTCAGAAGGTCTAGCCTCAAGTGTGGACCATGTTACCAACAAAGCAAATTTTACAATGTGTGGCACCCAACAAAAATAACAGCCATATAAAGATGCAGGAAAGTCTGACTCTTGAAAGGAGAAAAATCAATCAATTGAAACTGACTCAGAGCTGACATGGCTGTTACGATTAGCAGACAAAGACATTAGAATTGTTATTAGCATGTTATTCTGCATGTGCAAAGTTAGATAGAGGTATAGAAAGTATAGGAAAAACAATCAAACCAAACTTTTAGAGATGAAAAAAACACAATGGGATGAAAAATTCACTGGAGTGAAAAAAGGCAGATTAGATATTATTGAAAAAAAGATTAGCAAACTTGAAGACGTATCAATAGAAACTATCCAAAATCAAACACACAGAGAAAAAAGTTTAAGCATGAACAAAGCATCAGTGAGCTTTGGGACAATACATAATACATGTGGCTTAATAGAAGTGTAAGTGGAGTTCCTGAAAGAATGGATAGATGGGGAGAAGGGGACAAAAAATATTAGAAAAAATAATGACTGAAAAGTTTCCAAATTTGATAAAAGATAGAAATCCACAGATCCAAGAACGCAATAACATATAAGTGCAAGAAACACAAAGAAAAGCACACCAAACTACATTATAAATTGCTCAAAACTAGTAATAAATAGAAAATCTTAAAAGCAGCTGGAGAGAAAGCAGTGATGCTCCATGTGCAGAGACAGCAAATGTGAGGGTGATGGCAGATCTCCCACCGAGACAGCAATGTGAGGATGACGGCAGATCTCCCACCGAGACAGCAATGTGAGGATGACGGCAGATCTCCCACCGAGACAGCAATGTGAGGGTGATGGCAGTTCTCCCACCGAGACAGCAATGTGAGGGTGATGGCAGATCTCCCACCAGGACAGCAATGTGAGGGTGACGGCAGATCTCCCACCGAGACAGCAACGGGAGGGTGACGGCAGATCTCCCACTGAGACAGCAACGGGAGGGTGATGGCAGATCTCCCACTGAGACAGCAACGGGAGGGTGACGGCAGATCTCCCACCGGGACAGCAATGCGAGGGTGACGGCAGATCTCCCACCAGGACAGTGATGTGAGGGTGATGGCAGATCTCCCACCGGAAAACAATATAAGCTAGAAGACAGGAGAATGGTGTCTTTAAACTATTGATAGAGAAGAATCTTGTAAGTCTCGAATTTTATACCCAACAATAATATCTTTTTTTTAAGGTGAACTAAAGACTATTCAGACATGCAAAAGCTGAAGGAATCCATCACCACAGCAGACTTGTATAATAAGAAAGCCTTTATCTACACACACACACACACACACACACACACACACACACAGCACCACAAATGGTAAGCACAGGGTAAATCTGTAAGATTTACTCTTTTTTTATGTTTAGAGTCATGATGTCACTCTGTTACTCAGGCTGGAGTGCAGTGGTACAATCATGGCTCACTGCAGCCTTGAACTCCTGGTTTCTAGTGATCCTCCTGGCTCAGCCTCCTGAGTTGCTGGGGTTACAGGCATGAGCCACCACACCGAGTTCTAGATTTACTCTTATTATTTAAGTCTCCTTAAAAGATAATTGGGCTTTGCAAATGGCAGTGTGTGGAGTTTGGCAACACCTCTTCCCCAGACAGACATCTGTTAGACTAATCAAAATAAACAGAGACAATCGTTTGAAGTCTCTGGAGACTGATCAAAAGGTTCATAGAAAAATTGAGAAGCATTTATTCAATAAAATCTGTGAAATTTGCCAAACATTGTGGAAGGCCTTGGCATCTGAGCCATGGGTTGCACACATCCCCCCGTGGCTCTGCTGCAAAGGAGCTATTCCAGAAGCCTTGGTGGCTGAGTGCAAAGCTTCCACCTTTCCAGCTCCCTGAAATGGAAGAGCCATTCCATGGGCGTATCCAATGGCCAGACACTATTAGTAGATTTCTCTCCTAATAGTCTCTATCAGCAACATGCTGCAGAAGAGCTATACTGAGCAGGCAGCTGGGCGGAATTATCTTTTCCCCCATCCCAGCAACTGCTCCATAGGAAAGATCTAGGCAGAGAAGATAACACAACACTCCTCCTCCCCCAGGCTCTGTGCTGCAGAAGAGCTATCCTGGTGGGTTCAGCAGCAGTGTGGCAGCTCCCGTCTTCCAGCATCCTAGTGTAGAAGAGCTACTTAGGGTGTATTTGGCAACCAGTGAACATTGGGAATCCCATCCTCCTTGGCTCTGTGCTGCTAAAAATATGTCTTGGGTGGTGGAGTCAGCCAGGTGGTACCTCAGTTACTGCTCTTGCCTTTCCTAAACGCTTGCTCCATAGTGAGATACAGGTGGGGTGATTGGTGAAGAGTGAGGTCCCCCACTTCCCAGCTCCTGCTCCATAGCACAGAGCTTCTGCTCAGGGGAGGGTCATAGCAAGCTTCAAAGCAACACCTTTTCTGGCCAAGTGATTCTACTTTGTTTGGATCAGACTGTGGGCTATGGAGCAACAATGCTCCAGGGCATTGTTGAAAACAATAGAGCAATCAGGTAGTATCCACGTGGGGTGATGCCAATAGAGGCAGAACAACCAGAAGCTTATCATGGGAAGCGGCAGAGACTCCAGCTAACACCATCGTCCCTGGCGGTCCATTAGACTGTGTGCATGCCTAAGACTGCACTCTTTGAGGAGTGATGGGAGGGACATTGGAACCTCTAGTCCGTGCCTGAATGTGGGATAAATGAATACACTCTCTGTGAGCAGTTTCCAACCACAGATAGATCCATCAGCAAAGGGTTGGGAGGCCTCATAGGCTTAAGAACAAGTGGCTGACCACTAAATTGTGTTAAATCGAGGGGTGACACTTAGGACTGGCTTAAAGATAAAAATGAGGGGACAAGTGTGAGCAGGATGCATACTGCAGGAGATATAGATGTCACAGAATTATTTCAGTCAAATCACCAAACAAGAAAACAGGTGAACAAACAAATAACAACAATGATAATAAGCCCCTGGTTGGCAGATGAGGATTCAGACTTGCTACAATATCATGTTACCTCAAGTGTTCAATTTTCAATAAATATTAAGATTTGCAAAGAAACAGAAAAGTGTGATTCATACACAGGAAAAAAAAAAACAACAACAGGCAATAGAAGTTGCTTCAAAGGGGCCAAGATGTTGAGCTGAGCAGACAAAGACTTAAAAGAAGCTATTGAAAATATGAAAGAACTAAACAAAACCAAACAAAAGAACTAAAGGAAGCCATGTTGAAAGAATAAAACAAAGGCATGATGATAATGAGCTGTAAAATAGGGACTATAAAAAAGGATGAATTATAAAAAGAATCAAATGGAAATTCTGGGGTTTAAAGTACAATAGCCTAAATAAAAAATCCGCTCGAGGGGCTCAACAGTAGATTTTGGCTAGAAGAATCACTGAACTTGAGATAGATCAATACAGATTATATAACCAGAAGAAAAGAAAGAAGAATGAAGAAAAATGAACACAGCCAAGGGGAAGCGTGGGACACCATTAAGCACACCAACATGTGCATTTGCATAATGGAAATATAGAAGGAGAGGAGAAAAATATTTGAAGAAATTAGGGCTGAAAACTTCCCAAATTTGATGGATGACAACAATCTACTTCCAAGAAGTTCAACAGCCTCCAAGTAGGATAAATGCAAACAGATCCACACCCAGGCATATCACAGCCAAAATGTTGAAATCTAGAGATTAAGAGAAAAATCCTGAAAGCAGCAAGAGAAAAATGACTCCTTGGGTGCAAAGGAACCTCAAGAAAATTAACAGCAGACTTCTCATCTGAGACAATGGAGGCCAGAGGCAGTGGGATGGCAATTCAAAGTGCTGGAAAAAACAAACAAACAAACAAACAAACAAACAAAAAAGTCCTGCTAACCAAGAATTCTATAGCCAGGGAAATGATTTTTCAAAAACAGAGGTGAAATTAAGATATTCCTAGTAAACAAACAAACAAACAGAAAACAACAAGCAAATTTTTTGCTAGCAGACCTGACTAACAGAAATAGTCAAGGAGGCTTCTCAAGTGAAAAGGAGGGGCATCTGAGAAACTCCCTTGAGTATTTCAAATTCAAATTCGAATTCACACCAAAACACAAAGAGTGCCAGTGAAAGTGACTGTAAAAGATAGAATAATTTCACATTTATTCTCCTAACTGATTTAAAAAATGATTGCAATAAAGCAATATCTCTACAAGTTTACTGTTGGACCTATAACATGTAGAAATGTAATATATTTGACAAGGACAACATGAGGAGCCTGGCAGATATGAAGCTGTATCAGAGTGAGGCAACGGTGCTCAGAGGTGACTGGAATCCACAGGATGCAACAAAGAGAACCAGACGTGGCAAATAAGGAAACTAACATGTATGTCTTAAAAACCTCTGTAAATGTATTTTCTTCTCTTTGCTTCTTTGAAAGGCATACAATCATTATTTTAATTTTTAAAAAAATTTTGCTTTTTTAAAGACCGGGTCTCACCATCACCCAGGCTGGAGTGCAGTGGTGTGATCACAGCCCACTGCAGCCTTGAACTCCCAGGCTCAAGTGATCCTCCCACCTCAGCCTCCTGAGAAGCTGGGATCACAGGCATGTGTCACTAAACCTGGCTAATTTATATATATATATATATATTTTTTTTTTTTTTTGTAGAGATGAGGTCTTGCTATGTTGCCCAGGTTGGCATGAAATCTTTTAAAACAGTAATTATATAACATGTTGGGCATAGGTGTAACAATAAGAGAACAAACGGGGGATAGAATGGACTTATATAGTTATAGTAGTAAAATTTCTAGATCTTGCCTGAAATAAATGACTATAAATCTGAAGTAAAAGTGCTATTAAGATATAAATTATTAGCCCTAGAGAAACTACTACAAAAGTGAAAATGACTGTAAAAGATAGTATAAATTCATGTTTCTTCTCCTAACTGATTTAAAAAACAATTGCAATAAAGCAATATGTATACAATTTTACTGTTGGAACTGTAACATATAGAAATACAATATATTTGACATATATAAAAATATATAGATAGAGAAAAGTAATCAAAGGAATTAAAATGACATTGTCAAAAATTTCCACTAAATACAAAAGGAAAAAGTAAAGGAGGAACAGAGGAGCAAATATTAATGAGACATAGAAAACCTAAAACCATAAAAACCCTAGAAGAAAACCTAGGCATTACCATTCAGGACATAGGCATGGGCAAGGACTTCATGTCCAAAACACCAAAAGCAATGGCAACAAAAGACAAAATTGACAAATGGGATCTAATTAAACTAAAGAGCTCCTGCACAGCAAAAGAAACTACCATCAGAGTGAACAGGCAACCTACAAAATGGGAGAAAATTTTCGCAACCTACTCATCTGACAAAGGGCTAATATCCAGAATCTACAATGAACTTAAACAAATTTACAAGAAAAAAACAACCCCATCAAAAAGTGGGCGAAGGACATGAACAGACACTTCTCAAAAGAAGATATTTATGCAGCCAAAAAACACATGAAAAAATGCTCATCATCACTGGCCATCAGAGAAATGCAAATCAAAACCACTATGAGATACCATCTCACACCAGTTAGAATGGCAATCATTAAAAAGTCAGGAAACAACAGGTGCTGGAGAGGATGTGGAGAAATAGGAACACTTTTACACTGTTGGTGGGACTGTAAACTAGTTCAACCATTGTGGAAGTCAGTGTGGCGATTCCTCAGGGATCTAGAACTAGAAATACCATTTGACCCAGCCATCCCATTACTGGGTATGTACCCAAAAGACTATAAATCATGCTGCTATAAAGACACATGCACACGTATGTTTATTGCGGCATTATTCACAATAGCAAAGACTTGGAACCAACCCAAATGTCCAACAATGATAGACTGGATTAAGAAAATGTGGCACATATATACCATGGAATACTATGCAGCCATAAAAAATGATGAGTTCATGTCCTTTGTAGGGACATGGATGAAATTGGAAATCATCATTCTCAGTAAACTATCGCAAGAACAAAAAACCAAACACCGCATATTCTCACTCATAGGTGGGAATTGAACAATGAGATCACATGGACACAGGAAGGGGAATATCACACTCTGGGGACTGTTGTGGGGTGGGGGGAGGGGGGAGGGATAGCATTGGGAGATATACCTAATGCTAGATGACGAGTTAGTGGGTGCAGTGCACCAGCATGGCACATGTATACATATGTATCTAACCTGCACAATGTGCACATGTACCCTAAAACTTAAAGTATAATAAATAAATTTAAAAAAAAGAAAGAAAACAGAAAGTAAAATGGCAGGCGTAAATCCAACCATATCAGTAGTAACGCTAAACGTGAACGGGTTAAACAATCCAATCAAAAGCAGAGATCGTCTGAGCAGATTAAAAGGAAAAAGATCCAGCTCTATGCTGTCCACAGGAGACACACTTTAGGTCCAAAGGTGCAAATACATTGAAAGTAAAAAAGGATGGAAAAAGATGTACCATGCCAAGAGTGGCTGTGAGAAAGTCATGGTGCTTTTATTGACATCAAACAACATGGACTTCAAGACAAAAGCTGTGACTAGAAACAAAACCTTGCCTCAAAACAAACTAAAAACTATGATGTCATATGATATGATTCTATTGTACAGAATTCTAGGAAATGCAAACTAGCCTGGGGCGGTAGATATATTCGTTATTTTGCTGTGATGGTTTCGAAGGAATTCATTTATATGTCAAATGTATCAATTTTACCCTAAAAATGCAGTTTATTTTATGATAATTATACCACTATAAAGTTTTGTTTTTGTTTTTTTGTTTTGTTTTGTTTTCCTTTTGAGATAGGTTCTGGCTCTGTGGCCCAGGGCGGAATCGTAGCTCACTGCAACCTCCACCTCCTGGGCTCAAGCGATCCACCCACCTCAGCCACCTCAGTAGCTGGGACCACAGGCACGAGCCACGACGGCCCCTAATTTTTGCGTTTTTTGCAGAGTTAGGGTCTCACTTTGTTGCCCAGGCTGGTCTTGAACTCTAGACCTCAGCCTCCCAAAGTGCTGGGATTACCGTACCCACCCTAAAGTTGTTTTTAAGAATGTAATAAATCCTTAAAACTCACCACTTCCTAATCATTTTGCCACGTTTTGCTATCATGTGTGCGTGGGCTTGCTGACTTTCTCTGTGGGGGACCAGACAGTAAAGATTTTGTGCTTTTGGGCCATCAATCTCCTTCACAACCTCTCAACTCCGCGCCTGTGGTGAGACAGCAGCCCCAGACGATACTCCAACCAGTGGGCGTCGCGGCGTTCGGGCAGAACCTTGTGTTGTGACGTAGGCCTGCGTCTTGTCTGGCCTTGGGCCCCGGTTTGCACACCGCTGATGTGTGTTCTGTTGTTGCAGGGCGAAAGCGTCCACGGCGGCTGCTGCACCCTCCTTCCCATATCTGAACACTGCAGCTGGTGGACGTCCACACTGCGAGCTCAGGTCGGCTCGTGATTAGGCTTTGGCCGATCCTGGCTGGCTGGAAGCGTCTGTTCTCGCTGTGGACTCTGTCATGGGGCCTGATCCCTTATGGATTCCCACCCACAGGACTTACCCAACCTCTTCCAACACTGGTTAGGCAGAGCTCTGGGGGCCCAGGTGCCAAGCCCAGGGGGCCTGAGGGGTGCAGAGAGGCCCTGGGAAGGGAGCCCCAGGCACACAGGTGGCGAGGCCAGGGTCCCTCCCTGTCATCATGCAGCTCGTCCCTCCGGGGGGCTCAGTCCCCCCGCAGGTGCACGGCCGCCTCCCTGCCTGGCTCCGGGAAAGCCCCTCTCAGATCTCTGTGAGGAGGGCGGCCCAGAAGTGAGTCAGAGCCCTGGTCTCAGGCTCAGGGCTGCCAGCTCAGGTGGGATGCCCGGGCCCCTGCCAGGGGCAGCGTGCAGGTGCCCCCGGGCCCTGGAGACTCAGCCCCCATCCTTGTCACACCCTCCATCTGGGGCCCTGCAGGGATGCTCATCAGACAAACACACATTCCACAGCGGCGAGCGCAGGCCTGGCCTCCTGCGGCAGCACCCGGGCCTGTCCTTACTTGCGGCGGCATCGGGATCCTAGCGGCTGGCGGCCGCTCCCTGCGTCTGCTGGGCCGCCCTGCCTGGCTGCTTCTGCACACACAGCCCCGTGCCTGGTGGCTTCAGCATCCAGAGCTGGCCTGGGTGAGCCCGGGAGTGGAGCCCACACACCCCACATCTGGAGCCAGCCTCGATGAGCCAGGAGGTGGAGCGGAGCCCTCAGGGACAGGAACAGAGCCTGCCCCCAGGAGCCCGTACCCTCCCCTAGGGCTGAGGGCTGCTGGGGGACGGTCAGCTCTGGTCAGCTGTTCCCCAGCCACTTCCCTCAGGGCACCTCAGGACCCCACTCTGGGCAGGGACACCAGCTGCACGACACTCACCTCCTTTCACGACTCCCCTGGGCTGACACTCACTCAGGCCTCCCCATCAGGCCCCGTGCTGACCGCCCGCCCCTACCCTTCAGGCCCTGAGCTGCTGGTGGTTCCGGGGTCACCGTCCTTCGTGCAGCCCCCTCCCGCTCCCCAAGGAAGGCCTCCGAATAGGCCCAGGCTGCGTGCAGCCCCCCAGCCCTCTCAGGAGGGGGTCTGCATGTCTCAGGAGCTCCTGGAGGCCCCAGCTCTTACCCCCTCACAGGACGGGTGTGGACAGCTGTGGGTCTCACTGGTGAGTCCCAACTCAACCCCGGCCCCAGCCACTCGGTGAAAGTCACTTGGCCAGGACCGCCAGCCCCTGCAGCCCCCAGGCCAGCGTCTGGGTGGCCTCCACACCCTCTCCTTGGCCAGCCTGGACCCAGGCTCTGAGCTTGGCTTTGCCACAAGATTCTGTCTTTAACTCCTGACAGCCAATTCCTCTCTTTGGAGAGGAAAAAATTCCGCCCTAAAGTCTGGTTCAGAAAGGCCTCATGCAGTTAGACAAATCCCCAGGGAAACAAGTGTTTTAGCTTAGGCCCTGAGACACGGGTCCCGCAGCGGGGAGAGAGGAGGAGAGCCGGGGAGGGGGCCTTCCCAGAGTCCGGCAGAGGCGCCTTCTCAGAGGGCCGCTGCCTGCCGGAAGGAGAGGACCCCCTTGCTGGGCCGGGCCCACCCTCTGGCCTCTCTCCCAACCTCCTGCACTCGGCTGCAGCCTCACCCAGTGGACCCTGCCTTGAGGCCTTTGCACATGTGGAGACTGTTGCCTCCCGGCCAGGCCCTCCCTGGCCACCTGGCCCCACCCTGCTGTGATTTCATCCTCCCATCTGCCCGCTATTCCCCTTCCTCCCACCCTCCTGCCCTCACGCCTTCCGCCTTGTGTCTCCCTTCCTGGTCTGTCTCTCCCTGAGAACACAGCCCTGCGTGTGCCCGGAGGAAAGATCTCAGCAGGTGTTTGTTGAACGAATGAATGAGCCCCAGGCTCTCTTCTACCTTTGGTCGCTGACCCTCAAATGGACTGCAGGTTGGGTGGCACCAGCACTCAGCACATCTGGGGGCAGGTGGGGCCGTGGGGCCGGAGCCTGGTCCCCTGTCCCTCGGCTGTGGGAAGGCCAGAGGGAAGGCTTGGGGCTCACGGCTGCTGTCCATAGGAAGCCAGCCCTGGGCTCCAGTGAGGAAGAACTTGCAAAGCCTGGGGGGTGGTGCAGCACAGGGGGCCCCACTTCCTGCTGCGTGGCGAGGTGAGCTCCCCATGTAAGCAGGAGCTAAGACAGTGCCGATGTCAGGGCGGGGCTGACCCACTGCAAGGATTCTAAGCCCCACACATCTGACAAGCACACTAGTGTGGCTCCGGAAAAAGACAGGGTATCAAGGGAATTCTGTCCCTTCTCACCGTTCTGAGACATGACCACTGACTGTGCTGTGAGTTTCGGCAAAGCCAGAGAGATGCCCCTGAACAGAACTCAGGGCAGAGGGCGGGGTAAGCTCTTCACGGGGTTGAGAGGTTGGGGTCGGAGAGGTTGGCAGGCTCGGGGTCTCGCAGAGTCCGGTGGGCCTTGGGGAGGAGTTGGGTTTACGCTTTAACCCTGGGGCCCCCTCGCTAACTGCACGCTTTGATTTCACGCAATGTACTCCTGGACCTGGCTCCTTCAGGATGCAGGGACCTGTCTATCTCAACCACAGGGTAGTCTCACCGACGGGGATCCCATGTAGCAGGTGTCCAGTGAGCATGTTAGAGCATGAAGAAGGGGCTGGTGCATGACCAGTGGTTAGGGCAGGGTCGTGAGGGCTCCTGGAGGGGAACCACCCGAGACTCACCAGCTCAGGAGTCAGCCCCTCAGAGAAGAGCACAGGCCCCAGCCCCAGGCAGAGAACTGGCCGTGCAGGGAGCACCAGTCAGGGATACTCCAGTCGCTACTGCCGCGCGACAAACATCCCCAGGCTGGGGGATCGAAAGAGCAGCTACCGCAGTGGCTCCTGTTCTGACTGGAAATCCAGAGTGGACCCTCGCCCGGGCGGCAGCTGCAGCCTTGCTCTCTGGGGTGATTACTTTGAAAACGGGGTGTGCGGACGAGGGCAATGCCAGAGGCCTGGAGGCTCTACCCTCGTGGTGCGTTTTGGAAGGGGCCATTTCCGTTTCCTCTCAGATCTCCAGACCCAGCAGCTGATCCCGGCTCCCTGGGCGGACACAGCCCTCACCTTCTGGGTGATGTGGATGCAGCATCGCTGTCCTGAAGCCAAAGGCCAGGATTTGAGAGGCCAGGCCGGGGGTGGAAGAGCGGGGCCGCTCCGTGTCCGGCTCCCTCCTGGCTCCCTGCCCGGGAGCCGGCTGGAGTGAGCGGTGGAGAGCACTTCACAGGGAGGCGGGGCATCTGCCTGCAAGGTCGATGGGGCAGGATGGGGCAGCCCTGCTATGGCCTCTGCATAGGCTGGGCTGCTGCGATTCCCTGTGGCTGCAGGCCTGGCGCTGAGGAGTACGTGGTGTTCTGTGGGCCGTGCGCTGAGGTTCATGGGTTCCTGGGGATTCCTGTATCCCTGTCGTCCAGCCTCAGGATGGGGCCTGGTCAGAGCTCACAGCCCAAACGCCAGCAACTGCCTCGTGAGCTGGATCCCCTCACTTCTCCCGCGAAGAGCAGCGGCCGGTGATGCTTCTCCCCAACCTCCTCCTCCTCCCGCACGGGGCGTTGAGCCGGGGCCCTGCCCCTCCACTCCCAGTGGCCAGAGCCAGCTCTGTCCCCTTCTCGGTCCTCGTTATGTGGGTCCAATCTGCCCCTCTCCGCTTTCTTTCCCTTACCCTGTTGCCAGCCAATCTTCCTTTGCAGGAAGGTGGACGGGGAGGGGATGAGCCTTCCCTCTTCCTCCCGGAATCTCCATCTCCACAACAGGCTCAGATCTGGAGGCCGAGGGACGTTTAGCAACGGCTCCCTGCCCAGGGCGTCCAGACACACAGGAAAGGAAGTCGGTGGCTGGAGAGGCCATTTCAGGGCAGCTGGAACCAGGAGGCCCCACATGTGGTGAATGAGAGGATCCCGCATACCTAGGATGAACATGGTGGAGGCCCCTCCACCCACCCTGCAGCTCGGCCAAACCTTGACATTCTGCCATCTTGCTTCACATCTTGCTGGTTTCTGGGAAACAGAACATCCCACGTACCATTCAAACCCAGCCAGGGTGTTTTGGAAGTGAACGGCCAGCCCAGGTCAGGGTGAGGCCAAGAGACCGCCGCAGCCCTCTGATGTGGCCACCCTGGGTCTTCCATGTTCCCACAAGTGGCCGGTCCCTGCTGGGAGCTGAGCCGACTGTCTGTCTACCCCAAACCAGGGGTGCCCTTGAAGGTAGGGGGCTGCCTCCCAGCCTAGGTTCCCAGCAGTTCAGCCATCTGTCCCCATCCACGGCTCGGAGCTGTCAGGAGGGACGTCCGGGTCCAGCACAGCCGCAACAATTTCACCAGGAGCCGAAATTGCATTAAGAAATACAGGAAAAATGACACAACTTTCCCCAGGGCTCAGGACCAGGGAAACGGAGGAAAACTTGGGCAGAATTCTGGACGGAGCCCCATTAGGTGCTGAACCGCGGGCGGCCCCGTGCCCTTCCTGCGCCTCAGTTTCCCTATCTGTGAACTGGGGATTGCATTCTCGCCTGGGGTCGTGGAGGATAGACAGAGGTGGCCAAGGGCCGGGGAGGGCACCTGGACACAGCAGGGCCCAGAGCTGTTTCTGCTGCTTGTCTCTGGATTTTCCCCTTTATTAAGATTTGCTGCTGTTTGGGATTATTTCTGACCCCAAGAGCAGTCCTGCGTACTTGCACCACTGTCCACCTTTGGAGCTGAAACCCTCAGTGGTGCAGGACCCAACAGAGAGGGGGCCTGTTTGGAGGCATTCGAGGAGCCCCCGGGCCTGGCTGCCGACCCTGCTGGGCGCTGGCCTCTGCCGCTCACGGTCCCGTCGCCCCAGCCCACTCTAACGCCGCATCCTGTACTTGGCCGTGGTTTTTCAAACCAGCAGCATTTATGATGCTGTCTCCCACCTGCACACGCATCAAAGTCACGTCACAAGTCGGGTGCGGTGGCTGACGCCTGTAATCCCAGCACTTTGGGAGGCCAAGGTGTGTGGATCATTTGAGGTCAGGAGTTCGAGACCAGCCTGACCAACATGGTGAAACCCCATCTCTACTAAAAATACAAAAATTAACCAGGTGTGGTGGTGCGTGCCTGTAACCCCAACTACTCGGGAGGCTGAGGCAGGAGAATTGCTTGAACCCGGGAGGCGGAGGTTGCAGTGAGGTGAGATCGCACCACTGCACTCCATCCAGACTGGGCAACAGAGTGAGACTTTGTCTCAAAAAAGAAAAAAACCAAACAAACAAAAACAAAAACAAAAACAAAGTCACATCACAGAAAGAGCACAACCGACATCAGTGGGCTGGGATTTTAGGCTTTTCTGGGCCCTTTTTTGAAATACATTTTTCAACTTTTGGGATCATTGTAGACCCATATTCAGCCGTAAGAAAGAATAGAAAAAGGGTGAAGGGGGCACTCCTGATTCCCTCAGCCTCCCGTGGCGTCTGTAGCGCTGCCCCACGACCAGAACCTTGCACTGTTTGAGTCTCTCATTTGTGTGTTGTGTGAGGCCATTCTCGTGTTGCTAGAAAGGACTGCCTGAGGCTGGGTGGTTTATAAGAGGTTTATTTGGCTAATGTTTCTGCAGGCTGCACGGGAAAGATGACGCTGGCATCCGCTTCTGGTGAGAGCCTAAGGGAGCTCCAACCTGGCGGAAGGTTGAAGGCAGATCCAGAGCAGGAGACAGACAATGGGGAGGCCCCAGACATTTTGTGTTTTTTTGAGACAGTTTCACTGTTGTCACCCAGGCTGGAGTTCAATTGCTCAATCTCGGCTCACTGCAACCTCCGCCTCCCGGGTTCAAGCAATTCTCCTGCCTCAGCCTCCCGAGTAGCCGGGACTACAGGCACCCGCCACCACGCCCGGCTAATTTTTTGTGTGTGTTTCTAGTAGAGACGGGGTTTCACCACGTTGGCCAGGCTGGTCTCGAACTCCTGACCTCAGATGATCTGCCCGCCTTGGCCTCCCAAAATGTTGGGATTACAGGCATGAGCCACTGTGCCGGTCTGGTCTCAGACTTTTACACAACCAGATCCTTGCATGAACTAACTGAGCAGGAACTCGTCACCAAGGGGATGGTGCTGGGCCATTTGAGAGGGACTCACTTTTATGATCCAACACCTCCCAGCAGGCTCTACTTCCAACACGGGGGATCAGTTTTCAATATGAGATTTTTGAGGACAAGCATTTAAGCCATGTCAGGTGTACCACACACGTGTGTGTTTAGCCCCATGCAATTGATCACAGGTGCAGGTGGTTGAGCCCCCACTGCAGTCAAGAGGCAGACACGCGTCAGCATGAGAACCCCACTGCCTTTTAATAACCACACCCCTCTCTCTCTCTGGAAACGCAAGCAACCACTCACCTGTTCTCCATTTCCACAATTTCGTCATTTCCAGAATGTTATATACAGAGAATCACATAGTATGAGACCTTTTGGGGTTGTTTTAACTCAGCAAAATTCCCTAGAGAGTCATCAGAGTTCTAGTTTCTTCCATTTCTTTGTGGAGCCACATCCCGTGACGTGGATGCACCCAGTTTACTCAGCCACTCGTCTGCTGAAGGAAATCTAGGCTGTTTCTAGTTTTTGGCTATTATGAATAAAACTGATATAAATTTCCAAGTCCAGGTTTTAGTGTGAACATAAGTTTCCATTTCTCTGGATAAATGCCCAAGAGTGCAATTGCTGGGTGATATGGTAGTTCACGTTTAGCAATCTTTTTTTTTTTTTCTGAGATGGAGTCTTGCTTTGTAGCTCAGGCTGGAGTGCAGTGGCGTGATCTCGGCTCTCTGCAATCTCCTCCTCCTGGGCTTATACCATTCTCCTGCCTCAGCCTCCCGAGAAGCTGGGACTACAGGTGCCCACCACCACACCTGGCTAATTTTTTTGTATTTTTAGTAGAGACGGGGTTTCGCTGTGTTAGCCAGGATGGTCTTGATCTCCTGACCTCGTGATTCACTCGCCTCAGCCTCCCAAAGTGCTGGGATTACAGGCGTGAGCCATCGCGCCTGGCTGAGAGTTCTTAAGTATTCTTTATATATATGAGATTCTAGTTCTTATTTAGAAATATGGTTTGCAAACATTTCCCCTCAGTCTGCATTTACCTTTTCATCTATAAGGTCTTTTGCAGAGTAAAGGTCTTTAATTTTGATGAAGTGCAATTTACGAATTTTTCCTTTGGTGTCGAGTTTTCAAACTTTGGTTTCAATATAACAGGTTTTTTGTTTGTTTGTTTGTTTGCATTTTGTATAAGGTGTGAGGTTTTGGTGGATACTCATTTTTTGCCTATGGATGTCCAATTGCTCCAACACCATTTGTTGAAAGGCCACCCATCCTCCACGGAATTATGTTTGCACCTCTGTTGGAAACCAGCAGGGCATATTTGTGTGGGTCTATGTCTGAGTTCCCTGCTGTTCCATTCATCTATGTGTCCAAACCTCTTTTGATACGGACTTGGTGAAGACAGTAATCTTTTATACCCAGCAGAGTAGCTCTTCATGCTTTTTCCAAGATTGTTTAGCTGGAGCCTGTGCCTTTCCATATAAATTTTAGAATAAGCTTGTCTATATTTACAAAGAGACTTGGGGGATTTAGATAGAGATTTCATTAAATCAATAGATCAGTCTCATGGTAGGTGACACTATGTTGAGTCTTCCAATCCATGAACATGGTATATCTTTCTTCATTTGTTTAGGTCTTTTTTGGTCCTTTCATCAGCATTTTGTAATTTTCAGCCTACAAGTACTAGACATATTTTATCAAGTTTATGTCTAAGCATTTCATTATTCTTGGAGTGCTTGTAAATGATAATACATTTTAAAATTTTGTTTCCACATTTTCATTGTTAGTCTATGGAAATGTGATTGATTTTTTGAATGTCGATCTTGTATCCTGTGATTGCACTGAACTCACTAATTAGTTTTTTGTTTTTTGTACATTTGTTGGGATGGTCCATGTGAATAATAATGCCCTTGATAAACAGAGATCATTTTATTTCTTCCTTTCCAATCCGTGTGCCTTTTATTTATTTTTCTTACCTTAGTGCAGTGAATAGAACTTCCAGCGTGTTGAATGAAAGTGGTGGGAATGAATATCCTTGTCTTGCTCCTGATCTCAGGGAAGAGCATTTGGCCTTTTATATTAAGTGAGGTTAGCTGCAGGGATTTTGTAGATGCTTGTTAGCAAGTTATGGAAGTTCCCTGCTACTTCTAATTTGCCAATAATTTTTATTAAGAATGTGTGTTGAATTATGCCAAATACATTTTCTGCATAGATTGATAAGATTATATCATTTTCCTCTTTTTTTAACCTGTTAATCTGATGGATCGCACCATCTGATTTTTCAATGCTCAGCCAATCTCAAATATATTTTCTGCATAGATTGATAAAGTTATATCATTTTCCTCTTCTTTAGCCTGTTAATCTGATGGGTTGCATCATCTGATTTTTCAGTGCTCAGTCAATCTCACGTATTTGGTATGAGTCTCACTTGTTCTTGGTGTATAATTATTTTTATACATTGTTGGATTATATTTGCTTGTATTTAGTGGAGGATTTTTGCCTCTATGTTCAGGAGAGACACTGGTCTGTAGTAGGATTTTAAAACTAGTCTTTAATTTGGTGTCAGGATAGAGCCAGTTTCACAAAATAAGTGGGAAAGTGTTCCTTCCTCTTCTGTGTTCTGGAAGAAATTGTGTAAAATTGGTGTTGCTCCTTTAAATGTTTGGTAAGATTCTCCAGTAAAACCATCTGATCTGAGAGATTTCTTTTTGGGGAACTTTTAAATTATGAATTCAACTGCTGTGATGGTTCTAAGACTATTCAAATGATCTATTTCATCTTGGTTGAGTTTTGATGGCTTATGTTTTTAAAGAATTGGTCCATTTCTTCTAAGTTGTCAAACTCATGAGTGTAAAGTTATTCATAGTATTTTCTTATGATCCTTTTAATGACCACAGGATTTGTAGTGATATCCCCTGTTTTATCTCTGACATTGGTGATTTGCGTCTTCTTTTTATTTTTGTCAGTCTTGCTAGTGGTTTATCAATTTTACAGATTTTCAAAAGAACCAATTTATGTTGATTGATTTTCTCTGTTGTTTTCTTGTTTTCAATTTCATTAATTTCTGTCCTTTATCATTTCCTTCCTTCTTCCCACTTCTCATTTAATCTGTTCTTCTTTCTCTAGTTTCCTGAGGCCAAAACTTAGATGATTGATTTGAGATGCTTTCTCTTTTTCTAATATTAAGTATTTGGTACTATAAATTTCCCTCTAAGCTCTGCTTCATACCACACATTTTGATGTATTTTTATTTTCACTCATTCTGTGAGTTTATGTTTTTCACCACATTTGAGAAGTATTCCATTATTACTTATTCAAATCCTCAGTCAGTCCTGTTCTCTTCCTGAAAATCGGGTGGGTCTTTGGTTATTGTTCTACTGGTTCCTGAAGCTCTGTTCGTTTTTTCTTCCTCTGTTCCCTCCTCCTTCCCTCCCTCCCTCACTTCTCCCTTTTTCCTCTCCTTTCTCCCTCCCTCTCTTCCTCCCTTCCTTCCTCCCTCCTCCCTTCCTCCCTCCCTTTCTCTCTCTATGGTTCTTATTGGGCCCATTCTACTGCTGTGTCCTCAGGTTCACTGGCTGTGTCCTCTGCCATCTTCACTTTACTACTGAGTACATCCGGAGAGTTTTGTTTCTGTGTTTGTAGTTGTTAGCTCTGTGTATTCCCTTTGGTTCTTTCTGATAACTTCTGTGTCTTTGCTGAGGTCTTCTACTTCATTTGTTTCTGGAGAGTGCATTGCTTTGTCATGGTGCCCTGTGGTGACAACCCTGGCCTCCTGGTCGTGTCCTCAGCCTCGAGCTGGTCCTGGCACTGGTGTCATTCATTGTCTTTTCTCATTCACGTGTGTGTCCTCCAGCTTTTGCTGTGATGAGCAGCTTTTGCTTGTATCCTGGGCATTTTGGCCCTGCTTAGAGACTCTGAGTCCTGTGGATGTACTTTATTTTCCTAGGCCACCGCCCTGTAGGTTGGCACCAGGTCCTGGCTGGTGTCATGAACTGTGGTTCCTGACATTTTTACTCTTTGGGATGGGTGGTGCCGTCTGGGTATCCTTGGTTGATCTGGTGCTGGCAGAGTTTCCACTGGTGCTTCCTGAGGGGCCGGGGATTTCCCCGGCCATGTGGCAGCTCTAGGTGGGGAAGGAAGTTTCTACCCGATGGTCGCTTCCTGTGCTGAGCCAGCATGCTGTGGCATTCCCCTACCGATGCCACCCGTACTTCTTGGTGGGGAGGAGGGTCTCAGGCCCACAGGGACCAAGGGGCTTTCTGGGCGTGGTTTGCTGTGCCGAGCCCCCTGCTCAAGGCCCCTGTTGCACCTGGCAGGGGAATGGCTCCCACCCCCCAGCTGCCTTCTCTTGCTAGGCTGGGAGTCAGGAAATGCCCAGCCTGGCTCTCTTCCTTCCTGTCACCCGGCCGTCTCTCCCACCTGGGCCCTGACCACTTGCATGCTTTGGAATTTTCTGTCCACTGCACGTGCAGTTTCCTGGATTTATAGCAGGGCTTAGTGGGAGGCACCCGGAAAAATAAGTCTTGTCTGTGCCAGGCGTCTCCTGATGTCTCTCTTTAAGCAGGACCCTGGGTCGGTCCCTTCTCGGTGCCTCAGTGTCCCCACCTGTGGGCATCCCCCACTCCCCTCTGGATGGTTTGAGTCAGTGCCGTGGACGGCTCATCAGTCTGCACAGCGTGCATGCAGGCTCGCGGGGTCCCTGCCGGGGGCAATGCCATCCCGCATCTCCACACTTCATGCACTAGCTCTGCTGGCCAAAGCCCTGGACCCACCAGGAGGTTCATGAGGGCCAGGAGGGAGGGAAACTGAGGCAGCTTCAAGCTGATGGGAGGCAGGACAAAGGGGAGGCTCACTCTGAGCTGAAGGCAGGGGTCTCCTGCTGCCTCAGGGGATCCAGCACCCACCCCCAGCTCCCCTGAGCTGCGAGCAGGGGAGTGTGATCCCCCCAGGGCACAGCCCGCTGCCCCTTCCTTCTGCGTCCCCTGTCTCAGGGAGTCCTGGCCATCACCTGCCTCCTGAGTGAAGGCTGTTCATGGTGCAGTCTCTACAGATGCCAGATCCACAGGGACGCTGCCTCCCAGAGCTTGCTCAGAGGGGTGAGTGACGCTGCTGCAGGTCAGAGACATCCCATGGGCCACGGTCACCAGCGGGACCTGGGAGATGAGAAGGGGCAGGCAGGTGAATTTCCCTCCCTGGCTCTCCCGGGGAGAGGGCTGGGGTCCCAAGTGGCCATGGGATTGTCCCTTGTGTCTGGTAATTGGCTGTGTCTGGCCCAGGAGCTCACCACCTGCTGTTTGCTCCAGTCCCCTCCCCTCCCTCCCTCTGTCCTCCTGCCCCCTCCCCTCCCTCCCTCTGTCCCCCTGCCCCCTCCCCTCCCTCCCTCTGTCCCCCTGCCCCCTCCCCTCCCTCCCTCTGTCCCCCTGCCCCCTCCCCTGCCTCCCTCTGTCCCCCTGCCCCCTCCCCTCCCTCCCTCTGTCCGAGCTGCACCTGCACGAAGACGTCACTCAGCAGGAGGCTTTGCTGGGGATCAGTTTTCCAGACCAGGCCCCTTGTCTGCCACTCTCCGTTCTGAGCATTGAGGGTCCTGGGAATAGAAGCCACCTCCATCACCTCCCCTTCTGCACAAGAGCCTGTTATAGGCCAATTCGTGTCTCCCCAAATCCATGTGTGGAGTCCGAACCTCTGGGGCCTCCGTGTGTGGCCATATTTGGAAGCCGGGTTGTCGCAGCTGTGATTTGTTTAGATGCGGTCACAGGAGTAGGGCGGACCCAGCGACCTTATACGAAGGGGAAATTTGCGCAGAGCGGGGTGGGCCGTGGGGCATGTGGAATAAACCCTTGAGGAGGGAGGGGCGACCGGAGCCCAGAGTCCTGCTGACCTGGGGGTGGATCATCCGGGGGGGCCACCAGAGCAGCTCCTCGCCTGCCTGGAAGCCACCCCAGAGGCACCTGCCGCGGCCTCCTCTCCCCACACTTCCCTCTCCAATTCCCGGAAGTCCCTGCGGCTCTCACTGTGCTCCGCTCCTTCCTGCTGAGCCACACTTTCCCAGGACGACGCTTACCTCAGCCCAGGGTCCAAGACCGCAGGACACTGGCCCCCGCCCAGGCCACGCCCCCCAGAGAGGGGCTCCCGGCAAGGGCCACCCCCAACCGCTCCCTCCCCTCCCGGGCCCAGGCCAGTCTCGGGACAATGCGCCTTCCTCTTGGGCTGGGCCGGGTCCTTGGCGCGATTCGCCTTTGGAGAAACTGGAACGAAGCCGGGAGGACGCCTCCAAGGTGTCAGACAGCGCCTCCAACGCACGCCCAGCACCCGGCTGGCCCCAGTCTCCGGTCTGCTGATCCAGAGCCGCGTCCTCGCTTTACAGACCGGGAAACTCGAGTGCAGGTGGCCCAGCCCCCAGGGACGAAACGAGCCCTTCCGGGGCGGCCCCTCTCCTGGGAGCCACGCGAGGCCCTCACCCCTCTCCTCCTGGTCTCCAGGCGTCCTGAGCAGGTGCCACAGTTACGGCCACTTCACGGATGAGCGGACGAGGCTCAGAGAAGTGGATGGCGGTGCCAGCATGGGGCAGGAGTCCTGTGGGTGGCCCCTCCCCTCCGGGGCAGCTTCAGAAGAGTCTGTGACAGGAGGTCCCGCCCCGGACTTTGAGCAGGGAGGACGTGGACAGCCGCGGGGCTGTGGAAGCAGGAAGCTCGGGCAGTGCCCGGCTGCTCACAGCCAAGTCCTCCGAGCCCTGTGCCCTCCCCAGACCTGCTGCCCCGCGTCCTGCACCTGAGGAGCCGCACCTGAGCCTCCCTGGTCCCGGGCCGGCCTCGTCCTCCAGGCAGTACAGCTTGGAGTGTCCAGAGGCGGCCTTGGGACAGGGGCCGTGGTCGGCGGGACCCGGGCCCACCCATGCTTTGCTATGAAGGAGATTTCCCTGTCGGGCCACACATGGAGAGGAGTTGCCCCCAGAGACCCCTGCGACCCAGGGAAGGAGCCCGAGGTGGCAGCAGCCCGGGACCTACAGAGGGGCGGTTGGGAGCTTCTCTTGGAGAAGATACACCCCAGGCCTGGGGGTCCTGGCGCCTGCGGGGCTGTTGGGCGGGAGGAAGTGTGAGGATCCTGCTCCGTGGCAAGCACAGAAGCAGCCTGAGAGCGGGGACAGGCCGTGGGCCAGACCATGCGTCCAGGTGGGGGAGGCTCTCACCCGGCGTGGTCCAGCCACAGCTCTGCCGGCCTGGCTGGGTGACCAGGGCCCTTCCCTGCTCTTGGCCTTGGGGTTGTCATCTGCAAGGAGGGCATCCTCGGTTCTCTACGCTAGGACTGGTGTGGGGGTCTGTTGAGACCCCAGGTGTGGAGCAGTCCCACAGTCGTGAAATGGGCGCAGACGGGGCAGCCTCCACACCCTTGGCCCTGGGCCGCCACGCAGTGGGGCTGAGCTTGTCAGCTCCCAGGACGTGTGAGTGACTGCAGGTGGCCGGGTTCAGGAGCTGGCACCGCCGGCGCAGCGTCCTGTGTCTCTAACTCAGTTGTACCCCACGGGCTTCTTCGTGAATGAAAAATAAATTAATGGTGAAGAAAATTGTTGCTATTCATTGTTTTCTGTGTTCCGAGCAGTGAGGATTTCCCGGTTTACTGTTCCCAGTGATTTAGGAGGTGGCTATTATTGTCTTCACATTTCACAGATAAGACAACTGAGGCTCGGCCGGGCATGGTGGCTAGAACCTGTAATCCCGGGACTTTAGGAGACCAAGGCGGGAGGATCGCTTGAGTCCAAGAGCGCAAGACAAGCCGGGGCAGCACAGGGAGATCCGTCTCTACAAAAATAGAAACTTTAGCCAGGCATGGTGGTGCACGCCTGTGGTCCCAGCTACCCAGGAGGCTGAGGCAGGAGGGTCATTTGAGCCCGTGAGTTCCAGGCTGCGGTGAGTGGAGATCACACCACTGCACTGTAGCCTGGGCCACAGAGGGAAACTTGTCTCACAAGAAAGAAGAAGAAAACTGAGGCCCTGGGAAAGTGAGTCCCTGGCCCAAGGCCGCAGGGCTGTGAGTGGGGTTCACAGCCGGGTGTCCCACCGAGAGGGGTGTGAGCTGCTCTAACCTCTGGGATTCTGCCCAGTACCCAATGCCAGGAGCAGGGCCAGGTCCACACCTGGCGGGCAGGAAGGGGCAGGTCTTTCGTGCTGTGGACAGTCACCTTTCCCTGGCCTGGCTGAGCCCACAGAGATTCTCTCCCGCTTCCTGAGGCTCTGGTCAGCCGGCAGGAGGGTCAGGCTGGGATGGGCGGGGTGCGGACGGAAGCCTTACGCCCGTGCTCTCTGCTGAGCCCAGGAGAGGGAGGAGCCCCAGCCGCCCACCCGGCCCTACTCCCCTCGGCTTCTTTTGTGCCTGGCCTCAGACTTGCTGTCCTCACCGTGCTGACAGGGGCACCTGGGGTGTGGCTGGGTCGGAGGTGGCCTTGCCAGGCCTGGGTGGGGCTGTGACAGGGGCGCTAGGTCAACCTCACTTCCAGCCCCCGACTCCCTCTCCGCAGAGGCTGGTTACCTGCTCTGGGGGCCTAAGCTGCCCTGGTCAGCCCATCTGTTTCCTGCTCGCTGGAGAAGGCCGTCCCGCCCTGGCCCCGGTCTCAGAAGCCCTTGGTCTCCCGCCCCTAAGGCCCCCCCGTGCCAAGTCAGGTCCCTGCCCTGAGGGTGGGAGTGGGTGGGGCTGCCTGTTGGGGTCCTGCCATGCCCTCCCCAGCAGAGCCTCCACCTACCCCCTTCCATCCACTGCCCCAGGCGCCCCGGCTGCCTTGTCCTCTGCCACACTCAGGGGGGGCCGGCCTCAAGCCCTGGGTGGTCAGCGCTGATTTATTTTCCTGACATGGGACCGGTGAGAATGACGGCCTCTCCCATGGGCACAGGGGACCACAGGCTTTCCCCGTCCGAGACTCCGGCCTCAAGGTCCTCTGCCTTCCTGGAAACGGGGCTGGGACCATTGTCCTGAGTCACAGAGGAGGAAACTGAGGCCCAGAGAGGCGAATGCTGCGTTGAACATTCAAATGCATTGTAGGACGCCCTGGGTGTGTCCGCCGGGAGCTGCCGCCCCGCCCACCACCCTTGCACCTCGGGGCCTGGGTCTCATGCCTCAGAAACCCCGGCTTCAGGTAGGGTTGACGGATCCAGCAAAGACACCCACCCAAAGACGCCCAGCCCAGAGGCCACCCGAGGACGGGGCTCCCAGCCATGAGCCCACCCCGGTGCCTGCTCTCCTGCTGGGGGGCACACAGCCCATCTCCACCCACCGTCTGGCTGTTCCCTGGGGGCCAGCCTGTGTCTCGTGCCTGCTGGGCTGCAGAAGTAACCCTCTGTCCCCACAGCCTGGGCCAGGCTGGTCACGGAGCAGACATCAGACCTCGGGCCCAAGTCGCCACAGCGCACAGGCCCAGACCTGCCGCGAGGACGGAGCAGGAGACAGCGGAGTGTGGACGTGAAGCCAGGAATATCCCAGAACAGTCAGGAGCGGGGGCAGGAAGGGCCCAGGGTGGGCCGGGGCCTGCGGCTGTGAGTCGGGGGCTGAGGGGAGGCTGCCGGTGGCTGCACGTCCCGACTTGCACGGCAAATGCCTGGCCAGGCAGCCCCTCCAGCCTCAGCAAGCCGCCACCCGCCCACAGCCTTCCTGCCATTCGCAGCCCTCGCTGGGCCCCCTGTTCTGCAGCTCCCCCATCCCCGCCCTCCCCTCCTTCCATTTCCAGCGGGAGAGAAAGCAGAACGTCTTCCTGAGCAGCCACTGGCCAGGTAGCCTGTCTCCGGGGCACCGGCAGCCGGGGCTACTCACTCCCGGGGGTCTTCCCGAGCCACCAAGTCCCCTCAGGAGAGGATGGGCTTGCCAGCTCCTCGGGGGGCCGCCCTCTCCTCCGTCCTCACACCCCCCTTCCTGCCGCGCTGGCCATGCACGTCCACTCCTTCGGGTCTCCTTTGGGTCTCTGTTCCCACACCCTGCCCGGTGCCCTCCCTCCTCCCCTACTCCGAGGCCCTGTGTAAATGCCACTTCCTCTGGGAAGACGTTGGGGCTTGAGTTGGCAGCCAGTGGGAGCCACGGACAGCTCTTGAGAAGGGAAGAGCTATCAGAGGTGCGAGGTGTGAGGTCAGGAAAGGAAGGGTGGTCACCGGAAGCCCCACGCGCTCTTCCCTGACGGACGCGCTCTCTCGGGGCAGCTGCCGGCCGCGTCTTTGCTGGATCCCAGTGCTGGCCCCGCTGTGCCTCCGTCAGCCGGTGGCCTGTTTGCCCATCCTCGGGGATGCCCCTGGCTCCTCTCCTCTCAGGGCCAGGCCCCTCCGAGTGTGAAGATGCAAAGCGGCCCCTCCCCGTGCCCGTTCGGTTCCCCCCACCCCGTGGCTGCGTTTTTTCCCACGGCCCGAGGAAGTGATTTCCGTGGTCCGGGCACCGGGACAGTCAGTGAACTGAAAGTGGCCTCTGTGTCTTAACTCGAGTCACTCCAGTATCTCTCCGGGCGCTGCCGGGTCCCGCTCTGCAGCCGCGTCTTTTCAGGAGCATCTGCCCTGGGGATGGACGCACAGGCCCTGCTGCTTCCAGGGACTTCTGGCACCTTCCTCTGGCTCTAGCATCTGGTCCTCAGTCTCCCCATCTGTGAGACCGGCGAGCTCTGCTCGTCCACCTCCCCAGATGCATGCGGTGCAGGCTGAGGCCCCCGTGGAGCTTTGAAAGTCCAGAGCAGGCTCAGGTCTTACGCTACAAGTTCCAAGCTTCTGGGCCGTGGGCCTCGCGGACCGCAGGGTTGGAATCTCAGCGCCTTTAGCCAAAACGGAGCTTGGATGTGGGTCACTGGGGGTCAGAGAGGTCGAGCGGCCCGCCCAGAACATGAAGCTGTGATGGGCAGCTAGGCTGTGAGAGGCAGGCCTGAGGGCAGAAGGGCCTGTCTCAGGTGAGGCCGGCTCGGTCCCCAAGTGAGGACCTGGCTGTCTCCAGCTGCACAGGAGACGCTGGGGCAGAGGCTGCCTCTGAGCCCGGGATCTCCCAGCTGGTCCGGTGGTGGCGTGGGTGCCGACACGGACCCCGTACCCTTTGTGAGACATCCTACCCCTGTGGGCTCCTGCAAGTTCCACACCTCAGGGCTCACTCAGCGGCCTGGGCTCAGGTCTCCTCCATCAGGGGAGGCTCCTTCACGGGCGGCCGTGGGCCCCACGTGACCCCCAGCACAGAGGGCTGCCCACGAGCCAAGTGGCAGGACCCACGCACGCTTCCCACCCCATTCACCTTCCCATTCCGTGTGCGTTCCAGCTGGAACAAGGCCGTCCTTGTCTCTAGAATTAGCGACTCTGAGTGGAGACGGTGAATCCGGGACCACAGGAGAGATTCACTGCATTTGGGGCAGGGGATGGCGAGTGAGTGAGGGGGCGTGTACAGGGTTCCCTCCGTCGGCCCGCAGGTCCAGCTCTCCATGGAGCGTGCGAGGAAAGAGGTAGCCGCCGCGGTGGGAGTGGGGTGAGGTGCGAGGCCTGGAACCCCGCCATTGCTCTTCTGAGACAGTGTTTGCAAAAAGCACCCCAGGTCCCCGGGTGAGTTTTTGCACTGGGAAGCAGCAGCTGGTTCCACTGGGAGGCAGGCATTCCACGGAGACAGGCCTTTTAAGGGGAAAGAAGAATCTCTGAGGCCTCCCAACTGGAAAGGGGGTCCCCCCCCGCTGGCCCCGCTGTTCCCTGGAAGAGGGAGAGGAACACGGCTGGGGAGGAACACGGCTGGCTCAGCTCATTCATTCACCGACTCCCTCAATTCATGCCCTTGGCACCATCACATAACAGAGGCCAGGTTCTTAAAACTTCAGAGAGTGTCGCTCGGAACTATTTTTCTGAACTCTTTCCTTCCCTCCCTCCCTCCCTCCTTCCTCCCTCCCTTCCTTCCCTCTGTCTCTTTCTCCTTCTTTCTTTTTTCTTCTTTCCTTCCTTCCTCCCTCCCTTCCTTCTTTCCCTCTGTGTCTCTCTCCCTTTCTCTCCTTCCTTCTTTTCTTTTTCTTCTTTTTTCACTCCCTCCCTCCCTCCTTCCCTTTCCCTCCCTCCCTCTCCCTCCTGCCCACCCTCCTTCCCTTCCCTTCTCCTCTCTTCTCTTCTTTCTTTTCTCTCTCTCCCTCCCCCCCCCTTCTTTTCTTCCTTTATGGTTTTTTGGTAAAGTGTGTTCACAAGTCCCAGGCCCTCCTAAGAGATAAAAGGGGGAAGGGTGCACGGAGCAGGTTCCACCGCCCAAGGTCCCCCTGCGGGACTTCTCCGAGTCTGGACTTTGCTTTAAACCCTCCTCCACTTTCCCTCGCTGTCAGCTGCAGGTGCGGCCTCTGCGTCCAGGCTTAGCTCCCTGCACGGTTGTTTCAAAGCCTGATGAAGCTGCATGGTGGGGAACCAGGCTCCAGGCATCCGAGGCCCGGATAGGCGGTCGGCCACATTTACGGTGCCAAACTCAGATCAAAGGCCGATGGAATGGGGCAGCCCGGCCCAGTCTCGGGTGCCCACAACAAAGCCCTGGCCCACTGGTCGCAGAGCACAAAAGGCCTGGGCTATGCAGCCTTACTTGTGTGGGGAAGGCCTCAGATAAAGCGACAGGGCATTCTCGGGGCCGCTGTCCCACCACAGAACCGCTCGTCACACATGAAACAGCAGATTAAGAATTTCCTTTTCTATTTTTGCTGCAAAATTTGCACTGGAAAGGGCTTGGTTTGGAAACACTCTCCCCTTTGAGCTGCTTGGCTGCAGATGAAAGGGGCGTCCAGCCTGCGGTCCGGCCCGGAGGGGGCACTTGCAGCCTCGGCAGCCTCCTCGGTGTGACGGCGATAAGGGATCAGAAACCTATTATCGCTGTGTTTATTGTGCTGGTTAACCATTAAAAACGGCGGTGGAGGTGGGGGCCGGGGTGATTTGTTGACTTGAAGAATGGTTTCTGGCTCTGCGAGCGCTTCTGGAATCCTTGCCCCTAAGCCCCAGCTTGGCGGCTGGGTGAGGAGGAAGCTGGGGCAGGTTTGGCCTCTGTGCCCCGGGGAGAAGAGAGACGCAGATGTCTGTCTGTGGGCTGGTGGTGCCCAGGTGGTGTCCGGCACCTTCTGGGGCTGACCGGCGGTTAAAGACGACGTGTTAGGGCCACACGTGGAGAAGTTTTCCTGCAGAGGAGGGGCCATCTCGGGGAGGGAATAGGGCTTGCTGGAGGCCTCACAGTGGGGAAGAGAAGGGGGTCTCTGCCCAGCCCTGCCCCACTCTCCAAGGGTGGAGCACAGAGTCTGGGTGAGAGGCACTGGCTGCGGTCCTGATGCCCAGGGGGTCGAGGGCTGGTGTGAGTGTGGACAGGGCTGCTTGGACTTGGACTACAAGCTCGGTCGTGGTTGCCCTCGGAGCGTTTCTTTCCTTTTTTGGCGTTGGGGGTGGGGAGTGGGAGAGTGTTAGGGTCTCACTCTGTCGTCCAGGCTGGAGTACAGTGGTGCGATCACAGCTCACTGCAGTCGCAAACTCCTGGGCTCAAGCGATCCTCCTGCCTCAGCCTCCCAAGCAGTTGGAACTACATGTGTACGCCACCGCACCCGGCTAATTTTTAAATTTTTTATAGAGACAGGGGCTCGACATGTTGACCAGGCTGGTCACGAAGTCCTGGGCTCGAGCCATCCTCCCGCCTCGGCCTCCCAAAACGCCGGGATTACAGGTGTGAGCCACTGCACGCGGCCTCCGTTGGGTCATTTCTGAGCCCACTGACCCACAGGCCCGTGAGGATGGCTGTCCTGAGTGCGGCTCACACTTTCTCCAGAGCCCGGCGTTCCGGCCACCCGAGCAGCACGCAGGGGAACGCAGGGAGCAGAGTCGCTTCGCTGGGGTCCCGTCCAGGCCCGATGTCTGCTGCTTGTGGCCGGGCGGGCCCAGCGTACATGGGGTGGATGTGTGGGGTGGACGTGTGGCCGGGCGGGCCCAGCGTCTCTTCTGCACAGGGTGGATTGATCCTGCCTCAAGGGCAGTCCGTGGAGAGGCAGTGAAGGGCCGCCCGTGAGGTGGGAAGGCCTGGTCCATCGTAGCTGCCTGTAGCCTGCATTGGATCCGAGCTCATATGGCAGCAGGAGGCTGTTGCTGAAGGCACCCCCGGCTCCCAAAGCCAGAAGTGGATTCGGCTCAGTTGCTGCTTTTCCCTCTTGCCTGGCTGGCGGGGCTGTTCCTTCATGGTCTCAAAGGCATTTGGGTCCGTGAGGCTTGACCTGGGTCTTCCAGGGAGGAGGAGAGGGAGGATCTCCCCCTACCAGGAAGAGGGAGAGAGGGGTAGCCACTCACCAGGGAGGAGGAGAGTGGGGGTCACCCCCCACCAGGAAGGAGGAGAGTGAGGGTCGCCCCCCACCAGGAAGGAGGAGAGTGAGGGTCGCCCACCACGGCCCCACCTCTGCATCCTCCTGGTAACAGGGCTCAGAATGGAGGCTCTTGGGTACATGCAGAGGGACACCCTCCCCAGACACCAGAGTCGTGATGTACAGCTCCGTGATTTCACACAGTGACTCTGTGAGGTCCATGTGCCCATTTCACAAGGGAGGAAACTGAGGCTCATCTGACTGAGCCACCCAGAGAATAATGGACTTGCGGTTTCGACTGAGCTGTTGGCCTTGGTGCTTTGTCCTCCAGATACCTGGAAGGGAGGGTGTGGCAACTCAGGACACAGAGGACAGGGAGAGCTCAGCACCCTTGACCTTTGCTCCCAAAGGACTGTCACTCTCCAAGGGAGGCTCCCACACCCCTCACAGGCCCTGTGCAGTCACCTGCCCCAGGCAACATCTCGTTTTGTCTTGGGCACCTACTCTGCGCTGGGCCCCTCGGGGGTGTTGGAGGCCTATTGTGCGCTGGGCCCCTCGGGTGTGCTGAGCGCCTACTGTGTGCTGAGCCCCTTGGGTGTATTGGATGCCTACTGTGTGCTGGGCCATTTGGGTGTGTTGAGCGCCTACTGTGTGCTGGGCCCCTTGGGTGTGTTGGATGCCTACTGTGTGCTGGGCCATTTGGGTGTGTTGAGCACCTACTGTGTGCTGGGCCCCTCGGGTGTGTGGGACTCCTACTGTGTGCTGGACCCGTAGGGTGTGTTGGACACCTACTGTGCACTGGGCCCTTTGGGTGTGTTGGACGCCTACTGTGCGCTGGGCCCCTTGGGTGTGTTGGACGCCTACTGTGCGCTGGGCCCCTCGGGTGTGTTGGACGCCTACTGTGCGCTGGGCCATTTGGGTGTGTTGAGCACCTACTGTGTGCTGGACCCCTCGGGTGTGTTGAGTGCCTACTGTGTACTGGGCCCTTTGGGTGTGTTGGATGCCTACTGTGCGCTGGACCCTTCAGGTGTTGGAAGAAGTGTAAGGCTCAGTCGTTGCCCTCCAAGAAATGAATGTTTAGTTGGGGAAACAAAGTCCACAGGAGGCAGATGGAAGCATGGCCCCGACCAGACGCCTTTCATGTCCGAGGTTGGCCTTCATGTGGCCACAGCCCCCCGTGTTCACCCAGGTGCGTCTAATAGGCCGCCTTGGGTTTTATGAGATAACGGTCTGCACCTGATAGCTGTGACTGGGAGGCGGCAACCCGGCCAGCCAGGTCAGTCTGTCTGTAGCGAAAAGCCAAGGAATGAGGTAATACCTGGACGCACGCACTGTGGTCAAAGTCAAATCCCCCAGGGCTTTCTGGAAGAACTGAGAGTGTCTCTGGGCCTTTTCCTGCTTCCTGCACCCAGTAACCTAGAAGATCACTGGCCATCTTTGCCCGCAGCAGCCCCCTTTGCCCTGCAGGACGGAGGCTGTGACATGGCTTCCCGTAGGACGCGCTGCGGCATTCGTGAGTCAGGGCCAGTGCACCGAGCCACGGAGCACCCTCAGCTGCCAGCTCCGCCCTGGGGCTCACCTGGCCCTGCACAGAGTCTGCGAAGTGTCTGCCCTGGGGCTCCAGCCCCCACAGGTACAGCCAGGCCCCTGGTGGTGGGAGTCGGGAGGCCAGGCCTGGGCTGAGTCCGAAGCTGAGGCCTCCTCCCTCTGAGGCCTCCTCCCTCTGCTTGTTACCTGGGCCCGGCTTGGCTGCCTTGCTTTTAAAAACATTTTCTTTGAAACAAAGAGTCTATTTATTACATTTTATTAACGGGGCGTGGGCCCGTGCCGGAGCATCAGGTGGGCTCGGAGTCAGGTGGGCCCGGGCTGGGTCCAGCCCTTGCTTTATAACCCGCGGGACCTGGGGCCGCCCTCGCCTCTCCGAATCCCGGTTCCTTATCTGTTTAATGGGAGCGGAATTCCCACCCGGCCGGGTTGTTGTGGGGCACAGGCGAGATAACGTGCCATAAAGTGCCCGTCAGGGGCTTGGCACGCAGCTGTGGGGCAGCCTGAGAGCGGCCTTGGTGGCACCGCTGGGGTAGGCGGCCCGTCTGCAGCGCGGGGCCGGCCGCGTCGTTCGCCTCTGCAGCCAGCCTGGGGCCCGGGGCCTCGGCACAGTGGACGATCGCCGGGCGTCTGGCCACGGCGGATTGGAGCCTCGGTCAGCCCGCGTCTAAGGGCATGAGTGCCGTGATCCGTTCCCCGGGCCTGGCACGCAGGGTGCGTGGTGGGACCCAGGAATGCGACCCATCTTCCCAGCCCCGAGGGACTGATCTTCCGCCTCCGAGAGGCCACCTGCAGCACGGAGAGGCTGCCCTGGGGGGCTGGGCTGTCAGCACCACCGGGAGGGGCCCCCTGTCCCACAAGACCAGGCATGTGCCGGGTCCCACATCCGGAATTCGGCTGGGGCGGCTTCCTGGCCGCCGAGGCCCGTGTCTGCTCTTGCCCAGGAATGCCCCACGCCCCTCCCGAAGCCGTCTGCTACCCAGGCGTCTGTTCCCCCTTCCGTGACAACAGGTTAAGGAGCCACCGCACACAACGTGTCCCTTCACAGCCTCTGGGAGGACGCAGTCGCGGCCAGACCCAGTGCCTGCAGGAGGAGCGGGTGTTGCCACAGGAATCCGAGAAGAGGGAAGGGATCTCGGCCGGGGGCTCCCTGAGGCGGGGGTGACTCCGGGCTCACGGTGCACGGGGCCTGTGGATACTGAAACAGCACCCAGGTGATTAAAGCCACATCGTGTCCCTGAGCAGCCAGCCAGTGAGATTCAGGAGCAGCTAACCTGGACCACAGCAGGCGTGGGAGGGTGTGTTCCAGCCACAGACGCGGGGCACCCTGTGGGACATTAGGAGACGCTGCTGGTCACCAGACGCCGTGGTCCAGGCGGGGCTCTGTGCTGCGGCCCCGGGAGGGCTTGTCCACCCCCGATGGCTGCTGGCGCTCTAAAGCGTTCTCCTCTCTCCACCCTCCTGGTGAAGTGCAGGGTGCCCGCTGCCGGGGAGACACCAGGCCTCCGTGGCCGGTGCGCAGACCACATCAAGGTCAGGTGGACCCCTGGAGAAGTGGGGTCACTGGGGACAACTGTTCTGAGCACCCACAGAATAGGCTGTTGAGGGCTATGATTCGATAAGCCCTGGTGGGCCCGGCAGCCCCCTCTGTTGCTGCCGACTGTGGGGATCTTTTTTAAAATTTTTGTGAGACAGTCTTACTCTGTTGCCAGGCTGGAGTGCAGTGGTGCGATCTCGGCTCACTGCAACCCTCACCTCCCGGGTTCAAGCGATTCTTCTGCCTCAGCCTCCCAAGTACCTGGGATTACAGGCGCCCGCCACCATGCCCGGCTAATTTTTTGTATTTTTAGTAGAGACGGGGTTTCACCATGTTGCCCAGGCTGGTCTCGATCTCCTGACCTCGTGATCCACCCACCTTGGCCTCCCAAAGTGCTGGGATTACAGGCGTGAGCCGCCGTGCCCGGCCAACTGTGGGGGTCTTTGAGCCACACTCTGAGAACGTGTGCTCTGAGCTGGGGTCCGTGGGGGGACGCTGGGTCGGGGGGATGTTGTGATCTGCTCCACGTGGCAGCTGGAAGACGAGCACACCAGGGGTGTCTGGCCCTGGCTCAGATCTGGGCAACTCCCTCCATGCCTCAGGCAGGCCCATCCCTCTCTGGGCCTCAGTTTCCCCACCTGTTCAGTGAGCTGATGGCCACAGCCCCTTTCTTCATGAGGGCCTGTCTAGTAGCCACCCCAACCAAGAGTTTCTCATGTCTGACAACCCATCTAGTCCATTCCCTCGTTACAGAGCCCAGAGAAGTGTGACCGACTTTAAACTCACCAGATCCTCTTAGCTCAGCTGGCTGACCGGGCTGGGCTCCAGGCAGTCCATGCCTTCCAGAAGGGGCTGGGGCTGGGGGTTCCCTTGGTGAGGGGGCTGGGGTCTTCAGCGTCAGCCACTTTCTCCCATGCCTGGGTGACAGGAGGTGGCCTTAGAGCTGGAGAGGCTTTCTTCACCATCATGGATGGACGACGGCTCACACCACCAGCCTACCGTGGGCACAGCGGCCTGAGGCCTGGAGAGGCCCCCTCCCTCCTCCCCAGGCTGCAGTCTGGATGGGTGGCTTGTTTGCAAACACTCTGCTGCCCTCCTGGTGTGGGTGCTGCAGCCCCCCTGCAGAAGTGCCCTCTGGCCTCCTCCTTTTGGAGCAGCCTCTGCGCCTTCTACTCCAGCCCCCAAGGCCCCAGGCAGGTGTGTGTGTGACACAATCTTGTATGTGGCTTTATAAGACTCACTTCCAGGTCTCTTCTCTGGAGAAGGTGATGTTCTCAAAACATGACCCCCAGACCAGCCGTGTCGGTGTCACCCAGGAACCACTGGAAATGCAAATTCGGGGGCCTTCTCAAGCCCTGCCGGTGACTCTGAAGGTGCTCACATTGGAGAACCTGGCTGGGTGAGGTCCAGGAATTTTTTTAAATGTCAGGGTGATCTGTGTGTCTTCTTTTGAGAAATGTCTATTTAAATCCTTTGCCTGCTTTTCAGTCAAGTTACTTGTGTGTGTGTGTGTGTGTGTGTGTGTGTGTTTTCCTGTTGAATTGCTTGAGTTCTTTGTAGATTCTGGATATGTGTCCCTTGTCAGATGAATAGTTTGCAAATATTTTCTCCCCTTCTGTGGCTGCCTCTTCCCTCTGCCGACTGTTTCCTTGGCCTTTTGCAGAAGCATCTTAGTTTGATGTAGCCCCGTTTGTCTATTTTTGTTTTTATTGCTGGTGATTTTGAAGTCTTGGCCATAAAATCTTTCCCCAGAACAATGTTCTGCAGTGTCTTCCTTATGTTTTTCTTCTCATAGTTTTATTGTTTTGGGTTTTACATTTCAGTCTGCAACCTATTTTGAGTGGGTTTTTGTATATGCTGAGAGACAGTATATGAAAAAATGCTCAGCATGACTAATCATTGGGGAAATGCAAATCCAAACCACAGTGAGATACTATTTTGTCCCAGTTAGAATTGCTATTACCAAAAAGACAAACAAAAAACAAAAAACAAAACAAAACAAAAAACCATGCTGGTGAGGATGTGGAGAAAGGGGAGCTGTCACACACAGATGGGGGGATGTAAACTAGTAACAGCCGCGGTGAAAAACAGTATGGAGCTTCCTCAAAAAGCTAAACACAGAATGACCGCGTGATCCAGCAGTCCCGGGACCGGGTGTTTGTCCGAGAGAAAGGAAATCGGCACAGAAATGAGTGATCTGCTCCCTCTGTTCATTGCAGCGCGAGTCCCAGCAACCAGGATGTGGAATAAACGCATGTCCATCAGCAGAGGAAGGGGTTAGGGGAATGTGATCTATGCACACAGTACAGCTACGATTCAGCCATACGAGAGAGTGAAATCCTGTCATTCCAGGCAACACGGAGGAGCCCCGAGGACATTCTGCCACATACAATAAATCAGGCACAGGAAGAGAAATACCGCAGGTCCTCACTCATGTGTGGGAGCTAAAAGCGTTGAGCTCCTAGAGAGGAGCGCTGTGCTATGAGAGGCTGGGAGGGGGATGGTGGGGGAGACCTTGGCTAATGAATGCAAAATTACAGTGAGACCAGAGGAATGGATTTGAGGGTTCTGTGGGACTGGAGGGTGACTCCAGTTAACGATAATTTATTGTGTATTTTTGAAGCTAGAAGGGAGGACTTTGAATGTTCACAACGGGAAGAAAGGATGATGTCAGTGGGGCTGGATTCGCCCATCTCCCTGATTTGATCACTACGCTTTGCATCCACGAGTCCCAACATCGGTCTCGATGCCACACACACGCGCAGTTGTTTCATTGTCATCCCAAAAACCCACACGCTGACGTGGTCCCCAGCCGCTCCCCGGCCGGCGGAGGGCCTGCATGAGGACGGCACCGCCTTGCACACTTTATCTCAGGGGATCCTGAAACAACCAGCAGTGTCGGGGAATTCGTGCCCATTTTTCAGATGAGAGAACTGAGGCTCATAGAGAGTGAGACTCACAAGCCCTGGCACCAACAAGCGTCAGAGCTGGCCTCGAAGCCGTCGAGGTGCGGAAGAGTAAGGATTACACAGAAGTGAATGGGAGCCTCACTTCGGCACCTGTGGATTTTTTTTCTGAACTTAGTATGTTCCGATAAACATCTATCTAAGTGGAAATTCAAAGCTTTTGTGTATCAAGGTAAAAGGCAAGTTAAATGGGTGCCACATTTGCAACAACCATGGCAAGGAATTAGCATTTTAATGACATGCAGACATATGCAAATTGATGATGATAAACAACAACGCTGGCCAGGCGCAGGTGGCTCACGCCTGTGATCCCAGCACTGTGGGAGGCCGAGGCGGGCAGATCACCTGAGGTCAGGAGTTCGAGACCAGCCTGGCCAATGTGGAGAAACCCCGTCCCTACTAAAAAAATGCAAAATTAGCCGGGCGTGGTGGCGGGTGCCTGTAGTCCCAGCTACTCAGGAGGCTGAGGCAGGAGAATTGCTTGAACCCAGGAGGTGGGGGTTGCAGTGAGCCGAGATCACACCACTGCCCTCCAGCCTGGGCAACAGAGCGAGACTCTGTCTCAAAAAAACAAAACAAAAACAACAACAAAAAGCAACAACACTGAGATCCCAGTAAGTAAAGAAGCGAAGGACAAGCAGAGACCCTCTGCAGAAACAGAAAGTGCAGGGAGTGGGCGATAAAGCCAGTAGCCCAGCTGATGTACAGCTCAGGAGGCATCGCCTCAAGGATCCGTGTGGTTCTCTAAGGACTGCTGGGGTCAGAGGGGCTGAGTCGTGGTTCTGTAAGGACTGCTGGGGTCAGAGGGGCTGAGTCCTGGTTCTCTAAGGACTGCTGGGGTCAGAGGGGCTGAGTCGGCAGGAGGAGGCCCAGACGTTTCTCTTCTTGGCCCGGGGTGAGTGGCTTGCCTGGAAGCCTCGGTGGCCTCATCTGTGAAATGGGTGTATGATCCTTTCGGACCTCCGAAGAGGTGGAGGGAGGTCATACGTGTCCAGCTTTGAGTGTGGTGATTGACTTGGAACAGCTCACCAGAAAGACCCTGAGTGAAGGATGCACGTGACCTGACTTTGGTGGTGTCACAGCCCTGTGCGAATCAGAAAATTACCTGTGACATGTCGAGGCCTAAGAGGATCTGAAGCTGTTGTGGGCGCTGGCCTTGCACCCCACACACAGGCTTGTCAAGGAACAGAATCCAGAGAGAACAGCCAACATCCAGCAGTGGTGACAGTGGGGAGGGGGCATCTCTGCAACGTAGTTGTATCGTGTCTGTTCTTTTTATTGCCGTATAACACACAGGGTATGATGTGACGTGTGCTAATATTAAGTGCTTGGATCAATGATTTTTTTTGTTTTTTTTGATACGGAGTCTCGCTCTGTCGCTCAGGGTGGAGTGTCGTGGTGTGATCTTGGCTCACTGCAAGCTCCGCCTCCCGGGTTCAAGCAATTCTCTTCCTCAGCCTCCCCAGTAGCTGGGATTACAGGCACCTGCCACCACGCCCGGCTACTTTTTGTATTTTTAGTAGAGACGGGGTTTCACCATCTTGGTCAGGCTGGTCTTGAACTCCTGACCTCGTGATCTACCTGCCTCGGCCTCCCAAAGTGCTGGGATTACAGGCGTGAGCCACCGCGCCCAGCCCAGATCAGAGAATTTTTTTTACAAGACACAGAACCTTCTCAGGATGCCACAGGCTGCCTCCTGCACTTCCTGTCAGCGCGGCTTTTGCGTAGCTGTGGGCCTGACTCTCAGGGCCCCCCGCGTCCCAGGCTTGCCGGCTGCTCAACTGAAATCTCCTATGTGCACTCTTTTGCTTCCGGCTTCTTTCCCTCCATGTCATGCCACGAGGCCCATCCGGGCGTGTTCTGTCCCCTGACCTGCTCCCCTGCAGATCCGCGTTTGCATGGTCTCCAGCTTCTTGCGGTCACCAGTATTGCAGACGTGGGTGCTCGTGCGTGTCCTGGGCAGGTGCATGAACTCAGCCTCTGGTGTGTCCCAGGGGCCTGCTGGGCAGTCGCACGTGGCTTCGGAGCCTGAGTGGATGTTACAGAACCGTTACTCGAAGAGCATGCATCAGCTGCTCCCTTGCCAGCAATGCATGAGAGTCTTCCCACTAAGGAAAGGGGGCAGCCTGGCTGAGTGCAGTGGCTCATGCCTATGATCCCAGCACTTCGGGAAGCCAAAGCAGGAGGATCATTTGAGGCCAGGAGATCGAGCCCAGCCTGTGCCACATAGTGAGACCCTGTCTCTACAAAATGCAAAATGTAGCTGGGTGCAGTGGCATGCATCTGTAATCCCAGCTACTCAGGACGCCAAAACAGGGGCATCTCTTGAGCCCAGGAGTTTCAGACCAGTGTCGGCAACATAGTGAGACCATGTCTCTACAGAACATTTTAAAAATTAGTTGGATGTGGTGGTGCATGCCTGTAGTCCTAGCTACTCGGGAGGCTGAAGTGGGACGATCACCTGAGCCTGGAAGGTCAGAGCTTGCAGTGCGCTGTGATTGCACCACTGCACTCCAGCCTGGGTGACAGAGCCAGACCCTGTCTCAAAACAAAACAAATTCCAGGTTCAAATGCCCTCGCTGGTGATGTTTATCAATATATTCAAGAAACAAATAACACTATCTTTAACCCGTCAAGAGAACAGCAGTGAAGCAAGCATTCTCCATCCCATCTCAGGGGGCGAGAGGCCCTTGACACAGAAGGGAGATAACAGCTCCTAAAACATGGCAGTGAGGCTCAACGGCTGAGCGCGTGGACGGGATCGCACCTCGTGGCTGCCGTGTCTATCCCAGGACTAGAAGTGGTTCAGTGTCACAATGGCAATGAATAGAATCCTCCACACCAACAGGTTTAAGGGAAAAATCTTACAGTCATTTCAACAAATGAGAAAAGAATGTTTGATAAAAGTCAACGTCCTTTCAGGAAAAAGATACTTCAAGTAGGAACAGCAGCGCCTCCCTAACCTGATAAATGTGCAAACACCCACAGCAGAAGCACCCCCGGAAGCTTTTGCTTTGATATCGGGACCAAGGGGCGGTGCGTTCCAGCACCATTTCACCAGCGTCCTTCCGCAGGTCCGGGCCAAGGCAGGAAAAGGAAATGAAAGCTAACGAGATCGGAAAGGAAGAAATACAACTTCTGACAGTCACGGAGGATACGGTTATGTGTGTTCGAAGAGCTGAACAGCACCAGGGTAAATTATGAAATCAGTAAGACAGCTGGGCAGTTTGCTGGAGACAAAATCAATATACACAAAAATCAGCTGTTTTTCTTCATATGCCAGAGACAAAGTGAAATTTAGAAAAGATGTCATTTACAAAAGCCTGAGCCTATTAAATACTAGGAAGAACAAACAATGTGTAAGATTTTTATAGAGGAAGCTGATGTAAAAAAACATGGCTGAGAGACATTTGAGAAGACTCAAGTGAATGGTTCCTTAAATAACTGTATTCATGAACCGAGAAGTCCCAAGTTACAAAGATGTCAACTCTCCCCAAAGGAATTCAGGCATCTCACGTACTCCATAGCCAGACTTCTGCAATTGTTTGTGGTGGTTCATGGAAAACTGACTCTACAATTTATGTTGAAAGTCAAAGAACTGGGAATAGCTAAATCACTCTCGAAGGGCAGAGATCAGGGCAGGAACTGGGGATGTCTGTATTGAGGCTTATTAAAAAGTCATAACATTTGTGACAAGGTGATGCTGAGGTGGGGACAGAACAGTAGTCCACACAGCATGGAGTCGGGACAGGGAGGCAGCGGCGTGAGTGGGAGGGAGTCAGGACAGGGAGGCTGAGGCGTGAGTGGGAGGGAGTCAGGACAGGGAGGCTGAGGCGTGAGTGGGAGGGAGTCCGGACAGGGAGGCGGAGGCGTGAGTGGGAGGGAGTCGGGACAGGGAGGCTGAGGCGTGAGTGGGAGGGAGTCGGGACAGGGAGGCAGCGGCGTGAGTGGGAGGGAGTCGGGACAGGGAGGCTGAGGCGTGAGTGGGAGGGAGTCGGGACAGGGAGGCAGCGGCGTGAGTGGGAGGGAGTCGGGACAGGGAGGCTGAGGCGTGAGTGGGAGGGAGTCGGGACAGGGAGGCAGCGGCGTGAGTGGGAGGGAGTCGGGACAGGGAGGCAGCGGCGTGAGTGGGAGGGAGTCGGGACAGGGAGGCTGAGGCGTGAGTGGGAGGGAGTCGGGACAGGGAGGCAGCGGCGTGAGTGGGAGGGAGTCGGGACAGGGAGGCTGAGGCGTGAGTGGGAGGGAGTCAGGACAGGGAGGCTGAGGCGTGAGTGGGAGGGAGTCGGGACAGGGAGGCTGAGGCGTGAGTGGGAGGGAGTCGGGACAGGGAGGCAGCGGCGTGAGTGGGAGCGTGGCTTTGGGACAACCGGACGCCCACATACAGAAAGCAGAGAGTGCTGTCCCTCTCCACACCACTAAAGGCAGACCTGCATGGATTAAATTCCTAAATGTAAATAAACCCCGTCATGGTTTTAGAAGAGGATTTAAAGGGCTGTTTTCATGACTTTGAATTAGGGATGGATTTGTGAAACAATCTACAAAATTATTCGTCATAAAGGCAAAGATTGGTAAATTCTAAAACATTAAAATAAAGACATTCTGTTACATTAAAATCTACCATAAAAGGAGTGAAAAGACAAGCCCGAAGCAGGACATGTGCCATATATATATTTGACCAAAAAAGGGAGGCCCAGAAGATTTAAAAACGTCAACAGGCGTCGACAAGCAAAGCCCCCGACGGCGGAAGATGGGCACACGGAGTCACTGAACAGCTTCCCAGGCGTGACCAACGCTCGGCTCCTTCGCAATCAGGAAAACGCAAATTGAGATCACCACGAAGGACCCTTACGCACCAGCAGATCCGCAAAACTTAAAAAGCCTGGCCCTACCCAGGGCTGGCGAGGACGGAGCAAGGGGACCCTTGGCCAGACAGTGCCCGGTGGCACCAACACCCGGAGCTGCTGGGCTGCCCGCGTGGGGCCGGCACGACTCTCCACCTATCTCTAAAGACGTGCATGGCAGACTCAAGGAGTTTGTGGGATGTTCACGGCAGCGTTGCTCAGAAAGCAAGACGCTGGAAACCGCCGGAAGCCAGTCACAGCAGAGGGATGGCTCAGCCCTTTCACACCGGGGAGCACCGCGGGGCGACGTGCTGGCGCTGGCGGGAAGGAGGCTTGCGTTGTGCACTGGGGAATGGGGCACAGGCCATCGCTGGGGGTTCAGTTTTGTGTTTTGGGAGTTAAGAAACAAAGCTAAATAGTCTATGGCAAAACTGCATGGGAAAAGGCAAGGCAGCGGCCGCCACACACCAGAGCAGTGGCTTCTGAGAGAGGAGGGTCGGGTGTGAGAGGGGAGGGCTCACTCGGCGTCCTCCTGGAGTGCTTACGGGGCCCCCGCACCGCCGTTGTGCAGAGCCGACACCGACGTCTGTGTTCACTCTGCTGGGAACACGATCACTCTTAGAAACGGAACTTTCAACAGAAAGGAATTGATTCTACTTGGAGCTGGATTGGGCTGCTTGTGGCCCCCACCCGCCCCTGGGGCTCTGCCCTGCCCTGGCTGGGCTGGTACACCTGCTTCCGCCCAGATGTGGCCCCAGCGTGCGTCCTGGGGATGCCCCTCCTGCAGCTCAAACACCCCACATCCCTCCCTTCCTCCCGTGTGGTTTTTCCATTGACTTTGGTGGCTGCCACAGACGAGCCAGCCCTCAAATCCCTTTCGCCGGTGGTCAGGGTAGGAGTAAACACACAGCCCTGAGCCACTTCTGGGTGCCCAGCTGGGCTCTGCGGTGAAGCAACCCTCCCCAGGAAGCGGCTTCGGCCCCACTCACTGGGCGCCTTCCCCAGACCACCTGGGAGGAGGGCCCCCACCTGCAGGCAGCCACGGCCCTGGTGCAGGAGGTGCCAGGAAAACAGGCCAGGCCATCCTGGTTTCCGGCCAAGCCCCGGGATGGCCTGGCTGTCCAGGGGTCCTGGGCTCCACCCGCCACCTTGTACCTGTGCAGACGCCCTCTGGTCCGGCCAGGACCAGGCGAGTGTGTGCACGGCCAGATGGTGGCGGCCTGGGGACCAGGGCAGCCGGGTCTGCTGTGTGTAGACACAAACCGCATCTCATCCTAAGAGCAAAGGAGTGATTGTTTAGCTTTCAGAGAAAAAATAGCTCTGAGACGTCTGTGAGAAAACACCCTTTGGGAGGAACCTGGGTCGGGGGCAGAGGCTGGGCTCGGAGGAGGGACTCGGGCCGCCACACCACTGCCTGCCTGCTGGGTGGCCCCGGGCAGATTCCACAGCCTTTCTGGGCCGTTGTCTGTACAGGTTGAGGGTCGTGCTCCATCCCTCAGCCCCTTCTAGGCCTGCCAGCCTCTGATATGAGCAGGAGAAACAGGATCTTCTCTGTCTCTCTCCTCCCTACAGGCTGGCAACACAATGGGATAAATGGCCAAGGATGCGGGATTGGCAAAGCAGGAACCCACATCCCCAGGCAGGGACACCCGCAGCCTCCCTAGAACGTGGCTCGAGGACAATGCCCAGGGTCCTCCCTGCAAAAGACTTTTCCAGACACCCGGTTTTTAATGGAGGGGTGGTCAAGGAAACCCCTCGAAGAGCTCCTCTGGAGCAGAAACCTGCAGGGGTCTGGGCTGGAGGCCTGACCTATTTCCCCAGGCACAGCTTGGGGTGCGTGGGCCTGTGGGGGCATGTGTGGAGGGGGCTCCCGAAGGGCAGGGGACAGAGAGAAGGGAACCCCTCTTCTCTTGGGGCCTCTCTTTGACACTGGGGTCCACCTTGAACCTTAAGGCCTCATACTTTACCACAGTGACCCCTGAAAAAGCTCCATAATGCAAACTCCAGAACTGTTGAAAAGTGTGTTATCTGTTGCTGTGTCACAGATCACCCCAAAACTTAATGGCTTCAAAGGATAATAATAATTTATCATCTCTCATGGCTTCTATGGGTCATGAACTTGAGAGTGGCTCAGCCTTAGGGTCTCATGAGTCTGCTGTCAGCTGAAAGTCTGCTGGGCTGGAGGAGCCCCTTCCAAGGTGGCTCCTGCATGTGGCTGGAAGGGTGGCTCCTCCCCATGGGGGGGGGGGGGTCTCCTCAGAGCTGCTTGAGCCTCCTTACAACATGGCTGCCAGCCTCTACAGAATGAGCAATCCAAGAGACTAAGCTGCAGTGACTTTGTTTTTGAGACAGGGTCTTGCTCTGTTGCCCAGGCTGGAGTGCAGTGGTGTGATCACAGCTCACTGCAGGCTCAAACTCTGGGTTCTAACCATCCTCCCACCTCCTGAGTGGCTGGGACTACAGGCGTCCAGCACCACATCCAGCTAATTTTTAAAATTTGTTGTAGAGATAGGGTCTCACTGTGTTGCCCAAGCTGTTATTGAATGCCTGGCCTCAAGCAAGCCTCCTGCCTCAGCCTCCGAAAGTGCTGGAATTGCAGGCTTGAGCCACCGTGCCTGGCCTTGCAATGGCTGTCATGAGCTGCCATGGGGTCAGCTAAGTGTGTGAACACCAGGAGGCCATGATTGTTGAGGCCCACTGTGGAGTCGGACTATCACAAAAATTGACAAAGATTCTTACAGAGCAGGAGAACAGGAGTTACAAGGTACATCATGCCAAAACTATCTTTGTGAAGTTGATAGATTGATGGCTTTTTTGTTGTTGTTTCAGTCACCGTTCCAGAGTCTCACAGGAAGGCCTTTGTTCTCAAGGCCTGCCTTATTCCCAGAAGCGGGTAAGCAGGCGTGAAGAGAAGCTAAGCATTGCTCTCCTCTTGGAAGGGGCAGGAGTGGAGACCATTGTGCCTCTATGGAGTCGGGGCTGTAGATGCTTGCTAATGTGGGAATGTGAGGAGAGCCGCTTCACGGCCCTGTCTCCAAGCAGGGTCCCAGGGTGGGTGGGCAGGAAAGGGGCTGGAGATGGTGCAGACACCAAGGCCTGGGCGGCGAGCACAGCCAGCTCACTTGGCTGAGTGATTGGGCTGCGGAGGGGACATCTCACAGCTCCCAGGGCTCCTGGGGTCAGGGCAGTGGGGTTGCCTCCTGCAGAGCCCCAGGGCCCCACCCGCAGGGCAGGACGGGGCTGAGAGCTTCTAACTTGAACTTATCATCCCTGGGGGAGAGCCAATGGTGGGAAGCAGATCTAGTTTGATTTGGGAAAATTCCCTTCCCTGGAGTGCCAGGGAGCAGTTCGTGCACGTTAGACACCATTTGCTTCCCACAGTCACAGGTCCTGGGGCAGCGTGCTCTCCCTTCTCCTTTCCTCTCTCCCTCAAAAAGCGCAGCAAGAAAAACACTCCCTCCCTGTCAGACTGCCAGGCCCTGTGCACCTCCCCTCCCGGATCCCTCACAGGTCCTCAGCCCCGTGCCTCTCAGGAGGCAAGCACAGGGCCCACTGCATCCCCACCCGCTCACAGGTCCTCAGCCCCGTGCCTCTCAGGAGGCGAGCACAGAGCCCACTGCATCCCCACCGGCTTCCCAGGGCTGCCATTGCTGTGGACACAACCTCAAGGACTCGTCATCCAAAGGCTTTCTCTGGCCCTCGGCACTGCTTGGCCCAGGCTGGGGACAGGCTCTGAGTGCCCAGCAGCTGGCACGGGGAGCAGCCTCCATCCAAGGGGGGCAGAGGCCCGTGCTGGAGCCTGAGCTGAGGTCTTTCTGGTCTGAGGGTTCCCCTGTTCCCGCAGCAGCAGCCTGCTCCGGACGCTGTCTGTCAACCCCCTTCCCCTCCCTGCTGCAGGGCTTCCTAGGGTCAGAGCATCCTCCCTGCCCGCCAAAGCCCCTGGGCACAGATGAGGCAGGTGAGGCTGGAGAGAGCCTGAAGAGGGAGGCCTCCCTGGGGAGAGAGGAGGGACCGATCTGTGCCGTGTCCCTCGGCTGCCTGAGCCAGACACAGCCCAGCCCTGCCTGACATCCCGGCAGAGCGGTCAGGGGTGGGCTGGGGGCCTGGCACAGAGTGCGCCGTGGAAGCCTCATTCCTCCGCTCTGCTGACCCAAAGCCCTTGGAAGCCTTTTCTCAAGGCCTCCTGTGATCCAAGCAGAAGGGGAGGCATCTGCAGGAGGAACAAAGGCATTGAGGGTAACACCGGGACACCAGAGTCTCAGGAGGTCAGCCCATGCCCCAGACTCTAGGCGACAATTAATTTGCAAGTGTTTTGAGATTAGACACCTGGATTTAGATCCCAGATCTACCATTAGGTGGCAGTGGGACCGTGGACACATCAACTAACTTTCCTGAACCTCTGTTTTCTCATCTGTAAAATGGGATAGCAAAAACTGCCCACATGCCAAGGCTACAGTGAGGTTTAAACGAGAAGCTCCTTAGAAATTTAAAACGTGGAAGTAACCAGCAGTCCCAAGTATATGTAAGCCAACACTGACTCAGAGGATAGTAACTCCCCTGCAACCTGCCTACACTTGCAGTGGATATAGATAAGCTTTCTGGCTGGAAAAAGAACGAAGAATTTTATGCATCAGTTTCCGATGAAAATATAGAAAGAGCAATCCAGAAGTGATGACAGTGATGGTGATGGTGGTGATGCTGATGGTGGTGATGCTGATGGTGGTGATGCTGATGGTGGTGATGGTGATGGTGGTGATGGTGATGGTGATGATGGTGATGGTGATGGTGGTGATGGTGGTGGTGATGATGATGATGATGATGATGATGATGGTGATGATGATGATGATGATGATGATGATGGTGATGGTGATGATGATGATGGTGATGGTGGTGATGATGATAGTGATGGTGGTGATGGTGATGGTGGTGATAGTGGTGATGGTGATGATGGTGATGACGATGGTGATGATGGTGATGGTGATGCTGGTGATGGTGGTGATGGTGATATTGATGGTGATTGTGATGACAGTGTGGATGGCGGTTGTGATGATGATAATGGTGATGATGATGATGGTGGTAAGGATGATGGTCACAATGATGATGGTGATGATGAAGATGGTGATGATGATGATAACAGTGATGGTGGTAATGATGGTGGTTACGGTGATAATGGTGGTGCTGGTGGTGCTGGTGGTGGTGATACTAAAAATGACAATAACGATACTGGCCATCCACCGAGTCCAGTCTGCAGCCAGGCTTGACACTATGTATTTTGCATATGTCATCTTATTTACCCCTCACAGCCACTCTGTGAGTTAGGTCAGTGGTTCCCAAACTTTGCTGAACCAATGAACCACCTGGAGAGTTTTTAAAATTCCAGTGCTAACTCAGTCCCATACCAACTAAGTCAGAGTGCCTGAGGTGGGAGCCAGGCACAGAGCTTGCTAAGCATCCCCAGGTGATTCCAGAGTTGGACACCCCCTGAGCCAGACAGTCCCTATGCACAGGGGGATGTTGATGATGAGAACCCGACTCGGGGCTCTGTGCTCAGAGTGAGTAAGCCAGGAGCTGGCACATGGCCCAGTCAACTCGTTCCAGAGCCCGTGTTCTCGACCACTGTGTTCTGTAAATGGAGGACAGGACGGCCCACCCCAACCCAGGCCTGACTGCTGTGGAGAGGACATGGGCTGCAGAGGAAGCTGCTGGAAGTGTGAGAGGCCCGAGGCCCATGGGCTCTGCCTCAGGCCCCAGGAGACCGAGGGCAAGGCTGACTGCGAAGGGGGTCGGCACAGCTGTGGCCCCCAAGGGCTGAGGACAGCCCATGAGGCAGGCAGAGCTGTGACGGATGCAGTAGCCCCCAGAGACCCCTGGCACAGGGGCAGCTGTGACGTCTGCCCGCTGCCACTGAGGGCAAAGGACCCATCCGGGAACCCATCAGGATGCTCCCCAGAGACGCTTTGGAAGAACTAGGGCCTGTAGGCAGCAGGGTCTCACAGGTGTACGGGGCAGGGGCTGTGGGCCCAGGCAGTGGACACAGTGTTGGATCTCCACCCCGGGCTGGCCCCGTGGGCTCGTCAGTGGTGCTGGGAGGGTGCAGCGGTGATGTTGGATCATCATAAATCCTGAGGCCTCGGCCCCACTGGGGTGTAGTTTTGCCACCTCGGGCTGGCCCTTTTCCTTCGGGCCTGACTAGTGAGACAGCAGGACATGTCCGCCTGGAACCCCAAAGGCCCTCCTGGCTCAGGCTCGATTTTCTGCTGTGGAACACACGCTGCCACTGATTTTTATGTTTCCCAGAACATCCGTTTCCTGGGAGACAAGGGATGACACCCCTTCCAGTGAGCTCACGACTTCATCCACAAGCACTAGCAACGTCCTCCTCGATGAGGCCACACACGGGCCAGGAGTCTCTTTCCCAGGCCTGGACCCCTGGAGCCCCCAAAGGCCCCCTTTCTAGAGCTGTTGACAGAGCTTGGAATTTGACTCTTCTCTGGAGAGAAGTGGGGTGTCAAGACTTCCCCTGGACAAGACGTCATTTCACCCCCGATGGGCATGGGTGGCACAAGGCCATGCTTCTTGAAGACAGACTACCCTCTTTTTGCACGTACGGTGTACACGCTGTGGTGCTGAGGGTCTCACGTGGGCCTGAGGAGGTGATGTGGGACTTGTCCAAGGCCGTCCTGCTACGGAGTGAAGGACAGGACCCGGCCCCAGGCCTCCGTCTCCAGCGCCCAGGCTGCCCCCGCACTGGCCGCCCCTGCAGCCCCTTCCCTGGAGCCCTCAATGGGTCTGGTGAGCCTGGGGACCCTGCCAGACTTGGGCACATCCTGTGGTGGCCGACTGTGGTGATGACACTCCCTCCTGGCATCTCACTCCCTGGCAACGCACATCCAGCCTGGAAGGAATGTTCCCGGAGCATGCCGGACGGCAGGCGCTGGTCCTAAAGGGCTTCCCCTCTGGGCGCTGCGCCCACATCCTCTGGGCGAGACCTGAATTGTGAGCAGCTGGCCTGCCCGCCCAGTGTCCCTGTACCCCATCCCCTTCGCCTCCCGGTTGCCGTTGCATAATTCGGAATCGCCCAGATTCTGCGGACACTGGGGCCGGTGACACGGTAGCGGGGGGCAGAGAGAGGGACAAGAAAGCCGGGGACATCAGACCCCCCGCTCCCACCCTCCAGGCTCCACAAATGTGTGGGCGAACAGTGCCCCACTCAGAGCTTCCCAAGGGCCGTAGCAGGGGGCAGAGAGAGGGACAGGAAAGCCGGGGACATCAGACTCCCCGCTCCCACCCTCCAGGCTCCACAAATGTGTGGGCGAACAGTGCCCCACTCAAAGCTTCCCAAGGGCCGTAGCAGGGGGCAGAGAGAGGGACAGGAAAGCCAGGGGCGTCAGAGCCCCACCCCCCACCCCCTGCAGACCCTGCAAATGGGTGGTGAGTGGTGCCCCACTCAGGGCTTCCCAAGGGCCATAGCAGGGATCACAGAGAGAGGAACAGGAAAGCCGGGGGCATCAGAACCCCAGCCCCCACCCCCTGAAGACCCCGCAAAAGGGTAGGTGAATGGTTCCCACTCAGAGCTTCCCAAGGGCCGTACCAGGGGGCAGAGGAGGGACAGGAAAGCCGAGAGCCCCAGCCCCCGCCCTCCAGGCCCTGCAAAAGGGTGGGTGAATGGTTCCCACTCAGAGCTTCCCAAGGGGCCATAGCAGGGGGCAGAGAGAGGGACAGGAAAGCCGGGGGCGTCAGAGCCCCAGCCCCCACCCCCTGAAGACCCCATAAATGGGTGGTGAGCGGTGTCCCAATCAGGGCCTCCCAAGGGCCCCCTCCTCTTTGCAAGTCTGTTGGAACCAAGGGCTCTACGGCTCGAGAACCCACAAGCTGGTGCCTTGGGGCTGTGGCGTTTCTACTGAATCTGGAAACCGGAAGAGAAAATGCATCCTATCGGCCTGGGCCTCTAAAGCACTGGAGCCAATCGACAGAGAACGTGGCCCGTTGGAAGGTTCCTCGAGGTCTCAGAGCCTGTTTTCTCACCTGTAAAATGGAGCCAGGGGTCCCTACTGGGTGGAGGAAGTGAGGTGGGGAGGTGGTGTGCACCCCACGGCACTTCCTCAGCTGAGTACAGGGCCAAGGGCTAATAGGAGTGAGGTTGTGTGGTGTAGTAGGGTGGAGGAAAAGGAGTGTCCGGAGACAGAGTGCCTTGTTTGGGGAGGGGCGGGACTTTCTGAAAGAACAAGGGCGTCCAGGGAGGGCGTCCAGGGAGGGCCGGTGGGGCCAGGAATGAGCTCGGCTTGGCCTCACCTTGGAGGGTGTTTTGCGAGCCAGAGAGGATGGATGGGGTAAGAGGGCTGAGATCTGGGAGAGGAGTCAGGGAGACATCCGTCCCCAGAATCGTGGCCCTCGCTCACTGGACACTGCCAGGCCATGGTGGACCTTGGTGGATCCAGGTGGGCCGTGGGAACAGAGAGGTCTCCCAGAGCAGATCCCAGCCCTGCAACGCCCCGGCTGTAGCTAGGGGGGATCCGAGTGACAGAGCATGGACGCCCGCAGCCTGGACAAGCTGGTGGAGGCCGCACCCCTTCAACCGGTCATCCATGTGGAAGGCAGGCCACACGGCGGGCACCCCACAGGTGCCGGAGCCTGGACCGACTCCTGACACAGACACACCAGTTCCTGGGGCGGGGACGGACACAGACAGGCGGGCAGAGAGGGAAGCAAGATCAGTCAGCTGACATCAAACACAGAAGAAACCAAAGCAAGGCAAGAGGGTGGGGAGAGCCGGGCAGGAGGGGGCTGCTGACTTAGACGCAAGGACACCCTGCGTGACGAGAAGCAGCAAAGCCAAGATCTGGGGACGGGCTGGAGGGCGGAGGTGCCAAGACCCTGGGCGGGAGCAGGTCTCTGATGGAGGCCCACGGGGCGCTCGTCCCTGGAGGAAGAGGGAGCCCGTAATGGGTGTGAGCAGCGGGGGGCATTGCTTTCACGTGCTTCTGAAGGCTGTGGCCCCGGCTGCTGGAGGGAGAGAGGACGATGGGAAGGCAGAGCCGCTGGCTCCGGGGACGGAGTGAGCTGGGTGCGGACTGCGCTGAGGCACGAGGCACAGGCTCAAGGTCTCTCTGCGGTGCTGGGAGCGGGACTTGGTGACAACAGGTCCTGTTTGGAAGATACTGGGGGTGGGGCAGGACTCTAGGATATCACTTTTTTTTTAATTAAATTTTTATTTTGAGATAACTGTAGATTCCTGTGCAATTTTAAGAATTAATACGGAGAGATTCTGTGTGCCCTTTTTGCAATGTCCCCTATGGTTCCATCTCGCAAAGCTGAGCGCCGTGTCACAACCAGGAAGCCGATGTCAGCGCCTTCAATCACAGAACGCTTTGGCCCCGCCGGCTTCCTCTGCAGCCCCCACCAGCCCGAAAACCTGTGCCTCTTCCTTCTGGCCTGCATGGTTTCCGATGAGAAATTCGCTGTCATTCGAATCGGCATTTCCCCTTGGAGGAAATTGTGTTGTTCCGGCTGCTTTCAACGCGCGTGTGAGCGTGAGCTTTGGACATTGTGTTTTGATGTGTGTGAGCGTGAGTTTTGGACGCTGTGTGAAGTTGTGTTTTGATGTGTGTGAGCGTGAGTTTTGGACGTTGTGTGAAGTTGTGTCGTGTGTGTGTGTGAGTTTTGGACGTGCGAAGTTGTGTTTTGATGTGTGTGAGCGTGAGTTTTGGACTGTGTGCAGTTGTGTTTTGATTGTGTGTGTGAGTTTTGGACGTTGTGCGAAGTTGTGTTTTGATGTGTGTGAGCGTGAGTTTTGGACTGTGTGCAGTTGTGTTTTGATTGTGTGTGTGTGAGTTTTGGACGTTGTGCGAAGTTGTGTTTTGATGTGTGTGAGCGTGAGTTTTGGACGTTGTGTGGAGTTGTGTTTTGATGTGTGTGTGTGAGTTTTGGACGTTGTGTGTTGTGTTTTGATGTGTGTGTGTGTGAGTTTTGGACGTTGTGCGAAGTTGTGTTTTGATGTGTGTGAGCGTGAGTTTTGGACGTTGTGTGAAGTTATGTTTTGATGTGTGTGAGCGTGAGTTTTGGACGTTGTGTGAAGTTTTGATGTGTGTGAGCATGAGTTTTGGACGTTGTGTGAAGTCGTATCTTGATGTGTGTGAGCGTGAGTTTTGGACGTTGTGTGAAGTTGTGTTTTGATGTGTGTGAGCGTGAGTTTTGGATGTGTGAAGTTTTGATGTGTGTGAGCATGAGTTTTGGACGTTGTGTGAAGTCGTGTCTTGTGTGTGTGTGTGTGAGTTTTGGACGTTGTGCGAAGTTGTGTTTTGATGTGTGTGAACGTGAGTTTTGGACGTTGTGCGAAGTTGTGTTTTGATGTATGTGAGCGTGAGTTTTGGACATTGTGTGAAGTCGTGTCTTGATGTGTGTGAGCGTGAGTTTTGGACGTTGTGTGAAGTTGTGTTTTGACGTGTGTGAGAGTGAGTTTTGGACGTTGTGTGGAGTTGTGTTTTGACGTGTGTGTGCGTGAGTTTTGGACGTTGTGTGGAGTCGTGTTTTGATGTGTGTGAGCGTGAGTTTTGGACGTTGTGTGGAGTTGTGTTTTGATGTGTGTGAGCGTGAGTTTTGGACGTTGTGTGAAGTTGTGTCTTGATGTGTGTGAGCGTGAGTTTTGGACGCTGTGTGAAGTCGTGTCTTTGTGTGTGAGTTTTGGACGTTGTGCGAAGTTGTGTTTTGATGTGTGTGTGTGTGAGTTTTGGACGTTGTGCGAAGTTGTGTTTTGATGTGTGTGAGCATGAGTTTTGGACGTTGTGTGGAGTTGTGTTTTGATGTGTGCCAGTGCGGGTTTCTTCGGCCTTGCTCTCTTGTGGTCCTGCCCAGGCCGAAAAGCGAACAGTCCAGTGAGCCAACTGGACCATGGAGGACGAGATGCATGTGAACCGAACTCACCAAACACGGCCTGCAGAGGAGGACCGTCCATCCAGGGCCAGCCTGCATCCAGGGGCCTGCTGACCACAGCCTGCAGAGGGAGAGACCGTCCATCTGAGGCCCTGCTGACCCATAGCTGTGCACGCCTGCTCTTTCCATAGTGGGTGGTCTCTCAGCAGCAAGGCTGTGGCGTGGAGAACTCGAACATGAGGTACTTGCCCCGTGACACCCTGCTGGTGTCCCTGAATCTGGCTGTTAATGAGGATGGACACAGGCGTCGGCAGGCCACGCTTTGAGAGGGTCTGCCGCTGGCACTGAGGCGAGACCTGAAGAGGCACAGGCCCCGGAGGAGGTGGGCGCCGCACCCTTGAGGTGGAGAACCCCGCCTTTAAGGACACACGAAGCTGGCCGGCTGCCAGATGCCGCGGTTCCGGGGAGGAGATGGGACGCTCTCCTCCGGGCCTGAGATGGCAGGATCACGAGGGGACCTTGGGTCACCTGCGTGGCAGCCTCTGAGGCTGCCCTGGCTCCCAGCCCGGTCCTTGGTGCAGGTCAGGAGCTGCTAGGATTCCTGTTTCACTAAACATTTGATTCTTATCTTCTCTGCAGTGTTTCCCATGGGGTGCAGACCCGCTGCCCGGGCGGCTCATGTGTATCCCAGCAGCTCACGTGGTCCTGCTCTCCTGAGTCCCCCATGCAGGGGCGGTGTCCAGGTCCAGGTGGGCGAGTGCCTCCTCTCCTGCGTCCTGGGCCCGTGGGTCCTGTTGAGTCTAAGCCACATCCGATCACTGGTGTATGACTCCTGTACTTGCTGATTCTCCTCCACCGTGCCTGTGGGACAAGCACCCAGCGGGGCTGGGCACACGAGATGCCTGGTCTCCTTTCTGGAGGGTCCCTGATAAGGACCTCGATGCCTGGCCTTGTGAGGACCCCACTGGGTTCTCTGTGTCTCAGGAATGCTGGTAGGTTTGGCAGCCAGTGTTCACTGAGAGGCAGTGTCTGGGGCCAGGGGACCTGAGCATGAATCTTGTCTTTGCCACTGACCTTGCCCCGCCTGGACACCGTTTTTCCGTTTGTAAAGTGAAGTGAAAGCCACTGACGGCCCCTGGGCCTTTCTTCCCTCTGGCCACAGTCGACTGAGACTGTCACCATCCCCGTTGCAGATCTGGGAGTCTTGTGCTGAGGTTGGGTGTGTTGAAAATGGAAACGCAGCCGCCCACCCTGGGCTATCTATTCCTGGAGCAAAATGCTAAGTTCCTTTGAGCCTGAGGTGCTCCCAGCTCCAGCCTCATCCCAGAGACCCGTCACCAACCTGTGGTCTGCAGAGATTAGGTGGGACCAAGCCGGGGTCTCCATGGTCAGGCCTGGAAGGCTGTGCTCTCCCCGGACCACCAGGGGCTCAGCCACACTTCCGGGGCCCAGCAAGGATGTCCGTGGGTCGCCCCTGGTTCTTTGATCCTGTGCTGATTTAGAATCTGAATCTCTGTACTCAGGAAAGGCTTAGGAATCGAGAGCTGCAGAGATAAAGCAACAAGGGACCCCCAGCAGGGACTGGAGGGATTCTGAGCCCCCCGGAGCTGCTGGTGGTCCTGAGGTGCCACGGACGTGAGTGCCCAGGCCTGCACGGGGCCCCTCGGTCTTTGGACCCTGGCACTGTTGGACAGATCTCCCCGCAGGCTGCCCAGCGCTTGCAAGCGACAAGGCAAAGAGCCGGAGAGAGAAACCGAGGAGGAACACCTGCCTCTGCCCTGGTAATTAATTCAGGTTAAATTAAAAAGGGACTGGCGTGCCCACAGACACAGCAGGGAGAGGAAATTGGTTTTCTCCAGCCCAGCAAGAGAGATGTTGCTGTGAGATGTCCCTCCCTCCGCTTGTGGCCCTGCCCCCAGACGCCCGGTGGGGGCCTCTGTGTTCTGGGTGCTGTCTTCCACCTTCTCAGGAATGGCTCAGACCTGGGATGGAGCTGGGGCCCCTCAGCTGCCCCATGCACCCTGGGGCTGGAGCTCTGTCGAGGCAATAGTGGACATGGGATTGGTGGCAGGGACCCTGAACCCCGTCCCCGCGGCCTGGGGTCAACGAGAAGGTCGTGGTGAGGAGCGGAGGGGGGCTGGGGGGTCAGGAGCCTCCCTTCCCGCGCTACTCAGCGGGGACTGTGGGGCAGGCTGGTGGAATGCAACCCACAGGGCAGGGTTTTCCATGGCTGGGAGGCCCCTCAGGGCTTGTGGGCAGCTTCCCAAGGGGCAGAAGCGAGCGCAACTGCTGTTCCCAAGTGCGGGAAGATTCCGGGAGGGCAGGGCCGTTGGTTCTGCTCTGAACCAGTCAAGGTGAGTTCAGGGCAGCAATGGCGGAGAGGTCAGCAATGGCGGAGGGGTCAGCGACAGAGGAGAGGTCAGCGTTGGCGGAGAGGTCAGCAATGGCAGATAGGTCACCATTGGTGGAAGGGTCAGCAATGGCGGAGGGGGTCAGTGTTGGTGGAGGTCAGCATTGGTGGAGGGGTCAGTGATGGCAAAGGGGTCAGCGTTGGCGTCGTTCCCTTCTGCAAATTGTTGGCCACATCTTTGGCCCGAGGGAAGGACTACCTGGAAGCGTCTTGGGGTGATCCCTACAGCCCGCCGAGGCCCTGCCCTGACCCCTGGGCAGAGCTTGATGTTGTCCACCAAGGAGGAACCTCAGTCTCCAAGGGCAAGAACGTGTGTCCAGGGATCAGGCAAGAGCTGGGGTCGCCCGGCCCGTCTCACTCAGAGCATGTGTCTGCTTGTGGACCAGGGAGATGTCTAGACACCCTGGGGGGACTCCCGCTCCACTAGCTTCAGAGGCCCACCCTAGAGGGTGTTTCTGGGAGGGACAGGAGGGTTTATGGGAGGGGCGGTGGCCTTGGCCATATGGTCTTCCCCACTGGTTCCCAGGGTGACCACGTGGCCACCCCCTGCCTCCCGCCCACACCCCCTTGTCACTGGGGTGTTTGTCTGAGTCTTGAGGCCCAAAGCACGCCCACCGCTGCACATCCGATGCCAGAGGCCGCCCTGGGCAGCAGCGGTGTTTGTCGGCATGAGAGCCCCAGGTGGCAGCGGTGGTTGTTGGCGCGTGAGCCCCGGGTGGCGGCGGTGGTGGTTGGCGTGTGAGCCCCGGGTGGCGGTGGTGTTTGTTGGCGTGTGAGCCCCGGGCGGCGGCAGTGGTGGTTGGCGTGTGAGCCCCGGGCGGCGGCGGTGGTGGTTGGCGTGTGACCCCGGGTGGCAGTGGTGTTTGTTGGCGTGTGAGCCCCGGGCGGCGGCGGTGGTGGTTGGCGTGTGAGCCCCGGGCGGCGGCGGTGTTTGTTGGCGCGTGAGCCCCGGGCGGCGGCGGTGGTGGTTGGCGTGTGAGCCCCGGGCGGCTGCGGTGGTGGTTGGCGTGTGACCCCGGGTGGCAGCGGTGGTGGTTGGCGTGAGACACAACCTCATCACTTCCAGGCTGGGGGCTCTTGACCTCATGGTGTGTTTTTGAGGGTTCTCCACAGAAACAGACCAACAGGAGGCAGAGGTATAGGGATGTCCCGTGAGGACCAGGCTCATCGACTAAGGAGGCCAAGGCGTCCCACCACCTGCGTCTGCAGGCTGGAGACCCAGGGAGCCTGTACAGTGCGTTCCGGTCGAGCCTGAAAGCCTGAAACCGCGGGAGCCGATGGAGTGAGCCCCGTCCTAGGGCAGGAGAGGAGGAGGAGGAGATGAGATGATCCCGTTCAGGCAGGCAGAGTGCAAACCAGCCTCACTCAGGGCTGGAGTGGTGCCCGTGTACACTGGGGAGGCATCTTCGCTCATTTTCAGTTCGAATGCCAAGCTCTTCCGGAAGCACCCCCTCAGACACCCCTGAAATAATGCTTAGGCGGATACTAGGCACCCGTGACCCAGTCAAGGGGACACAAATCATGCATCCTGTGGAGCTTGGAGGCTGTCCCGCTCACACCCTGCCCACCCTGACCATCTGTCTCTTCTTTCCTGCGCCCCTCTGCCTCCCCCTCTCCCTCTTCTCCTGTCTCTCTCTTTTCTCAGTCACATAAAATAGCTCACGATTTTCTCCAGGATTCACTGAAAACAAACCAAAACAACAAAACCAAGACAAAACAACACGAAAACCCCACAAAATATCAGCCTTTCATATAATTCATTTTTTTTTCTTTTGTTTTTTGAGATGGAGTCTCGCTCTGTCGCCCAGGCTGCAGTGCAATGACATGATCTCGGCTCACTGCAAGCTCCGCCTCCCGTGTTCACACCATTCTCCCGCCTCAGCCTCCCGAGTAGCTGGGACTACAGGCGCCCGCCACCACGCCCAGCTAATTTTTTTGTATTTTTAGTAGAGATGGGGTTTCACTGTGTTAGCCAGGATGGTCTCAATCTCCTGACCTCGTGATCCTCCCACCTTGGCCTCCCAAAGTGCTGGGATTACAGGCGTGAGCCACCACGCCCGGCTAATTTTTTGTATTTTTAGTAGAGACGGGGTTTCACCGTGTTAGCCAGGATGGTCTGTGTGGTGGCTCACGCCTGTAATCCCAGCACTTTGGGAGGCCGAGGTGGGTGGATCACGAGCTCAGGAGATCACATAATTCTCTAAGAAGTAAAAAAAACAGCAGAAATCGTCCATACAGAGTAATCGTTACCCACTAACATATCCACAGCCAATTTTCCTTTGGGCTAGAGGGAAAGAATTTTGCAACATTTGACCTCCCAAAAAGTGGATGTTGATTCCACAAAGATGGGGATGTTGAGGAGTGAGTGGGGAGAGGCCTGCATCTGCCCCAGCGACTGATCTCACCCTGTCCACAGGTTCCCAAAGGACCCCCGTGTGAGAAGCCGTGATCATGAACACGGATACAAAGAACTCAGAGTAAATCATAATTTTGTTGTAAAACGGAAATGGAAGAAAAATGAGCTCTGTGAACATAATTTCAGGCAAATGAAAAATTGATTGGAAACGGACTTCAAGGTTAGACCATTGGTCCAGGATTCATGACACCGGATCGATAGTGTTTGCTCTGGAAAATACCTTTTCACTGAACATCCACGAACAAAGGCAAGGTTATAATAAAGCTTTTGGAATTCAAATTGTTACCAGGGTCAGCACGCTCTCACTCTGCACACGCACACATACGCGCTCAGACACACGTGCACACACGAGCACGCACCTGCATACACGCTCCCTGCCTGGGGCCAGCTGAGCTCTCCTGCCCTGCCTGGAACGTGCCTCTCCTTCATGGAAACAGGGAGGACCTGGGGTCACACGGCTGAGCCCACACTCCAGCTCTTGCTGCTCTGTGGCCCAGGTCTTTGCTTGGTCTTGAACGGGGTTCCCAGGTCCTGATCTGTGCTTCCCGACTTCCTCTGTGTGAGCCCAATAATCTACACTCCCCTGGAATGTGTCCGTTCGAAGGAAGATCCCACTGGCGTGTGCGTGGAGTCCTCCACCACAGGTGAGGAGCACCTGGCACCTGGGACTGGGTTCAGCCACTGTCCCGCCGCTGTCCTGTCCTGTGGCCGCTGTGGGGGCGACTCTGGCCCTCCCCATCTCCCCTGTTAGTGGCCCCCAGGGCCCTCAGCCTCCCTCTCCTCCTGCTCCCTCTCCCAGTTGCCAACTCCCAGCCTGGCCCAGAAGACCACCTGCCCCCCATGTCGGAGAAGTTGCCGCAGACCTGACCTGCCAGGGCAGGGGTTAGACTCCCCGCCCCACCCAGCCAGGGCGTCTTTTCTGCCCGCGGGTGGGTGCAAGCAGGCTCCCCCCAGCCACTCGGCTTCTGCAGGGCTGAGCTTCACTGCCCTGGACAAGAATGGACAAGAACCGGACCGAGGCCGCCCATGGACAGCCAGCCAGCCAGGCTCCGCTCGGCCTCTGACCCACCGCCTGGCTTGGGCACCACGGCTCCTCTCTGCCAGTGGCTGGGGGGCGGCCTGGGCATCCCCATGAGCACAGACTCCTCGGAATCCTGAGAGGCCCTCCCCTCCCCTTCCCTCCCCTGCCCAGTCACACCCAGTTCTTTCAGCAGGGGAGCTGGGGGACACTGACTTCAACATGGGCCTGGGTTTGGAGGAGCTTGTCCCTCTCATGCTCCTCATATGCCCAGTGAAGCCTCAGCCAGGGACAGGCACGGAGCCCTTCCCGGCCTCATGGCGCTTCCTGAAGTCGGAATGTGCGTCTTCAAGCTGTTACCGCATCCCCCTTGCCTGTGAGGAACCCCACAGTGCTGTACGGCCCCGGGCTTCAGGGCACGCCGCCCTTTGTCCGCTAACTAGTGTGGTTGTGTGGTTCTCTGAATAGCCTGCATGTCACGTTTGACCCTCAGCGTGTGCAGCTCCAGCGTGTGCAGCTCCAGCGTGTGCAGCTCGGGGACAGGGTTTGCCTCCTTCACTGCTGGGTCCTCTGGTCTCACGGTGCTGGGTTCCAGGCACGGGAACCCCCAGAAACCTCGAGGTCTGGCCTGGTCTGGCAGGCGGGGCCTCCAGGGAGCCAAGAAACGGGGCCTCCCTGCCCCGGACTGCCCAGAAATGATTAACGCGGGAGGCTCTGGAGGCTTTGTTTCTCCTGGGCTGGGATGGGGGTGCGGGTGGCCGGGGGTCACGGCCCGGGCGAGCGCCTGTCTTATCTCTCCCAGGCCTCTCTGGTTTCAGCCTCGTATTTGTTCTGACATTAGGTGGGCGTTATCTCCAATTCGTGGCTTCTCGATACAACCCCAGATGCTGCTGGGAGTTTCTCTGGGGTTCTGGGGCCCTCTGGGGCTGGTTGAGAGGGGACTCACTGCCCACGAGGGGCTTCACCCCTCCCCAGAGCCTGAGCTCCAGAGGCCTGAGAGACGCCACCGCCTGCAGGTGCCACGGGGCTCTGTTTTCTTATTTCTGCTTCTTTCTTTTAAAAAGGGTGCGGTTTCCTCCGCTAGAGCAGGGACCCATCCGTGGTGGTTCAGAGTGTTGGCTCTTGTCTGGTGGCCAAGGGCTGCCCTGCTCCGGCCTCTGGGATGCACTTGTGGACTGGGCCTGATTTGGCCATTGGAGTCTGGGTCTTCCGCTGCGCTTGGGGCCTGCATGTTGAGCTTCTGTCCTGGAGAGGTGTGGACAGAGCCACCAAAGGCCAAGGGCCCAGCAAGGGCTCTTCCTACCCAGGCTGAGGCCTGCAGCCTGGACCCCACCTCTTCCTGCTCCAGGGCCTCCTTCCTGACCCCCTGGCTCTGCTCCCCTCATCTGGCCACCCCAGAGGCCCTTCCTGTCAGCTCACTAGGCCCTCAGGAGGGTAAAAATCCAAAATGAGTGGAGACGGGGGCTCGATACCCACAGCCAGGAGCACAGTGGGTCAGAAACACGGCAGGTGTCATCAGAAGTCTGATTAGATTCTCCGTGGAGCTGGAAATGCAAATATTGATAGAAGTCGGAAGACTTAGTGATCTCTGGTCAGATATGATGTCACCTCGAACACCTGTTTCTGGACAGAGTTTCGAGAACATGTGACGTGTGTCACACGCTGGCACTGCCAAGGGAGGCTGATAGTGTAATCGCCGCAAGGTTACTGGCCGGGGCCCGAGGGATAAGGAGGGCAACATGTGGCCCGGGCAGGCTGTTTGCTGAGCTGCCAGCACCAACCGCTGGGGCCTGGCCTGCAGGACTCACCAAACCCTGCCATCCCGGTCTGGCCAGGCCTGGCCAGCAGACATGTGCCAAACAGTGAGCTGTTCTCCGGCCCCCGGAACTTATCTTGAGTCAATAGAAATGCTGGGCAGTTATAGAGGCTATTAACAGGGGCCAGGAGACAAGGGCTGCATTCAGGCCCGCAGCCTGGTTTCCAATGAGCTCAGCTGCTCCACAGCTGGGGCCAGGGACAGACTCACACCCCCACCGGCCAGGCCTGTCTTCCCCACTGGTAAACAAGGGGGCGGGAGACAGGGGACAAGGGACAGGGCGCTGAGTGCCTGGGAGCTGGACACACAGCCACATCGAGGGGCCCGAGAAAGTCCTCACGCCCCAGCAGGTGTGGCAGCAGTCAGGGTGCACGGGACCTGCCCACACAGGTGCAGGTGAACTAGGAGGTGGCGCGTGGCCATTTCCTCCTTTTGCAGGACAGACCAGGACGTGGCTGATAACACCTGCCCCGGCAAGACAGGGTTTCTAGAAAAACATGCTTGATGGTCAGAAAAAGTTTGGAGTCATTGAAGTGAGCAGGGGTAGTGGGAACCTACACACCGGATCCCAGTATCTCTGGAGTGTTGAGGGCTGCTGGGGACCCTTGCTGTCAGAAACATGCCTGGTGTGGACCCGTGAGCAGAAGGAAATGTCGTCCTTACTGCTGCATTCTGTCCTGTCTCCTCGGGCAGCTCTGGACCAGATGAAGACCACTAGGGTCAGGCGTGGATGCCGGGGGACAAGCGTGGATGCCGGGGGAGAATTTGTCCGTTGATTTGGCCACACAGGCCGGTGCTTCTCACACATTGTCAAATGCAGGAATCGCCTGAGGGTCTTGTGATTTAGGAGGTCGGGGCGGAGCCCTGTGATGCTGGAGCTGCAGGCCCAGGAACCCCACTTCGACTACCCAGGCTGGAGACGACGCTGGTGTGGGGGAATTGTCACCTCTGAAGAAACAATGTTTCCATTAAGCAGTGCTCGGTTTGCCCTGAAGAGTCCAGGGTGGTGAGAGATGACAATTTGAGGGGACGCCCCTCTGGAGTGGGGGGGTGGGAGAGCTCACGTGGAAGAGGCACCCACGCAGGCCGGAAAACATGGAGACCCTCAGGTTATACAGTTACCCAGGCCCCTCAACAGCATGGCTCCTTCCGCCCGCACACTCCTGCCCTGCAGTGTGAACCGGGGATGCATTTTAGCACAGAGCCTTCCCTAGAGCCTGCGGCTGGAAAGTCCCTGCACCGGATCGGACGGTATCCCCTCAAAATTCGTGCCCACCCAAACCCTCGAATGTGACCTTTGGAAACAGGGTCTTCGCAGATGTAATTAGCTGAGGACCTCAAGCTGGAATCCTCTTGGATGTCCAGTGGGCCGTAAATCAAATGACAAGTGTCCTTATCAGAAGAGGAGAACAGAGAGAAGCGGGCCACAGAGACATGGAGACAGAGATCCGAGTGGCATGGCCAGAAGACAAGGAGTGGCAAGGACCGCGGCCAGCACCGGAGGCGGGAGGGGCCTGGAGCCGACGCTCCCTCGTGGCCCTCAGGGGGACCCACCCTGCCGGCCTCCTCAGTTCAGACGCCCTTCTGTTGCGTTAAGCCCTGCTGTGCACGGTAATGTATTCCGATGAGATGCCCAGGAGCCTCACACAGCCTTTTCCCTGTTCCTCAGTAACCCTCGGGCAAGGTCGCTATCATATTCCTGTGCATGGCACACTCACTGCACCCTCCCGTGTGCCGCGTAGAGGGGTGCCACACAGATGGTGCCGTTCCTCCCTCAGAGGGATTTGTTGCTTTAATAGACACTAAGCCTACTGACCCACGGCCCCTTGGGTCCCCTTTCAGTCCACTTGCAGGTGCATCGGACGGCTCCCGTGCACCCTGACTGACGCCTCTCTCAGGTCCCTGTATGCCACTGCAGCTTCGCATAGGGGGCTGGAAACGTTTTCAGCCTCACTCAGGACAGCCCCAAAGTGCCAGGTGTTATTGTTTCCAGGGGCAACCTCAGGCCAGTGACAGATGCCAGTCCTGGAGATGCCCCGGGATTCCTGTCCCTCCATAGGGTGGCGTCGAGGTGTGTTTCACAACAGCTCCTCAGGGGTTGCCAGCACGGTGGAGCCCCAGCTGCCTGCAGCAGAACCTGCTCCTCTGTGGGTCTTCAACCCACACCTTCCCTGTGCTTCTGAGACCACCTCCCAAAGCACATCCTCCACCGAACCGTTGCCTTAAGTCCTGATTTTGGCAAATCCAAAGTGAGACCCGTGCTGGGATCCAATTGCTCTCCTGCTTAGGCCAGTCCTTTAGGAGAGGATGTCACAAGGTAGCCAGAGGCTGGGTCTTGGGGCTTCCTCCGAGGCCCCTGTGGGAAGATGGCAGGCCCCAAATGGTGGCCGCCTCCAGGAATTTCCCAGTGCTGTGAGGGAGGCATGTGGTCTGTTTCCTACGGAGCTTGGAGCAGCCTGGGGATGGAGGGCCGCCTCTGGGGAGGAGGGGCTGGTATGGGCTTTGGCCATCCAAGCCCCCAGTGAATGATTTCTGGGCACTGAGTGTGTGCTGGGCAAGGTGCTGGGATGCACTGGGGGTGCACCAGTGAGAGGGGAGTGGAGTATAATGGGGAAAAGGCACCTGGTTCCATCTGGGAATGTTCTGGCTGGGCAGAAGGATCTGGAGGCTAAGGCTTGAAGCTGGGAGTTTAAGACCAGCCTGTGCAACATAGCAAGACCTGGTCTCTACAAAACATTTAAAAATTAGCTGGGTGTGGCAGCGTGCACTTGTAGTCCCACCTACTTGGGAGGCTGAGGGCGGAGGATCCCTTGAGCCCACGAGGTCAAGTCCGCAGTGAACTATGATCACGCCACTGCACTCTAGCCTGGGTGACTGAGCAAGACCCTGTCGCAAAAAAAGAAAAAAAATTAAGAAAGAAAGGAGATTCTGCTGAAAGCTAAGTTTCTCTGGAAGATGGACTGACTAAGAGAGAAACTGAAGCTTGGGCTTTGGGAGGTCACAGAGGGAACAGGACTTCAGTCCAGGGTGTGTCCAGGGCCCACAGTAGCGGCAAGGATGATGGTTGCTGAGTGTTTCCTGTGTCCCCCAGGGTGCATCTCACTTTTAAACCCTCCCAACGAGCCTGGAGCCCTCTCCTGCAGTGGAGGTAACTAAGGCTGAGAGCACAGGAGGGGCTTGTCTGGGCCATGCACAGCAACCTGCCGTGCTAGAGCTGCTGGGTGCATGGCTCCCACCAGCAGCACCTGGAGGCCTCCAGCAGAGCTGCCCATCCTGCCCTTAGGACACCGGCAGCCAGGACGTGCCCTGGACGCTGCCATCCTCGTCGCACAGAGCGGGGCTCTTGGGGGTCCTGCACGGAGTCCTGCCTGCCCTAGACCTGGGAAGGTATGGAGGAGAGTGAGCGATCCAGCTCTCCCACCCCCGGCTCTGATGCTCTGGGAAATCCGCTCATCTTTGCAGCCTCAGTCTCCCCATCTGTGAAAGGGGCTAGCAGTTCTCTCAGAGCGGGTCGCTATGAGGGAGCCATCACCAACGTTGCTGTCCAGCCAGGCACCTGTGGAGGCCCACGGAACCCACCCGCTGCTGTGAAAATTGGCACAGGCAGACACCCTTGCAAGAGAGCGGGGTACCGGGTTGGGGGTCGGTGAGCCTCACAGGGTCTCCTGGCCCCACAGCTCTGTCCAGAGTGAAGGTCGTTGCCCAGACAGCCGGCAGGAGGGCTTTGGCTGGCCTGGTGTCCACTGAGCACTCCAGGCCCACGGGATTAGTCTGAGTCTGGGCTGCCCTGTCCCCGAGTCCCAGAGGGACACCCAGAGGACACAGGTGTTCAAGAGCACCCTGGCCACCGACCCGTGCCCTTGCCCCGCATCCTCTGCTGTGTGGCATGCTTCCCTCACCGCTGTTGTCAAACACGCAGCGTCAGGACAGAAACTGTCGAACTGCGGGCTGTTGGCGCCTGCCAGCTCTAGCTGCCAGCCTAGCCTAATTACTTAATTTGTACTAATTCTCATGCCATTAACACATCCTGCCTAAAATAACATTGCCTAGAAAACGAACTTGTCTATGACACTATTTTTATCAGTTTTTTAGGAAAAAAAGAGTCACACTGTCAGTGTTTCCAGATGTTTCCCATTCCTTCCCCTTTATTTGGTCTCTGTGTGGCACTAAACTTAGAGGCAGGAGTGCTGGGAGACGTTTGCAAGGATATCAGCCTCTCCACAGGTTAAACCCGAACACGCCTCTCTTCTGGTGAGGGGCCCTCAGGGTTAACAAGCATCATCCACGAGGGACCAGGGCAACAGGCTCCTCCGCTGGTCCAGGGGCCCTCGGGGTTAACAAGCGTCATCCACGAGGGACCAGGACGACAGTCTCCTCCGCTGGTCCAGGGGCCCTCGGGGTTAACAAGCTTCACCCATGAGGGACCAGGACGACAGGCTCCTCCACTGGTCCAGGGAGGCCCTGATTGGGGCGCGAAGTCCACAGACGCATCCCTAGCTACGGGGTCCCGTGTGTGCTTAGCAGTGGCCAGGGCAGCGGTCAGCTCATGGATATGTCCTCTCCTGACTTCCCCTCCGCTCCTCCGGCTTCCTCGGGTCTCCTCCCAAATAAACCACCTGCACCGAAATCCCTGCCTCAGACTCTGCTTTTTGGGAAATCTGGACTAAGGCAGCGTGTCTGTCTGTCTGTCTGTTTGCAGACACAGGTGGGCATGGGGCCGGGTGCACACACGTCTGTTTTGTTCACACACGCACAGGCAGAAGGCAGAATAACGCCCACCCACCCAAAGAGACACGATACCCACATTGGAACCTGGTGTTCCCTTATATAGCAAGAAAGGGCTCTGCGAGGGGCGGGGCTGACTTCAAGGCTTTGAAGGGAAACGACTCTGCGGCGCCTGGGGGAGCCCTTGATCCTGCTGCCCGTGGGGCCTGTGTCCACGCGTCAGCCTCTGCACCTGGGGCTGCCCGTGGGGCCTGTGTCCACGCGTCAGCCTCTGCACCTGGGACTGTTTCACAGAGGCCAGGAGGATGCCTGGAGGAGGGGCTCTGCCCGCAGGCTTCATGTCTGTGGCATTTAGGAGGAAGCCCGGCTCAGACTACCCCACATAAGAAAGGGTTTAAATGGGCTTGTGAGACTCTTAGGTTGGCTGCCATTGTGGACTTCAGGGTGAATTTGATTCAGCTCTGCTATGTGACCCAGGACCTGGCTGCCTGGGCCATCTGTGGTGTTGGCCCTGTCCTGGGACAGCTTCCCTCGTTGTGGTGGAGAGGTCCAGAGGTCCTCCATGATGGTGGAGAGGCCTGGACGTCCTCCGTGGTGGGGGAGAGGCCCGGACGTCCTCCGTGGATGGGGGAGAGGCCCGGACGTCCCCGTGGTGGTGGAGAGGCCCGGACATCCTCCATGGTGGTGGAGAGGCCCGGACGTCCCCGTGGTGGTGGAGAGGCCCGGACGTCCTCCATGGTGGGGGAGAGGCCCGGACGTCCTCCGTGGTGGGGGAGAGGCCCGGACGTCCTCCGTGGATGGGGGAGAGGCCCGGACGTCCCCGTGGTGGTGGAGAGGCCCGGACGTCCTCCGTGGATGGGGGAGAGGCCCGGACGTCCCCGTGGTGGTGGAGAGGCCCGGACGTCCTCCATGGTGGTGGAGAGGCCCGGACGTCCCCGTGGTGGTGGAGAGGCCCGGACGTCCTCCGTGGATGGGGGAGAGGCCCGGACGTCCCCGTGGTGGTGGAGAGGCCCGGACGTCCTCCATGGTGGTGGAGAGGCCCGGACGTCCCCGTGGTGGTGGAGAGGCCCGGACGTCCTCCGTGGTGGTGGAGAGGCCCGGACGTCCCCGTGGTGGGGGAGAGGCCCGGACGTCCTCCGTGGTGGGGGAGAGGCCCGGACGTCCCCGTGGTGGTGGAGAGGCCCGGACGTCCTCCGTGGTGGGGGAGAGGCCCGGACGTCCTCCGTGGTGGGGGAGAGGCCCGGACGTCCCCGTGGTGGGGGAGAGGCCCAGACGTCCTCCGTGGTGGTGGAGAGGCCTGGGTCTCCATCATCCTGGTAGAAGCCCTGGATGTCCCCCATAATGAGGGGCTTGGATGTTCCCCATCATGGGAACGATGGAAGCCTGGACATCCCCATGGTGGTGGAGAGGGCTGGATGTCCCCCATGATGGTAGAGGGGCCTGGGTGGTGGAGAACTGTCTACCACTATGGGCCTCCTTCATTGTGGTAGAGGCCCTGGATGTCCCCATGGTGGTGGAGGGGCCCGGGTGTCCCCCCGTCCATGCTGCTCAGGATTGGGGCCTGGGCAGCCAAAGCATTGCCATCTCATTTGCTGAGACTGGGCCATATGCCCATAAGTGAGGCAACCCTGGTGCCCTGTGAGTGGGACTATGGTGCTCGGCTTGGACCTGAGTCAGGTGCCCCAGTGGCCAGGTGTAGGATGCTCACCTGGGCATGCTTAGGGGCACAGAAGTGGGGCCAGGAGGGGCCCACCTTCCCTCTTGCCCTCCACACAGGCTATGTGGTCTTTTCTTCTTAGAGATTCCTGTCCTGCCGGCACCTCTGCCATAATCCCAGTATGGCCCCAGCTGGAGAGGACAAAGGTGGCCCCATCCAGGGCACCCCAGGGGAATGTGATGGCCACTGCACCGTGCCCAGTGCCTTCTGTGCACCTGTGACCCTTGGTGGGCCACGCAAACCTGCAGCCAGGGCCTGGGGACCTCTGGAGGGGATGAGGATGGAACAGCAAGAGGCAGTATCACTGCCAAGGGCGTCTCTGCCCACATCTGGAGGCAGCAAGGCCCCTGCGCTCTCTAGAGCAGGTCTGTGGTCCTCTGGTGTGCCACAAATTTCAAACCGGCCCCGACTCCTGGGGCAAGAGCAAAGAGCCACACTCCTGATTCTTGTGCCAGCTGGTTTTAACCACTGTAGTGTCCCTGTGTGTACACGAGTAAATATGGCATATGTGTGCCCTGGGGATGTGAGCTCCTGGGCAGGTGAGCATCTGTGCACAGGCACGTGTGTGTATGCATGTTTGTGTTTGTGTGAGTGAGCGTGTGTGCACGTGCATAGGCATGTGCTTTGTATGACTGTGTGTTTCTGCATGCACGTGGGTGCATGTGTGCTTGTGTGTGCACATGTGTTTGTGTGTGTGTTTCTGTGTGCTTATGTGTATGTGCATGGGTTTTGCATGTGTGTTTTTGCTTACATGTGGGTGCATGTGTGCCTATGTGTGTGCATGTTTCTGTGTGCATGTGGGTGTGTGGGTGTGTGTGTATGCGTTTGTGCCTGCATGTGTGTTTCTGTGTGCATGTGGGTGGACGTGTGCATGTGTGCACGTTTGTATGTGTTTGTGTGTGTGTTTCTGTGTGCATGTATGCACATTTGTGTATATGTGTGTGCTTGTGTGTGCATGTGTGTGCATGTATGAGCTTTTGTGTGTATGTTTGTGTGTGCACGTGGGTACATGTGTGCATGCGTGCACATTTGTGTGTGTGCATGTGGGTGCATGTGTGCTTGTGTGCACGTATGTATGTGTGTGTTTGTGTGCAGGTGGGTACATGTGTGCATATGTGCGTGTTTGTGTGTGTGTGTATGCGTCTGTGCCTGCATGTGTGTTTCTGTGTGCATGTGGGTGGACGTGTGCATGTGTGCACGTTTGTATGTGTTTGCGTGTGCGTGTGTGTTTCTTTGTGCATGTATGCACATTTGTGTATATGTGTGTGTGCTTGTGTGTGCATGTTTGTGTGTGCATGTATGAGCTTTTGTATGTGTTTGTGTGTGTATGTGGATGCACGTGTGTGTGTGCACTTTTGTGTGTGTGTCTCTGCATGCATGTGGGTGCACGTGTGCATGTGTGCACGTTTGTGTGTGCACGTGTGTTTCTGTGTGCATGTGGGTACATGTGTACATGTGTGCATGTGTGCACATTTGTGTGTGTGTTTCTGCGTGCATGTGGGTGGATGTGTGCATGTGTGCACGTTTGTGTGTGTGCGTGTTTCTGCATGCATGTAGGTGCATGTGTGCACGTTTGTGTGTGTGTGTTTCTGCATGCATGTGGGTGCATGTGTGCGCGTTTGTGTGTGTGTGTTTCTGCGTGCATGTGGGTGCATGTGTGCATGTGTGCATGTGTGCGCGTGTGTGCGTGTGTTTCTGCTTGCATGTGGGTGCATGTGTGCGCGTTTGTTTGTGCGTGTTTCTGCGTGCATGTGGATGCATGTGTGCATGTGTGTGCGTTTGTGCGTGTGTTTCTGCGTGCATGTGGGTGCATGTGTGCATGTGTGCACGTTTGTGTGTTTCTGCGTGCATGTGGGTGCATGTGTGCATGTGTGCATGTGTGCACGTTTGTGTGTGTGTTTCTGCGTGCATGTGGGTGCATGTGTGCATGTGTGCGCGTTTGTGTGTGCGTTTCTGCATGCATGTGGATGCATGTGTGCATGTGTGCGCGTTTGTTTGTGCGTGTGTTTCTGCGTGCATGTGGGTGCATGTGTGCATGTGTGCGCGTTTGTGTGTGTGTGTTTCTGCGTGCATGTGTGCATGTGTGCGCGTTTGTGTGTGTGTGTGTTTCTGCGTGCATGTGCGTGCCTGTGTCTGAACTGGCTTGGGGGGGTGGGGCGGGACAAGGACATTCCTGGACCCGGCGCTTGACAAGCTGCCAGGCCGTCCCCATTGTCATGTCAACCAAATATTTTCAGCCTCCACGCCCAGAAGCCTCCGGAGCTCGCTTCTCCTCGCCGCTCACACACCGCGGGCCAGACTTCCAAACCGCTAGGCAGATTTTGAGTCCCTTTTTTTAGCTGCTGAATGAAAAAAAATAAGCAAACACAAATCTGCTGATCCCGGGCCGCCCCCTTTTCTGGAGAATTTAATTTCCGAGCTTTGATCTGATACCAGGGCCCAGAGGACTTGTTATTTCTAAATAATGAGCTGAATGTCTGTGCTCCCAGCCTGAACTTTTCTGGTTTGGGGAAAAATATGACTTTCCATAGACGCTCTTTGATGCGGCCAGTGGCGCTGCCGGCTCCGGGATGAAAGGCCTTTCAGAGGGCAGGCGGCGCTGGGCGGGGCGGCCGGGCCGTGGTGCCCTCAGGACAATGCCCTCCGCAGGGTCCCCCCCCGCCGGCCCCTCCCTGGGCAAGGGCGGAGCTCGTTCAGCAGGAACCCCGGTGCTGGGACCTGAGCCCAGGGCCACCTGCATCGCGGCCCAACCTGTCTGGGGCCTCGTCCTCTCTCGGTGAGCGCGGGGGTCAGAGGGCGCCCGAGGCAGGGACTGTCAATCCTGGGCGGGTGGGAGGAGGGGGCTCCAGGGCCGCCTCCCCGGCGGGCCCCGCGCTCCACGGAAGGGGCTCTTCCTACCAACGTCATGCCTCAAACCAGGGCTGGGGGGCCCCGCTCCCAAGCTGGGGGACACCGGAGCAAACGGAACGGCGCAGGGCGGGCGCGGGCGGCAGCGCTGTCTGAGGTGCGGGCGGCACCTGCGCTTCCCCGGGAGGTTAGAGAAAGGCGCCCCCTGCTGGCGGCTGCGCCCTCGGGGGACCTGCAGGGCCCGAGGCCACGTGGAGACGAAGGAGCCCTCTCCTGGGGTGGGGGCACGGGACTGGGTTCAGCGCCTCCAAGCCTCTCCCCAGGCCCTCCACTGGGTGTTCTTGTTGGAGTCCGCAGCCTGCACAGTTCCAGCCCTGGCGGTCTGAGGCTAGGCGAGGGTGTGTGGACCAGGGAGACCCCGGCGCCCGGTGGGAGGGCCCAGCCCGCCCACCCCTGCCCTGGCACCTGCCGGCAGAGCCCCCAGCCCGCTCACCCCTGCCCCTGGGGCTGTCAGCATCCACGGGACGGCCACACCACACCAGGAAATGATCATTCCAGGTCAGGGCTGGGTGATTGCGGCGCCCTCTCCCCTTACCCCAGCGGTGGGCAACTTCGCACTTCGGATAGCATTTCCCCTGGGAAGAGGCCAAGCGTGCTTCGACAGGCGGCATCACAAAAGGTCAAGAGGCAAACACCCTCGGTCCGCCGCCTCGATAATTAGCTCCTCAGCCAGCCTGCAGAAAAGCCATCGGGCCTGGACAAGCTCCCAGGCACAGCACCTCACCACCCGCCCTCTGTCCTGCCCAGTGTACACACAGGAGCTCCTGGCACCCCGGAGGGCAGCCCCCAACCCTGAAACACACAGCGGCAGCGGCCTGACCTCCCCGGCACTCTCTACGTCATGTGTCTCAGATGGGGACCTGTGAGTCCCGGAACCTGACTCACGGGTTTGTGTCCACTCCTGGGCCAGGTGGGATTAAGAAATACTTTTAAAAAATAAATAGTTTCATTAACCAATAGTTCAGTCACAGGCAGGTTTGGAAATCGCAAGGAACCCAGTGGGGAAAAAGTAATGAAATCCAAATAAAGGTCTAGTTTAGTTAATGCTGGTGTGCCAGTATTGCATCCTTAATGTGACGAGTGCCCTGTCCTCGGGTAGGATGCCAGGAATGGAGGAAGCCAGGTGCAGGGTAGACCTAACTGTCTGTGCTATCTCCACAAGTTTGCTGTAAATCTAAACATAAAATCCGGTGGATCACTTGAGGTCAAGAGTTCAAGACCAGCCTGGCCAAGATGGTGAAACCCCGTCTCTACTAAAAATACAAAAAAAATTAGTTGGGCATGGTGGCAGGCACCTGTAATCCCAGCTACTCGGGAGGCTGAGGCAGGAGAATTGCTTGAACCTAGGAGGTGGAGGTTGCAGTGAGCCTAGATTGAGCCATTGCACTCCAGCCTGGGTGACAAGAGTGAAATTTCGTCTCAAAAAAAAAAAAAAATCTAAACATAAAATCTAAAATAAAAGTTTCATTAAAAACAGTTGAGAGAGGATATAATATAGGATCTTGTGGGTCACTCTAAGGTTGGATCCTGTGGGTCACTCTAAGGGTTTTGGGCTTTGCTGTCAGTGTCAGCACAATGATTTTACTTTTGCAGGTGGTGTGTCTCTCGGGACCAAGTGGATGTTGAGATACCAGCCGGACAGCTATTATACCAATGCAGAAAGAAGGAAATGGTGGCTTGGGTACTAGTGCCGGGGGACGGGGGAGAGGACATGGTTGCTTGGGCCAAAGGATGGTGCTGAAGTGGGGAGAAGGGGTCTGATTCCAGGTATGTTTTGAAGGTGAAGCCAACAAGAGTTGCTGACAGATTCAGCGTGGGGATGAGAGGAAAGGAGAGTCTGGGCTGAGCCCAGGGTCTCGCCTAACTAGCTAGAGGGATGAGGCCACGCTGACCCAGTGGGGAGTGGGGAAGGGCAGTGCAGGGAGGACAATGGGGAGTTTGTTCTGAGCATGTCCTGGCTGAGATGCCTGCTGGACTTCAAGCTCAAGAAACCTCTTGGATTTAAATCTAGAGTTGAGAGGAGAGGTTGTCCTTCAGGGGTCCATATGAAAGCTTCAGGTGCTTCCGAGGGATCCTCTGGCATGACAGGTCTGAGCCCGTCTTTCCCTCTCCGGCACTGCAGGGCTCCCGCAGTTCTGCTTAGATTCCTAGCAGCCTCTGCTCAGCCCCTCTGCGCTCACCCTGTGCTGCTTGCAAACAGACACCCTGGACTGTTGGGATCCTTTCCTCTCCCCGGGATCTTGTCTCTCCAAGCCCTGGCTGTGTGAGCAGTCCTGCACTCTGATTCTCGTCTTCCTGCTGGCACGACAGTGTTGAAAGCTCCTCTGAGCTTCTCGGATTCTCAGCAGACCTCCCTGCTCAGCTTCTCAGCATCTCTGCTCATGCCAGTTATGAGTTTGCGGTTGCCCCAAAGGGTGCAGAAGTTCGGGTCACCTCAACGCGTTTCCCTCCCCCACAATGTCTTGGGCCTTCAGGTCCTGGCTGCCTTGGTAACTCTCTGACACATTGAGACACATGTGGTCATTTGTTTTCTCCAACCTGGTTGATGGAAGCCAAAAGTGGACTCCTTTTTATTTTTTTGTTTTTTGACAGGGTCTTTCTCTTTTGCCCAGGCTGGAGTGCAGTGATGCGGTCACAGCTCACTGCAGCCTCAACGTCCTGGGCTGAAGCCATCCTGCCGCCTCAGCCTCTTGAGTATCTGGGAGCACAGGTGTACACCACCATGCCCGGTTAATTTATTTTTGTAGAGACGGTGTCTCGTCATGTTGCCCAGCGTTCCGCCTAGGCCTCCCGAAGTGCTGGGATTGCAGGTGTGAGCCACTGTGCCCAGCCTCCTCGTTTTTCTTACAGTTGTGTTTCACTTTATGGATCTATTATGATTTATATAACAACCTCTTATCAACGGGCTTTTAGGCCATTGTAAATAATGCTGCAGTGAGTAATTTCACACATAGACGGCCTCACCTGTGCGCAATGGTATCTATAGGATAAGCAGAATTGCCGGGCCAAAGGGCAGATGCATTTACATTTTTATTGATGTTGCCAACTTCGTGGCCATAAACGTTGTGCTAACTTGTCCTTTCATCAGCTATGTACGAGAGCGCCTGCTTCCCCACAAGTCTGTCAACATTGAGGGTTGCCTGGCATTTTGCTTTTTGCCAGTCTGACCCGTCATAAAATGGAACCTCCATTTAGTTTCAATTTGTGTTTCCTTGTTACCAGTGTGGTTGGGTGTCTTTCTATGTGTTAAAATGCCAGTTGCCGGCCGGCGCTGTGGCTCACGCCTGTAATCCCAGCACTTTGGGAGGCCAAGACGGGTGGATCACGAGGTTGGGAGATTGAGACCATCCTGGCTAACACGGTGAAACTCCGTCTCTACTAAAAATACAAAATATTAGCCGGGCGTGGTGGCGGGAACATGTAGTCCCAGCTACTCGGGAGGCTGAGGCAGGAGAATGGTGTGAACCCGGGAGGTGGAGCTTGCAGTGAGCCGAGATTGGTCCACTGCCCCCCAGTCTGGGCGACAGAGCGAGACTCTGTCAAAAAAAAAAAAAAAGCCAGTTGCCCATTTAAGTTCTTTACTCATGTTTTGATGAGTTTGCTGGTCTTTATCTCATTGTTTTCAGGAGGGTTTTTTTAAATGTATTTGGGAAAGTAGCATCTTGTCTACCGTATGAGTTGCTAATACCTCTTCCTCAGTTGGTTGGCTATCTGTTAACTTTGGCTTGCAGTATTTTAATATTTTTAAATGTATGTCTTGCATATTTCTTTTCTTTCTTTCTTTTTTTTTAGATGGAGTCTCACTCTGTCTCCAAGGCTGGAGTGCAGTGGCACAACCTCGGCTCACTGCAACCTCCACCTCCCTCATTCAAGTGATTCTCCTGCCTCAGTCTCCCCAGTAGCTGGGATTACAGGCGCATGCCACCACGCCCGGATGATTTTTGTATTTTTAGTAGAGATGGGGTTTCACCATGTTGGCCAGGTTGGTCTTGAACTCCTGACCTCAGGTGATCCGCCTGCCTCGACCTCACAAAGTGCTGGGACTACAGGTGTGAGCCACCACGCCCGACCGATGTCCTGCATATTTCTTATTAGGCTTATTCCTAGAAGTTTGTTGTTTTTGCTACTGCTAAAATATGCTATTTAATGTCATTAACTTTGCTAACTGAGGCCAGAGCTACGGGAAACTAAACGAAGTTAACCAACCAACCGAGCAAATAGCAAGTGCTTACTGAGCCTCTATATCGTCCTCACAATATTGTCGGAATGAAGCTGCCATGTTGGGTGTTGCAGGGACAAGAGAGTAGAAGATTCAATCAATCCTCGCTTTTAAGTTGTTCAAAATTGATTGAAAAAGACATAGAGAGACACAAAGACACAGCCTGGGTGGGGACAGGTGGGCGGCCCCAGGTGAGGGGCAGGCACCGAGGTCATCACGGGCGCTGGCGTTCAGGCCTTCCGGGTGGCAGCAGGGTGGGTTGAAAGGGGACTGTGGCCGACAGGAACATGGGCAGAGGACTGGCCAAGCAATTTCTAAGAGAAAAAAGGAACACCCACGATGAACACAGGAAAAACATACCCTCCTCTCCAGTACTTAAAAAAAAATGACATTTTACTGGCCCAACGAAGTGGCAAAGATTTCCTTCAAGGGTAAAACCTTGGGTAGGAGAGTCTTCAACAGAAACAGAGGCGGAGGGGAATGGCCACCATCCCTCTACGCACCTGTCCGGGCAGCGGGGCAGTGGGCCATGATCCTGAGCGTGTCCTGCGTACCAGGCACCCCGGGCAAGCAACAGAGAACCAGGCAGGTGTGGGAAACCATGTTCTGGCTGGGGAAGCAGACAATACCCAAGTCAGCAAGTGAATATGGGAGCGTGAATTGTGACCAGCATCACCCCACAAGAGGGAATGAACGGGACATTGAGGGAGGGAGTTGTGGGGGACCATGGGGCCGGCGTTTCCCTCACAGAGGGTGATATGAAGGGGAGGTGGCATCTGAGCAGAGAGGTGAAGAATGCAAAGGGGCCGGCCGCGTGGAGACAGCGGGGAGGAGAGGTCCAGGCAGAGAGATTAGAATGAGCCAAGGCTCTGCCTGGGAGCCGTGGCGGGCAGGCGGGCATCTCTCTCTCTCCCCATGGTCTCAGGGCTTCTCCACGTGCGATAGTTTCACAGCACGGTGGCCTCGGAGCATCCAGACGGCTAACTGGACAGCTCGGGGTTGCACGTGCCTGTTCCCAGAGACCAGGCTGACACCGACGCCTCCCGTGACTTCAGACCCCACAAGTCACGCAGATGGTTTCTGCCGTTGCCACAAGCCCACCCTGGAGGCCAGGGCAGGGGCCTGGACCCCACCTTCCTATCAGTCTCTCATAAGAAGAGCCCCTGGCTGGGCTGGGAGATGTCGCTGTGGCCACCATGGGGCAGCCAGTGGGCAGAGTGAAGAGCCAGGCATAGAGGCCGGCAGAGACCCGACAGTGCAGGTGCCTGGCGGGCCGGGATGGGCCAGGTGGACGGGAAGGACAGTGGCTATGAGATTCAAAGCGCCTGCTGAAAGGACTCATCCTGGCTGCCTGTGCGCCAGAGCTGCATGCAAAGGGCAAGGTGGGTGCGGGGAGACTGGGCAGGACCCTGTCTCACAGCTCCTGCTCGGCCCCCTGGCTGAGGTGAGGAGGGCCACACCTGAGGTCCTCCCCTAACAGGGACCACATGTTTCCTCATGCTCTTGGCCAAAATGAGATGACCATCTTGGTGGTGTGTGCGCTGCAAAGTGAGCCTGCCAGGCCAATGGGAATAGATTCAGCAGAATAACACCCAAACGTAATTCAAGCAAAGACAAACATCTCATGTCAGGCTCACGGCATTCAGAGAAACATGGGAGAATTCCTGCCTCCGTGCATGGGCCAATCAGATAGGGCCACTCCTGAGTTGCTCTGTGTTGGGAAATGACCTAATAGCCTTACAGCTTGTTACTGATTAATTTTGTTTGATGTGGGAGGCTGCATGGATTTTTAATAAGGGCTACTTGTAATTGCAAGCCGACTGAAGCTTCCAGAATCATGAAGTGCATTTCAGGGAATTTTGCAAAACACAGGACACAAGGCCTGTGTGCCCAGCACTCCCAGCTGGTAATTACATTCGAGCTGCTGTGTAGAGAGAACCTAGGGGCTCTCGTTAACTAATGACAGGAATTAGGGAGCTATTAGTGCCTGCTGGTGGGACCCGGCTCTTCCCTCATAAATCTCCAGCCCGTTGATATCCTGGCCTCCCAGTGAGTTGGGGTTTTAGTCTGTATATTAGAAAGTGCTGAGAGAGGGGAAACCAAATACAGAGAAAACTTCTAAGTCCCCCAGGCCAAGGGACATGCATGGGCCCCTGACATCTGTGCCAATCTGCTCTGCCCCCTTAAAAGAAGCCGTGACGACAGCCAGGGCGGCCACGCCGGGTACTGGGTCCTGGGTCTGAACATGACAGCTGCCCACTGGTGTATCCACAGCTTCACACGGGGACCAGCGCCCATCTCTGTCTCAACCGCCCCAGGAACAAGCCTTGTTTCTGAGCAGTGGCCACCTCTGTGGGTCTCTGGAAACTTGGCCATAAGTGCCAGCTAGCTGGTGGGAAGGACAGGGAGTGAGTGGGCTGGACACACAGACAGCAGGCCACGCAGTGCCTGGGGTATCCAGGAAAACAGCACAAGGACAGAAACCAGCTACAGGTGCAGATGAGGGGAAGAAATGAGTTAGGAAGCAATGGGCTGCATGGAACAGAAAAGACAAATCAACTGCCTTCACTGAGAGGGAACGGACTGATGCCGGGAGGTCTGGAGGCAGGTGGCGTTCAGGCTTGGCTTGACCCAGCGGCTCAACGAGGCTGTCACGGCCTCAATTTCTTTCCATCTCTGCCCTCTGCATAGTTGGCCTTATTCCAAAGCCAGCTCTTCCTCATGGGCACAAAATAGCTGCTGCAGTGCCAGGCTTCACATCGCATATCCCACCCTGCCCAGGAGAGAGGATGTGTCTGTCCCTGCAGTCTGCATGAGGAGCACCCTGATTGGATGCCTGGGCTATGTGAGAACACGGCCAGGGGAGAGGACTGTGTGAGCACACGGCCAGGGGAGAGGACTGTGTGACGAATGTGAGGGAATCACGGCTCCTTTGGAAGAGGGGTTGTGGGCAGCTTGGCCCAAGCACACAGAGACGGATGGGTGGGGGACGGACGCTTGAACAGTGGAGCCAGAGCTGGAACTCAGGGCCGGATGGAAGGGAGCTTGCCCCTGCACAAGGCATTCAGGTTTTATTTTTAAGATGATCAGGAGCTAGGAATGCTTTCGGCTGGAGGGAGGGAGGTCTATGCAGCTGGAGAGGGGGGAGGTGGGGTGTGGGGGCTGGGGCCAGGAGGTGTGTGGGGCAGAGACAGTGGGTGAAGGGAGAGGGGCTGGGTGGGGCACTGGAAGCCGTCTGCTCTACCCCACACTGTGGACTCACGCCGTCCTCACAACCACTCGGCAGCAACGTCTCCCTCCATCGTGGAAGGAGAAGGGTGGGCAGGTGGCTGCCAATGCCACTCCCATTTTCAAATGTGGAGACTGAGACACAGAACCACAGGTTTCAAGATGACACAGCCAGTAAAGGATTTGAACCTGGGCCTGTGGAACCCACTCCCACATGACACCCTTGAGGGACAGGGAGGTGGCGGGTGGCAGCTTCTGGGCAGACCAGAGGCTCATACTCGGAGAGGAGATGGGTGAAGACCCAGACACCTGCGGAGACGGTCATGGGGCTGACTGGCGGGACGGGGGAGGTAAGGACCGACTTGGCTTGCGACCTTTAGTGTTTGGGACAATGGTGGGTAAGTAGGCAGTTTTGCCTGTGTCGGGAAAATTTTAAGACTTTGAAATGGGCAAAAAGGATTGTGTGTCCCGTCTCCCGCACCCTTCCGGGGTCTTGCGGCCTTTCACGCTCTTTTGCAGAAACCTGACAATAATACAATAATACAAATGATGCGTGTCCGTAAAAATGCAAGTTAACCTTGTCTGGTGGAATGCCGTCGATCATTACATCATCTGTAAATCCACTTCGGTGCTCCTTGTTTTTTTTTTTTTTTTTTTTTTTTGAGACAGAATCTCGCTCTGTCTCCCAGGCTGGAGTGCAGTGGCGCGATCTCGGCTCACTGCAACCTCCGCCTCCTGAGTTCAAGCAATTCTCCTGCCTCAGCCTCCAAGTAGCTGGGACTGCAGGTGCCCATCACCACACCCGGCTAATTTTTGTAATTTTAGTAGAGATGGGGTTTCGCCATGTTGGCCAGGCTGGTCTTGAACTCCTGACCTCAAGTGATCCACCCTCCTTGGCCTCCCAAAGTGTCGGGATTACAGGCGTGAGCCACCGTGCCCGGCCCATTCCTTATTTTCTATATAATGTGCTTTGAATTCTCCTGTGAGCCAGTTCTAACGTCTTATTGGTTTCCTTGCTAATTAAGGCGTTCAATAAAATCCTCGCTGCATTTCATATTTGTAGGATAGTCATGCTTTTACCTTAAAATTCAACACTCTATTAATATGACTCTTGACCATCAGAGGTGGGTTTGGGGCTCAGGAGAGGGCAGAGCTGGGGGAGGCTGGGGTGGGAGGTCCAGGGAAAGATGGGAGGAGATGCTGCCTGGGGACGTAGAGGGAAGGGTTTGCAAGTACGACCTCCCGGCCTGTCTACAAGTCCCTCCTCGTAGCACTGCCCCCACGCTGGCCTCCCCCAATGCACATGAGGCTGGAATGGTCACTGCTAGAGTGGCCATGGGGGCCAACCCCGCACCCCACCCTGTGGCGTTGGTGTCCTGCCCACACCAGCACTGACATCCCTCCAGACTTCCAGCAAATTCTCTCCTATGACCCTGTTAGTGGGGACCATGGGTTTTGTGTGGTTTCTCAAACATCTCTGTGGGCGTACCTGTAAAATCAGAGGACGCCAAATGTGTGGCCCCACTGTGATCTGGGGGCACAACCCCACACAGCACCCACCAGGTTCAAAATTGCTTCAACATTTCTGTTTTTTAAACAGGATTTCATGGAAACTTTGCATTCAACTCCAGAGGACATCTGTGTTTGCTTTAGTACAAAACAATGTGTTAAATGGTTTTCCACTGTCAACGGACAGAATGACAACACATGTAGTTTAAAGATCTTAATGGACTCTATTTCGATTCTAGAATCGGGCAATGTGTCCCTCTGTAAAACAGAACTAGTGCTTCCTCGAGCTGAGCAGAGGGGGCGGCTTTACAGATGGAAAGGGCTTCCTAGAAGAAAGCAGAGGCAAAGAACACAGGCGGAGGGGTCGTTTCAAAGTTACTGTCCCTGCAGGGCGGGGACAGGGAGCAGAAAAATACAAAAACAACCAATCGATTGTCTCACATCGGGTGACTTCAGGCTAAGGATTAAAGCAGAGGGAACTTCATTCCACACTGATTGAAGACTGGAACCGGCCTGTTTGGGAAATTGGCCATTCTCTCTCTCTCTCCTTTTCTTTCTTTCTTTTTTGTTTTTTAAAATAATTTATTATTTTTATAGAGACAGGGTTCCACTGTGTTGCCCAGGCTGGTCTCAGACTCCTGAGCTCAAGCCATCCTCCTGCCTCAGGCTCCCAAAGTGCTGGGATGACAGGTGTGAGCCGCCGTGTCTGGCCAATCGCCCTCTCTTGATTTTTTGGAAGGTCAGATGACAACTTCGGTTGGGTTTGGTGACAGACAGCCTGACCATGGGTGACTGCATTTGATTTTTACCCAGAGCAGGCGCTTAGTTCAAAACCATGGTCTTCCATAATTTTTATGTAACTAGCACAGCGGAGGAAGAAGACACTAGGGGGGCGCCTTCCCACCTGCCTGGATTTCCCGACTCCGAGCCTCCCTCAAGGGGAGTGGATGGCACCTCAGTTTGAGAGGCCGGACTTCCTGGGTCCCTCTCCTGGCAGCTGCTCAGGGTCCCTGAGCCCCCTGTCCCCTGCCCTCTGTCCTCAGCAAGGGCCCTGGGTGGGGTCTTTTCCAGGGGGCAACTGCTTAGGGTCCCTGGGGCCCTTCCTTGCCCCTCTGTCCTCAGCAAACCTCTGGCCTGGGTCTGTCTCCTGCTCAACATCCCTGGGCCCCCTCCCCGCCTTGCCCTCCTGGCCCCAGCAAGGCCCCAGGCCTGGGGTCTGGGCAAGACCCCTCCTAGGTCAGGACAGGAGTGAATCCAGAGACCACTCGGCTTCAATTTGGTGCAGAGGCCCTAAAGGGCATTTGAGAAAAGATGGGGTAGGGAGGGGCCTGAGGGCAGCCGGACTGGACGCCAGGGGCTGAGCAGGTCACTGTCTCGCTGAGCACCAGGACAGCTGCTCTGCAAGCGTTCCCCGCGTTTCAGCCCCTCTTACAGGGTGGCTGTGGGAGTGACTGCGCGAGAAGATGGGTGTCAGGGGCTTACAGAGCCAGCCTTCTTGGTGGAGCCCTCCCACTGCCACCCCAACCCCGCTCCGTCCAGGGCGCTGCTCTCTTTCGGGGCGTCGGGCTGCAGGCCTGGACCCCAGACCTGGGTCTGCGGGGCGGCGGGGGCGGGGCCTGGGCCTCGGGGGGCGTGGCCGGGGGTTGGGGCGGGGCCCGGATCACCGCCCTCTGCGCCTGGCCCAGCCCGCGGCCCGGCCCATCCCTGGCGCTCTGCTGCCACCTGGTGGCGTGGCGCGGCCGTGCAGCCTCGGCCTCACCTGCGGGACAGCAGGTGCACCGAGCTCCTGGAAGGCGGCTGCTGGGCGGGCGCGGACGTCCGGCTTTAGGGGACAGATCTGGAAAGGGTGGGATGACGGGAAAGCTGCCCACTCCTCAGCGTCCGGTCAGGCCTCGGCTTCCGTGGCCAGACAGGGAGAGGGGCTTATGACAAGCACATCGCCACCTGGGCTAGGGAGTCCCGCGCTGCACCTCGAGAGCTAGGAGGGGCTGCGCATGAGGGGCCCGCACCCCTCGTTTTCCAGCTGGGAAACTGAGGCTAGAAAGGCCTTGGCGGCGCTTCCCAAGGGCAGTCCTCCCGTGCGCTGACCACTCGCCGCCTGGTCTGTGGATGGAGCCTGTGGGGCAAACAAGGAAACAGGCACACAAAACTGTCATGCAATGAACGCAGCCTAACATCAGAAAGCATGGCATAGCTACTTCCCACAGCGGGAAGTGCAGTGGAAAACACAGCAAAGCCGGAAGGCCACAGCCTGGGCTTGTCCCATGGGCGCTGCTGTGGCTGGGTGGGCTGGGTGTGGAGTGATGCATGAAGCCGGTTGCTGCCGAGGCCTGGGGCAGGTGGAGGAGGGCGATCCCAGAGCTCTGTGGGCCATAAAGACGTGGACTTTATTCTAGGTACCTGGCAGGGTTTCCTAAAGGGGGCTGCGGGGAAAAGGAGTGTGACATGATGTGGTTTCAGAAGTCCCACCCTCCCTGCAGGCCTGGCTGGAGTGGGTAGGGACATGCTGGCTTCAGGTGAGTGTCCTGGGCAAAGGGGCTTAGGGCCAGGCTGTTAGGACTTCAGCACAGAGGCTGAAGGATTTGCTTTGGGGAGAGATCCAGGGAGGTTATGGCCCACTGCCAGGTGTCAAGCCAAGTCACCCACAGGTGTGATGGGAACAGGGCCAAGTGACGTTTTTAAATGGCCCTATTTTCGATCCCGGGGTTACATTGTTTGCATGATCTCATTAATTCAGCACAATAGTCCTGGGTGTTTCTCTCCTTATCTCGCTTAATTGGCGTAACAGCCTGTGAGTCAGGCACTATTGCCCCTATTTCAGGCACAAGGAAGCTGAAGGCTCAGAGAGAGTTGAAGTGCTCTGTCTTACCCAGCAGGAAGGGGCTGCAGGATTCATCCTGGGCCAGACTGTGTGTGTGCCATTTTAAAACGAAGACACAGGGCCAGGTGCGGTGGCTCACGCCTGTAATCCCAGCATTTTGGGAAAGGCCGAGGCGGGCAGATCACGGGGTCAGGAGATCGAGACCATCCTGGCCAACATGGTGAAACCCTGTCTCTACTAAAAATACAAAAAAAAAATTAGCTGGGTGTGCTGGTGTGCTTGTAATCCCAGCTACTCTGGAGGCTGAGGCAGGAGAATCACTTGAACTCAGGAAGCGGAGATTGCAGTGAGCCAAGATTGCACCACCACACTCCAGCCTGGTGACAGAGTGAAACCCCATCCAAAAAAAAAAAAGACACAGTTCCTGTAACAGAAAATTACCATTTTAAGGTGTACAAGCCAGCTGTTTTCAGTAGATTTACAATATTGTACAGCCATCACCACTACCTAATCCCAGAACATCTGCATCACCATAAAAAGAAACCCTGTACCTGTTAGCTGTCCCTCATAAGTGTCCCTCCCCCAGCTCCTGGCAACGCCCATCTGCTCTCCCTCCCTGTGGATTTGCCCATTCTGCACATTTCATACAAATGCAATCATGGAAACAGTGGCCTGCTGTGCCTGGCTTCTTTCCCTGAGCAGGGTGACTTTGAGGCTGTCCAGGTTATGGTCTGGGTCTGTGCTTCATTCCTTTTCATGGCTGAATAATATTCCACGGCATGGACAAACCACACTTTGTTTCTCCATTTATCTGTTGATGGACAGGTGGGTTGCTTCCACTTTGTGGCTGTTGTGAGTGATGCTGCTGTGAACCTTTGTATCCTAGTATCTCTCTGAGTTCCTGTTTCAGTTCCTTTGGGTGTATACCTAGGATTGGAATTTCTGAGTCTTACAGTAATTATGTTTGCCTTTTTGAGAAAATGCCAAACTGTTTTTCAAAGTGGCAGCACCATTTTATGTTCCACAAGCAGGGTATGAGGGTCCCAGTCTCTCTATATCCTCATCAACGCTTGTTATTTCCCATTTAAAAAAATTATAACCATCCTAGTGGGTGTGGAGTGGAGTCTCATTGTGGATTTCATTTGTGTTTCCCTAATAATTTAGTGACATTGATGATCTTTTCAGGTGCTTAGTGGCCAATCTTTTATGGAGAAATGTCTATCAAATCCTTTGCCCATTTTCAAGTTGAATTATTTGTCTTTTTACTGTTGAGTCTAGGCCAGATTTTAAATCGCATTCCCTCTCTGGCTGAAGTTACCTGGGCTCTGCATAAAGTTCTACAGTGCTCAGCAAACAGTGCTCTCAAGCAAGGGGCAGCTGTCTGGGCAGGGCGTGAGTTCCTTCTCTGCCACAGCATCCTCTGTGTGTGAGCCAGTGATAACTTATAGATAGGTAGTGGGGAGAAGGGGGAGGCTGTGGGTGACCCATCCCACACTCCTGCTCTTCTCATCTCCTGCATTCCTTGGCAAAAACCCTCACCCCAATCCTGCGCCACCGTTGCCCTCCCCCAGAACCTGTGATGTTGAGCCAAGTTCCCCTGACCCTTGTAACAGGGGATCCCTGTGACCTCAGCCTTCTCCCTGCTGATCTCCGAGTGCTCATGGCTGCCCCTCTTGCTCCACGAACCACCTGGAATCAGGAAGATCATCCGCTTCCAGCACCATCCAACCCTGGGCGTGGAGAGGGGTCAAGAACATGGCTCTGCAGCTGCCCGGGTTGGGGCTGGACTAAACTTAGCCTCTCAGCTGCTCTGTGATCTTGGCCACTTCTCTAGCATCCATGTGCCCTCGCCAAAAATAGGGCTAACCTGTGGGATTGACCTCCCAGGCTGACTGAGAGCTCATGTGGTATCAGGCAATAAACAGGAGGGTGCTGTTATCCCAAAATGTTCTCAGATTCTCTCAGGGAAGCCAGCTCAGACAAGCAGAGAGACGCATGCTGGGTGCACGTTTCCAGAGATCAGAGGCTACGCCTGACCCTTTTTGGCAAGATCACAAGCACAGAGCTGGGGAAATAGAGCTCGGCAAATATTGACTCGAATACCTGGGAGGGATTACTGGTGAGGAAAAGGCAGAATGGTACACAGAGCGGGATCCAATCTGTGTGACAAAAACTAGAATGCGAGGTCTGCGTCTGCAGAGAAACGAGTGTGCAGAGGGCACACGCTGGTGCTCAGGGCAGCTGCCTTTGGGGTTTGGGGTTGAAGGGAGGCAGGTGAGGTGGATAAAACTGTTATTAAAGAACGTTCATCCCCACCCTCTTGTGGAAGGAGGGCACGTCCCCACTCCCTGACACTGGGCTTGGCGTGGAACCTGTTTGAACATGGGGCTTCAGTGCTGAGCTGCTGTGTACGCTGTGAGGGCTGCACTCCAGAACCTCTCCTGACCCGCCTGGAACAAGCGTCCCCCTGGGTAGCTGCCACCTGAGCCTGAGCCCCAGAAAAAAGCACAGATGGCTGAGCCCAACCCACAAGGCAAAGCACAGCTCAGCTCCCCGTGAATAGACACTGGCTGTGTCTACCCTGACTGGTGGTTACTGCTGCCCAAGCCTGTGAATGGCCACTGGCTGCGCCTGCCCTGACCAGCGGTTACTCCTGCCAGAGCCGCTGGGTGCTGGGTGGCTTTTCCCCTGCATTGTCATGGCAAGAGCTGACGCATACAAAGGGAGGATACATGGGGTTTTCACCTTTTACTCTATCATCTAAGAAACTTAGACCAAATTGGTTATCCTTTAGAGAGAAAAGGTGGCTTCAAATAAACAGGGTGCTGATTCTGTCTCATAACGTCTGGCTGGCCCCCGTGCCCTGTGGCCGTCGACACTGCCTGGCAGATGTCCGGTGCAGTTGCTGCTTCTCCATCCCTCCCAGCTGACGGCGGGCTGCCCGCAGGCACAGTGGCACCCTGTTCTCAGGACCTGCCTGGCTGGGCCTGGCCTGGGGCAGGTTTGTCAACGGGCTGAATCCCAGAATGCCAGAAATAGAACGTAGAAGTCCTGGGATCTGCACAGAGGGAATTCAGGGTGTATTCGGGTGGGCCGGGTGTAGCGGTAATCCTTGGTTCCTGGTTAGCTATCGTTTTGGAAGTTACTGGAGTTTCTCTGCGTTTCATCTGGTGCAGATCGGGGAAGGGTGTGCCGTCAGAATGTGCGTGTCCTGCCTCCCTGCTGTTGACTGAGGCATCTCTGCTGTCTCCACGAGAGCAAGTTTCCTTGTCATCCAAGGCTCCGCACGTGTTAGCCTGTGTCACTGGGGAGGGCTTGTGGCCTCAGTCTGCTTACCTGTAAAATGGGGTTATATCTGGTGTAAGCAATGCTGTGGACTGCCCCAAAAGGACGTCTGACTAATCACTTAGTAAATCCCTTAGAAAGATCCCAAAACATGGCAGATCCCTTTCAAATGCAGACCTGCGCTTTGAGAAACTAGGAAAAGTCCAAGCTGAAAACGGCCGCGGGAGGTGTGTGAGCGGGCTTGTGCTTCAATGCCCGTCAATGGAAAAAAGATGAGACCTTGGACTCACACAAGCCGGGGGTTAGAACCGTGACCCTCGCATGGAGCCCAGGCGCTAGAGGAGCTTGTTTGTTTTAGTCTGAGCTCTCGTGGGAAGAAAGTTTCTGCTAAGAATTATAACAATAAAACTGCCCGCAGTGTGGTCAGGCTGAGAAAATACACCACCATGAGGCCAGGGAATGCCCAAATGAGGAACTGGGGGAAAAGTGGGATGAGCCTGGAAATCCCTGGGGGCCTCTGGCAGGAGCAAATTGCAAACCACTCTGGGGACACACCCTCAACAGCAAATTGCAAACCACCCTGGGGACACACCCTCAACAGCGGCCACGCAGGATTTCCAGATAAAACTACAGACCACGAACTCACAGGAGAAACCTATACACCCTGCAAAGAAGAAATGCAAAGTATGCAAAGCAGTGTGGCAGCAAGACGATGTCTTCAAGAAATTCAGACAAAAGAGTCATCAAATACACAGCATTAAAAATTGTCAAACAATTAAAAACATGGAAAGAAGCTATCTTAAAAAATGAGTAAAGATCAGCAAACAATGGAACAAAACCAGGCAAATTTGGAAAAGAACCACAACAACAAAAAATCTCCTAAAAATGAAAAATACAGTCACTGAAATTAAAACAATGTAGATACAGCTACTGAGAGTTCATAAGATAGATCTGAATCAATTACCAAGATTGAGACAGATAGATAAATAGCTATTGTTTTGGAAGTTAATCTTTGTGGAAGTTAATCTCTCAACCATTATCTCTTTAAACGTCTCCTTTCCCAGATCTATCTACCTGAAAGATTACAATGTTGTAATATGTGTCTAATTGGAGTTCCACAGGGAAAATCAGGGAAGGGAGACATTTGAAGAGATAATGGCTGAGAGATTTCCAGGACTGATGGAAGTCATGCATCTCCAGATGCAAAATCCTAAGTCCTGAGCAGGTTGAATAAAAATGAATTCTGGCCGGGTGCAGTGGCTCACGCCTGTAATCCCAGCACTTTGGGAGGCCAAGGCGGGTGGATCACAAGGTCAGGAGATCGAGACCATCCTGGCTAAAATGGTGAAACCCTGTCTCTACTAAAAATACAAAATATTAGCCGGGCGTGGTGTCAGGTGCCTGTAGTCCCAGCTACTCCAGAGGCTGAGGCAGGAGAATGGTGTGAACCCAGGAGGCGGAGCTTGCAGTGAGCCTAGATCGCACCACTGCACTCCAGCCTGGGCGACAGAGTGAGACTCCGTCTCAAAAAAAAAAAAAAAAAAAAATGAATTCTCACATGGCACGTTGTAATGAAAGAGAAGAAAACTAAAGGCAAAGATGATTTAGAAAAAGGCAGCTGGAGACCTTTGCTTCTGGCCAACATGGAGTAACAGGACCTGGATTTACCCTTCTACCTAAAATAACCCAAACCAGACAGACTATGTGAAACAAGAGCTTTCAAGAAACGAGACATCAAGTAACAAAGTATAATGATCTCTGAGCGATGGGAACAGCAAGGTGAGCCCTACAGCCGCCCCGGCTTACTGCCTTGAAGACGTTCTCAGGACATGGCTCAGGGAGGCGGAATCCAGGGGAGCCCAGCAGACTCCTGGAGTTTGGACACAGAACTGAGGGTTCAGGAAGAACAAACTAAGACGGGAGAGTTCACAGGACAGAGTGAAGGAGAGGGCAGAGGGGCACAGGCGAGTTCTGGTATCTGCTGAGGAAACCCCCGCCGCTTGAATATTCAGCTAAATATTCATCAGCGTTATTTTTATGTGAGGAGAGTACCCACGGCTTCAGAGAGAACCACCTGAAAGGATTAGTGGCACCAGTTCCTGGTGCCCACACAGGAGAAGGGAATAGTGCCTGTTCCCACCAGCCAGACCGGAAGCCTCGTGTGTTCATGGCTCACTGGGCAGAGAGCACAGAGGAGTCTCACTTCCATAGCGGGAACTGTTTGGCCCTAAACCAAACACTGATCTTTCCTGCTCAGGATCAAACTGTTTCCAAGTAACTTCAGTTAAAATGCTGTAATATGTCTAACTGCGGTTTCACAGGGAAAAATAGGGAAGGGAAATATTTGAAGGGATATTGGCTGAGAAGTTTCCCAAAACAAAGCACAAGAATATTTATAGAAATATAAAAATACCCAGAATCCAACCAAGAAAAATTCACAATGTCTATCATCTAATTAAAGATTACCACACATAAGGAGCAGGAAAACATGACCCAGAGTGAGACGACGAATTATTCAATCTAAACCAGCCCAGACTGAATACGTGTTAGAATTAGCAGGCAAAGACACTAAACACTTATTATAACTGTGCTTTATGCGCCCCCCGCCAAAAGTTCAGTAGTTATGTGGAAGATATTAAAAAACACAAATTGCACTTCCAGAGATGAAAATGATCATGCCTGAGATGAAAAACCGACAAATGATAGTAACAACAGATGAGACATTGCGGAAGAAAAGGTTAGTGGACTTACAGCCATAGCAATAGAAACGATCTAAGGTAAAACCACGGCAAACACAGAGTGAGAAAATGACCAGGGCATCAGTGAGCGCAGAAGCCACTTCAAGGAGACTAATGTACGTATAATTGGGGTGCCCGAAAGTAGGCAGGGGGTGGGGCAGCAAATGTTTTTAAAGAAATAAAGGCTTGAAAATGGCCCATTTGAAATTGAAAAGCTGGGAATACTTCTTAGCTCATTCTACAAAGTCATCGTTACCTTAATACCCAAACAGGTCAAAGTCATAAGAAGAAAAGAAAACTAAAGGCTAATACTCCTCATATAAAAAGTCTACTAGAGCCGGGCCAGGCTCACACCTGTAATCCCAGCTACTTGGGAAGGTGATGCAGGAGGATCACTTTGAGGCCAGGCGTTCGAGACCAGTCTGGGCAACACAGGGAGACCTGGTGTGAAAAGAATTCTTTAAAAAAATTAACAAGGCATGGTGGCATAAACCTGTAGCCCCAGCTACTGGGGAGGCTGAGGTGGGAGGAACACTTGAGCCCAGGAGTTCAAGGTTACGCTGAGCTACGATCGTGCCCCCATACTCTGCACTCCAGCCCGGATGACAGAGTAAAACATTGTTTCTAAAAACACATATATGTATGTATATCTATAATTGCCAAATGGAGCTTATTCCAGGAATTCAGGGATGATTTAACATTTGCAAAATAATCAGTGTAATGAAGCATATTAGTAAAGCAGAAAAGAATATCCCTATAATTATCTCAGTAAGTGCAGAAAAATCATTTGACAAAATATCACATCCATTCCCAGTAAAAACTCTCAGTAAACTAGGAATAGAAGGAAAGTTGCTCAACCTGATAAAGGGTATCTATGTATAAAAACCTGTGGCCTATAAACTTTATAACGGGTATAAAGATCGAATGCTTCCCTCTTAAGACCAGGAGCAAGGTAAGGATGTCTACTCTTGCTCCTACTATTCAACACGGTCCTGGAGGCTCCAGCCAGGGCAGTAGAGCAAGAAAATAAGTGAAAAGCATCCAGACTGGAAATGAAACGGTAAACCTGTATTCACAGAAGACGGGCTGTAGGTAGAGAATCTTACGGAATCGACAAAAAGCAATTACAACTGATAAGTGAGTTTAGTGAGATGGAAAAATATAAAATCAGCAGAGAAAAATTAATTTTATATCTGCATACTGAGAAATAATCAGAAATGGAAAATTTAAAAACGTCATTTAGAGTACTATAAAAATTTGAGCTACGTGCTAAGATGTCAGTTTTCCCACAACGGATTTATGGCTTCAACACAATCCTAATCATAGTCCCAGCGGGTTTTCTCGTATAAACTGACAAACTGATTATACAATTTATTTGGAATTGCAAAGAACCTAGAATAGCCCAAACAACTTTGAAAAAGAAAAGCTGTAAGACTCTCAGTACCTGATTTCAATATGTATTGTAAAGGTACAGTTATAAATACCGTGCTATTTATGTTAAGATAGGCAAATAGATCAATGGAATAGAACAGAGAGTTTAGAAATAGACCCTCACACATATAGGAAATTGATTTCGGCAAAGACATCAAAACAATCTCATTGGGGAAACAAAATCTTTTCAACGAACGGTGCCAGGATGATTTTATGGGGAAAAAACTTTGACACTTATCTGACACCATTACCCAAAACTTAATTCTAGGTGGAGATATTACCAAATGTAAAATATAAAACTGTAAGGCCTCCAGACAAAAGTGCAGGGTAATGTCTTTATGTCCTGGATATAGGGAAGGTTTCTTAAGGCAGAGAAAAAATTTTTGACAAATCAGACTTTATCAAATTAAAAATTATTTTTGTCAATATTCCATGAAGAAAATAAATCGGCAAGACACAGACTGGGAGAAAAAGTTGTGCAAAACCCGTAGGACTTTATCAGGAGTGTATAAAGAAGTCCTACAACTCAAATATAAAAAAGAGAAAATGCCAACATAAATGAGCAAAACGCTACTCGGCAATGGAAAGGAACTGAGTACGGATGCACGCGTAGATCCAGACAAGTCTCAAAGCCCTGTCCCAGGAAGTAGCTATTGTGTGAAGTTCTACAACACACAAAACTCATCTGTGGGGAAAAACATCAGAACAGGTTTGCCCGCGGCGCTGACTGAGGAGACAACTTTCTGGAGTCGGGGAAATTGTCTTTCTCTTCCTTCAGGTCCGACCACCGACTGCAGGCATTTATGCAAATGCACAATATGGCACCTTTACAATGGCTGCATTCCACTCCGGGTAAAGTTTACCTAAAAAAGTAAAACTCTGCAAACAACTGTCGAGCTCTAGTTAGTCATACACATGCTGAAATATTCAGGGGTGAAGCGCACCAGTGTGAGCAACTCACTTTGAAGTTTATAAAAGATTAGATGGATTCATGTCATGTGAGAAAGCAAGTATATCAAAGTGGTAACAGTTGCAGAATCTAAGTGGCGGGTCTATGGCTGTTCACTGCGCAGATGTTAGCAACTCACTTTGAAGTTGATGAATGATTAGATGGTTCATGTCACGTGGTAAAGCAAATATAATGAAATGGTAACAGTTGCAGAATCTAAGTGGTGGGTCTATGGCTGTTCACTGCGCAATTCTTCCTGCTTGAAATTTTGATAATGAGATGTCAGTGGGAAATATCGAGATGGTAATGGTCAGGACTGATCAATTGATAGACAGCAAATTTTAAAATAACCACAATATATGCCAGGAGATAACGCAATACTTGTTTTAGAATCGAAACAAAGAAAGAGAAGGAAGGAGGGAAGGAGGGAGGGAAGGATGGAGGAAGACATTACTTTTCAGACTAAGACTGAGATATCACCACAAACAGAAATAACTACTTAAGGATCTAATTCAGGAAGAAGGAAATCTATCCCAGAAGGAAGGAGTGGGACCTGAGAACAAAGTATGAGTGAAGAAAATGGCAAACATCTGGAAACAGCTATCCAGGTATTTGCTACATAAAACAATAAGAACAGTGAGCAATCTGGGGTTTATAAGAACAAGCTGGAACTTGTGTCAGTCACGATACTTGGTTGCAAGCAACGCAGCTACTCTGGCTAAGATTAAGCAGAGAGAACACTTATTAACAAACTTCAGGGCACTTGAACTCTGAATGTGCCCAGCCAGAAACAAAGCCCAGCCCTGATGTGGGGGCTTCTCCCTGGGAGCCTCACTGTCGCCCCTGCCTGGCACCTGCCACGTTGGACAGTGTCTCTCAGTAGGGCAGGCTGGCATCTTGAGAAGTGGCCTTGTTCCCTCTCTGCCTGGAGAGACCCTGACCACACCCTGCTCCCCCACCCAGAACCGGGCACCCTCAGCTCCCCCAGTCAAACCTGCCTTCCTTGCTAGTTCTCTATCAGCCTCCGGAGCTGCTCTCTGCCCTGTTCTTTGTCTGCTAAAAAACAAAACATTAGCCCTTCTGCTTAGGGAGGGCATCTTTCCTCCTCTCAGCTCAGCTAACCCCTATTTGTGCCCTGAGATGCAGCTCCCAGGCTGCCTCCTCCAGGAGGGGGGCGGGGGTGGTCTCGTTTACTGCTGAGTGTTTAACATCTCAGTCCACACCCAACGCTTGTCAATATACTCCCAAGTCATCACAACCACCAAAAATACAAGCACGTTCCCAAGGCCTTCCGGGGTGAGGAGATGCCATCTTTGGTTGAGAACCACGGCGCGGGTTCCCAGAGGTTCTGCCACAGTTGTCCCTGAAGCACTGGATTCCCAGCAAGCTGGCCACAGTCCCTCTGCACCCGGCTACAGACTCACAGAGATTACTTACAAATCCATCTGGTGCCCCTGGTCTGGGAAGAGCCGCGTTACACACCCACACCCTGCCACGAGGGTGATAGAGATGTTGCTGCATGTCTTCTGCCACAGAGTCGGAAATCACAATGCAGGGAATTGTACACGTGCGAGAAGATCCTTCGGAGACGCTGTGTGTCTGGTGGGATGTCGAACGCTCACCACAGCCTCTCTCAGATGCCCAACCAACAAAGGAACCTGAACTTCCAGGCAACGCGATTGCACCCCCAGTTCACATAATCCAATTATTCCTAGTACAGAGTAAAACGCACTCACCTTCTGCCTGATCGTGGCAGCCCAGCATCTCAGGGCTACTGGAAGCCCATGTGGCCCCATGTGCAAATTAGAAAATTAGAAAAAATAAAAATTAGAAAACTGAGGTTCCTCAGGGGGCTTTATTTATGCATATCAGAAAATTTTAGTACATGCTGATGTTGTTAGAATCAGACCATTTACTGCCATCTGCTAGAAAATCGGCCAAAAAATACACACATTTATAGGATCTACAGTGTGAGTGGTACTTTCTGATTGTGCAGTACACAACCTGTACAACTATACTCAGCAGCCCTGCAAAGCCTCGTCAGTTACTACATCCACCTCCTCATCCAGTGCCTCTGGGTAATGTTCACTCTTCTTCTGGTCCAGTCATAACCCATGTTGACAACCAATGTCCTAAAATTTAAAGGTTAGGCCGGGCGCGGTGGCTCACGCCTGTAATCCAGCACTTTGGGAGGCGGAGGCGGGTGGATCATGAGGTCAGGAGATCGAGACCATCCTGGCTAACACGGTGAAACCCCGTCTCTACTAAAAATACAAAAAATTAGCTGGGCGTGGTGGCGGGCGCCTGTAGTCCCAGCTACTCGGGAGGCTGAGGCAGGAGGGTGGCGTGAACCCGGGAGGCGGAGCTTGCAGTGAGCCGAGATCGCGCCACTGCACTCCAGCCTGGGTGACAGAGCAAGACTCTGTCTCAAAAACAAAAACAAAAACAAAAAACAGAACAACAATAACAAAAAAAAATTAAAGGTTAAACCCCACCACACCACCCATATCAGGGTCTCTCAACCTTGGCACTGTTGACTATCGACATTTAGGGCTGGATTATTCGTTGTGGTGGGGACTGTAGGGTGTTTGCTGGGATCCTTGCCCTTTCTCACTGGGAACCCCTCAGTCATGACAACCAAAAATATATTCAGACTTTGCCGAATTTGCCCTGGAGGTAAACCACCCCCGCTGAGAGCACTGCCTGCGTGGGACAGGGCAGCAGGAGAGCAAAGGGGTGGAGACTCGCAGAGACGATGGCTGTGGCACCTTCAGGAGGGATGCGAGGACAGCCGTCATGGCCCCTTTCTCATCTGAGCTCTCAGTTGGTTTTTCCAGCCACTGCTGTCCACATTCCCTTTGTCCTTGAGGACTTGGGTTCTTTTGATGAATTGAAGGGCTTGGGGACCCAGTTTGTGTGGAAACAGCCCCAGGGCCTGGGCCCCGCATTTCCGTGTTTCTGTCCCACCCTCTTCCCTGCCCAGCGTTTCTCTCCACCAAGATCCCACGGCTGCACTTTCACCCAGGGCCACGCGGAAGCCGAAATCCCCACCCGAAGCCCGGGCTTTCGGTTCTCACACCTCGGTGAATTTTATTGATCTTCAAAAATCTTTGTTGAGCCTCCCCATTGTACTTTTGTTTCATATTTTGTTGTTTTTCTGTTCTCATCTCTAGTATTTTTATTCATAGGTTTGGTTCATTGCTCTTTTTCTGATGAAGAGGGACCCTTACACTGTTGATCTTTCTGCCTTTCTTCTTTTTACTGCGTTCCGTGAAGGGTGTAAGTCTCCTCCGAAGGGCTGCCTAGGCCGCATCCCACAGTTTGGCTGGGTGCATCTTCATTACCTTTTAGAACTATTTTTTTTGTTTGTTTTTTAAGACAGAGTCTCACTCTGTCAACCAGGCTGGAGTGCAATGGTGTGATCTCGGCTCACCGCAACCTCCGCCTCCTAGGTTCAAGCAATTCTCCTGCCTCAGCCTCCCGAGAAGCTGGGATTACAGGCATGCACCACCACACCCGGCTAATTTGTATTTTTAATAGAGATGAGGTTCTTCATGTTGGTCAGGCTGGTCTCAAACTCTCAACCTCAGGTGATCCACCCACCTCGGCCTCCCAAAGTGCTGGGATTACAGCCATGCACCACCACGCCTGGCTAATTTGTATTTTTAGTAGAGATAGGGTTCTCCATGTTGGTCAGGCTGGTCTCAAACTCTCAACCTCAGGTGATCCACCCACCTCGGCCTCCCAAAGTGCTGGGATTACAGGCGTGAGCCACTGCACCCGGCCACAAAATATTTTATCATTTCCATTTTGATTTCCTCTTTGAATCATGGACTATTTAGGAATGTGTTGTTTAATTTTCAGGCAGCTGGAGTTTTTCTAGTTATATTTAATCAAGTTTTAGATTAATTTTATTGTATTCAGAGAACATACTTTACAATCTGTTAAAATTTGTTGAGGCTTCTTAATGGCCCAACGTACGATCAATTTAGCAAATGTTTCATGTGAATTTGGGAGGATGGTGACTCCATGTTCTGGAGTACTGGCCTGTGTATATGACATGTGGTTAAGCTTGTTGTTAGATCTTACCATTATGAAATGTCACTCTTTATCTATAGAAAAGTTTTTAACTTTACTATCTGTTTTTTTATTTTTTTGAGACAGAGTCTCACTCTGTCACCCAGGCTGGCGTGCAGTGGCCTGATCTCAGCTCACTGCAACCTCCACCTCCCAGATTCAAACGATTCTCCTGCCTCAGCCTCCCAAGTAGCTAGGATTACAGGTGCCCACCACTATGCCCAGCTGATTTTTGTGTTTTTAGTAGAGACAGGGTTTCAGTATTTGGCCAGGCTGGTGTTGAACTCCTGACTTCAGGTGATCCACCCATCTCAGCCTCCCAAAGTGCTGGGATTACAGGCGTGAGCCACTGCACTAGTGTCTGTTTCGTCTGTTAATATAGCTACACCAACCTTCTGTTGGTTAGTGTCCTCGTGCTATATAGTTTTTTTACTTTTAACCTTTCTGTGTCCTTACAGTTAAAATGTGTCTCCTGTAAGCAACATACAGTTGATTTTTTCTTGATCTAGTCTGACCATCAGTGGGTTTTTTATCCATTTACATTTAATGGGATTTAGATCTACCCTCTTACTGTTTTGTTTTCTTTTTTGTCCATTAGTTTTTTGTTTCCTTTTTTCTTCCTTTCTTAACTTTCTTTGAATGGGTTAACATTTTTCTTCCATTATTTGTGAGTTGTATATTATTTTACTACCTCTTTTATAAGGTTTGCCCTAGCAATTATAAAATGTATTCTTGACTTATTATGGTCTAATCCAATTATTACCATTACTAATAACAGCTGTATTTATGTTGCTATAATCTTAGAAGCTTTGAATTCTACACCCTCCTCATTTTGCATTGTGGTCTTCTTGCATTTTATTTCTTTGCATATTTTAACTCCACAAGACCTAATAATTGTTGCTTTGTACAATTAATATACACCTGCATTTATCCCAAAGTTTACCGTCCTGGTTTCCCTGGCTGCATTTCCATATTTCTGTCTAACATTCTTGACCTTGGATGAGCCTTTCTGATTACCTGTGTCAGCAGTAACTTCGCTGAGCTGCTCGGCCTCAGCCAAGGCTTTTCACATGGTACTGGTATCTTTTTTAAAAATTAAATCTGCCACCCTGTGGGAAGAAAAGCCTAAAAGTGTGGACCCTGGACCCAGGCTGCCTGTGTTCAAATGCTCGCCTCACCACTTTGCTGGCTATGTGACCTCAAGCAAGTAACTTAACTTTTCTGTGCCTTGGTTTTCTCATCTGTAAAATGGGATGATGTGGTGCCTATCATAGAGGGTTGCTGTGATGATTAAATGAGTAAATATAGGTAAAGTAAAGCAGCGTCCACACGTGGTTAGCTCCATACAGTGCAAGCCATTGTCATCATCAGTGTTGCTTTTGGGTGAAGCACAATCTGAGTCTCTGAAGTTTCAAGCCATTGGTGACAGATCAGGGTCCACATGGCAGGTGAGGTGGAGGCCAGGCAGGCAGGGTCCCGGTGCCTGGTGGGCTCTGCACCAAAAGGAATAAAGGGAAGATTGGAATCCTTCCTCATGAACATCAGGGCCCTTCTAGGAGGTGCTGTGATCAAAATAGACGGAAATTGGTGCTTGGAAGTCAGAAATACTGGGGCAGGTGTCTCCAACCCCACCTGGAGAGGAGGGGCAGTCAGGAAAGACTTCCTGGAGGAGGCAGCCTGGGAGCTGCATCTCGGGGCACAAATAGGGGTTAGCTGAGCTGAGAGGGGGAAAGATGCCCTCCCTAAGCACAGGAGCTAACATTTTGTTTTTTAGCAGACGAAGAACAAGGCAGAGAGCAGCTCCGGAGGCTGACAGAGAAGCAGCGAGGAAAGCAGGCTTGGCTGGGGGAGCTGAGGGTGCCCGGTTCTGGGTGGGGGAGCTGAGGGTGCCCAGTTCTGGGTGGGGGAGTGTGGTCAGGGTCTCTCCAGGCAGAGAGGGAACAAGGCCACTTGTATCTACTGCCGTCACAGGAATGTTAAAAAAATAAAGAACTGGCTGGGCATGGTGGCTTGTAATCTCAGCACTTTGTGAGGCCAAGGTGGGTGGATCACTTGAGCCCAGGGATTTGAGAACAGCCTGGGCAACATAGGAAAACCCCGTCTCTAATATATGATAAATATTAGATATATAGTGTGTATACACCCGCACACAAAATTAGCTGGGCGTGGTGGCACCTACTTGGGAGGCTGAGGTGGGAGGATCACCTGAGTCCAGGAGGTTGACGCTGCAGTGAGCGGTGATCACGCCACTGTACGTACTCCAGCCCGGGCAATGAAGTGAGACCTTGTCTTAAAAAAAAAAAAAAAAAAGGCGGGAGAAGGGATTATTTTCAAAAATGGGAGGACTGGCCAAACATAACTATACCTTTTTAAATTGTTATTTAAAATTTTTAATGTTTACTTTGAGTAATTTGACACATTTCTCTCTCACACACATGTCTGCGTGCAATCTCATCTCATAAAGCGTCCTTGTCTGCAGCCCTCACACATGTGAAGCTTGGAGCCCCCTGCGTCCCGACGCCTGAGACCCTGGGCTGGGATTCCGGCCGTAGGAAGCAGCAAGGCTGCCCTGGGCAGGAACTTAGCTCTGTTTGGAGCCCCTCCCTGGGGCTGGGAGCCACCTGGCCAGAGGGTGCCCAGGGCCGGGACAGAGAGGGCAGAGGCCCGGGCTGGAGGGCGCAGGACACAGGGTGTGCGGGAGGTCCGCGCCTGCAAGGGGTTGGGTCACTCTGCCCCAAGTCGGCCCCGTGACCCCAGGGATGACTGCAGGTCACTCTGCCCCGAGTCGGCCCCGTGACCCCAGGGATGACTGCAGATGAGGTGGCTTCTTGGGGACATCTGAAAAGCTCTCATGGTCTGGACTCCATGTACGTGGCACATCCTCAGTGCCCAGCAACACCAGCCAGCCCCGGACCCGGCACCAGGCCATGAATATTCGCATCCTCAGCTGGCTGGGGGGGCGTCTGTCCAGAGCCGAGGGACCATCGGTCTTGACGCGATTGCAGACACACAAACAAGCCACATAATTTCTTCCACGTCCTGCCGTGGTTCCGTGAGCGCGGGTGCCTGGCGCACGGTCCCTGCCCAATTACATCTCAATCAGTGTTAAAAGGCACCTGACATTTCCCTTTGATTTATGTATTAACCTTTACATCCAGCTCAGGCGGGCGCTGATTGCTTTCATCAGCTGTGCTGAGGCAGCTCCGAGGGGCTCCTCCGATAGCTCTTCCCACCGCGTCCCCAGGCCGAGTGCCTCCTTGAACACAGAGTTTGCTCGTGGAGACCCCAGGTTGGTGCATGAAGGCCGTGGCTGCGTCCCCCCATCCCCAGCACCTCTACTGGAGGACCAGCTCCGGGAAGCTCCAGGAGCTGCAGGTCCACGGCTCTGTGCACCCCTTTCTCTGTACAAACAGCGTTGAAAAAGACAGTGGCTGCCAAGTTTGTGTTGATGTGAGCAGTTGCGGGGCCGTGAGACTGTTCAGCTGACAGACAGGGGTGTGGGTTCCCAGAGACCCCCTCACATGTCTGCAGCCTCCCACAGCTGCCCCGTCACAGCCCCACCCTACGAGTGCACAGAAACCCACACCACACACTTGTGTGCACACTCTAATGGGCAGACTCACTTGGCACAAGCACGTGTGCTGACTGACATGCACACTGCACACACACACTCATGCACACTCATGCACAGTCATACACACATGCACGCTCACTCACATGCACACTGCACACACACATGCAGTCATGCACAGTCATACACACGTGCACGCTCACTCACATGTACACTGCACACACACTCATATGCACACTCATGCACAGTCATACACACATGCACGCTCACTCACATACACAGTCATGCACACTCAATACACACGCTCACTCACATGCACAGTCATGCACACTCAATACACACTCACGCTCACTCACATGCACACTGCACACACACTCATGCACAGTCATGCACACATGCACGCTCACTCACATACACATGCATGCTCACTCATATGCACACTCATGCACACTCAATACACACTCACGCTCACTCACATGTACACTGCACACATCACACTCACATGCACACTCACCCTCACTCATGCACACTCGTGCACACTCATCCAAGGACACAGACTCACTCCCACTCAAAGACACACTGGCACACCCAGCAGACGTGCACACGTGGGCACACACCCGATGCTCACTCGCACACGGAATACGCGGATGGCAGAAGCAATGGAACAGACACCCCAGCGCCCCCTTCACCCCAGGGTGCCTGTGCAGGACGGGACTTCAACTCACACCTGGATGAAGGTGGCCGGGCCAGGTGATCCAGGAAGTTCCACAGACAGATGTGGGGCAGTGTGTTTTGGGTTCCAGGAGATGGTGGGGAATGGAGACAGGGGCGGGAGGGCAGCAAGTGCAGGTTAAAGGGCAGGTTGTGGCCCGGGCACCTGGGGCTCAGTGCACTGGGGACCCTGAGAGTCACGAGCGTTGTGTAGGGGCCCTAGGCTGAGCCCAGCCCTGGACGGGGACCGACGGGATAGCAGGGAACAAACGGTGAGGTGGTCAGTGCCTCTGCCGTCCCCTCTTCTTCCCAAAGGTCTTTGCAGAGCTGTCCCCTCGCTAACCAAGCCCCCAGCCCTGGGTCCTGACCACCCAAAGGGCACGCCCCTCACAACTGTCCTGAGCAGCAGAGAGGCCAGGACCACAGCTCCCACGCTCTCCTGGGCCTCAGCAGCTTCTGGGGATGCAGATTCCAGCCCCACCTCAACTGTCCCCAGCAGCGGAGAGGCCAGGACCACAGCTCCCACGCTCTCCTGGGCCTCAGCAGCTTCTGGGGATGCAGATTCCAGCCCCACTTCAACTGTCCCCAGCAGCAGAGAGGCCAGGACCACAGCTCCGACACTCTCCTGGGCCTCAGCAGCTTCTGGGGATGCAGATTCCAGCCCCTCACAACTGTCCCCAGCAGCGGAGAGGCCAGGACCACAGCTCCCACGCTCTCCTGGGCCTCAGCAGCTTCTGGGAAAGCAGATTCCAGCCCCGCCTCAGCTGCAGCCGCTCAGAACTTGAGGGAGAACCTGCATTTGCGTCCGATCTCCCAGGCAGTTCTCACGTAACGGCTGGTAGCCACACTTACCCTGGGGCCCTGAGGCTGCTGTGCCCATCTTGTCCGTCACGATTCCACCTTTAGGGATATGTTTCTTGGATCAAAGTACTTATCCCCCATTATTAAGCAAATACTGAATTGCTTTTGTATAAATCAGGATACTTTCCATTGCATCTGTCTGACTCTACCCAAACCGCCCTGAGCCCAGTGGAGAATGATTGTCTTAGGTGACTGGAAGGCAACACTGGGCTTTAAGCCTGGTGCTGGAAACAAGCCCTCAGGGACCGGCCTCTCCCGCCCTTTGGCTCTGCATTCCGCTGTGCAGTCCATCTTCCCACAGGCTTTCCCTGGGCGGCCGCAGGTGGCACCTACAGGCCCAGACCACATTCCACTGTGTGAACGCTCCCTCCCCATCCATTCCAGTAGAAGCCCAGGGCTGGGGTCCATTCCTTGCTTTTGGGTCACGTGATGCCTCCACCTCAATCTCTGCAGCCGATGGGAAGGGGTCAGGTGGTGAGGCCTGGGTCAGGGACCCACTCAAAGGCAATGGTGGGCCGGGTGTGGTGGCTCACGCCTGTAATCCCAGCACTTTGGGAGGCCGAGGAGGGCAGATCACTTGAGCTCAGGAGTTCAAGACCAGCCTGGGCAACAAAGTGAAACCCCATCTCTATAAAAAATATAAAAATTAGCCAGGCGTGGTGGTGCGCACCTGTCATCCCAGCTTCCGGGGAGGCTGAGGTGGGAGGATTGCTTGAGCCTGGGAGGTGGAGGTGGAAGTGAGCCAAGATCGCACCATTGCATTCCAGCCTGGGCGATGGAGCCAAACCTTGTCTCAAAAAAAAAAAACAAAAAAGGATGAGGGAGGTCACCCCCACCCTAACCAGCAGGCAGGGGACAAGGGGCTGCTCCCCAGAGGAAACCCCATCAAAGGTGACTCTAAATGGCCGGTTACAGACGGGACCCTCCCTGTCCTCATGCTCCCAGGAAGAGGCCCCCATGGCCCAGGCATGACAGGACCAAAGTGAAAACCTCCCTTAGCCCTGTTGAAGCAAACCAGTGTGGAGAGAAAGTGGCTCCTAGCCCCGCTGTGCCTGGTTCACGGCTGACAGGAGGCCACACCTGGCCCTGGGATGGATGGCTGTTGGGGGGTCCCAGAGCCTGTCTGCTGCAGGAGTCCCTCCTCTCTAGGCCTCAGTCTCCTCCTCTACAGAAAGGGATCAAATCAACCGATCCAACCTTTCACGGAGCTGCTGTGAACGCTGAAAATGCTGCCGGGCGCTGAGCACTGAGCCTGGGAGGGCTGTTGCTTCTGGAGGCCCATGGGGTCCTCCAGCTCAGGCCCAGGATAGCAGACTCCCCAGCGCACTGGTCCTGACTCAGGGAAGGTGGGGCCCAGGCAGGCCCCAGAAGTCACAGGCAGGGAGAGTGTGTCTCCCAGCCCCAGCTGGGCAGACACCCTTGGGGATCCCAGGGTCCTCAGGCCAGACCCAGCACAGCTTAGGGTCCCCCCATCCACCCGGGCCTAGACCACTCGCCACGGAGGAGAGGCGTGGGCCCCTTGCGAGCAGGGAAGCCTGAGGTTTCTGGGACCGAGCTGCCGGCTTCCTCTGTGTTGAGGGAGACACCTTGAAACAGGGTTTTCCTGGCCCACATCTGGCCGAATCAGTTCATCTAAACAGAAAACAGTGAGAAAAATTGTTCCCAGCTTTTCAGAAACTCCAGACACATGTGGCTCCTCGTCTCTGTGTTTGGGACGGCCGAGCCACCTACGTGCCTGCTCTGCGAGCCCAGGCTTTACGGTAGGCAGGAGCATGCCCAAGAAACACGTCGCAGCACCTACTGTGTGTGGGGTCAGCGGCAGGCCGGGAAGCCGGGAGGTACAGGAGCTTCGGGAGGTCAGCTGGGGGCACCAGCGTGAGGACCTCCCGCCTCCCTCGGGTGGGCGGCGGCAGGGACCCTGGAACCAGCATGACTTGTGCAAATCCTTACCCCACCTCAAATCACACGGCCCTAGGCAGGTCTCTGTGCCTCAGTTTCCTCGTCTGTAACACGGGGAGGAGATGAGATGTCCCCATTAAATATGAGATGCCTCCTCACTTCCCGGCCTGGGAGCGTGCACCCAAACAGCTCTGCTCTACCTGGGGGCTGAGCAGAGGAGGACATTTTGCACCAGGGCCTTGAAAGCCAAGTGGGTTTTTACGAGGCTACAAAGATGAAAAAGGCATTGCAGAGGGAGGAAACCAAGCGTGAGGGCGTGGAAGCGTGACCGTGGCGGGTCAGACGGAGCCAGCAGCCTCAGCTCAGCAGGACCCATTCTCTCTCCCAGCCTGTAGACAGAGAGAGGAACATTCTCACTCTGCCCAAGCATAGCCGTGGGCATTTCACACGCTGTGCGCTGTGCATGCACATGTGTGTGGCTATATGTGTGCGTGCTTGTGCATACGGGCGTGTGTGTGCATGCATGCTCACGTGTGCATGTGCCTAGTTGATGTGCATGTGTGTAGGTGCATATATGTCTATGTACGTGTTTGTGTGCTCACACGTGTGTGTGCCTATGTTGGTGTGCACACATGTGCATGTGTGTATGTGGATATGCCTGTGTATGTGCATGCATGTTCACGTATGTATGTGACTATGTTGGTGTGCATGCAGGTGCATGTGTGTATGTTGATATGTCTGTGTACATGTGTGCATGTTCACGTGTGTGCCTATGTTGGTGTGCATGTGTGTGTGTGCACATATGTCTATGTACATGTGTGTGTGTTCATGTGTGTGTGTGTGCATGTCCATGTGATGTTCTGTCTTTGCATCTCAGGCCTATGAAGCCAGGCCCACTAGACAGCCAGGCACATCTGCACTTGGTCAGCCACAGACGCAAGGAGGCTTCAGGACGCCAGAGAGGGGACCTGCTGGTCCTGGGGACAAGTGGGAGAACTGGATGAAATAAACCATTTCTCCCTCCTCTGTCTGGAAACAAGCCTGGGATGGGAATCTGAAGGGCTGGATTTATTCCTGGGTTTGGCTGCTTTAAACCTGTGGTCCCTCTCAAGCCTCAGTTTCCCCACTTGTCAGAGGAGAGTGTTCTCTGCCCTGCAGCCTCCCTGGGTGATAAGGTGGTGGCTGTTCGGAGTCCCCAAAGAAAAGTCCTCCTCCTCTGCAGAACCTCGCGGTGAATGATACACAAGACACACTTTCAACACCAGAACTTCCCATCAACAGGCTCACCAGCCTGCAGCCTGCTGACTTCTGCAGCCTGAATGCACCTTCCCTGGGTGCTAGAAACAAAGGAGGCTGTGGGTGAAACGGTTCGCAGAACTTTCTCGAGGCCCTGCCTTGTTGGAGCCCTCCGCCTGGACGCAGTGTCTTTGAGGGGGGCAACCCGTCTCCCCTCTTCCTCTCCCCCAAATGCACCTGCCTTTCCTCATGTGTTGTCTTTCTCTGGCTAAAGCAGTTGGCCTTCCCTGTGTGGACGAGGCCCAGAATCTGTGGCCGGGGCTGCCCTCATCCCTCCTGCTGGGTTCACACATTAAACTGCCCCAGGGAGGAGCCTTATGCCCTGCCCCAGACTTCGTCCTGTATTTGTTGACACCGTCGTCACCCAGGATTTCTGTTACTGGTGGCCAAAAGCACCTATCGAGAGATCGTGAGGAGCCTCTGAATGGGACGGGGTGCCCTCACGGGGCAGGGCCCTTGCAGGCATCGCTCTGCCCATGTCCATTGCTGTTTGTCCAGCACCCCATGCAGCCCCAGGACGGAGCGGCGTTGCACAGACAGGGCCTGTGACTCCACCAGGCTAACCTGTGGAGAAGCATCACATCTGTTAACGACGTTAAACAATGAACTGCACGAGTGGGCAGATTTTTCTTGCTCTCTGGAACCAAATTGCTTCAGGTAACTGTCTTAAGAGAGGCCTGGTCCAAACCCTCTCTTCTTCCTACCCCAAACTCGGGAACAAATAATGCGGTGGTTCTTTTGCTACCTGACCTCACTTTGCAGGAGCTGAGTCCATGTGAAGGATCCAGAGGTGGTGTCCCTGGGTGAGAATTAGCAATCGTGGGTGGGTTTCTGGACATAGGCTTGCTGGGGGCACAGAAGGACCTGTTAGGCGGTCCCAAAGGACGGGACGGGTTTCCATGGCGAGCAGTGTGGATGCTGGAAGCGGTCGGTGCAGGCACCTAAAGGCCCCCTTGGCCCTGGCTCGGGGCAGGTGACTGGGAGGGTGCAGCGGGCGGGCATCAGGTGTGGCTGCCAGCTGTGGTGCCTCCATTGGCTGGCGAAGGCTCTGTACTCTTCTGTTGTCTCGCTCCACACAGTGCAGGGGAAGCTGAACGTGACTCGTTCGACACAGAGTCCACCAGGGACCAGTGCAGGCCCATGTGGAGTGGGAGTGTGTGGTGTATGCTGAAGTCACACCAACACACAGGGGAAGTTGAGCCAGGTTCGGGTGGTGTCATTCAATTTCCTTTTCTTTTAAAAAATGGCATCGCCGCGTGACCTCTCTTCGTTTATTATAAATCTAATACTGCAAGTTTCAGTTGAGTGAACTCACATCTTATTTGGAATCTGGGTCTACAGTTGCCTAAAGCTGGTGGGAATGTAATTGTAGACAAGCATGTGAGGCCCGTTAATTTGCAATCCACGGTGAACAGCCTGGCTTGACAAGCCCCGCGCTGGGTTCTGAGGAGCCGTTCTCCAGAACGGCCGAGCACGAGGACCGGGCACATTTGCATAAGAGGCACTTGGTATTTCTCACAGGATGAAAACATGTAATTTTGCAAATGTTTATAGATTGTTAATTTGGCTGAAGAGCAAAATCAAATTACAGGTAATAGGTTGTGTGCACTTCCCCTTTCCTGGGTCTCTCATGTAATTATGACAAGCGTGGAACATCAGGCCCCTCTTGGTGGAAGTGGGAGGGGTGAGCACGGTTGGTGTCCCCCAGAAGCAGGGCTACCTCGCAGCAGTGAGTCCTGCCCAGCCACGTTCCAGAGCCGGGGGAGGTTAGGCTGTGCGTGGGGAGACGGCCACACCCCGATGTGGGACCCCTGGGATCCGGAATGTTCCCACCGTCTCTGACGCTCGCTCAGGAGTCGAACAGAACCACAGCTAGGGGATGGAGGAGGCCTTGAGGCTGTGCCCGTTAACTTCCAGGTTAGAGGATGTCATTCTGCCCTCGGCTGGGCATCCTGGGCTCCTGGGATCAGGCGAGTCCAGCCTCTGCACCAGCAGGCTCTGAGAGGCCCCTCTGAGCCTCACTTTCCTCCTCTGTACCGTGGAGCTGTGGAGTCTGCCCCGTGCTCTGCTCACAGGGCTGTTGGGGCTTGGAGGAGGGCGGGACCCCTGCGGGAGAGCAGAGCCACGAGAACCGAGCTCCTTTACATTTCAGCTTGGACTGGGGTTCCCTCTGCACCTGCTGGAGTGGGGTCCACACCTCTGAGGAGATGAGAGTGGCGGCCCCTAGCATCTTGCCAAGGGGCCCACCGCCTACAGCCCCGAGCTTCACACTGCAGGGGACCGCACCTCCATTCTCTCTTGGACTGTCATTACATCGTCCCCTTTCGGTGGGGAGAGCTGGGGGCCCTGCGAGGCAGCGGCACAGCCCCAGAGGCTTGGGTGTGTGGAGACACTGGGCCCTTGGACCTGCACCTGTGCTTGGAGGACCTGTCTCCCCTCCTCCAAATGCTGTCGGCCACTCTCAGGGCCCTGGCACTGACCCTGTGGGTCCCTTCAGACAATTTGCTGACCCCTGAGCTCAGACCCCTCCGCACACTGGCCAGGCACGTGACCCTCTCCAAGCCTCACGCGTGCCCTGGGTGGTGTCGTGTTGCTGGCTCCGTGGGGTCCTGGGGGGTGAGTGTTCTGAGTGTTTTCAGAACCATGCCCAGCACATGGAGAGCCCTCGGCAAACGCCAGCCCTTCTTTCTACCAGGATTAGGATGTCCTCCTGGGCTGACCCCGGGACACTGGGCCTGGGCTTGCTGGGATATGGCACAGTCATGAATGACACGACCTCCCCATCTATCTCTTCCCCTCACAGAAGCTTCTTTCTTGGGACCCTGTGAATTTACTCATCATCTGTGTGCAGGGCGCCCACCGTGTGCAGGAGAGGAAGTGACCCACACGTAGGAATTCTCAAGATTGAATGTGCTCCATCCACTCCCTCCCAGCACCTCCTCCCGCCACCCCTCAGCCCTGCGTCCCATCATCCACGTGTCCACTCCCTCCCAGCACCTCCTCCCACCACCCCGCAGCCCCACGTCCCGTCTTCCACGCGTCCAGTGCCTCCCAGCACCTCCTCCCGCCACCCCTCAGCCCCGCGTCCCATCGTCCACGTGTCCACTCCCTCCCAGCACCTCCTCCCACCACCCCGCAGCCCCACGTCCCGTCTTCCACGTGTCCACTCCCTCCCAGCTTCTCCTCCCGCCACCCCGCAGCCCCACGTCCCATCATCCACGTGTCCACTCCCTCCCAGCTTCTCCTCCTGCCACCCCTCAGCCCCGCGTCCCATCGTCCACGCGTCCACTCCCTCCCAGCACCTCCTCCCACCACCCCGCAGCCCCACGTCCCATCATCCACGTGTCCACTCCCTCCCAGCTTCTCCTCCTGCCACCCCTCAGCCCCGCGTCCCATCGTCCACGCGTCCACTCCCTCCCAGTACCTCCTCCCGCCACCCCGCAGCCCCACGTCCCATCATCCACGAGTCCACTCCCTCCCAGCTTCTCCTCCCGCCACCCCGCAGCCCCACGTCCCGTCATCCACGCGTCCAGTGCCTCCCAGCACCTCCTCCCGCCACCCCGCAGCCCTGCGTCCCGTCATCAATGCTGGGGCAGGCATTCTCAGTAGACACTTACTGTGGGACCTCAGCCTGACCAAAGACCCTCAAAACCTTGCTCCCCTGAGCCCCATCTTTAGTGGAGTTTTGTCAGTGAGACCCTCAGTCTAGCCCCAGGGGTGGCCTGAGGCACTGGACACGTGCAGCTATTTCAGGTGCACTGGCCTGAGTGCAAAGCACAGTCTCCTGTGTCTGATGAAGCCGCCGGTGGCCCCCAGACTCCTGGCAGCTGGGGGCCAGCTGTGCTCGGGGAGGATGGAGGGGCGGGGTGGGGGGGGGCAAGAGGGACCAGGCAGGGCCAGGAGGGGCATGGGGAGCCAGGAGAGTTGGGGGAGTTCAAGGGTCGGGGGGAAGGCTGGAAGGGCTGGGGGTCCAGAAGGGGCCTGGGGACCTGGGGGTGCCACAGGGCCAGTAAGAATTGGGGGTAGAGAGGGGCTGGGGGGAGAATGGGAGGGGCTAGGAGGCAGAAAAGACCCAGGAGGACCAGGAGGTGCCAGGAGGACCAGGCAGGGCTGAGGGCACCAGGAGGGGCTGGGCAGGACCTGGGGGAGGGAGGCGGGGGTGCAAGGTGGGGCCTGGTGGGGCCAAGGGGAGGCTGGGGAGTGTAGGGGTGGTGAGGCAGTGCCGGGAGGGGGCAAAGTCGGACCCTGAGTCCCCAGGCCGCAGGCAGCCTCCGGCAGGCCCTGTGCTTGTTTTCAGTTTCATATTTTGGTGAGAAACAGCCTGTTTGGGTTCCTCCTCTGGAATGTGTACACGGAGAGACTCCAGGGCCCTCAGCATGGAGAGGAACTTGGCTGGCCCTGGGGCAGGGCGGGGGCCGGAAAGTTAGAACCGAGCAGTTTCAGGAGCCCAGCCCTGTCACAGCCTGGGGTGATGGGAGTGGTGGCACCCCTGATCCCCAAACCCAGGCAGAACCACAGAGGAAACCAAGATAGAGAGGGGAGGGCCGCCAGACCCCCGCGCGGAGGCCAGTGTAGGCCTCTCAGAAGAATCCAGGTGGGAAACACCCAGCTGTGTCCTGGTGCCAGTCCCAGCCCACCAGGGGCCATGTCCTCTGGCCCCTCACAGCCCAGGTGCCATCCTGAGGAAGTCCTTGTCCCCTGGCCTGCCAGTCAGATGGGAGGGGGCCATGAGGAAGCTGACAGTGCCCATGGGCAGACCACGGTGTCCCAGGGAAAGAGGCAGGGAGTCCGGGGGCTGCTTCCGGGAAGGGAGGTGCCCAGAAAGCCGCCGTGGCCTGGGGACTGCGGGGAGCCAGTTTCCACGGGGACGCCCAGCTCAGGCCTTTATACCCCAGGGAGCTGGCCCCTTCCTTTTCTGGGTCCCAGGGCCAGGCAGATGCACTGGGGCGTGAGGTGGGAGCAGAGCTGGGCCAGGGCCCATGAGTCCAGCTGAGAGCCTCTCGCCTGAGCCCTGGATGGTGCTGTGCACAGCCTGTGCCACGGGCAAGGAGCCTCAGACTCCAGTGGGCAGAGGACCCTGCCGAGGACACACAGTGGCACGACTCCCGCCTGGTGCCCCTCTCTCCCAGGAAAACCAGTGCCACTGCAGACCTCCAGGGCAGCTGTCCTGGCTGGGCGACACTGAGGAGGGGCTCATGGAGACCCCCACCCTCTGCACACCATCCTCACCTTCCATGAGCACAGGAAGGAACTGGCCAGGAAGAAACACTTGGGGACAGGAGCAAGAGTAGTGTGTGGTGTATGCTGAGGCCACATTAACCAAGGCCAAGCGCCCAGACCATGGGAGGTGATTATCCTTCTGGGCTGTGCAGGAGTTCGACATATCAGAAGGAACAGGGACAAATGGAGGCAGATGCAGGAGCTGCATATCAAGGGCTGAAGAGACAGTCAGTCTGGCCTGGACTTGGGGGCCGGGCGGGCGTAGCTCCCTGCCTGCACCTCCCTCCGGTCACACTGGCCTCTGGCTCCCAGCACAGGGCTTGGCACAGGCTGCCCCCTACGCGGAATGCCCTTTCCTCCTGGCTCGTTGTTCCAGCTCACCGTCACGGCCTCAGCTCCCGAGAGCCCGGCCTGGCCATGCACTTTGCACACTCAGTTATCCTCTGCTCAGCGCCCTGTGCGCTCCCTTCCTGACACATCCGGCGCGGGGCTCTGCAAGCACGCAGAAGCCGCCTGTCTACTTCACGCGTGTGCTGTGGGGCTGCAGTCTGGGCCTCTTGGGTTCATGGTTGCGCCCCATCTCCTAGCTCAGGGCTCACGAATGTTTGCTAATGAATAAACAAGCAGCCCCCACCCTGCTCAATCAAGGACCGAAGGAATTTGAAGAGGAAGGAGGCTTTTTTTCTCTTCTTCCCCAGGAGGCAGACCAGGGGCCAATGGACAGCAGATTCCAAGAGTTTTATTTCAGCTGGGTGCAAAGGGCAGGTGTCAGCCCAGGAGGGCTCTCTGGAGGGGTGCTGCTCCGCTATACCCAGCAAGTCAGCAGTGGGGAGGAGGGGCTCATCTGTGGTCAGTTTGCACTCAGGGACCTGGTGGTTGCTCTCAAATCTGCCGCTGTCCTGCTTCCATCTGTGGGAGGGAGGGATAAACGTGGCTGGGATTCTCCACCCTCCAGGAACAACCGGGGGCCGACCCCTCATTCCTGCGACACTTGGTAGAGGAGCCTCTGCCCAGCTTCTGTGAGAAGGGGCGCCCTAAAGTCTCGGGAAACGGAGCTCAGGGCCCAGGTGCCACCCAGCCTGGGAACTTTGGTCCCAAGCACAGTCATTTGCACACGCCGCCCCAAACGTCCGCTCGGCAGCACCTCCCAGCTTTGTTAATGGAAGCCTGGTGATCCGTAACCCACGTGTGGCAGACATCTGCTCGGGGGTAATGTACATATCGATGATCAATCAGTGGATTTGCAAGAAAGGCATAAAGTATTTAATTATAATTGCGTTGGGCAAGCGTGCGTGGTGGCGGCGACATTTGAATAGGTCACAGCCAGCCCTCACCCTGTTTTGTTGCTGGTATTAAATGCCATTCACTCTAAGGGCTGGGAACCTTTCTGAAGTTGCAGGGTGTCATGCACTGGCAAATTGAAAATGTCCCTTTGCTTTTAAAAATATGATTGATATCCTTTGCAAAACAAATGCTACACCTCATAGTACACAGATTTCCCCCAGTGCCGCCCTTGCCTCTCCCAGGCGTCGAGTCTACTTTTGGCCGCAAATATATCCTCAGAGAGGATGAGCTATGAAGACCTTGACTTATTTTGAGGCCCCCAAGAGTGTTTAGGAAAAGGGGTTTTGCTGTTGTTGTTCCAAATCAGGCTTTGCTTACCAGAGCAAAGTGCAGGAACTCAAAAGACAAAATGTAAATTTTATTTCCTCTGTTGGTAGCAGAAAAATATATCTTCAGATACTTTCTTTGCCATATACTTATGTATGGGAGCATCTGCCTCTTATGACCATCTAAATTACATCTTGTATGATTTAAATCTATGCTTTTAGCACAACCAGCAAAGGGATATAAATAACAGGAGTACAGACAGACACAGGTCACACACCATGATACACACAGACACACACACATACGTGTACACACCATGCTGGTAGCCTGTGCAAGCCAGCATGGAGGGGGTGAGGAGCCAACCCGGAGCTGCATGCCTGTGATGCAGGTTCCCATCTGTGAAACGGGTGTGAGAGCCGCAGCACCCATCTCCTAGGATCCTACACCCGGTGGGCGGCGGGAGCACCAGGAACGTGGCTGCTCTCCCAGCAGAGAGTTCTGGAAACCAGAAGCTGATATTTGCAAAGGAAAGGTGTCCACATTGCAAGCCTCATTTCCACTTCCAGGAACAGGCATTTGAGGCCGGACTCCGACTCCTTCTCCCTGGGCAAAGGGTGCCCTTGTAGGCAGAGGCTGCGGTTGTCCGGGCCCGGAGGCCAGGGAGTGGGTGCATCACCACCGGGCCAGGCGTTCACAGCGTCTGTCAGCAACGGCTTCCTCCCTTTTCTCAAAACAATGAACCAAACACATCGAGTCTATTTACAGGGCAGGTGAGTGGGGGAATACTTGGATTCTTCCGAATAGAGACGAAGCTAGGGCCAAGCATCTTTTGCATGTTCTGGTCTGTCTCTGCAGCCCGCCTGCCTTCACGGCCGCCCAGCCCCTGTTTTTAAGGGTCCAATAGAGCAAGACTATGTGATTCCCAAACGAGACAGCCAGCCTCCTTGGGCGTGTTTTTGCCATTCACAAAATTAGCCACTCGTTGTCACCGAGTGAATCAGATTAGGTGTAATCCATACTAATGTTCAAATTAAGTCACTGAAAGCAATTAACTCTGCAAAAATGAGCTGGTGAAAAATGATGAGGCTGGTCAAATAGTTTCACTGTGCATAATTGTGTTTTTAGAATGCCCGTCTCCACACAGTAATTAAATCCTTTACATTTCAAGTGGAGTGCACCCACCTCGGATACTTGTAACCGTGCACTGAGAGGTGTCACAGGAATTTTATCAACAGCCTGCTCTCTTGGGGGCCTGATTTTTTGGGAATCCAGTTGATGGAAGGTGCCTGAATCAGGGCTTACTCCCTGCTCTGAAGAATCAAGAAATTTGGACTTTGCCCCAGTATCATCCCAAATCTGGGCCCCTCCTTCCCACCTTGTCTTTCTCCCTTCTGGTATAAAAAGCACAATGGATTTCTTAAACTGTCACCAAAATACTCAGCTGACACAACAAGATACATTTGTCACTTCTGAGCACGTCACCGCTAGCACGGACACCATCATCAGCTTTGGGGTGACTAATTCGTGGGGCTGACTGCCCTCTCTCTTCACGGTTTGTGCCTTACCACTATTATTTTAACCATGGGGACGACGCGAACCAGCCCACTGACCGCACACTGGGCACTTGTGGCTTATTGGGGTGTGGCTGCCTAGAAAACTCGCCCTCAAGTGACTGAGGAATGAAATATCTCCCAGCTCCAGGGAACATGACCCTGTGTTTATCCCTCAGAGCAAGAGCACTAGGTCAGTCCAGAGCAAACCCTTAGGTAAAACCGGAACCCAGTGGGGTTTTCCCTGCAAGAGAACTGTTTTCCCAACAGGTCAAGTCACAGCCTCACAGTCTATACCTTTAAGGAGCTCCACCTCCGCCTGTCCCCCCAGTCCAGGCCTGGTGTGGCACCTGACCTTCTGTCTGCAGGAGAAATTGTAGGATTTGCCGAACCCTGGCTTCCTGGCTCAAGGTGGGGCTGGAATCGTCTTTCCAGGGAGGGTCCGGGGAAGACCCCAGACTGAACTGCAGGGGCCTCCAGGGTGGCTCCACATCACATTGTCCAAAAGTGGAGTCCCACGTTCTCCAGCCGCGGGTATCTGCCCTCTTGTGCGAGGCAGGGCGGCTTGAGCCCAGGGAAGGGGTCTGGGGAGGACAGGATGTAGTCGATGCTGAACTTGAGGTCCCGGGGGTGCTCCTTCCCCGGGGGAGCGGGGCTGGCGGGGGGCTCACGGCCCGGGGCGCCCTCGCCAGCGCTGTCCGGGGCCAGGCGCCCCTGAGCGGCGGGCGGCTCGGACGGACCCGACGGCCCCTGGGCGCCCCCCGCGCGCGGACCCCTCGGCCCCTCGCGCTTGGGGCCGCGCCGCCGCCGCCGCCGCCGGTAGTTGCCGTTCTCGAAGAGGTCCAGCAGCGACTCGCAGCCGCCCGCGAACGTCCAGTAGTTGCCTTTGCCCTTCTCGTGGCCCTCGGACCGCGGCACCTGCGCGCGCGGAGGGAGGGGCTGGGAGCGGCTCCGCTGCACGGTGCGCCCGCCCGCCTTGTCCCCTCGGGGCGCCCTGGACCGGGGCGAGGGTGGCGCACTGCGCAGGTGGAGGCGGCCCCGTGGGCTGAGGACGGACCTCCCTGAAGCCGCCGCGGTGCCCTCCCTTCCCCGCCACCGAGGCCCTGGCGCAGGTGTCGCCACGCTGGGACACCCGGGGCCCGTCGGGGGCGGCGCTCACCTTGACGAAGCAGCTGTTGAGGGACAGGTTGTGGCGGATGGAGTTCTGCCAGGCGCGCTGGTTGGCGCGGTAATAGGGGAATTTGCGCATGATGAAGTCGTAGATGCCGGACAGGGTCACCCTCCCCGCGGGGCTCTGCTGAATGGCCATGGCGATCAAGGCGATGTAGCTGCGGAGCCCGGGGGTCAGGCGGGGTCTCCACCGGGCAGCCCCCCGTCCTTCCCCCCATCCCGCAGGACGCCGTGGGGCGCAGAGGCGGAGGAGCGAGGCGGTGTTGGGGAAAGTGTCCCCGCAGCTCGCGGTCCCCGGCGCCACCCAGACCCCAGAAGCTCTTTCCCGACCTGCGGAGGCCCCTCCCCGCGAGGCCAAGAACCCTCCCTGGCTCTCCCCAAAGTAGGGACAAATGCGTCCTTTCTCTGAGCTCCGCCGCCGGAGAGAAGAAAGCTCCCCCGCCCTTCCTTCGTCCCAGGCAGGTCCCGGCTACCTGGGACCCTTGCAGGGGGTGTCACTGTCCCCCAAAGCCCCAGCACCGCCCCCGCAGTCACCTGTACGCGGGCCGCGTGAGCCTCTTGTCTTCGTCGGAGCTGCCGGCGGGGTAGTCGTCGGCGTCGTAATTGAAGCAGTTGTAGGGATACTGCGAGCTGTCAAACATCCTGGCGCGCTCGGCGCTTGCTGGGGGTCCCGGCTGCAATTGCCGCCTCCTCCGCGCCGCCCGCCGGCTTCGCGCAGAGCCCTCTCTACGCGGCCCAGCAACGACTGCACTGCGGGCTTCTCTCCGCCGGAGCGGGAACCTGGGCTCCTGGGGTCCCCCGCCTGCCCCCACCCCGTCCTCTCGCATCCAATCCCGGCGCGGGGGAGGCCCCAGCCACCGGTAAAGCGGCCGAGGGGAGCGGTGTGGGGCGTCTGGGTGACCCTCTGACCGCCGCGGGGGGAGGGAGGAGGAGGCGGCGCGCTGGGTGGTCCGACGGGCGGGGCGGCCCCCCCTACCCGGCTCCCTTCCTGGGGCGCTCAGGGCAGGGCTCGCTCCGTCCCCGTCCCTGGAGGCAGCTTGGGGTGTCCTCGCAGGCTCCCTGCACTGGCGGAAGTCTCCTCGGAGCGCCCCGGTGCCGTGAGCCCCGGTCCCGTGCGCCCTGGGCGCGCCTGAGACTCGGTGGTGCTTTCCGGGCGCCGGGATCCCCGGGAGGACCCTTGGGTCTCAGCAGAGAGCACAGCCCGGAGCCGGCGTCGAAGACCAGGACTGTGGCCCCCTCCGCCACCTGCACTGTCCGCCGCTCTCCACCCCAGAGCGGCCGGGGGGTCCAGGCCAAATCCGTGGGGCCCGGCGGGCGTCTCCCGGCCTTGGTCAGGGGGTCAGCTGAGCCAGAGACCCAGGTCCCAGCGCTTTCTGCAGCGCCCTGTGCTCCCGTCCAGCGGCCTCTCAGTGCCTGGAAGTGAGTCCCCGCCAGGGCCCGGAGGGAGGGGGACTTCCCATCCGCAGAGTCGCCGCTTCACGGGTCCCCTCTGGGTCGAAGCTCCGTTTTAGGCGCACGCAGAGGGAAGAGAAGAGAAGCCATCCGGGTTAGGAAATTCTGGAGAAAAGTAGAGAGGCGGGATCTTACGGGAGTAGGGGGTTTTGTTTCACAGTAGACATGAGACTGAATAGTATTTCCAGGAATAATCTGCAGAATTCTGACCGACAGCCGTGTCTGTGAGTCGGCCTGAGGCCAGAAAGCCCGGGATAGATACAGCCTTCACCAGGAAATGTCATCTTCACAGCAGCACCTTCAGCTCTGAAACGACCCAGACAGCGGGGCCTGGGGGCTCATACTTGAAACCGCAGCGCTTTGGGAGCCCGATGTGGGAGGATCACTTGAAACCAGGAGTTAGAGACCAGCCTCAGCAGCAGAGTGAGACCCCTGTCTCTATAAAAAATAAATGAATGAATGAAGTTGTTAAAATACGAGGTGACTCATGCTGCTTGCACCCAGCTGGCCCCAGGGGTGCCTGGAGCTGTCGCTGCCCTTGGTAAAACCGCATCTGCAGGCGGGCTCAGCGCCCCTGGGGTCCCCCTTGGAGGAGAAGCCTGGCACGTGGGGGTGGGCACATGCAACTCCTCCTTCTGCAGTGGGCACTGTGGCTGCCTGGCCTCGCTCGGGATCCGAGTCACACTCAAGCTGAAACACACTTCAGTGACTCCGTATTGTCCCCTTAATCGGATGTCAAAACTAAAAACGCGGCCAGCACGGTGACTCACGCCTGTAATCCCAGCACTTTGGGAGGCCGAAGCAGGTGGATCACGAGGTCAGGAGATCGAGACCATCTTGGCTAACACGGTGAAACCCCATCTCTACTAAAAATACAAAAAAAAAATAGCCAGGCGTGGTGGTGGGCGCCTGTAGTCCCAGCTACTCAGGAGGCTGAGGCAGGAGAATCACTTGATTCCCACACGCGCAAGGGAAACAGAGAGCCGGCGATCAGCCAGTCGGGAGCTGCAGCCTGTTTTGGGGACGTTCTCAAAGACCAGCAGTGAATCTCACAAATCCAGCGGCTCTCAGACACATCCAGCGAAATGTGTGAGTTCTAGACAACACGAGCAATAAGACGCCATTAATCAACCCCGAAAATAGAACAGTGACTTAGGTTGTTTCTGATGCATATCTACGTGGCAAAAATATAAAATTGTAATCTTGATAAACATCAAATCTATGTTTGTATTTGGCCTAGAGGGGATAGAGGAGGATGAAACTGGTAGGGAACATGGGGGACTTCAGGGTTATCTCTGTGATATCTGGTTATGCTGGTTATGTGTTGTTGTTGTTGTTTTTTTTTTTTTTTTTTTTTAGACGGAGTTTCGCTCTTGTCACCTGGGCTGGAGTGCAGTGGCGCGATATCGGCTCACTGCAGCCTCCGCCTCCCAAGTTCAAGCTATTCTCCTGCCTCAGCCTCTGGAGTAGCTGGGACTACAGGCGCCCACCACCATGCCCAGCTAATCTTTGTATTTTTAGTAGACACGGGGTTTCACCATGTTGGCCAGGCTGATCCTTGAACCCTTGAGTTCAAGCAATCCACCTGCCTTGGCCTCCCAAAGTGCTGGGATTACAGGCATGAGCCACTGCACCCGGCCAGGTTATATCTTACTTGTACATTTTTAATTAAAAGCAGTTTTTGTTGCAGAAAGCTTATAAAATAGAAGAAGGTATAAAACATCTCCTAGAACTCCATGATTCCGAGCTGGCCGCTGCTCACACTGTGGTGTTTGTGTTTCTAATTCTGGAGTGTCAGTGCTGTTTGTAAACTGCCGTCATAGAATATGGTTCAAAAACTTGATTTCTGATGTCTATGGACTGTTGAATGTGTCAGAATTCATTTATCAAACATAATGAAATGTATCTGGGGAGCACGTAATGTCAGGAACCTCATAATATGAATAATCACCTGCCAATTTCTAACTACAAATTTATTAGTGCTGAATTTCCTTAGACATCAGACACATTTTTTTTTTTTTTTTTTTTTGAGATGGAGTCTCGCTCTGTCGCCCAGGCTGGAGTGCAGTGGCGCGATCTCAGCTCACTGCAAGCTCTGCCTCCCAGGTTCACGCCATTCTCCTGCCTCAGCCTCCCGAGTAGCTGGGACTACAGGCGCCCGCCACCACGCCCAGCTAATTTTTTGTATTTTTAGTAGAGATGGGGTTTCACCGTGTTAGCCGGGATGGTCTCGATCTCCTGACCTGGTGATCTGCCTGCCTCGGCCTCCCAAAGTGCTGGGATTACAGGCGTGAGCCACCGCGCCTGGCCATCAGACACAATTTTTAAAAAGAATATTAGGAAAATACTTAGGAAAAGTGTCTGCTTTGCTGGAGTGCTTGCTCTTTCTTCAGTATTTTTTTAGCCATTCTCTGAACTAGACAGTTACTAGGGAGATTCTGAAACCACATAATTCAAAGTGAGGAACTATTTTCTAGGAATTGATTTTTTATTTTATTTTTTTGAGAATAGAAGCCTGGGACACATATGGTAGCAAATGCCTGTAGTCCCAACTTTTGGGAGGCTGAGGCAGGAGAATGGGGTGAGCCTAGGAGGTCGAGGCTGCAGTGAGCCATGATTGTGACCCTGCGCTCCAGCCTGGGTGACAGAGCAGAACCCTATCTCTTAAAAAAAAATAGTTTTAATGGAAACAATAGAAGCCTTTGAGGTTTGCTCATCTGAGCGCCCACCAGCCTCTGACCCTGTGAGCTGCCCTTCCGACCTGACAGCCACATAGCCACCTGGACCTTGGGTCGGCCTGGTCTTCTCCCATCGGTTCTGCTGGAACTCCTCAGAGCGAGGAAGGAGCCTGGATCTTCTGCTTCTGCCTCACTCGTGCCTGATGCGTGGACGGGCTCAGGGAGAAACAGAGAAATGAGACATATGTCGCTTTTGCAGCCCAGCCTAGCCAGCATCGGAACACGTTCTGCGTCCCTGCATTGACTGTGCTCCTGGCAGCCAGCATAGACGAGGACATCAGCATCCCGAGGTTCTCCTTGGCACGCAGTCGCTGCTGCTTTAACATCAGAGGCAAAACGCAGCGTTTACAAGGCCTCAGACTTCAAAAATTCCCTACAGAATCCTGCATTTTGGTGTCAAGAGCCGCTAAAGAAAGAGCACAGCCCATGACATTAACTCTGCCCTGGAAATGGGGCCGGCAAACCTCCTGCGAGCCTCCTGCACCTGCCACCAGCATCTCACACCAGCTCCTTCTGCTGAAAACGCCTTTCCCGACGGCCCAGCAAGTGCCCTCACCTCTCCGCATGACATCAACTCTGCCCTGGAAATGGGGCCGGCCAGCCTTCTGCGAGCCTCCTGCACCTGCCACCAGCATCTCACACCAGGTCCTTCCGCTGAGAACGCCTTTCCCGACGGCCCAGTAAGTGCCCTCACCTCTCACCTCTTGCTGGCCTGGGAGAGTCACCCTCACCCCCTGGTCGGTCACTCCCGCCGGGAGGATAGGATCTTCTCCCTGGAAATGCCAGGCTGGTGCCCGAAAGGGAGGTCAGCACTACCCAGACCCCGAGGACTGAGGCGGGAAGGGGGTGGCCCCATGTAAGAGTCAAGGATCTGTTAGAGAAAGAGGGAACAGAGTCCGGGTGCCCCAAAACAACCACGTCCACCACAGTGAAATAAACTGGGGAAGTTTCTCTCCTGCTGAAGAAAGAGCCATGAGTACACATTCATAAAAATTGCCAGCGTTAGACTTGTTTCTTTTGAGAATTTTTAGGGGAGGGGCCTTATCCTCTCCCAGGGAAAGAGACTCTTGTAGACGGTGAGTGGCATCATTGCTTTTCACGCCTGTGACTCGGGGCACTCCTCCTGGGTCACACATGTCAGCAGAGCAGAGTGAGTGGCGCAGTGCGACCCGACCTAGCTTAGGGTACTGTCCGAGCCCCGCTCAGCGGACCCCAGATCATAAAAGCTACACATCGGAAAATAAACACAATAAATCCCAGCCACAGCCCCAGGGGCGGGGAAGAAAATGAAATAAGGCCGAAGTCCAGGAGGAATTTCCCCTGACCGCTTCATCACGGGGAGGTATTTGCAGACCTGCCTGGAGACCCCACTAAGCATGCTTTGGCCCAAAGAAGAGTGAGGAGAGTCCCTGCCCCTTTCTGTCCCCACGCTGGGACCGGGCTGCAAAACCAGGATGTGTGCTGGCCTATGCCCTGGTTCTGAAGGAGCCAGCACCCTAGAGGGAGCCCGGGGCCTTGCCCGCCTTCCCTTCCAGAGCTCCTCCCCAGGGCCAGCTGGGTGCAGAGCAAAGGGGCCTCGCAGAGACCACACAACGCCGAGTGCTCGCGAGGTGGCCCACGACGACCCCCACCCCACCGTGCTCCCGAGCCTCAGCATCCTCATCTCTGTGACAGGTCTAATTATGTGGGTTAATTAGACCTGTGTAATTATTAACTAGGTGTCTCAGCCGAGTTGTCTGACTCCGACATGAAGTGTCTAACACTGCGTAGCCCACGGTAGGCATTCAGGAAGCAGCACAATGGCTGGCATCCCCTCGGCTCGCCCCAGAAGGGAGGGAGGGCGAATTCCGACTCAGGCAGGCAGAGTAAACTCAAGGCTTGGGTGAGCCAGGCTGGGTGGTGGTGGTCGCACTGATCTCCAAGGGGCGGAATATCATTGAAATAGCTTGGAGAGGTTTCTCTCCTGCTGAAGCAAAGGCAGCCATGAGCACACATTTATAAAAATCGCTGGCATTAGACTTGTTTCTTTGGAGAATTTTTGAGATGTGCAAGTATGACTGTAATCAGCTGAAATGCTGAAACCACACAATTCAAAGTGAGGGACTGTTTTCTGGGAACTGATTTTTTATTTTATTTTAGAAAATTTGGCCGGGCACCGTGGCTCACGCCTGTTATCCCAGCACTTTGGGAGGCCGAGGCGGGCGGATCACCTGAGGTTAGGAGTTCGAGACCAGCCTGGCTAACACGGTGAAACCCCGTCCCTACTAAAAATACAAAATTAGCTGGATGTGGTGGTCGGCACCTGTAATCCCAGCTACTTAGCAGGCTGAGGCAGGAGAATCACTTGAACCTGGGAGGCAGGGGTTGCAGTGAGCTGAGATCACGACATTGCACTCCAGCCTGGCTGACAAGAGCGAAACTCTGTCGAAAGAAAAGAAAGAAAGAAAGAAAGAAAGAAAGAAAGAAAGAAAGAAAGAAAGAAAGAAAGAAAGAAAGAAAGAAAGGAAGGAAGGAAGGAAGGAAGGAAGGAAGGAAGGAAGGAAGGAAGGAAGGAAGGGAGAGCGAAAGAAAGAAAGAAAGAAAGAAAGAAAGAAAGAAAGAAAGAAAGAAAGAAAGAAAGAAAGAATTCGTGCTTCCCTAGGAGTCACCTAGTTCAGAGAAGGACAAAAAAACGGAAGCAGGAGCAAGCTCCTCAGCAAAGCTGACCCTTTTCCTAATGGTTGTCCTAACATTTTCCCTGATTGCCGGAGGACGTAAATTCAGTGAGCCTGGTGTATTCGTTCACAGTTCCTCCTCATTTCTACCACACGGATATTAGGACACACGTTTAAAGATCATTTCTAAAGGGCTGCTGAGTCCGGAGATTGTGTAATTTGACTAGGGGATGTCGACCTCACCTTGGCTTATATGTTAATGACATAATCAATAGACCACATGTTAATATATTAATGATGCTGGTAACCGTGACTGCCCCTTCCAGAGGGCAACACGGCCGTCGGCTCAGGGAGCACAGTCCGTCTATCCAAGCTTCCAGTGAAAGAAAGTGTTTACAGAGGCATGTCTCAGTCTAAAGCAAACGTTTTCTGAACCTCGATAGCTGAGCACTTGTCCCAGGCAGCCCTCTGGGAGGGGAACACGCGTGGAGCCGCTCTGGCCCAGGGGTCCAGCCGTCGGAGTCGGCATCTGCTGCCAGGTTCCTTTCCTTACTGAGTCTTTTTTTTTTTTTTTTTTTTTTTTTTTTTTTTGAGACGGAGTCTCGCTCTGTCACCCAGGCTGGAGTGCGGTGGCGCCATCTCGGCTCACTGCAAGCTCCGCCTCCCGGGTTCACGCCATTCTCCTGCCTCAGCCTCCCGAGTAGCTGGGACTACAGGCGCCCGCCATCACGCCCGGCTAATTTTTTTGTATTTTTAGTAGAGACGGGGTTTCACCGTGTTAGCCAGGATGGTCTCGATCTCCTGACCTTGTGATCCGCCCGCCTCGGCCTCCCAAAGTGCTGGGATTACAAGCGTGAGCCACCGCGCCCGGCCCCTCACTGAGTCTTTAGAAAGAATGGAAAAAGCTTAAAAGCGTTTACTCTTCGAGGATCCTTGACTGTACGGAAGCCTATTTAAGGGTGCGTGCTCTGTAGCACTGAAGGGACACACCGTGTGCGTCCTCGATGCGGAAGCGATGGAGGCTGGCGATCCTGACACGCGGGTGCGCCCGAGAGGGTGGGGCGGCCAGGATGGGGGCGCCCGGAGGGGCCGTCCACGTCCAGAGGAGGGGTCCATGGTTAACAGGGCCCCGGGCAGACAGGATGGGGATCTGGGTCCCCTTAGGAGAGTGAAGGTGGCATTCTGGGAGGAGGGGCCGGCAGCCCGATGCCCACTTGGCAGCAGCACCCTCCCCCAGCGCTCAGCAGGACAGGCCTCAGGGAGTCTCCTGAGCCGGCCACACAGAGCCAGGTAACGGGACGCCCATCAGACGTCTTCGCTGTGAAGATGGAGTGTAAGCAAGGATGATAAACATTTAAAAAATAATTTTAACTTTTATTTTAGGTTCAGGGCACGTGTGCAGGCTTGTCACGTGGGTATACGGAGTGATGCTGAGGTCTGGGGTACAATTGATCTCATCACCCAGGTACTGACTACCCAACAGTTAGATTTTCAACCCTCACCCCCTCCTTCCCGCTCTGGGAGTCCCCACTGTCCACTGTTCAACCCTCACCCCCTCCTTCCCGCTCTGGGAGTCCCCACTGTCCACTGTTCAACCCTCACCCCCTCCTCCCTGCTCTGGGAGTCCCCACTGTCCACTGTTCAACCCTCACCCCCTCCTCCCTGCTCTGGGAGTCCCTAGTGTTTACTGTTTGCATCTTTATGTCCACTAGTACCTAATGCTTAGCTCCCATGTATTAGTGAGAATATGCAGTATTTGTTTATTTGTTTTTCTGTTCCTGGTCTTTTTTTTTTTTTTTTTTTTTTGAGACAGAGTCTCGCTCTGTCACCCAGGCTGGAGTGCAGTGGCGCGATCTTGGCTCACTGCAACCTCCGCCTCCCGGGTTCATGCCATTCTCCTGCCTCAGCCTCCCAAGTAGCTGGGACTACAGGCGCCCGCCACCACGCCCAGCTAACTTTTGTATGTTTAGTAGAGACGGGGTTTCATCATGTTGGCCAGGCTGGTCTCAATCTCTTGACCTTGTGATCCACCCACCTCGGTCCCCCAAAGTGCCTGTTCCTGGGTTAATTTGCTTAAAATGACAGCCTCCAGCTCCATCCATGTTGCTGCAAAGGACATGATTTCATTCTTCATGACTGTGTAGTATTCCACGGTGTACACACACATTTTCTTCATCCAGCCCACTGTCGGTGGACACCTAGGTGGATTCCGTGTCTTTGCTCTTGTGGATAGTGCTGAGATGAACATATGAGTGTGTGTGTCTTTGTGGTAGAAGGATTTATCTTCTTTTGGGTGTATTCCCAGTAATAGGATTGTGGGTTGAATGGTAGCTCTGTATTGCGTTCTTTGAGAAATCATCAAGCTGCTTTCCAGAGTGGCTAAACTAATTTACATTCCCAGCAACAGTGTTTCAATGTTCCCTTTTCTCTGCAGCCTCGCCAGCATCTGTTGTGTTTTGACTTTTTAATAATAATCGTTCTGGCTGGTGTGAGACGGACTCTCATTATGATTTTGCATTTCTAATGAGTAGGGATGTTGAGCATTTTTTCATGTTTGTTGGTTTCTTATATGTCTTCTTTTGAGAAGTCTCTGAGTCTTTTGCTCACTTTTTAACGGTTGTTTTTTGCTTGTTGAATTGTTTACGTTCCTTATAGACTCTGGATATTAGACCCTGGCTGGATGCATAGTTTGTGAACATTTTCTCCCATTCTCTAGGTTGTCTGTTTACTCTGTTGATAGTTTCTTTTGCTGTGCAGAAGCTCTTTAGTTTAATTGGGTCTCACCCAAGTTTTCTTCTAGAATTCTTATAGTTTGAGGCCCCACACTGAAATCCTTAATCAGCCTTAAGTTTTGTGTATGGTGAAAGGTAGGGGTCCAGTTTCAATCTTCTGCGTACACCCAGCCAGCTATCCTAGCACCATTTATTGAATAGGGAGTCCTTTTCCCATTGCTTATTTTTGTCGACTTTGTCAAGGTCAGATGGCTGTAGGCATGTGGCTTTGCTTCTGGGTTCTCCATTCTGTTCCACTGAGAACATCAAACTTTTGAGGGACGTGGTGTCCAGGAAGAGAGACAGCAAGTTCATCATGAGAGGAACTGACCCTGGAGGTCACAGGATGAACAGAACACACACAAGAGAATTTACCAACAAGCAGATTTAATATTACCAGAGAGTTAGAGAGGACATGACATCCGTGAGGAACGGGGCCCGCCCGACGTCCCTGCTGATCTCCCAGCCATAGATGCTCACTAGCTGGGTAGGCAACCAGCTCCACCCTCCCAGCTGATGCCATCCGTGGAGCAATGCACCTCCCCTCCTGAGCCCCAGCCAAGCTGTAGTTTCAGAGGGAAACAAATGATGGCTCTTGACTCGAGTCACTAGGTTTGTGGGGTGGGTTGGCACAGCAGCGGACAGCTAGCGCACCAGTACAGTGTCAAATGGAAGTCACGTGAGCAGGCATTCCCACCTCCTCGGAGGAAAATCTTCCAATATTTAATGAGTGGTGCAGCGTCCCACAGGAATTGGCCAGTTTGGGCGGCGGGGAAGGGGGAAGGCTGAGCAAATAAAGTTGCCAGACGTGTTCTGTGGATGTCTTTGGGGCCGTCTTGAAAACCCTGCCTGACACATACCCAGGAACATACCCTTGCCCATTTTCTAGTTCCTCACCAAGACCCCCCAGCTGCTTGCATACAATAATAACAAGAAATTGTAACAATTGCTGGCATTTCTGACATAATCTCATCTAATGTTTTTCAGCAACTCCACGAGTAGGAACTATTGTTATCCCATCTTATATTGGGGGAACTGAGGCACGAGCAGTGAAATAATTTGCGCAAGTTTGCAGAGCATGTAGGATGGGTCAGGACTTGAGACCCCGCTGGTGGGTCTTTGTGATCCTGGAACCGAGCTCTTCGAAGCTGGGCCACCCCCGCCCACCTGGCTCATCCCAGGGGTGTGAGTGGATGTCCGTCCACCCAGGCCCCACTTCTGGGAAGCTCAGAACTGACAAGGGCCTTGGACTGTCTCCCGCCTTGGGAGGGAAAGGGAGCATTATCGTCCTGTGTCTCACAAGGAAGAGGCTTCCATAATGGTTTGGCTTTTGATGATTTCTATTCCATTGCTCCAATCCTGAATTTGGAGGAGAAGGTGTGTGGTCACGGGTGAGGGCCTGTTCTTGACTCTGACAATGGCAGGACTGTGTCAGGACGTGACGAACAAATTCAACAGCAACAGCTATAGAATAAGAACTGAATTGCTACCTGTCAAATTGGTACAGGAAATAAGTGCAAATGGAAATTATTAAGTAAAGCAAAGAGACAAAAAGAAACAAAACTACAAAGAAACACAAAATGTGAAACTACAAAACAACATATATATAAAGGCAAACCTCAGTTTTGATAATAAATATAAGTGTTTTAGATTCCTCATGAAAATGAGAAGAGAAAAGTTATGCACATGCACGAAAGACTGACTGAAGTGTTATCAGGCAAAGGTAAAGAAGGAAAAATCAAAGTGCTGATCTTAACGTCAGAATAAAATTAAAGTAAAAATATTGAAGGAGTCATTTTACATTCATAAAGTAGATACTCTTCAGTGAAAACATCACATTCTCTTTCTGAATTACTTAGTTCTCAAAAATATAAAGCAAAAATGATTAGAAATAAAGGGAGACATCAACAGAAGGCATGTATGGTGAAGAAATCTTCACGTCTTTCTCAGCCTTTCAGGGATTCACTAAATTAAGACAAGTAGGCTCTATTGTTGAATTATTTGAATAATTAATAAATTTGAATAAATAAGTATATAGAAAACTTTGTCATCTACAAATAGCACATTTCTTATATAATATTAAATGATGTACTCGGCTAAAATAACCGAAAACACCAAAACCAAGCCAACCTCGGTTGTGTCAAATGCAAATATAACGCATTCTACCTCTTCAAAGTAGAGTGCAATCAGAGTAGGCTCGGTGTGAAAATGCCTCATCCACTAGAAATTAAGAAGCACTTGGTTAAACAACAGTTGGATTAAGGAGCTAATTAAGATGTAATTTTAGGCTTTTTAATGAATATTCTAAGTGTAGCAAAAGTCAATGCAGATTCTTAAATGTTTTCATTATTAAATAAAAATATTACATTGAATTAATTAATCATTGAACTAACAGAAGTGCACAAGCATAGATACATGTTTTTATTTATAATTCAAACACCAACCTTTAGCAAAACAGAAAGGAAGAAAAAAAGGCCAAAGCAAAAACGAATACTTCTTAAAATCCAGAGAACCAATAAATGAATCAAATATCTAATTTGGGGGTGAAAAGAAAATCACAACACATGAAATAAAATCAAAGAATTTGGGCAGTGGGGTAGGAGAAGGAACACCACCCATAAAACAATTCATTGATAAATTGAATTTTGCTAAAATTTAAAACTTTCAAAAGACACTGTGAAAAGAATGAAAAGACAAGCCATAAACTGGGATAAAATCTTTGTGAGCATATATCTGAGAAGGGACTTGTATCTAGAATGTATAAAGAACTTTCCAAACCCAGCCATACAGACGTCAGTGAAAAAGCTAGAGTAGGGAACCCTGAATCCATCTGTCTTCAAAAGCAACGAACAAACCAGCAAAAACAATCAGAACCAACTTTCTTAGAACTCTGCACACTAATCAAAGCTTGCAGCCGCCAGGGGAGTGCGTAATCAGGAAAACACAGCTGAATCTCAGTAAGGAAGCTTTGTGGCCTTTTCACTTACCCTGGGCCCATCCACCACTCACCAGCTTGAGGCCTTGAAGACAACAGCACACATTCCCAGCACAGGCGTCTAGCACCAGCAGAGGAGGGGACAGACTTTAGGATGCAGTTGTGTTGCAGGAAAGGGGTCCCGATCCAGACCCCCACAGAAGGTTCGTGGATCTCATGCAAGAAAGAATTCAGGGCAGGCCCATAGAGTAAACTGAAAACAAGTTTATTAGGAAAGTAAAGTTTATTAAGAAAATAATGGCTACTCCATAGACAGAGCAGGCCCGAGGGCCACTGGTTGCCCATTTTTATGGTTATTTCTTGATGCTATGTTGCACAAAGGGTGGATTATTCATGCCTCCCCTGTTTAGACCCTTTAGGGGAACTTCCTGACATCAGCCATGGTATTTATAAACTGTCACAGCGCTGGTGGGAGTGTAGCCATGAGGACGACCAGAGGTCTCTCTCACCACCATCTTGGTTTTGGTGGGTTTCAGCCAGCTCCTTCACTGCAACCTGTTTTATCAGCAAGGTCTTTATGACCTGTATCTTGTGCCCACCTCCCATGTCTCATCCTGTGACTTAGAATGCCTTAACCATCTAGGAATGCAGCCCAGTAGGTCTCAACCCCATTTTAGCCAGCTCCTGTTCAAGATGGGGTTGCCCTGGCTCAAATGCCTCTGACAATCGCTGTGGCTCCTGGATGGACAGCCTCAAAGGGCTTGCCTTTCCTTCACGTAACTGGGAGCTCTTAAGTGTCTCCCTATAGGGCATTTGTTGAAACATTTAAAGTCAAATGTATTAGTCACTACTGCCTGGGGCAAGGGATAACCATTGGGGCAAACAATAGATTAACCATAAAGCTTGGGAGGAAAGACTGGGGATTGAGATGCTTTGGAGGATACAGATTTTGAGGGTTTTTGCATATTCTTTGGAATCTAGAAGTCCAGGCGCATACCCAGGAGCGTGTACAAGTTCAGAAAAGACCTGAGAAGGCTCTACATGATCACTTCTGGCTGACCTTCAGCTTCTGGACAAGCAGGAAATGAAGGCTAAGGCAGAGTTGAAAATTGCCTCAGTGTTGAAGGCGTGCCCCTGAACACACACAGAGCCCCCCATTCAGAGATTGGGAGGTATATTACCCATGTGTGTGCTGTGTTTCAAGTGTTTAAAGAAACCTCTTGTCAATGATATTTTACAGAAACCTCTGTAAAATATTTGAAGAGATTTATTCTGAGCCAAAAATGAGTGACAGTGGCCCATGACACAGCCCTCCAGAGGTCCTGAGAACATGTACCCAAGGTGATCATGTGCCCAAGGTGAGTGGCTGCTCCATCACACCGGCTGCAGCAGGCAGGCACAGCTGGGCTGCACACCCCAGGTAGCTGGTGGGAGCCTTCCCTCCTGGGTGGGGCTACAGCCACCCAAACTGCAGCTGTGATTCCGAGCCTCTCTGTCCTCTTGGAAGGGTCAGGAGCAGGCAGGATCTGCCTGCCTGGGCGCAGTGGGAGGGAGGGAGCCTTCTTGGGCCCCAGAGGGTACAGGCTGTAGAGATGCCCAGGGCCTGTGCCTTGGAGGGTGGCTGCAGCTGCACCTGGGGAGCTCCTGCCCCACCCACTCAGAAGGGGCAGGGACCCTGCTAGTCCGTGGCTCCTGCCTGCTCTGTAGAGTGGGAGGCCCAGGTCTGCAGTCACGGTCCCTGCAGGCTCCGGTATCTGCTTCCACTGCCTGGCCTCTCTCTGCTCTGGGTGCCTGTTCTGATCTCGGAGTGGGGTTGGGGCTGAGCCCCAGGGACCACGAATGGCAGCAGGAGGCAGATTGATTCCTGGGTGGAAGGGGCGGGTCCCCAGTAAGGCCCCACCTTCAGCCAGGGAGACCCTGAAGGCTGGAGGCTGGGCTGTCGGCCCCCTGGACTGGAGTGGGGACCCATAGTGCTTCTTCCAGGCCCACCCACGGCCACCCATAGACCAATAATCATACACTTGCCCCCTCTGAGGTCCATACAAGCCCTGGGTTCAGCCAGAGCAGGGCAGAGGACGACCAGAGGACAAAGAGGGCAGAGCGACTCTGGAACAACCAGCTGCAGAGAGGAGCCACCCTCTCCAGGGCCTCTTCTCCACTGAGAGCTGCAGATATCGGGATGACCAGTTGCAGAGAGAAACTACCCCAGGGCCTCCTGTCTGCTGAGAACTGAGCACTCAATGGATGACCTGCCTACAGAGAGGAGCTACCCTCTCCAGGGCCTCGTCTCTGATGAGAGCTGAGCACTCAATGGATGACCTGCCTACAGACAGGAGCTACCCACAGAGGGTCTCCGCTGAGCTGATGTAATACTCAGTAAACCTCCTCTTCATTTTGTTCACCCTCCACTTGTCTGCATACCTCATTCTCCCTGGATGCAGGACGAGACCTCGGGCAAAGGGGCCACCAGCCACAGAAGTTTCTGGGAAGAAAACTGACACCTCAAAGAGTCCCTAACACTTGGTTTTATACATTTTGGGGAGGCATGAGACAGCAATTGAATACATTTGAGAAATACATTGGTTTGGCCAGAAAGGCAGGACAATTCAAAGGGGGTCCTCAGGGGCTTCCAGGCTATAGCTAAATTTAAACATTTTCTGGTTGACAGTTGGTTGAGTTTGTCTAAAGACCTGGGATCCACAGAAAGGAAATATTCAGGTTAAGATAAAAGATTGTGGAGACCACGGTTTTTTTGGAGTCTCATAATGGCTGCCCTTAGAGACAATCAATGACAAATGTTTCCTATTCAGACATTTACAAGGTGCTAGGCTCTCAGTTAATCTCTTCAGGATTGGGAGGGCCTGGAAGAAAAAGATCTAGCTATGTTACTAGAGAGTCTCTACAGATGCAAGATGTTCCCCCACAAAGGACGGCTTTGCACGGCCATTTCAGAAACATGTTTTGGGGTAAACAATTTTTATTTTCTTCTTTGCCACATAATGTAATGCTAGAGTCAGACTGGAAAGTAAGCCATGATACACAGGGTTAAATAAAACCCATCTGATGAGAATTTATGGTTTGTAGGGCATGATACCCCAGGTCCCTTAGACAGAAATACGGGCAAGATAAGAAAAAGCCAGAGCTTAGTCCTCGCTCTGTGGAATCATTAGCTGAGAGTGAACTCACAGAACAGAGACTTCACTGACCACACACAGCATAGAACACAGACTTCATAAAATTCACTCAGAAAAGTCACTAAATAAACAGAAATACTAAAAATAAGCAGCAACAAAATAAACTGAAACCAAAAAAACTACATAAGCAGCAATCCGTTGGTTCCAATTGTTTTTGCCAGTTTATTCATTGCTTTTATGAACAGATGGATTTTGGAGTTCCCTGCTCCAAATGTGGGGAGAGAGGAGATTTTCATAGCTGCTACATCATAATATTCCAAATGTCTACTTTTCAGCAAAAAATTACAAGGCATGCAAAGAAACAAGAAACTATGGCCCATAGATGCTAAAGGAAAAGAAAAAAAGATCAACTGAACCTCTCTCAGAAGAAGCAGACACATTAGACGAAGACTTTAATCAACTATTTAAAGTATGTTTAGGAGCTAAAAGAAACAGTGGGTGATAACAGAAAAACTTCAACTGAATTAAATTTAAAGAGTTTAATTGAACAATGAATGATTCACACATCAGGCAGCCCCCAGAATCACAGCAGATTCAAAGAGGCTCCAGTGCAGCCACGTGGTGGAAGAAGATTTATAGATAAAAAAAAGGGAAGAGAGGTACAGAAATCAGAAGTAAGGTACAGAATGGCTGGATCGGTCACAGCTTGGTGTTTGCCTTATTTGAACACAGTTTGAACACTCAGCAGTGTGTGAGTGGTTGAACTATGGCTGCTGGAATTGGCCAAGACTCAGCTATTGTTACAGGTGCAGATTCCTAAGTTAGGTTTTCAATCTTATCTACCTGTTAAGCTAGGTTGCAGTTCATCCACAAGTACTCAAATATAGAAGTATGGAGTCCTTCTCAGGCCATATTTAATTGGGTTTAACATGGGCAAAGAAAGAAAACCAGGAGAATAATGTTTGAACAAATAGAGAATTTCAATAAAGAGATAGAAATTATGAAAATTACCTGGCTGGGTGCGGTGGCTCACCCCTGTAATCCCAGCACTTCGGGAGGCCGAGGCGGGCAGATCACGAAGTCAGGAGATCGAGACTATCCTGGTTAACATGGTGAAACCGTGTCTTTACTAAAAATACAAAAATTAGCCGAGTGTGGTGGCGGGCACCTGTAGTCCCAGCTACTCGGGAGGCTGAGGCGGGAGAATGGCATGAACCTGGGAGGCAGAGCTTGCAGTGAGCTGAGATCACACCACTGCACTCCAGCCTGGGTGACAGAGTGAGACTCGACTCCATCTCAAAAAAAAAAAAAAAGAAGAAATTATGAAAATTACCCAAACAGAATTTTTAGAGATGAAAACTAAAATAACTGAGATGAAAATTTCACTAGAGAGGTTCAATGGCAGATTTGAGCAGGCAGAAAAAGAAAATTAGTGACTTGAAGACAAGTCAATTGAGATTATCCAGTTTGAGGATCAGAAAGAAAAATGAATAAAGAAAAATGAGCAAAGCCGGAGAGATCTGTGGGCCCTGACGAGCCCCTAACTGTGCATAATAGGAGACCCAGAAGGAGAGGAGAGTGAGGAAGGGACAGAGGATACCTGAAGAAATAATGGCCAAAAAGTCACAAATGAGATGAAATACATAACTCTACACATCCGAGAAGCTCAGTGAATTCCAAGTAAGGTCAACTCAGAGATCCTCACGAAGTTGTCAAAGGCCATCGAGTACTGAAAGCAGAGAGAGAAATGCCTCGCGGCCTGAGTGGGTCTGTGGTTTGGTCCCTTATGGCCACATGGTGGCTCTTTCTGTCATGTGGAGTCATTCTTATTTTTTATCAAGAGCTTACAATGTGGTCGACGTGGTTGGGCTATGCCAGTGAACAATAATCGTAGTAAAAAACCTGCCCTGTCTTCCATCTTCATGGGCTTAGGTTCTATCGGAGGAGACAAATTATTGACCAAAAGGTGACTAAAATGATAATCTAGGTGAGAAAAGTACTACGGGGAAAGAAACATAGCAGGGTCATGGGTCCAGGGTGTGTGTGCCTGGGTGTGTGTGTGCACACGAGTGTGTGGGTGGTCATGGGCTGGCCACAGCAGTCTCCCTGTGTGTCTGGGTGTGTGTGTGCACGCATGGGTGTGTGGGTGGTCACGGGCTGGTCACAGTAGGCTCCCCCATGAGATGACATCTATGCACAGACCCAAAAGAGGGGACGCACCAGCCATGCGAGGCTGAGGGAGGCACAGGGCAGAGGGCTGTGCGGGTGAATGCCCACTGACCGAGAAGCAGCCAGGCCTGGGGCTGAAGGAGAACCCGTGAGAGGAAGAGAAGCAGGATGATCTTAGCACGTGGACCGAGGCCACCTGCAGAGGACCCCGAAGGCCTTTGTGAGGACTCTGCCTTGCCCTCGTGTGGGATGGGGATGGTGCGTGAAGGAGAGGGGGTGTGATCTGCTCACACATTTACGGGTCCCTTGGACTGCGAGCTGAGGAGGGGCTCTTGTGAGGGTCACTGTGCAGGCCGCTGGGATTCAGAACCAGGAGGCGACTTCTGTGTCTGGGAACGTGCACGGTGGGGGCGTGGAGGGAGGGGCTCTTGTGAGGGTCACTGTGCAGGCCACTGGGACTCAGAACCAGGAGGTGACTTCGGTGTCTGGGAACGTGCACAGTGGGGGCGTGGAGGGAGGGGCTGTTCTTCCATCTCCAGAAGTGGAGCTCAGCACGTGAGGGGTGCTGGGGGAGGAGAAGAGTCAGGGGAGTTGTTACTGATGATGAGGGAAGGCTGCGTGGGGAGAACCTTCTGTGGGGGAGAGTGCGGGATCAGCTTCGGCGGAATTTGGGATGTCCAGCAGCCATCCCAGGGAGAGGAAATCTGGGATGCAGGCACGTGGACTTGGGAAGTGTTTCTGGAGTGCTCCCTCCCCGCTCCTCCCTGCAGGGGCCTCAGGTGCCGCTCCTCCTCCACATCCTCAGCCGTGCTCCCTCCCTGCTCCTCCCTGCAGGGGTCTGAGACGCCACTCCTCCTCCTCCACATCCTCAGCCGTGCTCCCTCCCCGCTCCTCCCTGCAGGGGCCTCAGATGCTGTCCCTCCTCCACATCATCAGCCGTGCTCCCTCCCCACTCCTCCCTGCAGGGGACTCAGATGCTGTCCCTCCTCCACATCCTCAGCCGTGCTCCCTCCTCGCTCCCCCCTGCAGGGGCCTCAGATGCTGCTCCTCCTCCACATCCTCAGCCTCTGCCTGGGAGGAGAGGGGAATGGGCGGGCAGGAGCTGACCCCGTCCCTAAACAGGGCCCTGAGTTGTGCGTACACATCTTTTCCTCCAGACAATTCATGAAGGCGGTGCACACTCTCTTATACCCACCAAAAAGTGTAAAGAACAGTGCAGTGAACACCCACAAATGCTTCAGCTCCTAAATCCGCCAGTCATGAACATCTTGACTCACTTACTTCACAGAAGAGCGGAGTTTGCATAAAATGTATTTTTTCTAATTATACTCTGTGGGTGAAATTCCATCCCCGAGCCAAATTTAGACATCTTCTTGAACTCCTGGTGAGCATTTTTTTTGCTGAAACATTTCAAAGTGAGCTGCAGATGCCATTACACTTCATCCTGAAGGCCTCAGCCTGCCTCTCCCAAGGACAAGCACGCTCTCCTCCATGGACACAGCGCCAGGCCCAGGAAATGGGATGTCAACACAATCTTATCACTGACATAGAGCCCATAGGCAAATCTGTCCAGTTATTTCCAAAATATCCTTTGAAATATCCTTCTGTTTTTATTTTTATTTATTTATTTTTTAAGACAGGGTCACCCAGGCTGGAGTGCAGTGGTGCAATCATAGCTCACAGCAGCCTCCAAGTCCTAGTCTCCAGGGCTCCTCCCACCTCAGCCTCCTGAGTAGCTGGGACCACAGGTGTGCACCACCGTGCATGGCTAATTTTCTAATTTTTGGGGGAGATGGGGGTCTTGCTATGTTGCCCAGGCTGGTCTCCAACTCCTGGTCTCAAGCAATCCTCCTGCCTCTGCCTATGAAAGTTATTAGCATATTTGTAGATCCAAGTATTCACAGATCACATATTATACTGATCGTTATATCAGTTTGTTCTCCTCTAATCTAAAACATGCCCCCAACTTTGTGTGTGTGTGTTTTGTTGTTGTTGTTTGTTCTTTAAGCAGGAAACTCCATTTGCAGACTTTCAAACTTTCACTGAGAGGAATTAAAGAATGAACGAATTTCACCCAGGCTGAGCTGACCTTGAGGAATTGTGGCACAGGTCTCTGGGAATGACGGTGGCAGCTGGCCAGCCTGGGTGGCCGTGGGAGGTTCTGCCTCCAGGCCAGAGGGCAGGAGAGGCCGCTGGGGTTGGGGAGGCTGGAGGTGGGGGAAGATGTCCTCGTTCACTCTGCCAGAAACTTAGGGAAGGCAGAGGTGGGCTTGCCTCCTTACAGAAACTTCTGACAGGTCCCAGATTACACAGTGGGAACTTCCCTAGTGCCTGGGAGGCAGACACCCCAGCCCCAACCCATGCGGAACTCACAAAGGGTGTTTGGATGACCAGACCATGACTCTGGGCCCCTTGGCCAGCTGAAGCTGGAGCTGGCAGGAGGTCTGAGAGATGGCCCGGGTACCACTGTGGGTGTCCTCGTTCTCACTTCTGGTCCCTGTGGGGATCAGGCCCAGAGGCCCCGACTTACAGCTAAGAAAGATGGGCGAAGCCGGGCACAGTGGCTCATGTCTATAATCCCAGCACTTTGGGAGGCCAAGGCTGGCAGATCACAAGGTCAGGAGTTCGAGACCAGCCTGACCAGCATGATGAAACCCCATCTGTACTAAAGATACAAAAAATCTGCCAGGTGTGGTGGTGGTGGATGCCTGTAATCCCAGCTACTCGGGAGGCTGAGGCAAGAGAATTGTTTGAACCCGGGAGGTGGAGGTTGCAGTGAGCCGGGATCGTGGCACTGGACTCCAGCCTGGGCGACAGAGTGAGACTCTGTCTCAAAAATAAATAAATAAACAGAAAGAAAGAAAGGTGGGCGAGGAGAGGGTGGCTTTGCCATGGTTGCCCCTTGCAGGTTCCACGGACAGCTGCTGGGCGAATGTTTCCCATGGACGCCATGTGGCAGAGGAAGGACAGGAGAGGGCCAGGAGAGTGGCCAGCAGTGAGAGGCCAAGGGTGAGCTCTGGGCTCCCCGGGCTAAGACGGGCTGCCGCGGCCACCAGGAATGGAGGGGGTCTCTGTGAGCCATTGGGCAAGGAGAGGTGCAAAGAGCTAGCACATGACTCCAGGAGAAAGGAAGGTCTCCAGAAACCTCCAGAACCATACCACAGAGGCGATGACCCCAGGAAAGAGGAGGGTCTCCAGACACCTCCGGGACCAGACCGAGGAGGAGATGACCCCAGATGAGAGGAGGGTCCCCAAACCCCTCTGGGACCAGACCGAGGAGGAGATGACCCCAGATGAGAGGAGGGTACCCAAACCCCTCTGGGACCAGACCAAGGAGGAGATGACCCCAGATGAGAGGAGGGTCTCCAGACACCTCCGGGACCAGACCCAGGAGGAGATGACCCCAGATGAGAGGAGGGTCCCGAAACCCCTCCGGGACCAGACCAAGGAGGAGGTGACCCCAGATGAGAGGAGGGTCTCCAGACACCTCCGGGACCAGACCGAGGAGGAGATGACCCCAGATGAGAGGAGGGTCCCGAAACCCCTCCGGGACCAGACCAAGGAGGAGGTGACCCTAGATGAGAGGAGGGTCTTCATGCACTGCTGACCTGATTGTGGAGGCAGCTTCAAGGTTCTACTCAGCACCCCTGGCCCCCTCCCTGCCTTTCCCACCAGCGAAGCAAGCCGGGCCATGGAAGGAGGGCGGAGAATGGAGAAATCCCCTGCAGCCTAAGCCTCAGGAGGGAGCGACTGAGTCCAGGGTCAAGGGCAGAGCTTTGAGTCATGTCTTGGACTCAGCAGTCTCATGAATTGAGGCTGCGGCACGGAGGTCAGTGACCTGCTCTGACTGTGGGGATTCAGGGCCCGCTGAGCCGTCCTCCAGCAGCCAGGAAGGCGTAAAGGAGACAGGAGGAGAGCGTAAAGGAGACAGGAGGAGGGCGTAATGGAGACAGGAGGAGGGCGTAATGGAGACAGGAGGAGAGCGTAAAGGAGACAGGAGGAGGGCGTAATGGAGACAGGAGGAGAGCGTAAAGGAGACAGGAGGAGGGCGTAAAGGAGACAGGAGGAGAGCGTAAAGGAGACAGGAGGAGAGCGTAAAGGAGACAGGAGGAGAGTGTAATGGAGACAGGAAGAGAACCTCCGTTTTGTGCACTCCAGAGACTTGCCGAATGTCCTCCAGTGGTCCCGGTTGTCGCCAATAAAGTCTGAAGCCTACGGCTTTCGTGCACTTGCCCTGACCTGCTGGCGTGTCCCAGGACGGCATCCTCCTAGGACAGAGCCTGTCTTGCTCCCCATCCCATCCCCAGCATCAAGGGCATTTGTAACATAGTAGGTGCTCAGTAAACATGTGTTGAGTTTATAGACACTCAAATGTATCTCTCATTGATTGCAGGATTTCTGCACGTGGCCAATACATAAACACAGGGTCAGGCAGAACATGCAGGGCCTCAGGACTGTGCAGGTTTGAGCTGTGGCCTTCGGCCTGGGATGTAGGGAGTGAGGCTCTGTTTATGTTCATATTCTTTGAGGTGTGGCTGAGGGAAAGTTGGATTTGTTCTTCAGGGCAGGGTTCTCAGCCACCCTGGCTGGTGTGTAGCTTTTCCTCCGAAATAAGGATTTCTGTGCCTTGGGGGACACCAATCATGGCCTTTTACTTCCCGAAAATCTGGAAGGCACCATAGCCATGAGTTACAATAAATGTTTCTTGCTGTTTAGACAGATAGCACCTCTTTAGGAAATCTGCCCTGGATGACAGCTGCGATTCGCAGTTAATTTGTGTCTCTGCCACATTCATATCTAAACACCTTTGAGTTTTTGTATCTAATGCACGCTGTCTCTTCTAAATGAGATGATGGTCTACTCCGAATGGGGAGTGGCACTTGCTATCCTCGTTAAGACTCACAGCACGCTTAAAAACAAAACGGACTGAGCTATGAAAGGGAGAGAAAATTCATCTGGATTGGAAGACAGTAGTGAGTTAAATGTGTGCCCCCAACATTCATGTCCTCCCAGAACCTCAGAACATGATCTTATTTATAAAACGGGGTTGGACACGGTGGCTCATGCCTGGAATCCCAGCATTTTGGGGAGGCTGAGGCAGGAGGATCACTTGAAGCCAGGAGTTTGAGACCAATTTGAGCAGCACAGAAAGACTCCATCTCTATAAAAAATTGAAAAATTGGCTGGGTGGGGTGGTGTGCACCTGAAACCATCCTCCCAGATGAAACGTCTGAGCCGCGTCAGGACAGGAATTAACAAAGTGAAGGGGTTGGGCAGGCGCAGAGCTCCAGGGGGCAGCCATGCAAAGGCCCCAAGGCGCCATGCATGCAGGGGGCTTCGGAGGCTCTGGAAGGCCGGTGGGGGGGCAGCAACAGCTCCCGCTGCCCTCCAGGGCAATTCCAGGCTTCCGGTTCCACGTTTAAGGGAGGTGTCGTAGGTGTGTTGGTGTGCAGGGTACTGAATTTGCACAGTGTTCTTTCAGAATGGACGTACAGGAGAAGAACCCGGTTACCTGGCAGGAGTTATGGAGTTGCCAGGACTGAGCTGGTCCTGGGGAGGCAGGAGCAGGAGATGCACAAGCTCCATGTGGCCTGGGCTCTGGGCCGGGCTGAGGGAGGCGGTGGGGCCATGCTGACCCTGGGCGCTGAGGACAAGGCACCTGCTTCTCGGCTGGGGCCGCCGCTCACGCGGACGCTGGTTCTTGCTCTTCCCCGGCTGTCCTCTAGGTGACGCACGCGGACCAGACATGAGCAGGTGTCCCGGGAACCTGCGCTCACCTGCGGACCTGCGGGTCCCTCCAGCTCACAGGATGGCCGAGCCCTGGGACCCACGGAGATGGGCGGGGCAGGCGCTCTGGGAAGGGGCCGGCTGGCCGGAGCCCCCCACAGTAGCCTAGCTGGGTGGCCGACCTGGGCAACCTAGGCTAGGGTATGGCTGGTACGGGCCCAGCGGGCACCGCCACGCCCAGACCCCACACAGCAGCAGCCCTGGGGCTCTCCTAATTCCTCTCCCACTTTTCCCAGGAGAGGAATTTTACTTCAGGACAAGCTGCGAGGGCAGGAGCAAATGCCTCCCCTTCTGGAGGACGCCCTCCCAGCAGGCGGCCGGCTACAAGCCCCTTCTTCCAAATGCAGGCGCCCTTCCCCTGTCACTGAAAGGGTCAGCAGAGCCCTCTGTGCACAGGAAGATGTCCGCATCCCCCACACACTGGGAGCTGGAACTCTGCTCCTCAGACAATCGCTTGGTCTGGGCCCATCCATCTTCCTCGCCCCTCTCAGGCCCACCTGGGCAGGCAGAGGCTTCTGGAACCTTCTCTTGTCGTCTGCCCTGGTGAAGGCCCTCCTGGGGGACAGTGGCTTGGGGGTTCTGTGGAACGGACTGGCTGCAGGCCAGGTGTGCCGAGGGTGTCTGTGCAGTCAGGGTACTCCGGGGAGGTCCCCCCAGGAGGTGGGGAAGGGCTGAGCCGTGAGTCCCAAAAGGACAGCCTGGGAGCCCCTGCATCCAGGACCCTCGGTAGCTGAAGGCCTCTGCCCCCAACCTCTGTACTTGGGCTTGGGGACCTGGCCCGGGAATCTGCATATGGAGCTCACTCCCAGGTGAGGACGGCGCAGGTGCCTCCAGGGAGCTCCCTGGGAGGGCCAGGAACCCTGCCCTTCTGTGACGTGGTCTCGGGCCAGGCAGTGTCCTGTGTTGAGAGCAGGCTTCTGCAACCGGACTCGGCTGTGGGCTGTGGGCTGGGGTGGGCCGTGTCCTCTGTGTCCAGAGCAGGCTTCTGCAGCCGGACTCGGCTGTGGGCTGTGGGCTGGGGTGGGCCGTGTCCTCTGTGTTCAGAGCAGGCTTCTGCAGCTGGGCTGGGCTGTGGGCTGTGGGCTGGGGTGGGCTGTGTCCTCTGTGTTCAGAGCAGGCTTCTGCATCCTGGCTGGGCTGTGCCCACCACCCGCATTCCCCAGCAGCCTGTTCTTCAGATCTTGTCCCATGGCCCTAGAGGGCCAGGCCACACACGAATCCCCATTCATATATTTATTTATTTCTTCATTCATTTACTTTAATTCAGAGAAAAGTGGTGCCCACCTTCAGCTCTGTGGTCTCTGCCAGGTGCGCGGCCCCGATGGCTCAGGGGCGGGGGTCCCAGCGCCAGGCAGAAGCCCCCCTTGTGAGCCACTCCCTTCCTGACTCTCAATTCTGTGAAGTGAAATCCCAGGTTTTCCCCTGGTTTGTAAAAAATCATGTTTGAATTTCAACCCCCACGCTTCTCGTCGGCCTCTCTGGCAAGACACTGTCCTACTTGCGGACAAAGTGGCAGCTTAGTGCTCCGTGGGAAGCAGCCTGCACCAAGGGAAAGAACTTAATTGAAAGCCCTTTTTCTTCATTTTGTTCCTCAGCCCTTGGTCTCATCCCCCCGCCCCCTCTCTGCACCACCTGTTTCTGCGGGTGGGTGGCTTTGCATGCAGCATGGGTGTTAACGGGTAGGTGGGAAGAGGGCGGCTGTCCGGGCGGGGTCCACATGCAGGCACTATCCGTATTGAGCTCCAGAAAGTCGACCCACTGTCTAAGCCCCGGTTTACACAACTATGACGTGGGCACACGGGGCCACAATTCCTACCCCCGAGTAACTGTGAGGAGCAAAGCAGGTAAAAGATGAACTCAGGTCTCACTGTGGGTGTGCACCAGGGCTGCCGTGGGGCTGGGCTGACCCCTCCCCAGGAGGCTGTCAGCTCTGGCCCGGCTAGTGGGTGTCAAACTGCATTCTGACTTTGTATCAAACCAGTGAATAGTGCTTAAAAAGTCTGAAATAGCACCGCAATCATGAAACCCAGCAGGCCCTGCCCCTCCTGCCCCTCCTACCCCTCCTGCCCCTGGCAAAGACCCAGAGAAAATCACCTTCCTTGTTTTGCTGGGCGTGTTTGGTTTTTGTATTTACCTCCGTGTTTCCAAATAACAGGCTTACGTCACAGCTCAACATCTCCCCACTCAAACACTCCCTTCCCCAATACGGTGATATCGCCTTCTTCTTCTTGATGGAAAAATGACGTTGGGTGCTCCTGTTACGATGTGTCTGTGGCCGCACTCAAGGCTGAGCCACGGCGTCCTGGCCGTGCCAGGATCTCCACCTCTTCCCCTGGCTTGTTCTTCTGGGCGGGCACCCGCCCCTCTCTGCAGGGTCCTCTTGCTCCTGTCTCCATGTCCCCCTCGGGGCTCCTCTCGTCAGCACCCCGGGGCCTCTGCCGCCCCACTGTGCCCCATTCCTCCTTCTCCTCGATGCACATCCTGGTTTCGGGTGCATGGGCCATGAGCCGTGTCTAAATCCTGTGTGTGGAACATGACTTCATCCCCTCACCCCTGTGCTTTTGCGGGGAGGTCCGTTCGCTCGGCATCCGGAAGGGACGGCTCCACCCCACAGTCCCAGCCCTGAAGTTCCTTCAGGCCGTCCTGGCCTTTCTGCTGACCTTCCTTTTATTCTGCTGGAAACCGGGACTATTTATTTACTTTTAACTATTAGTTTTTCCTTTTTTCTTCTTTTGAGACACAGTCTCATCCTGTCGCCCAGGCTGGAGTGCAGTGGTGCAATCGTAGCTCACGGCAGCCTCGAACTCCTGTGCTCCAGTGAGCCTCCTGCTTTAGACTCTGGGGCAGCTGGGACTACAGGTGTGAGCCACTGTGTCTGGCTAATTTTTGTATTTTTTGTAGAGATGGAGGGGGTGGGTCTCACTGTGTTGCCCAGGCTGGTCTCGAACTCCTGGGCTCAAGGAATCCTCCTGCCTCAGACTCCCAAAGTGCTGGGATTACAGGCGTGCGCCACTGTGCCCGGCCCTGGGGCTATTTCACGTGGAAGTTCATGTCCTTCAGCTCAGGTCAACCCTCTTCTTCCATTTCCTCACTTCCTCTTCTCTGTCCTGTGCCCGCTGCTGGTCGGCGCTGGGGCTGCTGCCGCTTCCTCTTCTCTGTCCTGTGCCCGCTGCTGGTCGGCGCTGGGGCTGCTGCGGCTTCCTCTTCTCTGTCCTGTGCCCGCTGCTGGTCGGCACTGGGGCTGCTGCCGCTTCCTCTTCTCTGTCCTGTGCCCCCTGCTGGTTGGCACTGGAGCTGCAGCCGCTTCCTCTTCTCTGTCCTGTGCCCCCTGCTGGTTGGCACTGGAGCTGCAGCCGCTTCCTCTTCTCTGTCCTGTGCCCGCTGCTGGTCGGCGCTGGGGCTGCTGCGGCTTCCTCTTCTCTGTCCTGTGCCCCCTGCTGGTCGGCGCTGGGGCTGTAGCCGCTTCCTCTTCTCTGTCCTGTGCCCCCTGCTGGTCGGCGCTGGGGCTGCTGCGGCTTCCTCTTCTCTGTCCTGTGCCCCCTGCTGGTCGGCGCTGGGGCTGCAGCCGCTTCCTCTTCTCTGTCCTGTGCCCGCTGCTGGTCGGCGCTGGGGCTGCTGCGGCTTCCTCTTCTCTGTCCTGTGCCCCCTGCTGGTTGGCGCTGGGGCTGCAGCCGCTTCCTCTTCTCTGTCCTGTGCCCGCTGCTGGTCGGCGCTGGGGCTGCTGCGGCTTCCTCTTCTCTGTCCTGTGCCCCCTGCTGGTTGGCACTGGAGCTGCAGCCGCTTCCTCTTCTCTGTCCTGTGCCCGCTGCTGGTCGGCACTGGGGCTGCTGTGGCTTCCTCTTCTCTGTCCTGTGCCCGCTGCTGGTCGGCGCTGGGGCTGCAGCCGCTTCCTCTTCTCTGTCCTGTGCCCGCTGCTGGTCGGCACTGGGGCTGCTGCGGCTTCCTCTTCTCTGTCCTGTGCCCGCTGCTGGTCGGCGCTGGGGCTGCAGCCGCTTCCTCTTCTCTGTCCTGTGCCCCCTGCTGGTCGGCGCTGGAGCTGCTGCGGCTTCCTCTTCTCTGTCCTGTGCCCCCTGCTGGTCGGCGCTGGGGCTGCTGCGGCTTCCTCTTCTCTGTCCTGTGCCCCCTGCTGGTCGGCGCTGGGGCTGCTGCCGCTTCCTCTTCTCTGTCCTGTGCCCCCTGCTGGTCGGCGCTGGGGCTGCTGCCGCTTCCTCTTCTCTGTCCTGTGCCCCCTGCTGGTTGGCACTGGGGCTGCTGCTGGGGCCTCAGTGGCTTTGTTTTCTCATTTTCCAGCCACTGGTCTCCCTCGCTGCTCTCTCGGAGCTTCCTCAGTCTCGTGTCCTGTTCTTTCTGTCGAGGCTTCATCCTGTTTGATTTCTCCACCCACGCTGGTGCACGAGAGCCCCTCCTGTTCCCTGGACCTCACGCCATCCCCAGCCACCCCACACCCTCCTCGTTCGTCCACTCTCTGCTGTCTCTGCATCTCTGCTGTCTCTGCATCTCTGCATCTCTGCTCTCAGCACAGTCTCCACACCATGTGTTTCCCTGTGGCTTTGTGTCTCTCATGCCAAAGGCTCTCACACGCATGATGGTTCTTGTGTGTCCTTCCATAGTGGACAGCAAGGGTCGTCTGCTCTGTCTGGACCATCAGCCCCACCCTTGCTGCCCCTCCACTTACCCAGACTCCAGCCGTGCATGAGCTGTCATAGGCCTCGTGCGCACCCTCCTCCCTTCGCTGTGGCTCCACGTTCCAGCTCCTTGCTGGCAGCACCATGTTTTATACCCAGCCCCGCTGTCATCTGGTGCCTGCAGGGACACCACACGCCTCCTCCCTGCCCCTCTGGGTCTTCCTTCAACACCCCACAGTGAAGGGTGCCCCATGCCGTGGCTGAAGTCAGATCCTGGAGGTCACACTTTCTCCTTCTCTTCTCCACACTTCCAGCCCTGCAGCAGGTCCTGCTGGTCTCTCCCAGGCCCTGGAATCTGCACACTTTTCCTCCCCTGTGGTTGCTACCCTGGCGGTGGTGGCCGGATGATGGCGACAGCTGCTTCTGCACAGAGCACTCCCCTCTATCAGTCCAGACTCCGGGGCATGTCTGTTTAAACACTAACTTAATTCTATCATGGCTGTGGGTCTTGACATTGGCACTGTTGGGCCAGCCCCACGCGGCAGGGTGGGCACGGCCGCTGCATTTCTCCACCTGCGCCTCCGGCCCTGCTCCTGGCATCACTGCCTCCCGTCCTTCATGGGGCCCCTTGAAGCCCCTCCTGGAGGCTGCCTGCATGAGTCCGCTCAGGATGCCGTGACAGCACCATGGACAGATGGGGTGGCTTCAACCACAGACAGTCCCAGAGGCTGGAGTCCGAGGTCACTGCACGGCAGGGCTGGTTCCTCCAGGCCTCTCTGTGGCTCGTGGATGTCATCCTCTCCGTGTCCTCACGGGGCCGTCCCTGTGTCTCCTCTCCTCATAAGGGCTCTTGTCAGATTGGACCGGGACCACCCGAACCCTCCCGCCACTTAATCACCTCTTTTGGTTCAGTCCCAAACAGAGAGAGACATGGGGGGGCCGGCTCCAGCCAGTGGATGAAGGGGCCACAGCACCTCCCTGGCTGCCCCACACGCAATGTCTGCCTGGCGCATCCTCTGCCCTTGCCGACTTCCTTGCCATGTGCAGGGCCCTGTTTGTGACCCATCTGTGCATTTACTGTGCGTCTCCCGCTGCTCTGCAAGGCGGCGGTGATGAGGACAGAGCTGAGTCTCTCAGGCCCCGCTGCACCCAGCCTGGCACAGCTCAAATGGGTGTCAGGGACTTTGTGGAACGGACAGGTGAGTGGATGCAGAGGCTCTTAGAAGAGGGGGCCACAGTGACCGGCCCCACAGCTGATTTCTTAGGGCTCCTGGGCCGTGTGACGCTGGGCAGGTGGTAGCCAGCATGCTGGCTCCTGCCTCTGCCCCTCACATGGTGCCAGCAGGGGAGATGCTGGCCTGGGAGCCCAGCCCCATCTCTGCAGCCCCGAGGCCAGCAGTGGGAAGGGGCTGGCACCCTTCACGGTGCCCCTCACTCACCACAGCCCCGGGGCAGCTGCCCCACGCATGGCTGCCCAGTCCTGCTGGAACACTGGAAGCTGCCCATGCCAGGGCTACAGACAGGGGCTGCCCTCGGGGCCGCCGCAGCTTTGGGTCGCGGCCCCAGCCTCTGAGAGCAACCCAGGACGGACCGCCCTGCCTTGGAGGTGGGGCCCCACCTGGCCTGTTTGCACCAGGGCTTGGCAGGCAGCCCCCTCCGACCCCAGCAGGCCTCGGGTCCAGGCCACCTTGAATGCCGACTCCTGGCCATGCCTGGTTCCAGGACTGGTTTTTCTTTGGAGAGGGGGTGGACAGGCAGCCACACACCAGGGTGTGAGGGACCCGCCCCGTGAGGCCGACACACATCTGCTGTACCTTTATTGCACTTTTATGACATTGCAAACTATTCCACAAAACTCTGCAAAGGTCAGCCCACAGCTGCGCACAGCCAGCCCTGCAGGATGCACTTGCACCAACCGTCCACAGCCAAGTCCGAGGTGGGTGCTGCAGGCCAGCGGGCGGACTCGCAGGACGCCTGGTCATCGGGTCCTCCAAAACCACGTAGGCATCCGTCCACCAGCGCACAGGCCAGACGTCCAGCGAGAGCCTCCTCCCGTCCTCAGACGAGACCCTCCAGCCCTCCAGGAGCCGAGGCCCCAGGAAGGAGAAAGGGTTTTTACTTGAATTAGGTCCCGAGTGTGAGAGCACTTGAGGGGTGAGCTTGGCCTTGAGGGGCCCCCAGAACCAGGGAGGGCGGTCCTCGTGTTTGGTTTGGTAGGTGATTGGCATCTGTGTACACGTCTCTGTTTATATACTTATTCATCAAATATAAATACAAAATAGTAAATAAAGGCTCCTTTCCCTACAGAAAGGATGGAATGCCTCCGGCGCCGGCCGCCTCTGTCCGTGAGCACAGACAGCGCTTCCTTCCCAAGCTTTTCTGGTCAAACACTGACAAAATGTGTCCTATGAGACCTGGGGAGCCTCGCCTCCTGTGGCAGCAGCTCCCGACTCCGGATGATCCCGTCCTGCCTCTGAATTCACTGAATTCACGACGGGCGCATGCGCTTGCTGGGAGGTCCGGCGCCTCTGTCTCCGTCCCGGGCAGCGCAGCGGCCGGCGGACACTACCTCGCCGAGGCGGCTCTGTGCTCAGTGTCCAGGTCGTCATCCACCACGCTGTGGAGCCCGTTCCTCTCCACGCAGTCCCGGACGGCCTTTAGCACGACGCGGAGCCGCCGGTCCAGGGCCTCCAGGTGCGGCTGGTACAGCACGGGTGCCACCTGGTCCCCCCGCAGAGACTCGGCCATCAGCAGGCTCAGCTTGTACTCCTCCTTGGCCAGGAGCTGCAGACGCAGGTAGGTGGACTTCCGGATCCTGGGGAGGAGAGGGGCATCAGGCCTGGCACGGGACAGGGGAGATGCCTGCCCACGGGAAAGCGAGAGAAAGTGAGAGGGAGATCGAGAGAGTGGGGGGAGAGACAGAGAGAGAAAGAGGGGGACAGAGACAGAGAGAAAAAGACAGAGACATACACAGAGAAAGAGAGACACAGAGAGAAAGAGAGGGAGAGAGAAAGGCAGACAGACAGAGACAGACAGACAGAAAGAGACACAGATAAAGAGAAACAGGCAGACCGAGACAGAGAGAGAGACAGAGACAGACACAGATAGAGACGGCAGAGACGAGAGAGACCGCGAGAGAGGGGCCTGCGATCCAACACCTCATCAGCCTCCGGGCTGTGTGACCTGCTTCGGCGTGGTCTGCCGCCTCTCACCTGCACAAGGGATGAGGGTGCCCTTGCAGGATGTGGTGGCCGGTGTATTTCCCAGAGGGGCCCGGCAGGAGGATGGGGAGGTGAGGAGGGCGGCCCGCTCACCCAGGAGGATGGGGAGGTGAGGAGGGCGGCCCACTCACCCAGGAGACCGACCCCAGCTCAGCACATCCGCACAACACGGGCGCTGTGATGCCTCCTTAGAGAAGTACAAAGCGTTTGCCCTGCAAGCCTGCGTCCCCAGCCATGAAACGGGGGAAAGGGGGTCTGAACCCCCGCAGAAGGTGGCAGTGGCAGAGACCGGCAGCTGCGTGCGGGAGCAGGGTCCCTGTGTCTCAGCTGGCGTCTGCCCTGGCCTCGAGCTCTCTCTGTAACTGGGGTGGCAGGACGGACACAGAGTGGAGGCCCGAGGGGGCTCGAGCTGGATGGGCCTGGGGTGGTGGGCGGGTGAGGTCTGCGCCTCCAGGCCGCCGAGTGAGGGTGTGGGTTGAATTCAGGGCTGTGGTTGAATTCGGGGCCTTTTCTCTCCCATGTGATGGCCGGGGTGGGGTGGGGAAGGCTGTGGCCTCCTCTGTCTCCTGCGCAGTAGGGAGGAGGGTGGAGCTGGAGCCGGCTCCGGCAGGGGCTGTACCTGCAGCACTGCTGTAGCGGCACCAGGATGGAGAGCTCGTCGTGCGAATACTTCCCAAACCTTCCAGAAGAAAAGCAGAATTGTCAAGGGCCCCTGTACAAGGTTCCTAACAGGCTGCTGGGCTGGGAGCTGGGCCATGGGTCCACCTGCCTGTACCCGACACCCCAGGCAGTGGGTCCACCCAGCCCATCTCCAGCACCCCGGGCAGTGGGTCCATCCCACCCATCTCCAGCACCCCAGGCAGTGGGTCCATCCCACCCATCTCCAGCACCCCAGGCAGTGGGTCCACCCCACCCATCTCCAGCATCCCGGGCAGTGGGTCCACCCTGCCCATCTCCAGCACCTCAGGCAGTGGGTCCACCCTGCCCATCTCCAGCACCCCGGGCAGTGGGTCCATCCCACCCATCTCCAGCACCCCAGGCAGTGGGTCCACCCTGCCTATCTCCAGCACCTCAGGCAGTGGGTCCACCCCACCCATCTCCAGCACCCCAGTCAGTGGGTCCACCCTGCCTATCTCCAGCACCTCAGGCAGTGGGTCCACCCTGCCTATCTCCAGCACCCCAGTCAGTGGGTCCACCCCGCCTATCTCCAACACCCCGGGCAGTGGGTCCACCCAGCCCCATCTCCAGCACCCCAGGCAGTGGGTCCACACTGCCTATCTCCAGCACCCGGGCAGTGGGTCCACCCAGCCCCATCTCCAGCACCCCAGGCAGTGGGTCCACACTGCCTATCTCCAGCACCTCAGGCAGTGGGTCCACCCCGGGCATCTCCAGCACCCCAGGCAGTGTGTCCACCCAGCCCATCTCCAGCATCCTGGGCAGTGGGTCCACCCAGCCCCATCTCCAGCACCCCAGGCAGTGGGTCCACCCTGCCCATCTCCAGCACCCCGGGCAGTGGGTCCACCCAGCCCATCTCCAGCACCCCGGGCAGTGGGTCCACCCTGCCCATCTCCAGCACCCCAGGCAGTGGGTCCACCCCGCCTGTCCCCAGCCCTGTATGTGGGGTCCTGGCCTCTGGCCTGGGGAAGGGTCCTGGGCAGCCGAGTTGAGATGGCTCCAGGGAGCGTCAGCCCACAGTTTAGCTATTGAAGTGCCCAAAGTCCATCTCTCTGAGGCCTCCGAGCCTGGGAATGGACGTCCTCCTGCCCGAGTTACTCGCCTCCATGCTTTGCTTATTAGGGGTCACCCTCCCTGGTAACCAGGGTCTCACAGCGCCGCCCAAGACCCCCCGTGGCAGGCCAGCAGCGGCCGCAGAGGCCGCCTATCCCCCGCTGGCTGGCTCCAGGTACCGCGTGCAGGCAGAGGCCCATCTATTCTGCACGGTCCTGCTCTTCCTACCAGCAGCCTCTCCTGGCCTCCGTTTCCCAGGTAACACCAGCTCTGCCGGGACTTGGTCTGCAGCATTCCTGTGCCTCGGAGGTCCCACTCCCGGGGCGGCCCTCCCTCCTGGTTGGGGCCTGGGGCCGCCCTCTGCATCTGGCTCTGAGATGGGCCTTTGCGACATTCCCATCCCTCCACTGGAGGGTCTGCTCCCCCCGTCCCCAGGGTCTCAGGTGGGCTGCAGGTAGCTGGGAGGTGGCCGGCCCTTCCCTGGGTGTGCAGGGGCGAGGACAGGCTCACCCTCTTCCATTGTCTAAGTGGATGATGAACGTTTCATTCCCAAACTTCTCAAAAGTCTCGTAGTGGTGACGGTCCATGTTTCCTGCGGAGAGAGGCAGAAAGTGTCACAGCTCGTGGGGAGCCGGGCCACGTAGCTCAGAGGCCTCTGTGCTCTGCAGAGCGGCGTCTCCTCCTGCCAGCGTGACCTCTAAGCAATCTGGCCCCTTCACAGGCCACAGGACCGCAGCCGGGCCGTGCCACGGAGTGTGCCCTGCAGAGCCCTGCGTGCATCCGCTCCACGCAAGGCGAGTGACACGGGGACCCCGTGCCCCTGCGGGACGTACCCATGAGGAAGTCGAAGATCGTCATGTCCATGACGTCCAGGATGCGGTGGCTGCTGTCGTAGGGCGGTGTCTGCTTCACCTCCTCGCAGTAGTCAGGGTCCACCTCCCACCTGCGGGGAGCCAGCGTGAGACGGGGGGCCCAGGCCAGATTCTGGGGAGCCCGGCGCGTGCCATGAGGAGCAGAAGAGAAACACTGCGGCAGGGACCTTGGCGTCTGCAGATGGACCCGCCCGGGCTGCGGCGCTGAGGCTGCATTAGCGGGAGCACGGGTGTGGGAGGGGACGGAGCCGCTCTGCCCTGCCTCGGGGTGACCCCACCTGGAGCTGCCTTCACCTCTGGGCCCCGTGTTTTTTGCAGAGTCTCTGTGGGGAAACAGGACCTGGACTACACACTCACGAGGACAACGTGGGGCGGAAAGAACAGGGGCCGTTTCTCCCGCAGGAGTGAGGAGAGGGACGGGGCGAGAGCAGAGCTCAAACGCTGAGAGGCCCCGATTCGAGGGACCTGGTGGGCAGGCCGGCCCGGGTCAGGGAAGCACATGGAAATACTGGAGTAAGGACGCCCTCTGCCACCGTCTCATCAGGAAGCGGTCATCTCACACAGGCCAGCATCGCACAGCAGGCTCTGCACCCATCTCTGCCACCCCCGTGGGCGCCGACCCTCCCATGCCCGCCCAGGCCCAGCTCCCTCTGCCGTAGGGTGGCCGGACGCCAGCCCCCCGGCCCCGCACTCACTCGGCCTTCTTGCGCTTGTGGTAGGAACGCCGCCAAGGGTTCCGCCAGGTCTTCCTCTTGGCCAGGGACAGGTCGGGCAGGAAGGCCGCCAGCGAGCCCTCGATCTGGTCTGGCTTCCCGCACAGGGCGTGCTCCGTGGAGCAGTAGTAGGAACACTCGCCGTAGAAGCAGATGTTGTTGGCTGGGGAGGGACAGGCTGCGGGTTACCAGGGCCGCACAGGGCTGCGTCCTCACCTGTGGTCTCACGGCCCCCAAGGCCGGGCCGGGCTCTGCCTGGTGCTTCTCATGGGCAGGACTCACCCACAGTTCCCCATCAATCCCAGCAAACACCTCCACCCCACGGTACAGAAAAATGAACCCACAGAGCTGACGTCCCGAGGCCACACAGCTCCCCAGAGGCAGAGCCCGGCCTGAACCCTCGAAAATCAGGGGCTGGTCTATGGAAACCCTAGGGCCAACATTTAGTCTTTTAAAAAATGCATTCATATTGTCAAGAAAGTGAAGATACAATCCACAGAATGGTAGAAAACGTTTGCAAACCGCACATCTGAGGATCTAGCATTTAGAGTGTATGAAGAACTCTCATCACTCAATCACAAAAAGACAAAAAAAACTAATAAATGGGCAGAGGGCTTGAACAGCTGATTCTCCAAAGACGACCCTGATGGCCGACAAGCATGAGAAGAGACGGGCGCCATCGTGAGTCACCGGGGAGATGCAAATCAAAGCCACGGTGAGGCACCATCTCCTGTCTGCTGGGATGGCTTCCATCAAAAGAGCAGCTGCCGGCTGGGACGGGGGAACCGCCACCTCTGTGCGCTGCTGGCGGGGGGTGCACACGGCACAGCCACGGCGGAAACGGTCTGCAGCCCCCAACTGATTAAACACAGTGTTTCCACGTGACCCAGGAACTCCCCTCCCATGTAAACCCCTAAGAGAAGAGAAAACATTTCTATACAAAAACTCAGACACGAATGCTCACAGCAGCACCGCTCACCACAGCCGAAAAAGAGAGAATCCACCCAAATGTCCATCAAGAGAGGAGTGGACACGCCAGGTGAACATGGTCCATCCGTGCGATGACACGAAACGAAATGAAACAAGAAGAGGAATGAAGCCCTCACTGAACCCGAGAACCCTGTGCTCCGCGAAGGAGGCCAGACAGAGGAGGCCACACGTCGTATGACCCTCTTAATATGAAACGCCCAGAACAGGCAAATCCAGATAGACTGGGGGTGGGACGCTGCTCGTCGAGGGCTGCGGGGTGAGGAACGGTGACCGCCTGCTCATGGTACGGGGCTCCTTTTTGGGGTCAGCAGGACATTCTGGATTTAGACAGTGGTGATGGTTGCACACCATTGTGGATATACTAAAAACCACGGAACTGTACGCTTTTAAATGGTAAATTTTGTGGTACATGAATTATACCTTAATAAAGAAAGAATAATCAGAAAAATGCAAGCGCTGTCCAGGCCCGCTAGCAGTGCGGGTTCACTGCTCTGATGCTGGAGGCCCGGCCGACGGCGCTATTCCTGTATTTATTTGCTGATTAAATCTAGTTTTTCTTGCTTTATTTGTTTGTGGAGAAACTCTGGAAAGCCTGGGGCTGTAGAACTGGTGAGAACGTGGTTTTGTTGGGGCCGGAGCCCCGAACCTCACTCACAGCTCCCCCAGTCCCAGCATTCCTATGCAGCCAGGCTGAGTGATTCCAGGGGTCTCTCCTGGCTGCAGGGCAGGCTCCCCGTGGGATCAGAAGGCAGGTTCGGCAGGGCGCTTCCCAGCGGAGTGAACAGGAGGGTGGCCGGTCCCGGCTGCCCTTTCTTAGCTGAACAAGCTGAGGTTCGGAGAGGAAACGGGGTGGGTGCCAGGCCGACCTGGCCCCCACCACACCCCACGCACCCGGCAGGTCCCGGCTGGTCTGGTTCCAACGCCCCGATCACCTGCCTGCCCCCTCCTTCCCGCGCCCCCTCACCCCACTGCCAACGCTGGGTCATTATTGTAAGAACGAACGATCAAGGAAAGACCAGCTGCAATCCTGTCTCGTGCTGATACAGATTAGTCGGCAGCCCACAGTCGGACGAGGCAGCCCCCACCGGGGCAGGAGCTCCATTTCAGGAGGAAAATCTTCATCTGAGCGCTCATTGGCTGGAGGCTTAAAATTCGTCTGCTGTTAACAGCCTCCCGTCCTCGCCTAAGCCGGTTTCAGATGGTATCGTGTTAAAAGAGAAAGGCATTTCTCGGGCCCACAGCCATTTCTCTTTGCAGATCCAAATCGGGTATTAAAGGGGCCTCCCGGGCGGGGTTAGGAGGGCTTGGAGCTGTGTGACCTCAGGCAAGTGCCTCCCTGCTCTGTGCCCAGCCCCTCGCCCGGGAAGCGGGGGTCCCAGCAACGCCGGCATCACGGGCTGGGAATTACACAAAGAAGCCACGGGAGGCAGCTGTCCAGGTAACGAAGGCTGCCCTGCACTTGGAGTGGGGGCTTTCTGGGAGGAAGGAGCGTGAGTCCTTTTCCATTTTAGTAATAATAAAAGACACAAACAGCAAGGAGAAAGCCAGGGTAGCGGACAAACCCAGGAGAGATCCTGCCTCCTCCAGTCACCAGGAAATGGCATCACGGTTGGCCTCCCGGAGAGCGCAGACAGGCAAGAGTGTGGCTCCTGGCAAGGACGAAGATGGCTCCTTCACCCTGCGGCTCAAGCGTCTCCCACCATTCCTTTCGCTGACTGTGTCGGGGCTGACCCAGCAGGAGGAGCGTTTTGCAAGGCGGACGTCTGCCATCTGCCACCTTGGACAGCTGTGCCCTGGACAGCTGCGGGCCCGGCGGACACTGTTACTTAGGGCAGCGGCTCTGGGTGCCCGAACTGGGTCCATCGCTGGAAACGTGTCTCCTGCAACCTGCATTTAAGCTGGACGCAGCACTGGAGAGAGTCCTGAGGACCGCCCTGCCCAGCCCAGGCCACCGTGGCAGGAAAAAAGGCGAAGCGGATGATGGCAAAGCCCTTCTGTCCAGGCTGTGTCGGGCTGAGTGGCTTCCGGAGCTGCTGAGGACCTGGGCCTGGTCCTGGGGGCGCTCACCTTGCAGAAATGCAAAGCTGTGCACGGATGACCTGTGCACCTCTGGGACGTTTGCAACGTGCAGACGGTAACTTACGTGAGAAGTAGGGGAGTGTGTTCTGTGAGCGTTTGGGGCTTAGAAGATGTGGGCTCTGACTGCGGCCCGGCCCCTACACAGCTGTGCGGTGCTGGGGTCCTAATTGCCCTCTCTGAACCTGAGCTCCACAATCCCTACGTGGGGCAGGGGGCTGCCTGGGGCTCAGCCTCCTGCTTCTCCCTCCCAGAGCCCACCTTCCCCGAGCACTGGCCTTGGCCACCTCTCGCCCCCTCACCTTGTTCCTGGCTGATGGGATTTTCCCTTTTCTGATTGACCCCACGGGAGGGTCACTCAGGCCACGGGAGGCCGAGGGGGTGTCTGCAGTGGGCTCAGCCCTCCAATGTGCTCTGGGCTCCAGCAGGGCTTCCGAGACCACCTGGCATCCGTGGTTGGGAGGCCGAGGGGGTGTCTGCAGTGGGCTCAGCCCTCCAATGTGCTCTGGGCTCCAGCAGGGCCTCCGAGATGACCTGGCATCCTTGGTCGGAAGGCCGAGGGGGTGTCTACAGTGGGCTCAGCCCTCTGATGTGCCCTCGGCTCTGGCAGGGCCTCCGAGATGACCTGGCATCCTTGGTCGGGAGGCCGAGGGGGTGTCTACAGTGGGCTCAGCCCTCTGATGTGCCCTCGGCTCCGGCAGGGCCTCCGAGATGACCTGGCATCCTTGGTCGGGAGGCCGAGGGGGTGTCTACAGTGGGCTCAGCCCTCTGATGTGCCCTTGGCTCCGGCAGGGCCTCTGAGGTCACCTGGCATCTGTGGTTGGGAGACACATGCAAAGCAAAGTGGAGCAAACGAATCTGAACAGATTTTGTTCTCTAGGAGAGGAATCCGGGCTCCTGGGCCCCTGCTGCTTGAGAGAAAGTCAAATGCTCACAGAGGCTTCTGGAAGAAATCGGACTGACAGGGCAGCGCGGCTGGAGTGGCAGCAGTGGGGTTCCAGGGGCTGCGTTCAGGGGCGCCTGACAATGCTGGGCCTGGCTGCTCTGGGAGATTCAAGGACTCGTCTGTCCAGGCAGGGACATGGAACTGTTGGGGCCTCTGGTGGCCGAGGAAGTCTTGGATTTCAGGGGAGAAACTTGCGCTGCCCTGGAAAACGCAACTAATATCCAGAACCAGGAGTGGCCAGGGAAGCTGCTGGAGCGCTTAATAAAGTGCTGGCTCCAGGGAGACGTGAGAAGGGATTCCAGCAACGGCACCAAAGGTGGTCGATGGCCGCCTTGCAGCACAGAGCTCAGGGGCACTCCGGTGACCACCGTCCCTGGCCTGCTGAGGACCTGGGGATTCCAAGTGTCAGCCAACATGGGACATAGAGGTGACTTAATTCACCTGCTTGGACTAATAATCAACTCAGTCTTTTTTTTTTTTGAGACGGGGTCTCACTCTGTCACCCAGGCTGGAGTGCAGTGGTGCCCGATCATAGCTCACTGCAGCCTAGACCTGCTGGGCTCAAGCCATCCTCCTGCCTCAGCCTCCTGAGTTGCTGGAATCACAGATGCATGCCACCAGACCTGGCTAATTTTTCATTTTTTGTAGAGATGGGGTCTCGCTACGTTGTCCAGGCTGATCTTGAACTCCTGGGCTCAAGGGGTCCTCCCAGTACTGGGATTGCAGGCGTGTGAGCCACCGTGCCCGGCCACTCAGTGCAGGCGTGAGCCGCCGTGCCCGGCCACTCAGTGCAGCCGTGAGCCGCCGTGCCCGGCCACTCAGTGCAGGCGTGAGCCGCCGTGCCCGGCCACTCAGTAAGACCTTAGAAACGGGGAGGAAACGACCTGCCCCCACAGGCTCATTTTACAACAAAATGAGGAGTTCCGGAGATGCTGCTCTGAGCAGAGCCAGGCAGGGCATGTTCTCAGCATCAGTGGGCATCATTGACCCCTCCCTGCGTGACCCTGTGACCGTCTCTTTCAATCGGTCCTGAACCGAGAGCTTGGTCTGCAATGCAGAGAATGGAGTTTAAGCTGGAGGAATTCCCACAGTCACTGCATGGGGCGCTGGCACCTGAGGATGGGGAATGTCAGTCTTTGGAACCTTTGAAATACATCACCCTAAAAGTTGCAATAAAAATTGTAAAAAGACGTGGATAAGAAGCAGTCGGGCATCCAGGCATCACTGGAGCGGAGCCCAGCCTCCGTGGGCACCAGGGTGTGCATGGCGGGCTGCAGTGCGGTCAGTCCTGTGGACGGTGGGGCAGGAGGCGGTGGCTGGACAGTGCGGTCAGGGTCGACCCAAGGGCTGACAGCGGCCGGAGCTCAGGCGTGCTTAGGAAGCCCTGGACTCCCAGGGTGGGGAGGCGAGTTTCAGCCCCTTAAAAAAGATGGACAGCTCAAGCCATCCAAACAGGGACTGAATTGTCTGTGAGCCAATGCGTTCCCCATCACTGGAGGTGTGCCTGGCTCAGGCACAGCTGACCGGGGAGCCCTCAAAGACCCCCACGCTCAGGTTCTGCCTCTGCCCCGATTCCTGGTGTGTAGGGCCAGGCACCAGTGGGCCAGGGAAGGGAGCCCTTCTTCCCGCCTCTGTGGAGCTTTCTGTCCTATTTTTCTCTTATTAATGGGCTTTGAGAGGAAGAAAGCAAATGAGGATCTCGGTGAGCCCTGGCTGACGGAACGGAGCTTAATTAAATCATGGATTCGGGGGCCGGGTTCTGACAAATTCATGAATGCATTAAGAGAAAGCGCAGAGTCCGTACATCGATCTGAAACATCTGCAGGAAATGAGCTTTTAGGTCAAGGTTTTATGTGCCAGCAAATCTGAAGACGCAGCTAATCAGGGGCCCTAATTGGATTTTATCTGCATGAATTAAACAGATGGGCCAGGAGAGTGGCTGAGGCCCCCTACAGTGAGAGCCTCCGATCCGGAGGGCCCCTCCCCAGTGGGGACCTTGCTCTGCAGGGTTTCCTGGGGTGAGGGTCCCTTCATTCTGCAGGGCCCACCATCGCTGGGACCACTCTTGACCTTCAAGATGGAAACATAGGGGACCGAGTCCGGGACAGGTAGGAGAGTGTCCCCAGAGCTCAGCCAGGTGAGCATCGGAAATGGGAACAGGCTGTGCAGCAGGGGCCTGGTACCAGAGAGGCGCTTGGAGAGGAGGACTGAGCCCTCGGCAGAGCCACAAATGCCAGTTTCTTTTCTTTTCTTTTTTTTTGAGACAGGGTCTCACTCTGTTGCCCAGGCTGGAGTGCAGTGGTGCAACCCCCACTCACTGCAGCCGCCACCTCCTGGGCTCAAGCAATCCTCCTGCCTCAGCCTCCTGAGTAGCTGGGACCACAGATAAGCGCCACCACGGCTGGCTAATTTTTTAATTTCCTGTAGACAGGGGTCTCACCACGTTGCCCAGTCTGGTCTCAAACTCCTGAAATCAAGTGATCCTCCCACCTTGGCTTCCCAAAATGCTGAGATTACAGGCGTGAGCCACCACGCCCAGCCCAAATGTCAGGTTTAAAGCAACCTGGGTAGATAATTAAGTAGAAAATCATGTGTTTATGTGTGCGCTGTACTTATCACGTAGAGTCTTGAAGGTTTTATAAACCTCAGCACCAACAAAGACATCTATTCCTGCCTAACGTTCAGGCCATCCTGTATCCCCTCAAGGGCACCAGGGACCAGGGGCCTGGGCCAGCCCTGCTCACAGTCCAGCCACTTCGCCGAGGCGGGGGAGGCCGCCCACCCTGTTACTATACAACGGGGGTCCTGCTGAGTGTGTTTAAGTCCGAGTGGGGAGGTCCCATGGATGTTTGCTGGCTGGGCCACCTGGAGAAGGCTTCCTGGAGAGGCTAGGACCTCCCAAAAGTGAATCGTTTCACCAGTTAAAATAAACAAAGAAATGGAAGAAACAGTCTCTCTGTGCACAGAAGGACATTGGTTAAACCCTGATGGTGGCACCTTGAAGCTGTCCGTGGGCTGGCACTCCGGGTGTGGAAGGAGGCACAGGGCACCCCTGCGTGGGAGGTGGGTTGGGAACAGCACTGTGAGTCAGCACCCTGGTGTGGAAGGGGGCACAGGGCACGTGCCAGGCTACCTGGAGAGATGAATGCGGGCCCCCGTGCCAGGCTACGTGGAGAGATGAATGCGGGCCCCTGTGCCAGGCTACCTGGCGAGATGAATGTGGTCTCCCCGTGCCAGGCTACCTGGGGAGGTGAATGTGGGCTCCCCATGCCAGGCTACCTGGAGAGATGAATGCGGGCCCCCGTGCCAGGCTACCTGGAGAGGTGAATGTGGGCCCCCGTGCCAGGCTACCTGGCGAGATGAATGTGGGCTCCCCGTGCCAGGCTACCTGAAGAGATGAATGCGGCCCCCCGTGCCAGGCTACCTGGAGAGGTGAATGTGGGCCCCCGTGCCAGGCTACCTGGCGAGATGAATGTGGGCTCCCCGTGCCAGGCTACCTGGAGAGATGAATGCGGGCCCCCGTGCCAGGCTACCTGGAGAGATGAATGCGGGCCCCCGTGCCAGGCTACCTGGAGAGATGAAGAAGGTCCTCCAGAGCTTCTTGTCCCGTGTGACGTCCCGGATCTCCTTGGTCATGTTGACCATCCTGCCGGCCACGGGAGGGACCCGGCGGAAGTCCAGGATCCTGGCAAGAAACGGGCGGGGAATGGTCTGTGCTCTGTGCGGCTCAGCGGGCCTCTGTGTCCCTGCCTCCAAATAAGAACGGGGCAGGGGAGGGTCTGTGCTCTGTGCGGCTCAGCGGGCCTCTGTGTCCCTGCCTCCGAATAAACCCAGCCCTAGGTCCGGTGGCTCTGCCTGGCCCCACGGTGATGGGGGTGGGAGAGGCCCCTGAGGGACTGGGGCTGGCGATGCCTCACTGATGGGCACACAGCACCAACTGCCTGCATAGCTAAAGCCTGCCCTCATTCCAGGGCTAAATTTAAAACAAAATTAAATTAAAGGAGCCACTTTTAATGGAACTCCTTCTGAACCACACCACAGGCTCCCACTCGCTTAATTAAATGGAGAATGCAGGGCGAGAGCTTTTCTTGCTGACGGAGGACGTGGTGATTGTCCTGTGAGGCGAGGTGACCAGGTGTGGAGGGACGTGGGCCGTCTGCCAGGGCCGACCCGGGACCCAAGGCCCGACCACGCCTCTGCGTGGAGCACCCTCCCCCTCCACCTGTCAGACGGCTCGCCTGGGTGCTGGGCTCTGTGTCCTGTTTTATAAACAGGTGGACCCGAGGGGGGCTGTTTCCTAATGACCCTCCCCGTCTTTCTTTTCATAAAAAGCCCTTTTTGGGTTCAGGCTGTTCTAGATAGCTGAAATGGTGGAAAATCTGGCTTCTGGCGATTTCTATAGTCACCACAGAAGACTTTGATCTTTAAAAAAGCCCTTTAAACTCCAATGTACGCCCGCGTCACTAGGGATCTTGTTAAAATGCAGATTCTGTCCCAGGTCTGGGTGGAGCCCAGGACTCTGCATTCCAACTAGCCCAGGGCAACCCCAATGCTGCCGGCCCTGGGGCCGCACCCCAGGCTGGGACGTGTCAGGGCCGTGCAGGGCAGGCAGGGAGGCTCTGGGGGCTGAGGGTGGCGCCTCCTCCCTCCACTGCACCAGGGCAAGGTCCTTCAATCCACGGGGCCCCTCTGGACCTGGGCCAGGCCCGTTTACTGCCCTTGGAGGGCACTGAACACGGACCCCCCACTTTCCCAGCAGCAGGGCCAAGCTGACCCTCACAAGGGGTTCACTTTCTGCTGGGCTGGGGCGGCCCCTCTGGAGACAGGCGACCGTGGGGCCTCCCAGGCCCCCTCATCACAAACATCGCTTCCCCCTCCTTAGGAAGCCTGCTTTGGTCTCCCAGAGAAGCCTGTGCTCTGTGAGTCTCTGTGTTAAGATTCGCAGCACTTAATACTCCCCCTTCCCTCCCTGCCTCCTTCCCTCTTTCCTTTTCCTCTATTACCGACCGCACAGCAGCTTCTGTGCCTCCCATCTGCCTGAACTGTGGGGGTGCAGGAGGGGCCCATCTGGATTAAGGTGCCCTGAGGGCAGGCGCCCTCTCCCTCGGTGACAGAGGGATGATTAGGAGCGTGGGAACCTGGGCAAATCGCCGCTCACAGAGCCTCAGTTTCTCATCTGTAAAGGGGGATATGAAAGGCTCTCCCTACCGCGTGTTGTGTGGGCTACGATGACACAGAGGGCCCTGCTCAGGGCAGCACTCGGGGTGGGGGGAGAGCAGGCACCGGCGCTGCCTGATGGTGACAAAGGTGACGATGACATACAGGACCCTGCTCAGGGCAGCACTCGGGGTGGGGGGAGAGCAGGCACCGGCGCTGCCTGATGGTGACGAAGGTGACGATGACGTCCTGCTGTGTCCAGTGCAGGACGGCCTCACTCACCGGTGGGTCTGAGCGCACGGGAGCGCGGATGGAGGGAGGAAGGAAGGGCTCACCTGTCCAGGTGGAAGGCAGCAATCTCCGCATTGTGCCTCTCGTAGTCAGAGAAATAAAAAAAGTCAGGGGGTGTCTCCTGCTCCCTCGTTTGTCTGAGAAAACAAGACAGAAACAGAAACGGTTTGTCACTGAGAAAGCCTCCAGGGGCCGGAGGCAGGCGGGACGTGCTGGGTTCCTCATATGAAAAATGCGGTGGAGCTCCAGCCTCCTCAGGGCCACCCTGAGCCTTCGGGACCCTGGGCACCCAGCTGCCGACGGGCCCTCAGAGCAGCGCAGGCACGTGCGACGGAGGCCGGGGGTCCCAGCTCCCCGTGGCCCTGACCCAGCTGCCGACGGGCCCTCAGAGCAGCGCAGGCCCTTGCGACGGAGGCCGGAGGTCCCAGCTCCCCATGGGCCCTTCTCAGGTAAGCTGCTCAAAGGCCTCTCCTGCACTGGCTGGGGGCCCCGGCACGTCCACCCTGGGACCCACAGTCACACCGCAGGGGAGAGGCTGGGCTCGGTGTCCCAGGCCTGGCTCAGCCCCGGTTTGCTGTGTGCACCCTGGCACCGCCCACCCTCTGGTTTCCGAGTCTCCCCCACGGCCTCCAGGACCCCTTGGCTCTGCCGTGGACGCCTCCCACAGTAAGAGCCCAAGAAGGGCAATGTGGGCACCGCCCTGTCCCTCCACCCTGGCCAAGGGACAGGAGGCCACAGGTGGGGCTGTTTATGAAAGGTCAGTGCCATTCTGTAAACACCATAGGGCTCCTGTATCTCAGGCCAATACTCCAGGGGAAGGGGAGCCTAGCCGCAGGGCCCTGTGAGGTGCCGGTCCACGCAAGTGTTTGACCGATGTGGTCATGGTGGAAACGTGGAGGAATTGTCAAGGTCGTGTCTGAGCATAAGTGTGTAAGCGCGTAAGCGTGTAAGCGTGTAAGCATGCTTCCTCCACCAAGGCCGGCCCCTGCCATGCTTCCCCCACCAAGGCCGGCCCCTGCCTCCACTGGAGGGAGAGCCTGTCCCAGGGCGTCCACCCAGGCCAGGCCCAGGGAGGGAACTCAGCCTCCAACCCAGGCTTCCTCCACCAAGGCTGGCCCCTGCCTCCACTGGAAGGAGAGCCCGTCCCAGGATGTCCTCCCATGCCAGGCCCAGGGAGGGAACTCAGCCCCCAATCCAGGAAGAATTTACCAGATTCAAACTCTGGTGACCTTTCCAGGTGCTGGAAACCAGAGCTGGCGGGAATCCCCAGCTCGCACGCCCTGCAGCCCACACCTCCCACTCAGGGCAGACTGTGTTCCGTCTGGGCTCCAACACTCCAGCAATGCAGACTACAGACGCCGCCCCGGTCACTTTCCCAGCCCTCGGCTTCCCCGGCCGGGTCCTTCCTTCCATATACGCAGCGGAGGTCCGCCCAACTCCTGGGAGCATCCTGGCCCTGCCACGGGCCGACATCATCGCCACACGAACAGCGGGGTGGGGCACAGGTCCTGTATGTCATGTCCACGTCCCTTCGGGGGGACCACGTCTGGGTCACAGGCCGTCAATTACACACCAGCCCGTGGCTCCCGTCCTCCCACGCTGTTCTCAGAAAGCTGTGGCCACAATTCTCCGTGTTCCCGGAACGTTTCTTATGGGGGGTTAAAGATGTGTACCACCCACGGCCTTTTTAAGAACTAGTCTCTGCTGCTAGAAACTCTGAGAACAGACCACTTTCCACGATCCCACATAATATTCGCCTTGACAGGGCCCTGGGTAGGCGCAAGGCCAGATGAGGATTCCAGGAGCTACTTAAAAATAAAATGCGGATGGTGGGCTGGCGCCTGAAGGTCACATTTGCTTCATAACCCCACTGGGTCTGTGGCCATTGCTATCTCTGTGCACTTCTGAAACCAGCAGCAAAGGAGGGTTGGGGTGCAGGGCAGGGCAGTGGCAGGTATGGCGGCAAACTGAACATGCTGCCCGCCAGGGTCGCCCTGCAGAGCCGAGGCCCAGACTGGCCGGGATCCTGAGGTTCAAGAGAAAGAATCTAGACCTTGTGGAATCTCCCGGGTTTTAAGCGCTGGCAAATGGATTTCATTTTTCTAAAACACTAAAGGTCAAACCAAATGGTCCGCTGCAGTCAGCCCGCAGTTCCAGGGGTGGTAAATTCTGGAGTGTTGGATATTTTTGAGGTTAAAAAGCCTTCGTTGTTTTCAACTTGGAAGGATTGGCTTTGAGCAAAACTCATTCCACAGAACACTAGTTCTACTAGATTTTAGTAACTTTCAGCTGGAAAAAGGGAACTCCAGATGGAGGCAAGATTTCTTTTCTGTAAACTTCGAGCCTTACGTCTGCACAGTGACTCCCCAGAACGGCCCAGCATGAGTCCAGGAGTTCAAGACCAGCCTGGGCAACATAGTGAGACCCCAGGTCTACGAAAAATAAAAAAATCAGCTGGGCGTGGTGGCACACACCTGTGATCCCAGCTACGCGGGAGGCTGAGATGGGAGGATCACCTGAGCCCAGGAGGCCAAGGCTGCAGTGACCACTGCAATCCAGCCTGGATGACACAGTGAGACCCTGTCTCCAAATAATAATAATAATAATTATTATTATTATTATTATTATTATTTTCTTTAGAAAATCCTCAGCTACTTATCAGTTGGGCAGTCAGAATTCACTGTAGGCCCCTGGAGCAAAGGCCTGCACCACTGGGTGCCTGATAAAGCCGCTAGGAAACTGAGCTCCTGGGACATCCACTGCAGAGGCGGCGCCCAGGTCTCCTGGGTGGCACAGGTCTCCCGGGTGGCACAGGTCTCCCGGGTGGCACAGGTCTCTTGGGTGGCACAGGTCTCCCGGGTGGCACAGGTCTCCCGGGTGGCACAGGTCTCTTGGGTGGCACAGGTCTCCCGGGTGGCACAGGTCTCCCGGGTGGCACAGGTCTCTTGGGTGGCACAGGTCTCCCGGGTGGCACAGGTCTCCCGGGTGGCACAGGTCTCTTGGGTGGCACAGGTCTCCCGGGTGGCACAGGTCTCCCGGGTGGCACAGGTCTCTTGGGTGGCACAGGTCTCCCGGGTGGCACAGGTCTCTTGGGTGGCACAGGTCTCCCGGGTGGCACAGGTCTCTTGGGTGGCACAGGTCTCCCGGGTGGCACAGGTCTCCTGGTTAGCACAGGTCTCCTGGTGGCACAGGTCTCCCGGGTGGCACAGGTCTCTTGGGTGGCACAGGTCTCCCGGGTGGCACAGGTCTCCCGGGTGGCACAGGTCTCTTGGGTGGCACAGGTCTCCCGGGTGGCACAGGTCTCCCGGGTGGCACAGGTCTCTTGGGTGGCACAGGTCTCCCGGGTGGCACAGGTCTCTTGGGTGGCACAGGTCTCCCGGGTGGCACAGGTCTCTTGGGTGGCACAGGTCTCCCGGGTGGCACAGGTCTCTTGGGTGGCACAGGTCTCCCGGGTGGCACAGGTCTCTTGGGTGGCACAGGTCTCCCGGGTGGCACAGGTCTCCTGGGTGGCACAGGTCTCCTGGTTAGCACAGGTCTCCTGGTGGCACAGGTCTCCCGGGTGGCACAGGTATCCCGGGTGGCACAGGTATCCCGGGTGGCACAGGTTTCTTGTAGGTACTGTCTTGGGGGGCAGCTGTTCTCGCCCTGGCCAGGTCCCCTGGACACACAGCCACTCCACGTCCCTCTGAGCCTGCCCCTTGGTGTGGGCACCTGGAGTCACCTCACCCCCAGCCTGGCCTGTCCATCGGTGCTTCCTCTGTGATGGACGTGACCTTCTGCGCTGTCCAACTCGGCAGCCAGTGGCCACACATGGCTGTGGGACACTCGAAATGTGACCAGAGCCTCCAGAAACTGAGTTTTAAGTCTGATTTTATCTTAAATCTAATGGGCACACCTGGCTAGTGGTGTGCAGTGCAGCTCTGAGAATGGGGCCTTCTGAGGCCTCTGGTGTCTGCCCACTGTCCATCCCGCTCCCTGGCCAGGATGGAGGGGGCCGAGTCCACCCCCTCCCCCAGCTCACTGGCCCTGCCCCCAGTGCACCGAACAGTGCTGTCTCCCCAGCCTGCAGCCCAGCCTGCCCTCCCTTCCCACCCTCCTCCTTCTGCTTTCTCAGTCAGGACTGTCCTGGCCACCGCCTCCAGGAAGACCCTCTGGAATCGTTCCGTCCTGCGGACGCCCCTTGCCCTGTACACACAAGGCCTGCAGAAGGGCATTTGTCAGATCCGCGTCCCCGGACCCACAGACAGCACATCTCCAGGTCTGGGTGTTCATCTTGCTGCTGCCACTGACCCTCGCCAGCCCAGGTTCCAAACCCCAGAGGGAGAAAAAGAGCAGCTGCCTCCCAGAGCTGTTGCGGGACGGGCACACACAGGGCCTGGTACACTGCAGGAGCTCACCGTGTGGTGATGTGGACGTCTCAGTAGCAGGCGAAGTACAATGGGATGTCCCCGCAGAGCTCTCCAGGCCTGCCAGAGCGCAGGGGGCCTCTGGGGACACTGAGGCCCAGGGAGGGGCTGGCCCAGGCAATGTCCACTGAGCGTTGGCATGGGGCTGGGCCTGGATGCTGAGTGGTTTAGTTCTAACCACCCACTACAGTATGCATACGCACGCACACACACAGATGCACATTAACACGTGTGCACATGCACACATGAACACTCATGCACACACACATACCCACTCATGCACACACACACACCTGCACGCTCACAAACGTACACACGGGCACACACACAGATGCACATTCACACGTGTGCACATGCACACACACTCGCTCATGCACACACACCCACCTGCACACTCAGAAACACACACACGGGCGCTCACAGTGGATGCACATTAACACGTGTGCACACACATATGTGCACAGATACATGTGCGTACACACATTCATGCACATGTGCATCCATACACTCGCACACTCACAGATGCACACGTGTGCATGGACATATATGCACACTCGCAGGAGTGCACACACACACACACACACACACAACCCCCACAGAACAGTGCTGTCGGAGGCCTCTTGGTGAGAAGGGGACTAAGACCCGGCTCCATCGATCTTTCCCTGGCACAGCCTTGCAGCGGGGCTGGCTGGGAAAGCGCATTTAGTGGCCCTGAAAAGGCGGAGTCTGATTTCCTCCCTGCAAAGAGACTCAAAGCTCACGCAGAAGACGAACGACTTGCTGACTTGAGTCACCTGCACAAATCCGGTCATTAAAGCACATCCCATCTGGCGGCTCCCATCTGACCCTGTGTTCTGCTCCCGGGCAGAGGGCAGCAGGCAGTGAATTCTACTCTGGGCTCCGCTCCCGAGGCCCTCGGGCCACTTCCTGCCACAGCTGGGCTGAAAGCCCCAGGGAAGGGGCCAGACCCAGGTGACCCCAGCAGGAGGAAGCAGGGAGGGAGCAGCCCCAGGGGCAAGGAAGAAAGCAGCTTCCAACAAACCACCCCTTTAGGACAATTCACCCCGAAGCTCACCCCAGCCCGTAAGCCCCGGCCCCACTTGGGGCTCTCCAATCAGTGCAGAAACCTCACCAGTTCCCTCTAGAATATGAGTCAGCTCTCCAGCACCTGCCCCTCCTCTACCTCAGCCCCACCCCCTGCTCAGGGAGGACGTGCTCAGGAAGCCAGACTCAAGCCCGCAGCCCTCCGCCCGCTGCCTTCACATGTGCCCCCTGCCAGCCCTGCCATGGTCTGTCTCAGCCCCTCTGTGGGGCTTTCCTGGAGCCTGAGGCAGAATGTGGCTCTTCCCTAAGGAGTGCTTGGCCCGGGCCACAATCGGTGGCATTGTTTGCTGGACTCAAGGGGAGAGGGCCCCAGGGCAAGAGTGTTCAGTTTTCTGGATCACATGCCTGGCCAAGGGCTTGCTTCCGAACAGGTGTTTCATAAACAAATGAATGAATGAGGACTCAGTCAAAGAATTGTCCAGAGAAGTCTAGATCTATCTGCAGCCTTGAGCTCTTGCCACCTCATTCCTTCCATTTCTATCAATGTCACCTCTACCACCATCACCATCACCACCATCACCTCCACATCATCATCACCTCCACCATCACCTCTATCATCATCATCACCACCATGGTCATCACCTCCACCATCATTATCATCCTTATCATCATCATCACTGTCACCATCATCATCATCATTATCACTATTACCTCTACCATGATCATCACCTCCACCATCATTATCATCCTTTATCAACATCATAATCATCACCTCCACCACCATCATCATCACTATCACTATTACCTCTACCATGATCATCACCTCCACCATCATTATCATCCTTATCAACATCATCAT